>NC_000010.11:44923316-47780368 GCF_000001405.40 Homo sapiens | reverse complement strand
TCTTTTTGTCTGACAAAAAGACACTGACTCCCTGGGACTTAGCATATAATAGATGTTTGCTGGCTGGCTGGCTGGCTGGATGAATGAATGAATGAATGGAAGGCAGTTGATTCAGAAATGCCTATTACTACCTCAATTTAGTTCCACAGACATTTTCCTGAGTCCCTAATAATAATTATCAGCTGCAAGCTGACAATATAGGCTAAATCAGAGGTGCCTTGGCCCCAAAGCCTACATGATGGGGGATTCAGGGGACCTGAGACAGATGCCCAAAGGACAATTAGGTCACAAGGATTGAAGGGAATAGAAGGGGCTGGAGTGCTCAGAGGAGAGGCATTGTAGTAGACATCTGTTGCTTTTTCAGCTCCCCACAATCCAGCCCCCATTTCATTTGGGGGATCATCCCGAGACAGAGACTGCTAATTGTCCCCCAATACTTATTGTCCCCTTCTATAGTAATAGAATTCCTCTAACTGAGTACATAACTGCCCAGAATAATGACCACATTTCCCAGGCATCGTGCACCCAACATGCTGTAGATTAAGTTCTCAGCAGTGAGATGTTAGCAGAAGTAATTTTTGCAATTTCTCGGTCATGCACTTCAGAAGAAATGTGCCTCGCCCCTTTCCCTCTCCCCTGGTAGGAATGAAGTCATGGTGTGAAGCCAGTTTATATCAATCAGATGAAGCTAAAACCCTAAGGATGTCAGAGTGACAAAAGAGAAGGAGCCTGTGTCCCAACACACTGTGGTTGCCTATCAGCCCTGGACTAGCTCTAACTAGGTTTTCCATGAAAGAGAAATTAACCTCCAGTCTATTTCAGTCACTATTTGGGGTGAGTGCTCTCTTGCAGAAGGAAAGCCTGTATACTAATTATTAGTGCTGTATACTAATTATTAGTAAAGGCTGTATACTAATTATTACCAAGAAGGGCTGTGTTGCTGGTAACAAAACTGAAAACATATTTTAAATGCTATACATAAATATGATGATCTGGAAACCCTGTTTATGCCATGCCATAGCAGTCGATCAACTGATTCCTGCAATACCTTGCAAAGTCAGCTCTTGCTCTAAAGGAAACAGTTGGAAATTTCAGAATGCAGGTGTTTGCTGGATGCTTCTTGCCACTCTCAACAGAGTCCTACATGACCCAGAAGAACGTGGACAGAGCTAGCCCGAGGAAGGCAGATACTGAAGAGAATACAGCAGTGCTGAAAGAAGCTCCCTTTGCCTATGGGCTATAACCTCAGTTTAAAAAGTTTTCAGACCTAAAAAAAAAAACTATTGCTTGTTAAAAACTCCATATTTGATAGCTTGATTCTTATATCTTGAAAGATTTTTAAAGTAGTGTAAATATAACTGATGTTATGAAATTCTGTTTCATGTTCTGTAGAGCAGTTATATATCATAATGTAGGCAGAAATCAGCCATCATATCATATCATATCATATCATATCATATCATATCATAATGTAGGCAGAAATCCGCCATCATATAATTGTGAGCAGAAATCAGCCATCATATAATTGTGAGCAGAAAAATACCTAATTGGATTCTGTAAATGGGTATATTTTGAATTATGCTGTACAGTGCTTGCCCAAAAAAATACTGTGCCTGAAAATGGCATCAATTTATTCATAAAAAATATGATTTAAGTGATTTTCTAACAACATTTCAAAGGCGCCTTTATGGTTCTCAAAGTGTTGCCATATAATAATATTCCTTTAGAATAAAATTATATTTATTTAAAAAAATAAAGAGAAAAATCTATTGCTTCTGTACCACAAACTGAGGCAGATATAGAATAATTTTCTGAAGAAGCAGGATTAGCAGGAGACAAGACTATGGACCCTAGTCTTTCTCAAACACTTGATTACGTTTCTCAACCTGACAATGACAGCCGCTCGGCCACAAAGACCAGATCAAGGAAGCTGCCTTCCAGTCCAAGTTGAGTGTTTTCGCTGGTCTCAGGTTGAGAGGGAGGTGAATAGATATAACATACAGGCTGATAAATAAAAGGCCACCATTTTTAGGCTTAAATACTGCTAATCTAAAGGAGGTTGAGCATCACTAAACCAAAAACCCAGAAATCCAAAATGCTCTAAAATCCAAAACTTCTTGAGCACACATGATGCTCATTGGAGCATTTCAGATTTTGGATTTTCAGATTAGGGATGTTCAGCCAGGATAATGCAAATATTCCAAAATCTGAAATATGAAACACTCTGGCCCCGAGCATTTCAGATAAGGGATACCCAACCTGTACTTGCCCCAGAGGATAACTAGCCACAAATAGGCAGAAAGCCAATTGAGATTTTAAGGGGCATGTGTTACCAAAGAACCATGAGTCGGGCTGGTACAAGTCTGCATTTTTGACTCCTTAAATCAACCGACCCCTACCCACCAAACCTGCACCTGCAAAAAGTGGGCTGCAAAAGCTATGCAGCCCAGGCCCAGTGTGGTGGCATGTGCCTGTAGTCCCTGCTGCTCTGAAGGCTGAAGTGGGAGGATTTCCTGAGCCCCAGGCACACGAGTCCAGCCTGGGCAGCACAGCAAGACCTTCTCTCTAAAAAAAAATGTTTAAGCTGTATAGCCCTAAGAGGGATACATCGTTTGATGCCCTTTAGTTGTGCCATGGAAGGCAGTGGACAAAGAGGGGACCACCAAGGTCCAAAGATGTCTATCCCAGGGAATACTCCTGGAGAGAGGCGCTGTCATCCAAGGACTCTGCTCCACTCCCTGGGAACCTTCACAATTTCTGCCCACCAGGATTTGGTGGGTGTGTTTTTCCCTCTTCTGGATGAGGTTTCCCACCATGTTTATCTTATTTTTACTGGCTGTTGCATATTGGGTGTAAGGAGGCAGGCAATGTATGTAAGGGTTCCAGGGCAATACACCATAAAGAACTGCATCCAGAAGCCTGGTGTGGTGGCTCACACCTGTAAACCCAGCACTTCGGGAGGCCAAGATGGGAGGATTGCTTGAGCCCGGGAGTTCGAGACCAGCCTGGGCAACATAGTGAGAACTTGTCTAAAAAAACAAAAATAAAACAAAAACCACATCAGATCTGATGGTGCAGGCTGTCCCTCCACAGGTCCCAGGCTTGGAGCTGGACATAGGCACTGGATGCAACTTTAGGGTTGTCTCCCCTGGGGAGGGGACACATGGAAATTTGACTGGCCAATGGGACAGGCTGGGGCTGAGATTGCTAATTGCCCCCGATCACACTCATCTCCTATGTTTAAAGAATTCTTGTTTTTTTATCTGGAGATACGGAAATCCAGAAAAAAATACTGTATTTCCTCACTTCCTAGAAGCTATATTTGGCCAAGTAACTGACCAGCAGCATTGAAGTAGGGAGAGGTGACACTTTTAACCAGAGGGGCGAGCCTTCCTCTTCCGCCTTTTCCGTTTCCACTGGCTAGGCAGTGGAGGTGATGGTGAAACATCTCACATCACAATACCTAGGGATAGAGAAGCAACAAGATGGGGAAAAAAAAACCTGGGCTCCCAGGCTGCTTACCTGCAGGCAGGTGAGGGAGAAAGAAACTTCTATCTTGCTTAAGCCAATCTTATTTGAAGTCTCTCTTCCAGCAGTTCAACATATATTCCACAAATATATTACTCACACTCTACCTCCTCTACGCTCATGTGGGTCTTAGAAGAGGGGTGTATGCTAGGCCTCAGCCAATCACTGTATCAGTTTCCTGGCCAGAGATTGTTCAGGATAAGTGTGTACCCCACTTAGATCCAATGATAAATACTTTATCTGGGAATCTGGAGAAAGAAACTCACTCTATTCCCCAAGGGAATGTGGCGATGAAGCCACCATCTTACATGAAGCCGGATACTGGAGCCGCCCAGAGAAGGACAAAGTGAGGATGTGCAGAAGCAAGTTCCCGAGAACATCCCGGGAGCCTTGACCTCAGTGAGGACTAAGGCTAGTCTCATCCCTTGACATCTCAATTAAGGAAGACAATACATTTCCTTTTTTAAAAACCAATTTGCATTATATTTCCATCCTTTGCTACCAAAAGTGTCCTTAGTGATACGCTGGTCACCGTGGGAGGGTTACAGAGGCAACATGGAAGGGGGATGTCTGCTTTGGTCTCAGACCACCTGCAACTTGTTTGGGGGAAAAAATGGGTTTGTTATAAGGATGCATGAGGATTTGAACCAGAATTGAAAAGTCCTCAGGAATAGGCGAGACAACTTCAGAAATAGCCATTGCTCCCTCTCTTCATGGAGCTTCCCAGACCGGTTTCCTCCTGACTGTGCTCTGCCAGCTCTTTCCACCAACTGGCGCCCTCTCCTGATGCTGAATTTCTGCTGCTTTGAAACTGAGTTGCCACCATGCCAGCTCCTCCTAGTGGCACGTCTTCACATATCCTTCATGCTTCTTCCCTTGCAGCTGGCTGTCTTGCTCCTGCCCTGTTTCTCAACTTCCAATTTAAAAAAGAGAAATTGGATAGACATAGATCATCTTTAATGCCAGAGGAAAACTCACAAATCCTGACCAGCCTGATTCAGAGCCTGAGTCAGGTGTTTGCTTGCTCTTGTCCAACTGTTACATGATCTAAAATAGGGCCACCTGCTGGCTGTCTCCTCCTCTAGGGCTGCGGGCATGGCAGGTACCACCACTGATGTGTCTTGTATGCCTACACAGAATTATTGTATTAGGCAATACTCTTCTGACTTCAAGAGGCAGAAACCCAACTCAAATTGGCTTAAGCACCAAAGGGACTTTTCACTGTTTCTTGTAAGTCAACAGTCCAGGGTAACCGGGCTTGGCCAGAGCCCCTAGCTTAAATGATGTCATCAGAACTGGCACCTCTCTCTTTTAGCCAGGCTCTCCCTACATAGTGGGTCTTGGGAACTCCTGGATTATGTTTATGTCCTCACAGCTCTAAGTCCATGGACAAGAGTTTAAGGAACAAGGACAGTGCCAAGTTAACTGTACTAGCCATTACTGTTTTGTTTTGTTTTGTTTTGTTTTTGAGACTGAGGCTCTCTCTGTTGCCCAGGCTGGAGTGCAGTGGCGCAATCTCGGCTCACTGCAACCTCTGCCTCCCAGGTTCAAGTGATTCTCCTGCCTCAGCCTCCTGAGTAGCTGGGATTACAGGCCCCCACCATCACGCCTGGCTGATTTTTGTATTTTTAGTAGAGACAGGGTTTCACCATGTTGGCCAGGCTGGTCTCAAACTCTTGACCTCAAAAGATCTGCCCACCTCGGCCTCCCAAACTGCTGGGATTACAGGTGTGAGCCCGGCTGCCATTACTGTTATTATGGCTCCCAAAAGTTGCCCACAAATTCCAGGTTCAAGTCATAGTAAACTAAGGTAGGCCACTGCCCAGCTCCTAACCACTCACTGAGGCCTGCAGCATGTGATGCTCTGACTGGCCAGGTCTGGATCAAATCTAGCTCTGGAGTTAAAAGAGAAATGGGACCACTGAATTTTGTCACCAGAAGCAGCAAGAATAGATGCTGAGCAGGCAAAAACAACAAATGTCCTCTGCAATCTGCAGCATTGGTTGTTGAATGTTACACATACCCCTCTTGACATAAACACAGCTGTTAAAATATTCTTTCTCAAGATAAGGCAGTTATACCATATACCACCAAAACCCTACTCACTCCCACTGCAACAGAAGACAGCGCAGAACTCAGGTTCTCAACCAGTTGCTGCATTCAGGTTCAGAACCCCTGGAGGATGTGCTGTCCTCTCCGAACTGTGGTAAGTGAAGCTCTGAGGACATAGATAGCAGGACCCAACGGGCCTCTTCCATGTGCCTCCACCGGGGTGAGTAAATTCCAATCAGTCCCCAATGAGTCTGGCTTATTTCACTCAAGATTCAAGTTTCAGAATGAAAGCATCTGACTGGCCCAGTTTGCATCATGCACCCACCCACTGACCAGGGGAGTGCAGAGCACAGTGCATCTGTTGGAGGCGGGAACATGGTTTCTGTTACTATGAGCGAGAAGTAAGGATGCTGGGCTAACGTGGGAAATCCTCGCTGAGTGGATTTCTCTGCCTCGATAATGACATGGACACTGCTGATGAGCTAGCTGGTGGGTGTGGCTGGGTCACCAGGCTCATATGTGGCAGCCAGGCAGCTCCAGATAGGAGGGGGTCCCCAATGTCTGGGAGCTGTGGACTCCCAATTCTTGTCTTGAGGCCCACTGGCACAGTCCTCACTTTGGAGAAATTGGGGCACTGTTTATGCCAGTTCAGGCTTAGGCCCTGGCTCCTCCCTGGTCTGATCATGACCTTGCTTGAGGACTATGTGTGGACACTGCTGATTGCCGACCTGTGTCAGGATAGTCTGGGTTATGTTGCAATAGCGACCTCACAAAAATAGCAGTGGATTAACTAAACACAAGTCTATTTCCCACCCTTGCTCTATGCCTATCACAGGTTTGGCAAGAGGGCTCTGTTCATCGTGGAGGACTCTTGGCATTTGCTTTTACAGTCATCACATCAATGGAAAAGAACTTGGGGAACAATGTACCAACTGTCTTTTTTTAAACTTTTATTTCAGAATCAGAGGGTACATGTGCAGGTTGTTACAAAAGTATATTTTGAGGCTGAGGTTTGGAGGAGAAATGAATCCATCACTCAAGAGGAGCATAGTACACAATAGGCAGTTTTTAATCGACTCTTGACCCCCCTCCCTCCCTCTCTTCTCTTGTATTCCCCAGTGTCTGTTGTTCCCATTTTTATGACCATGTGTACCCAATGTTTAGCTCTCATTTAACAAGTGAGAACATGCAGTATATAGTTTTCTGTTCCTATGTTAAGTCACTTAGGATAATGGTTTCTAGCTGCATCCATATTGCTGCAAAGGACAGGTCTTCCTTCTTTTTGTGGCTGTGTAGTAGTCCATGATGTATATGCACAACATTCTTTCTATCCAACCCACTATTGATGGGCACCTGGGTTGATTCCATGTCTTTGCTACCATGAATAGCGCAGTGATGAACATATGGGTGCATGTGTCTTTTTATGCACCAACTTTTAAAGCTTCCACTAGAAAGTGATACATCTCACTTCTGCTCCCATTTCATTGATCAAAGTAAGTTACACATCCTTAACTAACCCCAAGGGTTGTACCATCTGCCTAGAAGAAAGAAAACCAAATATAGTGGCCAAATACCCACTTCACTAATGACAACCACTACCCAATTTCTCTCTCCTCTTCTTCCAAAACAGAGCACCAGTTTTGACTGGGATGACAATTGTCTAGCTAAATATATTTACTTTTCCTTGTAACTTCCTTGTATCTGGGGTTAGTTACACGTGACCTTGTTCTAACCAATGAGATGTAAGAGGGAATCACTAGGTAGGGGTTTCTTGGAAACCTAGATGTGATGCCTTGAGACGCAGCAGCCATACTGTGAACTTAAGGACAGAAACCACACACTCCAGAAGGTGAAGGAGGATGATGAGGGAGCCTGGGATCTTGATGAAACCCTTAAGCATCTGTGCCACCCTGGGCTGCTGATCTCTGGGGTGCTGGCTACATAACAACAATAAACCCCTATCTGATCCACTGATGGTCAGGTGTTCTGGTATTTCATCCAAACACGTTCCTTACTATTTACCTGCTCTGTATTTGAGGTTTCTCAGTCTTCGGTCTTTCATGTACAGATGATTTATGGTGCAATGGGAAGAACTTTGAATCATTCGACACTGGATTCAAATCTGGGGTTGACCGATTTCTAGTTGTGTGACCTTGGGCGAGTTGCCTAACCTCTTCCAGCTTTAGTTTTCTCATCTGTAAAATTGGAATTGAAATCCCGTGGCATTGACAGCCATTTCTTATGTCCTCTTCCTTCAACCAGTCTCCCATTATAGGACTGAAAAGGTCAGATACACACTTTCTTGGTCTCCTTGAAACCAGCATGGCTGTGTGTGGGTCTGGCCAGTGAGCAACAAGGTATGGAGGGTCAGTGTGCTGGAGGCTTTCTGATAAGATGAGGGATGTGAGTGAGGAAATAAACACTTTCCCTATCAGATTCCTTTCCTTCTTTTCCTGCCTTTGAACTTGGTGTTAGAAGACACCAAGCCATCTCGAAACTTGAAGGTGGCAGAGCAGGTGACACATCCAAGGAATCTGGATCTTAGATGATGATGTTGAGCTGCCAAGTCAAATCTGAGGCTACCCAACCACAAATGTCTTGCTAAGTAACACCATTTCTCCCCATTCCAAGGAAGGCCTTTTTTTTTCACATTCTGACACCACTGTCACTTCTCATATCTGATTTGATAGTAAAGAATGGCTTCATGGTTTGGCAGCAAGTTTTGCTTATACAAAGAAAGTGGTGCAAAACAGTGGTGCATTTCACAATCAATGACATCTTAGAGCTAATGAAATACGAAAGCAAATCTTCTTATGGTGTAAGCCCTATTTAGGCTTATTTAGTCAGATTTAGTCAGATTTACTGTAAATTGTAACCAAAAGATTTCCTAAGTGATAAAAGTACCTGCCATAGGCCAGGCATGGTGGCTTATGCCTGTAATCCCAGCACTTGGGAGGCCGAGGCAGGCAGATCACCTGAGGTCAGGAGTTCAAGATCAGCCTGGCCAACATGGTAAAACCACATCTCTACTAAAAATACAAAAATTAGCCAGGCATGGTGGTGGGCACCTGTAATCGCAGCTACTCAGGAGGCTGAGGCAAGAAAATCTCTTGAACCTGGGAGGCAGAGGTTGCAGTGAGCTGAGATCGTGCCATTGCACTCCAGCCCGGGCAACAAGAGCGAAACTCCATCTAACAACAACAACAACAACAAAAAAAACCTGCCATAGATGGTGGTTGTAAAGAATAAATAATTTTTTAAAAAGAATGAATGAATAAAACAATGTAAGTAAAGTATTTGGTGTAGATTATTTATTTGGTCAGCATTTCAAAATCCTTATATAAATTATTTTGTTCTACTATGTCCAAATGTAAACACACATGTGTGTGTGCAAACCCAAGAAAGGTGTATGTCCCTAAAATAAGGCCAGGTACAAATTTGGGCCACAGACGGCCCAAAGCAGGTGGGCAATCTTGTATCATTGAAGACTTGTGATTGCAAATGGCAGATACCTACTCAAGCTGGCATTAAGTACACATCGGAATTTGTGGGCTCACCTAAGTGAAAAACCAGGTGGTGTTCTAGCTTCATGCCTTGTCTCATTCACCCATCACCAGCATCCAGTATCTCTCTCCCTCTCTTTCTCTGGGTACGACCTATTCAGCTGACCCTGTCCTCAGACCAGCTTTTTTCTCATCATTTGAGATTCTCTCATTAAATTCAAGACCCTCGGGAAGAACCCTTGCCTCTGTCCAGCATTGTCAGAAAAATCAGCCTTGCAGCTCATTGGCTCTGTGTTTCCCTGAACCAATCTCTGCAGCCAGGAGGAGGGACCTGTGGAGGAATCAAGCCCAGCTGGAAGAAGAAGAGGGTGGAGTCAACCACACCCAAGAGGAGGGAAGGGCTTTCCCAGAGGGCACTTTTGACTGGGGCACCACTGCAACAAAAGAAGGATAAAGTATGCTGTGTGAAAACCTCAGATGTCCCCCACAAGCCTTCTCTCTTTCCCCTAAACCCACTACCCCTTAGCACTTTATTCCTCCCACAGCAGCAGAGGCTGGTCCAGAGAAGACCAAGGCCAGCCAGTAAGGAAAAGTGACAAGATCATCCACCTTCAGCCACAACTTTGAGGCACGTGGAGAGGGGACAAGGGGTGTGGCCCTGCCAGCTCACAGCTCTAGTCTCACCAAAGGAATCAAAAGAGAGTGACAGTGTTTTGCTCAGCTTTTGCTGCTTACAGAGTCTCTATGGCATCATCCAGAAGCATTTATTTTTCCCTTCCATGTCTGTGGGTTGGCTGGGGTCTGCTGGCTCAGGCTGAACTCCTTGATCTCAGGCTCCAGGTGGGGTTTGGACCTGCACCACAGAGCACTCATTGGCCTGGAGCCAGCTCTCCCTGGGCCATGCTCATCTCACCGCCTTGGCTAAAGCACAGGAGAGCAAGGCCAGCCGCACGGTGCAGTTCCAGCCTCTGCCGCATCATCTCTGCCAACTTTCCAGTGGCCCAAGCAGGTCATGTGGCCATGCTCAAAGTCAAATCATGGGGAAGCATGTGTCCCACTGATATGGTTTGGAAGTTTTTTCCCCTCCAAATCTCATGTTGAAATGTGGCTTCCAATGTTGCAGGTGGGGCCTGGTGGGAGGTATTTGGATCATGGGAGCAGATCCCTCATGAATGGCTTGGTGCCTCCTTTTAGTAATGAGTGAGTTATTGCTCTGAGTTCAGGCAAGATCTGGTAGTTTAAAAAAGTGGGCATCCCTTTTTCTTGTTCCCTTTCTTGCCACTTGACACACTTGCTCCCCTTCCACCTTCTGCCATGAGTAGAAGCTTCCTGAGGCCTCACCAGAAGCAGATGCTGGCACCATGCTTCCTTTACAGCCTGCAGAACTGTAAGCCAATTAAACCTCTTTTCTTTATAAATTACCCAGTCTCAGGAATTCCTTTATAAGCAATATAAACAGTCTAATGCACCCACCATGTTGCAAGGCTGTGGGAGTACAATACCGGTACAGGGAAGAGAGAACTTGAGACCAATCATTTAATTGACCACAGAAGGTAACCAAAGAACAGCCTTCCCACAGGCTCAGCACTTTTAACTGATTTTTTTATGGAAGTGAAACCTCAGCCTTGAGCACTAAAGCCCAGTAAAATGGTCTCGTTCAAGATCTTGGGATCTATTTGAGGGAACAAAGGAGGACATGTGAGAGCCCCGAGCTCCCTATGGAGGCCACACTTGGAAGGAGCAGGTATTCAGCAGAGATCATTCCCTTCTAGCCACTGTCCCCGCAGTCCCAAGACAGTCATCAGAAAGGCCACCTAGGTAATAATCAAATCTGCAAACTTGAGTTAAGTCTCCCCATCTCCCATGGTGAGGGCCAGCCACAGACAGCCTCTGCCCTTGGAGAGGGTGCCATGGTCAGCCTCCTCTCTCCTCTCTCACTGCCCGTAGCAGACTTCTGAGGTAAGAGCATGAGCAGAGGAAAGGAAGGGGATTTGGAAAGTTCTGTCTTGATGGTCTCGTAAGATGCCTTACCTCTCCAGATCTGGAAGAGGTTTCATGCTCAAATGGGCCCTTTGAAAGGAACCCTCGATCCTTCACCCCTGACACCCACTCCAGAACCAGAGTGCCCTTGACCTGAGCAAATGAATCAGAAGCCACTTGCTCCCTCCTCTACCCCTAGAAAGTTCACCTCCTACTTCCTTCCACTGTGCTACATATGCCCTCTGGGTAGGGCCTGTGGTCAGGACTGAGATGATCACACACCGGCTCTTTCATTCACATGGCCAATGTCTGGTTGTGGGAAATATGTACACATTCCACATCCTGACAAGTCCCCAGGCACATGTCAGTGACAATTCCCCATCACACTCTGAGCCACACTCGCACTACCAGTGGCGTGTCATGTGCCCAAGATCCACAAACCTTTGGCTGGCATCTGAGGGAGCCCGGCTGCTTCCCAACACAGCAGCTGCCTACTCTCTTCATCAGAACCAAGAAGCCACAATTGCCTGTGCACCTCCACCAGCAGTCCGTCTGCCTCCCAAACTCCAGGGGACAGAAAGCAAGCTCTCAGAGCAGAGTTGAATCCCCCACTCTCTGGGCTGGAGGGCAGGCTGTCCTCTGCTCCACCTGCCCCCTCTCTACCTCAGCACAGCCCCCTCCCCGAGCACACCCCCCTCCCCAGCCCTGGCCAGCCGTAGGAGGTGGGAGTCCACATCACAGCCCCAGCCCTCAAGAAAGGAATCTGGCAAATCCCCTCCCTCCCTCACTCTCTCAGCCCTTCCTCTCACTGGGGGACAGTTGTCCAGCAGGTTCTCAGCCACCTTTGGAAATCTGCGTCTTAGTCTGTCACCACTCTTTGGAGTTTGATAGCTAATTTCTTCATGTCTTAACCGACACATCAATTTAGCATATTAATACATCAAAAAACAAAGTCTTTCTGCCCTCTTATGGCTCATTGGATGCATGCCTGGTGACTGAGCACATTGCTGTTCCTGAAAAAAAAAATGTGGGTCAGTTGTTAGCACAGAAGCTGGAGGAGGGGCAGGAGTGAGCCATGGAGGCTGAGCAGTAAATTAATTGTTGTTTGCCACAAATGGCCCTTGCTGAAAAGATCCCATCCCTAAGGGGGGTCAAAAAACTTTAGGACAGCTGAGTGCCCAGAGGTGACGATTGAGGAAGGACAAGCCTTGCCTCAGTTCCTGACTTCTGCTCCATGCTGAGGGGCAGCCTTGGTGGTCAAGAGACTGAAGCTGGAACAGCTGATGCCAACGCCGGCTCAGCTCCTTGCTAACACAGTGGCCTTGGCGGGCTCACTCCCCTCTGCCGCCCTCTCTCTCCACCCCTCCAGGGGCAGGGGCTGCATGCAGCAGGATGCAGGGGCTGCCAGGACAACATAGGTCCCCACCTCAGCACCTGTGCTGGCTCCATCCTCTCTGGCTCCTCCACGTGGGGCTTTCCATGGCCCCAGACTTAGCTCCTTCTGCTCAACAACTCCTGCCAGAAAGGAGGTGTCTCTTCCCCAGTACATCCCATAAAATTCCAGTGTTGATCCTGATTAGCCTCTCACGGGGGCAGGGGGTGGCGTCACAGGGACATCCCTGAACCTATCACTGCAGCCAGAAATGAACTAGGCTGAGCAGCCAGGCCTGGGTCATGGACAAAGCGCTAGAATAGGGGTGAGTAGGGGAGTGCCAGGTACTGTGTGGACAGGGAAGGGGAAGGAAGTTGTTCCCTCCAGAGGGAAGGCAGAGTTCTGGTGCTGGTTGAGAGGAGGCAGGGGAGCAGGCCTGCCAGGCAGGGGAGCAGCAGGGCAGGAAGCAGAAACCACGCCCAGGGGCAGGAGGGAGCCACAGGCCCAAGCCCACCCTGCCAGTCGGAGTGACTGTCTGCAGGAGGAGACACAATTTGGAGCCAGCATGTTTCAGTGGGGGACGAGAAGTTCTGATCCAACAAGGAAAGATACTCCCTCCAAGCTCCTCAAAAGAAGGGGCTGGAGGAAATTAAGTCTGAGGCCGCCATAGCAGAACCAAAGAGCAGACAGGATGCTGGCAGGGGAACCCTCCCCCTCCTCACAAAGAAGGACCTGGGCTGACCTGGTGCAATTTGCATGAATTGAGAAACACAGTCTTCCACATGCTTCTCAGCGTGGCCTTTATCCTGCTATGGCCTCTGTGTTCCTCAGTGATGAGAGATGACACTTCCTTAGACAGGGATGATTCTTAAGGTTAATTGAAAGTGGCCTTTCTCGTAATCATCTGCTGCAATGAATTATTAATCACCTGCAGGCATTTGCAGGTCTTTAAACTCTTGGACTTCCTGCAGCCCTCCTTGGAAGTGCTTTTGCCATGGAAATACAACTTCCGCTTGGCCATGAAAGACAGAACCCATGTCTGCTGCTGTTTCCAGGCTTCCCAGCTCCACAGACACGGGGAAGAACAAGGTCTGAAAACAGGAAGCAGAGCCAGAGCTGCTGCCAGACCCTGGATGCCTTTCTGTTCTGGGGAGCTGGCTCCAGGCCAGCCAGGTCTCAGAGCCCCCGGGCAGTGGATGGAGGGGAGGCTGCCCAAAGTGCCTGTGGCTCTTTGCCTGATTCACGGTCAGCGCCACAGGAGAGGGTCTCCTGGGTCCTTGCCCTACAGCTGCTCACTGGTGAAGAAGGAACGAGGGAGCCAGGTGCCAGGCCTAGATCCACCACTTAGTGGGTGGGCCAGGAAACCTCTTTGATTCAGTTTCCTCATCTGAGGAGGAGGTCATGACCCTGCAGGGCAGACATGAGGCAGGGCTCCATGGGATCGTGTACATCAGGCCTGCATCTCAATGCTCAGAACATCAGGAGCAGCAAGAAGGATGAGCTCCCTCCTGCCACCTGCTTTTATCTTCCCGTGGAGGAAGATTGACTCAAAACTCAGTGGGCTGGCTGGCAGTGTAAGGATTTTGCAGATAGAGCTGACAACGTGATTTTGCAGACCCCAGAAGCTGGTCTGCAGGACCAGGGCAGGGAGCTCCTGTTGGGCCCTAAATTGTGAGCCCAGGATGTGTATGATGCATGGACAATGTGGGCAGAAGCTGGGGCAGCTCATCCCAATGGCAAGAGCCCTTCATCTGCCATTCAGCACAGCCTCAGCCCTGGAGGTGGATAGTGGCGATGCCAAGCTGAATAAGACACGGCCCCCTGCCTTCATGGAGGCCCTCGGCTGCCAGGAAGAGTGAGGCAGCAGTCTCAGGCACAGAGTCCCATATTCGGCATGGTAGCTGCAAGGACCATGAGGACGAGGGGATGATGAAGGGTTTCACAGAAGGCAAGATGCTGGGGGTTCATCTTGAAACATGAGCAGTGGAGAAGGAGGGTGGGAGGGGCATTGAGTATTTCAGACAGGGAGAGAGCAGCATGGTGGGAGAGCCCAGTGCATACGCAGAGCCGTGGAAGTAGCTGCATCAGTCTGGGCACAAGCACTGCAGAGAGATGGGTGGTGGGGGGGATGAGAATGGGAGGGGAGCCTGGAAGACAACAGCTGGGAAGGGGAGTGGGTGCAGCATGGAATCTGAAGAGCTGAGAGGAGGCCCATGCAGAGCTCCAGATGAGAGGTGATGGAGGGCTGGGCAAGGTTTTTTGCCATGATAGAGATGGACAGAGGAGGAACAGCTGTCAGGACTTGGTGACACAGAGAAAGATGGGGACTTTGGAAAAGCACAGCATGGGGGTCGAGAGATGGCAGCTCTGGGCCTGGCACTCAGGAAGTGCCAGAAGGGATTCCCTTTTCAAAAAACATCCCACTACCCAACTCCACCCCCAGAACAGCCTGAGTACAGCTCGGGCGCAATCATGGAGGCAGCTGGTGTGGATGCCATGCCCCACTGGGGTGGTCAGGTGGGGGTGCATGGCAGCTGGGGGAAGGGGTCAAGATAGCTGACGGGTTCCATGTAGGGGTCCCCTGAGCCTTGCTAGCTGCCTGAGTCCAGTGTTGAGGCACACTGAACTCTAGACAGAGGAAGGGGAAATGTAAGCCACCCCTCCCAGGGTACTGCATGGACAACATGGTCCACACAATGGTCCTAGAGATATCAAGTCCTCATCCCCAACCCCGTGACTACATAGCAAAAGGGGCTTTGCAGGTGTGATTAAGTTAATGATCTTGAGATGGGGGTGGTGGTTATCCTGGATTATCTGATGAGCCTCTTATAGAGAAACGCCACACTCTGAGATGAATTCAGAAGTCCTTTATTAGCCGGCAACCGAGAGATGGCTAGTGCTCAAAATTCTCTCGGCCCTGAAGAAAGGGCTAGATTTTCTTTTATACTTTGGTTTAGAAAGGGGAGGAGGAGCCTAGCTGAAGCACTCTTACAGAAGCAAAACAGGCAAAAAGTTAAAAGACAAATGGTTACAGGAAAACAAACAGTTCCAGGTGCAGGGGTTTTAAATCCATCACAAGGCGATAGATGCGGGGGCTTTGGGTACCATCAACCGGACACAAATGTGGGGGCTTAGGGTACTATCAACTGGGCAAATTCCTGGGAACTGCGGATATAGCTTGCCACAGTATCTTATCCATTAATTGCATTCTTTGATGTGCTGGGAGTCAGCTTGCACAAGTTAAGTCCTTGAGGAAGGGGGGTGGGTAAGGGGCTGCAAGTGAAGGAGCCAAAATGGAGTGTGTCTGGCTCTCTCAGCTAAGGGACAGTCAATTCAGGTTAAAACAAGGTAGGGTATCACACTTACAAGAGGGAGGCAGAAAGAGTTGATGTGAAATGACCTGGAGTGGGAGAGGTTAGAAAAGGCTGTGCTGCCGGCTTTGAAGACAAAGGAAAGGGCCACTAGCTAGCAGCCTCTAGGAGCTGGAAACGCTGGGAAACAGCTCCCTTGCCTCCAGAAGGCACAGGCCCTGCCAACCCAGTTTAGATTCCCGACCCCCCGAACTGTGAGATAACATGCGTGTGGCTTAAACTACTCAATCTGTGGTACTTTGTTGCAGGGGCAACAACAAACATACAGACATCTAACTCAGACCCGAGGCCTTGGGTGGGACCCAGGCCCCATTTCCTGAGACACCTGCTCCCACAGCGACCTGGGGTAAGCAGAAGTGGGGGAGGATTCTCCAGACACCCCAGACTGTCTCCAAGTAGAGCGGAGATCTCGCCAGTTAAGCGCACAGCTGAGGACAGTTACTGGGTGAAGTGGCCTGGGTCTCCGCCTTCTCATGCCCCCACCGCCCAGACCCTAGAAGGGGAGTGGCTGCGGCCTCTGCACCCTGGCCCTGAGGGCTCCCAGACCCGGCCCAGTGGGGCACCCCAGTTCACCACCCTCCTCGCCTTAGGTGAGCCAAAGCCCAGGCAGGGTGGAGCCTCACGCACACTGACTGGCCCCTAGGACAGGCACAGGTGACGCGGGGGTGTGGGACCCAGGCTATGACTCTGGACATAACCTTCAAGGCTGTAAAACGAGAAGGTCCATCCCCCCAAAACACGCACTCCCCCACAACCACCCCCTCCCCCCCCCACACACACACTCCCCTGCACCACAGATACACACATTCCTTTCGCTCCCCACTCAGACGCCTCGAGGCCTCGGCGGGGGAACCATAGGGGCGCGACCAGGGCGCGCCGAGGGGTGACCAGAGAGGACACGCAGCGACCTTACTCCCGCCTTTCCCGCAAGGCGCGTTCGCCAGCCTGGACTAGTGGGCACGGGCCCTGCGTTCTAATAATCACCATAATAATAGGCGCTGGGTGTACAGAGGGGACCCAGGCGACGCTGGCCTCCATCCGATAACCACCGTAACAGGGGCTGGGCCGCGCCGCTCCTCCGCTCTAAGTGTTCTTTACATGCTTCTTAAGTTACCGGCAGGCCAGCCGCCCTTACGAGAGCCCCTCACGGACATTAACCCAATTGAGAAGACTGAACCCAGCATACGAACGTTAAGTTGTCCCAAATCGCAGGGCTGGCGAGTGAGGAGCCTGAATTGGAACCCAGGAGCTTCTGGAACCCGCTCCAGAATTGCGCTCTCGACCGGTTTGTCCGCTGAGAGCGAACGGGTGCGCGAGCGCCGCATCCCTGCCCAAGGCCATCAGGCAGGCAGCGCTGGGGCCCGGGACCCGCGCGGAGACTCCACCCCGGGATCCGGGAAGGCTCCCCCGAGCCGGGGTCGGAGCTGCGGCTGGAGGGGCCTCGGCTTGAGGAGGATCTGGGAGGGCGGGGGCTCAGTCCTGGCCACCAGGTGTGAGGGGTCGGGTGCGGAGCCCTGTGTCAGACGCGGCGGTGAAGGCTGTAGCCCTGCTCTCCGGGATGGGGGTGGTACTCTCACCGCACCCTGCCCCAAGCCGCAGGGAGCCCCTGGCGCCCCTGGCGCCCGGGACCCGCCCTGGCTGGAGCCCTGCGGTTTCCGGGAGCTCACGGTCGGCTCTGCGCCCCTCCACCGCCGGGCCTGGGCCTGGGCCAGGGACTGGCTGGGGCGGGACTGCGGCCTCGGGGCGCTGGGTCCCTGCCCCTGCCGTGCACTGCGCGGCTCCCCGCGCCGCAGCTGGGCACCAGCAGCACCACGGACCGCCCCTGTGCTCGCCCGACGGCGCCCCGCGGCGCTTTAAGAGACGGCCTGGCAGCCCAGCCCCAGCCGCCCAGACCGGCGAGACCAGCCTGCGGGAGCAGCCCCATGGCGGGTAAGCGAGCCTCGCCTCCCCAGCCCAGCCCCGGCCCCTCTGCGACCCTTCCAGCACTTGCCTCCGCCCCGCCGCCCCCGCTGGGGTGCAGCGCCTGCCCTGCCCGGCCTCGGCGCGCTCTTGGAGGGGCACTGGGATGGAGTAGACGCTGAGGCCCGCTCTTCGCGGTCAGTTGCGGCTTAGGAGGTGTGGGGGGTCCGGCCTTCTCACCACCCCACCCAGTGCAGATCCCTGAGACCTGAATGCCCCGCGGCCGCACGTCACCCTAAGGGAGGCACCTTTTTGGCCCGCCCCAGGTGGCCAGCGGTTGGAACCCAGCGTCTGAGCACCCCCGGGGCGAAGCCTCCTAGGTCCCGCAAATGCGGACGTGTGAGGGCCAGCAGCAATGGGGCCTTGCCCCCTCTTCCTCCCCACCTCGTCCACCGCGTCGCACCAACTCCCCTAAGCGCGTGCTCACCTTGATAGAGGGCTAGGGGAGGGAGCGGGTGTTAGAGAAGAGTCCAGCCTTGCAGCAGGTTCCAGGGCCCCAGAGGGTAGAGGTTTGATTGCAGACCAGGGGGAAGGTACCTTTCAGGGCTTTCCTTAACTGACTGCGTCCACACCCCAGCTCCCCTCCTGGCCTCAACAGGAGCCCAGGGGATATGGAGGTTCTGGTGAGGGCAGGTTTGATTTCTACTCAGAAGCGCAAGGAAATGGCTTCTTTAAGCCAGAATCCCAAGGGCAGGGCCAGCTGTTTTCCAAGGAAAACTAGAAGGTTCTGCCCAGGGCTCTCAGACCCTGGGGTAAACGGCTTCTCCTCTGAGAGCTGGCGGAACCTAGCCAGCAGCATCCCTCCCGGAACCCATCCCCAGCAGGCCTGCTCCTATCACTCCTGAGATCAAACCCAGAGGCAGGGTTGCTGCCCTAGTTCTGCCCCAGCAGGCCAGGGCTGTGAGGGAGAGTGGCCTTCCCAGGCAGGCATCATAGTACTGGTGGTCTCTGCCCCCAGAGCAGCTGGCCCTGGTGATTGGGGGCACCATCGGGGGGCTGCTGCTGCTGCTGTTGATCGGGGCAAGCTGCTGTCTGTGGAGAAGGTTCTGTGCCACCCTCACCTATGAGGAGCTGCCTGGGACACCAGCCATGGCCACCACAGCTGCCTCCAGTGGGCAGCGGGACAGGCCCTGCCAGCCGCATGCTAGGACCCAACTGAGCAGGTGAGGCAGGATGTGGGGCCAAGTGCGCCCCTGGAATTTCCCTCAGGGTGGGGTCGAAAAGGAAAGTTCTGTTTATGGGGGTGCCTCTTCTATGCTGCTTCGGTGCTGGGAGCTATCACAAAGAAACCCCAGAAACCTCACATCAGCTATTAGGCAGGTGTTATGAAACCCATGTTCCAGGTGAGGAATCTGAGGCTCAGTGCACATAAGCAACAGGTCCAGAGAACACAATTAGTAAGTGGCAGAACAGGAATCCAAACCCAGACTGGCTGACACTGTCAGGTGCTGTGTTCCTTCTCCAAATCCCACTGCTGTGTGTGTGTGTGTGTGTGTGTGTGCGTGTGTGTGTGTGTGTTGCCTGGTATGGGCCCAGAAAATGGTGCCCTGGCCTCCTCCTGGCTCCCGATGGCTTTTCTTCCTCCAGCCCCTGGTGCTCAACCGTCCTGGCTGAGCGCTCTGAGACCACACCATTCACTTGCCACCTACATGTTGTCTCCCTGACTCTGGACAGGCCACCAGCTGTGCCATTCGTGGTGCCCCCAACCCTTCAAGGCCGAGATTGGGTGCCCCTGCACAGTGGAGAGTGGGCCGATGCCCCATGGGACCCCTGCCCGGCATCAGAGCTGCTGCCTCACACCTCCAGCGGCGGCCTTGGTGAGTGTCCTTGCCAGGGCTGCCCAGAGGTCAGGGTCTGCTCGGGTGGCCCCATCTGCTTTCACCAGCTTGGCTCCGGAACACAACCTGAACCAGCCAGGGATGCCAGGGACCACCCAGGGACCACTCTTTCTGGGTGCTTTCATTTATGAAGTGCTTGCTGCACCCCATGAGGGTGAGATATGGCCTTGGGTGCTGATTTGGAGTGAGACCTCACCATGACTCTGAGGGGGAGGAATTATCACCCCATTTTACATAGTCTTAACTGAGGCTGTAAGCAACAGATTGGAATTGGAACCCAGGCACGCCATGTACAGAACTTGTGCTGGGTCCCACTCTAGGATGATGGGTTGGTTGACCAAGAGGACAGAATGGTAGGGGCTGCAAACACAGCTTTCTGCCACCTCTTTGCCCTGAAGATCTACCAAGAGACCATCACAGGAACCACCCAATAATCACCTTGGCCCTTCTAATTTGAAGAGGAAGAAGAAAGGCAATGTTTTATCGCTGAGTCATTCCCTAGACGCCATGGAAGGGGGCTAGGCCAGGTGATGGGCACTGTGTCCTTGAAACAGGTCCTGACCTCCAAGGATGGGGGCCAATCCCAGGGGGCAGGACTCTGCTGGATCCCCAGCCTGGCCATGCAATGCCTTCATGGTGAGAAGGCTTCTTGGAGGAGCTGCACCAGAGAGAGGGGATGTGTTTAGCCTGGTGAGGAGAGTGGGGCAGATGTGGTCAGGCTAGCTGAGGCTCAGCAGAGACGGATGGGCCAGGATGGGGATGGGTGCCCAGAGCTTGCCACTGTCTCCCATGCCCCTGCCTTCCTCTGGCCTGCCAGCCCTCCCACCCTCTGTCATAGGAGATGCATGTATGGTGGGGGCCATCAACCCAGAGCTGTACAAGTTCCCAGAGGACAAAAGTGAGACCGACTTCCCCGACGGCTGCCTGGGGCGGCTGTGGTTCTCGGTGGAATATGAGCAGGAGGCTGAGCGGCTGCTGGTGGGCTTGATCAAGGCACAGCACCTGCAAGCCCCCTCGGAGACCTGCAGCCCCCTGGTGAAGCTCTACCTGCTGCCCGATGAGCGGCGCTTCCTCCAATCCAAGACCAAACGCAAAACCTCCAACCCGCAGTTTGACGAGCACTTCATCTTTCAGGTACAGCTTCTGGAGCAGGCAGGGTCTGGTGCCCTCCGCGTTGCTGGGAAGGTGCAGACCTACAGGAGAGCCCAGCCTCCTGTACCAGCCAGGGCTCTGCAGCCCCCGGGACCCTTGATGCCACCAGCTCTGCTTTACCTAGTCTGCTAGGTTAAGGCCTATAGGAGCTGATCCCTGATAGAGGGGCAGGGGAGAGATTTGGTGAGTGGTGACCAGAAGCCTGGGCTTCCCTGTCCTGACTACCTGGAAGAGAGTGGGTGAAAACACAATTTTAGAGCAACTACTGAATGCCAGGCCCTGGCCTATGGGGCTCAGGGGAATTATCCCAAAGGCCTGAAGCACTATGGGGTTTCTGGCAAGTTTATCCAAGGAAGGCAAAAGACAGGCCTCAGCGTGAATGCAGAAGCTTCCTGTGCTGTCAGAGGCCAGCGCGGGGCCCGAGTGCCCTCACAGGGTAGGTGTGGTGCCTTGCTGCACTCTGGGCTGGCCGGCTTAGGGTCTGGAGGTGGAGAGTCTATTGGGGCACCGAGCCAGTTTCACAGGGGCCTGGGAGCCTTAGCAGGTGACTGGGGGCCCTTAGGGGAAGGAGTCATCGAGACCTGCCAAGAGGCCTTGGACAAACATGTTCTCAAGAGCTGGGTGGCAAGCTAGCCAAGAGGTGAGGTTCAGCCAGTCAGCTTTCAGGAGGAGTGTGACTGCGGAGGCCAGGGCCATCACTTGTGCCTTCCGCCCTGGCTGAGAGCTGGGAAGAGGGGTGCCATCGGGCCTGGTCCCGGGCCGTCTTTCTGAGGCCAGGGCTGTGAGAATTCACAGGTGAATCGCTCTTCTCAAGACATCAGAATCCAAGGCTGCAGCCTTGCTGACGTGCGACACGTCATGCTTGCAGGCTAATTTTTCTTAGCTCATCACTTCCCCACTCTATCTCGCCCCAGCTTGATCCAATCCCTCTGTGGAAAAGGGAGAAGGGGAAAGAAAAGAAAATCAATATTAATGGGCCATCTGCTGGAGGTCAGACACTGTGATTGGGGTTTTACAACCAGAGAGGAAGACCCATAATCCCCATTTCACAGGCGAGGAGGCCAAATCTCAGGGAGGAGAGAGCTGGCATGCCCAGCTCTGACAGCAGAGACAGGCCGGTGCCCTGGGCTCCTGGGCCTTTGCTACAGTGCAGGGTGGTGGCGGAGCCACACTCACCGTGCAGCCATGTCACTTGGTGCTCCGGTTAAACGGCAGATTCCAATTCATGAATCTGGGCTGGGGCCCAAGATCCTGCATTTCTAACAGGGCTCCAAGTGGTGGTAGACGCTACAGGTCCTCGGACCACACTCTGTGTACCAAGGTCCTGGCACCTACCCCCACTTTCCAGGGGTACACGGCTCTGCTGCTGAGAAGGGTCCCCTGAAAATGCCTAGGTTTGGGGGATGTGGGTCCCTGGTTGAGACACCCGTTCCCAAAAGCACCCATGTCCAGAATAACAAGTCACACCATCCCATCCCCTACCCCCACGCCTGACTCTGGCTGGTGTCCTTGTCCCCCCCAGGTGTCCAGCAAGACCATCACCCAGAGGGTGCTGAAGTTCTCCGTCTACCACGTGGACAGGCAGAGGAAGCACCAGCTCCTGGGCCAGGTGCTCTTCCCCTTGAAGAATGAGACCCTAGTGGGGGACTGCCGGCGTGTCATCTGGAGAGACCTGGAGGCTGAGAGCCTGGAGGTATGGTCAAGGTCACCATGCCTATGCCACTGAGCATCAGCTGGCAGGTGTGCACAGGGCCCAGCACCTGCTGGCGGCATCAGCCCTCAGCATCCTGCACACCACCCTACAACAGTGACTCAGGGAGGAGGGCCCAGGCCCCAAGCAGCATGGGACAGGTGGGAACGGACCTGCCCCTGGGCAGGGAGGGCCTGCTTGAGGTCCTGTTGTCACACTGGCCATCAGACCCCCTGGAGCAACCTGAAATATCCACATTTGGATTCTTATCTAGGTTAGACAGCTGTGAGAGATGACACCACAAATGGTCCAGCCCAGGGAAATGTTTCCTCCAGCCCACCACCCCCAGGAAGGCCCCAGCTGGCTCAGACCTGGGTGTGACTCCTTAGCTGTGGTCCACAGGACTGCACAAGCCCCTTAAACTCTCCAGACCACAGTTGCCCCATCCTTAAAATGGCAGTGGAACTCAAAGGGGACCATGCGGGTGTGTCGCATGGGCCGCTAGGAGGAAGCGGGAGGCTCTCTGGGGGTTCTGTGACCCCTTCAGCACTTGCCAGAGTAACAGGATGGGGTGCTTCCATCTTGGCCTCCCCAGCCCCCCTCGGAGTTTGGCGACCTCCAGTTCTGCCTCAGCTACAACGACTACCTGAGCCGCCTGACGGTGGTTGTGCTGCGTGCCAAGGGCCTCCGGCTCCAGGAGGACAGAGGCATTGTCAGTGAGTTCCTCCCTTTCCTCCTGGGGAAGGTCCCACCCACCGAGCTTACAGCCTGGGGCTACAGTCCAACCTCATCCCTGACCATCCAGTTTCTGCTTGCATACACCTATCATGGAGTGCTCACTACCTCACAAGACGTGCTGTCCCTCGGTCGACAGTTCTGGTGCAGGAAGCCTCTTCCTGTGTTGAACCCAAAGCTGCATCTCCTTGGCCTCCCCTACGGAGGGTTCTAACCCAGCCGCAATACCAGGCCCTGCCCCTCCTGTTTCCCGAGGCAGCGTCTTGGCTCTTTGAACTGTCCTGCCTGCCTCCACCTCCACCTTTCCATCAGCGGCATGGGTCCAGTTCCTCCAGGGTGAGGCCCGCACCTCCCTCCCCACAGGGGAAGAGCCCCCGACTCAATGGGCACTGATGCTTGGCCTCCCAGAATACAGGAGCTGCAGAAGGGGAGGCCTTGGTTCACCCCACATGTCCCACCCCATTTGGGCTCACCCCACACATCCCACCCATCCCAGTGAGGTGGTGGTGGTCAGCCACCTGTTTGTGTTCACATCTGGGGTCACCGTAAGCCAGGCAGGATCCAGACCTTCCACTGTGACTCTGACCCTCACCCACCAAATCTTAGCCCTCTGTACAAGGTGTTTAAGGGGCCCCAGGGGGCCTGGGGGCCCAGTGAGCAGCCCCCCAACAGGGAGGGACAGGCTTGCGGTGCTAGGCTCTGGTAAACCAGGGCCTGCAGGAGCCGTGGGTACTTTCCTGATGCAAAGAGGAAGGAAAAGGAAGGGAGCGGAGCCCCGCCTGGGCCGCAGGGCAGTGCACTCCTCAGCCGGCTTCCTCTGGTCACGCCGGCGGGGCCGCAGCACTGTGTGAGGGGTGGGGCCCTGGCACCTAGCTTGGGCACGTGCCCTCCTAGCCGGACCTCCCACAGGCAGGGGCTCTGCTCCCACCTGCCTCTGCCAGCCCACTAGTGCTCACCGTTCCCTAGGTGTGTTTGTCAAAGTGTCTCTGATGAACCACAACAAGTTTGTCAAGTGCAAGAAGACTTCAGCTGTGCTGGGCTCCATCAACCCTGTGTACAATGAGACCTTCAGCTTCAAGGCCGATGCCACCGAGCTGGATACCGCTAGCCTCAGCCTGACTGTGGTGCAGAACATGGAAGGGGACAGTAAGGCCACACCCTACCCTGGGCTGCTGGGATGGGGACCACGAGGGGCTGCCGAGTGTTCAGGCAGAGTGAGTGCCTCCTGTCCTGACCTCAGAAGGAGCCGTACGAGCTCCCTCCCTGGTTAAGGAAACTAGTGCTCAGAAAGGCTGAAATATTGCCCAAGGCCTGGGTTTCAGGCCCAGCTTTAGTCCAGTTGAGCTCTGTCTGTGGCACCCTAGAAACAGGTTAAGCAGCCGGGCATGCTGGCTCACATCTGTAATCCCAGCACCTTGGGAGGCCAAGGTGGGTGGATCACTTGAGCTCAGGAGTTCAAGACCAGCCTGGCCAACATGGTGAAACGCTCATCTCTACTAAAAATACAATAATTAGCTGGGCGTGGTGGCACACCCCTGTAATCCCAGCTACTTGGGAGGTTGAGGTGGGAGGATCTCTTGAACCCAGGAGGCGAGGCTGCTGAATCTGTCAAAAAAAAAAAAAAAAAAAAAAAGGGCCGGGCACGGTGGCTCACACCTGTAATCCCAGCACTTTGGGAGGCCGAGGTAGGCAGATCACGAGGTCAGGAGATCGAGACCATCCTGGCTAACACAGTGAAACCACGTCTCTACTAAAAATACAAAAAATTAGCTGGGTGTGGTGGCTGGCGCCTGTAGTCCCAGCTACTTGGGAGGCTGAGGCAGGAGAATGGCATGAGCCTGGGAGGCGGAGCTTGCAGTGAGCCGAGATCGCACCACTGCATTCCAGCCTGGGCAACAGAGCGAGACTTCGTCTCAAAAAAAAAAAAAGAGGTTGGCTGGGTGCGGTGGCTCACGCCTATAATCCTAGCACTTTGGGAGACCGAGAGGGGTGGATTACGACATCAAGAGATCAAGACCATCCTGGCCAACATAGTAAAATTCTGTCTGTACTAAAAATACAAAAGTTAGCTAGGCGTGGTGGTGCACGCCTGTAGGCCCAACTACTCGGGAGGCTGAAGCAGAAGAATCACTTGAACCCGGGAGGCAGAGGTTGCAGTGAGCCAAGATCTTGCAACTGCACTCCAGCCTGTCCACAGAGCGAGACTCTGTCAAAAAAAAAAAAAAGAAAAGAAAAGAAAAAGAAAGAGGTTAAGCAATGGCCTCTGCTGCCCTCTCCTGGAGCAAATCACCCGAGAGAGTGGGAGGGGCCAGGCCTGCCACCAGCCCAGGGACCTGGTGCTCTGACCTTCCTCGTGCCCTCCAGATGAGACTTTGGGGTTCTGGGCGAGTTCTGTCAGCCAGCTCCCACACTGCCCCACACCCCAGCACCCACTGCCACTCTGGGGAAACAGAGCCATCAGGCCGTGGCTGGCCACATGGCCTGGACTTAAGACCCTTCTCCACGGTGGCCAGTGAATGTTACTGCTGAATGTACTCTCGGATGGCCGAGGCCTTCTTTCTAGAGGGGCCCTTTCCTCCCTCAGCTCTTTGGCATAAGGTAGACTTAATACGGCCCCACAGAAGGGTGTGGGGCAGAGCTGGTGGCCCTCAAGGAGAGAGTCTTTCAGGGCTCTCCTTCCTCCCAATCTCCCAGGGGGAGAAGCAGCCCTTCCAGCTGCAGAGCAAAGGCAGGGCCCCTTTGGGGCCTGTCAGCTCCCACTCAGAGAGGAGGGGAGTTGCTACTTCCTCCTGGGGAGGAGGAGGGAGGAAAGGAGGTCACTGGGGACGGGGCTTCTGTGCTCAGGAGCACACCGGTGCTCTCCCTCCCCTGCAGAGAGCCAGCAGCTGGGCCGAGTGGTGGTGGGCCCCTACATGTACACCCGCGGCAGAGAGCTGGAGCACTGGGACGAGATGCTCAGCAAGCCCAAGGAGCTGGTGAAGCGCTGGCATGCGCTCTGCCGCACCACGGAGCCCTGACCCTTCGCCCAGCACCGCGGTTCCGCTTTGGGAGCCGACCATCCTCGCAGTTGCATGTGACAGCCACAGCCACACGCATGGACGTTTCATCCAACAGCTCCCCGAGCTGCCAGCCAGCCCGAGCCAGGAGGACGTGAGTGCTGATATGCAGGAGAGAAGAGGGGACAAAGAAGCCCTGGCCCGGTCAGCGGCTCTGGCCATACAGCCTTCCGACACACTCCCTCCTCCTTATCTGCGGGGCTGCCTGGGCTCGGAATCCCGGCTCCTGGTCCTCACAGCCCTGATTTGGACCAGAATCTCAGATGCTCAGAAGAAAGATCCTGTTTAGTGATGACCCAGCTCTACCTGCTGAATGGACCTGCAGGGTAAACTTGGGTGCCTCCATCTGGGAAAGCTGATGATGTGTTCATGCAGTCGATGACCCTCACTGCTTTTTCAGCCAGGGTTTCTCTGCCTTCTGCCTGGCAGAGAAAACACACTGCTATGGGGAAAATCACAGGGAGGGCGCTGTGACCAGCGCACTCAGGCACCAAGTGTCGGCATGGCTCACTGTGCTGGGTGAAGGCCTCCCCGAGCATTAGGTCCTCCACGGGGCTGTGTCAAATGCCCTCCCACATTGTATCAAGTCTGCCCATGGCCCACCCTCCCCACAGTCCAAAACCACACAGCCCTGGTTCTCCAGCTGTTCTGCTGCTGTTTCTGTGCTCTCCCTGATTAAGAGCATTCAGTTCCTGGGCTCTCCCTTTGAGCAGGAAATGGTGAAAGCATGTGGCTATGGTATAGCCCACAGGGCTGAGATTGCTGTGTTGCAGTATTGATGTAAAATTTGTTAAGAAGGAAGTACCCACAGATCACTGCCATCAACTCCCCAGAAGTTGCACTCAAGCTAGTGAGCAGCCCTTGTGCTTGTCACAGTTACTGTAACAGGTAGTGTGTATTTGCACCTGGCATCGTGCAGCCTGCACGTCAACACGTTGTTTTGTGTAACTAGAACAGCACATGGAACCACTATCTCTTTCTCTTTTTTCCTTCTTTTTCTTTTTTTTTTTTATTTTAATTTTTTGAGACAGAGTTTCCCTCTTGTCACCCAGGCTGGAGTGCAATGGCGTGATCTCGGCTCACTGCACCCTCCACCTCCCAGGTTCAAGCGATTCTCCTGCCTCAGCCTCCCAAGTAGCTGGGATTACTGGCGCCCGCCACCATGCCTGGCTAATTTTTTTTATTTTTAGTAGAGACGGAATTTTACCATGTTGGCTAGGCTGGTCTCAAATTCCTGGCCTCAGGTGATCCACCTGCCTCAGCCTCCCAAAGTGCTGGGATTACAGGCATGAGTCACCGCACCCAGCCCGACCAGTATCTTTTTCTTATGCAGTGAAACAACTTTAGCAAAAGAGGCAATGAATGTTATACTGAGTTTCTACCTCTTTAACTCCACCTCCAATTTCTGTCAATCTACAAACACAAGTGTCGCCTCGCAGTGTTTCGTATGAACAGAATATCTTGTGTTTGCTTTTTGTCACTTATTTCACTTGCACATTTTTTGTTTGTTTGTTTGTTTGTTTGTTTGTTTTTTGAGATGGAGTCTTGCTCTGT
This sequence comes from Homo sapiens, assembly GCF_000001405.40. NCBI lineage: Eukaryota > Metazoa > Chordata > Mammalia > Primates > Hominidae > Homo > Homo sapiens. The sequence continues at coordinate 47,752,578 of NC_000010.11, read as the reverse complement.
CGCCCAGGCTGGAGTGCGGTGGCGCGATCTAGGCTTACTGCAAGCTCCGCCTCCCGGGTTTACTTACACCACTGTCCTGCCTCAGCCTCCGGAGTAGCTGGGACTACAGACACCTGCCACCACGCCCTGCTAATTTTTTGTATTTTCAAGTAGAGACGGGGTTTCACTGTGTTAGCCAGGATGGTCTCGATCTCCTGACCTCATGATCTACCCGCCTCGGCCTCCCAAAGTGCTGGGATTACAGGCGTGAGCCACCACGCCCGGCCCACTTGCACATTTTCAAAGTAGTCCGCAAAGCTGTAGTTTCTAATAGCTTCATAGCTCACATGTAATAGGGGTTCTCTGTGTGTTTATAGAGCAGGCTACTACAGTGGAACTGTTTCTGTTTCATCTGACATCCGGATAGATGCCAGCCACCCCCACATTCCAAGGTGAGATTTCTGACTAGCAGTGACTTTTCTAGGGCCGCTTGGAAAAGTTGATAAGTATCCTTTTCTGCAGGACAGAGTAGACTGGTATCTCTGACTCATCCCTGAAAAATCTAAATGGCAAGAGACTAGCTGGCTCTCTGCTCTGATGGGGAGGAGGTTGTTGTTTGGGCTGTTCTCTACAGACATAGTCAGGGCAAAAAGCATACGCATGCTTCCCATGGACCAGAGAAACCTGGCCTGGGTTGTCTCAAATCCTGTCCACAAGGCAACTCCAGAAGAAAGAAGCCCTTTACATTTCCATAAAACACTTTAGAATCAGCTAGTCAATTTCCACAAAATAAAGTGCTAGAATTTGATTGGATTTAATTGATTATGTAGAACAATTTGGGGGCCATTTGACATCATTAAAATATTCAATCTTCCTATTCATTAACATGGTATATCTCTTCACTTTAAGTCTTTTGTATGTTTCTCAGAACTATTTTTGTGGTTTTCAGTAAAGTGTTCTTGCACATCCTTCAATAGATTTATTCTTAGACGTTTTATATTTGTTTATGGCTAGTATATACAGATTCTGTTGCTACAAAACTATGTTGACCTTGTTATCCAGTGAGAGGCTTTGTGACATTCATTTAAATTGTAATAATTTGCAGATTATTTTTGTATAATCATGTCCTCTGTGAATGACAGTTTTATTTCTTCCTTTCTTAATCTTTATGCCTTATTTAGCTCTTGCCAAACTGCAGTGGCTGAGCAATTGGACAAGATAAAGAAATAAAAGTGATCCAGATCATAAAGAAAGAAGTAAAACTATATCTGCACATGACATAATCTTGTCTATGGAAAATCCTAAGGAATCCACACACAAAAAAACTACTAGAGCTAATAAGTTTGGCAAGGTTGCAAGATATAAAATTGGTATACAAATTGCAGTGGCTAGGACCTCCAGCAGAATGCTGACTATAAGTAGTGATAGTGGGTATTCTTGTCCATCCTCAATCTCAGGGGTGGTGGGTGTGGCATGTGGAGAGTTGTCAATATTCACCATGAAGTTTGATGGTTGTTATAGGATTTTTAATGTACTCATTAACATATATTCTCAAGCTGTTAAAAAGATTTTTTTAATTACAAATAAGGTTAAATTTCTCTCAAATACTTACTCTGCACCTTTTGAAATAATTTTATTTTTCTCCTTTATTCTTTGGATGTGATGACTTATACTAATTGACTGTTGAATGTCAAACCAAACTTAACATTCTTGTAATAGAAACCAGCAGGGTGTGTACACTTTTGTGTGTGTGTGCAGGTTTATACACATAAACACAATAATACTTGGACTTATTTATTTAAAATTTAGATTTATTAGAGGGAGCATGGCCATAAAATAAAATAAAATAAAATTTAGATTTAAGTCGAGCTCAGTGGCTCACATCTATTATCCCCGCACTTTGGAAGGCCAAGGCAGGTAGATTGTCTAAGCTCAGGAATTTGAGACCAACGTGGTGAAACTCGGTCTCTACAAAAACCACAAAAATTAGCCAGGTATGGTGTCACATGCCTGTTGTCCCAGCTACTTGGAGGGCTGGGGCAGGAGTATTGCGTGAGCCCGGGAGGTTAAGGCTGAAGTGAGTCATGTTCACGCCACTGCACTACAGCTTGGATAACAAAGCGAGACTCTGTCTCCAAAAATAAAATAAGTAAATAAATAAATAAATAAAATTTAGATCAATTTGCTGTTATATTTTTATATAAACTATGTTTATGACATAAGTATAAACAAAAAAATAAAATAAGTAAATAAATAAATAAAATTTAGATTAATTTGCTGTTATATTTTTATATAAGCTATGTTTATGACAGACTTTCCTATAATATTCTTATCATAATGTTCTTGCACTTGAAAGAATGTGCATTCTGCAGTTGTGTGCAGGTGTTATGTGTATTTCAACTGGGTCAAGTTTGTTAATCAGGTTGGTCAAATTATCTACGTCTTTACTGATATTTTTGTCTGTTTTTCTATAAATTACTGAGAGAGGATAAAGCCTGCCACTGTTATTATGAATTTGTTTATTTCTCCTTTGAGTTTTGTTAGTTTTTGTTTTATGCATTTAGAGGTTGTGTTATTAGGCTCATACCCATTTAAAATTGATGTTTTCTGGTAGAGTGAACCTTTATTATGTGAAATGGCTTTCTCTACCACTCACAATGGTATTTTTTTCACTTTCCCCCTTATTTTTGAATTTTCAATGTTCTTATAATGATGTCATGTCTCTTGAATAGAGTTGTTTTAATCAAGTCTGTCAAATTTTGTCTTTTGTGTATTTCGTGAATTTACATTTATTGTAATTACTGATATAGTTGTGTTCATAAATACCATCTTACTACTTGTTTCCATTTGTCTTACCCATTTTTGTTTTTATTTTTTCTTTTCTGTTGCTTTCTTTCTGATTATTTTTTTAATTCCGTTTCCCCCCCTACCATTGGTTTTACTTACACATTCTTTTATAATTTCTTTAGTGGTTTCCTCCACAGATTACAACTTCTGTACATTATTATAATCTAATACAAATTTTACTTTTTATTGTTTCCCAGACAATGCTATGATCTCACAATACTCAATCTCTATTTACCTCCATTCTACTCTTGCATGTATATTATTATTACTCATTTTAATTTCACATATATTTTACACCTAACGAGACATTATTATTATTGCTATGTGCAGTCAATATTCATTTGTATTCACCCACATATTCACTCTGTTTTTTTTTTATTATTTCCTGCATTTCTGTGATTCTATCATAGATCAGTTTTCTTCTACCTGAAGAATTCCCTTTAGTATTTTTTGTGTATGCACATCTGCTGGCAGCAAATTTTCTCAGGTTTTTTTGTGTTTTTTTGTTTGCTTGTTTTTGAGACAGGGTCTCACTCTGTCGCCCAGGCTGGAGTGCAGTGGCATGATCATGGTTCACTGTAGCCTCAACCTCCTAGGTTCAAGCAGTCCTCCCACCTCAGCCTCCCGAGTAGCGGGACTACAGGCAGGCACCACCATACCTGGCTAATTCTTTTGTATTTTTTGTAGAGAAGGGATTTCACCATGTTGCTCAGGCTGGTCTCAAACTCCAGAGCTCAAACAGTCTGCCTGCTTTGACCTCCCAAAGGACTGGGATTACAGGCCACCTCACCCAGCCTTTCTCAGTTTTTGAATAGAAACATCTATTTCAAATTCATTTTTAAGTATATTTTGTGAATATAGGATTACAGGTTGACACTTTTTTCTTTGAGGAACTTCAGAATGGCACTCCATTATCTTCTCACTTCCATCATTTCTGTTGACAAGTGATTTTCAGTGCTATTGTTTCTCCTTTGAGAGTAATGTGTCAGTAACATGCACTGGCTCACGCCCGTCATCCCAGCACCCTTGAGCCCAGGAGTTCAAAACCAGCCCAGGCAACAGAGCAAGATCCCCCCCCTCTACAAAAGAAAACGACAGGAGGGAGGCAGGAAGGAGGAGAGAGGGAGGGAGGGGAAAAGAAAAAAGAAAAGAAGAAATGTGTCCCTCCTACCTGCCTCTAGCTGCTTTTAATGTTTTTTCCTTGTCTTTCATTTGCAGCAGTTTAAGTATAGTGTGCCTGGGTCGGGTGCGGTGGCTCACGCCTATAATCCCAGCACTTTGGGAGGCCAAGGCCAGTGGATCACCTGAGGTCAGAAGTTTGAGACCAACCTGGCCAACATGGTGAAACCCCGTCTCCACTAAAAAATCCAAAAATTAGCCAGGCATGGTGGCGCGTGCCTGTAATCCCAGCTATTCGGGAGACTGAGGCAGGAGAATCGCTTGACCTTGGGGAGGCAGAGGTTGCAGTGAGCTGAGATCGCGCGCCACCGTACTCCAGCCTGGGTGACAAAGAAAAACTCCGTCTCAAAAAATAATAATAAAAAAAAAGTATAGTGTGCCTGGATGCAGTTTTGTTTTTATTTATCCTGCTTGGGGATCATAAAGCTTTATCAGTTTTGGAAAGTTCTCAGCCTATATTTATTTAACTGTTCCTTCTGCCCCATCTTCCTCCCTTCTAAGACTCCAGTTACATATGTGTTAGGCCTGTTCACCACTTCCCACAAGTATCTTATGTTCTTTGCTGTATTTTCCATACTCTTTGTCTCTGTTCTTCAGCTTAGAGTTTTTATTCTGTCCTATATTACAGTTCAAAGAATGTTCCTTCTGCTAAATCTAATTGTAGTTAACCCATATGCTAAGTAGTTAATTTCAATTATTGTATTTTTAAGTTTTAAATTTCCATTTCATTCTTTCTTGTAGATTCCAGTTCTTTGATGAAAGTCTCTATTCCACCCATCAAGTCTGTGTCTGATAACACCAATATCTGGGTCATTAGTGGCTCCGTTTTGTTGTGTCTGTTTTCCCCTCCTTCCTGTTTTGTGGTGTGTTTGATCACTTATTGTTGAATGCTAACCATTATAATAAATTTTAGTGGCTCCAGGAAACATGATCTGAAAACAATGTCTGTCTCAAGGGAGGGTTTACCATGTCATCTGATAGACAGAGTGGGAAGATTTTACCTTAATCCAATGGTACCGAACTGACTAGAGTCTATGTTGCAGTTTTTGGAAGGCTTCATCTCCATCTCTGGTTTGCCCGTCTATCTAGAGTGTGGTCCTCCAAGGATTCCAACTGAGTGTCTGATGTGATTATTAGGCTTCTTTTCCTTGGTGGGTCCTGAACTCCAACTTTTATCTCATTAATATGACACTGCCAAAACCTGCTGCTTTTCATAGCCTTTCTGCATAGCTTAACTCAGCAGATGCCTCAAGGGGAAAGTGTTCCTTTTCTGTGTCTCCCTTCTACATGATATCTTGGCCCCTTCAGTTCCAGCTGCCTTGACAACCTCAGTCTCCATTTCTTGTCTCTCCAGCTGAAGACTCTGCTGCCTTTGCTGCCTCTTAGCTATGGCCGTCTGCCCAAATGCTCGGCCTCTTAGCTAAAATCAGCACGTTTCCTGAAGGGAAAAGTAGTTCACAGAGGGCCAGCTTGCCTCCTTGTGTTTTTCTTCTTTTGAGATTATGACCCTTCAAATGTTTGTTAACTGGGAAGCTTTCCAAAAACTTTTTAAAAAAGTTTTCTGTGTTTTATTCAGCCTTTCCAGTTGTTCTTGGAATGAGTGTTGGTCTGCCTCAAGCAGAAAAAAAATTCTCAGAATTCTTTTCTCAGAAAAAGGATTCTCAGCAGAGAGTGATTTTATACAGGGAATGGGATTAAACAATTCTTGGGAAAGCTGGTGAAGCCAACGAGGGAACAGTTACTTTTATCAGTGTGCAATTTTTTTGCTATAATGGTGCATAACAACTAATCACAACATGTCAATGCCATACTTAAATAAGCACTCATTTCTAACACATCTGTGGGTTGGCTGGAGGTGGTCTGAGCTAGGGTAGGCAACTCACTTTTTTTTTTTTTTTTTAGGGTTTCACTCTTGTTGCCCAGGCTGGAGTGCAGTGGCGCCATCTCAGCTCACTGCAACCTCCGCCTCCCAGGTTCAAGTGATTCTCCTGCCTCAGTCTCCTGAGTAGCTGGGATTACAGGCATGCGCTACCACGCCCGGCTAATTTTGTCTGCCTTCCTTCCTTTCTTTCCTTTCTTTCTTTCAACGGAGTTTTGCTCTTGTTGCCCAGGCTGGAGTGCAATGGCATGATCTCGGCTCACCGCAACCTCTGCCTCCCAGGTTCAAGCGATTCTCCTGCCTCAGCCTCCCAAGTAGCTGGGATTACAGGCATGTGCCACCACGCCCGGCTACTTTTGTATTTTTAGTAGAAACGGGGTTTCTCCATGTTGGCCAGGCTGATCTCGAACTCCCGACCTCAGGTAATCCGCCTGCCTCGGCCTCCCAAAGTGCTGAGATTACAGGCGTGAGCCACTGCGCCAGGCCTAATTTTGTATTTTTTAGTAGAAACGGGGGTTTCTCCATGTTGGTCAGGCTCGTCTCGAACTCCGGACCTCAGGTGATCTGCCTGTCTCGGCCTCCCAAAGTGCTGGGATTACAGGTGTGAGCCACTGCGCTGGGCCTGGCAACTCACTTTCAAGCTGGCTGGGCTTGGCTCCTCACATTTGTGCATTCTGAACACAGGCTGCAGGGACAGCTGCTACCCCCAGGGAAAGCTCTTTTCATGGTGAAGGCAGAAGCATAAAAAGGCAAGCTGCATTGTGCAGATGCATATCTGTGTCTCTCCTTATGTTGTGTCATCCAATATCCCATTGGCCAAAGCACGTCACATAGCCAAGCTCCAAATCAAGGGTCAGAGAAGTAAATGATATCTTTTTCCTGAGGGGAACTGCAACACTACAGGGCAATGGACACAGCCACAGGGAGGGGTGAAGAATTCAGGTGGACAACGCAATGAACCATGCTGATGTTTCCTGGAGCTGGGATCTTCAGGAATTTGTGCTTGGCTGTGCCCATCCAGTCACCAAGGAGGAACCCCCCTACTGCAGAGCTGCTTTTGGGCCTCGATGCCATTGTTGCCAAACTGACATTCCATGATGAAAATGGACTGTAATTTGTACAGCTATTTGCCAGTTACGTTTTTGCTATTTTGCACTGTGGAAATCTTTGCCCAAATTACTGCAAGAGTCTCGAGCATCCTGCTGTCATAAGTGCAGAGTCAAAGGAAGAAAACGATGATTTTTTAAACCATCTTTCTGCTTTCTAGTCTCATCTGAGTGCCTCACATTTGGCAGAATCAACCTGGAATCCTGCTCATAAGACTATCAGGGAAATATAATTCCCAGACTTCCATTTCCAGAAAAATGTAATAAATACTTTTAAAGGGGATGGAGATGGTACCGTGTGCTAACCCCACTCTGAGACAAACCTGGGTCACAGGAACCATAGGGAAGATGTCTGCAGTAGAAGGGGACCTCGAAGTACTCAAGTACTTGGCTCACAACAGCACTATTCACATAAAGCCTGGCCTGCCCCTTGGTGACCTCCTTCCCTTACGCCTCTAGACTCTACTAGGTGATCAGAAATCCCTGCAAGCTAGTTGGGGAGGGAAGAGTGAAAGTGAAAAATGGAGAGGAAACACTGCTACCCGCCCAATGCCTGGAGCCAAATGCAAGCCTGGGCCAGGCTTGGGGGAGGAATCAAGAGGAAGCTTAAACTTAAAATGAAATCGAAAGTTTAGACTCCTACATGGGATTGGACATTTTAAATGCTGAACAGAGCCTATTTTTATAGCTAGAAGTTACAGGACACATTTTTGGTCAACTGAGAATGATCCAAAAATCATGTGAATTTTGTGATCCAGAAAGTCACAGAACATGCCCTAGATTTTATCCCAGGGGCAGGGAGGAGTGACCTGCAGAGCAAGTTTGAATTGGTAAATAGAAAACAAGAATAAAATAGTTTGCTGTTTACATTCCATAAGCCTGGCTCTTTCAACATCATGGTTATATTTCTTGGTTGAATTTAGTATGCCACTATGACGCCGGATTGTGATATTTGCCTAGGATGTTTTGTCCTAATATTTAGTATGGAATTATTTGCCCAAATCACCTGCCCCTCTCCACTTGTAGCTTTATTTCAAGAGGTATGTTTCTCAAAGTGGAGTGACTGCCAGAGTGGGAGAAAGGAGCTAGCCCTTACCGCTGTAGTAGGTCTTTGTACATCAGCTTGGTAAATCTGCAAGGCCCCCCCTCTTCCCCCCTCCCCCCCAACCCCCCCCCCACCAGGAGCCTTCCCCACGTGTGGACAAGAGAGATGGGAGGATCCGGGAGGATGTGCCGTTTCTCAGGGTCCCACAGCTAGAAGGTGATGGAGCTAGAATTTAAATCAGATTCCAAATGTCTAAAAATACTGTCATTATCACATATTACCAGAGACACCTCAAAAAAGACAGAGACGCCCTGCAGGGCCGCAACATTCCCGCAGCCTGGTAGGGTCTGTTGGGGGCCCCATGCCTGTGAGAGCCGCTCCTGCCGGTGCAGCACCGGGGAGGCTGTGCATTCAACGAGTCCTTCCTCCCTTCTCCTTTCATTCCATTGCTGCCTTCCTTCCTCCCTTCCCCCTCCGCTCCTTCCCCTAGACCTTCCTTCCGCCCTCCCTACCCCCCGCACGTCTCTCCCTACCGTCCTTCTTTCTGTGTGAATTATCTGTTCATCTCCATTGCTGCAGTACCGTCTGGCAAATCATCTGCTTGGATGCTCCTGGCTTTTTGAGAATCGGCTGGCATCAGGGTGCTGACTGACAAACTTCCCGGGGTCTGGGCACTGTGGGGACGGAGCCTGCAGACGGCGGTGTCCCCGCTAGGAGAGCCGTGGGGACGTGATTAACAGGTCAGGCCGGGCCGCGAGGTGGCGGAGGGGCCGCGCTTGCGGGCGTGGGGTGCTGGCAGAGCGCGATCCGCGGCCTGTGGCCCGCAGCCGGACCCGAGCGACAGCCTCCCGCAGCGTGTCTCCAGCGCCCTCTACTGTTCAGCATCCTCCCTGCCGCGAGGGGAGCCGCGGAAGGGGATTCTGGCTGTGCCCACAGAGCAGGTATTAAAGGATGGATTTGGAGGTGCGAGGCCATACATTGACAACCGGTATACCATGCGTCCCAAAACCTTCCCTTGTGTCCCCTTCCAAACACTACCTCTCCCTCCCCACCAAAATAACCAACGACCTGATTTTTATGGCAAACACTGCTTTTACCACCTAACCATGCAACTTCTCTCTCTCTCTCTCTCTCTCTCACACACACACACACACACACACACACATATATATGTATATATATATATGTGTATATATATATATGTATATATATATGTATATATATATATGTGTATATATATATATATGTGTATATATATATGTGTGTATATATATATATGTATATATATATATATATATGAAGCCTGTTGTGATTTTGATTGGGATTGCATTGAGATTTTTTTCTTTTTCCATTTCTTTTTTTTTTTTTTTTTTGAGACAGAGTCTTGCTCTGTCTCCCAGGCTGGAGTGCAGTGGCCTGATCTTGGCTCACTACAAGCTCCGCCTCCCGGGTTCACGCCATTCTCCTGCCTCAGCCTCCCGAGTAGCTGGGACTACAGGCGCCCGCCACCACGCCCGGCTAATTTTTTGTATTTTTTTTTTTTTTTTTTTTTTAGTAGAGACGGGGTTTCACCGTGTTAACCAGGATGGTCTCGATCTCCTGACCTCATGATCTGCCCGCCTCAGCCTCCCAAAGTGCTGGGATTACAGGCGTGAGCCACTGCGCCCGGGGTTGCATTGAGTTTATAAGTCAATTCAGGGGAGAATTGACATCTTTAAAATACTGGGTCATCTAATCAGTTCACATGGTATGTACTTCTGTTTATTTACCTCTTCTCTCATTTCTCTAAATAATATTTAAAGTGTCATGGACATCTTTCATTAAATTTTTCCCCAGACATTTGAATTTTTATGCTACCATAAATGGTATTGTTTTAAAATGTTTTATTTTCTAACTCTTGCTGGTATACAGAAATAAAATTGGTTTTCCTATTTTGACCATTTATTCAGTCATGCTAAACTCACTAATTCTAATAACTTGTCTCTGGATTCTTTTGAGTTGTTAATATACATACATAGTTTTGTATCTTAGGTCCAATCTTAGTATTTTTATTTCAACTTTTTTGCCTTATTACTCTTGTTAGGAATACCAGGAAAGTATTGAATACAAGTGATGATAATGGACATCTTTGTCTTATTTCTGTTCTCAGAAATGTTTCCACATTTCATTATTAAGGAAAATATTTACCATAGTTGTAGCTCCTTGAGATAAACAGTGTTAAAATTTTTTGGCCACTCTCCATTGATTTAATGTATAGTTTTCTAAAAATGAAATATTTTACATACTGTTTCTGAGTAAGATTTTTTACCCAATGCGCTGTAAACACCAAAATCATATATTTTTATATAGTTTTACTTGGCTTACCTTGTTTTTTTGCTTTAACTTGAAAAATATTTCCCTGTTAGGCCAGGCGCAGTGGCTCACGCCTGTAATCCCAGCACTTTGGGAGAGCGAGGCGAGAGGCTCACCTAAGCCTGGGAGTCTGAGACCAGTCTGGCCAACATGGAAAAACCCCATCTCTATTAAAAATACAAAATTAGCCAGGCATGGAGGTGCATGCCTGTAATCCCAGCTACTCGGGAGGCTGAGGCAGAAGAATTGCTTGAACCTGAGAGGTGGAGGTTGCGGTGAGCCAAGATCGTGCCATTGCACTCCAGCCTGGGCAACAAGAGCAAAACTCTGTCTCAAAAAAAAAAAAAAAAAATCCCTGTTTATTCTTTTTTTATAATCGTTTTATTGAGATATAATTCACATATATGATTCATCCATTTAAAATGTATAATTCGATGGTTATTGGAATATTTACATTTCTGTTTAATTCCCTCAATTAATTTTTACATCAACTTGTCAACTTGTATAGGCCATCCCTCAGGGACTTTGTTTATTGTTGAATTAACTCTGTATAGTACATCTTCCCAAACAGCAGGAGCACAGTAGAGTGTTCCACTACTTCTTGTCTCCTTTTATTTCCCTCATGATATTTAAATCATTTCCTTTCAATAAATTAAGCTCTTAAAGTTTTTGGTTTTATCTGTGAGCATGATTATTTTTATTTAGAATTATGTATTACTGTTATATGGTAATATAATTTTGTAAATTTGTTATGTGTAATTAATATATTACTAGCATATTTTTTATTTCCTGGGATTATTTTTCTTAATATATATTCTAGTTATTCAAAATAGTGACATTTTAATTTATTTAAGACTTCTTGTTACGATTACATACGTATTTTTATTCTCAAATCATATAGCCAGCATTTCTACTGCTGAACAAAATGCTTTGAAATATCAATAATACATATATCTGACTTTTATCTAGAATACATATGTCTGATCAGTAAAAAGACAAACAACCCAATAAGATAAATGTGCAGATGACTTGAGAGACACTTCACAAATGAAGGTATACAAATGGCCAATGAGCACATGAAAAGTTGTGCATCATTAGTCATCAGTGAAAGAGAAACCAAAACCAGGAGGTTCCACTTTACAGCCTCTAGAATGGCTACAGTGAAAATGACTGACATCTCAAATGTTGACAAGGATGTACAACAACTGGAAGCCTCCGTTTTGGCTGCGGAGAGTGTAAAACTGCACAACTTTGGAGCACTGTTTGGCAGATTCTTCTCAAGTTAAATATATACCTATCCAATAAACTGACAATCTCAGTCCTAGCTATTTAAATCCCTGCCCCAACAAAAACTTATGTCCACAACAAGACTTGTTTTAAAAATGTTTTTAGCAGCTTTATTCATAATAGTTCGAAACTGGAAAGAACTCAAATGACCTTCAACAGGCGAATGGATAATATATTCACACATTGATATATTACTGAACAATAAAAAAGAATAAACTGCTGATTCACATAAAAATATGGATAAGCCTGAAAAACATTCTTAGGTTAAAAAAAGCCAGTTACAAAGGAATATATACTGTATGATTTCATTTACATGAAGTCCAAACAAAGATCAAACTAGTGTATAGTGATAGAAATCAGAATAGTGGTTGGCCATCATGGATGGAGGAGACTGACTGGAAGTGGGGATGAATGAAAATTCTAGGGTGATGGAAATGCTCCATATCTTGTTTGGGGTTCAGTTACATGAATGTATATATTTGTTAAAACTCTAAATTGTACACTTAAGACCTGTGCATTTAACTATACGTTTTCATGCAATTTTTTTTTAAATTCCAAGAAAAAGGATCTGATTGACCCAATTTGAGTCAGGCATCCTACTGCCTTGCATAATCAGTTTTTGCCAAGGAATCCAAACAAGCAGTATAGACGTGACCTAGAGAAGGGGCACCAGAATGGGCTTGGCTCCCACCCACAAAGTTCCAATATCTCCTACATGATGTCAGTTTTGGGGACCAAAACCATATCATCTTTTTCTATTATTTGGATGTGATCTTTTTATTTATGTATGTTTGTTGTTGGTTTTATTTTTTTAGAGACAGGGTCTCGCTTTGTCATCCAGGCTGGAGTGTAGTGGCAGATCATAGCTCACTGCAGCCTCAAACTCCCGGGCTCAAGTGATCTTCCTGCCTCAGCCTCTTGAGTAGTGTGTCACCATGCCTGGCTAATTTTTTTTTTTTTTTTTTTTAGTGTTTTATAGAGACAAGATCTTGCTATGTTGTCCAGGCTGGTCTCCAATTCCTGGCCTCAAGCAATCCTCCCATCTCAGGCTCCCAAGGTACAGGGATTACGGGAGTGAGCCACCACACCGGAACTGATCTTTCTAACACAGGGAAATTGTATTCTTTAGAAGTGGAGGAATATTTCCTAGTAATTTGATCAAGTAAAAATAATTATAATAAAGAAGGTAAAATCAAGCCCTAATTCCCCATGTAGGGGAATAATATCATTTTGGTAAGATTCTTCCAGACAGTATGATTAGGATGTTACATAAATCAAACTGTGCTATATACAGTATGCAGAGAAGGAAATTCCTTAGCTTGTCTAAAGTCTGATAGTGTGAAGAATTTGCTGACCTGCTCTCCATGCCTGTCTGAGCACGAGTGAAGTGAATCAGAGAGAGATTGCAAGATGGAGAAAGGAGGTACAGTTGGAGAGAGTGGAGGGGGCAGGAAAGACCAGACAGAGCTGCATCTCCCATGAAAACAACTGTGTACATAAGATAGAGTGAGTACATAGAGTACATAGAAGAGTGAGCTCTGAAAGAACTCTCACATGGACCCCAGAAAGAGGAGTACTCAACGCCTGCTGCACAGAAGGCATCAACAGTTAAGTACTGGCTAGAAAAGCGGAGTCCATCAAAGGAGAGGACCACAGTGGTAGCTGCCTGGTAAGTACCACTGTCCCCTTTCCTTCTTTTCTCCCTCCCCAGCTCATGGAGGAGCTAGGCCTCAGGAAGCTGGGAAGGAATGGGGAGAATTCACCTCGGTGCCAGTTCACGCCCTCCCTCCAGCTCCAACAGCTGGAGTCAAAGGAAAGGAAGGGTGCACCTATCTCCTCCCCATTCCAAGTCCCTTTAGTGACTAGCTGGACATGCTCTGGAGAAGAGCAAAATGAGGTTGGAATTTAAACAATACCAGACTTTCTAAAACACAATGCCTGGGAAGTTATGTGAGGCATGTGAGACATGAGGGGATGGAAAAGGGATTCAACAGAGCATAGTTGAAATCAATGATTTAAAAAAACAAAAAAACTGGCTGATGGCTCATACCTGTAATCCAAGCTCTTTAGGAGGCTGAGGCAGGTGGATTGCTTGAGCCCAGGAGTTCCAGACCAGCCTGGGCAACATGGCAAAACTCCATCTCTACAAAAAATACAAAAATTATCCAGGTGTGGTGGCACATGCCTGTAGCCCCAGTTACCAAGGAGGCTGAGGTGGGAGGATAGCTTGAGCCTGAGAGGCAGAGGTTGCAGTGAGCTGAGATCATACCACTGCACTCCAGCCTGGGCAACAGAGTGAGACCCTGTATCAAAAAAAAAAAAAAATTTCCATAGTTAATACCCTTTAAATGTGGACTGCTAAATAAAGCTAAAGCTAAGGAACATTAAAGAATACTTTATTAATTGAAAAAGCATGCTCTTCTTAAATAGTAAGCCTTAACCACTGAAAACATGTCCAAATGATCCATAAATTCAAAGCAATCTCATTAAAAATATCAATGGGATAAAAATGATTCTAAACTTATCTCAAGAACAGATGGCATGCCCACTAGGATGGCTATAATCAAAAAGTCAGATAATAATAAAAAGTGCTGGTGAGGATGTGGAGAAATCAGAACTCCAATGCATTCTCATGGGAATGTAAAATAGTGCACCTGCATTAGAAAAGTTTGGCAGTTCCTCAAATGGTTAAACCATACAACCCAGCAATTCCACTCCTGGGTACATACCCAAGAGAAATGAAAATATACATCCACACAAAGACTTGCACACAAATGTTCATGATAGTACAATTAAAAATAACCAAAAAGTGGGAAAAACTCAGTTGGCCATCAACTGATGAATAGATACATAAAATGCGGTATATCCATACAATGGAATATTATTTGGCAATAAAAACAATGAAGTAGTGATACATGCTACATGTGTGAACCTTGAAAACACTATACCAAGTGAAAGAAATCAGTTACAAAGGACCACATATTGTATGATTCCATTCATGTGAAATGTCAGAATAGTGAAATCTATACAGCCACTAAGTAGAAGAGTGGTTACCTAGGGTTGGGGGAAAGGGGGTGGGTATGGAGGAGCGACTGTTAGCTCCTCTTAAGGAAGAGCTGTGGGGTGGTATAGTTAATGTAACTATGGATGATTCTTTTGGGGGTGATGAAATGTTCCAAAATTGAGTGTGCTGATGGTCACACACTCTGAATATACTAAAAAACACTGCAACATATACTCTTAATGGGGAATAAAAAAGAACAGATGGGCAAAGATGTCTGAGAAAAACAATTTTAATGAAGAAAAATATGGGGGTACTTTTCCTATCAGATGTAAAGTTATAATAATTCTAACTGTATGGTTCTGGCTCAGCAATAAATATAGAACAATGAAACAGACTAGAAAGTCCACAGGTAATGCTAGCAGGAATAATAATTTCATATTATAATAAAGATCACATCTATGTCACTGATGGGAAAGAAAGAAATCAATAGTGTTGGGACAACCAGCTGACCATTTTAGGAAAATGAATCAGTTAGATCCATTCATACCATGCACTAAATTTTAGATAATTAAAGATTTAAATACAAATATAACAATCATAAATGTTTCAGAAAATTTTTTGAAGAAAATGTGTATAATCTTATAGTAGAAAAGAAGCTATCTAGGCATGCCATAAAATCTAGAAACAATAAAGAAAAAGATTGATGGGTTGATCCACGTAAATATTTATGATTTCTGCATGTCAAACATATATAACAAGCTTGGGAAAAATGTCTGCAACACATGTTAAAAATTACTAACTTTATAAGGAGAACATACTAATTTAATAAAAGGCTTCTCCCACATAAAAATGGTCTAAGGTAAAATATGAAAAAGCAAACTGCAAATGACTGATAAGCATATGAAGCAAATGTACAATCACTTTAGCAATAAAATAATTCAATTAAGGCTGGGCGCAGTGGTTCACACCTGTAGTCTCAGTACTTTGGGAGGCTGAGGCAGGCAGATCACTTGAGGCCAGAAGTTCAAGACTAGCCTGGCCAACATGGCAAAATCCTGTCTCTACTAAAAATACAAAAACTAGCTGGGCATGGTGGTGCACACCTGTAATCCCAGCTACTCAGGAGGCTGAGGCAGGAGAATCGCTTGAACCCAGGAGGCAGATGTTGCAGTGAGCCAAGATCGCACCACTGCACTCCAGCCAGGGTGACAGAGTGAAACTGTGTCTCAAAAAAAAAGAAAAAGAAAAAAGAAAAAGAAAACCTCAAAAAAAATTCCAATTAAAACAGATAACCTTTTTTAAACCTAACAACTAGTCTTTCACTTATGCCATTCAGTTTAGAGAGAGTGTGGAAAACTTCTGATAGGAATATATTTCAGGATAACCTTTCTGAGAACATTTTAAAAGTAGGATTCAAGAGCACACACAAATGATGGAATCCTGTGTAGTTGATATGATTTAATCTATGTTGATTGATTTGGAAAGACGTATATGGCAAATTGTGGAGTAAAAAAAGTACACACTAGATACTGGCCTATATGGAATGGTCCCATTTATGTAAAATTGTGTATGTGCATGCACAGATCTGTCTTCTATCAGGGTATCTGGAAAATGTTCAACAAAATAGTAACAATGGTTATCTGTTTTGTTTTGTTTTTTCAGAGACAGGGTCTTGCTCTATTGCCCAGGCTGGAGTACAGTGGTGCAATCATAGCTCACTGTAGCCTCTAACTCCTGGGCTCATGCCACACAATCCTCCTGCCTCAGCCTCCTGAGTAGCTGGGACTACAGGCATGTACCACCCTGCGTGGCTCTCGTTATCTGTTGATACTGGAATTTCTGCTTTTTTCCTGGTACAGATACATACATACAAGTACTTTGACCCCAAAATTCTATTTTCTTAGAATAAATTCCCAGAAGGAATGAAAGATGTGTGCAAAGACTATCAATGAGAATGTTGGCCAGACGTGGTAGTCTACACCTGTAATCCCAGCACTTTGGGAGGCTGAGGCAAAGGGGATCACTTGAGGCCAGGAGTTTAGACCAGCCTGGGCAACATGGCAAAAACATGTCTCTACAAAAAATACAAAAAGTGTCCAGGTATGGAGGCATATGCCTGTAGTCCCAGCTACTCATAGGAGGCTGAGGCAGGAGGATCACTTGAGCCCAGGGAGGCTGAGGCTGCAGTGAGCCATGATCACACCACTGCACTCCAACCTGGTTAACAGAATGTCTCTAAAAATAAAATAAAATAAGATGTAGATACATGCAGGAGGCTGAGGTGATGGATCACTTGAGCCCAGGAGTTTGAGTCCAGCCTGGGCAACATTGAAAGACTATATATTTTAAAGCAGACACATGTACAAAATCATACATGCATAAAACAACTGAAGGAATATCTATTAAAATGTTGGCAGCAATTAGCTTTGGTTGGTAGAATAACAGAAGGGTTACTTTTCTCACTTTCATTCATCCATATTTTCCAAAGTTAAAAAAAAAAAGAAACGGCCTGGTGCAGTGGCTCACGCCTATAGTCCTAGCACTTTGGGAGGCCAAGGCAAGAGGGTCGGTTGAGCCCAGGAGCTCAAGACCAGCCTGGGCAATGTAGGGAGACCCTGTCTCTACAAAAAATAAAAAATCAGTTGTTGTGGTCTGCCCTTATAGTCCCAGCTACCAGGGAGGCTGAGGTGGAAGGATTGCTTGCGCCCAGGAGGTAGAGGCTACAGTGAGCCATAATTGTGCCACTGTACTCCAGCCTGGGTGACAGAGCAAGACCGTCTCTCAAAAAAGGCAAAACAAAACAAAACAAAAAACAAGGAACATGCGTTTTTGTTTAAAGGAAAACGTTTTTTTTTTAAGTTTATAATTTTTTTTTTTTTTTTAAACAGAGTCTCACTCTGTCACCCAGGCTAGAGTTGAACTGGCGTGATCTCAGCTCACTGCAAGCTCCACCTCCCAGGTTCAAGCAATTCTCCTGCCTCAGCCTCCCAAGTAGCTGGGATTACAGGTGTGCACCACCACGCCTGGCTAACTTTTGTATTTTTAGTAGAGATGAGGTTTCACCATGTTGGCCAGGCTGGTCTCAAACTCCTGACCTCAAGTGATCTGCCCGCCTCAGCCTCCCAGAGTGCTGGGATTATAGGCGTGAGCCACTGTGCCTGGCCTTAAGTTTATAATTTCTTAACATGGTGTTTAATTAAGCCTATTCACAAATATTCTTAAATAACACACCAAAATAATTTACTTATACTCTAATAGGAAAGATTCTACATTAGGATGCAGAATCTGAAGGAAACAATCTTCAATTTCTTGACTTAGACATTCTTGGTAACAGACCCACACAGTAATTAGGTAGCACTTATGTATTGTGATATTACCTGGGGTGTTTATAAGCTGATCCTTTAATAAGCTAGACTAAGTGCAGTAAATCAGCTCACTCTGCAACCAACCAGTCCCACCTCCTAACTGCTCCTGAACTGCAAAGACCAAAAGCCTCAGAGAAGACATATTTCCCAAACTTTCTTGCAGCTAAAGCTCTCAGCGTGAATCATGTTCCATCAATGAAACACACACACATGTGCAATATGGAAGATGAGTGAAATCCAGGCTATCTTCCTGAAGCTACTGTTCCTGGCAAGTGTAGCTGTGGGGACTGAGTTTTGGGCAGCAGCAAATAACTCCCAGCTTCCATGTGCTTGAGAGTCAGTTGCTGGGATGCCAGCAGCTGCATCCTCAGTCTAAGATTGCAGCCAATGATGATGTTTTCATGAATCCACCGTTCACGTGGCAGCCTCCTGGAGCTCAGACTGATGCCTGCTCCTCCAGCCTTCCAATACCTTTGCAAACACCTGAATTCCACATTAATCTCTCTCTGTTTAGAATACCCAGAGTGGCTTGTGTTTCCTGGGCTGAACCCTGCCTGGTAAGTCCATTTTAACAGGCTTCTAGATCTTTCCTCAAAAACTGTAAAGCTGATGATGGTTTTGAAAAAAATCACGATTTCTTAACAACGTGGAAGCAGAGAGGTCACCTTTAGCAAATGTATGCCTTAAGTGGGTAGAATTCACTTCTTAATAACAAATCAGGTTCAAGACCTCCAAAGACATAATGACAATTAATTGGCAAACCTCATCCCCTCTCACACATTTCTCCCCTGTTGACATTAAATCAAGGGCCAGAATTAAGCTACTGATAAAGACGAACACTTTATTCTAATTGTTCTATGATTCATGACCTGTGTTCCAACACCTAGAAACCCATCAGGATACAAATATATCACTTAAAATAAGGCACATAGGGATGGTTAGTTTTTCTGTCTCATTCTATATTGTTCTGAGAAATTACAGATATTTTCTTCTAAGAAAGGCATGATCAACTATTCAAGTTTTGCTGAATCTAAGGTAATGTCAGAATACTCTTAAACAACTTACGGCCTCAGATCCCAGTAGTTTAGAATTCTAGGGACGATGTAAATTCATAATCACTGTGAAAATGTTATCCTATCAAAACTCTGTAGAAACATCTATGCTTTTGCAATAACAGCGTAAAAGACCTCTTCTGATGAGAGAGAGAGAGAGAGGGAGAGGGAGAGAGAAAGAAAAAAAAGAAAGAAAGAAAGAAAGAAAGAAAGAAAGAAAGAAAGAAAGAAAGAAAGAAAGAAAGAAAGAGAGAAAGAAAGAGAAAGAAAGAAAGAAAGAAAGAAAGAAAGAAAGAAAGAAAGAAAGAAAGAAAGAAAGAAAGAAAGAAAGAAAGAAAGATTAGGGAGTTGGGGTAACCAGGTAATTTAGGCCAATGGATTCAACTGTGCCTTAAGCTGGTACTACCCTCATTTATGTGAGTCAATCAAGTCCCCCTTTTTTGCTCAAGCTACTCTGAGTTGGGTTTTTATCACTTGCAACCAAGAGTCATGACTAACAAACCCATCCTACTGTTACCTCTTTTGCCTTGGCTCTGTATTCCACACAGATTTAATCCTGGCGCTGATATAATTTTGTTTAAATATTTCTTCACCAGCTTGCCTGTGAACTTACAGAAGGCAGACATTTGTGTCTTTGCATTTCCAGTGCCTAGCACATGGTAGACATTCAGCGAACGTCTGCAGGGTGGATCATGCACCCAATGTTGTCAACTCATTTGATGATCAGCCCCCTTTCCCCCAACCAAAAAAAAAAAAAAGATGTAAAATGAAACAGCACAGATCTTACTAGTGGGGAGAAAGGTGAATGCCTCTAACGCTGTTAGAAAAAGGATACCTCTGGGGAAACTAAGTGACTAACAAATAAAAATGATTCTCTAAAAATAGGAGAGCTGTCCCTGCAAGCTGAACTAACAGAAGATGAAGAATGAGGTCTCCCTGAAATGCCCACCATAAGACTGCCAGATATGGGACTGCTGGATGACACTCTGGCTACCCCACTGAGTTTTATGAAAACATAACAGAATAAAGACACTTACTTGTCAACTCAGGTAAAGAATACACACAGAAGGTGTCTTAGTCCATTCTGGGTGCTATAACAAAATAACAGACTGGGCAATTTATAAGTAACAGAAACTTATTTTTTACAGTTTGAAGGCTGGGATGATCAAGGTGCCAGAAAATTGAGAATCTAGTGAGGGCTTGCTCTCTGCTTCAAAGATGACACCTTCTGGCTGTATCCTGTGGCAGAAGGGGACAAAGAAGCTCCCTCGGGCCACTTTCGTAAGGGCACTGATCCCATTCACAAGGGCAGAGCCCTCATGATCTAATCACCTCCCAGATGCCCCACTTCTGAATGCCATCAGAGATGAGGTTTCAACGTAAGAATTTTGGGAGGACACATTCAGACCATAGCAGGAGCAATGGGCTGATCCTGATCCCACTTAAATAGCTCATAACTTCTGTAGATAGCTCAGATTCCTCAGGACTGGAGGAAACAGTTCCCAACCTAAATAAGGGCTCCTGGAAATATGTGTTAATTAATGAAATACATACCAACAACTGTGAAGAGATGTTGGTGTGATCTGTTGACTCACCTGAAATGGTTTAAAGATTTCTTCCCAATAGGATGTGAAGAGCCATCTCTTCCTGGGGATTATGTTCTGGTTGATGTAGGGATTAGGTCTCCACTTGAGGACGAAGTGGGGAAGGGCACACTTAAGCGAACAGCTCTCTTGGTTGGCCTATATTGACTGGGCAGATTTTATATCAGAATTCCAAATCTCTGCCTAGTGTGGTTATAGTTGAGAGAGCACAGATTAGAAGGCGTCAACTACAGGCTCAAGTTTCATCACCCATTCAACGAATCATTGAAGGGAGCCAATGATTTTGTTTGAATTCCAGTCTCTCTAGATACAAAATGGAGTCAATTCTTTCTGTACCCACCTTATTAGTTGCTAGACAAAACTTTGGCAATCATTTGCTCTAATTCCCTTATCTACCCCACAAAGAAACTCATCAGTTAAAGCCTTGTTCTTACCTTTCTTGGTCACAGAACCCTCTGAGGATTTGTTGAAAGCTATGGATCCTTCTCCACAGAAACATGCATTTGTGTGTGTGTGCTCCCACAAAGGCATTTTGGCATATTATTTTTGAAAGAATCACAAAACTCTTGTGGTTCGTTCTTAGGGAAGCCAAGTTAAAAAACAACAACCACCTCTGAACCAAAGGAATTTTTAAAAACATACACAGGGTAAAAGAAGCTTGTTCATGTCATCATGAATTTATTTTCAGGCAATATGACAATCTATTAACACTCAGCATACTCTGAACTTACAGAATAAGTACCACGCCATACTTCCTCATTAATGACTATCATTTTACATGAGCTTCTTCCACAATCACAATGAGAGAACAGATTGCTACATGTTTGCTGGTAAATACATTCAGTAAGGCACTCAAATCCTAGACACGAACTAACCACAGAACGCTCTTCCCTGCTTTAATAAATTGAAACATGATCTCATTTCCTTCACTTTCAATACTTTTTATAGAAAGACACGCTTGTCTTGAACTTGTCTAAACATAGGTTTATATAAACTAATCCATTATCATTATAGTTATAATCAAGGAAATGATTTCACATTGACGGTTTTTTAGGTAGGGATAAGCGAAAGCACTGCAGCAGTTTCTGAAGGAGTGTCTTCTCTGTGGTTCCCCATACTTAGTACGATGCCTGGAATGTAGCAGGGACTAAATACAGTGAACAAATGGGCAAACCTTTAATTCCCAGGGATCTGCTACATATTGCCTTGACTGGTAGATCATTTCTCCAGAAGAAAGGAAGAAACCAAAAGACAAAAACAATCTTTTTAAACCTCACAGGATTTTCTTAGAAAAAAGTTTTAATTTATATATCTAGTGCAATTCTCTTTGTAAAATATATTTCATAAAAAATCCAAAGCAAAAGCCCTGTCATTCATTTATTTCAAAAGACAAATCATTTCAGTACTTCTTCCTTGAAATGCCTGCAATTTCTTCCTCTGGCCTCAGAGACGGGCATTGGCTCCATGCTTTACCATGTCAGGATAAAAATCCAGGAGGGAGAAATCTTGTTGTAATGGATAGCTGTTTTCATCTAACACAAAAAGGCTCTGAATCTTCAATACACAAGGTTCTGCGCTGACTGCCAACAAGGAGTGGAACAGGTCTGCCACAACCATCCCATAGGTGATCTCTGAGGAAGGAACTGCAGAAGACGAAAACACAGAGCTCTCAAGATCGCTGCTAGCTTGACAGGAGCACACACATTGAATGGTTTCATTGTTTCTTTTGGTTCCTCAAGTCTCAAACCCATTTTAAATTTCTCCTCCCGGCCAGTAGCGGTGGCTCACACCTGTAATCCCAGCACTCTGGGAGACGGAGGTGGCTGGATTACTTGAGGTCAGGAGTTCGAGACATGCCTGGCCAACACAGTAAAACCCTGTCTCTACTAAAAATACAAAAATTAGCCGGGAGTGGTGGCACATGCCTGTAATCCCAGCTACTCGGGAAGCTGAGGCAGGAGATTTGCTTGAACCCAGGAGGTAGAGGTTGCAATGAGCTGAGATTGTGCCACTGCACTCCAGCCTGGGCAACAGAGCAAGACTCTGCCTCTAAATAAATAAACAGGTAAGTAAACTACTCTTTCTATACCTTCTCTTTCTAGTTACAAGCTATTGAGGCACTCCAGAGTGACAGCATGTGATCCCCCTGACACAAGAAACAGGCCCAGATAACACACCGTTCAGACCAACAGCAGTTCTGGTTATGCTGCAGTACATCAGACGAGTGCTCTTATCCATCCACAGTTCTTATCACAGTTACTTATGCATATATTCATTTTTTATATAAAAGAATCTTGAATCGGTCACTTAAATATTGAATCTCAATAATAAAAAATACTAAAAGTATAGCTAAATGTGTTATTTTATTTTGCATTTGTCCTACACTCTTCCCCTCACTTTTTTAGGACATGTAATCAAGACATTTGGGAGGTTGTTCAATACCAGAATGACAGAGCACCATCGACCATGCTCAGACTGTACTAACCCCTTGACAATTATCACAGTCTTTCTTGGATGGGGACTACAGAGTCCTGGAGGACCAATGACATATTTTGGGGGGTATGATAATTCTCTACAATAACTTTTAAATTTTGTATTTTCACTGCAATAAACTAAAACATAACCAATATTAGTAATAGTCTGCATGGTCTGATGACCACTTTATGACCAATGACATTTTGACTTATGATCACAATCTAATTAATGCCAAGAAGTACAACTTTAATTGTCTCAAGAATGGACAAAACACTGAAGTATATGTGATATGAGAATTATGCTTCTCTAAGAGATAAAGACTAATTTACATTATGCAAAAAAGAAGAGATAGGCCGGACACGGCAGCTCACGCCTGTAATCCCAGCACTTTGGGAGACCGAGGCAGGCAGATCACCTGAGGTTGGGAGTTCAAGACCAGCCTGACTAACATAGAGAAACCCCATATCTACTAAAAATACAAAATTAGCCGGGCATGGTGGCACATGCCTGTAATCCCAGCTACTTGGGAAACTGAGGCAGGAGACTTGCTTGAATCCAGGAGGCAGAGGTTATGGTGAACTGAGATCGCGCCACAGCACTCCAGTCTAGGCAACAAGAGCAAAACTCCATCTCAAAAAAAAAAAGAAGAGATAACACTGAAAATATATAAGTAACATTAAGAAAAGGAATGAAAATAGCCAAAAGAATAAAAATGAAATAAAGAAAATGGGGGAAAAAACGGAGAGAGGCTTCTAATTAAGATGTAGAAAGCTGGAAAAAGTGGCTCCTACCCTAACAGTTACTGGAAAAAACTGAATAAATATAAAATCATCATTTTCTTGAATACACATGAGAACCAAGGTTGTAAAACAGCCAAAAAGACTGAAACATAAGGAGACAGGTGCCTCCAGGGAGATGGAACAGGAGCACAGGTTCCCTTGGGGCAGGCCTTGGGAAGAAGACAGGTCCTCCATACAGGCAGGAAAGAAGAATGTGATTAATTTTTATTAATAAATTAATTGCAAAAAGCCAATGAACTGCCAGTGTCAGCAACATAAGGAACATCTGCATCCTCATAGGCTCTTCCACATAGTACGTCTCACCTCCACCAGGTGCTCATAAGACTGGGGGCAGGGCAAGACATCAGAGAAAGCTTCCAACTACAAAACACAAAGCACCATCTGGCCTCCCCTTTAAGGAACAAAAGCCTTCAATTGCTGGAGGAGGGACACCAAATCCTGTTGCCCCAGGGTACAGGTGAGGAACCAGTACAGATGGGGGAAAGAAAAAAGAAAAAAAAAAACCTCCATCCTGGGGGAGGACTGAAAAACCACCCTGGGTCAAGACCATTAGTGGTCCCCTACTGCTGGGGCAGGGCCAGGACCACACAAGACCCACTAAAGGCACAAGACAGAGCTCAGCTGCCATGCCACATAAGGGACAGGGCTACCAAGAAAGCGCCATGTGCAACATCCGTATAAGACTGGGGCTGGACCAGAATCAAAGAGGAACAACCCTGCTCCCACCCACCAGGTTAGGATGCACCAAATAACAACCAACAAAAGCTTGTGCAACTTGGGGAGGTGCAAGAATATGGAAAGAAACTTTCTCTGAGGCCCAGGTGCAGAGTGGAGGGCTATGCTGATGGTGGAGCAGGAATACTGGGGAACCACTTCCCACCATAAGCACAAGATAATTTGAAACCAGTGGTGACCTGAAGGTAACCAGAGAAACAACAAAACCTGAATCCAACTCAACTTATGACAAGGCTGACCATCCTGCTCACCCCTCACCTCCAGTAAAGGACCAGAAGAGGCATGCCTGTTTCCAGGTACAACTACTATTTACCTCAGTTTGTACTGTTCTACTTAATATATGCAACGTTCAGCATTCAACTCAAAATTACTAGACACCCCCAACTAAAAAAAAACACAAAAAACAATCTACTATTGAAAGATAAAGCAATCACAGAACCAGATTAGCTCATCAGCTTAGAGGATCTGAGGCTAATGAGAACAGGAATGGAGTTTGAATACCTGACAAATATATTATCTTTGCTTTATTCTTAGCCACTGACAACTAAGACATCATGGTTGAAGATCTTGCAAATCCATTCCACTGACACTGGACTATCTTCATATATATTATGTCATACACTCATTGACTTCATTCTTATAAAACTAGAGTTAAGTAAAATAGTTTTTGCTTACCAACAGGAAATGTAGGTTAAGAAGAAATTAGGTGCCTCCCGCTGTTCATGTACTAACAGGTGTAAAGCAAGTCAACCTTCTAACTTACATAGGCTTATATTTCACTTAAGCTAAATTATCCTTCTGTTTTCATATGGACAGAAAAGCTCTTAATTTAAAGTACAGTGCTCTTTCTGTTCTGATATACCATTTATACTCCTGAATAAAACAACTTCTTGATGGCACACTGATATATTACCTATCACTCTGTTGAGGCAGTCTGCAGAAATGTTGAGAAGAATCTTCTCTATCAGCTTTGATTCTACATGGATGTAAACATTATGTCTTCCATCAACGGCAGTCATTAACGCTGGCCTACAGAAGAGTAAACAACACACGACCTTCAAAAAGATTTTCAAATAAAAGAAATGCTTAAATGAAAAATAATTCCAAAAAGCACTTGGTTTTTATGCAGGATTAATTTTAATGCTTAAAACAACTCTAGGATGTTCTGTGACATCCTAGAAGGAAAAAAAGGTTTTTTTTTCCCCAAGAGCTTCAAATGATAAATTACTACATTTTATTTATTCTATATCCATTTTTAAATTTCAGATACTAATATAAAAATATATTAAACTGTTTTATAAATTATTTTTAGAAATGAAAATAAAAATAATAATCACATATTTCACAATCACAATTTCAAGTTACTTTTTTCAACTGAATTCTTTCCTATCAGAAATAAACTGTTTTGCATATCAATAAAACTGGATTAACAATTTTCAGTGCATCCTACATCTTAATGCTATGTAGCTGATAAAAAGAATGAAGAACATTTGCAAGTGCTATTAGGGAAGGAGCACCAGGATAGACTCTAGGGAACAACAATATGAACAATATTCTTCTGTCCACATGCTTCTAAAGAAAGGGATACACATGTGCTGGGATGAACATAATAAATCACTGGAAGGACATACAAAAAACCTTCTCACCAGCATGGAAGCAGCACTGGTGGGAGAGGGTTGGATGGTGAAGGAGACTTTCACTCTTTGTTTTATAACCTCCTATGTAGTGTGCATTTTAACCATGGCATGTGGTACCTATTTTATAACTACATTGATTTTTAAAAAATAAATTGAGAACAGAATTCAGAAACAGGCTCATTAGCGGGGGAATTTAATGTAACAGAGCTAAAACATAACTACTGATTTTCCCCCTAAAAACCCACTTCCCCCTTTATTCACACGATGACTCTATGTTCCTTCCTCTTTTCACTCTACACTCTTTCCTCAGCCTCTCTCTCCCTCCATTATTTATTTCAACAAATACAAACTGAGTATCTATCATGGACTGTGGTAAGTGCTGGGTACCCACTAGTGAAAAAGACAAATCTGGTTCCGTCACTCAAGGAACGTAAAACTGTAGAGGGATAGGAAGAAATTGGGCATGCGCGGTGGCTCATGCCTGTAATCCCAGCGCTTTGGGATGCCAAGGTGAGGAGGACTGCTTGAGGCCAGGAGTTTGAGACCAGCCTGGGCAACACAACGAGACCTCATCTCTACAAAAAGAAGAAGAAAGAAAATAAGCTTTTCAACAGTGGTGCCAAGATGACTAAACAGGGATGGAACAGTCTTTTCAAAAATTCATGCTGGGACAACTAGATATCCACATGCCAAAAAATAAAATTATACCCCTTCCTTATCCCATATACAAAACTTAACTCAAAGTAGATAATAAACCTAAATGTAGGAGGTAAAACTACTAAACTCTTAGAAGAAAATACGGGAGCAAATCTCCATAACCTTGGCTTAGAAATGACACCTTTCTTAGATATGACCCGAAAGCACATGCAACAAAAAGAAAAACGGAATAAGAAGTACTGGCAAGAATATGGGGAAATTACAACCCTCATATTGCTGATGAGAATGTAAAATTGTGCAGCAATTTTGGAAAACAGCCTGGTAGTTCCTCAAAAGGTTAAACAGACAGTTACCATATGACCCAGCAATTCCACCACTCCTAGATATATACCCAAGAGAAATGAACACACATATCCACACAAAAACTTGTACACAAATGTTCACAGCAGCATCATTCATAATAGCCAAAGAGTAGAAACAACCCAATTGTCCATCAACTGATGAATGGATAAATAAAATGTGGTATGTGCATACAATAAAATATTATTTTGCAATAAAAAGGAATGAAGTAGTGATACATGCTACAACATGGATGGACCTTGAAAACATCATGCTAAGTGAAGCCAGTCACAAAAGATCACATATTATATAATATTTATATAAAATATCTAGAACAGACAAATCTATAGAGACAGAAAGCAGATTCGTAGTTGCCATGGGTTGAGGGGCATGGGGAATGGAGAGTGACTGCTAATGAGTATGAGGCTTTGTAAAGGGCTGGGTAATGAAAATGTCCTAACTGGTTGTGGTGATAGCTACACAGCCCTTGGAATATACTACAGCCATTGAATTGTACATTTCAGAAGATTAATTTGATGGTATATGAATTTTAACTTCAGTAAAAATGTTTTTTAGAAAAGACAGTATGCAAATACAAATTACAGTAAGCACACCCAGGCTACTATAACAGAAAATAAAGAAGGGTGGTTAGGAAAGGCCTCTCTGATAGAGCAGCATTTAATCTAAGACATGAAGAAACCAGCCTTGTGGAGTCAGACAGAGGGAAGACATTCGAGAACATCCTAAGGAGAAAAATCAAAATGTCTGAAGAACTGAAAGAAGGCCACGTGGCTAGAGTGCTGGACGACAGGGGAGTGGCAGCAGATGAGACTGCAGAGGAAACAAGCACAAGGAGATGACTGATGGGTGAAGCAAAGGGTAATCACACTGCCAACGGGTGGAGAATAAAGGGGAGGAGGCAAGGCCAGGAGGAGCCCCACCAAGAGACTGCTGGTGTGCTGGTTTGCGCAATAGGTAGTAGGGACTCAGATGAGGCCTGAGTGATTCCAGACCAGCAGGCACTGACTTTCCATTTTGGTTTCACAGTAATTGAGGTTCAGCTAGGGGAAGGTAAACAGGGATGCCACATGCCCCGCAGCATGTGGGATATGGTACATAATGAGAAACTGTCCTGAGAAAAATGTCAACAATGCCCCTGCTGAGATACACTGGACTAAGATGTTAGCAGTGGAGATGGAAAAAAGTGGATGAATTTGTGATATAGTTCTGAATGAAAATTCCTAGGACTTGCTAATAGATTAGATAGGGGAGGTAGGGAAGAGAAAATGATGCAACGATTGTGCCCAGGTTTCCAGCCTAAATAATTGGGTAGATGGTGTGCCATTTTCCAGAAAGTATAAAAACGAAGAGAACTAGATTTGAGTGTGGTTTTAGGAAAAACAAGAGTCTATTGTGGGTATGTTTAAATGTGAGATGGACATCAAGCAAAGAATTTGATACCTGACTACTGGAGCCTGGAGGAGAAAATCAGGGTGAAGATGTTAAGTACAAATACGAAAACAGCTGTGATCATCCAGGCAGAATGTACAGAAAGAATAAGAGGAAGGACACAGACGAGAGCTCAAGATTAACCCCAGCATTTAAAGAGGGGGTAGAAAAGGCTGAGAAAGAAGGGCCTGAGAGACAGGTTAGAAAGCAAGGAGGAGGCTGTTTCAAGAAGGAGGAAGTGGACTGACATGCTGAATATAACTGAGAGCAGTTAGAGCGAGGAAAGAAGTATCCATGCCTCAGGCAACATCAAAAGTGTAACTTTGACAAAAGCAGCTTCTGCAGCATGGTAGGAGTAGAATGGAATAACTGAAGTGAAACTGAAGACATAATAGGGGAGAGAGAGTATATTTACAACTCTTTAACAAAGTTTGGCTGGGTATAAAACAGAATAGAAAAACGAAGGGATAAGAGGGAGATGTAATGTTAATGGATGATTTTGTTTGTTTTTTAATAAGAGAAATATGGGACTGTCTTTATAGGCTAGTAAGAATAATCCATTATGAGAGGTAATCACTGAAGATTAAGAAGGAAAAACAAAACAGGGTGCAGAAACCAAGGAAAAGTTCAATCACCACAGATAACCTTATAAGCCTAGCCCAGACTTCTCTTGCAAATTGCATTTCTTTACATCTAACCACTTTCCAACTTGTTACCTCTCAGGAACTCAAGCTCAATATGATCAAGATTTCTCCCAAGGTTACTTGTTTTAATAAATAATCTTATTGTTCACCCAACTGTCAATGATTTGCAATGTACCTGTGCTCTCTCTTTACCTACCAATCACTACATCTTGCAAACTATTTTCCGACCATTCTCAAATCTGTCCACTTCTTTTTATTCCTACCGCTTCCTCTCTAGTCAAGCCACCATCATCTCCCCTCCAAAATAAGGCAACAGCCTCTTACCGCTTCTCTGCACTAGCTTCATTCTAATCCACTCTCCAACGCACAGCTAAACTCACTTCTGATGAACAGAATTTGATAGAAGTGATGCCACATGACTTCTGAGTCTAGGTCACAAAAAGGCTGGCTTCCACCTGGAACTCTCTTTCTTGCCTTTCCTGCTCTGAGGAAATGAGCTGCCACTTTGTGAGAACATTCAGGCAGCCCGTGGAGACACCCAAGTGAAGAGGAACTCAACTTGTCAGCCATATGAATGAGCCACTTTGGAAATGAATCCTCCAGCCCCAGTCAAGCCTTCAGATGACTGCAGCCCCAGCCTACACCTTGATTACAACCTCTTGAGAGACCCAAACATTTCCTAGTGCTGCCTAAATAGGAGCCTTAATTGTGGTTTGACCTGCTGGGGTTTTTTGCTTCCAGTACAGAAAAATAAATGTATTTCTTGTATTCCAAAAATGTAAATCTGAATATTCTGTAGAAACATTGTTAAAAATGGTATTTGAGTTTTATGATAGCTTGAAGAGCAGGAACTATGCTATCTACATGTTAATTTAATAAATGTCTGTGGCCTCGTATGAGACTCCATTGCAATATCTAATGTTGCTTCCATTGGAAAATCAGCTCCAAGTTACAACCAATGTAAAATATGATCAACCCACTCATAGTTTGGGACTGTTGTGCCACACAAATGTTCATTAAGTGTTTCTTAAATGGACTACCAAGCTTCTTGGGCACAATAAGTCTACTTAGATCAACTAGTATAACATCCACAGTACACATGTGATATGTGAACATACGTGGATTCCTAATAAATATTTGACTGAGTCTTAGAAAAATAATCAATGAGAGTTTTCTCTTATTCAGTTTGCTGATTGATTTATATAGATGATTTTGGAGTCACATACTTGATAACTTGAAGGGAGTTTGTTAATTTCAATATTTTCTTTCCAAGGAAACCACATAATCTGGACTCTAATAATTTAAAGGCTTTTAGGCTGGGCTTGGTGGCTCACACCTGTAATTCCAGCACTTTGGGAGGCTGAGACGGGTGGATCACCTGAGGTCAGGAGTTCGAGACCAGCCTGACCAACATGGAGAAACCCTGTCTCTATAAAAATACAAAATTAGCCAGGCGTGGTGGCACATGCCTGTAATCCCAGCTACTTGGGAGGCTGAGACAGAAGAATCACTTGAACCTGGGAGGCAGAGGTTGCGATGAGCTGAGATCGCACCAGTGCACTCCAGCCTGGGCAACAAGAGCGAAACTCTGTCTCAAAAAATAAAAAAAAAAGGCTTTTAAATAAATAAAAAATAATAATTCTTGCCTTAACATGACCATTCAACATTCTAGTAAGACAACAAACTAGCACTACATCTTTAATGTGGTATAGTTTAGGAAGAGATCTTAAATACCTCATACTAGTTATGCCATAATCAGGTGATACTGATCTGTGAAGTCCTTCTCTTGAACAGTCATTTTGTAAACTAAAGATTCAAAGGCCCTCCTCCCCATAAGGAATAGTATTGAGCAGTATTTTTGTCCAATAAATGCTTATATTGAATAGAAACATTTGGAATGATATAAATAAGTCACCTATACATACTTTTGAGGGGCCTTAACTATTAATAAATCAATGTTGTTTGTTACATACCATGCATTTTTTGTTTTGATTTTGAGACAGGGTCTCACTCTGTTGCACAAGCTAGAGTGCAGTGGTGCAAACATAGCTCACTGTAACAATTGATCTCCTGGGCTCAAACAATCCTCCTGCCTCAGCCTCCCAAGTAGCTGGGACTACAGGCCTATGTCACCATGCCCAGCTTTTTTTTTTTTTTTTGGTAGAGATGGGGTTTCCCTATGTTTCCCAGGCTGGTCTTGAACCCCTGGGCTCAAGCGATCCCCCCACCACGGCCTCCCAAAGTGCTGGGATTACAGGCATGAGCCACCACACCCAGCCTACCATACATCTTAATTCAATCTTCTTTTCCACAAAAGCAACTTTCACAGTAATAGCAAAATTCATTCACTTATTTATAACAAACATAATATCTGTAAAGAGAAATAAGGTTTACAAATTAAGCTTCTATAACTTTTCTTGAAGTATGCCATGATAACATGTGGAATATATCTGAATTTAGTTTTTAGATACCGCAATATTTAGAAATAATCATAAGGAGCATAAAACACTGAGTGCTATTTTGTAAACACATGTAATTTATAAGGTAAAGAGAAAAATGTCTGAGCTTTTGACTACCTATTATTCAAAAAACAATGTGTTTTTCACTGAGCTGATTAGCAGTTTTACCATACAACATTTATTTGCTGGCTTTAATTTCTAAGGTAAAGGTGGGAAAACAGCTTAAATGTCTTACTAGCTTCCACAACAACTCAGAGGTGACATCATATGATACTTTTAGCCTTTAAATTCTAATTATATGTTAAGGTGGGAAAATGAGTTATTTATGAGCATTTAGATTTTGGTTAAAAAGTAAACCAAGGAAAATGTTTCTTTGGTACAGCTGTTTGAAGACAATAAAATCTCCCAATTACTGCTTTAAGAAATTCCTATCTTTAAGAAATTCCTATAACGATTCCTGGGTAATTTTTGCTACCATAAATAGCTATCTATCACTCAGGGAAAATTTTATTCTCTTCGACTAGCTCTAGTTAATTCTTTTTAGAAAGTAAGAGTTTACAGACTAGTTTTTCCAGATCTATAATAATTATTTTCCATCAAATTGGCTTGCTTAGTTGCCTTACCTATAATATATTTTCTTCATAGTAAATGGCAAGCAGCTAAAACATTGTTTGTAGATCCTGTTCTCATCTGTTTCTAGTTCCAATCCACATTTTGCACAGCCAGTATATATGATGTTGGGAAGAGAAGAAAAAATACTCTTCAGAGAACTGTGAGCATTTAGAGATATCTTCTGAGCTGCTGTAAGAGGAAATGCCAGCTCTGAAATCTGGGCTTTAATTAGAACCACTCCTACAAACAACAAACAGATATGTTATAAATTATTGGGCCAAAATTATAACTTTAATTTACAAACATGGCTAATTTTATAGTTGATTTACAGTCACTTGTAGTAAAAGGATACACTGAGGTCTTGTTCTTCGTCTTCTTTACTATTTTCCTAGAATCTAAGGGCAGGGAGGTCTGGCTGCAACTGAGAGCAGGTTTACTTGGCTAATTTGGCTGAACATGTGATGTTTCCTTCCTTCCCCATCCTCTGGAATCAGGCAAAATAAGTTCAATACCTCCTTTAGAAGAAATCCCTTCGAATACTTGAAACTAGCTAACATGCCCTCTCTCCTTGCCCTGTCTTCTTTTAAACTGATCATGGTGAAAAGCCAGATAGGGGCCGGGCACAGTGGCTCACACCTGTAATCCCAGCACTTTGGGAGGCCGACGCGGGCAGATCACGAGGTCAGGAGATCGAGACCATCCTGGCTAACATGGTGAAACCCTGTCTCTACTAAAAATACAAAAAATTAGCCGGGCGCGGTGGCTGGCGCCTGTAGTCCCAGCTACTCGGGAGGCTGAGGCAGGAGAATGGCTTGAACCCAGGAGGCAGAGCTTATAGTGAGCCAAGATCACACCACTGCACACCGGCCTGGGCGAAAGAGCGAGACTCCGTCTCAAAAAAAAAAAAAAAAAAAGCCAAATAGGAGGTGAACTTTTCTTCTTCTCTCTACGTAAAAATATCAATAGCCTGTTCTCTTTTAAACTTTTTTCCAACTTTCCGCTCACCATTATCATCTATATACTCTGGCTGTGGGTTATAAAAAGTTCTCATTTATTAATCGTTTCTCAGGTGACTCACAAGAAACCTCAAGCATATTCATAATTCACTGCTAATGGCTCATCCATTCACCAGTAAACAAATACTGAAAGTCTACTATCTCCCAGACATTATTTTTTCCTAATTTACTTTTGTCTTACTGTGTACTGGTGAGGTCTATGAGTTTTCTTGAGCATTATTCTCCCTTTCTCCATAGTCAATTTAAAGGCTTCTTTAAGCCTTAAGCCTTCAAATTTGTTCTTCTTCATCCACTTAGAAGTAAGAACACTCCAGGTCAAGAACTAATCACTCTAGTCTCCTACTGTTTTCTGGTTATCTCTTTCAGAGTCCAGTTAATGATGAGTCTTCTGTTCTTAACTTCATTTGCTTTAGTCTTTCAATGCCCAAAGACGGTTTCATCATCTCTTCCAATTGTGTCACATATCCCTACATGAGTTAGCAGGAGTGCGTAGCGATCGAATATGTAACAAACTGTAGAAGATTCAATACCACATCTTTCCAAAGACATGTTAAATCACTACAAAATTATTATTTTTTGTTGTTTTGAGACAGTCTCACTCTGTCGTCCAGGCTAGAGTGCAGTGGTGCAATCTTGACTCACTGCAGTCTCAACCTCCCTGGGCACAAGTGATCCTCCCACCTCAGCTTCCTGAGTAGCTGGGACTACAGGCACACACCACCACACCTGGCTAATTTTTGTATTTTTTTGTGGAGATGGGGATTTGCCATGTTGACCAGGCTGGTCTCCAACTCCTGGGCTCAAGTGATCCACTCTTCTTGGCCTCCCAGAATGCTGGGATTACAGGCTTGAGCCAATGTGTCTGGCCTAAAAAAATATGTAAAAAAAAAAATTTCGATTTTTATTTTAGATTCAGAGGGTAGATGTGCAGGTTTGTTACATGGGCATATCATCACCCAAGTAGTCTCCTGTAGTAGGCAGAGTACCCAACAGTTAGTTTTTCAACCCTTGCTCTCCTCCCTCCACTCAAAAAGTCTTTTTTTTTTTTTTTTTTTTTTTGAGACAGAGTATTGCTCTGTCACCCAGTCTGCACTGCAGTGGTGCAATCTCGGCTCACTGCAACCTCTGCCTCCTGCGTTCAAGCAATTTTCCTGCCTCAGCCTCCCAAGTAGCTGGGACTACAGGCACCCGACATCATGCCTGGCTAATTTTTGTATTTTTAGTAGAGGCAGGGTTTCACCACGTTGGCCAGGCTGGTCTCAAACTCCTGACCTCAAATGATCCACCCACCTCGGCCTCCCAAAGTGCTGGAATTATAGGCATGAGCCACCCTGCCCAGCCTAAAAAATTCGTAATAATTCAATAATTTTAAAAGAATGTTCACATAATCCTATCATTTTGTAAATTTACACAACTCTTGAAAAGAATTAAAAGGTCACGCTGAATGTGGACTTTGCTTTCAAGGGGGTCACTCCGCTGAGCACTGAAATTCTGCTGGCGGTAAGATGAGGTACTGGGTAAGCGTCTTCATTTCTTTACAAGGACTCAGGCCTAGCCTCATCCCCCTCTGGCTTTTGTTGAGCAAGCAGACCCTTCTAGGAAATGCTCCCATGCTGATCTCTCTTTCTCCTTTTATTTAACTATAAAATAGGTTAGGGAAAAGTTGCTTGTGTTTTCATATTCTCTCTCCATTTTTGTCTTAAAAACACATACACTATGACAGAAACTATGAATTCAGCCCTCATAGCTGAACATAAAGAGAATGAAAAAGGCTAAACAGGCCTCTGTGAACAAAGCCTCTGAAGGACTGATTTTAATGGCACAGTTTTGGCATGGCTTGCTAATGAGGAGCACACCTCCAGGACTTCCAAGAACATGCACAATTCCTGGCTGCGTCCTCAAACAAGTGGGGCTATAGCCTGAGAATCTTTCATCATCAGCGTGGTGGCCTCCTATTTTGTTGTTGTCCATGATGTTATTTATTTTTATTTTTAAACCTAATTCTAGACTTCAATCCCAGCAGATAACTGTTTTGTGTAAGCAGTAAATAACAGAGTTGACTTCTCCATGGCACCAAACTAAACGTCTCTGCAAAGTAAGGTAGCCCCTCAACTGTGTCTGGCATTCCTTCCTGTGGTGACCACCTCTATATGTCTGTGAAGTTGGAGAAGCAGAGCACGGGAGGGGCACATAAATATAAAACTGGCTTAGGAACTTACATGATGCTATAACATTACCAAGATTTTACCAGTTAGTATAAATCTAGAGTCTTTTATGACCATAGGCAACTTCCATTTTTGAAAATAGTATGAAATTTTTATAGTATAAAAGCTTATAAATTTTCTATCATCTGTGTTTACCTTCCAGAAATATTATTAATTTAAACTATCTGCTGGTATTAGTAAATGTTTCAGTGTAGAACTAAGAATAAGGAGTTCTTCTCTGAGAATGAAATCTCTGTATTCAATTAAAAGTTGGGTTTTTTGAGAGGTATTGTCTTTGTTTTCTGCCTGTATTCTCCTTAGCATAGTTTTATGATATAACAATGCTAACCCTTCAATCATATATTGGAAAACATATTTACACATATATGTGAATTAACCCAACTAGTAACATTTTAATCTGGCATTTGGCCAAGATAAAGTAAGGATCTGAATTTCTGCTCCCACTTGTCATATAATAAAAAATAGGTATTTGCTCTTTGTCCCTGGTTCCTAGCACATAGTTCCTAAAACTACTGGAATCTAGTTCAGATATTTGCAAAGATTTATATTTCACTTTTATATAGACTTATACATTTTTACCACAAGTGGTAGCCTTTTTGCTTATATTAAAACTAGCAGTGGGCTGGGTGTGGTGGCTCATGCCTGTAATTCCAGCACTTTGGGAGTCCAAGGCAAGAGGATCACTTGAGTCCAGGAGTTTGAGACCAGACTGGGCAACATAGGGAGACTCTGTCTCTGCCAAAATAATAAATAAATAAATAGCTGGGTGTGGTGGCATGCACTGATGGTATGCACTAGCCTTCCCTTCCCTCCTCAGCTACGCGAAAGGCTGAGCGGGGAGAATCACTTAAACCTGAGAGGTGGAGACTGCAGTGAGCTGTGTTCACACCACTGTATTCCAGCCTGAGCAACAGAGCAAGACTCTGTTTCAAAAGAAATAAAAATAGCAGAATTTATGTATATAAAAATCTTACCTGAACACTTATCCTCTAGGTGGGTTGCTAAGTCTGATATCTTCACAAAGGAGGGTGCACTTTTTTGAAATTTTGCTTTAAATGTAATTGCCCTTATATCATCATCAAACAAGCACTCACAGGATGACCAAGGCGTTGTATGCAATTCTAGGTTTTCTAGTGTGTAATTGCGCTGAACAAAAAGATATTTAAATTCCCAAATATAACCTTAAACAAAAACAGTAAAAACAAAAGTCACCAAAAAGGAAAAAAAATCTAGGCTTAGTATCAGATTAAATAGATTGATCTGATTAAGTCAGTTGAATACTAATCTTTTATCACTAAAGAATTTGGGTAAACAGAGACAAAATATGAATGGTGCATTAAGACAACAGAAGCATGCTAGAGATTATTATTATTATTTTTTTTTTCCAAGACAGAGTCTCGCTCTGTTGCCCAGGCTGGAGAGCAGTGGTGTGATCTCGGCTCACTGAAACCTCCACCTCCCAGGTTCAAGTGATTCTCCTGCCTCGGCCTCCTGAGTAGCTGGGATTACAGGTGCGTG
Organism: Homo sapiens; assembly: GCF_000001405.40. NCBI lineage: Eukaryota > Metazoa > Chordata > Mammalia > Primates > Hominidae > Homo > Homo sapiens. Next base: position 47,715,313 of record NC_000010.11, on the reverse strand, counting down.
CCACCACTCCCGGCTAATTTTTGTATTTTTAGTAGAGACAGGGTTTCGCCATGTTGGTCAGGCTGGTCTTGAACTCCTGACCTCATGATCCGCCCACCTCGGCCTCCCACAGTGCTGGGATTACAGGCATAAGCCTCCGCGCCGGGCCACCAGAGATAATTTTAATAAAATATTTTCTAAAGATTCCTTGCCCTCCTGAACGGTCATCATTTATAATAACCAACTGCTTTCTGTAAAGAAAATTCTCATGTATCTATCTATAGGCAAAGTTTTGTTTTGTTTTGTTAAAGAAAGGACACTGAAATGAACCCAAGTCTAATATTTCACTCATATTTCAATACTTTAGTTATCTTAGTTAACTTTTCTAGAACAAAAAGCATTTAGACACAATAGTACTTATTTTTAACTCTCAGTAACAATTTTTTTTTTTTTTTGAGACGGAGTCTCGCTCTGTTGCCCAGGCTGGAGCACAGTGGCGCAATCTCGGCTCACTGCAAGCTCCACGTCCCGGGTTCAAGCCATTCTCCTGCCTCAGCCTCCGGAGTAGCTGGGACTACAGGCGCCTGCCACCACGCCCGGCTAATTTTTTTTGCATTTTTAGTAGAGACGGGGTTTCACTGTGTTAGCCAGGATGGTCTCCATCTCCTGACCTCGTGATCCGCCCGCCTCGGCTTCCCAAAGTGCTGGGATTACAGGCGGGAGCCACCGCGCCGGCCACAATTCTAATACTTAAAGCCACAGTAACACAGACCTTGTTACTGTTATATTCTCTATTAGTAAATTCAACTTATCTGTATTATCATATTCTGTATTAGTAAATTCAACTTCAAAACTATAATAAAACAAAAGAGGGTTTCTTAGCACTCATTTTTCTGATAACATCAGCTGTCTTTTTAGTTTCTCACTTCAGGCCATAAATCTAATTTACTACACCTGCTCATCTCCTTAGTTTCTTTCACTAAAGATTTTTTTTTTTTTTTGGTGGAAAATCATCAAACATCTCAGTAAATCTGTAAAGACAGAACATCACTAGCTAGAACTAAAGCATATATTCCAAGTTACTGCTTAAAACCAATCACTAAAATAGCTTTCTTGTCTTATTACAAAATACCTGATTAGAAAAGTAAGCTAAGAGAAGCCAAGTAAATAAACATATAGCAGCCATAATCTCAACACCCTAAATAAGCAGTTAACATTTTAGCGGACAACCAGTTGTTTGGGATTTTATTTATTGGGATTGACTTAATAAGTCAAATATAGTTTTATATGTATGTATTATTCTACATTGCTTTTAAATATTACATAATATGCCATTGTCCAGATACACCAAAATCTTAAAAATTATTACAGCAAACCTCTATTTTGAGGGACTCTGGTTGTTTTTTATTTTTCACAATTATACATGATACCATGATAAACCCATTTTCAGCTACATCTTTATACATAGTTATGATAAGTTCCTAGAGCTAAAATTATTGGGCTAAAAGTACCCCCAATTTGTTCATATTAATTGTCAGTTATCCTCAAGAAAGGTTCTGCCAGTTTGCATTTCCAATAGCTGATGACAGTAGCTGTTTTCCCATATCTTCTCAATCAATTTCTTAAAAGAAAAATAATCTATCATCATTACTTTGTGTGTTTTCAATTACTTGTAAGAACAATTTTTCCATATATTTATTGGCCATTTTTATTTCTTCTTTGGGGACTTGCCTACTCATATCCTTTCCCCATTTAACTCTATAGATATGTGTCTTTTGCTTACTGCATTATTGTCTGACAATGTAATTTTTTTTCTGTTTTTTTTTTGTTGCCTTTCAATTTTGTACATGGTGGTTTTTATGTATAATAGTTTTTGTTCCTGGATTTTATTTACCCTACCAACCTTTGCATTACAAATAATTTTGCCTATATTTTCTTCTACTATTCATTGTTTCATTATTTTTGTATTTGAATCTCTAATGTATCTGAAATTTATATTGGCACAAATATAAAGTATAAATTTAATTCTATTTTTTCTCACATTGTTAGCTAGATTTTCCAAACATTAACTATTCTTTTATTTTAAAAAGCATAAGGTTTTAATTTTATTTTTAATTATAAAATAAAATACATTTATTGTGAAATATTTAAACAGTAAAGATGAGGGAGGTAACAGGTGAAACAAGACTGACCATGTTTTAATAAGCTGGCTAATAGGTACCGAAGTTCATTATGCTGGCCGGGTGCGGTGGCTGGCTCATGCCTATAATCCCAGCACTTTGGGAGGCTGAGGCGGGTGAATCACCTGAGATCAGGAGTTCGAGACCAGCCTGGCCAACATGGTGAAACCTCGTCTCTACTAAAAATACAAAAATAAGCTGGGCATGATGGCACATGCCTGTAATTCCAGTTACTTGGGAGGCTGAGGCAGGAGAATAACTTGAACCCAGGAGGTGGAGGTTGCAGTGAGCAGAGATCATGCCACTACATTCCAGCCTGGGTGACAAGAATGAAACTCTGTCTCAAACAAACAAAAAAAAAAAGTGCCTTATGCTTAGTATTCTCTCTACTTTTGTATATGCTTGAAGGCTTTTATAATAAAAGTTTTTAAAAGTAAATGCAGATGCTCACACACATATGAAATTCAAACTAAAGGTATAAAGAAAAAAATTAAAGCACATATAATACTACTATACAGAAATAACTACGGCTAGCATTTTGCTATACATGCATATTTCCAGGTTTTCAAATGCACATATGTACTTATAGATACATTTTTATTAAAATGAGATACTATCATATATAAAGGGTTTTCTTGAAAATTTTTGTGTATTAACTTATATAAACATAAAAATATTTATTATATGATAACATAATATATTTTCTATACATGAAGTTTTACAATCCAATTTTTTTTATTTTTTATTTTTTTTTAAGATGAGAACTTGGACTCCTGGGCTCAAGCAATCCACCCACCTCAGCCTCCCAAGGTACTGGGTTAACAGGAGTGAGCCACCACACCTGGCCTATAATCTACTTTTTAAACTAAATAATACATTACATATATCTTTCTAAGCTAATGAACATACACATTTTTGGTAGTGAATATCTTTATGTATTCACCCAGATCACAAATGATTCCCTTAACTGTTTTCCCATCCACTGAAATAAGCTCAAGCTCTCATATTTGTATTGCGTGACCCTGTCTTCCTGATCACAGTTTTTTGAATCAAATTTACTCTGGGCAATCAGATTCTCTTTGCTGGGAATTTGGAAATGGGGTTGGTCTCTTGAAAAGAAAAGTAAAATCAGGAAAATAGAATTACTTAAGTAATCCTTCAAAATTGGTATTTTTATCTTAAAAAGACTGATGTGAGGTATTGAAGTAGATGTTAAAACTTTAAAATGATGGTTACAAATAAGGGGGGCTGGATGAATGAATGTACAAAGAACAACAACATCTTAATTCCTGGATTCATACGTTTTCAATACTAACCTAAACACCATAGAGTCACCTAGAGACAACTGTAATTTCTCTTCTATTAACCAAAAAACTATTAATTTTAAAAGAATATTCACATTAAACATGGAGCAATCTGCTCTGTTACAGCTCCACTATACCTGTGACCTACATTCTTGTGTAGCATGCACTAGACTCATGTTCTCAGCCAGGCTATGGTGGTCAATGATCATAGTTAGTCTATCACTGATACATGTTTGTCAGCTTGCTCAACCAAACATCTGTCCCTGTTTGATCTTAACATAAAAGTCCAAAGTTAGACTTATCTCAAATCCTAGTCATAGCTATTAATGATTAAGAGAGACAATGTGATAGATCCTATCTACAAATAACTATTTGGAAGGCAGAAGTTTGGAGAGACATTAACTCTTTCAGGTAAAAAATAATAATATACTGAATCAATCTCTAAATTAATTTAGCAGGGAAAAATAACTCATAAGCCACAAATGAAACTGTCTTTGATTGTTACAACTAAAGGATCTCACAAGAGCAAAGGGAAGACACTATACTATTTTAATGAAACATCAATTCCATTTAATTCAATATACCAGAAATAATTTATGCTTTAAAGAAAAATGTAATCATGGGTCATATTTTAACACTGAACATTCTAGGGATGGCTAACAGTGCATGCTTTTAAAACAACTATAATAAAAATATGAAACTGTAATTTATTGAACATTAATTGTGACTTGAAAGAGTTAAGGTAACTCCCTTGACATCTGCCTTATAATCATAGCATTTATTTATCAGAGTACTCTGGCTGAAAAAAAAATTGTAGAAGCTTCTCCAGAATTAAATGTTTAAAGAACATTATTTGAAGGAGGTAAGATCTTCACTAAAAAGGTAAAGTAGTATATCTGGGAATAAATTTAAGCCTTTATTTCACCACCATTAATTAATGAAGACTTATTAGATAAATGAATTGCTACAAGAGGTACAAAATTTTAACAGAAGAAATTTGCAGAAGAATATTCAATCATGATCACTTGTATTTCAAATGCTGTCTCGTCTCTTAAGATTTTCTCCATCTTGGGCTCATAAACATTAATCATTTACCGAAATATAAATAGGTTAAATGCTTTTTGGTGTATTTACCTTTTTTCCTTTGAAGTTGAGGGTACCAGGCTGCTCCAGGACCCCATAATACAAGCGCATAATGTTGATCTTGGGCCTGTTCCACTGTTAACATAACTTTTTTCTGCTTCTGTCCTCTATAACTGTATACTGCCTCTGGAAAAGGAAAATGAGTATCTTAGTTGGCATTACTCTATCACACGTGATACCATACTTTAATAGCTGATGATACATATATAGTGATAACCAAATGGTACACTAAGATGGTCTTGTATCTTAATTTTTTCATAATCTAAAATTAAGGAGGCAGTCAAAATGTTTACCTGTCAGTATAGGAAATCAACAACTCTTAGTACTGCGTGGACTAACACATCAGGTTGAAGGTGCTCCAATTCTACAAAGTCTATACTGTTCACCCTCTGAGGCTGTCTCGGAGGAAGATCTCTGAGGTAGGAATGTTTTGAGGACACATATGCCAGTAAGTCTTGAAGTACAACGTCACTAACTACACTGGAATCTAAGGAAAAAAAACATGCATACAGACAAAAGATGGCAACATTACATTTTTCTTGACAAATAATATTTTTTAGAACTGTATTTTATGTTGTAAAGTATGATTAGATATAAAATATAGTTTTGTTTTCTCTAAAACATGTACAATAGCTAAGTCTTGAATCAGTTTAGATGTAAAAATAAACTTGATATTTTTAATCAATGGAAATGGAATTATTTACTATCCCCAAAAAACTTGTGCTGTTCCCATACTTCTTTACTTTGTTAATAATATCATTTTCTATCAATTAACCAAACACAAAATTTCTGTTCTTTTTTGACTCCACCACCCTGTAACAGCCAATTGGTTCCCCAATCCCTGGAGTCTGATTTGATCCTGCTTTCCCAACTATCCTAGCCTCTGCCGTTCTTCCTCAAGCCCCTTCTGAAACAGGCTCAGAGCCACCTCACTGGTTCTCTCCCTGAGTGTGCCTTACTCTTTCCACACGAGGCCTCCGTCCTCACCAATTTCCAGCTGCAAGGCTGTCTTCTTGTCCTACCCAATACCACATAGAATGATGACCACTATAGATTCACAGTGCTGCTTTTTTCCCTGAGCTCAGAGAGCTTTTAAGCATGTGCTACATTGTAATATTTTTCAAGTGTTGGATTGGTTATTTAATTCTTCAGTTACTATGTCTTTTAAATGTTTTTCTCTTTCCTGTCTCATTTTTTTTTCTCACTTTTTATTAAGGTATAGTTTCTGTACAATAACATGCATATATTTTAAATGTACAGGCTGATGAGTTTTGCTGATTAAATTTTAATTTCTCTGAAGGTAAGAGAAGTATGCTTGAGTACGTGATTGATTGCTGACCAAAATAAGATATTGGCAATAAACACTTAAGTACTTTTTAGAAAGCAGACTTCATAAACTGATTTGTGATTCTTCTTTCCTTCCTTTAGACAGTAAAAGAAAAGGGATGTAACAGGTGAAACAAGACTGACCATGTTTTAATAAGCTGGCTAATAGGTACTTAAGTTCATTATGCTTTGTATTCTCTACTTTTGTATATGTTTGAAGGCTTTTACAATAAAAGTTTTTAAAAGTAAATGCAGATGCTCACACACACATAAAATTCAAACTAAAGTTACAAAGAAAAAATTAAAACCACACGTAATACTACCAGACTGAATTCTTCTTTCACAGTATTTCCAGCAAATCTGGAATCAGAAGAGTTGTATTCAAATTCTGGTTTTGTCAATAATGAGCTCTGTGAACTTGTACATAACTTCTCTGGGCTTCGTTTTTCATGAACAAGATAGAGCTTTTGGGGAACAAAAACATCTCTGACATCAAATTATATATTTGTCCCTGATTCATAAAAATTTACATGGAAACACATGGTTATTTAGATTCCAAAAAAAGTCTACCTCATGGAAACACTGTGTTGATCTTTGACTTATATATTTAATAATATTCAAGATAAATTTATATTCCTGTCACATTATCAGAACTAGGTTTGTAAAACATGTAACACCTCACTATAAAGATGAAAGAACAGAAGTCTTTTCTTTTCAACTTTTACTTTAGATTCGGGTGTACATGTGCAGGTCTGTTACCTGGGAATACTGCGTGATACTGAACTTTGGGGTACAAGTGATCCTGTCACCCAGGTACTGAGCACAGTACCCAACAGGTAGTTTTTCAACCCTCTCCCTCTAGTAGTCCCCAGTGTGTATTGTTGTCACCTCTATGTCCATGAGTAGCCAGTGTTTAGCTCCCACTTATAAGTGAGAATACACGTTATTTGGTTTCCTGTTCCTCCCTCAATTCACTTAGGATAATTGCTTCCAACTGCATCTGTGTTGCTGCAATTTATTTATTTATTTATTTATTTTTTTGAGACAAGGTGTCACTCTGTTGCCCAGGCTGGAATGCAGTGGCACAATCTCAGCTCACTGTAAACTCCACCTCCTGGGCTCAGGTGATCCTCCCACTTCAGCCTCCCAAATAGCTGGGGCCACAGGTGTGCACCACCACACCTAGCTAATTTTTTTGTATTTTTTGTAGAGACAGGGTTTTGCCACCTTGCCCAGGCTGGTCTCAAACTCCTGGACTCAAGCAATCTGCCTGCCTCAGCCTGTCAAAGTGTGGGAATTACAGGCATGAGCCACCGCACCATCCTGATTTCATTCCTTTTTATGGCTGTGTAGAATTCCATGGTGTATATGTACCACATTTTCTTTATTCAATCCTCCACTGATGGCCACCTAGGTTGATTGCATGACTTTGCTACTGTGAATAGTGCTACAATGAATATTCAAGTGCTTATGTCTTTTTGGTAGAACAATTTGTTTTCTTTTGGATATATACCTAGTAATGGGATTGCTGGGTCAAATCATAGTTCAGTTTTAACTTCTTTGAGAAAACCCCAAACTGTTTTCAACAGCGGCTGAACTAATTTACATTCCCACCAACAGTGTACGAGCATTTCCTTTTCTACACAGCCTACCAACATCTGTCGTTTTTTGACTTTTTAATAATAGTTGTTCTGGGGCTGGGAGTGGTGGCTCACACATGTAATTCCAGCACTTTGGGAGGCTAAGACAAGAGGATCGCTTGAGCTCAGGAATTCAAGGCCAGCTTGGGCAACATGACAAAACCTGGTCTCTACAAAAAATACAAAAATTAGCTGGGCATGGGGGCATGCACCTGTAGTCCCAGCTATTCAGGAGGCTGAGGTAGAAGAATCTCTTGAGCCTGGGAGATTGAGGCTGCAGTGAGCTATGATCAGGCCACTGCACTCCAGCCTGGGTAACAGAGTGAGATCCTGTCTCTAAAAAATAAATTTTAAAAAAGTATTATTAGGTCCCACTTTTCAATTTTTGGTTTTGTTGCAATTGCTCGAGGGCTTCATCATAATTATTTCCCAGAAGTCCTTTCCAAAAACACAATATATTGATCAGAAATAAGAATCCTCTCATGAGTTGTAACCACTTGCAAAATCAAAACCAAATTGGTAAAATGAGTAACCAAATTGGTTTACTCTTTTTTTTGTTTTTTTTTGTTTTTTTGAGGTTTGCAGCTATTTTATTTACAAGTATACATTTAACACAATGAAATAAACACTGATATATTGAAGCCTAGTTAATAGTAGTGTAACAATATGCATCATTTTGATGATTACATTATTTTAAACAACAAACTACACTGAAAAATTAATGCCGATAAAATTCTTGGTCATAATATTAAGAAACACAATATATAAATTGAAAATATGATTGCTTAAAATTTGAAAATGGAAGTGAACTCATTTGGACAGACTCAGAGTTAACATAATCTGAAGGGAGGGGAGCTCTGACCCAAATGATATCTTTCAGGTTAACAGAAGAAAAAAGAAGCATAGTTTATCTTCAAGGAGAACGGGCAGTTTGCTTCTTCAGCTAGAATATATTCCCAGTGTCCTCGGGCTTTGCAGCAGAATCACATCACCGAGCATGAAGACTTGCCTTGTGAAGCTGCCCCCGTCCATTTTTTCTGCCTCCAAAATCATCCTTCGAAAAACATCAACAGCAGTCTGATTTTCTTTAGCAGAAGATTCCAAAAAAGCTGCATTCCAAGATTCTGCCAAAGCTTTCCCTTCTTCATAACTGATCACCCTTTCCATATGCAGGTCTTTCTTATTTCCAACCAACATAATAGGTATTTGTACTTTCCCCACCATATCCAACAATTTGCCATGGATAACTTTAATCACTTCAAAACTTTTGATTGATGTAACAGAATACACAAGAATATAGCCATTAATATCTATGGAGTATGTCTGAGGAAAGATAGAATATTCATCTTGCCCGGCTGTGTCTACAAGTTAAAGATGATATTCTTGTCCATTTACTGTGATCAACTTTGTAAAAGTGTTTTCTATGGTTGGATCGTAGGAGTCCACAAATTGGCCTTCAACAAATTGAATCGTCAATGAGGATTTCCCCACAGACCGGTAGCCCAGGATCGCGATCTTCCGGGACTTTGACTGCGGCATCTTGGCGGCCTCCTCAGCCCCGGCCCAACCACATCAACCGCGGCGGCGGCGGCTCCTGCTGCTGTGATCGGCGGCGGCCGCGCCGGGAGAGAGCGGCATACAGAGCAGGGGCGGCGGCGGGCGCGGCTGCCTCTCGCTCGCTAGCTCGCGCGCTCCCAACCGCCCGGAACCGACCGCGCGGCGGCGCCCCTCCCCCCCCACAACACGCCCACGTGACCGGCCGGCGTCAGCACCGCCCCTCTTCGCGCCGTGGCCCGCCGCCTCCGCCCCCCGAAATACGCGGGGGGTGCGTCGGGGCGACGTTTTACTTTAAAGGCAAAAAAAGGGGACGCCGCGATGCCCCCAGAAAAGTCACGACTGAAACTCGCTGCGTCATGACCCGGTTTACTCTTTCAGAAGGAAAACAACTGCAATATTCTCAAAATGTCCACTGGTAGCCATTTCCCTACATCAATAAAAAACTTTAGAATATACTTTATTTAGCTACTAACTTGTAAAAAATAAAGCACCATAAATTCCTGTGTATGTGTAAAAACAAAGATTGTGAAGTAACTTCTAAAGATTATCTAATTAGTTCAAGATTTTTCACATCATTCTACAAAAACCTGAAACTCTCTAGGGGATTCATAGAATATTCTCCATCCAGAATTTTGTCATAAGAGTTTTATGAAATTACTGAACTATTACTTGAATCTAGATCATCCTTAAAACCAGAGATATCTACATTTCCCAAATCTCTTGCAAAGCATTTGCATACCATGTTATTTTCATTATTTCAAAACATTCCTTCCCCTTCTATTCTATCAACATCTACAAGATATGCTGAATTTTACTTAGAAGCCATTTAGCTATCATTCATACACACACACTTTCCAAAATGTAACACCTTCAAATATACATAATAAAAGACTAAACTTGTATCTTTTACAGAAATCTCAAAATTAAAATTTAACTGACTTCAACTGGGCAAAACCACACCATCTCAGTTACTATAGGTTCATACTAAGTCTTGATAGCTGATAGGGTAAATTATTCTTCCCTGCTTTTCTTCTTAAAATGCCCTGCTGTTTTCAACCACTTACTCTTCTACATAAATATCATATAATCTTATCAAATTACATGAAAATCTTATTGGTCTTTAACTCTTTGCCTCAAGAGATCCTCCTACCTTGGCCTCCCAAAGTGCTGGCATTACAGGCATGAGCCACTGCGCCCTTGAAATCTTACGAGGATTTTTATGGAACATGCACTGAATTTACAAATCAACTTGAAAAGAACTGAAATCTTCACAATGTTAAATCTTCCAATTAATGAATAAAGTATGTTTATTTCATTCTTTGTTAGTTTTTCTTCATTTAAAAATTTTTCCTTTTTTAGGTCTTGCACATACTTTGTTACATTTATTACTATTAGTACAAAATAATATTGTTGTCAATGACAGCTTCCTTTGTTATTGTTAGTCGCTCTACTCTAGAAATGTGATTGACTTTTGTATGTTAATCTTATATCCAGCTACTTTGCTAAATTTTCACATTATTTCTGATAATTTGTTTGTAGTTTTCAGAGGGAAAAGGTATGTAAACCATCTATAATAATGGCAGTTTTATTTCTACCTTTCCAATCTTTACATATCTATTTTTCCATGTTTATTGCACTGGTTAATAACTCTAATATGGTGTTGAAGAAAAGTAGTAATAGTAGTATCCTAGTCATATTCCTGAATTTTAAAAGGAATGCTTCTAATATTTTTCCAATTAGGATGATAATTGTTCTGGGTTTTCTAAAGACACTCTTTATGAAGTTAAGGAAAATTTTATTCTATTCCTAATGAACAGGTGTTGAATTTTATCAAAAGCTTTCTTTGTACCTATTGAGATGATCGTATACAGCTCTTTTAAAAACTCTGTTTTGAACTAATGTAAGACTTACAAAAAAGTTGCAAAAATAGTACAGAGTTCCCTTATATTCCTCACTATGTCGACTAATGTGGGCATCTCACATATTATAAATTATCTTAAACAGGAAACTAACGTTAATTAAATATTGTTAATTAAAATGTATATGTTATTTAAATTTTACCAATTCTCCTATTAATATGCTTTTTCTATGTAGGATTTCATCCAAGATCCCACCTCACATTTAGTTGTTATTTCTCTTTGGTCTCCTCTAGTCTATAAGAGTTTCTCAGTCTTTTCTTTTTCATTACCTTGACACTTATGAAGAATCCTGATCATTTATTTAGTAGAACGTCCTTCCCTTTGGGTTTCTCCAGTGTTTTATGATTGGAATGAAGTTATGCATTTTTGGCAATTCCACAAAAAATATGGTGGATCCTTCTCAATGGATAATATCAAAGAATTTATGATACCATACATCTTATTACTGGTGATATTTACCCCAATCACTCAGTTAACTTGGTGTCTGAAGAGTTTTCTTATAAATTTATTATTTTCCCTCTAGTAAGCTGGTATCCTGGGGAGATACTTTGAGACTATGCAATGCTCTCTCTCCTCAGACTTTCACCTACTAATTTTAGCATCTATCAGTGCATTTGTGTCGGTGCAGTATTTATTATTGTGATCTCTGCCTGATGGTAATTCTCTATTTTTGTGTTTTGTATTTTTTTTTTTTTCTTGAGACAGAGTCTCACTCTGTTGCCCAGGCTGAAGTGCAGTGGCATGATCACGGCTCACTGCAGCCTCAACCTCCTGGGATCAATCAATCCTCCCACCTCAGCCTCCCGAATAGCTGGGACCATAGGGGCACACCTCCAAACCTGGTTAATTTTTCTATTTTTTGTAGAGACAGGGTTTTGCCATGTTGCCCAGGCTGGTCTCGAACTCCTGGGCTCAAGCCACCCACCTGCCTCAGCCTCCCAAAGTGCTGGGATTATAGGCATGAACCACTGAGCATGGCCAGTAATTCTCTATTTTTTTTTCTTTTCTCTCAGATTTATTAATTGGAATTCCATTGGAAGGAAGAGCTCTCTCTTCCCCTCTGGTTAGTTAATGAAATAAATATGTCTTTATATCAGTAAGGATTTGTAAAGATTTTAATCTATGGGTTCTAATCCAATACTATCATTATTTTCTTACTCAAATTGCTTCAGCTTTAGCCAGTAGGTGTTCCTTCAGGTTGGCTCTTGCATTATTTCAACATGTCTTGTCTGGCACCACTAGACTTCCAGGCTTATCCTGAATTTGCCCTGACCCAGTCCTGTAATCAACCACTTTTAGCAGAGCTGGTTCCTTTCATTAGAGAACTATGTTGGCCAGGCACAATGGCTCACACCTGTAATCCCAGCATTTTGGGAGGCCAAGATGGGTGGACTGCTGAAGCCCAGGAGTCCGAGACCAGCCAGAGCAACATGGTGAAATCCAGTCTCTACAAGAAATACAAAAATTAGCCAGGCGTGGTAGTGCACACCTATGGTGCCGGCTACTTGGAAGGCTGAAGTGGGAGGCTGGCTTGAGCCCAGGAGGCGGAAGTTGGAGTAAGCCGAGATCGCACCACTGTACTCTAGCCTGGGCAACAGAGCCAGACCCTGTCTCAAAAAAAGAGAGGCCGGGCACGGTGGCTCACACGTGCAATCTCAGCACTTTGGGAGGCCAAAGTGGGCAGATCATTTGAGGTCAGGAGTTCAAGACCAGCCTGGCCAACATGGTGAAACCCCATCTCTACTAAAAATACAAAAATTATCTGGGCGTGGTGGCACGTACCTGTAGTCCCAGCTACTTGGGAGGCTGAAGCAGGAGAATTGCTAGAACCCAGGAGGCAGAGGTTGCAGTGAGCCAAGATCACGCCACTGCACTCCAGACTGGGTGACAGAACAAGAGTCCATCTCAAAAAAAAAAAAAAAGAAAAGAAAAGAAAATGTTTACAGACGAAGATCTGGGCACCAGGTATGCTCATTATTACTGGGGAGTAACTGCATCTGTGCTGTGCTCGCTCAATGGACAGAACTAGGAGATGTTTATGTATGTGTACTATCCCACCCATATACACATGCCTATATTTCTGTATCCATTTATCTATATTAAAAATCCTCAGTTTATAACAATACCTCTGGTTCGTTTTAACCTTCCCTTGTTTATAATTTCTTTCTCCAACAGTGAGAAATCCAGCTTTCCTTATCTACAATCTATGTACTCATTTGTTCATTCTAGTATGTACATAAGGTTATTGCTAAGCCATTCCCCTTTGAGAAACATATTTCTAACTAGATTGCAGCATTTATGTACAGTCCTTTCTGTCATTAGCCTTATAGAATCCAGTCAATATACTCTTTTCCACAGCTACTTAGGTTTGTTCTTTTCTTCCCCACCCCCTTCTGTGTAGTTATTTTATTCATTTGTAACAATATTGGGTTCATTTGTAACAATAATACATTCATTTGTTAGTGTCACTTCCTCCTGACCCCTGCTATCCTGTTCCCATTCCCCACTTTCTTCCACCCCTCTCCTACGTGCCCCCTGTAGGTGACCAATCTCTTTAGTTTCTGGTTTATCCTTCCTGCATTTTCTTTCCACAAATAAACAGAGGTATTTTCTTATTCCTCCAATCCTTCTTACAGGAAGGACAGCATACTACATACAGTTTTGGGGGGTTTATGTTTTCACATAACAGTATGTCCTGGGAATCACTCCATATCAGTTCGTAGAGATCTTTTTCATTCTTTTTGTACAGCTGCATAGTACATAGTGTTCCACTATGTGAATGTACCATAACTTAGTGAATCATTCTCCTATATATTTTGCAATTATAAACAATACTGCAATGAATAACCTTGTGATATGTATTTTCATATTGTTGGAGATGTAGCTTCAGGGTAGATTCCTAGAAGTGGGATTGCTAGGTTGAAAGCTAAGTACATATGTAATTTTGTTAGATATTGCCAAATATCCCTTCAAAAGGGTTGTAGCAATTTGCATTCCTACCACCAATGTATAAGAGGGCACATTACCTCACAGTTGCGCCAACAGAATGTGCTTTTTTTTTTTTTAATTTTGCCAATCTGATAGGTGAGAAATGGTATCTCCATGTAGTTTTAATTTGAATTTCTCTAATAAGTTATATTTGATAGCCATTTTTATATCTTTTTTTGAAAATTGACTGTTCATCTCTTTTTCACATTTTCCCTTTTGCCAGGCTAGAGTGCAGTGGCATGAATACAGCTCACTGCAGCCTCGACCTCCTGGGCTCAAACAATCCTCCTGCCTCAGCCTCCTATGTAGCTGGGACCATAGGCATGCACCACCACACCTGGCTAATTTTTTGACTTTTTGTAGAGACAGGGTCTCACTATGTTGCCCAGGCTGGACTCAAACTCCTGAGCTCAAGTGATTCTCCCACCTCAGCTTTCCAAAATGCTATGATTACCAGTGTGAACAACCACACCCAGACTTTGTCACTCAAGGTTTAAAAGTTCTTTATATATTAGGGATATTAGCCTTTTGTTGTATGTTACAAATATTTTCTCCAAGTTTGTCAGTTGTCTTTTGACTTTGTTTATAGTGTTTTGGTTATGCAAAATTTATTTTTCTACAGTAAAATGTATCAGTTTATCTTCTACTGCCCCTGGATTCTGAGTAATATTAAGAAAAAGCCTTTCCCTACACCAAGATTACAGAGGATTCATTCAGGTTTCCTTCTTGTTGTTGCATGATTTTATTTTTTACATTTAGACTATTAATCCATATGGTGTTTATTACTGTTTGTTGTGAGATACGTGTCCAATTTTCCCTTTTTTCCAAATGGCTACCCAGTTGTCTCAGCACCATTTATTAAGAAGTTAGCTTTTATCTCACTGATTCCAGATACTATCTTTGTCATATATTAAATTGCTATATGTAGGTGGGTCTAATTCTAATCTTCTTACTCTATTCCACTGGTCTACTTGTCTATTCATGCATCAGTACTTCACTGTTTTAATTACAGAGGCTTTATAGTATGTTTTAACATCTGGTAAAGCTAGTTCCCCTCCTCTGTAGTTTTCCTTTGTCAGTCTTTTCCTAGCTATTCTTGCATGTCTGTTTTCCCATATGAGCTTTAGTATCAACTTTTATATGCCACAACACATATATTTTCATTGGAACTACATTGAATTTACATATTAACTTAGGAAGAACTGACATCATTATAATGTTGAGTCATCCTATCCAAGAACAGGAAATGTCTTTCCATTTATTCATGTCTTCATTTCTTTCTGGAGTGTTTAAATTTTTTCCTCATATAGGCTTTGCATATTTCTTGTTAACTGTATTTTGAACTATCTTCTTTATTACTATAGTAAATGAGTTTTTCACTATCATTATGCCCTCTGTTTGTTATTTGTGTATATTGTCTAATTACTATTATTATTATTTTTTTTTGAGACAGGGCCTTGCTCTGTTGCCCAGGCTGGAGTACAGTGGTGCAATCACAGCTCACTGCAACCTCATCCCCCAGCCTGGGCTCAAGCAATCCTTTTACCTCAGCCTCCCAAACAGCTGGGACCACAGGTGTGTGCCACCACACCCAGCATTTTTTTCTTTTTCTTTTTCTTTTCCTTTTTCTTTTTTGTAGCCCAGGCTGGTCTTGAATTCCTGGGCTCAAGCTGTCCACCCACTTTCATCTCCCAAAGGGCTAGAATTACAGACGCAAACCACTGCACTCAGCCTAATGATATTTTTTAACATTAATTTTGCATCCTGTTATATCATTGAATTATCTTATTATTTAAATTTGTTTTAACTTTGATTCCCTGGAGTTTTCAGGTATGTTATCAGAGCATTTGTAAATAGAGATAATTTTCATTCTTCTTTATCCATTCAAATGTTCAAATGCCTCTTCTTTCTTTTTTTTTTTTTTTTTTTTTTTGGAGACAGAATCTCGCTCTGTCCCTCAGGCTGCAGTGCAGTGTACAGGTGCTCACTGCAACCTCCACCTCCTAGGTTCAGGCAATTCTCATGCCTCAGCCTCCTGAGTAGCTGGGACCACAGGCATGCACCACCACACCTGGCTAATTTTTCATCTTTTTAGTACAGACAGGGTTTTGCTATGTTGGCCAGGCTGGTCCCAAACTCCTGGCCTCAAGAGATCCGCCCACCTTGGCCTCTCAAAGTGCTGGGATTACAGGCGTGAGCCACCGCACCAGACCAGATGCCTCTTCTTGTCTAAGTGCGTTAGCTGATAATTCTAGTATAAGATGAATAGTTGCAGAGATAGTGGACATCCTTATCTTTTTCCTGGTTTTAATGACAATGCCTCGAGTGCTTTTCTATTAAATAAGACATTGGCATTAGGACTAAGTATCTATTTTATTGATATAGTATTAATCATATTATAATGCTGTATTGATGCTATATTTATTTATTTAAGAAAAAAATTTTTTTTGAGACAAGGTCTGACTCTGGTCACCCAGGCAGAAGTGCTGTGGTACAATCATGGCTCACTGCAGCCTCAACTTTCTTTCCCACTTAAGCCTCCCCAGTAGCTGTAACTACAGGTGTGCACCACTACACCTGGCTAATTTTTCCATATTTTTAGTAGAGATGAGGTTTCACCATATCATCCAGGCTGGTGTCGAGCTCCTGGGCCCAAGTAATCCTCCTGCCTCAGCCACCCAGAGTGCTGGGATTACAGGCATAAGCCACTGTGCCAGGCTGATACTATATTTATTGATACTGAAAGGGAAAGTATCCTAGTATATTACTAGTTAACAGTATTATACAAATGTTGATTTCCTGTTGTTGATATTGTACTAAAGTTATATAAGATATCACCATTGGGAGAAGCTAGAAGAAGAGTTCATGGGACTTTATGTATTATTTTTGCAATCCCCTGTGATTCTATAATTATACAGATAATATTTATTTTAAAAACTTTTAAATTTGAAATATTATCTGTATGCTAATAACTCTAAAATTTGCCTCTTAATTTTAAACCTGTCTTCTGAGTCCTGAACTTTGTTTCCAGTTCTTATATGACATCTCCACTTGAATATCTCAAAGATATCTAAAACTTAACATGCCTTGAAACATAGCCCTTTTCCCCACAAACCAGTTCCCTCTCAGTCTTTCACAATAAAGGCTACCTAGTTACTTAAACCAGTAATCCAGTAGCAGTAGATTGTCCCTCTTCCCTGATCCCCAGACCCACATCATCAGAAAATCCTATTAACTCTATTTACAAATATATCTCGGCTCTTTAGCTCCACTGGCCTCCCATTATCTCTCAACTGCAGCTATTGTAACAACTTCCTAACCCTGATTCTACTCCATGATCAATCCTTCTCAACTAGAACCATGGCATTCTGTATCTTAACCCTTTGTTAGTTTCCTTCATAGCACTCATTATCACCTGCAAATATTTTACTTATATGTCTGTTTCATTCATTTTTTTTGGTCTGTCTTCCACATGAGAACATAAGCTCCAGGAGGACAGGCACCATTGTACCCCCAGTGTACAGTAAACACAGTGCCTGAAACAATGTCAACACATAATAAATATATATTGGATAGATGAAGAACTCTATTTGAGTTGTCTATGAAATATGTCAGAGTTGGTTTTCTGCTGATGGGCCACCCTAGTATATAATGAAACCTTGCCCATCCCAAACACAGTTCTTGTTATTCTAATTGTTGCTCTTCCCTTCTACTTGCTCTGCCTTTCTTTAAGAATTCAAAGATTGGAATTCCATGCTCTATCTTCCATATACATCCTATAACTTTCCTATTATTCCAGTTATCTTCTTGTATAATCAGTATATTTCTCTAGCTATTTTCTTGTATGATACTTCAGCATTTTATCAAATATATTTTGCTAGCTTATTATTTCTCCCTCTAATATTACTATGTTACTACTACATTATGTGCAGGTTCAACATCTTATATTCATTTTCTCACTTAATCTTCATAACAACCCTATAAGGTATATATGTATTTTTATCTCCATTTCACAGAAAAGGAGATAAAGGTATAGTGAAGTGAAATAACTTGCCTAAAGACAAAGACTGGAAGTAAGAGGGCCAGGATTCAAATCCTGGTCTATCTGAGTCCAGTGACCAAAACCACAAGTTTATACTGTTTCCCTTACTTTGTTTTCTTTCTTTTTTTTATGTCATTTTATTTCCTAGTGGAGGAGATAGCTGCTAGTTTCCTCATTAAACAGCTTCTTTTAAAGAAGAGAAAACTGGACATTAAAGAAGAAAGATAGCTTTTCTTAGCAGTGGTAGACAGGAGAATAAGGATTCAAACCACAGCTGTCTGAATACGAGACCAATACATTTTTATTACCTCAAGGATTCTTAATCAGAGGCTCAGAAGTTCCACAGAAGAACTTCAGAGGTCCACGGAATGCTTTAGAATTATAAGCAAAATTTTGTGCCTATCTACATAAGTCCAGTTTTCTGGAGAAATGGTCTATAGATTCTCAAAGAGGTCTCTGACTCCCTAAAAGGTGAAGAACCACCACTATACTGACAGCCTAAGAAAACGAAACATGATACCCAATACTTCTTAAAATAAATGTGATTTACAATGTACAAGTTCATTTCTTAAAATTCTATTTTCATTCTTACTAATGAAAAGAAACCAATACTCTCCAACTGTTTAGAAAACATTTTGTAAAAGAACCATTTTAACTCTAATCTTTCCTAGTATGTTTTTATACTTTAAACACTAATACATTACTTCATTTAAAATGTGCCTTACATTCTTCAGGCTGAATAGATGAATAACTCCCAAGATTTAATAACTGACTGCTAAATGTTGATTGTAGTACTGTCTCACCAATCCATTGGTCCTCATGAATAACAACATCTAGAGAGAGAAAAAAACATTCTGATCATGCCATAAATTCCTTCACAATGTGGTTAACCTACTAGTCACAGCAAAATATTATGCATGCCTCCCATATACCAAGCAACTAGAGATCAAATAGGTTAAATAACCTGCCTAAGGGCACGAAATGACAAAACAGCAAATCTAAAATCTAAATCTAGGTAAATTAACAAAATTGCTTCTTTATATTCAAATGATAGCAGTATGGAAGTCCACTGCTCTATATAAAAAAGGTTTAATAGCTTTTATTTACATAAGGAAAATGTTATCATGTATATTTCTGATACATCAAAAATAATTTTTTTTAGGACCAGAAGGCAAAGTAGTGGTTCCAAAGCCGTAGTGCCTAGGAGAGTAATAATATTCAGTATGCACTGGTCCCTTCTACTATAAATATATCTGAATATAAGGCATTCTTAACATACTTGATTATTTTTCCCTAAATAGCACGATAATTATCTTCCACACAAGTTAAAAGTGAAAGACTTTGGAGGTAGGGAACATTTTCCAACTGGAAAGAGAGAGCTGTATATCTAAGGCGGATAGAGTAGAATCAGGTAGAACTAAACATACCAACAGGTAGAAACAATTGTAGGTAGAGCAAAACGTGTGAGCTGTAAAGAGAAAGAGGGGAAGGGAGCTATCTCTAAGGCAGGATCTAATCAGCATACAGTGTCAGAGGTATAAACGTATATTAACAATAGTGAAATAATTTAGAGATAATAGGAAAGAAAACCAAGGATGTATAAATTCCAAGTGATTACTTACAGATTTAGATTCCAGACCCTTTCCTCAGCTTTTGAACCTTTTATCTACAACTGCCTAATGGAAATTCCCACCTGGATATTCCATTGGCTCCCCAAACTCAGCAATGTCCAAATCTGCTTTTCCTTTCATAGCGCCCAACTCATTTGTTGATGCTATGCTGCTAATCAAGTAAACTAAAATCTGAAGTCATCTTGCCTCTCCCTTCCCACTCCTTGCCACCAGCTCCCACCTACCCCTCTGCTGCTTAAATGTGCCCATGCCCCACCACTACTACTGTTTTACATTACACATTCCTTTCCCTCCCAACAGGTGCTTGTCCCGCCTGCAACCCATTTCTTACAATGCTAATGAGTCATTAATCAGAGCATTAATGAGTTCAGGCGAGTGATATATCAGAGCATTAATGAGTTCAGGTGACTTACTAAAAAACAGTGGTTCCCCACTGCCTAGCCAGGAAGAGCTAGTACAGCATTCAAGACTTTTCATGATCCAACATTCAGGATGCATGTTCTTCAGAAAAAAGGAACAGACAAGAAATTTCAAGGAGAGCATTCTGAAAGCTAGGACTGTGAAGCCTATGTTGGATTAGTGACATAGTAATCACTAGTGGTGCATGGAGGGGATGGGTAGCCCGCCCTGGCCTCCTGGCTCCTTCCTACCCTCTCACTGACATGCCCCAGCTCCTAGTCCTTATTCTGTTTGTCCTTTAAACACTGTGGTTTCCCAATGTTAAGCCTCCCATCTTCTTCTAATTCTAGTCAGTAGTCTCCCTTAGGTAATCCTTATTTTTGGCATCTCTTCATTCTATTGCTAGAAGTTATAATAGCAAACTGTCTACTGTGTTGGTATTCAACAAGGTCTGGAATACATCTGTTACTTCAAATTTTTCAGTATGGGCCGGGCGCGGTGGCTCGCGCCTGTAATCCCAGAACTTTGGGAGGCCAAGGTGGGCAGATCACAAGGTCAGGAGTTCGAGACCAGCCCGGCCAATATGGTGAAACCCTGCCTCTACTAAAAATACAAAAATTAGTCAGGCGTGGTGGCGGGCTCCTGTAGTCCCAGCTACTTGGGAGGCCGAGGCAGGAGAATCACTTGAACCCAGGAGGCAGAGGTTGCAGTGAGCAGAGATCACGCCACTGCACTCCAGCCTGGGCAACAGAGCAAGACTCCATCTCAAAAAAAAAAAAAAAAAAAAAGGAAGATTTCTGTTTGGGGGTATATATCAATAGGTAGTATGAACTACCCAAGCTATCCAACTAAGTTCACTGACTCATTAGGACAACAGAAAAGTGTAGATTTCTTTTTTTTCCCAACATTTCCATCTGTTCCACACAAAAGAAACTTATTCAGAATTCGGTGAACTAGATCCTCTTTTTCTTAAAAAGACAAAAAAAATCTGATTTTTTAAAAAAAGTTCATAGAAATCATCTAAATGTCTTATAATAGGAAAATGGTTAAGTAAATTGCATTACAGCCACCAGAGAGAATGTTACCTAGTCGTTAACAACTATAGAGATGTTAGGAAAAAATACAGAGATTGCAGAGTTGAGTTTACACCTACCTAGGAAAACGGAAAAGGCCCCTGAGAGGTCCCTGCTGACATTAATTGCCTCGGTAAAATGACCATGGTCCAGGATCCAGCCCTCTTTTACAGTCTGGGAAACTTAATTTTGTTAACACTCCAAAACTAGATTTCAGCTCTGCAACATAAGCTCATACTAAATCAATTAATGAAACAAATTA
This sequence comes from Homo sapiens, assembly GCF_000001405.40. NCBI lineage: Eukaryota > Metazoa > Chordata > Mammalia > Primates > Hominidae > Homo > Homo sapiens. The sequence goes on along the minus strand of NC_000010.11, from coordinate 47,693,870 downwards.
AAGAAAAAAAACATTTTTTTTTCATTTACAATAATTGCCCAAAAAAAAACAGTATTTCAGCCTGTTCTCATGCTGTGGGCAGCTCTACAACTAGAAAGCCAAATCACAAGCAAAGAGGTATTCAGCAAGCACTGAATCAGAACAGAGGGAGTTAGGTGAATTGAACCTCCAATAATATAATCACATATAAATAATATTAGCTAATATTGCCAGTGGGATGTGGCTATGCTAAGCCTGTTCATTACAATTTTGTGTTTACCTCTTTATAAAAGATTGTACTCGGCCGGGCGCGGTGGCTCACGCCTGTAATCCCAGCACTTTGGGAGGCCGAGGCGGGCGGATCACGAGGTGAGGATATCGAGACCATCCTGGCTAACACAGTGAAACCCTGTCTCTACTAAAAATACAAAAAAATTAGCCGCGCGCGGTGGCAGGCGCCTGTAGTCCCAGCTATTCGGGAGGCTGAGGCAGGAAAATGGCGTGAACCCGGGAGGCAGAGCTTGCAGTGAGCAGACATCGCGCCACTGCACTCTAGCCTGGGTGCCAGAGCCAGACTCCGTCTCAAAAAAAAAAAAAAAGATTGTACTTGACAATCCTACAGGAACACCAAGGTACATTAGCTAAGGTTCTCATTCCTCCTGTAAACTATTTGGTAGGACTATCAATATTGCTTCGAAGTTTTCTTTTTCTAAATACCGCCTCTGTATCACATTCTTTCTTTAGATATTTTATTAAGCTTAATCAACTTCCTCCTGCTCTAATACACCATGTGTCAATTTTAAATCAACAAAGAACACGTAACACAATGTTAGATGTCTTCGGTGAAAACATATTCTGGCCAGGCACGGTGGCTCACACTTGTAATCCTAGCATTTTGGGAGGGCGAGGTGGGCGGATCACCTGAGGACAGGAGTTCGAAACCAGCCCGGCCAACATGGTGAAACCCCGTCTCTACTAAAAATACAAAAATTAGCCAGGCATGGTGGCTTGCACCTGTAATCTCAGCTACTCAAGAGGCTGAGGCAGGAGAATCACCTGCACCCAGGAGGCGGAGGTTGCAGTGAGTCAAGATTGTGCCACTGCGCTCCAGCCTGGGTGACAGAGCAAGACTGTCTCAAAAAAAAAAAAAAATTAAATATTCTCTCTGGGTGCAGCGGCATGCGTGCCTGTAGTCCTGGCTACTTGGGAGACTGAGGCAGGAGGCTCACTTGAGCCCAGGAGTTCAGAGTTGTAGCCGATCAGGTGTTTGCACTAAGCTTGCCATCAATATAGTGACCTCCTGGGAGTGGAGGACCACAGGTTCCCTAAGGAGGGGTGAACTGGTCCAGGTTGGAAACAAGGGCATGTTAAAAATACCATGGGCACGGTAGCTCACGCCTGTAATCCTAGCACTTTGGGAGGCTGCGGCAGGAGGATCAATTGAGCCCAGGAGTTGGAGATCAGACTGGGTAATGCAGTGAGATCCTGTCCTTATTAAACAAACAAACAAAAAATTAAAAATAACAATTCAAAAATTCTCATGCTGATCAGTAATGGGATTGTGCCCGTGAGTACCCACTGCACTTGGCAACATAGCAAGACTCTGTCTCTTAAAAATAAATAAATTAAAAATTAAAAAAACAAAATGTTCTTTATGGTTACAACTATATAGTAAGAGTATAAATTCTGGAGTCTAGGAGAAACTATAGCTTTGCCACTTCCTAGATGTATGACATTGGACAAGTTACTTTACTTCTCTGGGCTTCAGCTTCCTCAACTGAAAAGTGGGGATAAAAATCAGTACCTTCCTCATATACTTGTTGTAATGAAATATGCATGTAAAATCTAAAACAGGGTCTCACAAACTAAGCTCCCAATAAATATGAGCTTCTATGTGTGATATATACACACATGCACACACATTTTAAGGAGAACAGAGAAAATAACTGGAAGGCAACACTCTCGAACTCTATTGGTGGTTATATGAAGTTGGTATAATACCAGTTTTTTCCTTTCCATATTTCCAAGTGTAATTAATATAATTTTGATAATAAAATAAGGCAACAGAAATCAATAACTGTTCCCACAGTAAAAACACAATGTGCACAGCATTATTAGACATTAGGTAAAGAAGCAGAAAGGTCTAACTCTGTTGCTTGGGCTAGAGTGCAGTGGCCCAATCAAAGCTCACTGCAGCCTCAACCTCCTGGGCTCAAGCAATCCTCTCATGTCAGCCTCCTGGGTAGCTGGGACTACAGGCACGCAAAACTTAATTTATTTTTTGTAGAGACGGGTTCTGTGTTGCCAAGGCTGGTCTCAAATTCCTGGCCTCAAGCAATCTTCCTGCCTCAGCCTCCCAAAGTGCTGGGATTACAAGTGTGACCCACTCCACCTGACTAGGGAAGGCTTATTAAAGGAGGGGATAAGTGGAAAGAAGGGGCAGAGCTGAGAAGGATAGAACAGAGGCCCAGAAGTGGCAATGGGCAGGAGAGTGGACAATGGAAAGGAGAGCAATGCAGATGCAATAAAGGGATCAATTATGCTGAGCTCAGAAGAGGCAAATGACTAAAGAAAGAGTCTTCAAAGACTAAGTGGGAGAAAACAAAAACAAACAAAACTTAGCTTTATAAAATAAGCTACCACTATACCATAATGACCTCACCCGTGAGTAAAATTATATCTCCAAGAAACACTGTAAATGCCCAAAATGCTGCAGTCCTCCACAGAAAAACCTTCTTCTTAGTTTCTGATTGATCACTTACTGTAACTGTTGCTAAAGGCACTTTAGAGCCAGAATTTGGTCCGAATTTTATGTTTATTTCCTTCACATGGCATGGAGATAGCACCATGACTAAACAATTATACTTCTGGCTTTTAGAATCACAGTTTTTTATTAATGATTTTTTTAATACTCTTAAATTCAGACACATTTCTCCGATCCATTTCTACAGCAGAATCTCCTCCATTAGAAATCAACTTCATTTTCTTAGCTACTTGAAGGACTCTAGATAGAGCTTCAGACTGGGCCACTTTATCTTCAGAGGTACAGCTTCTTTTAATAGCACTTTTGTGGAAGGTATTTAGTTGGGAACACAGTATTCCTGAGCTACACAACTCAATACGTATCTCATTTGGTGGCAGTTCATCTTCAGAACTGAAAAGTTCTTGAGATCCTGTATGTTCTTCAAGACCTTTATCAGAGTTTATGTGAATGCGGCTATTTTCTGTTTTAGGACAAACAGGACTAAAAAGTTCAAGGGAATATGCTTGGTTTTGTCCACTTTCATATGCTTCTGTAAAACCATCAAGCTGAATCGAATTCTCTTCAGGTATTCTTATCTCCCCGTAACTTGCCTTTGGTTCAGTCTCCATGTTTACATTCCCTTTATTTACAGGACTCCGCCTTTTATCTTTCTTTTGAGCTAAAAAAAGCAACCTGGCTGGAGGTAATTATACTGAGAAATTCTTTATCAGTTGATATTTTAAGGTCTGAGACCTTCTTAACTGCTGCTTCAGACCTTGACTTATCTACTGAGTTCGAGGAAAATAATCCCAAACGCTGGTTTTGTATTTCATGATATTCTGTTGGCACACACTCTCTTTGTACCACTTCAGGCCCTATATTAATTTTTTCAGTACTACAAACCAAATCCAACACAGCTGCACATTTATGGCCCAACTGAAACAAATTTGTGTTAAAGTTCTGACCACATATATCTGGCTGATGTTTAGGCTGTTCATCTCTAATTTTATTTTCACTGAGAAGCTTTGATACTTTTCTTCTTCGGTTAAATGCGGAACTGTGCTTTTAAATCCACATATTTGCATATTAGAGCTAGTTATGCCACTCAGTCTAGAGGAGTGAATCTTCTGGGATTCTATATTCTGTGTTTCAGAAACAGAACGTACAAAGTCATCTTTCACATGAACATGTCTATTCATACAGTTTGCTAAGAAATGACCACAAAGATCTGGAGAACCAATAGAATCTGGGACTTCATAGTTTTCAAGATTTTTGTGCTGTTTTTCATCCTTCAGATATAAAGAATGTTGACTGTATAAAAGCTGAATTTTTTTCCAGGGGTCAGCAACAGACATTAAAGAAGCTGTGTCTTCTGATACTGTCATTTTCAGTGGAGCAACTGGAGCACCCCAAAAAATGTGGACTTGAGATCCTCCACTCATGATTTCTGATAAAAATGAAAAATCCAAAATTAATATATTGTCAGCATATTTTTGCATATGGATATTAACTTAATAATGTACCAAAAGAAAATATAACTGAGTCAAAAACATAATTAACATAGGTGATTTTTTTGATATGCCATTTAATTATATAAATTCATAAATACACAAGAAATTATTAAGGAGAAATCACAATATTCACAAAAATTTTTCACCTAAAGACTCTCTTTAGGCCGGGCGCAGTGGCTCACACCTGTAATCCCAGCTCTTTGGGAGGCCGAGGCAGGTGGATCACGAGGTCAGGAGATCGAGACCATCCTGCCTAACAGCGTGAAACGCCGTCTATACTAAAAACAAAAAATTAGCTGGGCGTGGTAGCACATGCCTGTAGTCCCAGCCACTTGAAGGCTGAGGCAGAAGAATCACTTGAACCCAGGAGGCGGAGGTTGCAGTGAGCCTAGATTGCACCACTGCACTCTAGCCTGGGCAACAGAGTGAGACTCCATCTCAAAAAAAGACTCTCTTTAAGGGAAATAAAGCTAAGCACACTCACATCAAACAAGTTAATAGGTTTTTAGTATGTTTGTTTCATTTGAGATGGAGTCTTGCTCTGTTGCCCAGGCTGGACTGCAGTGTTGCCATCTAGGCTCACTGCAACGTCCACCTCCCAGGTTCAACCAATTCTCCTGCTTCAGCCCCCTGATTAGCTGGGATTACAGTCTGTGCCACCATGCCCGGCTAATTTTTGTACTTTTAGTAGAGACGGGGTTTCACCATGTCGGCCAGGCTGGTCTCAAACTCCTGACCTCAAGAAATCCACTCGCCTCTGCCTTTCAAAGTGCTGGGATTACAGGCGTGAGCCACCGCGCCTGGCCTGTTTCTTATGTTGTAAAAACTTGCCCCATTTAAATAACAAGTTAGTAAAGAATGGGAAAAGAGGCATTTGTTTAACTATATTACAGTCACCTTTAAATTAGTCATTTTGGGGCAGAGCACAGTGGTTCACGCCTGTAATCACAGCACTTTGGGAGGCCAAGGGGGTGGATCACTTGAGGTCAGGAGTTCAAGACCAGCCAGGCCAAGATGGCAAAACCCCATCTCTACTAAAAATACAAAAATTAGCCGGCTGTGATGGCCCATGCCTATAGTCTCAGTTACTCGGGAGTCTGAGGCAAGAGAAGCGCTTGAACCCAGGAGGAGGAGGTTGCAGTGAGCCAAGATCTCACCACTGCACTCCAGCCTGGGCGACAAAGCGAGACTCCATCTCAAAAAAAAAAAAATTACTCATTTTTGGCCAGCCATGGTGGCTCACACCGGTAATCCCAGCACTTTGGGAGGCCGAGGTGGGAGGATCACTTGAGACCAGGAGTTTGAGGCCAGCTTGGACAACATAGTAAGACCACCATCTCTACAAAAAAATTTAAAAACTAAAAAATTTCTTAAAATTAGCTGGACATAGTGGTGGAACACCTATAGTCCCAGCTACTAGGGAGGCTGAGGTGGGAGGATTACTTGAGCCTGAGAGGCGGACATTGCAGTGAGCCATGATCACACCACTGCACTTCAGTCTGAGTAACAAAGTGAGACCCTTTATTTATTTATTTTGAGACAGAGTTTTGCTCTTGTCACCCAGTCTGGAGTGCAATGACGCGATCTCAGCTCACTACAACCTCCTGTCTCCCAGGTTCAAGCAATTCTCCTGTCTCAACCTACCGAGTAGCTGAGATTACAGCCGTCTACCACCACGCCCAGCTAATTTTAGTTTTTTTAGTAGAGATGGGGTGTCACCATGTTGGCCAGGCTGGTCGCAAACTCCTGACCTCAAGTGATCCACCCACCTTGGCCTCCCAAAGTGTTGGGATTACAGGTGTGAGCCAACGTGCCTGGCGAGACTCTCTTTTTAAAAAAATGATTAAGAATCACTACTATTGCTATAACTACATATTCCAACCTCATTTAATCCTCATAGAAAGAATAACCTTCATAAGGAATAACTGGTATATTAGCTGTTCTATTGCATGTCATTATTAGATTTACCACTAGGGGCCCCAAATAGCACAGCAAAAGCCTTCAAGTTCAAAATACATTAATATGTCAAACCCAAGTGGGAGGAGAAATATATTATCTTGAAATGTTGGTTGGGGCCAGGCGTGGTGGCTCACGCCTGTAATCCCAGCACTTTGAGAGGCCGAAGCGGGAGGATCACCTGAGATCAGGAGTCCGAGACCAGCCTGGCCAACATGGCGAAACTTCATCTCTACTAAAAACACAAAAATCACCAGGGCGTGATGGCACCAGCCTGTAGTCTCAGCTACTAGGGAGGCTGAGGCAGGAGAATCGCTTGAACCCAGGAGGTTGCAGTGAGCCAAGATCGTGCCACTGCACTCCAGCACTCCAGCCTGGGTGACAGAGTGAGACTCTGTCTCAAAAAAAAAAAAAAAATGTTGGTGGGAATACTTAGATATATGCAAATCAAATGCATAACATTACCATGATAATGAATTCTCCTCCATCAGATCTTTGGCTTTCTTCTCCAATGGTTTCTTCCCTTTAGCTTCAAATCTTTATTTTATTTTATTTTATTTTATTTTATTTTATTTTTTGAGTTAGGGTCTCTCTCTCTCACCCAGGCTGGAGTGCAATGGTGCAATCATGGCTCACTGCAGCCTCAAGCTGCTGGGCTCAAGCTGTCATCCAGCCACAGCCTCCCAAATAGCTGGGACTACAGATACATACTGTCATGCTCAGCTACAAATCTTTAAAAATAAAACCAACCCCCCCGCCCCCACAAACTTGTTTGTTGTTTCTTACATCTCATTTCTCCTTTAATCTTCAACCACTTCTACTCCAACCATTTTGTTATAAAAGTTTTCACTATGGAAGCCAATGACCTTCTAGAAGCCAAATCCAAAGGTCAGTTTTCAATACTTTTAGTACCATTTGAAACTGTTTATCAATCCCTCTTTTCTGAAACATTCCGCTTTTTTGACTCTGTGAGACCACCATATTGGAATTCTTTTGTACTTAAGACAGATATGTATTGGATTATTCCTTCAATCACTCACGTAACAAACACTAAACATTACGTGCTGGGCATTATGCTAGGCCCTGGGAATTCAAAACAATAATAGAGAGCTTTAAGGAGCTTAATTTCTGAGAGGAAAAACAAACTGACAATTATAAAAAGTGACAGGAGGCCAGGAGCCTTGGCTCACGCCTGTAATCCCAGGACTTCGGGAGGCTGAGGCAGGTGGATCACCTGAGGTCAGGAGTTCAAGCCTAGCCTAGGCAACATGGTAAAATCCCATAAAAATACGAAAATTAGCCAGGTATGGTGGCACGCACCTGTAATCCCAGCTACTCAGGAGGCTGAGGCATGAGAATCGCTTGAACCCAGGAGGCAGAAGTTGCAGTGAGCTGAGATCACACCACTGCACTCCAGTCTGGGTGACTCTGTCTCAAAAAAAAAAAAAAAAAAAAAGTGATAGGAGCTACTACAGGATTAAAAGGAAGGGACAGCATCTCTAGAAGAGAGAAGCCTGGGGCAGTTCAACCAATGTGGAACTGCCCATTATCTGCATTTTTCGTAGGCTCTTAGGACTACAGTTAATCACAAAATTTTGAAACTGAATTTTATTAATGTTCAGAAAAAAAGTCATATAATAAAGTCCCCGAGTCATTCCCCACCCCAAAATAGGGCCCAGGAAAGCTGCCCTAATTGCCTTACCCAAGGGACAGGCCTACTATGGGTAATCTCCAAAATGTTTAAAAGGCATATACGACATTTACTGCTTCTGTGTCCTCACTTAATATTTTCTCCTAAATGTTCTGCAACCTTTCATTTCCTATCTGTGATAAGACAATAATGAAGTCCAAATTGCCAAATAAGAACTCACAGTGCTTCACCACTGCAGTTGTGAAACTCTCTCCTTAGTTTCTAGAACATTACTCTTTCCTAAATTGTTCTACCTCTCCAATTTCTCTCTCTCTCTCTTCCTCCTTGGGCCACCTCTTTCCATTCCACACACCTCTAGAGAATTTCATCCAATCCCATTCATATAACTACCACATATACAACTGTGCTTTACATATCTATACCGAGCCAATCTCTCTCCCAAACTTCAGACCTATATTTCTAGCATTACTATATTTGATAGGATCACAGTAGAATCAAAGGTGAGATTCAAAGCCCTACTTGCCTTCTAGGCAGGGGAAGATAGTAGAGCATAAAGGGATGACACGAAGCAGTCCTGAGAATTCAGAGGATCTCCCAGGGCAAGAAATATCTGAGATGAATGTGAGATCCACAAAACACAAGGTTTTTTTGTGTTTTTTTTTCTTTTTCTTTTTTTTTTTTTTTGAGACAGATTCTCGCTTTTGTCACCCAGGCTGGAGTGCAATGGCACAATCTCAGCTCACTGCAACCTCTGCCTCCTGGGTTCAAGCGATTCTCCTACCTCAGCCTCCCAAGTAGCTGAGATTACAGGCATGCACCACCATGCCCAGCTAATTTTGTATTTTTAGTAGAGATGGGATTTCTCCATGTAAGTCAGGCTGGTCTTGAACTCCCAACCTCAGCTGATCCGCCCGCCTCAGCCTCCCAAAGTGCTGAGATTAGAGGCATGAGCCACCGCGCTGGGTGGCACAAGGTTATTATATATAACTGTTATTTCAGTGTGCCTTCACTTATTTGTCTAAATCAGGGGTGTCTAATCTTTTGGCTTCCCTGGGCCACAACGGAAGAAGGAGAATTGTCTTGGGCCACACATAAAATACAGTTAACACTAATGATAGCTAATGAGCTTAAAAAAAACAATCGCAGGCTGGGCGCGGTGGCTCATGCTTATAATCCCAGCACTTTGGGAGGCCGAGGTGGGCAGATCACTTGAGGTCAGGAGTTTGAGACCAGCCTGGCCAACATGGTAAAACCCCGTCTCTACTAAAAATACAAAAATTAGCTTGGAGTGGTGGCACACACCTGTAATCCCAGCTACGCCAGAGGCTGAGGCAGGAGAATCGCTTGAACCCAGGAGGTGGAAGTTGCAGTGAGCCAAGATCGGGCCACTGCCCTCCAGCCTGGACAACAGAGCGAGACTCTGTCTCAAAAAAAATCTCAAAAAAAACTCATAATGTTTTAAGAAAGTTTACAAACTCATGTTGGGTTGCATTTAAAGCCATCCTGGACCACATGCAGCCCCACAGGCTGTGGGTTGAACAAGCTTGGTCTAAACAAATACCCTTGTAAGTGTAGAACTGTTACCCTACCCTCCTCACCCCCCCCCCAAAAAAAAACTTGACTAGAAAGTGGCCCTATTAATTCAAAAAATAGTAAATTTTTAAAAAGTGTTTATATCAAAGGCTACTGCTACTAAATACTCCAATTTATAGGAGTTGTGAGTATGTGAGTAGGAGGATGGAAACTGGCAAGGGCAGGGGGAAACAAAATATGTATGATAGCCAAATTATACAGACAGAAAAGTTATGGACAACTGATTAATTTCAATAATTCTAGGATATGTTTTAGGTGTACTCAGAGGGTTAAAGGTCATTAAGATACCAGATGAAACTTGCAAGTACATCTCCATTACCGCAGTTAATAATTATACAATTTCTCAATCTGCAGAAGGCCGCTTCAGTCGGAAAAACCAATACAACCATAATCCTTTATCTTTAGAGTGGTCAGAGTCTGATGAATGGGTCAAAGATTTCTAAAACAGGATGAATTGTATCAGCAGGTTTTGTCTTTGCAGAACACTGCAACTAAAAAAAAATGCTTATTACAAAACATGTATCATTAAAAGAGAGTGCTTTTCCCCTCTTATTACCAGGGAGTGAAAAAACTCCCTGTAGTAATGCCTTTTCATGTCTATTTTACCAAAAACACCAAAAAAATCATAAAGTTGCTCAATAGCATCAAATGACAAAGAAGCCACATGGGATTGTAATTAAAAGCAAGGGATTTGGAACAAGAGAGATGTGGGTTCAAATTACTACTCTGCAACTTACTCAAACTTGAAATTATTGAAGTTAAGTGATAGTTGCATGGGGTTCATTATACTATCCTTTGCTGGTGGTTAAAGAAAGTCATCCTTTTATTCTTTGACCTGATTGAACCAAATTCAATTTGCTATCATAGTTCATTTGTGTTAACAACACAGTACTAATAACCCACGTACTGTGTATATTCATGCTGAACTCTTTTAAGAATTACTAAATGCTGGGAGGCTGAGGCGGGCAGATCACGAAGTCAGGAGATCGAGGCCATCCTGGCTAAAAGGGTGAAACCCCGTCTCTACTAAAAATACAAAAAATTAGCTGGGCGTGGTGGCGGGCGCCTGTAGTCCCAGCTACTCTGGAGGCTGAGGCAGGAGCATGGCGTGAACCAGGGAGGCGGAGCTTGCAGTGAGCCAAGATTGCGCCACTGCACTCCAGCCTGGGCAACAAAGCGAGACTCCATCTCAAAAAAAAAAAAAAAAAAAAAAATTAGTAAATGCTTGTACCTAAATTTACTCTTTAAAATAATAGAAAATGTCCACTTTTTATGCAACTTATGAAAAGATATAAGATGATTTTTTTCCTCAGAAACAAAAGCAGTTGAAGTTTAAAGCTATCGCTCATTTAGTATCTCAAAGTAATAGCCACTAAAGCCAACCTGTGAGCAGACAACTGACTTCTCGACTCTCTTTGCATAACTTTTAATTTCCTTTGCAATTGTCTTTGGTATTCAAGTGAGACATCTGTAATCACATTCTCATCAACAACTGAGATGCCTTAGGCCAGTGTGGGTGAGCCTCTCTTATTCTGGCTTGCAATACAACGGGAATTTCTCCCTTTCACTCTTGTTCCAGGGCATTTGCCTTCTCCCAATAAAGTCCAAGCACTCAAACAGAAAGTGAACTTTACTCTAGCTGGTTTTCTGGCCTTAGGAATAGGGTGAGGCCAGGTGCAGTGGGTCATGCCTGTAATCCCAGCACTTTGGGAGGCCGAAGTGGGCAGGTCATGAGGTCAGGAGTTCAAGACCATCCTGGCTAACACGACAAAACCCCCGTCTCTACTAAAAACACAAAAAATTTGCCAGGCATGGTGGCATGTGCCTGTAGTCCCAGCTACTCAGGAGGCTGAGGCAGGAGAATCGCTTGAACCCGGGAGGTGGAGGTTGCAGTGAGCCAAGATCGCGTCACTGTACTCCAGCCTGGGCGACAGAGCGAGACTCCGTCACAAAAAAAAAAAAAAAAAAGAAAAAGAAAGAATAAAAAGAATAAGGTGAACATGCCTTCTGATTTGCCCAGAACAGTCCTAGTTTAGGCATGCCCTTCTGGTGTCCTGTTTAGTCAGGATCTTTTTTCCTTCTCAAAGGGTTGGAGATAGACTATATGGTATTCCTAGTTAAGAACCATATAAACACATGAATAAATATTCTATTAATGAAGAATGTGCCTTCTAATACACTTTATCTAAAATATTATAACAGGATTAACAGGTAAAGGGAAACATTGCTCAGTTTTCCTGTTAAAATATTTAAATAACAATGAAATACTAATTGAAATAAGGTTGAATTTTGTCTAAAAACTATGATACACATTTGAGACTCTCAAGACTGAGGTAAGACTCAAATGAGGTAAGACAGAGAACCCATGTTTGGCAACTAAGGGGGAAAAAAGAGGATCATGGCCGCCAGGTCTGTGTAATGAAGCTATGAGACAATGGGATAAGAGTTTTTTGGATCCAGCATTACTAGAAAATGTCTCAGCCCAGATGTCATTTGTCCAATGTCACGCCTAAGGTCGAAGAAGAAATCCTCAAATTCCTAAAATATCACACTTTGCCTCCCCATCCACACCATGCAACATCAAAAGGCCAGAATTTGGCCACGCACGGTGGCTCAAGCTTGTAATTACAGTACTTTACTTTGGGAGGCTGAGGCAGACAGGTTGCTTCAGCTCAGTAGTTCGAGACCAGTCTAGGCAACATGGTAAGACTATGTCGCTACAAAAAATTTTTTAAAAAAATTGCTGGGTAGGGTGGTATGTGCCTGTAGTCCCAGCTACTCAGGAGGCTGAAGTGAAAGGATCACCTGAGCCTGGGAGATCAAGGCTACAGTAAGCCGTGATTGTGCCACTGCACTCCAGCCTGGATGACAGAGTGAGACACTGTCTCTAAAAAAAAAAAAAAAAAAAAAAAAAGTAAAAATAAAAAGGACTGAACTTTAAGACTAGTAATCATGAACTCACAGGTAGGTGCCAGGGGTATGCCTGCCAACCCCTGTGCTTGCTTTCATCTCCACCCACCTCCCACAAAAGATGAAAAACAAAACAAACACAATCAAGAAAAATTAAAAAAAAAAAAAGAACTTTGCTACTTACGCCTTGACATTCCTTTGTGAAAAGTCATACTCAGCAAATAACAACTCCACTATCCCAATTCCCCAGGCCAAAAACCTTGGCATCATCACTGATATCTTTCTTTTTCCCCGTGCTCTACTTCCAATTTCTCATCAAATCCTTTTGGTCCTATCTTTAACGTTCATTCAGGGTTTGACCACTTTTCTCCACCTCCACCTGCTACTGCCTGGCTCAAATCACCATCCTTCTTCCACCACCATCCCCCTAGAAAACAGAGTTTACAAAAGGAACTTGCCCCAGGTCAGGAAGACTGCAGGTAGTGGAGGGAGTACTGGCATGTAGGAAATCAAACAGCAGAACATAAGTTCTTAACTACCACACTGACTCTCTGGTTTTTTGCCTTTGCACAATGTGGAGCTAGAATCCAAGTTAGAACACTGCCATTGAGTCATATGACATATGCTCCTAAAGCACTGATTTATCTAAAGAGGTATGAAAAGAATAAAACTTCAGCATAAAGGAGCTTCCTTATCAAAGAATTCCCATAAGAAAGTTCATTATAACTTAATGATGGGGTAAATAACTGGTTTTTAAGAAGACTTCTCTCCTTTTAAAAATTTATTTTTTATTCAGCTGGTAAGTACAAGAGAATTTTTTTTTAATTTATTTTTTAAACTGTCATATTGTAATTGTACATACTTATGGGGTACAATTTGATTTTTTTTTTTTTGAGATGGAGTCTTGCTCTGTTGCCCAGGCTGGAGTGCGATGGCGCAATCTCAGCTCACTGCAACCTCTGCCTCCCAGGTTCAAGCAATTCTCCCGCCTCAGTCTCCCGAGTAGCTGGAATTACAGGCATGCACCACCACACCCAGCTAATTTTTGTATTTTTAGTAGAGATGGGGTTTCACCATGTTGGCCAGGCTAGTCTTGAACTCCTGACCTCAGGTGATCCACCCACCGCAGACTCCCAAAGTGCTGGAATTACCAGCATGAGCCACCACGCCGGGCCACAGTTCGATGTTTTGATACATATCCATGTTGCATAATGATCCAATCAGAGCAGTTAGTGAAAGAACATTCAAAAGCCCCTCTTCCAGCTATTTTGTAATAATATTTTACTCTTAACTATACTCACCCCACTGTGCAATAGAACACCAGAATTTGAGATCAGGAGTTTGAGACCAGCCTGGCTAACGTGATGGACTAAAAATACGAAAATTAGCTGGGTGTGGTGGCATGCACCTGTAATCCCAGCTACTTGGGAGGCTGAGGGAAAAGAATCATCTTGAATCCAGGAGGTGGAGGTTGCAGTGAGCCAAGACTATGCCATTGCACTCCAGCGTGGGCAACAAGAGAGAAACTCCATCTCAGAAAAAAAAAAACAAAAAACCGAACACCAGAATTTATTTCTTCTCATTGTAACATTGGTTTATGTGTTATTATTGAGAAAGGATCTTGCTCTGTCTCCCATGCTGGAGTGCAGTGGCACGAACACAGTTCACTGCAGCCTCAACCTCCCAAGCTCAAGCAATCCTCCCACCTTAGCCACCTGAGTAGACAGGACTACAGGCCCATGCCACCATGCCCGCCTTTTTAAACTTTTTTTTGAGAGACAGGGTCTCACTATGTTGCCCAGGCTTGTCTCCAATTTCTGGGCTCAAGCGATCATCCTACCTTGACCTCCCAAAATGCTGGGATTACAAGTGTGAGTCACTGTGCCTCGCCTTTTTTTGGTTTTGTTTTGTTTTGAGACAGGATCTCCCGTCATGCTTTATCACCCTGGGTGGAATACAATTATGGCTTACCGCAGCCTTGACCTCGTGAGTTCAAGCAATCCTCCCACCTCAGCCTCCCAAGTAAGTGGGATTACAGACAAGTGCCACCATGCTTAGCTAACTTTTTATATTTCTATTTTTTAATCTTTGTAGACATAGGGGTATCACTATGTTGCCCAGGCTGGTCTCAAACTCCGGGCCTCAGCATCCCAAAGTGTTAGGATTACAGGCATGAGCCACCATGACTGGCACTAATTTTATTATTACATACCTAGGTATGATTATATTTGTTTATTCTATTTAGAGTTCACTGAGTTTCTTGGATCTGAGAGTTTATGGTTATCATCAGATTTGGAAAATTTATAGTCACTGTTTCTTTTTCTTTTTTAAGGAAATTGCCCAGGCTGGTCTTGAACTCCTGTGCTCAAAAAATCCTCTCATCTCAGCCTCTCAAAGTGCTGGGATTACAGGCATGAGCCACCATGATGAGCCACTATTTTCTTATTTTCTTTTTCTTTTTCTTTTTCTTTTTTTTTTTTTTTTTGAGATAGGTTCTCACTCTGTTGCCCAGGCTGTAGTGTAGTGGCATGATCTTGGCTTACTGCAACCTACATCTCCCTGGCTCAAGCAATTCTCATGCTTCAGCCTCCCAAGAAGCTGAGATTACAGTCGCATGCCACCAAGCCCAGCTAATTTTTGTATTTTTAGTAGAGAAGAGATTTCACCATGTTGGACAGGCTGGTCTCAAACTCCTGATCTCAAATGATCTGCACCCCCCTCGGCCCCCCAAAGTGCTAGGATTACAAGTGTGAGCCACCCACCTGGCCACCCAGACGCTGTTTCCTAAAGTAATTCCTTCTACCTTTCCCCACTTTTCTGGAACTCCAATTATACATGTATTAGGCAACTTGCTATTGTCCCAAGGTTACTGATGTTCTATTAACTTTGTTCTAGTATTTTTTTTCTCTTTGTGCTTCAATGTGAATAGGTTCTACTGCTATACCTTCACATTTAATGATCTTTTTTTCCGCAGTGTCTAATCTGCTGTTAATCACATCCAGTTTTTCCCCCAGTTTTGGATATTATATCTGGTATTTTTCATCTTTAGATACTACTTGTGAGTCTTTTGGTTTTTTTTGCGACAAAGTCTCACTCCGTCACCCAGGTTGGAGTACAGTGGCATGTTCTCAGCTCACTGCAACCTCTGCCTCCCAGGTTCAAGCAATTCTCGTGCCTCAGCCTCCCAAGCTGGAATTACAGGCACATCCCACCACACCCAGCTAATTTTTGTATTTTTAGTAGAGACAGGGTTTTGCCATGTTGGGCAAGCTGATCTGCCTACCCTCAAGTCTGTAGGCATGATTCACCACATCTGGCTTGTGTCTTTTTATCTATCATTCATTTCTCTACTAGTCATTATAATACTTGTATTAACATATTTGGCTGATAATTCAATCATCAGAATTATTTCTAATAATTCCACATTTCTAGGTCTCTTTTCTATTGATTTTTCTCCTGGTTATGGGTCATTTTCCTGCTTTTTATTTGTATGCCTAGTAATCTTTCATTAATATATTATTAATGCTGAACATTTTAATTGTTAGGTGCTGGCATTTACTGTATTCTTTAAAAGAGTTTAGTTTTGGCACATAATTGAGTTACTTAGAATCAGCCTGGTCCTTTCAAAACCTGCCTTGAAGCTTAGGGTAGGTTTAGAAAGGCCTTTAGTCTATAGCTAATTTAACCCCACTTTGAAGACTCTAGCCAATGTCCTTTGTATGAAACAGTCTCTCCACTATGCCTAATGGAAACATAAACTATTCCCAGCTCTGTGTGAGCTCCTGGAATTGTTCAGTGTTCTGATTTCCAGTGTGACTTTCTCCAGCATTGCTGACTTCCACACTTCACATGTGCAGATGAGTGTCCAATCAAAGATTCTCTTACTTCTATAGATTTCTGTGTAGTTCCTTTTATTCTTGTTTTCTGCCCCACAAATTCTAGTTGCCTTGACTTCTCCAAACTCTCCTGGGCTCTATTTGGATTCCCCTACTCTGTGCTACAATCTGGAAACTGCCTATAGGAACCCCTGTAGGGTTCATATCAGTTATTTCCCTTCTCTCAGGGATCACTATCCTGTGCTGCCTGTTGTCCAATGTCTGAAAACAGTTGTTTCATGTATTTTTGTCCTGTTTTCTAGCTGTTTACAGTAGGAGAATGATTCTCGTAGCGGTTAATCCCTCTTGGGCAGATGTACTGACTTTATGGTATCCCTGTTTGTGTTTTTAGTGCTTGTTCTAGAGATTACATATGCATCCAGAAGTTACTACAGTCTCCTTTCACAGAGTAAGAAATGTATGACAGTATAATTCCATCTCCTCCTTTTTGTTCTTTCATGGTTGTATAATCACATATATGCTGTAAAACCCACATCTTGTTAATGTGTATGTTTTAATGTTTTTTGAGTCCAGGTCTGCTGGAAACAAATTCTTTCCCTTTTTGATATGTCCAAAAAGTCTTTATTTTGCCATTATTTTTGAAGGCTATTTCTGCTGGCCATAGAAATCTAGGTTAACAGGTTGTTTTTTTTTTTTTTCTTTCAGCTCTTTATGGATGTCATCCCATTGTATTTAACATTCTATTTTTCCTTTTCTTTTCTTTCTTTGTTTTTGAGACTGAGTCTCGCTCTGTCGACAGGCTGGAGTGCAGTGGCACATGATCTCGGCTCAGTGCAACCTCCACCTCCTGGGTTCAAGTGATTCTCCTGCCTCAGCCTCCCGAGTAGCTGGGACTACAGGTGTGCACCACCACACCCGGCTAATTTTTGTATTTTTAGTAGAGACGCAGTTTCACCATGTTGGCCAGGATGGTCTCGACCTCTTGACCTTGTGATTTGCCCACCTCCCAAAGTTCTGAGATTACAGGTGTGAGCCACCGTGCCTGGACTTCTTTTCTTTTTTAAATAGAGATGGGGTCTCACTACTTTACTCAGGCTGGACTCAAACTCCTGGGTTCAAGCATGTGCCACCATGCTCAGCTAAGACTCCATTTTTTTCTGGTCCTAAAACATGGAATAGCCATAACCCATGTTGCCATTCTCACATAACTAATGTGTCTTTTATTCTCCTGTTGCTCTCCTGTTGCTTGTAAGATCTCTTCCATCTTCAGTTTTCAGCAGTTTGATTATGATATGCCTATATATGGGATTTTTAAATTTGTTGGCTTATTTTTGTTTTGTATTTAACTTGCTTGGGATTTGCTGAACTCCTTCCATTTGTGAATTGATGACCTCATCAATTTTAGAAGTTCCTGAGCATTGTCTCTTCAAATATGTCTTCTGCCACGTTCTCTTCTCTCCTTCTGAAACTCCAATTACATATATGTTAGACCATCTGATATTATCCCACAGATCTAAAATCTCTTTTCTACCCCTCCCTGACTTTTTCTGTCTTTTCTCTTTCCAATCTGTCTTCATATTCACTGATTCTTTCTTCTGCTATGTCCATAAACTGTTAAGCCCATGTAATGAATTCATTTCTGCTAGTATATTTTTCTTTCTCCCTTCCCTCCCCTCCCTTCCCTTTCCTTTTCTTTTCTTTCCTTTTTTTGTTTTCCCTGGTCTCTGCTAGTATATTTTTCACCTCTATTTAATAGAATTTCAACTTGGTTCTTTGGCATAATTTCCATGACTCTACAGAAATCCCCATCTTTTCAAGCATATTGTTAACCTTTATCATTCAATCATCTAGCATTTTTTTCATAATTATCTTTAAATCCCTGTCTGATAAATCTGGATCATCTCTGGGTCTTCTTCTACTGACTATTTCTTCTCTTGACCTTTGGTCACATTTTCTTGCTTTTCTTGTGCCTTGTAACTTTTCATTACACACCAGACATTTTATATAAAAATAGATTACTTATTAAATTAAGTAATATTTTACTTCCAGAAAAAGACATGACAATTTTTCTGTTAGGACACTAGAAGGGAGTCTGAGTCAATCCAATATGTAACTGAGCTGGGTGTGGGCTATGATGCAGCTTTAATTTAACATTAATCACTGGCTTCAAATATTTAAGGACTGAGATCAAGCCTTTCACTTGAGCAGGTCTGGGATCTGAGCCTAGGTAAAATTACAGAGACCTGCTTGTGTTTCATAGCCAAGCCACCAATTTTTAAAACTGTGGGAGTACCTTACATGTATACTAGAGTAGAATGATTAAGTAAATGGGTGGCTGATGGTAGGAGACAGATTTCTCACTATTGGAGCAGGAGTTTTCAGATAAGCAAGGGCAGGAAGTTAGAATCATCCATGTAGTGATTCAACTGGAACCTAATACATCAATATAAACTCATGTTTAGCTTAATTAGATACGGATGGATACATATAGAAATATTTATAGATATGTGGATATATACAGGGTAGTATAAATACATACATTTTCTGGCTCTGTCAGCTGAGATGGCCTACAAGCAAAAACACCCCAGTAGCAACATGTACACCTAGCACCTAGATCTTGGTTTCTCCATTCTCCAGTAAAAGGAACCAAGGCTCCATGGAGAAATGGCTAATTCTAGGATTGAGACAGAAAAATATACTAGATAAAGCATATACTAAAGCATATACTACATGCTTTAGTCTCTAAATATACTAGAGCATCTTGTAGTGCCAGAAAGTGAGAAAGTGCAAACACACATACACACATATACTGACAGTGGTATATCAAAAAGTCATACCAACTGAAAGAGCTCCCAGTGGCCAAAGCTGGAACAACTTGAACAATAAAATAAATAAAGCAATAATAAGATTTTAACCCAAGGTATAAAATATCCATAAGTCCATACTAATATTTTAAAAATTGAATGGATAAATAAATGAGGAAGAAGAGACAAATCTTCCATGCAGAAGAAATCTAAATAATTTATACAGACACTTTGCCCTTGAGGAGGGGTATCATAACTCCCCATGCCTTAAGTGTAGGCTGCGCATATGTAACTTCCTTCCAAAGAGTACAGTATGTAAACAGAGGAGAAAAAAGAGTAACTTTGTAGTAAAGAAATACACAAACACTACCTCAACCAGATGATCAAGGTCAATATCAACACTGATTAGTCATATTGACAGTATATCCCCTTAATATGATGTGATGAAAATGGTACTGCCAAGCATAGTGGCACATGTCTGTAGTCCCAACTACTTGGGAGGCTGAAGTGGGAGGATTGCATGAGCCTAGGAGTTCAAGACCAGCCTAGGCAATACAGTGAGACTCTGTCTCTATTAAAAAAAAAAAAATTAGCCAGGTGTGGTGGCATGCATCTGTAGTCCCAGCTACTCAGGAAGCTAAGGAGGGAGGATCATGTGAGCCCAGGAGTTCAAGGCTGCAGTGAGCTGTCATCATACCACTGCACTCCAGCCTGGGTGACAGAGTGAGACACTGTCTCAAAAAAAGGAAAGCAAATTGTACTTCACCTGCATGTTCTTCGTCCCAAAAATACAAAACCTCACTGTAACAATGACAAAAATACCAAACAGATATCAATAGAATGACATTCTACAAAATACCTGAACAATACTCCTCAAAACTGTCAGTCATCAAAAACAAGAGATGAGAAGCTCAAGTCTAAGAAAATGCCAAAACCAAGAGGACCCTAAGGAGACGTGACAGCTAAATGGGATCCCAAAACATTAGGTAAATAAAGTATGGACTTTAGTTAATGAAAATATATCAGTATTAGTTCATTAATTATAACAAATATACCATACTAATATAAGGTGTTAAAAATAGGAAAAACTAAAAAAATAAATAAATTAAATAAAAATAGGAAAAACTAGAGGCAGCATTATGGGAACTCTCTATACTATCTTGGCAATTTTTCTTTAAATCTGAAACTGTTTCAAAAATTCAAGTTTATATTTTAAAAAAGAAAGAAAAAAAAGCTGTAGGAACTCTATCTCTGCATTAAGCGCCACGGTCAGAGTTTGGTTTGCTAGATTCTCCTTGCTCTCCAGTCGCACACCTTGCTTTCTGAAGCTCAGGTGCCCTCGTGCAGCCCTGCTCCTCCTCCCCAGCCAGGCTTCTGGAGGGCAGCTTCCTTACATTCTGTGAAGGCCTGAAATGAATTAGAGCAGTTTCACTCACCTCTTCTGCCCTGTCCCCAGTCCTTGGTGGCTGAAAACATGGACTGCCAGAGTGTGGGGTGAGAGTTATTTCTAGCTCTTCCCCTGCCTGCAGCATTCCAGAACTGAAAGCCTGGAGAGCCTCTGCTGGATTTTTCTCAGCAATCCTGCCTTCTAAGGGTGGTTGCCCTATACTTGGGAGAGGTTCCAAATGCCTCAGGTATTATCTATGCCAGTTCGTCACTGGCCCAGGCTTTTGGCTTACTACTCCTGAACATTCAGTGAACATCTGTGGGTAGGAGCTGGAGTGTGGGTGCATACTTGCTCTTTGGTGCCAGAGTTGCTAGGGCTTCTTAGGATCCTAACCTGTCAAACCAGCCCATACGTGGCCATTAAAAATCTGATTTTAAAAAAATGTGGCTGGTTTCTCCTTTCCCCTCATCTATGGTGGATTCCTATTCCTTTCGTTGTTCCATCCTAGAGCAACCATGGGTTTCTTCTCCACTATGAAAGTTTGATTACTTTCTGGAGTTTGGTTCATTTAGGCTCCCTTGTATCCTCAGCTCTTCGATGGGTTTTTAGAAACCGTACTTCTTATCCTGCTTTTATAGGTTTTCAGTTACAAGAATGGCAATATCTTGTAATTTTGTACATCTGAAGAGGAAGCTGAATTCTTTCCCCAGACCTCGAATGGTTCACTCCCTCAGTACATTAAGGTCTCTGCTCAAAAGTCATCTTTTCAAAGCAGTTTCCCGTATTACACTATCTAAAGATTGACCAGATCTCAGTCACCCTTCATGCCTTCATCCTGCTCTACTCTTCTTCCATTGTCCTCATTTCCATCTGAAATGTATTTGTCCCATTTTTTAACTGTCTCCTCCACAAGGGCAGGAATTTTATTTTTCTTATTTGTCAGTATAGCCCCAGCTATAAAACAATGATAGGGAGCAAATATGATTCTTTATAAATTATAAGTTTAAGCTTGTTTTAAAACTAATTAACTAAACAGAAAGTTATTGTTGCATATTATAAAAGAAAAAGTACTTTCATGGGAGATAAGAAGTTTTGAAGCTTACCAAAAAAGAACCTGTGTGATCATCCTTAGACAACATATTATTCTTTAACATATATACTTTTTCCAGCTATATCGTTCTGTGTACACTTAGTGCTTCCTGATATCCTGCTATCAACCCAGGTTCTAAGCAGGAATTACAGATATTCTTCACAATAGAATAAGACAATTAACAATTGTTCTTAATGAATGGTAAAAAGAACAATATTCATTACTTGCTAATTATTACTCATCTTTTTTTGAAAATGACCCAAATGGCATCTGGAAACAGCATAACACTAAAAATTAGATTGCAATAGAAAACAAGAACAACGTTTTGATGATTAAACATAATAGAAAGGACTGTAGAAGGAGAACAGAAATAAGTAAGAAGGAAAAATTTAGATATTGCAGAAGTGATACAGTAAATCTAAGGATTTCAAAGATATTAATTAAATACCTCAGATTAATCAAGAGGCCTAATGCACAAACTAACTGGTCTTTTAAAAGAAACCAATTGGGCACGGTGGCTCACAAAATAAAAAAAAAAAGAAGCAAAACACTAAAAAAATTAAAATTAATTAAAAATTATTTTTTTCCATTGCTAGAGATTTTCTGTCTAGACATCAATGGCAAAACTCCACATAAAGCAATATAGTTAAGAAAGACTACTTTGGAATCAGATCTTAATGTTAATCTCAGCTTCATCATTTGCCAACTATGTGACCTTTGGCAAGTTAACCTTCCAAAACAGCATCTAAGGTTTTAGGGACCATTGAGCCCTTCAACAAATATGTGAGTACTCATTCAGGACACAACAATGAATAAGATTAATGAAAATAATTCACGAAAAAAACTTAGAACACATCTGGTACCCAATAAAAGCTCAATAAAATACTATAACAATTATTATCTCAAATATTAGATAGGATTCCAAACCCCCACTTAATGCAGAAATATAGTCGGTTTTGTTTTGTTTTGTTTTGTTTTGTTTTGTTTTTGAGACAGGGTCTTGTCCTGTTGCCCAGGCTGGAGTGCAGTGCTACGATCTCGGCTCACCACAGCCTTGACCTCCTGGGCTCAAGCTATCCTCCCACCTCAGACTCGCAAGTAGCTAGGACTACAGGCACGCACCACCAAGCCCGGTTAATTTTTCATTTTTTGTAGAGATGGGGTTTCACCATGTTGCCCTGGCTGGTCTCAAACTCCTGAGCTCAAGTGATCCATCCGCCTGAGCCTCCCAAAGTGCTGGGATTATAGATGTGAGCCACTGCACCTGGCAAAATATAATCTTTAATATTAATAACAACAAATACATTATCATGGTTAAAAATAGCTTTTTGACTGTGGTTATTGGTGTAACTAACTTCACTTCTGCTGGGACCACATTTTGGAAGCAGGCCAACTTCCCTTTCTGTCTTAAGTAATTTCTTATCAGTCCTTTATAACCCTTGTGTCGTAATACCATTTACTGGGGGAGAGGAGAGCACCTAAAATATAATCCTTCCAAATAACCTGGTAAATAAACACAAATGACACCAATTCTGTCATCATTACATCACAACCATAGAATATAGATGAGTTCAAGGATCAAAAATAAAAAAGTAAAAAACATCTAGAGGCAAAAGATTTGAAAATCATGTATCTAAATTTGAAAATCATGTCTAGTACCCAGAATGTATAAAGAACTCTTACAACTCTACAACACAAAGACAACACAATTTAAAGTGGGCAAAGGACTTAAACAGACATTTCTCCAAAGAAGATATACAAATGGCCAACAAGCACATGAAAAAAGGCTCAATGTCATTAGTTACTGGGGAAATGCAAATCAAAACAAAAAGATACCACTTTACACCCACTAGAATGACTATAATAAAAAGTTTTTAATGGAAAACAGTGTTGGCAAAAATGTGGAGAAATTGGGACACTTGTGTATTGCTAATAGGAATATAAAATGGTACAGTCACTGAGGAAAACAGATTGGCAGTTCCTCATTAAGTTAAAGACAGAATTACCATATATGATCCAGCAATTCCACACCGAGCTATATACCTAAAAGAATAAAAACAAATGTTCACCCCCAAAAATTGTACATCAGTGTTCATAACAGCACTATTTACAATAGCCAGAAAAAGCAGAAACAACCCAAAAGTTCATCAACTGATGAACAGATAAACAAAATGTGATATATCCACACAATGAAAATTATTGAGCCATAAAAAAGAAGGAAGCAGTGATCTATGCTATACCATAGATGAACCACAAAAATATTATGGTAAATGAAAACATGTGACAAAAGGCCACATACTGAATGACTTCATTTATATGAAATATCCACAAAAGGCAAATCCATAGAAACAAAAAGCACATTCGTGGCTTCCAGGGGCTGGGGGAGGGAGGGAATGGGGAGTGACTGCTTAATGGGTATGGGGTTTCTTTTTGGTGTGATAGAAAAGTTCTAGAACTAGAAAGTAGTGATGGCTGTAAAACATTGTGAATGTACTTAATGTCACTGAACTGTATACTTATAAATAATAAATTTTATGTATATTTTACCACAACAAAAAAGATGCTTAACAAAAAAAAAATTAGAAATAAGTTCTGGGTAAAGAGAAGATGGAACATACATATATTTAACTTCATTTCTTCCCCAAATTGTGCTAAAATACTAATAAGGTTTTTGGGGTTTTTTTGTTTTTGTTTTTGAGATAGGGTCTCATTCTGTCACCCAGGATGGAGTACAGTGACATGATCTCAGCACGCTGCAACCTCCACATCCCAGGCTCATGCGATCCTCCCACCTCAGCCTCCCAAGTAGCTGGGACCACAGGCGTGCACCACCACACCGGGTTAATTTTTCTATAGTAGAGACGGGGTTTTGCTATGTTGCCCAGGCTTCTCTCAAACTCCCAGATGCAAGGAGTCTACCTGCCTCGACCTCCCAAAGTTCTGGGATTACAGGCCTGAGCCACCACGCCTGGCCCTCATCAGGTATTTTTAAGGCATAAACAAAACTTAAAAGCTAGAAAGCAAATGCATAAATGGTAACTGACATAGCAGATCCAAGAAACCAGCAGTATGGAAAGCCAAAAACCAACCTTCGTCCACGGAATCTTCAAAAGGCTCAGGAACTGGTAACAGATAGCGCCTGTAGAAACAGGTGTGAAGGGAGCACTAAATAAAGAAGGCTGGCTGAAAGCTCCTTAGGAAACGCTCAATCTCTCAGTACCTTCCTAAATACCACATGGTTAGGTTACTATGCTTTTCCCACCAAGGCAAAATTCTAGAGGATTATTCCCTCAGGAGGATTTCAGAGCAGGGAAACATAAAGCACATTGGTGCGGGGGAGGCTTAATGAAAACAGAGGCCTTAAGAAAACACATATGTACTGAATACTGAAATCCTCACTGCCCTACTTCCCTCACTCTCTCACAGAAGTGGCATACAGACCTCCTCCCACCAGACAGGAAATTAAAAGACCTCTCTCCCTTTTCAGAAAAGGGAAAAGTAATCAGAAGCTGACATGAAGGGTGCCCCAGCAAATGACACAGATAGATCACCCTAGAGTGAACTCTAGTCAACAAGTACCAATGAGGTACTAAGAGCTTCCAATCAGCTTTTAGAGGCATAACTGCAAACAGCCAAGGATTACCACTCATCTGAGGAAAGCATCTACCACAAAAAGAAAACAAAGGAAAACAAAAAATAGAAAAGGAACTTGGAGGAAACACGGACAACTGTGGGAAGAAAAAAACTTAAAATTTAAAAAGAATTTTATTAGCAGGAATTTCTGATGTCAATAAAAAATAAATAAATAAAAGGAATTTTATACCCCATCATTAGCGTCCATGGAAAGAATACAGAAGATACTACACTGTAATCCCAGAATTTTAGGAGGCTGAGGCAAGAGAAATGCTTGGCGCTTAAGAGTTCGAGACCAGTCTGGGCAACACAGCGAGACCTTGTCTACTAAAAATCAAAAAAGTTAGCTAGGTTTGGCGGTGCAGGCCTGTAGTACCAGCTACTGGGAGGGCTAGGGCAGGAGGATCGCTTGAGCCTGAGCAATCAAAGCTGTAGTGAGCCACGACAGAGCAAGACCCTGTGTCAAAAGAGTAGATACTCCATCCATGAAAAAAAATCGATACTTTTCCAAAGAGCTCTCGGAAATTAAACTTAGGAAAATTTATCAGAAAGAATAAGGAATCAAAGAGATGGCAACAGAATCAAGAAGAAAAAACTGGAGGTCCAGTCAAGATAATTCAGCATCTATGCAATGGGGAATCCACAGGAGAAAACAGAGAGGAAAAAAAACCAGTGAAATAATTCAAGAAAATGTCCCAAAACTAAACAATGTAAGTTTCGTAACTGAAAACACTGAGTGAAGCCAGGCACGGTGGCTCACGCCCATAATCCCAGCACTTTGGGAGGCCGAAGTGAGTGGATCATTTGAGGTCAGGAGTTCAAGACCAACCTGCCCAACATGGTGAAACCCTGTCTCTACTAAAAATACAAAAAAATTAGCCAGTCGTGGTGGTACACCTGTAATCTCAGCTACTCGGGAAGCTGAGGCATGAGAATGGCTTGAACCCAGTAGGCGGAGGTTACAGTGAACCGAGATCGCACCACTGCACTCCAGCCTGGGCAACAGAGTGATACTCTATCTCAAAAAAACAAAACAAAACAAAACAAAAAAACAAAAATTGGCTTGGCGTGGTGATGCACACCTGTAATTCCAGCTACTGGGTAGGCTGAGGCACCAGAATCACCTGAACCCAGGAGGCGGAGGTTGTTGCAGTGCGCCAAGATCATGCCACTGCACTCCAGCCTGGGCGAGAGTGGGATTCTGTCTCAAAAAACAAACAAAAACAATAAATTTAAAAATATATAAATAAATTTAAAAATTAAAAAACAAAAACAACAACAAAAAAACACTGAGTGCAGAGCATAATTGTTTAAAATACAGTACAACCATATTAAAGCGTATCATTTACAAGTTTCAGAACAGTGGAAACAAAGGGAAGATCCTACAAGCTTCCAGAAGAGGGAAATGGCTAACAATAGATAAACTTCCAGAATGATTTTGTACTTTCAACAGGCATAACACAAGCTAGAAGACAATGGAGCAAAATCATCAATCTCAATGTTACATACAGTGAAACCACTAATGAAGGGTGAGAGGAAAATAAAGTGTTTTCAGAAAACATAAGGTATCAAATATTTGCCTCCCATGAAACAGGAAGACATAAGAGGAGAAGAAACAGAAGTGCCAATGCAGGAGAAAAGAAAAGAGAATTCCAAGGATGATTGCTGGGCACTATGAGAAAACAGAGACTACTCCATGTTGGAGCACTGTGCTCTGGAAAAGTCTTCTTCAAGATGATGAAACTGACAAAGTAAGTGAAGGAAATGGGAAATTTGAAAGAAAATGGGAAATTTGGACAACTGATAGAATGTTTAGGTTGAGTTAGTCACAAGGACACAGCAAATCATGCAAATAATTTATGTTCTAACCTGAAAATTCAAGTAAATCAATTTTTTAAATGTTTCTTGAAAAACCGCAGGTAAATTCCAAATACCTATGAGTTGAGGATGGTTACCTATGAGAAGAGGAAATGAAGGTGGAGGCTGAGAATTACTGTTTGTTTTAAGAATCCCTGAAAGACCACTTGACTCATTAAACTGTATAACATTTGAGGGGAAAAAAAATTAAGATTAAAAAGTATGGAATATGGGAAATAAGGTACTGAGGATTTCCCAAGGACATAAAGCCCAAACAAACCTGACCCCTGGAAACTAAATCTTACAAAATTGCCCTGTAAAAGAAAAACATAAAAATGAATTAGAGGGAAAAAGAAGGAACATTACTTGCACGACATCATAACTCCAGCCAAATGCATGACATTGACAGCAGAAATCCTTGGGTTTCTGTGCTTCTGCTCCCTGGTCTGTCAAGTGGGTGTAATAACCACAGCATTCCTCTCTTAGGACTGTTGTAAAGCTTAAGTGAGATAATGCACATAAAACACTTATAGCAACGCTGGCTGTCAGTATTAACACAGTTGTGTTTTTTCTAATAACTGAGATCCTTTTTCATATCAAATAATTTCACTGTCACAATGATCTTGAAACGTTTATTTGAATACTTACCTTGTCTACCCAAACATTCAAGGCCTCTAATGCTCTCACATAAGCCTCCCAACAAAAAAGTGGGAGGCGGGGGGTGGGGGATGGGGGGGGCGGGTAAGAGGGACAAAAAACATTCTGATGATCCATATCCAAGAGAAATAGGAAAAACAACTAGTAAAGAATTAGTGAAAGTTATTTCTAAAGATTCTTGTTCTACTGAAGAACTGACTGTACCTAAAAACTACTCAGTAGTTTTTATACTTTTTAGTTGCCGTAATCAATCTTTCACTCTCACTAGGCAAGTTAGCAATTAAGAGTGAAAACTTTCTACCAGCTATACATTAACTCAGTAATGCTAGGACAAGCATTTTTCCATTTCACAATAGGTAGCCTCCAACTTATGCACAGATTGTGCTCTCCAAATTGAGTTATACTTTGTTATAAAACTTGTGAAACGTTTCCTCAAAGAAATAAAATTATGAAATAAAGTTGGGATCCCAGGCAATAAACAAAGGGCAATTTAATCCATAGAGTAGAACAATTTATTCCTAAGAGCCATGGAAAAGGAAAGGAATAAATGTAACTGTGTCAGATGACTTTCAACCACTTATTTTGTGCTCCCCACAGCTAGTAAAAAAAAAATAGCATTTATGTGAGATTAGGAATTGTGTAATACTTTGTTCTCTTCATCTTTGTATTCTGGTAACACAAACAGCATATAACACAGTACCTGCCTTCTATCAGGAGCTTAAAATATTCATTTAAGGAATAATAATGAGTATGAATATATAGCACTGTTCAAACCATACTGTTTCAATGGAGAAATACATTATCATGATTTCCAACTGAAAGAATGTCTTCCTTTATCTTAGCAGGACAACTAAAGTTTAAGCACCAAGAACAATAAAGTGTACGCAGCTATTCCACGGATGTAACAATCATTCCTCCTAGAAATCATATTTTGGTCACACATCACTCAGACTATTTCTAAGTATGTATAAATCATGAAGTTGAGTTTTAATAATATAAAACTTGACCTCCATAATGTCCCTGACTTCTTTTCCTTTATTAATACCTTAAATAAAAATAGCAGCCATCAACATTTTACCTGGGTTTTTTTTTTTAATTTGCAGTTTCTATACTACTTCTAGTTAGTACAGAAGGTTATCAACTGCAAACTTAATACTATGGCCAAAAAAACAAAATCAAAAAAGTCATTAAGACTCAATATTCAGACAATAATCTTGATTAAAACCCAGTATTTCTCAACTGGGTGTGGTGGCTCATACCTGTAATCCCAGCACTTTGGGAGGCCAAGGTGGGAGGACTGCTTGAGCCTAGGAGTTTGAAACCAGCCTAGGTGACATAGCAAAATTCCATCCCTACAAAAAAATTTAAAAATTAGCCAGGCATGGTGGTGCACACCTTTAGTCCCAACTACTTGGGAGGCTGGGTTGGGAGGATCACACGAGCCCAGAAGGTCAAGGCTGCAGTGAGCCATGATTGTGCCAATGTACTCCAGTCTGGGTGACAAAGTAAGGCTGCCTCAAAAATAAGCAACAACAAAAAAACCCAATATTCCTCTGGCTCGAATGCAGCTACCTGTATTTAGATATTCCCAAAGTGAAGTTGACAAAGTTATCCAACACAATAACAGAAATTATTTTAGGTACCAAAAAAATTGCAAAAATTACTGAGAATTATTATTATTATTATTATTATTTTGAGACAGAGTCTCACTCTTGTAGCCCAGGCTGGAGTGCAGTGGCGTGATCTCGGCTCATTGCAACCTCCGCCTCCCGAGTTCAAGCGATTCTCCTGCCTCAGCCTCCCGAGTAGTTGGGATTACAGGCACCCGCCACCACACCCAGCTAATTTTTGTATTTTTATTTTTATTATTTATTTATTTATTTTTGAAATGGAGTTTCACTCTTGTCACCCAGGCTGGAGTGCAATGGCACATTCTCAACTCACTGCAACCTCCACCTCTTGGGTTCAAGCAATTCTCCTGCCTCAGCCTCCCCAGTAGCTGGGATGACAGGCACCCGCCACCACGCCCGGCTCATTTTTTTGTATTTTTAGTAGAGACGGGGTTTCACCCTGTTGGCCAGGCTGGTCTCCAACTCCTGACCTCAGGTGATCTGCTGCCTTGGCCTCCCAGAGTGCTAGGATTACAGGCGTCAGCCACCGCACCCAGCCAATTACTGAGAATTATAAGTTAAAATTACAGAATTTAGTAGACAATGTAGTCAATGTCCACAATGATACTGATATCTTAAAACCTGAGAAATTCACCTAACAAAAGAAGTCCCTTAATTTTACATTACTCTAAAAAAAAATTTGATCCCTTTAATATATCCCTAAGGGAATAAAGATTAAAGGAATAAAGATTAATTTATCCTAGAGAGCCAGAGTTCACTTCAAGCTTTAAGGAATAATTCACAATCATCCAAACATAAAATTCAGATGGACACCTTAAATGAGATATGAGTTTCATCTAGCATCAGAAATCACTCCAAAGGCATTATTTCTCTTAAGCACCCCTTCTGCTTTGAAATTCAATACTGCCAATGAAACCAATTAATTTTATTTCTTTGTAATGACTTCATAGGACAGGCATGGTGGCTCACACCTGAAATCCTAACACTTTGGGAGGCCGAGGCAGGAGGATCACCTGAACCCAGGAGTTAGAGACCAGCCTGCCAACATAGTGAGACCCTGTCTTTACAAAAAATAAAAAACAAGCTGGGCATGGTGGCATGCACCTGTAGTTTCAGCTACTCAGGAGGCTGAGGCAGGAGGATCAATTGAGCCCAGGAGGTTCAGGCTGCCGTGAGCCATGATGATGTCATTGCACTCAGCCTAGTCAATGGAGCAAGATTCTGTCTCAAAAAAAAAAAAAATTTTTTTTAACTATAATGACTTTATCTCACGCAAATTTACAAAGGGTGTATAAATATTTGTTAAAACAAATATAAGAGGTTGAGTTGATAATCACCAGTGAGCGACAGCAGCAGAGACACACGGTCATCAGTGAAGGAGACAGAAACATCTCTAAACCACCCAACACAATTAACGCGGTGTCTTCCACATAGACTTTTTTCTTTTTTTTGAGATAGGGTCTCATTCTGTTACCCAGGCTGGAGTGCAGTGGTGCGATCACAGCTCACTGCTGCCTCAACCTCCTGGGCTCAAGTGATCCTCCTGCCTCAGCATCCCAAGTAGTTGGGACCAAAGGTGCGCCTCACCATGCCCAGCTGATTTTTGTATTTTTTGTAGAGACAGGGTCTCACCATGTTTCCCAGGCTGGTCTTAAGCCCCTGGGCTCAAGCAATCACCTGCCTCAGCCTCCCAAAGTGCTGGGATTACAGGCATGAGCCACTGTGTATAGCCTCACATAGATTAAGTGAGGTCACTGTATGTGAGGTCATTGTATAATATTTTTCAAAAATGTTATTTTACTTCCAAGAAATTATAAATACAATTAGTTATATCTACTCCTGTCACTTTAAACTTTATTATATCAATTTTTATTCACAAAAACATGCATTATTTCAGACATTATAATTAATGAAACAATTTTTATTCATTTGCTTTAAGTTCATTTCAAATCCAAGATTCATATTATAAAACCACTCTCCCTCCCTGAACTACACATCTCTAGTTAAATTTAGATTCAATAATGTTTTCCATGGAAATAACAAAACTCAAGTCCTCTGTATTAGTAAACTGTGTAATAAAATAGGAAATTTACTAAGGAAGAGCAAAGCAGGAGCCCTGTATGTCACTTTTAGATAACTATCCTCAAACTAAACTAAACACTTTCAATTCCAAGCGTATTTCAAAGTTTTAGGAGAAGCAGGTGGATGGAGTAAGGAGATCGTGAGAACTAACTCACTACTGCGAGGACAACACTATGCCATGAGGGATCTGCCCCATGACGCAAACACCTCTCACCAGACCCCACCTCAAACACTGGGAATTACAATTCAACATAAGATTTGGTGGGGACATATATACAAGCTCTATTAGGGTGACGGCAAAATTCTGGAACTAGATAATGGTGATGGTTGCATAACAATGCGAATGTACTTAATGCAACTGAGACTTTCATGCTGTGTAAATATAGATCTCAGTCAATAAAAGAAACAGTACACCAGCCTGGCCAACAACTGCTAAAAATGCAAAACTTAGCGAGGCATGCACACCTGTAGTTCCAGCTACCCTGGAGGCTGAGGTGAAAGAATTGCTTGAACCTGGGAGGTGAAGGTTGCAGTGACCCGAGATCATGCCACTGTACTCCAGCCTGGGTGATAGAGTGAGACCCTCACTTAGAAAAAAAAGAAAAAAGAAACCATAGCACTATATAACAGAAAGTAGACATTGACATCTCATTGAAGAAAGTCACCTTCTAAAATAAATGTTGATTATTTTGGTATCCCTTTAAAAATCTTACTGGGACTCATGCCTGTAATCTCAGCATTTTGGGAGGCCAAGGCAGGCCTTGAGGTCAGGAATTCGAGACCAGCCTAGCCAACATGGTGAAACTCCGTCTCTACTAAAAATACCAAAAAAAGGCCAGGTGCAGTGGCTCACGCCTGTAATCCCAGTACTTTGGGAGGCCAAGGCGGGTGGATCACAAGTTCAGGAGTTTGAGACCATCCTGGCTAACATGGTGAAACCCCGTCTTTACTAAAAATACAAAAAATTAGCCAAGCGTGGTGGCAGGTGCCTGTAGTCCCAGCTACTCGGGAGGCTGAGGCAGGAGAATGGCGTGAACCCGGGAGGCAGAGCTTGCAGTGAGCCAAGATCAAGCCACTGCACTCCAGCCTGGGCAACAGAGCGAGACTCCGTCTCAAAACATAAAATAAAAATAAACAAAAATAAATAAATAAAAACACCTTATTGTTAACTTGATAAGTAAATTATAAACATGTCAAAATGAAATCTTTTACTATAGTGTCAATCCTTGAGCTTTTCTATTTGTTAGGAATTCTCATAACACTCTTAGCACCAGCTTTCCAATGCTTAGTCTGCCAGGGCAGGAATCAATTTTATATAGTGTTGGGTGTCCAAGGGAGATAATACAGTCCTGGGTTCTTAGTTTCTATTTCTGGTTGGGCCAGTAAAGCCCCTTCCTCATCCCTCCTTTCCACTTATCACTACAGACAGAAACTAAAAACCATGGCTTCAGGCTGCTAAAAGCATACAATAAAACAAAATCAAACAACAAAATAAAAGGAAGGATGGACAGGCTAGGAAGTGAATTTTAAAATGGGCAGAATATTTGATTAAATTTAGCTTGCCAATATTGTGTTAAATTTTAATACAGGAGAGTAACATCTTTATTTCTAATAAACAAGATCAGCAAAAGATGAAAAACTTTTTAGATACCAAAATATACCTTGGTCTGCTGTAGCACTTGGGAATCATAAATCTCTCTTGTGGCACTCATGAATGTAGCCTTTTTTTTTTTTTTTTTTTTGACAGTCAGTGGAGAAAGACAACATGGAAAAAAAAAAAAGCCACGCCAAATGCAATAACAAGCCCATCAATTTCTGTTACCTCAAATGCAATAGAAAATACCACTTTTGGCCAGGTTCAGTGGCTCACGCCTGTAATCCCAGAACTTTGGGAGACCGAGGCAGGCAGATCACTGGAGGTCAGGAGTTCAAGACCAGCCTGGCCAACATGGCGAAACCCCATCTCTACAAAAAATACAAAAATTAGCCAGGCATGGTGACATATACCTGTGATCCCAGCTCCTTGGGAGGCTGAGGTGGAAGAATCGCTTGAACCTAGGAGGCAGAGGATGCAGTGAGCCGAGATCACACCACTGCACTCCAGTCTGGCCATCAGGACGAGACTGTCTCAATTTAAAAAAAAAAAAGAAAGAAAGAAAGAAAGAAAATACCACTTTTGCTGAACCTGATTACAGGCAAGGCCAAATTCAGTCACTTGCATAATAATATGCCCAACATTCGTTCACAATGTTCCTGCCTGCTCTTAACGGGCTTTGAGTAGAGCAGGCTCTCAAAAGCCATGAATTATATGAATTATCAAATTAAACAACAGTTTCCACTTAAAATAATAACATTTATTTTGGGAATATACAAACCAGACAATGAACTAGATGTTTTATACATACTATTACTCACTTTAGCCTCATAATACTTTAGGGATAGGTTAAGTAGCTTGCCTAAGGTCACAACACTATTACATTCAAAAGCCAGGATTCAGGCCGGGCTTGGTGGCTCTCAACTGTAATCCCAACACTGTGAGGCCGAGGCTGGTGGATAGCTTAAGCCCAGGAGTTTGAGACCAGCCTGGGCAACATGGTGAAACTCTGTCTCTACTAAAAATAGAAAAATTAGCTAGGCATAGTGGAGCACACCTCTACTCCCAGCTACTCAGGTGGCTCAGGTGGGAGAATCACCTGAGCCTGGGAGGCGGAGGTTGCAGTGAGCAGAGATCACATCACTGCACCCCAGCCTCAGCCACAGAGTAAGACCCTGTCTCAAAAAATAAAAAATTAAAATTAAAAAGCCAGGATTTAAACCAAGGTATGTCATACATAAAATCATTTTTTGCTAAAACACTCTTTTTTTTTTTTTTTTGAGACAGAGTTTCGCTCTTGTTGCCCAGGCTGGAGTGCAATGGCGCAATCTCAGCTCACTGCAACCTCTGCCTCCCGGGTTCAAGCAATTCTCCTGCCTCAGCCTCCCAAGTAGCTGGGATTACAGGTATGCACCACCACACCCGGCTAATTTTGTATTTTTAGTAGAGACAGGGTTTCTCCATACTGAGGCTGGTCTCGAACTCCTGACCTCAGGTGATCCGCCCACCTCGGCCTCCCAAAGCGCTGGGATTACAGACATGAGCCACCGCGCCCGGCCTAAAACACTCTTAAGTGTGGGCTGCAAAGGAAATATTTTCAGTTTACTTGGCAAACATTAATATTCTCTCTTGAATACAGCTTTTAAATGTTAAGGAATGAGAAAGAAGAACGTACTTGAAAAGAATATTACTGAAAAATGCAGTGAGATGTCTGGAAGAAACATGCAATGGCTGTGTGCCTACTATGTGCCACATGCTGTGCTGGCTATATTAAAAACTTCAACACAGCCGGGTGCAGTGGTTCACACCTGTAATCCCAGCACTTTGGGAGGCCTAGGCAGGCAGATCACGAGGTCAGGAGATCGAGACCATCCTAGCTAACACGGTGAAACCCCATCTCTACTAAAAATAGAAAAAATCAGCCGGGCGTGGTGGCGGGCGCCTGTATTCCCAGCTACTTGGGAGGCTGAGGCAGGAGAATGGCATGAACCTGGGAGGCGGAGCTTGCAGTGAGCCGAGACCATGCCACTGCACTCCAGCCTGGGCGACAGAGCAAGACTCTGTCTCAAATAAATAAATAAATAAATAAATAAATAAATAAATAAATAATAAATAAATAAAAACCTCAACACTTCACTGTTACAGCAGCCTTGGGAGGGAAATATTGGTAATCTCTTTTACATATGAAGAAACTGAAACGTAGAGAAACCTTCAAGGTTACAGAAGTTGCAAGGGACAGAGTTGGAACTGGAAATCAAATTCAGCTCATTAATACCTATCACTAGTGCTTACTAGGGGGCATTTCAAATAGAATATTAGAAATCTCATCAAATACAACTCAAACCAACCTATTTTTTCTTTGCTCAGGGAGTTGTTGTGAAAACTGAGAAATCCCTATAGATTTTTCTTCCAATAGCCTTATTTTAAATAATTATCCACACTTAGGTTATATATGTTAAGTACTGCCCATAAACTCCAAAAGTTGATTGCTATGAAAACCAAACAGGCATCCAGTAGTAAATGTGAAAATATAAGCAATTCTGTCCTATATACATGATTTTTTTTTTTTTTGAGACAGAGTCTTGCACTGTTGCCCAGGCTGGAGTGCAGTGGTGCGATCTTGGCTCACTGCAACCTCCGTCTCCCGGGTTCAAGTGATTCTCCTGCCTCAGCCTCCCAAGTAGTTGGGACTACCCGAGTAGTTGGGACTACAGGTGCGTGCCACCATGGCTAGCTGATTTTTATATTTTTAGTAGAGATGGGGTTTCTCCATGTTAGCCAGGATGGTCTCGATCTCTTGATCTCGTGATCCACCCGCCTCAGCCTCCAAAGTGCTGGGATTACAGGCGTGAGCCACCGGCACCCGGCCCTATACACATGATTTTGAACATACTGACAGATGGAGAAAACCACTTTGGAAAAGATACTTCACATGTTCTAGAGACGATTTAAACCATTAAGCATTCTATGAAGCTTCTGAAGGTCTGTCAGATTTTAAATGACAACAGTGAAATTTTAAAACAAGAACAGGAGAAGTCAGCACCAAAGCTACTTTAACATTAATAATAAGTGAGCCAATAAATAGGTCTATGTTTGCCCAGGCAGGTTTTGCTTATTATGTCAGTTGGAAAGCCAGAAGGAAACTGGTTTTAACTCTTAATATAACCTGTATCATGACACCATCACTTTACCAGAAATGTAGCTGATGTCAGCATAAGACTGAGACAGTTTACATTTAAAACTGTTGTTTCCTTTCCAACTATTTTCATAATTCATTCATGGTATAGGATTGAGACTATTTCCTTAAACAGAAAAAAATGGGTAATTAACATTGAGAACTTTCCATGTGCCAGATACTGTATGAACTGTCTTAATTTTCATAGCCACCCTGCAAGATATTATCCTCATCTTTTTAGAGGAAGAAACAAGTTTCAAGAAACGAAGTAGGTTTTGTAAGGCCACAGCTATAGTAAAGAGGTGGAGCTGACATTCAAGCTTGGATATGAATTATTATAATTTCCACAGCACTACACAGCTGTCATTTTCTCTACCTGCAAAACTAAATAAATACTGCTAAAAATAAAAGATGATCTCCAAGATCTCTAAACATTAAAATTTTACAATAAACTGGTTGAGGTGACACATGCCTATATTTTCAGCTACTCAGGAGTTTGAGACTGGCCTGGACAACATAGCAAGACCCTGTCTCTAAATTTAAAAAACAAATTACAGTAAGATAATCTTAGACCAGAGAAAGGAAAGTGAAATAGCTATTTGGATTATAAACTGTTTTAGTAACTCAAATGTAATGTGTGGTGGTGACAATATCTTTGATTCCTGGGAAGGTCATTGTGAAAGGGAATAGAAAATGCCTTGAAGTCAAAATATAAGGCTCTCAAATAGAAAAATAAATATAACATTTAAGTATTGTCAACAGAGAACCAAGTTAGAAAAAACTAGTTATAGTCTGAAACAATGCTGTTTAAAAGACTGTAGTCACCAGTGTAAACTGACTCAGGCAACACTTCCCAGGGTCCATGCCGTGGACAACTGACTAATCTCTCTATAAATACTAAAAGATAATAAGGTTCCATAACCAAACAAGATGGGGAAATGCTGGATTTAATGTCAAGCCTGTTTCCATACTGGTTATAGGCTTGAGAATCCTATGGAGCAAGTCTTTCTGGATTTGAATCCCAGCTCTTCCATTCCAGCTTAGCCGTGTGACTTAAATTGAGATAGTTGCTGTAAAGACTGGAAACAATAATGCATGTGGGAGCCTTAGAACAGAGCCTTAGACAGTGCTCAATAAATGTTAAATCATTAATAGTAACATCATTTCCCAGAGCCTTTATTAATCTAAGTTGAGGTTCATTGTGAATTACCAACGGGATAGAGTTTGCAGTTTCTCAAACTTATTGGATGATGGAACCCACTTTTTCATAGAATATCCCTCGAGAAAACTGGTTAATGTCTTTAAAACAAACAAAACTCTTCGAAACAATAGAGAATTCCATCACCAAAATAAAATGTTGTTTTTTGTTTTTTTTGGGTTTTTTGAGACAGGGTTTCCCTCTGTTGCCCAGGTTGGAGCGCAGTGGCACAATCACAGCTCACTGCAGCCTCAACTTCCTGGGCTCAAGAGATCCTCCCACCTCAGCCTCTCAAGTAGCTGGGACTACAGGTGCATGCCACCATACCTGACTAATTTTTTGTATTTTTTGTAGAAACAAGGTTTTGCCATGTTGCCCAGGCTGGTTTCAAACTCCTGGGCTCAAGCCAGCTGCCCACCTCGGCCTCCCAAAGTGCTGGGATTATAGGCGTGAGCCACCACACCCAGCCTAAAACGTTTTTAAAAACTGAATTTTTCTTCACTAAATTTTCCTTACCTCTTATCTGCTACCACCTGCCTTTGAGCAAAAGTTCTTTTTTGTTTGAGACTGAGTTTCACTCTTGTTGCCCAGGCTGGAGTGCAATGGTGCAATCTCGGCTCACCGAAACTTCCACCTCCCAGGTTCAAGCGATTCTCCTGCCTCAGCCTCCCGAGTAGCTGGGATTACAGGCATGCACCACCATGCCCAGCTAATTTTGTATTTTTAATAGGGATGGAGTTTCTCAATGTTGGTCAGGCTGGTCTCAAACTCCCGACCTCAGGTGATCTGCCCACCTCGGCCTCCCAAAGTGCTGGGATTACAGGCATGAGCCACCTTGCCCGGCCGCAGCTAAAGTTCTAACAGATGACACTCTCTGATGTTCACTAAAGACTTGGGAACGTTGTCTCTACTTCATAAACCCACTCCATAGCTGGATCCTGTATTCTGTCATACCCAGCAACTGCTCCTCCCGTTCAATCTTCATTTCCACTATCCAGTCTTGAACACCAACCACTTCATGTCCCAGCAGCCACCTTCTGGTTTCATTTGTTCCCTATTCAGCCTAGACTCAATGGCCCATCACTTCAAACACTCTCGCTACTGAAATATCTTGCCTCCTTACCCTCTCTGTCACACTGACACATAAAACCCAGGCCAAGACCAATCCAACTGTTCAATTGTGTGCTCACCCAGGCTGCTGAGCCCTGAGAGAAGGAGGAAATCATTCATACAAATATATATACCACAGCCGTGAAAAATCCATGATTCCATTTTTTCTAAGTATTCCCACTCAGCTTGCCCTCTCACTTCCCTCAGAGGCTTTCTTGAAATTCTCCTTTTCTCCTCAGTCCCCTACAATCATCATTTCATCCCCACTATAATCTCAGTGGATGACCTTATCCCCCCTTCACTGAAAAAAATAAAGTGTTGATATCCAGAATTCTCACTTGCCACCCAAACACTTCCCCATCTGCACCATCTATTGTTCCTTTATTCCTACTTCAGTGGAAACTGTATTCTCATCTGTACTGCAACCCAGTATCTTCACTCCATTCCCACTAACCTCAAAGACAATGTACAATCATTCACACACACCTCCTTTATTCTACATCTTCAACTTCTCCCTTCCTTTTTCCTTTTTCCATTTAGCATATAAACATGCTGAAGTCTCTCTCATCTAAACACAGCCTGCCCCTCTACCTACTATCTTGTATCTCCCTATGAGCAAAGCTTCAAAAAGAGCAAAGCTTTCTGAAAAGAATGTTTGCACTTACTGTCTCCACTCTCAACAAATATCCACGCTTAGTCCTCAGCAACCTGGCATTTATTTCTATCATGGAGACTCCACTGAAGCTGTTCTACAGAAGGTGGCAATCAGCTGCTTAACTCCAAAATCAAGGGACACTTCCCGGTCCTCATATTCATTCAACTGTGGGCTACATTTGACATTGCAGATGGCTCTTAAAATTTTTGTCTTCATTTAATAAATATTTACTGAAAGCTACTTTGTTGATAAGAACTTCAGATAAAATGATGAACATGACACAGTCACAAGCCCTCAAGAAGCTTAAAGTTTCTATGATAATTCCTACTCCTCCTTCCACCTCTCAGATCACTCCTTCCTTCTCTACTCAACCTTTAGAGCTGATATTCCCCCATGACTCCTTTCTTTGCTCTTCTCACATCCATCCCAGGATTAACGTGTTTACATTACCTATTCATTGATGTTGACGAAATTTTTATCACTAGCTTAGAATCCTTGACCTTTCATCCTCCTCAAACTGTCTAGTCTCAATTTTTTGTCCTCTTCCAAGTAAAACTTTCAGAAAACTATCTTTGCACACTCCACTTCCTCATATCCAATTCACGTTTTAACCCATGACAATCTGAACGTTTTAACCCATGACAACCCACTACACTGAAACTCCTCTTACAACGTCACCACTACCTCATGATGTTAAAATGGACGTGCTTATCATTATTCAAGCTTTCAGGGCATTCTCAACAGAACTGACCCACTCCACTATCTAACCTGTACATGTGAAATTTGGCACAGCTGTATACTGGACCCTACTCTATTTCCCATACTCTATCCCTAGGTGTTCCTACCCATTCCCATTGTTTTAAATATGACTTATGCTGGGCGCAGTAGCTCACACCTGTAATCCAAACACTTTGGGAGGCCGAGGCAGGAGGATCACCTAAAGTCGGGAGTTCGAGACCAGCCTGGCCAGCATGGTGAAACCCCCGTCTCTACTAAAAATACAAAAATTAGCTGGGCATGGTGGCCCACGCCTGTAATACCAGCTACTCTGGAGGCTGAGGTAGGAGAATCACTTGACCCCGGAGGCGGAGGTTGCAGTGAGCCAAGATCGCACCACTGCACTCCAGCCTGGGCGACAGAGCGAGACTCTGTCTCAAAATAAATAAATAAATAAATATGACTTATAACTCTGGTCCACATCTTTCCTGAGCTCTAGCTTCATTTACTCAACTCTCCACTTGGAAACCCCATTTGGACAAACTCAATTTATCCAAAATGTCCTTAATTTTCCCACTAAGTCTCTTCCAGAACTACTGGAGTTATTAAAGCCAGAAACAAAGAGCCACACGTGACTACTTACTTTTCCTCGCCTCTCATATCAAACTATCTCCAAAATATATTTTGGCTATTCAGTTATCTTCAACTCACTACTATGTCATAATATAGCTATTGTTATTTCTTCCCTAGAGTACTGACTGGTTTTTTGTTTGTTTGTTTTTGTTTTTTTGAGACTGAGTCTTGCTCTGTCGCCCAGGCTGGAGTGCAGTGGCGCAGTCTCGGCTCACTGCAACCTCTACCTCCCGAGTTCAAGTGATTCTCCTGCCTCAATCTCCTGAGTAGCTGGGATTACAGGCACCCACCACCATGCCTGCCTAATCTTTGTATTTTTAGTAGATAAGGGGTTTCACCATGTCGGCCAGGCTGGTCTCGAACTCCTAACCTCAGATGATCTACCTGCCTTGGCCTCCCAAAGTGCTGGGATTATAGGCGTGAGCCACTGCACACGGGCTTGACTGACTTTCTAACCAAGTTCACCAATGTCACCTTGTCCCTACCAATCCAGTCTCCAGGAGAAAGCTAAAGTGATCTTTATAAATATAATATAAAATCACTACTCAGACTTTTGGCTAAGATCAAGTGTAAATATAATATAAATATAAATTGAAACACATCACTCACTATTTAAAACCCTTCAATTGATATGCTGGTAATCTAATTTTAAGGTAGAACAGAGTATTCTCTTTCCCACAACAGAATGTTGCTCCAATTCTCTGGCAACTCATTCTGTGGGTCAGTGGCATTCAACTACTTCAGTACAAAGACAAGCATAAGACACAGAAGTTAACTGGGTTAACTAAAGGTTACTAAACCTTTACCAAACCTTACTAAAGGTTACTAATTATTTAATTCCAAAGCAAATACCATAATTTATCTTTTTTTTTTCAAGACAGTCTCGTTCTGTTGACCAGGCTGGAGGGCAGTGGTGTGACCTTGGCTCACTGCAACCTCTACCTCCTGGATTCAAATAATTCTCGTGCCTCAGCCTCCCCAGTAGCTGGGATGACAGGCATGTACCAACACGCCCAGCCAATTTTTGTTTTTTTAATAGAGATGGGTTTTCACCATGTTGGCCAGGCTGTTCTCGAACTCCTGGCCTCAAGTGATCCACTCGCCTCGGCCTCCCAAAGCCTGGGATTACAGGCTTCAGCCACTGCACTCGGCCTATACTTTTTTTTAATTGAGATAAAATTCACATAGCATACAATTTACCATTTCAAAGTATACAATTCAGTAGTTTTAGCGTATTCACATTTTGCAACCATCTACACTAATTCCAGAACATTTCTATCACCTAAAAAGAACCCCATACCTATTAACAGTCATTCCCAATTGCCTCCCTCCCCATCTCCTAGAAACCATTGATCTCTTTTCTATCTCTATGGATTTCCTGTTCTAAACATTTCATATAAGTGGGATCATACCATATGTGATCTTTCGTGGCTTCTTTCACTCAGCATAATGTTTTTAAGGTTTATCCATGTTGCAGCATGAATCTGTACTTCACTCCTTCTTGTGGCTGAATAATACTCCATTGTATGGATGGACCACATACTGGTTTTTGTTTTTGTTTTGTTTTGTTTTTTGAGACAAAGTTTCGCTCTTATTGACCAGGCTGGAGTGCAATGGCATGATCTCGGCTCACTGCAACCTCTACCTCCCAGGTTCAAGCGATTCTCCTGCCTCAGCCTCCCAAGTAGCTGGAATTACAGGCATAAGCCACCATGTTCGGCTAATTTTGTATTTTTAGTAGAGATGGGGTTTCTCCATGTTGGTCAGGCTGGTCTTAAACTTCCAACCTCAGGTGATCCACCTGCCTCGGCCTTCCAAAGCGCTGGGATTTCAGGTGTGTGCCACCACACCCAGCTGGACCACGTATTGTTTATCCATTCATCAGCTGATCTACATTTAGGTTGTTCCCACTCTTTTACAATTATGAATATTGTTGCTATTAACACTCATGTACAAGTATTTGTATGGACATATGTTGTCATTTCTCTTGGGATGACCTAGGAATGGAACTGCTGTGTCATATGGCAACTGTATGTTTAACTTTTTGAGGAACTGCCAGACTGTTTCCCATAGCATCTGTATCATTTTACATCTCTATAAGTAAGGAACCCTTATAGGGTTCCCATTTCTCCACATCCTCACCAACAGTTGTTGGGGTTTTGTTTTTTGGGTTTTTTTTTTTTTTGAGATTTTTTTTAAGTTATTATAGTCATTCTAGTGGGTGTGAATTGGTATCTCTATTATTATTATTATTATCATTATTATTTTAGAGACAGGGTCTTGCTCTGCCGCCCAGGCTGGAGTGCAGTGGCACCATCACTGCTCACTGCAGCCTCGACGGCACAGGCTCAAGCAGATCCTCCCACCTCAGCTTCTCGACTAGCTGGAACTACAGGCACAAACCACGCCTATCTCCCTATGTTGCCCAGGCTGGTCTCTAACTTCTGGGCTCAAGTGATCTTCCTGACTCAGTCTCTCAAAGTGCTGGGATTATAGGCAATGAGCCACCACACCTGGCCTCACTGTGATTTTTATTTGCATTTCCCTAATGAATAATGATTTCAACACCTTTTCATGTGTGTATTTCATGTGTTTATTTGGCCATTTGCACATTTTCTTTGGAGAAATATCTCTTCAAATTCTTTGCCCTTTTTTTTTTTTTGAGACGGAGTCTCGCTCTGTCGCCCAGGCTGGAGTGCAGTGGTGCGATCTCCACTCACTGCAACTGCAGCCTCCTGGGTTTAAACCATTCTCCTGCCTCAGCCTCCCGAGTAGCTGGGACTACAGGCACCCGCCACTACACCCAGCTAATTTTTTTCTATTTTTAGTAGAGACGGGGTTTCACCATGTTAGCCAGGATGGTCTCGATCTCCTGACCTCGTGATCCGCCCACCTTGGCCTCCCAAAGTGCTGGGATTA
Organism: Homo sapiens; assembly: GCF_000001405.40. Classification (NCBI taxonomy): domain Eukaryota; kingdom Metazoa; phylum Chordata; class Mammalia; order Primates; family Hominidae; genus Homo; species Homo sapiens. The sequence goes on along the minus strand of NC_000010.11, from coordinate 47,650,549 downwards.
CAGGCGTGAGCCACCACACCTGGCCTGCCCATTGTTTCAATTGGATTATTTGCTTTTTTCTTATGGAGCTGTGATAGTTCTTTACATATTCTAAATACTAGACCCTTAACAGATACACAATTTGCAAATATTTAATCCCATTCTGTAGGTTGTCTTTTCACTTTCTTAATGATGTCCTTTGAAACATAGAAGTTTTTAATTTTGGCCAGGTGCAGTGGCTCACACCTGTAATCCCAGCACTTTGGGAGGCCAAGGCAGGCAGGTTGCTTGAGCCCAGGAATTCAAGACCAGTCTAGGCAACATGGTGAAACCCCACTTCTTTCTTTCTTTTTTTTTTTTTTTTTGAGACAGACTTGCCCTGTCAACCAGGCTGGGGTGCAGTGGCATGGTCTCAGCTCACTACAACCTCCACCTCCCAGACTCAAGAGATTCTCGTGCCTCAGCCTCTCAAGTAGTTGGGATTACAGGCGCGTGCCACCATGCCCAGCTAATTTTTGTATTTGTAGTAGAGAGGGGATTTCACCATGTTGGCCAGACTGGTCTCGAACTCCTGACCTCAAGTGATCCATCTACTTTGGCCTCCCAAAGTGTTGGGATTACAGGAGTGAGCACTGTGCCTGGCCCCAATTCCTATAATACAAAAAATACAAAACTTACTGGGATGTGGTGGCACATGCCTACAGTCCCAGCTACTCAGAAGGCTGAGGTGGGAGGACCGCTCGAGTCTAGAGAGGTTGAAACTGCAGTGAGCCATGATGGCGCCACTGTACTCCAGCCTGGGCAACATGATGAGACCCTGTCTCAAAAAAATAAAAACTTTAAAAAAATTTTTTTAATTTTAAGGGCCAGGCGCAGTGGCTGATGCCTGTAATCCCAGCACGTTGGGAGGCCACGGTGGGCAGATCACGAGGTCAGGAGTTCGAGACCAGCCTGGCCAATATGGTGAAACCCCATCTCTTCTAATAATACAAAAATTAGCCGGGCGTGGTGGTGCGTGCCTGTAGTCCCAGCTACTTGGGAGACTGAGACAGGAGAATCGCTTGAACCCAGGAGGCAGAGGTTGCAGTGAACCAAGATGGCACCACTGACTCCAGCCTGGGCAACAGAGCAAGACTCCATTTCACCAAAAAAAAAAATTTAATTTTAATAAAGTCCAATTTATCTATTTGCTGTTTTTGAAACTGCATTTATGAGGAGATTTTGGGGACAAGGGTTAAATGGTGACAGAATAGTGTCCTTTGTGAGGATGTGAAATGGAATAATTCGGATAAATAAATAGGGTTTATGTATCATTGATTACTAATTCTTGCTACAGTATGATGAGGGCAATAACATGTTTGAAAATTTAACCTTAAAGTTTTGCTAATTCCAGTAGTAGCAAAATATTTATATAGCCCTAAATAAATTTTGAGGAATCAAAGGAGTGATACATAATAAGTGAATACATATAAAATGTTGATTGCAAACAAAGGAAAGATGATTGAGAGAATATAATTTGTCAGGGCATTTTATTTGCAGGACATAATAAAACTGGACAATAATATCTATCTCATACAGTCCTTGTATTAGATATATTAATCTTATAAAGTACATGAAAGAATGCTTAGCACATAGTATTTGCTATATGAGTATTATTTATTATCAGTAGTATTCTTATTAAGTATCTAGATTTAGAGCTACCCTGAGGCTCTACTGAATATAGTACGTAAGAAATTTCTCATTGTAACTTCCTCTTTTCTGTTTTGCACACATTTCTTGTAGGATTACCTGAAGAAATATTCTCAGTATTGTTCCACATCAAGATGGCCACTAGTAGCACTGAGCTTATATCTTACTAGCTAAGCTACTTTTTCAGAAAATGAACACTGTTTTCCTCAATAATTCCAACAAAATTTCTAGTTAAGTTTCTCATTAGACTAGGTTGGATCATGATCGTATTACAAAATAAAACATATGGTTAATGGGGTAGCATCTTTATTTTGGGCAGGTTGAGACATATTATGACCACTGCCCATGATGATTAGGTCCATTGTTCTCACATGGTGTGAACTAGAAGTGAAAGAGAGGTAGAACTTCAAAAAAGATTGAAATGCTGCTACAGAAGAAAAAGAAAATACTGAGGTCTCTGTAACCACAGATATTTATGTTATAAGAAATCAATACAGATTAAAAATTAGGTAAAAAAATTGATTTACTAATAATCTTGATCTTTAGCCACATTTCTCTGAAATAAATTTGCTATGATGCCGTGATGGGGATCAGCAAGCTACGTTTTCCAAGTTCCTTCAAGTGGGATCCTGCTACGTTCTGCTATTGGGAGGTACTAGAGAAACATAGGCAAGAGAATGGAAGAATAGATCTCCTTTTCCTGTTTGTTTGCCGTCCTTGCTGATATTCTCCCAAGAACATCCCCTTGCCCTAGGAGCAGTAATTGTTTCAGTTTACCAATTTTTTCAGAGCCCCAGAAAGTGCCTCTTCAGAGGTAACAGCAGCAGTTGGAACATATCTCTCCCTCAGAGGTCTAGCCTCAGCTCAGGAAGGCTTTTACTCTGAGTTTACAAATTTTAATAACTCCAGTCTCTTCCCTTTATTCATCTAAGCTTCTGAGGAAGTCCGTATGTGGCCACGAGATGGTGGTGATAGCTTCATCTTGCAGTCATTTTCTTTGCTTTCCACAGTGTTGTTACTTTTTTCTCCTATTTCCTATGTGGTCAAATTTTAATATTAACTCATAGTCATAGTGTAGTATTCATACTTTATGTGAAATGAAATGTTTTTTATAATGTAGCCATGGCCTACCAATAGCATATTTTCTTTTAGATTTCGCAATATATATTATATATATTTTGCTTCAGTGACTTTATATGCTTTTTTGTTGCCCACATTAGTTTTTTATATACAAAACATCCAATATTACCCTGGTCCCATCATTTCTTCTGATATCCATTGTCCTGTGATTTCTCCTGGAAAGTGAATTGTTTATCTGTCCATTTCACTCTGTGAAGTCATACAGGTCTATCTATATAGAACTCCTGTGCTCCAATTTATTCCTTGTGTGAAACTGGGCAATTTTTTAATCTCGGAATATGTTTCTTCATATGCAAATCAGAGATAACACTTACCTCACAACATTGTTTAGAGCATTAAAAGAAATATAATATGATATCATTCACACAGAATTTCCCTGGGTGTGAATTGAACAATGTCAGTATTTCTCCCATTTAATGTGAAAACAAACTATATAAATAAACAAAAAAAAGTATAAAAGAAGAAAAAATATCAATAAAAATTATTATAAAATGTATACATATTAAAATATTATCAAGAGTCCTATACAAATTGAGTTTTTCAAAAATAATAAGGATTGTAACTTTTATATTGCAGTTAATGCAAGAAGCATTATGAAAGAGAATCACATGTCTAGAGCAAAGTGATGTTAATAGTGTTTATGTTTGAGCCAGATGGAACTCCTCATAGGAGCACACAGTGCTCATCTCCTCCCAACTTTGCATTCAAAGAAATCATATTCGTAAGCCAAAATTGGTCATAGAGGAAATATTCAACACCACTAAATTAAGCAAACTAAAAATACAGCAGTTTTTCTCAGTGAACTGGTTGTTAAATACATACTAAATCACCGCTAGGTGGCATAGGCCCTCATAAATGGCAAAATAAAAATGGGACTGCTTAGTTTCTATTTTGTTACTTTCTTTATTTCTGAAGAGAATGAGTTCAAATTTTAACAGCAGAGAAAAAAATATAGTTATGAGAGAATCAGACTTTCAAGTATGTGGGGCTATTTTAGGGAAGGACATAGATGTTCTAAATTTATCCTAGCCAAGAAAAAAAATGTGCTTGGTTGGTTACAGATGAAAATCATTAAAATCCTCCCATAGGATTATTGATCAGTCTAAACCAAGGGTCCATTTTTTTTTAAAGGGTCATATTGTAAAAATGTTGGTCTTTATTGGCCTGTTTCTGTCTCAACTAACAAACTCTGCTGCATTAGTGTAAAAGTAGCCATAGACAAATAATGTAAATGTAAATGAATAAATATAATTGTGTTCTAATAAAATTTTATTTGTATATCAAAATTTAAATTTTAGCATGTCATAAGTTATTATTTGGGTTTTTTCAATGAGTAAAAAATGTATAATCTACATTTAGTTTGCTTGCTCTACTAAGTGAGGTGGGGGCCAGATTCAGCTTGAGGAGAGTAGCTAGCTATCTCTTAGTGTAAACAATATATATTATTTAGTATTCTTTTGAAGTGATCAACTTGGTTATAATCATGGTAAGCTGGCAAGTGAGTTGTAAGATAAGGACTATATTAGTTAAGGTTCTCCAGAGAAACAGAACCATAAATGAGATAGATAACTAAGACAGATGTAGACATAGAGGTAGAGATAGAGATAGAGACAGATGAGATAAAGATACAGATGATACAGATATAGATGACACAGAGATACAGATACTTTTACAGATGAAATAGATAGAGAAAGAGACAGAGATAGCTAGAAGAAGATAATTCTTGGGAGGAATTGGCTCACAAGGATGTCGAGACTGAGAAATTCCACAATCTCCTGCCTGCATGATGGAGGCCCAGGAAAGTTAGTGATATAGTTCAACCTAAGCCCAAAAGTCTGAGAACCAGGTGTTCCAATATCAGAGGATAAGAGAAGATGGATGTCCCAGCTCAAGAAGACAGATTAAATTCGCCCTTCCTCTGCCTTTTTGTTTTATTTGGGCTCTGAATAGATTGAAGGATGCCCATAGATATTGGTGAGGATGATCCTCTTCACTCAGTCTACCTATTCAAATGCTAATTTCTCTGGAAACACAGACATACTCAGAAATAATGTTTTATCAGCCATGTGGGCAACCCTTAGCCCAGTAAAACTGACACATGAAGTTACTCATCACAGGGAGGTCTGGGACAATTCACGTCTTTGTTAATTTAAATAGACACATGAAGAAATTATTTTTTCTCTTTTCTTCTTCTTTCTCTTTCTTTTTCTTTCTTTGTCTTTCTCTTTCTCTTTCTTTTTATTTTTAACTAAAGGACATTTTGTAAGCACATGAAACCAGAGAATTGCAGTAGCCATATGACTACTATGAGGTGAGAAAAAGGAAAGTTTTTGCATCCTGCAGATCTGCCCCATCTATGGTCTTTGTGTTAACTGAGACGACAAATACGTTACTACCTAAGCTTCCTTTAGTAACGTCTCCCACTACCTTTATGTTAAAACATTTTAAAAGATAAAATTAAAGGTACAAAATTTTGTTCTTTTAGAGTGGAATAAAGTGGGCTTTCATAAGCTCAGATGTGAATTTTACAATGATTCTGGTCAAATTTTTCAGATAATTTTAGAAAATTGTCTAAAAATACTCTAAATCTAGTGTTAATTATTAGACATTATTTTTTCAAATGTTATTAATATTATAGTGTTAGATGAAGAAAGTATAATCACTAGGGATGAGTTTAATTTCTTTAAGAAAGACAGATATCAGGATCCTCTAATAATACATTAAATGCCCACTAAAGTCAGAGGTATGTATTTGACATGTACCTTACTATATTCTTGTGGACAAGAAGGAGCAATATGGATTAGGTAATGGAATAATTTGGTAAATTATTTAATGGTTAATTGATATACTTACATATTACTAACAAAATGGTTTTAACCTGAAAATTTCATTTTTGTTTATATTCTGGTAACATTATCATCAGTGTTTTAGACATGTTCATCTGTCAAACACATGAAAAATGAAACAACTCTAAGGATTAGCTAATAGGTTGAATGATAAAATAAAAACCTATATAGATGTCTGTGCATTACAATTATGAAACAGCTTTTAGTTAATAAAACTAAATAGGAAAGACCCTTAAATATTACATATTTAACAATAAACCACACACACGTAATGACAATACTAGGATGAGAGACATACGTTTTAAAAAGCAAGATTTTACTACAACAAGCAGTGTTTAGCTAGCTATACTGTCAACCAAGGGTTGGCAAATTATGGCCTGCAGGCCATATCCAGCCAATAGACTGCAATAAATTAAATTTTATTGCAGCATGGACACACTCATTCATTTGCGTATTGTCTATAAATGCTTTCTCACTGCAACAGCAGAGTTGAACAGTTGTATAGAGATTATATGGCCCACAAAACCTAAAATCTTAGCCTCTTTCCCTTTACAGTAAAGGTTTATTAATCCTGCCTAAAAACAAATTTAGCGGAATAATTTGGTTACAGGAAAATAATGATTTTTCTCTTATAAGTTTAATGTCTGGACAAGGTTAATGAGAGCTATGTTTTTCTCCAGGTAGAGTATCCTGGACGTGCAGTTTTTATGCATATTTTAACTTGAAGACACTAAAGAGTGTTCAAATGTAGGATATACAAATGACATAGTGATTTAAAATAGTAGTGTCAACTGTGGCTAACAAAACTAGGACCATGCTTTTCCTAAAAAATGGAGGAAAATGGCAAGATAGGATAGTTTTGGCACATAAATTGCATCACATTTTTGAGAGTGTCATTTGAAGGCATGGTTTAGTCTAATCTTGGTTTATCTCAAATGTAAGTTCAGTAACATGGATGTTACAGCAAGACATAATTTGACTCTAAATCAGCAAGTACTTGCAAATATTCAGAACTATCTGGAAGTGAAAACGGCTTCCTCTGTAGACAGACAGCAAGTTTCTTATCCCAGAGCCCTGTAGGTAGACCATCTGTGCAGGTTATAATCAGGAGATTCATGAATGTGATAATGATGACATAGTCACATTGACAATGAGGCTTTTAGTCATACAGATTAAAGTAAATATATACTCTATTGTGCAAATCTCCTAGTAATTGAAAATAAATTTAATCTTGTGCTACAAGTAGATACAAAGTATTCCCAGTTAGATTTTACATGTATACATTTTGAAACTATTAATTTTTTAAAAATAATGCAATGACTTTTTAAAAAGTTTTATTGATTGATTGATTGATTGATTGATTGATTTTTATGGAGTCTCGCTCTGTCACCGAGTTTCGAGTGCAGTGGTGTGATCTCGGCTCACTGCAACCTCTGCCTCTGGGGTTCAAGCGGTTCTCCTGCCTCAGCCTCCCGAGTAGCTGGGACCACAGGCATGTACAACCATGCCCGGCTAATTTTTGTATTTTTAGTGGAGACAGGGTTTCACCATGTTGGCCAGGCAGGTCTTGAACTCCTGACCTCAGGTGATCTGCATGCCTCAGCCTCCCAAAGTGCTGGGATTACAGGCGTGAGCCACTGCGCCCAGCCAATTTTCTCATTTTTGATACACTAATTCTAAAGTAAACTTTCCCCTTTATTACTTGAAGATTTATTTCAGGTGTTTTTCAATTCTTCCTAATTTCAGCTCCTCAATTGAAATTTGGTTCACATTAATGATGCTTATCTGTTCTTGACACATAGAAAATACAAATATAGGACTTTTACTGAATTCTATTTTTTAAAAGTTCTAAGGAAAAAGCTATTACATCCACATATATGTGTAAAATGAAACGTAGACCTAAGAGCTACTGTGAATAAACAGCTTGACTTTTAATAAAAGAGAGTATATTAAATTTATGTTACAGCTAAGAATCTGGGAATTCTTGAGTACTGTCTGCTAGGAACACTATTATGTCAAAAATAACAAAAGGGGTTATTTGACATGATTTGCTGATCACTAACCCCACTGAGGGAAGCCCTCCAAGGTTTATGTGAGAAGTAGTCAGTTTGTTTTTGTCTTACTGGTGCAGAAGAAATGCTTTTTATTGCCCATGTTCTCCAAGGATGACACTGAGCTCCACAAAGCAACCACTGGGGAATATCAGATAACTAGCATGAATCTATTGTTATAAAACAAGCACGCTGTTTTAAAAACATATTTAAAGTAATTCATGAGTTGGATGTTTCTTGACAGGTATACTTTTCAGTTTAGGTATTTAAAAAGAAAAAGTCTGCTGTGTACCTTTATTTTCACTTTTACTTTGGTTGTTTTTTTTGTTTTGTTTTTTGAGACAGAGTTTTGCTCTTGTTGCCCAGGCTGGAGTGCAATGGCACGATCTCGGCTCACTGCAACCTCCACCTCCCAGGTTCAAGCAATTCTTCTGCCTCAGCCTCCCGAGTAGCTGGGATTACAGGCATGCACCACCATGCCCGGCTAATTTTTTGTGCTTTTAGTAGAGACGGGGTTTCTCCATGTTGAGGCTGGTCTTGAACTCCTGACCTCAGGTGATCTGCCCGCCTCGGCCTCCCAAAGTGCTGGGATTACAGGCATGAGTGACCGCGCCCGGCTACTTTGGTGTTTTGATGTCTATAGAAATGAGCAGTTTCTCTACTTCTTTCCCAGAAATTTATCTCCAATGCTGACATAAGCACAAAGACCTTATGTACTGTGCTGGGAAATATTTTGTGTCTTAAGAATAAAAATTTTCATTAGAGTTAGTCCATGCATCACACATATTATCCTTCCTGATAAGAGGAACACTGAAGCACAGACACTGTGTTGGGCTATAGTTCTTAATGGAAAAATTAAGCTTTTCAAAATGTTAGTCACTGCCATGCTAGATGTTTAAGTCATTTTTACAACCTGTTTTGATAGATTCTAAGAATCAGTCTTACATTATATTTTCTGTGGCTTACTGTTAAAATCTTATTCATAAAAATAACGGTTGTGCATAGAAGTAGTATATACCAACATCATAAACCAGAAAGTAATTTATATTTAACCCTCATAACAATACTTCAAAGTAGAAATTACCTCATATTGTAGAGGAAACACAGGCTCAGATAGGATATAAATTGCCCATATCACAAAATTAGTAAGTGATGGAGCTAGAATACAAACAAGATCTGCCTATTTACACAAATCAATAATTTTTCCTCTATAGCATGTTGTCATTACATGCCTTTGGTTTTCAGGTGAAATGCACTCAACTTCACATTTTAAAATATGCCACAAATGTACCCATAAAGTAAGTGAACATGACTATTGAGTGGGATCACAATTATTAAAAAGTTTGCCTTGGGAACAAAGACAGTATACTGACCGTCAGGGAACTGAATTCCATAACCAAAGGGGACATGTGCCATCTCCCTGGGCTCAATGGGGTTTTCCCAATGGATTCTTTGTAAATAGGTGTTGCACATATTTCTGTTTCTTTAAGCTTTCCTTTATAACTTCCAGACCTACTTCTGATGGTGTTGAATTTCTTTCAAAACCTCACCCTAGATATGGGGTCAGCTTTAGGCAAAACTGAGAGTTGCTAGCTAACAAAAGTAGCTAATATTTTAATGAAAAGTCTTATTATTAAGCTAAATGCCAAACGCTATTCATTACATGTATTAATCAATTATCACAATTTTATGAAGTAGATATGACCATCATTTTTATTTATCAGTTGAAGAAACTAAGACACAGAAAACTCAAATACCTTACCCAAAGTCATATTGCTTGTGGAGAAGTTGGCAATTCATCTTGGTTATCTTGACTTAGAGTCTGCGTGCTGGATGACTATTTTAGACTGTTACGTGTGCATGCAGAGCTCAGTGTTTGTCTGGTCCCACTCCCTCCTACCCTTCTGTCCCCTAGTGACTTCATCCTGTTCCCTACTTCTCAAGACTACTCCTTTTCTTAGACACTTTTTCATATTTCAGAACTAATCATTCTGTTTATTTTTTCTCTGCTCATCATGCCAAAGTTAGCAGGGCAGCTGAAATAAAGGAATTCATACTAAAAAATGGCATGCTCAATTTGTAAAATTTTCCAGAGTTAAATAGATAGAGTGAAATGCGCAATTTCTTCTTTGAAGAAAACAATGTTGAATTTTACTTAAATGAATGATAAATATAATTTTGACATGTATTTGTGATCTGTATGAGTAATATCATATCCTATCCTGCTTCACATTCTCACACTCTTATACCATTAATGATCTCTACATCTATCCCCAATCAGCTACCACCTCTCTTCCTCAGCTGTGTTATGTCAGGTCTGAAAATTAAATTTTAAAAGTAGTTCCTAAGTTTTCAACATTCTTAAAGTTTTTTTCCTGGAAGGACATGATGAGTAACCTGACTGTCAGCAAATGCCTTAGGTATTAAGGAGAACAATCATAATGGCAATAGCTAATATTTTTTGGCAGAGCCAAGTTTCAGTATCTCTTTGCAACTCTGTGACATCATGATCATATTAATTCTTATTACAAACCTATGAAGTGGCTATCCACTTTATTTTAATTTTATAAGGGAAAAAACAAGTCCTTAGAGAGTCTAAGTAACTTGGCTCTGGATTTGAACTTCAATCTAGCTATCTCTATAACTTGACCTTTAAACATTATACCACCTTATATGTCAAACTTACCTTGAAAACCAACAAGTAAACCAACTAAATAAAACAATAAGAACAACCTATAATAAAAAGCCTTCTCAGCTGGGTGCAGTGGCTTACACCTGTAATCCCAGAATTTTGGGATGATGAGGGAGGAGGATGGTGTGAACCCAGGAGATTGAGACCAACCTAGGCAACACAGTGAAACCCTGTCTCTACAAAAAAAAAAAAAAAATACAAAAATTATATAGGTGGACATGGTGGTGCTCACCTGTAGTCCCAGCTACTCGGGAGGCTGAGGTCGAAGGATTTCTTGAGCCCAGGAGGCAGAGGCTGCAGTGAGTCGAGATAATGCCACTGCACTCCAGCCTCAGCAACAGAGTAGAAACCATTTCTGAAAAAAGAAAAAGAAAAGGACTTATTATCCAATTCAGTATGTTCTATAACAATAAAAAAAATACCATTGAATGAATGGGGAAGAAAATTAGATCAACTGCTGTGAAGTAAACTTGTTTACTCCTGATCAAGAAGTAGCAGCAGATTATACCTCTGTGGTATTAGTAAAATACATCTTTGCGCTAGGCGCGGTGGCTCATGCCTGTAATCCCAGCACTTTGGGAGGCCGAGGCGGGCGGATCACGAGGTCAGGAGATCGAGACCATCCTGGCGAACACGGTGAAACCCCGTCTCTACTAAAAACACACACAAAAAATTAGCCGGGCGCGGTGGCGGGCGCCTATAGTCCCAGCTACTAGGGAGGCCGAGGCAGGAGAATGGCGTGAACCCGGGAGGCGAAGCTTGCAGTGAGCGGAGATGGCGCCACTGCACTCCGGCCTGGGCGAAAGAGCTAGACTCCGTCTCAAAAAAAAAAAAAAAATAATAATAATAATAATTAGCCGGGCGTGGTAGCAGGCGCCTGTGGTCCCAGCTGCTCGGGAGGCTGAGGCAGGAGAATGGTGTGAACCCGGGAGGCGGAGCTTGCAGTGAGCGGAGAGATAGCGCCACTGCACTCCAGCCTGGGCGACAGAGCGAGACTCGGTCTCAAAAAAAGAAAAAGAAAAAAAACAAAAACAAAAAACTAAATTCTGGCAGCTGGGGTAAAATTAATATAAGAAAAGAATAGATACAGCACTCATTTTTCTATACCCCAAGTGTTTTAATTATTTCTATATTTGGAAATGAATTCATAATATATTAGTCACATTATTTGAAATTTCAAATTATAATTTTATTTGTTTCAGATAAAAGCCTCGTCCTTTAAAAACATACGTTTGGATGAATAAACAAAGCAAGCTTTCTATGACTTTCATATAAACTACTTTCTCATCCTGTATTGCTCCATTGAGTTAGTGAGGTCAGGGTTTTGATAGAATGAGAATATTCATACAGTGAATTGCAGACATATTTGCAGGTTTTTAAAAATGATGTTGGCTTTGTCTAGGGCTGAGGGTGATGTTGCAGGGCAAGTGTAAAGGACAGAGTCACACAGAGACTCCTGAGAACTAGAAAGCAACCAGTGAGTGCCAGCATCTGAAGGGCAAGGAAGTGTCAACGTAGTTCCGTATAAATTTAGTAAAACATAAGGCAAGCACCCAATTGTTTTCCAACACAATATGCTAATTGGAGTGGCAGAATTGTATGGTAGAAAGAACATACAAATGACAAATATATTCACAACACTGTGCCAAGTGCAGTGAGAGGTACAGTGACATAAAGACATGCATTTTCAGACATTATAGTCGGTTTGAGGATTTAATATATTAATCATGTACAGAGATCTAAAATTTCCTTGAGTACGTATTATGCATGCTGAATGGTAGGAAATGTGTGCTAAGTATTTTATTCTGGATTCTCTCAAATAAAACTGACCTCATAGCTCTGAGTTAAGTAATTTTATATTTACCACATAAGAAAATTGAAGTACAAATGAGGAAATCGAGGTACAGACAGATTAAGCAACTTGTCCAAGACTATACAGCTGCTACGCAGAGCATCAGGGATTCAAATCTAGGAATGAGTGAAGAATTTTATTACTAATTGCATAAGTAATTACATACGTCTAAGCCAGTCATATATTCTTTGTTGGTTCTATGACCCAATATTGCAGAAAATAATTATAGAATTGGATTTTCTGTTTGAGTACAAAATTTGCTTCACAAAATTATAATTCTGTTGTTTAAATATTGAATGTATAGTGTGAATTGTTATCTAATAGTAGTATCTGTTTTAAAGTCACATATTGGTAAACATTGCCTTAATAATGATTATGGTTGTCAGCACATGTTATATCAACGAATCCTTTCAAATAATTAATGTGGTAAGTGTAGACCAAATCAACTGATAATTAGCTAAGCCTCAGAGGATCTGAGTACTGTATCTATATTTACATGGCCAGTGAGTAGAGAGGTTGAGTCTTAATCCCAGTGATCTGACAGCAGTGATCTCATTTGTGTGTATGATTCCAGAATCACTGTGAGAGAATGTGAACCCATATTTAGACAATGCATAGTTCCCAGCAACTACTAGAGTCTTATCTTGCTCTGGGAGTGCAGAAAATACATTATGATAACTTGGTAATATTGTAATGTGAAAAGCGTAAAGAGAATAACTCACAAGAAAAATATTAAGAAGTTTTCTGAAGCACACTTCTGTTGTGGCTTCCAGATTAATGTGCTTTCAAATTCTAAGCAGTGTTTTCCACAGACAGATTTTCTGTGTAAGCAGAAATTGGCTTAATTTAAGGAGATACAAAGGATGTTACAGTATTTTGTGTTTACTACAGAGATTGGCTGCCATTTGTTAGTGCAGTAAAATTTTGTAAAGCTGCTCCTCATGAGATTCTTTGAAATTCATTTATAACAACGAGACTGGATACTTAACATCTGCTGCAAATGTTTTCTAGGAGACTTAGTTACTCCTGTTCCCTACTTTCTGTAGTTTATTTCCATTCTATGATTGTTTATCTTTTGAAATAATTTCAACAATTGACTCTGTTTAATTTGTCTGGTTCTGAGAAAACATTAGCTAGATGACAAATTTAACAGTTTAATCCAACAGGCCTTGAGTGGTATATATCGGCATGTGTTACCAAAGGAGTCAAGAAATTAACTCCAGCTCTTAAACATTGAAAAAAGAAAAAGAAGGTAGGGGAGGGAATCTTGATAGCCACTTTGGTAATGACGCAAAGTGAGAGAAAATATCATCCTGGAGCTCAACGGTGAGCACACTTAATGGCAAAAGAAGTGAGAACTGACCATCTGCTCATCCACATGGTGAGATATGGACAAATACCTCTTCTTGAGAATGAATGAGTGGCTATATGAATGAATAGGTGAATGAGCAAATGAAGGCCTATCTGTGAATAACCAAACTGGAAACCCACAGTCAGTTTACAAGCCTCTTGAGGATATGATCATAACTTGAATATCTCACTGAGAGCTAACCCTTTATATGAACTTAGCTCATTTACTTTTGCATTTGTTGTTGAAGGTCCTTCGTACCCTGCTCAAAGGCTGAATTCTTAAAAATATACTACCACCATTAAAAAAGAACACAAGAAAATTTTTGGAGGTGAATAAGTATGTTCAGTACCTTGGTTGTGATGATGATATTGGTCCAAACTCATCCAGGTGAATATATGAAAGGTGTACAATTTTTTTATACCTCAATAAAACTTCTAAAAAATGATTTAAAACTAAACAGGAACAACAGCAAAACACTTAGGAAACAACAGAAGTTTCTGTCCCTGTTCTAAATGTTAACTTTAAAGGTTTGATTAGGAATTTATTTTTTAGTGCAGAAACATGATTTTCTTTTTCAAAACACAAACAGATCTAGTTAAAATCTACACATTTCCCTTCATAAAGGCAGAGACCCTCATGCAACAATCATCTTTAGAAATAGAGGTCCCTGTAAAACCACAGTGCATGGTTTTTTGACTGTTTATGCATTAACAGCATTTTTTTGTTTCTAGCCTTGGAAATACATCAGAAATAGATCTCCTGACTGTGTTTGCATGGGTCCCTTAGAAATGACTTAAATATAAGCAAACCATATTACTTAAACAATGTTAAGCTATGCTGTAGCGCTGTATTACTGCTTTGAGAAATTCATATTGTTCAACTAAATATTGTAACAGTAATTCATGTTCATAGAAAAGTCAATCAAAGGTTTTCACAAGTTCGAGGCAGGAAAGGAAATAAAGGTCAGGCATTGTATTGCAAGTTCCCTATTCTAAATTGTAGTTCTTACAAATAGGCTCCTGAGGTTCCATAGCTTTAGCAGGACTCTTACATATGCCTTCATTGTCTCTTCTTTCAATGACATTCAGACATTTATTTCTTTCTCCCTCCCATTGTGTCTGACTGCCTCACACTGTTGAACTTGTGCCTCTCTCACCTCTTCCTTCTGTCTCTCTTTTTAATACCTTGATGCGGCTGCAACGGATGGTGGGATGCATTTTATTCAGCTCTCAAGGCAGTCAGAGTTCCACTTGAGTTCATGTAGCATCTGTTATAACAGGGTTAAAATTATAGAAAGTACATGATTTTATTCCCTTTAGCTGAAGGACAACAAAGGTGGATTTCCGTATTTCCTTGTAAAGTGCTGCTTCCGAGAAAGCACATTTTGGTATCCACTAATCCCAAGTAAAGTGACTTGGTTCCTAATGTTGGTTTTGCCATTAGCCTGGTGGTTTTGTTAGGTTATTTATTTTCTTTAAGCCCATCAACCCTTCAGTTAGTCTCCATTCTGCCTACTTGTTGGTGAAATTTAAAAGGCCTCCTAGTAGCTCCAATAGTTACAGTATAATAGAAACAAGCAAATACTCGTTTTAAAAAAAATTCTATGAGGGTAAAAACACTTGGATTCAAAAGTGAGTTTGAACAATATCTACCAAGTGGTAATTAGGTATGCTCAGACTTTTAAACTAAAAATACACCACAAGACTACTGCACACTCCTACTAAGGTCCCAAGGATTATTGAAAAGTAGAAAGAAAAAAAAATAGTGGGAACTTCTTTTAGTTAAAATGCACATCTTATCAGTATTACTATAATAATAGTAATTGTGACCTTTAGTTTGAATTTCTTTTCTGGAAATATAAAGTCTTAGGGAATTGTGATATAAATCCCAAGGCTAAAATAGGTGTCCACTGATCATTCTGATTTTTATTTGATAATAGTCTTCCTAAATAGACTATTATTCTTATAAAATGGAAGGAGCAAGTTGGAAAGCTTAAGAAAACTCTGAAGAGCAGGCATTTCTAAATAGGAAGCTATAGGAGAAAAGGCTTATGACTATCCAAAGCACTTAGGCATCTGGTGTATTATATGGAATGTCTTTCTCTTTTTCCTCAATTATCAGAACAAGTTCAATGGTATTAAAACAATAAAAAATGGTCTTAGTTGGATTAAATAGGCCTTCAAAGGGCTCTCTGACAGATACGCTCATGAAATTATGACATAACTCTGCAAACTGAATCTATGTGAAACAGAAAACATGTAGAAGACACAAAATTCTAAGGGAAACTCAAGGATTTTCTAAGATTGCTTTACATAACTGCTTCTGTTTTCCAAACTTTACCTTCTCTAACAACAAGCCATGATATACCAGCGTCAAAGTCTAGATAGTCCAATGGCAAGAATGCTGACAAAGGTAGTTGTATAAGAATGAGTCATATTTTGAATGACAAAATGGTTAATATCTTCTTTCTTGCTTTTTTATATTGGCAATTTTTTCTATGTTTTAGAGGAATTGAGAATTAGAAGGTTATTTATGAGCGTAAGAGTATAGGCAAATTTAACTCAATTCATTAAATAGTTATTGAATCTGCAAAACATTGTGGAGGATATAGAAAATTGTTACAATATGCATCTTATCCTCAAGGAGCGTAATCGTTTTATTTCAGCTGGAGTTTTTTACCACTTAGATGGAGCTTAGCTTTACTGAATGTAGACCTTAAACACTCTTTATGCCGAGTTTTATTAGCTTGGGTTTATCGTATGGCCGCTGTGGCTGGCACAAAATTTACCAACCATAAATATTAGTATAGTTTAGTCATACTTTCACTTATTACTTAAAATTTATCACTGCTTTTTCCCATGGGGGTGTGGTTGAGCAAAGTGTTTTGAGCTGCGTTTATGCGTGCTTGATACCTGCTCCCTTCGATCCAGGTGATCTGGAGGGCATTCTCACTGGGGCGGGGATGCTTGCATGTGTAATTTTTTACTAAGAATTCAAAAAACAGGCCAGGACCAAACTTCTATGTTTACCGGGTTGTGCGGACCCATCTAGGCATTTTCAGTGCCTTGCTTTAAATAATTAAGCTACATTAACTGGGTGAAAAACATTTGAGTGGTATTTTGAAATACTAGGGGGATGTCAGGGGGTAGGATCTTGTTAGGTATAAATCTAAAGTGGTCCTTTACAGTCCTGGAAGTTTAGGGCCTTTAAAAAAGTTGAACTAGCAGAGGTTTTCGCTGAGGGGCCATTTGTAGTTGAAGTTATATTTGATTTAGGACTATAATATCTGGGATACAAGCTTTTCAGAGCGGGATACCTGAAGTATTATATAAGTATTAGGACAGAGATTTAGTTAGCATCGAAATAGGAGATTTTATTTGGTTGGAGAATGTTAGGATTTTTTAGAAAATTACGTTAATCGAGGGGCTAGGGTTGGAGTGTTCATGGTTAAATTATGATTTTTAGGGCTCTGACTAGGTTCAATTTAAGTATCTTGTTTTTGGGGGCTGGCTTACCTAATTTAACAATAAACTCAGAGATGGGGGGAGGGCAGATCTGCGGATTTAATCGGAAGCACTCCTTTAAATACTGCGTGAACGTACGTGTGTGTGTGAACGTACGGGTGTGTGAGAACGTACGTGTGCGTGAACGTACATGTGTGCGTGAATGTGTATTGATTATTATGGCCTTCAAGCATGAATGAATTAGCACCTTATGGTTTGGTATGTTGGCTCAGAATATTCAAGATAAGTCCAGCTACAGTCGATTCCGCAGGGATCAGGCTCCCGCCGTGGTAAGTGGCAGCATCCCGAAAACAAAAACATACCAAATGCATGACAGTGCTCCCATGACTAGTTATTAGGGTGATAGTCACTAGTACATTGAGATATAAGGTTTGCAAATATTTTCTCCCAGTTTGTAGGTTGCCTCTCCACCCTCCACCCTCCTGTTTCCTTTGCTCTGCACAAGGTTTATAATTCTAAGTAATCCTGTTTATCTATTTTTGCCTTTATTGCCTCTGTTTTTGCGTACAAACTAAATCCTCAAAAACCTGTATTATCATAGTTATAAGATTTATTTTGGTAAGATTCCAAATAGTTTAAAATGCTTTTGTTTGTTTGTTTGACATAATGGCATCAGATATAACATGGCATAATGTCATACCGTTACTCTTTCACTTAAAAATCGAAATGTAAACATTTTTAAATATGGCAAAAATGTACATTAGAAATACATTAAATGGTAAATAACAAACTGCTGTTAATCCCACATATAATCATGGCTTACTTTTATAATACTTTGAACATTATAAAGTGATTTTCTATCTCTTATTATATTTTATAATAACATGTGGGATAGCTGGAGTAGATATTATTTTCTCTGCCTTACATGTGCCAAAAACGAGAGAGGGAGAGAAGTGAAGTGACTTTCCCCATATTGCAAAGACACAATGGTGCAGAGCTGAAACTTTACTGATTATTTGAAATACTTTACAATTTTTCTAAAACATAGTGAGATCTAGGTTCTTAGTGTTATAACCAGCCCTATTTGAAAATTTCTCAGGATATTGGTTCATCCTTTATTAAAACAAACAAACAAAAGTAGGATCAAGTTAAGAAAAGCAGAATGTTTTGGTAGGATTAGGATCTCAAAATAATTATCTGAAGCCAATAAAGTGTCACATTATTTTTCTTGCTTTATTTTTAATTCTATTATTTTTCCTGTGTCTATATGGTGATATAATAACCTGAGAAAGACGGTTCTAATCACACATGTACTAATCACAACCACTCAACATAATTTTAAAGTAAAATTTAACCCGGATGTAAATTTAAAAGTTCTTAAAAGTATTCAACTTCTGTGTCTATACTTAAGACTCCATCCCTAGGTGTCCGTTGATTATGCAAGTAGGATTAACAATAATTAATTTATCAACCTAATCTTTAAGCAGTGCAAGCATTATTATTAGACTTTCTTAAATGGGCACTATAATATGTATCTTGATTGAGCTTACTTATTTCATAGAAGAATGGTATTTCTAAAATTCTTTTAGAGATTTTTGATATTCAATCTCAAATGTTTAATATATTTTCCAAAATTATCAAATAAGGATGAGCACTAGCATACTCTAATATTTACAGGAAAAATATAAACAAAAACACTTGGATTTCTAGGTTCTTTAATAATCTCAATGCCAGGATGAATTCTCTAAGTCTGAAAAAATTGCCATGACTTGGTACTAAGATCAGTATCAATTCAACCATTATTTATTTAAAAAAAATAACTTAAATAAAAGTTGCATTTACCATTTTGTGCAGTGGTTCTCAACCCTGGTTATTCCTCTATAGTTTTAAAAAATGCTGATACCTGGGTCCTTGGCCCAGTGATTCAGCATAAATTAGTCTCACATGTGGCTTTGTCATCAGGAGCTTAAACAGTTTTCCAGTTTATATTAATGTGCAGCTGAATTTGAGAACAACTGCTTTAGTCTTTTGAAATGAGGCCAGGTGTACATATAAGGCCTTACTGTGCAAAGATTTAAATTTGGGGGACATTTTGGTCATATAAAGCTGGTTAATACAGATGAAGTTTAAAAGAAATAGACTCTTACTTACCAGATATACTAACACTTTGCAGGAATCAAGATCATTTTGAGAGAATTAAAAAGAAGAGAAAAATAAACTTCCTGAATCCTGAATTTATAATTACATGTTCTACCTTTCTCGTACTATACCATCTTGATTGATGCTTAGAATAAAATTCCAAAGAATCTGAAACAGCATACAAAATTATATTTGTATGATTTTCATGTTCAACATATTTCAGTGAATTTCAATGATTAAAAATTAATTATCCATAGGTGATATATATGATTATTCCATTGCCAAGACTGTTACATTAAGTAAGGCAGCTAGTTCCCAACAGATCTGGAAATCAATGTTGCAATCTGAAGAAGGCTTTTAAAGTCAATATTCTTAGGTACATATATAATTTTGTTATAATCTCCATATTATTGCAATTCAATTCTACAGAAGACCTTTCTTGTCACATCACCAGTCCAGTGACACTGGTAGAGTGTATCAAAGGAAATGTGAATTGTCCTCTTAAACTTCCAAACCAAATAATAGAGTGAATTGATTTATATTTCAACCTTGAGTACGGAAGACATTAACAATTATGATCCATAGTAAAAATCCTGTTTTTATGCAGTATAATTTATTGAGACTCATTTAAAATTCACATAACATTTGATTGTATGGAAGGTGTTTACAATTGTAATTTTTGCAACATTGAAAATGCCAAATGTGTTTGATTAATATCAACTTCCTGCAGCCACACCTGTGTAATATTTATGCCTCTAAATTACTATTTGTGGTAATTAGCAGTTTTTCCATTGCAATTAACAAGCTTCAATCTCGAACATTGTCTGAGATAGCTTAACTTTTTACTTTTTTCTTAGTTGAAATGTTTTAATTATAGTTTAATTTGTTATTTTAGTTTTCCTTTTGTCTTCTTGGAGTTTAACCTCAATAACATTTTGAGTTGGTTCTTATTTATTTGCATCAAACCACTCTAAAATGTAATACAAATTATTATCACTCCAGCTACATGGAAAAACTTTAACAAACCTGTGAATGACTTAATCATTTTAACAATTAAGACATTTACACACACACACATTTCTTCTAAAAAGAATGGTTAAAACTACCTATATACTGGAAACATATTTTCATATAACTTTGCTTATTATTATTTGTATTTATATTGCATAAATTATGTCAGTAGCTAGAATGACATGGATTTGACAAGAATAGAGAAAAGGTGGTTTCATATCCCAGACTCTTAAAACACACTTTTCAGTTTAGGACACAAGCGCTCTGAAGATATGTATATAGTCTTCATGTCTGGCATCTAATTCCTATGAGTTTCCTTCAATTAATACTAAACACATGTATAGAAATTGCCATAAACTGAGCTGTATGATGGTAATAATCCCCAAATGACAATTCAATCATCCAGATCTTTGGGTTGTCCTAATTCCATTATACAAGGTGGATCTAATGGTCATTAGATCCCTAGATATGAGGGATCCCTAGAAAAGTATTTTCTTAATCTTGGATAATAGTTTTCAATGCTTTAGTGAAAATTGCTTATGGAACTCTTCGATTTTAATCAATCTTTGAAAATGGCTCTTTCAATGGTTGATAAGGTAAGTCATCACACAGTACTTCTATATTGTAAAAAAAAAGCTAAAACAGTAATCTTAATATACATTAGGTATTAAATACCTCTTATTTCCAGATGTATACAATAGATTCCTTTTATATCTTAGAGTTAAAACCAGAGAAAAAAATTGTCTGTCTCCATAAACCATGCACTCTCTTTTGTTAGATAAAGAAAAAAGTGTAATTCATCTTTATCTTCTCTGATCTATTATGTGACTTTTAATTTTGATTTTAAAAATTGAACTTATTGATTTTTTTCTTGATACATAAATTATACATGTTCAGTGTCTATAGCGTACATTAAAAATTGTTTAAAATACGTATAATCTCAGCAAACAGAAAATTTATTTTTTTATTTAAAATATTACCTAACATTTTAATTTTCCTAAATATCAAAACTGTCTTATTAGCATACACTCTCAAAATAAATTTTATTCTATCTTCTTTAATAACATACCAGTTTTTCCTTTATATGTATTTTGAACATATATTTGCTTCACTAAATGCTATTTTAAAAGCATGGATTTCATTTGTTAGTATTCCATAACTAGCAATTATAAAGTTGGACATTTAGATTTATTTCAGTTTTCAATATTCACTTCTAAAGAAAGGTTACAATGAATATTTCTGTAATTAAGTCTAACCACACATGCAAGATTATTTCTTTAGAATACATTTTAGAAGTAGTATTAGATTAAGGCATTTGGCTTACAGTTTTAAAATCCCTTTAGAAAATGTTCTGTTATTATAATGGTCTATTTTTGTATGCCTTGTATTATAATTTGTATCAAATATATTTTTATATGCATGGTATATATAAGAAATGCAAATCTAATTAGATAAAGCAACAAATATATTACATAATTGTGAGATATAGTCTTTAAAGTTAATATATCTGAGAAGTCTCCTTTTTCTTTTAATCTTCACAAATGTTTTTTCTTTTGTTCACTCTAGAAGATTTTGATGTATTGGTTTTGAATGACCAGGATTATTTCAGAAGGATTAAACTAATAAAATATTATAGGCAACAAGAGCAGTGAGGTGCTGAGAGGCATGTAAAACTGTGAGCCTATAGCATTTAATGGAAAGACTGACAGAAGGGAGCTAAAAATATATATTTTCGGTACCAGAGCCTACTTTTACAACTAATAATGCTGAACACAGCAAACTTGAACCTATTTAAATAATTAAAAAGCCTTAAATATGAATATTGTCAATACTAATGTTGATTTTAAATAGAATTCAAACATAATTGAGAATTTGCTTGACAAATTATACAACCTGCATCTTTACTATATTGAACACATTTATGTTGAAGTATTGTGATTATAAAAATGTTTATCTTGAATATATAATTTTCTTCTCTTGTATAACATGTATAATGTATGTAGTACCATTCATATTAGTATGTTTCTTCCTTGTTAACAATACAAAAAAGGTACGTATATGATTAAGTCTTTTTCTTTAAGAGAACATTCAGAAAGCCTAAAAATAAATTTTAAGTGAAACACTAGCAAAACTTTGACCTTTATTAAAATTGTACTTCTGTCCCCACTTGAACCTGGTTCTGTAGTTTAGATTCTGATTTTATTTGTCGAAAGGGATGCCTATGTACTCAATGCAAGTGACATAACATCCTTCATTCAATAAGAATACAAATGCATGAATAAATACATATCTATTGCAAATAAAATAAAAATAGGAGAGCAGATAATTATTGAGGTATAAGTTTTTTACTAAAGTACAACACTCTCTAGTCATAAGAG
The DNA here is from genome assembly GCF_000001405.40 of Homo sapiens. Classification (NCBI taxonomy): domain Eukaryota; kingdom Metazoa; phylum Chordata; class Mammalia; order Primates; family Hominidae; genus Homo; species Homo sapiens. Next base: position 47,627,957 of record NC_000010.11, on the reverse strand, counting down.
CAGAAATATATTTACCAGTATAGCATGTTAATAATGGGTATTTATAAATGCTGCCAACCATATTTTTAATCAACTTAAAAATACATTTGGTAGAACTTAAGTTTAGCTGCATAAATGAGAGTAATGAACTTAGTTACAGATTTTTGGACACATTTGCCACTTTAATTAAAAAGATTAGTAATCGTAACATTTAATGCTGCTTTATATTTTCAAAAGGATTAGTTCAATAATGATTATAAATTTCCCTGGCATCTTTGCAATTATCATCATCCTCAAATTTATAGATGAGGGAATTTTCAGAAGAAAGTTAAGTACTAGGAATAGATTTTGAATCCAGTGGGTTTCAGTTACAAGACTGTTACAAGAGTATGAGTTTATAAATAGTTTCCAAGTGCCAATAAATGCCAGTGGTGGAGATAAACAGAAAAAGGTGATTTTATCACACCTGATTTAATGCTGTTTTTCTTTTATATTTCAACAGTCAGTGGAATCTTGGCAGTAACAAAAAGAGAAACAAAATTTACATTGTTAACAGTACCGATAGAGTGACACTCTTTATCACAGTTTGAGAGAAACTTCAAGAAGTAAAAATAGGAGATGTAGTCTACAGACACTTAAGAAATTCACATTATGCCAGAAAGACTAAGTAGCCATTCCCCTAGAAATTGAAGAAAAATAGAAACTGGGTTTGATTAAATGACAGTATGAGTGCTACATATAAGACATTTTCTAGCCTTTCAGAGAAGGAAGTTAAGAGTACATGAAAAGATTATTACTGTTCCTGTTTGCCTTTGAAGATTACAGAGGAGTACAGTCAGCATGCAGAGACAATATTGTTGTGACTTACAGTTTTAACAATGAATTCTATTGCTAGAATTTCCTTTTTTAAATGTTTTCTATAAGAGAATTCTTACAGTTCTGATTATTATTTCCAGCAAGAACCTTAGAACCTTATGTTTCTGTTAGGTTCTTCTTAATCACGTACACTACGAGGAGATGGAGGGAATTTCGTTATTCTATTCTAAAACATACCCCCTTCCAATTTAAAAATGGAACGTTTTTAAATGGAAAATGGAAAATAATAAAATGGTCAGTCATCTAAACCATGATTAATGGATTCTCTAGAACTTAGCTTCTTCTCTTCCTTCCTCTGATTACCTTCCTTTGCGCATGTCACAGCTCCTGATGAACATAGACAATAGATAAGACAATTAACCACATTAATGTTTCAAAACACTTTATTATTTGTTTAAAATTACAGTTTGAAGCTAAGTTGGGGAACCAGATGCCACTTTTACAAGGGTAAATAATAAATGGTGTGTTTTAATTATGTATGTGGCCCAATTATCATGAGTAATAAGTGAAGCAATATTTTTAAAGGTTAAAGAAGTTCTGTATATATTAGAGTGGAGAAACTTTAACGTTCTAAAACTGAATAAAATCTTTCCTTAAGAAGAAAGATTTTGTATTCAATTAAATATTATAATTAGTTACAATATATGGGATATCTGTCGGAAAAAATTGAGTAATCTACTTTCTCAAAGTTTTATTTAAGGATATTTCTTTCCACATTAGGTAGTTCACAGATAATAGTGGTTTTGTTTTCACAGTCTTTCTTGTCAAATCAAAATTCATACAGCAATTCATGTGAAAAAAGTGATTGACTATCCTTTTACAATTTACTTGATAAAATCTAAGTAGCCAAGAATTCAAGCCTAGAAGACTCTGACCAATATTATCCTTTATGCTAAGAAATAATATTCCAAACCTATTTCTTAGGCTATTAACTGCCATTTGACCCTTTATAAGCTGTTATGTTTCAATTTATTCAAATAACATATAATTGTCCAATAAGTTTGCATTGCCTCAGTACCAGATCTATAAAAGGTTAATGGGCTTTAAAAAGGGAAGAAATCTTCTGCAACAACACGGATGAACCTGGGAGACTTTACGTCAAGTGAAATAAGCCAGGCACTTAAAAACAACTATGACATAATCTCACTTATATAGAGAGTTTAGATAAGTAAAACTCATAGAAACAGACAGTTAATTGGTAGTCATCAGAAGCTAGGGCATGGGGAAATTGCAGAGATGTCGGTCAAAAGACACACAATTCCAGTTAGCCAGGAGGAGTAAGTTCAAAAAATTGATTGCACATCATGGTGGCTACGGCGAATAACAATACATTTATATTTGAAAATTGCCAATAGAGTAGATTTTAAGTATTCTCACCACACACACAAAATATAGTAAGTAGGTGAAGATGTTGTAGAGGCCCAAATTCGGGCTCATGTACCTGATGCTCAGTTGAAACCAAACACTGACACACCAATGCTTGGGGATAGATAAAAGTTTATTCCATTTGGCCAAAGTGAGAACGGGGCAAGATCTCTCAGACATGTCTTAACAATAAGACGAAGCAGAGGGGGCCGGGTGCGGTGGCTCACGCCTGTAATCCCAGCACTTTGGGAGACCGAGGCGGGCGGATTACGAGGTCAGGAGATGGAGACCATCCCGGCTAACACGGTGAAACCCCGTCTCTACTAAAAATACAAAAAATTAGCCAGGCATGGTGGCGGGCGCCTGTAGTCCCAGCTACTAGGGAGGCTGAGGCAGGAGAATGGCGTGAACCTGGGAGGCGGAGGTTGCAGTGAGCCGAGATCGCGCCACTGCACTGCAGCCTGGGCCACAGAGCGAGACTCCGTCTCAAAAAAAAAAAAAAAAAAAAAAAAAAATGCAGAGAGGATATTTTTGCAGCTAGACAGTAAGAGAGGGGGAGTTTTAGGGAACCAAGGGGAAAGTCTGTGTTTCTTTAATCTCTGATAATATCCTGAGCAACCAGACTTCTGGGCCTCAGCAGTTAGTTGCAACATCCTTATAGGCATTCATTCCTTCTGCAAATGTTTTTTTGTTACCTTAAAGTTATCTTCTCCTGGTTGACAAAGAAATAGTAAATCAGCAGTTTGCAATTGTATTGTGAGAACAAGGGATGTTGGCTTTTATGCAAGCAAGCAAGGGCCTAATTCGAATTTTTGTTATCTCAATCACTAAAAATGCTGAGGTATTGACACCTCAAGGGGTCCGATTACAAGGTAATGCATATAATGCGTATGTTTAGCTTGATTTAGCCATTCCACAATGTATGTATACTTTAAGACATCATGTGGTACACCTTAAATATATACAATTTATTTTCAGTTAAAAAATAAATAATTCAAAGGAAAAAACATTAATTGGAAGACTCACAAAGATGAGATAACAGGGAATGATAAAGAAGAGGAAAAATGTCAATATAGTTTCAAATAATGAAACATAAAAAATGGAATCAACAGTGGTGCTTTTTGATATGATCTTGAAAGTTAGCAAAGGAAAAAAAATACATGAACAATCTAGATTTATAAATATTGATCTAGAGACACAGCAGAAAATAGTTCAGAATATGTTTGAATATAAGAGAATATTGTTAAATATCAGTTTGGAAACTTTATTTGGAAAATATTAAAGTATACTGAATAGTTCAATACTTCATAACAAAATTTCTCTAGAAGAAAAATATAGACAGAAAGCAGCCAAAAACTAGTATTTGAACCTTTTGAAGTATCATTACAACTAATGTTTTGTGTACTATTTTGTTTTTGGAAATGCTGGGCCTAAGAAGAATCAGAGGAGAAACATATGAAGCCTTTTTACTTCTTTTTTTTTTTTTTTTTTTTTTGAGATGGAGTCTCACTCTGTCTCCCAGGCTGGAGTGGCAGTGGCGCGATCTCGGCTCACTGCAAGCTCTGCCTCCTGGGTTCACGCCATTCTCCTGCCTCAGCCTCCCGAGTAGCTGGGACTACAGGCGCCTGCCACCATGCCCGGCTAATTTTTTTTTTTTGTATTTTTAGTAGAGACCGGGTTTCACCATGTTAGCCAGGATGGTCTCGATCTCCTGACCTCGCGATCCGCCCTTCTCAGCCTCCCAAAGTGCTGGAATCACAGGCATCAGCCACTGCGCCCGGCCACCTTTTTACTTTTAAGTCAGGTGAGAAAAAAATCTGCCTTTTACTTTGTCACGGGTCCCAAAGAGGACGAGAATTTAAAAAAAAAAAAAAGAAGGGAGACCTGATCATCAGAGCATATACAGTGTTGTGAAGGCAGATGTAGTAAAATATATTATCTAAAAAAGGACTGAAGAAACTGAAATGCAACCTGCTAATGAAGATAGGTATGGAAAAGAGATATGAAATAAGTGCTTTTGGACAAGAAGATCACAATAAAAGGATTTCTGTGAAAAGACTAAAAACACAAAGTCAAATAAAATACATCACAGAATGTAAATAATAGACACCAGCTGCATGGGTTTTAAGACTTTGTTGAAGGAAAAATATAAAACTATAATTAAGAATGAGATTCTAGAAAAATAAGAAACATACAGACATTCAGCAATATCTAATGGTTTAATTTCACAGAAAAAAATTAGGCATTTATTAGAAAGTGTATTTATAAGGAAACCATAGAATGAGAAGAATCCTTGACCCTCCTCAACTTTAACAATTATGATACATCAAATTCACTTTTGATGGCAGAAGTGATGATATATTTTTTTAAAGTAACCTAGCCTAAAGTACGTCCTTAACCACTATCATTTAGACAATTTTTTACAAGCCCTTGCGTTGTGTACAGTAGCAAGCTCATAAGTGGAAACATTGGGCATTTAGAAGCAAACTGGTGATATGGAATTTTATTCTCTTTTTTTCTGTTTTTATTCTAAACAAAATTTTACTTCTACCTCCTACTAAGAAAGATCTCCTTATATTCATTTCCTATATGGTTTGGTATATGAATAAAGGGTGATAACAAATATAAACTAAAAGATGGGTAAATTTTTACATACACTTTCATAGCATTTATAGAGTAAGAAAAATAAAGGAAAGCAAAAAAACTACAAACAAAACAATTGAGAAGTGAAAGTCAAGGGCTTTGACTCAGAGGAGCAGAATGCTGGGGTGAGAATCCTCATGACATATGAAAAGAAGGAACCCAGTACACACAGTAGACAATTGGCAATTGAGAAAAGGAGAAACATCTCCATGGAAACAGTACAGAATGATTCTTTCCTTGACCTTGCGAGAAAGAAATCTACCGTAATTTTGTCAGACTAAGTAAGGATTTCTGTGGCCATATAAAAATGTGTAATGCAATATAAGAAAGTACTTTCCTCACATGTAGTTAAAGATGGATGATTGTTCTGATAAAAAATATGCTTACAGCTAAACTTGCTGCCACAGTTTAGGAAAATAAATGCCAGGCACTAGACTAAACCAAGGTGCTCATGCCATCCCTGGCAAATAGTAAGCTCACAGTCATCTCAAATAACTGCAAGATTAATAGATGTTTCAGGAAACAATAGGTAAGTAAATTAGAGAAATGGATAAATGTGTAAAGCTTCTATGCTAGTTTATGAGTGTTTTAGCTTAGAGAGTGTTAGGTCAGGTCAGTCTGTCAGGTACTTCTCACAATTGAAACTGTATAAAATTAAAATACTCAGATTTCAGATTTCAGAAAAAAATGTGTACAGTGAGATGTGATGTACAGAATAAAATCCTTCCATTTGAAGGAATATATAATGAGGATACCTAGAAAATGGTCTGGAAAGAATGTTAATAAATTGATGCTACTCTTTTATTTGACTACTGCAGGTCAGGGAGCATGGATCATCTGTGAGCATGTCTACAAGGAGGACAAAGCGGGTAGTACTATGGGGTCTCTTGCATGTACCATGCACACTATAGTCTATGTGAATGCTGCTTCCCAGAATCATGTAGTGTACAATCTTCCCTTTGGCAATGGGATGGGTAATGGTTATGATGTGAAGCAAACTTTTTCTTTATAACCTATACATTTTTTTTGTTTTTGCAGCAAGATTTTTTTCAGATACCAATTTTATAATGAGTGAGAATGATAATGAGGGACAGAACTACCAGGTAAATATTCCCCCACGTCTTGTTGTTGTATAACATAGACATCCTGAATTAGTTTTAAAAAGAATGATGATTTTTTTTTCTTCTCACAACGCTATTATTTTAAGGAGGAAGGCATGTGAAGACTTTGTATATAGAGTCAATAAGAAGATTTTAAACACGTGCATGTAAACTTGGCCGACAAGAGGCACTTGGATCTAGAGAGACTGGCAACATATAGCAGAACTTTAGCATAGCCTAGAGCTCTGTTACAGAAATTATGAGCTGGGAGAAGAGACAATGGTGAGCTGATGGAAGTCAGAGCAGCCAGGTTAATTAATTAGGACTCTCAATAAACACTAGAACAAAAATAAAGAAGACAGTAATCCGCTAGAACAAAATGGAAACCAAGGAGTCACTACCCACCCATAGACCCAATAACAATAGATGACAATGTTTGATAAGAAAATTAGAAGCAGGAGAGAAATTAGCATTTTATGAAAGAGGTTGTAGTCAGTTGGACAGATGGATGTTTAATTCTTGAATCCTCTATTTACACATGCTAGTGTATCTTCCTCTCTGGATCTGTTTCCATATAAGGGATATAATAATTATTATTTCATACAGACATTTTGTTGTGTTGTTGATACATTTGTGTGAGGTACATGAATAATGTATCTAAGTGTCTTGCACAAATCCTGGCACATAAATGTTCATTAAATGATGGGTCTCTACCAACATCCAATATGAAAAAATATTTCCATTTCCCAGGGGCTTCAGAAGATGAGTATGAACTCATCTTAGAGTTGAAGAATGTATCAGACAGGAACAGGTCAGAAAAAGATCCCAATCTATGTATGTCATGTATTTAGGGACTCAGAAGGAGACTTATCTCATGATTAGATGGTGTGCATGGGCAAAGAAAGGAAAAAAAATGCTGCTATTTTCATAAAGGCTGAAAATGCAATAATTATGGGAAAGTTGCTAACAATGATTTTAGATGCTTGTCAAACCTAAACAGGAGGTCACCAGAAAAATGCTCTAAATCTCTTCACTGTGACATCCACATCTAACACTCATGCCCTTATTTAGCATAATTTTACCTGGAGCTCTATTGTCCTGAGATCCTAGAAAATGTAGTGTCTAGGTTTCTCCCTTGTAATTTAAACAATACTTCAGAAGTTAGAAGACATGAGTGGATAACAGGAAACCTGTTACAGGATACAACTTGATTAATATAGATATAATAAATAATGGTGCTTCCTAACCTCAGTTAGGATAATAAATAATACATGTTCCAGTTAAATAATAAATGTTGTAGTCTTTATTACTTGAATTTCTTACAAGACATTTAAAGTTCATGAAGACAGATAGTAGATCTGTGTATTTTAATCATTTTTTAAGCGTCCAGAACTTCAGTTAATCAAATCAGTAAATATTTCTTTTCTTAAAATGAAACAATCTGCACATATACAACTCCACTCTGAAGAAAGGCAATTATTTTCATAATTATAGGAATTTCTGCATAATTATGTAAATAATTGCCTTTCTTGAGAGTGGAATTGTATATGTGCAGATTGTTTCATTAAAAAAATGTATTTATTATAATTAAAAAAGGCTTTATATATACATAAAGCCTTTAAGGCCTTTTGTTTTTTTTAAAAAAGAAGACTGTCCCTCCAAAAGTGGCACGTAGTTCTACCTGTTGTATAATCAACACTTTACTAATTTATGGATTTAATCCACTGCTTATCCCCAAGATTTCCGAGATCCCAAGTCCAATATAGTCAAGGCTCAAGATCAAAGTACTTACACTTTACCCTCACTACACCCCTTGCCTTTTATACTCCACCAAATACCACCTCCCAGAAGTTGCTGTAAAAAGAATAATTTACCTACATACATGACCATTAGGATTCTGCCTTGAAGCAGACATGCAGGAAAATATAATATTCCATCCCATGGCAACTTTTCTTTACTTGTTTTGTTGTAATATTTTTGTGTACCCTAAGAAATAGTCATTTTAATAGATTTTCAATTATAGACTAATATTTATCAGGGATTCATTATAAAATATGCTATGAATTTCCTTGATGGTGGGAGCAGATAGAGAGGAATATATGGTTCCATCTCTTGAACCTCCTCTGTGCTCTCTTATCTCAAGTTTATTTCATCAGTCAATTAATCTGCTTCTGTTACTGTGTCTCTAGCTCCCCCTGCCTTTCCCTGTCTCTCAAGCACTGTGGTTTATTATTCCTTATCACTCTAATAATAAATGCCAGAAGCTATGTTTCCTCACTAAGACATATCCTGGGAAGTCAATAAATACACGTTAAGAAGACAAGATTTCTCAACTTTGTTAAGATACAGATTTCTATCATTAACAATTCTGATTTAGCAAACATTTATTCACCCCCAATCTTTCTAACTTAGTTTATCTCCCAGAATTCTGCGGCCACAATTTGGTGTGTGAATAACTGATTGAACTTGCAACAGGTGGTGAATCATTAATGGCAATGTCAAGGCTTAAATCTTGCTCCACTGGTTCACCCATGGCTGCTCTCACATACCAAGCTAGAGTTCAATTAGAAAGTTGGAGATCAGTAACTCCAGAACACTGGCCAGAGGGTCAGAAGAGCTGACTCGTGGACATTCTCATTGTGGGTAAAGGATTCATTGGGTTTAATAGCAGTTTATGTCATTCTTTTCTAAAAATTAGCAGTACCAGTAGTCTCATGATTTAGGTAAATTTGCTGTTGATTGGGGTAGAATAGTAGAAGTATATTAATAAAAATGCCTTTTAAAAATTACAGAGTATTCTTTGCACTGCTGAAGTGATTCATGAATGAGAAATTTTGAATTACTACACATTAATATTTTTTCTAGCTCTCATACCTGTATAAGTCTCAGAAAGGACAGAAGTGAACAGAGATGAGAATGCAACCCTCTCTTAGCAAATGATCAAGCGATTGTGTATTGTTCAATGATTAATTGATATTTTAAAATGTTTCCAGGAAGACTAAAACACTTTTTGAGAATTATGTTCTTAATTTTATACTCACAGCTACTAAAGCAAGAGGGCTTCTTAGTAACAAATTATTTTTACAGTAATCAAAGAAAGGTTAAAATAAGAGAGTAAGATACCTAAGGCCACATGGAGAGTAAATGTCATAGCTGGAAATTTGGCAATGGTTTTGTGATTCTCATCATTTTCTATTTTGTTTTATTTTGTCTTGTAATACAGACTTCTCTGAATTATTTTATTTCTGACAGAGAGTAATATTAGACTAGGCCTTTATTTTTACAAAGCGTATGATTTGTATTGTTTACTAAATAGGTAGATAAATAAGTATGGACCAAAATAATGAGCAGTTATCATAAATGTTTACATATATAGAAAATTGTTTTTTAATGGATAACCTATATAAAATAACTTTTTAATAAACATGTATGGTTCAAGAAGGACATTTTAAATTAAATGTTCAATGCCATTTTAAGAATTTGATTCTCTAAAGAATATCCACAAAATTTGATACCACATTAAAAAAAAGATGCCAAATAAATATATCTAGAATCCTCTAGAATTTATTTATTGACGAAATCATAAGGAAAAGAATTTTCATATGTAATTTATTAAATGATAAGTGACTTGTCATTTCATTTACTTGGGAAATAGCATAATAAAGTTTTTAGGAGGTTTTCCTCTAGCTGGTAATTTTTGACAATTAAAAAACTTGACCCAGTTTTGAAAAATATTTGAAAATACTTGACCCTGCCCAAAAGCCACCTGCAAATAGCTTATTTGCATGAACATTAAACACAAGGGCTTTCATGTTCCTTTTACTTATTACTGGGATAACAAACCTCCATTCATTAAGCACAGCATCGTTTTTGTTGTGAATGAAAAATCAGCCAACTTTCTGCCACATCTGGCTGCTAATCTATAAGTTTTGAATAAACAGTAGACAGTCAATTGCCGGCATCCATTCTCTTAAACCACATGAAGTTTTTTTTTTCTCCCCAGTCAAAATGCCATTTAATACAATTTCATTTCATTTTTCAGAACAACCAAGGCTTTAAAAATAGATCAGGTTTTATGGTGCAGGGCGCAAAGCATGTATTAGATAATCTAAGGATAAATCTGTTCATATACTAAGTCTCTCAGTGTCCAATTGCCGATAAAAGTTCAAATAGTCACTGCAGACAGGATAATTTCACTGTATCAAAAACTGGCATTTGCATTGAAAAGTCATTTCTACTCATTTTTGAGAAACCAGTAGCAAAGTTATTAATTTTATAAAAAACCTAGACTCAATCTCAGTGAAGATCTTAATGGGTTTTTTGCTGGGCAAAAAGATGAGGGCAGTTTAACTGCGATAGCTACAAAACATGGCATATAAAACATTTATTTAATTGAAAAATAACAGCTACAGCATCCATAAAATTCAAAGCCCAGCATTAGCATTTTTTCCCACTGGTTCTAAATGAACCCCATCCTCCTTACTTTAAACCTTCAGAACAGTTGCCTATAGATAGAGTTATTAGTCAGACATTTGGGAATATCTTTCAGTGTAGCCATATGAAAATCTACCAGAGCACACATAAGAAAAGTCGTTCGGTAATGGAACAGACAGCTATGCCTCATTAAAATGCTTCACCAGATAAACTATAACAAGACTATTTGTTCTCATAATTTGTTACTTTTATTAATGAAGCCTCCCAATATGATGCCCCTCCCTTTTTTATTAGCAGCAATATCAAATTTTGTCCTCAGATTTATGCATATTTGGGTTCATTTCTTAACTTTCTTAAACTTCAAGTTTATTTAGGCCCCTGTTTCAACTAACATTTTGCTGAATCCTTATACATATTTATGCTATGTATTATTCCCAGCTTTAAAATTCCCGTTTTTAAATTGATATTAACTCCTCTTCTAAACCATTTTTTCTATATGTAATTTATATGTATATATATGACATGGATACAGAATTTCCTTTTGTCTCAAATTTTTGTTTATTCCCTATTAAATGATGAGTATCCCTAAATTATAGAAGAACAGTTAAGTCTTTGCAGGTTTTAATAAAAAGTAGCCAGACCAGTTCTGTAACTAAAACCTTCACTGACCTCAATTACCTGTACTCTTATGTAAAGAGAGGACTAGACATTCTAAGAATTATCATATAGAAAGTGAATTAGTTACCTAAGTGAGAGTGCTTTTAATTATTTTCTCTTTTGTAAGGAGAACTAAACTTGCTTCCAAACAGGAAGAGAGCTCAAAAAGACTGGGAGCAATTTCAAGAAGGAAAGAATGGGATATCCCTCTCCTTCTGGCACTCAGCATTGCACCCATCCTGCAATGGAACCATACATGATGAGACAGTTTTGGGAAAGTTTGATAGGTGTCCTCAAGAGTTTCAAGATGAAGCTAAACATGGCCAGTTGTTGCCTGCTTCTTGCTTTCAAAATTCTGAAGGCTACATGCTCATTGAGGCAGCTTTTGATGGCAAGATGGAGAAAGAGAAAAGATGCCAGATTCTTCTTCCCACTTTAGATGAGTGAATATGCTAAATATAGGCCAAGTCCGTGCCACAGAAGATGTAAGAGGCTTCAGATACCCACTGGCAAGTGTTTGCAAGAAGTCAGCAGGAGAACAAATTACACAGGTTAACAAATAGGTAGCACAGAGTTACAAAGAATTTACAGATTCACTCCCGACAGAAGCAGCATTTGGGTGCCTGCCTCTCAATAGAAAAAGATCAGATTATTAAAAAAAAAAAAAAGCTTCTCTCTTTTCTTTTAATTCTTCCTGCTACAATTCTTGTTTTCCCCGTTACAATCCGAAGGGACCCATAAACAGCACTTCAAATGTGTCATGTCACCCTCTCCTGGCTGTAAGGTTTCCACTGAAAAGTCTGCTGCCAGATATACTGAAGCTCCATTGTATGTTATGTGTTTGTTTGTTCTCTTGGTGCTTTTGGGATACTCTCTTTTTCCTTGACCTTTGGGAGTTTGATTATCAAAAGACTCAATGCCTATTGGCTCTGAGATGATTGCTTGTTTTCTGGGACTCAATTATAAGGAAGCAAAGAAGGGAGGTCTGGGCATACCGACATGCTTACCTGCCATGCAGATGCAACTAAGGAAAAGCTCCCAGATTTACCAAGTAAAAGTACAAGTTGCCCATTGAATTTAAATTTCATATAAATCATGAATAATGTTTAGTATATGTAATTCCTAAATATTTCATGGGATATACTCATAGTAAACAATGTAAATTCAGCTGGGCATGGTGTGCTTTATTTGACAACTTTGAACTGAGTCTTCAGCCAATCCTACTGGGCCTCTTTCAGAGTTGTCCCAAATTGATGCAAAGCAGTTGCATGTTTGTATAACTACATTAGCCAGCCATGGGTCAATGGCTGCTCTCTGAAAGGAGGCACCACTTTGGGCGAGTTAGTTCATTTTAGTTTGTCTTAGGACAATATTTAGTGAAAGGTACAGGTGTGAATGGTCAGCTGCTGATGTTCCCCATGAGTGTGGGATCGATGTCTTCCCATGAAGATGGGGTCTGGATGATGAACCACAGTGTCTAGTACAATAATTTCTCTTATGTGAGCTTCAAGAGTGATATTGAGTTAATGTTTCTATATCCTACTTTTTTGTTTTGTTGTTTTGTTATGACTTTGTTCTCTTAACAATTAATTTTCCACCTTAGTGTTTCTTATACTGAGGAATTGTAGCTACTTTTACTACAGAGGAATGCTGAGGAATTGTAGCTACACATGACGATTGCAATTTCAAGGAAAGGGAATTTATGCTGAAATATTTGAATAACTTCCCCTCTTAGTTTTTACTATGTCAAAAAAATTCATATAAATGTATCCCTTTACACAATGGTCTACTGAAATTTTTGGTGAAACTAAAACACAGTATTGCCTTTTTTACTGTAAAAGAGAAAAAATTAAATAGATTTATGTACAGAGACACCTATTACAAAAAATATTTTTAAATGACCCTACACTGTATTTGCATAAAAGACTTAATTTGTCATTTCCTTAGAAATGAGAGGTTAGGGGCCAGGCTCGGTGGCTCATGCCTGTAATCCCAGCACTTTGGGAGGCTGAGGCGGGCGGAGTTCGAGACTAGCCTGACCAACATGGAGAAACCCCGTCTCTACTAAAAATACAAAATTAGCTGGACGTGGTGGCACATACCCGTAATCCCAGCTACTCGGGAGGCTGAGGCAGGAGAATCACTTGAACCCGGGAGGCAGAGGTTGTGATGAGCCGAGATCATGCCATTGCACTCCAGCCTAGGCAACAAGAGTGCAACTCTGTCTCAAAAAAAAAAGAAAAAAGAAAAGAAAAGAAAAGAAAGGATAAGTCTGAAGAAATAAGGAGAAATAAGATAACTTGCTTGAGAAAGAAACATACACAAACTTGATAGCTATGGAGTATACTAGATAATCCATAATACGAACACTCAGGTTTGAGGAGATTCTATATAGCAGAAAAGGCCTATCTTCACAAAACTGCTAATTTGATAGGAAGTCTAACCTTATCTTTATATGGTTGTTAATGTTAAAGCATGGAACTTTTAAAGGACCTTTTATTTTGTCAAACATTTACTTAAGCAAAGCACACTGCTCAGTGCCTGGCACTTTAAAATACTCAACAAATATTGCTTTTATTGTTCCTTTTTTTTATACTCATGGGAAAACTGCTATTTTAAATAATCTGTAATTGTTTACTATGTATTTGCAAGTTAAAGTATCTAAATGTAGATAGATTTTGGTAATTGAAGATAAAATAATAGCCCTGAAACAGGAAAAGTGAATGTAAAGTTGATGTCTTCCAGGGCTAGAGAGGTATGATATAAGACAGTAGGGGCTGCGTAAAAGTGGAGACTGTGTATTCAACATAAAGATATTCAAATTCACTTTGAAAAAATAATCGAATTTTCAGGTAGCCAGACTTGAGTTGAGACAAGCAGTGGATCTGAAAGGCCATGAGAGAAGTGTGGAAATGTTATAGTGTAAAACAGGGGTCCCAACCCCTGGGCCACAAACTGGTACCGGGCCTGTTAGGAACTGGGCCACACAGCAGAATGGGAGAGGTGGATGAGTGAGCATTACTCCTGAGCTCAGCCTCCTATCAGATCATTGGCAGCATTTGATTCTCACAGAAGCACCAGCTCTACTGTGAACTGCGCATGCAAGTGATCTAGTTTGATCCTTATGAGAATCTAGTGCTTGATGATCTGAGTAGTGGAGCAGTTTTATCCCAAAACCTTCCCCCCAACCCTGTCCATGGAAATATTGTCTTCCACGAAACGAATCCCTGGTACCAAAGAGGTTGGGGACCACTGGAGTAAACAAAATTAAGGCAGTATTAAATACGAAGATGTCTTAGATGTTATTTTCTTGCAAGAGACAGAATCTTATTTAAATTTCCTTAGTAAAACAGAGGTTTAACTAAAAGGATACAAAAATATCTTGGGCTCAGAGTAAATAAGAAATCATTAGATAGCTGTTTGTTTTATATCTAGTTCCAAGTCTGCATGGTTTCTAGTTCCCATTCATCTGTTTATCATCTTCTCCAATACAGATTAATTTGGAAGGCTGTTAGTATTTGCTCCCTTTAACTTAAGTTTATCCATGGCTTTGGACTGCTGCGACAATTCTGGCCCAATGCTATTAGACTTCTCAGTTGAGATGCCTATAATTAACATACTAAAATACCTCATTTTCTAAATCAAAATTTTGAGAAAAAGCTTCATGTATTATATGCTTCTCCTTGAGTTACACATCCATTCCTACTTTTCTGAACTGTAACCAGAAAGAACGGTCATGGGGCACAAATAGGATTGGGTTTAAACTCTCTGCTTTATCACAATGCCAGACTGATATTTAGAGCCTCTACATGTGGAAAAGCTTATGACACTCCTTCATTGTACAGTTCAAAACAAAATTATTTTGAATCTGTAAAAAAAATACATACTGAATCTAAACAGCCAATTCTAGTTTACAAAGTTCTGGATAAGACCATTGTCTTAGTCCATTTTCTGTTGCTTATAGCAGTATACCTAAAACTGAGTAATTTACAAAGAACTGAATTTATTTTCTACAGCTAAGGAGGCTTGGAAATCCAAGGTCGATGGGGCATATCTTTTGAGAGCCTTCTTGCTTGTGGGGACTCTCAGAAGAGTCCCAAGGTAGCACAGGGTATCGTATGGCAAGAGGGCTGAGTATGCTAACATGCTAGCTCAGGTCTATCTTCCCCTTCTTATAAATCTAATGGTTTCCCTCCCAAGATAACCTATTAATCCACTGACTTATCGATGGATTAATCCACTCATGAGGGAAGAACTTTCATGATCCAATCCCCTCTTTAAAAAGCTCGTTCTCTATATTGTCATATTTTGGATTAAGTTTCAACATGAGTTTTGGGGGGAACATTCAAACCATAGCAACCATGAAAGCTGAACCTTTCCAATTCTGTGCATGGATGTTTATATCTGATATCCTAATTGCTGAAGCACAGTTTCAACCTGCCTGTTGAAAAAGTCCATTTGCAACCCAGCACAAGTCGATCACTTGCTCGAGCTAAATCTCATTTTGTCTCTCAAACATTTTTCCCAAATTCATGTCATCCCTCTGCTAACAAAGAGAACAAAGGTTTGTAGATGTTTCCTCTCCCAAAGATAGGGTGAATAACTGCTTTAGGCAGAGAAGATCAAAGTGTGACCTTATTGAGCACTTTTATTGGCTTCAGACTAGGGTTTCAACAAGTTCAGACTCCTGTGGCTGCCTCACCATGTCTAAAGAAATTATGAATGATCCATCTCCTTAGTGTGATTCCCCACCCACCCACTCCAATCCAGCCCTTCTCTCTACCTCTTTTCAAATATTTCTCTAAGACTTTTCTTAGACCAATATGACTTCCCTCTCACCTAACACCCTTTCTTTAGCAAGTTATATTTATGTCAGATTCTTAATCCATTCAAAGGGAATGATGATAAAGAATAAAAGAATAATACTAAGTATTAAACTGTGCCATCTTGCCCTTCTCTCTCCCTGAGAATTTTTGCTAATTTAGTAGCCAGGGGAAATGATTGCAATATCTCCTAGTGATCTGGTGGCAGGGGGAGCATCTGGTTTGGGTGAGTCAGTCCCTGACTTTGTAATATGACCTGGTGAATAACTCAATATCAATAAATTTCAACCTGCTGCAGGTTGCTGAAGTTTTATAGAAACTTAGAAGAGCTATAAGCCACCACCATAAATTTGAGAAGCAACCTTAGGCTCAGAGAAAAAACTGGCTGTTATCTAGCTGTGAAACAAAACACATAATAATTATATAGTGAAACAGGACTTCAAAAGAGAACTTAGGCAAATGAGATTTATGTTCAACATTTTTGTGGTTAATTATTCCATGTTGCTGCTTAATAAATTTTCTAATTTTTAAGAAATACAATTCAAAAATGAAAGTTTTGATTATATTGTAGGGTATTAGCACATGTTCAGAATTTTCAGAATTGGAGTTCTCTGCTGCCCTAACTGACAATGACAAAATCAAGGGTAGAAACTTAAGCTTATGCTTATTTCATAATGCTGGTCAAATTCAATTAAAATTAGTAATGTAATCTTTGAGTGGTTACTTTATATTTGTGTTCTCAAGCAGGGACAATTTTACTTTTCAGGGGATAGTTGTCAATGTCTAGAAGCCTTTGTGATTGTCAAAACTTGGAGAGGAGGAGGTACACTACTGGCCAGAGACACTGCTAAGCATCCTATAGCCCCCTCTGCATTAAATAATTGTCTGACCCAAAATGTCATAGTGCCAATGTTGAGAAGCTGTGCTCTACATTCTTCTTATTCCTTTATTAAATCATTATTATGTGTGAAGTGACTGTTACATAACTAGTAGTAAACAATATTTTATTGACCACTTATCACGTGCCATGCTCTATTCTAAGAACTACATACATTCATTCTATTTATCCTCACTATACTACAAAATAGGGTAGGCTATAATTCCATTTTACAGATGAGGAAATTGAAGCACAGAAGAGGTAACATCCACAATCACATAGCCTGCAGAAGATAGATCTGGATTTATAGTCAGGTAATTTGGTTTTAGAAGCCCATCCACTGTGGTAAAGGAAATCAAGTGCTGCTTATTATTTCCCTTGACTTTCTCCTATGCTCTTGCAACTCTAAGAAAAGGACCTTGGCAAATCTCAATCTACAGAATAATTCATAATTCTGGGAGCTCCACAGAAAATAAAAGTTATTTATTTATTTATTTATTTATAGCTGTTGCAGTGTTCTGCCACAGGTATAGTCAACTTTGTCTGCAAAGTTAAAATTTTTAAAATGAAAGAATTAACAATTCCTCCCCTAATTATATATATATATAAATAAATGTAGGCCTTAACATTAACACAAATCATTGAAGTTTCATGGGTCAAAAATTTAGGCAGATATGTAGTTAGTAGGCATCTTATACTAATTAGTTAACATACTACTTCTTTTATTTTTATTATAATATAAACTATATTCATTTTATAATATACATAAATAAAAATCAAATGCTAAATATAATAAAGTTTATTTTATATAGTCCAGCTCGCTAATGTACATTAATGCTTCAATGATAATATTAAAGTTTCTTTTATTTTATTACATTTAGATGCAAACTCCAGCCAGGGTTCACATATTGATTTCACGTTCTAGTAAAAACTACAAATAAAAAACTATAAAGTCAGAGATTATTTCTTAATATATTGCATATACTTTCATCCAATGTAAGTCATTTCATGACATGTTTAGCTTTTTTTGTCATAGTGGTCTCATGTTTTAATGGAAAATAGTATGCAACAATTTTGCTCTGTTTTAGATGTGATATTGAAGTTTAAAACTTCACTAATAATTGCTGCAAATATAACACAACAAGAGAAAGCACTATAATCTATTGAGGCAAAACATAATATTAAGTAACTGAAAATGGCAGAAAACTATAGGGTATGATAACAATGCAACATGAAAAGCAAAGAGCTTTATTTGTGGTATTCCAGGTTGAGGGAGACATTCAAATGCCTATTAATTCCTATCTCTACCAATGATCACATTTATATGGTTCTGTACTGGCATGTTCCCTGAAGTCTACTCGTGCCCCATTAGTGGTAAAAGAATTAAATATTTAAAAATATTTACGCATATTATATTTATTAGAAAAAAATACTGACTTCCATTTATGTTGAGAATGTCAGCAAATCCAATCAACTCTTCTCAGTATTTCCTTTTTTCTTTATTTGTTGCTATAACCAGAGTCCAAGCCAACATCATTTCTTGCTTATAAATGTGCAATTATTTCCTACTATCTCCCTTTGCTTTCATTTCTGCTACTTTATGTTCTATTCTCCCCAGAGTAATCAAAGGGATCTCTTAAGAACTTGTCAAATCATGTCACTCCTCTCCTTAAAGCAACTCATGCCGCGCATTCATTTAGACCATACCCAAACACCCTAGTGTGACCTGCCCCATGAATCATATTCAGACCTCATCATTTGTATCTGTACTCCCAATTCACTTTTCTTGAGTGAAATAATCTTTTTTGTTGTTGTTCCTCAATCATCGTGAGCTCTTTCTTGCCTAAGGACATTTATACTAGCTCTTTCTTTTTCTGGAAACATCTTTTTCCCAAATATTGTGGCTAATTCTGCTGGAGGTTTTCAGCTTAAATGACATCTCCTTGGCATTTCTCATGAAGTAAAATACAAGCTCCACAAGACAAGGCTGCAGGGGAAGTTAGGAAGGGACTACTTTTTTGGTTTTGCATTCTTTGAAATAAAGCATTATGGGCAACATATTAACAAAATAAAATATAAAAGGAATACCATAAATCTTCATTTTACATTTTTTCCTACAATTATTTTCTATATACCTACCATCTGTCATTTTCTATCTATTTGCTAAAAATTTCTCAGCATTTCCATGTAAGCAACATGCATATTAACTGGGTTGAATCCTCTGTGTCAGATTCTATTTTATAATCCAGAGTGTTTCACTTGCACCTTTTACTTCCTTAAAGTCCTAAGATAAACAGTTGCAAAGAGTCAGACTCTTTGAAGCTCTAAACATACTTCTGCTCTCTCCGTCCTAATAGCCAAAGGAGGGCTTTTCTGCATTTTCTCTATTCAAGTTCCTTTTGCTTTTCCTAAGCTTTGTAGTAAAAATCTGCACTCATGTTCTGCCATCTGCTTTTAGTATATTTTTAATTCACCCACCAATTGCCATTTTACTGATTATCCCCAGAAGGATAAAGCCATTTTTAGTAAAATTCTGCTTTAAGGGGAATTGATAGTTGTGGAGAAATAACTGCACATTGTTGAAGAGTATTTATTAGAACACAGTTCCATTGTATTTGAGGAGAGAAATGCATTACTGACTGCAATGTCTTGAGTCAAGAATTTAGCAAGTTTTTGGAAAAGACTTTCATAAGGTGGAACAGGAATCCACATTAAGTTCTTGAACACATAAGATTGAGTTGAGCAAATCAATCAGAGTTTGACAAAGTAAAGCGATGAATCTAGTTAAGGTAATGAAATAAATTAATCCCACTTGCCTCATATAAGGGTTTGAAAGCAGAAATAAATGCAAATAAAGGAATTAGAGGTAGAGTTACACGTAGAATTGCTGGCTCTATAATGGAGAAAAGTCAAGAAGAATTTGAGATAAATTTATTTGTTGGACAAAATACTACTTACAAAAGAGTTGGAGTTGGATTTGAGTTGTTAATATATAGGTGTGAATGTGTGTGTGTATATGTATGTATATATGTATATGTACATGTGGATTCTAGAGGTCTAGAACTTAAATTGTTTGGACAAAGGATATGGATTTTTACCAAGTGTTTATTTAATTGCATTCTAACAAAATAATATTCTTATAAGTGTATGAGAAAGACCTTCTCCCCTATATTTACTTGGAAGATTACCAATTGTATTGACCTTTCCTAATTTAATAGATAAAATAACTACAATAATAAAATTTTTATTGATGTACTTACAGATTAAACAGTTTTCATATTTTTTATGTTTTTGTAAATTGTCTCTCATAGCTATTGCCACTCCTCACCTTTTTAAATGTTTATTAATTTGTAAAAATTCTCTTAAGGACATCCACCTTTGAAGTAAATGTTGCAAATATTTCCCAATGCATATTATTGTCTTTTAGCTTTGTTTATAATGAATTTTTACATTTTTAACTATAAGACTCACAAATATTTGTTGCATCAAACTTATTTATGATTTCCACGTTGGTCATTTTTCAATAGGCCTTCTCACCCCCAAATTATTATTATTTTAATAATGGTCTTTAAAAATATCAAATAATATATGTATTAGCTATTAAGTACAGTTAGACTTTTTTACTAATATAATAAAAATTTGCAAAATGATAAATAATAAAGTAATGGATGATTGTACAATGTTATGCCAATTTTCCATAATGTTGTTCTAATATTGTAATTTGCTTTCTGTCATACAGAATGTAATTTTACTTACGGTACAAATTTTAGGTAAGAGTAGATTCGAGTGAATGAAGGCTGGATGAACAGTGATACTGTACCTAAACACAGGTTCTGTGCATTTTAAGAATCATTGCAGACATTTGAATACTGGCAAATCTTTGTTATATTTAAATAAAATTAATATATCTATAAATTTAGCTTATATTTTTTCTTTTATTTTTATTTATACACATATGTATATAATATGACTACAAACAGTCAAAATAATATAACCAATTCCCACATACACACCATTTAGTACAAAGGATAAACATTATCTGTACCATTCAAGTACTCTGTGCACCCTGTCTTAATTGATTTTACCTTCTTCCCCCTCAAAATATTATCTTGATTTTCTCTAACCTGTTGTCTTAAACAGGTCTTGAAAAAACTGTGGCTGGGCACACTGGTACACCTGCAATTCCAGCTACTCAGAAAGCTAAGCCAGATTGCTTCAGGCCAGTAGTTTGAAGACAAAAAGTGCTGTGAAAAATGTTGGCTAGGCAAAGGGATTTGGGAATACTAGGGAAAATGTTAGACTGCTAAATGGGTGGTTCTGACAGGCTTCATTCATTTTTAACTTTTAAGTTCAGGGGTACAAGTGCAGGTTCATTACATAGGTAAACTTGTATCATGGTGGTTTGTTGTACAGATTATTTCATCACCCCAGTATTAAGCCTAGTAACCACTAGTTATTCTTTTGTATCTTCTCCCTCCTCCAATTCTCCACCCTCCAAAAGGCCCCAGTGTGTGTTGTCCCCCACTCTATGTGTCCGTGTGTTCTCATCATTTAGCTCCCACCTATGAGTGAGAACATGCAGTGTTTGATCTTCTGTTCCTGTGTTAGTTTGCTAAGGATAATGGTCTCTAACTACATCCACATCCCTTCAAAGAACAAGATCTTGTTCTTTTTTTATGTCTGCATAGTATTCCATGGTGTTTATATACCACATTTTCTTTATCCAGCAGACCACTGATGGGCATTTAGGTTGATTCCATGTCTTTGCTTAGAGAAGGAAATAAAAGGGTGTTCCAGAGGGAATACCCAGTGCCAAGCTCTGGTTCAGGAGTGTGGCTGGGATCCTCTAAAACTGCAAGCAGTTATAACTGAGAGTTCTTGCTTAAAGTGTGGTTTATGTTCAACCATCTGGTTATAACTGAGAGTTCTTGCTTAAAGTGTGGTTTATGTTCACCCATCTGGTTATAACTGAGAGTTCTTGCTTAAAGTGTGGTTTATGTTCACCCATGTGGTTATAACTGAGAGTTCTTGCTTAAAGTGTGGTTTATGTTCACCCATCTGGTTATAACTGAGAGTTCTTGCTTAAAGTGTGGTTTATGTTCACCCATCTGGTTATAACTGAGAGTTCTTGCTTAAAGTGTGGTTTATGTTCACCCATGTGGTTATAACTGAGAGTTCTTGCTTAAAGTGTGGTTTATGTTCACCCATCTGGGACTATACTTTTGAAGTCTATACTTTTGGAAGGATAGATGTTTGATTTTTTTTTTTTTTCTTTTAAAACTAGTAAGTCATTTTTGTTCAGTTTTTTAAGTGTCTATTTTATATATTCAAAAGTAAGTTGATAATGCTTTCTTGTGCTCATTATGGCTTAAATTTCTACTATGTTTATAAGTGCTGACCCTCTTTTCATCATCATCTTGTGTCTTTTGATCTATCTCCTTCTTTTTCTCTTTACTTGGTAAACAATCTGGCTGGAAATTTGTCTATTTAAGTATGGTTTTTAAAGAATCAACTTTATTTTTTATTGTACTGCTTCCTTCTTTCTCTTTGATATATTTTTACTTCATTATAATTTACACTTATTTTGTGTGTTTATGTTTATATTTCTTATATAATTCCAGCTTTTGCTGTATTCAACAGTCTTCCTTTTTATGTGCAATTTTTCACTGTCATTAAGTTCTAAATAAAGTATAACTTCTATTTTTATTTTTCTTTGAGTCATAAATTACATGCAAGCTTCTGTTTAAGTTTGCAAACAACAGCATTATCTGGCTGCCTCTTTTTATTGGGTTCTTTCTTACATTTGGGTCAGAAAACATAGTCAGTCTAAAACAGTTTTCTTGACCTCTAAACATTTTGCTAAATTCACTTATTCAAAATTTTCTGCTAATCAGAATATTATGTAACATAATCAGAACATACCACATTACACTCTGATAATCAATTCACTAGAAAGATATTGTCCCTTATGTATTAAAATTTGTTCATTTTTTGGAATTCTCAGAAATGTTTTTCAAGAACACTTTCCGTTAACATTTTACAAAATTTAAAAATGCAAGTAAATTTATGCCTAATCGTACATTAAGTATGATTTTATAAGTGGCATATAAACAGATTGATAATTCCTTTCCTAGAGTGTAGAGATGCCCTATGCACTGCAAGACAGTCAAGGGAAGGAGTTGGTTTGGTTTAGGATGCGTGATAAAGCATCTCATGAAGTATCTGTATGCTCAGTTTTAGAAAATGGATCCCATTTCTAAAAACTGGATTCATTGACTACATTATTAAATTGTTTCAATGCTGTATTCCACTATATGTTGCATTCTATAGAATGTTTACTTAACATCTTTGGAATAATCATTAAGTAAACAAAAACTGTCCCCTCTTCCTCAAAACTTTCTTTTATTCCCATGCTTATCCACTGTCATCAAATTACCACATCTGACAGAAATAATTTTAATTTCACCATCAATTGCTAGGATATTAATTTAGACTACAAATAGCTGCATATAAACATAAATGAAAAAATATTTTTCCACTCTCGTTGTTGAAACAGTGGGAGTCCTGAATGATTTGATAGCTGTACAATTAATCAAATAATAGACTACTGGATTAAATCTCAGTGAACTAAAAATATCTGTGCATAGCTGTAAACAAAATTAAATTAATATCCTCAGTACCTCTTATGCCTTTAATGCTATCAGGATCAGTAGATGTGATTTTAAATGACGATTCATATAAATAGGAATATACGTAAAATTTAAAAATACTAAGTGAATTTATACCTAATTGTACTACATTATTAAGTATAATTTTCTGAGTGTTACTCCTAACCAGTAGCAAATATGTTATATATATGAGATATATGATATGTGTATATATGATATATGATATATATGTTATGATATATATATGATATGTGATATATATGTTACTGGGTAGGAGGTACAGTAGCAAGTTTTCTTTCTTAAAAGAATGGTATACTCTGGGTCTAAGAATGACAAACAGATGATGTGGTGGTCACTTACCAGAGTATTTTATTTATACTGATCTGTACCCCTAGAATATTCAAAAATGAGGATGTATGAGATATATAATACTTTTTATTCTATTTTTCTGAGTTTTCCCTCCCAGTTAGGTTTTCGGAATACAAACATGGAGCAGTTACATGACATAAGGGCAAATAGTATAAGAATTATTACACTTTATTCATTTGTATCTTGTATACTTCCTCTATTGGGTAAATGGATAGATGCAATGAACTGCTAAATAATACCTGTTGAATCCAACCTGAGTGAAAACAAAATCTTATGCCTATTGAAAAGCATACAATGTTTGTAGTAGGGAGAAAGGAATATGATAGATGTCTGATATTTAAATGTAAAAACGTTGGCCGGGCACTGTGGCTCACGCCTGTAATCCCAGCACTATTGGAGTCCGAGGCACAGGCAGATCATCTGAGGTCAGGAGTTCAAAACCAGCCTGGCCAATTTGGTGAAACCCCGTCTCTAATAAAATACAAAAATTAGCCAGGCGTGGTGGTGCCTGCCTGTAGTCCCAGCTACTTGGGAGGCTGGAGCAGGAGAATCACTTGAACCCGGGAAGTGGAGGTTGTAGTGAGCTGAGACCGTGCCACTGTGCTTCAACCTAGGTGACAGAGCAAGACTCCGTCTCAAAAAAAAAAAAAAGTAAGAACATTATATGCTAACGTGAATGAAATATAAACAATTTTCAATTTTATATTATATACAATGGCAGATCATAGCTGCACCTGTAAGAGAAGATCAAATTAAAATCGGTTATCTGTTTGTTTATTCTCTTATCAGTGCCTGGCTTTCTAGAAAAATTTAGCTATTTTCATGGAATTCTCTGATAAACATTATGAACTCATTTCTTTCTATAATATGTTGGTAATATTGGCCGTATATAATAATTTAGAATCTCTTATTCTCCTTTATTTTTCTCAGAGCAGTCATTGCCATTTGACATGTTATATTTTATTTTTGTTAGTTTCCTATTTTACCATACAGCTAATTAAAATGAACTTTTCATTAATTCAATTACTGTTCTTTTCACTGTTATAGCCCAAGTATCTAAAACAGTGTCTAGCACTAAGTAGTCACCAGGTAAGTCTTTGCTGAGTGAATAAATCTTAGAAGGAAAGGAGAGAGAAAATCTAGATCCTTTATAGTATCCATGGTTTTCTACAAACAGGTAGAATGTAATATTTTATTATTTTGCACCATGTAAGTTAGAATCATTGTGGAACATCACATTTATACAATTCTTATTAGACTATATCTAGATCTCTTTTAAAATAAGCAAGCAAGCAAGCAAACAAACAGCAATGAAGATACGCTGAAGAAGTTTTGGGAGGAGGACCTACATCTTTACAGTTTCACCCACAACTTACCCATACCCTCCTTCAATGAATTCCTAGGGCTTCTTAGAAAATAGTGGATGCAATTCAGGAAGTGTTTGTTTTAAAACACCAAGAATGATGACTGTCCAAATTCAGAATGTGTTCATGTATTCCATAGACAATGACTGAATATCTACTAGGTTCTGAAAAATGTACTAGTTGCTGTGGTGGATAAAATAATAATAATACACTGTAAGACAGTCAGGGGAAGAGGTTGGTTTGGTTTAGGATGCATGATAAGATATCTCATGAAGTATCTATATACTCAATTTTAGAAAATGGATCCCACTCTTAAAAACTGGATTCATTGATGGCATTATCAAATTGTTTCAATGTTAAATTTCACTATCTATAGTGTTGGAATATTAGTCCAGTAACAATATGAAACCAAAGATACATCACTATCCAGTAAGGCAGTTTATATTATTACCACATAGTACAATGTGTTAACAGAGATCAAAGATAAATGAACACTTCCAACATAAAACGTATAATAATTTACTTCAGGTAACATATTTTTAAATTATGGGTATAATTATGGGCATAATCATAATTACTACTTAGAAATGTATTATGTGTATCATTTAACATTTTATATATAACATTTTGAATTTTTAAAATATTTATGGGTCCTTGTTGTTAAAATGAAGTGGCGTTCCAGAAATAGTTGATTGTAGATTTGTTGCACGTAAAACAGAGAAATCCAGCATTTATAGGTAACACCACAGTTAAGAGGAAAGAAAACTAAGAAAATTGCAGTAGAATACTTTTGTGAGGAAAAAATGAAATGTCAAAGATAAAATTTTTATGGTTCTTTAATCACAATCATCAAATTGTAACAAATGGAACTTTAAAATTGAATTTGTCTCTTGTCTGAATTACACCTGAGATTATACCTGCACACCAAGTGAAGAATCATATTTCAAAATGCATTTCATTTGGCTTTTAACACAGTTATTCTGTTGAAGACATTTCTGTAAAGCTTGCCAGATACAGGAAAAGCAATTTAATAAACACTGTGATCAAATAACTACTCAATTGTTCTTCATCTTTTTTAACATTTAACACCTTGCAGATCATTGCTACAATAAAGTGTGTTATCCCCTTTTCACAATGATTCATTAACCTGTATTAATTGTTCTTTACAAAGTTGTTTTTATACATCTTACTAACTACCAATGTGAGGAAAAGGTCTATGTTGCTTTCATTCAGTAGAAAACACATGCACTTTAATAATATTGTTTCTTAAAAAACACCTATTGGTTTGTTTTCTTTCAGTTTCTCATTTATCATCATTTGTTCATCTTCACTGAAAGCTGAACATATGCAGCCTAACAACAACTTGAATTAATTGAATGTTTCGTATCTATTCTCCAAATTAAATTTTCAGTTTTGCTCACCTTTTCATGATTATATTAAGAAAATGTAGCCATAATTGCTTGTATGGGAAAAATTACTGAGAAAGACATTCAGATTAAATGTAGGAAATGCTCTAAGGATCTTTGAAAGGAAAGAAATGTCAGGTTCTATATTGTATTCAAGGAAGATAGGAGATGAAAGTGTCAGATATGCAAGGCAGATAAGAAAATAGTTTTTAAAAATAAGTCATAGACATTCTTTTTCTGATAGTTATTGAAAAATCCTGTTCATCAAAAGATATCTTAAATCAATAAAGATTTCCTCAACAACCAGACAAAATCGTTCTGTGTGTGTGTATGTCTTATTGGAACTGTAATTATATTTACAATACTATAATTAGTCGTGTTATTAACTCTTGTTACTCACTAGAACATTATTGGTAATAAGCAGTGACATATCTTAAAGATTTTTCTTGTGTCCCAGCGTCTGCCCAGTGATTAATATGTTCAGCTCCATAAATGTTTATTCAACGAGTAAATTAGTGACTAGGTACTAAGTTCTTATTCTTGTGTACAGTCACCTATCAAATCTTTCCACTCTTCTCTGGGCAATTGGGGAAGCTATGTATAGAAAATGGAAGAGTCTCTGTCAGCCTGGGTTACTAAGGGTGAACCTGAACTTTCTCTGAGTGAAAAAAAAATCTATTTTACTGAGCCACAGAGATTTGGATATTCATATTTTATAGCAGTATTAACTAATACAAGGTATTTTTAACCTTTAAAAGAAAAGAAGAAAAAGTAGAAGTGATACTAATTTCCCAGATGCCATCCAACTCCTCTTTCACCAATAGATAGCATTGAAAGGCGGGAATCAGTGCCTCCTCCTAGTGATAGTGCCTCAGTTGAGCAGGGCTTATTCCGAATTCAGTATGCAACATCCCGACAGGGCAAATCTAGGGATTGCTCTCAAGTCACTATCCAACATCCCGATGGGTTGAATGGCATGCCAAACACAGCAATAAGCACTATAAAAAAGCCAGGCCGCCCCGGGGTGGGGCCACGTGGCTTCAGACCAGAGAGCGGAGCTACCTTGGCCCAAGCGCTGCAGCTGCCTGAACCCCGGGGCTTCGCAGCCTTGCTTGTTTTCTCTGAACCGCAATAGGATGGTGTTCACAGCGATTCAAAGGGTGGCATTGGGTTGGACGTTTTGGTTACGAGCCAGCCTATTCCCACATTGTACGTGAATGTTTAATGTGCTCTCAAAACATGGAAAATAAGTTTAGTGCACATAGCTAAATCACAAAACATCCGATTTCTGTTTCCTCAGGAAGTCATTACTGCGCCACCACATCACGTGACCTTAACATGATCAATGTATTTCTCTGCCTTGACATTTAAATAAACTATATAAATTAAGATAAGTAGATTAGAAAATCATTCAAATTATACCATAATCTGTACAAATATTGTGTCCCCTGCCAGGCAAGGGACAGGGTGCCGGCGACGGCCGCGTGGCCAAGGCCCCGCAGGAAAGCTCCCAGGTCTCCCTCACTCTCCAGGTGCCCTTTGCACCCAACAGTGCGTGTGAGGAACGAACTGCTGTTTGAACGTCCCCTGAGATTGTGCGTAGCCCCGTGTAAATGTAATAGCCTCCATGGCTTAATTGGCTATCAAGCGAATTTTCCCAGATGAAAGCAATGTTGGGTTAGGGGACGACGGTGCAGCCACCCAGCCTTTACCAGCAGCGTGCTGCAGACGAAGGCAGTCAAGGTGTGGAGGTGATCACGCAGGTACATGTTTTTGACTGTTTAATTTGAAAGTTCACATTTTTTATGCTTTGCGTTGATGTGTAATTTTTGTACTCTTGGTGACTAGTTTTTGTCAAATCTTTTTTGGAATATTGCTTAAATGTTTTGATTTTATGATAGTGAAGCTTGTATTCAGTGTTTTGTCAATTAATATTTTATGCTAGTAAAAAAAGCAAAAGAGAAAAAAAAAAGATCTTAGTCTGTTTCTAAGGCCCAGACCACACAAAGTATCCATTTTCCTCTCTTGTCTATAAAACAAAACTCACCTTATCAACAGTTTCTGTTCTACCCAAAGATGTTAAATAAAGTCCAAGGTAGTGGGATGGGGGAAGTGATGTTTTATTGTCTATGGCACGTGTGTTCCTAGGACCTATAAAAAGGAAAGCAGGTAAATGACTTTGATCTGTTTGATAAATGATTTTTATCTTGAGTAGTGTAGTCACTTAAATATGTTGATCCTCCTTCTGGGTGGAAATTATTTCAATACCATGTTGTTTTTGTTATTATTAACTATATATTATTATGTATATAATAATACATAAAAGTTATAGGAATGAAATAAAAAATTATTGAAATCCTAACACACAGTTGTAGCTATTTTTCATTCATGTATTTATTAAATATTATTAAATTATTCACCACATAATAAATAGTAAAGCATTTTCCACATAATCATATCTACCGTTTTATTCATGGAAATCATTTTATTTGATTATTTAATATTTATTTTAGATTAAGCATGCATGTGTACATTTGTTACATGAATATATTGCATGATGCTGAGGTTTGGGCTTCTATTGAACATATTATCTGAATAGTAAACATAGTACCCAATAAGTAGCTTTTCAAACCTTGCCTTCCTTCCTTCCCCTGTTTTGGAGTCCCCAGTGTCTGTTATTTCCATCCTTTTGCTCCTGTGTACCCAAAGTTTAGCTCTCACCTATAAGTGAGGACATGCGGTATTTGGTTTTCTGTTTACATCTTAATTCATTTAGGATGATGGCATCCAGGCACATCTATGTTACTGCAAAGGAAAGGATTTCATTCTTTCTTCTGGCTACATAGTATTCCATGGTGTATATGCATCATAGTTTCTTTATCCAATCCACCATTGTTGGAAACCAATGTTGATTCCATGTCTTTGCTATTTCATATTTGCAATATAACATGCAAGTGTGCAGAAGCTCTTTAGTTTAATTTGGTCTCACTTGTCAACTTTTGTTTTTGTTGCTTTTGTGTTTTAGTACTTAGTCATAAATTCTTTGCATAGGCCAATATCCAAAAGAGCTTCTTAGGTCTAATTCTAGGCTTCTTATAGTCTAAAGTTTTACATTTAAGTCTTTAATCAATCTTGAGTTAATTTTTTTATATGGTGAGAGACAGGAGTCTAATTTCATTCTTCTGAATATGGTTAGCCAGTTTTCCCAGCACCATTAATTGAATAGGGTATCCTTGCCCCATTGTATTTTTATCAATTTTGTTAAAGATCAGTTGGTTGTAGGTATGGGACTTCATTTCTGGATTCTCTATTTTGTTCCATTGGTCTATGTGTCTGTTTTTGTACCCAAACCATGCTATTTTGGTTATTGTAGCCTTGTAGTATAGTTTGAAGTCAGGTAATGTGTTGCCCCTGCCTTTGTTCTTTTAGCTTAAGATTGCTTTGGCTATTCAGGCTCTTTTTTAGTTAAATACAAATTTTAGAATTGATTTTCTAATTCTGTGTAAAAATAACTTTGGCAGTTTGATAGGAACTGCATTGAATTTGTAGATTGCTTTGGGCAGTAAAGACATTTTAATGATGTTGATTCTTCCAATCCATAAGCATGTAATATTTTTCCATTTGTTTGTGTCATCTATGATTTCATTCAGCAGTGTTTTGTAGTTCTACTTAAAGAGATCTTTTACCTCCTTGGATAGAGGTATTCCTAAGTATTTCTTTTTTTTTTTTTTCTGTGGCTCTTGTAAATGGGATTGTGTTCTTGATTTGGTTCTCAGTTTGAATATTGCATTGTATAGAAATACTACTGCTTTTTGTATATTGATTTCTTATCTTAAAACTTTACTGAAATTTTTAATCAACTCTAGGAGTCTTTGGTCAGAATCATTAGGGTTTTCTAGGTATAGAATCCTATCATCAGTGAAGAAATAAAATTTAATTTCCTCTTTTCCTATTTGGATGCCTTTTGTTTCTTGCTTTTGTCTGATCATTCTGGCTAGGGCTTCCAGTATTAAGTTGAATAAGAGTGGTGAAAGTGGATATTCTTGTCTTGTTCTTATTCTTATGGGAATTCTTCCAACTTTTGCCTGTTTAGTATAACGTAGACTAGGTTTGTCAATAGATGGTTCTTATTATTTTAGGTATGTTCTTTGAATGCCTAGTCTATTGAGGGTTTTAATTATGAAGGCATGTTGGACTTTATCAAATGTTTTACCTGCATCTGTTGAGATAATCTTATGTTTTTTTTCATTTTAAATTCTGTTTA
The DNA here is from genome assembly GCF_000001405.40 of Homo sapiens. Taxonomy (NCBI): domain Eukaryota; kingdom Metazoa; phylum Chordata; class Mammalia; order Primates; family Hominidae; genus Homo; species Homo sapiens. Next base: position 47,597,132 of record NC_000010.11, on the reverse strand, counting down.
TGTGGTGAATCACATTAACTGATTTGCATATATTTGAACAACTCTTACATCCCAGGTATAAAGTTCACTTGATATTGTATTATCTTTTTGATGTGCTGCTGAATGTGGTTTGCAAGTACTTTGTTGAGGATTTTTTCATCTATGTTCATCAGATATATTGGCCTAGGGTTTTGTTTTTTGTGTGAGTATTTGCCATATTTTGGTATCAGGATGATATAGGTTTTGTAGAGTAAGTTAGAGGAGAATCTCTCATCCTCGATTTTTTGGAATAGTTTCAGTAGGATTGGCATGAGCTCCCCTTTGTATGTCTGGTAGAATTCAGCTATGAATTCATCTAGTCCTAGGCTTCTATTACTTATTCAATTCATTCTGTAATTCATTGTTGGTCTGTTCAGTGTTTCAGGTTCTTCCTGGTTCAATCTTGGGAAGTTGTGTGTTTCCAGGAACGTATTCATTTCTTCTAGGTTATCTAGTTGTGCACATAGAAATGTTCATAGTAGTCTCTGAGAATCTTTTGAATCTCCGTGGGACTCGATTGAATGTCGCCTTTGTTATTGCTGATTGTGCTTATTTGGATCTTTTCTTTTTTGTTAATCTTGCTTGCAGTCTATCAATTTTGGTTACACTTTCAAAGAACCAACTTTTCATTTTGTTGATCCTTTGTGTGGATTTTTGAGTCTCGATTTTATTCAGTCCTGTTCTTATTTTTGTTATTTCTTTTCTTATGCTATATTTGGATGTAGTTTTTTTTCTTGTTTTACTACTTGCTCTGGGTGCAATGTTAGATTGTTAATTTGAGATATTTCTATCTTTTTGATGTAGGTATTTAGCACTATAATCTTTCCTTTTTAAACTGCTATTATTGCATCCCAGAGGTTTTTGTTCATTGTGTCTCTATTTTCATTTGTTTAAAAAATTCTTTGATTTCTGCTTTAATTTTATTGTTTACCCAAACAAAAGTCATTCAAGAGTAATTTCTTTAGTTTCCGTGTGTGTTTGTGTGTGAGTGTCTGTGTTTTAGAGTTCCTCTTGCTATTGATTTTTATTTTTATTCTACTGCGGTCCAAGAAGATGCTTGATATTATTTGATTGTTTTTATTTCTTGACACTTGCTTTATAACTGCATATGTGATCACTCTTAGAGTATGTTCCATGTGAAGATGAGAAAAAAATATATATATTGTGGTTGTTGGGTAGAGTGTTCTGTAGATGTCTATTAGGTTCAATTGGTCAAGTGGCAAATTTAAGTCCAGAATTTATTTGTTTAGATTTCTGCCTCAATAATCTATCTACCACTGTCAGTGGAGTGTTGAAGTTCCCAGTTATTACTGAGGGGCTGTCTACCTCTTAGGTCTAGTAGTGATTTCTTTATGTATCGTGATGCTCCAATTAATATTGGGTGCATATTTATTTAAGATAGTTAATTATTCTTATTGAATTGAGCCCTTTGTCATTAAGCAATAACATTTTTTTGTCCTTGTTTCTGTTTTTGGCTGAAGATCTGTTTTCTCTGATATGAGAATAGAAACTCCTGCTCTTTTATGTTTTCCATTTGCATGATTAATCTTTCTCTATCCCTTTACTTTGAACCCATGAGTGTCATTAGTTGTGAGATGGGTCTCTTGAAGACAGCAGATGGGTGATTCTGATTTTTTTATTCCAATTCGCCACTGTATGTCTTTTAAGCGGAGGATTTAGGCCATTTATGTTCAAGGTTAACATTGATATGTGAGATTGTGTTCCTGTCATAGTTTTGTTAGCTAGTTTCTTTGCAGTCTCAATTGCGTAGTTGCTTTATAGAGTCTGTGGACTATGTACTTAACTGTGCTTTTTCTGTGTATTGTTCTTTCATGTCCACATTTAGAACTCCCTTAAGCATTTCTGCAGGGCTAGTCTAGTGGTGATAAATTCCCTTACCGATTGCTTGACTCAGAAAGACTCAATCTCTCCTTCGTTTATGAAGCTTAGTTTTGAAGAATATGAATGTTTATGCTGGAATGTCATTCCTTTTAGAGTACTAAAAATAGACCTCTAATCTCTGCTGGATTGTAAGGTTTCTTCTGAGAAGTCCACTGTTAGTCTGATGGGTTCCCTTTGTAGGTAGTGTTGCTCTTTTCTCTAGCTGTGTCTGAGATTTGTTTTTTCTTTTGTGTTAACCTTGGATAGTCTAACGACTATGTGTCTTGGGGATGGCTGTCTTTATAGTGTATAACAGAGGTTCTCTGGATTTCTGGTGTATGCATGTCAACATCTCTAGCAAAATTGAGAATATTTTCTTGAATTTTTTCCTCAGATATGTTTTCCAAGTTGGTTACTCTTTCTTTTCTCTCAGGAATACCAATAAGTTGTAGAAGTGGTTTCTTTACATAATCCCATATTTCTTGAAGGCTTTGTCTTTTTAAAAAATATTTTTTCTTTATTTTTGCATGACTGGGTTAATTTGAAGAATCAGTCTTCAAGCTTTGAAGTGTTTCCTTCTGCTTGGCCTAGTCTGTTTTTAAGTCTCCCAACTATATTTTGAAATTTATTTAGTGAATTTTTCAGTTCCAGAAGTTCAGTTTGGCTCTTTCTTAATATAACTATGTTGTCTTTCAAATCTTGGACTGTTTTTCTGGTTTCTTTGCATTGGATTTCTATTTTGTCTTATGTCTCATTGACTTTCCTTGACATCCATCTTCTGAGTTCTATGTGTCTCATTTCAGACATTTACATCTGGTCAGGATCCTTTCCTAGGGAGCTAGTGAGAGGCTTTGGAGATCACAAAACACTCTGGCTTTGTGTATTGCCAGACTTCTTGTGCTTATTCCTTTCCATCTGCGGGAGTTGACACTTCTTTTTTGAATTTGCTTCATTTAGATGGGGTTTGTATTAGTCAGAGTTCTCTATAGGTACCGAAGTAATAGGATAGATGTACATTTGAAGGGGAGTTTATTAAGGATCATTGACTCACACGATCACAAGGTAAAGTCCCACAATAAACCATCTGCAAGCTGAGGAGCAGGGAAGCCAGTCCGAGTCCCAAAACCTCAAAAGTAGGGAAGCTGACAGTGCAGCCTTCAGTCTGTGGCTGAAGGCCTGAGAGCCCCTGGCAAACCACTGGTGTAAGTCCAAGAGTCCAAAAGCTGAAGAACTGGAAGCATCCAGCACAGGATAAAGATGAAAGCCAGGAGACTCAGCAAGTCTGCTCTTCTGCCTTCTCCTGCCTGCTTTGTCCTAGCCGTGCTGGCAGCTGATTAGATGGTGCCCACCCAGATTGAGGGTGGTTCTGCCTCTCCTAGTCCAGACTCAAATGTTAATCTCCTTTGGCAACACCCTCCAAACACACCCGGGAACAATATTTTGCACCCTTTAATACAATCAAGTTGACACTCAGTATTAACCATCACAGGGCTTTTATATTTTTTATTCTCTTTGAAAGTATGACAGTGGTGTATGTGATTGATTGGCTTCATTTCTCTGTAGTTGCAGAGGGTGAAGTTTCCATATATGTTCCTTGGTTACAGATAGGTTGCTGCAGTGGCTTTCACAGATGTTGCTTGTTTTAGCAATGTATTTTTATATGATGGTATAACTCAAACTTCAGTCTGGTAGATGGACTTAAGAGTAAGAGCTGGCAGGTGGGGTCTTGGTGCATGCTTGCCCTCACTGGAGAATCATGAGAAACAACTTCTTTCAGTGCACGCTTTCTGGGCCCCTATGGGAAGAGCTATTGTTGCATCTGCAACAGTGCACTGGGGAGGGGAGATGGAGGCGAGACATAATTCCTTCTCCAAGTCTGGTTCTGGGCCTTGGTGGTGCTCCTTTCAGTGGCTTATGCCATGGCCACATTTTCTTTGTCTCATGTGGTGCTTTGGCAGGCTGCACTCCCCCTTCCCTTAGGGATGGTCCACACTGAGGATTACATCTCTAGGGACACACAACTCTCCAGAGACCCACCAGTCCACTGTGCTTACCAAAGTCAGAGCAGGTTTTAGGGTATGTCTGCAGTTGCTCTGATGATGCAGTATTTCAAGGGTAGAGGATCTCCAGGCAGGGCAGTGGCACAATGGGTGCAACACCAGTATGGAGTCTGCAGCCCATGATTTTCAGCCCAGCAGGCAACCATGGAGTCTGCCTAGCTTACACTCCCCTGACCCAGCAGATCTCCCACAGACACTCGCCCTGGCGGCAAGCCCAACCAACTAGGCTTTCCCCAAGCCATCTGCTCCCACATTGTTGAGCTGCTCCAGGCATTCTGTGCCAGGACACTCCCTGGGAAAGAAGCTACCACCATCAGGCCATACCCTTCATGGTCTGGTCTTGCAAAGGGAGGGGTGTCCAGCTCCCATGCCCCCATGAGAACCCATACCACACCCTTCTCTGCATTCTGACTATGGAGGATCCTCCTTCACTTGAGATTAGGTTACAAATCTCAGCTCAGTGTCCCTGGGTGGTATACTTGAGTCTTGGGGAGTTGGGACTGGGCTCACGGATTTGTCCTCTGGCCTCTAAGCTTCAAGCACTGGCTGTGACTTGGGGACAGGGTGGTGAGCTTTTCCCAGGCTGTCAACAAAACACTCAAGCTATGCAGTGGATGCTGTGCTGTGGACACCCTCTTGCAGGCGTGACCAGGCATGAGCTCTGGGAAGGGGTTGACAGGCAAGGGGGCATGTGGACCAGATGCAACTTAATCACACAGCACTGGTGATGGGGCCTATCTTGGGCATGTGAGCAGGCCAGGCGCGGTTCACTCCCAGCCTGGCGGACAGCAGGAACTTAGCCACTCAGTATGAAATGGAGGCTTGTGGGATGGGCACCTAGGGTTGCATTTTGCTGCAGCTGCACAGCACAACAAAGCCTTCTGGGCTCTGTGTGGGTTCAAACTGTGCCTCTGCATGTGCTCGAGGCAGCTCTCCTACCAGTCCAAAGATCTATGAGGGTCGTAGAAACTCCTGTAACTAGGATCTCAGAGGTACATTATGGGTATGTAGTGTCCCAGGGTTCCTTCACTCACCCCTTCCTTGGGTTTGTTCAGGGTATATGGGCCAGTCCTGATGTCTAGTGACTCTGAGCAGACTGTCCCATTTCTTCCCTCTTCAACCATGGTGTCTGTGTCACCTCTGTGTCAACTTTCAGTGTTTTCTCTCAAAAGATCTGTTTAAAATGTGAAGGTTTACTAGATATTTGGGTTCCTCTCCATGGAAGAGGCACTTCCCAACTGCATCTCCTTGGCCATCTGCCATTCTCCAAATCTTTTTTGGTGCCTATTTTTCCTTTTTACTTTCTGTGCTTCCTCCTTATTCTCTTCCTCCAACACTGATATGTACTCTGACATTCAATTCTAAATATATATATTATAAAAAATAGATATAATGTGCATATATGTGTTCATTAAGGATAGAATACTTGGCTGGGCACGGTAGCTTATGCCTGTAATCCCAGCACTTTGGGAGGCCGAGGTGGGCGGATCATGAGGTCAGGAGATCGAGATCATCCTGGCTAACACAGTGAAACCCCGTCTCTAGTAAACAAAATACAAAAAATTAGCCGGGCCTGGTGGCGGGTGCCTGTAGTCCCAGCTACTTGGGAGGCTGAGGCAGGAGAATGTCGTGAACCCGGGAGGTGGAGCTTGCAGTGAGCTGAGATCATGCCACTGCACTCCAGCCTGGGCGACAGAGCAAGACTCCATCTCAAAAAAAAAAAAAAAAAAAAAAAAAAATTCAGAAAGAAGGTTACTACATCTGAATTTCTGAAGATGGTTTTAGTAGGGATGAATTCAATGTAATCCATGGATTATTCATGACTTTGTAGAAAGGTTAATGAATGTTTCTTTTAGCCACTCGGGTTGGGACCTCTGAATCAATAGGAAGCATAAATGAGAGATGTCAGGGGAGGATTGAAGGATGCTGATGGAGGTGGGAAGGCCTGAAGTGACCCGCCTGTGCTAGACTGAAAGTGATTCAGGCCCCACCCAAATGCATGAGCAGTGGAGCCTAAATCCTTCACAACTGCACATTAGAGGAGAGAGGATTTGACCATCATCCTGCAATTAGAGTTACTGTTAATCAAGGTAGGAGGACAAGATGCGTTCCCACTTCTGACTCTGATTGCCCTAAATAGAGGCCCTGAGTGGTAATAATTTGTTTTGAAACTAGGAGACAGTTCAGTCAGTGTTTCATCAGATTCATGTTTTGCTGAAAATACTGGCACATTCCTCCATTTAATGAGGAGTCACCACAGGTAACTCAAGGGCCTTAGTCCTGCTGCCCACATAAGGGAGTTCTGGTCCTCAGGAAATGGGGCCGTATTTGAAGGTAACGAAAGGGATAAGATGAGACATGATGGTGTGATGAGTATTCCAGTGACTGCTTTTGGTAAATTTGGGCTGGCATGTGGGTTTCAGTTCCTCTGTCTAGAAAGGAAATGCTCCTCATGACTGACAAAAGCAGGAATAGGTTTTATCATCAGCTCTACACCAAGGCTCTCCAGTTACTAGAGTGGTCTCTAGAAGACAGCATTATCAGCAAATTCCATTAGCAACTAACTTGCTTCTGTGGTGCTGTGTTGTTGTTAATAGTTTTAATTATAGCAGCTGCAATGCAGGGAACCTGATCCAAAAAAGGCACAAACCAAAACCTGTGCTCCTAAGGAGATTATAAGAAATGAAATCACCAACACTGGCCTCTCTTTGGGAGGAAACTGGAAATGGCAAGAGGGACCACTCATGGGCTAAAGCCCAGCACTTGGGTCACAACTCACCCTGGAGAGGCCAAGTATGGGCCCCATTGCTTCAGGCCTTGGCTGTGGATCACACCCTGGATTCTTCTCTTCCAGGTGCAGCTCAGTTGCCGTGATGCTCCTTGAGTCAATGAGCTCTTTGGTCTGCTCTTCTGCTCAAGCAGAAAAGGATTGGCACTTCACCCTTGAGAAGCTGACAAGAACCACAGGCTTCTTCAGGCAGGTGGTGGAACATGGGTGTATCCTGCAGGTGCTCACAGTATCTCCCTTTGCTCAGGTGACGGAGGCTTGGGGTTTTCCAGCTCTTGACCTAAAATTCCTGAATGATTGTTTTCAAATTTCTTAATGAATAATAGGATGAACTTGCCACCCCTGTCAGGGGGGAATGGGGTTCCTGAAAGCTGAGAGGCCAGGATCCAGATCCTGAGCCTCTTCACCAAGCAGATGCTGTAGAGCAAAGGCAGCAACTATCTATCTATCTATCTATCTATCTATCTATCTATCTATCTATCATCTATCTATCTTTCCCCTTCCCTTTAAGGAAATCCTCAGGACTAGGTGAGATCTTAGATCTAGTGGAGAATCTGAGCTGCTCCAAGCAAAACCTCAGGATCCTGCAATCTGAAAAGGTAGAACCAAGGCAAATGTGGGCAGCAATACCCAGAAGTTGGGTACTGAGCCTGTTAGGGAGCATTTTTTTCAGGGGAGTGAAGTAAACAATGAGGTGTAGAGAGCAGCGAGAATGAGAAGCCAAATCACAGACTACAAAATCACACAGCATCTGTCCTTTCTCCCTGGGCAGAGAGAGTATGATGGGTAGTCTCCAATATAGAAAGCCCATTGTGTCCTTCAGCTCCCCCATACAGTCGCAGAACAAGCCTGATTCTGAAATTTCTATTCTCTTTAGGCTCTAGCCTGATTTTCTGGCTCATAAGGCCAAAGGGAGCTGGAAAAGTCCCCACGGCAGGACTCATGGTGGAGAGAGAATGATCTAGAGGATTCAGGCCTCTGCATACTGTGTCTGGGTCCCTCCTTAAAGAATGATAAAGACAAGTAAAGAGCTTGAAGCAGCCTGGAGTCCAGCCAGAAACCTTTAACTGAGCTTTAAAGGAGATGGTCACAACACTTTTCAGAATACTGGCAAAGGCCTCCTGTGGCCAGGTTTGTCCTGGGATGAGCAAAATTTAATGTTAACCTGCTGTATCTTTGCTTTTAATATATCTGCTTGCCCATCACAATGATGTTATGGTTAATTTCACCAATTTGGTAACCTGCCTCTTGGGAAGTACGAAAGTAAGCAAGGGCCAGGTGTGGTGACTCACGCCTGTAATCCCAGTACTTTGGGTGGCTGAGGCGGGTGGATTGCTTGAGCCCAGGAGTTCAAGACCAACCTGGGCACCATGACAAAACCCCGTCTCTACAAAATATACAAAAATTAACCAGGAGTGGCAGTGCATGGCTGTAATCCCAGCTACTCGGAGGCTGAGGTGGGAGAATCTCTTGAGCCTGGGAGGCAGAGGTTGCAGTGAGCTGAGATCACACCACTGCATTCCAGCCTGGGCAATGAAGTGAGACCCTGTCTCAAAAAAAAAAAAAAAAAAAAAGAGAGAGAAAGACAGTGAGGGTGTCCTGTGAATCAAATCTTTGAATGGATGTTTTCTTAACTAACCAAGACCTCTGTAAGAATTCTGTCTTTGATTCCACAATAAAGTGGTGTGAAATTACTATAAGCAAATGTTTACATGTCTCATTTAATCTTCACAACAATCCTATGAGGCAAGTAGAATTGTTATCCTCATTTTCTGAGCGATGAAACTGAGGCTCAGGGGAGGGTGTGACCTTGCCAAGTCCCCACAACTGGAAACCACGGAACAAAATGACCTGAGTCACACATGCTAGAAAAAACTCATTGTGCCTCCCCATGGAGATTCACAATGGCTATTTCTGTTGCAATAGAGGATGAAGCAGGTGGTCTTTCCAATCAACAGCTGTTAAGAAAGGCTCCAGTTCTCCCCGGGGAATCTCAGAATCAGACTGAAGATTCAGAAGAGCCTTTGCTGACCACTGAGTCAAACTCCCCAGAATCCTTTTGTAGTACCGCTGACCAGTGAGTGATCATCAAACCTCCAAAGACTTCGGTAATTTGCAGATTCTAGGGAAAATTCCATGAGTTAACAGAGGTGAAATTTGAAAGTTCCATAGAGAAATTCTGGAACTTGAAATTATCATAGGAAGATTATTATGCAATTTCGTTCCTGTTAGTAGTCTTTAATAAAGAGACTTCAGGTGAACATTGGGTTGAACCAAGATTACTTTCTCCCATTGTCACCATTCTGATTTCAGATTGTTCCTTGCTGGTTTATATCCTCTTCAATTCCATTTTGTACCAGATAGAGGCAGAGTAGAAGGAAAAACTGAACAACAAACCGCATTTGTGCCAGCTCGAGGGATAAACACCCTCTAAGGAGCATCTCAAGCTTTCCACAAGATTTCAACAGGGTCACCCCAGTTCACAGCCAGGTAGTGTGTCTTCAATGTGTGGCCAATCGCTGTTGGACAAACAGGAGGTGTTTTCCCCAGGATACCCTGCACTAGACTCGGCATCTTTTCAGTCTTCTTCTTATTCTGTCTCCTTCCCAGCACACTGACACTGGAAGCACACTAAGTCATCACATGAGCAATTCACAGGTGCCATGAAATACCTCACAAATGTACAGTACTTTAACTGTTGACCCCATGTATTAGGTAAGAAAGATATTATTATTTACATTTATCTATTGGAACTTGGGGGCACAGAGTGTTTAAATTACCTGCCCAAGGGCACACAAGTCACTCGCCTCTTGTGTTTCAATTATACAATGGCTTAGTGATTCTTTCTTTCAGACGATTGTTGTGAGGAGTGAATGGAATTAAATCAAGTCTATGTGGAAAGGGCCTGGAGTATGAGTTCTCAATGCAGGGTGACTACTGTCAGCACCAACTAGTTATGATAATGACCATGATGATGATGGGGAAATAATAACACCTTGAAGTAATAATAATGAAGTTAGAACGATACCCCCAAATGTATGAAAATTACATCTATAAAATGAGTTAGTTTATAAATCGTGAGAAAATGGGCATCCTCAGGTATTGCAGGTAGAAACACACAATGGAATAACTCTTGTCAGCAAGCTAATCCATTTCCAGGAATTTTTATTTTTTTTTTTTTTGAGACAGAGTCTTCCTCTGTCACCCAGGTTGGAGTGCAATGGCATGATCTTGGTTCACTGCAACCTCTGCCTCCCAGGTTCAAGTGATTCCCCTGCCTCAGCCCCCCATTAGCTGGGACTACAGGCACACACCACCGTGCCCAGCTAATTTTTGTATTTTTAGTAGAGACGGGATTTCACCATGTTGACCAGGATGGTCTTGATCTCTTGACCTCATGTTCTGCCAGCCTCGGCCTCCCAAAGTGCTGGAATTACAGGCATGATCAACCACCCCAAGTCCAGAATTTCCTAACAAGGTCTCAAGAGATGAAGGTGCTACTGTTCAGTGACCCCCTGCTCAAAAACACTGCCCTAGGAGATGGGGGCTCTTCTATGCCCCATTTTTACAGGTAAGGCTAGTCATGGAAGTGGGAGATAGAAAATAAAGGGTGGGGTCAGGTTCCTTTCTAAAAACCTAAATGCATGTCAGGCAAGTAGGGCTTAGAAAAGAATTTACCCTCCTTCACCTCTGTCACCTCATCCCTCCTTCCAACCTCCATCACTTGTGTGGCAAACTGGACTCGGAGCCAGAAGGCACCAGAAAAAGTGGAATGTGAGCCTGCAGGCCATCAAGGTGAAGCCCTGAGGATCCCCCGGGGCCAGTCCCTCCACTTTGATGCGGATAAGCCTCAGCTAGTGTCAAGTTGAAAGGAGAAAAAGACAGGTGAGTCACTGTTAAAGAAACAGGTTCACATATGTAGGTCTAGGAGCACTGCAAGTAGTTCTTACAGTGAGAGAGAGCAATTGTGCTCAACTCTGAATCCAGCACAAGGAAGTGGTAATTATACTCAAGGAGGAGGATGGGGGTTAGCAGATAGGAAATGACTATGAGGGAACATGAAGGGTAAGGGAGGATTCTGGCTAAACTGACCTAACGAGATTCTCGCTGAGCACAGGCCAAGGTTATCTGACATCAGCTGCGGGATGGTGGGGGATGAGGACCCTGATCAGTATATGGTGGACGGGGATTCCTGCCAGCTAAACTGACTTAGCAGGGTAATTTCCTAAAACTGAATTTTACAAAAAGTGCACAGATGGGTTTAGCAGAAGGTTCAGAAGCCTGACCAATGTACGGTCAAGCAAACAATTTCTGTCACCACACAGAATGCATGCTCCAGGGACCATACTGGGCCTCAGCATCTTCCTACCCCACCAGCTTCCAGGAGGGCATTTTGCCCTGGGCCTCCTGGGTGTTTCCTTGCCTGATCATTTCTAGGAGACAAGAGACTTGCACTTTATCATCTAGGATAAATTCAGTGTCAGATTTTTAAGCCTAAATCGGATGACAGTGCTTCAGTGACAATCTCAGTTATTTAAAAAGGGAGGTTCATTCATTCACCAGTTCTAAAGGTGCACATAAGACATTCTTTTTTTTTTTTTTACAAAAAAATTGAGACCAAGTTAAAAGAAAAAGAATGAAAAAAATCAAGCAACCCGAATCCCTTATATAATCTCTTCAAAACCCCAAACCAGGGAAATCTTCTCAATATAAACTTGGGAATTTTGTTGATCACTGACTGCAGTCTGGTGGTTTATACTTATTTTCTTGTGTCCCGTTTCCTCCCTTCTCCCACCCCCAGCCCCTCAGCAGGTGCTGCCTTCCTGTCTTGGTCTCATTGTCCTCAAATCAGACCTGCAGGTATGGTCCCAAGTGCTTCTAACCTTCATCCTCATATCCACGGGATCCCCTGAGAACCCAGCTTCTGTTATTGAGAACTGTCCCACCTGCTGACTAAGGAGTCTGATCTTTATTCAGAATCATTGCTAAGATACCAGAAGAAATAACATGTAAGAGTCTAGTATAGAACTCACAGTTCTGATCTGAGGAACTAACAATTGCTTATTTGAATCACTGTATTTCCTATTTATATTCTTTTTTTTTTTTTTTTTTTTTTTTTTTTGAGATGGAGTCTCGCTATGTCTCTCAGGCTGGAGTGCAGTGGTGCGATCTCGGTTCACTGCAACCTCTGCCTCCCAGGTTTGAGCCGTTGTCCCTGCCTCAGGCTCCTGAGTAGCTGGGATTACAGGCGCCCACCACCATGCCTGGCTAATTTTTGTAATTTATTTTATTTTTTTTGAGACAGAGTCTCACTCTGTTGCCCAGGCTGGAGTGCAGTGGTGCCATCTCACTCACTGCAACTTCTGCCTCCCTGGGTTCAAGCAATTCTCCTACCTCAGCCTCCTGAGTATCTAGGATTACAGGCGCCTGCCACCATGCGTGGCTAATTTTTGTATTTTTAGTAGAGACGGGGTTTCGCCATGTTGGCCAGGCTGGTCTCAAACTCCTGACCTCAGGTGATCCACCCGCCTTGGCCTCCCAAAGTGCTGGGATTACAGGTGTGAGCCACCACTCCCGGCCTATATTCATATTTCTATTCACAATATCTCCTACACAGTGTTTTCCTGTTCTATGGGGAGAAATCAGGCAGATAGCAGAAGACACAGGTCAGATCTCAGGAAGAGTTTCTATGGCCTCCAAACAAGCATTTATTGATTATAGATGTAGGGGTGAATATTACGAATATGGGGAGATGTCCCACAAGGTTAGCTCCTATGCTACCTAATGCACCAGGCAGCTTGTCCATAACTTAGTTTAAATATATCTGTCAGGCTCCATGCCCATTTGCTGTAAAAGCAAGATTACTGAGGTAATCTTAGATTTTAAAATGGAAAACTGGGCCTCACAAAAGCAGTTGGGAAAATTACCTGGAGATTGTTTCTAAGGCAGTGCCCAACTGTACCAAGCAAAGGACAACAAGTACAAAGTCAGAGCTTCATTAACTTGATGATTGATTCATTCACTTACTTAATGCAAGACTTCAGGGGAAGAAGAGTCGCTGAGTGGAGGAGACGGGAAACAATGCATTATGAAACGCCCATGGTCTCTGGATACCCACCCAGCCAGTCCCCACCCTCCTAGGGTCTGGTCTCGACCATCTCATCATGTGTTTTGAGGGTGCGTTTTCCTACCAGTTGTTTTTTTGTCTTTGAGACAGGGTCTCCTCTCGCCCAGGCTGGAGTGCAGTGGTGCGATCTCGGCTCACTATAGCTTCAACCTTCCGGGCTGGGCGATGCTGGTGCCTCAGCCTCCCGACTAGCTGGGACCACAGGCGCGGGCCACCACACTCGGCTAATTTTTGTATTTTTAGTAGAGAAGGGGTTTCGCCAGGGTGCCCACCCTGTTCTCGAACTACTGGGCTCAAGGGATCTGCCTGCCTCAGCCTCCCAAAGTGCTGGGATTACAGGCATGAGCCACCAGCAACACGCCCAGATTCTTCTACACCCTTAATTGGGAGGTAAGGCTTCTGCTTGCAGGCTGTGCGTTCTTCCAGCCAGCCGCACCTTTGCTGTGGACTAAACAGGAACCACTGGATTACAGTCCTCTGGCTCTCTGCCCTGCAGGAGATTTTAATCAAAAATTCTAGGCCTAAGGGAAAAGCAGGGTTAAGCTGAAAATGCACACAGGGCTCCTGTAAATTTCTTTTCATAAACCACCCGCCCAGGGCATTAAATAGGGTACTTAGTTGATCCGAACCCTCCAGGGAGACCTCCGACCCTTCTCTTCGTAGCCCCCAGCTCCCCTCCCCCGGTTCCACTGAGGCAAGGGGACTGAGCTGCTCCACATGCCAGGAGTCAGCACGCCGGAAGGCCCCGCCCAGCGGCTGGCGCAGCCAATCGCAGAGCGGGCAAGTGGTGGGGGCGGGCCTGCCTGGGCGGCAAGGGGGCAGGGGGGTCTAGGGGCTTTAGAGGTCAATTAGCTGCTTTCGGGCGGCCTTAGGCGACAGGAGACTCCTGGACCCAGCACCTGCCCACTGTGCCTGTCCACCTGTGGCTACAGCAGCTGAGACCCCAGTGGGCTAAGATTGGACAGGGGCCACCAGGGACCCAGCAAGTCCTTCAGCTCTGTGAGTGAGGGATTTTCCGGAGTGCCAGGCCGCAGTATTCCCAGGGCCGGTGGGGGTGGGACAGGGAGGCTCGACCCCGGCAAATCAGGCAGAGGCGCCCCTTGCTCCCTGCAACATCGCCCACGTCCTGGGGCCACAGTGAGCATGAGCGGAGGGCGGGAGCAAGAGCCAGGGGACCTGGCCTGGGTCCCCAGCCCAAAGCCTGGGAAGCTGCCTACCCACCCCTGTGTGGGCGCGGACACTGGGGACTCTGGCTTCCGGTGGTTCGGCCACCTGATTCAGTTTATGCTCTGTGAGGGGAGCTGGAGTGTTGGCAGGACTGGCCCACCTGCAGGACTGCAGGACTGCGGGAACGGCGGTAGATGGGTGCTCTCCTTCCCAGTTTGTCCTGGGAAGACATTCAATAACTGTTTCATTACAAGGGGCATTTGGAAAACATACTTCACCTTCTGTTGTGTATTAGCCAAGAACAAGGTGTGATGTGACTTCCCAATTATTGGGGATCCCTTTGTCCCTTCTTGAAATTAGATGTCTTCATTCTTGAGGTTTTGCCTGGATGACCTCAGCACAATTGGTACAAAACCTGGGCCAACGGTTTCCTAGTTTCCCGGTTGTTGCCTTAAGCTTCTCGCCCATCAGGTACCTTCCTGTCCTTTTCGTAGCCTGTCATCATCATCCCAGAAAACTGTTTCAACTCCTACAGCTCTGGACAGGCTGCTTTTCATTTTGGTGGGTCCCTCCAATACCTCCACTTGCCCTGTTTTTCTCCAGCCACATCCTTGGCCTCTTCCACAGTCCTTAGGTAAATGCTTGGAAGAATAATTTAAATATTTTTATTCTACCATGGTGGCCCTAGTTTCTCAGGGGGTAGTAAAATGGCTTTTTAGGATCGGTCTAATCAGATCCTCATTTCTTTTCCCTTCCTAGATTTTTGAAACATGAATCCTTCACTCCTCCTGGCTGCCTTTTTCCTGGGAATTGCCTCAGCTGCTCTAACACGTGACCACAGTCTAGACGCACAATGGACCAAGTGGAAGGCAAAGCACAAGAGATTATATGACATGGTTGGTGGCATCTGAAACTGTCCAGGGGAACACCAGAGAGATGGGCATTGCTATTGGGATCATATGGCCAGAGAGTGGCTTCTAGAGGCTGGCTCCTACCAATAAGCTAACACAATAACTTAATAGCACTGATTATGAGCACGATATGGGCATACACCCTTGTTGTGTCTCAGCTTGGAAAACATCTCCTAGAAGTGTCAAGCCTTCCCTGGCCATGGTTACTCTTACATCTCTGTCTGAAGATTCACTTGGTTAGCATATGTTGGGTTTTAATTAGAAATAAATAGCATTGGCGGGGCACGGTGGCTCACGCCTGTAATACCAGCACTTTGGGAGGCCAAGGCAGGCGGATCACAAAGTCAGGAGATTGAGACCATCCTGGCTAACACGGTGAAACCCCGTCTCTACTAAAAAAAAATACAAAAAGTTAGCATGGTGGCAGGCGCCTGTAGTTCCAGCTACTCGGGAGACTGGGGCAGGAGAATGGCATGAACCCAGGAGGCAGAGCTTGCAGTGAGCTGAGATCGTGCCACTGCACTCCAGCCTGGGTGACAGAGCGAGACTCCGTCTCAAAAAAAAAAAGAAATGAAGAACATCAGTTACATGTTTGCCTTTAGAATGAAGAAGGATGGAGGAGAGCAGTGTGAGAGAACATGAAGATGACTGAGCAGCACAATCAGGAATACAGCCAAGGGAAACACAGCTTCACAATGGCCATGAACACCTTTGGAGACATGGTAAGTATGCTGTGGGCTGCCCAGCTCTGTGCTTCCCCTCCTCAGTTCTTTACCAAATTAATCTCTTGCTTCTTAACATTTTATTTACTTTTCTTTGAAGACCACTGAAGAATTCAGGCAGGTGATGAATGGTTTTCAATACCAGAAGCACAGGAACGGGAAACAGTTCCAGGAACGCCTGCTTCTTGAGATCCCCACATCTGTGGACTGGAGAGAGAAAGGCTACGTGACTCCTGTGAAGGATCAGGTGAGACTGTGTTAGGTTCAGACCTCCCATCACCCCAGGAAAGCCAAGAAGCAATTGACATTTGTGCTATGGTAGACTGTGCAGCAACATGCAGTTCACTTTTTTTTTTTGTATAATTTTTTTGTTTGTTTGTTTTGAGACAGAGCCTCACTCTGTTGCTCAAGGTTGAGTGCAGCGGCGTGATCTCGCCTCACTGAAACCTCTGTCTCCCAGATTCAAGAGATTATCCTGGCTCAGCCTCCCAAGTAGCTGGGGTTACAGGTGCCTGCCTCCCCTTCCAGCTAATTTTTTGTATTTTTAGTAGAGATGGGGTTTTGCCACGTTGGTCAGGCTGGTCTTGAGCTCCTGACCACAGGTCATCCACCTGCGTCGGCCTCCTAAAATGCTGGGATTACAGGCATGAGCCACCAAGCCTGGCCTGTTTTTTTTTGTTTGTTTTGTTTTTGTTTTTTTTTTTTGTTTTGTTTTTTGAGACAGGTCCTGCTCTGTCCTGCAGGCTGGAGTGTAGTGGTATGATCTCGGGTCACTGCAGCCTCTGCCTCCCAAGCTGAAGCCATCCTCCTGCCTCAGCCTCCTGAGTAGCTGGGGCTACAGGTATTCACCACCACTACACCCAGCTAATTTTAAAATTTTTTTTTCGTAGAGACAGGGTTTTACCATGTTGCCCAGCCTGGTCTTGAACTTCTGGGGTCAAGTGATCCGCCTGTCTCAGCCTCACTAAGTGCTGGGATTACAGCTGTGAGCCAACACATGTGGCCCTTCATATAATTTTGACCTTTTAAAATGTATTGAGAATTGTTTTGTGACCTAACATATGATTTATCATGGGGAATGTTCCATATGCACTTGAGAGGAATATATATTCTGCACTTGTTAGATGGAGAGCTTTCTATATGTCTGTTAGGTCTAGTTGGTTTAGTGTGTTGTTCAATTCCTCTAGTTCCTTATTGATTTTGTCTAGATGTTCTATTTACTGTTGAAGGTGGGGTGTTGACTGGGCGCAGTAGGTCAGGCCTGTAATCCCAGCACTTTGGGAGGCTGAGGTGGGTGAATTGCTTGAGCTTGGGCATTTGAGACCAGCCTGGGCAACATGGTGAGACCCCGTCTCCACAAAAAAATACACAAATTGGCTGGGTGTGGTGCTGTGTGCCTATAGTTCCAGCTACTGGGGAGGCTGAGGCTGGAGAATTGCTTGAGTCTGGGAGGCAGAGATTGCGGTGAGCTGTGATAGAGCCACTGCATTGAGGTCTCCATTATTGTAAAATTGTTTCTTCCTTCAATTTTATTAGTTTGCTTTGTGCATTTTGGAGCCCTTTTTTTTTTGGTTCATATGTGTTTATAATTGTTACATCTTCTTGTGATTTGACTCTCTTACGAACATAAAATGTTTTTCTGTAACAGTTTTTGGCTTAAAATCTATTTTGTGTGGTATTATTAGTATAGCCACCCTGGCTCTCTTTTGGTTACTATTTGCATGGATTATCTCTTTCCATCTTTTCACTTTCAACAAATTTGTGTCTTTGGGTCTACAGTGAGTATTTTGTGAGTTGCATATTTGGATTATGTATTACATTATTAAAAAAATTGATTCTGCCGATCTTTCCATTGATGAGATTATTTACATTGAAAGTGATTACTGAAACAGAAAAGTTACTTGACCGGGCACGGTGGCTCCCGCCTGGAGGTGAGGCTGCAGTGAGCCATGATCGCACCACTGCTCTTCAGCCTGGGGGACAGAGTGAGATTGACTCAAAAACAAAAAACAGAAACTTACTTATGGTTGGACTCACGCCTGTAATCCTATCACTTTGGGATGCTGAGGTGGGCAGATTGCTTGAGCCCAGGAGTTTGAGACCAGGCTGGGCGACATAGCAAGACTCCTGTCTCTACAAAAAATAGAAAAATAAGCTGGGCATGGTGGTGCACACCTGTAGTTCCAGCTACTCAGGAGGCTGAGGTGGGAGGATCAGCTGAGCCTGCGGAGGTCAAGGTTGTAGTGAGCCGTGATTGTGCCACTGCACTCCAGCCTGGGCAACAGAGCCAGACCCTGTCTCAAAAAAAACCAAAAACAGGCTGGATGCAGTGGCTCATGGCTGTACCCAGCACTTTGGGAGGCCGAGGCGGGTGGATCACTAGAGGCCAGGAGCTCGAGACTAGCCTGGCCAATGTAGTGAAACCTCATCTCTACTAAAAATACAAAAAATTAGCTGGGTCTGGTGGTGGGCGCCTGCAATCCCAGCTACTCAGGAGGCTGAGAATCACTTGAACCTGGGAGGCAAAGGCTGCAGTGAGCTGAGAATGAAACACTGCACTCCAGCCTGAGTTACAGAGCAAGACTCTGTCTCAAAGAAACCCCAAAAAAGAAAAACAGAAAAACCCACACACCAAAGAACTTACTTATGTCATCCTGCTGTTTAGTTTCTACATAAAGTGTTTTGCTCCTCAGTACCTTCTTTTGTGTTTGGTTAATGATTTATCCTGTAATATTTTGATCCTTTCTTAGTTCCTTTTCTGTATATTTTTAAAGTTTTGTTTTTAGTGGATACTATGAAGATTTCAGTTAACATGCTGAGTTCTAAGTCTAGTTCAGACTGATACCAACTCAGCTTCAATAGCATACATTAACTCTGCTCCTTTCTCTGTCCCCTAGCTATATTGTTACAAATTATGTCTTTAAACAATTAGTTCCTATTAACATAGATGCATATTATTTCATGCATGTTTTTAAATCATAAAGGAGAAAGAGGAATAACATACCCAAAATACAATAATACTAGCTTTTATATTTAGCTATATAGTTGCCTTTACCAGTGATTTTTATTTTTTCATATAGCTCTGAGTTATTATCTTGTATCTTTTCATTTTAGCCTGAAGGACTCACTTCAGCTTTTTTTTTTAGCCCGAGTCTTGCTCTGTTGCCCAGGCTGCAGTGCAGTGGCACAATCTCTGCTCACTGCAAACTCTGCCTTCTGGGTTCAAGTGATTCTCCTGCCTGAGCCTCCCAAGTAGCTGGGATTACAGGCACGTGCCATCACACACAGCAAATTTTTGTATTTTTAGTAGAGATGGGGTTTCACCATATTGGCCAGGCTGGTCTCGAACTCCTGACCTCAGGTGATCCACCTGCCTCGGCCTCCCAAAGTGCAGGGATTACAGGCATGAGCCACTGTGCCCAGCCAAGCATTCTTTTTCTTTTTTTTTTTTTTTTGAGGTGGAGTTTCCCTCTTTTTGCCCAGGCTGGAGTGCAATCGGGTGTGACCTCGGCTTACTGCAACCTCTGCCTCCCAGGTTCAAGCAATTCTCCTGCCTCAGCCTCCCGAGTAGCTGGGATTACAGGCATGTGCCACCATGCCTGGCTAATTTTGTATTTTTTTAGTAGAGACAGGGTTTCTCCATGTTGGCCAGGCTGGTCTCAAACTCCCGACCTCAGGTGATCCACCCGCCTCGGCCTCCCAAAGTGCTGGGATTACAGGCGTGAGCCACCACGCCCAGACCAGGCCAAGCATTCTTATATTTTTATTCATTTATTATTTTTTTAGTGACAGGTTCTTGCTCTGTCAACCAGGCTGGAGTGCAGTGGTATGATCATACCTCACCGTAACCTCCAACTTCTGGTCTCAAACGATCCTCCTGTCTCAGCCTCATGAGTAGTTGGAACTACAGATGCACACCACCATGCCCAGCTAATTTTTTTAATTTATATTTTGTAGAGACGGGGTCTCACTATGTTGTCCAGGCTAGTCTTAAACTGCTGGCTGCAAGCAATCCTCCTGTCTCAGCCTCCTGAGTAGCTAGGACCACAGGCCAGAGCCACCTTGTCTGGCTAATTATTTTTATTTTGTAGAGATGGGGTCTCCTTATGTCGCCCAGGCTGGTTGTGGACTCCTGGCCTCAGGTGATCCCACTTCAGTCTCCAAAAGTGCTGAAGTTACAGGCATGAGCCACCATGCTGAGCTTCCCCAACCCTGTTTTTTTTTTTTTTTTTTTGAGATGGAGTCTTGCTCTGTCGCCCAGGCTGGAGTGCAATGGCGCCATCTCAGCTCACTGCAACTTCCACCTCCCAGGCTCAAGCAATTCTCCTGTCTCAGCCTCAGTCAGCTGGGACTACAGGTACATGCCACCATGCCCAGCACACCACCACTGCCTTCTATACTCCGTGATTTCTGATAAGCAACTGTTAGTCTTACTGAAGATCCCTTGTACAGGATGAATCACTTATCTCTTGCTGCTTTTCTGTCTTTAGCTTTCTACAATTTGATTATAATGTGTGTCAGTGTGGATCTCTTTGAGTTTATCCTGCTTTGAATTTGTTGAGCATCTTCAATGTGTAGATTCACAATTCCCATCAAATGTGGGATATTTTTGGTCACTATTTCTTAAAAAAATCTCTCTAGGCCAGGCACAGTGGCTCACACCTGTAATCCTGCACTTTGGGAGGCTGAGGTGGGAGGATTGTTTGAGCCTGGGAGTTCAAGACTGGCCTGGGCAACATGGTGAGACCTTGTCTCTCCAAAAAATACAGAAATTAGCTGTGCTTAGTGGTGGTATGTGCTATAGTCCTGGTGCCATATTCCCAGCTACCTGGGAGGCTGACTATAGCTGGTGCTATAGTCCCAGCTACTTGGGAGGCTGAAGGGGGAGGATTGCTTGAGCCTAGGAGGTAGAGGCTGCAGTTATCAATGAGCCATGAGATCACACCACTGCACTCCAATCTGGACGACAGAGCGAGACCATCTCAAAAAAAAAAAAAAAAAAAGATAGGGATGTATCTGCATGACTATGGATTAGGCAATGGTTTCTTACATACAACCTAAAGCACACCAACCAGAGGAAAAATAAATTATGCTTTCTCAAGATTAAAAAGGAGACTATCAAGAAAGCGCAATGACAACTAATAGATTGAGAGGAAATATTTACAAATTATATACATGATAAAGGTCAATTACCTAGAATATATATACTTCAAAGACTCATTTAGAGACAGGGTCATGCTATGTTGCCTAGACTAGTGTTGACCTTCTGGGCTCAAGTTATCCTCCTGCCTCAGCCTTCTGAGTAGCTGGGACCATAGGCCTATACTACCACAACTGGCTGTGGAGTATATAAAGAACTCTTACCACTCAATAATGTGGACAAAACCCAATTTAAAAATGAGCAAAGGCTTTAAATAGAATAAAAATGAAACATTTAAGATTGTTGAAAGTGGTTGCCTCTGGGGAGTGGAATATGGTGAGGCAGATGTCTGGATTGGAGGGGACGAGCTATTGTGAACAATAAACCTTGTATCACTATTTGGCTCTCTGGATCACAGTTCACAACAAGGGATGAATTTGCTCCACAGGGGACATTTGGCAATCTGAATATATTTGTCATTGTTATAACTGAGGGGTCTTCCTGACATCTAATATGTAGAGGCCAGGGATATTACTAAACATCCTACAAGGCAGAGAGAGCCCCCATAACAAAGAATTACATAGCCTAAAATGTCAATAGTGCTGAGGTGAAAAATTGTCTAAAGTATGTTTGAGGCTGGGTGCGGTGGCTCATGCCTATAATACTAACACTTTGGGAGGCTGAGGCAGGTGGAGCACCTGAGGTCAGGAGTTTGAGACCAGCCTGGCCAACATGGTGAAACTCCATCTCTACTAATAATAAAAAAATTAGTTGGGCATGGTAGCTCATGCCTGTAATCCCAGTTACGTGGGAGGCTGAGGCAGGAGAATTGCTTGAACCTGGAAGGCGGGGGTTGCAGTGAGCCAAGATCCCACCACTGCACTCCAGCCTGGGTGACAGAGTGAGATTTCATCTCAAAATAAATAAATAAACAAATGAAGTATGTTTGATAAAAATACAAATACAAGTCAATAAAAGTTATGTTAAAAAATTAAAAAATCATAAAACAATCTTTTGTACAATATCCACAGATTTACTTTTCTTTCTTTCTCTCTCTTTCTTTCCTTCCTTCCTTCTTTCTTTCTTGCTTGCTTTCTTTCTTTTTTTTTTTTTTTTTTTTGAGTTTCACTCTTGTTGCCCAGGCTGGAGTGCAATGGCACAATCTCAGCTCAATGCAACCTCTGCCTCTCAGGTTCAAGCGATTCTCCTGCCTCAGCCTCCTGAGTAGCTGGGATTACAGGCATGTGCCTGCTTAGTGGGGGTATAAGCCCTCCTTACCAAGTAGAGAAAAAGGGGAGAAAATCACATTGCTAAAGCAATTGTGTTAAGCCCCATATTATCTTTACTTGTGGAAGAATGCAGCTTTGACCTATTATTCGACACTTAGCACATATAAAATTTTAGGCCTTAGCTTTCAGTTCCTCAGATCGTAGCAAATTGAAGTGTTAGGCTAACAAATTAGCTTACAGGCAATAACAGAAATCACTGACTGCACTACTACTGACGGCTACAGTAAGATCTCTGATAAAAACATGTTAAGTGATGCTCACTCAAATCCGTAAAGGTGCAGAAATACTCCTCTCAAACATAGTAAAAATAAAAACAATCTAATTATCTTGTATGTCAATTAAATGAACTATGGTATACCTATGCAAAGTACTAAACAGCCATTAAAAAGGATAACATATGCATGTAAATTACTTGGAATTATCACAAACATACATATGGAAAAAGGCAGGTTTCATACAACATGTATAACATGTTCCCACTTACAATTTTCTTTCTCTTCCCCATTCTTTCTCCCCACCATATATATATTGTTTATAACTTTCTATATTATTTCAACTGTATAATAGAAACTCATCTTTACAAAAAGAAAAACACAACTTTAAAAATGGTTAAACTATTAGGCTGGATGTTGTGGCTCACACCTGTAATCCCAGCACTTTAGGAGGCTGAGAGTGGATCACAAGGTCAGGAGTTCGAGACCAGCCTGACCAAATGGTGAAACCCCGTCTCTACTAAAAATACAAAAATTAACCAGGCGTGATAGCAAGTGCCTGTAATCCCAGCTACTCGGGAGGCTGAGGCAGGAGAATCACTTGAACCCTGGAGGCGGAGGTTGCAGTGAGCTGAGATTGCGCCAGTGCACTCCAGTCTGGGTGACAAAGCGAGACTCTGTCTCTCAAAAAAAAAAAAAAAAAAAAAAGAGGTTAAACTATTAAACCATTATGTCCCCCCATAAAATAATTAAAGTTCTTTCTAAGGACTGTACTCAATTCTTCCTATAAATTTTACTTTTTAGTCGACGGAATCAGTATACTGTAATGTTTTTCTTTAACTCAGGGGCCCAAGGCCTAGATAATCAACTTCTTTGAACAAGATGTGATATATTGGATACAGGGCTGGTATAAGACAACTTTGAAATGTTCAAGGACTGCTTTTTATACCCCAACCCTCTCCACCTCCCACCTAATCTGTAACTCTATGTCTTAGCACCCTTCCCTTAGTCACCTTAAAAATCTCATGAAGTCAACAAGGACAACAAAAAACTTAAAAACAGAAAAAATCTCATGAAGTCTAACCTACCCAAACCTATCCTTCATGAGAAGTCTAACCCCACACAGCACTTGGAAGGATTAATGCCATATTCTAGCCTCATCCACTGACAAAAGGGCTCTCTGGTGCTCTCCAGCTCCTGTTTGCTCACTTTCCATTCCTTTAGTGACATACCTCTGCTGGAGGTCAGTAAAACTTTGTTTAACCACTCCTTTTCTCCCAATGTACAAATGACAAATTGGTCCCGAATCTTTCTAGAGGCATCTACGAAAGTATTATGCTTGCTTTAGGATTAAGTAAGCTTGTTACCTCAAACAACAATTCCAACTAGGCTGGGGCAGTGGCTTACACCTGTAATCCCAGCACTTTGGGAGGCTGAGGCAGGAGGATGGCTCGAGCCCAGGAATTTGATACAAGCCTGGGCAACATAGTGAGATCCCATCTTGATTAAACAATATATTTTAAAAACAAAAAAGCTGGCTGGGCACGGTGGCTCACGCCTGTAATCTCAGCACTTTGGGAGGCCAAGGTGGGTGGATAACGAGGTCAAGAGATCGAGACCATCCTGGCCAACGTGGTGAAACCCCGTTGTAGACTAAAAATACAAAAATTAGCTGGGCGTGATGGCACGCGCCTGTAGTGCCAGCTATTCGGGAGGCTGAGGCAGGAGAATTGCTTGAACCTCAGAGGCAGATGTTGCAGTGAGCCGAGATCACGCCACGGTGCACCAGCCTGGCGACAGAGTGAGACTGTCTCAAAAACAAAAAACAATTCCAATTGGAGAAGGGCTCTGGCAAGTGGCAAGTCTGAAGCACACAGTTTGTAAATCACAAACATATAATGATAAAATCCTTCTCAAAAACAGTCTATACATGTTAAACATGAAACAGCTTCACCCACCCAAAACAAAATCACAAGGTATCAATTATTAGGCTTACTAGTTTTCTGCTCCATACAAAACTAATGTATTGGGATGCACAGATTACAAGTAGCTCCTGAATAACAGATACGTTCTTCTTTTTTTTTTAATTTTTATATTTTTGAGACGGAGTTTCACTCTTGTTGCCCAGGCTGGAGTACAACGGCATGACGTCAGCTCACTGCAACCTCTGCCTTCCAGGTTCAAGCAATTCTCCTCCCTTAGCCTCCTGAGTAGCTGGGATTACAGGTGCCCGCCACCACGCCTGGCTACTTTTTTCTATTTTTAGTGGAGACGGGGTTTCACCATGTTGGCCAGGCTGGTCTCGAACTCCTGACTTTAGGTGATTTGCCTGCCTCGGCCTCCCAAAGTGCTAGGATTACAGGCATGAGCTACCGCGACTGGCCTAACAGGTAAATTCTTATATAGAGAGCACGGTCTGAGGCAGAAGTTCATCTTTTTTAAAAAAGCAACTTTTCTAACAGCATGTGACTATAGAGTAGGAGATGAAAGGGTAATTTTGGTGCACAGAGATATAAGGGGATGAGAAGGGTGGAGACATCAGGGTCCTGCAGAACTTTACATAGGTGATATTTACACTCACACAAGGGAATGAACACCGACCTTTCAAAAGCTTTTCCAAAAACAGAAGAGGAAGGAACACTCCTCAACTCATTCCATGAGGCTAGAATTGTCTGGATACAAAGACTAGACAAAGACATCATAAGAAAACCATAGATCAGTGTCACTTAGAATAGCATTAAAAGGAATACAATACTTAGTTGTAAGACTTCTACAATGAGAACTACAAAACATCATTGAAAGAAATCAGAGACCTAAATAAATGGAAAGACATCTCATATTCAGCATTGGAAGGCTTAATATGGTTGAGATGGCAATACTGGTCAGGTGCAGTGGCTCATGCCCATAATCCCAGAATTTTGGGAAGCTGAGGTGGGAAGATTGCTTGATTCCAGGAGTTCGAGACCAGTCTGGGATACGTGATGAGACCATGTCTCTACAAAAAATTAAAAAGTTAGCCAGGTGCAGTTGCGCACGCCTATGGTTCTAGCTACTTGGGAGGGTGAGGTGAGAGGATTGCTTGAGCCCAGGAGGTCAAGGTTGCAGTGACTGCTGCCTGGTACTCCAGCCTGGGTGAAAGGGCAAAACCCTTTTGGGGAGGGTGGGGAAGATGGCAATACTCCACAAATTGGTGTGCAGATTCAATGCAATTCCTATCAAAATCCCAGCCTCTTTTTTTTTGTTTTGTTTTGTTTTGTAGAAATTTACAAGCTGATGCTAAACACACATGTGATAGGATCAGGGCTCAGGCTCAGGTCTGAGCCTCAATCTGACACTCTCTGTGGAGTGTCAGGAAATAACAGATAAATAGCATCGAATTTGAAGGTTTGCCGAGAAGTGAGAGAAAAAACTCCCTTTGCCTGCCTCCTAGGCTTCAAAGCTGTCTGGGCCAAGACGTCAATTTAGCTGCATCATGGGTCAATGAGGCCTTTGCGAATTAGGCAAATAAATCAAGTTACTAGAGTTTAAGCTGTGTTTTCTTTCAGTATTCCAATGAATCACTTTTTGACCTTTGGAATTATTAGGTACTTGTCAAGACTGATAAAATTTAGCTGGAGATATTGCAGATATGGGCGATAAATATGACTGAATAAAGTCTGAAACCATTCAAGACTATAAAATGTGTTTGAGATTTAGGTGAGGAGGAAAGACCTTTTGAAAATTATGAAGGCTATTAACAGGCTGAACATGACTTCAATTCACCATATCTCAGAATCGGTAGGTACTCCTATAAAAGTGTGAGTGAGATAGTTCACTCATGTTAATAGGCTCCTCGTAATGATGCACAAATTCACAGTAGTGCTGGGTATGCGGCACGTCAAAGGCCCAAATGCCTTTTATTATGAAAGACAGGCCAAATCTAGTCAAGTTTTAGAGTTACCTATACTTACTGTATTTCTATATTAGGTTATTTCATGACATTTATTTCATGACTTTTTTCCTAAAAATGAATCTGAATAGCTTTATTTCTTTTCTCTTTCTTCTTGAGATGTGGTCTTGTTTTGTCACTTAGGCCAGAGTGCAGTGGCATGATCACAGCTCATGGTAGCCTCAACCTCCCAGGCTTAAGGGATCCTCCCATCTTAGTAGTTGGGACCACAGCCATGCACCATCACGCTTGGATAACATTTTCATTTTTTGTAGAGACGGGGTCTCGCTATATTGCCTAGGGTGGTCTTGAACTTCCGGGCTCAAGTGATCCTCCCACCTCAGCCTCCAAAACCTCCAAAAATGCTGGGATTACAAGCACCAGCCACCATGCCCAGACTTTATAGTTTAATTTCATAGGCATTTGTCCATGGTGGGGGAAATGCTGAGAAAGAAAGTAGAGAAAAATACACTTTATTTCCTATTTAAGTAGACCTTATTTTGTTTAACTATACTGATACTGATAGGGCAAGTATTATATTATTAAGTAACTATTAACATTCTATTAACTATACTGATAGGGCAAGCATTTTATTAAATAATTATGTATATTCTATTCAAACAAATTAGAAGCCTTCTAGATTAAAAATATATGTATAGAAAGGTTTAAACTGCCTGAAAATTAGAAGGTAAATGACAAATATTTACATATCATAGGAAAGAATGTTCAGATCACACACAAAGAACATATAAACACAGATAATAGTAAGATACGAAGACATCAAGCAAACGAAGATCAGTGTCTTCAAAAATGTTGTATGTTTGGCAAAAGCTCCTATCACAAATAGTAGGAGGCCGGGCATAGTGGTTCATGCCTGTAATCCCAGCTCTTTGGGAGTCTGAGATGGGTGGATCACCCGAGGTCAGGAGTTCAAGACCAGCCTGACCAACATGGCGAAACCCCATCTCTACTAAAAATACGAAAATTAGCTGGGTGTGGTGGCACATGCCTGTAGTCTCAGCTACTTGGGAGGCTGAGACAAGAGAATTGCTTGAACCCGGGAGGTGGAGGAGATTGCACCACTGCACTCCAGTCTGGGAGACAGAGTAAGACTCTGTCTCAAAAAAAAAAAAAAAAAAAAAGATTTTTTTAGATGTTCCCACTTTATGCCAAAATCTATGTGGCTACACATACCAATAAAGCCCTTCTTTGCTAGCTCCATGGTGAACCTCCTTGTGATCTTTTCCAGTTCGTTATCCTGTAAAATAAGAAAACAATAAAAATAAAAAAAGATACAAAAATCGCTTGAGATTATAGCTAGCATCTTATTTTCTATTTATAGTACATTTTCATGTCTTCTCATCCTTAGAACAACTCATAAGGTAGGCAATGCCATTTTAAAGGTGAGAAAATAAGGGATCAAAAAAGTAGGTTATAAAAACAAGATAGTAGAACCAGGACTCAAATTCCCATTCTATTAATTCCCCACTGAAAAATATACCAAATCTTAATTAAGATTAATTGTAATATAATTATATTCCATCTAAATGGTGAATTTTAAAGAGAATAAAAATCATATCTGTTTATGTTTGTATATAGATAATTTAGTATTATGTAAAGCATTGTGACAACCAGTTTGAATTTACTTGGAACTGACAGGATAAAAAGTAAGGTTTTTATTGGCTTAGTTAAGATATTTGTCACTAGCATGAGATCCTGAACTAAAAACTTCAGATCACAGTACTACTTTTCTTCTTTCTTTTTGAGACAGAGTCTTGCTCTGTTGCCCAGGCTGGAATACAGTGGTGAAATCTCGTCTCACTGCAACCTCTGCCTCCTGGGTTCAAGCAGTTCTCATGCCTGAGCCTCCCGAGTAGCTAGGATTACAGGTGTGCGTCACTATGCCTGGCTAATTAGATCACAGTGATTCTTTTTTTTTTTTTTTTTTGAGACAAAGTCTCGCTCTGTCACCCAGGCTGGAGTGCAGTGGCATGATCTCGGCTCACTGCAAACTCCACCTCCCGGGTTTACTCCATTCTCCTGCCTCAGTCTCCTGAGTAGCTGGGACTACAGGCACCCACCAACACGCCGGACTAATTTTTCGTATTTTTAGTAGAGACGGGGTTTCACTGTGTTAACCAGGATGGTCTCGATCTCCTGACCTCGTGATCCGCCTGCCTTGGCCTCCCAAAGTGCTGGGATTACAGGCGTGAGCCACCGCACCCAGCCAGATCACAGTACTTCTTAAATATGGGTATAGGTGTCTAATAATATGAAGATATTAATTACCTTTTAAATAAGAAAATAATAATACAAAAAGCAAAAAAAAAAAAAAAACAAGACTCATAAAAACAAAACCAAACAAAGCAGAAAATGATAAAGGATATAGATATTAAGTAGGTGACCTTTATATGGCAAAACACTCAATGAGTTAATTCTTTACTTTTTTCATTCCATTTGAAAAGCAATGGGGACTATTGATTTCACTGATATGGGGGATACAGAGAAGCCCAGTAATTTCAAGTCCTTCATAAATGCACTGTGTGCACAAATATCACTTTGAGGCCGGGTGCGGTGGCTCATGCCTGTAATCCCAGCACTCTGGGAGGCCAAGGTGGGCAGATCACCTGCGGTCAGTAGTTCAAGACCAGCCTGGCCAACATGGTGAAACCCCCTCTCTACTAAAAATACAAAAATTAGTCAGGCATGGTGGCATGCACCTGTAATCCCAGTTACTGGATCAAGGAGAATCGCCTGAACCCAGGAGGCGGAGGTTGCAGTGAGCCGAGATCGCACCGTTGCACTCCAGCCTGGGCGACAGAGCAAGACTCTGTGTCAAAAAAGCAAAAACAAAAACAAAAACAAAAACTTTCATACTTACGGTATAGTTCTTGGGATAGATCTTAACACCAGCTTTAGCACCCCCAAACGGCACATCTGAAAGAGAAGGTTGATGGTTGCTATTCCATATAAAGGTTAAAAAAGTAAAATGACAGAAAGCGCCACACAATATTAGAAAAACGTGTGATGCTTTAAGCTTGAATTTCTGAAAGTTCAAGAAATAAACCTACCATCGTTTTCTCAACTGTACTTTAAACAACATTTATTGAACAGGAATTGTTCAATAAAATTGGCTAGCCAAGTTCTAATATATATATATAAAACATAATAATAATTAACCAATAATAATAAATACTTAAACCTCTAATCCATAGATTGCAAATGCAACAATGATAGCTTATTTTCTTGGGGAACAAGAGTGGGTGGGGACAGAGGGAACGGGAACAGGACTTTTGCTGAAAGGAGGGATGACAGGAACACAGGGCTGTGGGTGAAAAGAAGAACAAATAGAAGAAACAGCAGAGAAGGCGGCTGGCTGGGGTGGGGCGGGCGCCTCCCTGGCCCTGCTCCAGGACTCAGGACTGGGTCCCGCCTGGGCCGCCCCTCCTGCCAAGCCCCTGGCCTCTTCCCAGGGTGACTGGCCCACTCCTAGACCCTAGGACATCTGAAGGGCAGGAGTCCCAACGGCCTGAGAGGGTATGGGCCAGGAGCAGCAGGCTGACCCATCTGGGCCCAAAAGCCACCTGTGTTTGGGGGCTGGAATGCTGTCTAGAAAGAGGGCGCCCTGGGAAAGGGGCGCACGAGAGTTTCTCTCCTGAGAGGCCCCCATGCAGGTCGGGTCAACAAGGGGGCTTTATCTGCCTTGAGGCAGCGCTCCCTAAGTGAAGCAGGCCTACCCCAGAAGCACGGGGGCTTGGCTGGCGCCTGAACTCCCTGTGCAAGGCAGCACCTGCTCATGGAGCCCCTCAGCCTGCAGGTGCACACCTGGTTTCCAAGTCCTGCCTGGGGCCTTGCTAGGTGGGGGACGGACCTGGAACAGGACCCTAAGCCCACCCCCTCCTCATACCTGGCAGTCCAGGGCTCCCCGCCCAGTGGAGCCAGCACAGGCTAGCCAGGCCCCCCTCCTGCCTGACCCCCGGAGGCCAAGCTCCTCTCCTGCAGTAGTGCCGCCCTGCCAGTCAGGTAGCTCTGGGGGCAGGGGCAAAGGAGAAGGGAGGGCCGCAGCCCTCTGGGAATGGCCTTTCTGAGGCACTCAGTGGCTGGACTGGGGCTCTGGCAGGAGTTGGGGCATTAA
Source organism: Homo sapiens (assembly GCF_000001405.40). Lineage (NCBI taxonomy): Eukaryota > Metazoa > Chordata > Mammalia > Primates > Hominidae > Homo > Homo sapiens. The sequence continues at coordinate 47,566,754 of NC_000010.11, read as the reverse complement.
TAACACCCCCATCCTCCCCTGGGCTCCGCCTCATCTGACCCTCCAGAACCCCCTGCCCCAAGCCCCTACACACACTGTTCTATTCCTCAGCCCCTCTCAACGCCCTGGCACCATGGGGCCCAATGCATGTCCTCCCCTGAGAGGGAACAGCTCTGGGGCAACGGGCAGCGGGGTGCCCTCCCTGCCACCAAGATTTGGTGCCTAGAGCTGGTGGAGGGCTGGCCGCACCTCTCTGGGGCACACCAGGTCCTGCTCCCCCAGCCTATGGCTTTGGGGCGGAGCCCGAAGGGAGAGAGCAGGGGCGGTGGGTGGGGGAAGAAGGGGGTTTCTGCGGCTCAGTTTGTGGCAAGAAAGTTTTTTTTTTTTTTCAACTTTCTCTTGTGTAAAAAGTTCACGAAAGCTCGGCAGCCTCTGCAAATGTCAGCAGTGTTTTCTGGGGCGGGGGATCAGGGAGGGGCCCCAGGCCTGGCCTGCAACTTGCGACTGAAGGTGGCCTCTTATTGCTTAGAAACGTGTGTTTCGGTTTAAATACCAGACAGTAAAAATAGAGCTCGAGGACCACCCGCACTGTTGCCAAATCAGTGCCAGAATGAACAGCTTAAATAAATAAAAAATCGAAATATTTACTTCTGGATAAAAATCGCAGTAAAACCATTTGCCTTTCTTTGCATTATATATAATATATATTTATAACTGCCCAGCTGCGGGCGGCGGAGCCGAGGGCAGCGGAGGGGTCAGGACATCTCGATGACCTCCACGCTGCCCGAGAAGCTCCCCTGCTTGCCCAGGGCGGCCAGCTCCTCGCCGCGCGCGCGCCCCTCCACCATGCCCTCCTCGAACTCCATCTGGCAGCTGCAGCACTTGAAGTGCGAATCCGGGGCCAGCTCGTCTGACCAGCTGGTCCGCGCGTCCCGGGCTCAGCCCTTGCTGCCTCCCGCCGTGGCAGGTCGCTGCAGCCGTTGGGTTCCGGGGCGCCCGCCCGGCCGAAGGGCGCAAACAGCACCCTGCCCGGCCCTTGCACGCCCTCGGGGCTGAAGCACCGAGGACGCTTCAGGGAGTCGAGCGGTGGCGTCCAGGCTCCGGGGCTGGCCGGCTGGCCAGGGCCCGGCAGCCGCGTAGCCGAAGTTCAGGCCGCGCGCGGGGTAGCGCGCCGGGCCGTGGGCGTGCCTGGGCGCGGCGTCCGGGCAGGGCGAGGGCAGGCCCAGCATGGCCCCGACTGGCTGTCCAGCTTTCAGAGAGCTTCGGGGCCTCGCCGGGGTCGCTGGGCCCGGGCCGCCGGGCCGCCTGCTGGGGGCGTAGGCCGACTTGATGTCCAGAGAGAAGGAGGGCTTGAGGCGGCTGGTGTCCTGCAGGTGGTCCGAGGAGAGGCGCAGGCTGCGCAGGCCCTGCTGCAGCGTGCTGGTGGCCGTGGGGGGCGCCGGGGGCTTCCTGCCCGCGCTCGGGCCGCCCTCCCTGGCAGCTGCACTCCTGGTGGCAGCGGTCTCTGAGGTAGGTGGTGGCAGCCATGGCAGTGGGGCCCCGGCCGCAGGGCTGGGGGGAGGCTCCTGCATTCCTGAGGGGGTGCCCGCGTCGCCCTGCACGGCGGCCAGCAGCTTCGGGCTGCTCTGGTCCTCCAGCAGCTGGCCCAGGAAGTTGAAGTTGGGCGAGATGGACGGGCGCTGGTCCTTCACAAACCTGTAGGCGTCTTCGGAGGACATGCCCATGGTCTTCATGATGTAGGCGATGGCGATAGTGGCACAGCAGGAGATGCCGGCCAGACGGTGGACGATGACTTGGCAGCTGGACAGCTTGGCTTTATCGACGAACTCGATGGACTTGTCCAGCCAGGGCAGCAGCTTTTCACAGTAGTTGTCGTTGATGGGGACCCGCAAGAAGTGGCTCTGGTAGATGAAGTCAGGCTTGGGGCAGGAGTTGCTGGCATAGAGGACGTAGCTTATTCCATTCTGCGTCATCAGATCCTTGTTCAGGACGTCTTCCTGCGAGCCCAGGTAGAGGTGAGGCAGGATGAGGGTCAGGCCCACGCTGGGCACGAGCAGGCAGGACTGGGAGAGGCTCATGGGTAGCAGGGCAGCAGGCTCACCCTTGCAGAGGTCGGGGAAGCAGGAGGAGAAGGTGGCGAAGCCCCCCGTGATGATGGCCATGCTGTGGAAGCAGCCGGCCACGCTGTGGAAGCAGCCATCCAGCTTGGTCAGCAGGATGGAGAGGAAGCTGTCTGCGGCCGCGTGCTCTGGTCATAGACCACCACGTCCTGTGGCTCAGTGGCCTCCACCTGGCTGCGTGCGGCCGGCTGGATGAACTCCACAATGGTCACCTTGCCCTTCTGCAACCGCCACTTCACCAGCTTGGAGCAGCAGATGTTGACGGAGCTGAGCACATGCCAGCTGTTGTACTCCAGGAAGGAGTGACTGTCGATGACCAGGCCCCCCCAGGCCCGCCCCGCAGCAGGCTGGCCAGCTTCTTGGCGTCCATCACCTTCCTGGGGAGCCGGTCCCCGGCCATGATGGGGCAATGGGTCTTGGGGAGGGTGACCCCTGAAGTGAGGAGGGGCTGCTCCGACGGCCCAAGTGTGGCCTCGCACTGGGAATAACCTAGCACATGATGCCGGACCTTGCTTGCGCTCACCTCGGGGGTGCTCCGAGGACCCGCACCGCGCTCAAGGCGCCCGCTCGGCTGTGCAGTCCATGGGCCAGGCGGGGGCCCGCGCAGCTGGGGCGGGGGCTGGGGCTCTAATATATATTTAATCAGTGCTCTTCACCACTTTAAAAAGATAATAGCTTATTTACTCTCCTTCTACTATAATTTGGTCTTATTTATAGAATATGTTGAGGAATTGAAAACAAAGATCTAGACTTAAAATCCAATTAGCTCCCTCCCGTAAAAAAATCCCTCCCGTAAAAAAAGGCTATATCTTAATTTAGAGTAATTGAGAAATGATGCAGGTCTTAAAGAGTACAACTTAAAAAAAAATCAGTTCCGATAAGGTATATTTCTATAGCATCTTAACAGTAACATGTTTGTAAACATATTTCCCCAGAGTTCTCATTAGGTAGCAAGAAAAGCGATCACCTACCAACCACTGCACACTTGTATGTCATCAGAGAAGCCAAAGCTTTTACTTCATCTACACTCACATCAGTGCTATAACGGATACCTGGTGGTGTTTTTTAAAAAATGTGTTGGGGTGGGTGAGAAAGAAGGGGATATATTTAGAACAAATTTCAGTAAGTTTCAAAAAAGAAAGCTACAAATTGAAAATATCCACTTTTTACATTTTATACCCAAGCTATGTCCAAAAACACTTGAAGCAGCTCATACATCAGAACACCATAAAAAATGAATATAAAACATTTAAAAAAGCTGCTAATAACAGTAACTATGATTTCACAAGACAAAAATCACCCTGCAATGAATTTCTGTACACTTTCCAGAAGGCTTTTTTATGTTCCTTTTACCTTTGGTTTGCGTGACCTGGTTGCAGGGAGTTCAAGAATTCAGCTTGCTTTTTTAGGGGGTGGGTAGGGGTGGGAAACAGGGTCTTGCTCTGTTGCTCAGGCTGAGCGTAGTGGCACAGACACTGCTTACTGTAGCTTCAACCTCCTGGGCTCAGGTAATCCTCCCACCTCAGCCTCCTGAGTAGCTGGGACCACAAGTGCATGCCACCATGCCCAGCTAATGTTTGAATTTTTTGTAGAGTCAAGATCTCACCATGTTGCCCAGGCTGGTCTCAAACTCCTGGGCTCAAGTGATCCTCCCACCTTGGCTTCCCAAAGTGCTGGGATTACAGGGATGAGCCGCTATGCCTGGCAAGAATTCTGCTTTCTGATAATTCACAAACATGGGCAATGAATAGTCACCAGGTTCAAAATACCGTATGTCTAAACTGAGGTTTTGGCTTCAAATGGGTATATTGAAAGAGATCCTTACCTGTTATTCTCCTCACCCACTGCCAACCTCTTTCAATTTGAAGATGAGAAAGCCATTTTCCCTTCCTGAGGTTGAGTGATTCCCTTCACCACTTCTGCAAGAAGGGGAGGTAGCCAAGCAGACAGGTACTAGTGCCCCTGTATCTAGTAGCCATTACGTGTTGGTATAGGGTATACAGAAAGTGGCGATGCCCACTGCTTTGGCTTTGGGGGGTCTTGGTCAATTACCCTTCCAAGTTTTGGAGTGCTAAGCCACCTTTCTTTCTCTATAATCCATTGCTTCTCAATCCCAAGGAGGAAAGTCTGAGCAGGGTTGATGTTTGACTGCACAGTGCTTGGGGCACTGGGTGTTTGTGTGTGAAGTTTACCCACAAGAAGCTGCAGCATTTTTTCTACCCTCCCACTCTCAACAGATTCAGCCCCTCTCGAGGGGCTGGGTACGATTTCCACTGGGAGTCACAGGTAAGTAATGGGAGCCTCAGGGACAGCTCTTTTAAAGAATTCTGAGAATAAAAGTTTTTCAGATAGAAAATATACAATATCTCAGGGACTGGCAGTTTGAGAGAACTTCCCTAGTCAATTTTAAAAGCTAGCTTTTTTATATGTTTCTGAAAACATCAACCTTAATATTAACAATATTTTAAGAGAATGTATTTATTATACAGATCATAAAGAGCATATTCTAAGCTGAACATACTTATTTGGTCTACTGTAAAAACAAATCATATTTAGAGGAGTATGTGCTTACAACTATATCTTATACATAATTGATTCTCAAATTGTGAAATAAATGTACTCATTAAACTTTTAGAATGCAAAATTACAGGTAATTTTTCTAGCACACAGCAGATATCTGTATAGCTGACTCCCCCATCTCATTCAGGTCTCTGTTAAAAACTTCATTCTGAGAGGCTCTCCCTGACCACTGTATTTAAAAGAGCACCTCTTTCTCACTCCCACTTTCCTGCCTCTCCTACCTTACTTGTTTCTTCATATCGTTTATTATTACTGACTTTGCATTATACATGTGTTTAGTATCTGGCTTCCCTACCTGGCAAGTTAGCACCACGAGGGCAGACTTTGTTATGTTCACTGCTTTAATTCCTTGTTCCTAACATAGAAAATGGCATACATTAGGCACTCAAATACATGCTGAATTAATATACGAATATTCTGACTCTTAAAATTTAAAAAAGAAAGAAAAGCTATGGCCACAAAAAATTTTGACATACATGTACTTTTAAATAACTTACCATAAGCCTCCATACATATCATGAAAGGACTCAGTATACAACATTGGGGATGGGGGTGATGGGGAGATGATGGTCAAAGGGCACAAAGCCTCAATTAGACAGGAGGAATAAGTTTCTTTGAGATAAATTGCACAGCATGGTGAATACAGTAAATAATAATAGATTACACATTTGGCCCAACATGGTAGTTCACGCTTGTAATCCCAACACTGGAAGGCTGAGGTGGGAGGATCACTTGAGCTCAGGAGTTTGAAACCAGCCTGGCCAACATAGTGAGACCTCATTTCTACAACAACAACAAAAAGTACTGCACATTTCAAAATCACTGAGTAAATTTCAGATGTTCTCACCAGAAAAAATGATAATTATTTGCAATTGTTTCCAGTAGTGAACAGGTTAATCAGCTTGACTTAATTATGTAATGTTGTATTCATAAATCATAAAATTACTTTGTACCTCATAAATATATATCTACAATTTGTCAATTTACAATTTAAAAAATAAAAAAATTGAAAGGCTTTCCAGTCAGATGAGGCCCACAGAAAAGGAAAAAAAAATTGTAAATAATATTAAGATGAATCCTTTGTATCTTAAAAAAAATTGAGTTGGGTGTGGGGGCATGTGCCCGTAGTCCCAGATGCTCAGGAGGCTGGGGCAGGAGAATCGCTTGAGCCCAGGAGTTGCAGGCTGCAGTGAGCTACGCTCAGGTCACTGCACTCCACCCCAGCAACAGAGCCAGACCTTTTCTCAAAAAAAAAAATTGTTTTAACACTAAAATGTGCTTTTCAAATTATTCAAAATGCTTCTAAGTAATACCACATATTTAATGATAACTACACTAAGCCAGGAAAATAGTCAGGCGCTGTGCCCAGGTGACCCAGCCTGCACCATCCGCTTGCATGGAGGGGTGCTAACGCCACCCTCCTAGGATGGGCGTCACAACTGCGAGGAACATCGCACATGGGGAATCTGGCACGGTGCCCTGCAAGTGGTCAAACAGGCAAATCTCAACTGTTACCACTGCTATAACAAGTATTACAAAGCAATGGCATGTAACAAAGCAATTAAAAAGTCTAAACTGACAGGAGTTTGAACAAATGACTTAAACCTTGGTTTCATTACTTCTACATAAATTCACGGGAAGTGGTAAAACAATGTATTAATTAAGAACTAGTATTTCTTCTCCCACACATAAATCACTTTTTTCATTGCTCTTTTAGAGCCTGTGGAAGTCATCACTACATTATTTTTAATTTTCCTGGCTTTCTTAAGTGGAGGAAAAGTTATTTTCTTTTAACTTAGAAACTTAAAAATTTTAACTTGCATTTAGCAGGGAGCTAAAAACTGCTGGAACCAATGATATTCATAAATCAAACAGAAGCATTCAAATGGCAAGCCTAATATTCTAGAAATAGATGTTACTAAAAATTAGGAACCAGACCTCTCCTTCCACACAACAGTGTAAACAGAATGTCCATTTTATCATAAGTCATGGAATGATATGGGTCAGAAACTGTGTGTGTATAACAAGAGACATGTTCCGCTGGATGGAACCCAGGAATTCTTGTTTGTAAAGTTAAATTTTCTTTCCCAGCTACACCCATTTAGAGAGCTCAACCTGCTAAACAGTGAAGAGAAGCAGTTTCACAAATTACCTCTCACACCACAGGCATTTTCTGTAGGCTATGAACCAATAAAGGTTCAGTGAATGGAAGTACAGGAGGAGCTATAAAGAAAGTACCAGCTTAGTGGAAGAAGCCCTGGAGCCAACAGAGTAGGGACAAGGAGGGGATAGAAGTGAATGCAAGTGATATTGCCTGGGCTAAAGAAGACACATTTTCATTTTAAATTTCTAGTTAACCAGTGATACACACGTTTTTAATTCTAGAAATTGGCAAATACCGAGTACTGGGCTACCTAAACTGTTAATCTGAAAAACAAAAAATTTTAAAGTGCACCCATTAATAAAATACTCTGCGGCAATACTTGAGACAAAACAATCTCCAATAAGACACAATGTACCCACAAACAGAAAAAGCCAGTTACTCTTCCTTCTCTGGGTTTGGAAACCAAAGATAACTATCAAAAATATACTGTCACCTGAAAATTCTTAACTACATTCTAAGGCACATTAAGAGATTTAAGTAAGGAGGCTGGATGTGGTGGCTCACGCCTATAATCCCAGCACTTTGGGAGGCCGAGCTGGGCAGATCACTTGAGGTCAGGAGTTCGAGACCAGCTTGGCCAACATGGTGAAACCCCCATCTTTACTAAGAATACAAAAATTAGCTGGGTGTGGTGGCATGCTTCTGTATTTCCTAGCTACTCATGAGGCTAAGGCGGTGGTTACAGTGAGCTGAGATTGCACTACTGCATTCCAGCCTGGGCGACGGTTTGAGACTCCGCCTCAAAAAAAAAAAAAAAAAAAAAAAAAAAGTAAGACTCCAAAAAGGAAGTTACTCTACTTAATGGATTGGGAAAAAATAGCACAACTGGAGAATGTGAAGGACAAAATGATGTGACATATACATACAAAGTTCTGAAAGGCAGGGAAAGCTTAGCCCTTTTTAATGCCCATTCCCATTCAAATATACTCAATTTGAAGTTATTCAATAAAGTCAAATAATAGGTAAATACATATGCATACAAGAAAATCAGAAAATCTTAAAATATTTAATCCAAAATGAAGCAAGAAGGATCTTATGTGGTCTGAATATTGTCACTTTTTATAAAACCAAGCCTTTCCTCCTTCAGCAGAGAAGGCTGAAGGTGAACAGGACCAACAGAGATCAAACAGGGGCACAGAACAGAAACTAGGGGGAGGAAGGAAGAGATGTTTTATTCCAGAAATGGAGGAAAGTAAATTATATTTTTGTATCCCAAAGTCTTAGAGGGTTAGGCATGGTGGCTCATGCCTGTAGTCCTAGCACATTGGGAGGCTGAGGCAGGAGAACTTGAGCTCAGGTGTGCAAGACCAGCCTGGACAACAATAGTGAGATCCCATTTCTACACACACACACACACACACACACACACACACACACACACATCTTAAAACCCTGTTAGACTCCATTGATGCATTACTAGTGTCTGGGATCAACTGAGTCTTTGGTCAACTGTGCTAGTAGGAATGAAGGTAAATACTTTTAACAAAGAGCAGGAGTCCACGGCTGGCTAAGCTAGATAGTGAATGGGCTCGGTACACAGGTGTCGGCCACAGAGCTGATGCCATTAGACACATGGCCTAAAAATCAAGGCCACCCTGCTGACAAAGTAATCTGTGCATCCAGCTCACCAGAGGAAACTGAAGACACACCACCCATGACGTTTATTATTTATCTATCTCAGTAAAGCTGGAGGAAGGGCTAGGGACAGAATGACGTATGTACTACAATGGGAACTTTTAAATCATTCCTTCTATTCTGAACAGAAACCAACTAAACAGTTATTTTATGTTAACTGGTATCCAGATGTTTCCAAAGAATATTAGTGAAATGCAGACATCTGCAACTATACACAGCACAAAGCACTGATCTGATTTTTAACTTAATTACCACAGATATTCCTTAGTATGCTCAAGTCTAATGAGCAGTGCATGCTAAGTTTCTCTAGGAGAAATAAAAATCAAAAGCAGAAACTAGCTTAAGTTGCTACAGTGATGAAGAAAACAAACCAGCTCATTACTTTAAAAAAGATTCAGTGAAAACCACAATTGACTAAGCTTGAATTTTTCTTCCTTTTCCTAGCTGACTCAAAAGCAAACACACAAAAGCCTCCAGCTAGAGTCACTGTTTTTTTTTTATAATTAATCATTAACAAAACATTTATGAAAATCCAAATGGTTTTAAAATTACTTCAACCTGGTTCTCTTAATAGGGTTTGATTTATTCATCAGAAATCTGATTTCCAGCTGTACTCTCTCACTTTTCAGCAACTATTTATAAAATAACCAAGAGTTCTACCACAAGCACAGAACCCCCAGAAAAGCAAAAAGGCCTCAGAACAACTCTTAATATTCATACGTTAACACTCTTGCCACTTACTCATCAGATCATATTTTTTCACTTAATATTAATGTACTTTCTAATCCACAATAATGTAGCGTAACTTAATTTAAAATGAGGAGAGGAAGGTTAGAAGCAGGGAGGAACTATTAATGACCACCCGTAAGTAATGACCATCTGAAATACTATGTCTCAGATAAAAATTCAGACATTCAGCATGGGGAAGGAGCACTGCATATAGGAGCTAAGAAAAAGTACACACTTTAGGCTGGGTGTGGTGGCTCATGCCTGTAATCCCAGCACTTTGGGAGGCTGAGGCGGGCAGATCATTTGAGGTCAGGAGTTCGAGACCAGCCTGGCCAACATGGTGAAACCCTGTCTCTACTAAACATACAAAAAAATTAGCTGGGCGTGGTGGTGCACGCCTGTAATCCCAGCTACTGGGGAGGCTGAGGCAGGAGAATTGCTTGAACCCAGGAGACAGAGGTTGCAATGAGCTGAGATTGCACCACTGCACTTCAGCCTGGGTGACAGAGTGAGACTCCATCTCAAAAAAAAAAAAAAAAAAAAAGAAAGAAAATAAAAATTATACTTTAATTGCTTTAGCAGCATCAATGTACTGTTCTGTATAAAGTAGGCAAATACCATCTTAGATTTTTAATTCATTGTCTAAATCTTTTATTTTAACCTGAATAAATTTTGAAAAGACAACTAAGCTTTCTGGGAAGCAAATGTTTAGCTGATATTGGAAAAATATAATGTAGTGACAGATCAAGAAAAAAAAGGAAAAATACTTTTTTTCATTAAAAATTTAAAATTATAATACATATGTATGTATTTCTGTCAAAATTGAAATACAAAAAGAAAGCTGAAGACTCCCTTGACTACCACTTGTGACCCCAGTCTTCTCTAAGTGTATATCCTTCCAAATCATATTCCCTGCAGTTATATATGTACATATCCATAAAACATACAGCTTTCTTTTATGTTAGGTATTTAACTTACAGCCTGATGGATGGAAGATTATGCATTAAAAGGGGGATCTTGTTAATTTTTTTGGTAGATTCTTTTATTCTGATCTTGATTAACAGTAAACTTAGTTGCACTTTCACACCAAATACCTCTTGGAAACGGAAATGATGCTAGTTAAAATGGCGAATATAAACTTGGACTTAGTAAAAGATAACAGTAACTTGTTATTAAAAACTTTCAAAGGGATAAAGGCTTGAAACCTCAGGTATCCAGTTTCATGTAAATTACTTACAAGTCTAGGTGATATTTGAGATGGGTCTTAAGAGAGGAAGAGGAATCCTAGGGAGGGGGAGGCGAGGCATGGACAGGCAGAAGGACTGCACTGTGCAAGGGCATGATGGAGAGAAGTACATGCCTAGTTTTCCAGTTTTCCTGAGGATAATTTTACACCAGATCTTCTTTATTTTAAAAATCCAATCCTTTTTCTTAATAACCCCTGTCTGTCCCTGATACCACCATTTTTTTTCTACCAGTCTCTCAGGCTAGAAATTTTGTAGTTATCTTTGCCTCTTCTCTCCATCCTGTAAATCCTACCTGTTGGGAATACATTACTGTCCTTTCTTCAAAATGTTTTATCTGTCTTTTCTTTTTCATTCTCTGCTATTAAGTATAACTTCATTCTCAGTTCCACTGCTGCCTAGCTTTCTGTGTCCTGCTAGGTTCATCATTATCCATCCAACAAACATAAAAGGAAAACTGTTTCTACTCACACACTTCTGAAACCAAATGTGTGGGTTTTCCACACTAAGCAGTTCTCCAGTTCTCTCTGCAGATACAAACCGGGTGTCCTGCAATTCACTTCTGAATTGCCATCAACTAAGATCATAAGACTGCTGAGCAGTTGGTTTGAGAGGGAAGATTCTGAGTTCTGTAGGGCATATCACTTTGGAAATGTCCATTAAACATCCAAATGGATATGTCATGGAGGCAGCTGGAGTTCAGGTTAGAGGTCTGAGTCACTGATAAAACTTTGGGAGTTGTTGGCAAATGATAGCGTATTGGTCAGAGTCCGATTAGGAAAGAGAAGCCACACAGTCATTTGAACAGGAAAAGTGTACCTAGGGAATTGTTAATTGCAACAGGGAAGTGGAGTAACCAGGCACAGACTAGTAGGAAGTATAGGAGGAGCAGCTACTAGTCTAGGGCTCAGGTAGAGAACTCAGGAGAGTCCTCCCCTCTTAGTGCCCTGCCCCTGCACCTCATCAGAGGAACCCAGCCATGGCCCTCTGCTTGTCAGGAGAGTCACCGATGCTATACCACTGGAACTTACTAGAAATACTTCCTTAGGTGCTGGGGAAAGGAGCGGTGTCTCAGAAGAGTTACTCTATAATAAAACTGCCTGGAGCTGGTGAGAGGAGTGGGACCTGCTGGGCACTGGCCACTGTGTCCCTGGTGAAGTCAACCGCCTGCAGGAGCCAGGCGAGGGAGCATAGGAGAACCAGTAGCAAAGACAGCTTTCACCTACAAAGTCTCTCCATTGCTCTAGATAGGAGGTGGTGGTCAGAGTGGGATACTGTGAGGGTTGCAGTCCTTGGACCTGACAAGGTCTAAGGTCTGATCATGGAGGGAGGGGGAAGCTGAGGTAGGGCAGAGGACAAGAATGGGCTTCATGAGACCAAAAGGATGTTAGAAAGATTATTTACCCGGCTACTGACATCTCCAAGAAGTAAGAGGCCTAGTGTGAAGAAGTTACAACATCCTAAGCTCTTCAGGGATAAGGGAAGCATGCGCCACGTAGGTAGCCTCCCTAGTGCAGCACCCAGTATATAGCCTATGCAGAGTGAATACCTGGGGGCTGCTGGGGGTGATAACAAGGTCACTGTGACAGGACCTGAAGCCTGGGGGTCTCGGTGACAGGAGTGGGCCTAGTTTTTTGATGTAGAATTGAGCCTTGCATGCACCGGTGGGATCATATTGAAAAGAAACCCTCCAAGACTAGAGGAAGATGCATCCTCTGACAATGTAGTCTCTGTAGGCGTCCCAAGTAGCTGGGCTGGGGATTAGATGGGCTCCAAGGCATTTCCTCAGGTGGCAATGGGTGGATCCCTGGGAAGGCAAAGCTGTGCAGGAAGAAAATGGCAAGATGCTACCTTCCCTCAGGGAAAGCCCCTTTCCCGGGAGCAGGGAAGGCGAGGCAGTTTAGGCTGGGTCAGTTTGTCCCTGCCCTCAGAGTCTGTTGGTCCCGGAAAAAGAGGGCCTTATTTTATTTATTTATTTTTCTTTGAGACAGTGTCTTGCTCTGTCGCCCAGGCTGGAGTGCAGTGGCTCGATCTCAGCTCACTACAACTTCTGCCTCCCAGGCTCAAGCGATCGTCCCGCCTCAGCCTCCAGAGTAGCTGGGACCACAGGGACCACAGGGACCACAGGCGCCCTGCCACGACGCTGGCTTTATTTTTATTTATTTATTTATTTATTTATTTATTTATTTATTTTTTGAGAGATGTAGCCTCCCTATGTTGCCCAGATTGGTCTTGAACTCCTGGGCTCAAGCAATCCTCCTGCCTCGGCCTCCCAAAAGGCTGGGATTACAGGCGTGATCCACCGCTTCTGGCCAAAAGAGGGCTATAGGGCACCCCCAGAACGCGAGATCTCCCTCGTCTGTCATCTTTACAGAGGAGGAAGTGGACTCCCAATCCAGCCATAGTCCATTCGCCCCGGGCACGGTGACTCCGGGGCGGCCAGAACCAAATGTGTCTCCTGGCTTTTGCACGGCATCAAGTAACCCGCGCCAGGCCGCACAGCTGCCCTGGCCTTCAGCAAGGACTCCGCGAGCGAGGTGCAAGCTGCTGGGGAGTGCCACAGCAGGAGCTGAGGCAGCGGATTCCGAGGGCGGGGTGGGGCTGAATCGGGAGGGACGCGGACCCGGTGGAACGCACTGCGCAGACGGCGCCGGCGCCAGCACTCGGCCGTTGACGAGTCTTTCTTCCAGCTGTCCCCTGAAAGTCATCCAGGCGGCGGTCCCTTTTTTTCTGCCTTTTTGTTTCCCTCCGGCGAGTCGGCGCGAGGGTGAATTTCCGTTTCCGGCGGTGTCCAAGCGGACCTAAGGAGTCGCAGTTGTGAACAGGTTTGGTGCCGCGGGCTGGGGTAGGCGGCGGTTGGGTCCGTGGCTCTGGGGCACTGGGAAGATCGCGAGTCGTGCGCATGGGAAGGTCCTCCCCCGGTCCTCCGGGTCATCTTTGCTCCCGAGGAGCGGCATATTTCGCATCTGCCTGAGGTGTGCCCGGGGGTCGTTGGGAGAGTGACGGGATGAATCCCTGCAGAGAGCCCGGACTGGGAGGGAAGGTGTCGGGGAGACGTCGTTTCCTGGCGACGTGGTCCCGGCAGGCGACTTAGACCTGAGCCGAATCTGTTGACCCCAAATTGTGCTTTTCCCACCAAGAAGAAAAGGGAGAGAAACAGTACAAGTTCGGCAGTAAAATATAGTAGAGAAGCAATATAACCTCTGAAATCACACAGCTATTCAGTTTCAAAGCGTTCCTAGTGCCCAGCTCTCCTAACTCCCGGCCAGTGTTCCTTGACATATGGTGATATATAAAGACTTTCTGTTTCCGCTCGTGTGTGTGTCTGTGAGAAGCCTCTGACTCACTTCTGTGCTCCAGTAGCACCCTCTGCAGCCTTGCAATGTAGCCCTTATTGCATGGCACGGAAGATACTAGTTTGGATTTCCTCTGCCAATCAGACCATAGCTATATCCATTTTCTGGCACAGTGGCTAGCACATCATAGACAGACACAAACATTTATTAAACGGAATGAATACAGGACCTTAACTGAATGAAATGGTACCCTGCCCCGCTTTTTCTCAATCAAGCTGTCAGATTTTATGCAGCCCGATATTCCAAAAAAACTCACAGATTCAGTGACTACCAATTTATTGGCCACAGATTCCCAGGTACCTCAGAAATCACTGGAAGGGTCTCTGTAAGTCCATGGGGTCTCCAGGCATCATCTAAAACCAGTCATATCTCACACATACAGATATTGCTATTTTTCAAATGTATGTAGATGAGCTGTAATTTAGAAGTTTTAGAGTCAACAGGTACTAAAAGTAATACTGCGATCCTATTGGAAGTTCATAAAAACGTTTTAAATTTTTTATTGAAATTTAAGTTCTGGTTTAAGTTAGGAAACCACTTCGTTAGTCCAGTCGATGTCTAGGTCTGAGCTGTCCAGTATGGTAGCCACATGTGACTATTTAGAGTTAGAATGAAATTAATTAAGAATTCATTTTTTCAGTTTCTCTGAAGTACATTTTAAGTAACCACATGTGGCTAATGGCTAAATGGCTGAAAAGTACAGATATAGAATATTTCCATCCTTGCAGAAATAGGTACTGGTGATGTTGACACTTGAGATGAATAAAAAGTAACTTAACCATAGAATGTAACCTTAGCAGAGGTAACTCATCTAATTTATAGCATAACAGAGAGAAATGAAATTGGGGATGGTTAAGCAGTTTCTACCCTTGTTCAGTGAACAAATACATCATGTCTTCATAAAGAAATAAATGAAATTTAATGTTTTTCCCTGGGTATTGCCTGGATTGTAAAATGCTTCTCCCACCTCCTTACCCCAACCTTCTTCCTTGTAGGTTAGAGTTACTTGTTATTGGTAAATAGCCACTATGGAGACTAAGGACCAGAAGAAACACAGAAAGAAAAACGGTGGACCCAAAGCTGCAAAGAAAAAGAAGTGGCATCTGCAGGATCTCCAGCTAGGAGACTAAGAAAATGCCCAGAAGAGAAATGCCAATGCTTTTGCAGTTCAGTCTGCTGTGTGGATGTCTCGATCCTTTCACAGGTGTGTTTAGCTACAGTCTGATGGTTCTTCCATTGAATCTTTTTAAATAGTTAGGAGCCTCTCACAGGTGACATTTGGATTCACAAGTCTAGTCCAGCTCCAAAGGACATGGAGATGCATGCTGTGTGGCTTTTACTAAAACGTGAGAAGACTTGCCATAGAAGCTGCCTTGCCTCCAGCATCTGCACACTGGTTGGCGTTTCTTGCCCAAGATACAAGAATTTATAGAATTTGATTCTTCCTAAACTTTAAACTGTTTCTATGGTGATAAGTGTGCTTTTTCCCTCTGGATATGTTTTACAAAGTTGTAATATAAAATACAAAAATTACAATATGTAATACTAACATAGCTTTATTTAGTGAGTCCTTATGATATTCTTAGCAGTGTACTTTAAACGTTATTCAACTAAATCCTTCCAGCAGCCTTACCAGAGTAGGAATCATTCTTGCCCTCATTTTATGGACAAGAAAACTGAGGTCAAGAAAACAAGTTACCTCCAATCATACAACCAGTAAGTCGGAGAGCCAAATTTAACTCCAGAGCCTCTGCTCTTATCTGTTATGATGCACTGCCTCAGTATTTACCTTTTGGTTTTTAAAAAACTATAAAAATCACTCATAAAGCAGTCAGATTTAAGGTGTGTTTAATTTTCAACTCTATACTATTGAAGTCATCTTGTTACATCTTTATTGAACAGCAATTGATTTGGATAGGGGTCAGAAGTTAATAATTGACAAGTTACTTATATTTTTATATTGTCTGTTGTACTCTCTATAAAATATACTAAAGTACTCATATCTGTAATTATACTAAAAAAAAGTCTACTTATAAGGTTGATACCTTTTACTCTATTTTAAAAGTGAGTTTACTTTTTTTTTCTTTTTTAAATAAATAGGACTCTGGATTTGAAGACACAAAAGCATCATATTCCAGTGGTTGATGGAACTCCACTAGAGCCGCCACCAATACCGGTAGTGGTGACGGGGCCTCCAAAGTTGGAAAGAGCACTTTGATATAATGCCTCATTCGGAACTTCACCTGGCAGAAGTTCACCGAGATCAGAGGCCCTGTGACGATCGTGTCAGGTAGGAGATGGTGCCACAGACACAGACTTGGCGTGGCTGTTGTCATCTGAGGGACATGCGTGTGTTTGTTGTTTTCTTGAGTGGAACATGTTAAATATTGTCATATCATGTTACCTCTCTCTTACTTTTACTAAGTTAGCTATAACTTCATAAAAGGATAAGTTCCCAGAGATAAGGATGTGATACATACCTTATCCTGACTGCTCTATGGCTTTGCCAAGCATGTTCCTTGGAAGGGCCTGACAGGCCTGGTCACTGCGAACACACCATTTAACAGACAGCACGTACCTCCTATGTGCCAGGTGCACATGCTTGCCCTTATGAAGCCACATGCTGGTGGAAGTGCGCGTTTTCTCTTTTTCCTATGAGAATTTGTCTGCTTTGGGAGATGGTGACCTTTCCAAGTTTGAGGGAAGATGAAACAAACGTCCAGTGGTAGAATGGCAATGTACACTCTGAAATCTCTTATTATTGCAGTAATATAGTTGGATTGAGGCTTTTCTTTATCTTTGGCGCATCCATATTTTATTTTCCTTTTTTTGAGACAGAGTCTTGCTCTGTGGCACAGGCTGGAATGCAGTGGTGTGATTACAGCTCACTGCAGCCTCAACCTCCCAGGCTCAAGCAATCCTCCTACCTTAGCCTCCTGAGTAGTGTATGCCACCATGCCTGGCTAATTTTTCTTTTTTTTCCTTTTTTTTAATTTTTATGTTTTTGTAGAGATGGGATTTCCCCATGTGGCCCAGGCTGATCTCAAAACTCCTGGGCTCAAGGGATCCACCTGCCCTGGTCTCCCAAGGTGCCAGGACTACAGGCATGAGCCACTGTGCCCAGCCAATATTTTCTTGATCATTTTCTTATTACCTTAATTTAGAAATAATTATCATTGTAAATATTCTGTTGCATTATGTTTGAGGATGTTTTTAGCGATAGTGGGAATACAGGAAATTTTGATAGAGGTGAAGACATTGGCCTGCAGCTGAACAGCAAGATCATGGTTATCGTGGAGCCTGTCTAGTCAGAATTTTCCCTGTTTTGAGCACTTTTATTCATCTGGGTAGGCTTTTGATATTATCTAAATTTAGAACACAGGAAGAAAAACAGGATGGAATTTATTTTACCAGTTTTTGCCTATAAAAATGAACTTCTGGTACACTCCTGTAAACGTATGTGGTGTTTTACTGGATGCAATTAAAAAATGAAAATTAAGAGTTGATGGTTAGAGTTTTTTCAGGGTCTTTTTAAAGTAAAATTTTCATCTTTTCACTTATAGGTAAAAAGCGCAGACTCACCATTATTGAATGTGGGTGTGACATTAACATGATGATTGATCTGGCTAAAGTAGCAGATCTGGTAAGTGAGCAGGGGCAGCCTGGGGTGCTGATGGAGACTTACAGCATTGTGGTAGGTTATTTACCCCGTGATGAAGGGAAGAGAGTTTTGTGATTATTAAAAGGATCATGGTCATTATCAGGGATATAGTAGATGTGATTGAATTGATGATGATAATAATATTAGTAATAAATGTTGTCATATTAATAATACAAATGGAATGTGCACAATGAAATGTGTTCCAAAATCTAAAAGCAAATCACAGGATGGAGAAAACCTTTAATGAACACAGCTAATAAGAGCTCATTAACATTCATACATATATATGTACAAATATATCATAGTAAGTACCATTTCTTCTTGGATCCTTCCTGGCACTGTGCTAACTGCTTTCTACAAATTTAGCTTACATAAACCCTTGATACACCCTTGAGGTGAGTAGGTATTATCTATAGTTTACATAAGATGAAATAGAGCCTCCCAGCAGTTAAGTAACTTGTGTGAAGATGGGACCCTTGTTCCTGATGGTTCTAGAACCTTCATCCTTAATGATAATGCTAAAGTAAGTACATGAATTGCCTGAAGAAGTGGTCAGAGTTTATCAATAGAAAATTTAGATAGTACTCAGCGTGTGGAAAATGTACATTTATGGAAATGATAATGTTCACTATCTCTGATATTCTATGATCTTTTACATTAGCAAAAAAAAGAAAAAAAGAAAAAAAGGCCAGACACAGTGGCTCATGCCTGTAATCCCAGCACTTTGGGAGACCGAAGTGGGTGAATCACCTGAGGTCGGGAGTTCGAGACCAGCCTGACCAACATGCAGAAACCCCGTCTCTACTAAAAATACAAAATTAGACGGGTGAGGTGGTGCATGCCTGTAATCCCAGTTACTTAGGAGGCTGAGGCAGGAGAATCGCTTCAACCCAGGAGATGGAGGTTGCGGTGAGGCGAGATCGTGCCATTGCACTCTAGCCTGGGCAACAAGAGTGAAATTCTGTCTCAAAAAAAAAAAAAAATTAGCAAAAAAATAAGCCATATTGATTAGGAGGTGTAGGGTGACAGATACCTTGTTTTTTTCATTTTTATTTAGTTTTTGCTAGAGCTACAGATTTTATACTTTGGCCTAGGAAGACTCCTAAAATATAAAGGAAAAAGTAATACAGATTTTAAAGTTGTGCCATTGTAATGTCAGAAAACTAAATAACATTCAAATTTTGAACATGTAATGCTACTATTAGTAAAAATAAGTGTAATTAATGTAAAGTTGTGTAAAGATTACTAAACTTGTATACTTGAAATGATTGAATAGTTCATAGAAGTCATTTGTTTCTCTTTTATTTAAAATGTAGCAAGTTTCTAATTTTAAACACATACATATTAAGAGATGCATTTACATTTTTTTAGTTTTAGTTATTATGGATACATAATAGTTGTACATATTTATGGGGTACATGTAGTATTTTGATAGAAGCATACAATGTGTGATGATCAAATCAGGGTAATTCAGAGATCCGTCACTTCAAACATTTATCATTTATTTGTGTTAGGAACATTTTAATTTCATTCTTTTAGTTATTCTGAATTATATAATAAATTATAGTCACCCTATTGTGCTGTTGGACACTAGAATTTATTCTATCTAACTGTGTTTTTGTACCTGTTAACCTTTCCCTCTTTGTCCCTCCCTCCCTGCTCCCCTTCCCAGCCTCTTAACCATCATTGAGAGAGATGCCTATGTAAATCTTAAGATTTTCAAAAGGAGCACACACATTTGGTAAAGCACTCTAACTGTAATGCACGGTACACACAATGCGCATTTTCTCTTTCCTTGCTGTAACCTCTGGTCTCTCAGGTCCCTGCAGACCTTTATATATATGTATATGTATATGTATATCCTTCCAGATACATATAAACACACATGCCACCCTTTAAAAACACAAACGGTAGCTTATTTTATACACTGTTCTATGCTTTGCTTTTTTCATGTAATATATCTTGAAGGTGTATAATCAGTAAGTACTGTAGCTCTGCCTCCTTCTTTTTAATATAACATTCCATTCTGTGGATGCACCATAATTTATTTAGTCTAGCTTATGTTGATTGCTCTGCTCTGGGTTGTCAAAGCCTCCTGAGTACAGCAGAGGCACACACAGTACGTGGATTTGGGTGTGTACGTGCGTGTGTGGATTAGGGGAGTGACACTGGCTTAGATGGCAAAGATTGGCAGCTGAGGGACTGTTTGCTCCCTTTTATTCCTGACCCTACAACCAGCTGCTTGTCCCTTGGCACTCTGGCATCAGATGTGGTGTGAGGATATTCCACCTGTTCTTTGAGCTGGTCCAGTGTTGCTGGAGAGCTCTGCTTGCTGCCTTGGTCTGCAGTGGCAGCTGTGCTTTCCTACAAGCCCAACTTCATATATTCTGTGGTTTTGGGTTTTGAATGTTTCCTAGTTTAATCAAGGATGGGCATTTCTGTTTCCATTTTGTGTTATTTTTAGTTATCCATGGAAAGATAGAAACAGAACTATCTTTAGTATTAAAATTACAAGTTTCCAGGAATCAGTTCTGAAATTATTTTGCATCTTTGAAGTGTCTTAAATTTTAAAAATTGGTCTTGGCCAGGTGCGGTGGCTCACGCCTGTAATCCCAGCACTTCGGAGGCCAAGGCAGGCAGATCACGGGGTCAGGAGATCGAGACCATCCTGGTGAACACTGTGAAACCCCGTCTCTACTAAAAAAATACAAAAAAAACTAGCCGGGTGTGGTGGTGGGTGCCTGTAGTCCCAGCTACTCAGGAGGCTGAGGCAGAAGAATGGCATGAATCCGGGGGGCGGAGCTTGCGCTGAGCCGAGATCAAGCCACTGCACTCCAGCCTGGGCAACAGAGCGAGACTCTGTCTCAAAAAAAAAAAAAAAAAAAAAAAATTGGTCTTATCTGCTTATATTTTCTTATAGACTACCATTCATCATAATCTTTCTGTTTTTTTACTTAATTCTAAACTGGTAGCTATTTCAAATATTTCTGAGCAATTGAGTTATACAAATTAACATACAAGTTAGAGGTTTCCATTGTATACTTCCCAGCAAAAAAAGATTTTTTTTTTTTTTCTGTGAGGAGATTGAAAGAAGAGGTTGGTTTTCTGTACGTATTTAATATATTTCATTGATTATCACTTTCTTCCCATTCTTTGGATGTCAGAGACCTGTTATTTGGCTTAAAAATACATTACAGAAAACTTCATTTCTTTAAATTAGGATTTCTTAGGTAAGGGCCAGGTTAGACCCAGCCTTTTCTGAGTTACTTCTCATGCATTAGAATTCTTAAAATGGATGTTTATATCCTAGTGGCCTTGTCTTATGGTTGCCTTTTAGAGCAAGTCAGAGGGTGGTGGTTTCTCTGTCTGGGTGATGCCTGTGTAGTCATTTGATTTAGTCTGGAGTGGGACTTTTCTGTCGAGGGCCAGATAGTGAATATTTTCAGCTTTGTGGATCATATCTTCTGCAGCTACTTAGCTCTGCAGTTGTAGTGCACAGGCGGCCATAGACAATATGTAAAGGAATTAATGTGGCTATGTTCCAATAAAACTTTAGTTACAAACACAGGTGATGGGCTGGATTTGGCCCGTGGGCCAGTTGCCAACCCCTAGTGTAGGTGGTCTGTTTTGGTAGTTTCTTCGAGAAATAATGTGTTGTGCTTGTAGGTACTGATGCTTATAGATGCCAGCTTTGGGTTTGAAATGGAAATGTTTGAGTTTCTAAACATCTGTCAAGCACATGGCTTTCCTAAAATTCTGGGAGTTCTCACCCACCTCGACTCCTTCAAGCATAACAAGCAACTGAAGAAGACAAAGAAGCGATTAAAACACAGGTTCTGGACAGAAGTTTACCAGGTAGGAAGAGAAATAATTGTTAGACACTAACAGTATAATCCTTTAAAACCAGACTAAAGAGGCCAGGCACAGTGGCTCATGCCTGTAATCCCAGCACTTTGGGAGGCAGAGTCAGGTGGATCACTTGAGGCCAGGAGTTTCGAGCTCAGGGCAATATGGCCAAACCCTGTCTCTACTCAAAAGGCAAAAATTAGTCGGGTGTGGTGGCATGCACCTGTAATCCCAGCTACTAGGGAGGCTGAGACGTGAGAATTGCTCAAAGCTGGGAGGCAGAGGGTGGAGTGAGCTGAGAGTGCACCACTGCACTCCAGCCTGGGTGACAGAGTGAGACTCCATCTCAAACAAACAAACAAACAAACAAACAAACAAAAAGACTGAAGAGACATTACTAAACATCTCTCTAGGAATTGCCTCCTGAATTCCCTTTGTGTATGTGTTCCCAGTCTCTGGAAGGTGTCCCTCAAGAGAGTGGTTATTCTGGGCCTCTTGGTGTATCTCATTTGTCTCCGTACCTGCTGCACCAGGCAATGTCTGGGTGTTTTGGAGTCGGGACTTAATAGAGTACATCAGAAGTTTCTCCCAGTTACAGGACCAGGCACTGCCCCTTCCTTTCCATACTGCTGTGGTCCATCGGCCACAGAACCGTTTCTGTGCTCAGAGGCCTCACCTCCCTCTCCTCACCATACTTAGACAGATGCACCGGCTTGGTTGCAGAGCAGTCTGCCTCTGTGTGGTTCTAATAAGTCCTGAAAGAATCCAGCAAGGCTCTGGAAGCCTCAGGACAGTGGCTTTGCTGGAAGTCTCCCTTCTTAGGATTGCTTCTTGTTTAGAGCTTTTATTTTGTTGCAGTATTGACGAGAATTTAATTGAAATTTAATTTTTAATTTTCCTTTAATGTTTAGGTTGCCAAACTGTTCTACCTTTCTGGAATGGTGCATGGAGAATATCAAAACCAAGAAATCCACAATCTGGGCCATTTTATTACAGTTATGAAGTTTAGGCCTCTCATGGCAAACTTTTCACCCTTATATCCTGGCAGACAGGTAAAAAGTGATTGTAAACTTTTTCTTCCTGGGCCATGTATTTCAAAGCTAAAAAGGCTAGAAAAAGAACAGTGATAGGATTTATTTTGTGCCTATTTGAATAGTGGGGGTAGAAGTGCAGTTGATGGAAAATGTCTACTTATATCATTGCTCAAAGATGCTGTGCCTTTGGGAGTAAATTAATTATGAGATGTTTAGGAAAATGGGAGGACTTGGAAGCATTTAAGGCTACAGGATGTGGCCCCATCCTACGTTCAGCCTCGGTTTTCAGTGATGCTGCCTTCGTGCCCGGGTGCTGGAGTCCTTCGTGCGTGCCTTCAGTTTCCTTCCTTTGTGCTCTTCTTTGTGCTGTGATTTTCTCAGCCTGGAATACCCCTTTTCCACCTGCCAGAATCCAAGCCACAGTACAAATCCCAGAGCACAGGCTCACCCTCTTCCAGAAACGGATTTTCTGCATATGTTCTTCACTCTTCCCTGACCCCAGGTAGACGTCGTCTCCCATCTGGTGTCTTATGGAATGAATGTCACTTTCAGCCTAGAGACACAGTTGTGTGCCTGCCCCTTTTCCTCTGCTGGATGGTGAACGGTGCTTCCTTATTTCTGCATTTTCTAGTTCCTAAGTGATGTGCTTAGTGGACAAGAGTGTGATGAGTCATTGACACATGAAAGGAGGTATAGGAACTTTGGCATTCGTTTCTGCTGTATGATTGAGTTTATTTTTCTAGGATGGAAGATTTGACAAACCCGGAGGATATCCAAACAAACATCAAATGTGACCGGCAGGTGTCACTTTATGGTTATTTAAGAGGAGCACACTTCAAAGATAAAAGCCAAATTCACATGCCAGGTATTCTCTTGTTGTAGAACATACTAGAATTGCACATAGGATTCTTGGGATGGCTTCATTTCTCAGGAAAAATGAAAAATGACCAAACAAGGGAAGATGGCCTTGCTGGAGGTTTTAAAAGTAAGCCAGCTATGTGTAGGCCTGCAAAGGTGTTACCGAATCCCTCTTCTCTGACCTCTTGTAGCTAGAGGGCCACTGTTCCAGTGTGGCACAATGCCCTTCTTTAGGGTCATGGGTTAAGCCCTTGGACTGTGGATCGTTTTTAACCCCCCAGTCAACAGTAGATACTTACTGACTTCTTGTCAGTTGAAGCTGGCTTTTTGGGTCCCGTCTTCCAGGGGTAGAACATTTTGCCATGAGTGACATCGGTTTCCTCCCAGACCCTTGTGTTCTTCCTGAATAACAAAAGAAGTGCTGTTTAAATAAGAAGGAGCAGCTGGTTTATGTGCCTGTTTCTGGAGTTGAGGGTGTGCTGTATGACAAAGACGCTGTCTGTGTTGACCTTGGTGGCAGCCACGGTTTTCAGGCATCAGTGAGGCAGGAGTCTTTGCTCTGAACTCTCATTATTCTTTCCTAATCTATTTTTTAATCAAAAAAAGTAATGTACTCAGCTTTTATTTATTGAAGATTTTTCTCTTGTACTTATAATAAAGGCCCAAATGCATATTGTCAATATGTAGAATAAAAAGAATACCATTTTTTCATTGTACCAAGCAGAAGAGTCCTGTCCTCCATGCCTCCTTGATCCATGGCCCCAGCGCGGGCACTGCTGCCAGTGTGGCACCTGCACGGCTTATTTCTGTTTCTACAAAATCAGTGTGCTTTCCAGCTCTCGTTTGTCTTTTTCTTTTTCTCAATCACAGTGGTCTCCTCATTATTTTAAAGTGGATTTCCAATATTTATTTCTTAGTTCTGTAGTTGAATTTTATTGGGTTAAAAGCAGGGTTATTTAAAAATGTTAGAAAAGCTAGCACTGTTGTAGCACTGGAACTGAGGTTTTTCTAGCTAGGTGTTTAGGTTATCAGGTTATATACTCACTGAGCTTTGGACAAGTTTAATGGAGATGGGGATCCATTTCAAGCTTTGTTATAAGGATTTTCTTCTCTGGTGTTTGTGGCATTAAGAAAAGATCTCAGGAAATGTGTCTAAGATAATTTTGAGAAACTGAGTGAAACCAGTGTCTCTCCAGGATCTTTGTGCTTTCCTCACGTGCCCTTTCTTGGTGGCCTTGATAGGACAAGGTGGGGCTCACCCATGAGCTGGTCCAGAGTCTCATCTCCACCTACTCCACCATTGATGCCAAGATGGCTTCAAGTCGAGTGACGCTGCTTTCCAATTCCAAACCACTTGGGTCAGAGGCTATAGATAATCAAGGGTAAGTCTGCTTTTTTTCTATTTTTAATAAAAAGATATATTACAGAAGATTGTATCACCCATAATTCTGCCATCATAACACATTTTGGTGGGATTCATTCTATGTCGTTTTGTTTTTCTTTGTGTGTGCATGTGTCTCTGAGGGCTCTTCACTTACCTGACATTACAAGGGAGTCTTATCTTGAAAAAAAATACAGGATGCATTTTTCAACAGACTTCAAATATTCCTCAAATACCACGCCATCTTCCATAGGTTGCTTTTTTGGTTTTTCAGAGACCTGAGGCCACTTGGCTTTCTTTTGATGGCCGAAACACTAGAGCAGAGTCAGGGAGTTTGTGGCTGTCCAGAAGCCACATGCCTTGTCTCTGAAAGTTTTATTTAGATTATGTTGTATTATCTCCCATGGGTAGGTTTCCACTAATGTGTGGCTTATGTGAATTATTTTTCAGTCTGGGTTGGGAATTTGTATACCTTTATGCTTAGTGGATGTTTGCAAAACATTGATTTTGTTGTATTGATTTATGACTCCCAGTAAAATTTATCTGAAAATCTTGAGATAATGTAGTATATAATTTGTTACAATGTGCATAAACTACCTACCACAGTGCCTGACGTAATGAGTGTTATTAGCTGTTTTCATTTTTGCATATCCTTCTAGTCATCCTTGTCTACAAGAATACTCTCTTCTAATATAGCTACAGGTAAAATACATAATTTTATTTCTATATTCTGAGGATTTTTTTTCTATACAGTCTTTATGTAATCATGATTTTATTGTTACCAGTGTTTTTTTGTTATTGTGGTTTCTTTGTTTTTGTTTTTGTTTTTGTTTTTGTTTTGAGATAAGGTCTCACTTTGTCTCCCAGGCTGGAGTGCAGTGGTGTGATCTTGGCTCACTGCAGCCTTGAACTCCCAGGCTCAAGTGATCCTCCTGCTTCAGCCCCGCAAGTAGCTAGGACTACAGGAGTGCACCACCACTCCCGGCTAATTTTTTTTGTTCTGTTCTAGGGACGAGTTCTCACTATGTTGCCTAGGCTGGTCTCGAACTCCTGGGCTCAAGCAATCCTCCCGACTTGGCCTCCCAAAATCCTGGGATTACATATGTGAGCCACTATGCCTGGCCTGTTATTCCTGTATTCTAACTTATCCATCCCTTATGGTATGATTTTTAGTTTTTTCTAATTTATGTTTTCATACTTTTATCTATTGTGCTACGTTAAAAAGCTTCATATAGTTTTCTTTCATCCAGTGATTTTAGCCCCCTGATAATCTTCTCTATCAGTTATGGCACTGGTGACTCAAAATGGATGTTATTCCTCTGTCATTCCTTCTAAGTTTGTTACCTGGCATTTTTAACAAAGAGCTTTCTCTTCTCCCCTTTGTTTCAGCATCACGGCTGACTAATGCACTTGCGTTTTATTCCATGGGTTATTTTCCATCACTGTCATTGTACTTTCTGATGCCTATGCTGTCCCAGATTCGGCTGCGGGAGCCTTCGGCCTGTCTCCTGTGTCCCTTCAACTGTCTCTGTTAGTCTTTGAGCATTTCTTACTTTCTGACAGAACCAGAGGATCCAGGCTCATTTTGTCCTCTTCCTGCCTTGGGCCTGGACTCAGCCATTTCTCTTAAGGATCATGCGTTTTTAGCTTAGAAATTAATCAGCTTTCCAGAAGATCTATAAAACCCTAACTTCCCTTTTGAGCAATTTTTTTCTAAAATTAGATTTTTTTTTTAAGGGTTATTCCTTTATTCTCTCTATAAGTTCTTTTGAAGTGTGGTGTTAGGGAACCATGCCTCAGTTTCCTTATTAACTCTTCCGGTGTTTATCAGATCATTTTTTCCCTACGCTATGTCATCTTAAACATCTTAAGCAATTCATTGACATTTTCTGTTTCTTTTGTATTTTCATTGACTATATTTCCAGTTCTAGATTAGCTGATTAATGTACAAATTGAATTATTTTGCATATCCTTGGTGATATAGGCTGTTGATGCCAAAGGAGGAAAAACAAATAGACTTGAAAACTGGTCGAATGCGTCAGAAAGCCATTTTTGGAGATGATTCTGTGCGAACGTCTTCTCTCCTTTCTTGATCTCTTAATTTTTTTTTCTTATCCAAATATATACCAGCTGATTTTGTCTTTCTAGAAGATCCAAGATCTTTGGTTTAGAGATATATTCTCTTAATGTTAACTGGTATTAGAATACTCTTTTCTGTATTTTATTTCGATGCATTTTAAAAATAGAAATGATTGTATTTTCTTTTAACTTGTGAAGTAGAGCATGGCATACAAATTTTGTATTCTCATTATTTCAAAAAATTTCCTTCTTAGTGTACAAGTTGTATTCAGCACATAAAGTCCATCCAGCTTTGTTGTAGATGCAGTGTGATTATTACATGTTGATAAGGTGTGAATTGGAGATGGGATCCAAAAGTACTGTACTTATTGTAATTTTTAAGCTAATTGTAGATTTGGTGGTGAATATTTTACTACTGCAAAATGAAAACAGCATTTCATCAGAAGTTGTTTTATGGTCTTTCAGGCATTTTATTTTATATCTTTGATGCTTTTTGCCCATGAAGTATCTCTTTTGTGTGTTTGTGTGTATGTGTACTGATTTGCTGTAAATTTCACAGTGCTCATTGTCAGGGATCATCAGAATCAGGCCTAGGCAGAGAGCTGAGCAGTACTCTCAGTATGTCTCTGTGTCCTGGTTGCCGCATATCTCTGTTGTTTATTTATAAATTGGAGAGCTCTCTGATGTGTAACAAAGGTTGGATAGATCAGAGACAATTGGAAGACGAATCCTCTACTCTATTGTCACCTCTTATTTTTCTATTCACACATGTCAGATAGAGACATGCGTGTTGTAAATTATTTTGTCAGAATGAAAGCCTGGCAGATTAAGTGATTTCTTCTCTTTTTGCTGTACTTGATATCGATCTCTTGTTCATTTCTTGATAATATGTTTGGTTATTTTTGTTTTCATTGCTTTTGGTGTCAGAGATGGCTTTGGATTCCCTGTTCTGTGTGCTCCTGTCTGGCTCCTGAACCCAGCTGGAGAGGTGTGTCAATCCCAACTGGTGAAGTACTGAGAGGAAGCTACACAAAAGGCAGCAAGGTGTTAATAAGTGTACCTCTGACATTTTAACCACCTCTGACTTTTCCATGGAATGGACAAGTAGTAGTCTCTGTCAGAGCAATGTTTTAAAGGAAAAAAAGAAACTTGAGGTCGTAAACTGTTTATTAATTTATGCTGTTATTTTGTGTTTACTCAACTCATTTATATTGACTTGTAAATTAGTAATTTATGAACTACTATTCATCAATTCATTGCCTACATGTCAGCAAACAAGTTTTCTTCTTAATAAAGAATCCGGTGGCTGGGCACAATGGTTCACACCTGTAATCTCAGCATGTTGGGAGGGCAAGGCAGGAGGATTCCTTGAGGCCAAGAGTTCAAGACCCGCCTGGGCAACATAGCAAGATTTCATCTCTACAAAAAAATGAAAATATTGGCTGGGCATGGTGGCTCATTCCTATAGTTCAGGCTACTCAGGAGCCTGAGGTAGGAGGATCACTTGAACCCAGGAGTTTGAGGCTGCAGTGAGCTATGATCCTAACACTGCTCTCCAGCCTGGGTGACACACCAAGAGACCACCTCTTCAAAAAAGGAATCTAGGGGCATCAGTGTGTGCACACAGCATGGCTTGTGAATGCGGAAGTGCCTGTGTGCATAGTTGTGCTCAAGAATGTGTTGATGATTATATCTTCTCAGCATGAAAAAAAGTTGTTGTTGTTTTTTTTTGAGATGGAGTCTTGCTCTGTCACCAGACTGGAGTGCAGTAGTGCTATCTCGGCTCACTGCAACCTCTGCCTCCCGGGTTCAAGTGATTCTCCTGCCTCAGCCTCCTGAGTAGCTGGGACTACAGGCACACGTCACCACTCCTGGCTGATTTTTTGTATTTTAGTAGATACGGGGTTTCGCCATGTGGGCCAGGATGGTCTTGATCCCCTGACCTCGTGATTGGCCCACCTAGGCCTCCCAAAATGCTGGGATTACAGGTATGAGCCACCGTGCCTGGCCTGAAGTTCACATTTATAAAGATCTCTCTACGTCTTAGATTTGATTCTTCCTTTAAATATTTTTCTCATTGACATTTGAAAGCACCTGACCTTATATAAAATGAAGAATTTTCATAACTCCATAAAAGGAGAATTATGACATCATCTACTATTTCTTTCTCTTGTCTCATAAATCTAAACCATCAACCTGCTTATTTTTGTATACTGTCACACTGTGTATTCCCTGCATTGAATGCCTTTCTATTGACATTGTCTGTAAAAATTGTGGGAAGTTTTCTGCACCCTAAATTTTCTGTTATGGGGATTAGATATCCAGTATCCATGTTTTTCCAAGTCTTACATCAGAAAGGGTAAATACAGCCCTCACAGCAGCCTGTTGTTTGTCCTGCAGTTGTGTTTCCATCACATTACACAAAGCCTCTTTGTCTTCGTGGTTGTACCCTGCTAATAAGTTTTTTTTAAATTATGTAATATGTGTATATACAAATACCTATATGTATGTGTGTACACATACAGCTGATATCTACTGAGATTATGTATGCATGAACTATAGAATTAACTTGTAATTTTAAGAAAATAAATTATTTTGTAAAGATAAATCTCATGTTTAAGAAGGGGAATTACAATTGAATCATTTAGGGATGCCTCAGCCTAAGCATAATATGGAAAAAGCCATAACCAAAAGTCATTTTAGAGTACTGCTAGGTTACTCAACCTATCATCACATTTAATTAAAATGTCAGTTTGAACCATGGCCAGTCGATTTTCGTTAATATGTTATTTAAATCAACTTGTGAAGTCTTCATTTTAGATATAGAATTTGTGTTAATGAACTGGAAAATAACATTCTATTGCTTGGAAGATGTGTTAAAGCCTAAATATTTATGACTTTGTAAAAGAAGAAAACCAGCTGGTGATCAGTTGGCATTAGTATATAAGGATGTACTCATATTTGATAATAGCCATTTTTTTCTAACAAGAGTAAGGGAGTTGGGAATGGGAGGCAGAGACAGGGACACAGATATATAAAAAATTGTAGACAAAACTGTATTGCGTTCTGAGTATGGTTCTGTGATCCATGGTTCAGTTTGAGAGGTTCCTGTGTCCCTTATGAGAAGGGACAGGAAAGCCAGGAGGACAGGAGTATGTTTGGGCCTGTGCCTGTGCTTCCACCACAGAAGTCAGCAGCTCTACCTTTCTCTTTTCTCCTCTTTATCTAATAATTGTTTCCTCTTCAAATTTGGGAAATGAGCTTAATCAAATATTTGTTGTGTTTTTTGTTTGTTTTTGAAATGTGGCCTCAGTGTGTTTGCCCAGGCTGATCTTAAACTCCTGGGCTCAAGTGATCCTCCCTCTCAGCGTCCTGTGTAGCTGGGACTACAGGCATGTGCCACCACACCCAGCTAAGTTAATGCTAATGTGTAGTTTATCTGATTCAGTTTTGAAGGGCGGGGTATATATAGATAGTTATGTTGTGTGTGTGGTGGTGGGGGTAGTGTTTATGTGTGTGTGTGTATATATATATTTATATATTACTAGTCCATTGCTGCTACAACAAACTACCAGTATGTCAGGGCATAAAACAAATTTATTACACTCCCGTATGTCAGAGTGTGATGTGGATCTCACTGGGCTAAAATCTAGGTGGTGGAAAGGCTACCTTCATCTCTAGAGGCTCTAGGGGATCTTTTTTCTCGCCTTTTCCACATTCTGGAGTCTGCCTGCATTTTTTGGCTTTGGGCTCTTCTCCACTCTCACCATTAGCAACCTTGCATCCCATGGGCCCTTCTTCTATGGCCACATGTCTCTGTGGCTCTTTCCTTCCCCCTTCTCTTCCACTGTTAAGGACTCATGTGCTTACTTAGTCCTGAATGGAGACACCGTCATCATCCACATGAGCCCACTGTCCTAATCCATACAGGCTGCTACAAGGAAATGCATTAGACCAGGTAGCTTATAAATAACAGAACTTTGTTTCTCACAGTCCTGGAGGCTGAGAAGTGCAAGATCAAGGTGCCGGCAGTCTTGGTGTCTGGTGAAGGCCTGCTTTCTCATAGAGGCTTCCTTCTTGCTGTGTCTTCGCATGGTGAGAGGAACAAACAAGCTCCCTTGTGCCTTTAATAAGGTGCTAATCCCAGTCATGAGGGCAGAGTCTCCCGTAAGGCTTAACCTCCTAATGCCATCACCTTGAGGGTTAGGATTTTAACACATGAACAGTGACGGAACACAACGTTCATTCCATAGCACCAGGGTAGTCTCCTCATGTCAAGGTCTTTACCTGAATCACATGCATGATGTACCGTTTTCATGTAAGGTTCTAGGAATCTGTGGACATCTTTGGGGGGCCATTATTTTGCTGATCACATATTACATATTTTTTAATATTCTAGACTAGTATGAAAACAATGCCACTTCCATTGCTTTATATACGTATCTATATACACATTGTCTAATGCTATAATTAAAAAAAAGTTGTAGACACAAATATACCCATTTAAAAAAAAAATTTTTTTTGCTATTTTACTTCATACTGCCAACTCCTTTTTCCTGAAACTGCTTCAACTCTGGAATTCTTTTTTGCTATTAGTTTTATTTTATTGAAATATTCATGAATGAGCATACACTTGTATATGGATTTAAAATTCACAGTAATGTTCTCATGAGTTCATCTGTGAATAACATTTTATAGACAAAATGTCTGCACTAAGACAAGAGAAAGATCTATAATTCCTTTGTTCTAAGGTACCGCCATTCATTGTTATTATTTTAAAATAGGAGTGTTGACTGATGTTAAAACACAAAATGGGTTCGGGAGTGGTGGCTCCCGCCTGTAATCCCAACACTTTGGGAGACCGAGGTGGGCGGATCACCTGAGGTCAGGAGTTTGAGAACAGCCTGGCCAACATGGTGAAACCCTGTCTCTACTAAAAATACAAAAGTTAGCTGGGCATGTGTTGCGCGCCCATGATCTTAGCTACCCGGGAGACTGAGTCCGGAGAATCGCTGGAACCTGGGAGGCGGAGGCTGCAGTGAGCCGAGATCATACCAGTGCACTCCAGCCTAGATGACAGAGTGAGACTCTGTTCTTCCCCCAACCCCCCAAAAAAACACAAAAAGGGATAATTGGCCGGGCACAGTGGCTCACGCCTGTAATCCCAGCACTTTGGGAGGCCGAGGTGGATGGATCACCTGAGACCGGGAGTTTGAGACCAGCCTGACCAACATGGAAAAAACCCATCTCTACTAAAAATACAAAAATTAGCTGGGCATGGTGGCACATGCCTGTAATCCCAGCTACTCAGGAGGCTGAGGCAGGAGAATTGCTTGACTCTGGGAGGTGGAGGTTGCTGTGAGCCAAGATCGCACCATTGCACTCTAGCCTGGGCAATAACAGCAAAACTCCGTCTCAAAAAAAAAAAAAAAAAAATTATAACTGGGCAGTGGAATTGAAAATGATTTTAAAAAATATCCAAAATACCTAAGGAACTTGTATAAATAAATAGGAAAAAAAAAGAGAAAAACATCAAGAAGCCCACAAAAAAGCAGATTTGTAAATGGGCAATGGATTCGAATAGACATTTAGCCATAGAAGGCATCCAGTTGGTGAAAAGGCATATGGAAAGGTGCTCAGCA
The DNA here is from genome assembly GCF_000001405.40 of Homo sapiens. Taxonomy (NCBI): domain Eukaryota; kingdom Metazoa; phylum Chordata; class Mammalia; order Primates; family Hominidae; genus Homo; species Homo sapiens. Next base: position 47,534,446 of record NC_000010.11, on the reverse strand, counting down.
TCACTGATTATCAGGAAAATGAAAATGAAAACCGCCACGAGTGGTTTAGACCATAGCGGCATGCATGAAAGTTTTCAGACCTCCAGTTGTTGGGAGTGGCTGAGGAGATTGGGGAGCTTCTGTCTGAGTTGGAAGAGTGGAGTCTCAACAAGAACCAGCGTATTCTGGACATGTGTGCGCCCTGGAGTGTTCATGGCTGGATGCCTTGTCTACCTGTGCCTTACAGAGTGACACCATTGTGGTGTGGTCGATCAGAGGGGCAGGAGGCTTTCAGAGGGAGTGGGAAGTGGTGGGGCTTGGTTTGTTTGCCCATGGATGACAGCAAAAGTGAGTTGGCTTCTCAAGAACTTTTACCAGTAGCCTGTTTTGCTACAATTCTAGACCCAGACTGGGGTCCCAAGGCATCATAGCCCACAGCTTCTTAGCAAGTGCATGTTCAGTTGGATCCCCCAGCTCAGCCTGGGTCATCCCCACGTTCTGCCTCTTGGGCCATACATAGCTCAGCTCTGTACTGAGCCATCATCCCATGGTGAGCAAGACCCCATTCTTGGTCTTCAGTCTCTTTCCCTGCAGCATGCAATCAAGGTGGTGGCTGGAAGGGGCCAAGGAGCCACATGTCACAGTGCCCTGCTGCCTGAACAAGGACCAGAGGCCTGTGGAACACATGGCTCTCAGATTTCTCCCATTTGATGACTCATCAGCTGCCCCCACATGGCTTTCTAGCTCACAGCAGATCTAGCCTTCTCTGAGCAGTGAAGATGGGATGTTTTATGGTCATTTTCCCTGGTGTGGAGAGCCCAAGTGGAGTTCTTCAGCACACCCTACACCATCCCCTCACTAACACCCCCACCTGTCCAGTCTTACCTGCCTTCATATCAAAAGCACTCAGTTAACCCAGAGGGCTTCAGCCCTGCCCTGCCTGACTTTCTAGGAAACCCCTCTCTCCACCCACCCTAATCAGACACTGTCTGAAGGTTCCCCCTCATCATTTTAAAAGGAAGAGAAATTTTTCTGACACAGAGGTTCTGGTGAAGTGGCCAGCTCCCACATCACAGGGTGATGGTGGTTTGGACTGGACCAGGATCAGACAGTGCTGTCCTGGGGCTGGCCATCTGATAAGGGGCTCCAGAAAGGGCAGTGATGGACCCCTGGGAGGCTTTCTGCTCTCCTGATCACAGGTTTTTGGTGAGAGGACCTATTGGCCACTAGGGTGTCTGCGGGGGTGTGTGTGTGTGTGTGTGTGTGTGTGTGTGTGTGTGTGATGTGTGTTTACTTGGAATGACTTCTTTCAGCATGAAGCCCACTGTTTTGCTGAACGTATCTCACTGTTTCCTGAAACTCAGTACATTCAGCTGGCTTAAGGGTCCTGGGGCCTCGCTGTGTCATATTTGCACAAGCCTAGTGTCTGTGCAGACTGTACACTGGAGTTCAGTTGTAAGACCCTTTTGATCCCTTATTCTGTTCCTGTAATAGAAAAGCCATTTCACTCAATGGAATAGAAACCCAGATCTAATGGAGAGATGTTCTAATCTGCCATACACTGGGGCAGTGGCCAGTGATTTGGACTTTGTGGCACAGATGGAAATTTCCAGGTTCTCTAGGTGGTAGGCAGAGGCCTCACTTTTTAAGAAACTCCCCCACTCCACCCCTGCCAATGAGGACATTGCTTAGAGGTATTTCTATCAGTGTTGAGTAGAAGAGATCATTTCTTGGTGTTGAATTTCAGGTAAGGATGCCAGCTTCTGCATATCAGGGTGGTGATGTTTGGGCTGCGACAGGTCTAGACAGCAGTCTGAAAGGGGGCTCAAGGAAGTAGCTGTGAAAGGCCCCTGGGATGTTTTCTGCTCCCCTTTCTGCAAATCCCCTGGAGGGAGATCCTGTTAGTCACTACGGGATGTGTGTGTGTGTGTGTGTGTGTGTGTGTGTGTGTGTGTGTGTGTGTTCATCACTTGTTGCTTGGGGTGGGAAGAGACAACAACAACCTACAGAATCCATAGTTCTCAGTTCATCTCCCATCCTAGTCCAATCATGGCCTAACATCCTTAGCTACCGATCGCAGAGGAGACTGCGCATTTGTGTTCATGTGGCCTTGGATGTTGGCAGATTCAGATTGGTGCCCCAGGCATCTGTGCTGTAACTGCAGTTTCAGCGGGCTCAGGACCAGGCTAAAGGGCCTCCAAGCTTCCTCCAGTTTCCTGGTGCATGCATGTGCAATATGCTCCCCTGGCCTGGGTCTTTCCTGCCGCTTCTTGCCAGTTGGGTCAGAACTAGCTTATTAACCAGTTTTTCTTCTGAGCTTTAATCGAACTGGCTCCAACCAGTTGGAGGCTTGAAAAGGGCTACGTGCTAGTTATAGATTTTTAAAGATATATTATTATTTTAGAGTAGTTTTGAGTGTACAGCAAAATGGAGTGCAGAGTCCAGAGATCTCATATGCCCTCAATTCCTGTATACTCTCGGGTCACTCCACCAACAACCTCCTACACCAGAGCCACTTTGAAACATTAGAAAATATATTTGAGCATTCAGAAATGTATAAACTAGGCAGCCCCAGACTGCAAGCAGCTCAGAGGTCCCACAGAGAGGCTTAGGGAGGGTGGGGGAAGAATTTTATATGGTGAATGTGGAAGAAAAAGAAAATACTTGATTGGGTGAAGTGGAGCAGTGGCCTCATTTGGAACATTACAGTGGAAGGTCTCTAGTTAGATGTTAGTTGGTGGTTTCTGATTGGTTCTTACATTTCCTTTTATTATTTACACTGAGTCAAGTTTTGGTTTATTTAAGGAGGAATTGAGTGCACGGCAGCCACCTCAGCCTCATGGCCACCTGTTTATTTGATTATTTTTAACAGAGAAGATCCTTTTAAAAATATCTGTTACCGTGGCTGGAGTGCAGTGACGTGATCACGGCTCACTGCAGCCACAACCTTCCAGCTCAGGTGATCCTCCCACCTCAGTGCTCCCCACCCTGAGTAGCTGGGACTACAGGCATGTGCCACCACACCACCATGCTAGGCTAATGGTTTGTATTTGTTTGAGAGATGCAGTTTCCCTAAGTTGCTTAGGCTTCTTTTGAACTCTTAGACTCAAATAATCTGCCTGCATTGGTCTCCCCAAGTGCTGGAATTACAGGCCATCTAAATCTTTTATCTCAGGTTTGCCTTGTGACAAAAGGTGGGGTACTTTTTCTGACATGATGAGGCAGAGAAAGGTGAGGTGGGTGCATCCTGTGCATATGATTTTCTCAGGTGATGGGAATATGGTGGGCTCTTGCCTAATGGGATATATTTTCTCTTTGAATGATTTGGCAAGATATCAGATGAGAGAAGTTGAATAAATGTTAGAAGAACATAGAAAAAATAGGTTATACACATTGGGTTTCTGAAGAAATGATGTCATTGGAGAAACAAAACTTTTATTGATTTCTGGAAACATTTAGGGCCAATTTTTTGTGTAAGTAATTTGAATTTATGATGATATCTCTGACCACTTTTTGATATTTTTTCTGGTTCAGGTGAGTGGTGTCATTGAGCAAACACAAAGTCGGGCTCATCCAAGGATGAGATTTTGCCAGAGAAAGGATGAGCAGCAAGTCAGGGAGCTTAAGGTAATTATGAGACAGTGACTATCTAAAATTGCTTAGGTAGAAGGAGACAGATTGGATTTTTGTGTGTTTGGTATTTGGGATAAGAGGGATGTGGGTGTGTACTTGAGATGTGTTGTTTATTTTCTCTCTTTTTTCTTTTTTTTTTTTTGAGAGGGAGTCTCACTCTGTCACCCAGGCTGGAGTGCTGTGGCACAGTCTTGGCTCACTGCAACCTCTGCCTCCCGGGTTCAAGGGATTCTCCTGCCTCAGCCTCCCGAGTAGCTGGGATTACAGGCGCCTGCCACCACGCCCGGCTAATTTTTGTGATTTTTTTTTAGTGGAGACGAGATTTCACTATGTAGGCGAAGCTGGTCTCGAACTCCTGACCTCAGATGATCCACCCGCCTCAGCCTCCCAAAGTGCTGGGATTACAGGCGTGAGCCACCGCGCCTGGCCTGTTTATTCTCTTAAGAGAGAAAATGAGGGGATTAATGGACTGTAGTTCTGGACAAGGTGGAAAACTCTTAAAGTGGAAGTACTGGGGCAAGTGCTCTGACAGGGTAGGATGGTGCAGTCAGTCCCTTCACCCAGAAATCAGTAGAATGTTAGCAGTTCAGACTCAAACCTTGTGAAAAACAGGTGGTGGAAAGGAAATCCCTCACAGCAACTGGCACCATAATCAAGACAATGTTTACAGGATAAATGGAGTTACCTGCTTTCAGCCCCAGGTCGTAGCTATTGTCTGCCCTGCTGATATGTGATAATAATTTGTGATCCTGTTGTCTTAAAATGGGGTCACTCATCTCCAGTAGAATTAAGTCCACAGTGAAGTTGTCCCCCCATCCCCAAAGAGATAAACATATATGAATGAACTCACGTGATAACAACTACTGCTGCCTGGGATCATGAGAGACCTGAACTGAACTGATAGGAAGTGAAAGGTGGCTGAGATAATGAGAATAGACCCATCTGCAGAGGATCATAAAACCAGCAAAGACAAGATCTTGTCTAAGATGCCTTCACAAGCTTTGTCCATGAGAACTCTTAAGGATTTCACCAGACCTGTTGGCTGCTGCTGTGATCTCTGCCCAAGAGGAGCCTCTGACCAACATCCAAAGGGCTTCTGGACCCACTGGACTCCTCTGGAGGTACCTTGGTCTCCCGATCCATGGCTGTGGTTTTTTACTCCCTTTATCACTGCCTGTGTGTAGAATGATAATTGCACAATTGATAGTGTGAAGACCTCTTGATAAATGGTAAATCTGAGCATATGTATTTGGCTGACATGTCATTGTGAAACCTCACAGCTTCAGTCAGTGTCTCTCCAAGGACTAAACAATGGAAGACTGTAGAAGATGCTATTCATTAAGATATCGCAAGAATATGGAAGACTATTATTCGCTTCTCATGGGACAGGACTTTTCAGGGCACCTGAAAAAACTCCCATGAAAAATCACTTTTACAAAATGTCAAGTTATGATATCCAAGATGAAACCAATGAGTCACAACATTCACATAATACACTGTACAACCCTGATCTCTTGACTGTCATCAAATGTTTCTTACCTCTAAACCAAAGTTTCATTTTATAATTTAATTTTTCTCATTTTTTCCATTCTCTTAGCTTAAGAAAAGATCATTACAAACTTTTTGTAAGTTTTTCATATATGCTTGCAAAGGGTCGTAAAACTTTATTGTGATTATTCTTGCTTTAAGCTGAAACATCCCTAATCTTTCTTTAGAGATTGTGGCATAGCATGTTAGTTTCTTTTCCATATCCAATTGTTGTCTGTAATGAATACAGAAATACGGGCACTATTTTGTAACTTTAAATAGACATCATCTCAAGTCTACAAGAATTATCCAAAATGGTATTTAATGACATTTCTAGGTCTTCAGACACTATTAATGCAGATTGTAGCCTCTAGGTCCTGAAGATTTTACTAGATACTGGTTACTGAAACTGAGCTTTCTTGAATTCTTTTTCCTTCCACTGTGGTTTCCCGCATTTCAACATATCACCTATTTTTGTCCTCAAAGGTTACTTAAATTTTTTCCACAGAATTAAATTAAATATGAATCATCCCTCCTCTGATTTTTGAAATGACCCTTTGCTTCCTATGATAATGATTCTTCTGGTCCGTTTTGTAGTTATATGTTAGAGTTTGTAAATAGTCACACATTTTGCAACTGCATGTAATTTTCTTATTATTTTTTCCTCTTCCTCTAAAACTGCTGTTATTTCTTTTAACTTTTTGTGGGAAAAATTAAACCCATCTTTCACTTTGTTGATATACTTATTTATAATTGAACTCCTTGATTTTTGCTCGAATTGCTTTTCAAGTTACCCACTTTTAGGGAAGACATTATTTGGGTTTTGTTTAGTGTATCAGGCTTTTTTTAGTTAGTTGTATCAAGAAGTGTAGACTTTTCTATACATAATATCCTTTTTCCCACAGTATTTTTTTTTTTTTTTTTAAGTCTAGCCGGGTGCAGTGGCTCACGCCTGTAATCCCAGACTTTGGGAGGCCGAGACAGGCGGATCACGAAGTCAAGAGATGGAGACCATCCTGGCTAACACGTTGAAACCCCATCTTTACTAAAAATACAAAAAATTAGCTGGACATGGTAACGGGTGCCTGTAGTCCCAGCTAATCAGGAGGCTGAGGCAGGAGAATGGCATGAACCCAGGAGGCAGAGGTTGCAGTGAGCCGAGATCGTGCCACTGCACTCCAGCCTGGGTGACAGAGCAAGACTCCATCTCAAAAAAAAAAAAAAACATTCTGTTAAAATAAAGGTGATCAAAAGATCTTTTCCCAAACCTTTCCTTTACCAGAAATAGCTCTAGTGTCACATGGTCCTTTCTCCCTTCTTGCTTTTGTAGGAATCCAAAGCTAATCTGTCCCTGATCCGGATTGCACGCACCTGTGCCTTTTGGGGCCCTTCTGCATTAGTTCTTCCTTCTCTTCTAACCTCAAAAATGTGTTTTTTCTATTGGCTCTTTCCCTTTAACATAGAAGTATACTCACGCTTTTGTTGAATCTTGAAATAAAAGTCTTCCTTTACCACATATCTCCCTTTAATACTACATCTCTCTTCTCAGCCAAATACTTGGGAAGAGAAGCCCTGAGTTTGTGTCATTGTTTTCTCACCTCCAGTTCACTACTTTGCCCACTGCCTGACATCCAGCTCACTCACACACACACACAAGCCCAATCACTAAGTTGCCATAGCTAATTTGTAGCTTTCCTGCCTTCCTGGCAAAATTTGACTCTGCATTGGGATAATACATGTCGAGTACCTATTGAACAGGCACTGTGCTAGGTGCTACTGTTATAGATATGAAAAGAAGGCATCATCTCCTTTCTAACAACTCACAGGAGCAGCCATTCCTGATTCATACATGTCTCTTGACTCCCAGTGCTCACTTTTTCAAGCTTCACTTAATGCCGTGCAAATCACCCTATTCTCCAGGTCTTCTTTCTTCCCAGTTCTCCTTACTATACACAACTTCTCAAGGCAGTCACCTCCACACCCATGGCTTCAATTGCTTTCTCCATTCTCTGAGAACAATAGAATTTTAAATGGTTTTATTTCATGTATTAGCTTTATTTTATACAAGGTGCCTCACCTGCTGTAACCATAGATTCAAAGTTGCTCCATGAAAGTAATAAATGAAAAATGGTGATTTTTTAGCATGTAAATTTTAGGAAATTTCCCCAGTTACGCTTAATGGCTTGATTTAGTGTGTATGTTATTTTTGAAAACATATGTTGGGATGTCACAAATGGACTTAGCCTACAGAGATTTATATTCAACTTTTGACCAGAGAGTTCCATTTTAATGTGACACTGAGAGTAAAAAACTATCTTTTCCTCCTTACCTATTTCTCTTCCTACATTCTCGGCCAGGAGGAAGGCACTGCTACATACCCAGTCTTCCCCAGCAGAGCCTGAGCAGCTCTGTTTTCCTTCTACTTCCCCTCTTCTTTCACATCTCATGACCAAGCACTTCCTATTCTGTCTCCCAAATGATCACAGACTTTTTCCTCCACTTTTGTCACTGCCACTGCCCTTAGCATTACTCTGCCTTTAGAGAAAGTCTCTTAATTGGTTTGGTTGCTTCCTTCAGTCTTTATTATACAGACCACTACACGCACATCTGACAGAGACTTTTCACCTTTTTATGGTTGAATGACTGAAATTCCCAGAATAAAATTAAAACCACCCCAGCATCAAATTTGAGGTCAAATAGAGGTGGGTTTGTATCCCAGGTTCATATACTGTCCAGCAGTATGGTCTCAGAAAACTGACCTCCTTAAGCCTTTGTTTGTGTATCTGCCTAAACTCATTGAGAGTTGGGACTATTTCACACATACAGTGCCTGGCATGTAGAAGGGACTTAATGTTGAAAGAAGGGGAGGCATTTTAAAATCCACATCAAAAAAATGTTGTTCTGTTTGGGAGTGGTGGCTCACGCCTGCAATCCCAGCACTTTGGGAGGCCAAGGCAGGTGGATCACCTGAGGTCAGGAGTTCGAGATCAACCTGAGCAACATGGTGAAACCCCATCTCTACTAAAAATACAAACATTAGCTGAGCATGGGGGCGGGATCCTGTAATCCCAGCTACTTGGGAGGCTTAGGCACTTGAATGAGAATCACTTGGACCCAGGAGGTGGAGGTTGCAGTGAGCAATGATTGTGCCACTACCTGGGCAACAGAGTGAGACTCTGTCTCAAAAAAAAAAAAAATAAAAAGTAAAAAAAATTCTTTTAAAAATATACGAATCTGGCTGGGCACGATGGCTCATTCCTGTAGTCCTAGCACTTTGGGAGGCTGAGGTGGGCCTGATCAACATGGAGAAACCCCGTCTCTACTAAAAATACAAAATTAGCTGGGCATGGTGACGCATGCCTGCAATCCCAGCTACTCGGGAGGCTGAGGCAGGAGAATCGCTTGAGCCCGGGAGGCGGAGGTTGCAGTGAGCCAAGATCACGCCATTGCAGTCCAGCCTGGGCAACAAGAACGAAACTCCGTCTCAAAAAAAAAAAAAAAAAAATAGTGTTCAGCAAGGTTGAAGCATAAAAGGTTAATAGCCAGAATCATTTATCAATTGTATTTCTATACATCTACAAGACACAATCTGAAAATGAAATTAGAGAAACAATTTCACTGGGCAACAAGAGCAAAACTTCGTCTCAAAATAATAATAATAATAATAATCTACAATGTCATTTCCCATCCAAGCTTGACTTCTACCTTTACTTTCTGATATGGTTTTGCCATGTCCCCACCCAAATATCATCATGAATTATAATCCCCATAATCCCGATGTGTCGAGGGAGGGGCCTAGGGGGAGGTGATTGGATCACAGGGGCAGTTATCCTCATGCTGTTCTTGTGATATTCAGTAAGTCCTCATGAGATCTTATAGGGTTTTGTTTTGTTTTGTTTCTTGGGATGGAGTCCTGCTCTGTTGTCCAGGCAGGAGTGCCATGGCACGATCTTGGCTCACTGCAGTCTCTGCCTCTTGAGTTCCAGTGATTCTCCTGCCTCAGCCTCCTGAGTAGCTGGGATTACAGGCATGCACAACCACACCCAGCTAATTTTTGTATTTTTAGTAGAGACAGGATTTCACTACATTAGCTAGGCTGGTCTCAAACTCCTGACCTCAGTTGATCCACCTGCCTTGGCCTCCCAAAGTACTAGGGTTACAAGTGTGAGCCACCGTGCCCAGCTGAGATCTGATGGTTTTATACATGTTTGACAGTTGCTCCTTCACATGTTCCCACTCTCTGTGCGGCCACCATGTAAGTCGGACCTGCCCTTCTGCCATGATTGTAAGTTTCCTGAAGGACTTCCCCCTCTGCCATGATTGTAAGTTTCCTGAGGCCTCCCCAGCCATGTGAAACTGAGTCAATTAAGCCTCTTTCCTTTAAAAATTACCCAACCTCAGGTGTTTCTTTATATCAGTGTGAAAACAGACTGCTATACTTTCTGATAATCATGCTTAAGCAATTGGGGAATTCAGACTACCTGGGATCAAACTATGGCCCCACCCTTAGCAGTCATGTGACCTTGGGGGGGTTTACTTACCTTCTCTGTCCCAACAACTTCTGTAAAATCTGTAACATGAGATTGTTTCTGAGGGTTAAATGAGCATAGCACAGTGGGGACACTGTCAGGCACACACTACTTGCCAGATGTCGAGTATTCATCTTTATTGAAATAGGACTGTGGTAAGCCACTTTATGGCTCTCGATTTTGTATGAGAAAATCATGTTTAGTGCCTTGTTAGTAAAAGAAAGAAAATCTGAAAGTCCCTGCCATGGAAGGAAGAAATAGCGGGGAGAAAAGGGAGTTGGTAAGTTTCAGCATTTCAGAGCTTGGAGGGACAAGTTAGGTTTCTATTTTATGGAGAAGGAGGTGGAGGCAGGATGGGTCCTAAGGTGTCATTCAAAACACACAGCCATAACTCTTTATTGAGAGTAGAGCTAGGGCCCCAGGGATTGCTGTGATCAAGTTGCGGACAAAAATGACCACTCGTTGGAAGACAGGAGAGGAGTGTTTAGTTACAAAAGCAGTCAACAATTCAGGTGTATCTATATTCAGACAGCAAATAAAAGTTGTTCAACTTGGTTGCTAATGGGACCCACTCTACTGAGGCTTTGTGTAGAACTCGTAGAGGAAGCTGGCTTCGAGGAATGAACTACCCTGTGCTTTTCTTAGGACTAAAATCTCAGGAAGCTGGTGATGAATGAAAACCTTAGTCCCATTGGCACTGCACGAGGGGCCAGGAGAGCAGCAGCATCATAAGCCACAGGGTGGGGCAGCCAAGGCAGGGGCATTCTGAGCTGTTGGGGAGGGGTGGCAGGCAGGGTGGGGCACTGTGAGGTGTCGGGGAGGGCATTGTGAAGTGTGGGGTGGGGCATTGTGTGCCACATGCCTGGGCTCCCACCTGGGGCCAGTGGGCTTCAGTCTGTAGGTGACTACAGAAGGAGGAGGAGCTCCGTCTGTTCTCTCTTCAGGCAGTTGTTGTGTCTCTCAGCGCTTGTTGGGTTCACAACCTATTAAATAAGCCGGCTGGTCTTCACCCTCCCAGACAAGTCAACTCAGGGGAGGCAGCAGGGTGCGGGCCTTGGCCCGCAGCCCTAGCCGGGGCCGGGGCCGGGGCCGGGGCCAGGGCTGGTGCCCGGGGCCGCACTGTGAGGTGGGCAGGCGAGGAGCGGGAAGACCATCTCTGCAAGTGCAGCATAGCCTCGGCCTAGGACAGCGGGAGTGCGTGGCCAAAGCTGTGAGCAGAGGCACAGGTGGTGGCAGACAGTAGAGGCGCCCCATGGGGAACATACTGACCTGTCGTGTGCACCCTAGCGTCAGCCTCGAGTTTGACCAGCAGCAGGGGTCGGTGTGTCCCTCTGAATCTGAGATCTATGAGGCAGGAGCTGAGGACAGGATGGCAGGAGCGCCCATGGCTGCTGCTGTACAGCCTGCTGAGGTGACTGTTGAAGTTGGTGAGGACCTCCACATGCACCAGGTTCGTGACCGGGAGATGCCTGAAGGTAAGGAGGTGATAGGTGCCATCTACCCTCGGTTTGCCTCTGGCTGCTGCTGTCCCCAAGGTTCCCTTTGAGGCATCCCACACTTCGAGCTCCTTTCTGCTTGTAGCCAGCTTTCCCGGGGGCTGGCCAGGAACAAAAGCTGGCTCTGCCTTGAATTCCCACCCCTTAGTCTTTCCCCACCGAGTCCAGTCAGTTTCTTTTCACCTCCCCTCCCAATCGCCCAGTTCTTGCTCTCTCATCTCATTCTCCCAGGCTGGCATGGGACCATTTATTTATGGCTCTTGTCGAATAAGCAGCAGTTGAATAAATGAGTTGATAAATTTTTATAAATGATTACGTCCTTTTTCTTTTCTCCCTCTATACATATAGCTTTGGAGTTTAACCTTTCTGCCAATCCAGAGGCAAGCACAATATTCCAGAGGAACTCTCAAACAGATGGTGAGACAACAGTGTCTGTAGCTCTGTTTATTATCCTGTGGGACTTTGTTTAGGCTTCTTTGAGCTATTCTCTTCCTTTTCTCAATAAAAACTCAAATATCCCAACTTTTCAGTACCCATCTTAATTTTTCTTTGAACCTATCCAGATGGTACCTAAGTGAAGGAACCAGGTAAGTGCCTAATTGTTTCCTTTGTTAAAGTAGCCAAATCTCAGGACAGTTCCTATTCAAATATTTGGGGATTTCTTATTTAAAATCAGAATGGAGGTTGCCACGGGAGAGGCTATATGGTATTCTTAATGGGCTGCTTTAAGTCACCTTGATAGAAGCTGCTTAGTTTCTTCTAACTGTAATTTGAACACAGAAGGAAAAAGAAAAAAGGAGAGTGCTTAAAATAATTGTGAAAGGTATAAAATGTCACAGCCGGGGCTGCAGAAAAATGGTTGTGTGTGTGTGTTTGGGGTTTCTCAAAGGAGTTTACCTATGAGGCTCTGATTACTTTAAAATTCTTACTTTAACAGAAAATGTGTCTCCAGATTTATTCTGGTGACTTAACAGACTTTATTTACCTCCTTGTTCTAAAAGAGAGGTGGGGATTGGTTCACGGTCAAAACTTTCAAAAGACATGAAACGTCAACGTAGACTTTTAATGTGTAATATAAAGATTGCAGGTTAAAATGTCAGACTTCCCTGTAAGAGTGTTTGTTGCCGTGGCTCCCCCTTTGTCCCTTCCCCTCCTGACAATAGCATCTTGTTCAAAGATAAGAAAGTTACAGTTTTGGCTGGGCTTGGTGGCTCACGCCTGTAATCCCAGCACTTTGGGAGGCTGTGGCAGGCGGATCACCTGAGGTCAGGAGTTCGAGACCAGCCTGGCCAACATGGTGAAACGCTGTCTCTACTAAAAAAGAAAATACAAAAATTAGCTGGGCGTAGTGGCGCATGACTGTAGTTCCAGCTACTCACAAGGCTGAGGCGGGAGAATTGCTTGGACCTGGGAGGTGGAGGTTGCAGTGAGCAGAGATCACGCCAATGCACTCCAGGCTGGGTGACAGAGCGAGACTCCGTCTCACAAAAAAAAAAGGAAAGAGTTGGAGTTTTTTAGTCTCTACACTGTTGGCAGAGGCAGGGGATGGGAGCCGGTAGAAAACAGAAAACAATTAGTTGGTTTGCCTCTAAAATTTTGCAAAGAGATGAATCTAAGTAAAAGTAATTCTGGGTAATAATATGGTTCTTGAATAAAAACTGAAATTTTCAAAATAGAAAACATTGCATCATAAACATATTAAATCCAGTTGGCTTATTGGTTTCATTTAAATGCCAGAGATTTCATTACTCTAGAGGAAATGTCTTATAGCTCTTCTATTTAAACTTTGGTTGGGCTCTTAATTTTTAAAGAGGTAGGATAATTAAGACTCATTATGAGTGTGACTTTGTAACTTGGAAGTACTATCTTCACATTTCAAGATATTTAAGGATTGCTTTAGAATAAACAAATGCATTGTGTGAATTAATTGATTGTACCTTTATACACAAAGCATGTAAGTACTTGTATAAACTTATACTCTGCTTGGTGATGTTTGGAAAGCCTGATGGATGTTACACACCAGTTAGTAGATGGGTAGTGTTGGATGAGAGCCCAAAAATGGCTCTTTATTGTCATTCTTTAGGATTACAACACAGTTTATGTATGTCTCACTTGGCCCTTTCCAATACAAATAAGGCCTGTGTATGTTCTCCCTATGTATTGCTAATGAAGAAATGAAAACTTAGAGATATCACATGACTATGGAAGACAGCTACTCAAGAGAACTAAGGTTCTGTGTCCTCAGAATGAAATGGAAGTGACAGATATGATGAATTTACTTTTTAAAAATTTTAAAAACTCTAGAATACATCTTATATTTTGCCTATAAAATAGACTGTCTTTTAAAACTTACTGCCATCTTGATTTATTTTATGCAAAGTTGATTTTACACAACTCAAAGCCAAAATTTACCTCTTCTTCTTTTTTTTTTTTTTTTTTTTTTTAAATAAAGGAGGGTGTCATTGTGTTACTCATGCTGGCCTCAACTTCCTGACCTGGGTTCAAGTGATTTTCCCATCTCAGCCTCCTGAGTAGCTGGGACTACAAGCATGTGCCATCTTGCCTGGCTCTATCTTATGTCTATACATTCATTTCAATGGATAAGAATCAAAGTAGAGATAGTGAAATAGCCTAAATGCAGCAGCCGAATAAACGAGTTGATAAATTTTTATCAATGATTGCATCTCTTTTTCTTTTCTTCCTCTATGCATATAGCTTTGGAGTTTAACTCTTCTGCCAATCCAGAGGCAAGCACAATATTCCAGAGGAACTCTCAAACAGATGGTGAGACAACATTGTTTTTTCCGCCAAGAGAAAGAATAAAAGCTCTTGTTTGATCAGGTTATAGAAAGTATTTAGAAAAACTCATATTGGTTTAAATTTTTCACCTTTTCACATGTTCACTTGTCTTATTTTAATATGTGATATACTTTCCTTTAGTTGTTATGATGTTAGTGAAAACGTGTAACCTTTTTGTTTATACATTTTGCCATCTTTTTATCAACACAATTAATTTGTCATGTGTTGGAGGAGTCATGGATTTCTCTTTATAATTCTTGGATTTATCTTTATTTATAATTAATGGATTTATCTTTATTTATAATCCCTTTTCCCTTGCTCCAAAAAGTACACTTTAAAGATGAATGATAGAACTTAGGCTTCAGCTTGGTTTTCATTTAAACAAATTAAAAAACATAGTTGTTTATCATCAGGGATTGAATCTGTGATTTGGGCCTCCTCTTACACAGTCCTCTGACCACATTCATTTACCACATCCAAGTTCATGCTACTCAAAAGTTTTAGGTTATTAACTTTTTCATTTGATGTCATGTAAATTTAAACATGCCCTACTCCTGCTTATTTCCCTAATGTTATGTTAAATCCTCATTTATTTGCCAACAAGCCATACACAGCCAAGTTTTCCAGTTGACTTAAACAGCAAGAATACAAGTGAGGGTTCTATAATAGTGTGCGAAGTAATGCAGCACAGTAAAACACGGGAGTTTGTAACCTTTGTTTTTATAGTTTGAGTAGACTTTGCCCATCTTGAGTCAGTTATTTCTGGTTAGAATTTGTCTTCATTTTTTACATTACTATAAAGAGATACCTAAGGCTGGGTAATTTATAACAAAAAAGAGGTTTAATTGGCTCAAAGATTTTCAGGCTGTACAAACATGGCTTTAACATCTGCTTCTGGTGAGGGCCTCAGCAAACTTACAATCATGATAAAAGGCAAAGGGGAAGCAGGTGGTTCCACACGGTGAAAGAGAGAGGGGAAGGGGGAAGGTACCACACTCTTTTTTTTTTTTTTTTTTGAAATGGAGTCTCACTCTGTTGCCCAGACTGGAGTGCAATGGCACAATCTTGGCTCACTACAACCTCCATCTCCCAGGTTCAAGCAATTCTCCTGCCTCAGCCTCCCGAGTAGTTGGGACTATAGGTGGGCACCATAACACCTGGCTAATTTCTGTATTTTTGGTAGAGACAGGGTTTCACCATGTTAGCCAGGCTGGTCTGAAACTCCTGACCTCAAGTGATCTACCCGCTTCAGCCTCCCAAAGTGCTGGGATTACAGGCTTCAGCCACCGCACCTGGCCAGTACCACAGCCTTTTAAATTACCATAATGAGAATTTGCTTATTACCATGGGGATGGGACCAAGCCATTCATAAGGAATCCACTGCCATTACCCAAATGCCTCCCACTAGGCCCTGTCTCCAACATTAAGGGTCACATGTTAACATGAGACTTGGAGGGGCAACATATCCAAAACATATCAGAATTGTATTTCCCAGTTCCTTCCAGAGCCATGGGCTTCTCACACCTAGAGAGCATGGAAGCAGTAAAAGAAAAGCTATTCCATGTCCCTCACTCTTCGGTGGTAGGAACTTTTGCCTACAAGGCCCTTCCAGCATCAAAGGCAGAGGCAGTGTAGGAAACAAAGCATGGCCCAAGTCCCTCTTGGGGCTTTTATTATTCTGGCCTCTTTTTAGAGGAAAAAAAATGATTTTTTGAGCTTCAGACACCATGTCCAATTAGGTTTGTATACTCATTTTAACATCAAAATTTAGGCCAGGCTCTGTGGCTTACACCTGTAATCCCAGCTCTTTGGGAGGCTGAGGTGGGTGGATCACGAGGTTAGGAGATCAAGACCATCCTGGCTAACACAGTGTAACTCTGTCTCTACTAAAAATACAAAAAAAAATTAGCTAGGCATGGTGGCACGTGCCTGTAGTCCCAGCTAGTCAGGAGGCTAAGGCTGAAGAATTGGTTGAACCTGGGAGGTAGAGGTTGCAGTGAGCTGAGATCCCACCACTGCACTCGAGCCTAGGTGACAGAGTGAGACTCCATCTCAAAAAAAAAAAAATTAAGATACGTTACTTTCCAGTTGTGTAAAGACCGTTTTTTAATTTTGATTTGTTTTTAGTGACATATTAGTAGATAACCACTAAGTGTGGTTCAAGATGCTTACAGGGATTCTGTTGCATCTAGAGATAGGTGTCTGGTCAGGACGTAGTTCTTAGAGCTGTTAGCTCTTAGAGTCTGATAATTAAAGTAAGCTATGTGTAAATGCAGAATGAGAGAATACTAATGGATCATGGCTCATATATGCAACAGTTAAACTTTTTATTAGCTAAATTTTTCATCTGGCCTAATTTTTTTACCCTTTTCTTTTGTACATGAGGATTCTTTCATTTGTATGTAATAGAAACAAAAAGTAAACTAAATGAAAAACTAAGTTTTTAGATTTGACTTATGAAATTAATCATGCCAGATAATTTAAATTATAAATTATTGAAAATTATTTTTTTAAATGGAATTTTGTCTCATTTTACATAGGAGTAATCAGTAAGATGTTAACAACTACTTTTATTTTATGGTATTTGTATCAGAAGTGACCAGTTTTTTTTTTTTTTTATTCTTAGTTGTAGAAATAAGAAGAAGCAACTGTACAAACCATGTAAGTAAACACTCAAATAGTTAAGAAATTGATAGTTTGACATAAAAGGATGTCTCTCTTGATTTCTTTAAATTACAATGTGGACCTGGTGGTGGTAGCATGGACCTCTTTTTGTGGATTTTCTAAATCTCTTCTATTTTCCTGAGTATTAAATTTATCCAGAAAAGTGTTTAGCTTAGCGTGTCCACCTTTTAAAGATTTCTGACATTTAAGTTAAATTTCAATAGTCTGGTTCAAAAGATCTGCCTTAAGGCTGGGCATGGTGGCTAACGTCTGTAATCACAGCACTTTAGGAGGCCAAGGCAGGCTGATCATCTGAGGTCAGGAGTTTGAGACAACCCTGACCAACATGGTGAAATTCTGTATCTACTAAAAATACAAAAGTAGCCGGGCGTGCTGGTGCATGCCTGTAATCTCAGCTAGTCAGGAGGCTGAGGCAGAAGAATCACTTGAACCCAGGAGGCGGAGGTTGCAGTGAGCCAAGATCGTGCCATTGCACTCCAGCCTGGGCGACAGAGCGAAACTCTGTCTCAAAAAAAAAAAAAAAAAAAAAAGTGCCTTAAATATTTAATCTTATTTTTAATGAAAGAACAAAAATAGAATAGTTAAGTTAATTGCCAGCACTGTCTATTGACTTTCTATCACAGCGGGTAAAAGCGTATCTTCCTCGCTACACCATGATCTTATGTTTCTCCCTGTGTTTCTTCCAATTGTAGCACACTTTTTAATTAAATCAGTAATATTTACATGATTATGACTCTGCAAATATTATTCACTGCTAAGTCATATGGTGTTTTCACTGTGCCTCTGCATTCCATGTCCTTCATCCTGTCTCTGAAACAGTTCTGAAATCTGAGCACTTCTGCAATTCTCCTGGATCTTCTTTTTTCCTAGCCTATGTTAGTTTATCTATCCAAATATCATTAAGTAGCCTCTGGGTGCTCTGTTTGCTTTCACATCCATTATTTTTTAGCATGAAGCTAATTTTCTGACTATATTCATTTGCCTATTTTCTAATAGCTGTTTTTCCCCCAAGTATTGTAGCATTTATCACATGCCTTTCAAAGATATTTTCCATCTGCAAAAACACATCTGTTCCTTTTTATGTGTGTGTGGGGGGCAACTTTCTTTGGCCTTTTGTCATCCTAGTTCAATATAGCGTGGGTTTCCCTAGATATGCTCAATGTCTGCTTTTCTGGGCTAACTCCTTAAAGTCTTTTGGGATCTCACGTAACTGCTGTCTTGTGTGGGATCTCCTGAGTCCTAGATTCTGTGTTTCCTTCTGTCCTGTTATCGTCTCTAGTTGTACTTGAACACATTTTCCTGGGTGGAGATGTTAAAATCCCTCCTCTTTGATAGAGAGTACACCTCTAGGTTGAATCTAAATTGTATGGTTCTGAAGACATTTTGCAGTTGTGCTCTTATTACAGTGTTGTTCTTGAATCTATTGCCAGTGTGTGATATGTTATTTACAACCAGGTTTTAGTTATCTGCGGAAGCTTTTTAGAATCTCTCTCTCTAAGGTTCTGAAATTTTATAACAGCTTGTTGGGGATCTTTTCATTTTATTGAGGCTACTAAACCTGCAGACTATCTCTTCTTGAGAATTTTTTTTTTATTTTCTCTGTTACTTTTTTACTGATAGTCTTGTTCTTCAGATGCTAGGCTGCTTAGACCAGTACACCTGCATTGATTTTTAATTTTTCCCCTTCTATTTTTTTCAGTTTGTCTTTTTATTCTAGTTCTGGGATATTCTGTGACTTTATCCTCTACTATTTCTATTGAATTTTATATTTTTTGAGAGTGTTTTAAGATTTTTTTTTTAAAGTTTTGCTCCTGATTTTGACTGGTCCTATCAATTCCTTTTTTCTATTGTTTTGATCTCTTTTCTTGGAGGCTTCCCTCCAATGTGTGGTGGTCCCTGGCCTGCTTTATTTGGAAGCAGGATTTCTGTTAACTGATAGCACTCAGTGTGAGGCCTTAGAAGCCTGACTAGCTTTTCATTTGGGAGACCTCAGTGTATTATCTGGGGATCTTTACTGAAGACATTTCAGTTTCTTCTGAGAAGGATCTCCCAATTTTCTGCCTGGAAAGTAAAAGCAGGCCTGGAAAGGAAAAGCAGAGTTAGCAAAGAAAGTTGGAGTTCCATTTTTGGTGTACAGTTTTCTTTATATCTCAGGTTTAAGCCATAGTATCTCTGAGCCAGAAATTCTCAGGTTTGATATATCCAGAGAACACACATCTAAGTTTCTTGTCAGATGGAAGGACAGGTAGACTTTGGGCTCTAGTTAGAGATTTGCAACTGACCTTGCTGGCTTTTTTTTTTTACATTTTACCCTACTTTCCAAAGTGCCATTTGCCTGTAAGTTCACAACCTGCCTTTAGTTCTGCAAGACAAACTGGCTCGCTTCTGTTCCAGTCACTTTCTGTAGTCAGCAAAGTTGTGTTTCTGTGTTATTTACCACTCCTTTGTCTACTTTTTATGTCTCAGCATTTACTAAAAATTATCTCTGTCAACCTTCTGTGCTGGTCATGGGTGTAACCTTTATTTTATGACTAATGAGGCTTCCAGAGGGAGACGAAATAAATTTGTGGTCAATCTATTATATTTAATCCAAATTTAGGACCTATGTTTAAATCAAAGTCTAATTTGAGTATAATGATATTAAGCCAGAGAATTTTTTAAATTAATGTATCTATAATAAGCATATTACACTTTTCTCCTAAGGCCTTGTTTAATATTTTCATTCAAAGTTTATCCACTGCCATATGCTTCCCATTACTTCACAACATAAATGGAGCTGTTTTCCTGAATGCCCAAGGTGTTAGAAATATTTAAGTTAATTAAGATTTGTTCATTTTTAGCCTGGTCAACATAGCAAGACCTCATGTCTACAAAAAGGTTAAATAACAAATTAGCCAGGCCTCGTGGCATGCGCCTTTCATATTACCTACTCAGGAGGCTGAGGCAGAGGATCACCTGAGCTCAGGAGTTTGAGGCTGCAGTTAACTATAATTGCACCACTGCACTCCAGCCTGGGCAACAAAGGGAGACCCTGTCTCGGAAAAAGGAAAAAAGTTACTAATTCTTTAAAAACCTATCTAAAATTTGTCCTGCCCAAAAGGAGAGTGAAAAATATGAACTTTAGTCTTTGTTTTATTTTATGTTTGCTGAGAAAAATGCTGTACTTTATTTATTTATTTATTATTTCCATAGGTTTCTGGGGGAACAGGTGGCATTTGGTGACATGACTAAGTTCTTTAGTGATGATTTGTGAGATTTAGGTGCACCCATCACCTGAGCAGTATCCGCTGAACCCAATTTGTAGTCTTTTATCCCTCACCCTCCTCCCAGCCTTTCCCCCAAGTCCCCAAAGTCCATTGTATCATTCTTATGGCTTTGCATCCTCATAGCTTAGCTCCCACGTAGGAAAGAGAACATGATATTTGGTTTTCCATGCTGAGTTATTTCACTTAGAATAATAGTCTTACTTCCATCCAGGTTGCTGGGAATGCCATGAATTTATTCCTTATTATGGCTGAGGTGGTATTCCTCATATATATATATATAATATGTATGTATATCACAGTTTCTTTATCCGCTCATTGACTGATGGGCATTTGGGCTGGTTCCATATTTTTGTAATTGTAATTTGTTTGAGTTCCTCATAGATTCTGGATAATAGCCCTTTGTCAGATGTATAGACTGCGAAGATTTCCTCCCACTCTGTGGTTGTCTGTATACTCTGTTGATTGTTCCTTTTCCTGTGCAGAAGCTCTTTAGTTAAGTCTCACCTATTTGTTTCTGTTGCATTTGCTTTTGTGTTCTTGGTCATGAAGTCTTTGCCCAAGCCAGTGTCTAGACGGGTTTTTCCAATGTTATCTTCTAGAACTTTTATGGTTTCAGGTCATAGATTTATGTCCTTGATCCATCTTGAGTTGATTTTTGTGTAAGGTGAGAGTTGAGGATCCAGTTTCATTCTCCCGCATGTGGCTTGCCAATTATCCCAGCACCATTTGTTGAATAGGGTTTACTTTCTTCACTTTATGTTTTAGGTGGCTTTGTTGAAAATCAGTTGGCTATAGGTATTTGAGTTTATTTCTGGGTTCTCTATTCTATTCCATTGGTGTATGTGCCTATTTTTATATCAGTACCGTGCTATTTTGGCGACTATGGCCTTATAGTATAGTTTGAAATCAGGTAATGTCATGCCTCCAGATTTGTTGTTTTTGCTTAGTTTTGTTTTGGCTGTGCCGGTTCTTGTTTGGTCCATATAAATTTCAAGACTGTTTTTTCTAGTTCTGTGAAGAAGGATGGTGGTATTTTGATGGGAGTTGCATTGAATTTGTAGATTGCTTTTGGCAGTATGGTCATTTTCACAATATTCATTCTACCCATTCATGAGCATGGGTGTCTTTCCATTTGTCTGTGTCCATGACTTCATTCAGCAATGTTTTGTAGTTCCCAACGGCATATCAAAAAGATAATCGGGCCAGGCACGGTGGCTCACACCTGTAATCCCAGCACTTTGGGAGGCTGAGGCGGACGGATCATGAGGTCAGGAGTTCGAGACCAGCCTGGCCAACATGGTGAAACCCCATCTCTACTAAAAATACAAAAGTTAGCCGGGCGTGGTGGCGCTCACCTGTTATCCCATCTACTCGGGTGGCTGAGGCAGGAGAATCGCTTGAACCTCGGAGGCAGAGGTTGCAGTGAGCCAAGATCACCGCATTGCATACTCCAGCCTGGGCAACAGAGCAAGACTCCATCTCAAAAAATAAAAAAAAGATAATCCACCATGATCAAATGGGTTTCATACCAGGGATGCGGGGATGGATTAACATACACAAGTCAATAAATGTGATACACCACATAAACAGAATTAAAAACAAAAAATCACATGATCATCTTAACAGATGCAGAAAAAGCATTTGACAAAATGCAGCATCCTTTTATGATTAAAACCCTCAGCAAAATCAGCATACAAGGGTCATAGCTCAATGTAATAAAAGCCATCTATGACAAACCCACAACCAACATAATACTGAAAGGGGGAAAAGTTGAAAGCATTCCCCCCGAGAACTGGAACAAGACAAGGATGCCCACTCTCACCACTTGTATTCAACATACTACTGGAA
Source organism: Homo sapiens (assembly GCF_000001405.40). NCBI lineage: Eukaryota > Metazoa > Chordata > Mammalia > Primates > Hominidae > Homo > Homo sapiens. Next base: position 47,512,684 of record NC_000010.11, on the reverse strand, counting down.
GGCCTAGCCAGAGCAATCACACAAGAGAAAACAATAAAAGGCATGCAGATCAGTAAAGAGGAAGTCAAACTGTTGCTGTTTGATGATGATATGATCATATACCTAGGAAACCCTAAAGACTCCTCCAAAAAGCTCCTAGAACCGATAAATGAATTCAGCAAAGTTTCAGGAGACAAAATTAATGTACACAAATCAGTAGCTCTGTTATACCCCAGAAGCGACCAAGCTTAGAATCAAACCAAGAACTCAACCCCTTTTCTGATAGCTGCAAAAATAAACTAAAATAAAATAAAGTACTTCGGAATAGACCTAACCAAGGAGGTGAAAGATGTCTACAAGGAAAACAACTTTAGTATTTTTAATGGGTTAAAATGAGAGGCAGCAGGTACAGCAGAAGTCAGTGCGTGGGCATCCGCATCCAATGGGTACTGCACCTTTGATGGTAAGGCTTTGGTTTTGACTTACTAAATTACTAGGTACGATTATTTTCTAGTTTTTGTCATTAAACCTTAAAACTACTAAGTAACCCCTTCCATTTCTTGTTAAATATTGTAAAATTTCATACTCTCATTTATGCTGACTGACGTTAGATTATTTGTTTCTATTTTGTGACTACCTTAAATAATACCTATAAAGAGTAAACTGTTAGTAGTGTTTTTGCTGTAATTAAATGTAGTAAGACTTACCTTCCAAATGATGACTGAATTGTCAAACACTTGTCGAAGTTTTGGATTTACTCAAAATTCTATGCTCAGCAGCTGGAGGTAGGAAGAGTAAGGGCCCTCCCTTACTCTTATGGAGAGGCATACTTTCTCATGAGGGGAATACTCTGCAGGAATTAGCATCTTGTAAGCAGTGGTGAATTCAACTAATTAGTGTATAAAAATACATTTTTTGGTGTGGCTGCCGACAAAGAGATCCAAGAGGGTAGATGGAGTCGAGCTTGCTGAAGCAAGGAAAGAGAAAAGCAGTATTCTAGGCAGAGAGCAGGGGTAGAGCAGGAAAATGGCTAGGTGCAGGTCAGATGATTTATAGAATGCAATTGATCAAGTTTTGAAGTGAATGCAAAGTATTCTCCAAGAGTCTCATTTGAGTCATGTCTTGGCAGTCTTATTTAAACATGAAGTGAAAGTTAGATTTTTTAAGTTGTCATTTGTTTTTAGGGTGTGAGAGAATATTTAAGTGATACTCTTTTTATCCTCCACATAAGAAAATAGGACTAGAGAAACCTATGGCTTCCTCACTTGTTGGTGGCCTAGCAGCCCTGGCACACAGAGCCCCTGAATCTGAAACACTTCTTTTGTAACAATATCACCTGAAATAATACGTTTAGGATTAGTAATTTAGTAAATGCATTAGTCTTGTATTCACTGCAATAAAGTGCTCTTGTAGCAGGATTATTTAATACACTACATTTTATCGTAGTAAATAAATAATAGAAGGACTGGGCGCCGTGGCTCACGCCTGTAATCCCAGTACTTTGGGAGGCTGAGGCAGGCAGATCACGAGGTGAGGAGATCGAGACCATCCTGGCTAACACGGTGAAACCCCGTCTCTACTAAAAATACAAAAAGTTAGCCGGGCATGGTGGTGGGCGCCTGTAGTCCCAGCTACTCAGGAGGCTGAGTCAGGAGAATGGCGTGAACCCGGGAGGCGGAGCTTGCAGTGAGCCGAGATCGCGCCACTGCACTCCAGCCTGGGCTACAGAGCGAGACTCCGTCTCAAAAATAAATAAATAAATAAATAAATTAATTAATTAATTAATTAATAGAAATTCTTGGCTGCTTTTTATTGCTGTAGAAAAAAATATGAAATCTCATTTTAAACTTTTCTTTCTTTTTTTTTTTTTTTTTTTGAGACGGAGTCTCACTTTGTCTCCCGGCCTGGAGTGCAGTGGCGCGAACTCGGCTCACTGCAAGCTCTGCCTCCTGGGTTCGCCCCATTCTCCTGTTTCAGCCTCTCGAGTAGCTGGGACTACAGGGGCCTGCTACCACGCCCGGCTAATTTTTTGTATTTTTAGTAGAGACGGGGTTTCACCATGTTAGCCAGGATGGTCTCGATCTCTTGACCTCGTGATCTGCCCGCCTCCACCTCCCAAAGTGCTAGGATTACAGGTGTGAGCCACCGCGCCCGGCGAAGCCGACTTTTCCCATTATTTTTAACGGTAATTCATAAAATCCTTGTTAGGTTTGATGACAGGTACCATATTAAGGGCAGCATTTTATAACCCATATCTTAAACATCATCTCTGGAAGTTGAGAGCCTCCAATGGGTTTTCTATAGATTGCACATGATACCACACTCAGGCAGTTCATGGAGTGTAAGACATATCTTAGTGCTTTGTCATTTGACATTTTAACTGAGAAAAAAATACACTTTGATAAGTTTGACTTACACTTCCCTTCCCCTTCAGGTATCTACTGAGCGTTTCAGTCAACAATACAGCTCGTGTTCGACAATATTCCTTGATGACAGCACAGCCATCCAGCATTATCTTACAATGACAATAATATCGTGAGTACAACTATGCTGCCGAGGGACAGATTCCTTTATTCGGAAATTATTTCAGCCATTTGGTTGTCCTCTTCAGCAATCAGCTTAAGAAATTGGAGTCAACCATATATTGATATTCAGATTCTGAATATTAAGTATCAGTTTCTCTTTTAATCTTAGACGTCGTGGTGGAAGGAAAAATCAGTTAGCAAAGAAGCAAACCCAGAAACAGTGTGTCTTTTTGATGTCTTTATGCCTTTAGACAATGTTGAACACAGTGAGAAGGATAGGTTCCCTTTATTGAATGTTTTTTGTGGAAACTTAGTTTTTCAATGCATCATAGGCCCAAATCAGTGTGCACTACTTTGGACATTATCCTTGGAAGAAGGAACAGCTTTTCTTCTTCTGGCACCACAGTGTATCTGCATTTGAATTTCTCCCATTGTGCATGAGCACCTCGTGGGCCACAAAGATGCGCTTTGAGAGCACCCTGAGATGAAGTTTATTTTAAAAGGAACAACAACCAACACCACCACCAGCTCCACAGGGGCCGTCCAGTGTACATTATTCTCATCTCCTTGGGTTATTAGTCTTGATTTTTAGAACACAGTTTGGAAAGTGCTAATTTAGAATATTAATGTCTTTATCTTTAATTTAACTTTTCATTCTGTAAACATAACTAGCTTATAAACAATTTTGTTTCAAATGCACTAGCCTTTTTAGCTAATTCAATTGTCAATAACTTTTACTTCAATTAAAAGTGGCAAGTTTACACTCATAATAATGTCACTTTCCTCCCTCCCTTTTAACAATAGTTGAGAGGAAATTGTGTTTCAAACAAAAACTGAACTCAAACTCTGTCTCAAGTCCTGAGCTTTGGGACCTATTGAGTAATCACTAAATGTCTGTAGTCAGCCAAGTCTCTTAAATCTTTGAGCACACATACACAAAAATTACTTTGACTAGAGTCCCTGGCTTCTTCTGAGTTCCAAAGATTTTGATAAGTTAGCATATAATTCAAAAGCAGCTTTGAAGATTAATTTTGCTGAAACTAATTTTGTGCTTTTTTCCTCATTATTCTACTTTTTAGAAGTCTACTTTTGAGAGTATAGTAAGTTTTAATTTGCCACCAGCAAGTTTGAGAAATAATCATTTGGTGTATTCACTATTGGTGAAATAAAGTTATTGAACAAATTAATAGGGCAAATTGGCTTCAAGAAGATATATTGAAAAATGTTTTATCATGAATCAGTAGTGCACTGTTGTCAGTGGGATAGGTGGAACTCGCTGAGATCACTTATGCAAGGTTTTTTTCAAAATGCAAGTCTGCAAATACATGTATCTTCCCATCTCCACTTTCCCTCTATCTCTAGGCACTGAGAAGCCTTTTAGGAAAATCGGGATGGATGTGAGGCATCTTTCTGTGAAGAAAAGCATCCCAGAAGATTCTGATTTTCACCCCAGCTCAATCATTCCAAACTTTGCTGCTGATTGAAATCACCTGGGAAACGTTTACCAAGAACCTTGATGCCCAAAGCCATACCCAATACTAATTAAATTAAAATGTCTCATGTGGAAGATGAGGCAGATATTAAAGCTTCTCAGGCGATTTTAATGTGCAGCAAAGTTTGAGAGCCACTGCTTAATTTGAGTTTAGGACGAGAAACTGCTCCTATTTGGTGGGACCTTGGGCAAGTCAGTTTTAAGGTTTGTTTCCCTGATCTGTAAAACAAGTGTTGAATTAAATGTCACATAAGGTCATTGGTCCTTTCCAGCATGTAACTTTAAATTCTGTGATTTTAAAATTATTTCAGAGATGAAAACTACTTGAAGCACTATAGACATATCCATCTCACATGCTAATGTTACAGGCTTTTTAAAAAGTGCTAATATTGTGTAGACCTATTAGTAGAATTGAGATTTACCTTCCCTCAGTTGTTTTGAGCCTCACTCTACAAAATTAGCTGGGTGTGGTGGTACATGCCTGTAATCCCAGCCACTTGGGAGGCTGAGGCAGGAGAATCTCTTGAACCCGGGAGGCAGAGGTTGTGGTGAGCCGAGATCACACCATTGCACTCCAGCCTGGGCAACAAGAGCGAAACTCCACCCACCACCCCCCCAAAAAAAAAATTATCTGGGCATAGTGGCGCAAACTTGTAGTCCCAGCTTCTTGGGAGGCTGAGGCGTGAGAATCGCTTGAACCTGGGTGGTGGAGGTTGTGAGGAGTCAAGATGGCACCACTGCAGTCCAGTCTGAGCAAGAGAGACAGACTCTGGGTCAAAAAATAAATAAATACATAAAATAAATCGCATGGGACGAAAGGTTTCATCGGTAGAAAAGCATATAAAAGGGAAATCTGTTATTATTTATATATTGTAATCACCAACAGAAACGCGTCTTCTAACGGCATATTTCCTTGCATTTTGGTTCTCATATTTTTGTAAAAAACAAAGAAATGAAAACAAAGTGCCCTTATGGTACTGTTCTGAACTAGAAGATTTGAATTTCAGGGCCGCTAGGAGAGTTTCCTCTGCCCCCCTTTTAAAAAATGTCTGCAGGCCTAACAAATGATAACATCTATTGTTATGAATTTGTTTTCCTTCCACAGTGTGACCTTGGAGATACCTCATCATATCACACAAAGGTGAGCTTTTTAGAAACCTGTCTTGTTATTCTAGCTAATTACTTTGCAAGATATCAAGCTCAGTGTTAGGTCACAGCTCTAGACATCATAAGCTGTATTGTGCCTACTAAAATATCGAAGCAAATTATTTGTATTTTCTTTGTTCCTTAAGACTCTCATAATTCTTAAATGATTGAGAATCTCAAAGAGTATATGTTTATATTGATTATATTGATATTTAGTGTGGTAGAATTATACAATTGAAATTTTTTCAAAATCTATTTTTAGTTTAGATTTCACAGCCTTACCACTGTTGATATTATGGGCTAGATAATGCTTTGTTGTGAGGACTGTCTTGTGCATTGCAGAGAGTTTAGCAGTATTCATGGCCTCTACCAACTAGATGTCAGTAGTAACCCATGACCCAGTTTATAAAAACAGAAAATATTCCTTGAGAACAGTATTGTTAACAGAAGTTTTTCATTGAAAAAAAACTTTTCTACAACAAAAAGTTGAGTAAAAAGTGTGTCATTTGTTTATATTATTTAAAGTCTCTCATGTTGAGCTTAATAGGAGACAAATGGATTCTCTAGAGCTTTCTTTGCAATTTGCTTCAAAGAAGCAATATGAGGCTGGGCACAGTGGCTCACGCCTGTAATCCCAGCACTTTGGGAGGCTGAGGCGGGCGGATCACAAGGTCAGGAGATCGAGACCATCCTGGCTAACACGGCGAAACCCCGTCTCTACTAAAAATACAAAAACTTAGCTGGGCATGGTGGCACGCACCTGTAGTCCCACGTATTCTGGAGGCTGAGGCAGGAGAACCGCTTGAACTTGGGAGGCGGAGGTTGCAGAGAGCTGAGATCGTGCCATTGCACTGCAGCCTGGGTGACAGAGCAAGACTCTGTCTAAACAAACAAACAAAAAAAGCAATAAGCTGGTGGGGCGCAGTGGTTCACACCTGTAATCCCAGCATTTTGGGAGGCCAAGGTGGGTGGATCACTTGAGGTCAGGAGTTTGAGACCAGCCCGACCAACATGGTAAAACCCGCCTCTACTGAAAGTACAAAAAATGGCTGGGCGTGGTGGTGCATGCCTGTAGTCCCAGTTACTTGGGAGGCTGAGGCAGGAGAATCACTTGAGCCTGGGAGGTGGAGGTTGCAGTGAGCCGAGATCTTGCCATTGCACCCCAGCCTGGGTGACAGAGAGAGACTCTGTCTCAAAAAAAGAGAAAAAGAAGCAATAAGATGACCTAACCTCATGCAAATATGTAGTTGGTAGAAGGTGTATTTTTAAAGTTTTCAGACAGTTGTGGGTATTTGTTAAAACACTAAATCAAAACTTCACAAGTGGTGGTTTCTTAAATTAGTTACGGTGGCATTTTACATATTAATAAATTTATTCCATCAGTACTCATTGATCTTTCTTGCACAGTAAATGGATCTTTTGCTCCATACTTGCATTTATAATATCATGCATTAGTTACTTGGAATATATTGGTTTATGTTTTATTGTGTCAAAAATCACTTTTAGTTTAACCACCAATCTTACTTTAACAGGCCTTTAAGTATTGAAAAGCTGCCAAGCCTACAGTAGAAGGAACAAGTTTTTCAAAGTCCACAGGAAAGCTTAAATTTTATCATTGGGAACAAATACGTATTTCCCTTGAAGTGACAACCTCTCACTTCATTTATTTTTGAGAATGATAGTTGAACTGGTTTTTTAGACCGAGTTTCACTCTGTCACTTGGCTGGAGTGCATTGGCATGATCTCAGCTCAAGCAATCCTCTCACCTCAGGCTCCTGTGTAGCTGGGACCACAGATGTGTGGCACCACGCCAGGCTAATTTTCTTATATGTTTGATAGAGACACGGTTTCGTTATGTTGCCTAGGCTGGTCCCGAACTCCTGAAGGAGCTCAGGCCATCTGCCTGCTTTGGCCTCTCAAAGTGCTGGGATTTTACAGGCGTGAGCCACTGCGCTGGCCCAGTTGTACTTTTAAATAAAAATGATGTTCTGTGAAAAAAGTGATTTTTCAGTTCACAGTTAAATCACGGATTCTTTAAAAACAAAAAAAAAGCACTTCTCATTAACTTTCCACTTATTCAGAATATTAGAGACATGTCAAGATTTAACAACATTAATTTTTATTGCTTCATCAAAGACGTTCTTAAGAAATTCAGGCTATGTTTTTTACCTGTAGGGGACAGTGAAGAATAGAATGACTACTAATGTAATTGGTACCACTGCCTTGATTTATGCTGAGAAACCAGCCATTGTACCTACTTTTGCTTTTATACAATCATGGCAAGTGTCAACGAAAAAGCAGGCAATGACTTTGTATTACTTTCACAAATTTTTAAAATTTTTCATCAGCTTTCTCAGGTTTAATTAGTATGATTCAGAACAGTGTTGGCCAGGCACAGTGGCTCAGGCCTGTAATCCCAGCACTTTGGGAGGCCGAGGCAAGTGGATCGCCTGAGGTTAGGAGTTCAAGACCAGCCTGGCCAACATGGTGAAACCACATCTCTACTAAAAATACAAAACTTAGCCAGGAGTGGTGGCAGGTGCCTGTAATCCCTGCTACTTGGGAGGCTGGGGTAGGAGAATCACTTGAACCTGGGAGGCGAAGGTTGCCATGAGCCGAGATCGCACCATTGCACTCCAGCCTGGGCAACAAGAGTAAAACTTGGTCTCAAAAAAAAAAAAAAAAAAAAAAAAAAAGAACAGTTATGACCTCTTAGGCCTTCTGGAAGGGGTCTTCGGGATCCCGAGAGGTCCACAGAGCACATTTGGAGAACCACTGGTTTATACACAGGCACAATGCATTAGTTTTACAAAGTTTAAAGTTCCTCAAAGACTGGCCTCTTAAAAAGGTAGATGAGTTTGTCATTCAGACAACAGAAAATACATAAAAACATCATGAGAGTATACTACAGAGAACTAAAGAGAAAGGAAGCTAAGAAATCTGAATCACATTTACATTTATTAAAGTTTACTACTACTGCTTTGTAGAACATTCTTGTGTTTCAATGTGTGGTTAGAAGAGTGAAAATATGTTTGGTTTATTGCCATGGCCTGTTAGGGAGAGTCAATACTCATGGGCATTTCTGACTGGTTATCATATAAAAGGCTTCACGGTACAGACCATGATGTGCTGAGAAAGAAGAAGTCAGGAAACCCTCTGCAAGTCAGGATCCAGGAGAAGAATTTGTAAAAACTGCTTTGGTAAAGTAAACACCAAAGCACACAGGAGGAAGTATTTTACTCAACAAATATTATACTAAGATATTAACAGTTTTTGAAGTAATGCACTTTCTTATTTTATAGAGATGCAGATAGATCTTTGAGCATACCTGATGAACAGTTACACTCATTTGCGGTAAGTGGCACTTTTATTGAGGTTGTATTTTCATCGTACACTTGTATCTGTTTCATGCTGAAGTCAAAGCCATCTTTTTTTAAATCTTCCCCATTTCATGTTGCATTTAGTCATCTTAAGTGTTGTAAAAAGAATGTGCTGGAGTAAGAACTGATCTGCAGCTCTGTTTAGTTAGTGAGCTAGTGTGAGTAAATATACTATCCAAACAACAGAAAATGTATCTTTTTTTTTTTTTTTTTTTTTTTTTTTTTGATGGACTCTCTTTCTGTAGCCCAGGCTGGAGTGCAATCGCGCGATCTTGGCTCACTGCAGGCTCTGCCTCCCAGGTCCCTGTTCAAGCAATTCTCCTGCCTCAGCCTCCCGAGTAACTGGAATTACAGGCATGTGCCACCATGCCCAGCTAATTTTTTTTTCTTTTTTTTTTTTTTGTAAAGACAGGGTTTCACCATGTTGGCCAGGATGGTCTTGAACTCCTGACCTCGTGATCCACCCACCTTGGCCTCCCAAAGTGCTGTGATTACAGGTGTGAGCCACCATGCCTGGCCCAGAAAATGTATCTTTTTAAAAGGTAATTGTGAGCTGTCTATAGGATCCTGCAAGCCACTACCCAATTTTTGAAGCCATTCCTCCTCCTGTTCCACACAGGTTTCCACCGTGCACATTATGAAGAAAAGAAATGGAGGTGGGAGTTTAAATAACTATTCCTCCTCCATTCCACCGACTCCCAGCACCAGCCAGGAGGACCCTCAGTTCAGTGTTCCTCCCACTGCCAACACACCCACCCCCGTTTGCAAGCGGTCCATGCGCTGGTCCAACCTGTTTACATCTGAGAAAGGGAGTGACCCAGACAAAGAGAGGAAAGCCCCGGAGAATCATGCTGACACCATCGGGAGCGGCAGAGCCATCCCCATTAAACAGGGCATGCTCTTAAAGCGAAGTGGAAAATGGCTGAAGACATGGAAAAAGAAATACGTCACCCTGTGTTCCAATGGCGTGCTCACCTATTATTCAAGCTTAGGTGATTATATGAAGAATATTCATAAAAAAGAGATTGACCTTCGGACATCTACCATCAAAGTCCCAGGAAAGTGGCCATCCCTAGCCACATCAGCCTGTGCACCCATCTCCAGCTCTAAAAGCAATGGCCTATCCAAGGACATGGACACCGGGCTGGGTGACTCCATATGCTTCAGCCCCGGTATCTCCAGCACCACCAGCCCCAAGCTCAACCCGCCCCCCTCTCCTCATGCCAATAAAAAGAAACACCTAAAGAAGAAAAGCACCAACAACTTTATGATTGTGTCTGCCACTGGCCAAACGTGGCACTTTGAAGCCACGACGTATGAGGAGCGGGATGCCTGGGTCCAAGCCATCCAGAGCCAGATCCTGGCCAGCCTGCAGTCATGCAAGAGCAGTAAAAGCAAGTCCCAGCTGACCAGCCAGAGTGAGGCCATGGCCCTGCAGTCGATCCAAAACATGCGTGGGAACGCCCACTGTGTGGACTGTGAGACCCAGAATCCTAAGTGGGCCAGTTTGAACTTGGGAGTCCTCATGTGTATTGAATGCTCAGGTATCCACCGCAGTTTTGGCACCCGCCTTTCCCGTGTGCGATCTCTGGAGCTGGATGACTGGCCAGTTGAGCTCAGGAAGGTTATGTCATCTATTGGCAATGAGCTAGCCAACAGCATCTGGGAAGGGAGCAGCCAGGGGCAGACAAAACCCTCAATAAAGTCCACGAGGGAAGAGAAGGAATGGTGGATCCGTTCCAAATATGAGGAGAAGCTCTTTCTGGCCCCACTACCCTGCACTGAGCTGTCCCTGGGCCAGCAGCTGCTGCGGGCCACCACTGATGAGGACCTGCAGACAGCCATCCTGCTGCTGGCACATGGCTCCCGTGAGGAGGTGAACGAGACCTGTGGGGAGGGAGACGGCTGCACGGCACTCCATCTGGCCTGCCGCAAGGGGAATGTGGTCCTGGAGCAGCTCCTGACGGGGTGGACGTCATGGCCCGAGATGCCCACGGGAACACAGCGCTGACCTACGCCCGGCAGGCCTCCAGCCAGGAGTGCATCAACGTGCTTCTGCAGTACGGCTGCCCCGACGAGTGCGTGTAGTATCTGTTTTATTTGACTGCAGTCTCCTTGGTGCAAAAACAAAATGGGAAAAATAAGGATAACTCAGAATTTCAAAAGGAAATCACAAATTCAGCTAGTAATAGCATTTTCAGTACTTTTCGTAAACTAAGTAAATACACAAAATGTTGATTTTTCTGACCATAAGACATATTTTATGTCCTTTTGCCAAGGTGGATGTGTTAGTCTCAGGCCCTCCTGGCCACATTGCCCAAGTCACACAGGCTTCTGTATTATGTATTTAGATAAAATGTGTGAAAATATATTTGAAAAAAAATTTCATAAATGTGCATTGATTTTTGTACACATGGCACCTCTTTTTCATTTTTATTTTTATTTTTATTTTTTTGGACGATGTTTTGCTCTGTTGCCCCAGCTGGAGTGCAGTGGCATGATATCTGCTCACTGCAAGCTCTGCCTCCTGGATTCACACCATTCTCCTGCCTCAGCCTCTCAGGTAGCTGGGACTACAGGTGCCTGCCACCACACCTGGCTAATTTTTTGTATTTTTAGTAGAGACGTGGTTTCACCATGTTAGCCAGGATGGTCTCGAACTCCTGACCTCGTGATCCACCTGCCTCGGCCTCCCAAAGTGTTGGGATTATGGGGGTGAGCCACCGTACCAGGCCCATGGCACCTCTCTTAATTTATAAATTGAACTGGATGTGAAGTAATAATGTCAGCTAGTTGAGATAAGAGGGTTACAGTTAGGCTGGGCGCAGTGGCTCACACCTGTAATCCTAGCACTTTGGGAGGCCTAGGCGGACTGATCACCAGGTCAGGAGATTGAGACCATCCTGGCTAACATCATGAAACCCCATCTCTACTAAAAAATACAAAAAATTAGCTGGGAATGGCCAGGCGTGGTGGCTCACACCTGTAATCCCAGCACTTTGGGAGGCCGAGGCAGGCGGATCATGAGGTCAGGAGATCAAGACCATCCTGGCTAACATGGTGAAACCCCATCTCTGCTAAAAATACAAAAAAAAAAAAAAATTAGCCAGGTGTGGTGGCGGGCACCTGTAGTCCCAGCTACTCGGGAGGCTGAGGCAGGAGAATGGCGTGAACCCAGGAGGCGGAGCTTGCAATGAGCTGAGATTGCACCACTGCACTCCAGCCTGGGCGACCAAGCGAGACTCCATCTCAAAAAAAAAAATTAGCTGGGCGTGGTGGCGGGCACCTGTAGTCCCAGCTACTTGGGAGGCTGAGGCAGGATAATGGCATGAACTCAGGAGGCAAAGCTTGCAGTGAGCAGAGATTGTGCCACTGCACTCTGGCCTGGGCAACAGAGCAAGACTCGGTCTCAAAAAAAAGAAAAAGAGGGTTACAGATCATTGCACATGGAAAATATTCCCAGCAGTAACCACTTCCATTAATGTGATCTACAGCTTTTAAAAAGGAGCATCTCAGAATAAGATGGTGGTACAATTTGCTTATTGAGAAAGGAAAAAAAAAAACACATGAGTATATTACAAAGGGAAAAGAAGGAATGTGATTTCTCATGATTGAAAGCTTGATTTAGATTGCATACAGCTTTTGCTACCCAAGACCAAGAGGCTCTGGCAAGACAGGGTGGTTTTCCGAATGCCAGACTGAGGTGCCTTATGAAGGCAGCTGCCGATGGTTCCAGATGTAGAGAGATAGGTGATGCAGGAGGGAAAGCTGGATTGGAAAAGGGAGAGTTTTGTAGACGGGCTACGCTCATTGTGCCTTTGAAAGAGCAGAGCCGGCAGCCTCTAGTCATCATTTGGATATACAGGACTAGAGCATGAATCTGATGTAGAGCTACAGAATGAAGAGCAACAGCAGCTGTTTAAATACCAAGAAAGTGTGTAGAATGAAATTGGACAAGCCAAGCATGGTGGTTTCATGCCTTTAGTCCTAGCTACTTCGGAGGCTGAGGTGGGGGAATTACTTGAGCTCAGCAGTTTGAGTTCAGCCTGGGCCAGATGGTGAGACCCTGTATCTTAAGAAAAGAAAAAATAAGACCAGGTGCAGTATCTCATGCCTGTAATCCCAGCACTTTGGGAGGCCAAGTTGAGAGGACTGCTCGAGTGTAGGACTTCAAGACCAGACTGGGCAATAAAGTGAGACCCATTTCTACCAAAAAAAAATCAAGAAATTAGCTGGACATGGTGGCACATGCCTGTGGCCTCAGTTACATGGCATGGCAGGCTGAGGCAGGAAGATCACTTGAGCCCAGGAGGTGGAGGCTGCAGTGACCCATATTCATGCCACTGCACTCCAGCCTGGGCAACAGAGTGAGACCCTCTCTCAAAAACAGATAAAGTGGACAGAAAATAGGTCAGTAAGGACTAATCATTTAAGGGACAAGCCCCCAGAAGAGTGGCTACTAGAGTGGGAGGAGGAAAAGCAGAAGGAGAAAGAGTTGAAGATAGGCGAGGCTGTGGTCCCAGTGCTGAATTCTGCCAAGCAGTGACTTGATTCATGAACACTCACTGGATGCTGACTCTGTTTCTCTTCTGAGTGCTGGGGTAGAGGAGAGGAGAGGTGGAGCACAGTTCTTGCTTTTATGAGCTTATGTTCTAGGAAGTTCAAGTATTTTTTTCAGGTAGTATGAAATAGCAGGAAGAGGAAGCAGGCTAAAGGGACACAGAGTGATTGGGGGCTATTTTAAGTAGAATGATAAGGAAGAGCCTGTCTAGAGAGCTATTTGAACAGTGACCTGACTGAAGGGACAACAGAAAGCAGTGCTGACATTACAGGTAGCAGGATGACTGCCAAGACAGAAACGCATTTCATATGTGTTTGAGGAACAAACAGCAAGGTGACCAGCATGGGGAGAGTGAAGAATGAGGGAAACCTTGAATGAGAATAAAGCAATTCCATCTTGGATGCTAATCTGCCATATTCTGATTAATCCCAGTTCCAACAATTCATCTACGATTTCTATTTTATCTTTTTAAAAAAATTATTTTTTATTTTTTATTTTTTGAGACCGAGTCTCACTCTGTCTCCCAGGTTGGACTTCAGTGGCACAATCTCAGCTCACTGCAAACTTCACCTCCTGGGCTCAAGCGATTCTCCTGCCTCAGCTTCCCGAGTAACTGGGATTACAGGCGCCTGCCACCACGCCTGGCTAATTTTTGTATTTTTAGTAGAGACGAGGTGTTACCATGTTGGCCAGGCTGGTCTGGAACTCCTGACCTCAGGTGATCCGCCCACCTTGGCCTCCCAAAGAGCTGGGATTGCAGGCGTGAGCCACCGTGTCTGGCCATACACATCCCTGCTGAAGCCCGCATTACCCTTCCCCTATGCTATAGAAGCCCTGGGTCGGGGGGGTGGGGGTGATGGCACAGGGATCCACCATCTTATCTTGGTGCCATCCCTGACTTGCCTTCTGTTCATAAACGCCTATTAAATGTTTCTTTCTGAGAAACTGGATTTGTCAGCCTCTTTCTTTGGTATCTCAGGTTCCTTGGCCTTTGCGGGTAGGTTTATATAGACCTGCTCAGCACAGGACAGGCAGTTTCTCAAAAAATTAAAAATAGAATTACCAAATGATCCGGCAATATCACTTCTGGGTATATAGCCAAAATAATTGAAAGCAAGGTCTCATAGAAATATGTGTACACTGATATTTATAGCAGTGGTATTCACACTCGTCAAAAGATGGATGCAGCCTAGTTGTCCATAGGCAGATGAATTGATAAAATGTGGTATATACATACAATAAAATGTTCTTCAGCCTTAAAAAGGAAGGAAATTCTAACACATGCTACAACATGGATGAACATTGAGGACATTACGCTAAGTGAAATAAGCCAGTTAGAAAAAGACAAATACGGTGTTCCTTCACTTATGTGAAGCGTCCAGACTGAGTAAGCAAACTAATAGAAACAGAAGGTAGAACGGGGGTTGCCAGGGACATGGGGAAGGGAGAAAATGGGAAGTTGCTTAGTGGATATAGAGTTTTGGTTTTGTCAGATGAAAAAGTTCCAGAGATTGGTTGCATGGCAATGTGAATATACATTACCCAACCCAAGGGCTCTCCTTGACCCCTGTTCCAACTGCCACTTAGAAGTGGTTAAGGTAGTAAATTTTATGTATATTTTACCACAATTCAAAATAGAATTATTATTTTTTCATTATAATTTTTTGAGATCCCTCACTCTATTGCCCAGGCTGGAGTGCAATGGCGCCGTCTCGGCTCACTGCAACCTCTGCCTTCTGGGTTCAAGTGATTCTCCTGCCTCAGCCTCCCAAGTAGCTGGAACTTACAGGCACATGCCACCATGCCCAACTAATTTTTGTATGTTTAGTAGAGACGGGGTTTCACCATGTTCGCCAGGCTGGTCTTGAACTCCTGACTTCAGGTGATCCGCCTGCCTTGGCCTCCCAAAGTTCTGGGATTACAGGTGTGAGCCACCATGCCCGGCTGTCAAAATAGGTGTTTTGTTGTTGTTTTTTTTTTTTGAGATGGAGGTTTGCTTTTGTTGGCCAGGCTGGAGTGCAATGGCAGGATCTCGGCTCACGGCAACCTCCACCTCCCGTGTTCAAGCAATTCTACTGCCTCAGCCTCCTGAGTAGCTGGGATTACAGGCATGCACCACCATGCCCAGTTAATTTTGTATTTTATTTTAGTAGAGATGGGGTTTCTCCATGTTGGTCAGGCTGGTCTCCAACTCCTGACCTCAGGTGATCCACCCACCTTGGCCTCCCAAAGTGCTGGGATTACAGGTGTGAGCCATTGCGCCTGGCCTTTTTTTTTTTTTTGTGATGGACTTTTGCTCTTGTTATCCAGGCTGGAGTGCAATGGCACGATCTCAGCTCACTGCAGCCTCTCCTCCCGGGTTCAAGCAATTCTCTTTCCTCAGCCTCCTGAGTAGCTGGGATTACAGGCATGCACCACCATGCCTGGCTAATTTTGTATTTTTGGTAGGTATGGGGTTTCTCCATGTTGATCAAGCTGGTTTTGAACTCCTGACCTCAGGTGATCCACCCACATCGGCATCCCAAAGTGCTAGGATTAGAGGCATGAGCCACTGCGCCTGGCCTGAAAAAAAATTTTAACGTTTGAGAAAATACAAAATTTTCATAGTCTCCAAGTATTTCTCCTAAGATCTTTCCCCCTATGAGGGGGAAAGATAGTATCTTTACAATGGAGAAACCCAGCAGAAACCTGAACCAAATGAACAAGTTCAACATCATCAGTAAGAAGAACTATCAATGCCATAACTCTGATGGAATGCACTGGGAAGGATTCCACATCATTTTTGTGCTGTAATTGCCAAAAGTTCGTAACTTCAGTCCAATCATGGAAATACATCAGACAATCCCAAATCGAGGAACATTTCATAAATACTGATCAGTACTGGTTCAAGATGTCACGGTTATGAAAGATAAGGAAAGATTGAGGAACTGTTATTGCAGTCCTACAAAACGGCGAGAGACTAAGAAATAACTAAATGCAGCGTGATCCTGGGTGGAATTTGGGAACAGAAAAAGGACATTAGTGGAAAAAGTGGTGAAACTCCAATAAGGTCTTTTGTTTAGCGAATATGTTCATTTTAAATCAGTTAAATTATTTAAATATATTTAAACATTAGTTAAATGTATTTAATTAAATTAATAAAATTGGTTATTTTGTGAAATAATTTTAATATAGTTAAATATGAGAATGTGGATTTCCTGGTTCTGATCACCGTACTGTGGCTATCTAAGAGGTGCATGTTCAGGGAGGCTGGGGGAGGAATAAATGGACATTATACTATTAAGTTGGAAGAGAGAAACCTACCCCATCAGTCACAAAACCCTCACATTCATGGCAGTGTGTCGGACGTTCCAGTATGAATGGCATTTCCCAGATGTCAGCGCGAGGTCCCTGTGGAGGGAGTGGGGCTCCCTGGGAATCTAGTGGAGAGCATTCGGGGCTCCCTTCCTCAGGAGCCTGCCCTTCCTGCACAGAAGCGTCAGCCTCACCTCTGTACCACTGCCCCTCTGCCTCTCAGAACCTACTCGGCTTCAGGAAGATTCTACTGCCAGCCTCCTTTCCCAGATACAGCCTCCAGGGACTCAGCCCTGCCTTCCCAAGTGTTCCCGCCTCTCTTGGGAAGGCGTGCTCTCAGATCCCACACCCCTGGACTTCCCCGGGCACCACCTGCTCCTTCTTCATTTCTCCAGCTCTGCGTTCTCACTCTGAGGGTCCTCTCCTGCTGGGAATGTGTGTTGCTGGCAACAGTGAAGATTCCCCCCTGGGTTGCCCCCCATGCCCTGTTCTTCTGCACTTCCCTGGCTTCCTGCGTTGGTTCTGCTGGTGTCTCCTGCTTTTGGGTTTACGTGGCTTCCCAGCTTCCTAATTTCTCTGAAGTTGAGTTTGATGTGTGTATTGATGATGGGCTTTTTCCTCCTCCTCCTCCTCCTCCTCCTCCTCCTCTTCCTCCTCAGTCTTGTTGTTGCCCCATATAGTTTCCAGAAGGAGAAAAGGGACACTGTAAAATTAAGCTGCTGCAGGCTGGGCAGTGGCTCATGCCTGTAATCCCAGCCCTTTGGGAGGCCGAGGCAGGTGGATCACCTGAGGTCAGGAGTTCAAGACCAGCCTGTTCAACATGGTGAAACCTCATCTGTACCAAAAATACAAAAATTAGCAAGGCATGGTGGCATGTGCCGGTAATCCCAGCTACTCGGGAGGCTGAGGCAGGAGGATCTCTTGAACGCGGGAGGCAGAAGTTGCAGTGAGCCGAGATCATGCTACTGCACTTCAGCCTGGGTAACAAGAGCAAAACTCCATCTCAAAATAATAATAATAATAATAATAATAATAATAATAATAATAATAATGCCATGTTTCTATCAGACCCAGAAATCCCGCAGAGTGAGCTGGAATTCTCTGTTTCTCTGTTTCCCCTCCATACCCACTGGCTCCTCTCTGCCCACTCCCTCTTGGACTGCATCACCAGGGTGCCTCACTGTCTGGCCCTAGTGGAATTCACACAGTGGAGGACGTCATAGGAGGTGGGAGAGAGAGAGAGAGGAGAGGTGGTTATTCGCTCAGATTCTTCCTTGTTGGTTTGGCAGTGGCCACATCTTTCTACTGATGGCTGCAGCTCCTGATGATCCTCCTCTACAGCCACAGCTCTCTTTGGGATCTGTGGACACCTTTCCTGTCCCTCTAGACCCAGGGAGATAACAGCTCCCACTCTTGCTGGTCCAGGACATTCCTCATCTCTTATTGGTTCCCTTAACTCGGTCCACACTTCTGTGAACAGCCCCTTTCCTCAAGTACCCATTCGAATATGTCCTCTGGCTTCCACCAGGAGCCTGACTGATACCCACAGGTGGGTGAATGCTGGCGTGCTGCTGGGCCCCTCTTCCTCTGGTGACTGGCCAGCCAAGTCTCCAGGAGTCTCGTTAGGGTGGGCAGGCGGTGGGCACAGCACAAACTGTGAGCTCAAATCCACAGAACAAAAGTGGGAGAAGACACTGGCAGGATGGACCGCCACAAAACTCTTGGCATTCGTGACGTCTGTCCTTTAAATCACGCAAGGCATCATCATGCTTCAGACATGAGACAGCCTAAGTATTTAAGTGTTTCAAATAAACAAATTGTTTTTCAGAATTGGTAATTGCTAAGTTGGCAAATTGCTATTGGAAACGTTGGCTGTCCTTGACTCAGTGATTCAGCCAGCTAGTCCCTTGCCAAACTAGTATGTTGGGCAAATTCCACCTTGAGAATTTATCTGCTCCTGTCAAAGCCAGATTCTCCCTGCCTGAGGGGAGGCTGGACTTGACCTTCTGACTCAGGATATGCTGACTTGGGTCCCTAGGTCCAAGGGCGGCCCTCTTGGGCCCACTGTGGGCTGGACCTCTTCCATGATGGGGTGGTGGAGGGCAGGCCCCACCTGATTCACACTTGACCTCATCCAGGCAGGTGAAGTTCCCTGCAGGAGTCACCTGAGCCCAGCCCCTCAGACCAGGATCCATCATGTTTAGGAGGATTTGGGGCTATCTCATGTTCTTTGGCTAGAAAGGGGTCCCACTCTTAGGGGTCTGCCCTCTGTGGGGCACAGATGGCTTGCTGGGGCCCATGGACGGGGCTGGGTGAATGGGAATCTGGTCACAGCAGCAGCAGCTGGAAGGCCAAGAGGGAGGGCACCAGGGCCTGGGACCCATGTCTTGTCCTGGGCCTCCCCGGGCCTCTTGCCTTCTCCCCAGCAGGCATTTGGGATCTGTGTCTGGACCCAGCCTCGCCCAGAAGGCCATGGTGTGTTGTCATTAGAATCACAGTGCTCACACCAAGGCAGTGCATTAAATTAGCAGGGCAGGGTCTCATGGGCAGGGGACCATGTGGAGGGGGTGGGGGGAAGGGCAGTTGTCCCCAGAGGCCATGGTGGGCCTGGCTCTGGGCTGGGCAGTGGGCCAGGGTCCTGCTGTGTGGATGAGCTCTGACAACAGGCTGTCTGGGTCTGGTGAGCTCCTGAAAGCGGGGACTGGTGGAGAGTACCCTAGGGTGGGAGCTCATGAGGAGGGGGTCTGTGGGGTCTGGAAGCCATTCTAGAGCAGGCAGATGACATTTATCAGGGGAGCAGGCATAGAAAGGACCCTTGTGTGAGTGGGGGGACACACAGCCTCAGAAGAAACAGGGAAGGGGCTTTGACAGGTCCAGGGAGAATCCCTGAGGTTTCCTAGAACAATTCCCACCAGCCATGTCCCAGGTGTCACCCCATCCCCCAGGCCTCTGCAGTGCCAGCCCAATGCCCTGGGCAAAGCATCCTGGACTCTGGCTGTTACAAAAGGAGGACAGGGTCATCTGGACCCGCCTGAGCTCCAGGCCCCCGACTTTCACAGCCCCTTCTGGGTCCAGAAGTTCATACGTATATAAATGAAAAATGTGCAAGAATCATATTATTGTATTCTTTTTCATAAAGAGGCCCCTCTAAATTGTTGAAGCCCCGATTCACCCCTGCCCAAAGGAGACAGCAATGGCATGTGTGGGGCCACAGTCTTGAGACCCAGAGGTCCTGCTGCCCACGATACCCACTGTCCACCCTAGGGGGACTGGCCGTAGCCCTGGAGCCCGCAAACACCATGCAGGAATGCAAGAGGGTCTCAGCTCCCGAGTCCCAGGCTGGGAGGGCCCACAGTCCAGTAAACTAATCAGGCCCCGACACATCCAGGAGAGCAGCTCCAGGAGCCTGCATTGGGGAGAGAGCCTCAGACCCCTGCCACAGGCCTGCACCCCAGAAGTAGGAGCATGGGAAGACCTCTCCTTGGCTCCTGGCCAGCAGAAGTCACATTCCCCAGCCCTCTGGCTCCAAGGCAGCCTCACGTCCCAGTCACTCCTTGGCACACCCTACCAGTTGGTCAGAGCTCACTGCCAAAGGGCACCTCAATGATGAGTGGAGGGAACAGGTGTTTACCAGGAGCTTGCATGCTTTGCCTCAGGGATGATTAGGGACACAGCCAAGAAGGCACGCTATGCCCATTTTACAGATGAGGAAACGGAGGCTCAGGTTGGGCTGGTGACTAAGGGAAGCAGCATGTGGCAGGTGGCTTGAGGCATGTCTGTCCATCATGAGTAACTAGGGAGCAGCCCTGCCACTCCTCATGCGATGCACCAGGAGCCAGGGAAGCTGCTTCCTAGGGGATTCTAGCTAAGGCCAGAAGCATCTCCCTGAGTGGTGGTGGAGGCCTCTGTCTACTCCTCCAGGACTGCCAGGGGATAGGAGGGCACTGCTGACCTCACAGAGCCTCTTGGGTGAGTGAGCATCAGCTGAGCGACACCAGGTGACTACGCTTCTGCCCAGTGCTGTGCCCCCCTCTGACTCGGGCAAGGCACCACCCTGAACGCCCCACCCTGTCCCATGGAGGCCGCAAACTGCTCTGCAGAGCCAGGGTCTCCAGGAATGGGGAGGGCAGTCACCCTCATTCCACTTGTGTTCATGACTCAAAGGACTGCCCAGGTCTCCAGGCCCATAGAACCCCCAAACCTCTTACTAGGCCACACTGGGGACCTTGAGCAGCAGGCTTGGAATCCTAGGCCTTGTCTCCAGGTACATATCAGTACCCAGGCTTGGGAAGCTTTGGTCTCAGGGGGGCTGGCACTCAGGCCCTCTGCCTCAAGGAAGAAGCATGTCCAGATCTCTACTGTCCAGCCCTGCTCCCTGCCCCTATCCTTCACGGGGTCCCTAGGACAGGGTTACAGAAGCCTCATGCTGTCAGGGGATGCTGCCACCCTAGTTCCAGGGTGGCTCCGCCCAGCCCCTTCCTGCTGCCGCCCTCACTGACTCACCTGTCCAGCCTCCTACTGGGCTGGGGTGAGGGCTTATTGCCCCAGAGCCTAGATAGGCACCAGAGGCAGCTATAAAAGCATGTTGGGCCAGTCCTCAGCATCCTAGTTCGCCACTGTCTGCTGCCACACGATGCTGGGAGGCCTGGGGAAGCTGGCTGCCGAGGGCCTGGCCCACCGCACCGAGAAGGCCACCGAGGGAGCCAGTGAGGACCCAGGGCTCCTTTCTACCTGGGCTGGGGGGATCTGGGGCAGACTGGGTCTGTGGGAGGCGGATCTACGTAGGCAGGCGAGGACCTGCGGGGAGGCCTTGGCCCCTCAGGAACCCTGGTCTCCTGCTCTACCAAGTCAGCACGGAGTTGAGGGGTGCAGACCTGGGGAGGTCTCCTGGGGGCAGGGCATGAGTCCTGGTGCTGGGTGAACACTGGCAGCTTGGACCCTTCCCTCTGGAAATCTGGGGAGCCTTTCTTGTCAAAACAGCCTATTCTGAATAACCTATGCAGGAAAAGGAAGATGGATTTTTATTTTTACCATAACTTTAAAGCTTCAAAGATTTCTTAACAAGTCACCAAGTCTGTTCAAAGTCAAAAAGGGCATTTTCAATTTCATCCAAGTCCCCTAAAGCATGTTTATTTTTATTTGTATTTGTATTTGAAATGGAGTCTTGCTCTGGCACCCAGGCTGGAGTGTAGTGGTGCGATCTCGGCTCACTGTAACCTTTGCCTCCTGGGTTCAAAGTGATTCTCATGCCTCAGCCTCCTGAGTAGCTGGGATTACAGGCACCCACCACCACGCCCGACTAATTTTTGTATTTTTAGCAGAGACGGGGTTTCGCCATTTTGGCCAGGCTGGTCTCAAACTCCTGACCTCAAGTGATCCATTCCTCTTGGCCTCCCAAAGTGCTGGGATTACAGGCGTGAACCACTGCACCTGGTCCCGAAGTGTATGTTGTATTCAGAGGTCAGCAGGTATGTGTGGGGAGGCCCAGCCAGGCCCCACTCATGGGTCATCGTGTGAAAAAGTCTTGCCTGAGTTTGTGTCCTCTTTCTAAATGGCAGCAGATGCGTATTTTGTTTTTGACTCTGCAGCTGGTGTGGACCACCTGCTTTAACCTTTCACTAGCCTCTGAGTTTTTTATGATTCCTGTTGGGAGAAAAGCTCAGCGTTGGGAGAAAAGCTGAGGCAGGGCTTGCTAGACTTGCTGGCTCCTTGCTTCTAGCACTGCCATTCTCTCAAGTAGCCATATGTTTCTCATTCACTTGATACACTGTTTCCTTTCAACCTCCACATCCTCACCACCTGTTTCTTTGTTAGATCACCAATAAATAGCGTGGGCTCCCAGAACTCGGGGCCTTCGCAGCCTCCACACTCGCGATAGCGCCCTGCTCCCATTTTCTCTCTCGAACTGTCTCTTTGTCATTCCTTTGACTCCGCTGGACTTGCCGCCCCCGTGACCTGGTGTTGGGTCTCATCATCCCAACAGATTCCCATTCTAAAGATGAGGGAACCAAGAGGTGGAAGGTAGAGTTAGAATAAGAACCATTTCTTCTGACTCTGAAATCCTTCAGTTCTAGCACGCTACCACCCACACTTTAAAAAACTCTGAAGTAGGCAGAGAATTCCGTTTTGTTGGAGGAATTGCTTTGAGAGACCTGGTCTTAGTGGATGAGGCTTTGGAAACCAACCTGAGGCAGGCGCTAGCACATCCTGAGAGGGGTGTGACCTGGCACACAGGCCCAGCCTGGGCTTCATGTCTCAGCTGGCAAGACTGCCTGCTCATTGCCATTCCAGGCCGGGCAGGGCCAAGGGGCTTCAGGGACCCATGCCCTCATGGGGCTCATTGAGCTCGTCTCCCAGCAGCCAAGGCCCTGGCGTCTCCAAATGAAGCCAGCTGTGGGGGAAGGTCCTTCTCATGAGTCAGTCTGTCCTGGCTGGGGGTGGCACCCCAGAGCCCCATCTAGGATGCCCAGGGATGTATAGGTCTGTTGTGAGGATAAGCCAGCCCTGAGCCCTCACCCTGGACTGGGAGGGCAGTGGGCCTGCTCTGAGCCCTCACCCTGGACTGGGAGGGCAGCGGCTCTGCTCTGAACCCTCACCCTGGACTCGGGGGCAGCCGGCCTGCTCTGAGCCCTCACCCTGGACTTGTCTCCTCTGTTCAGTTCATGCCGTGGAGGAAGTGGTGAAGGAGGTGGTGGGACATGCCAAGGAGACTGGAGAGAAAGGTACAGCCGGCTGAGGTCGGGCAGGGAAGGAGGGAGGGAGGAAGGGAAGCTAGGTGCTGGGCCAACCTGTTCTTTGACTAACCAGGTCAAACTCTGCCCCTAATGTTGCAGCCTTTCAGAGCCTCTTGGCTGGGGCAGTTATCTATGCTCATCAGAGGCCACAGACTGTACTGCGTTAGGACACTGTCTAGATGGTTCTCTCTGTGGAATAAGAAGACAAAGTCACACAAGACTATGTGACAGCACACTGGGACAAAACATTTAACATGGCAGGGTGCGGTGGCTCATGCCTGTAATCCCAGCACTTTGGGAGGCTGAGGAGGGCGGATCATGAGGTCAGGAGATCGAGACCATCCTGGCTAACACGGTGAAACCCCGTCTCTACTAAAAATACATAAAAATTAGCCGGGCATGGTGGTGGGTGCCTATAGTCCCAGCTACTTGGGAGGCTGAGGCAGGAGAATGGTGTGTACCTGGGAGGCAGAGCTTGCAGTGAGCCTAGATCATGCCACTGCACTCCAGCCTGGGCTACAGAGCAAGACTCGGTCTCAAAAAAAAAGAAAAAAATAATTGCTGGGGGCGGTGGCTCACGCCTGTAATCCCAGCACTTTGGGAGGCTGAGGTGGGCGGATCATGAGGTCAGGAGATCCAGACCACGGTGAAACCGCATCTCTACTAAAAATACAAAAAATTAGCTGGGCACGGTGGCGGGCACCTGTAGTCCTAGCTACTCGGGAGGCTGAGGCAGGAGAATGGCGTGAACCTGGAAGGTGGAGCTTGCAGTGAGCCGAGATCGCGACACTGCACTCCAGCCTGGGCGACAGTGTGATACTCTGTCTCAAAAAAAAAAAAAAAAAAAAAAAAAAAAAAAATTTAACATGTAAAATTCTATGTTAAATGTTAAATTGATGTGTGTGAGCTATGAGTAGTACTATGTACAAAGCATGTGTATATCTCATTCCTTTTCAACAAAATAGATTCCAGGTAGATGAAGGACTTACATTTACATAAATGAATTTATTAACTTACTAGGAGATAAACATCTTAGCTCAGGCTGCTCTTATAAAATACCATAGGCCAGGTGCAGTGGCTCACGCCTGTAATCCTAGCCCTTCGGGAAGCCAAGGCGGGTGGGCCACCTGAGGTCAGGAGTTCGAGACCAGCCTGACCAATATGGTAAAACCCCATTGCTACTAAAAATACAAAGACCAGCTGGGCATGGTGGCACATGCCTGTAATCCCAGCTACTCAGGAGTCTGAGGCAGGAGACTCCCTTGAACCTGGGAGGCGGAGGTTGCAGTGAGCTGAGATTGCACCACTGCACTCCAGCCTGGGTGACAGAGCAAGACTCTGTCTCAAAAACAAAAACAAACCATAAACTGGGTGACTTAGAAACAACAGAAATTTATTTCTCACACTCCTGGAGGATGGGAAGTCCAAGATCAAGGAAGGCACTGGCACATTTGGCATCTGGTGAGGGAGTCTTTCTGGTTCATGGATGGGCCCAGCTCTGTCCTCACATGGTGGAAGGAGCTAGCTCTCCGTGGTCTCTTTTATGTGGGTGCTAATTTCAACCTCCCAAAGGCCCCACCCCTTAATATCATTACATTAAGACTGAGGATTTCAGCATATGAGTTTTGAGGGGGAAGACATCGTAAACATTTAGACATAGTAATAACATCAGAGACTTTGGCCTAATCTTGGAGAGGGGAGAATCTTTAGAACTATGACAAAAAAATCAGCGCCATAAAGGAAATATTAAGTAAATTTGACAATCCAAAACTGAAATTTTCTATAGCCAAAAAAAAAAACACTATAAACCAAGCCAAAAGAAAAATTATACACTGATGAAAAATATTTGTCATAAAAATGATAATCCAATATAACAACCCAATATAAAAATGGTCAAAAGACATAAGCAGGCATTTTCCAGAAAAAAGGATAAGCAGGCAATGTACCCATGAGTAGATGCTCAGTCTCACTCACAGTTGAAGAAATGCAAGTTGTTGGGGAAATTAAAACCAAATTCAAATTCATTCTGCAGTAATCCTGCTGCCCTTGGTCCCATCGGGCCACTCCAGAGACTAATCCATTAAGATGGCCACATCCCACAGGCCACTCAAGGGGACACAAGTTCAGCAGGTGGATCACTAGGACATTCTTCCTCTTTCCAACAGCCATTGCTGAAGCCATAAAGAAAGCCCAGGAGTCAGGGGACAAAAAGATGAAGGAAATCACCGAGACAGTGACCAACACAGTCACAAATGCCATCACCCATGCAGCAGAAAGTCTGGACAAACTTGGACAGTGAGTGCACCTGCTACCACGGCCCTTCCCCAGTCTCAATAAAAAGCCATGACATGTGTACATTGAGCGCTGGATTTATTCCCATTTGGATGGAAACACTAGGCAAAGTATTTTCTTGTTGACATAACATATTTTACATATTTATGGTGTACACTTAAGTATTTATTACATGCACAGAATAGTGATCAATCAGGGTGTTTGGGGTGTCTATCACCTTGAATATTTGGTATTACTATGTGTTGGGTACATTTCAAGTCCCTTCTTCTAGCTACTTTGTTTTTTTGTTTTTGTTTTTGTTTTTGTTTTGAGATAGAGTCTTGCTCTGTCGCCCAGGCTGGAGGGCAATGGTGTGATCTCGGCTCACTGCAACCTCTGCCTCCCAGGTTCAAGCAATTCTCCTGCCTCAGCCTCCCAAGTAGCTTGGACTACAAGCGCAGGCCACCATCTCTGGCTAATTTTTATTATTATTATTTTTTATTGTTTTTATTTTTAGTAGAGATGGGGTTTCACCATGTTAGCCAGGCTGGTCTCAAACTCCTGACCTCAGGTGATCTGCCTGCCTGGGCCTCCCAAAATGCTGGGATTATAGGCATGGGATACTGTACCTAGCCTTCTAGCTACTTTGAAATATACAATACATTGCTGCTAACTATAGTCACCCTAGGTGAAGTATTTTTCAACAGAAACACTTTGCATGTCCCCCGTGTCTCCTCTGCTGAGGTGGACACTGGCACTGGGGCCCCTGCTGCTGGTTGGATAGGTCCTCATGATGAAACAGATGCTTCTCTGTCATGCTAAGTAAGATCTTTCATGTCAGGAAGGGGCTCTTCTGGAAGAATAGTTAGTGTCTGTGCTTCATTTCCTAAAAAACTGTTTCACCAGAAACTATATACAACTTTCAGGTGCCTCAGTGCTTCAAGACATGCTAAGGGAGGACCCTCATTTGTCTTGCATGTTTTTGGGATTTTTCTTGAGATGTTCTTGCAGGACTCAGGGCAGATAACAGACCAGCTTGATGAAGAATTTAGCAAGGAAGGCCCCCACTGAGCTGCTTCCTGTTCTCGCAGAGATCAGATAAGCATTTCTGCTGGACGGTTACAGAATCTGGTCAAGGAGAGACTGAGTCACTGCTCATCATCCTAGAAGCTGCTGTTGATTTTTTTTTTTTTTAAAGACGGAGTTTCACTCTGTTGCCCAGGCAGGAGTGCAGTGGCATGTTCTTGGCTCACTGTAACCTCTGCCTCCTGGGTTCAAACAATTCTCCTGCCTCAGCCTCCCCAGTAGCTGGGACTACAGGTGCCCGCCACCACTCCTGGCTAATTTTTTGTATTTTTAGTAGAGACGGGGTTTCACCATGTTAGCCAGGATGGTCTCGATCTCCTGACCTCATGATCCACCTGTCTTGGCCTCCCAAAGTGCTGGGATTACAGGCGTGAGCCACCGCACCTGGCCCAGAATATTTATTTAGAGACTGATGTCAGGCCTAAGTGTTGATAGTGGGTAGTAGTGGGCAAGATGCCTGGCCCTCTCTCCTTCTCATGAGCAAGTCAGTATCATAGAGGTTAAACATATCTTTAAGTAGCATTTAACTTAACATTTTTTAATTAAAAAAAAGAGAAGTAATTTGTAAAAATATTGCATCCCCTATTTCTCTTGCTGGAAGCTATTTGTTCTTAGCAGAAATGAGAAAAAAAGGTGTTTTGCTTAAAAAATAAGTGAGTTGCTCACCATACTTCTGGATCTCATCTAGAATTGGACTCACAGTTTGTGAACAGCCCAGGTATAGCCAATGTCTTAGCTTTGGAACGCTTGCCACTTTCCAGCTACAGCTGAACCTTATATCCTGGTTTGGTTCCTGATGACTTTCAAATTCTCCTGACCCAAACGCAAGCTCAGAAGCACAAGCACATTGTTGGTGGCAGTACAGACTGAAACACCCTCTTTGGATGGCAGTTCCTCTCACAGGACTTTATTCTCCAGGTATGCACAGGCACACACAGGTGCCCAAAGGATAAACACACAGATCTATTGTAGCATATTTGTATTACTGAGAGATTAGAAACATCCTAAAATGTTAACCAAATCGCTTGGATGAAAAGTTTTGCTCTGCTTATTAGGTTTGGCGTACAATATGGAGGTGACATCTGTTACTTCCAGTGTATTATAGATACTTTAGCTCCAAAAATGATACCTGTACCTAGATGGGCACCAAAAGGGAATGGTTAACAAATATTGCATATACAGGGGTATGGGGCAGCTCCGGGGCTGGGGATGGCGGCGGCCAGGTTTGCAGCGGCTCCAGGATGAGCGGGTGGATCCCGGGAAGCGTGGTGAAATGGGCTGGCTCCCGAGCCAGCCGGGAGGACGCTTACTACAGCTGCTCAGAAGCACCACTGGAAGCTCAGATGTAGGTGCCCCAGCCAGAAGCAGAGAGGGGTTCAGAGAAGCTACAGAGAAGCCCCTCCTGATGCCCCAGGGAGCAAGCCAACTCCTTCCAGGCTCCAGGAACACCACAAAGCAATATGAAACCTGTTCATGAGAGGAACCAGGAATGCCTTCCACCAAAGAAACGAGACCTCCCCATGACCAGCTGCTCCACTAACCACACATCCTCCAGTGATGCCTCTGAATGGTCCCGAGGGGTTGTGGTGGCCGGGCAGAGCCAGGCAGGAGCCAGAGTCAGCCTGGGGGGTGATGGAGCTGAGGCCATCACCGGTCTGACAGTGGACCAGTATGGCATGCTGTATAAGGTGGCTGTGCCGCCTGCCACCTTCTCACCAACTGGCCTCCCATCTGTGGTGAATATGAGCCCCTTGCCCCCGGAAAAAAAAAATAATATTGCATATGCAGTTGATTAAATGGCATACTCCATGGCTATTAGGAGTGATGAAAATGGGCTGGGTGCGGTGGCTCATGCCTGTAATCCCAGCACTTTGGTAGGCCAAGGTGGGCAGATCACCTGAGGTCGGGAGTTTGAGACCAGCCTAATCAACATGGAGCTGTGTTTACTGAGTGGGGCTTTCGCAGGCTGGAGCTAAGAATTTCCAGTATGCGTAACAGCCACAGCCCAAATATCTGCCAGTGAGTTGTGTAATTCCCCAGAGCAGGCCTGGGCAGTGTCTGGGTGGGGCCTGGGAGCCACAGGAGATGCCCAAAGCCAGGCAGAGCCCGGGGGCGAGGGGACGGCAGGCAGGTGTGGCGCTGCCCTGGGCGGGCTTGCACCCCCACACCCAAGTGAGCGGCCTGCTCACTCCTCAGCTGCAGGAGCCAGACGTGTGGAGTCCCAGCAGAGGCCAACCTGTGTCTCTTCATCTCCCTGGGAAAGGTGCCCCCGAGGTGAAAGAGATGGCCTGGTGGAAATCCTGGGTAAGTGGGAGCTGGCAGGAGATTTGGGTTCCTGCATGGTGTTGGGTGCTGGTCACCAGGGAGTCCTGAGAAATGTAAAGTCGCCCTTGGCTGGGAGTGGCTCAGTCTACATTTGGCTGCCTCCTGGGCCAAGCATGGAGGGTGGGAAGGGGCCGAGAAGAAACAGTCCCAGGCCTAGAGTGCCCACGGCAGGGATGGGACCTGGGCCGGGAGACAGGCTGATGAAGAAATCTAGAAATGCAAGGGGGAAGCTGAGGTTTGAGAAGAGTCCAGGGGAGGGACCCTTGCAGGGGTGGGGCCACTCAAAGGAGGGGGTATCATGGTTGAGCCTTGTGTGTAAATGTGTATGGGGTGCACACACGTGTGCATTTGGGGAGAATCAGGCATACTGCTCCTGGCAGAGGGAACTGTGTGCAGAGGGTCAGAGGGCAGGGAGCTTGGCTTCGAGGGAAGCTGCTCAGCACAGCTCAAGGGTCCTGGTACCGGAGGAGATGGACCTGGGGAAGCAGGCAGGGCCAGGTCCTGAAAGGCCTTGCCTGGCAGGCTGAGGAGTTAGGCTTTACCTTAAGAGAAGTGGGAAGGCACTGAAGGGCTTTGAGCATGAGAGTAACCTGAACCTGCTGTTGGGGACCCATCAATGCCTTCACCTCAGGGATCAATGATGTTCATTTGTCAAGACTGGAGAGGGAAGAGGGGAAGCAGGAGGACCTGGCCTGCTAGAGCCTGGAGGAACCCGGGGCTCAGGGCAGCCCATCCCCAGCAGAACTGATGGGTTCTCGGGAGCTTTCCATCTATGGTTGAGCCTGAGGCCATCGCTGTGCTAAGGAGTTGAATATCCAGAAGGGGACAGAGGTGACATCTCCCGGCTGCCGGCTCTGCACACCCTTTTCCTTTCCTCCCAGGCAGCCTCAGGATGTCAGGGCTGCACTTTCTGTTTTGCAGATGATGAAATGAAGGCTCAGAGACACTGAGTGACTTGCTAGGGTCCAATGGCCAGCAGGCTCCAGTCAGAGAGCAGTTGGGTCTCTCTGCCCAGCCCCAGGTTCTCTGTGAGCTTTTGTGGGATACCCAGGCTTGTCCAGCTTCAGGGAGTCTCTGGATCATAGATGTCGCAACCCAAGCAAGTGTCCTCAGGGTCAGACATGCTAGGTTCTGGACAGGTGGGACAAAGAGGAAGCCAGGCTGAGGTGGGGCAGCTGTCCTGGCCCCCAGGGAAGCAGCCTTCTTCCAGGACAAGGGGCCATGGAGGCCTGCAGCTTCAACCAGACTGCTGGGAACCTGCCTTTGAGGAGGTGGACATGGCAGGGAGAGCCCAGTGCTGGGTGGTTTCCAAAGTCAGTTGCTGGCCAAGGCAGTCTGGCACTGGGCCTTGCACCCAGTGCAGCAGGACAAAGGGCTGTCCATGTAGGGACCTGCCAAATTGACAGGATCACTGTGACACTCACTGAGTCCCTACTCTGTGGCCGGACCCTTCTCTAAGCACCTCACATTCAATATCTCCCTTGAACCTCACAAGGAGTCTATGAAGTAGACACCAGTATCCTTATCCACAGATGAGGAAACTGAGGCACAAGTAGGCTAGGCAGGTGCCCGAACTCACTAGTAAGTGTGAGAGTCTAGGTGAGAATCTGAACAGCCTGACTCCAGGGCCAAAACCATACCCTGGTCGTCCATACCCCATGTGAGAGCTGGCTAGGGGTAGCAAGTTCACAGGTAGACCCCACCTGCAACAGCTGAGCTGCTAGCGAAGACCCAGTGTCCTCTAGGCACAAAGCTGGGCCAGGAACGCGATGGGAGGAGATGAGGGAGCCACTGGAGAGAGATCTGTCTGCAGGCAGGGTCCATCTGCACCTCTCTTTTTGGTGTTGCCTTTTCCTCTGTGTCTCTCATAGAGACAAACCCATCTCCCAGGCCTCTGGGCAGCCACGTAGCAGGGGAAGGCCAAGGCGTGGCAGCTCCCCTGTGCCTGTCACAGAACAAGTTATATTAATAGATGTAGTCACAGGCTGGTCTGAGTCACCTTTTCAGTGAAAATGTGCCTGTCTGGACTAGCACGGCCCTGGGCAAGACCCTGCAGGAGCCTGAGGCTGACCCTTCCTTCTCAGCAGGAGGTCTGGAGCTCCAGGACTCCACACTGATAGCCAGGGCTCCGATTCCCAGAACACTTATTTTCTAAAACCTTAGAGTGGGAAGTGAGACAGAGGCTTCTCAATGCAGCAAAATCAGAACCAGCCAGGGAGCTGCTTACAAATGCTGCACCTGAGACCTACCGCACCCCTGCGGGACTGCATGCTCCTCAGGGATGCGGTTACACAGCCTGGCCACTCGCTGGTGCACCACAGCCCCCGAGTGCTGGGGCAGAGGGAAGCCGGCAGGCACTGAGAGCTGAGATGCCTCCCACATTCCCAGATGACCTGCGTTCCTGTGGGTGAAGCTTCCTTCAGTGGAACGTTCCAGGAACACTCATTGTCTGGGAAAGGTGGAGTCATCAGTAGGGCAGGGGAGGTAGATAGAGCTCAGCTTCTGAGTCAGGCTGGGGAGTCCCAACAGCATCACTTACTAGCTGTGTAAGGGAGTCCAGCTCCCTTTCTGTAAAGTGAGGCATCAGTACTTACCTAGCACAACTGTTGAGGAAGCCATGACATAAGCATTGCTTCTAAAGCACCTGGCCCAGGTCTGGCACACACAAGGGGCTTGAAGTGCTAACAGGAGTAATAGCAGAGCGTGACTCCACAAGCAAGGGATATCGTGTGTGTGGACACCGATGAGCAATATCTGGGACCACACTGGCTCTCTCTGGATGGAATTTCCATAGGAATTATTTCTAACAATTTCTGCTGTGAAACATGGTGCTAAGAAATGACTCAGGAAGATCTGTCACCAGACATTTGAAATTAAAGCAAAGAGTTCAGAAAGATGCCTTACCTCTTACTCAAAGGAAAGATACTTACAGATATACCATCCATTGGAATCTCTGTATTTTCACAATCTAACCCAGGGCTTCGATGGATGGATGGATGGATGGATGGATGGATGGATGGATGGATGGATGGGCGGGTGCATAGATGGATGGGTGGGTGGATGGATGGATGGATGTGGTAGTCAAATGGGTAAGTGCGTAGGTGGGAAAGTAGATGGGCAGATGATGGAGGTGATGGAAGGAATAAGTGAACAGGTAAATGGAAGACAAGACTGGATGGGACTAAACTCTTTTTCATCCTGGAGGATCTCTGAGTCTCCCTCTAATTCAATACCTATCTCCAATATCCCTCCATTCTCTACCATTCCTCCACCCAAAACACACTTATGTCCATGTTAATCATCTGAGAAATTCTGCAGGGCACAAGTTTAAAGAGCCTTCAGGCAAGCCCTGAACTGGAGGCTTGGAAATCAAGGGCTCAGGCACTTGGTTATCTGGTTTATTTCACAATCTGCAGAGCATCGTGCGGGTTTTTCTAAACCTGACGCTCTGAGCCCCATGGGCCTGTGGACTTGCAAACACCCTGAACTATCAATATGCTCAGCTGGGCCCCTGCCCTCTAAGTTGCTGTAAGTCCCAACTCCCCAGGAAGAGGGCAGACTGAGCTCAAACCATTCCTCAGAAAGGCAGAACCATGCTCAGCCTTCCAACCTCATCTGCACACTCTGAAGGTGGTGCATGCAGCTCCAGGAAGCCTTTGCTTCAGTGTTCTTTCCCCTCCTAACTTTGGGTGAGTTTGTCCCTTCCTGCTGCTGGTGGGTGATGCTGGAAGGAGCTGGGTGTGGCTGGGGCTGCTGTCTGCAGTCAGATGGCACAGACAGGGACAGGAAAGGTTTTGTGGCTTCTCCCCACAAGCTCTGGCTCTGGCTACTCCACCCTGTTGGCCAAGGGGCTGAAGGGCAGAGCACTGGCCTGCAAGGGCTGAGCAGATCTCCGTGCCCAGGGAAGGGGCTCACCCTGTCAGGGCGGGCTACCAGATGGGCTGGGAGCCTGCTCTGCCCTCCCTGTCCCTGCCTGCTTTGAGCAGGCCTGGTTCTCTTGCAGATTGAACAGGAGGGTGTCACAGTGAAGAGCAGCTCCCACTTCAACCCAGACCCTGATGCAGAGACCCTCTACAAAGCCATGAAGGGGATCGGTGAGTGGGTGTTGGCAGCCTTGCCACCTCTGCTCAAGACCCCTCCGCTCACAGCCCTGGAAAGCGGGTGCCAGGGGACATCTGGGGAGCTGGGGTGTCCCATGATACTCTGAAACTGATTCCACTACCCAGAGAATCACACAGCCCTCTGTTTCTGCAGTGAGGTCAGCACCCACCCTGCAAGACTGGACAGGAGGGTGCTGCTCTTCCCTGGGTAATGGGGGTGGGGAGGTGAGCTGTGTGTCTCTGTGAGTGACTTCCCATCAGTCTCAGCTTTCTCACTTGTAAAGTGGCCCCAAGAATTCTTGGCCTTGTGTGTCACATGAAGTGTGAAGGGGGTGGTGCTTTATGATGCCAGGCACAGAGCTGCCAGGGGTGTGAGGTGTTGGGAGTTTGTGGGGCTGATTCAAGGCCCCCTTGCCCCATGTCGATGGCCATGGAGCCGGCTCCCTTCCCATCTCCTGCACTTGCCCAGTGCTGCCCTCAGCACTACCGTGAGTGGGCGAGGGCTGGCCTGAGGCCAGATTTAAACAGCTTGCCCAGAAAGCCCTCCTGACCTGAGAGCAGAGCATGTACCCTGACCTCACCCCAGGTGGGACTGACCCCTTAGCCGGCTCTGCCTGAGGATCAGGGGCCTTAATGAGAACTGCCGCTCCTGACAAGCCCAGAAAACGTTCTCATGCCCTCTGCTTTCTGTGAAGCAGAAAGTTATCTCCACTTCCCAAATGAGAAAACGGAGGCCCAGGGAAATGAGGCTGGCTGCCCAATGCCACGCAGTTGCTGGGCCAGGCCTCGGATTCAGGGGTTGGACTCTTAGTCTTGACCTTCCCCTACTGCGACCAACACAAAGGAGGGCAGGGCCAGAGATCTCACTCGGCCAAGCTCCAAAGGCCCGGGCTGATGTCCAGAGCCACCCAGACCTCAGATTCCATCTTGTGAGGCTGGCCTTGGGCACGCCCCAACATTGTGGGGGTGTGGGGTGGGAAATGGGGAGGCAGATTTCCTAAGGGTCTTGTTTACACCACGAAAATGGTCTGGGGGTTTGGAACTATCCAGGTGTCGGGTCCCAACTGCTCAGCCACCAAGCAGCTGCCTTCGCCTTCCCCTCCTCCGCCCTCACCAGTGTGTCACCCTGGGGGCAGCAGGGTCACTTGTGCTGTAACCCTGCAGGGACCAACGAGCAGGCTATCATCGATGTGCTCACCAAGAGAAGCAACACGCAGCGGCAGCAGATCGCCAAGTCCTTCAAGGCTCAGTTCGGCAAGGCAAGGGGAAGGCTGGTGGGGGTGGGGATAGGTGAGCCTTGGGGTTGGGGGTACAGCCTGGGAGGCAGCTCCATTCTGGACGACTTTCCCCTAGAGCCAGCCCACTGGCAGCATGGGCACATGGAACATGTTTGCATGAAAACAATTGTTCTTTATTGAAATTCAAATGTAACTGGCTGCCCTGTGTTTTATCTGGCAGATCTACTTTTAGGTGTCAGAGCCCGGGCCGGGGGCTGGCCTTCCTTGCTTCCTTTCCTGCCTCCTCTCTCACAGCATTCCTTCTCATGCACCCAACAGGCCCCACTGGAGGTCTGTCTCCCTGCCCCCAGGCTATCTCGCCCTGCCCTCTGAGCCCAGACCACCTTCTCTTTTCCATGCCCCAGGCATGCAGGCCTGGCTTTGCTCTGTTCTGGGGCGTGGGCATGCTTTCCTCAGTCGAGCTGCTTGCACCCACACCTCGTCCCTTCTGCCACCTGGGAATTCTAAGAGCCTGGAGTAAGCATGCCAGGCCCTTTGTTTCTCCTCCCACCTGCACTCCACCCCTAGGACAAAGCCTGACATTTGGGGGTACACAGTAAACACAGGATTAAATATGTGCACAGCCATGGTTGCCTCAAGCCTCTAGTGACTCATATCATTAGTTTGGAGATGTAACGAAGGAAGATCAGCTCAAATATTCTCTTGGAGAACCCAGTATGCATTTTTACAGTTTCCCTCTCTTAGTCCTCACAGTGATACATTCTTTGTATTCAAACATTTGGGGAAACTGGCACTCAGAGAGGTTTTAAGTTGCCCAAGGTCCCAGAGCCTGTAATCAACAAGGTGGGGATTAAAATCCAGGTCTGACAAAGCCCTTGATCTCTCTGCTGCTCTGTAGATCAGCTGATGTAGCCTGGTGGCTCCTCGTAGCAACATGTGACCTTAGAAGGAGGCACATGTGAGACGAAGTCTTTAATTCAGGCATGCATTCATTCATTGAGTGCCAAGTGACAGGTATTTTATGGTGATGCCATACTCAGAGCTTGCAGTCTAGCTAGCAATACCAATTTCATTTTACTGAGAGCTTATGATGTGCCCAGCACTGCACTGAATGCTGAATTGAGTCACACACAACCCCCTAAGCAACGGGATGAAGCAGGAGCACGTTTCTCTCCGTGTAACCGGTAAAGATACTGATGCTAAGAGAAGCTAAGGAGCTGGCCCAAGAAACCCAGCCAGCACGTGGCAAGGCCCACGCAGAATCCAGCCCAAGCCCCTGGACCCAGCCACCACTCCGCTGCCTGCACTCAGGTGGGCCTGGCTTATGACAAATATCACCTTTCCCTGTTCCCGCATTAGGACCTCACTGAGACCTTGAAGTCTGAGCTCAGTGGCAAGTTTGAGAGGCTCATTGTGGCCCTTATGTACCCGCCATACAGATACGAAGCCAAGGAGCTGCATGACGCCATGAAGGTAACCAGGCAGACAGGGCAGGGGAGTGGCAGGGGTGCTCACATGACTGGGTAGGGGCAATGCGGGGACCGGGAACCTACAGCCCAGAGCTCCCCTTGAGCCACTGTTTGGAATGGCCATATGGGCCATAACTGGGCCCAGTGAGCAGGCAGCCTGCTGCTCAGACTGCACCCAACACCTGGAGTCACTGGTGCCTGATTGACACGTTGAGTGGCCGTGATGAAGCCAAAATCAGTACTTCTCAGAACCTCACGAGCTCAGGTGTACAGTGGTATTGGAAACCCACCTCTACAGTCCCAGGCACAGCCCCTTGGGTTTCCCTTTACCTCTCACTACTCTTTGCTTTTGCAGATTAATAAGGATGGGGACCCAGTAACTATAGTCATTTTGTTTGGAAAGACACTTGCTGCATGGGCACTGCCAGGCATTTTACACCCACGCTCCCTAATCTATCTTTGGCGCAGGGGAGGCTTCTTATTCCTGTTTATGGATCGGGATGCTTAGGCTCCAGGACATGGAGCAGCCTGTCTGAGACCACCCAGCTAAGGAGGGAGAGCTGAGACAGGGCTTCCCCGTCACAGCACTTGCCCTCAATGTTCATCACTGAAGCATGTGATTTTCTCATCACATCCTCCCACTTCAAGTGGGGCAGGGCAGTGAGGTCCTTCCTGAGGCTCAGGCATCTTGAGAAAAGAAGGTGTGGACAGAGCAGAAGGTCATGGCAGAGCACTCCAGCAGGCAGAGGTTTCTGTCCACAGGGCTTAGGAACCAAGGAGGGTGTCATCATTGAGATCCTGGCCTCTCGGACCAAGAACCAGCTGCGGGAGATAATGAAGGCGTATGAGGAAGGTAAGGGGTGGCACAGATGGAGGGGCTCAGGAGTGGCCACAAGCTTTGGCAGCCTGGCAGGGAACAAGGATCAAGAATTAACCTGGGCCACACTAGAAAGGACCCTTTGGGGACTTTTTTACCCACAGGTGCTGAGCACCTACCGTATGCCAAGATCTGTGCCTGATGGTGACACTGAACATGATTCAGACTTGATCTGTAAGCTCACCAGCTCCTCTTACAGGGGAGAGAGGCCTGTGACCAACTAAAATCTCTGCCCTTGAGGACTGTGGTAGTAGGGGGTGTGGACCCCAGGCTAGCAGAGGCCAGTCAGTCCTCCACATCATGTACCTAGTGGGGAGTTTTCCTGGAGGCTTTGGCTTTGCCAAGCCTTGAGATGAAATGGAGCTTGGTTGGCAGCCCCTAGCCTGGCTCTCTGACCTGGTCCATCTTGTGCTTTGAGCTTGGTTGGGTACGCATGTCGCTTCTAGTTGTGAAGCACCACCCAGGCGACAGCCACTTGGACACCCGGGCATTGCATCCATGCCCTGTGCCAAGGACTTTCTTTCCTAGAAGGCTTTAATAAGGAGAAGTATGGGGAACAGGGCTGGAAGGAGGAAAGCAGGCCCCGGGTAGGCTGTGGGCCTCTGCTTGTGCCTCATGGTCCTGTTTCCCTGCAGACTATGGGTCCAGCCTGGAGGAGGACATCCAAGCAGACACAAGTGGCTACCTGGAGAGGATCCTGGTGTGCCTCCTGCAGGTGTCACAGCCTAGGCTCTTGGGAGTGCCTTGGTTTGGGAGTCCCAACAGCTCCACCCCAGGGAGCAGCCCTTGAATAGCGCCACAAGAGTCAGGGTAGGGGCATGGGATAGCCCAGCAGCCAGGGCTCATTGGGTGTGTCTCAGCATGGTTAGAGGGTCCCAACTGCAGAGCCCCCACACCTGTCCTTACTCAGCCATGTGAGAGCATCCTGGAAGCGGGAGGAGAGCAGGTCCTTCGTGCAGGCCTCATGCCAGGCACTTTGCTTACCTTAGCTCACTGAATCCGCCAAGCCTTATGAGGCAGTCCTTACCACCCCCATTGTACAAATGAGGAAACCAAGGGCTGAAGAGAATAACTGGCTTGTCGAAGTTTCCACAGCCAAAGAGCAGCAGAGCCATGCCTGCCCTCCAAGCCCAGGATCCCCCCTGTGCCCTTAATGCTCTGGTCAGCTGGCCTGCCTTACAGAGCCACCTCCTCTGTTCCTAGGGCAGCAGGGATGATGTGAGCAGCTTTGTGGACCCAGGACTGGCCCTCCAAGACGCACAGGTGAGGCTGCGCCCAGCCGGCCATGTGGCCCCACCCCCTGCCATCTGGACTCCGGCTCCTCTGCCCACGGGGGCTTTCTCTGACACTGGGCTGGGACCCACCCAGCTCAGCTCCCTATAGGCCTTTGTCCTGTGGTGTCTGGGGAGGAGAGTGAGGGTGTTGGGAGACTCGGGAGGAAGGAGTGTGACTTGGGGGTGGGGGAGCACTAAAGCTCTGTCCTGGCAGGAACAGCCCATGAACCCGGGGGCGCTAGGCCCCAGTGCTGGACACAGGTGTCCGGGTCTCTGTAGGTCTGCCTGCTGGCAGAGGGAAGTCTGGGGACCAGGCAGTTCCTAGAGCAGCTTGTGGCCCAGGATAGAGAAAATATTCTAAGCCAGAGCTGCTAGAGAAAGGGGAGCTCCCTGTCAGAGACGACCAAGCAGGGGAGCATGCTGGCCTGGCAGAGTGGACAGGGCCAGGCCATGGCCACAGCTCTGGGACTCTGGGGCTCAGTCCCTCACCTCCCTGGTCTCCCTCACTGGCTTATTGTGGGTGTCCCAATGCTAGGATCTGTATGCGGCAGGCGAGAAGATTCGTGGGACTGATGAGATGAAATTCATCACCATCCTGTGCACGCGCAGTGCCACTCACCTGCTGAGAGGTACCAGGGAGGGAGGGGCTGGGGCCGGGGCCACAGGGGGTGTCCTGGCCATGAGCCTCTCCCTCGTGCTTCTGCCTTGTCAAGTCTAGAGTTAGGGAGAGAGCCAGGGAGCCCAGGACTGTTTCCCCAGCCACCAGTGGGAGGTCAGGGCGGCAAATTGATGTGCGATCTCTGATCCGAGACACTGAGGGGCATCACGAGGAGGTCTGACCATCCCCTGAGCAGAGCCCTCTCCACAGTGTTTGAAGAGTATGAGAAAATTGCCAACAAGAGCATTGAGGACAGCATCAAGAGTGAGACCCATGGCTCACTGGAGGAGGCCATGCTCACTGTGGGTAAGAGCTCAGACTTGCACGTTTTTCAGGCCACAGGGCTCACCGTGGGGCAGCACCAAAGAACAAAGGGCCTAGGGATGCGACCACAAGAGAAAGAATCCCTGTGTCACCTTCACGGGATGTCCCCCCGACTCACACTCTGCCTGTCTCCCTCACCCAGGGACTGCTCCACCTCTAGAGTCCCAGTGTGTGCTGCCAAAGATTGTTCTCTGTGCTGCCCACGTGGTGCCCAGTGCTGTGTGGGTGTGTCTGCATGAGTGTGTGTGTGCGTGAGAGTGTGTGTGCCTGAGGGTGTGTGTGCATGACTGTGGGTGGAATGTGAGTGTGTGTGTGTGAGACAGACAGTGTGTGTGTGTGCGCACACAAATGCATACGCCAGTGATTATGCCAGCCCCAACCCTGTGTGTACTCATGGCAGCCATGCAGGGAGCACTCTGGCTGTGGTTGTGAAGCCCTGGCCAGCACAAAGTCATCTTTCTGGACATGAACCAGGGGCCTGGCCCCTGCCTTCATTGCCAGTTGAAGAAACAGTGATGTGTGGCTTGAGTCCAAACTGAGTGACGGATGGTCTGATGCTGAGAAACACTGGGGATCTTCCCCACAGCAGGAAGTCAGGGCCACTCAGGAGGACCCACTCCAGAGCTCTCATGGGTTCCAGGGCTGAGATCACAATGGGAAGAGTCACTGCAGAGTAAAGAGCTGAGGCCCAGGGCAGAGGGACGTCTCTTCTCCCACTTACACACAGAGCCCAGGTCCGGACTCCTGGCCTGCAGCTCTCACCTCCACACCAGGCTGCCTCCGTGCAAAGCCAGCAGCCAGCAGGCTCCCTGCTGTTTCCTAGCCTCTCTGGGTGGACAGGGCCATCTGAGACACCCCAGCTGGCCTTGGATGCTGTGATACAATCCGGTCTATGTCAGGACATCTAATCACACCCCTGCTCCAATCTCAGCTTCCACCCCTGGATCTGGCCTGAACCCACCAAGAATGAAGTCTGCCAGCAGGGAATAGTGAAGCCATGCAGTGCTCCGTCATGCTGGGCCTTCCTATTCACTTCACCTTGAAGCCTCGCATCAGTCTCACTTCCCAGATGAGTCAGGGAGGTTGAGTAATGAAGCCATACTGCACCATCAAGGCAGGAAGTGAACACATGCCTACCTCACTCAAAGCCCATGCTCCTTCTGCAGCCCTAAGTGAAAATGCCAACCTTCCCCACCCAGATGCCAAGTCTCTGAGCAGTACCCATGGGAGCAAGCATGGGCCCAGTCTCTGGACCAGACGCCCCCAGGTGCCTTAGTCCTGTGGGGCCAAACTCCACTTGTCACATGGGAATTCAAAATGCAGGGTTCCTGCTGATAAGTGTGAGAGAGAGGGCACTCTGAGGCCAGCAGCCACCATCCCATGGTGCTTCTGTGGAGCTGAGAGGCTGGATTTTTGGTGGAGGTGTCTCTGGGTTGAGAGCCCAGGGCCTGTCCTGAGTCTGAGCTGCCCTTGGATGGGCTTGAGCTGGTGTCTTCAGACGAGCCCCACAGTCTGGTGCATTTCACATCTTACCCTTTTGCCTGCCTGCTTGGGCCTTTGGAGCTGTGCCCAGTGCCCCGGGCTACCTTCCCTGTCCCACGCCACCTGACACAAAGCCTCTCACATTGGGAAAGGCACGGAACAAAGAAATATGCCAAGCCTTGCACAACACTGACTCTTAAGACCTAAGGCAAGACATAAAGTTGTAGGCAGTGCCACCTACCAGCTCCAGACATTAACACAGCTTTCTTGTTTGCCAGTGAAATGCACCCAAAACCTCCACAGCTACTTTGCAGAGAGACTCTACTATGCCATGAAGGTAACTGTCCTGTCTTCTTCTTCCTGACGCTCACCCTACATAGCACCAAGTGCAAAGCCAAGGAGCTCAAAGCCACCACGATCCTCCACACGGGGGAGTTATCTTACCCAAACCTGTCGTGGATCAGAAAGGTTTTAGTTCTCGGAGGTGAAATTGAGTCTGGGAAAGGGACGCTGCATCTCCAGAGGTGAATAATTCCCTGAAACTAAAACCATTGCCCGTTTTCTCTGATTGATGGTTGCTGATATCCCCTGAAGTTAGTTCCACACCCGAAACCCAAGCCCTCTGGCCACTTCTGCCCAGGAA
Source organism: Homo sapiens (assembly GCF_000001405.40). NCBI lineage: Eukaryota > Metazoa > Chordata > Mammalia > Primates > Hominidae > Homo > Homo sapiens. Next base: position 47,471,826 of record NC_000010.11, on the reverse strand, counting down.
ATGAGAGAGGGCATGCGATTCCCTTGGCCATGTGGCCCCAGCTGACATGAGACTGGTCAGGGATGAAGGTGAGCAGGAAGGCCCTGCCTGTGAAATTCCTGGCTGAGCTGATTGCTGCCATTGCTCTAGTAGGAAGTCTTGTTCCTGGAGCAGTGAGTATTTTGTGTCTAGAATCTGATGTGGCAAACCAAACATACTGCAGTTTGGAGCACTTGGCATCATAAAGGAAGAGTTCTGGGCAGTGGGTGAGAAGGAATTAAGGGAGTGGACACCCTAAGCCACCAAAGCTTCCCTCCTAATGCTTCCCTGGCTGAAGCACAGGCTCCTTCCCACATCTCCCTCCCTCTAAAAGCCCCAGAACCCAACCACACAGATCCGTCCATCACTCAGAGATGGACAGGAAAGGTGAGGCAGGATTGTTGATGGCTGCTGTCTTGCCCAGGGAGCAGGGACGCGTGATGGGACCCTGATAAGAAACATCGTTTCAAGGAGCGAGATTGACTTAAATCTTATCAAATGTCACTTCAAGAAGATGTACGGCAAGACCCTCAGCAGCATGATCATGGTAAGCAGGCATTCCCAATGCTGAGGCCAGCCTGAAACCCAGACATTCAGGGAAACCTGGAGGCTGTGGCCAACACTACGTGAGCCCCTCCCTTCCCAGTGGGCACCATGTGCTTGCATTCATGACCATGTGGTGTGTGCAGGGAACAGCAGAGGTCAGTGTGGCTGGATCCCAAGGGGAATGGGGGGCAGAGGGGAGATGCAGAGACCAGGGCACAGAGGCTCCCCTGTGTCCCACTCAGAAAGTTGGTTTCACATTTAAGTTATGGTTGCTCCTTGGAAAAGACACCAAATCCTTGCAGAAGAAGCCACCTCTGAAAAGTCAATGAGATGAACTAGTCCGGTAGGAATCGGGCCCACCGCTCAAATCCAGATTTAAGTAGTCCTGGCGGCCAACTTCTAAGGAGATAAGTCAGATGAGCGCCAATAGACTATCTAACCAGATTCCAATTAGCAAAAGTTCTGGAGCCTTCAAAACACAGACTGATTATCACGCTGCGATAATTGGGAGAAACAGCTCTTCTGGGGGTGTCTGCAAATTGAGGTCTTGATGATTTCATTAGCAGAAGTCACATTAGGACAAATGTATCCCCAAGTTTTCTTTGGCTACTAAGTCAAGTCTCTAGCTCTTCTGCAAATGTCGTTGTTAAGTGCACTTTTCAAGAAACACATAGCTGACAATAGGTGGAAAAGACATTTCTGTTTCCAGATGTTTCAAGATGGCAACATCTTGAAACAGGTGGGCAGGGGCAAGAGAGGATTGGAATTATTCTTGGTTTCACTTGAGGCTCCCCAGCCAATCTTGTCGGGAGACAGGAGGGCAAGGCACACACCAGCCTGGACTGTGCTGTCACCTGCAGACAGTCTGAGCTGATTGTCATTAACCCTTTTAACCACACATGGTAACTTACGGCATCAGAGAGATTTCTACAGATACATGAAGCCACCCTCTTCAAATTTTATCTAATGTTGTTACTTAAGAAAATTGAGTTAGAATCATGAATACATTGACCAAACGTTTCTTTTTAGTGTAGACCACAGATGTCATTAAAGCAAAAATGGTTTTCAACACTAATATGAGTTAAAAACTCCTGCATTGAAATTAAGAGGCAAATGTATAAACACTCCAAGTATAACTCATGTATTTGAAAAAGTAAACAAAATTAATGCTTTTCTTTCTAAAAACTATTCGAAAAATTGTCCTCAAAATAATAAAAATCACCAGGCGTAGTGGCCCACACCCGTAATCCCAGTGCTTTGGGAGGCCAACGCGGGAGGATCGCTTGAGCCCAGGAGTCCAAGGCTGCCGTGAGCTAGGACTGCATCACTGCACTCCAGCCTGGGTGACAGAGTGAGATCGTGTCTAGAAAGGAAAAAGTTAAAAAAAATTTCATTGTAGTTTGAAACCCGTAATGAGATTTCAGGCTCAAAACAGGCAAATTTTACTAAATGGTGAAAAGTAGACAATAACCATGAGACCTAAACTGGTCCAGAGTGTGGAAAGTGGGTCTAGCCCCAGTCTACCCCTTACTCACCATGCCGTTGTGAATGAATTCACTCCCCTCTCTTGGCCCCGCTGTCCTCAACTGCATGAAGAAGAATCTGGGTGATCTGACCTGGCCCATTTCCCAGCTCTGTATGCAGACCCCGGACTAGCCAGTCCCATCAGGACCTACCACTATCTAAGAAACAGGGCTCCTCAGTCATCGGACCACAAGGTCAGTCTCATCAGGAGACAAACACTGTGGACCCGATGTGAGCCAGATGCAGGGCAGACCAGCTCGCCTTCCTCCTGCTGTACCCTCACCACGTCTCAGCAAGATGCACAGCAGCACAGCATTGATCTCATTTCATAGATGAGTCCCACAGAGGTGAAGGGGCTTGCCTCGGCCACACCGTCAGGGTGCGATGGTCCAGGCTCCCTCCACCCCCGGCCCTGCCCCCAGGTGTGTGCTGATGCCTCACTCTCAGCCTTGATTCCCAAGCTGCCACAGCAGGTGTTGAATAATGATGCATCCTGTTGTGTAAATGAATGGCTGGGCACCCTGGCTCCCGAATAGAAGAACCCTGGGACAGCTGACCCCTTCCTTGTTTAGGAGTGGAACTGTCTCTGATTCATTTTCCACATCAATCCTGCATGTAGTTGGTAAGAGAATCAAAAGGAAATGTAAAGGAATAGCCTGAAATTAAAAACAAGGAAAGAGGGGTGATGGCACAACCCCTGCGGCTAGGAACCCTGGAGGGCCGGGCCAGGTGCAGGCCAGGGGCACACCTCTTAGTCATAATAACACAGCCGCCACTGCCGAGCCAGGCACAAGCAAACCCCTTCTCACGCTTATGCGCCTCCTGCCCACAGGAAGACACCAGCGGTGACTACAAGAACGCCCTGCTGAGCCTGGTGGGCAGCGACCCCTGAGGCACAGAAGAACAAGAGCAAAGACCATGAAGCCAGAGTCTCCAGGACTCCTCACTCAACCTCGGCCATGGACGCAGGTTGGGTGTGAGGGGGGTCCCAGCCTTTCGGTCTTCTATTTCCCTATTTCCAGTGCTTTCCAGCCGGGTTTCTGACCCAGAGGGTGGAACCGGCCTGGACTCCTCTTCCCAACTTCCTCCAGGTCATTTCCCAGTGTGAGCACAATGCCAACCTTAGTGTTTCTCCAGCCAGACAGATGCCTCAGCATGAAGGGCTTGGGGACTTGTGGATCATTCCTTCCTCCCTGCAGGAGCTTCCCAAGCTGGTCACAGAGTCTCCTGGGCACAGGTTATACAGACCCCAGCCCCATTCCCATCTACTGAAACAGGGTCTCCACAAGAGGGGCCAGGGAATATGGGTTTTTAACAAGCGTCTTACAAAACACTTCTCTATCATGCAGCCGGAGAGCTGGCTGGGAGCCCTTTTGTTTTAGAACACACATCCTTCAGCAGCTGAGAAACGAACACGAATCCATCCCAACCGAGATGCCATTAACATTCATCTAAAAATGTTAGGCTCTAAATGGACGAAAAATTCTCTCGCCATCTTAATAACAAAATAAACTACAAATTCCTGACCCAAGGACACTGTGTTATAAGAGGCGTGGGCTCCCCTGGTGGCTGACCAGGTCAGCTGCCCTGGCCTTGCACCCCTCTGCATGCAGCACAGAAGGGTGTGACCATGCCCTCAGCACCACTCTTGTCCCCACTGAACGGCAACTGAGACTGGGTACCTGGAGATTCTGAAGTGCCTTTGCTGTGGTTTTCAAAATAATAAAGATTTGTATTCAACTCAAAGTATCTTTGGATGTTTAGCAGGGACCAGTGTAGGACCAATTTAATTTGTCAGAAACAGAGCTTTGGGGAGCCACGAAGCCTGAGCGCCTCGTGGGCATCTCCCAGTGGGAACACTGGATGGGCTGTACCTGAGCACCTCATGGGCATCTCCCAGTGGGAACACTGGATGGGCTGCAGCCACCGCTGCCCTGGGGACAACTCTTGCAAATGAGGGTAGATTCTATTCACCTCCTGATGTGTAGGCTACATCCTTGTATCTCAGGGTTAGAGAGGGATTTAAAGTCAGCTGGTGCTGTTCCAACCTGTGGCCTGACTACCCCCTTGGCATCCACCCAGGGGTGGTCCTTGGTGTGCTTGGGGTGCACTTGGGTACTCAGGGTGTACTGGCGATACTCAGGGTGCAGTTGAGTACTCCGGGTGCACTTGGCTGCCTCCAAAGATGGGACTCACTGCGTCCTTTGACAGCCCAATCTTTTTCCAATGGATGTGACCAGCAAAGTTCTTGCTTTACCTGAACCAAAATCAGCCGCATCAAGCCCACACCTCTGCCATCTAGGGCCACAACACTTATTCCCTCCCAGTAACAACATTTTGGATATCTGAAGAAGGCCCACAAATTCTGCGATGACCTCTGTCAAAGCCCAGTGTCCCCAGTCCCTTCAGTGGTCCCTCCTGGAGCCTGTTTGGGGCCATCACCCCTGAACATGCTCCAGTTTGCAAACTTCCCCTCAAGTGGCCCTGAGGGGTAAGCGTGTGCCCAGGAACCAGCCTGATCAGGGAGATGGGAATAGCGTGGGCTCTGAATTCACTTGGACGGGAGGCAGATTCTGGCTCTGCCCTGCACCAGCTCCATGACTTTGACTGTGTTAGGCTATTCTTGTGTTGCCATAAAGCAATACCTGAGTCTGGGTAATTTATTTAAAAAGGGGGTTTAATTGGCTCACAGTCCTGCAGGCTATATAGGAAGCATGGTGCCGGCATCTGCTCAGCTTCTGGGGAGGCCTCTGGAGGGACCTTACAGTCATGGCAGAAGGTGAAGGGGGAGCCAACATCACGTAGCGAGAGTGGGAGCAAGAGAGGTGGGGGGAGGTGCCACACACTTTTAAACAGCCAGATCCTGTTAGAGCTCAAGATGGTGAGGACAGCATCAGGCGATGAGGGATCCGCCCCCTGACCTAAACACCTCCCACCAGGCCCCACCTCCAACACTGGGGATCACATTTCAACATGAAATTTGGAGGGGATATCCAAACTATATCAGTGACTGAGTCACTTACTCTCTGAGCCTCAGTTTCCTCACATTTCTATACAGGGTGGGCTCCCAGTTACAACTGCTGCCTTTCGAACCACCCCAGAGCCAGTAGCATAAAATCCTCATGTATAATGTTCACAGATTCTGTGGGTCAGCAGTTCTGGAGGGCACAGCAAGGTGCTTGTCTCTGACCCAACAAGTAAGGGGACTCAGTCTCAGTTGGGAAGACCTGAAGGTTGGGTGACTCTAGGGCAGAGGGGTGCAACCATCTGGATGCCTCTTCACTCACATGTTGGGCCCCTGGTGAGATGGCTGGAAGGCCAGGCTCAACTGGGACTGTCCCCTGCACTCCTACACGTAGCTTCTCCAGCATGGTGGCCTCAGGGTAGCAAGTGGTAGGGCTCCACCGTCTCCCAGTGGACAAGAAGGACACCACATTGCCTTCTGTGAGTTAGCGTCAGGAGTCACATGGCATCACTTCCCCGGTGCCCTATCAGTTGAAGACACCACAAGCCACCCCAGCTTCAAGGAAAGGGGACACAGACCCAATCTGTCAATGAGAAGAGTGTCAACGAATCTGGGGACTGTTTTTAAATCCACCACAAGTGGTGCTCAGAATATTTAACAACTGGTGCAGCACAACCCACTCACCTGAATGGCTGCTGTCTGCAGGGGTGGAGCAGAGCTCGAGTAGCGGCCCCTGCAGGGCCAGGCCTCAACCCTTAGTGCTGGATGGCAGGGTGTCTGTGGGGCCCCAGGGGAGGCTCCTGGGTGTTGGGGGTGCAGCAGCTATTCACCAACATGTCTTAGTCTTTTCAGACTGACATACAAAATACCATAAATAGGTGGCTTAAATAACAGACACTTATTTTGCACAGTTCTGGAGGCTGGGAAGTCTAAGATCAATTCAGTTCCTGGGGAGGGCCTCTTCCTGGCTTGCGGACGGCTGCCTTTTTGACACGTCCTCCCATGACCTTTCCTCTGTGCTTACACGTGTTCACGGGGGGAAGAGCTCTCTCTCTCTCTCCTGCTCTTTTCATAAGATCACTATACCATCATGAGGGCCCCGCCCTCATAACCTCATCTAACCCTAATTAGCTTCCAAAGGCTCATCTCCAAACACCAGCAAACTGGGGGTAAGGGCTTCAACAATACACAATCAGACTGTAACACAGCAAGGCAGGGGCCCTTCGGGAGTTTAACAACCTTTTAGTAGTTGTATCAGTGTGCGTCTCTTGGATCCCAGCCCTGGGTGAGAATTCTTATTCCTTTCTTTCAGTTCAAGTCCTGCTCTGTGTGCAGACTTGCTTTCAGTTCTGAGCCATTGCCTAGCTGCTTTCTGCCAAAACTCTTTAGAAAGGATTTAGAGGGGCCAGGCGTGGTGGCTCAGTCTGTAATCCCAGCACTTTGGGAGAACGAGGTGGGCAGATCACGAGGTCAGGAGATCGAGGCCATCCTGGCTAACACGGTGAAACCCTGTCTCTACTAAAAAATACAAAAAAATTAGCTGGGCATGGTGGCGGGCCCCTGCAGTCCCAGCTTACTCAGGAGGCTGAGCCAGGAGAATGGCGTGAACCCGGGAGGCAGAGATTGCAGTGAGCAGAGATAGTGCCACTGCACTCCAGCCTGGGTGATAGAGCGAGACTCTGTCAAAAAAAAAAAAGAAAAAGAAAAAAGAAAGAAAGGAAGGAAGGAAGGACTTAGAGGATCTCTCTGCCCTGCAAGCTCCCCTGACCACTGGTTCGATGGGTTCTTTTGCAGCCCACCCCAAAACAGGCCTCATGTGGCCAAACAGGAGCCTTGAGAAGAGCTGCAGCCAAGGAAATTTGGTCAAGTCCAAGTACATGCCCAGCAAGGGGATCTGCTTAAGCAGAGTCATGAAGTTGATCATCTCCCCTGATGGGGCAGAATGGACATCACCCCCACTGCCTCCCTGCCAGCAGAGAAATGTGGGACAGGCCTGGAAGCAAGAGGTCTCCTCAGATTAGAGGGGAAGCTCTCTCTGCCTGGGGTCAGAGCTGGAGCAGCATGGGTGTAAGGGGTCACGGCCCCATGTGCTGACTCCCTCCAGGTGACCCCCATGGCACCTGGGGAAGGAAGCAAAGGGGCCCTGGCCAGGACACCAGCAGCATCCACAGCACCTGCTAATCATTTTTGCTGGAGTAACCTTTTGGGCACTTCTGGTAAAGCAGACACGCTCCACAGGTGCTTTTGCAATTGCTCTTTGGAATTTGTTAAAAATACACCTATGTTTTTAAAGATAATTTGGAGTCTGCCTAGTTTAATTTCAGCATAGGGGAAAAATAAGGGAATAGTGACAAAGTTTCTTTACTTGAGCAAACTTGAGTCAGGCTCCTGAACCTTCTAGGCTCATCTGTGTACTTTCTTGTAAAATCCAATTTGAGCAAGAATCCCACTAAGTCAATTCAGCAAGAACTCCCCTTGTTCCTATCTGACCACTCCCAATATCCGATCAGGGTCCTCATCCTCCACCTTCCCAGGTGATGTCTGGTCACCCTGGCCTTTCTTCAGCAGGTCTCCTGTTAGGTCAGTTTAGCCAGCATCACCCTCACCCCTGGCATTTCCTCTTGGTAATTTTCCATCTTTCAACTCCTACCTGCTCCATGGCTCCAAGTCTCAACTTCTCATGCTGTTTTTAGAATCAGCCTGACTGTATATTGAGGTCTCTTTTCGCTTATTGCAATAGTCCTGAATAAAATCTGGTTTTACTACTTTATCGTCTAGCTCTGGTTTTTCTTTGCCATAGGTATTCCCTACCTGTAGCCTTGCCATAGCTCTATCATCGTTGCTTTTTAATTCCCTCCAAGAGATGATATCTACATATACTCCCTCTCTATCCTCAGATCAATGTTTTGCATTTCCTAGGAGCTGAATTCCTTTTCTTCCATTGCAGCACTGGCTGGGAGAGAAGGCACAACATGGTCCAGCATACTGAGCCCCAAGTTTGTCCTGCAGCATGATTTGAGACACAGTGTTCGTGCCACACAGAATTCTGTGAGCCGTCCAATAGCCTTTCATACATTTGTTTTCTGCTTAAACTACAGAGTAGATGCTCTTGTCAGCACCTAAGAACACTCTCTATTACACAGAACTACACCCTAATGACATTTTATCTGTTTACGTGTCCTCTCAGAAAAGCTGTGAGCCCCTTGAAGGCAGGAACTTTATTTGTTTTTAAACATTCAGGGCCTAGTAGATAGCAGGCTTTCAACAAATATTTTTGAATAACAACAAACAAGAGTATGGACTTTGGGAACAGGAGAGCCTAGTAGCCAGCAAGCCTGAGCCAATCCTTGATGGCCTCCAATTCTGAGAAGACTCTCTGGGCCCCCTTAGGCTCCCTGTGGAAGAAAGCTTCCCCAGTCAATCCTAATAAAAATACTTCTGAGACAGATCTAACAGGACAAAGTGGAGTCTCTCCACTCTTTCAGTAGCTCCTTCACCCCAGGTGCTGTTTGGGGTTCTGACACTGCCATGGCATGGCCAGCAGGATGGCCCCTAGGGCTCCTGGGGCTGCTCTATAAGAGCTTCCCACCCCTGACCTGCAGTCCATGAGGGCAAGGCCAGATCCGGGCACACGCCCATCCGTGTTGTTCTCATGCTCTCAGGGGGTAGAGCTAGTGTGTTGGACTTGGCATGTTTAGGGTCACCTCCCTGAGGGTTGACAACCTGAGCAAAATCAGCATTCCCTTGGCAAGGAATAAAGGGGGAATGGATTTGTGGTCAGCAACCCACATCGTTGGTCAGCAACCCACCGCCAAGCATTCTGCCTGCAACAGGGTGGGGCTGGCCAGGGGAGGCTCCTCAGGGAAGGTGAAAGCTGTGCAGAGTTTTGCAGGATGACTCAGTGCTTATCAGGTAGACAGATAAGGAAGAACATTCCAGGGAGAGGGAGGAATGCTAACAACAGCAGGGGATCTGGTCTGTACTAGACATGCCAAAGGAATGGTGTGTCCATATCAACAGAGGAGGGAGAGACAGAAGAGAAAGAGCTTGTCAGGGCCTGAGTCAGAGCGGGCTCATGCTGTGGGGCTAAGAAGCTCAAACGATTTCCAGAGACAGTGGGGAAGCTTTACAGGGACAGGCAGGGGAGGATCTTAACCCGGCTTTCGTAAGCCTCTGGCTTGAGTATGGAAGGTGAGTCTGGGACAGGGAGCCCAGCGCCGAAGTGTTGCAACAGTATAGGGAGACATACAGACCAATTCCCTCCCACCTAACAGCTCTGTGCTTTGGGGTCCTGGGTTAGTTTCCTGGGAGAAGGCTGGCCTTGGCTACCTCTGTCCTTGACCAAGGACATCGTTTTAAATATTTGTGATGTGTCCTAGGCCACTGCATCTCTGTCCCTGTAGTGAAGAGAAGATACTGATTCCTAAGCTCCTACTCTGAGAACACAAATATCTGCAATACTTCGGTAAGCCCTAGGCCTGAGTGTGAGGTTGCAGGCACTTCCATGGCCCCATGCAGGTGTCCAAGTTCCCTCGTGGTATTTGGCCAAGGGGGGCCCTGTGTGATGCCCTAGCGCGGTGACTACCCGTGTTCCTGGCCCATGGGCATCTTCCACGGAATTCTGGGCTTAGCCTGGGGATTCATGCGGGCGCATCTCTGTGATCTGCTCTGGAGCAGGATGTACATCAGGTCTCTCAGACCTGAGTCCCTGGTGCCTGGCGCTCAGCCTTGACTGAAGTGCTCGGCCCACCCTGCTGGGCCAGCCAGCTCCTGCTCAGGGCCACAGCCCTGTAACCACGGCTTCCTCCCCAGGACTCAGGAATTCTCCCACTCCGGAATGCCTTGCTGCTGGGGTGACCAGGTCTTCACTTGTGAAACAGGAGTCGGCCACCTCAGCCCTGCGCCTGGCCTGGTGGAACATGGGTCACCGCCCCAACCTGGGGCAGCCGCCCCATCCCAACGCAGTTGCTGCCGCTCTCCATGCCTCCCTGTGCCCAGCTAACCGGGGGACTTGTCCCCTGGGAAAACCTGGGTACCCAGGCTGCCTTTGGTTTCAGCCCCTACTCCTCTTCCCGGGCTGCCTTTGCTCCCCGGACGGCCCCTTTCCCCGGGCTGTGTTCACATCGGCTGGGAAGGGTCCCTTGCAGACAGATCTTGGACGAGGTCGCGTCCCCCCTCGTGACCAGCAAACTCCTAAAAGCCGCCCTTGCCCCAGAGCCCCTGTAGCCTCCAACCGGCAGTCAGGAGGCAGCGCCGTCTCAGCGCCGCTTAGTGGCGCCAGGCGTGCCTGGAAATCCGCTTTCGCAGCGCCCCCTCGTAGCCGCCTCCGCCCGCAGAAAGGCGTTCCCTGGACAGAGAAGCGGGCGCGCGGGGGCGGGCGCGCGGGGCCTTGCCGGAGAACCTGACTCTCCGCAGCAGCAGTGGAAGCCAGAGTGACGCGTTGTGTTGAACACCAGTTTTCTGGAGCGCTGTGTGTTCTCATAGCTGAGCAGTCTGTTTCTCCAATCAGGTTTCAAAGCCACTTCAACTGCACTGGCCCCTGTGGGTCACTGCTGCACCGCCCTGGCCCATGTGGGTCCCTGAGGAGCGACCTGCCGGGGCCACCTGGCTGGACGAAAAAGACACACCTTGGACTTAAGCCGTGAGAAAAAAAAAACTTCATCAGTAAGAAACAAGTCAATAGACAAGTAAAAGACTAGGAGAAAATATGCATAAAACATAAAAAAGTGACTTGATTCCTGATTCTGGAGTATTTAAGAATTCCTATAACTCAACAAAAAGTTCAGTTTTTTAAAATGAGCAAAAGGCTTGGGTAAACTATTCACAAAGGAACATAGACAAATGCCAGTACACACATGAGAAGCGCATACACATCCACAAACTTCAAACAAGCCCACCTCATGTATTTCTAGTGAGTAAGGAAAAGAACGCAAACACTTTTGAAAATTGTTTGGTTGTTTCTTGTAAATTTAAACAAATACCCTATTATATTATCCAGCGAGTCCATCCTTAGGTTTTTATCCAAGGATAAAGAGGTGAAAACTCATATCTAACAAATAGACTTCTGAAAAGATGAAAATAGAAGCTTTATTCATAAAAGACAAAAACTAGAAATAACCCAAATATTCATTCACAGGAGAATGAATAAACAGACTAGGTTGAATCCATACAATGGAATGGTAGCAGACAATAAAAAGAAAATGAACTATTGATGCCCCCTACTGCACAGCAGAAGCTCTGAATCGTGTTCCTGAATGAAAGAAGTCAGGTATGAAAGAATAAACATTGTATGATTCCATTTATATGAAAATGAATCTGTGATTTAAAAATCAGACTAGTATTAGGTTGGTGCAAAAGTAATTGCGGTTTTTGCCTTTTTTTTTTTTTTTTTTAAATAGTTGCTTTGGGGTTTATGGATGGAGTGGCATGGTAGAGGTTAGCTGAAGGGGGCATGAAATAACTTTTTGGGGGTGCTAGAGTGTTGTAAATCTTACAGTGGGGGAGGGACAGGAGTGCAGGCATTTGACAAAACACATTGAATTGTGAAATTTAAGATTTTTGAATTTCTTTGTATGTAAATTACCTGCCAATAAAAACATGACGAATAGAGCAGTTATGAGCATTTGTGTGTAGCTTTTTGTGCAAACTTAAATTATAATTTCTCTGATAAAAGCCCAGGAATGTGATTGTTGAGTAATATGGTAAGTGCATGTTTTTTGAGAAACTGTCAATCTATTTTTGGGAGTGGCTGTGTGTATCATGTTATATTCCCACAAGCAAGGGATGAGAAATTTGGTTTCTCTGCATCCTTGCTAGCATTTGGTTTTATCATTATATTTTTATTTCAACTGCTCAAATAAGTGTGCAGTGATTTCTCATGATCTCAATTTGCATTTCCCCAAAGGCTAATGATGTTAAATATATTTCCACATGCTGATTTGACTCGGCCATGAAATGTCTCTTCATGTCTATTGCCCAATTTCTTATTAGATTTTTTTTTTACTGTTGAGTTTTGAGAGCTCTTTATGCATTGTAAATGTGAGTCCTTTGTCAGATACGCGTTTGCAAATATTTTCTCCCCTCCATAGCTTGTCCTTTCATCATCTTAACAGAATATTTTGCAGAGGCAAAGTTTTTAATTTTGATGAAGTCCAATTTATCAATTCTTTCTTTAATGAATCGTACTTGGGTGCCATGCCTATGAACTCATCCTCAACTCCTAGGTCCAGATGATTTTCTCCTGTGTCTTCCTATCATAGCCAGAAACTAGAAAAGAACCAAAATGTCCCTCACTAAGTGAATGCTTAAACTAAGTGACACATCTATGCCAATATTCAGCAATAAAAAGAAACAAATTATTCATGCAAATAACTAAATGGATGGATCTCAAGAGCATTAGGCTAAGTGAAAAAAACCAATCTCAAAAAGTCACATACTGTACGATTTCACTTGTATAACATTCTTCCAGGGGCAAAATTATAAACAGTGAAAACAGATTAGTGGTTGGCAGGTGTTAGAGGCGGTGGTGGGGAAGTGTGACTACAAAGAGGTAGCAGGAGAGATCTTGGGATGATGGGATAGTTTTGTGTCTTGGTGGTTACAGGAATCTACACATGTGATACAATGTAATAGAAGAACACACATTGTGCTAATGTCAGTTTCCTTGTTTTGATATTGTTCTGTAGAATGTAAAATGTAAACAGTGGAGAAACTGGGTGAAGGATATTGGGACCCCTTCACAAATTCTTGTCAATCTACGATTATTTGAAAATTTAAAAGTCTAAAGGCTCTGGGCAGGGCCTCTCTCTCTCTCTCTCTCTTTCTCTCTCTCTCTCTCTCTCTCTCTGTGTGTGTGTGTGTGTGTGTGTGCACGTAGGTTTTCTATTTTACATTTCAAGCAGATGGCCAGGCCCTTGGTATTGCACAGGTGCTTGCAGTGTGTATTAGCCAGGGTTATCCAGAGAAATAGAACCAACAGGCTATATACAGGTATATGCAAGAGGAGATTTATTATAGGAATTGGCTCATGTGGTTATGGAGACTGAGAAGTCCCACGGTTTGCTATCTGCAAGCTAGAGAAACAAGAATGTCAATGGTGTGACTCAGTCTGAGGCCGAAGGCCCAAGAAGTACAGGGCTGGGGGGTGGGGCAATGGTGAAAGTCCAAATGCTATGACCTGAAAGTTAGTGTCCCCTAAAGATTCATATATTGAAATCTTAACCCCCAAGGGATGGTATGAGAAAGTGCAGGTATGGGGAGGTGATTAGGTCACCAGGGTGGAGCCTCATGGATGGAATTAGTGCCTTTATAAAAGAGGTCCCAGAGGGCTGCCTCAGCCCTTCCACCATGGGAGGACACAGAAGACATTATTGGCCAAAAGATGCTAACAATGAACCAGAGAGCTGACTCTCACCAGAAACTCAATCTGCCTTGATATGGACTTCCCAGCCTCCAGAACTGTTTAAAATAAATTCCTGTTGTTTAAAAATTATACAGTTTGCAGTAGTTTCTTTAGAGCAGCCCAAATGGACTAAGACACAGTGGGAACAGTGGCCTGAAGTGAAACTCTCTTCCATCTTGTGTTAAGATGGAAACTCCTGAGAGGTGATGCTCAGTGTCTCTGAATGAGGGAGTGGGCAGGGAGGTAGAGAAGGCAGAGGTCAGGGAGTTAGAGATGTAGCTTGCACGTCACTGGACCCCCAAGGGGTGTCTAGATGGTGCCAGGCCCAGGGACCCAGCCTCACCATGGCCCTGGACTGAAGGACCCATGCAGGCTGGACAGTGGGTGATTGGGGAAACCAAGAGGACTGCTGACCAGGGGGCTTCTGGACACAAGACTTTGACCCAACCCTGGAGAAGGAGGAGCCCTTCAGGGTTATGTGAAAAATCTCTCTAACTATCAAGAATTCCATTTTGAAATTATGAATCTTTGAGATGAACCACAAACCTTGCAAAAATTTCACAGACCACTTGAGAATGTGGCCCCAGCTTGGGGTGTTCACTTCCTCTATCAGCTGGAGAATTTCCATGGAAAGTATAGGAAAGCCTGCCTTAGAGTCCATATGGGAGATCCCAGCCTGAGCCTGGCTACAGGCTATGCAGAGGCAGGACCCAAGAGGAGACCAGAAGGACAGGACTGTAGTGACTATAGGTTGCTGGCTCATGATCACCCGGGCAGCCAGGCCTCAGCAGGACCAGACATTGGAAAGCCCACAGGACCCCTGCTTGGGGTCTCCTTCAGGTTTCCCTGCTCCCTGGGCCATGCGGCCTCAGCTCTGCTGTCTTCTCCCCACCTCTGCCTCTCTGTGTACTTGGCTGCTAGTAGCCCTGCAGTCTGCGGTTGCTCATCCTCTGTTCAGATGACCCCATGGCCACTTTGCTGGGGAGAGATTCTGATCCCATAGTCTGGGTCAAGCTGTCTATGCCTGATCTGACCACCAAGGTCATACCATACAATCAGGGCTGCTGCTGGACCCAGCACGGGGTATGGAGAAGTTTGAGGGTGTGGCTGTGGGCAGAGCAGGTGTCCCCAAAGTTGTCTCCAGCAAGTGGAGGAGCCTGTTCACCTGTCTCCCCATGAGTGGCCCCTGTCACCTTGCTTCCTTTACTCCTGCTCCAGATGCTTCCACGAAGCTGAGCCACATGGGAAAGCAAGCATCCCTCTGCCACCCTCACTGCCTTGGCACCGCCCCTTCCATCAGATCCCACTCCTGCCTGCTGCCTGCAGCCTACCTGGTGAGCTCATGCCAGCTCAGAGACCAGGGCTGGGCCTGGGCAGAGGGAGTCCCATGCCTTATGTGCAGGAAGCATGGGTCTGGGCTGTTAACAGCAAAGCCATTGTATTTGTCCACTAGGCAGCCAGAACAAAGTCCCACGCACTGAGTGACAAAAAAACAGACATTTTTTTTTTCCTCAGAATTCTGCAGGCTGCAAGTCCAAGGTCAAGGTGTGGGGAGGGTTGTTTTCCTCTGAATCTCATGGAGCCAGGTTTTGCTGATGGCCGCCTTCCTCCTGTGTCCTCCCATGCTTTTCCCTCTGTGCATGTCTGTTTCTTAAACTGTTCCTATAAGGACAACAGTCGTACTGGATCAGGGCCCACCCTAATGACTTTGTTTAATTTAACCTTTACAAATCCTCTCCAAACACAGTACAGCTGCATTCTGAGGAATCTGGGTTAGGACTTTAGTACATAAATTTGGGGAGGACACAATTCAGTGCATGCCAAGCTTTATCAGCAGCACTACCCTCTCTAAGTGGTAATTTCTAAAAGACAATGGGGCTCTGGGGAAAGACTCCAACATGTTTTGAAGCCAAAAGGCCCCAGTTCCAGCTGGACTGCATCGTTATGGGTAGTTTGGGGGCCACAGGCCTCCTGGCTTCTGCAGAGACCACAGCTGTCCAGAGTGAATGAGATTCAATATGTCCCCCCTGCCCAGCACACCCGGGGACTCCTCTATGGCTGCTCCTGCAGGATGAGCTCCAGGCGTCTGATGCCATGCTGGGTCAGGACCCTGTGGCTCAGGCCAGCCTGCAATACCGGAGGGGACCTTGGAATCTCGTCATTTCCTCTGACGAGTGAGGAGCCAGGGTAGACCATGTGGGTGCCCTCATTGTTCTGGGGCAGTGACCCCCTGCTCATGATCCCTGTGGAGGTTCTGGGCTCCAGGGACATCCAGGCCAGAATGCCCAGCAGTTCAGCTCATGAGTCCAAAGGTAATCTGGGAGTCTCAAACTCACGGATACAATTATTGCAACCAGAAATCCTGGTCCTTTCTTCCCTATATCCCTGCTTCTGTGGGTGGGTGGGGGCATCCCAGGAGGAAAACTCTTGCTCAGAGAGCAGATGGCCCTGGAGGTGTTTGTTTGACAGCTGGGACTCCATGAAGGGAAGGGTGGCCCCAGCTCAGGCTGTCTCAGAAATGGGAAGGAACAAAGTCTGCAGAAGCTCTACCCTGGGGCCCAGGGGACAGCAGGCACAGGGGCTGAGAGGCATCTCCCATTTACCCTCCCCCCAGGGTCTTCCTGCCTTGGTGGCCTCAGACATCAGTGGCGCAGGGGCCTCCCTGAGGACTGGCATGAAGATGAGAAGGGGGTGGTGACAGTCCATTGTTCCAGGAGACACAAGTGTTACATTTGTTTACTAGGCCGATGTTACAAACTGATTTTTAAAACAATGCTTGCAGAGTCATGGAACAAATACCACGGAGCAGCACCTAGCACAGAGGAAGGCCCCCTGCCCTGGGCATCTGTGGGAAACCAGGGCCCCAAGTCTGCGGTGAGCTGGTGCAGAAACTCTGAGCTGAGGAGCTAACATTATACCCATCTGCAACTGAGAGAACCTGCCAGGCTCCAACAAAGCCAAACGGGAAACTCTCCCCGGGAGACACCGTCCTCATCCAGGGAAACCAGGATTCTCATGGAACGTCATTTTCTACTGAAGAGGAGCGCAGAGGAAAAACTCCCAGGTATCCCAAAGAGAGGCAGCAAATACAAGAAACAAGGAGATTCAAGTCCCAGAAAGTAAAGAGAATGGAGTGATCTAAAAGGAATATTTAAATGAGGGAGTGTGAAATGTTTAAACAAGATAAAGGAATAAAATTATATGACAAGAACAGCTAATTAATACAAATGCAGTTTTAAAAGGACCAAAGTTCTAAAATTCATCAATGAGAAATGAAACACAACAGAGAGTTTAAGACAAAAGGTGGAATAACTCCAAAGACAGACCTGAGCAGCATCTGCCCTGCAGCACTGCTGACCGAGACAGAAACCAGAAACAGGATATTGTGCACAAGGAGCACATGAGAAGTGTCTAGCAGGACAGGTCACTCCAGCATCCTCCGCTCACCCCAGCATCCTCAGCTCACTCCACTATCCTCAGCCCACTCCAGCATCCTCCGCTCACTCCACCATCCTCAGCTCACTCCACCATCCTCAGCCCACTCCACCATCCTCAGCTCACTCCAGCATCCTCAGCCCACTCCACCATCCTCAGCTCACTCCAACATCCTCAGCTCACCCCGTTGGGGAGGCAACCATTGAACTCCCTCTGATTTTTCTCATTCCCTCTGGATGCTGATGCTTAGGGAATGCAGACCCCAGCCCACCAACTTCTAAGCAAAGCCAGCAATGAGAGGAGCTCCCTGCTTGCTGGAAGGGAAGGGGAGTCCATCCTCCCTGCCCAGCCTAGGGACTTCCGAGATGCGCTGGATAGGTCTTTCCCCCTTGATCTTTAGCACAACCCAGAGGGTGGTGATTTCCCCCTTTGGCATCTGGTTGGACAATGGATGGGCTTCGCTGAGGGCTGGCAGCCTTGTTGAGCCTGTTCTTTCAGAGAGTGGGAGTGAGTGTCCAAAGGGTCCTCTCAGCCGCCTCCTGCTACATGCCCCTGCCCACTCTCCTAGGGTTCTGCTGGGGACCCCAGTGGGGGCAAAGCTCAAGCCTGGGAAGGATGGGGAAGGTCTCTGGGCACAGGTGGAGAATGTGAAATAACATGAATTCAGCACTTGCCATGTGCCAAGCAGGATGCTGAGCACATCCAAACCCCCAGGACCTAACCATGCTTACACGCTAGGAGGGAAGGCACAGAGCATTCCAGCCTGTGCACAGGGTCAGGACTGG
Source organism: Homo sapiens (assembly GCF_000001405.40). Taxonomy (NCBI): domain Eukaryota; kingdom Metazoa; phylum Chordata; class Mammalia; order Primates; family Hominidae; genus Homo; species Homo sapiens. Next base: position 47,454,152 of record NC_000010.11, on the reverse strand, counting down.
ATGGGCCCCTGGGTCCTGGCTGAGCCGTGCTGTCCTTCCATTCTCCAGTGCTCCCGGCCTCCAGCACTGGGTGGCAGGTGCTGGCAGGCTGCCCCACACATCGGCCTGCCCCAGGCTGCCCTTGCACCAGAAGTTGCTGCTTACGGGACTCTAGGGGACTCTCCTCAAACTACTCAGGACCCCAGCAGCTCACTGGACCCTCTAGCTGCATGGTGGCCCCAGAGGGCTTTTGTGGTCTGACCTCAGTAAATGCAGGTGATGGGAAGATGGTGTGGGGAAGCTGTGGGTCTGGCCTGAATTGTGTTCCCTCTGCTCTGCCTTGTTTGCTGGGTTTCTGAGGTGGAGGAGGGATGAGGGAGAGGAGAGGGGAATGGGGTGAAGAGGCAAAGAATTTTCCAGTAGAGGGAGACCAGCTGTGAGAGCTGTGTGTCTGTCTTCCTGCATGCTCAGCATGGAGTGTGTGAGTGCACATGTGTGTGCATATGTGTGTGTGCGGGGTGTATGTGGTGTGTGTGCATGTGTGTGCTTGTGTGTGCATGTGGTGTGTGTGTGCATATGTGCATATGTGTGTCTGTGTGATGTGCATATGTGTGTCTGTGTGATTGTGTGTGTGTGTGTGTGGTGGTGCATGTGTGTGGTGTGTGTGTGCATGTGTGTGTGGTGAGTGCAAGTGTCTTTGGGGGTGCTGGGATTGTGGGGATGCAGCGAGTTGCCATCCTGACTCTCCTTTGTGGGCCCCTCTTCTCCACAGGCCTCAGAGTGCTTTACTACATTTATCTCACCTCCCTATATCTAGCAAGGGGCCCCAAAGCAGAAGAGTTGAGGTGGGAGGTGGGGAATGGGTGTCACCCGCCCTGGCTGTTTCTCTGGCTTCTCAGGGCCACGTGCTTCCTCTCCAGCCCGAGAACACGGCTGTCCTTCATCACCTACTGCATGGAGGACAGCATCGTCCTGCAGCTCACACTCACACTAGGCAGGGGAGTGCTGCTTTGAGCCCCCAAGGGAGGCCTGAGGGGCTGGGCCAGAGGGAGCTCCAGGGAGCTGAGGGGCTCCCTGAGACCTTGGTTGGGAGCCTGACAGCACACATGGCAGGCTGGTCAGGACACCACTCAGTGCCCATCCTGATCTCAATGACTGTTTCCCTGAACGCTCCGGCCCCTGGCTGCACTGCTACTGCAGGTCCTTGTGCTCCGAAAGTTCTCGGCCTCCCTGATCTTCTCCCTCCCCTGCCCTCCCTCTGCCCTGCCTCCTTCCCTGGGAGGTGGCTGTGAGGATTCCTTGGGTGCAGGGGCTGGCGGGGCAAGTGTGTGTATCCTGTGAACACCTGCCTATGCTGGCAGCTGCTCTCTGTGTGTCCCTCTCCGCCCTGGCCGGTGGGGGAGGGAGACAGGGTCAAAGCCACGGGGAGTGCTGAGGCTTTAGCGCAGGGAAGTTGGTGGGCCCAGACAGGGGAGCCACTGGGTGGAGTCCTGAGTTCCAGGCCAGGCTGGGAAGCTGGAGGGAGGCAGGAGGAACAAGTGTCCATGGTGCTGGAGGTGGCACAGCCCTAGGGCACTGCAGAGCTGATAGGCGGGGAGGTGAGGACACTTCCAATGCAGATGCCTGGAACTGAGCCCAGAGGGAACGAAGCACAGAGGAGAGGTGAGGACACTGAGGACGGGAGGGGGCCTGGGCCCCTCTTGCAGCTTTGACGGGGAGCAGGGAGGAGGCTTCCCCTCTGTGGGAGACGGGAGGCTTGGGTGTGTGCCTCCTGTGCTGTGGGTTTGGGAGAGAGAGACTGAAGTGGGCATGAGGGGGAAGAAAGCAAGTCTATGGGGGAGGACTGTGGTGGGAGATGCAGAGAGGCAGTGGGGGCAGGGCCCTTCAAAGGCTGAGTGAGGAAGAATGGGTGGCTGCCTCCCCTCCAACCTCCCTGTTCCTGGGGGTCCTCCCCCAAACTGAATTCCCAGAGGCTGCTGTGAGGAAGCGGCTGTGTCTCAACCAATGTCTGTGTGTCCGCTGGGCCAAATCTTCACCTGGTGTCACTGAGGGTCCAAGAGGAGGCGGCTGGACCTTGAGTACTCAAGGGCCCTCTCCCCACCATGCCTGAAGCAAGGAGCCCAGGAAAGGTCTCACTTGGCCCCTGCACAGGGTGGGCTTAGCGTGATGTTCCCGCCCTGAAATCTGTGGTGCTCTCTCAGGCCCCAGGGGTACAGGCTGTGCACTCAGCCAGGCCCTCCCTGATGTCAGGTGTAAGTGGAGCCACAAGGCTGCCTGAAGATACCATGTCTCATGCCTCAGCTGAGCACCCAGGCCTCGATGCCTTCTTCAGGGCTGCTGAACACTCGGGGTCTCTCCTCCCTGTCCTTCTGTGTGCCTGTGGCAGGCAGGACACCCACAGCGGCAGGGCCAGGACACGGGTGCGGCAGGCGAGCCACTTAGGACCCTGCTCAGGGCAATCCATCACAGAAGCCCTGTTTTAGCTGCGATTCCAGAGACCTACAGGTGATTCCCCATCTCCTGCTCTTCCTGATCCAACAAGGACCACCGGGCACCCACTCTGAGGCTCAGGGAGTGTGTCCTTCCACCACTGTGGCTCCTGCCCTGAGACAAACACCACAGGGGACACAGGGCAGGTGGGGCTGGCCCCAGGAGCCAGCTGGGGTTCCCACAGGTCTGCAGCTGCCAAGGGCATTGGCCTCCACCCCGCCTCCTGGCCCTGGCCCTGTGCATTCCAATCCCTGCTGACGCCTGGGGTGCCCCTGGTCTATGCACCCAAGGAAAGCTTTCTCTGAACCCTGCTTCTTGTCTTTCTGCAGTGTCACACCTTCAAGGCGGGCTGTGGGTGAAGCTGGCCTGCCGACATGCTTTCTGAGGCTTTCAAGGATTTTCAAAAACGGGAGCCCACAGTTAAAAGCCCAACTTTGACAGGCACAGTGGCTCATGCCTGTAATCCCAGAACATTGGGAGGCTGAGGTGGGGAGATCGCTTTAGCCCAGGAGTTCAAAACCAGCCTGGGCAACATAATGAGGCCCTGTCTCTACGAAAATTTTTAAAATTTAGCTGCAGTGAGCCATGATCGTGCCACTGCATGCTGGCCTGGGCAACAGAGTGAGACCCTGTCTCAAACCTGAACATTCTTTCTAAAAATGCAAATTTCTAGATTTTTTGTAAAATGGGAATGGCAGGAATAGTGGGTGTCCCTCCATGTCGGCCCCTGGCTGGGGCCTGGGGCTTCACCCTCCTCACATGGGGAGCTGCAGGGCCCACCTTCATTCCAAGGCCTTCCAACTGCCGACTTCAGCTGGCTTGTCCTGGCCTGCTCCTCCTCATGGTATCTCCTGTTTGGCCTCTGAGGTCACCCATCCAATGGCCATGATGCTTCCTTAGGAAGAAACTTGTGGGGGCACTGAGACTGTGAGAGAGAGAGCAGGAAAGGCCAGCTTGGTGCCCTGTGCTGAGCTCCCAGGCCTGGGTCCCCTCAGTGCAAGCATTGGGTCCTCTCCCACAGCTGAGGCCAACAGCAGCTGCTTCCAAATGTGATGCTCCCAGGCTGCACTCTCAACATCTCCCTGCTCAGGTTTCTAAAGGGCCTTTGCCAGCTGGACACTGGAAGGTACATCTGAGCCTGGGTGGTGCACACCTTGGCCAGCCCAACTCGGCTACCCTGAGCAGGGCTAGGGGCTGCTCTGGACCTTCATGGAACGGGTGGTTCCAAGTTACATTCTGCCTCTGTCCCTGGCCTCCTTCCTGGGCTCCCTAGAACCCTCCTGGCTTCTTGGTGGCAGCCTGCTGAGAGGGCTCATTCTGTTGCATCTGGGGTTCAAGCTTCTGCCTTGGCCTTTCCCTGCTGTGACTGTCACCCTCCATGTGGGGCAGCTTTGCACAAGTCGGCCAACTGACAGGTCAGTGCTGTGACTGCCGGGCCACGTGAGCAGAGGCAGAGGGCCGAGCTGGTGGGCAGAGGGCACCTGTCACCTTGACTCAGCTGCCTCCAGGGAGGAGTGACGACTCACATCCTCACCTGGGGTTGCCAGGGCTGCTCAGACGCCACAGCCTGTGCATGTCCAGGGGACATCATCAGAGGAGCGCAGCTGTCACACTGGCTGCACGACTGAGCAGCTTTAAATCAGGAGCAACAGAAAGAGACCCCGACGGGGAGGGGAACTCTCTACTCCACCCCCATCCTCAGCTCTGCATCGGGGAGAGGCAGGGTCGAGGACAGAGCCCAGGACCAATCATGGAAGTGTCAGCGCAGCTCCTGTTTCTGGGACCTACCAGCTCCCAGCCCTGTGCCAGTCCCCGCAGAGCTCAGTGCCCTGGGACTCAAGACAGGCCTAACAGCGTCCTTTCTGTTCATGGGAGGCACTGCTGGAGCTTGCTGACATTGGACAATTTGCTCCTGGTAGTGTGCCCATGGGGAGCAGAGCTCAGACATGTATGGTGTGTCTGTCCCCACAGCCTACTGCCAGGGCACCCTGCAGTGAGAAACAGGGAGGCTAGAGCCCAGCTGCTGGTCTGGGGCCAGTGGCACCCAGCCTTATGCTGTCCCCATGGAGGGAGGATGCCCAGGGCTCCCTTCCTCTCCAGCAGCTGCAGCTGTGTAAATGCTGGTCAAGCAGAGCCCCAGCACACACAGGCAGAGGTCAGGACAGATGAGGTCATCACAGAGGACCACACAGGGCTGTCACCACCCATGCCAGGACCCTGGATGGTAAGAGGGCATCCTCACCATGTCCCAGACAGCAGAGACAGATGCTGTGATTTATCCTGTGGGGCCAAGGTGAGCTGAGGGTGTTTGTGTGGACGCCTTTGTTGGGCTATGGAGGTTTCCTTCTGCTCACAGGATGCTGACGCCCCCACTTCTTGTTCTTCATCCCCTGAGATAACCGCCTGGTTCCTGTTTCTCGTTTTGTTGATGTGGTAAATTACACAGATATTTCAGCTCCTGCACCTGCCTGGCCTTCCTGAGAGGAGGCCTGGCTGCTCCTGGCCTGTGGTCTGGGTTAGCTGCTGCTCCATGCCATTTGCTGGTGTTTCCCTGAGAGCTTCTCACACATGTCTTTTCTTGCTTTAGGGTTAAACTTATTGTTGTGAGGTAACAACACAAGAATTGTACACAGGTACTCACACCACCACCGCTGCATATTCCCCCCACAGCAATAGACACTCACATTCACACTCATGTGGGCCACACATCCACACCCCCCCACCCATGCAGATTGCACCACAAACACACTCAACCCACCCCATACCACACACATCACACCACACACACATACCCAAAGCACACACACACATAAATAGCAAACACACATACACCAAAAATACCAAAGACACACCACACATCCCATACACACACCACACACATCACACATCATACACGCACCACACAAAGGGCACACATTCCCCTCTCTGCCACACAACACACACACCCAGCATGCACCCAACACCATACACAGCACACACACATCACACACACACACACCCCACACACACTACACACCCAGCACATACACATACTCACACACCATAGACACACATACTTGATACACACAGAACATACCATACACCACACACAACACACCACAAGATACACATACACAGTGACACTGCCACACATACCACATATCACATACACAGCAAATACACACACATCACACATAGCCCTATACATGTACACAAGCACCACACTCACCACACACTATGCACACATACCACATGCACATTACCTATCACACGCACCCACTACACACACACACATGCAATGCCACACACATACCACACACAAAACACCCACACATCACACATGACCCTCTACACGCACACAGCCACCATACACACTACAAACCATGTATACATACTACACACATACCACCTATCACATACCCCCAACACACACATGACCACAAACACACAACACATTACACAAAAATAGCACACACAATGCACCACACACCACAGAAAAACACACACTAGACACAAAACACACACACATTGAACCCTCACACACACCACACAACAAATACACCAAATTCACACACTGCACACCCCTATACACACATACAGACAGCTACCCATACTACATACATGTCACATACCACACACACCACACACACACATCATACGCAGCACATGCACACCATCACAACACACACATACTACACACCACAAACACACACTACTTACACATGTGCCACACCACACAGAAAATGCACACACATATGCCCATCACATACCACACACATGTAGTACACACACACCCACACACCACAAACACACATAACCACATACACAGGCAACACACACAAACCACAGCCTTTTCCTCACCCCCAGACGTAGGCACAGACATTTCTGCCCTCAGCAGGGCCTCCTCAGCTCTTACCTCCTGCACACACAGTGGGGGCTCCGCAGACCTAACTGCAGTGCAGGCCTTTGATGTGAGCTGGAACACAGGAGGGGTGGAGCAGGGCAGGGAGAGTGAGCCTCTGGCCATAGGAGCCAGGCGCCTCAGCCCCTCACATCAGCCCACTCATGGCATCAATGGTGCTTCTCAGGGCCTTGAAGCCATTCTCCACTGCAAACACATGGTCCAGGCTGTCTGCAATTGTTGTTATCTACAGAGATGGGAGGTGGCTTGGACTCCCGGCCAGGGGGTGAGGATGCAGCAGATCCCAGGCTCAGGGGACAATGTCTGTCTGCTTTGGGGGCAGCAGAATGTCAGGCTCTGAGGGCCACAGGCTTCTCCAGCCAGCAGCCCACTCTTGGGGAGCGGAGGAGCTCTTCAGCCCTCCCCTCTGGTGTGGTGGGATTTATACGATCTGCTGGTCAATCACTTCTGCAGTGGCCATGGGTCGGCCCAACTCACTTGTGGCAGGTTAGATGATGGGGTGGCCCTGGGAGAGCCACTTGGGACACCTTTCCCCAGTAGGCTCCAGAGTGACACCTGCCACCTGTTCTGAGTCACCCGCTCCTACTCACATTGGCTCATACCCACGATGTAAATGGTGGCCCCCAGGCTGAGATTTATCAGCCCAGGAGAAAGAAGGTGCTGAGTATAAATCACCCAGGGACTCTGGTATTCCCCCTACATGACCACCATGGGGACAGCAGGTGCTTACATCCAGAGTTGAAATATTCCATCTTCTGAATTGCCTTCAAAGGAATGAAGAAATATTGAGCCTGGACAGTGAGATGACCCCAGCAATGTTCTAAGAACTTAAGAAACTTGAATACATTATCTGTGCTCTAGTGGTCTGTGCCCTTTCAAATCCTCTCAGTATGAACATTTCTCCTGCTGGCAACATGTACAAAGAGCCCTACATATTTCTTTTTGAAAAAAAAAAGTAAAAAGAGGGTTGAGATGGAGTGGGGTTGACTGTTAAAAATCGGCTTCCAAGCTCTCCAGGAGCCACTGTTCATTGTGCAGGGCTTCCTGGATGGAGGAGGGGGCCAGGCAAGGTCTCTGTCCTGCTCATTCCTCACTGTGATGTTGACTAGAGATTTCAAGGCCTTCTGAGCTCATCCCAGTCTCAGGGAACACAGGCCTAAGTGACCTCACCAAGGGCCCCACCTGGACCATTGATGGTGAGAGAGGAAGCTTCCCATGGATGTGCAAAGGCAACTCAGGCTCTAACAGTGGACCAACATTCCTAGCCCTAAGCCTAACTGCAACACAGGGATGTGCAGCTGAGGTCAGGGACAGGCAATAGGACAGGCCTTCCTAACCATAGCCCTGTGGGCTCTCTTGTATTGGGCACTCTAGCCTTCAACAGGCAGGGCTGAGTTCAGGAAAACTCAGCCCCCACAGCTCCATACCCCCGACCCTGACTCAGTCTCCCCTTGTCTCTTTGCTATAGGAAGCAGCAAACCAGCTCAATTAGAGTGCCAGGGCTCCTTGACTTCCTGTGCCCCTGAAACAAAAAGACCAAAGGACTTTGTTCCTTATTTCCCTTCTTATTGTTTATATTTGTGATTGGGTTGTTTTATCTAATGATTTTCCTTTCTCTTTCTCCTTTGTGTATAAGTTATACCAGTGAGTTTTATAGTTTTGCATTTTTTCATCATGGTGGTTATTATCTGTTCATTTCCAGATACAAGACTTCCCTGAGCATTTCTTGGAAGTCAGGTGTAGTTGTGATAAATTTCCTAGTTTTTGCTTGTCTGTGAAAGATTTTATTTCTCCTTCATTCCTAAAGAGTAACTTTGCTGGGTATAATATTCTTGGCTGTTAGTGGTTTTCTTTCAGTACTTTGAATTTATCATCCCACTCTCTCCTGGCCTGTAAGGTTTCTGCTGAGAAATCTGCTGTTAGTCTACTGGGTATTTCCTTATATATGACTTGACTATTCTCTTGCTGCTTTTAGAATTCTTTCTTTGTCTTTACTATTGACATTTTGACAATAATGTGCCTTGGAGAGGATCTGTTTGAGTCGAATCTGTTTGGGGTTCTTTGAACTTCCTGGACCTGGATGTATCTCTCTCCTAAGACTTGGGAAGTCTTCCAATAATATTTCACTAGATGTATTTTCCTCATCTTTCCCCTTCTGCTTTTCTTCTGGAATTCTCATAATATTAATATTTGTTCACCTAATGGTGTCCTATACATCCTGTAGATCTTTGTCAATCTCTTTCATTCTTTGTTGTGTGTATCCTATGAATATGTAACAGTACTATTTGTCAGTGTATTAGGCCATTTTTGCATTGCCATAAAGGAATGTTTGAGACTGGGTAATTTATAAAGAAAACAAGGTTAATTGACTCATGGTTCTGTAGGCTTTAGAGGAAGCATGGTGCTGATGTCTACCTGGCTTCTGTGGAGACTTCAGGAAGCTTCCATTCATGGCAGAAGATGAAGGGGAAGGAGGCATGTCACATGGCACAAACAGGAGCAAGAGAGAGACAGCGAGGTGACATACACTTTTAAACAGACAGATCTTGTGAGAAGTCACTCATAATTGTGAGGACAATGCCAAGAGGATGGTACTAAACCATTCATGAGAAATCCACCCCCATGATCCAATCACCTCCTACTAGGCCTCACCTCCAATACTGGAGATTCCAATTCACCATGAGATTTGTGTGGGGACACATATCCAAACTATATCATTTGGTTAAAAAATAAAGTATATAGTACAGAGTCTATAAAAAAGACTGGAATGGGAAGCCACGTCAAAAAACAGGACTTGTATAGCTGACGTTGCCCCAAATCTGGAAGGTCCCCCAGGACTGAGGTGGGTCCTGAGGTGTTAGGACCACAGGGCTGCTGGTGCATGCAGCTCTGTGCATTTATAAGATGAATCTATCCTGTACTAGATTTGATGGGGGATGCTCTACCTTGCTCTGGGGTCATATGTCTAAATGGATGGCATTATATGAAATTTTTTTCCCCCAGTGCTGGTTCCAAACTTGTCCACACCATTAAGGTGACTAACGTACTGGATAAGTCTGATGATGAAACCTGATGGCAAGGGCCTTGTTTTCTACCCAATACAGGCTGCAGGGCAAACCATTTACATAACATAAAAGAGGTTTGTGGGAAAGACAGTATCAAAAAGTGTGGAGGAAGGGGAGATAGATGGTTCCAGATACACCAGCTACCCATCTTCAGAGGTCACCCTACTCAGTTCACACCCTTTAGAAATGCTTCCCCATTGCCTGCAGGATCCAGTCCCCATGCCCAACCAGGAAGCAGCAGGGGGCTTCAGCACAGGGATGAAGGGCGTGCTTGAGTGGCCAGTGTTGAGGGGGAAAAGATCCCAGAGTTCCTGCCTGGTGCTGCCCTCCCTCTCCTTGGTCCTGGCTCTGTCTGTGGTCAGATCTCTTGCTTCCTCCTGGGAGTGTCAGGCTCATATGCAGCCTCAGTGGGCATCTGGGGAAGCCAGGCCTGTGTCTCTCCAGAGTGTGGGGCACAGAGAAGCCAAAACACAGCATCCAGGGGGAGGAAGTCACCTGCCAGCAGCCTGCACTGCCTTGCAACACACGGCCCTCATCCCATCCCCACCAGGGCCCAGAAAGGCCTGACTGCAGCCCCGAGTGGCCAAGGGATGTCCACCATGGGTCCTGGGCTGCTTTCTGGCCTGTTCTTGCCTTCCTCTTCTCTATTCCCTGGTCTCAGGCACCTTCCCTCAATGAGCAGAGCATGGTCCTCTCACCTGCCTTACCCTTGTGTGCCCCCCTAAAGCAGGGCTCCTTTCCCATTCCACCAGCTCCTGCCCAGGCCCCATTCCCACCTCATGTTTCAATTCAGGACCTGTACTCAGCCAGCACATGTCCTTCCAACTTTTGTACTTTTCCTCTAAAACTATCCCTGGCTTCTCCTCCTCCTACATCAAAAATACCGTTTTATTTCCAGATTCCAAACTCTCTGTGGCCCACAGTGGCCATCCCCTAACCCATAAGGCTGCCAGGACCCCTCCCCCAGGAGGAGACTGAAGTCTTATCTGGGTGTGTTTCTGGGGACAGAGCTGAGGTGAGCTGAAGGATCCTGATGCCTTCTGGAGGCAGTGTCTAAGCTGCATTGCTTCCTCATGACCACATTGCTTTTCAGGGCAGTCAGGATACTTTGTGCAACCTTATTCACCAAGCTGCAACCAGGTGCCATAGATATGGTGCCAGTGCAGGGGCTGGGTGAGCTGGGGCACAGAGACCTTCCCAGTGGGCTGAAGGCCATGGCTTTTGCCCTTGACAATTGCCCTCTGGGATCATGGCTCTTCAGAGAGCCATGTCAGGCATCTGCTGAGGAGGGCTGCACAAGGCACATCGAAATGGTGCCCATGGGCCCCCCAGACTGTGTCTGGACATGGAACCCATTCATTTCATTTGCTGGTCACTTGAGGCCAGGAATGCTGCTGGGTGTGTTTGACAAGGTTGTGTGGGCAACCCTGACTTGTTCTAACAGGGAGTAAAGATACCCTCCTTGGTCATCACCTTGGAACCATGAGAAAGCAAATTGTTAAGATTGTCCTCCTCCTTGTAACATAATGAGGACTAATACGTATTGAGTCTTCCTGTGGGCCAGTTGCTAGACTAAGAACTTTCCACGTTTTCACTATTTTAATCCTCCCAGTAACTATACAAGTAAATGCTACTATTATCCCAGTTTACTGAAGGGAACTGAAGCACAGAGAGGTTGAGTTACTTGTTCCAGGTTACAAAGCATGAGATTCATAAAGCTGGATGTGAACTGGGTCTGGCTCCTGCTCTTCACACTGCCCTGCCCCTCTTTGGACCAGCATTCAAGACCTGGTGATGGTTACTCCCAAACCACTGGAGAGCTTCCCTGCTCGGGCCCTGGTTCCTGGGTTTGCCTGGAGCTCATCTTCCTGTGCTTCCCGTGGTCAGATCCTTGGCCCAGACTGAGCCAGGAGCCTGAGGGATGATCTGATCCTCAGGGTCTGTGGTGAGGGCTGCACTGGACACATTCCCTGGATCAGCCCAATAAGGAACAGAGGAGATCACTGACCAGGAAGGAAGGCCCTCCTTGGGCCTAGGTTGGAGTCTGGATGCCGTCTCTAGGGTGTGAAGAGGGGGCTTCAGGCTGCCCATGATTGAGCCACTCCAGGAAGGCATAGACTGTCCTGGTACATCCTGGTGGTATGTTCCGGGCTCTGGGCCCAGCTGGCTCGTAGTTAGGAGTGGCGGTGAAGGTGGAATGTGCTTTTGAGCCGTCCTGAGCCCTGAGAAGAGGTAGAGAGAGGCTGTTGTTGTACCTCCAGGCTGAAGTCTGGGCCAAACCTGTAGACATTCTGGTCATTCTTGCTTTGAATTCAGTTCTGAGCTTGGTGTGACCTGGGGAAGGGAAGACAATGGTTCTGTGAGGTGAAAGAGCTCCCAAACCTGTGTCAGAAGAGGAGAGAGACAGAAAGAGACAGAAAATGTCTATCTTTAGTGCTGGGGAAAGAGACTCAGCCAAGTGCTCGTGCTCTGGGGCTTTGAGATCAGAGTGCTCCCTCCCTCGGAGCTTCAGGGAAGGCAGTTTATCAGAGGCAAGATCAGAGCTGAGGCTCAGGCTTAGAAGACAGCTGAGCCTTGGCGTGCAAAGTTAGTAGATGCAGAGAAGAGCCCTCAAAGCAGAGGGGTGAGGGAGGGTGCCTGAGACATGGTCGGGTCTTCTAGGGGCTGGGGATGTGGGTGCCTGGAGCTTCTGCTTTCAGATCTCCATCTCAGCCCCTGCTGTCTGCAGCTGTTGTAAGCTCATCTCAGCTACAAGGCCCACTTGGTGAGCTCTTTTCATCATTCTGCCCAAAGAGCTTGCTTCCAGGGCTTCAGGTGCCACCAGCATTTCCCCAGAGTTTTCATGGTGGTAAGAACGTGGCTCATGACTGGTCCTTTTTGTTTTTGTAAAAAAATAAAATAAAATTTTAGGATCTTCTAAATATATTATGCCAAAGGGGACGCTAAGCTCTGGAAACTGAGTCATGTAGCATGCTTGCAATTCTGCTTCTTAGATTATAGCTTAACTCTCTTCCTCGTTGTTCTAGTTCTATAAATGACTAGGAGAGACCAGAGATCAGACATCCCTCTGTCCAATCACTGATCTTTGTTATCAATTACCTGCCTCCTTTATTGTCCTGTTTCTGAGACCAGACGGTAACCAAAATACCTTGATATTTACATCTTCAGTGTGGAATGTTAAATCTACCTTTCCCAAAAAGAAAGACCACCTCAACTAATCAGACCATTGTAAGTATGCAGTACACCTTTTTAAGATTTTGTTAAACATCCTGAAATTTGTCTATATGAATGATCCCAAACTTCTACACTTTGGAATACTGACCTCCATTCTTTGGACTCTGTGCTTTCTGGTCAGCCTATCCTTACACTTTGTGCTTGAATAAACTCTCTTTAAATTGTATTTTGACCCTTTGATTATTTTAGATTGACGTTCGGCCACCTTGAAGGGACTCAAAGTGCGCCTCAACTGATCCCTCCTGTTATGTCATCGACCAAGGCTTTGGTGCCAAGATGAATGCCTTTTCATTCGCCCAACTTGCAAGGACTGACAGGAATCTCTGCCATGGCTCCTCTTGGGTTTCGAATCTCTCTAATTTTGGTTTGAGATTCAGACATTATTTTAGTGATCCAGTTCCACATTTGATGGAGCTAGAATTGAAGCTCTGCTTTTAAGGTAGGAGTTTCACACACACACAACATTAGAATATATATATTAGAATATATCCATATATATTAAAAATTCTGCTGTTCATGGATTTGTGATTTTTACTTTTCTCTAAGGTTGCAGGTTGCTTGTTGAACTACCCTTCAGAGTTTGTACGTCCTTTTCTCTCACCACAATTTTGGTCAGGGAAGAAAATAGTTTCCTTCTCTGAAAAGAGGAGGTGAATGTTTCATAGCATAAGAAATATTTAAGAAGTATTTAAGAAATAAATACTTTTTATTTAAAAACTGGCTAAACGCTGAAGCTTGGTTCATTTGGCGTATGTAAAGTCACTTTATGAGTGAGCAAAACCAATGAGAAACTTTCTTTGAGGATAAAGATGAGTCCTGGGATAAGGGAAAGTTTTCTTCTTTGCCAAAAGGAACCTCAAGCAATTAAGGTCTTGCAGAAGTGTTTGACTTCATTGCTTGTAACATGCGATTGAGTTCATGGCTTGTAACATGCGATTGTCCCCCAGGTAATCTCCAAGAAGAACATGCAGTGAAGCTTGTTTACCCTGGTGGGCACATAAGAAGGGTTGTTCTTCCAGTGCCGTAAGTGCTCATGATTCCTGGATTTAGTGAGCCATGTAAAAGAGAAGAAGTGACACAAGAGTGACACCTTGAGGAGTAAACCCCCTTAAGCAGCACACCAGATCCAAAACATCTTTCCCTTTCAGTCTTTGGTCACTTGAAAAGATAATCCATTTTTTTCAAGATGGCGGACTAGGGACATTGGATGCCAGATCTCCTTAGGAAGAAGGTCTTAAGTTACTGTTAAATGGACAAGTTCTGAACTGAAAACAGAGGGAAAAGAGCCAGGACCTGTCATCGTGCCCATAGAAAGAAGCTGAGGCATGGAAAAGGAAAGCAGCAAGAGTCTCGCAGAGATCAACCCCCAAGGAACTCAGAGCCCTGTGGAAAGTGTAGGTGGGAGTGCTTCTCTGCTCTTCTCTCCTCTGTGACAATCTACTGAACGCCCAACTTTTGGAGAGCACCTTTTCGCTTTTGACCCAGGGAAACACTATTGGTAGCTATTTGAGAACTCCCCAGGGACAGCAAACTGCTTGGCCAGCTTGTGGAGGCATGCTCACATTGCCCTCAGAAGCAAACTGAGATTGTGGGCACCATACTGAGTGTGCATTGATGGTGCTCCTACCCTGACTGAGAATTTTCTGCCCTTGAGTCACTGTACCACCAGATCCCCCCCTGCTCTCACTTTGGCTAGCATGGCTGGTCCCCAGGGAGTTGTGGGACTCCCTGGAGATCTAACCCTTGGGGTGGGCTGCCCCTAAAGGAAGAGGAAAGGAAACACAGCCTGCCAAAGCCCCTCTTAGGATAAAGAGTATGTGGGTGTGGGCCAACTGCTGCAGGGGCATCATTGATGACTGGGAACAAATGTTAGGAGGGGTTTCATCTCCCACCTCCCCCACCATACACTGTTGTGGATGCAAAGGTGGTCGTCCCTGCTAGGGATGGTGAGCATGAACTCAAGGAAAGTGCTCTTCATGGTGGCACCACCCCTACTGAAAGTGAGCCTTTGCCTGCTTCCAGCTTTCATGAAGGCAAAGGCCTAACTCCCTCATCCTACACAGAGCAGCAGCATCCTGGCAATGGAGGATAGACCATGGAGTTGCCTGCCATGGACTAGGGGAAGAGGCTCTGCTTCAGGCCCCATTTTAGTGATATTCATCAGAGAGGTATATCCACAGCCCCCAGCCACAGTGTGGCTGGGAACCAAAGGATGAAGCCTTTATAAACAGAAGGTCATGGGTCCTGTGACAGGGGTATCGTAGGAAAGTGGATCGCATTCCTGTCGGCTCAGGATGGGGATTTGCAGCACCCACCTTTTCTTTGCCTCAGGACCTCAATGCATTCCATCATAATCTCTTCCTGGTGTATTCAGGGCGAATGCATCCATTCAGCACCAGCCAGCCTGCCGGCTCTTACTCTTAAGTGCTATCTACTGGACAGTAGCCTGAACTGCATGAGCAAACAAAAAACCTGCCACCGCAAGGGCTTAGTGCCAGTCCATGAAATAAGCCTCCTGAGACTTCCACACCCTCAGCCCTGCAGGAGATACTGTGTTTGCCCTTACACCCAATACATAGCTATAAGAAGCAACACCTAAGAAAGCCACTGCACTGAAGCTATACACAACCAATTAACCTATACAGAGCCTTGGTCCCCTGAAAGCACCCAGAGATGAAGCCACACAATCATATACAACATACATGACAGCCACACCCTCAAGAGAAAAAAATAAGTTTACAAAAGTCCCATTTAAATGACAGAAAATTCAAATTTAAGAAGCTACGGCTCCCTCAGATGAGAGGGAATCAGCACGATTCTGACAGTACAAGAAGCCAGAGTGTTTTGGCACCTTCAAAGGATCACACAGCTGCTAGAAATGAATCCTAATCAGACTGAAATGTCCAAAATGACAGATAAAGAATTCAAAATACGGATTTAAGAAAACTCAATGAGATCCAAGGGAAAGTTGAAACCCAATACAAAGAAACCAGAAAAATAATTCAGGATATGAAACACAAGATAGCTATATTAAGAAAAAATGAAATAGAACTTCTGGAATTGAAAAACTCACTATAGGAATTTCAAAATACTGTTGGAAGCTTTAACAATAGACTTGACCAAGCAGAAGAAAGAATTTCAGAGCTGGAAGACCATTCTTTTAAATTAAGCCAGTCAGAAAACAATAAATAAAAAGAATTTTTTAAAACAACAAAGTCTTTGAGAAATATGGGATTGTATAAAAAGACTAAACCTACAACTTATTGGCATTCCTGAAAGAGGTGAAGAAAAAGTAAGTGATTGTGAAAACACATTTGATAAAATAATTTAGAAAAAAAATCCTAATCTTGTTAGAGAGTTGGCATCCAAACACAAGAAATTCAGAGAACTCCTGTGAGATACTGCACAAGATGGGCCTCTTCAAGGCATATAGTTATCAGACTATCCAACATCAATGCAAAAGAAAATGTCTTAAAGGCAGCTAGAGAAAAGGGCAAAATCACGTATGCAGAAAATCCCATCAGCCTAACAACAGAGTTCTCGGAAGAAACCTTACAGGCCAGAAAAGATTGGGGGGCCTATTTTTAGGATTCTTAAAGAAAAAAAAAATTAGTCGAGAATATTTTATCCTGCCAAACTAAGCTTCATACACAAAGGAGAAGTAAAATCTTTTCTGGACATGCAAGTACTAAGGAAATTCATGACCACTAGACCAGTCCTACAAGAAATGCTCAAAGGAGTTCTTAATATGGAAATAAATAATATTTGTTACCATAAAAGCTCACATAAGGCCATGTGCAGTGGCTCACCTCTGTAATCCCAGCACTTGGGGAGGCTGAGTTGGGTGGATCACCTGAGGTTGGGAGTTTGAGACCAGCCTGACCAACATGGAGAAACCCTGTCTCTACTAAAAATACAAAACTAGCTGGGTGTGGTGGTGCATGCCTGTAATCCCAGCTACTTGGGAGGCTGAAGCAGGAGAATCGCTTGAACCCAGGAGGCGGAGGTTGTGGTGAGCTGAGATTGTGCCATTGCACTGCAGCCTGGGCAACAAGAGCAAAACTTCATCAAAAAAAAAAAAAAAAGAAAGAAAGAGAACACAAAAGTGCAAAGCCCACAGGCCCTATAAAGCTATTGCATAATTGAGAGTACAAAACAGCTAGCTAACAACACTATGACAGGATCAAAACCTAATGTATCAATATTAAGTTTGAACAAAAAAGGCCTAAATGTTCTACTTAAAAGACATAGAATGGCAAATTGGATAGAAAAACATGAGACCCAACCGTCTGCTGCCTTCAAGAGACCAACCTCACATGTAATGACACCCATAGGCTCAACATAAAGACATGGAGAAAAATCTATCACATAAGTGGAAACCAAAGAAGAACAGGAGTTGCTATTCCTGTATCAGATAAAACCAATAGTAAAAAAAAAAGACAAAGAAGGTCATTATATAATAATAAAGGATTTAATTCAACAAGATTTAAGTAATTTAAATATATATGCACCCAACATCAGAGTACCCAGATTTATAAAACAAATACTACTAGACCTAAGAAAACAGATAGATATCCATACAATAATAGTGGGGGACTTTAACACCCCACTGACAGCATTAGACAGATCATTGAGGCAGAAAACTAATAAAGAAACTCTGGACTTAAATTTGACACTTCACCAAATAGACCTAAGAAATATCTACAGAATACTTGACCCACAAGCACAGAATAGATATTCTCTGTTCATGAAATTCTCTCATCCTGATCACATGCGAGGTCATAAAGCAAGTCTCAATACATTTTTTAAATGACACCATATCAAGCATCTTCTTGGACCACGGTGCTATAAAATTTGAAATTAATACCAGAAAGATCTTCAAGACAACACAAAGGCAGGGAAATGAAATAACTTGTTTTTGATAACTTTTAGGTAAACAACAAAATTAAGTCAGAACTCAAAAAATTCTTTGAAACAAGTGGAAACAGAGACACAACACACCAAAACCTCTGGGATATAGCAAAATGTTAAGAGGAAAGCTCATAGCACTAAATCCTTTCATCAAGAAGATAGAAAGGTCTCAATTTAATAATCTAGTATCACACCTAAATGAACTAGAAAAATAAGAACAAAGTAGACCCTAAGCTAGCAGAAGAAACAAAACAACTAAGATCAGAGCAGAACTAAATAAAATTGAGTTCAAAAAACCCATACGAAGGATCAATGAAAGGAAGAGTTGGGCCATTAGACCCATTGAGAAACTGCTAGCTAAATTAACCAAGAAAAAAAGAGAGAAGATCTGAATAAACACAATCAGAAATGACAAAGATGATATTACAACTGATACCACAAAAATACAAAGATCTTCAGAGACTACTATGAACACCTCTATGTGCACAAACTAGAAAACCTAGAGGAAATGAATAAATTCCTGGAAACACACAGCCTCCCAAGATTGACCTAGGAGTACTTGAACTCCTAACAGATCAATAATGAGTTAAGAAATTGAATCAGTAATAAAAATCTACCAACCAAAAGTGTCCTAGACTAGAGGGATTCACAGCCAGATTTTACCAGATGTACAAAGAAGAGCTGGTACCAATCTTACTGAAACTATTCCAGAAAAATCAAGGAGGAGGGATTCCTCCCTAACTCATTCTGTGAAACCAGTATCATCCTGATATCAAAGTCTGGCAAAGAAACAACAACAAAAAAGAAAACTGCAGGCCAGTACCCCTGATGAACATAGATGCAAAAATCTTCCACAAAATACTAGCAAACCAAATCTAGCAGCACACCAGAATGATAATTCTTCACAATCAAGTGGGCTTTATACCTGTGATGTGAAATGATTCAACACATGCAAATCAATAAATGTAATTCACCACATAAACAGAATTAAAAACCATATGATCATCTCGATAGACCCAGGAAAAGCATTTGACAAAATTCAACATCCCTTCATGATAAGAACCCTCAACAAAGTAGGCATCAAAGAAACATACTTCAATTTAATAAGACCCATCTATGGCAAACCACAGTGAACATTATACTAAATGGGCAAAAGTTGGATGCATTTCTCCTAAGAACTGGAAAAAGGCTAGGATGTATACTGTCACCACTCCTATTCAACATAGTACAGGAAGTCCTAGCCAGAGCAGTCAGGCAAGAGAGAAAAATAAAAGGCATCCAAGTAGGAAAAGAGGAAGTCAAATGATCTGTTCCCTGATGACATAATTCTATACCTAGAAAACACTTAGGGTTCCTCCAAAAGACTCCTTGACCTGATAAACAACTTCAGTAAAGTTTGAGGATACAAAATCAATGTACAAAAATCAGTGGCATTTCTATACAGCAATAATGTTCAAGCTGAGAACCAAATCAAGAATGCAATCCCATTTACAATAGACACACACACACACAAATAAAATATCAGGGAATACATTTAACCAGGAAGGTGAAAGATATCTATGAAGAGAACCACAAACACTCATGAAAGAAATCATGGATGACACAAACAAATGGGGAAACATTCCATGTTCATGAACTGGAACAATCAAAATTGTTAAAATTACCATGCTTCCCAAAGCAATCTACAGATTCAATGCAATTCCTATCTGATTCCCAACATTGTTTTTTCATGGAATTAGAAAGACTAATTCTAAAATTCATATGGAATTAAAAAGCCTAAATAGCTAAAGCAATCCTAAGCAGAACAAACAAACAAACAAACAAAACAAAGCCTGAGGTTTTTTTCATATTACCCAACTTCAAACTATACTACAAGGCTATAGTAACCAAAACAGCATGGTACTGGTACAAAAATAGATACATAGATCAATGGAATAGAACACAGATCCTAGAAGTAAAGCTGCATACTGACAACTAACTGATCTTTGACAAAGTTAACAAAATAAACAACTGGGAAAGAACACCTTATTCAATAAATAGTGCTGGGAAAACTGGCTAGCCATATGCAGAAGAATAAAACTGAATCCTTACCTCTCCCCATATATAAAAGTTAACTCGAGATGGATTAAAGACTTAAATGTAAGACCTCACATTGTAAAAACCCTAGAAGAAAATATAATAAAAACTCTTCTGGACATTGGTCTAGGTGTAGATTTATGACTAAGATCTTAAAGGCAAATGCAACAAAACCAAAAACTGACAAATGGGACCTAATTAAACTAAAGAGCTGGAGGATTGCTGGCAAGATGGCCAAATAGGAACAGCTCTGGTCTACAGCTCTCAGCAAGATAGACCCAGAAGGTGGGTGATTTCTGCATTTCCAACTGAGGTACCCAGTTCATCTCACTGGGACTGGTTGGACAGTTGGTGCAGCCCACAGAGGATGTTCCAAAGCAGGGTGGGGCGTCACCTCATCCAGGAAGTGCAAGGGATAGGGGAATTTTCTCCCCTACCCAGGGAAGCCATGACGGACTGAGCCTGAGGAACTCCGGCACAGATACTGTGCTTGTCCCACGGTCTTTGCAACCTGCAAAGCAGGAGATTCCCTCTGGTGACTACCCTGCTAGGGCCCTGGGTTTCAAGCACAAAACTGGGAGGCCATTTGGGCAGACACCGAACTAGCTACAGGAGTTCTTTTATTTTCATACACTAGTGGCACCTGGAGCGCCAGTTGAGACAGAACCATTCACTCCCCTGGAAAGGGATGCTAAAACCAAGGAGCCAAGTGGTCTGGCTTGGTGGGTCCCACCCCCACAGAGCCCAGCAAACTAAGATCCACTGGCTTGAAATTCTCACTGCCGGCACAGCAGCAGTCTGAGATGGACCTGGGGCGCACAAGCTTGGTGGGGGGAGGGGTGTCCTCCATTGCTGAGGCTTGAGTAGGTGGTTTTATGCTCACAGTGTAAACAAAGCCACTGGGAAGTTCAAACTGGGTGGTGCCCACTGCAGCTCAGCAAGGCTGCTGTGGCCAGACTGCCAGATTTCTCTTCTCTGGGCATGGCATCTCCGAATAAAAGGCAGCAGCCCCAGTCAGGGACTTATAGATAAAACCCCAATCTCCCTGGGATAGAGCACCTGGGGAAAGAGGTGGCTGTGGGGCACAGCTTAAGCAGATTTAAATGTCCCTGCCTGACAGCTCTGAAGAGAGCAGTGGACCTCCCAGCACAGTGTTCAAGCTCTGCTACGGGTCAGACTGCCTCCTCAAGTGGGTCCCTGACCCCCGTGCACCATGACTGGGAGACACCTCCCAGTAGTGGCCAACAGACACATCATACGGAGAGCTCTGGTTGGTATCTGGCAGGTGCCCCTTTGGGATGAAGCTTCCAGAGGAAAAATCAGGCAGCAATCTTTGCTGTTCTGCAGCCTCCACTGGTGATACGATACCAGGCAAACAGGGTCAGGAGTGGGCCTCCAGCACACTCCAGCAGATGGGCAGCAGAGGGGCCAGACTGTCAGAAGGAAAACTAAAAAGCAGAAAGGAATAGCATGTCCATTCAAAGACCCCATCTGAAGGTCACCAACATCAAAACCAAAGGCAGGTAAATCCACAAAGATGGGGAGAAACCAGCACAAAAAGGCTGAAAATTCCAAAAGCCAGAACGCCTCTTTTCCTCCAAAGGATGACAACTCCTCGCCAGCAAGGGAACAAAACTCGACAGAGAATGAGTTTGATGAATTGACAGAAGTAGGCTTCAGAAGGTGGGTAATAAACCCCTCCAAGCTAAAGAAGCATGTTCTAACCCAATGCAAGGAAGCTAAGAACCTCGAAAAAAGGTTAGATGAATTGCTAACTAGAATAACCAGTGTAGAGAAGAACATAAATGACCTGATGGAGCTGAAAAACACAGCACGAGAACTTCATGAAGCATACACAATTATTAATAGCCAAATCAATGGAGTGGAAGAAAGGATATCAGTGATTGAAGATCAACTTAATGAAATAAAGAGAGAAGACAAGATTAGAGAAAAAAGAATAAAAAGGAATGAACAAAGCCTCCAAGAAATATGGGACTGTGTGAAAAGACCAAATTTACATTTGATTGTTGAACCTGAAAGTGACAAAGAGAATGGAACCAAGCTGGAAAACACTCTTCAGGATATTATCCAGGAGAACTTCCCCAATCTAGCAAGAAAAGCCAACATTCAAATTCAGGAAATACAGAGAACACCACAAAGATACTCCTTGAGAAGAGCAACCCCAAGACACATAATTGTCAGATTCACCGAGGTTGAAATGAAAGAAAAAATGTTAAGGGCAGCCAGACAGACAGATTGGATTATCCACAAAGGGAAGCCCATCAGACTAACAGCGGATCTCTCTGCAGAAACCCTACAAGCCAGAAGAGAGTGGGGGCCAACATTCAACATTTTTAAAGAAAAGAATTTTCAACCCAGAATTTCATATCCAGCCAAACTAAGCTTCATAAGTGAACGAGAAATAAAATCCTTTACAAACAAGCAAATGCTGAGAGATTTTGTCACCACCAGGCCTGCCTTACAAGAGCTCCTGAAGGAAGCACTAAACATGGAAAGGAACAACTGGTACCAGCGACTGCAAAAACATACCAAATTGTAAAGAAGCCTAAATAGCCAAAGCTATTTACAATTTATGAAGAAACTCCATCAACTAATGGGCAAAACAACCAGCTAGCATCATAATGACAGGATCAAATTCACACATAACAATATTAACCTTAAATGTAAATGGGCTAAATGCCCTAATTAGAAGACAGACTGGCAAATTGGATAAAGACTAAAGACACATCAGTGTGCTGTATTCAGGACACTTTGCACCCATCTCACGTGCAAAGACACACATAGGCTCAAAATAAAGGGATGGAAGAATATTTACCAAGCAAATGGAAAGCAGAAAAGCAGGAGTTGCAATCCTAATCTCTGATAAAACAGACTTTAAACCAACAAAGATCAAAAGAGACAAAGAAAGGCATTACATAATGGTAAAGGGATCAATGCATCAAGAAGAGCTAACTATCCTAAATATATATGCACCCAGATTCATAAAGCAAGTTCTTAGAGACCTACAAAGAGACTTAGACTCCCACACAATAATAGTGGGAGACTTTAACATCTCACTGTCAATATTAGACAGATCAACAAGATAGAAAATTAACAAGGATATTCAGGACTTGTACTCAGCTCTGGACCAAGCGGGACTAATAGACATCTACAGAACTCTCCACCCCAAATCAACAGAATATACGTTCTTCTTAGCATCTCATTGCACTTATTCTAAAATTGACCACATAATTGGAAGGAAAACGCCCCTCAGCAAATGCAAAAGAATGGAAATCATAACAAACAGTCTCTCAGACCACAGTGCAATCACATTACAACTCAGGATTAAGAAACTCACTGAAAACCACACAACTACATGGAAACTGAACAAACTGCTCCTGAATGGCTACTGGGTAAATAATGAAATGAAGGCAGAAATAAAGATGTTCTTTGAAACCAGTGAGAATGAAGACACAACATACCAGAACCTCTGGAACACATTTAAAGCACTGTGCAGAGGGAAATTTATAGCACTAAATGCCCACAAGAGAAAGCAGGAAAGATCTAAAATTGACACCCTAACATCACAATTAAAAGAACTAGGGAAGCAACAGCAAATAAATTAAAAAGCTAGCAGAAGACAAGAAATAACTAAGATCAGAGCAGAACTGAAGGAGATAGAGACATGAAAAACCCTTCAAAAAATCAATGAATCCAGGATCTGGTTTTCTGAAAAGATCAACAAAATAGACTGCTAGCCAGGCTAATAAAGAAGAAAAGAGAGAAGAATCAAATAGATGCAATAAAAAATGATATAGGGGATATCACCACTGATCCCACAGAAATACTGACCACCACCAGAGAATATTATAAACACCTCCATGCATATAAACTAGAAAATCTAGAAGAAATGGATAAATTCCTGGACACACACACCCTCCTGTCTAAATCACGAAGAAGTCGAATCCCTGAATAAACCAATAACAAGTTCTGAAATTGAGGCAGTAAGTAATAGACTGCTAACCAAAAAAAGTCCAGGACCAGATGGATTCATAGCCGAATTCTACCAGAGGTGCAAAGAGGAGCTGATACCATTCCTTCTGAAACCACTCCAAACAATAGAAAAAAAGGGAATCCTCCCTGACTCATTTTATGAGGCCAGCATCATCCTGATACCAAAACCTGGCAGAGACACAACAAAAAAGAAAATTTCAGGCCAATATCCCTGAAGAACATCAATGCAAAAATCCTCAATAAAATATTGGCAAACCAAATCCAGCAGCACATCCAAAAGCTTATCCACCACAATCAAGTTGGCTTCATACCTGGGATGCAAGTTTGGTTCAACATACGCAAATCAATAAATGTAATCCATCACATAAACAGAACCAATGACGAAAAACACATGATTATCTCAATAGATGCAGAAAAGACCTTTGACAAAATTCAACACCCCTTCATGTTAAAAACTCTTAATAAACTAGGTATCGATGGAACATATCTCAAAATAATAAGAGCTATTTATGACAAACCCACAGCCAATATCATACTGAATTGGCAAAAACTGGAAGCATTCCCTTTGAAAACCGGCACAAGAAAAGGCTGCCCTCTCTCACCACTCCTATTCGACATAGTATTGGAAATTCTGGCCAGGGCAATCAGGCAAGAGAAAGAAATAAAGTGTATTCAAATAGGAAGAGAGGAAGTCAAATTGTCTCTGTTTGCAGATGACATGATTGCCTATTTAGAAAACCCCATCGTCTCAGCCCAAAATATCCTTAAGCTGATAAGCAACTTCAGCAAAGTCTCAGGATACAAAATCGATGTGCAAAAATCACAAGCATTCCTAGACACCAATAACAGACAAGCAGAGAGCCAAATCATGAGTGAACTCCCATTCACCATTGCTACTAAGAGAATAAAATACCTATGAATACAACTTACAAGGGATGTGAAGGACCTCTTCAAGCAGAACCAGAAACCACTGCTCAAGGAAATAAGAGAGGACACAAAGAAATGGAAAAATATTCCATGCTCATGGATAGGAAGAATCAATATCGTGAAAATAGCCATACTGCCCAAAGTAATTTATAGATTCAATGCTATCCCCATCAAGCTACCACCGACTTTCTGCACAGAATTGGAAAAAACTACTTTAAAGTTCATATGGAACCAAAAAAGAGCCTGCATAGCCAAGACAATCATGAGCAAGAAGAACAAAGCTGGAGGCATCACACTACCTGACTTCAAACTATACTATAAGGCTACAGTAACCAAACAGCATGGTACTGGTACTAAAACAGATATATAGACCAATGGAACACAACAAAGGCCTCAGAAATAACACCACACATCTACAACTGTCTGATCTTTGACAAATCTGACACAACTGAAACTGGACCCCTTCCTTACACATATACAAAAGTCAACTCAAGATGGATCAAAGACTTAAACATAAGACCTAGGACCATAAAAATCATAGAAGAAAACCTGGGCAATACCATTCAGTACATAGGCATGGGCAAAAGACTTTAAAACACAAAAAGCAACGGAAACAAAAGCCAAAATTGACAAATGGGATCTAATTAAACTAAAGAGCTTCTGCACAGCAAAAGAAACTATCATTAGAGTGAACAGGCAACCTACAGAATGGGAGAAAACTTTTGCAATCTATCCTTCCGACAAAGGGCTAATATCCGGAATCTACAAAGAACTTAAACAAATTTACAAGGAAAAGGCCAGGCGTGGTGGCTCACACCTGTAATCCCAACACTATGGGAGGCTGAGGTGGGAGAATAGCTTGAGGTCGGGAGTTTGAGACCAGACTGACCAACATGGAGAAACCCTGTCTCGACTAAAAATACAAAATTAACCGGGTGTGGTGATGCATGCCTGTAATTCCAGCTACTTGGGAGGCTGAGGCAGGAGAATCGCTTGAACCTGGGAGGCGGAAGTTGTGGTGAGCCAAGATCATGCCATTGCACTCCAGGCTGGGCAACAAGAACGAAACTCGATCTCAAAAAACAAAAACAAAAACAAAACAAATTTACAAGAAAAAAAACAACCCCATCAAAAAGTGGGCAAAGGATATGAACAGACGCTTTTTCAAAAGAAGACATTTATGCAGCCAACAGACATGAAAAAATGCCCATCATCACTGGTCATCAGAGAAATGCAAATCAGAACCGCAATAAGATACCATCTCACACCAGTTAGAACGACAATCATTAAAAAGTCAGGAAACAACAGATGTTGGAGAGGATGTGGAGAAATAGGAATGCTTTTACACTGTTGGTGGGAGTATAAATTAGTTCAACCATTGTGGAAGAGTGTGGTGATTCCTCAAGGATCTAGAACTACAAATACCATTCCACCCAACAATCCCATTACTGGGTATATACTCAAAGAATTATAAATCATTCTACTATAAAGACACATGCATACATATGTTTATTGCGGCACTATTCACAATAGCAAAGACTTGGAACCAACCCAAAAGTCCATCAATAATAGACTGGATAAAGAAAATGTGGCACATATACACCACAGAATACTATGTAGCCATAAAAAAGGATGAGTTTATGTCCTTTGCAGGGACATGGATGAAGCTGGAAACCATCATTCTCAGCAAACTATCACATGAACAGGAAACCAAACACTGCATGTTGTCACTCATAAGTGGGACCTGAACAACAAGAACACATGGACAGGGAGGGGAACATCACACACAGGTGCCTGTTTGGGGGTGGGGGGCTAGGGGAAGGATAACGTTAGGAGAAATACCTAATGTAAGTGACGGGTTGATGGGTGCAGCAAACCACCATGGCACGTGTATACCTATGTAACAAACCTGCATGTTGTGCACATGTACCCCAGAACTTACAGTATAATTAAAAAAAGAAAAAAACCATGAAAACTAAAGAGCTTCTGCACACATACATACACACACACACTAACACACACACACACAAAACACTATCAACAGAATAAGCAGACAACCTAAAAAATAGGAGAAAATATTTGCAAACTATGCATCCTTCAAGGTACTAATATATAGAATCTATAAGGATCTTAAACAAATCAACAACAAAACCTCCAACTGACTCCATTATCAAATAGACAAAGGGCATGAACAGATGCTTCTCAAAAGAAGACATACAAGTGTCCAACAAACATATAAAAAAATACTCAACATCACTAATTATCAGAGAGATGCAAATCAAAACCACAATGAGATACCACCTCACACGAGTCAGAATAGCTCATTAAAAATTTTAAAAATAACAGATATTGGTGAGGATGCAGAGAAAAGAGAATGTTTATACACTCTTGGTGAGAATGTATATTAGTTCAACTCCTATAGAAACAGTACAAAGATTTCTTTTAAATAATTTTTTTTTCCGGAGCATATGTGCAGGTTTGTTATATAGGTAAACTGGTACCATGAAGGTTTGTTGTACAGATTATTTCATCACCCAGGTATTAAGCGTCATACCCAATAGTTATTTTTTCTGCTCATCTCCTTCCTTTCACCTTCCATCCTCTAGCAGATCCCACTGTCTGTTGTTCCCTTCCTTTTGTTAATGAGCTCTCATCATTTAGCTCCCACTTGTAAATGAAAACATGAGGTATTTTGTTTTCTCTTCTTGCATTATTTTGCTAAAAATAATAGCCTCCACCTCCATCCATGTTCTTGCAAAAGATAGGATCATGTTTTTTATGGCTGCATAGTATTCCACAGTGTATATGTACCACTTTTTTTTTTAACTCTAATCTGTCATTGATAGGCATGTAGGTTAATTCGACGTCTTTGCTATTGTGAATGGTACTGCAATGAACATTTGCATGCATATGTCTTTATGGTATAATGATTTATATCTTCTCCAAATCAAGGGCATCTGGAATATAACTTACTGCGGAAGTGGCAGAAGGTCTGTTATATGCCTCTGAGACCCTCTTCCCAGGAAAACTCTGGGCTACTACCAGTGATATTCACTCAGCTGTGGGTGCAGTGACTGTTCTGTATTCATGAGCCAGGGGCCTTGCCTTATGGAGTGGGGATGGGGGTTCCCAGAAAAGAGGGGCTGGACTCCTCTCTGTATGGTGGCTGCAATATGCTGGAGGTGCCAGTATAATGACTAGGCCCTTTGCTCCTTCCCAGTTCTAGGACTGTTAGGGCTGCGCCACTGCAACTGTAGTGGCAGAGAGGTTGTGGCTTGACTCTGGGATTACCTCCTTGGGGAATGCTGGGCTGCTTCTGATTGTGGTGATCAGGGAGGGGCAGGGTGGTTGTGCCGGAATCCAGGTCGGGTGGCCCTGCCCAGTGAGGAGAAGTAAGAACTGGGATCTGCATGGAGAATAGTCTGGCTGCTTTTCCGAGAGAAAGTTGTTCTGTGCTGGGGGTTTGGACCAGCCCCTGGTTCCCACAGACTCTTCCATGCCTGGAGACAGCAAGAGCAAGGGTTGCAAGACAGCAAAGATGGCAACCCACCCCTCCCACTGGGAGCTCCATCCAGGGAGTTGCAGAGCTGCTCCTGGCTCCATAGCCCTGGTGGGGGTGGCTGGAGGCCTGGGCCTTAAGCACCTTCCCAGTGAGGAGATATTGGAATGGGCATCCATGTAACAGTCTGTCCACTTTTCCTTAGGGCTGCTGCAGTATGCTGGGAGTCCACTCTAGTCCCTAGTTACCTCTGATTTTCCAGTACTGTCTCCCTGGATGGGGGAGATTTCCCTGGTTCCATGTGTCTTCCTGGTGGGCTGTGGTCCTGCCTTACTTTTCTCCATTTTCTGTGGGTAGAGTTGTTTTCTTGATTAGTCCCAATGTGTGTACCTGGATGTTTCAGTTGAAGGTGCTGCATTTACTTGCCCTTTCCTTTCCTCTCTGTGAGAGTGGTGCACATTAGCTGCTTCTAATCAGCCATCTTGGCCACTTCAGAATTGGAGATTTCTTAAAGAATGAAAAAAATAGAACTATCGATGGACCTAGCAATCTCACTACTGGGTATCTACCAAAAGCAAAATACATTTTTCTATCAAAAAGATACCTGCAATCATGTTTATTGCAGCACTATTCACAATAGCAAAGTCATTGAATCAACCTAAGTGCCAATTAGGATTGAATAAAGAAAGTGTGGCACATATATACCATGGAATATTATGTGGCCAACAAAAAGATTGAAATGTCCTTTGCAGCAATATGGATGCTGCTGGAGGCCCATTATCCTAAGCAAATTAAAACAGAAACAGAAAGTCAAATACTGCATGTTCTCACTTGTAAGTGGGCACTAAACATTGGATACTCATGGACATAAAGATGGAAAAAATAGACAACTAAGGACTCCGTAAGTGGGGAAAAAGGGAAAGCAAGGTGTAAAAACTACCTATTGGATACTATGTTCACTATTTGGGTGATGAGTTCAGTAGAAACCTAAAGCCCAGCATTATGCAATATCCTATGTAACAAACATGCTCATACATCTCATGAATCTTAAAAAAAAATAAAAAAAGAGAGAGCTCAGGTTATGAGCAATCATCCCTTTAAGACCAAGTCAGTCTTCTTGATGAGAGATCCCCCTTTAGAAACTCCAGCTTGATTCGTGTATTTATAGATTTATAGTACCATCTCCTGTCAGTATCTAGAAAAATGTTCTTACCTAATCTATGAAGACTTAAAACTAAAAAGGTCTAAATGGGATACCTTTGATATACCTAAATTCTTTTATTTATGTGCAGTGATATGCACCTCCATATCTTGTTAAAATAAATAATTTATATTTTGATTTGGAGGTGACAAAATATCACTGCACATAAAAATTAATAAATAAATTACTAATATTAAAATAATTTTTATTTATGTGCAATGATGTTTTGTCACCTCCAAATCTCATGTTGAAATGTGATCCCCAATATTGGAGGTGACGCCTGGTGGGAGGAGTTTCTGTCATGGGCGTGGGTCTTGCATGAATGGCTTAGTGTCTCCTCACAGTAATGAGTTCTTGCTCTGAGTTCATGCGAGATCTGGTCGTTTAAAAGAATGTGGCACCTCCCCCGTCTCTCTCTTGCTCCCACTCGTGCCATGTGATATGCCAGCTCTCCCTTCGTGTTCTGCCATGATTGTAAGAATCCTGAGGCCTCTCCAGAAGCTGAGCAAATACTGGCACCATGCGTCTTGTACAGCCTGCAGAACCATGAGCCAATAAATCTCTTTTCTTTAAAAATTACTCAATCTCACATATTTATCTATAATAATGTCAAAATGGGCTGATATGAGTCTCATGCCCCTTCCAGTAGTTCTGGTGTTTCATGATGAGTATCTTCTCTCCAAGGACAAAATTGGGTATAAGATCAGAAATGTATTCATGTTTTGGCCGGGCACAGTGGCTCACGCCTGTAATCCCAGCACTTTGGGAGGTCGAAGAGGGCGGATCATGAAAGCAGGAGATCAAGACCATCCTGGCTAACACAGTGAAACCCTGTCTCTACTAAAAGTACAAAAAATTAGCCAGGCTTGGTGGCACGCACCTGTAGTCCCAGCTACCCAGGAGGCTGAGGCAGGAGAATCGTGTGAACCTGGGAGGTGGAGGTTGCCATGAGCCAAGATCGTGCCACTGCACTCCAGCCTGGGTAGTGAGACTCTATCTCAAACAAAAAAAAGAAGAAGAAGAAGAAGAAAAATGTATTCATGTTTCTCTAAACAGTCACTGATGCTTGACACTAGTATGACTAAGGATAAAGTATGCCACTGGCCTATTAATAATACTTTACAGAGTAAAGAGCATGGGAAGAGCTTCTCAGTAAAAGAAACTAGTTCGTTACCTGATATGGTTTGGATTTGTGTCCCCGCCCAAGTCTCATGTTGAATTGGAATCTCCAGCATTGGAGGAGGAGCCTGGTGGGAGGTGATTGGATCACGGGGGCGGATATGCCCCTTGCTGTTCTCATGACAGTGAGTGAGTTCTCATGAGATCTGATTGTTTATAAGTGTGTGGCACCTCCCCCTTCTCTCTATTCCTTTACTCTGGCCATGTAAGACATCCCTGCTTTCCCTTCACCTTCCACCATGATTGCAAGTTTCTGGAGGTCTCCTCAGCCATGCTTCCTGTACAGCCTGCAGAGCCAATTAAACCTCTTTTCCTTATAAATTACCCAGTTTCAGGTATTTATAGCAGTGTGAGAATGGACTAATACATTACCTTTAACACTGATGGTGCCCCGTCAGAGGGATGAAACAAAATTGCCTCATTTGAGAGATAAGACAACTCAATTTTAGGATAGTATAACACAAATTTGGGACTGTTTTATCTGCCTTACCCTCTGCTGTGGTCAGCTCAGTCAACTTGCCCGTTTGTTTTGTGAACAGATAAATTATACCAAAAATGCCTTACTCAACAACACTGAAGATATGGGATGAATATCCAAAGAATGATATATCCGCACTATTACATTACAAAGTACTGATTGGCATGATGGTGAACAGGCACAATGAGCAAGTATTTATTGGTTAGCTCCAAATGGAATGTCTTGGCTATGTAGTACTAACTTCTGGCCATGGTTACCCCCAGGATGGTTAAGACCATGTTCCTTGGCTTATGCTTGGGCACAGGTTAAGTAGTTCATACCCTGTCAAAATCTGCAAATTTTTCTCACAGTCTCGTTGTGTTCATTCTGTGTTTCATCGGTATGATCATTTAGCTTTCATCTTTATACCACAAATCAGGTATTAAGAATATCATTTGTCATGAAGATATCCTAACCAATTATACACAAAAGGCCCTAAATAATAGCTGCATGGATATGTCATTGCTAAACAAGTAAGTTGCTTTTATGAGAAC
Source organism: Homo sapiens (assembly GCF_000001405.40). Taxonomy (NCBI): domain Eukaryota; kingdom Metazoa; phylum Chordata; class Mammalia; order Primates; family Hominidae; genus Homo; species Homo sapiens. The sequence goes on along the minus strand of NC_000010.11, from coordinate 47,422,665 downwards.
TGCTACATTACAGAAGAGTATGGCTTTAGACACACTCAGTGCAGCCTGAGGAGGAACTTGTACATCAGAAAAACTCAGTGTTGTGTCTCTACCCCAGATGAATTGAACAACTTCATGAAATTAATCACGGGTATACAAATTCAAATAACTAACTTTTCAGATTCTATACTCTCTGATTAGTTATGCAGCTGGTTTGTATCTTGGAGAACTTGGTGTAAAAAACTGTTACTAATTCTGGGAATTATAATCATTTGTTGTGTTTTGTTCTGTTTTTGTCTACACTGCTGTTATGGCATGTGTTTGCAATCGAGTCAATGCACAACCAAAAGCGGCTAGAATAATGGTTGCTCAGAGAACTGCTTTGAACAAAGAGGCAGTCATGTGGCCTGAATCAGGTTTGAGGACCACTTCTCCCCTGTTTACTTTATACGTTGGCTTTAGTTCTTTCTAATTCTTCCCCTATTGGACATGACTTCCTACGAATGAGCCTTCCTAGTAGGGTGAGATTTTGACTTAAATACATGATTCTTCTGCCCTGTTTTCTCTGAAATAATTTGAAGAAAATGAAGAAATGTAAAAGAAGTAAAATGTCCAGAACTTCTAAATTTATTATGCCAAGGGGGAAGTTAAGCCCTGAAGACTCAGTCACATGCCGTGTTTGCAATTCTGCTTCATAGATTATAGCTTAATTCTCTCTCATTTTTCTAGTTCTGTAAATGACTAGGAGATACCAGAGACCAGAACGCCTCCCTTCCCATCATTGATGCTTGTTATAGATTACTTGCCTCCTTTGTTGTCCTGTTCCTATCTGAGAACAGAGGGTGCTCAAGACCTCATGATAGTTACATCTTTAGTGTGGAATGTTAAATATACCTTTCCCAAAAGAGAAAGACTATCTCCACTAATCAGATCATTGTAACTATCATTAAGCTTCACATGGACAGATGTTACAATTCAGTTTAACTTTCCTGAACTTTGTCTGTATAAATGTTCTCTAACTTCTCCACTTTGTAATACTGACTTGTTTTTTGGAATCTATGCTTCCCAGTTGGTCCATCCTCAATCTTTTCAAGTGAATAAATTATCTTTAATCTACATTCTGACCCTTTGATTATTTTACGTTGATATTTTTCTGACCTGCGGGAGACTCTTTGTGACTCAGTTTGTTTGACTCATAAACCCGCAGGCCACTGGTTTGAAACCTAAGCCACTACCAGAGCTGATTACAACCTCTGGGAGAGCCAGGACTGGTCAGACGTCACTAGCTGCTATATCCAGAAACCTGGCTCCTTCAAAGAGAAACTCCTTGTGCTGAGACAGGCCTGGTGGTGCAGGGGACAGGAGCCCTCATGCTTGCCCTCCACTGGGACACTAGGGTGAGGTGGGCCTCTGGTTGCCCCTGGCATCAAGTGACCAAAGGCCGACACCCATAGAGCCTGCCTTCCTCCAGGGCCCAGGCCTCTGTGGCAGGATCCGGCTGCCCCCTCCTCCCACAGTCCCAGCCTGGGGGTCACAGCCCCTCTCCACTGTGCTTCTCACCTCTATCCCTCTTATCCTGCACACTCCTTGGCACCCACAGCAATAAACAATCACAGTGGGGCAGGTGTTCACAGGAGGCGGGGGCAGTGGTGATGGAGGAGGAGGTGGTTTCTCCTATTCTGGCTCCTAAAAAATGAAAAACAGAACTGTCTGCTTCCTTTCCGGGCAGATCCTGGGTGCAAGGCCATGGTGTCGTTGCCTCAGCACCAGGCACAGTGCTGACCACTCCCAGATGTGTATCTGGGGAATGAAAGGACTAGTGAGGAGCCCACACCACAGGGGAGAATCTTTTGTGTGAGAAACATGCAAACTCCTCCTGGTTTGCAGACATGGTTTTTCCCCTAAATGCCAACGACTTCGTCTCTGTCCCTTTGTTTCTTCCGCGGCCAGCCCTGTTGAAAGAGGCCTGCTCTGGGGGCTGTGCAACAGTCCCAGCATTTGCAGATGACTGTCTGCATCCACCTGGTTGCAGATGCAGCCTCCCTGAGCCCACTCTGGAGCACCGCAGAGGCCAGCCTTGGCCAGGGAGGCCTGTTCCCACCCCATCCCAGGCCCAGGGCCTCCTGCGTCAGCTACTGCCCTCACCACAGCCTATGGCCCCTGGGGTGGGTCCCTGGCCCAGAAGCCTGCTTCCAGACTCCTGGCCCCTGTGTTCACTGGGCTGGGTGTCTCTCCCAGTTCGGTGCCTGCCAGGACTCCCGCATCCCTAGAAGCTAACCCCAGCCAGCCCCTCGTCCCTGCCAGGAGACAGGGATCCAGAGAGGCCAAATGGAGCCACATCTGCATCCGGAGCCTGGGGACGGGGCCAGGTCCCTAAAACACGGGGCTCCTTTTCCAGAGCGCCTCCGTCCTTAGCATCTTATACATGCTCTGTGGAATATTGAGAGGCGAGCCCCATTTATTCAGGAGAGATCATCACAGTTGCTGAAACTGGCCACCCCAGGCTGTGAATTGGTGAGAAGCCTCATTTTGAGGGGTGCAGGGAGTGGGAAGGGCGTGCTGGGGACATCACTGTGAGTCCCCACCCTTCTCAGGCTTCACTCTGCCCCTCTGTCACCCTCTTCTCTGCCTCGGCAGGTGGAGGTCATGGGGCGCAGCCTTCATGGCACTCTTGGTGAAGGTCAGTGGGCTCCTTGGGATGTGACAATATCGGGACCGGAACTGCGACTTACTTTTTCTGGCTTCTGCACAGGTGGTGGATCCTTGACAGTCTAGAATGTTCAAAAGAGAAAAACGTGGGCTGGATGGGGGTGGACAGGCTCTGCCTTGGCCCTGCACAGAGCTCGGACCCTGGTCTGGAGCAGGGCTGGATGGGGGTGGGCTGGCTTTGCCTTGGCCCTGCACAGAGCTCGGACCCTGGTCTGGAGCAGGGCTGGATGGGGGTGGGCTGGCTTTGCCTTGGCCCAGTACACAGCTGGGACCCTGGTTTGGAGCAGGGCTGGATGGGGGTGGGGCAGCAGGACAGAGCATGGTCTGGACCCTGGTTTGGAGCAGCAGGAAAGGACAGGACATGGCCTTTGGGTGCCACCTGGGCACTCTGAGCCTGTGGTGTACCCAGCAGGCTCCTCCTCCCAGGCCTCAGCCTCCAACCTTACCCAAGGGAAACTCCTGTACAGCCGTTGTGGGGTTCCTAGGGCTCAGCCAGGCCAGGGACCAGGTCCCTAGAGAGGCCCAGTCCCTGCAAGTGTCCTTCTCTGCCCATAGCCATATGGAAAAGAGAGAGCCCACCCTACTTACCTTCCTCAGGGAGAGCCTGTCTGTCCCTGGGAGACTTCCCTGACCTCCCAGCCTCATGGTTGAGTCCCCGGCTTCCTTCCCTCGTGGCTCCCTGGGCAGAGATGAGACCTGTCTGTTCTCTGGGCTGGGCTCTGTCCTCTCCTCCCCCTGCTCTGTCTGTCTGCAGCTCTCTGGGCTGGGTCCGTGCACCCCAGCTCCAAGGGCCTCTATCACCCTCCCCGCCCTGGACTCCATCTCTGCTTTTGACTCCTGCTCTGCCTTACAGGGGGCCCTTCCCATTCCTGTGGGGTGGGTATTTCACCCTCATCCCTGACCAGACAGGACTGTGAGCTCCCTGTGGGGAACTGTGGCTGCTTCATTTCTGTCCCTCCCCAGCCCAGCATGGGGCCCAGGGGAAACTGGAGCTCAGTAAAGACAGATGAAGGAATGTGGAAGGCACCAGACATATGCCAAGATCCATACTGGTTTCCCAAGGCACAGACAGCTGGGGGTTACAGCACCATCCTCCATTTGGGCCAGCAGGGCCTCATGGGTGACCCTCTCTTCCTCCCTCCACACAGAGGCCACCTCCTGGCCCTTGTCCATCTGAGGCTTCCAGAAGTCCAGCTTGTTGAGGCAGCCCTGGTTTCAGGGGTTCTGGGGTCACTTCTCTCTAGGAGCCAGGGCAGGCCTCAACCCCATGTCCAGGGCATCTCAGGCCAGCTGTGACCAGCCGTGGCAGGAGGTCCTACAGAAGCCCAGGCCTCCTAGACTCTGTGAACGTGTGGACAGCTTCCCTTGGCTCATGTGATGACCTGGGAACTGATGAGAAACTTCCCACAGGTGGGATCACACGGCAGTCACATGCTGAAGTCCCTTGGAGGTTGGGCCTGTGTCTGAGCCCCAGGGCTGGGCGGGCAGGGAGCACTTAAGGGAGCACTTATTCTCCTGCCACATAGCTGCCAGAAACCACAAAGCAGCAGCAGGGTCAGGAGCAGGGCCGGCAGGACCTGGATGATTAGTGGGTTGCTAGTCCAGCCCTCTGGTTGACTTGCCTCCTGTGATGGACCAGTGTCCTATGACGGCAGATGGGTGCTCTCTGATGAACAAGTGGTCTGTGATGGACGGGTGCTCTGTGATAGATGGGTGGTGTGTGATTAATGGGTGCTTTGTGGTGAATGGGTGGTCTGTGGTGGATGGGTGGTGTGTGATGGACGGGTGGTTTGCGGTGAATGAGTGGTCTATGATGGATGGATGGTCTATGATGGATGGGTGGTCTGTGGTGGATGGGTGGTGTGTGATAGATGGCTGGTTTTTGGTGGAAGGGTGCTCTGTGATAGATGGATATTCTGTGGTGAATGGGTGGACTGTGGTGGATGGGTGGCCTGTGATGGATGGGTGGCCTGTGATGGATGGGGGCTCTGTGGTGGGCGAGTGGCCTGTGATGGATGGGTGCTCTGTGGTGAATGGGTGGCCTGTGATGGATGGCTGGCCTGTGGTGGATGGGTGCTCTGTGGTGAATGGGGGCTCTGTGGTGAATGGGGGCTCTGTGGTGAATGGGTGGCCTGTGATGGATGGGGGCTCTGTGGCAAATGGGTGGCCTGTGTTGAATGGCTGGCCTGTGATGGATGGCTGGCCTGTGATGGATGGATGTTCTGTGGTGAATGGGTGGCCTGTGATGGATGGCTGGCCTGTGATGGATGGGTGCTCTGTGGTGAACGATTGGCCTGTGATGGCTGGCCAGCCTGTGGTGGATGGGTGCTCTGTGGTGAATGGGTGGCCTGTGATGGATGGGTGTTCTGTGGTGAACGAGTGGCCTGTGATGGATGGCTGGCCTGTGGTGGATGGGTGCTCTGTGGTGAATGGGGGCTCTGTGGTGAATGGGTGGCCTGTGATGAATGATTGGCCTATGATGGATGGGGGCTCTGTGGTGAATGGGTGGCCTATGATGGATGGGGGCTCTGTGGCAAATGGGTGGCCTGTGTTGAATGGCTGGCCTGTGATGGATGGATGGCCTATGATGGATGGATGTTCTGTGGTGAATGGCTGGCCTGTGATGGCTGGCTGGCCTGTGATGGATGGGTGCTCTGTGGTGAACGATTGGCCTATGATGGCTGGCCAGCCTGTGGTGGATGGGTGCTCTGTGGTGAATGGATGGCCTGTGATGAATGGCTGGCCTGTGGTGGATGGGTACTCAGTGGTGAATGGCTGGCCTGTGATGGATGGGGGCACTGTAATGGATGGGTGCTCTGTGGTGAATGGCTGGCCTGTGATGAATGGCTGGCCTGTGGTGGATGGGTGCTCTGTGGTGAATGGGTGGCCTGTGATGAATGGTTGGCCTGTGGTGGATGGGTACTCAGTGGTGAATGGCTGGCCTGTGATGGATGGGGGCACTGTAATGGATGGGTGCTCTGTGGTGAATGGCTGGCCTGTGATGAATGGCTGGCCTGTGGTGGATGGGTGCTCTGTGGTGAATGGGTGGCCTGTGATGAATGGCTGGCCTGTGGTGGACGGGTGCTCTGTGGTGAATGGGTGGCCTGTGATGAATGGCTGGCCTGTGATGGATGGGTGCTCTGTGGTGAACGACTGGCCTGTGATGGCTGGCCGGCCTGTGGTGGATGGGTGCTCTGTGGTGAATGACTGGCCTGTGATGAATGGCTGGCCTGTGGTGGATGGGTGCTCTGTGGTGAATGGGTGGCCTATGATGAACGGCTGGCCTGTGGTGGATGGGTGCTCTGTGGTGAATGGGTGGCCTGTGATGGATGGGGGCACTGTAATGGATGGGTGCTCTGTGGTGAATGGCTGGCCTGTGATGAACGGCTGGCCTGTGGTGGATGGGTGCTCTGTGGTGAATGGGTGGCCTGTGATGGATGGTTGGCCAGTGACAGATGGGTGCTCTGTGGTGAATGGGTGGCCTGTGGTGAATGGCTGGCCTGTGATGGATGGGTGCTCTGTGGTGAATGGGTGGCCTGTGATGGACGGGTGTTCTGTGGTGGATGGTTGCTCTGTGGTGAATGGGGGCTCTATGGTGAAAAGGTGACCTATGGGGAATGGGTGGCCTGTGGGGAGTGGTTGGCCTGTGGTGGATGGGTGGCCTGTGATGGATGGGTGGCCTGTGATGAATGGGTGGCCTGTAGTGGACAGGTAGTCTGTGGTGGATGCATGTTCTGTGATGGATGGATGGCCTATGATGAATGGATGTTTTGTGATGGATGGGTGTTCTATGGTAAATTGGTGTTCTGTGGCGAATGGGTGGCCTGTGGTGGATGACTGTTCTGTGGTGGATGGGTGCTGTGTGGTGAATGGGTGGCCTGTGGTGGATGAGTGTTCTGTGGTGGATGGGTGATCTGTGGTGGATGAGTGTTCTGTGGTGGATGGGTGCTCTGTGGTAAATGGCTGGCCTGTGATGGATAGGTGGCCTGTGGTGGATGGGTGTTCTATAATGAATGGGTGCTCTGTGGTGGATGAGTGGCCTGTGGTGGACAAGTAGTCTGTGATGGATGCGTGTTCTGTGATGGATGGGTTGCCTGTGGTGGATGAGTGGTATGTGGTGGACTGGCACCCTGTAGGAGAAAGGTATTAACACGCACTACACCTGGTAGACAATGCGAATGTCAGTGGCCTGGGTGGCCTCTTCCCAGTGCCCACCATTTGGAGGCCCATCTGCCCACTCCTCATTCTCCCTAGCTGGTCCCTCCTCCATGTACCACAGTGAGGCTAGCAGTCAGGGCTGGTCCCCAGAGAGCTACAGACCCCTCCTTCGGTCCTGCTTAAAGGCTCTGCCCTAGAGCCCTGCCAAGAAAGTCCCAGAAGCTTCCTGGTCTCATGAACCTAGCCTCACTGAACACCTCGCTTGCAGCACAGGGCTTCTGTGAGGACCACAAAATCTACAGGTACAAAGACAGGTGAGGGTGGGGGTGCTGTGTCCAAGAGAGGTGCAGGCGCAGGAGCAGGGGCAGGAGACCCGGGTCCATCACCCACAGCCTCTCTCCCCACTTCCAGGCTCTGCACCGTGGGCACATCCGTGCACCGCTCTGAGCCTCAGCCTCCACACTTGTGCAAAGGGAATAAGCCGCCCTCCCTGGGGGCACTTGTGAGGTTTAGAGAGCTCAGAAAAAGGCCTGGCTCAGAACCAGGGCCACATGGGGTGTAAGCAACGGGAACTCTTCCCTGGGTGTTCTTCACAGTAAAGGGACTTTGGGCGGCAACCTTGGGAATGCAGGCTGCCCAGGGCTTCCCCAAATCCAGACTTCTGCTTAGAGAGAAGGCTAGGGAGGGAAGAGGAGAGAGCTCGTGCTGGGCCTGAGCCTGGCCTGTACGCCTAACAGCCTCCCCATCGGCAGCAGGAGAAGACATACTGCAGGGCTCAGTGAGGGAGCAGAGAGGGACAGCTCCGGGGCCCAAGCAGGTAGGAGGGTCAGAAAGGAGGCTGACAGCATCTGGGAAATGACAGCAGATGACCACCAGGCAGGCTCGGGCGACAGGGTTGTGAGTGGGTTTAGGATCATATCAGCAGCTGGGGCACCGGTTCAGCGGCACACGCATCCTGAAGGTAGTGCGTGGAATCCTCCAGATCCCCTGGACCTGAGAGGCCCACGTGGAGAAGGTGGAGACCCTAGAGGTCCTGGATTCTGGCTCCTGGCACACAGCCTCCAATCCTCATCCACCAGTGCCAGCTGGAACAGGATCAAGCAGGCCCAGGTGCCTGCTGCACACATTACTTTTCTGGGACTGCCTGGGAACTGTGTGCTCTTTCTGTCCTCCCCAGGGTGTATCTCATTCCAGTGCAGGGCCTCTGGACAGCCCAGGTTGGTGGCATCCCCACCCTGGTACTCACACAGGTGGTGCTCTTCATAGTGATGTCATTAGAAAGGACATTTCTGCCATTGTTCAGGCTGGCTTCAACAAAGACCTCCTTAAAGCACAGAAAGCGAAGATGGTGAGAGCCAGCCCGGAGAGATGCAGTTCTTGCCCTTGGTGAGTAGACAGCATGGGTAATGCTCTCATTCCCCAAAGCACTGAGGTCAACCTCAGCAACAATGGCCAAGGGGGATGTGGGTCCAGCAGCAAGGGGCCCTGCATGAGATTTCATGTCATTGTGACTGTGTCCTAAGTGACCACAAATGGCTGCTTGGTGTCAACCATTCTGGCTCTTCTGTATTTACAGAGTCCATTGGCTTAACTCTGAAAGGCGACCTGGAGCAACGGTACCATTCCTCGGGCAATCATCTCCTGCATCCTGCCCTCCTCACAGACCCTAGGACACTGCAGATCCCTAGGACACTGCAGATCCCTGAACACCTTGGGGGCCACCAACAAGGGAGGTGAGCAATGTGTTCTCAGCCCAGCCGCAGACACGTGCTGCCCCAGCAGGGGGGCATCCACATTCTGTACACCTCACAGTGCCCAGCTGTGACCCCTGGCCTCCTGCCCTCTAGAGCCTCCTGCCCTCTAGAGCCTCCTGCCAGGGATACTTACTGTCCAGGTTGTTTTTAATCTTTGGTCCAGGGCAAGTCATGAAAGTCTTGTCCATACTGATTGTTTTTTTTTCTAAAAGGAAATGACATGGGAAGAATGTCGATGCACATGTTCGTCCACTGTTCCTCCCACCTCCGGTCCTCATCACGCAGAGCGGACCCTGTGGTCCACGACTGGCATCTGGGCTCTGCTTTCCCATTGCAGAGACCCCTGTGAGCACCCGCCACGCCCAGGCCCTGTGCAGCACTCTGATGTGTAACAGGAAAGGCAGGCAGAGTCCCTGCTCTCAAGGACTCACCTTTAAGGACTGCATGGGAGACAGACAACAAAATTAAAAATAGAGAACAAAATAGATGGCAGAGTGCAACGTGCTGTGATGTCCATGAGCAGAGGGAAGGAGAGGCACAGAGAGAAAGGGACAGCCGCTTCGTCACAGGCGACCAGAAGCATTCGTGTGATGTTCCACAGTTTCTTCAATCCCATTTCATTTTCTTTTTCTTCCATCATATTTAAGCAAAATTAAATTTATTATGTTGTAGTTGAAAATGTTAATAGCACTTGTCTTTGGGTTTGGGATTTGGGGCAATGTTTTTATTCATTATGTTTTGTCTATGTTTCTTTTTTCTACATTGTATCATTTTTATAATAAAATATAATTAACACTTTAAAAATAATTGTACATATGTATAACAAAATATAATACTATAATTTTATAAATTAAAATTTCATGTATACATAAAATTACTTTCTATTGTTTTTCTCTTTTTCATGTAGGTCAGGGTTACTATGGACAAAATGACTCATTTCCACATGGAACAATTTGTTGACCTGAACACAATGGTCAGATTAGCCATGAATTTCTAAACTGTTGACCTCTTCCTTGGTGCTGATAAAGATAACGATCAGGAAACAGATTCACTTTGAGAGATGGAAAGAGTGGGATTACTGGGGTAAAAATCCCCAAGATGTGTGACCTGACTGCAGAATGGCATTCAGGAGAGCTCAGGGAGCTCCTGGGGAGGGCGGGTGGCACTGGCACCCTGAGGCCATGGCTCAGGGTCAAGATGGGCAGAGGGTCCAGCAACACCGGGCTGCTGGGAAAAGAGTTTTCAAATAGGTTAACCGATTAAACCCATACTTCAGTCACCATATTAAAAAATTTCTTAAATCACAAAAACATAGCCTATAAAGACAGAAAACATGAAGCATATAGAAACATCAAGCTTTGAATATGTCTTCTTGCTTCCCTATTTCTAAAATGTTTCTCGAATGTTTTCTTCAGAGGAAAATGTAATTAATGACAAAGTCACTCCTCAGTACATCCGAGCTCCCTGCAACAGGCAGCCATGCCCGGCCACTTCTGCAAAGGCACCAACCAGGAGCAGGGTGGCCATCTGCAGAGGTACCCAGGACTGTGGCATGGGCTTTCCTATGTGAGACCTGGTGCTGGCCCACATTGGAGAAAAAACTAGTGCCCTCCAGGAAACCAGTGCACCCACAGGCGGGCAGAGGAGGCATCTGAATGGACTTCCTGGGGGTAGGCAGGGCCATGCCTTCCCCAAAAACCATCATCTCAGGGACGCAGAAGGCCCCCACTGGGCAGATAGATCTCCTGGGTCTACTCTCCAGGTGTGTGGTGCTGGGAAGCTCTTCCATCACCCCTGCCCTGGCCATCCACCCATGCAAAGGAAATGCAGTAAGGCTGCTTTGAGAATTCATGGAGATATTGAGTGTGAGGCACTTGGCACAATATCTGATATGAGAAGCATTCAATACCCGGTAGCTCTCCTTAGGAGGGGGCTGCTCCATCCCTAAGCCACTCCCACGAAAGTATACGTCAGTGGAATCTTAATGGCCTGAGACCATCTACACAACTCTGCCACATGAGAATGTGACAATGACAGCCTCTTCCCCATTCTATATACTCAGGGACAGGAGGAGAGATGGCTGAGAAGCATCCTGCAGGGAGAGGAGTCATTCCAAGTTTACTAGATGACCCTGAATAAGAGGCCATTGAACATAACATGATCAGATGGAATGAATGTAACAAGGGGTCAAGAGGAAGAATTGAGGGGGATGCAGAAAATCCAACTGCACCCCGGGCACTCAGCGGGGAAGAGCACACTCGCTCAGGACCCAGGGCACATTGGCTGCCTAGACTGTGCGCTTCCTCAGGCCACTCCCCAATTGCAGAGGTCCCCGGATGCCTGAGTGTTGCCAAACAATAGGAGAGTTTAAAATATTATAAAGTCCATACTTGTGCCAGCTGCTCTACACAGGTGATCTTGCTTAGTTAGGTTGAGTATCCCTAATCTGAAAATTCAAAATCCAAAGTGCTCTAAAATCTGAAATTCTTTGAATGTCACCGTGATGCTCAAAGGAAAAGCTCATTGGATCATTTCAGATTTCAGAGGAGGCTACTTATCAATGACTTTGGCTTTGCTGAACTAGAATCTGCAAATAACTTGGTCCTGGCTCTTTGCATTATTAAAGTCATATCCGTGAATAATCACTTGCTTGGATTCTGCAAGAACAACACTCAAAAGTCTGAGTGAGGAAGAGTGGAGGGCTCTCTCCACTCTGACCTCCCTGCTCCTGGTGATCCATCCCCAAAACTGAATTCCCAGGGGGCTTCCCTACAAGGAAGTGGCTGTGTCTGAATGAACATCTGTGTGTCCACTGGACCAAATCCTCATCTGGTGTCACTGAGGGTCCACAAGGAGGTGGTTGGGCCTTGAGCCCACAGGAGGACTCCCACACCCTTCCTAATCCAAGGAACCCAGGAAAGGCACCCTGCCTCAGCCTCTGCACGGGGGCAGTTCAGCTGGAGCTTTCCACCCTGAAATCCTACAGTGCTCCCTCAGGCCACAGGGGTCAAGTCCTTGCAGTCCTGAGCAGTGTTGTAGGGCTGACAACTTACCAGAAGGGCAACAGGACACAGATAGAAGTCACCTGTGCTGGGGGTGGCGGTGGGGACTGGGACTCCCGCACACTGCTTGGTATGGCCTCCTGGACAGAAAAGCAACACTACTGAAGAACGTTTCACAAGTGTGTGCCCTTAATGCAACAATTCCACTTCTTGTCTCAATCCCAGGGAACTACTGAGCCACATGCACAGAGAGGTCTGAGGGGATTTTCTGGGGGCCATAGTAACATTCCACATCTTCACAGGGTCTGTGGTTACACAGATGTGTGTGCTCTTGTCAAAACTCATCAGATGACACACAAGATTTGTGCACTGCAAAAAGAGAACTTAATAAATATTGTTCCCTAGTTAAAGATATACGAACTGAAGGGTTTAGGGGTAAAGTACCCTGAGGACTGTAAAATATTTTGAATGCATCCAAAAATAAGATGAATTGGTGGAGAGAAAGAGAGACAGTGAGAGGAAGACATGCATAGAGACAGGATAAAGCAAGCATGGTCAAGCATTAATTAAAAATCCCCACGATGGAAACAGGCGTGTACATTGCACAATCCTTTCCGCTTGGCTGTAAAGTTTGAACATTTTAATAATGAAAGGTTAGAAGAAAAACAAAGAACTAAATAAGAAAATTATGTTTGGACACACACAACCAGAAGTCATGGTACATCCTGGGTGACAAGTGACTGATGAGAGGGACAGACCAAGCCCTTGGACTGCAGGAAGTCAGAGGGGCTGGTCATCAGGGAAGGCTTCCAGGACAAGGTGCCCTTCGAGCAGGGCTGCAAAGGGCAGGTGGGCTCGGCCTTTCAAGGTGAGGCAGGGCTTGCAGAGTGCCTATGCCCCACCTGGTCCCACCTCTGCACAGGGTGCCCAGAGCAGGGAGTGGCCCCTGGAGGGCCTCACTGCTCCAGGCTGGTCCTTAGCCCAGCAGAGGCCTCTGCCAGGCTGGATATGAGGCCCAGGGCTGAATGGGGGAGTCTGGGCTGCGTGCCTCCCTCCCTGGGCTCCTTCCTGGGCTCCCTGGAGTCCTCATGGCTTCTTGGTAGCAGCCTGCTGAGAGGGCTCATTCTGTTGCATTTGGGTTCCAGGCTCCTGCCTTGGCCTTTCCCTGCTGTGACTGTCACCTTCCATGTGGGGTGGCTTTGTACAATTGGCCAACAGCTGACAGGTCAGGGCCGTGACTGCCAGGCCACATGAGCAGAGGCAGAGGGCCGAGCTGGTGGGCAGAGGGCACCTGTCACCTCGACTCGGCTGCCTCCAGTGAGGGGTGACGACTCACATCCTCACCTGGGGTTGACAGGGCTGCTCAGATGCCACAGCCTGTGCATGTCCAGGGGACATCATCAGAGGAGCGCAGCTGTCACACTGCTGCACGGCTGAGTGGCTTTAAACCAGGAACAGCAGAAAGAGACCCCGAGGGGGAGGGGAGCTCTCTCTACTCCACCCCCATCCTCAGCTCTGCATGGGGGAGAGGCGGGGTCGGGGACAGACCCCAGGACCAATCATGGAAGTGTCAGCACAGCCCCTATTTCTGGGACCTGCCAGCTCGCAGCCCTGTGCCAGTCCCTGCACAGCCCAGTGCCCTGGGACTCACGACAGGCCTGACAGCGTCCTTTCTGTTCATGTGAGGCACCTCTGGAGCTCACTGGAATTGGACTATTTTCTCCTGGTCATGTGCCCGTGGAGAGCAGAGCTCAGACATGGACCATGTGTCTGTCCCCACAGCCTACTGCCAGGGTGCTCTGCAGTAAGGAACACGGATGCCAGAGCCCAGCTACTGGAGGGCCTGGTGGTCTTGCTAAGGGCCTCATGCTGTACCCCTGGAGGGAGGATGCCCAGGGCTCTATTCCTTTGCAGCAGCTGCAGTTGTACAAACGTCAGCCATTCAGAGCCCCAGCCTACACAGACAGAACTCAAGACAGACAGGGGTCATCACAGAGGCCCTCACAGGGCTGTCTCCACACATGCTGGGACCCTGGCTGGCAAGAGGACATTCTCTCCACATCCCAGACAGCAGGGATGGGTGCTGGGTTTTATCCTTTGGGGCCGAGGAGAACCAAGGGTGTTTGTGTGGATGGCTTTTTCTGGTTACGGAGGTTTCCTTTTGTTCCCAGGAACAGAAGGAGATGTTGACACCCCCACTTCTTGTTCCTCATCCCCCTGAGAAAATTGCCTGGTTCCTATTTCCCGTTTTGTTGATGTGGTAAATTACACAGATATTTCAGCTCCTACGCCTGCCTGGGATTCCTGAGATGAACCCTGACTGCTCCCGGCCTATGGGCCGGGTTAGCTGCTGTGCATGCCCACACCACATACACACAGATACAACACCCACACCACAAACACACTATACCACACACAACTAGCACACATATACCACAGACACAACATAAACATACTGTACCAGAAACATCCATGATCTAAACACCATATACATACCACACACACCACACACCATACGTGATGCACAACACACACTCACACAGCACATACACACGCACAAACACCACATGCATCCAAACGCAACTTCCACAGCACACACACCATACTGCGCACATTCACACACCATATACCCACTATAGCCAACACACACATCACAAAACACACCACACACGCCCTATGCCCACTATAGCCAACACACACACATCACAAAACACACCACACACGCCATATACCCACTATAGCCAACACACACACATCACAAAACACACCACACACGCCATATACCCGCTATAGCCAACACACACACATCACAAAACACACCACACACGCCATATACCCGCTATAGCCAACACACACACATCACAAAACACACCACACACGCCATATACCCGCTATAGCCAACACACACACATCACAAAACACACCACACACGCCCTATGCCCGCTATAGCCAACACACACACATCACAAAACACACCACACACGCCCTATGCCCGCTATAGCCATCACACACACATCACAAAACACACCACACATGCCCTATGCCCGCTATAGCCAACACACACACATCACAAAACACACCACACACGCCCTATGCCCGCTATAGCCAACACACACACATCACAAAACACACCACACACGCCCTATGCCCGCTATAGCCAACACACACACATCACAAAACACACCACACACGCCCTATGCCCGCTATAGCCAACACACACACATCACAAAACACACCACACACGCCATATACCCACTATAGCCAACATACACACATCACAAAACACACCACACACACCATATACCACACATGCAGCACATACCCTTCTTACTACAGCGGGGCCTCCTCAGTGCTCACCTCCTGCACACATAGTGGAGGCTCCACAGACTTCACCTCAAGACACCTTGTGTTCCGATCTGGAATAGAGAGCGAGGTACAAAGGGGCAGGGAGTGTGAGCCTCAGGGCACAGGAGCCAGGCCCCCACCACCTCTCCAATTGGCCCCACTCACTCTGTCCACTAGGCCATGCTGTTCAGAAACTCCATGACCCACTGCAAACATGCGGTCCAGGCTGTGGGCAATTGTTGTTATCTTCAGAGAGGGAACGTGGCTTGGACCCCCACCCAGGAGGTGAGGATGCAGCAGGTCACAGGCTCAGGGGACAGTGTCTTGCCCCCATGCTTTGGGGGCAGCAGAATGTCAGGCTGTCAGGGCCACAGCCTTCTCTAGCCAGCAGCCCACTATCAGGGAGTGGGGAACTCTTCCGCCCCCGCTTTTGGTGTGGTGGGATTTCTACAACACGCTGTCAGTCACTTCTGCAGTGGCCATGGGTTGGCCCAAATCACTTGGGGGCAAGTTAGATGACTGTCCTTGTGGTGGCCCTGGGAAAGCCGCCTGGGATGCCTTTCTCCACTCAGCTCCAGAGTGGTGCCTGGTTACTAGTTCAGAATGACCTGGCCTATCTTATAATCAGCCACACCCAGGGTGTAAACGGTGGCCCCCAGGCTCCCAGCCTTTCAGCCTAAGGGAAAGAAGGCATTGAGCATTAGTCATCAAAATAGGTGGAGCAAAATGCTGGTAACTGTGAACCCAGCTGGCTTCTTTGAGAGTCTCCTGAAATGCATTTGAAGGTATTGAGTATTAGTCATCAAAATGGGTGGAGCAAAATACTGGTAACTATGAACCTGACTGGCTTCTTTGAGAGTGTCCTGAAATGCATTTGGCACCTGTGCTCCACTGGTCATAGCAATAATCGTGCTGGTAACCTTGTTGTCTGCAGAAGAAGCAAGGAGTGACCTGCTCAGCAAAGGCATCAGGAGTGACCTCCAGAAGCTCCGGGACCCCTGCAGTTGGCTGGGCCCGCAGCACTGCTCATTCCAAGGCATGGCCAGGTGCCCCCACCTCATCCTCCAGGGGAGAGGCTGCCAAGACCCAAGCACCTGCCACCCAGAGACCCCTAGAGTGATGCGGGGCCTCAGCCTGGTACCCATTTTACAGAGGAGGGATGGAGAGGGGCAGGGCCCTTCCCATCACTCTGCCTGAACCCTCACCCACTAGCAGCCTGCACCACTTCTGCCTGAGGGCAGCTCCAGCCAGAGCTCCACAAGCACAGGCCTGTCCCACAGGCAGGGGGAGGAGCAGCCGGGCAGTCCCATGGGCAGAGCCTGCGGGCAGCCCTGCCAACATCTTTGGGCCCAGGAGTTCAGGACTCCAGGTCAGTGGCACCTGGGCAGGGGATCCCATGGCCACCTCAATGCCTTTCCCCACGAGCCCCGCCTCTTCCTGACAAGACCTGCAGCCCCACAGTGGGGAAGGGAGTCGGGGGCTGTGGACAGCCTTCTGTACCATCTGAGACACGATCAGGTGATGAAAGTCGCTTGAAGGGGACACGAGGAAGGGAGGAGGAAGACTAAGGTGTGTGCAAGGGGGCAAACCCCTTGGCTCTTCTCTTCCTTTTCACACAGCCCAGCTGGAGGGCAAGCACCAAAGGGTTATGAGCACCAGAACTGCACACGCAGGATCCCACACAGTTCTCAGAACTCCATGGAACGGGGGATTACTATGCTCATTGCACCTGGGAGGGCACCTGGAGCTCGGAGCAGGTGAGCAACTTGCTCCAAGAAGCAGGGCAGGAATCTGCACACAGAGCTCTCTGAGGCCCATTCCCAGCTCTGTTCACCCTATGGGACCACCATGGGGATAGCAGGAGGGCTTACCTCTGGAGTTGACACATTGAATCTACTAATTTGCTTGTAAGGAAATGAAGATGTTCTAAGAATGCACAGTGAGGCGACCCCAGTAATACCCTAAGAGCATGAGGAACTAGAACACATTCTGTGAGCTCTAGTGGTCTGTACCATTTTACCTCCTTCCTGCATGAATGTGTGTCCATGAGACTCAAGATCCTCTGTTAAGGTAAGATGTTCATGGATTGTTTTTCTGAGAAAAATAAAAAAAAAAAAAAGATTGAGGTGGAGAGGGATGGAATGTTACAAAACAGCTCCCGAGCTCTCCTGGAGCCATTGTCTACTGTGAAGACCTCCCTGAATGGAGGAGGGTGCCAGGCACATACCTTATCATGCTCATTCATCGCTGTGACTTTGACTAGAGATATTTTTGTTTTCTCTGTCTCTGATCTGGTAAGCATAGTGGGAGGGAGGGTGTGGGGTTAGGGGCTGCTTAGCTGGTACCCTGGGTATAGCCTCGCTTTCCCTGAGCTCATGCCTGTCTCAGGGCACTTAGACTTTGGAGAGCTCATAAAGGCCCAGCATGAACCCTCCATGGTGAAATGGGAGCATCCCATAGATGTGTGACTACAAATCAGGCCCTTCCAATGGGACCAGCTTTCTTAACCCTAACCCCTAACCCTTAACCCCTAACCCCTAACCCTAACCCTAATCCAAAGGCATGCAACTGAGATTCAGGGACAGGCAATGGGACTGGCATTCCTAATCTTAACTCTAATCCTAATCCTAAACCTAACCCTAAGGGCTTCCCTTGTGTTGGGCAACGTATCCTTCAAAAGGCAGGGCTGAGTTCGGAAAAGGCATCCTGCTAAGCCCCCAGCCCTGCACCCAGCACCCACAACTCCAGACCCCTGACCCTGACTCAATCTCCTCCACTCTCTTTATCCTACCAAAGTAGCAAATCTGCTTAATAAGAGTGCTATGGCTCCTTGACTTCCTGTGCTCCCGAAACCAAAAGACCAAAGGCTGAAAGAAGCGGCCCCAAAGGGTGTGCAGGCAGCTGAGCACGGCAGGCTGGCTCGGGGATGTGGCCTGTCAGCCTCTGTTAAAGCAGACAGGACTGGTTGGGCCAGGCAGAGCTGGCTCTGATGGCAGGACTGGGACAGGCTAATCCAATGTGACAGGCTGAGCCAGCACAGCAAGGCTGGGCCAAGCATGGACCCTGAAGGCTGGCTTCGCACTGCAGGAAGAGAGTCCCTGCCATGTGGGGGAGCTCTGAGAGCCTCAGCCCAGGAGGGAAGGAGGCCAGGCCCTGCCCAGCCCCTGCTGCCCCTCTGGGCCACCACCCAGAGTCCTTCCCCGTGAACTTGCTTTCTTCGCCCTCATGCCCACCTAGGTCTCCCTCTCCCAAACCCACAGCACATTATGCACAAACTCAAGCCTTCCCCCAGCTCAGGGAGCAGAAGCCCCGTCCCAGCTCTTCCTCAAAGCTGTAAGTGGGGCCCAGGCCCCCATCCAGTCCTCAGGATCCTCGGCTCTCTTCTGTGCTTCACCCTCTTAGTGCCCAGTTCCAGGCATTTGCATCAGAAGTGTTCTTACCTCCTGCCAATCAGGAGCTCTGCAGTGCCTCCTGCTGGGCCTGGGCACCCCTCTAGGCCAACTCCAGCTGCCTGAGCTTGCTCCTCCTGCCTTCCTCCAGCTCCCCAGCCTGGCCTGGGGCTCAGGACCCCACCCATGGTCTCCCCTGTCTGAGACCCACCAGGGGACCAAGCTCTTCTGCACTAAACTCTCCAGCACTCCCCCTTACCCTGACCCTGTCTCCCTCCCATAGAGAAGGCCAGAGCAGAGAGGGGCACACAGAGAGCAGCAGCCAGCACAGGCAGGTGTTCACAGGACACACACACCTGCCCACCAGCCCCCGCACTCTGGGGAAGGAGGTAGGGCAGAGGGAGGACAGGGGACAGAGAAGGTCAGGGAGGCCAAGAAATTCGGGAGCACAGGGGCTACAGGTAACAGTGCAACCAGGGGTCAGAGGGTTCAGGGGAACAGGCATTGGGGTCAGGGTGGGTACTGTGAGATGCCCTGAGCAGCCTGCCCTGTGTGCTGTCAGGCTCCCAACCAAGGTCTCAGGGAGCCCCACAGCTCTCTGGAGCTCCCTCTGGCCCAGCCTCTCAGGCCTCCGTTGGGGGCTCAAAGCAGCACTCCCCTGCCTGGGGTGAATGTGAGCTGTGGGACGATGCTGCCCTCCGTGGAGTAGGTGATGAAAGACAGCTACATTCTCAGGCTGGGGAGGAAGCACATGGCCCTGAGAAGCCAGAGGCACTGGCTGCACTGGACCCAAGCATAGCCAGGGCGGTGAGGCCCACTCCCCACCTCCCACCCCAACTCTTCCATCTTGGGGCCCCTTGCTGGACACAGGGAAGTGAGATAAATGCAGTGGACTCTGAGGCCTGTGGAGACGAGGGATCCACAAAAGAAAGTCAGGATGGCAACTTGCTGCATCCCCACAATCCCAACACACCCCAAAGAAACTCAAACTCACACACACCACGTACACATACACACACATGCACGCACACACATGCGCAAACATGCATGCATACCACACACACAGTCACACATGGACACACACACACACCCCCCATGCTGAACAAGTAGGGAGATGCACACACAGCCCTCCCAGCTGGCCTCCCTTCTA
The DNA here is from genome assembly GCF_000001405.40 of Homo sapiens. NCBI lineage: Eukaryota > Metazoa > Chordata > Mammalia > Primates > Hominidae > Homo > Homo sapiens. The sequence continues at coordinate 47,403,179 of NC_000010.11, read as the reverse complement.
CTGGAAAATTCTTTGCCTCTTCACCCCATTCCCTCCTCCCCCTCCTCTCCCTCATTCCTCCTTCATCCCAGAGGAGTGACTCATCCTATTGGCAGCCATGCACACAGCCTTCCTTTCCTCTCCCTGACCCTCCTTCCTGCCGGCTGGCCCTCAGTGGCCCTCAGCGACAGTGCTGCCATACATCCCCAGCGGAGCTCCCCATGGATCCTGCCCTTGTTGCCCATTCATTTTACCCACAGTCATCAGACTTTTCTTCCTTAAGTGCCACCTTGATCATCCCACTCCTCTGCTCAAGAGCCTTCTCTGGCTGTCTATGGCTCACAGCAGGAAATCTCAGCTCCTTGGCCTGGCATAATGAGCCCCTGTGGCTTTGGCCTCAAACTGACCTTCCCAGCCCTCTCCCAGCCCTGCCTGAGCTAACCTCATTAGCTCAGCAAGCTAAGCCAAGCAAGACCACTCACTCCACCACAGGTCCCCTGTGGTGGGAAATATTTCAAGTTTTGCAGGGAAAATGTGAGGCTTGTGAATTAAGTGTTTTGTCTTTTCCATCCTGCAAGACCCAGTTCAAAGACCCACATCCCTGGAAGCCACTCTTGACTTTGTCGTTAGGAGTTCCTGCTTTTTCCTTTAACCTTCCATGTGAGTTCTTTGTCCCTTTCCTTGAACCCTCGGCAGTGCATAACCCAGGGTTCCGGGACTGAGTCACTGATTTACCTACCTAATGTCCCTTCCCAGCCTGCGATGTCCCCAAGGGCAAACTTGGGGCTCAAGTATTCCCAGGGCTCACAGGCAGGAGCCAGCCAAGGCTGCCGAGATCCAATGGAACCAGTGAGCGCTGGCCTCATTCCTGTTTCAGAATGCCACTTTGTGCTCTGTGTCCCCCACCGAGGAACTCCCACGCCCACCCAATCTGATGGGTTGTGCTTTCTACCTGCCAGAGGAAAAGCTTCCTGCAGTGCAGGGAAGGCTGCAGCCTCACTTTACTTATTTCTCTGCAATCTCTTCTGTATTGCAGAGCCATAAAGGTCAAGGCAGGAATCCAGGCTGCTGGGCCTGAAAACAAAGGAGACCTGTGTTAGGGAGTTGAGGCGCATCTGTCTGGTGGGCAGGTGTCTGTCCACTCCAGCCTCCTAGCAGTCTCTTAACAAGCTCCCCCGACCCCAGCAGAGCTTTGGCTGGGGTACACCCCCAGCAACCACAGTGGATCATCTGGGTGGTGACTTTCATTAGGGTGACCACCCAGACCTGTCTGTCTGGGACCAACAGGCTTTCAGGGATGAGGTACATTTTTTGCTAATAGTTGACTATTACCATAGTCAGCTGACTAGGAGGATAGCTGACTGGTTACCTTAGCTGGGGGCCGTGTAGATAAGAACTGTGGGAGGATGTCCCAGCTGAAAAGCCCTGAGCAATTCTGATATGCTGGCTCTCCTTGCTCCCACTTACCCGGGGGGTTTATCCATCCCCAACCATCTGTGATTGGATAGGGCAGAGCTCTTGGGAATCACGGTCCATCAGACGCCCCTTGAGAACAACAGACCCAGACCTGGTCCATCATTCCTCTGTTGGACTCTTGGATTCTTGGACATCAGACCGGACCCTTCGGTTGGGGATCCTTCTGGCAGCCTGTGTGTGACCTGCTAACCCTATTCATGACACCTCCAGATCCTGCTCACTGTCCCACATTTCCCAGCACCCACAGAGGGAGGTAGTGACATTCCCTGTGGGAGCCTGGGCCTCAGGCAAGGGAGGATGTGCACTTTGGGCCATTTTGCCTCCCATATTTCTTATAAGCTTGCAAAGCCAAGCCGCTCTGGGCATGGAGAGCCTTCTCCAGCAGACACCACTGGGGAGGGAAGAAGCACACCTGGCCACTGCTGTCCTGGCGTCATCATTTCCCCAGCATCAGGGAGAGCCACATGCCCTTATTGTCCTGACTTCCAGATCTTACTGCTAATATTCTCCCACTTAGTCCCCAGACACAGAGTAAGGAGCTTGAAGGGGGTTGGAGCCTTGTGAGACTTCCATCTAGGTGGGGATCAATCACATCTGCCCTACCCGCCCAAGACGCAAAGGTCTTTGCAATCCCACAGCTCCATCGGTAGGTACAGCTTGGCAGAAATGGGAAATATTTCAAGTTTTGCAGGGAAAATGTGAGGCCTGTGAATTAAGTGTTTTGTCCAAGGTCCTGGAGATGGTATCAGTTAAAACTAAGGCTGGTGCCCTCATCTGAGTCCTTTCTCTGTATCTGTGTTGCTTTATGGTCTTTTGTGTATTATGTACTCAGGGGAGCCTACCAGGAGGCTCTTCTCCCCTCCAGCAATGACCATGTCTATAAATGTTTGCCTCCTGAACATCATGCTTGTATGTGGTAGTTCTCATGCATCCAAGAGCAGCCTTCTCCCCTCCACTGTTCCACTGCCTCCTCTAGCCTGCATCTAAATCTGCATACTGTATTATTTTCATTTTACAGATGAAAAACTTGAGGCTCTGAACGGTCAAGCAATTTGTCACAATTTCCATAGCTGTGAGGCGCGTCTGTCTGGTAGGCAGATGTCTGTTCTTCCTCACCTACTCCACTGGGACTGGGGTCAGGGGGGCTACTGACCCCACCATGGAGGATCCAGGCAGGGCCCTTCATAAGCTCTCCAAAGCCTGAGTGCCCTGAGACAAGCATGAGCTCAGAGAAAGCCTGGCCATACCCAGGGTACCAGCTAAGCAGCCCCTAGCCCCACAGCCTCCCTCCCACTGTGCTCACCAAGTGTGGGATCTGCACTCACAGCTTGCTGAGGCCCACACCCAGAGGCAGATGCACCAACAGAGGCAGGTAGTGACATTCCCTTGTGGGAACCTGGTCCTCCCTTGCCTGAGGATCAAGCTCCACAGGGAATGTCACTGCCTGCCTCCATTGGGGCAAAAGTAACTACAGTTTCAGACTGTGAATTTTAAATCATTATAACTAGGCTCAAAGACATCTTTATTAATCAAAACGGAAACCATTACAATCAACACATTTTTGCCAATGAGAAACAAATTTGTTTATTCCTGCAGTGTAAAAATCCATGCTTTGGGATTGGACAAACTCTTGGAAAGCATTTTCTGCATCCTGCTGGTTGTGAAATGATTTTCCCTGCAAAAAGTTGTCGAGATGCTCGAATAAGTGGTAGTTGGTTGGCAAGAAGTCAGGTGAATATGGCGGATGAGGCAAAACTCTGTAGTCCAATTCCTTCAACTTTGGAAGAGTTGGTTGTGTGATGTGCAGTCCAGCATTGTCATGGAGAATTGGGCCCTTTCTGTTGATCAATGCCAGCTGCAGGCATTGCAGTTTTTGGTGCATCTCAACCATGTGCTGAGCGTACTTCTTAGATGTAGCGGTTTTGCCAGAATTCAGAAAGCTATAGTGTATCAGACCAGCAGCAGACCACCAAACCATGACCATGACCTTTTTCTGGTACAAGTTTGCCTTTGGAAAGTGCTTTGGAGCTTATTCTTGGTCCAGCCACTGAGGTAGTCATCACTGGTTGTCATATGAATTCCACTTTTTGTCACACGTCACAAGCGGATTGAGAAATGATTCATTATTGTGTAGAATAAAAGAAGACGACACTTCAAAATGACAATTTTTTAAATTTTTGCTCAGCTCATGAGGCACCCACTTATTGAACTTTTTCACCATTCCAATTTGCTTCAAATGCCAAATGACTGCAGAACAGTTGACGCTGAATTCTTTTGCAACTTATCGCGTCATTGTAAGAAGATCAGCTTTGATAACTGCTCTCGGTTGTTGTCAACTTCCAATGGCCAGTCTCTATGTTCCTCATCTTCAAGCCTCTTGTCTCCTTTGCAAAATTTCTTGAACCACCACTACACTGTACATTCCTTAGAAGTTCCAGGGCCAAATGCATTGCTGATGTTGCAAGTTGTCTTGGCTGCTTTATGACCCAATTTGAACTCAAATAAGAAAATCACCCGAATTCGCTTTTTGTCTAACATCAGCTCCACAGTCTAAAATAAATATAAAATAAACAGCAAGTAATAAGTCATTAGCAAAAAACATAAAGTGAGAAATGCACATTAAAATGATATATAACATAACCATATTTATTTAAGAATGTATTCCAATATCAAACAGCAAATTTTAAAATGCAAAAATCAGAATTTCTTTTGCACCAACCTAATAGCATGGATCTGAACCCAGGTCTAGCTGCAAAACCATAATTTACCCATTGCACTTAGGGTGTCTAGGTGACACTGTGGTATCAAACGATACTGGAAAACAAAGCACTGGACTCTCAAAACTCATCCACAACACAGACTTTGCCCTTGGCAGCTCCCACACTAACATGTAAGACAACCCCTTTCCTAACTAATGATAACAGTTTCCAATTTCCTTCTCTTTACACTCTACTCTCTTTTTCCTTCAGCAAAAAGGGTCTTCCAGTGAAGGGTTATGGGGAGCAAGAATCTTCATTCCATTCACCCACTCTGGTAAAATTTCCAGTTTGAGATGATTTTGAAGAAGGGTCTACATTTTAGACCACAGAGGAAGCCAGTGCTCTTGGGTGGTGAAGGGCCACATGAACTGACATGTCCCCAGAAGGAGGAGAAGGAGGCAACATGGAAGAGTGCAAACTATGTGGGCTTCTGGCACACAGAGCTCTACTTATGATTTAGTGCCCCAGTCTTACATGAGAACAGAGAGACCAGGATCACCAAACATTTGAGAACACCTCTACCATTACAATTTGAGACCAAAACATCATAGTGATATAACCACATTGCAGAAATGGAAGTGGGTAGGATTGAATCCTGTAGGAAAACTCAGCTATGAGAAAGCTAAATACTCTTCCCCCATAGGAAGAAGTCAACAGAGAATATGTAAGCTGACAACAGCAAGAAACAGCAGTCAGTACAAGCATATTTTTAAAAACAAGGACATAAAACCAGAAGAAAAAGCTAAAACACTTGCAAGTGGCTGCTTCTGGGGAGTGAGATCAGAAGTGGGAAAGAGTCGAGCAGGAGCCTTGGGTTTTTTGTGTGTGTGTGTGAGCCTTCATAGAGTATTTGATATTTACATTTATCTTCAAGCTTTTCATTAATTAATGTAAAAATGAAATTACAAGCAAAAACTAGCAGCATGGAATGATGTCATCAAAATGGTGGCTTAAACACTCCAAGCCCCTGCTCCCCCATAGAAACATTGAAAGAAAAAAACAGAATCTGTGTGTGCCAACTTTTCAGGGACTCAGGCAAACAGTAATCAAAGATTTACTGCAATATACCAGGTGCCCAACTGAGAAAAAGCTACCTTCAAAATCACAGGAAAGTTTTGTGATGTTTTTGTGGGGGAAAGGAAGACAGATCAGACTGTTATTGTGTCTATGTAGAAAAAGGAAGACATAAGAAACTCCATTTTGATCTGTACTAAGAAAAATTGTTCTGCTTTGAGATGCTGTTAATCTGCAACCTTAGCCCCAACCCTGTGCTCACAGAAACATGTGCTGTATTGAATCAAGATTTAATGGAGTTAGGGCTGTGCAGGTTGTGCCTTGTTAACAATTTGTTTGCAGGCTGTATGCTTGGTAAAAGTCATTGCCATTCTCCATTCTCAATTAACCAGGGACACAATGCACTGTGGAAATCTGCAGGGACCTCTGCCCAAGAAAGCCTGGGTATTGTCCAGGTCTCCCCCCCACTGACACAGCCCAAGATACGGCCTCGTGGGAAGGGAAAGACCTTACAGTCCCCTAGCCCGACACTCGTAAAGGGTCTGTGCTGAGGAGAATTAGTGAAAGAGGAAGGCCTCTTTGCAGTTGAGATAAAAACTCTCCTGTTTGTCCCTGGGAATGAAATGTCTCGGTGTAAAGCCCGACCATATATTCTATTTACTGAGGTAGGAGAAAACTGCCCTATGGCTGGAGGTGAGACATGCTGGCAGCAATACTGCCCTGCTACTCTTTACTGCACTGAGATGTTTGTGTAAAGTTAAACATAAATCTGGCCTACATGCATATCCAGGCACAGTAACTTTCCTTAAACTTATTTATGACACAGATTCCTTTGCTCATATGTTTTCCTACTGACCCTCTCCCCACCATTACCCTATAGTCCTGCCACATCTCCCTCACCGAGATAGTAAAGATAGTGATCAATAAATACTGAGGAAACTCAGAGACCGGTGCTGGTGCAGGTCCTCACTTGCTGAACACTTGTCCCCTGGGCCCACTTTTCTTCCTCTATACTTTGTCTCTGTGCCTTATTTCTTTTCTCAGTCTCTCATCTCCTCCTTGTGAGAAATACCCTCAGGTGTGGAGGGGCAGGCCCCCTTCACTTTTCACATATCCTTTCTGCAACACTTTCACAGCATATTGGCAGTTTTGGTCTTGAGCAGTGACCCAGTTCCAAGTGATTGTCTATGAACTAGAGGGAGCAGCGTAGCTCTTACTTGCACATTTCTGTGTATATCTGTTCTAACCTGGCTGGAGGACACCCAAAAGACTAGCTCCCTCTACTCTATCTCATATAGCTCAGTCAGAACACATCTAGAAAATGTGGTAAGCACTTCTTGTAAAAGTGATGACAAATCTACAGGGGACAAAAAGCCCCATAGATGCCTGAGGCAAGAGAGTTTGGGTGAATACACAATAGACCATCAAAGGCCCCCAGGAGAAGCTAGGTGTGACTCTTTGGGAACTAGGATGTTTAGGATAAGCTGTGTACACAGGGGAATTTAGAAAGTCATGGACATGCCCAGGCAAGATATGTGCTCAGAGAAGTCCACACTTTAAGCTTTCCATAGACTTAGAGCAAGTCTAGTTAAGTTGTGAAGGAGTGCCCAGAACAAAACCAATCTGCAAAGACAGGAATGTGGCTGCTCTTTCTGTTAAATTTTTTAGTGGTTTTCCTTTTGTCTTAGCTCCTGGCATTCAAAGAAATCTGTCAAAACATCACCTGAACATGAACTACAGAAGGAAAAATTTCAGTGATCCTACACAACCAGGAATGGCCTTTGTAAAAATAGTCTGAAAAATTTTCAAAATGAACAAACTACTACAGGATTTTACAATTAAAAAACAAAAAACAAAAACAAAAATAATCCATTAACTTATGGGGAAGTGGGGGGGGATATAATTTATAGAGTTACTACATTATAATAATCAAACACCCAACTTTCAACAACAACAAAAACAAAATAAAAAACACAAGACTTAAAAAGAAACAGAAAAACATAGCTCATTCAAAGGAACTAAATAAATGGACAAAAACTGCCCCCAAAGAAGCCAATATTTTAGACATACTGGACAAAGACTTAAAATATCTATCTTAGATATGCTCAAAGAGGTGAGGAAAAACAAGAAGAAAGAAATAAAGAGGCTTGGCATGGTGGCTCACACCTATAATCAATCAAGATGGGAGAATCGTTAATTGCAGGAGTTTGAGATCACCCTGGGCAACATAGTGAGGTCCATCTCTAATTAAAATAAATAAATAACTGGGTTTGGTGGTGCATCCCTCTAGCCCCAGCTACTTGGGAGGCTGAGGTGGGAGGATTGCTTGAGCCTGGGAGGTTGAGGCTGCAGTGAACCATGATCATGCCACTGCATTTCAGCCTGGGAGACAGAATGAGACTTTCTCTGAACAAGCAAACAAACAAAAAAGAAAGAAAAGAGAAATAAAGGAAATCAGGAATTACTGATTTGTTTAAAGAACTGAAATAAAAAAGCTATTAACAAAGAATTCCATGTTCTGCAATACTGTCTTCTAAAAATAAGGAATATATTTGAGGCATTAACAAATAAAAGCCGAGGGACTTCATTACCACTTGTCTTATAAGAAATGCTAAAGGGAATCTTTCAGGTGAAAATTCAAGGGCACTAGACAATAGCTGGAAGCCATATGAACATAGGTTTCTGGTAAAAATAAATACATGAGAAAATATAAAAGTCAGTAATATTGTAATCTCGGCTTGTATCTCTATTATTTTTCTATAGAATTTAAAAGGCAAATGCACAAAAATCATTATAAATCTGTTATTGGGCACACAAAACCTTGATAAAGAGGGGCACAAAGCTGTACAGGGGCACAAAGCTATACTCAACTCTGCTGTTTACAATTAAAGTTAAGTTAAAGTTGATAGCAACTCAAATTAGATAGTTATAACTTTAGGATGTTACATGTAATCACACGTAATAAAAAAGGAAATATCTATAATATGATATAATACAATATACACAAAAGGAAATAAGCAAGGTATCAAAATGTGTCATTGCAAAAAATTACCTAAACACAACTGAAGACAGAAATGGAGAAAATGAGGAACAAAAAATCTAGAAGATATACAGAGAACGAATATAAAATGACATAAGTAAGTTCTTCCCTATCAGTAATTCATGCTCCATCTACATGCTGTCAAGAGACTCATTTCAGATCTAAAAGCACAAATATGTTGAAAATTAAAGGATGGAAAAAGACATTACATGCAAATGAAGACCAAAAGGGAGTGAGGATGCTCACAGTAATATTAGACAAAATGGAATTTAAGTTAAAAGATACTGGCATAAGAGACAAAGAAAGACTGATATTAATAAAAGGGTCAATTCACTAAGAAGATAAAACAACTATAAACAGATATGTACCAAAAATCAGAGCTATGAAATTTATTAAACAAACATTGACAGAATTAAAGGGAGAAATAGGAAGACTTACGTTAATAGCTGGAGACTTCAGTACCCTACTTTAATCAGGTATAGAATCAGACAGAATGTAAGAAAAGATAGAAACAAGAAAATAGAGGACTTGAACATCTCTTTTAACTGAGTGTACCTAACACACATATACAAAACCCTCTGCTCAAAGATAGCAGAATACATGTTTTTCTCAAGTGCACATGGGATATTCTCCAGGATAGATCACATGTTAGGCCACAAAACAAGTCTTAAAAAATCTAGAAAGTTTTAAATCATACAGAACACTTTTTCCAATCACAATGTAATAAACTAGAAATCAATACCAGAGGGAAAACTAAAAAATTCACCAATATGTGGAAATTAAACAAAATGCTCTCAAATAAACAATAGGACAAAGAAGAAATCACAAAGAATATTAGAAAATACAAATGTTTCTTGGCATACAATTGGGGTATATCCCATTAAACCCACTGCTAATTCGAAAAGTCATTAATGGAACAATCATAAGTTAGGGACAGTCTGTACCTTGAGATTAATGACTATGAAAACACAACATACTAAAACTTATGAGATGCAAGGAAAGCAGTGCTAAGAGGGTAATTTATAACTCTAAATGAATAAGTTAGAAAAGCTCTTCAATCAATAAACTGACTTTACATCTTATGTAACTAGAAAACCAAAAGAAAATTATACCCAAAAATAGCAAAGGAAAAAAAAAGATTACAGCAGAGATAAATGAAAAAGAGAACAGAAAAATAGAGAATATCAATGAAACCAAAAGTTTGTGTGTTTTTTTTTTTGGAAAAATCAACAAAATTGACAAACTTCTTTCTTGGATGACTTAGAATAAAAGAAGGATTACTCAAATTACTAAAATCAGAAAATGAGAGTGGGACTATGACTACCAATTTAACAGAAATAAAAAAGATTATAAGCACATAAAATGAACATCTGTACACCAACAAGTGGAATTAAATAGATAAAATGTTTTTTATGAATTTGGGTGTTCTTAAGAATCTGGGTGCTCATGAAGAATATTTTGCTCTTTATGAATCTGGGTGCTCATAAAGAATATGATTTGATTTTGATAGACTGTGTGTTTCTAGGAATTATCCCATTTCATCTATTTAATTCTATTTGTTGGTGTTCAGATGTTCCTAGTATGTCATTATAAAATTTTTCATTACTGTTAAACTGGTAGTCATTTTCCCACTCTCATTTTCCCACTCTCATTTTCAGAAATAAGACTGCACACCTACAACCATCTGATCTTCAACAAAACTGTCAAAAACAAGCAAAGGGGAATAAATTCCCTATTTAATAAACATTGCTGGGATAGCTGGCTAACCATATGCAGAAAATTGAAACTGGACCCCTTTCTTACACCTTATACAAAAATTAATCAAGATGGATTAAATACTTAAATGTAAAACCCAAAACTCTAGAAGAAAATCTAGGCAATACCACTTGGACATAGGCACGGGCAAAGATTTCATGATGAAAACATCAAAAATAATTGCAACAGAAGAAACACTTGACAAAAGAAGCTATCATCAGAGTGAACAGACAACCTGCAGAATGGGAGAAAATTTTTGCAATCTATCCATCTGACAAAGGTTAAATATCCAGAGTCCACAAGGAACTTAAACAAATTTACAAGAAAAAAACAACCCCATTAAAAAGTGGGCAAAGGACATGAACAGACACTTCTCAAGAGAAGACATTCATGCAGCCAACAAACATATGAAAAAAAGCTCAACATCACTGATCATTAGAGAAATGCAAATCGAAACCACAGTGAGATACTATCTCATGCCAGTCAGAATGGCAATTATTTAAAAGTCAAAAAACAACAGATGCTGGTGACGTTGCAGAGAAAAAGAAATGTTTTTACACTGTTGATGGGAGTGTAAATTAGTTCAACCATTGTGGAAGGCAGTGTGGTGATACCTCAAAGACCTAAAGGCAGAAATACCATTTGACCCAGCAATACCGTTACTGACTGTATGCCCAAAGGTATATAAATCATTCTACTTTAAAGATACATGCATGTGTATGTTCATTGCAGCACTATTCACAATAACAAAGGCATGAAATCATCCTAAATGCTTATCAACGATAGACTGGAAAAAGAAAATGTGGTACATATACACCATGGAATAATATGTTGCCATAAAAACGAATGAGATCATGTCCTTTGCAGGGACATGGATGGAATTGGAAGCTATTATCCTTAGCAAACTAATGCAGGAACAGAAAACTAAACACCACATGTTCTCACTCATAAGTGGGAGCTGAATGATAAGAACACATGGACACATGAGGGTGAACAACACACACTGGGGCGTGTTGGAGGGAGAGCATCAGGAAGAATAGCTCATGGATGCTGGGGTTACTACCTAGGTGTTGGGATGATCTGTGCAGCAAACTACCACGGCATACGTTTACCTATGTAACAAACCTGCACATCCTGCATGTGTACCCCGGAACTTAAAATAAAAGTTGATGAAAAATAAAAAAATTTAAAAAATTGTGAAGAAATAGAAAATCCGAACAGACCTATAATAGTAAGGAGATTGAATTAGTTATAAAAACCTCTCAACAAAGAAAAGTCCAGGACCAGATGGCTTCATTGGTAAATTCTGCCAAATATGTAAGGAAAAATCCTTTGCAAACTCTTCCAAAAATCTGTAGGTGATGGAACACTTCTAAACGAAATCTATAAAGGCCAGCACTGCACTGATACAAAAGCCAGACAAAGACACTGTAAGAAAACTATACACCAAAATCCCTTATCAATATTAGTGCAAAAATCCTCAACAAAATACTGCAAACTGAATTCCACAGTTTATTAAAAGATTTTTATATCCCCAAAGAATGAGATTTATTTCCATAATTTAAAAATGATTCAACATTAAAAAATCAGTATTATACACTTCATTAGTAGAATTAAGACAACTACATGATCTCCATTGATAAAGTATTTGATAACATTCAATACCTGTTTTGATTAAGACACTCAAATTAAAAATAAAGTTCTTCAACATGAAAAAGGACATATACGAAAACACACAGCTAAAATACTCAATGCTGAAAGATAAAAAATGTTTCCCCTAAGATCAAGAGCAATACAAGGATGTCCATTTTCATTGTGTCCATTCAACATAGTATGGAAATTCAAGCCAGAGCAATTAGGCAGGAAATAAAAATAAAAGGCATCCAAATTGCAAAGAAGAGGCAAAATTGTCCCTATTTATGAATGATATGATCTTACTTGTAAAAACCCTAAAGATTCCACAAAAAACTGTTAGAGCTAATAAATAAATTTAGTAAAGTAGCAAGATACAAAATTGGCCTGCAAAAATTAGCTGCATTTCTATAGACTAACAATAAAAAATAAAGTGAAATTAAGATAACACTTCTATTTACAATAGCACCTCACAAATAAAATGCTTAGGAATAAATTAAGTGAAGGAGGCAAAAATAGGTTTACTGAGAACCACGAAACATTGTTAAAAGAGTTTAAAGATAGAATTAAATTGAAAGACATTTTATGTTTAAAGATTAGAAGGCTTAATATTGTTAGACTGACAATACTAGCCAAAGACATCTACAGATTTAGTGTAATCTTTACCAAAATCTCAACAGCATTTTTGTTGCAGACATAGAAAAATCCAGGTAAAATTCACATGGAATCTCAAGAGATGACAAATACTATCCCTTAGCCCCTCAAAAAATCTTCAAAAGGAGAAAGTAGAGTAATTGTGTTTTCTGATTTCAATATCTATTACAAAGCTACAGCAATCAAAACAATGTGGTACCGGTTTAAGGACAGGTATATAGACCAATGAACAGTATAGAAAGCATAGAAATAAACCTTTATGTATATGGTTGATTGATTTTTAAAAAATGTTGCCAAGACTATCTAATCTGGAAAAGGACAGTAGTTTCAACAAATGGTGCTGTAAAAACTGCATGTCCACATGCAAAAGAATGAAATTGGGCCCTTACTATACGCCATTACAGAAATTAACCCAAAATGAATCAAAATCTAAATATATGAGATAAAACTACAAAAATCTTAGTAGAGAACATAGGAAAACACCTTTATGACATTGGATTTGATAATAATTTTTTGGATGTGACACCAAAAGCACAGATAACGAAACAAAAAAGTCAAAAACTGAACTTTGTCCATGCCAATTACATTTTTATGCATCAAAGGAGAGTATCAAGAAAGTGAAAAGACAGTCCACAGAATGGAAAAGAACATTTGCAAATTAAGTATCTGATAAGAGATTAATATCCATAATATATAAAGAACTCCTACATATCAACAACAAAAATCAAACAAGTCCAACAAAAATTAAGCAAAAGACTTAAGTAGACATTTCTCCAAAGAAGATACACAAATGTCCAATAAGCATGTGAAAAGAGGCTCAACATCACTAGTCATTAGGGAAATGCCAATGAAAACCACAATGAGATACAACTTCACATCCATTGGGATGGCTATTATCAAAAAAGAGAAAATAGCAAGTGTTGGAGAGACTGTAGAAATATTGGACCTATTGTGCATTGTTGCTAGGAGCGTAAAATGGTGCATCCACTGTGGTAGACAGCTTGGCAGTTCCTCAGAAAGTTAAACATAGAATTACCATATGTTCCATGAATTCCACTTGTAAATATGTATATACCCAAAAGAAGTGACAGCAGAAACTCAAACAGATATGTGTTTGCCAGTATTCATAGCAGCATTATTCACAATAGCCTGATGGTAGAAGTAACCCAAGTGTTCATCAACACATGAATGGGCAAACAAAAAGTGGTACATATACATGCGGAGAAATATTATTCAGCCATAGAAACGGATGAAATTTCATAGATGGCATAACATGGATATACCTTTAAAACCTTTTGCTAAGTGAAATAGGTCAGATAGAAAAAGTCAAATATTGCATGTTTGTGTGAATATATTGTATAATTCCACTTACGTGAGATACCTGTGGTGGACATTTCATACATACGGGAAAGAGAATAGAGATTACCAGGGTTTGGAAGAGGGAGAAATGGGTAGTAATTGTTCAGTGAATAGAGACTTTCAGTATGCGAGGATGAGAAAATTCTGGAGATGCATGGTGATCGTGATGGGTGCAAAACTGTGAATGTACTTAATGTCAAGGAATTGTACACTTAAAACTAGTTAAAATGGTCAATTTAATGTTGTATATATTTTATCACAATTAATAACTTAAAAAACCTAATAGCATGGATTGTGGATCAGGTAGACACAAGTTATAAGATCCAAGTTTGAATCTGCTGAATGTCTAGGGCATGCTACTTAACCTCTCTGAGCCAGTTTCCTCCTCTCCCCAGGGCTAAACATCGTCTCCACCCCTACTTCATGGCTGGTGGTAAAGATAAGCGGGAAATGTGGGCTGGTACAGGGGACCCCACAGCACAGGCCTCCAGTGCACGGTCACTAGGTCAGCCTGAAATCAGAGGCCAGGCTGAAGGAAGTGAGCAAGGAAGCCAGTAGGTGAGGAAGGCGTGGAGACTGAGGACTTGTCAGCCTGGAGCAGGAAACATTCCTGGGGAACACAACAGTATTAAGCAGGAAAACAAAATGAAACAAAAAGGAAATTTCCCGCATTAATAAGAGGACAATGAAGCCTATTTATTCTATGATGAAGGCCCATTTTATTACACTCACAGGTTCTGAGGATCAGGCACTCAGGGCAGAGTGGGGAGGGCTCCACATGTCTGGAGACCCTGATGGGAAGGCTTGAGCAGCCGGACATGACTTGAAGGATTGGATACTGGGATTTCTGGAGGATCCTCCATTCATAAGTGTGGGTTCTGGCAGGAGGACTCAAAAGCTGGGCTCAGCTGGAACTGTGAATGGAGACTCTGCATGTGGCCTCCCTGTATGACCTGGGCTTCCTCTCAGCATGGTGGCTTAAAGGTGCTTGGGCTTTAACAGGTGGCTTAGAGTTCCAAGAGTAAGTATTTTCAGTGAGCAAGTCAGAAATTGTAGAGCCTTTTATGGCATCACCTTGGGAATCACACAGTGTCACTTCCACTGTACTCTATTAATCCAAGCAGTCAATGGGATACCAAGAGTCAGTGGGAGGGAACACAGGCCCCAGCTCTAGGGCAGGAGTGTGAATGAGTTCACATCCCAGTGTCAAAACTGCTGTATGACCAGGGCTTTGAATGGCAGAGAGGGTATAGTGTGTGGAAAAACATGGGCACAACCAAGTGGGATTCAAGCGTGATTCAGAAGTCAGAGTGTTACTGTAAAACATTTGTAGAAATACCTTAATCAATTTTATTTTCTCCATTTTTGTATGCACAAGAGTGGCATATAATTTTAGAAAATTTCTACCAAGTGTATATGTTCTGGCTATGTGTTCCTACCCAAATCTCATCTTGAATTATAATTCAAATTGTAACCCCCATGTGTTGGGGCAAGGACCTCATTGGAGGTGGTTGAATCATGGGGGTGATATGCTGTTCTCATGATAGTGAGTGAATTCTCATGAGATCTGATGGTTTTGTGAGGGGCTTTCCCCCCTTCGTTCTGCATTTCTCTCATTCTTCTCCTTCCTGCCATCATGTGAAGAAGGACGTGTTTGCCTCCCCTTTTGCCATGACTGTACGTTTCCTGAGGCCTCCCCAGCCATGCTGAACTGTGAGTCAATTAAATCTCTCTTTCCTTTATAAATTGCCCAGTCTTGAGCAGTTCTTTACAGCGGCATGAGAATGGACTAATGCAATAAATTGTTATCAGGTAGTGGGGTGCTGCTGTAAAGATATCAAAAAATGTGGAAGTGACTTTGGAACTGGGTAACAGGCAGAGGTTGGAACAGTTTGGAGGGCTAACAAGCAGACAGGCAGGATGATGTGGGAAGGTTTGGAACTTCCTAGAGACTTGTTGAATGGCTTTGACCAAAATGCTGATAGTGATATGTACAATGAAGTCCAGGCTGAGGTGGTCTCAGATGGAGATAAGTAACTTGTTGGGAACTAGGATAAAGGTGCTTCTTGCTATGTTTTAACAAAGAGGCTGATGGCATTTTGCCCCTGCCCTGGAAGTCTGTGGAACTTTGAACTTGAGAGAGATGATTTAGGGTATCTGGTGGAAGAAATTTCTAAGCAACAAAGGGTTCAAGAGGAAGCAGAGCATAAAAGTTTAGAAAATTTGCAGCCTGAAGATGTGATAGAAATGCAAAACCCATTTTCTGGGGGAAATTCAAGCCTGCTGCAGAAATTTGCATAAATAATGAAGAGATGAATGTTAATCATCATGACAATGGGGAAAATGTCTCCAGGTCATCTCAGAGACCTACAGCAGCTCCTCCCATCACAGGCCCAGAGACCTAGGAGGTAAAAATGGTTTCGTGGGCCAGGCTCATTGGCCCTCATCTCCTCTATGCAGCCTTGGAACATAGTGCCCTGCGTCTCAGTTGCTTCAGCTCCTGCCGTGGCTAAAAGGGGCCAAGGTACAACTTGGGCCATTGTTTCAGAGGGTTCAAGCCCCAAGCCTTGGAAGCTTGCACATGGTGTTGGGCCTGTGGGTGCACAGAAGTCAAGAATTGAGGTTTGGGGCCAGGTGTGGTGGCTCACGCCAGTAATCCCAGCACTTTGGGAGGCCAAGGCCAGCGGATCTCCTGAGGCCAGGAATTCAAGACCAGCCTGGCCAACATGGTGAAACTCTGTCTGTACTAAAAATACAAAAATTAGCCTGGCATGGTGGCAGGTGCCTGTAATCCCAGCTACCTGGGAGGCTGAAGTGGAGAATCACTTAAACCCAGGAGGTGGAGGTCACAGTGAGCCGAGATCATGCCACTGCACTCCAGCCTGGGCAACAGAGTGGGACTCCATGTCAGGAAAGAAAAAAAAAAAAAGAATTGAGGTTGGGAAATCTCTGCCTAGATTTCCGAGGATGTGTGGAAACACCTAGATGACCAGGCAGAAGTTGCTGCAAGGGCAGGCCCCTGATGGAGAACCTCTGTTAGGGCAGTGCAGAAGGGAAATGTGGGGCTGGAGCTCCCACACAGAGTCCCCACTTGGGCACTGCCTAGTGGAGCTGTGAGAAGAGGACAACTGCCCTTCAAATCCAAGAATGGTAGATCCACCGACAACTTGCACCTTGTGCCTGGAAAAGCCACAGGCACTCAAAGGCAGCCCAAGAAAGCAGCTGGGAGGGGGTCTGTACCCTGTAAAGTCACAGGGCCAGAGCTGCCCAAGGCCGTGGGAGTCCACATCTTGCACCAGCATGACCTGGGTGTGAGACATGGAGTCAAAGGAGGTCATTTTGGAACTTTAAGGTTTAATGACTGCCCTATTGGGTTTCAAACTTGCATGGGGCCTGTAGTCCCTTTGTTTTGGTCAATTTCTCCCATTTGGAATGGGTGTATTTACACAATGCCTGTACTTGCATTATATCTAGGAAATAACTTTCTTTTGATTTTACAGGTTCATGGGTGGAAAGGACTTGCCTTGTCTCAGATGAGACTTTGAACTTGGACTTTTGGGTTAATGATGGAATTAGTTAAGACGTTGGCAGACTGTTCGAAAGGCATGATTGTGTTTTGAAATATGAGGACATGAGATTTGAGAAGGACCAGGGGTGGAATAATATGGCCTGCCTCTGTTTCCCCACCCAAATCTCATCTTGAATTATAGTCCTTATTGTAATGCCCATATGTAGGGGGAGGGACTTACTGGGAGGTGATTGAATCATGGCGGTGGTTGCCCTGTGCTGTTCTCATGATAGTGAGTGAGTTCTCAGGCAATCTAATGGGTTTGTGAGGGGCTTTTACCCCCTTCACTCTGCACTTCTCTCATTCTTCTCCTTCCAGCCACCCTGTGAAGAAGGACCTGTTTTGCTTCCACTTCCACCATGATTGTAAGTTTCCCGAGGCCTCTGCATCCATGCTGAACTGTGAGTCAATTAAACCTCTTTCCTTTATAAATTACCCAGTCTCAGGCAATTCTTTATAGCAGTGTGAGAATGGATTAATACAGTCTAAAATAGATCTTTCTTTATATAACTTAAAAATTACAAGTGATGAAAAGCATTTGAGTTGGTTGGTTGTCAGTTTTTTCCCCCTCTTTTGGAGCTGTATTTAGTATAATAGAATATCTTAAATTAGTGGTCTTTTATAATAAATGAAATTGGGTGTACTTCGCCCCAGCATATTAGGGTTCCCTTGCTTCATGCCTTCCATGACAGTTGGTATTATTATATTTTAACATTTATGCCTAATGATTAAACATCTCCTTGTGGTCTTAATTTGCATTTTCTAATTACTCTAGAGACTTCGTCCTTTCACATGATTTTGGTCGTTAGTGGTTCCTCTTTGAAGTGCCTATTCATGTCTGTGTCCATTCGTTGCTTTGGGTGTTCCTCTCTTTCACACTAATTCATTAAAAGTATATATCCTGGATACTAATCCTTTATCAATTGCTGCAAGTATCTTCTTTCAGTGTGTGGCTTGCTTTTTCACTCCGTTTGTTGTTTTTTAATCAAAGTATAAGTTCTTAATTTTAACGCACTTTAACTGTCATTTTCCACCATGGCCCGAGTCGCGGAGTCCGCCTTCCTGGCAGAGCGTTGCGTGGTCACAGCTGAGGTCTGGGGAGCAGAGGCGGCGGGCGCTCCCGGGGGGAGCTGGGCGATTCCGGCGGGGGGAGGTGCCGATCGAGCGGCCGCCAGGCTGCTGGGGGAAGGAGGGCCAGGAGGCCGTGGGGGTCCTCGGCGCAGACTGGAGCCGCAGGCACCGCGCGCAGCCCTCGCCCGCATCGCCGAGGCCCCGCGGGCCCAGGAGCGAGAGGTCGGGCGCCCAGGACCAGAGGGCGTAGGCGAGAGCAGGCACCGCCTCCAAAGAACGCCCTCGCCCTCCCGCAGGCGATGGCGCCCGGCCCTGACCAAGCCAGCTGGGGGCATCTCCGCGGAGCTGAGCCGGGGAAGGGCCGGGCAGCCCAGAGGGTCAGAAGGGGGTTTTCTCCCGGGGTTGTGAGTTCTTTGGCCAGCGGCACCCTCCCCTGCCGGGGCCGCCCACCCGCAAGCCCCGCCCCGAAGGCTGGAGCTTCCCTGGGGGTGGGCGACGCCGAGACCACGCCCCGAAGGCGGGAGCGGCTTGGGGGCGGGATCTGGCCGCCCTCAGGGCTCCGGCGCCAAGTTCAGAGCCACGCGCAGTGCTCTTGGCCGGGAGGAGGCTGTGCTGCACCAGCACCTCTTGCTCCACATCTCCAGAGAGCCCAGGTGAGGCGCACCCTCCTGTCTGCAGGGACAGAGCCGCGAGCGGGCGCGGGCGGCGGGGTCCATCTCACTTCCACATCAGCCTTTCCCCAGGACAGGGTTGTTGAGTCCTGCCTTTGACTGTGGGGTCCTTTCCTTCCCAATGTCGCCAGCTTCCTCTCTCTCCCACGTCGTCTCCGAGTCCCATCCCCGTTTCTGTTCCCTTTCTCTTCTCTCACTTTTTCTCCTCTATCTCTTCTTTATTGTCTTCCTGTTTTCATTTTCTTCTGTGTCAGTCTCTCTCCCTCTCTCTTTTCCTCTCTTTGTTTATTCTTCTCCCCTACCTTCTCCCTCTCCCCCCTGTTTTTTCAGCACTCAAGAATTCTGCCTATGAATTTTTCTCCTAGGGTGACTTTCAGGCTGCAGTTGTTTTCCTCCCTCCCACTGTCTCTCCCGGGGTTTATCCTGTGTTGCTGTTATTCTCAGCCCGGGCTTGCGCTGGGCAGTAGGGTAAGAACCATGCATCAGCCCCAGATCCTTTCTCCAACAGATTATATCCAAAGATCTGGACATGTATCCTGTTCACTGCCTTTCCTGGGAAACAAAACAATACCAAATGATCACATTATAATGAGTTTTTAGAATGAGCTAAAAGAACATACCTGGTTTTAGAGACAAGGGGTTGATTGAATCCTTTCCTTGACATTTTGCCTTTACTAATAGACACAGACAGCACAGCAGGAAGCTAAGCCTTGCAGAAGCATTTAGGGGGCGTTCCCACCCACACCTGCCTTCTGGGCAGGCTATGCAATGCCAGGTGCAGGGGAGGGAGGGGACAGGATTCAGAGCAGGGTTGTAGGAAGACAGTGGGAGGCCAGGGCTTTGAAACATTTGAGGGAGCCTGGAAATAAGAAATTAACAGTAAATTTCTAAAATATGTAGTTGCCAATGCCACTGATGTACAGAAATGAAATTAATTACTCCTGAGGGAGACATTAGACATTTTATGGCAGTAATTATGGCATTTGAAAGTAATGATTTTATGTACATTAGATAGGAGGGCCAAGGGGAAAATATTTCCTGTTAGTATCAAAGATTGTCGTAGATGCATAAGGGACGAACTCTAGAAAATCAAGTCTCATTCTTTTTGAGGGATAAAATAGAACTATATCGAGGCAATTTTTTGTTTCTTGGTTACAATGTAATCTTATCAGAGATATGTGATTTAGTTTTTAATGATATTTTATGACACATACATATTTATATGTTCAAACACACACAAATACATAATATATATGCACTAAGTTATAAAAGAGCCCTTGTTTGTTTGTAAAGATCTTAATTACCAATAAAGGTTGAAGCTTTCACTTCTTGGAAATAAGTTAACATGATATTGTAGTTTATTATGACCTTTAATGAAAATTCAACTAATTTACTTTTGATTGATACAGAAATGGAAATTTGGCCGTAGATAAATCACACAGAATTAAACAGAAATTAAGTATGATGAAGGTGCATTGCAGTGTGTTCAGTGAAAGAATTTGCATATGCTAGATATTTTGGACAAATTCATAGGTATGTGCATGGAACTGTGATTTGTGAGGCTTTTTTCTGGTTTAAAAAGTTAAATTGCCTTTATATCTAATCCCTGATCCCCAACATATGCGGATTCTGGGGGGAGGGATAAAAGACTTTGCAAATGATTTAGAATCATCGTGTCTGCTTTGCTTGGCAGATTTCTTTTCAGACATCCAAGAGGTGGCAACTTTTGTTTGAAACATATAATCACACCAATTATTTAAAAAAAAAGACAAACTTAAATATTTTTAAACTTATTTTTCCTCATTAGTGGTCTGTGCCTCTATAAGAACATCATTGTCTTTTTATCCTTAGATGATGCTATTGTTGGAACCTGGGAAGGTCGGAAGGAATAGCTGAGGTAAAATCATGGACTTTTTGCCTGAAGGCTGCCAGTGGAATTGGGACCACTGTCTCAGGCTCCACCTTTATTCTCTAGTTGTATCAGGAAAAGAGCTGCTGTTCCTTGTGCTCTTGCTATCTGGCATGCACAGAGCCCTGTTGAGTCCTGTCCGTGAGTGCCTGAAGTGAAGATCACCATTCTTGTTTTACTTATGAAGAGATGGAGGCCCAGAGTGTTTGTCTGAGCTCAGGCAGGTAGTGGCAGGGTTGATTTGGAACACAAGTAGTGCCCTGGCGCCTGAGTGACCAGGGCTAATTCAGTCCCTTTATGTGACTTCCATGTTGCTGCAGCCCTGGCAAATATAACGTCTAAAATATCACTCCACACAGCACCAGCCACTGCCTATTGGCATTGTTTGGCAGAACACTGCTCCCTGTTCTATGTCCTGGCCATCCTCAGTCATATTCATGGCAGACTCTCAATCTGCACAGCAGGGCCCCATTGAAGCATTGGATCTGCCCTCTGCTTTCACTGGCCCTGCTTCTGCACAGTCTCAGACATCTGAGTGGATGATGAGATCACATCCACCCCTATGAGGGTCGACGTGGCCAAGTTATGTTGCACTAGGGCCACTCTCCCTGCTTCCATGGGTACTGGCTGTGTTCGCAGTCTCCTGCACTTGGCTTTCCTCGAATGCAGCAGGCATTGCTGCTAGAGGGGTCCAGGCGTAGCTGGCCACAGAGCCTGTAGGGGCTGACCAGGAATTGCTCATCTCCCCAGTGCCACCAGCCAGCCTCTGGGAAAGCCTGGATCACCTTCAGTGTTTAATTTCCTCAGTGTGCCAGAGCCAGGAGGATTCCTGGAAACAGGTGTATTCCCTTTCTTAGGAAACCCCAGGACCTCACAATCCAAATGCAGAAAAGGCCCGTAGATGATTGTCCTCTGGAATCTTCCAAAAGGGTCTGGGAAGCTTCTGCAGAGACTAGGGATACCAAAGGATTAGAAGACAGGAGGTATTTTCTGCTCTTGTGTGTTTTAACTGAAGAGAAAAGCAGATGCAGCAAAGCACTGCTTGGGGGGAGCGGGTGGGGGTACATGGTGTCTCTGAATAAGATCTGGTGCCTGACCTGCAGCTCAGAACAGCTTGAGGCTGGCCAGTTGGCTTGGGTTAGGGAGTGACTTCAGACATCCCAGGAAAAAGAGGTTATCCAGATGTTTGCCAAGAGTTCTTTCTTCTGTAGGTGGAGCAGGAAGGAGAAAAATGCCCAGGCTGTTTGGTCATTTATTAAACACTGTTATGCACTGGTCCCTGAGAGCTCAGGAGTAATGGGAAGGCTGCCATGGAGTGGACTCTGTCCCTTTGCACTCAGTGCGATAAGAAGTGATACCCCTAATGTTTACTGAGCCAGGTTCCTTAGCACTTTCTCTATATTAATCCTTCTAATCTTTCCCACAACCCAGTGAAGAAAACACCAAGGTGACCCTCTTTATAGATCAGAAAACAGGCCTGGAGGGGACCCACGCCTTGCCCAAGGTCACAGGTTGGATACAGCAGAGCTGGCCTCCAACCGTGGAGCCCGTGCACTTAACATCTATTTGGATGGAAGGCTCGAAGGTTACCTGAGACAACCTGGTCAAGGTGATAATGTGGGAGAATGTGGCCAGTGGTTCCCAGATGAGTGAATGATCAGTGTGCAGTCACCAGAGGATGGGTGATAAACCGAGAACCACAAGCTCTTAACACTGTGGGGTGGGCGAGGCTTCATCTCCCAGGATGCAGCACTTGCTGAGTTGGGCAACAGGGGACCCTGGTTGATGGCCCAGGTTGGTTGGAAGCCTTTGGGAGATGTGCTCTGTGTTGGTGGGGAAGGCCAGGCATGGTTAGATCCCCTGTAGACTTGGGGAGCTCAGTTTCAGAAAGTTTCAAAGATCATCACTTGATTTCTGTGATTCACGTGATCTGAGGGCTCTGAAAGTGGTGGGTGAGTCCTGGAATTAAATCTGTTTTTTTCAAGTAGGAAAGACATGGGGTGGCAATGAGAGACATCTGTGTGGCTCAGAAAGATGTCTTGCTGAGGTCAGAGGGACAAGAGCCAAGGAGAACAAGAGGAGCCCTTCCCAGGACACTCACAATGACAGAGTGACGAGGGCCAGTAAAGAGTGTCAGGGGGTGAGAGCCCGGGTGTGAACTGAACCTACTGAGGAGAGCTGACGACCACAAAGCATCTTTTCATATCATGTTCGGAGCAAGGAGAACAAGGGCTTCATAGATCCATCGCCGTCTAGGGCAGCTGGTGTCTGTGAAGGGGAGGAAGGCACAGCTCCACTGTGCCCACAGCGGTCTGGACAGAGGAGGATCTGCAGGTGCAAAGGGCGCAGGCAGGTTCCCGGAGGAAAGCAGGAGCCACGTAGCGTGGGCTGCAGTGTGTGTGCTCAGGGCTCTGACCAAGAGAATGCCCTGGCCAGGGTATAGCATGACCTGGAATGAGATACCCCCATCTGAGGTGCTGTCTGAGAGGTGTTGGAAATGAAGCCCGGAGGTGGAAGAGACTCAAATCTGATGTTGGCCCTGGGAAAGATCCTAGACTAAGAAGAAGGCTGTGAGTCTGTGGGCAAAGGAGAGACGTGCATGAGGAGCTGGCGGGGGCTCCCTGGGGACAAGTCATGCCAGCCTCACGTCATTTTCCACCTTGCAGGTCTTCGGTCTGGCCCTTGTTCTGTTGGGGTTCTGGAGGACGTGCTGTGCCCTGGCCTTACTGACCTTACTCCATGCAGTGCTGATGCATGCGACAGCGGTGACCCTCCAGGGTCCCAGGTGGGATGAAAGGTCCCCAGCTAGTTCCTAGTTTCATCTCCTCATTTTCTCCATCCTCCTGCTCCTTCTTATTAAGATCTGGATGTTAACATTGATGGAGTGTGAAGCTGGGTGGGATATTTAATTCAGCAGTTGGCGGTGTCAGGATCCACAGTGGTCTCTGAAAGCTGAGATGCTGCCCTGAGTTTATCGGGATGGCATTTGGCAGATTGGAGATAAGTGCATCTGAATTGAGACACATAGCTTCCCTCATATGGTTTTTATGAAAATGAAATGAACAAGGTGCCTTATTTCATTTGTTAATACTATTGTTTGTCATGTAGATACTTACGTAGCCGATAAATGGTAACTTCTATTCTGATACCCTGAAGCATCCTGATAGCAAATGTTCCATCCTGCTGTAAAGGAGAACTGGTTTCTTCCAATTAGTCATACATGAGTAGGTCTGGGATGGCCTGGAGAGACAGCTTAGCCAGAGCGCATTTTACAGATGGAAACCTGAGGCTCAGAGAGGTTGAGTGCTTTGCTCGGGAACACAGAGAGGAGTGATGTTTCTGCCTCTGCCTCTTTGGGAGACACTGGCCGACATTCACCTCTGACGTCAGGCACCCCCTCTGAGGAATCCACTCAAAAAGGGCATCAGGAGTGGTGTGGAGCCTGCTGCACCACGTGGTTTGCGTCCTCTTCATGAAGTCACACGGGGTGGTCTGCAGGGCAAGGCGGGGTGGCGATGTTCCACAGGAGCTAGTCAAAAGCTTGTGACAAAAGGGAACGTGAGGTTTTATGTTCACTTTTCTTGCTTTCTCTCTGATTTATCCCATGCTTTCACTCCATGAGAGGGTTGGGCTCTCTGTCTCATCTCCTTGAGAGCTCCTGCAGGAAGTGGCTGGACGCAGGTACATCCTTTCATGGCTGGGCGGGAAGCAGGGAGAGGAAGAAGCTGATTTGGCCCAGGCTATATTTATGCATAGCAAGCCATGGAGGCTCTCATCCACTCCTAGATTCTCCCTGAGCCCTGGGATAAATATTTTCTAAGGATGAGAATTCTGGAATGCTGAGTGGAGTCTGGTTCTGCCAGTACCTCTCACCAGTGGAGGGGGCACTTGAAGAGCTTGAGTTCTAGTTTCCAGAACTTGAGGGTGGGGCTGGTGAGAGCGGGTAGGGATGAAGGCATCCCAGCAGGGCTGATACCACCTCCCCATGGGTGCCACCTTTACATGTGGTCAGTGCATGTCTTCCCTTCCACACCGTGGGCACTTCCAGGGTGAGGCTGAAAGCTGGTCCATCCATGGAGGTCCAGTTTGGCACAGGCAGGCAGTTCGCGAAGCTCTGCCAGGGGAGCAGAGAAGCGAGTGGATCCATGTGTGGGGAGAACCAAGAGTGAGCACTTCTGGCGAGTGGAGATGAGGTTACACATGCTCTCTCTAGGGGCAGGGCCAGGTGGTGGGGTGGCAGCCCCTTAGTGTGGGGGTGGGGGCCAGGCACAGCCAGACCCATCCTGCCAAGCCTGCATGTGCATTGCTCCAACTTTTGTCCTTCTGTGCACCTATGCCTACAGATCCCCTGTCCCCAGGTGCCTGAAGTGGCCTGGCACTCCTGAGGGTCAGGAGAAAAAATGAGTATGGCAACCAGCAAGGAAGGAAAACTGCCCTCAACCAGGGTGCAAACACAGTCGAATTAAGTCAGAGCTGGCAGGCAGAAGCCCTGTGTGCTCTGTGAATGTGGCAGCTGCTGCTAGATGCTGACAGGTGCAGGGGCAGGGCTGAGCCGGCGCCTCCGGGTGGCAGCCGTGTGTGTGTGTGTGTGTGTGTGTGTGTGTGTGTGTGTGTGTGTGTGATTGTTATTGCTGGCTCCTCTGGGTGGCAGCCATGTGTGTGTGTGTGTGTGTGTGTGTGTGTGTGTGTGTGAGATTGTTATTGCCGGCATCTCTGGGTGGCAGCTGTGTGTGTGTGTGAGTGTCTGTGTTTGATTGTTATTGTTCTGTGAGAGAGTCCTGGAGGTATAGTGCTCTGAGCTGAGGTGAGTTGTCACATCCATAGCAATCAGGATTCTTTGGATGCAAACCACAGCGATGGACTCTGGCCAACTTTGTGAAGAAGGAATTAATTAGAAGGTTATGGTGGCAGGTAGATCACAGTGTCAGAGGAAGAACTGGAGAAATAAGCTCAAAAAAGACCGGGATTGAGCTATTCAGAGAGTTCCAGTACCAGGCACACATAAGCAGCTTCTCAAACTGAAACTGGGTTTGGTTAGGAAGGATGCTGAGTAGCATAAAACAGAACCAAGCCATCTGACTGCTCTTGTCGTAGAGATCGCGTATTCCTCCTTTCCTGTCAGCTGGTTTAAAAACCTGGGGCAAAGGGGGACCCTGCAGTCCACCCCACTCTTCCTGAGATGCCCTGCGGGGGTTGCAGAGATAGATCAAACACAGGCTGTCTCTCCCCAGGGACCAACAGTCCAGTAGGTGATAGCGGCAACACTGACTATGGCCAGGCAGGCTGCTGAAGGTGGTCTCTGCAACCCGAGTCAGCATGGCAGCCCTGACGGTGTTTTGGTGTGAGCAGCTCGCAGATGCAGCCCAGTTGTTTTGCTTTCTGGGCTGCTTCTTGAGGGTCACCTCAAGTCTGCACACAAGGGTAGAGCTGCAAGCTCTGGAGGGAAATAGCACTGGGTTATAATTTCCACTGGAGGACATCTATAATTTCATGTCTCTGAGTGTGAGTTTGGCCACAGGCTCCTCTGTAGGTGTCTGCACGGGAACCAGTGAGGACCCTCAGGCTTGAGCCCCCATTCTGCTGGATCTGGTGGTCTGGAAGGCTGGGCATAGTGTGACTGCCTCAGCCCCTCCATTTGTGCTAGGGCTGGGGGAGAAGGAGGATGGGGTGGGGAGTTCTCTGACTTTGCACGGTGGGAGTACACCCTTCTTGGAGGATATGAGTGCAAATGGATGTCAAGGAGCCCAGAGCTCTTCAGAGCAAAGAGCTGGGCAAATTCCTGGCTCCCACTCTAACTCTCTCTCCTTATTCTCCCATACCTCCCTCGGCAGGGTTGAATTTCACAATTGGGTCTGACCTGGCTTAGTGTGAATGAAAAGTGGTCGTTTACAGGAATCCTCTCTGTCTCGCTGAATTCCTGCCCCTCAGTCTTTTCCTCACGATTGAAATATACCCAGCCCTTCTTTTCCACTAGGACTTTGCCTGTGCCATCTTACCATCCCTGATTGGTGAACTCGTATTCATCCATCAACACCCAGAGATAATATCACCTCCTCAATGGGACATTCCTCAGGCACCCCAGGCAGTCCATGGTCCATCCCTGATCTTGAAGCATTTCTCCCAAACCACTCAAGTGGGCTTGTCTCCATCCCAGGTCCTGTTACGAAGAGGTGTTTTTCTCTCTCATTGCATGTGGAGCAATACTTCCATGCTATTCATCCTGTTATCACAGAATAAAAGAACGACTGTCTCCCCTAAGAGATATGGTGTGGGTCCCTGTGGCTAGACCATGTGATCTTACCCATAAACAGTCCTCACAAACACTCTCGATTTACGTCTAACCCACTCTTGTCACTGCCTGGCATTCGCGTGTGCCGTTCTTTCTGCCCTCTCTTTTCTTTGTATCTGTCTGCCCTTTGGAGGCCTCCTGCCTCTTCCAGGAGGGTCTCTCTGATTATTCTGGTGCCCAGAATTAGAAAGTATATGGGGTACATGCTGTGGTGTGTGGTAAGTGTTTAACAGCTGGTTCTCAGCATGTAGCTGCAACATGGATTTTGGGTGATATTTTCATTTACAATAAAGTGTAAGATGAAAGTGGAACAATGAACATATGTCAGAACTTCACTTGTTTGTCAGTGATCTAAATAACTTCTTTCCTAAATCACATAATAGTTTCGGAATACTAGAAGAATAGTCCCTCAGCTTTTTGTGAGCTATTCACAATATAACAGCTATCGACAAGACAAAAATTTCAGTTTAATCTGCATTATTGACAATTTTTTTCCATTACTTTCTTAAGTCCAGACAATGAACAAAACAAGAAATCAAGCCTTGATTTATAGCATTTCCATAAATAATCCCATTCTGGCTGATTCCCTGATTTCTGGCCACTCACGATATCCCTGGATGTGGCATGAGGAGGAGTGGACCGTGGCAAGCCCCCGCACCGGCAGGTGGAGCAGCGTCCACAGCGTAGGCAATGGGAATGTGTAGTAGAATGACTAGGAAATGATGGGTTCTGAGTATGTATTGCCTGTGTTTTTAATATAACTTCTTTGACTGTAAGTTTGTATAGTTTAGTTTTGAATAATGTCTGAGTTAAAACAGCTAACTTGAAACATTCCTGATCATCTCACAAGCCACTGTGAGCTGGCTCCAGCACACCACTGGCTGCATACCAAGAAAATCAAGTTGCAGGCAGAGACGAAAACCTTCAGACAGAATTGCGTGGCTGTGTCCACTCAGTTTCGTCAGGGGGTGAGCTTTATTAAGTGCCACAGTAACAGATACTGTCATTGGTTCAGTCAACAACTGTTTCTAACCCCATCTCACTTGGCTTTCCTGCACTGCAGAGGTTGGGAAGCTAAATCCATGTTTCCCAGACTCTTTTGCAGCCAGGGTGCAGGCCTTTGACACAGATCCTCACAAGCAGCCAGATACATCACCCAGCCCCGGATGTGCAGTCGAGTCCCATGAGCTGAAGTCTTTGGCATGCAGGTGATATCTGTCACTCACGGTGGCAGGGACATCTGGACTTGTGGGGTGGCTGTGGTGGACTTTGTAGGAGTTTGGTCCCTTGTGATTGGTGCTGGTACCAGCAGTTTCTACTAGACAGTGCCAGGGCATGGTTAGGCTTTTTTTTCTGGCTACCCTGACCCTTGGAGAGCTCCCAAGCTTGGTCTCTGGCTCTCACAGGGATTTAATGAGCTGCATGATAGCCTTTAATAAGTTCCTTTCTGTTTAAACTACCCAGGTAGAGGCTGCTGTCTGCAGGTGGGAAGCCCTGATTGCTGGAACCTAAGGGATGTGAGAAATCACTGTGGAGTGTCAAGGTAACCAGGGATCTGCTCCTGGGACCTATTAATCCACCTCTTTTAGAAGGAGTCCACAGTCCTGTTTGTATTTGAATATTCATGAACATTAGAAGAGCAACTTAGTCTGGGTATGGCTATGGCTGACAGAAGTATCATGCTGTGTCACAGCTGATTATTAGATCTGCATTTTTTGCCCTTTAGCTTGTCAAAATAATGTCTAAAAAACCAGATTGATCACAAAAGATGCATCATAATGCCACATAAAGATGTCACTCGGCGCCTTATAGTATTTAGGACCATAGAGGACACCTGGTGCAGCCTCCTCATTTTGCAGCTGAGCAAGATCTTTGAAGGACAAGGACCTGCCCAAGGCCATCTAGAAACACTGAAGTTGAGACTCATACCCGAGCATCTTAGCTTTTGCCCACCCCACGCTGTTTCTCAGTCTTAACCAGCAAGCTTTCCTTGTTATTTTGGTTTGTCTTACGTCTAGGTTTGATTTGGCAGCACATTTCAACATCTGGTGAAGGCATGGGAATAAAACAGTGTAGGTGGATGGAGCACCTAAGAGCAGAATGTTTGGTGTTCTCTCAGGGTACACTGGGCAAGGCCTGCTGGGCCGTCCTTCCTCGCCATGCTGCCTGCGTTTATTCAGTTAAGAAAGTGGCACATTTTGTATCTTTGAGAATGCAACTATTTTAGTTAGGAGAGTGATGTTCCGTCTATGGAAGACTTTGCCTCTCTCCATCTTGGGCTTGGAGAAGGTGTCCCATGTCCCAGCAGCATGGCTGTGTACAGTCATTGATTCTTTTGTTTACTTCTCCATGCCGTACATTTTGTTCCTGTCCCTTGATCACAAAGAAATAAATGAACGTTCCTGAGGCACTGACATGGGCCGGGTGAGGTGGGAGCCTCCTTCTAGATATTATTATCCTATTTAAATGCATTATGTTCCCACTCATTTCACGATTGCCCAGTATTCAGAGAAGTTGCATTACACAACTGAAGCTCCATAATAAATGCGTGGAGGTGAGATTCAAACCCACGTCTTTCCCATTCTACTTTTTGTGCCTTTCTGTTTTAATTTGCTTCTTGGTATTCCTGTGTATTATTAATAGTCTGAAGCTTGGAAATAGATGCAATAGTCATTAGAGTGAAGAAAATACAGTGCCGTGCTCTCTGAAGGATAACAAGGACATTTTTGTTGTAATTACTATTTTGATTTTTCTTTTAAGAATGTTGCCGAGGAAGGAAAACAGAGGGAAAAACCAGCAAAGCTCACTGTGTCTAACTTTTGCCACATGCATGGACCTAATTTCTTACTTGCCAAGCACTAGAGCCTTTATTTTTGAGACTCTGTGAGGGTGGCTGAGTTCTGTGTGTTTGCTGGGGTTGGAAAAATCTAGTGTGATGGGGGTCAGTGGCCCCATGACACGCCAAGGCAGAGTAAGCCACAGAGCTCAGTCTGCCATAGGTGTGGCTTCCTTCCTTCCTCACATCTGTGTCAACACCCGGCAGGAGGTGCCTGATTCCAGTGGGGATGAAGCAGCCTCTGCCCATCCCTCCATCACCCATCAAGAGCTCTGGACACACATGAGGTTGAACCCCCAGATGGTGGCTGCCAGGGGAGTGTGTCCACCTCTCACTTAGGCCAGGTGCGTGGCATCTCACTGCGGCAGGCATCCCATGGGCGAGGTCGGTGCTCTCCTGATGTCTTTGATATTTTTCTTTATCTGGCCTAGTCTGAGACCAGTACTTTCCCCTGCCTGTGACCCCTGACTTCATTTGCAAAGTTTTCTCATGCACTTTCTGAAATTTTCATGACAGAGAGCCCTGGAGGAATTTGGGGCAACGATGGAGGTGGAAGAAGGTTTAAAGCTGGGAATCTTTATGCATTTTCTCTGTTTTCTCCTTCTCTTTATTTTTTTTCTTGACCTATACTTCACACTGGTCTCTGTCTTCTCCATGCTTAGAAAGCAGAGGAGGCTTGAGCTTCCAGCAAAGACCTTGCGACATGTTACTGGATACAGGCTGGTGCATAGAAGGGGTGGGTGGGGAGGGCTGACAGGAGGGTGTCCCTCCCCTGAGCATCACCGGCTCTGTTCTTGGCCAGTTGCTCTTTGTCCCCACATTTCAGGTTCTCTTCCTGCATTCAAGCATGGGCAGGGCCAGGGCTGCTGTTTCAGGACTGCATCTAGCCCTGAAGTTTTCTCTGGGCCTCCACAGGGGACCTTCCTACTCTGAACTCCACATGCATTCTCCAGGCCACACTGCACACTCACCCTACTCTCCAGTCATTTCCAACTACTTAGAATTCAGTCAGTGTTGAGAGTCACCAGTCTTATGTAGACTGGAGCCTGGCACATAGTAGGTGCTTTTTGCATGTTTACTGAGTGAATGAATGAACAGAAAATGAAATGCACTTTGCCTAAAAGCTGATCTGATCTGATCTGAGTGCCCAGGCATTTCACCCTTCTTCCAAAGCTCTCCTTTTGTTCCTGTGGCCCAGGGAATGCTCAGTTCCAGGCTTGGCAGAGGAGGGGTCTCTCTAGGCAGTGTGAAACAGACTGTGAAGCCCCCATGAGAAATAGTCCACCCACTGGGAAGGCCCCTCCGCTCCCAGGAAACTCCAGCCAGAGCACTCCAGCGTGGGGGCTAGGACTCCTCTTTTCCAAAGGAGAGTAGACAGTGGGAGGAATTCACCTCAGAATGATTTCCTGGAGCAGTTAGGAAAGTAGCATCTCTGAAGTCACAGAGGCTTCAGCTCCACTGGGCCGTGAGAATCCCTTACAGAATTCTGACCCCGACCAAGCAGAAAAGGGCACTGCCGCCTTTAAAACAGTTGACTGCAGAACAAAACAAAATGCTAAAATAAGACTAGAGTAGTTTGAAAATATTGGAAAGTTGAGAAAAAACTCCCCCAAATTCCATGATACTAGCATCATCATAGTATATAGCACATTACATATATAGTGTATTATATGGTATATTATGTATACATACTATGTATACTATATGTTATATGGTGTATGTACATAGTAAAAATTATTTTTCACATATCTATTGCTTTGGTATGTTTTCTTTCATGTTTTTGTTTATTTGGTAGATAGGCTTTTTTCCTGTTTTGTTTTACAACATGTTTATATCTGACACTAACATTGTATTATAAGCTTTTTTTTCCCATACTATTGCGTAGTCTTTATAGCCACACTTAAAAAATGAATCATTTATTTCTAAAAACAGTCAGGTCCATTTTATTTTGGCTTCTGGATCCTGCCCCTCCCCGGGCACTCTCCCACTGCAGAACTATGTTAGGCTCAGTTCCCCAGAGAGCCCTCAGGTTTTCCACACCACAGGCCCCATGCAAGCTTCTTGTGAACCCTGGGCAGTCCCTTCTGGGTCCTCAGAGCTCAGTTTAGATGCCACCATTGCCTGTTTGCAACACTGGCACATGTGCAGGTCCCTGTGTTCTGTACAGCTGAACTCAGGACTGCCTCATCACCACTGTCACTACCGCGCCTCGCACAGGGCCCGCATGCTGCATGCTCTCAGTGAATGCTTGCGGAATGAACGGAAGAGGGAATCAATGAACAAATGACCTGGTGGTCATTTTCTGTGTTTCCTCCTGGGGTTTTTCCTTTGGTGTATGCATTTTGTGTGTGTGTGTGCATAGAATAGGTTACACCAAATCTATAATCTTTTTGTCCTTTTGCCTCCTCAGCATTCGTTCATAAGCATAGCGAGCATCACTGTCCGAGGCTGCACAGTGCTTCGTCTTGCGTATGCATCCTGCTTTGTTCACCATGTCTCTGGAGTTACGCATTTACTTGCTTGTTGCTTTCACCACTATAAACCATGCCTCATTTCCCTCTCCTGTTAGGCAGATCTGACCCTTCAGCCTGCCTCTTCCAGCCATGGTCAGACTGTTGTTAGTCCAGCGCCTGAGGGAGAGTACTTTCAGAGTTCCAGGCCCTTGTGTGACCTCCACCCTTAAGGTGACTCTTGGCACCCACAGGCCAATCAGCTGTATTCTTAGAGAGCTCTCAGAATACAGGCTGGTGGGCTATTTCCCTAAGGAAAAGCTGGGTGGGTTCTCACTGGGGTTGGAACCAAGGGGAGATGAGGAAATGGGAATAGGTTGGACGCCCTTGGTGGAGCTTCATAGTTTGATTTTACATCAGAGTTGGAAAGCAAAGCATACCCTTCTGCTACAGCTAGTGGTTTCCCCACCTGCGCCTGAGCTATGGACTGGGCAGGGGCCAAGTGCCCAGCAAGGAGCACAGGGAAGGAGCAGGAGGTGGAGAAGCTCAGAGGCAGGCTGCAGTAGGCTCCTCGCCCTTCTCACCATGCGGATGTCTCCTCCCTTGGCCCTATGGGAATATGGAGGGCTCACATTCTCCTCTCTGTGCAGGAGCAGGTCTCCACACTCTTTGGGAGGAGGAAGTTGACTTCTTTCTAACAGTTGCTGTCCTGTCATTCATTCATTCATTCATTCATTCAGCAAAGGCTTCCTGAGCTCCTGTCCTGTTGCAGGCTTGATTAAGTACTACAGATGTGAAGGTGAATTGACATATTTGGGTTCTTAGAGTTTGCCTTCTAGCAGACCACAAACAAGTAAATATAATGTTGCACGTGGTGCATGCAGGCCTTTGGTGCCCAGGACAGTGAGGGCATGGAGGAGGGAGTGTTGTCTGTGTCTGAGAGCACTGGGCAAGCCTCAAGGGGAGACTGTGCCTGAGGTGCATTTTGGAATGAGTTCACAGGTACGATGGGAATGAAGCTGCCCACATGTACTTGGGAGTTGGGGGAAGAGTGGGGACACTTGACTCTCACAAGAAGCATGGCTCTGAGAAAATCAGAGACCGCGCAGAAGCTGACAGGGCATGTGATGTGGACAAAGGGGCCACCAGGCTGGGAGGCAGGTCTGGTAGACCGAGGAGCAATGGGTTGAAATTAGGGTCGGGACAGAGAGGGCTGCATGAGGAGCAAAGACCATGAAGTCCATGGTCCTCCAACACTGCGACCCTCATGCTGCGGCCTCCCTGTGCCCTCAGCACTCAGCCAGGGCCAGAGGTAGCTCGAGCATGGAGCAGGGGCTGAGGGTGCATGGCTTCCTCATGATGGAGTCTACTTGTTGACAGATGACCCAGAAACTTCTGAAGGGCCCCCAAGGCCCTAATGCAGCCCCCAGAGCAGGCTCTTTCCCTTCCCCTGCAGACTCTCCATTTCATGCCTGGTTAATCCCCAGGAACCACTTTTGACAGGGGAATCCTACGTTTCTCTCTACTGAGCTGTAGAGGCTGCTGCCCATGGGCATTTTCAGCAGAGACCTCAGTCCCTACTCTGCCTCAGGGAGGTGGGCCCTGGAGGATGGTGCCATCCATGCTCCTTGTCTCCTGAGAGGTGGTGCAGTCAGCACACCCATCCCACAGACAGCGGAGGAGGCCTGAGCATCAGGGTCCTGTCTGATGCCAGCTCATGATGCACTGTGCCTGAGTGATGAATGCCCATCTCACTGCCTGTCGCTTCCTCTCTCTGCAGGGCCCTGTGGCCGAGTGTGTCCAGCCCAGTGTCATGGGGAGCTTCCATATCTCATGGCTCCTTGCTGGGCCAAGCCCTCCAGAACCCCAAACCCCCAAAGACTGATGAATGCCAGAGTGGCCACCTTGCTTATCTGTGGCCCCGGCCCTGGTGATCACCATGGCAGCTGGGAAGGGAGCCCCGTTGAGCCCATCGGCTGAAAACAGATGGCGACTTAGCGAACCTGAGCTGGGCCGGGGCTGCAAGCCAGTGCTGCTCGAGAAGACGAACCGCCTGGGCCCTGAGGCTGCTGTGGGCAGGGCGGGCCGGGATGTGGGCAGTGCGGAGCTGGCACTGTTGGTAGCCCCAGGCAAGCCCCGACCTGGCAAGCCGCTGCCCCCGAAGACACGTGGAGAGCAGAGGCAGAGCGCCTTCACGGAGCTGCCGAGGATGAAGGACCGGCAGGTGGATGCTCAGGCCCAGGAGAGGGAGCACGATGACCCCACAGGCCAACCTGGTGCCCCACAGCTGACCCAGAACATCCCCAGAGGCCCAGCTGGCAGCAAAGTCTTCTCTGTGTGGCCCAGCGGAGCACGAAGTGAGCAAAGAAGCGCCTTTAGCAAACCAACCAAGCGACCAGCAGAGAGGCCTGAGCTAACCTCAGTCTTCCCTGCAGGGGAATCTGCAGATGCCCTGGGGGAGCTGTCTGGACTCCTCAACACTACAGACCTCGCTTGTTGGGGTCGACTTTCAACTCCCAAGCTTTTGGTTGGTGATTTGTGGAACTTGCAAGCATTGCCACAGAATGCTCCACTCTGTAGCACTTTTCTGGGTGCCCCTACACTGTGGCTGGAGCATACCCAGGCCCAGGTGCCCCCACCCTCATCATCCTCCACCACTTCGTGGGCCCTCCTGCCACCCACCCTCACCTCCCTGGGCTTGTCCACCCAGAACTGGTGTGCAAAGTGCAACCTGTCCTTTCGCCTAACGTCCGACCTGGTCTTTCACATGCGATCCCACCACAAAAAGGAGCATGCGGGGCCTGACCCACATTCTCAGAAGCGGAGAGAAGAGGCCCTTGCCTGCCCTGTGTGCCAGGAGCACTTCCGGGAGCGCCACCACCTCTCCCGGCACATGACTTCTCACAGCTAGCAGGTGACCGCAGAATGACCTGCTGGGTGCAGCAGCCAGCCTTTGGCAGAGGGGGGCTCCCTGGGCCTGCGTTGAGGGGGCTGTCATGGTCCTTTGCAGAGCTGCTGCTTTTGGCATTCATAGATAAACAGCTCAGGCATAATTTGAAAAAGCCACACCTGCATGATGTGTTTTGAAGGAAATGAAGTCCTGAAATAAAGTGATGGGCTTTGCAAATCCAGGGTAGAGGCCCTAACAGGCACAGAGAGCAGGGGCAACTCCTGGCACACATCATGGGCTTTGGAGGCACACAAGCCTGGATTCGAATCTGGGCTCTTTCACATACTAGCTGTGACCCTGGACAAAGAGCTTTAACCTGCTGAGTCCCCATTTTCTCATCTGTGAAATGGAGATGATAACACTGTGTCTTAGGTTGGCATTCAGGTCACATGAAAGGTGTGTGGAAAGTGGCCAGCATTCTGCCTGCAGACCCTGAGCACTGAGTCAACAAGGTTTGTGATGATGTCTGTACTAGTTAGCTATTGTTATTAACAAGATCTCCATGGCAGACAAGCTAAAGCATCTGCCTAAGTCGTGAGTCTGTGGGTTGGCTCAGGTTAAGCTGAGCTTGGCTGGGCTTGGCAGCAAGTCTCAGATTTGATCAAGTCATATTCGTTTTCTTCTTCGGCTGGTGGGCTACCCAGAGCGAGCACGCTTCTCTCGTGGTCATGCCAAGAACACAGGAGGGTGAGTCTAACAAGCACACCTCAAGCCTCTGCTTGGGTCACATTGCCAATGTCCTCTCAGCCCATACAAGTGGCAGGACCAGGCCCAATATTAAGGAGTGGAAAAGTGTAGGCTGCCCTTGGTGAAGCTGTGACAAGGGAGTGACCATCCATCCCCTCCACAGGAGGGTGAGGAATTGGGACAGGTAATTCCAGCCAATACCTGGTCCATAGTTCTTCACATTGTGAGTATATGAATACGGGGAAATAGAACCCCCTCCCCACCACCTACACACATGCTGTTTTACCTTCCAAGAATAGGACATGTGCAAAAACTAGGCTTCCAGATCGTGAGGCTGGGGAGCATTCTAGGTACCATTTATTATCTACTGCGTTTCGGTCAGTAGCTGTTGTAGGTACCCGCATCAGCCCTTGTTCCTAAGGATGTGTGGAGCCCAGGCTGTACTCTTTGACATTCCACAGGTCAGTCTGCGTGAAAGCCCTTTGTGGGGAGTTTCCAAGCCAGTGTCGTTTTTGCACTGGTTTCCACCTCACTGTCAGATATTGTTCTTTTGATATGCAGTTTCCAGCCCTCCAATGAGTCCCCAGCACAGATCTCAGGCTTGTGGCTGGGAATAAGCCCAGCTGAGCAGGTGGGGATCTCAGCCAGCCT
Organism: Homo sapiens; assembly: GCF_000001405.40. Lineage (NCBI taxonomy): Eukaryota > Metazoa > Chordata > Mammalia > Primates > Hominidae > Homo > Homo sapiens. Next base: position 47,366,429 of record NC_000010.11, on the reverse strand, counting down.
CCCAGACTGCACCTCTTCTATTGCTCTCCTCTGTCCACCGTTCCAGGCAGCAGCACTCCCACCTGGCTGCTCTGATGTCCTCGCTCCCTCCATTCCTGCCTCTCACCATGCACGCATCCATTGTCCACACACACACAACCAGATAATCTTCTGAAAGTGTAACTCAGATGATGCCTCCAACCCTGTGGCTGCCCTTCACACTTACAGGCCTAACCCCAGCAGGACCTGCCAGCTGCTTCATGAACAAGTCCCTGCCTCATGTTAATTGCAAGCACTCATTTCACTCTCCCTGTGTGCCAGGCAATAGCATAAGCACTGGAAGAATACAGATGTTATAGTGAGTCCTACAATAGCCCTGGAAGGCAAGAGCTGTTTCCTTTCCATTTCTACAATGAGTCAATTGCAGATGATGCTATAACACTTCCAGTGTTTCTGACACTTCCCTGAAGCTATACCTGCTACCTTCATGGGCCGAGCTTGCCCTTATGAGGCCCACAGGTGGCAGTGGGCAGAGGGGACCCCGCTATACCACCTCGCTGCTGTTCCACTGTCTGCTCCCGTGTTCTGACCACAGCTCTGGTGCCGTTTCTCAAGCCTGGGCTTCATTCAACATTTTCTATCTAGCTCTTCATGGTGCTGCTCCTGCTATGGTTCCACAGGGCTTCTTCTCGCAGGTCAGCTCCTTAGAGAGGTCTCCCAGATTCCCCGTAAAGCAGCCCTGCAGCCTCTGCCTCTCTCAGCCGCATCACCCTGTTGCTTCCTTCACAGCATGTCTCACCATCTGCAACCATCTTTCTGTTTGTCGTCTTGTTGATTTGCTGCCTCCACACTGTCAGCTCCTTGGGAACAGAGATTGGTTTGTTTACTGTGCATCCCTGGTGCCCAGAACAGGGCATGGCATATTGTTGGTGCATAATAAATATTGTGGAAATAATTTCTGTGTGAGAAGCTGGGTCTGAATATGTGTGCAATCTTCCTTTGGCTGTGGAGGGTTGCAGGAGGCTGCCATGCAGCTGGAAGGCTCCATGTGTACTGAGCTTCCTTCACCTACGCTGTCTCCCTGGCCAGGCAAGGGATTGAGTGAGTGGGTCCATTTCCATTCATTTATTCAGCATCCCTGGGCACTTTGAGCTGAGCCTCAAAGGCAAGTATGTGCCGGTGATTTGGTGATGCAGGCAGGGGAGCAGTGGCTGAGGAGAAAGATCAGTCCAGAGTCTGCAATTGTGTCAGGGTGTGAGGAGGAGATGGAGGGGCAGGGGTAGGAGGGCCTCACGGGAGAGCGGTTTGGACCGAGGGGACTGAGGGCTTGGCTCGGAGAGGCACTTTGGGGGTACTCTCCAGCTGCAGTGGGGAGCGTGGCCTGGAGGAGGGGGCCTGGACCCCCTGAGCTCATTGTCTTCCACATCTAGAAGAGGGAAGGGTGCTCCCTGCAGGTGCCAATAAAGCATCATCATTCCCAAAGGGACACTGGGAGGTCCCTTGCTCACTAAGACAAGACAAGGAAAGCTCAGCCTTGCTGGCCCCTTTAGGTGCTGTGTGGGGGTGTCATTTACACATGGAGAGGCTGAGCACAGAAGGCAGCTGAAGCTATGGGAGCCTCCCCGTGTGCTGTCTCAGGTGAGGCAGGAAAGGGCAACTCAAGGTCTCGGCATGAGGCCCCACACTATGCACTTGACACGCAGCAGCCAGGAGGCAGATTGTTATTAATAATTCCCACTCTGCTGCAGATGACATTAAACTCCAAGAGGTCAAGAACTTTCCTAAGACCATGGGCTCAGGAGCATCAGTGCAAGAATAAGACTCCAGGACCCCAGATTGAGCTCATGTCCTTTTTAGCCTGCCACTTGTCTGCCCAGCCCAGTGTGGTTGGATGATTCAGGAACTGGGACAGCAGCAGGTGTAGGCTCCCTGTCTCAAATTTCAATTCACACCTGCTACTCGTAAACACACACACTTTCCTATCGTCCTTCTCCAGCACTTTCACTATCTTGCATACTAAGTCTTTGACTGATTTGTCTTGCTTACCGTGTCTCCTATCACTAGAATGTAAGCTCTGTGAGGGATTTTTGGTGGGTTTTTTTTACCTGCAGCATTGCTGGCATCTAGAGAAATGTAGCCACATAGTAGGTGTTCAACAGACATTTGTCGAATGAATGAATGAGTGAGATGCCTGGTTCTGGCCTGGCAATTGCCACAACTCAAATCAGCTTCTCGGGAGGGTTTTAGGATCTATCAAATGCTGTGCACAATTGTCCTTCTCTGGCTTAATTGATTGGTTTGTAATTTCTGTGAAATCTCTTTGAAAGGCAGAAATGTGCCAAGACATGATAGACACTTAGAACTGAAGGGACTTTAGATTTCTAGACCACACCCTCCCTGTACAACATTGGACTTTGAGGTCCACAGACATGAGCTGATGTGCTCAGCGTTGCAGGGCAAGTGGTGGTGAGGTCAAGTTTAGAACCACTGAGAGGTCTGGACCTTGCCCCATCCACAATCCATGAGGAACCTCAGCTAGGCCAAACGACAGTTTACACTGCATGTGATTAGAACGGCCTCACATGTAATTATTAGTAACCTTGACCAGTTACACCATTCCCAAGCAGGATAGGCATTTAGGAAAATTTGAAGTTATGAAAAACAACACACTATCTTCCCCCAACTCTGATTTTTAAGTTGGAGTTAATTTTGGTAAAAATGGATGTAGATCCAAATTGCTCACAGCCTGCCATTTAAATGGACAAACTCAAAAGTGATTCGTGGAAGTGATGGGTTTACAGCTTGTTAATATTGCAGTCCCAATTATCACCAGGCTGGGTTCCCAGAGTCTCTTTGGGAGTCAAATCCTCTCTTAGCCCTTCTCCATTTCTGCCCTCCTGTATCTCCTGGAGAGTAGACATGTTAAATCATGGTTTTGCTCAAGCTCTCTCTACCACTTCTATGGTCTGAATGTTTGTGTCTCCCAAAACTTATGTAAAATCCTAACCCCTGAGGTAATGGTATTAGGAGGTGGGGCTTTTGGGAGGTTGGAATTCGTGCCCTTACAAAAGAGGCTGGGTGCAGCGGCTCATGCCTGTAATCCCAGCACTTTGGGAGGCCGAGGCGGGCAGATTATGAGGTCAGGAGTTTGAGACCAGGCTGGCCAATATGGTGAAACCCCATCTTTAGTAAAAATACACACACACACAAAATTAGCTGGGTGTGGTGGTGGGCACCTGTAATCCTAGCTACTTGGGAGGCTGAGGCAGGAGAATTGCTTGAACCCAGGAAGCGGAGTTTACAGTGAGCCAAGATTGCACCACTGCACTCCAGCCTGGGTGACAGAGGAAGACTCCGTCTCGGGAAAAAAAAAAAAGAAAGAAACCCCAGTGGCTGGCTGCAGTGGCTCATGCCTGTAATCCCAGCACTTTGCGGGGCTGAGGTGGGAAGATTGCTCAAGGACAGGCATTTGAGACCAGCCTGGGCAACATAGTGAGACACCCCCTCTACAAAAAATACAAGAATTAGCTGTATATGGTGGTGTGTGTGCCTATAGTCCCAGCTACTCAGGAGGCTGAGATGGGTGGGGTGGGTGGGGGAGTTACTTCAACTCAGGAGTTTAAGGCTGCAGTGAGCTATGATTGTGCTACTGCATTCCAGCCTGGGCAACACAGTGAGACCCAGTTTCTAAAAAATTAAAATAAACCGCAGAGACCTAGTTCCCTGCTTCCACCATGTGAGAATGCAGCTGAAAGTTGCCATCTCCCAACTAGGAAGATGGCACCAAACACCAAAGCTGCTGGCACCTTGATCTGGAACTTCCGAGCCTCTAGAACTGTCAGCGATAAATTTCTGTTGTTAATAAGTCATCCGGTTTATGGTATTTTGTTATAGCAGCCCAGATGGACTAGGCAGTCACCTTCTATATGCCAGTTAAGAGTTGGCATGAGATGTTGCCACAATGTATCACATCAGCAGGTATTAATTTTACAATCCTGGGCAAGAATTACCACATTCCTTAAATTCTCTATGTCTAATTGAATCGCTCAGCACCCCATCCTGTGGGCCTGGTAAGATACTCACCCTGTCACTATTGAATTCCTAACCTGTCTCTCAAGCTCACAAAAGCTCCTCAATGCCCCACCTCAAGATTGTACCCTGTCGCTTAGTGCCCCAGGGTGTCCCCTTGCTGTTCTGGCCAGCTTTGCTTCTGTTCTCCACTCTCCTAGGATCTAGGGCCTTGGTGGCTTTCTGGCAAAGCTGTTGGTAGGCATGTGACACGAAGACACTGAGTCGATGAGCAGAAAGTCTTGGCTGACCTTATGGAACAGAGGAGGAAAAATATCCACAGTAGCTGGAAACATGGCAAATTCTATCTTAATAAATTATCTCCCAGCGGCAGCCATTCAATTCAGATTTATAAAAGTCCTCAAAATATGCTAATGAGGCTAAACTAAGACATTCTGAATTCAGATTCATTTTGGTTCTCGATTTTAACAAATGTCAAGTTTTCTTTCTGTTTTTACCTGGGAAAGGAGTAAAACCACTACAATGGTGGGCTCCTAGAATTCAACTTCTTGCCAATTCCTGCATCTCTAGGCCAGGGATCCTAAGCTCAAATGTCTATTGAAGTAGGCTAATGAGTGGATGGAGCTGCCTGTAAGTGGCAATGGTGGGGAGCTCAATGCCTGGGTGAAGACTGCACAGCCAGGCTGGATGCAGGCCTCGAGAAAGGCCAGAGTTCAGGTCTTTATATGAAATTTGTTGTCAACTGACACAATAGTTTTGCAAACACTGATGGCCAAAGTGACATAGATTCATGGAAGCATGTCAGTGGTGGTGATGGTGCAGGGTCGCCACCAGCCGGTGACCCCTTACTCTGTTATGCTCCCAGCTTTGGAACAGGCCGGTGCTGGGCCTGGCGCTTCTAACCTCAGCCGTACCACCCTGTTCCTGTGAGCACGGAGAGAGAGCCCTTATCAGGGGTGAAAGTCGGCCAGAGTAGCCCCCAGGCCGGGCTTGCACTCCTCATTCCCTTGGGAAGTGATGGCGCCATCTGGAGGCAGCAGGCCTTCCTGCAGGCCACTTCCCTTCAGAGAGGGAATCACACACCCTTGTCATTTGCCTAATTTTGTTGTGTTTTTAGAAGTCATGTGGTAGGTCTACAGATGGCATAGCAAGATCAGAACCTCATAGGATAAACCTTTTATTTGAAAGATAAGCCATTCTCCAACATGGGTTGGGTTGTGACACTTCCTAGGAGAGAAGAAGTTTCAGAAACCGTTTTGTTTGTTTGTTTTGTTCTGGTTTTGGAGATGGAGTCTTGCTCTGTTGCCCAAGCCTGAGTGCTCGATCTCAGCTCACTGCAACCTCAGCCTCCCAGGTTCAAGTGATTCTCTCGCCTCAGCCTTCCGAGTAGCTGGAATTACAGGCACCCGCCATTATGCCCAGTTCATTTTTGTATTTTTGTAGAGATGGGATTTCACCATGTTGGCCAGGCTGGTCTTGAACTCCTGACCTCAGGTGATCTGCTCGCCTCAGCCTACCAAAGTACTGGGATTACAGGCCTGAGCCACTGCGCCCGGCCCAGAAACCGGTTTTGAAAGGGGGTTGGGGAGGCAGTGCCTGCAGGGAGAATGGGAGGGGTTCTCTAACGCTTTCTTTCCATTCATCTTGCCATCTCGTGTTTTCCTGGGGCAAGACGGAGGAAGCCACTATCGTCTGATCCCATTGCTATTCTAAGCTGCTTGGATTAGGAGGCTATTTTTAGTGCTGGCAGCCCTGGTCAGCAAAGCAGAGAGGGTACCTAGGCCAGGTGGCAGCTAAATCCCATAGGAACCAGGAGATGGGAGGTGGGTGCCCCCAGGCAGGGACCTTGGAGGTGGGTTTCCTGGCCTGGAGTGTGAACCGGTTGCATTGCTTTTCTTTCTGAGTCACATCGTTTCACCGCATCACAGCTGTGTGGGTAACCAGGGCCCTCTGGTGCACAGTCAGGGCCCTCTCCTGTGTAGGCCTGTGCGGGGCAGACACAGGGACACAGGAAGAGGAAGCTCCTTCCTCATTGCTTCAGCCCAGCCTGAAAGCAGGAGGCCCGCGAGGGTCCCCATGTGGTCCTTTTGCATTCCCTATGTATGAAGCATATCACTGCAATAGTCCCTGGCCCCTCCTTCCCTGGATGGGGGTCACCACGTCTCCAGCAAGAACTTGGAGGTGAAGATCACCTTTTCCTTCCTCTCCTTACAGAGCCTGGCAGAGGCATGGCTTGTTGCTGACTGAGAGCATCTGGAAATGAGCCCCCAGCACTCAGAGTCACCACCCTCACCATGCCCCCCAGCTCTGTGCTGTCAGTTCCTGGTCAGACTGCAAAGATGCCCATGAGTGGACTGTGCCCATGCCCTGCCCCTGCTGCTAACACCCAGTCCCCCAAGTCTTCTCTGGCGCCAGGGACCAGGTCTGAGACAGCTCTGTTTCCACCACTTGCCCTGTGGCTGGCCTGGCATCCTCAGGATCTGCCCTGGAGGGGAAAGAAAGGCAGGGAGAGATGGGCCCAGTATACCCTGAGTTCTTTTCTCTACCCAATGACTCTGGCTTGGCTGCCCAGAGTGTGGCCTGGGCTTTGATAGTGAACAATAGGGAAGCTTCTAGGCCTGTCTTGCCCCAGAGAGCCAGCTTTGAGTCCCTGCCAGGGCCTTTATAATCCATTTATTATACATGCTGTCACAACAGGGCTGAGCTGACTCCTGGGGGCACTCCAGCACCCCTGGATGCCAGTCAAATGAACCCCTGCTTGGTACTGGGTGACTTACCTCTTCACCACATCTGCAAGAGGGACAGATAAATATGACCTTCCAGAAGTGTCTGCATCACCTAACAATGCCCTTCCAGTGAAGATGAACCCCTAGCTGCAGGTCAGGCCACAGAGATGGGGCAGGAAGCTGTGTCAGGGATTTAAGCACAAAGCTGGGACCCCAAGACAAGGAAGGGAAAGACGATGGCAGGCTGGGTGCAGAGCAGAGTGACATTAACTCAGGTATTAACTTATCTTGGGTCCTGATCATTGGTGGACACTGGGTGAGCAGTGGGGGGACAGAGTTGAGGGAGTCTGAGTGTCTGGAAGGAGGTGTGGCTGTGTGCAAGATGTGAGTTGGAGGTAAGTAGGGTTGGGCAGGGTGCAGGCCATGAGCTCAGACCAGGGCATAGAGAGTTGAAGGGGCCCAGGGCTCATCTGAACTTCTAGGCAGCTATCGGCCATCTGGCTGTCCCACCAGAAAAGAGACCTGATGGGATTTTGTTTTCCTTTTCCTTTTTCTCCAGTCTTGTGCCTGCAAGCAGGTAACAATGCAAGAAAGCTTGCATTTAGGAAGGCTGAGCCTGTTCTTTGCTACGCAGAGGACTCTCGCTCCTCTCTATCTCAAACCCCCTTTCCAGATCAGGCCCAGGGTGTCTTCATGATGTGGTGGAAACAGAAGGATCTTTGGAACTGTACAGCTATGGGTTCAGATCTCACCTACCCTTTAACCAGCTGCACCAGACTGTGCTGTTCATTACAGAAAAATGAAGTCTTTGGTGGATGGAAGCAGACAGGGATTTCAGGAGGGAGCCCGGATGGTGCCCAGTCCTAGATGGGCAGGCTGGGGGACCTGGCTGAGCAGTGGGTTGGGACAATGGGTCACTCCACTAGGACCACAGCCAAAGTCACACCAGGAAGTCGAGGAAGCACCTGTTGAGGGTGCTGCTGCTGTCCCTGCTAAGCACAGGGCATGGCTGTGCTGTCCCTGTACACTAGGCTTCTGGCAGATGGCCGCTGCCCAGGCTCCCTGGCCACTTGCTCCAGATTAAACATCTTGCACAGGAGCTTCTGGTTGACCAAGGCAGGATCACATGCCCATGCCCTACTGCCAGAAGGGCTGGAAAAGTGGGGCTTCCAGAGTGTTCAGCTTTGTGGTGGAGAAATTATGACAGCTAACATTGGCTGGACACTAGATTAACTCACTTCATTCTCACAACTCCAAGTGTAGTATTATTTCTCCCATTGAACAGGTGAACAAACTGAGGCCCAAAGAAGTGAAACAAATTGCCCAGAACCACTCAGCTGGGGAAGTGGCTGGGCTGGTTTCCCACCCAGGCAAGGCTGACATCACTGTTTCCTACTGATTCCTATGGGCAGTGATTCTCTGATCATCCAAAGGTGCTGCAAATGCTGGGTGGCCCAAAGGAGGACACAGGTCCACCATGCTGGATGTGTGACCTTGGGTGAGCTGCGGAGTTTGTCTGTGTCTCAGCTGGCTCCTGGGTAGAAGATGAGAGTGGCCAGCTATGCAGCCGGCATGAGGCTCAGAAGAGACACAGCCAGTGTATGTACATCACCAGCAGAAGGGCCGCACCAGCCCTTTCCCTATTTAAGATCCACAAGATCTTTGCCACCTGCTGACCCCACAGCATCTTGCACCACATCTTAAATAAAATCAGCTGTCCATAGAGGTCAGCAGGGCAGATCCAGAAGATCTAAATAATGTGAATGGAGAACTCATGAAAAGAAGAGATTTAACAACCACTAGTGATCACTAAATTGTGGTTAATGGCTCGGGTATATAATTTATTTTATCTTCTTTATTTTGTATTTTGGAATAATGATAGCTGCATCTGAAAATAATGATATATGCACATTAATGAGTATTTAAGAAAAAGAGCAAAGTATGAAGAAGGAAGGTAAAAATACCACCCCAAGTTCTACCACTTAGAAGGAACCTTTGTTAAAATTTAGGTGGTTATTGGAAAGCCATATATATATACATATATATACATACACATATATATGTGTATATACATGTGTGTGTGTGTATATATACACACCTCCAGCTGTAACCTAACCAGAGCTCAGCAGGCCCCTTTGCTGCTCCTGGGAACCTCAGGCCGGGCCACCTGCAGGAGTGCCCTTGGTGTGTGTCCCAGAGGTTCTGTCTGCCCTGGGGCTCTGCCTATGGGGCCCTTCCCTACAGGTGGTCCTGCAGGCCTGGGCTCCGCTTCACCCTCAGCTGGTTGTGCTGGAGCATCTCCTTGGCCCTGGCGAGAGCCTCTTCTGCAGGGACAACCACATGGGGTGTCACCCCCACCCCTTCCCAGGAGCTGCCATCCGAGGCCCCCACAGAACGGGCCGTGGGGATAGTGAGGTAGAGGTTGGTGTCATCCACGTGGTAGGTCTGTGGTGGCTGGCAGCCCCCACTGGTCACCTCCCCAATGACCAGGGCCCGGCCCAGCCTCTTCATGATATAGGTGAACTCCTCCGCGGTGCCGGCCGTCACACTGCTGGTCAGAATGACCATGCTCTTCTTGGAGCCATAGCGTTCACCTGGAAGACATAAGGCCCTTCAGGATGGGGGTCATGTCAGGACCCTGGAGCACCTGTCTTCTCTATCCTGCCTGGGCCTGCAGTGATGGAGGAGGCCCGGGGGTTTAGGTCTGTGTCCTTGTGTCCACTTGTGAGCCACTTGACTTCTCTGAGCCTTGATTTCTGCATCCGTAAAATGGGGACAAGAATGCATGCCCAATCACGAGGATTTCAGTGCTTGACAACTCCCAACGAGGCCTTTTTATGCCAAGTGATAGGAAAGGCTTGACTCTCCTGAGAAAGGAGCATCCTCTCTCTTCATGAATAATGAGAACACCTAAACCGACCTGACTTCCTTTTCACTTTGGACTCAGAAAAGCCCAATTTGTGATGTATAAGAACAACTCTCCAGGACAGCACTGTCCAACAGGAATGCAACGTGAGCCAGAATGCTGGCCATAGATGTCATTTTAGGTTCCCTAGTAGCCATGTTAAGCAAGCAAAAAGAAACCCATGGTGTTAATTTTAATCATGTTTTGTTTAAGCCAATGTATCCAAAATACATTCTTTTCAAAATGTAATCAAATAAAATTATTAATGAGGTTTTCTTTTCATAATGTCTTCAAAATCTGGTATGCACATTACACTTCCAGCACATCACACTTCCAGCACATCTCAACTTGGGAGAGCCACATTTCAAATGCTTGGTGGCCGCAGGTGGCTTGTGGCTCCCATATTGGACCTTGCGGTTTTGGGGCCTCATTATCTGCAGAATTGAGTCTATCTTTAACTTCCAGTCTTGAACATCTATTTGAATTTAGAATTCACCTGGTTCTGATTTGCATTTACACTTGTAATATTATTGAACGTATGTCCTAGGAGCTACAGCAAAATGCCTGTGTATTACAGAAGCATGGACATGAAAATGGTGGGGTGTTTCTCTGGTCACAGGCACACCCCCATCGGTCTCTCCAGTCCTTTCTTGTTGGGTAGGAGCACAAGTTCCTTGGTCTTACACACTGGGCAGGGAAGATAGATGGAGGCCATCCACCCTGGAATGGGGCTTTGAGAGTTATGGTTCTGTAAAGCTCAGGGCCTGCCTTTGCTCCTATAGCCACTGCTCTGGGCCCAGGGCGGGGAACAGAAGCCCGATCAGCATCATGACCTTTCCAGGCAAGTTTGTGGCACTGTGGCTTGAGAGCTCAAGTACTGTGAGCACTGGCAATGCCCACTGGGGTTGGTGAGGGGCGGGGAGAATCCTTCAAATTCTGCATTTGTCCTGCAGGCTGGTGATTATGGTGCTAAGCCTGGGGGAAATTTTGGTATTAGACAAACTAATATTCACATTTTGGGTTTCACTTATTAGCTGCATGACCCTAGAAAAGATATTTGACCTAGTCAACACCCCCTTTTTTTTCCTCTAGAAAACGGGCATAGTGATACATGCTTTTCAGGGATTCGAGATCATGCACATCTAGTGCCTGGACTAGGACAGGGCCTTACATTCTGGTTACTATGACTTTTACCTACACCCAAGCTGTCTTTCCCTGGTTTCCCAGAAGCTTCTAGAATGACAGCAGAAAGGAGAAAGCTTCTCCACGTACCTACAACCTGGGCGTGTGTCCAGAGTTCACTGACAGAGTCATCAGGCCGGCTGTAGATCTTGTCCAGCAGAACTGGAGGGCCTTCATCAAAGAAGTAGGAGCACAAGATGGGAATGGAGGATGTGGGGCCACCGATGTTGAACCTGAAGGATGGGAAGCAGAGCCTGTTCAGGGGCTGAGCTCACAGTGAGGCCCTGTGTGCCCCTCGGGGAGGCCAGGATCTTTGTCCCATGGAGGGTTCTAATTCTTGGCAGCCTCAGTCTAGTGCCTCTTCCTCCTTTAGAATTCCATGGGTTGGCATTTTCCAGAGTATTTCCAAGAGTACTAGTCTCTTTAGAACAAGAAACTTAGTGATCAAATATGTTATCCTTTCCTTCTGCTATGTAATTAATACATGTTAATATATTAAAGGCCCTGACAAGTCCTGCAGTCAGAAACTTGTTGATAAATTTCCCCCATTTATTGACCATGGACTGCTCCCCTGCACCCATATCTTCCTATGAGTGGAACACATTTTGGGAAACATTGTTTTTCCCGTTGCATTCTGTGACAATCTTATGACACCTACCAGCTGTCTTAGTTCAGGTGTCTTAACAGGGCACTTAGTGTATTGAAATATTCAGGCTTGTGGAGCTGCATTGGGAGCAGGGGAGCCTGTATTTCTCCCAGGCCATTTAGATTTGTCCCACTGTGTGACCTCGTTGGGCCCCTGTCTCCCCACTGGGGCTAGTGATGTGTTAAGGAGCCTCGTCCAACTGATGGCCTGGGATGGCCTGGCTGGGTTCGGGGCCTGTGATGTCAGTGTCTGAACCTCCAAACAAACCTCAGGGGTGGGAGGGTCTTTAAGCAAAGTGCACTTGCAGGCTGGGGCCATCTCCTCTTTAAAAAGTGTAAATGGCATATTCAGAAGAAAGAGACTTAGCATGAGTGTCATTTGGGTGCTCAACAGAACTTCTAAAGAATAAAATGATCAGAGAGACCCCAGGAGCCTCAAGCTCAGGCTGTGAACACACACAGAACTGGAGCCAGGGCTAATGTTTTATCTCCCAGGGAGGAGAAGCAGTGGGTGCAGGACCGAGAGCCACCTAGTGACCACTAAGAACCATGTGAGTGAGCGCTGAGGGCTAGAGAACTGGAGCTGGGTGAATGCTTCTGGTCTGCCACCCCCTGCCACTTCTTTCAGACAACACGGGAGCATGGAAGGGTCCCGTCTGAGGAAGGCAACCTGCCCAGGGAGGGTGCTGGGGCATGTCCACCAATGGACCCCAGAGTCATGGGATGCCAGGTCTGGCCACTGCCTGAGGGTACTCATCCACCTCCTACCCCTGGTCCATGAGGTAAACTCATGACATATGAGGCACATTTTTACAGAAACAGAGGGGAGGTGGCTAGCTGAAGACATCCTTCTGACAATCATTTGGTGATGCAAAGAATTCTTTTGTTAACAATAGTGATTAACTTCTAAATTTTCCCTGTGTGATTTCCAAATTCTGCCTGTACGATTCATATGACCAGGGTTGTCATGTGTTGATTTTGTATGATGTGAGGCACACTCCCAGGTGGGGGGCCTGGCTGTCTCACACACCACTGACCATCAGAATCACCTGGGATGCCTGTCAAATAGAGATTATCGGGCCTGTCCCCTGGAGCTTCTGAGTCAGTAAGAGGGGAGTGGGGCCCAGGAATCAGTGTTTTTAACATCTCCTTCCTCTCCTCCCCACTGAATCCTATGACCAGGCAAATCTGGGGTAATTCTCAATCTGGAATGCACATTGGAATCACTGGAGAAGCTTGCAAAAACTACCAGTGCTGGGCCCCACCTGCAATGACAGCAGATCTGCTGGGCTAGCTGGCCGAAGCCCTGATAGGCAGGAGGCCTGGCCCCCCTCAGGTCCTCTGCTGTGTCACAGGGTTCCTTTTCTTCCCTGCTGTGGCCCATAGCTTTGACTGTCCCCTGGCAGCCCTGCGTCCTGGCTAGGAAGCACTGACCCCTGGCCACTGACCTCATGTCGATGATCATGGCATCCGTGTGCATGATCTTCTTCCAGATGTGCTCCACCAGCAGCCTGGAGACCTGGGTGAGCAGCTCACCGTCCCCAAACATGTCAAACCTCAAGTAGCCAATGTTGTCCTCAAGCACGTTAGTGTGGAAGGAAAACTTGATCAGCTCTTCAAATACTTCAGGGGAAGGGATCTGTAAGAGTTGGAGGTCCTACTCAGTGTCAGGAGGAGCAGCCAGTTTTAGAGCCCAGGAAAGCAGGCGCCATGGGAAATATTAAGGGCATGGGACAGGAACTAACATTTCTGAAGGAATTAGTAGACACCAGGGACTTTCCCAGTGGCATGTCTGGATGTGACATGCCACTGGGACATGTGTGATCTATGGGCAGCCTCCTTGCAGAGGATGCTCCTGTCTGCCACCCACATGCCCTGGTGTCCTGAGCTAGAAGGCCCAGGAATGGACTCCCCTCTGACCTCTCCAACCTTACCAGATACTTCCTATGTCTCTAAGCTGCTCCACTGGGGCAGGATTGGAAGATGTTAGTTACCTTTACCAGGCACCTGGCCCGGTACTAAGCACTTTGTAGAGCTTATCATCATCCTCACAGCCACCTGTACAGGAGATAACACGATCCCCATCTTTTCCATGGAAAAACTGAAGCACAGAGAGATTAAGTAACTAGTCTCAGGTCACACAGTCAGTAAGTGGTGGAGCCAGAATCTGAATCCACATCTGACTCCAAATCGTGAACCTTGGCTATACTGGAAAGGAAGGAGATGTTGATTTGGAAACTGGGGATTCTGCAAGCCTAGCACAGGCTACTCGCACGTGGATGCACCTCCTCCTCCCTCTCTAAGGCTGCTGGAGGGAGGCAGGTCTTGGTGAGATTGACAGGCAAGGAGACTTCATTGACAGAGACACTGCCCTCCAGGCCCTGCCCTGCCCTCAGTCACAGCTCTCTGGCCTCAGGCCACTCCCCTCTGCTCCTCTCCGGGCCTCAGTTGCGGAAAATGGGGATAACAATTCTGTAGTAGATGCTTTTGGCACTCTCAGCCCCCTCTGCTTTCAGCTGCACCCGACCCCACTGACAGGCTCTCCTATAGCACAGCCCTGCCTTTCCACCCGTAGCTCAGGCCTTCTCCAAGAAGAGGGAGCCTGCCCCACCCTGAGGCATGTCTCAGGGCAACTCTTGGCCAATGCGGGACAGGAACCACTGGGCCCTGCCTGCAGAGGGCTATGCCTGGGAGCATCCCTGCACTCGTCAGGGTCCTGGCTTCAGCAGAACAGCTTTGAGGCACCTGCCTGTCAGCTTCCCAACCCACTCTCCCTGCTCCCTCCTTCATGCCTGCTTCAGTAACCGCCTCCCAGACAAAGCGCCTGCACCCAAGCCCTGGTCTCAGACCCTCCTTGCAAGGGATCCCATGGCAAATGCTGCCCTGCCCAATTGTGACGATGCAGCAGACCACAGGTAGAACAGTGTGGAGGTGTGAGTGCTGCCTAGGTGGAGCTCTCGGCCAGCGTGGGGCACTTGGTGAAGTCCATTGGCCACCTCTGACAGGTGTTGGCCTCTTCCCTAGCACTGACAATGAGAAGCCCTGCCAACACTCACCTTCCACCCAGCCAAGGCTGAAATGCCTTCTATCCCAGGAGCTTCCGAACTGGCTTCCTGTGAGTATTGGTTGGCTTTCAAACTGGCTTCCTGTGAGGTGGGTGCAAAAGTAATTGCGGGTTTTGCCATTGAAAGTACTTTTGCACCAACCTAATATGAATGTTCTACAGAGGTGTTCAGCAACCCCAGGGTCACAGAGAGTGGATGGAACAGGTTGAGAAAGAGGAAAGGACTTGACCGGTCAAAACTTAAACGTGAGAACAAATCTAAAAGCCATTGTCACGCACTGTGCACAGAGCCCTGCATGTGCGGACAATGGGTCAACTCACTCCCGGGACTGGGTTCAGCCAGGTCTCTCTTGGGTCTCACCTGCATGGGCACAATTCCAGGAATGCGGTCCTTGGCATTCTCAGGGATATGGGCTGCCTTCAGGTGTGGGTCTCCGGAGAGCATCTGCAGGTCAGCCCCCAGGATCTCGGCTAGGGCCACTTCTGAGGTCACCCTGGAGTAGCGGCTCTGCAGACCGCTCAGTTTGGTGGCCATCTTGGCCCCCAGCTCGGCAGAGGCATAGTTATCAGCCACCAGCTTCCCGGCCGTCTGCAGCACCGTGGGCACCTTGGCACGCAGAGCCACTATGTCCTGGGCTATGGAAAGGGCTTCGCTCATGGGCACAGTGATGTCGGGCTCCACACCAGCCAGGTCCCAGGCCTTGCCTGTGGTGGCACTCATGGCCATCTGGGTGGGCATGGATGCATATAAGGGGCTGCTGCCCACCTGGTAGATGCCCACAGAGAGTGCGCCTCCGGCCGTGGGCTCCCCAATGACCGTGGCCCGCTGCAGGTCCTGCATGGTGTGTGCAAAGGCCTCGGCCGCAGAGCCACTGGTGTGGCTCATCAGGATGTAGAGGTCCTTGTGTGAGCCGTAGCGCTGGCCGGCGACCTGGGGCAAGGTCCACACCTCCGTGACTTTTGAGGTGGCCCTGTCAAAGACAGAATACAGGTGCTGGCGGGGCTCTGCCTCAAAGAAGTAGGAGCAGAGCAGCGGGATGGCCGTGGAGTAGCTGCCAGGGTTGTAGCGCAGGTCGATCACCAGCGCAGCCGTGTCCACCAGCTGTTGCCATACCAGCCGCACCAGCTGTGGCCCCACGGCCTTCACTGTCTCCAGTTCAGCCATGGCGTCAAAACGCAGGTAGCCCAGCTGGCCGGGCAGCACCTCTGTCTTGAACAGGGCCTCAATAAGGTAGGTGAGCTCCTCTGGAGAGGGGACAGCAGGGGGTGGTGGGGGTGCTTCCTCTACCACCAGCTCGCCAGGGCTGTGGAACACTAGCAAGCGGTGGTCCCCAGACACCTCCTGGAGGTCTGCTGTGAGCTGAGAGGCCAGAGACTCCAAGTCCACAGCTGTGCGGTAGGCGCCCTGGGCCAGCTTGGCCCGCAGGAGGGCACTGGTCTGCCCCACGACCTCTGGCCGAGCATAGTGGGCCTCCAGCAGGTGCCCTGTGCCCTCCACCAAGGCCCCCAGGCTTTGGTGGAACTCCAGCACTTCCTGGGCTTTGTCCAGGGCCTCCTCGGCCAGCACGATGGCATCGGGCACCACTCCACCACCCAGCCAGGCCTCGCCGTGATTGTCGATGAAGGTGAGGACCGGCACGGTGAGCGCGAGGCTGCCTTCGGGTGTGTCCAGCAGCGGCACCGTGCGGGTGTGCAGCAGGTTGCCCGCGGTGATCTCACCTACCAGTGTGGCCCAGCCCAGCGACTGCATAAGGAAGGCGAACTCCTCCGCGGCCGTGGCGGTGCGGTGGCTGGTGAGCAGATACACCCCACGTTGGGTGCTGTAGCGTGGGCCCGGGAGCTCCATGTGGCTGAAGTGCTCCTGCGTGATGTTGGTGCGGCGATCATAGGTGGTGAAGAGGTGCACGGGGCCGGCCTCAGGGCCCTGGAAGTAGGACAGGAGCAGGGGCACAGCAGAGGATGGCCCTCCAGGGTTGTGGCGCAGGTCCATGATGAGGTGCTCCGTGTCCTGTAGCGGCTCCCACACCTGGCGCAGGACATATGGGGCCAACACACCCAGGACGGAGGCGTCAGCAAAACTATCGAAGCGCAGGTAGCCCACATTGCCTGGCAGCACCGACACCTGGAACACAGAGTCCACCAGTGCTTGCCGGATAGCCTCGTCCTCAGGCAACTCTGGGGCCACCCCTGGTGAGTCTTCGGCTGCAGCGTCGGGCGCGGGCCAAGAAGGAGTTTCTGTGGGCCCGATGGCTCGCACCAGGAGCCTGGGATCCTCAGACGCAGCCTGCAGGCCGGCATTGAGCTTGGTGACCAGATCTTCCTCGGAGACCACCGTGGAGAAGTCCATGCTGGCCAAGTGCTGCAGCAGGGTGGGCACACGGTCCACCAGCGTGTAGTAGTCCTTCAGGACCTCCTGGAGGCAGTGGACTACCCCTGGAAGGGCGCTGCGCAGAGTGAGGATGGCCAGGGCTTTCTCCAGGGCCTGCTCGGCCGGAGTCCCCACACAGGGCAGCACCCCGCTGCCCTCCCACGTCTGGCTGCCTCCACCAAGGGGCCCCAGGGACCTGGACACGGGCACCGTGAAGAAGAAGTCAGACTCGCCTATCCTCAGCTTCCGGAGGTCCAGGGCCCCTCCCCCAGTCCGCTCGCCCACCACGATGGCCCTGCGCATCTGCTTAAGGATGTGCGCGATGTCCTCGGCCACGCCCCTGGTCTGGCTGCTGGTGAGGACCACCACATCCTTGTCGGCACCGTACCTTTCTCCCAGGACCTGGGGCAAGGTCCAGATCTCCGTGGTGGTGTTGGAGGGGCGGTTGTAGATAGTGTCCACGTGCAGGATGGTGTTCCCTGGGTGCAGGTAGGAGATGATGTAGGGAATGCCAGAGACCTGGCCTCCTGTGCAGTGCCGGAGATCCAGCACTAAGGCGGAGGTGCCCATGAGATTCCCCCACACGTGGGCCACCAGGAACTCCCCCATCATGCTCAGCACCTCCTGGCCCGGGACGCTGTCCACCCGCAGGTAGCCCACATTACCCTCCAGAACCTCATGGCGGAGGCCCCTTTGCAGCCAGGCAAGCAGTTCCTCTTCTGAGAGGCTGGTGAGTGCTGGGACTTGTGGGGGAGGCTCGGGGGTGCTGGGCTCATAGGAGATGACCAGGCGAGGATCGTTCAGGGAGCTCTGCACCCCGGCTGTCAGCACACTGGCCAGCGTCTGCGGGTCTGAGATGCTCAGAATCTCATGGCTCTTGATGGCCTGCTGGATGGCTTCCTGCATGCCCAGCAGGTTCTCCGGGAAGCAGTAGTTATCCAAGAGGACCTTGGCCATGTCCAGCACCAGGCTTGGCTGGAACAGGTGTGTGGGGCCAGCCAGGCCACAGAGCAGCACGGACATGAGCAGAACCCATTCTCTCATCATGGGGACCCAGGGGGAGGCCTGGCTCCTGCACAAAAGCTCCCTGGACTGTGTGCAAGGCCGTGGCCCTGCTCTGTGCAGCTGCCTTCCGCCCTTGTCCTTCTCAGCTGGTGGACAGAAGGTCTGGGGCTAAACTCCTGAGTTGGGGCAAGGCTTCCAGCTCCAGTAAGCCTTTAATCCTGTCTAATTCAAGCACATCAACCCTGGGTATCGGGGAGGAGTGGCCAGGGTGGTTTGACCCAGAAGGTACATTGCATCTTATCTTGCTGTGTTGTGTCTGCATATCATAACATTAATCACTGCCATTATTTTAGTTCCTGCTACATGCCAGACACTGTGCTCCATCCTTTACAAGCTGACAGTTTCCACCAGAGCCTTGCAAAGTCCAGTTATTAACTTGCAAGTCCTCCTTGGAGAACTGTTCTGCCACTGTCTCTCCCGTGGCCTCAGGGAAATGTCTTAATTACTTATTGTGTAGATTAAATGAGAAAATATGTGTAAAGCACTTCTTCCCAGTACCCAGTAAGTAGGAAGCACTCATTACTGGTAAGTTATCTGTATTAGATATTACCTCTGTTTCATAGCTAAAAAACAAAAAAACAAAAAAACAAAACAAAACAAAGCAAAGCAAAACAAAACAGGCCAGAGAGTTCTGTAACTAATAGAAGCCCATCGTTTTAGGTGTGGACAGATAGGGGGTGCAGCAAGAAGAAGTCCTTGGGGCTACAATTGGCCCATACAGTGCAGAGGCTGAGTCTGAGGCTGGCATCAGCCTCAGAGCTTGAGATTTATTTCTATGTCCCTTTAATGCCTCCAGGGAACAGAACGGGTCCCCCTACAGCTTTCTAATGCTGGGAATGATGTGTCTGGACCACCATGTAGGGTGTGGAGTGTAGAGGCGCCCACCTTCCAGACATCACAGGACTAGTGTTCCCATTCAAATGAGGTTAGCTCTGAGAGTTAATGGCTAGAGGGGACTCCTGCTTCTTGAAGGCTCAGCCCACAGCCTGCAGTTCGCAGGGAGAATCAAGCAGGAAGTCTTGGGTCTCCGTGGTCCCAGGCTTCACATGGAATCCAGATCATTCCTCCTGACTGCATAAAGCACAAGAAACAGGGAAAGGTAGACTGCTGAACTCTTCAGATCCCAGCTCCTGCCACTTCTTATAGAAATAATGTGGGTGCTGCTTGCAACTGACTGGCTGTAGAAATCCAAGAAGTCCTGCTATGGGGTCGGAACCTGGAAGCCCTGCTTTGCCGCTGAATGCCTCTGGAGATGGGCACTTTCCTCACTTAACAGACAGACAACTACGGCCCAGAGAGTGGTCGCAAGGCCAGGGCAGAGCGTTGGGAGAGCTGTCCCAAGCTGGCTCCAGCAACACCGCCTTGGCTGAGCGGGCAGCAGGCAGGCGCCCCTGTGTGCCTCAGTAGGCAGCTGGAGAAGGTGGTCTCAGGGACGTGGGCTTTCTCTACACAGCTGAGACCCACAATCTGCTCTTTGGAAATCATTATCTGAGGATGTTTACCAACTGCTTTATGAAGGCCAAAGAGGTCAATTAGCTAAAACAAACATATTTTTAGCTCATTAGGATTTGTGTAATGCTCAAGTGACATATGGTCACATCACTCCACCGTATGCAGCCAATGGAAGTGAGCCTGATTTACGATGAGAATGGGGTGGGGCTGGGATGCTGCCAACACCTCCGGATGAATGCACTCCTTGCATATCCTTAGCCCTGCTGGGAAGCCTGGGCCTTCTCCTCTGCCTCCACTTGGAGAATCACAGTTCTGAGCATGCACTTCCGTGTCCTCAGAGGGCACTTGTCTGCCATTGCTTGAGTCCAGGCAAAGCTTCTGGCCCAGAAAGGGCTTGGGGGAGAACAGGAGTAAGACTGTCTTTGGGGAAAGGATTCCCTGGAGTCTTACTAAGATGTAGTTTCAGGATAGGATTGTCTGGACCTATCACTGGGATTTGATTTGTGTGGCTAGCCCAGAGCCTTAAGAAGGACGTGAGAAAAAATCAGACTGTTGCAAGTCCCTGGGGTGCCTGAGTTGGATGGGGCATGGGTAGAGAAGCAGTGCTTCTCCTGTGGGTAAGGCCCAAGCAGGTGGAAGAGCAAGTTCTGTCCTCAGAGTTCTCCAGACTCCAGGGGGCCAGGGTGTCCTTGCCCCCAGGCCGTGGGGGGATGTAGGAAGATGGCAGCCAGCCTCCTTAGCTCATGAGGAGAATATGTTCTGGGTAAGTCCCCAGAGTGAAAGCCGAGAGCTCTACATCTTCCCATCCAGACCCTGACAACTGTAGGGCCAGGGTGGGTTCAGAGAGTCCACTTGATCTTGGGGGCTGAGTTTTGGAGTTGGA
Organism: Homo sapiens; assembly: GCF_000001405.40. NCBI lineage: Eukaryota > Metazoa > Chordata > Mammalia > Primates > Hominidae > Homo > Homo sapiens. Next base: position 47,346,131 of record NC_000010.11, on the reverse strand, counting down.
GGGGGCTGGAAGGCCCTGCACCCCCTCACTTATACAAATGTCCTGTGGGCAGAGCTGTGCAGGGTAGCTTAGAAGCCATCCTGAACTGAACTGGTGAGAACTGAATAGGTGAGTGGGTGAGATCTTGATAAGGTGACATGAGACCTTGATCAGGCGACATGAGACCATGATTAGGTGACTCGACTGCTCTGAGCCTTGGCTTCTTCAAAAGGGAAAACAGAATAAGGAGAAAAGCCTCAGTATTGCTGGAGGATTAGGTGTTTCCATCCTAGAAGTTATGAAAGGAAGTTGAGGACGTAGGAGTTGGTGAGGGGCAGCTTGGGTCTGCCTGGGATTAGAACACCCCTGTGGTATTAGGGAAAGTCATTCCAAGAGGCTGGGGCTGCCCTGGAGACCTGGAGTCCTAGGGCTTCTTAGGCTCCAAACCTTTCCTGGGCCTCTACATATCTAAGGAGAAATGACCAGACCCAGGCTCCAGAGCCCAGCCCTGCAGCACCTGCAGCGCAGGTTAAGAGGGGGACAATGACACATCAGGGCTGCTGCAGGGATGGTCAGGGAGCAAGCGGAGCTGGGCAGTACAGGAAGGAGCGTCTTGCCTATTGCATCACAGATGTTGTCTTTTCAGTGGCCAAAGCCCTCGTCTGTCTATTGTTTTATGTTAGTTTTCCCCTCGATGTTTTATAATGGAAATGTTCAAGTGGTACAGCAAATATCTATATGCCATCATTTAAAGAAATGCTTTGACATGTTCACATTTTAAAGAACTTATCCGAGCAGATAGCGATTCATGAATCTGGTAGCTCCCCACAAGAGGCAGTTTGGGGCTCTGCAAGGGAGCACAAGGGGAGGCTTCCACAGGGTGAAGGCAGAAGTGGAATAAATATTACAGATGCTTTGGTTGCTTAGCGTTTCGGCCCTTGCATGATTTGGGACATCCTAGTGGAAAGTTCGAGACCATGCAACTGATGTCCAGTTGGCCATCAGTGGTTGGCTGGACTTAAGCTTCGGTTTCTTTTAAATTAGCTGCTTACAGTAAATGAGTCTGAGTTAGATTTCAATTTGCTCTTGTAGGAAATCAGGGCGTTAGAGCCACCTTAGTTTAATGGCTGCCTCCCTAGATTCTACCACAGACATTTTATTACCCCTTTCTCATCTCAGCTCCGCCTCACTAGCCTCTTCTACCCTGCAAGCCTCCTCTCCCCTGCAAACCAACACATTTTTAAATGCACTTCAAAGCAAATTGAACCTTGACTTTTTATTCATTTTATGTATTTTCATTTTACTTTTTTCTTAAATCAGAGGAGTAAAACATACTCATTTTTGTAGAAATGTGCAAACAAACCTTTTCCAAAGCTTTTAAAATCCAGCCTCCTTTAGTAACAAATAATCAGCATTGAATGTCTAGCCATTGTCACCTGTGTCTGTGTACACGCAGGGAGGTGCACATATAGGAGAGATCCATCCACACATCTATGGGCACCCCATCCATTTGTCCATCCTATTGTCAGCCGTTTATTAGCATAGATGATAATTTGCATTTTGTTTTACTCACTTAAACATACAACACAAACATCCTTCCCAGTTGAAGTATACTCATTAAACTCATCCTTTTAATGGCTACATGTAGTCTGGGGATCCCTAATCTAAAAATCTGAAATCTGAAATGCTCCAAAACCTGAAACTTTTTGAGCACCGACACAACACCACAAGTGAAAAATTTCACACATAAGTACTTAACACCAACTTTGTTTCATGCAAAAAATTATTTAAAATATTGATATAGTTACCTTTAGGCTATGCGTATAAGGCATACATGAGGCATAAATACTGTGTTTAGACTAGAGTCCCACTCCCAGGATATCTCATTATGTACATACAGATATTCCAAAATCCAAAAAGAATCTGAAATCTAAAACACTTCTTTCTCCAAAACTTTCAGATAATGGATACTCATCCTGTAGTAGTTCTTGATGATTTACTGACCCTTTGTGAGGCATATTTTAAGCTTTTTCTGTTTTTACTTCAATATTGTTTCAGCGATATTGCGATAAATGTTTTTGAAAACGCGTTCTTAAGGGCCTAAGGTGCTTTTTTGTTTGTGGATAAATTCCCAAACTTGGGCTTGCTGAGTCAAAGGGCATATACACTTGTTTGTTTCCTGTATTGTATTTTTTCAGTACCTTTTAAATTATCTAATAAGTACGTCCTTTTTTCACTACTTAATTGATGTATAATTAACATATAATGAACCTATTTGAAGTGTATCATTTAGTCAGTTTTGACACATGCATACCCCCCCGAAATTCTCACCGCCACCTGGGCAACATATATTGCTGTCGCCCTCAAGTTTTCCTGGTGCCCCTTTGCTCCCCAGTCCCCTCTGCATTCCCATATCCAGACAAACATGGATTTACTTGCTGCCAACACTATAGATTAGCTTGTAGCTTCTAGAATTTGCTATAAAAGAAATGATACCCTTTTTTTATCTGTTTTCTTTTGCCCAGCATAATGATTGTGGGATTCACCCATATTGTTGAGTGTACCAATAGTTCATTTATTTTGTTTGCTGAGTAGCCTTCCATTGCACAGATGGACCACAATTTGTTATCCATGCACCTGTCGATAGCCCTTCAGGTTGCTTCCAGTGATGAATATTACAAAGAAAGCTGACATGAGCCAGGTGTGGTGGCTCTCGGCTGTAATCCCAGCACTTTGGGAGGCTGAGGTGGGCAGATCACCTGAGTTCAGGAGTTCGAGACCAGCCTGACAGACAAGGTGAAACCCAGTCTCTACTAAGAATACAAAAATTAGCTAGGCATGGTGGCGGATGCCTGTAATCCCAGCTACTTGGGAGGCTGAGGCAGGAGAATTGCTTGAACCCAGGAGGCAGAGGTTGCAGTGAGCCAACATTGTGCTACTGCACTCCAGCCTGGACTACAGAGCGCGACTGTTAAAAAAAAAAAAAAAAGAAAGCTGATATGGATATTTGAGTGCAAGTCTTCGTGTGGATGTGTGTCTTTCTTTTTGCTGGAGTAATATAATACCTAGGATAGGAATGTATATTTAACATTTTAAGAAATGACTCAACTGTTTTCCAAAATTTAAATTTCTACCAGCAGCAAGAGACTACCAGTTCCTCCACATTAGTGGCAACAATTGGTAAGGAGAGACAGTTAAATTTTAGCCATTCAAATAGGTATGTTGTGGCATCTCATTGTGATTTTAATTTGTATTTGCTTAACAATTAATGGCGTTGAGCATCTTATTATGTATTCATTGGCCACTTGTATGTCTTCTATGGTGAAATCGATGTTCAAATCTTTTGCTCATTTGTTGGGGAAGGGAGGCAGTTGTTTGTCTTATTATTGATAAAGTAAAAGTTATTTTTATGTTCTGGATGTAAGACTTTTGCCTGATATATGTGTTGCAAATATTTTCTTCTAGTCCATGCCTTGTCTTTTCATGTTGTCAACTGTGTCTTTTGAAGATTGAAAGTTTTTCTTTGATGAGTCCAAATTTATCATTTTTTCCCTTTACGATTCATGCTTTTAGTGACACAGCTAAGAAATCTTTGCTGATCTCAAGGCCACAAAACCTTTCCTTTAGTATTTTGTTCTAGAATTTCTACAGTATTAGGTTTCACGTGAGTCTATGATGTATTTTCAGTTAATTAGATATCCAGTTGAGCCCACGCTAGTTGTTGAAAAGACTTTCCTTGTTCTAGCGAATTGTATTGGCATCTTGATAAAAAAGCAATTGATCGCATCTGTGTGGGCCTATTTCTACACAGTCTATTCCACTGCGTTCATCTATTTGTCTGTTTTCTACCCACATCACACTCTCTTGTTTACTACAGTTTATAATATGTCTTGAAATTATGTAATCTGAGTCTACCAACTTTGTTATTGTTTATCAAAATTATTTTGGCTATTCTAGTTCCTTTGATTATCCATATACATTTTTGATTCAAATCATTGACTTTACAATCAGATTATTGATTGGGATTGAATTGAATGCATAGATGAGTTTGCAGACAATTTACCTCTTAACAATACTGAGTCTTCCAACCCATGAATACGTTATATCTCTTTACTTATTTAGGCCTTCTTTGATTTATTTATCAGTGTTGTGTGGTTTCACTATATAGATCATGCAAATATTTTGCTAGGTTTATACCCATGTATTTTGTGGGGTTTTTTTTTTTTGGTGCTATTGTAAATGGCACTTTTTTCTTTAAATTTTAATGTCCAGTTATTCATTATGTTTTGATCATATATTTTACAACTTGCTAAACTCCTTCATTTATTCTAGTATACATTTGGAAGATTCCTTGGAATTTTCTAAAGGGGTGTTCATGTTGCATTTCTTGATTGACAACTTAAGGATGCTATTTTTTTTTCTTCTTTTTTTGAGACAGAGTCTCGCTCTGTTGCCCAGGCTCGAGTGCAGTGGCGTGATCTCGGCTCACTGCAAGCTCCGCCTCCCGGGTTCACGCCATTCTCCTGCCTCAGCCTCCGGAGTAGCTGGGACTACGGGTGCCTGCCACGAGGATGCTATTTTTTACTCTTGCCTTATTGCTCTTGCTAGGGTCTCCAGTGCCTTGTTCGTGATCTTAGGGGGAAAACATCCAGTTTACCATTAAATATAAAGTTAGCTGTAGATTTTTTTTTGGTAGATGCCCTTTATCAGTTGAAAATTCTTTTCTATTCCTAGTAATTTGAGAATTTTTTAAAAATCGTGAATGAGTTTTGAATATCGTCAGATGCATCTACTAACATGATGTTTTTTCTTCTTTAGTTTGTTAACATAGTTAATCATATTGACTGGTTTTCTAATCTCGAACCAGCCACTCATTTATGGGTTAAATCTCACTTGTTCATGATGTATTAGCCTTTGAATATGTTCCTGGATTTAATGTACTGGTATTCTGTTGAGGGCTTTTGCATGGTTATAAGGAATATCGCTCTCAAGTTTTCTTTTCTTTTGGTTTTGGTATCTAGGTAACGTCTACCTCATAAAAGTGTTGGAAAGTAATTTTTTCTCTTCCTATTCCTCCCCCTTTCTATTTGCTGGGAAAAGTTTGTATGGAATTGATATTATTTCAAGTACTTGAGGGGCTGAGAAGTATTGCGCTAAGCATGAAAGGAGGGCTGGTTGGGCTTATACCTTATTCCTACTTTTCGACTGAGCATTTCACAGTTTTGTGTCATCAGAGGAAAACGATAACTGAAGTATCAGAACATAGATTATTCCAGCTGTTAATGATCTATATTAGAAAGTATTCACAGCCTCAAAGATGACATCACTTGCCTGATGTCAGTGATTCCAGCAGGAGCTGGAATCATGAGGGTGCATTACCCACTGCTGCCTCCAGGGGGTGCTGTGTGTCAGGCAGCAGAGCCTAGGGCCTTTGAACCTGGATGAGTTCTGAGGTGTGTAATGGGTTCAGAATAGTGACCAAGTTCCCATCAGCCAGGGGCTCATCACCCACACAGTGGTTGGGTGGAAGGATAGAAGCCCCTTCTCTGCAGGATGGAAGCCCCTCGGAAGCACATGGCTGTCCTGCCCTTCCCTGCGCGACACCTTTTCTGTGCAGTGAGGACAGAAGTTCAAGTTTTCAGACAGAGTACATTTCAGCCAGAGATATCCTAGAGACTGAACACAGGAGGGTGGGGCCTTAGGCTGTTTGGAAGGCTTGATTTGCACAAAGAAATGAGGAAGCAATTTGCATCTGGAGAGAATGCATGAATGACACTGTTTAACAGGAAGGTAAGACCACAAGGCTAGCGACCCAGGATCGGAGTCGGGTCCCTGCTGTCTGAATCTGCAGGGCATGTGCCGTGTTTATGGATGATGCCTTCATCACTCCCCACCCAGGCCATTTCTCCTAAGCCACTGCTCCTTCTGCTTTGGGGATGAGAAAGCTGGGGCTCAGGGAGAGCACAGAACTTGCTCAAGAGCACAGAGCTGAGGAGACATGGACCTGCTAAAGGGAGAGAGGATCCCACACACACTGCCCTGAGCTTTGGTTCCTGTTTGTGTCGTAATCCCAGGCACGGACTTGTGGCAGGAGGTGGGGTGGGGAGAGAGGCTCCAGCAGGGACTAGGACCCCTGTGGCTGTGGCAAGGCTGTGTCTCCAGTAACTGCAGGGCATTAGTCTAGAGGAGACGGAGGAGATGGACCCCGCACTGACAGATGCAGGGGTGAAGCCTGAACCCAACAGGCAGAGCAGCCCGGGCGCCCTTCAGGAATCCAGGCCATTAGGTGGGATGACACAGGGGGCTTGGGAGTCGTTAGTGGAACACAGCCTTGGGAATCTGACAGCAGGACATTGCAGGGTTTGGGAAGCAGGGTTCACCGGGGAGGCCTGAGAGCAGGGAGGGCTCAGGGCCCAGGGCTGGCTTAAAGTCCAGGGAGCGAGGCTGGGTCCACTCATCTGGATGTGGGCTCAACATGAGGACCAACTTCTGGGCAAGGCGGAGTATGCAGGGAGCAGGGGGTGCGAAGTGTGGCCAGGCAGCAGGAGGCAGCCTTCTCTCTCTCTTGCCTAAGGTATCTGATGTGGAACTGATTCAAGGAAGTGGGAATGTTGGTCCAGGGGCTCGGGGTGGTCTAAGGCAAGGAGGTCCCTAGCAGGCACTCACAGGAGTCATCTTCCTCCCTGAGTGTCCTCCTTCATCAGCACCCTAGGCACTTTCTAGAAGCTGAGCAGGGATGCTGAGGTAGGTATCTCAGTGGAGCACCACATCCACGAAGCCCTGTGCCGGGCGCTGCCCTGACAGTCCTGTGCTTTGGAAACCTGGGCTTGTGTGTCCTGAGCCTTGCTGCAGAGAGGACTTGGTCTACAGGGGCATCTGTTTCCCCACCGGTGGATCTGTCTCTGAGAAGAAAAGCCTGGATTCTGTCATCTGAGGACAGCCTAACAGTGAGGAATTGGAGGAGATGCTTTGACTCATAAAAGGGAAGAAGTAGCTGGGACAAAGGCAGAATGGCTTTGGAAAATACTTACCGCTTCTGTTTGTACCCTGTCATGAAGATTGTCTCGTTTAATCTTTTTTTTAAAATGATTTTCTTGAGATACAATTCACCCATTTAAAGTATATAATTCAATGATTTTTAGTATTCACAGAAATTTATGACCATTACCAAAATCAATAATATTAGAACATTTTCATCACCTCAAAATAAAACCCTGTAACCTTCAGCTCTTACCCACTATCCACACCCGCATCCCTGCCTCCCAGCTCTAAGAAACTACTCATCTACTTTCGATTTCTATAGATTTTCCTGTTCTGGAATTTTTCACGTGAATAGGATCGTATAATATGTGACTTTTTGTGACTGGCTTATTTCATTTAGCAAAATGTATTCAAGGTTCATCAATGTTGCAGGTTCATCCATGGCTCACTACAGTCTCCACCTCCTGGACTCAAGTTCACTCCTTTTTATGGTTGAATAATATTCCATTCTATGCATATGCCACATTTTGTTTATTCATTCATTAACTGATACAAATTTGTTTTTTTTCCACCTTTTGGCTATTATGAATAATTCTGCTATAAAAATGTCTGTATAAGTTTTTGTGTGAACATACATTTTCATTTCTCTTGGATACATGCCTAGGCATGGGATTGTTGGGTCATATGGTAACTCTATGTTTAACTTTTTGAGGAACTGCCAGTTTTCCAAAGAGACTGTATAATTTTGCACTCCCACCAGCAATGTGTGAGTTCTGATTTCTCCACAACCTTGAAAACAATTATTATCCAACTTTTTGATCATAGCCATCCCAGTGGGTGTGAAGGGGTATCTCATTACAGCATTGATCTGCACTGCCTGATGACTAATGAAGTTGGGCATCTTTTCATGTGCTTATTGGCCATTTGTGTATCTTCCTTGCAGAAATGTCTATTTAGATGATTTGCTTATTTTAAAAATTAGGTTATTTATCATTTTATTATTGAGTTGTAAGAGTTTTTTATATATGCTAGATTCAAGTCCCCTATCATATACGTAATTAGCAAGTATTCTCTCTCACTCTGTGGATTAATCTTTCACTTTCTTGAAGATGTCCTTTGAAGCACAAAATGTTTTCATTTTGATGAAGTCCAGTTTATCTAATTTTGCCTTCATTGCTCTTGATGTCATATCTAGGAATCTTTTTCCAAAGCCAGGCTCATAAAGACTTACCCCTATGTTTTCTTCTAAGAGTTTTAGCTCTTATTTTTAGGTCCTTGATCCATTTTGAGTTAAGTTTTGATTATGCTATGAGGTAAGGAAGCAAATTTATTCTTTTGCATATGGAAATGCAGTTGTACACCATGTTCTCATTTAATCATTACAATCCAGAGATATCATGAGCCTATTCTTTAAAATAAACATCTCCCTTTTACATCCCCGCTTTAAGGAGTCTTATGGGGAGATGTAAAATGGAGATGTTTATTTTAAATAATAGGTTCATGTGATTGTGGGAGCTGGAAAGTCTGAAATCTGTTGTGCAAGCCCCAGCAGACTGCAAATTCAGGCAAGAGTCGATGCTGTAGTCTTGAGACCAAATTTGACAGGGCAGGCAGCTGGCTGGTAACTCAGACAGGGTTTCTCTGTTGTAGTCTTGAGGCTGATTGCTTCTTCCTCAGGAAACTGCTCATCAGGCCTTGAACTGATTAGATGAGACCCACCCACATTATGGCGGATAATCTGCTTCACGTACAGGCTACTGGTAGCAAAAGTGTATCACATCCACTAAATACTTTCCCAGCAGCATCTCAACTAGTGCTGCACCAAACAGTTTGGCACCATCGGATAGTCAAGTTGACATAAAATCAGTCATCACAGGTAGTATGGTTGCCGTTTTTTAGGAGAAGAATCTGAGGCTCGGAGAGGTTAAAAGATTTCTCCAGAAGCACAGTCAGTCTAAACATAAACTGGATTATCACGTGCTGGGCGAGGAGTCAGGAAAGGGAAATGGGAAAATGTTGGTCAAAGGGTACAAAGGATACATAAATTCCAGAAATCTTCTGTGTAGCCTAGTGACTGTGGTTAATAATGCTGTACTGTATACTTGAAAATCATAAGAGAGTAGATCTTAAACATTTTCACCACAAAGCATGTAGGGTGATGGATATGTTAATTAGCTTGATTCAATCATTTTGCAGTGTATACACAAACATCACATCGTATACTGTAAGTATATGCAATTTTATTTGTCAATGACATCTCATGAAGCTCAAGGATAAAAACGACACTTGGACCGGAAGCTGGCTCCTCAAGGCACTCCGTTCTTATGCCCATATTAAGCCTCTCTGTTCTGAGAACAGTCCAGGCTTAGGGAGCACTTGAATTCTCAGAACTCCAAGTAGGTTCCAGGAAAAAATACCATCTCATTGATGGCAGACACACACATTGTGTGAATGACTAGAGTTTCTCTAAAGCATACATTCCTCCTCTCACTGTGCCTGAACTCTTAGTCACAGCAATGTGGGGTGCCATCCTCGTTTAGGAAAGTTCTTCCATGACGTGGCCTCTCTGTTTGTGTTTCTTCCTGCTGTTTCCCCTAAGCCCATCAGACGTATGCGTGTGTCTGAACTCCAGCAATAAACAGGCATTAGGATCTTTTCCCTGAGAGCCGCGGGCACTTGGCTTGTCTTCGGGAGGCTGTGGCTGCCTGGCAGACGGAGGGCCTGGGGGTGTGCGCGCGGCAACTTCCAACTCAGGTATGACTAGAAAGGCCAATGGCACTAGGAGAGTGTGGGAAAGACAATGAAGAGAGGAAGGAAAAAAAGAATGAGGAACAAATGAAGGTTTCAGGTGACAGAGAACGCCGTGGCTCAAATGTTTTCCTGAGCATTACACACAAAGAGAAGCAGGCAAGGACAGAAGTGCAGGCTTCCCGAGAACCTGGGAAACATTTGTGTATGTGGCACTTTGTGGATGATGAGCAAGGACCCAGTGATCCATGTCTCCTGGCTGTGACCATGCAGCCAGTATGTGACCTGGTCAGGATTTGAACACAGGCAGGGCCAACCCTCCCTCCGCGCCCTGACAGCCACCCTGCTGTTTCCAGTTGGCCTCTGCTATTGGCTCCTGAGCTGCCCCTGACTGGGGATACTGCATAACATCGTCCAGTACCCTAGTACTAGTTACACAGGAACAACAGGCGTTAACCAGAACCATGCCAGGCAAACTAGGATGATGGTCACTGAGCCAGAGGAAGAGGTGGCCCAAATACTGCCTAGTGGGAGCATTGTCCAGAGAAGGGAAGAAGAATGGTCCAGCACTAACATAGATGACCACAAAAGGTGCCAGAGGTTGGGCTGCAGCATGGCCTCCAGGATTTGAGTGTGATGTGGGGGTACTGAGTGCTCACACACTGCCCACCTGGCTCACATGAGGTGGTCACACCTCGGGCATTGTCGGGGATTTGAAAAATGTTTGCAGCTTCATGTCTTTTGGGCTGGGTCTCCCTTCATTTTGTGTCCACTGCTGAGCCTCAGAGTGCCCGGTCCAGTTTGGCCTGGGGACAGTCTGTTGCTTCCAAGAGTCATTTCCAGGGTCAGCTTCATTTTACTGATGCTGAGACCTCCAAATGCCCTTAGTACTAGGGATGTCACCCCCCACCAACCGAGGAGAAATGTCAATGCTCAAGTTCAGAACACCAGGAGACTGGGAATGCAGATGGACTTTGAGACCTCTCTTCCCTAGCTTTCTGCCTACACACTCTCCTAAGAGCTAACAGGTCAGTAAGAGACATCAGGCATGAAGATGTCAGTGCAATGGGGGGACAAAGTCACCCAGAACCACCTACTCTCAACACCAACTCATTCACTTCCATTCTTTTTTCCATGTATGGATTTTACAAAATCACAGAAGAAAAAAAGACCATTATCAATTAAGTGACATGTCTTTTTGACATTCTTCTTCCTGCCATTTGCTGTGTGTCTTTCTGGTCCTTTTATGAACTACTTCCTTATATATAAGCATATCCTTGGAACACAGATGCTCTGTGGGTTTTTATGTATGTGCCAGATATCACATGCCACTCCGCAACATGCTCGTTTTGCTCAGCACTATATTTTTGATATGTAGTCATGTGGGTGTGCATCAACTAGGATGATTTTTAATGGCTCTACATTATGTCACCATAGCCATGTATCACTCTTTAGTCAGTTCTTCACTGACTGATGGATATTTGGTCTGTCACAGTTCGGGTTTCCAGTGAAACAGACAGAGATGGGACTGGCTGCAGGAAGCATGCCGGTGGCACCCTAGGGAGCTGCACTTGTCAGAAGGGGAGGGCCTTGGACTGCACAGAGAGAAGGAAAGTTTGAGAGTGATGCAGCTGCCATGGACCTCAGCCAATTCCAAGGGGAGTGGGGTTGTCTCTTCAAAGTCACCCCAAATTGAAGCCAGAGCCAAGCCTTCATGCCCCCTATGCCATTCTCGGATGGAGATTGTCCTCAGGGACGAGATGAGACCTGGGCAAGTTGCTCCCTATAGGCTATTGAAGGCAATTCCAGGGGAAGGGGTCCTGATCTGGGCAGGTGCTCAGCACCCACTATGAGGCCATGGCCAGCCTTTCATGATTGCAAGTGATGCTCCAGTGCTTCTCTCTGAAGTGCCTGTTTGCTCATGTGCAAGCATGTCTCCAGAACGGGCGTAAATAAATGGAGTTTCTAAGTGTTTCATCTCTATTTGATGCTGCTGAATTGTCCTCCAGGATGACTGAAGCCATGACAGTCCCACCAGCCACTGATGATAGTGCTCATTCCTCCCCTTACCAGTGCCAATATGCTGTATTGTTACATGCTTTCATTTTTGCAACTCTAATGAATATAGAACGGAATCTTGTTATCATTTCCATTTGCTTTTCCATAATTATAAATAAGGCTAAGCACACACATAGACAACACTCTGATGCAAATTCTCTCTTCTACTTCTGACTTTGGCCCTGAATGTAAACCACAGCATCCTCAGACACAGTTTCTTCTCTTCCTTTCTTTCTGCCTCAGTTTGCCCAAGAAGAGAGTGTTTCCTCTGAGCCTTTTAGTAGTTTCAGAAGTTGCCTAATGCATCAGAAAGTCCTGTTGCATGCATGTGTGAGCCTGTGTGGGTGTGCACATGTGTGGTGCACATATGTATACATGCACACATGCATGCATGCATGTGTTAATGTGTGATGTGTCCATGTGTGCACACAGGTGATGTGTATGTAATCAGTGAGAAGTTTCTGTTAAAGAGTCTTGCAATACTCATACTCTTTGAAAGAGGAATCTTAACTCAGAGCCTCTATCTTAAAAAGTGTATGAAATACGGAAAGATTGAATATATTAAGTTATAATGTAATATATTAAATTATATATGGTGTGTCCATGTGTGGACGTGTCCACGTGTAGTGTGTGGTGTGTCCACGTGGACATGTATATCCAGCTACGTGTCTAGGGCGGGTATGGGTGAGGGAGCTGTCATTCCTGGTCAGGCTCTGCTTCAATTCAAACCTGTGTTGTTTGAGGCAAAGAGGCTGGTATCTGGGGTGACTGAAGACACACACAGTCTTGTTTTCTTTCTATCTCCTGCTGCCCCTCAGCTGTGTGTCCCAGTGACTTCTGGAGAAAAATTGGATGCTCTGTAACCCTACCCCAAATCAGGTCCAGGAAGAAAGAGGAAGGAACTAACCACAGTTCATTCAATTATTCTCCTATTGTTGGTCATTTTAGATAGTTTTCTGTTTTTCAGTATGAAAAGCAATGTTCGGTTAACATCAAATTATACTAAATTAAAGCTAAACTTATTTTTTAAATTAATTTAATTAATATACTGAATCTTTCCATATTAAATATTGATTTTTAAGATACAGACTTGGAGTCAAGATTTCTTTTTCAGAGAGTGTGAGTATTGGAAGGCTCTTTAATAGAAACTTCTTGTTGATCTGATCTTCATTCCTTTGGTTAGTAGTAAGAGCAGCTGCCTTCCACTGAGGGCTCAGAGCATGCCAGTGCCAATGCCTGCGTACGACTAGCATCTGTGTGAATCTCATCTTCCCATCTCTGGGCTCTGGTCAGAATTTGTGTAGTAGTAGTAGTCCCAGCTTCTTGGGAGGCTGAGGTGGGAGGATTGCTTGAGCCCAGAAATTAGAGGTTATAGTGAGCTAAGATTACTGCACTCCAGCCTGGGCAACAGAGCGAGACCCTGTCTCAAATAATCATTTTGAAAATCAATGCAGAGTTGTCACAATTTTATTTTGCCAAGTCTGAACATTATTAAAATAAACCCCACAAACCTATTACCTACTGTCTCTATTATTTCATAAAAAGTAGGAAGATATTTGAACACTCCTGAAACTGTATTTGGCTTTTACAAACAATATTTCATTGTCTTCATTTTTCTCACTTTGATCCAGAAAGTGACCCAGCCCCTGGCGCCTGGTTGGCTAGAACCCTGTCCATTTCTGCCCAAGCCTAACCCCCTCCACCCTCCAGGGAGATGGCTCATATATCACGGCTCTCCAGGACCAAGGGGTCCCTGGAGTCAGAGCAGAAGCTCATGGGAGGGTGCTGAGGAGAGACAGATTTTGGCTCAGGCTTGAGAACATCCTCCTGATAAATGGGCGTGTTCACATGAACCAGGCTTTCTGGGAGAGTGGTGGGAGGCTGAGCCAGAAGTGTTCCAGGGAAGCTGAGGCCACTGCTGTGCAGGTTTCTGCCTGGAGTAGGTGCTCTTTTCCAAGGTTCAGATTCTACAATTTGTAAAGGAAAAGAAAAATGTTCTGAAGGTTTGTTCAGTCCTACCCTGCATAAACCACCTGTGTTTCCCGCTAGCTTGAGGTGTGGCCTGCCTTGGGCATGGTTTCCTTGGTGCTTCGGGAGAAGGCCAGGGAAGAAGTGGCAGCAGTTCCGACCCCTCCCCCAACTCGCTGCTGCACGGATATCACAGGCTGGCCTTTGAAAGATGAGCAGTTTCTCTGACCTTGGCTGACACACTGGAGAAGCCTCAGGGCTTCCTCACTCTGCACCTGGGGAGGCAGGCAGGGCTGTTGGACTCCCTGGGCAAGCTCTTAGCAGCAACGTTCAGATTCCTGTCTTCCCAGGACCAAGTCGCCCCTGAGGCCTGAAACAGCTCCCAAGTATCTCTGGGACTTGAGAAACCAAGATGTCACCCCCTACATGCATTTAGAATTGGCTGATCGTTGGTGGAGCTGAGTGCAGAATGAAAACATGGGCCCCTTCTTCTAAACTTATTACACATTTCAAGATGGCAACAGCAGACCATTAAACCAAGCGCAGAGCCTGAGCGCCTAGTGGGCCACACACCCGAGCCTGCGAGAACTGTAGCATTCTCGGAGCCAGGCCCCTTATGGGTGAAAGGCCAGCATGGTCCTACTGGCCTCTCCTCCATCTCTGCACTGTCACAGCTGGAGGCCAGGCCTGCTGCAGGGCTTGTCAGGGAAGGGAGTGCACCCCCAGATGTGACAGTCATCCGGGCTCCGCTGCTGTGTGCCCAGCACTACCTCCTCCACCTCCCTTCCTCATCTGCAGAGGAGCAAACCCACCTCCCTGAGGGCTGCTGTAAGGACCCCCAGAGATGATGGCGTGGAGCCTTCCAGGTCCAAGCGGGCCTATCTTAGGGGCCCAGAATAAGAGGCCCCAGGGGCAGGCATAGCAGAAATCTAAGGAAGATTCTGAGGAGGAGCTGACATCCAGGGCAGAGACAGCAGATCAGAAGAACCAGATACGGAACCAAAGCCTTGGTGCCCAACAGGGAAAAAGAGCTTCTGAGTTCAGTGGGGCGGGGCCTCCCACTTCCACCTGCGCTGGGGAGTTAAGCCAGGCTTGAAAAAGACAAGGCTGCACACTCCCAAAAGTACTGACCAGGGATTCTTCTCTTCCAATTCTGGTAGAATTCTGAAAGCGGGACAGCCCCAGTGTTTAGTGACCTGCTAACAAGACCTCTCCTTCTCAAGTGAGTAGTGCCCTACAGGTGCCAGGCTGACCAGAGATTCTCACACTGGCGGGGCAAGAAAGGCAATGCCCAGGGAGGGTGGTCCCTAGGTGGAGAAGAGCCTAGGGAGGGGAGAGTCCAGGGAGGGAAGAGTCAAGGGCAGAGAGAACCCAGGGAGGGTAGTGCCCAGGGACAGCAATGCCCAGGGAGGAGTGATCCCAGAGAGGGCAGAGTCCAGAGAGGGTGGAGCCCAGTGTGGGTGGAGACCAAGATGGGGCAGCACCCTGGTAGGGCAGCATTCGCCCAGGAGAGCATAGATTGTGTTTGTTTTATCTTTTTTATGCCCTCGTTTTGATTTTTCCTTTCAGTGTGACTTTAACCTTGACACTGAGGAAAGCACCAGGACAGTAGTCCATACAGTAGAGAGAATCTGGACTTGGTGTCACAAACTGGAGCTCAAATTCTGGCTCCAGCAGTTGCTGGCTTGTGGCTCTAGCAAAGTGTGAGGGCTCCAAGTGCTTCTGTCTCCTATGTGATTGTAAAAGGTAGGATAAAGACTCCTACTCATCTGCTGGTTATTTAGAGGCACTGGAGGCAGCGCTGGGCCAGGGCTGGTGCTCGGAGGTGCTCCTGGCAGCCTCTCTGCATCCCCATTGTCTTACTGTCTCTGTCTCTCCATGTGTCTCGCTGCTGCTTTCTACATGGCATTCCCCAGCCTCTCTCCACTTGCTGTGGTACAGAGGTCAGGTCACAATGAGGGGCAGAGGACAGCCTGGCTATCCTGCCAACTCAGTGTATGGCTGGGGACAGGCCTCTGGCTTTGCTGGACTTCCACTTCTTCATCCATGTGACATTGAGAAGATCACCATCCTGATGGAATGCAAGGGAAATACTTCAGGAAACATTACGAATGCAGCCTTGAACGTGGCAGTCATCAGGCAGAGGAAATTTGATCACAAGAATCGCCCAGTGACATGGAGGCCAGGGAACATGTCTTGGGTGTTTCCTTGTATGTTCTCTCACTGCACATCTGTCAATCATGTTGGCCCTCCAGGAGTGACCAAGGTGAGAGGCACACAGGCCTTTTCCCCAGGGGACTCAAGACAAGATGTCAGCAGCTCTCAGAGCCAGGCCAATGATGACCGTGCAGGAGGAATATTGTGGCCCTCCTCAGAGCCAGAGAGGTCCATCAGGAGCATCAGGCGGGGGTGGGGGTGGTGGCACTGTAGCTGGGACACCCAGAAGATTGGTTGGAGCTATGGGGCTGGGATTGGGGCCAGCAAGGCAGCCCCCGCTGTGGGGTCAGAGAACAAGAAGGTGGTGGTAGGCTGGAGAGGAGGGGAGGAGTTAAGGATTGTCTTTTAGGGCAATTCAGGGCCAGCTTCTCCTGACGTGGGGAGGTAGAGGAAGGCAGGGAAGTAAGTGTCATCTTTGACTTGCAAACCTCTACACATAGACGTCCCACCCCCTCACACACAAAAGCTCATACACGAGCACTCCACTCACCCCAGTGTGCACACACCACATCACTCACCCCGCTCAGTGTGCACACACCACGTCATTCACCCCAGTGTGCACACACCACATCACTCACCCCAGTGTGCACACACCGCATCACTCATCCCAGTGTGCACACACATCACTCACCCCCCTCAGTGTGCACACACATCACTCACCCCAGTGTGCACACACCGCATCACTCATCCCAGGGTGCACACACCGCATCACTCACCCCAGTGTGCACACACCGCATCACTCACCCCAGGGTGCACACACCGCATCACTCACCCCAGTGTGCACACACTACATCACTCACCCCCCTCAGTGTGCACACACCACGTCACTCACCCCAGTGTGCACACACCACATCACTCACCCCCCTCTGTGTGCACACACCACGTCACTCACCCCAGTGTGCACACACCGCATCACTCACCCCACGGTGCACACACTGCATCACTCACCCCAGGGTGCACACACCACATCACTCACCCCAGTGTGCACACACTGCATCACTCACCCCAGTGTGCACACACATCACTCATCCCCCTCAGTGTGCACACACCACATCACTCACCCCAATGTGCACACACCGCATCACTCACCCCCTCAGTGTGCACACACCGCATCACTCACCCCAGGGTGCACACACCGCATCACTCACCCCAGGGTGCACACACCACATCACTCACCCCCCTCAGTGTGCACACACCACGTCACTCACCCCAGTGTGCACACACCACATCACTCACCCCAGTGTGCACACACCACGTCACTCACCCCCCTCAGTGTGCACACACCACATCACTCACCCCAGTGTGCACACACCGCATCACTCACCCCAGGGTGCACACACTGAATCACTCACCCCCGTGTGCACACACATCACTCACCCCAGTGTGCACATCACATCACTCACTCCAGTGTGCACACACCGCATCACTCACCCCAGGGTGCACACACATCACTCACCCCAGTGTGCACATCACATCACTCACCCCAGGGTGCACACACATCACTCACCCCAGGGTGCACACACATCACTCGCCCCAGTGTGCACACACATCACTCACCCCAGGGTGTACACACATCACTTACCCCAGTGTGCACACACATCACTCACCCCAGCGTGCACACAGATCACTCATCCCAGTGTGCACACACATCACTCACCCCAGCGTGCACATCACATCACTCATACCAGCGTGCACATCACATCACTCACCCCAATGTGTGCACACATGACTCACTCCAGTGTGCACACATCACTCACCCCAGTGTGCACACACCACATCACTCACCCCAGTGTGCACACACATCACTCACCCCAGTGTGCACACACATTACCCCAGTGTGCACACACTGCATCACTCACCCCAGTGTGCACACACATCATTCACCCCAATGTGCACACACCACATCACTCACCCCAGGGTGCACACACATCACTCACCCCAGTGTGCACACACATCACTCATTCCAGTGTGCACTTCACATCACTCACCCCAATGTGTGCACACATCACTCACACCAGTGTGCACACACACCACTCACCCCAGTGTGCACACACATCACTCACTCCAGTGTGCACACACATTACTCACCCCAATGTGTGCACACATCACTCACCCCAGTGTGCACACACATCACTCACTCCAGTGTGCACACACATCACTCCAGTGTGCACATCACGTCACTCACCCCAATGTGTGCACACATCACTCACACCAGTGTGCACATCACATCACTCACCCCAGTGTGCACACACATCACTCACCCCAGTGCGCACACACATCACTCACTGCAGTGTGCACACATATTACCCCAGTGTGCACACACTGCATCACTCACTCCAGTGTGCACACACATTACTCACCCCAGTGTGCAAACACATCACTCACCCCAATGTGCACACACCACATCACTCACCCCAGTGTGCAGACACCACCCACCTGCATCCACCCAGTCCTGAGATGGCTGCCTGCCCCTCCCCTCTGCCTCCTTAGGAAGGGGAGGCCCAACCCAGTGGGGTCTGGAGGGTGGGGTAGGCAGGGTATGAGTCTATAGGGTCCTCCAGATTGGGTCTCACATTCAGGAGGGGCTGCAAATTAGACATTTGACTTTATTTCCGAGTGAAATTTTCAAGCAGGCACAGAAGCACACCACCAGGACTGAAAGAAGATGCTCAACACCCAACTTGGAATAGCATTGTAACACTACACTGCCCGGCATGTAGCAGGAATTCATATTTTCTATAACGCCAGTAATTAAACAAGAATGTTTCGTTGTATTTGTGTGTTAAAGTTGTTCATTGGTTCCATGTAAACATTTAACATAACGTTTTCCCCACCCCCCACTTTTTCTTAAATAAATGGGAGCTTCAACCACGGGGAGAGGCCCTGGCCTCTCTAAGCCTCCCCTAGGCCCTGCTCTGGCTGGAGGTCAGAGGGCCATAGGTGCACTCTTCACCACTTTCAGACTCTTCCTCATACCGCCCCGTTCCATGTGTGGCCTGGAGAGACAGAGGAGAGGGTGAAACACAGAGCAAATGGAAGCCTTATCTTCCCTTGTGTTCGGGGAGGCTGAGTCTGGTCCCACAGTCCGAGCCCAGGCGGGGTGCTGGGATGCACGTGACTCAAGAGAGCCGGCAAATGCAGGCAGAGCCAGTGATAGCCGATAAGGACTGCAGCTCTTCCGAGGCTGGAGAGGCCTCGCCCAGGAAGGCTGGAGTCTTGTCACTTAAGGACATGTCACCAAGGAATAAAAATAGATATGTTTCAAAGACCAAAGCCAGAGCACATTTAATTCCAACAAATTCAAATCCAGGCCCGTCTCCCATGAGGTTGTCACTGGGGGGCACCCTGGGCATGGCATGCTGGTGAGCTGGCTATGCAGAGTAACTGCAGAGGTGCTGGCCACAGGCTGCCCCATCCCTCAGGGGAAAGTGTGCCCGGCCCTCTCAAATGGTCACATGGTTTCAGTCTATGGACAGTGAATGGCCCTGTGTGCACCACTGGCCGTGGGAGCACTGCACCAGGGGGTCACAATAACTCCAGCCACAGTGTATCATGCAGCCCACAGGGCTGCTGTCCTGACCTCTCTCTCTATCCTGCAGTTGGCCTGGGGTTATTTTTCAGTGCCTCAGGGGTCATATTAAAAAGCATGTGGCCGCTGAGTGAGCACTGGCAACAGTGGCCAGACCACGCCCTGTGTGTGACAAGCAGCCCAGTCACACCTGTGACTGATGGGCCTCAGCCTGGCCTGGCCTCAACACTCCTGGGCTCCCAATGTCTCACTGCTCTTTAGCTGGAGAGGACCTGCTAAACTGCAGCAGGGCACTTGGGAAGATCCTGGGCTTTGGTGTCCCACAAATCTGAGTTGGAATCATGCCATTGATCAATGCTACTTGATCTGCCTGTGTTTTATGTCTCTAAATTGGAAGCCATGCCCCTCCAACTGGGTTGTGGGAAATAACATACAATGATGGGTGTGACACGCGGCCTGCTCCTTCCCTCTACTCCCCAAGGGTTTTGGAGCGAGCTGGCCTCCTCCACCTCTCTAACTTCCATCAGTCTCTGCAGTGACCTGCCCGCCTGTGCTCCTCTGGCTCACTGCTGTTGTTTTCTGCTGACTATGGATTATTTTTCCCCCTGTCTCCTTTTCATCACCTCCTTGCATCCCAACAACCCTCCCAGGCTTTCCTGTTGTGCTCAAATCCCCATTTCCTTAGCCTTCCCTGGCAGTTGAGCTCAGCGGTGTATGCTTTGGGTGGGGTGTGGGGAGGGAGAGCAGGCTCCCTTTCCTCCTCCAGGCTGGCATGCAGATTGAATCAGTCCTTGTTGTGCCCAGGGGCATGCAGGACCTCTCATGTGGAGCCCCTTTGGCCTGCCTCCCCAGCCCCGCAGGCAGATACTACCTGCACCCACACTCTGCCACGCTCATGCCCTCGTAATGGTACTTGAGGGTGGGCACCCCCATGTCATCCTTGTAGAGGACGGAGATGGGGCTCAGTTTGGTGGGCACACAGCAGGCCTTGCCCACCTTTGTGGGGAACTTGAGATGCACCAGGGTCTGCACGATAGCGTGTTTCGTCGGCGTCACATCGTCAGCCAAGGGGAAGAAGCAGCCGCCCTTACACTCGTAGGCTTCATACTCCTTGGGTGCAATGATCCAGCTGTCCCAGCCGATGTCCTCGAAGTTTACCCGCAGGGAGGTCTTTTGACAGTGGCTGCCAGCCCCGGCGCTCCTTTTCCGCCTGGCTAAAGTCGACCCCGCAGCCACGTGGCCATCCGTGTCCTCCTCGTGACTGCTCTCACCTGCCTCTGTGGAGCCGTCCTTGGACAGCTTCTTGAGCACGCTCTCTTGTTCATGGCTGATCATCTCCCTCAGCTCCAGCCTGGTCTCCTTGGTCCCACTGCTGTGGTCATTGGAGAAGACAACAAAGAAGGGCAGGTTTCTGGAACCTGGGGGGACACTGATGTCCAGCGTGTCGCAGCCCTTCCTGTGGCTCTCCACAGTCACTTCCAGCTTATTTTTGCTCTTGGTGGAGTCGGACCGGACCCAGCGCTTCACGGCGCTGGACACTTCCAAGGTCTCCCAGCCCTCATCCTGAATGTCCTGGGACACCAGGAAGGTCTTGGTCTCTGTAGCACTATCCCAGGCATCTGTTCCATCCAGAACATCATAAATGACCACGCTTCCTTTCAGGTCATGAGAGGGGTCCACGTGATTTTGACAGGAGACATAGAGTCGGAGCTCAGCTCTGGTGATCTGCTCATGCCTAGGAATGGAGATGTTGAAGAGCAAGATGTGCTTCTGGAAGGGGAAGTCCTCTGTGGCAGTTATGGAGATGGCATCTGAAATGCAAACACACGTGGTGGGCATCTGCTGGAGGGTCTGTTTCCATGACACTGAAGCTGAGTCTCAGGGTTTAGACAGAAGAGCATCTGGGATAACAATTTTGGTCTGTATTATCTCTATTTGGTTTCACCCAAGCCCTTAAAGTATAAGAGTATTTTGAAAGGTACACTTAAGATCTTCCAAAGGAGATGCCTCCAATTGGGATTGAGAGTTCCTACTGTTTATCGAGCATCTACTATGTGCCAGGCATTACACTGGGAGCTTTGCAGAATACATTTCACCTTAATCCTCTCACTTACCCTGGGAGGATCTAATTATTATTCCACATTTGCAGATGTGGAGACTGGGATTCAAGGCAGTTAATTGCCAAAATGCATACAGCTAGTTAAGTATTCTGGGACTTACTAGCACACAGCTATTGAGTACATAAAGAAAACAGAAAAACTCACTGTCAGATCCTGAGTGAAGATCCTGAGTGTATGAATTTAAAGGAGAGATCCTGGGTGGGGACAGTGAAACCCCAATATTAAGACAATATCAAAAATCTCAGCCTCTAAACAGTGTATAAATCGTTTGAAATTGTAATTTCCAAACAAAGCAAAAGTGGATAATTGGTTTTAGTGTTTCAGGAACAAAATCTATTAGCTTCAATTGCTTTGTCATGTCAAGCAAAAATGGGGCTTGGCTTTTAGCCACATAGTTATCTCGATATCCCATTTATCCTGGGCTGACACTTTGTCATTAGCACGCTCCTGCTATACAATGGCTGGTTCACAGACAGGGAAAAGAGGTTGCATTTTTTCAGCACTTGCTATATACCCACATGTGTGGAGACCCTGTGCTATAGGGAAACCTAGCTGGCAGGTTTTGAAGTGCCAGTCCTGCCTCTGCAGACCAGTTAGGTCTGGCCTGGGCGTGGTATGGAGCCAGGCCCCTTAGCCATTTGCAAGTCTCAGACCCAGGAAGGGAGAGGCTCTGTGCTCCTGGACATTCAGAGGGAGACAGCAGCAGCAGGAAAAGCCAGCTCTGCAGGCAGACAGGTTTAACACTTCCTAGGTGTGCAGGCTTAACACTTCCTAGGTGACATGGGTGGGTACCCTTGGTGGCTGCAAGCTTTGACTGAACAGTTTTGCTCTTCAGAAACTTATTTCCCCTGCATCATGTGAGCTTGTCTGAGTTAGGACATAGGTCCTAGGTCCGTGTTTGTTATCTTCTAGTCCTTCTAAATCAGATATATTTCTATTTAAAAACAATTAGGTTCTCTGCCAACACTTCTCTGTCCAAGAATTTTATCTGATTTTTAAAACCGTTTCATAAGAAAGGAATAGATGTGCTTTGAAAATTTAAAAATATCCCAGTTAGTTGGAGGTGAAATAGGTTGCCTGTTCTGTTCTGAAGTAGGAAGGGGACAGGAAGGGAAGGGGGAAAGGAAGAGAAGTGAATCAGAGGGGAGTGATGCAAAGAAGAGGAGAGTAAAGAGAAGGGGTGGAAAAAAGAGAGCTGGCATCCCTGTGCACCTGCTGTGTGAAATGTGGCACACAGCTTGGGGAAGGTGAATCCTTCACAACAGAAGTGCTGAGTAGAACTCTCAGTAACCATGGAAATGTTCTTCAGTCTGCACTGCCTGATAGGGAAGCCATTAGCCACGCATTTGAAAGGAAGCTGGTGAGGCTAAAGAAATAAGTTTTAATTTTATTTCATTGTAACTAATTTAAATGGAAGCTTGAAGAGCCTCCTATGGCCAGTGGCCTCCACCCTGGGGAAAGCAGCTGTGGACCTGTGAGTCCCACCCCAGCGCGCATGGTGCAAGCGGAGACCCTACCTTCCATGCTGAAGCTCCGCACAATGTTGGACGCTGGCGTAGTCGACTTATCGGACGTGTACCTGTTGTACAGGTCAATCATGTACTGCGGCGGCTCCACCCTGGTTTTGTCCTGCGAAGGGACCCCACTCAGGTTAAGGCTGCGCAGGAAATCCACCTTCACGTTCTCCAGAAACATCTTCAGGTTGAAGGTGTGCTCAGGCAGCCCACCTCCAGGCACCCCCAGTGGGCTGTGGGCGTTTCCCCCAGCAGACCCTCGTCCCCAGCTCTGCAGTGGCTTCCCCTGTAGGGAGCCAGCCAGCAGGGACAGCAGGGGCAGGGCCACCCACAGTGCCCCAGGACACATCTTAGGCCCGCGCAATCACCCAGAGAGGAGACTGCAGGCGGCCGTGCTGTGTTAGCGGGCACGGGGAGGAGCTGGGAAGGAGCGGGCCGGCATCTCCCTGCTGTTTGCTCTGAAGGAACCGTCCTGGCCAGCACCCACTCTCACCCGCTGCCGGGCTGGATTGTCCTCCACTTGTGCTTATCTGGTCCTCGATGCCGCGCTCCGACGTCTTATCTGAGGGAGCCTTCCGTTAATGAAGGCTCTATAAACATCTGACAAACACACAGGGCATGCGGGAAGGACACGGCCTACTGTAAAGAATCTGTGCTTCTCCAGGGGGTTATTGCCCCCTAATTAGGATACTTTCTCATTTCCTTGCCAGGGCTCTTCAGAAGAATCTCCAGGCAGGGTGACATATGCTCCATCTCCTGGGCCACAGGAGTGAAGAATCCAGGAAACAAGACCAAGTAGTCCTCCAAATATAGAAAGGACAGCACAAGATCACAGTGAACCGTGGGGGCTGGGGAGATGGGGAGAGTGTGGGGACCACATCAGGGCTCAGAAGAGGCCTGCTCCTTGCAGAATCGGAACCTGCCAGCAAGCCTCCCTGCTCTGTTGGTGGGATGCACTGCTGAGCATTAGAGATCACGAGTGAATATGGCTCCCGTGCAATTTAGTGCGGTGATGAGTCAAACTAGACACAGGCTGGGATCTCAACTCCCTCACCGATTCCCTGCAAATGTCACCTGGAACAAGTCACTGCAGCTCTTGGAGCCTCCCATTCAGAAGATAGTTATAGGGGTTAAGAGGATGCTGTGCCCCAGGCTGGCTTGGTGGCTGCATTCTGGATGCCCCCTCTCCAGCCCAGGCCTGATTGAGCTGGAGCTGGGGGAGGAAGCCCTGGGTTCCCCCAGCCTGCTCTGTCGGAGCTCCACAACACACTGCAGCCTGTGGGGAGCTCCCCACATCCCTGCATCCCAGCTGTGTCACTGGTCTGTTGTGGGGTGGTCTTAGCTCACACCAACCTGGCAGCCACCTGGCCCACACTCATCAGCAGGGAGAACCACGCAATCTGGTAGACAGGGGAGTAGGTGGGTTGTTCTGAGAGTGGTACATGCCAAGAAGATGATCCCCTGGCCTTTGGAGGCTGATAAGCTGTGGCCCAGGAAAGGGCCCCAGGGACTGCGTTAAGAGCAGTATGTCCACACTTAGACTCTGTCCATTTCCATCACGTGTGGCTTTGAGCAAAGCAAAGAAGGATCATGGTTAGAAACACTCTGGGGTATGCTGTGCCTGGTGGTTTACTCTGGGGAAGGTATTCTATGCTGGTGAGGCTGTCCGGGAGAGGCTGCAGAGAGCTGAGCAGGTTTAGGGGGGTGCAGGAGGGGCCACAGCATGCTGCGGTCAGAGATTGCAGAGGGGGATGGGTGAAATCAGGAGCCCCTGAATGGCTGGGCCTGAATAGAACTTGCTATCTCTGTCCTTTGATGACATGGGCCAGGGGAAGACGGGAAGCGTGCTGCTTCAGAAATGCTGCTTGGGAAGAGGACTGGAAGTGTGCTGGGCTTTGATCCAGCTCAGTGCAAGAATTCCATGGGGCAGAGAAAAGATGAATAAATGGGTGCCATGCCCAAGAAATGGAGCTGCAAATGCGGAGTGAGGTGTGGTCCGGGAGGAGTGAGGACAGGGCAGATGCCTGCAACATGGTCTGGCCAGGAGCTTTTCACACACGAGAGGCTGAGCAGAGGGATAGCCTAGTGGCCTGGATGTGCTCAGGGAGGAGCAAGGGGCTGCTACCTGACGTTATTTTTTAAATGTGACATTTTTTTCCCCTGTTATAACAGTAGTCTATAGTATAGAAAACTTGGGAAATGGAAAACATTAAAGAGAAAATAAATAACCTACAATTTAATCATCCAGTGATGCCCATGGTTAGCATTTTGAGACACATCCAACTCCACAATCCTATATCTGAAACCATTGTGGCCAGGATTGTGTTGAGACTCCGACAGTTTCAGATTTGGGGGATTTTGTATTGTGTATATGCAATAACATTCCCAAAGGGGTCAGAGACAACACCTTATAATGACACACATGAATATTTCTGCAGTGAAACAAATAAAGACACAAATGTCCATTCAGGTCAAGTTTTCCCAGAAAAGGAATTAAAAGAAACTCTAGGTTCTCAGATGGTTCTTTACTTGGAGGTCTCAGATGAAGGACTATGGACCTGACTGTATCCAGGGTCATCACAGCTGCCTGTGGGTGCTGGCCACACAGACTCTGACATGGGTGTCTTTCCCTGGAGCTGTGCAATGCAACATGCCGGTGTATATCTGAAAAGATTTGCCTCACAAACTCAAGATATCAATATGTTCACATCTCTTTCATTGTATTAAATGGATTGCTTGAGGTTTCCTGATCCATATTATCAGGAAGTCTAGTCTTCTCCTTTTCTGAATTGTCCAAGTGCTCCATGGGTAAATTAAGTCCAAAGGAGATAGGGTATGAAGGTGTTAGTCCAGCTTCTTCATGCTGGGAAGCGGGAGGGAGAGAGGGGTCCCACCTGCTGTTGCTTCTCAACAACACTGGCTTTGCTGTTGGGCACTGGTCCTACATGTCTAAACGGCTGCTTGTTCTTAGCTGCTGGAATGTCCTCTAGCCCAGGTCTGTGGGGTGGCCCCCATGAGGCAATAAGGTAACAGTGTTCTTAGACGTGTGCCGGGCTTACCCACCTCCAGCATGCGTGTCTCTGTGGCCAGTGGCTGGGTGAAGGTAAGAGGCCAGTTATGGTTAAACACCGATTCCAACCAGCCCTTTCTCAAATCTGTAGGCTCTTACGGGGGGCCTAGGTCACCAGCGGGACTCCCACTTTCATCAGGTGGTGATTTCAGGGACCTGGTTACCTTTTCATACAAATGGACCCTGGTCCATCTGAGAAAATCCCCCTAACTCTGGGTCTTAGGGAACAAGTCTCAAACTTGCTCTGATTTTCCCAGGAGGAAACAGACCCTGGATGTTCCCTCCTGCAGAAGGACCCCTCCCTCTGCTATCACCAGCTTTGCATTGTTGGGGCCTCAGGAAGGAGCTGCCTCACTTGAACCACAGAAGGTCTTATTTATCTCTCCTTTCCCCCCTCTTCCTCCAAATTGTGTACTTTCTAATTCTTCACCGACTTCCCAGGGAAGTCAGTCCACATGATTATTCAAAGACTAACGATCTGAATTATGGTAGTCTTATGTGTCTATACCTAAATAAAGCAAAGACTGGCATAAAATTTAAGAAAATCTACACCAAAGTGTCTTCAGTCTCTGCCTTAGGTTTACTTTCGAAGCCACTTGAGGTATACATGGTTTGATATATACAGGCTTGCTTCTCTTTGACAAAAATTTTTTAATTAAAATTTTTAAAATGTTGTCATTTGGATTCCTTTTGTCACAGGTTGCAGAAAAGCAGAATCCAAACAGGCCTAAGCAAAGTGGATTGCACCTGACTAATGAAACCTTCTTGGTTGGCAACGGTTTGGCTTTAGCGTGGCTTGAGCTACAGTACAGGCAAAGTTCTAGCCATGCTTTCTCCTCTCTCAGTCCTGCCTTACACTGTGTTGGCTTCACGCTCCATCTCTCTGTGTCTTGGCAAGGTGGCCGCTCACTGCAGCCGGCCCGCATCCCTTTCAAATGGGTAGCTAGGTGGGGTCAAGGAGGAGCAAAAGCCTCTTTTCCAGGAAGTCCTAGGGAGTCTCGTGGTGTCTCTCTGACTCTGATTGGATAATCTACAAACACTCCAGCCAATCACCGTGGCTGGGGGAATGCAATGTCCTGAATGTCCTGATTGGCTTAGGACCCTGGGATGGGCGTGGCGCAGACAGCACAGGGAGAGAGTCAGGTTGGCAAGAACCCCAGAAGGGTCTAGGTCTGGGCACTAGGAGGAGGTACTGGGAAAGGATTGTGTAAATACCTTCCCACTTCGTGAAAAGCTTTTCATGAACTTCATTTTTTTTTTTTTTTTTTTTTTTTTTTGAGACGAGATCTCACTCTGTCACCCAGGCTGGAGTGCAGTGGCATGATCATGGCTCACTGTAGCCTCGACCTCTCTGGTCCCAGGTGATCTTTCCATCTCAGCCTCCTGAGTAGTTGGGACCACAGGCATAAGCCGCCACGCCAGCCTAATTTTTATATTTTTTTATAGAGATGGGGTTCTGTCATTGCCCAGTTTGGTCTCAAACTCCTGGACTCAAGTGATCTGCCAGCCTCCACTACACAAAGTGCTGGGATTACAGGCGTGAGCCACTGCGTCCAGCCCATGAACTTCATTTTTAATGACTAAACATTTTCCAGTTCTATGGACATATCTTAATTTAGTCAAATATTTTCCAATGGTAGGACAATCAAGACTATTAAGATAATGTTGCAAGACACATTGTCGTACATTGTTATAGTGTATATTTTGTATTATTTTATTGGACAGGTCATTGGAAGTGGAATATCTAGGTCAAGGTATACATAACATTTGCAAAGCTCTTGGTAAGCATTGCTAAGCGGCTTTCCACAAATGCTTTTTAAATATTCACTCTCAGCTGAGCCTAAGAACTCATCTTACCACACTGTTAACCAATACTTCTTTCTAATCCTTGGCAAATTAATGAACAGCAGCAACAAAAATGCTAATTTGCATTGCTCCTTAGGCTGGACTATATTTTCCCCCACTTTTTTCAGGAGACAAACCACAGGATCTGGGCTTCAGCCTCCAAGGAGGTATAGCAGTGGCCAGGTCTCATCCTGTGCTAGTCCAGGGCCGTGCTCAGGAATCACATTTGTTACCGTGCTGTGAGTCTAGGGAGAGGGCCAGAGGGCACCACAGATTCCTGGGTGTTCCACAGGAATATGGCCCAGGGTAAGCATGCAATAACTAGTCATTAGTATTGCTCCTGTCAGTACATGATCTTTCTGTGACTGTTTCTCTCTCCCCCACCCCTGGGACAGCTCTGCCCTTCCTTTCCATGGAGCTGCAGAGGGAGCTGTGCTCTTCCACCAGGACCACCTCATGTCCCTTCCCCCTGTCCTCCACCAGGGCCAGTTCTGACTGCCTTTTAGTACCTGCCTAGGACTCCTGCACCATGCAACCTCTGTGTTCCAAGAAACAGTTGGATTCATCTAACAACCACTAAAGGGCCCCAGGGCTGCTCCTCTGCTGGCAGCAATTTGACATGCCCAGTGAGCCTGCCGGGCCTTCACAGCCAGCCAAGGCTCCTCCAGGGCAGGCCTCCCATGCTCGTCTCTGCATATGTCTTTGAACACCTCGGCATGCTCTGTGGTGGGTGCTAGTCAGGCTGGGTTCTGCCCCAGTGGCTGCCAGCTTGGCCCTGTCCTCCTGTCTCTTCTCAATACCCAGACGGTTTCACATGACTGTGCTGTTGTTACTTTTAACCAAAACCTCAGTAGGGTCACAAATCTCAGGACTTGTGAATTACAGAAACCATGGCATCACTGCAATTGGTACGGAAGAAGCACAATTCAATGAACAAAAGAAGTAAACTTGACTCATCCATTTATTTCAAGCATCCTTGAAGCCCGTTCCTCCAAAAAGGTGACATTGACCTCAGTGTTCCTTCATGGAGGGAGAAAGGATTCACCTGAGTTTCTGTTACACCATGACTCCAGAGCATCAGGGACCCCTTCCCTCCCAGGAGACATCACTAAAAAAACCTGTTCTCAAAGCATGGCCATGGAGCCAGCAGCAGCAGTGCCTGGGAACTGGATAGAAATAAAGGCTCAACCTGAATCAGAAACAATGCTAGGGGGCCCAACTGTGTCAAGCTCTCCAGGCAACTCTGATAGGCATTTTGCACAGTGGTTTTGACAAAAGAGGGAACTCATAAGAGCCTTCCAAGAGAAAACATATGAATACATTGCCTAGCATGGTATTTGGCACATAGTAAATGCTACATAATTGGATAAATAAACATATTTCTTCTCCATCTGACCCACCTATCCCTGACCCATACAAACAAGCCTGCTGGGAGATGCTAGAGGAGCATGGCTTGGGGTTGGGCTGAGCGTGAGTGAGCGGACTGGAGGCAGGATAGATAGAGGATTCATGGACATTATTATCTCAGGGAGCAGAGAGAAGGGGAATGGAAATCCCAGAAACACCTGTGAAGGATCTTATGTTTCCAGGTTTTGATAAAGGGAAATAGTTTTGAACTCTAATGTTGGTGTTTTGGTGCACAAGTCACAGCCAGAGCTGGCCAGCTGGCCAGCCCTCCTGGTTTCTCACTGACACTACCTTCAAGCCCTCCCTGGCATGCGCTGCTGCAGACGCTCTTTGTGATGTCCTTATTCCACCAGCCAAGCCCGGCTCTTTCGTCCTGCTTGGTCTCAAAGTCAGCCTCTTTGTGGAGTCGTCTCCATTCCTCCTCCTCCAGAGTCTCCTCCTCTCATCCTCCCCTTCCCACCTCAGACATGCATAAGTTCCTCAGTCACAGCTTTGTCTCCATCCTGGCCACAGAAGAAACATGAGTTATAAGCTTCTGCTCTGATGACATTTTATGAAGTCATAGAGAGGCACCTATTGGGACACCCCAGGCAAAACACCTGGTAGTACCAGGACTCAAGTCTCCCCATTTCTCAAGTATAAAGGTTGTATTGGAAGCCTTCTGAAGTTTTCTCCCAGCCCTCAAGTTTTTAGCTCTCAATGGTACTATTTATGTTTGTCACATGAACTAATCTATAAGAGGCCCTGCCCTTCTAGAGGATGTGTAAATTCAGAGATGCGGCCCAGCTGCAGGCCACCACCCTGCTCCCTCCAGAATGAAACAGGCCCAGTTGAGTGACATCAGCAAACCGTGTCCAGACCGTATGATGGAATCTTTTGGGCTCTTATGACAATGTAATGTTGACATTTTTTGTTTTAAGGGAAAAACAAGTTATTTCATAAACATATTTCTTTTTAACCTCACTTTACTGTGTCCCAACCTCAGTGTTGTTGGGACAATCCTAGCAGACTGGGGATCACTGGCCAGGAAGTTCAGGGTCAGTGCCAGTCATGTAGGCCTTAAATCAGGCGGCCTTGAGCATCAAACTTAATGTTCCCTGTGGTCTTGGCAAGACATCAATGGACATGTTACTTACCCTTCCTGAGCTTGTTTTTCTGCAGCTCCAATTGGGCAGTAAGTTGCAAGGCTGCTGTGAGGCTAAGCAAGATCCTGTAACTGCGTGGTCTTCTATACATTGGAGGGGTCACTAATGATACCAGCTTCTCCTACTGTAGAGTTGGGACATGTCATGTCCCCAGTTGGGACCTGCCCCATTTCACATTCCAAGGTCTTCAGGGCATGCCCAGGAAAGATGGCAACAACTGAGCACCTTCCATCCAGGCACAGGCCTGGAGGCCATGCCCACAGCTGGACCCAGGGAGAGTGTCCCAGCCTGCCCTCCCCAATCCCAGTAAGCCAGACATGAGGACTCAGAGGCATTCCAGGTATTTGGGGGGAATCCAGAAGGCCTCCCAGAAACTGCAAGTGCTAGAAAGAATAAGATAAAACTACTATTGGACAGCCCATGTTTAGCAAAAATAGAAAGGGGGCAGTTGAATGAGAAGAAAATGAGGGATGGAATATTCAGAAGAAAGGGACTTGGAGTTTTATTAAGCCCCAATATTTTTACTTATTTTGCTATTAACTTATATCCTGTCATGTTCCAAAGAGAATTAGACATGGCAAACCAAGCACTAAAGTGCAGGCCAGTTTGCGCCAGCCCAGCAACCTATAGCAGCTTGAAGGGAACAATTTGGTCCCATGTCCAGTTCCTGTGGGAGTAAGGGAATAAGGTGGTGAGTGTGGAGGACCATCCCACCACTCCCCTGACCTCTGTCAGCAGGCAGGGCCATGTGCCCAGCAGGTAGGGGTCCCCACGGCAGCTGCTCACGCATGTGTCCCAGGGTCACTTGGAGCACCTCATAGGAGATGCTGAGCAGAAGCTGCGGAGCTTCACCCTGGCACCCTCGCATCCCCCTCACCTACCAGTTCTGGCTAATCATTCTCCAGTTTCAATGGCTTCGCCTCCAGGAGTTGCCACTCTTCGGATGCTACCTAGGCTCCTGGAATCACTGTGGCTGCCTGGGCAGAAGGCCAGGGAACTGGGACTTTACATCGCCCTTCCCAGGGCAGCCAGAAGCCAAGAGGCCCTGAACACCCAGCTCCCTTGCTCGAGGCCACACTGCCCTGAGGAGTAACTAAGCTCCAAAGCTCCCCACAGGATTGCTCCCAGCCTGCTTTTCTGCTTCACCTCACCCTTGCCCATGTCTCCTGAGAGCACTTCCCCATATATCCCTTGCACAGGAATCCTGGTCTCCAGAGCCCAGCCTAAGGCCCAAGACAGACACCAGAGCTGCTTCTCTCCTTGGACATCCCCTCTTAGAAAACCACTATGGCTTTGCAGTTTCCTCTAAGACTTGGGGCCACGTCATCTGTAGGTCCCAGCTGATGGGACTGCTATATATACACCTGTCTCAAATTGGATCCAGATTCTCTTTCAGAAATGCTGGTTAAGCAGCTTCAGGCACTCCATCATAAGGCAATGTAAACGAAGGGCATAAGGGAACAATTTGGGGTGGCTTGGGTGATCCTTCTACACACAAGCAAAAGAGAAGCAGGTGCAGGAGACCACATGGCCCGTCCACTTCCTCATGAGTCCTTGGACCTCAGGAGAGACCCCTACTTATGTTGAATCTCTTGCTCCATGAATTACCAGAAGTAAAAGATCTCTGACCAGGCAACCATAGATGTTTTTTTAAACACCCCAGGCACCTCCCAATCAATCCATGTCCCTGAGGCTAGGGGATGAGGAGAAACCCCGAGAGGCCACTGTCCCTGTCTGGAGCCATGTCCATTCTCAACATCAGCCTAGCTTGGGTTTGCAGGAACCAGTAGTGGGACAGGCCCCTGGAAAGCATGGGAAAGCCTGGGTTTCTGGAGCCTGGGACAGACACCAGGGAGTATGGAGATGGCTTAGGGGACTCCAGCGACCCTAAAAGAGGCTGAGACCCCAGCAACCACCAGATGGTGTACTTACAGATGGGGAGCCAGTGAGATTTTGAAATGGGTGACATTCAGTTTTTCAAGATACCACTGTACCTTTAATTTATTAGCTTTCCATAAAAACACATAACATACACAATCTACAGTATAGAAAGTATAATTTACAAAAATATAAAATCTTGGTTATTTTTTAGTATTCCCACGTTACTATATGTGTTATTTCAATATGCATGTTTAAACAACCCACACTCAGCATGACTATCTCTGTGGGGAATGGTGTCAACGCCCTCCCTTTTTGTTGTTTTAAAATAAAATATATATATTAAGAAAAAGAAACCAATATTGGCTACATGTGCATACCATATGGATAAAAGCTCTGCAGTGGACTTTGAAAGGAAACACTCATTTACACCACGATTATCCTGTTTTCCAAAATCACTATGTGGCCCAAAGTGTTCTGAACTGAGCATTTAAACAGAGTTCTTTCCGTGTGCAGGGAGCGAGCGCCCTAAGATTTGCATAGTCTTCTTGCTCAGTTATGAGATGATGATCACATCAAGCCAATGTTGTGGATATGTTTTGTTTTCAAGCCTTCAGAACAGTGGGTATGAATGATGGGCCACTTTCAGGCCAGGGCTAATTCCCAGATTCCTTCAGGTACTCAGGCTGGCATTTAAGGGGCTAGTCACTAGCAATGAAAGACCCCCTAATGATGCACTGGCGGACAGCTCTCTCTGGGCCCCAGTGATGTTGCCCATGAGCTGTGCTCTGTGTCTGCAGCTGCACCACAAGTCCTGGTTGCAGAAGGCTCCGAGAAGGCAGCTCTGCTGGGCGTGGCTTCTTTCCACCCTGGAGTGGTCTCACCGGCAGGCACAGGTGTCCACGGACATGTTGGGGTACACCTTCAGAACCACATTCCGATTCTCATCCAGGAAGAGGACCCCAAGGGAGTTCATCTTATCGGGAACACAGCAGGGCTCTGGGATGCCAGGGATGATGCCCACAGCCCTGACAATGCTCTGGATGGTGGCATGGTTGGATGGACGAACGATCTGCAAGGCAGAAAAGGAGTAGGGTTACCTCAGCTCCGCCCTCACCCACCCACGCACCCATGCCATCCTCACAGTCCCAGGCCATACTGCTCTGCTGTTGTTCCCCGGCTGAGGCCACAGAATAGGCATCCACCTAGAGGAATGGACGAGATCCCAAGGCGGGGCACACGGTTCCTCTAAAATCAGACATACGCTGAGTTCCGGGCTGAGGTCTCCAAGAGCCCCCAGGCCTTCCTGCCCTTTGGCTTCCCTGAGGCACGCTGTGTCCCCAACACGGCAGGGCCACATGGGGGCGCCTGAGTGTCACACATCCCCGCGGAGCACCAGGAAGCAGGCAGAAGCTGCCCAGAGGGAAAACCCAGCGAGATGCCAGCACAGCCCTGGTCTCGCAGTCTGAGGAGGACAGGCATGCTTCTCACGAGGTTGTGCTCTTGTCACTGAAGGGAAGGCCTGGCATGTGCGTGGCAGTGTGACAGGCTGGACATTGACATTTCCTAGGGGCTGCTCTCCCTGCATCACCCCCTTTTTTTTGTCAGCTTAGCAATTTTATGGGGTGGGTATTACCTGGACTTTACTGGGAAGACACCGAGGTTTAAAATGACTGAGTAACTTGACCAAGACCCCTAGTTAGAAAGTGACCTGGCTTGGAAAACTGTGCCCACCTCTGACAAGATGAACCAACCGGGTCATCCACTTCAGTGCATCACCAGCCAAACAGAGATTTGTATATGTAGTGCTGTTGAGGAGGAAGCCCTCTTGTGTGGGTGTGGTGGGAAGGGAGCAGGGCAGGGACACCTGCCTTTGCAGCGTTCTGGCTGGTGTCCCGGAAGGTGGGGAGGCAGCAAGCCAGGGTGATAAGCTAACCGCATGGCCAACCAGCTGCAAGCCTTCAGGGTTCCGGGCTTGCATCTGCCTGGGTCTTTGCTAGGCCCTTTTAGCAGGCTCCGTCTCTATGTCAGGCACCTCCCTCTCTCTTGCACATGCACGGTTTTGAGGAGAAGTTTTGAGGAGAAGCCATTTAATTCCCAAACACGTTACTGCTGCCCCATGTCTGGGTCTGGACTTCCCCAGCTGGCTGATTATTTAAGTTCAAATTGGATTTATGCACTGACTTTCTTTTCTTGGAGGGAAAGGCATGACCTGCCCTGGGCAGAGTAACTAAGCAGGAAGAAACTGTGTGCTGAGTGCCGAGGGCTGACATCACAAGCAGCCAGGCTGCTGCAGAGCAGGCTGCAGGGAGAGGGATGGACTCAGCCACAGCCCAGTCTGGAGCGAAGGTGAGAACTGGAAATCCTTAGGCTGGTGCAACAGACAGAACAGCCCAGTGCTGTGTGTCCTGCAGACCCTGTGCACAGTGAAGGCCTATTCCCTGTGGATTCCTGCCCTGAGCTGCAAGGAGGAGGGAATCTACAGTGGGAGAGCTGCTGAGGCTAGCACTGTGCTAGTCACAGATTGCCACACTCTGGGGTCCAGGCTGGGAACAGAAATGAGAGCCTTGGTCAGGAGGGAGCTTCTGGGACCTGCCGTGTGTACAGGAAGCAGCATCTACTCAACCTCTGCAGATAGTTGCTATGTGGGGATGCGTTTCTAAAGACATGGATTCTCCTGCTTTTCAAAAGAATGTTCTCATTTTAAAGTCCCAATTCAACCAAGCCAATACTTCAAAAAACACAGCCAAACTCACACATATGTGGGCGGCAACTACCCTACGGGCTGCCACTTGGTGACCTATGTCTACCTATTTCCTGCCTGGAATAGATAGGAAGTACTGTTATTCCCATTTTGCAGATGGGGAAACAGAAGTCCTGCAGGCTGAGGAACTTGACGGTAGCGGCAGAGCTGAGCCTTAGAATTTGGCAAAAGGCGGAAGAAACCCTACCTTAGGCATGGGGAACTCACATGCTCCCGCGCAGTAGTAGGCATCAAAAGATTTCGGTGAGATTATCCATTCATTCCAGCCGATGTCTGCGAAGTCCACCTTCAGGTACCTCCGGGAGCACACCCTCGGCTCATCCCACTGCTTCCTCCGGGCTTTCTGCATCGTCTTCTCGTCAAAGTCCAGCACCTGCGAGGCGGCCATGAACACCTCCTGGCCCTTCTTCCTGCGGTCTTTGCGCCCTGGCCGGGGTTTCAGCGCCCGGAAGGGGCTGGGCCACAGCTGGTGCTTGTGGAAGTGCTGTGCGTGGGCGCGCGGCGGCCTCTCATCCAGCCCCGGCAGCTCGTTGTCCTGGAGGGGCCCAGTGGCCTGCGCGGCTCGGCGCACGCGGGGGTCCGCTGAGTTGTTGGGGGCTGCGCGGGGCTCGGGGTCTCCGGCAGGGAAGGGGTCGTATCTCTGCAGCGTCACTGCCACGCTGTTGGGCTCCGAGATGGCCAGATCGTTGGCATAGACTAGGATGTAGGGCGCATAGGGGCTGGGCCGGGGCACCCCCGGGTCCCTCTCCTCAGAATCCAGCTGGGCGGAGAGGAGCAGCTCGCCATCCCGGCGGGCCGCCTTGACGATGGGGGAGATGTCCTTGGCCTGCCACAGGCCGCGCGGTGGGGGCGCCAGGGCCATGGCCCCGCGGAGTAGCCCCTGTGTGGCCGTGTTCTGCGAGAGGCTGCGGAAGAGCAGGTGCTGGCGTGTGGGCGGGCCCAGGGGCAGCGGGCGGCCTGAAGCGTTCTTGGCCCGCGGCTTGCATAGCACCTCGAGCGCTCGAGGCCACCGAGGCGGCTCTGAGTAGAAGTGGAAAGTGGCCGTAAGGATCATTTCCGAGTCTTGCATGGAAGTCAGGTTGAAGAAATACACGGCCTTCTGGTCGACCACTTCTGTGAGGGAAGGAGAGACCACAGGCTGTGAAGTTCTCGCTCGTGCTCCTGAGGGTCTCCCACCCAGGGCTGGAGGAGCAAACGCCCACCGATCCACACTTTCAGGACCATCCTCCTCCCCCGCTTTGCTTCCCTCCTTTCGTGTAATCCTCACATGAAACTGATGAGGGCGCCCTTTGCAATCCTCAGTGCACAGGTGAGGAATTAAGGTTGAGATTGTCAATATCCCGTAGCAAACAACAACAACAACAAAAAGCAACAGCAAAGAAATAGGGGCAGACAGGGAGGCATTCGGGCCTGCTGGACTCCAAAGCTCCTGTTTGCTCCCCCTGCCCTCTACTGCCTCTGCATGCACAAATGAACAAATGTCACTGACACCTTCATTAAGTGCTCAGGATGGCTTGGGTTGGGTCCAAGCCCTGCATCAAGGCAGCCCCTCCTGTATTTGCACAGCCCTCTATTTATGCAATCAGTTTTTAAATGCAATCATTAAATACACTTCACATTAAACCCAAACATTCTTCCAAAAGAGACGAAATAAATAAACGCTCATGCTTTTTGAGCACCTCCTAAGGGAAACCAGGATCAAAAGTACAGCCATTTAGGCATCTGCTCTTTGTTCTGCCTGAGGACTTTTAAGATTGTTTTAACAAGAAAAGAGCAGCATCAGGATTACACAAGGCAACCTGACTAAATCTCCAAGGTCCAGGTAAAGACCGGGACGTCTCAACCATTACATCTGCAACTTGGTTCAAGAATGCTCCAGCTCCGGCTTCCCTGGGGCTGCCGGCCACTCCTTCCTATTTGCCTGGTGGAAGCAGGCGTTCCCCAGGGCACCAGGGCAGCACAGCCATGTCAGCAGTCCCAGGAAGCTGCCCCAACCTTGGCAGCAGCATGAGTATTGTGTCAGGTTTGAATCGCCTAAACATTATTATATATCAGTGAGCGTTCTCAAATGGCCAAGTCCGCTCTAGGCTTCTGAGGAGTGGGGAGTCTTTCCTGGTGCCTCCCTAGGATGCCGCACACTAACAGGACACCAGAGAGGCCAGGCTGGCTTTCTCCTTTCCACTGCTTCATTTCCTGACAACGAAGTGTCCTTCTGCTGGGGAACGTCTGGAGAGGAGCAGGGCTCCCAAGCCCGGGAAGTGTGTGTGGGGGACACTGGGCTCTCTAGGGGCATGGGTCAGGGCCACACCTCTCTGACCCCTGTACCTACAGCATCTGCAGGGATTTTTTTTTTTAACAGAAATATTCCACTTTCTCTTCTTTGTTTCTGTTGGGAAGAAGGCATAATTCAACTGGGATTGTTCACATACTCTTAAGGGACTATGAGCGGGAAGAAACAGAGAAGCACATCTATGGAAGGCCTGATAAATAAATGCCAGTAAAGGCTCAGGTGGCACTGAAGCCATTACCTTATTTAATCCTCACAACAAACCTGCCAGGACAGTGTCACAGCCCCTCAACATGCTCCACACATAAGCAGCAGCCCAGGGTCTCAATGCACACTTGAACCTGGCTTCCCCAAGCATGTGGCCTTGACTGCATAACAATGACTTCCACATTTTAATCAGCACTCCAGGGGACTCTGGCCATCAGGGAAGTTTGGGAAGTCAGTGGCAGCTGATAGCTCACTCCGGTGGTAGCGGTGGTGTATCTGCAGCATCTGGGGTTGACCGATGGATGGGGTGAAAGTTCACCAATAATGTTGCACCCCCCCATCCCCAAGCTAGAAAATGCCCTAGGAACCAAGCTCCCAGGACTCAGTGGCGCCACGCCCTGAACCTTGCTTTCCCCATCTGCCTCACAGGGACAACAGCCTCCATCTCACACAGAGGATTGTCTGGAAGATCACAGAAACAGCCTAGTGAAGTGCCAGGTACAAAGGAGGTGCCCCCAAATGTGCTTTCTGCCTCTTGAATCTAAAGGACCAAGGCTGGCAGAGCAAGCTCCCCTCCATCAACTGGGGTACCTTGCATTCACTGATCCAAATATCTGAGCTGCAACCCAGCCAACACAGCACATTGTTTTTCTTTGATCCAGTTCAAGTCTCAACTCCTCCATTGTTCTGCTAACAGATTCAGAGTGGGGAGGAACCTTTGAGGTTGTGCAAAAGGGTATAAGTCCTACCTCCATGTGGCTTGAATGCCTCCTGCCAGAGGGAGCTCAGCCCTCACTGGGCAGCCTGCTCTGGGAAGACCCTCCCTGCTGGGGACTGCTGGGGACAAGATGGGTCACCCCCAGCCCCAGTGCATGAGGGACCACAGGCTGGTCCTCTCTCTGGATGTTTCTGCATGTACGCAGTGCAGGGGGCTCCAGGCTGTGGCTCAGAGAAGGGACCTCAACCTGAAATCTTTCAGTTTAGCCGAGCCCAAGCCATAAGAGAGAAGCATTGAAGAGAACGTCATTATTTCCTCTGATGCGTGCTGGTGCTCTGTGATTCATGTCTTTTCTCTCTTCTTTCTTCTCTGCCTTCCTCCCTCCTCTCTTTTCTTCCCCTCTTTCCCCTTTTCTATCCACCCTCTTTTCCTTTCTTTCTTCCTCTTCTTCTCTTTGTTTTCCTGATAAAGATTTGCAAAACTCCTACTCCAGGCTAAGTTGGGCTGACCAGGGTCATAACAAAGTTGCCCAGGAGGAGTTCAGCCTAGAGGGGAGACAGATAACAAAGTTGCCCAGGAGGAGTTCAGCCTAGAGGGGAGACAGACTGGTAATGGCAATGACACCCGTCTTCAGTGTCTCCTCATGTCACAGTTTTAAAGAGCACTGTCCAAGCGAGGCCCCCGGTGTGCTGGGTGCATTCCATCACAGGTCACCCCCCAAGCTCGGAGCCCTCCATTGCCCCAAATAAAACTCAACCCCTTACCAAGGCCTTACTTGATCTGGCCTGCCTACCTCTGCAACTTTATCTCCTATCCACAGCCCAACCCCACCCCTCTGCCCCCGTCACACTGGCGTTCTTCTCCTTCCAACATGTGGCTTTATTCTCAGGACTGTGCCTCACGCTTCCTTCCACCTTCATGGTTCCCCATCCAGTACCACTCAACCTCTTCAGGTATCTGCTCAAATGGAACCTCCCACAATGGGTCCCCTGGGCTCCCGTGGCTGGAGAACAGCCTCATCACTCTGTCTGCCCCTGCTTCATTGGCCTTCAGAGCACTTCCTGACATCCTGCTGTATACTGATTTACTGCTCTTATCTTCCTAAAACATAAACTCTAACGGGACAGGGACACTGCCAGTTTTATTCACTACTGCACCGCTAGACCTCACCATAAGGCTTAGGTGACAGTTGGAGCTCAGAGATGCATGTTGAATGAGATTGTCTGTGAAAATCCTGCCCAAGTGGGCACAAGAGAAGTGTGGTCTGTTACTTCAGTTAACACTGGGGGTTCCTGGCATGCTTCCCTAGAGTGCAGTAACCACAGCCTTAAGAAGTCAAGGAATCCTCATTCTTTACAAAGATGCAGCTGATGATGCAAATCCAAATGGAGACAGTGGGCACCCAGGTGTTTAGCCAGACTTCCCCTTGAGCCTCAGTGTTCTCATCTTTAAATTGGAAGAAAATTGTTTATTAATTATGACATTCTGAGCTCCAAGTGTATGTGCTTGGTCCTATGCTGAGTGTTCTGCATGCTTGATTCATCATTTTCACCATGAAGAGAGTAGGGAGCGGTCATTCATTCTGTGGACAAAGAGCTGAAGCTTCAGAGAGGGTGTGCAATTTGCCTAAAGTCACACAGTTGGCAAGGGGTGGAGTCGGGGCTTGTACCCAGCTCTGTCTGACCCCAAGCCCATGCCTTTTGCTCCTCCATGTGTTCTGGATATGTTCATGATCTGCCTAAGAGCTAATGGACAAAGATCATGTGCTGTGAACTGCAGCACGTTTTGCAAACAGAGGTCATTATTTTGATATTTTTGAGTTCTGACTCCCTAAGAAGAGAAAGACTGACTTTATTTAGACAAGCTGATCTCAGTGGCTCTTGGGAATTCTCAGAACTGTGACCAGGTCCACTTTGCTGGGCACTCAGCCTCCTTCCTGAGGGCAGTGGGGATGGTACTGGGGGAAGGGACTTCCTCATCCAAAGGCCTGTCCAGCCCCACTGCTGGTCAACTCTCAGGCCAAGAGCAGCCCCTTAGATGCTCTGCCCTATATAAAAAGATTCCAAGACGGTTTGGAGATCTGTCCCTTCACCCACTGCCCCTCAAACAGCCACTAGGGCAATCAGTGAGAACGCTGGGCTTAGATGCATGCACCAACAGAAGCTGGAGGAAGGGGCGGTGGGCCAGACGGTGCTGCAGAGAAGAGCAGGGAACTAACACAGATTTAGTACTTAGTGCCCGTTTCCATGCAGGCTCTAGGGTTGAGGTTCAACGCCTGCTGGCATCCCTTACTAGCTGTGGGGACTCAGGCAAGTCATGGAGCCACTTTGTGCCTCAGTTTCCTCATTCATAAACTGGATAGAGTATTTGCACCTCCAAAAGTTATTGTGAGATCAGCTCTGCAGAGCGCACTAGCAGCACTGTGCCTGGCACCCAGCAAGGGCTCAGAACAGTTATGGCCTCAGGAACTATTGCCACCCTCAGGGCACTACACCCTTGCTCCCTGACCTCCTGCCCAGTGGGAGGCCTCACTTCTCCTCCAGCCCTTCCAGCAGGAGCCTGAGAACTCTTTTGCCTCTCCCATTCCTGCTTTTAACCAATCTCCAGGCCCTGTTTGCTCTGCTTCCTGTTTCTACACAACCATCCTGAACACAGCATCTTTCCACCCTGCGCTCAGGGCTCCAGACTCAACCACAACAGTGGTCCCAGAACTTTGTTCCCTCTTACATCGCACTCATGTCTCAAAAGCAAATTCTCTATTAGAAGTGAAAGGTTAAGATCCTTACTGTGTAAAGAACCTTTGCATATCAGTAGGACAAAGGAGGGACTCCCATACAAGGAGGCAGTTTCCACAGGAAGAATTGCAAATAGCCAGCAGGCATGGGGAAAAGTTCAAGATGACCAGTAATGAAAAAAAGTAATTTCAAATGGAAATACCTGCAAGTTTTACCTGCATGCTGAAAATATAATCCATAAAAGATGTATCCACATATATCTCACATATATATCTCTCAAATATATCCATATATCCATATATATCTTACATATAAGGGTAAAACAATGGAGATATAGATAGTGGAGACATAGATAGATAGATAGATATGGCTGGAATGATTCTACCAAAATATCATACTAACAATTCCGGTTATATCTGGCTATGTGATTAGGGATGACTTATGTTCTTTACTGTGATCTTCTATAATTTCCAGGTTTTCCCCAATAAGCATGCATTTATTTATAATCACTCTCTCTCCTTTATCCCTCTTTTTCCCTGCAGTCTCTCCTCTTCCTCCCTCTCTCTCCCTCTCTCCTTTCTCTCTCTCCCCTCTATTCTTCTCTCTCTCCCTCCTTCCTTCCTTCTGTCCCTTACGCATGCACGTTGTATATTGCCCCATTGCCTATGGGGGAACAAATTCATAATACTCATGGCTCTCCATGGCCTGCTTGCAACCTATTTGTCCGTCTCCATCTCCTGCCTTTCTCTCCTTGCGTTATCATTAAAACCAAACTCCTGGCAGTCTCTGAACACAGTGAACAGCTTCACTTCCGCACCTGGCTAAGGCCCACCTGCCCTTCAAAGTGGCTGGGGCCTGGCCTGCTCTGGGAAGGCTTTCCTGGCCCCACCCAGAGGCTCTGCCCCTGCCAGGTCAGTGCGCCTTTGGGCTCCCGCAGCACCCCTGCCCTCCTTCTTATATGCCACCCCCCAGGCCTGCTGCCCTATTCTGCTGCTTACTTTGATCTGCCCTGCTAGTTTATGAGCTTTTCTGGGCATCTTTGTGCTCCCTGAGCTTACAGCATCTGCTACCAAACGAAGTGCTTAGGGAATACTTGGGGAACTGAAATCAACTTGAATTTTGGCATTTTTGACAGGTGAGTATGTAGTATTATTTTCAATTTAGAGATGAAGAAAACCAACTCAGTATCACATTGGTAGGTGACAAAGCTTACATTTAAACACACGTCATTCAGTGGGAATTAGGGGTGGTCTAACCTTAACCCTTAGGGTCAGGTTCATAGGCTTTCCCCACCGATGCAGATTTAATAAGGAACGAAATTCACTTCAGGGAGCAATGAGGGAAGGAAGGAAGGGGTGGCTGGTATATCAACAGCAAGAGCTAATACACCATTGACACTTACCTGTGTCAGGAATGGTGTAAGCACTTGACATATCTCAGTTTCCATTAAAAAAAATCCTATAAGGAGGGGAGCACTATTAGCTCCATTTTAGAAGTGAAAAAAACTGAGTCATGGACAAGTTCAGTCCCTTGCCCAGATCGCAGAATTGGGATTTGGACCCCACGAGGCCAGCTCACAGCCAGCACTTGGCAGCTGAGCTGCACTGCCCGGTGGCGGGGGAGGTATAGTTACGTATCGCAGGCTGTGGGGATGGAGGCATTTGTTGTTCAGGAAGAGGTGCTGCCCCACTGAGGCAGCAGAAACCCACCACTGGGGAGCAGGCTGAGACTGGCATGTTCTCGGACCAGAGCTGAAGCCTCCCACATGGGTGGCATCATCCATGAGAGAAGGGTCCCTGCCCAAACTCATACCTCCTCAGACAGGTCACTGGATCAGGAAGTAGGCACATCTGAGGGCAGGCAAGAGGCTTGGCATGAAACACTCAGATGAATCAAGGGAGGAGAGGATCAAGCAACCTGCCTGGGCCCCCACTGTATGCAAAGCACAAAACCTGCTTAGCCCATTTAATCCTCACTTCTTCACTGTACTACAAGGAAACTGATGCTCAGAGAGGTAAACTAACCTGTGCCACTGCACACACCTGGTAGCTGGTACAGCTGGGATTCACACCCAAATGTGCCTCAGGCTTCCAAAGAAGAGGGATTTGTCAGACACTCCAGACTACCAGAATCCTGATTTCCCAGGCTTGTCTGTTTCACCCTACCCCTCCCAGACCCTGGTCATAGCTCTGAGGGAGATGACAGGGTGTGGGGAGTGACAGTGAGAACAGCAATGACCTGGCAGATGGGAGTTGCCAACCCCTGCCACTGTGAACAACCACTGAGTCTCAGTTTCCTTATCTTTAAAGTGGGAGTGCTGGATTTGAGATACTGTCTTCAGGTCCTTTTTGAGATTAATAACCTGAACTCCACTGCTACTTGTACTACCCCCTTTCTGTGAAAACAGAATGACACAAGAAGGCATCTCCATGCCTGGCTGCAGCAAGTAGATGGGCTCAGTGGGCAGGCTCACCCGTGTCGCAGCAGTGACCCTGCTGGCCTTGCTTCCTCAACTACAAGGCTTTGAGGATTGAGTTAATAGAGAAGCAAGGTCAAGTTTAAACCCACAGGAATACACAATACTTAGCACGATTATTTGTGCTCCCAGGGGAATCCCGTACATCAACACTTAATCTGGCCAGTGCTGGGCTCTGAGCTTGCACATATGACCTCATTTCATCTTCCCTTCAACTGCACAGGGGAGATATTGGCAAGCCTTGCCCATTTTATCGATGAATACACTCAAGTCCACCTAGCTTTAGTGATTTACCCAAGGTCATGTTCATGCCAGATGATTCTTAAATGGTTTAATTTAATAACGTTCCTCAAGAAATGGACCCCACATGGTGCAAGAAAGTTATGAGTGAGGATGGAGTTAGATCCAATTGGCCTGGAGCCCAGGGCCACTGACCTGGTGAGTCTGCTAAGTGGAGGAGGAGGGCATGGGGCCTCTTTGTGGCAGGTGCTCCCCAATCCATGGTTATGAGAGGCCACAGATGTTACCTTGAGTCACACAGCCAGTGACAGATCTGACCCCAGGCTGTCTAGCTCCACAGCTAGGCTTGT
Source organism: Homo sapiens (assembly GCF_000001405.40). NCBI lineage: Eukaryota > Metazoa > Chordata > Mammalia > Primates > Hominidae > Homo > Homo sapiens. Next base: position 47,301,895 of record NC_000010.11, on the reverse strand, counting down.
TTCCCTCTCCCTCAGGAGGGGAGCCTGTAGACTGCAGATTTTTCTCCTGTTGAATGGCCTCATCTTCTGCAGAGCTGCAGGAGACCCCCACCCACATTTTCTGGAACATTATTCTGCAACCAGGAGTAATCACCATGACAACCAGGGTCTTCTCACCACCCCTGTGGCCCTGGCTGCACCTCCTCTCTACCCAGGGCCTGCAAAGGTGGGCAGGCTGCTGAGGCAGGAGCCTGGAAGTGCTCTCAGAACAGGGCAGCATGGGCCTTTGCAAGTGCCCTCTGCCCAGCTCCATCCAAGGGGCTGAGGAAGTGGAAAGGTGGGACAGAGGCCGGAGATAGGCAGAGTGTTCCCACTGCCTAAGCCCCTGGGCCTTTCCTTAAACCCCTGTGGTCTGAACGCTTCATGCCAGTCCGTGGAAGTCCTCAATCCCGGGCAGCCAAGGCCCTTCTCAGTCCACTCTGCTTCCCTGGACACAGGAACCATAGCTGACGCCAGCTAGGGGCTCCTGCTTCCTGACAGGGCCCAGTGCCTGGAGCTTCTGCAGGGCTGCCTATGTTCACTGGCTGTGCCCTTCTCATTTGTAAAATGCCCACATAATTGACCCTATGACAGGGATACTCCCCTGGCCTATGTCCCCTCTTCCACTCTCTGTGCTTACAGCCTTGTGTATGGGGTAGTCTGTGTATGTCCAGCAATGTGGGAGCACCCCAGGGGCAGGACCTCTGTGCCACCTGCTGCCACTCTTGGTGCCCCACTGGAGGTTCAGGGCCTGGCATGGAGAGATCAGTGAATCATTAGTGAAAGAATGAATGAACCACTCACCCGTTGGCTAGAAGAGGAAAAGTAGAGGTGCACGGGTGGGGAGACAGAAAAGTGAGGAAGGTGGAGAATGAGGAGAAGGGGTCCTGGGGCACCCTCTACTTACCCAGCCTGGCCCTGAAGCTGCGGACCGTGTTGCCCCCTCCCGGCCGCGCGCCCTGCCGGCTGTACTTCTCATAGAGCCTGTGCATGTGGACAGCGACCATGTCCTGGGCGCTGGGGCCCAACGTGGCGGCCGCGTCCCCAGGGTGCCGCTGGAGATCCCTGTCCCCCTGCAGGCCGTCGGCGGCCGCGGGCAGTGCGGACCAGGCGGGGGCCCTGTGGCTGCCGGCCACATCCCGGAGCAACAGCAGAAACAACGGCAGCAGCAGCAGCAGCAGCTGGGGCCCGGGTCCCGGGCTGGTCCGAGCGGGGACATGAGCCATGGCGTGGTGAGGGCGGCAAAGGGCCGAAGTCCAGGAGGAGGAAGGCGAGCGCTGGCGCACCGGAGGCTGCGGACTGACCTCGCGGCAGTAGGGCGCGCGGGGAGAGCCCGGGCAGCAGGGCGCTGGATACCGAGGTCCGCGCGGGGCGAGGGGCTTAGCGGAGCAGGCACCCGGGCGCGCGGTCCGTGGGTACCGGCGGCCCGAGCCCCCGGCCAGCGGTCACAGCCGTCCGGAGCAGCGCAGAGCCGAGCCGAGCCCGAGTCGGCGCGCTGCCTTGGCGGACTCGCGCCGCGAAAGTTTGTAGCCCACTGCGCGCCCGGCCCGGCTGCTTCGAGGGGCGGGGCGGGGCGGCCGGCTGCGCCCTCGAGGGGACCCGGCTGCGCGCCCCGGACCTCTGGGGCTGCAGCTGACAGGGTCGTCCCTGGCCCGGCTGCCGTGTGCGTGCGCCCGTGTGTGGCAGCGTGCGCGCGCCGGGGTGTGCGCCCGCGAGTGTGGGGGGCGTGGGCGAGCGCGCTCCCCGCTCCCCAGCCGAGAGCCCGAGACCCAGCCCCGCAGCCGGCTCCTGTGTGTCGGCGCCGCAGCCTGCCCTGGCTGCGAGGGGGGCTGGGCGGCAGTTGGAGGGGGGCCTGCCTGCTGGGTTGCCCCTGCAATGGCATGCGATGGCTATGTGATTGCAAGATGACAGCTCCCCTGTGAGGACCAGAGAGGGGATATGTGTGCGCCCAGTTGCCTCGGAGTCAGCGTATGTCCAAAATGTGAGAGTGTGGGGAACAGAGATCCTCTCTGGGCTGACTCCGTAAAGAAAAGCCCTCACCCCAAAGCTCATGCCACCCAAGGGAACTGGAACAAGATCGTGATTAAAACTCAGAATTAGCTCATTAACCAGCCCTTTATTTGACGAGAGTAATTTCAGTTGTTGAAGAAACACATCAAAGGTCCTTATTAATCTTTGGACATGTGGCCTTCAGGATTGCAGGAATAAGACATGCTTTCAATTTGCCTTTAAAAACATTTCCAAAGCATCAGAGCAGGAAGAGAGAAAGCAGTGGCTTTCCTAAGAAGGATTCCCAGTGAAGTGAGGGTGTAGTGAGTCCCTGGCCCACTGCCCCTCAGCTTAACCCTGGGGCAGAAGGTCCTGATCTTTGTCTTGCCTCTAGCAGGATTTCTTCTCCATTGATAGAATTCAAGGGCTCTTATGAACTTGATGGGGAAAAAAATACATCTTTATTTTCATTAACTCTAACTGAAACTTAGCATTAACTAATGTTATAAATGCAAGCAACCAACCACAGTGGTATTAGTGACTTTGTCACCAATAGGCACCATCCACAGATATTTTCATATCACATGAGAGTGGTTGCGGATTCATCAAAGTATCATGTTTGCTCATTACCACTTCAGTTAGGCCTACTGCTAGTTAGTTAGCAAAAAGGAACATAGTTACTATGTTACAAAATTGTTTTTAAATATTTGTGATAACTCTATTCTAACGTAATTGTCTTCCTTTGTAACTCTGCATATTTTATTTTATGCATTTAAAAACATTCTTTTAAGAAGGGGTCCACTGGCTTCCCTAGACTTAGAAGGGGGCCCAAGACCCACCTAAAAAGTTTAAGGACCCTTGAGAGGGAAGGAAAGGACCACGTCAAGCCCATGTTCTTCCAGAAAGCTCCCAGATACAGTCTATGCTACATTTCAAAGGACTATTTGCAAACTTGTGAACAGGCTGTTCCCTTTACTTGGTAACTTTGGGCTCTGTGAGCCAAAATAGTTACTTTTCTTGGAGGGCTCACAATGCAATAATTGAAAAATTGCTGGAAAAGGCTTCTGTTGGTGTGTAAAACATGACCCATTTGTAATTTTTTAAAATCTTGCAGTGTCAAATTAGAGGCCATCCTATTAAGAGCTTCTGAACCTCAGACTTGTAGCTTTTGGAAAACCAGAGAAAAGCATTTTATTTGTTTTGAAAATTAGATCACAGTGTGTTCAACTTCCCATTAGGATAGCTCCCATTTGTTCTGAACCAGTTTTCAAAAATGGTTTGCCTGGAAGTGAGATGATCGGGTCTCAGCCTGGGACTTAGTGAATCTCTCCTTATAAATGATCCAGACCATCTTTCAGTGGTCCCTTCCCCCACTCCCACCCCCATTTCCCTCCTTCTCCATGTGCCCCTCACTTCCCCTCTGTCCCCCTCTCCCCTTCCCCCCCAGAATGCCTCTGACCTGCACCGGCTGGGGGTAACCTCTGCTCATGGGTAGTTTTGTGTCTGTTGGGGCCATACACAATCGAGGCCTGTTGAAAAGGAGGGTGAGTCCGCAGGAGGCCCGCACAAGCTGGGCTATTTGGAATCCGTGTCCATTAAAGCCTTCTGGCTCTCCTTAACTCATTCCCGCTCCATTCAAGCCAGCCTGAGGGTCAGGCTTTAGCCAGCACTAAAACCTGTAGGGTACAGATTCTCTGACATTGTTGGGAAAGAATTAAGGCATCAGCCAGGGATGGCTAATATTTCTTGCCTCATTTTATTGCTGAACAGCGGGACTGTAAAGCCTTGAACACGAGCACTGTGGCCCCCTTTCATGTAGCCGAGATGATGGGATAAAAATGTGTTTGGTGAAGCAATTCAGATTACCACTGGGTCACATCCTCGCTGGCTCTCAGCACGGCCCTTGAAACAGCATCACTATGACAAGAAACAATCTCTGTGCAATTTCAGCTCATGCAGAACAGTTTTTCTAGTGTGGAAATGAGGCTAATTGTGGAGCTTGCCCACGAGAATGTTTTGTTTTTAATAGCTCAGGCCGCAGCTCAGAATAAGAGTTGAGATGGCAGATTGTGGAGACAAGTCCTTGGATCTGTGATTTCTGACAGCTTCCTACAAAATTATCATGGTTCTGGGAGTTCCGTACACTGCAATTGCCAGGGGTGCTGAGGTCTTGAACTTGCTGATTGGAGTGAACAGTGTTCTCTCCAGACAGGTGAGAAGTAGTTTGGGGGCCCTCAGTCCTCTAGGCCTCCTTGCTGTGCACTCTGGGATAGCAGGGTTTTCTTCAGCTCAGAAAGTCATGAGCAAGGAGTGAAGAGACTCCATAGTTATGAAGCTCTGCACCCAAGTAAGGAAGTAAAACAAACCCTGGGTAGTTTTGAAAAGCAAGCTCATTTGGTTTCATCAAGAACCTCTCCCCAAATAAATGTTCCCAAGCGATTGTTTCATGATATCGTCCAGTTAATTTGTAGCAGAGCTAGTGTGTGATTTTAACTAGCTCTGTAACCCTGGGGCAGCCCCATTGCCTCTCTGGAATCCTAGGAGCCTCTTCTTTAAGTGAGAAGTCTGGCCTCCAGGCTCTGCTGTAGCTCCTGTACTCTCCCGCTGGTTCTGTGGCCCCATGTCAACATGTTCTTGGAAGTGAGGGTGCTCCCATGACCCTGTGGAGTCAATTGGGACTAGATTCATGTCCCTATTTTCACTGCTACTTAGCTGTGTGATGTTAAGCAAGTTACTTGCCTTCTCTGGACCTCAGTTTTTTCAACTCTAAGATGGGGACAAGAGCAGGATAGTATGAGGATTCTTGGCCAGATTTTAAAGTGACATGATACTAACTAAATTGCACTGATCATTCAGATTGGTCTTTTCATTTATTGTGTGTTTGAAAGAAGTTGTAGCACATTTAAAGTAGACCCAGACTGGCAGATTTGGTGAGAGTTTCAAGCCTGGCTGTTCCTTACTCTGCAGAGAAAATTCGTTTCTTAGTGCACAGTGCCAACAACTAAAAAAAAAAAAAAAAAAAGGAAAGAGAAAAGGAATGTTTCCTTGATGAGGAAGTCACAGACCTCTACCAAGGAACTGTTATGCTGTTATTGTCTGTGTCTGCGGGTTCTTGTCCAAAGATTGGGAGGAAGATTCACAGCTCTTCATCTAGATTTTCAAAGCTCCTGGCCCTTAAGGACAAAAGAAATGCAAGTGAGTCCCTATTCCGGTTGGGGCATGAGCTGTGGGGTGCTAGAGACAGGAACCCCAGGGCCTCCCCAGGCCGCGGGGCCAGAGTGTAATAAATCTGTGAAATAACAAGCACAAAGGACTTTATAATCAATGACAGATTTTATTTTTGCTCTGGCAAAATCCATCTGTGGAGTTAACATTTTACAGGGAAATAACTACCCACTTTGTGACTCCTCCTCAGCCCATATTCTCTTTCTTAAAGTTGGGAAAAGCTCAGAAAATCAAAGTCGGCTCCTCTGAGAACCGTGGCAAGCGAAAGCATGACTTCCCCTGGGCGGGGACCCAACTCTCCCGTTACTTCCTAGGGTGGTGGGGGCCATTCATTTCTGTTTTGCTAAAATACCCGTGACATGTGAATAAACTAGGATTACAGAACATTGTCTCGGTCAGTAATCTGAGCCGGCATGGCCTCTGGTTTGATGAAATATGGTGCTCTCTGAGCAAACATGGGAATTGGTATTACTTCTCTTTAAAGCTGAACAGTGGGGCTATTTAGAACTGATGCATGAATGCAGCACTGTGGGGAGTGACAATTTGAAGGGAACCGATTTGGGGGAGGAGGGCAGTGGTGTGTGTGTGTGTGTATGTGTGTGTGTGTGTGTGTGTGTGTGTGTGTGAGAGAGAGAGAGAGAGAGGGAGAGAGAGTTGGCCGGAGCCAGCCAGTTAAGAGGAGTCTATGGGAGAGGTGGCCAAGGGGACACTTTGAAAATTAGGACCCCTTTGTGGCTTCGCAGTCTCCTTATCACCCCCAAATAATCTTGCTCAAAACCTTTGACTACTCTCCTTCACAGGATGGATAAAGCCTTCTGTCCTTGTCCTGGCATTTAAGCCCTAACCATCTGGCCTCTCTGTCCTGGTGGAGTCTTTCTCCAGCCTCTGTTCCTATGCGTCCTCTCCTGTCCCAGAATTTAGAGCAGCTTCATTCCTTGGGTTCTCATCCCAGGCCCCTCCCCATGGCTTTAAGGTGGCTGTAGCTAATTCCCCTGTTGCCAGCACCCAGACATTCATGGCCTCAGCTGCCAGGACTTCTGTCTGCTGAGGGCTCACAGTGGAGCCCTTCCTCAGGAAGGCCGACAGGAGCGGCCTCACTCAAGTTATCTCACACTCCGGGGGCAGCCAAAGCCAGTGACTAGGTGCAGGGGCCTGGAAAACACTGTAGGGCCACCTGGCTCCGAGGCTGTCTATACCACTGTGTCATTTAGCTTCTCTCTCTGGTTATCCTAGTCCCTCAGCTCCCTTATTGGTGTGGTCCCCCTAGCACTCTCCCATATACTTATGCACTCAAATTTCGATCTCAGAGTCCCTACCCTGAGATATCCAACCTGAGATAATTCATGCCAGGAGTGATCTAAGGAAGTGGGCTCTAAGGTGGCATCTGAGGCCCTCATCATCTGACATTCAGTGGCAACGAGGACTCTGGCTGCTGTAACTGGAGTCCCCATAGCCTGATGCTGTGGTGGTGAGTTGGAGGGGTCACTTTCTTAGGGGTTAGAGAGGTTCAGGGGAAGGAATAATTCTGAAGACAGTGGGATTGTCAAGTGCCATGGATGCATTAGAAATAGACAATAAAAGATTGAGAAGGATGAAACACTAATTGAAGGCAGAGTGTGAGAATTGGAGGATCATGGCACCATATAAAGAAACCCTCAGTTGTTACAGCCAGTCCTGCTGAGGACTGGGCCCAGGACTTACATATTAAGATAGCAGAGCTCCAGAAATGGTTTGATTCTTAACCCCAGCACTTCTGTTATGCCAAAGTCAGGGGTGGGGCCCTGAGACTTGGAGTGGGGGCATCTTGATGGATGTACTCAAGAGTCTTAAAACCTTACACTTCCTTGAACACTTTGGACCTGGGGAGGTGGGCTCTGCCTACCTTGCTTGAAGATGATAAAGATGTAGTGTGCGCCCCTCTCATAATCTACCCTTTCCTGTCCCCTGGCTGCCAGATGAAACCTGGGCTTATGTCACCACTTCGCCCAGCCAGGGAAGTCTCGGTGAGAGGTGAGGCCAGCTGGACTTCCTGGGTCAAGGGGGGACTTGGGGCACTTTCCTGTCTTACAAAAGGATTGTAAAACGCACCAATCAGGAACTTTCCTGTCTTACAAGAGGTTTGTAAAATGCACTAATCAGCGCTCTGTAAAATGCACTAATCAGCGCTCTGTAAAACACACCAATCAGCAGGATCCTAAGAGTAGGCAGTCGCAGGGAGGATTGAAAAAAGGGCATTCTGACAGGACAGAAATGGAACATGGGAGGGGACCAATAAGGGAATAAAAGCTGGCCACCCCAGCCAGCAGCGGCACTCGGGTCCTCTTCCATGCTGTGGAAGTTTTGTCCTTTTGCTCTTCACAATAAACCTTGCTACTACTCACTCTTTGGGTCTGTGCCATCTTTAAGAGCTGTAACACTCACTGTGAAGGTCCGCGGCTTCATTCCTAAGTCAGTCAGATCAGAAACCCAGTGGCGGGAACCAACTCCGGACACACCGGGCCCACCAAGGGGAAGAATATGGTAGACTGGAGGATCTGCAGAGTCAACGTGTATAAGCAAGACCTGAGGGAGTATGATTGGGATGGGTCCCAAGGGTGCTGAATCAAGGGAGACTGGATTTGGAAGTGGATAAGGGAGAGTTTGTCAGTCTAAGAGCACGGTCCCATGATGCCGGTTTTCCACCATGGCAAGTGCCTTAGGGTACGGGGCTGATATGCTTATGGGTTGGCCGTTGGACACTTGGAAAAAGCAATGGTCTGCAGTAAGTGATGTGTCAACGCTGAAATAGCTGTGGTAAGTGATAGAAGAATGGACTAAAGGCTCAGAGAGCAGACATGCTGGATTAGAAATGGTACGCAGGCTGGAAAGCCACCAGCCTATATGTTCCATGGAAGGACTCAGAGGACTCTCCATTTACCAAAGTGATAAGGAATCCACTGGTAAGAGGGATACCAGCAACATGCAAAGCTGAGGGATGGCTTCTATCTGTAGGCTGGGGCTGAGGGTAGAGGGTATTGTTACTGATCTGGGCTCCCTAGCAGAAATGAGGATGAAAGGATCCCAAAATAATGGAGTATTTTGCTGTGCAAATCAAAGTAGATGCAATTATCAAAATGAGAGGTGCAGTCAGATTTCAGTCAGGGTTCCCAACTCATGGGGAGCTATGAAGACATTTAATCAAACCTGCAGTCGCTGGGGGTAATACTGATGGACAGCCCACAAGAGCACCATTCAATTTGTACAAACTAAGACAAATCAAAGATGGATAAATGAGGCTGAGGACAACCACTCCAAAAAAGGTCACACTTCTTTGATGGGCTTGAGCCAGTTTCTATACATGAACACTTTGAGTGAGGGAGAGGCTGGGACCTCAGGAGGAAGGCGCCTGCAACACCACAGCAAGGATAGATGGTGGTGATTTCCAATCCTTCCCCAAAGGGACCTATCACCATTTACTCAGGCAACCACTGAACCTGAGGGAAGGGAAACATCCAGACACTTCAAGAATAAATGGACACATGGTCCAGGTTGATATTGATACGAAGGACCCAAGGCCTCATTACAACTCCCCTGCTAGAGTGGATTTTGTGGAAACCAGATGATCAATGAATCCTGGTGCAGCCCAGCTCGCTGGGCTTGCGGACTCATCCACAGCGATTTCCTTACACCTCAAATATAGAATTGCAACAAACATCCTTGGTAGCTGCCAGAACTTTGCATTGGTTCCTTGGCTTACAGGGCAAGAGTTAGAGGAGTGGGGAAGGCAAGTTGAAACTTGTGGGGTAAGAGTTACCATAGTAGAGAAGTCCAAGGAGAAGTGTCTGAAACCATTCCCTCATCCCTGTCCTGGCCAGATTAATAAATCAAAATCAGTGTCGTGTCCCAAGGGAAATGGTAGCGATTAGTGCCATCCTTAAAAACCTAAAGGATGCAGCTGTTATGGTTACACACTGTCCTCATTTAATTCACCAGTATGTCCCCTACAGAAAACCAGACGTATGCTAGAGAATGACTGCAAATTCACCAAGTGATGTGTGAGTAGCCCTTACCTCAGCATCTGTGCCAGATGTGGGATCTTGGCAGAGCAGATTGACATGGCCTCAGGAATCTGGTATGCCACCTCTGATCTGGTGGATGTATTCTTTTTCATCCCATTCAAGAACACAGAAGCAGTTTTCATTCCCATGGGGCAGGTCCCAGTATGCATTTACTAGTATGTGTATTTCTTGTCCTAGGGCCATGTTAACTGTACCACCTCTGTTATGAGGGATCAAATGGATATGGATCATTTGGATATTCCACTGAGCATAACATTGGTCCTCTGTATTAATGACATTGTGTTAACCAGAATGAATAAGTAAGAAGTGGAATCAGTAATCAGTAAGAATACTTTAGAGAACTTGGTAAGATGCCTGTGCTCCAGAGGGTGGGAGATGAACCCCATGAACCTCATCACTGAGACTATGAGGTAGTGTGTTAGTCCATTTGTGTTGCTATAAGGAATACCTGAGACTGCGTAATTTATAAAGAAAAGAGGTTTATTTGGCTTATGGTTCTTCAGGCTGTACAAGAAGCATGGCCCTAGCATCTGCTCCTGGTGAGGGCCTCAGGGAGCTTCCACTCATGGTGGAAGGTGAAGGGGGAGCAGGGATCACATGGTGAGGGGGGTACATGAAAGAGAGAGGGAGGAGGTGCCAGATCCTTTTAAACAACGAGGTCTCATGTGAACCCACAGAGTGAGAACAAACTCATTATTGCGAGGACAGCACCAAGCTATTCATGAGAGATCTGCCCCCATGACCCAAACGCCTCCCACTAGGCCCACCTCCAACATTGGAGGTCACATTTCAACATGAGATTTGGAGGAGACAAAACATCCAAACATAGAGGTTTGGCCTGAGCAACTTGGAACATTCCCTCCAAAATAGAAAACACATTGTATCTTGCACTTCCCATCTCTAAGAATAAACAATTCCTGGCACTTTTTTGGGCTCTGGAGATGACAAGTTCCATCGTTGTGAATGCTACTCTGACCCAGAGGGACACAGGAGGATGCCAGCTGTGAGTGGACCCAGAGCAGGAAAGAAATCTGCAACCTGTCTAGGCTGTGAGCAAGCAGCCCAGCTGCTTGGATCATAGGAGCTGTCAGACCTGTGGTATTACAGGTATCTGTGGAAGACAGATATCATGTGGGATTTGTGGCAAGGTTCAATAGGAGCGAGTCCAAGCCATCTGCAGCAGAGAATTATATGCCCTTTGAAAAGCACCTCCTGATACTGGGCTTCATTCGAGATGAAGAGCTTAATCATGCACCATCAGGTGATCATGCAGCCAGAACTGCCTGTCATGAGCTGTGTTCTTGTAGATCCACCATGTCTACATGGTCCATAAGCTTGGGTGGGCCCAGCAGTAACTCATCAAAGATGGAAGTGGTCCATCTGGGATGCACATGAGCAGTGTTGGGGGTGCAGTGAGGCTGCACTAGTAGGTGGCTCATACCTCCAGGCCATCTACCACTGTGCACCTGTGCTTCTCTTTCATTTCATACCTGTGACCACGTGGGGGTCCCTTATGATAAGGTGATGGAGAAGGAAAATGTATGAGTTTGGCGCAGGGAGAAGTAGACTTGGTATATGGGTATAAAGTAAAAATGGACTTTTGTTGCACTGTATCCTAACTCAGGGATGACCCTGAAAGACAGCAGCAATGAAGGGAAATCCTCCTTATGGGCAGAGCTTTGGGGGTACAGTTGGTCATCCACCTTATATGGAAAGAAAAGTGACCTGAGGGATTTTGGGGCAGTGGGAAATGGCTTGATTAGTTGATTTGGGGACTGGAAGAAAACATCTGAAATGTCAGGGCTACGGAGGCCTGTGGACAAGGCATATGAATAGGCCTACAGGAGTCGGCAGGGAGTGAGAGGATCTTTATATTGCATGTCAGCGTCCACCAGAGAGTACCCACTGTGGAAGAAACACTAGACAGCCAAGGATATAGACTGGCTCTGTCAGTTGACATCAGCAGCCTCTGCCATCAGTCAGAATGAGTGCCTGCCTGGAGCTGCTGTGGCAGGAATGGGAGCTGTGGATAGCATGGCAGCATGAGTGCCAACTGACCAGGGCCAATCTAGCTCTGCCACTTCCCAGTGTGCAGCCAACCAGCAAGGGAGACCAATGCCAAGCCTGTGATATGGCCTGCCCCTGGCTGAGCACACGAGTTACCTGGTGGAAGGATGATTAACTGGATTCTTTCCACCCTGGAAAGAGCAGTGATTCGTCTGGTCTGGAGTCTACACATATTCTGGGTTTGGTTTGCTGTTTTTGCCTGCAGAGCCTCAGTCAGCACCACAAAACTTAGAAAGCATTTGATATCCTCCTTCAGGATCCTGTGTGACAGAGCATGGAACCAAAGGACTCACCTCGCAGCAAAGGAGGCACCACAGTGAACACAGGCCAATGGGATATACCAGTTCTGGCGCATCTCCGTGGTAGAGCATTGGAAAGTGCGGCTGAAGCACCATCTGGAGAGGATGCTCTGAGAGGGTGGGAGGCCATCCTCCACAACACAATACTCACCCCAAACCAATGGTCAATATGTGTTGCTGTGTCTCAGTCAGTAGAAATCATGGGTCCAGGAACCAAGGCACAGAAATAGGAGTGGCATTGCTCATCGTCACACTTAGTGGCCCACCAGGGGAATCTGTGCTGCCTGAATGCTCGGCACAGTGGGTCTAAAGGTCCTGGTGCCCAGAGGAGGAATGCTTCCTCCAGGGGACATGGCAAGATTCCCTTTTCATGTTCAGTGACAGGTGCTGCCAACCACCACCAGCTCCTACGTCTAGAGACTGGTGGGAAGGAGGGGAGTCTCCATCCTGCACAGGTCATCAAACCTGTGCTGTCACACACTGGGACAGGGAGGATGTCTTTAGCATCCAGGTGACCTACTGGGTCATTTCCTGGTGCCTCCCTGCCCAATTCTGATGACAAATGGACAAGGGAAGGAGCCACAGCTTGAGAAGGGCATGACAACTCTCTGGGGCGTGAGTCTGCGCCACCCACCAGGTGAGCCCCTAGAGAAGCAGAGGCACTAGCCAAGGTGGAAGAGAACCTGGAATGGGTGGCAGAGGAGGGAATTGGTGAGTACCCATGGTCCTGAGCCCAGCTGCAGCACAGGTACTGTGATCACCCCTTTAACCTTCTTCCTCTTGTAAGCTTTCCCAGGAAAAGAGACCAGGGAGCATCCTGGGGGAGCTGTTCCCAGGTAGGACCGGATTATACAAAACAAGTGGATGCAGCTGTGGAGAGGGAAGCCTGTAGAGGACACTGTGGAGCTGCCCAGCTCTACCCTTCAGGGTTGAGGCCCCCATTTCCCAGCTTTCAGGGGTGGTGCCTGCTGATGGCTCCTGGCTGAAACCCTCCCCAGGAATTGCCCTTTGCAGCCTAAAGGAGCTGCCCAGCCCGTGGCCATGCCTGCTCTTCCCCAGGGCCGCTGCATCTCCCAGCTGGGACCACACGGCTGTACAAAAAAGTCTGGGCTCCCTAGTCTCAATTTGGGACAACACTGAGGGACCATCCCAACTCCAGAGCTACCTGTGGGAACAGCCACAGCCCCCGTTGTAATCGCATTCCAGTCAACTTCCCCCTCTGTCCAGCAGCCTCTCTCACCCCTTCCGGGTGGTGACGTTCCTAGGTTCTGGCCTCATAAACCCGCCACACTCATTTTGCCACCCCTGAGCCTGGTTCTGGGGTGCTGCACATGAGATGGCAGGACCCAGGCACCTAGAGTGGCCATGTGTCCCAACATGACAACTGCTTACTTCCTTATTCCCTTTCCACCTTTCTGAAAAATATCATTCTTCTTCTGGTATTTCTCTAACATCTCTCTCACACTTCCTGATTCCCCTTGTTCACAGGAAAAGCAGCTGGCAGGTTCATAAGAAATTCATAAGCCCATGTTTCTTTTATTTATTTTTATGGTTAACTTCTATTTATAACAAGGAATGCTGGTTTTCCATTTATACTTGAGATTTAAAGATTCTGTTTAAAATAAATTTAAGTAAAACGGAGTGAGTGGGTTTTTTAAAAAACAGCTAAGTAAATGATAACGATGGCAGGCATGGTGAAGGTGGTTCACTGAAGGATGGCGACTTGGGCAATGCCTACACCAGCAATTTCTCCTGCCTGGGAGCCCCTCTGACTCAGGTGAATAAGCGTCCTGCAAAAACCAGCCCCAAGACTCCATTCTTTGCAAAGGTCCTGGCCCCTGCGTTTCAGAGATAGTCATGTCTTCCTGTAAGATACGTCCCACTGTGTGGAACAATCTTTCTCCACGTCTCATCTGCATCAGGCCAGCAAGGGCCTTGAGCGCTAAGTCTTTCTTACTCCCTGTTGTTGCTCCAGGACCCAGTGTGGGCTGAGACACAGGGAGGTTTGGGGGCAGGATTTTAAAGTGGTCCCCAGAATTCTGCTCCTGGTGCATTTGCCCATAGCAATTCCATCCTGAGTTGGGGTGGGGCCTTTGAATATGACGCATGTCACTCCTGGGATTCACTTGTGTTATATGGCAGAGGTCATGCGATTTTGTGTGTATCTAATTGAAGGCCCCAAACCGCTGATTTTGATGGAATGAAAAGGGAGATTATCCTGGGTGGGCCTGCCTTAATCCGGTGACAGCCCTTGAATGGTGGCCTGGGCCCTTTATGAAGAGAGGGCTCCCATGCTGGCCATGTCCTGACGAAGGGTCCTGTCATAGGCCTCTAGGAGCTGGAGCCATCCCTGATGACAGCCCAGAGGAAAGTGGGGCCCTCATACTACAGCTGCTAGGGGCTTGGGAGAGGGAGGACTTGGGCTCCGGAAAGGTCTGCAGCCTGGAGAATATCTGGATGGCAGCCATGTGGGAACCTGACTGGAGAGCCCAGCCAAGCTGTGACCAGACTCCGGGCTCGTGGAAGTTGTGAGATAACACATGTGTGCTGTTTTAAGCTGCTAAACTTGTGGACGTGTATTATGCAGCGTTAGGAAACTGGCACGGCAGCCTGCAGACATTGGCCGAGCGAGTATGAAAGCCTGCAGGGCACCCCGCCCACTGGCTCCTGAGATTTACAGGCGCTTTCCACCTGGGGAGATGAGGCTGCCAGTGCAGGGAAGGGTTGGCAGCTGCTGCAGCCCTCGAGTTGCCCCTTACCTCACATGGTGCAGACAATGAACAGACCGGGGACTGCCCAAGGTCACTTAGAGTGGAGCACGTCTGGGAACCCCTCTGAGCCTGGCCTCCTCAGCCATGCTTTTGGTGCCAGCCAGCGCAGTGCCCACTCCATGACCTGGAAGGCATCACAATCTCCTCTTTCTTTGGTGACTTCAGCTATCAGTGGATCTCCCCACCCTGCCGCCTCCCCATGGGGTCTGAGTGGCAGGTGGAATGTACCCTCCCTCTTCTCACCCACCCTCTGGCTCTGGGACATAGCAGCTCTCCCCTCTGCCCCAGGCAGCCCTTCATCCTGGAGCTCTGCCTTGGGCACTCTGATGGCCTGGCCCCTTGCCCCAGTCTCCTCTACCCTACCCTCCACCCTGCTACTCCACCCTTCGCTAGCTGTTTTGTCTGCCTGCATGGCTTCCTGCCTTCTTTTTGAAACAGCTCTCTCCTTTCTGTGGAAGAAGGCTTCCCCCAAACCACACATGAGGCTCAGTGGAGCTGCCTGTCTGAGAGGCTGCCTAAGTGCCATGCCAGGGGGTTGGTGTATGCCAGTCCTAACACTTCCCCCAGCCACAGTGAATCCCAGGAGAAATCCTAAGTTGGGTTAGTCATTGTTCCACAGGATTCTTCTAAGCAGACTTGGTGGTGACAGCCCCGCTCTTCAGTTTGCTGAGGTGGAATGTCAGGTGGCCAGACCGGGCTGGTGCTGCCAAGGTCCCTGTAACACAGAGACACCTGTGTCTAACTGAAGGGAACTGAGGCAGCAGAGGAGAGGATAAAGAGGTGGAGAAGCAGGAAGAAGAGAAGGAGGAGGAGGAGGGAGGGGAAAGAGAAACAGGAAGAGGAGGAGAAACAGGAAAAAAAAAGGGGAAGGAAGAGGAGGAGGAGAGATGAAGATGAGAGAAGAGGGAAGGTGTTTTAGTTACAAATTATCCCCAAACTTATTATGGCTCAAAACAATACACAGGTTCTATCTCACAGCTTCTGTAGGTCAGTGGTTCAGCTGTGGTTGAGCTCAGGGTCTTTCTCAAGGCTGCAGTCAAGGTGCAGGCTGAAATCTCCCTTATCTTGCACCGGCTTCAAAGCCCTCGAGGCTATGGGCAGGGTTCAGTTCTGGACTCTTGGGCTGACAGCTCCATTTCTTGCTAAGTTCTGAGCTCAGGATTCTCTGCTTATTCTGGGCCTTCTCTTTCAGAACGTCTCCATCCACTTCCCAATCCGGCATCTCCACTCAGACCTCAGGCTGGCATTCCCCAGTGGCTCTGGGATACCAAGCTTGCTTCCAGGGATCTTCTGCTTCTCCTTCTGCACCTGCTCCCCTACTGTGATGGTGCCATGGAGCTGAAGGTTCATGGCTGGCTCCTCCCTCTTTTCCCCTCATCCCCAGCCGGCTGCCAGTCCTGTGAAGCTCATCTCTTGGAGCCCCCTCTGCCTGCTCTGCACACGGACACTTTCTCATCCAGGTCTTGATGCTCTCTTGCTGCTGGTCGCTATGCCAGGCCCACTGCCTTCAGGCTCCTTCCTCAAGGCTACAGGGCAATCTTCCTTATGACAGACGTGCCCCTGCCACCCTCCTGCTTGTGGGACCTCACCTGTCTCCTTTCCGTGGCATGATGCCTGTGTCAGACACCAACACATGGTCCCTGCCCCTCCTTCACACCTCTCTTCCAGGCCCCTGCGTGTCTTCTCATTTCCTGCCCACATACTCCTTCCTCCCAAGGACAGGCCTCCTCAGCCGTTCTCTCAGCCTGACATGTCATCCCCCAGACCCACCCTTGATTTTCTCCACCTGCAAGAGTCCCAGGATCAAGTTTGTCTCCCTCAGGAGCCCTCTCAGAAGCCCCCCTGCCTCCACAGCCCTTTCCTTCCCCTTAGGAATGGGACTTGCTCCAGACAGCCCTGTGCAGAGCTGTCCTGCAGGTGGCTGTCTTCTGCCCCAGGCTCATGGGGGGACAGTGGCTGATGAGAGTCTGTCCCATGGAAGGTGTCTGGAGAGTTAGGGAATTTGCTCCAGGACCATGGGAGGGGAGGAAGGGGACCATGACACATGGGGGTGATGCCCTCGATGGCATGAAGCCCCTCCACTGCCTTCTTTCCTCTGGCCTCCCTTCTGAGCCCCGATCATGAGTCAGGAGGGTAGAAAAGTTCACAGCCGGAAACTCTCAGCTCTGAGCAGTTGTCAGTTTCCTATGATTCTAGCAGGATTTGCTACTCCTCCATGATTTACTCAGACATCATGGACGATAGAAGCCAAAGCTAAACTGAACAAGCGAGAATGAAGGATTAATTGGCTGAGATAACGAAACTGCCTAGAGGAAGGGATGAGCTAGCCTTCTGGAAAACTCAAAGTAGGGACTTCCACATTGTCAGCCTCCCTCCCTGCCCTCCCTCCCCTTCCCTCCCTTCCCTTCCTTCCTTCCCTTCCTCCCTCCCGCCCCCTTCCCTCCTCCTCCTTCCTCCCTCCCACCCCCTTCCCTCCTCCTCCTTCCTCCCTCCCGCCCCCTTCCCTCCTCCTCCTTCCTCCCTCCCGCCCCCTTCCCTCCTCCTCCTTCCTTCCTCCCTCCTCCTCCTTCTTCCTCCCTCCTCCTCCTTCTTCCTCCCTCCCTTCCTCCTCTTCCCTCTCTCCCTCCCTTCCTTCTTTTCTTCTCCCCTTTCTCCCTCTTCAGAATGAAAACAGCTTTGGTGTTAATGGACAATGTAATTACTGCTTGGCTACTGTAAAGTGAGAGTGATGTGTAAGGTAGGCCTATCAACATTCTGACAGCCATGCGGACCCACAGGCAGCGAATGTTTGCTCTAGGGGCCGGACAGTCAATATTACAGGCTCTGTGGGCCATATGGTTTTAACTCTGCCTGTGAATGCAACCATAGACAAAATGTCAATGCATGGGCATGGCTGTGTGCCAATAAAACTTTATATACAAAAATGATGGGCTGGGTGCGGTGGCTCACGCCTGTAATCCCACCACTTTGGGAAGCCGAGGTGGGTGGATCACGAGGTTAGGAGTTCAAGACCAGCCTGGCCAAGATGGTGAAACCCCGTCTCTACTAAAAATACAAAAAATTAGCCAGGCATGGTGGCGGGCGCCTGTAATCCCAGCTACTCGGTAGGCTGAGGCAGACAGTTGCTTGAACCCGGGAGGTAGAGGTTGCAGTGAGCCAAGATCGCACCACTGTACTCCAGCCTTGGTGACAGACCAAGACTCTGTCCGCCCCCCTGCCCCCCACCCAACCAAAAAAAAAAGATGATGGCCTGGATTTGGCCTGTGGGCTGTAGTTTGCCAACTACTGCCATAAACATTTTCTTCTGGCCTCAGGCATCAGCATCATTCTCTCCTATGACAGAATAGTGGAGGGGGTGAATGTATGGAGGTCATGAGTCCAGCATCTCTGGGCCCTCTCCACCATGGTTTATGACCAAGGAGGAAAGGCATGACTCCCTGCCAGCCCAGCCTGGGGATGCCAGAGGTGGACTGATTGACCTGGCATGAGGCAGGTGCTCAAGTCTGGATCAATTGTGGAGGGAAGTGTGTGGCTCTTGGTGGTGGAGGGATGTGCTATTTGATGAAGGGTGAGCTGTTTGGGACATGCAAAATGATGAATGTCCAGTACATTTTATATCCCTTGAGCAGAGCTCAGCTTTTATGAAACCAGTCTTACTAATTACTATGGCATGATTTCTTAAAAAGTAGATTGTTTTCACTTACTCTGTCCCATCATTTATTGTTTACACAGAAGTTCAGTGCATTTCCTGACTCCTTCCCACCTCTGTGAATGCGCTCCAGGCTATAGAGTATCTCCCAACAGATATTCTTCAGTCCAGAGGACTCACAGTATTGGCCTCCTGGGATTTACTTGGTTTCTTGCTGACATTTCCCCTGTCCCCATGGCCCTTTTCCACACCCCACCTCCTACCTCCAGTAGGTCAGACTCTGGGAGGCACTGGCAGACTCACATCCAGCTGGATACCATCATAGCTAAAGCAGTGCTGTGATCTTTGTGCTTCTGCCTCTGTGGGTAGAGCCCTGATCCCCTCCTGTGGACCCAACCCGCTCAGTGCAGGTGGACCCAGCAAGCAGAGCTGTGGATTCAGGCTGGTGGCTGATCCCCTCACACCTTGGAGACCTTGGGGTTCCTGCTCGTTGCCTCAGGACTGCCTCCTTCCTGGCTGTTGGGGCTGCTGTGCCCAGCTCACCTCTGGGGTCAGCCTCTCTGGGGCCGGCTTCTTGCTGCAGGTACAAGACTTTGGCATTCTCCTCTGCTGAAAAATGCAGATAATGATGAACGTTCCTCGGGGTGCTGTGAAGAGCAAAAGGATTGCGGAAAGCACATGCAGCTCTCGGCTCATCGCCGGGCTAGGGTGACCATCTTCATCTACCCTGAATCCTCCCAGTTTTAGCAATGAACATCCAGCATTTCAGGAAACCCTCAGTCCTGGGCTAAGGAAAGCTACAGTAAGTGCCACTGGGGCTGGCATTGCTGGTTTCTTCCAGTCCCACCGTGGCCTGCACAGGGACGATGTCCTCCCACACCTCCATTTCCAGCATGGAGACGATTCAAGGCCATCATGTGAACAGCTCCTCGGCCTGCTGGGTGAAGAACTGAGAGATCAATCCCACACTCTGGCCTCCACCTATGTGTGCCTCAGCCTTGGTTCCTTCCCTCTCAGGCCATCCTAGGAGAAGCCAGGTCCTCTTGGGGGTGGTGGGGGTGCGGGGAGGTTTGTGGCAGTGCCCTGCTGCCCACCAAAGCTGACTCACGACTCCTCCAAGCTCATGCTGCTGCTCACTCAGGGTTGTGGGACTGCCAGCCTCCAGCCACCCCTCTGCTCCCTTCCACCTCCTGCTGTGTCAACTGGGCCCTGTACACATGCATATGATAACCCCCTGCCTGGCCAAGCTCTGTCCACACCCCTCCACCCTCCTGCGATGCCAGGTGCTGCCTCCTGGGACTCCCTCTCTTCATGATAATATGCACTGATGCCCTTCTCTGACATTTAGCTGTTTTCAGGGAGGAGTAAACTGCATGGTGGGCTGGACATGGTGAGCACAGGGTGAAACAGACTGCGAAGGAAACTAGATGGCTAGGCTTCAGGTCGGCGCCTTCCATGGACATGGGAGTTGTTGGGAGGGCAGTCAGCAGGAAGGGGGCTGCATTGGGAGGGGCTTGGAAGATGGGCTGGGGAGATCCCCAGGAGGGAGGTAGTGAGGGGCTGCCACCTAGGTCTTCTGCTTCCTGTGAAGGACTTGTGGGGGAGACCTCCTCTCCTCCTGTGTCCACAGTGCCCGTGTCAGACTGCAGCTGCCACTGGCTCCATAGGACAGGAACCCCTGAGCTTCTGCACTGTTCCTGCTGTCAGGGCCAACCTGACAGAGTTAAAGCCAATTCCCTCCAAAGCCAGCTAGACTCGGGGTAGATTCTTCTAATGCCACTTTGCCCAGTGATGCCCTTGCTTCAGGTTCAAATTAACCAAATGAACATATTGCATGAGATGGTTTCAGCCCTATACGAAGTAGTTGGAATTCTATTAGATTTCCCCTGATTTTCTTCCTTGTGAGCATTTGTTGTTAGCTAGTCTAGCACTCTAGTGTTTATTACATATTTCTACTTCAGGTAAAATTCATCAAACAGAGTGCTTCTCAATATGCATTCCTCTGTGGGGCTTGCTATTTCCTTCTGCCCATTTTGGTGCACAGTACAGCTTTTGGTGTCTGTCCCTGCTTTCAGGGGTGCCGTCTGTGACCAGCGACCCCAAGAAAGCCACACCCATGGTGCTATATTAGCACCTGCACCCCCACATCAGAGCCATCAGACAGAAATACCAACTCGCAGGGTACTGAAAAAATGCTTTCTTATTATAAATGTACATACAACTCATTGAACAATATATGGAACATCTCCAAAGCACAGATAGAAAGAATTCTCTATTTTTGTACCACCCAAACTTACCATTACCAGGTGGTTCAAGTCTCTTCCATCCTTTCTCTGTGAATCTCTTATTTTTCATACAGTTGATCCATTTGTAGTCAACAGATGTGGATTTTCTTTTTGTCACTAAGTGTTAGAACATAAGCATTTGTTTAATATCACAAACAAACTTTCAAAAACATACGCCATAGAGTGTGGAATAATAGGTATTAGAGACTTGGAAGGGTGGGAAAGTGGGAGGGGTGAGAAATTACATAAAGGGTATAGTATACACTATTTGGGTGATGGTTATAGTAAAAGCCCCGACTATGCAATTTATCCATGTAACAAAACTGGATTTGTACCTTCTAAATCTGTATTAAAACATATTTTAGGCAGGGCACGGTGGCTCACGCTGTAATCCCAGCACTTTGGGAGGCTGAGGCGGGTGGATCACGAAGTCAGGAGATTGAGACCATCCTGGCTAACACGGTGAAACTCCATCTCCACTAAAAGTACAAAAACTTAGCCGGGCGTGGTGGCGGGCACCTGTGGTCCCAGCTACTCAGGAGGCTGAGGCAGGAGAATTTTGTGAACCTGGGAGGTGGAGCTTGCAGTGAGCCGAGATCATGCCACTACACTCCAGCCTGGGCGACAGAGCAAGACTCCGTTTAAAAAAAAAAAAAAAAAAACCCAAAAAACAAACAAATAAAAAACACATATTTTAACTGACTGTATATTTCTTTCTTTTTTTTTTTTTTTTTTTTTTTTGAGACAGAGTCTTGCTCTGTTGCCCAGGCTGGAGTGCAGTGGTGCAATCTCAGTTCACTGCAAACCTCCACCTCCTGGGTTCAAGGAATGCTCGTGCTTCAGCCTCCCAATTTGCTGGGACTACAGAGGTGTGCACCACCACTCCCGCTAACTTTTTTTTTTATTTTTAATTTTTAGTAGAGACAAAGTTTCACCATGTTGGCCAACCTGGTCTCAAACTCCTAGCCTCAAGTGATCTGCCCGTCTCAGCCTCCCAAAGTGCTGGCACTACAGGCATGAGCCACTACGTTCAGCCAATTGACTGTGTATTTCATTGGTTAGCTTTGCCATGGTTCAGTTAACCAATCTTCCCTTGCTGTTTATTCCAGTTTTTCCATATTATAAACAATAACAAAAAGAACATTTTTGTGCCTAAATACCTTTTTTTTCCATATTTATAATTATTTTGGCTTTGGCAAATAATTTGCTAAATACTACCAAAGAACAGATTTGCAGAAGTGAAATTATTTGCTCAAAGAATACAAATATTTGCAGAGCTTTTGTATATATTTAAAACTGCTATCCCCAAAATAGTGATATTACTAAGCTTATTTTTTATGTATCAAATTTTACACTTTTACAAAAGCAAGTCTAATTCTTCTTCATGTCATTGATAATTCTAAGCCTTGTGACATCTCTCTTCCTAGATTAAATATTCAGTTATAGTTTCTTCCTGCATCGCTTATGTTACTGCATGTAATTGTTATTATTGTTTGTTGTTACAGCTACCTGTTTGGTCTGGGTGGGATTTCTTTTGGCCCACCCTGTGAGGCACATGGGCTCGAATGGCTGGCTTATGACTCATCTGGGGCATGAAAATTAAGAATAACCTGGGCTCCTCAGCCATGCTCCTGCTCTGAACCCATCAGCTTCTATGCATTCTTTCTGATGGCTGGAAGGGCTTCTCTTTGGGGTGTTTGGGGTGTTAGGAAGTGTGAGATGCTGTGAGGCTCCACGGAATGGGTGGACGGGTGGCCTCTACATGGTGTGGCAGAGGAAGCCTCCCCCCAGGTGGCCCTGCTGTCATCTCTGCGCCCCAGAACCCTGGCCTAACCCCAGGACTCCACAAGGCCTGCTGAGCAGCCAGGCTGTTCCCCCATCTTGAGTAGCCACTCTGTCAGGTCATGCCTGGCGGGAATGATGAACTTTGTGTCAACTGCTGATTACAGAAGGCTGGGGCAGGTGCTGGAATGCCTCTTGGGTGAAGCTAGGGAGGTGCTGGCCCTGCCTCCCCAAGCCAGGCTCACAGGCCTTTTGGAGTCCTGATTTTGGACTCCCACAGCACCCCGTGGGACCTGGAGATTTTTTTCTCTTCAACATCCATGTGAAGATGCTTCCTGAGGAACTTCCATGAGCTCAGCACTAGGGCAGGTAGTTCTGGGGATGCAGAAAATAAGAGCAGGGGTGTCCAAAGCTGGTTGGGGGGTGGTAGCTTCTGGGGACTGAGAGTAAGGTCAGGGCACAAGGTGAGGACAGAGGGGCAGGTGGGAAATGGCAGCGATGGCAGCGCTCTCACTGGGGGACCCTAGCTGGGCCTGAGTGGAGAGGCCCAAAAGGCTTCCTGGAGGTGGTGACTGAGCTGGGAAGGAAGCAGCACAGGCAAAGAAGGACAGGCTTTGCAGGCAGGGCTCAAAGAGATGGAAGAAGAGAGGGGAGCAGCCATGAGCTTCCCAGGAACTGCAAGTGTCTGGGTGAAGTGGGAGTTCAGGATACCCCTGGACTTGGAGGCCTTCAGACAATCACAGACAGCAGGACCATGGCAGCAGAACCCTGGGAGAGAAGGAAGAGGCAGTGGTTTCTGCTGGCTGCTGGAGCAGAGTGGTCTTGCAGGCAGCTCAGAGGCCCAGGGACTGTCATGGGCAGAGGCATAGGGATCGGTCCTTGCTGAGGCTGGGCACTGAACAAGGTGGTGCATGAGACAAAGCTTGGAGTCCGGTCATCATCCCCCTCCTCAAGCTGCCACCCTAGCTGGAGCTGGATTCAGGAAACGACAGCCCTTTTTCCTCATGGGGGAGGTACCTGGCTTTGGACAGACCTGAAGGAGGTTCTCTCCAGACCTGGAGGAGGTCCATGGAAGGCAGCAGGCAGGGAAAGTGGCTGTCCTGACTAGACAGCAAGGGGTGGAGGAGGAGCTGGCTGTGGCTGCATGACCTTGAATGACCTTTGACTCCACAAGCATAGTGTCTGTGTAACATGTGCCTTGACAGTTCATCTTGAGGTTTAAACATCATTCTTTAAATCACCCTCCATGATGCCAGGTATCCTACCCCTCAGAATGAGAGGGCAACTGGCTGGTGTTTTTTAAGCGGACCACCCGCAGCCTCACTGAGACACCTCTTATTTCCAGGAGCCAGGTGTCCAGGTCCCCGTGCAGCTGTGGTGCCATCGTGTCCTGGATCCTCGCCACCTTGGGGGCCCGTCAGCGCCTCTCTGGAGCCTACAGAGGCACCTGGCAGGCTGGCAGGCAGCTTTTATATGCCTAGTTAGGGTTTTATGGTGCAGCCGGGAGGATCTGCGTCTGACAAGGCGTGCATGTGACTGCGGCGTCTGTGTTCCTGGCCGGGCCTGCCTGAGAGCAGAGACCGGCGGGGTCACCCTGGGGACCGGGCGCCGAAGCTCAGCCACAGAACAGGGGTCCAGGCCATACTGGCTAAGCCTTGCCCCTCCTGAGATACTCATTTCCATTTGTTCATGAAAGGGCCAGGCTGAGCCAGGCCCAGGGGGTGGAGGAAGTGGGGCAGGGAGGCCTCCTGGCCTGGGGGAGCTCTGGGAGTGCCCCTCCAATCCCCCCAGGGCCAGCTCCAGGTCCTGGAAACTCAGAGGACAAGCTGCAGGACCGGCCACCCCCCTACCCCTCTCTCTGTGCAATTTGTATTCCAGTGGGCAAGGTGACAATAAACCTATAAGTAGACAAAGTAGTCACAGGATCGTTTCTGGCAGGGTGGCTCTAGGAAAGACAGGATGCAGGGCCAACTGGGAGGATGTGACAGTGGCTGGTGGTTGGGCTCACCTGGGGAGGAAAGGCCTGCTGAGACATGAGGAAGCTTAGTCACCAACCATCAAAGGGCAGGCAAGGGGACCACTTAGCAGTGAGTTTGGGGTGCTCATGGTGCAGGCTGCAGACCAGAGCCAGGGAGAGGCAGGAGGTGGCAGGGCCAGGCCTTGGTACTCTCGTCTTTGGTGAGGAATCTGCATTTCTCTTTGATTGGCACTGTTGCACTTGCAGGGCTCACAGTCATGTGAGTCAGGTAATCATTAGGGGAGGTGGGGACACAGTCGGCTGCACACAGCCTAGAGAGATCAGCTCTGCCTGGGCACTCATGGACAGGGAGTGCCTGGGACCATCCCCACTCATACCTAGTGACCTTTGTCATTCTCAGAAGTGCCCTGATCTGGATTATTAATTATGTGGTCAGCTTCACGATGGGCACCCTCACAGAGGGAGAGATAGTCCTGCCTCCTGGAAGCAGAGGATGTTCACCAGGCAGGCAGCAGGGAAGAGGATTCCAAGTCCTGGAATTAGGAAATGCATAAATGTGTTGGGAATTGCTGAAAGCTCGGTAGGGATAACTCCTGGACTGTCAGGGGAGGGATGCCAAAGAGGCAGGAGTGGGGCTTGAGAAGACTCCGTGGAGTTTGGACTCAGTCTTATAGCCTTGGGTTGTTGAGAGTCACAAGAGAGTTCAAAGTCTGAGAGGAACACAGTCAGGCTTATGTTTAGAGAGAACTCGGTGAGGACTCAGGCAGGGGAACCAGGGAAGCAAGGAGCCGAGGCAGGGGTTGAGGAAGGAGGCTGTCATAGTGTCCCAGGCAGGAAGTGTCAGGGACCTGACCTATAGCAGGATCATGGGGTTGTAGAGAAGGATGGATATGGAAAACTAATGAGGCGGGCTCAGCGAGGAGGAGCAGATGTGGGAGGGGCATCCTGGATGGGGCCCAGGTAGGGCATAGGACTCTGGGTGGAAGCCATGGAAAGCTGGAGAACCCAAGGCGAGGACAGCAGAGCTTATCTTGTGCAGTCAGAGGGTGGCAGGGATGGTTGACGCTCTCCTGCCAAGTGTCTGTACCCTTCTTCTGTATTTCCCGGCCTTCCTTGCAGTTGGTGGAGGCCACGTGGCTAGCTCTTGCCAATGAGAATGTGAGCAAAAGTCAAGTATCACTTCCTGTCCAAGGCAGTGTGTAGGGGGTGAGGTCCTCCACATTTCCCACCTCGTGAGCTCTCTAAGATGGCAGAAGAACAAAGTGGACGCTACTGGATCCCTGACTTCCCATTTGAGGAAGGCTGTCTGACTTACATAGTGAGCCTGCAAAGACAGTGAAGCTGCTGAGGCTTGGGGACTTGCCACTACTGTTCATGAGGGTCCTGTATCCTGATTGCTCACATGAAGGGCAGTGGGGCAGGAGGAGGTGACAAGGCACAAGGGAAAGCTCATCCAGAGAGAGGAAGAGGCTGGTTGCTGTCCTCACTGCCTGTCCCAGATTCACCATTCAGGGAGCCCTCCTGCTCCCTGGGGAGACTGAGGAGACACGGGGCTACAGCTGCTCTTTCCAATGCATTTGCAAGGATGAGAGCTCTTGGGTGTTCATTTCATCTCTGAACCCCTTATGGTTTAGCCTGTGGTCAACCGAGGCAAGGCCATCCTGGAGGAAGAGTCAGCAGCCAGAGGACTGTCCAGCTGCTGCCATGAGGCCACTGCTCCCCAGGATCAACCACTGCCCCTTTATTCATGCACCTAGCATCCCTGGCGAGCAATTTAGCTTCTCCCCATGGAAGACTCTAAAATGAATCAGAAGGGAACAGTACAACCTAATCCCAAGGCTCTACCAAACTCTGGACTTTTAATTATAGCACCATTCTGGGACCCATTGAATTTAGAAAACAGAGGCAAATCCTCAGCTACTAGGGCAGTTAATCCAGGCAAAGCAATGCTCTCAGCTTTTTGTATTTAGTGAAAGCCACATTGAGGTTACTGTTGTCAAAATCTAAAGCAGAGATCCAGTGACAGCTGAGGGAAAGAAAGTAAATGATGTTTATTGGGTCTGTTCGGCAAAACTTCCCTCCTATTCTTTTGTTGTTGTTTTTCCTTTCCTAGTATCTTTCTGTAGATTTTTGTCCTGGGAAATCCCACTTAAATAAAGATGTGGAGTTTAGTAAGTTCCAGTCTTCTGGGGTGCATCCATTGTCCACATTTATCTTATCCAGTGCTATTCTCCCAAGTCAAATCTTCCCCTGCAAAAGGTAATTTCCATCTTAGCAACGTTTAAGCAGGCCTGGACTCCATCTGTCGCTGTCCCACCTGGCTATGCTTTGGGAATCTTGTCTCCTCTCTGACCATCCTTAACATCCCAGTTTGAAACATTTCTTCTTGGGCTTTTCCCTCAAGGCATGGATCACCATTACACTCTGGAACTAGCCTAGCTTCCAGAATGCCTACTGAGAAGTTCAATGTCCTTTATTTCTATTTATTTCTGTGTAACCTTTCTTCTCCAGTTTTGCCCTCTGGAAGTTTTAGGATCTTCTTTTGATTCCCTGTGTTCTCAATCTTCATGCTGATGCACCCTCATGGATGTTTCTGCTATACATTGTGCTGGCCACTGTGTAGACTCTTTCTGTGTAGAAACACATGTCCTTCCAATCTAAGAAATTTTCTAATTATTCCCTTAGGTTTCTTACACTTGTCCCCCGTTTCCAATCTCTCTCTCTCTTTAAATATTTATTTAGTTGTTCAACATTTATTTTACATCCAGGGGTATATGTGAAGATTTGTTACATGGGTAAATTGTGTGTTGCTGAGGTTTGGGGTATGAATGATCCCATTATCAAGGTAGTGAGCATCATATCTGATAGGTAGTTTTCCCACCCTGCCTCCCCTTTTACTCTCCAGCTTCTTGCAGTTCCCAGAGTCTATTGTTTTAATCTTTTTGTCCATGTGTACTCAATGTTTAGCTCCCATTTATAAATGAGAACGTATGGTATTTGATTTCCTGTTCCTGTGTTAATTTGCTTAAGGTATTGGTCACCAGCTGCATCCATGTTGCTGCAGAGGAAATTATTTTTAATGGTTGCATAGTATTCCACAGTGTATAGATTGATTCCATGTCTTTGCTGTTGTGAATAGTGCTGTGATGAACATACAAGTACATGTGCTTTTTGGTAGAACAATTTATTTTCCTTTTGGTATGCACCTGGTAATGTGATTACTGGGTCAAATGGTAGTTCCGTTTTAAGTACTTTGAGAAATCTCCAAACTAATTTCCATAGTAGCTGAACTAATTTGAATCCCCACCCACAATGTATAAGCATTCCCTTTTCTCTACAACCTATCCAGTATCTGTTATTTATTGACTTTTTAGTAATAGCTATTCTGACTGGGGTGAGATGGTATCTCATTGTGGTTTTTATTTACCTTTCTCAAAACATTAAAAGTCACCTATGACAGACCCACAGCCAACATCACACTGAATGGGCAAAAGCTGGAAGCTTTGCACTTAAAAAATAGAACAGGACAAGGATGCTCATTCTCACTTCTCCTATTGAACATAGTAATGGGAGTCCTAGCCAGAGCAATCAGGGAAGAGAAAGAAATAGAAGGTATTCGAATAGGAAAATAAGACATCAAATTATCTCTCTTTGCAGATGATGTGATTCTATACCTAGAAAACCCTAACGACTCTGCCATAAGGCTCCTAGTCTGATAAATCACTTCGGTAAAGTCTCAGGAAGCAAAACCAATGTACAAACATCAGTAGTATTTCTATACACCGATAATGTTCAAATTGAGAGCCAAATGAAGAATGCAATCCTATTTACAATAGACACACACACACACACACACACACACACACACACATCCTAGGAATACATTTAACCAAGGAGGTGAAAGATCTCTATAAGGCATACTACAAAACACTGCTGGAAGAAATCATAGATGATACAAACAAATGGAAAAATATCCCATGCTCATGGATCAGAAGAATTGATATTGTTAAAATGGCTACACTGCCTGAAGCAATCTACAGATTCATTGTTATTCCTATCAAAGTACCAATATTGTTTCAAAGAATTAGAAAAAAAAACTATTCTAAAATTCATATTGAACCAAAAAAGAGACCAAATAACCAAAGCAATCCTAAGCAAAAAGAACAAAGACAGAGGCATCAAACTATCCGACTTCAAACTATATCACAAGGCTATAGTAATCAAAACAGCATGGTATTACTACAAAAGCAGACACATAAACCAATGGAATAGAATAGAGAGCCAAGAAATAAAGCTACACACCTACAACCATCTGATCTTCAACGAAGTCGATAATAACAAGCAATGGGGAAAGGACTCCCTAAGCCATGTGCAGAATAATAAAACTGAACCCCTGCCTTTCACTGTATACAAAAATTAGCTCAAAATGGGTTAAAGATGTAAATGTAAGATCCCAAACTATAAGAATCCTAGAAGAAAATCTAGGAAATACCATTCTGGACATTGCCCTTGGCAAATAATTTATAACTAAGTCCCCAGAAGAAATTGCAAAAAGGCCGGGCACGGTGGCTCACACCTGTAATCCCAGCACTTTGGGAGGCCGAGGCTGGCAGATGACCTGAGGTCAGGAGTTAGAGATCAGTCTGCCCAACATGGCAAAACCCTATCTCTACTAAAAGTACAAAAAATTAGCTGGTCGTGATGGCAGGTGCCTGTAATCCCAGCTACTAGAGAAGCTGAGGCAGGAGAATCACTTGAACCATGGAGGCAAAGGTTGCAATGAGCTGAGATGGTACCACTGCACTCCAGCCTGGGTGACAAGAGCGAAACTGCATCTAAAAAAAAAAAAAAAGAATGATAAAGAAAAAGGAAAAAAATAGAAATTGCAACAAAAACAAAAATTGACAAGTGGGACCTAATTAAACTGAACAGCTTCTGCACAGAAAAATAAACTATCAACAGAGTAAGCAGACAACCTATAGAAGGGGAGAAAATATTCACAAACAACACATCCAACAAAGGTTGAATATCCAGAATTTGTAAGGAGCTTCAACAATTCAATAAGCAAAAAACCAAGAATCTCATTTAAAAATGGGCAAACGATATGAACAGACACTTCTCAAAAGAAGACATACATGTGGTCAGCAAATATATGAAAAAATGCCGATCTTTTTTTGTTGCAGTTCTAGTTTCTGGCAAATTTTTTAAACTTTTATTTCCAAATGTCTTTGTTGTTTAAAAGATTTTAGTTATTATGTATTTTTATTTCTAATAATCCTTTTTTATTATGAGTTTAATTCTTATACCTTCTTGTTCTTTTTTAATGCAATTTTTTTTCCTCTGGCCTCTCTGAGAATCTTAATGCAAGTCTATTGGAGGTCTTCTTTTGCTTCCTGCATCACCTCTGTTTTATTTGGCATCTGTCTTTCATGCTGCAGACTCTCCTCAAATGCCTGAGGATCCTTTGCCATTCATTCAAATTGAAGAGATAGTCACTAGGAACCCAAGAATGAAACAAAACAAACAAGACAAAATCTACAAGAAGTCACAAGAAAGTTCAGTAATGTGGCTGGATATATTTCCCAAAAGCCAGAAAGCTTATAGAAATGATATCTAACTAGAAAAATAGTAGGAGATCAGATGTCACTCACAATGAGGGACCCAGGAATTATGCTAGCAAATAATAGAAATTCTTTTGTATTAGTCAGGGTTCTCCACAGGAACTGAACCAATAGGGTATATATAGATATACATAATAGATAGATTTATTATGAGAATTGGCTCACACATTTATAGAGGCCAAAAAGTCCCATGATCTGCCATCTGCAAGCTGGACACCCAGGAAAGACACTGGTGTAAATCAGGCTTGAAGTTCAGGGTGCTCATGATGTAAGTCCCAGATTGAGCCCAAAAACCGAGAACCAGGACCACCGACGTCTGAAGGCAGGAGAATATGGATGTCCCAACTCAAGCAGAGAGAATGGCTCTCCCTTCCTCTGCCTGTTTATTCTAATCAGGACCTCGAGGGATTGGACGATGCCCACCCACACTGGGAAGGGCCATCTGCTTTACTCAGTTCCTCCATTCAAATGTGGATCTTTTCTGAAATTACCCTCACAGAAACACTCAGCAATGATACTTTACCAGCTGTCTGGACACCCCTTAGCCAAGTCAAGTTAACACATCAAGTTAACCATCACAGCCTTCTTGGTGACAACACGAATGCCTCATTAAAATGTCTAAGATAAGAACTGATTCATACATGGAAAGAATTAGCATTGTATTCATTTTAGTCCTCTGAAATTTAATCTATAAATCCAATGCGATTCCAATTAAAATTCTGGAAGGTTTTGTTTAATGAACTCAACAAAATGGTTGTAAAATTATACGGAAGAATAAAAGTGTATGAATAACTAACACACTTTGAAAAAGAAGAGCATCTATTAAAAAGTCAGTAGGGTTAGATAGGAGGAATAAGGTCAAGAGATCTTACTGTACAACATGATGATTATAGTAAATAACAATGCATTGATTCTTGAAAATTGCGCAGAGTAGATTTTAAGTGTCTCATCACAAAAAGATAAGTATGTGAAGTAATGGATGTTAATTAGCTCATTTAGCCATTCCACAATGTATACATATTTCAAAGCAACATGTTGTACATCATAAATATATATAATATTTGTCAACTAAAAATAAATTTAAAATCCACTAGAACTGACAAATGAGTGTAACAAAGTTATACAATACAAGCTTAATGTAAAAAATTGTGTATCTACCAAATCAAAAAATCAGAAATTAAAATTGGAAAACAGCCCCATTTATAATAGGATAAAATGTGAAACATCTAGGGATACATCTGATAAAGAAAGACTAGGATACTGACAATTCTAGGTCATTGTTGAGAGAAATTAAAGATCTAAACAAATGGTGAGAAACACTGTATTCACAGATCAGAAGACTTAATATTAAGATGTCAATTTTCCTCAAATTGATTTACAGATTCAATGCTATGCTAATAAAAATCTAAAAGGATTTTTTCTGTAAGACTGAGAAACAATTCTAAAATTCATATGGAAATTCAAAGGACCTGGAATAACCAAAACCCTGAAAAAGAAGAACAAGTTTGGAAAAGTAACATTTACCAATTTCAAAACTTATGGAACTGCAGTAATCAAATCAGTGTAGTATTTGTGTCAAGACAGACAAATAGACTATGGAACAAAGTAAAGAGCCCAGAAATGGACTCACACATACATAGCCAACTGATTTTGAAAATGATACTAAGACAATTCAGTGAAGAAAGGATAGTATTTTGAGCAAAGGGTGATGGAGCAATTGTATATCCATATGCACAAAAAAACTTTGATTCACACCTCATTCTCATCATGTATGTAACAAAAATAAACTTAAAAGGCATCATTGACTTACAAGTAAAACCTAAAGTATAAACTTTCTAGAAAAAAATTTCTAGAAGAAAAATAGGAGACAGAAAATAAGAGATTGGGAGACAATATTTGTAAATTGTGTATCTCATAATTTGTGTTGAGAAAATATTAAAAACTCTTAAAAGTCAACAATAAAAAATATCAACCTAATTAAAAACTGGCAAAAGATCTGATCAGATGATTTACCAGTAAAGTTATAGAGATGGCAATTAGCATATTAAAAAAATGCTCAACAGAATTAGTCATTAAGGAAATGCAAATTAAAATCACAATGAGACAGCAGTCTTCCTCTATCAGAATGTCTAAAATTGAAAAAAAAATTACTGACAATATCACATGTTGGTGAGGATGTGGAGCAATAGGAACTCTCATTAGTAATTGATAGGAATGCAAAATGGTATAGACACTTTGGAAAACACTTTGGTAGTTTCTTATAAAACTCCACTTGCCTGATGACCCAGCATTCCCACACCTAGGTATTTACTCAAGTGAACTGAAAACTTCCTTCCACACAAAAACTTGCAATTGCTTGTCGTGGTGTTACTCATAATCAACAAAAGCTGGGAATAATGAAGATATCCTTCAGCAGGTAAATGGATCAACAAACTGTGGTATGCCATGCAGTGGAATAAAACTCAGAAATAAAAAGGAATAAACTACTGACTTAATAACAATAAGGATAAATTTCAAATACATGTGTCTAAGTAAAAGAAGTTAGACCCAAAAGATGCCACTGATGTGACATTCTAAAAAGAGCAAAATTACAGAATGGGAAGGATCAATAGTTGCCAGGAGCTGGGGGAGGGGAGAAGGTTTGACCACAAGAGGGCCTCAATAGAGAGTGTTTAGGGGGATGGAACGTTCTGCATGCTACTCGAGTCATAGATACTTGACTCTATGCCTTTGTCAAAGTCCGTAGAACTGTACACCACAAAGAGTGCACCTAGCATTGAGCGAAGAAGGTAAGAAACAGAATGAAATATCTCAATACCATATATGTAAATTAGAAATTCGCACATGTACAATACAATATATATTTTAAGAAATTATATTAAGTACATCATAATGACTGCTTATGGGGAGACAGGATTGTGGCTTGAGGATAAAGGGGAAACAGACTAAAACAACAGAGAACGTTGCATGGGCCAATGGTGAGAGTGTGTGCTGAGCTGAGAAGTTTCATGAATTCAAACACGTCTATTTGAAATCTAAACAAAACAAAATATAAAACTAAAATTCAGACCAAGGCACAAAAAGCTGATTGGACACTCTGAGTCCCAGGCATGTGTGTGAGTGAGGGCTGGGGCTGGTCTATTGAGAGCCTTCCCAGTAGTGTGATTAGGAGGGACCTGGTCATCCATTGAGGGACCCCAAATGTCAATTCATTTTCTCTTGGACAGCTCTGGAGCTTCCATCTCCTCTTGGGGGAGGGGCAGATGTAGCTGCCAGGCTTAAGGGAGTGGAGGAGGGAAAGGGCGGAGGATGCGAAGGCTCATCTGGAAGTTCGCTTCGTCCCTTTTGGAGTAAGGCACTTACACAAGTCCTTAGCAGTAACTCACGTCCCTGAATCCAGAGCGTCTTCTCTCCAGGTTCCCCAGGACGGATACCGCGAGTGATCTGAGGGCTCTGGGAAGAAACTCACCTGGTTCTGCTGGGTATGGAGAGGATAGGAGAATGCATTTTTTCTTATTCAGAGTTCCACAAAACCTCTGTTTTTAGCTCCACATCTCATTCTCACCTTTATCGTTCCTGGAACCTCCAATTCCAGAGCCCTTACAAGGTGTTACTGAGCCAGATTGCAGGCTTCTTACTGTCTTCCTTGCTGTAGGCTTAGCTTTCACCTTTCTAACTTCTCCAAATTTTGACATCTCTTATCCGCTGCCACCTCTATTTTTCTTTTCTCCTTCATAGATTTATGGATTTTAATTCCATTTAGCCATTTTACTGGAATTTTGGGAAATAAGTGGACACAATGCCACTTTTATCTGCTATGTTTGCTTGAAGACAACACCATGCTATTTTACTGGGCCTCCATTTTCTCCTCCTTAATGTGAGGGTTAATGGCACTATGGTGAAATGAACTCAGGACCACAGCCAGGTGTGGAGGAGACAGGACAAGATGAGAAGGTAAACGTACCTAGTTTGGATTCCCGGCTCCACTGCATACTGCCTAGGTGAGTTTGAGCAAGTTGCTCACCCTTCGTGAGCCTCAGTTTCCTCAGTAGTAAAATGGAGGTGTTCATACTGCTTCTACCCAGTTCCACAAGGCATATAGTAGGTGTTCGCTCTATGCTATTTTTCTTTCCCTAAGGGAATGCATAAACCGGCAGTCTCAACACTATCATGGAGAAATTTGTTATACGTGGCAATTATGGCAATGGAATCCAAATGAGTGTCTGAAGCAGGGCAGAGTCCAGTGAGAATTTTTCCTAAGCAAAGTCTCTCCCACTCCTCTGCCCTGTTGCTCAGGGGTGGAAGCAGATTCCAGACTCACTATCTGAACTCTGGGGGCCATCAGGAGATTTCCGGCAAAGCTGGGCTTTTTTCCATGCACAAGCAGGAGCCCATAGGTCTGAGTACCATGGGGGCAGGAGGGAGGCAGCAAGGAGCCCTTTCCTTCGTGTGTCTTGGTGTGGGGGTGGGTGGGGGTGGGTTGCCCACTGGGTGGCAACTGATAACAGACCTTTTAGGCAGAGAACAGGAGTTCCTTGAAATCTTGAGAGTTGAGAGATTCCAGAAAGACCTTGCCATCCAGAAGAAGTGATACATGAGGTTCCAAATATGCATGTTCCCTGGGTCATTTTTTTGCTTAGCTGCATGCATGTGAGATGTGAGCCTTATGTCACAAGGGTTCCAATGGTGTGATGCATCTTAGATCTTGTCCTGGTTCTGCCAGGAATTTGGGCCAGCCACTTCCTCCCTCTCTGAGCTTAGTTTTTTCATTTGTAAGAAGGGCAAATACACAGCAAGTGCACTTCTCATGTGCACAGCTCCAGTGATATCTGGTGTACTTTCCAAATCTTCAGATGTGTTTGGAACACTGAGCTTATTATATATCCATCTTCAGGTTGACCCAGTGGAAGATTCTGCAGGTAATTATTTTGCTGATGGCTTTTAATCCCTTAACAGACAGATATTCTTTCTGGGACCATGACACTGTTGTGGCACAAGTCTGTGGGGTCTGGAAGCATACCCATTGTCAAAAACATCCTCTTTTGGTGGTGATAACAGAAAAATAGTAGTGATGATGGAGAAACACAGAGATGTTTGCCAAGTCCTGCCAGGTGCAAGTCATCTCATCATCCTGACACAGGATTGCCAGTGTCTCCGTGATCAGTAAATGGGACACATGTGGCACTTGTGCCTCTCTGTCATGGGGCCAGACCCTTGGGAAGAGTGAGGAAATCATTTATCCTGTGACGGTCAATGTGAGAAGAGATGGAGGTGAGAGTGAGAGGACAGAGGGAGACCTGATCAGGTGACCATCTGCCTCCTTTTCTGGTCAGTGATGCTCCTTCAATGCTGACTACCTGGGGCTGAGAACACACATGGCCAGTCAACTCTCTGGGTCCTCCATCCATGAGCTTCGTCATGAGACACCCCGAGGATAGACATTACCTCCCATGCAGCACCATGGGGGATGCTCGGTCCCCTGGAGAATGGCCAGATTTCTCTGGGGCTTTGTGAGGACTCCTGTGGACAGGGCAAGATGAAGCTTGGACCAACAGCTGCATCATGGAGCCAGCACCTCCACCCCCAGGCAACTTTCTGTGGATTATGAGTCTTTAAATTCCATTGAGTCCCATCAACATGGGATACTTTGCAGGGAGAGGCTTCTTCTGTGACCTCCCATGAGCCAAGTACATACTCATGGAAGGGCTGTTGACTTGGTTTCAGCCTGAAGTTATTTTGTAAAGCAAAAAAATAGTGATCAAACACATCCATTCATCAGTGACAGTTTGGGAAATGTCAAATAGAAAGGAAAACATAATTCTCATTCCCATCACACAAAGTTAAAGCCCATTTTGATGCTGTTCCATTCTTGACTTTTCCTGTGGATGTTTTTGTCCTTTTACACAGCTGTGATGATACAATTACACGCTTTTTTTCTCTTTTTCAACTTTTATTTCAGGTTCAGGGGGTATATGTGCAGGTTTGTTAAATTACGTGTTGCTGGAGTTTGCTGTACAAATAATTTCATTACCCAGCTAGTGAGCATAGTACCTGATAAGTAGTTTTTTGACCCTCACCCTTCTCCCAACCTCCACCCTCAAGTAGGCCTCCGTGTCTGTTGTTTCCAACTTTGTGTCCACATGTATTCAATGTTTAGCTTCTACTTATAAGCGAGAACATGTGGTATATTGTTTTCTGTTCCTGTGTTAATTCACTTAGGATAATGGCCTCCAGCTGCATCCATGTTGCTGTAAAGGACATGATCTTACGCTTTTTTACAGCTGCATAGTGTTTTATGGTACATGTGTACCATATTTTCTCTATTTAGTCCACTGTTGATGAGCATTTAGGTTGATTTCATGTCTTTGCTATTGTGAATGGAATTGCACTCTTTCATATCATGATTTTATATTTTTTACTGGATGCATAAACATATTCCCATGTGCTTATAAATTTTTCCTACAGATCGTGGCTGAGGACATACAGTAGATTAATTGGCCAATCCTCTATTTTTGGTTAACTGGTCTATTGTAAGCTTCGGCTGTTATGAATAATACTGAAGTCACCATTTTTGTGTATTTTTTGAAAACCCAGGATCAATTCTTTAGGGTCATTCCCAGAGTGGAGTACATACACGTTTAAGTTCTTGGTTTCCTAAGGGAGAGGCCAACCTTAGGATTCCAATTTCCATGTGCCCAAGGAGAGCAGCATGAGTTCTCTGCTCACAAAACTCCTTGTCCAAGACCAGCAGATTGGTCTGAGTCTGACTATGAGCTATATTACTAGCCTCCTCCTCCCCTCCCCGCTTCCCCTCTATGTTCCTCTCTTGGTGAGGGCTGTGGGCAGCAGTGGTCTGTGGGGGCCCTGAAGAACATTCTGGGCTGGGGGTGCTTCCTTAGGCTTAAACAATTCCACTGGAAGCTATTGCCCCTGAGCATGCTGGTCCCGGCCTGTGGAAAGCCTGTCAGGCCAACACACGTGAGCAGCCTTTGTTCCCCAGTGTGGCCCCACAGAAACAGAGTGACTAATGAGGGTTCCTTCCTGTCTCTTCAAAGTTCAGCAGGGGCTCCCAGGTTCAAAGGACGGTGTCTGACTCACTTTTTCCCATTCCCCAAAGGCAACTGCAACTGAACAACACTGAAAACACCTCCTACCCTGCCCAAACAGACCCCATCCTGGGGGGATTACTTAGTCCAGGGCCCAGGCAGAGCTGGCAAAAACAACAGCATCCCCACCAGGGATAGGCACATGCTGCTTTGGGAAGGATGCCTCCTCTCCAGCCCAGAGGCCCCCCGGGGGCGTCAGACTCTTCTTCCAACCTGCCTCCGGCTTCGTCC
Organism: Homo sapiens; assembly: GCF_000001405.40. Taxonomy (NCBI): domain Eukaryota; kingdom Metazoa; phylum Chordata; class Mammalia; order Primates; family Hominidae; genus Homo; species Homo sapiens. Next base: position 47,264,816 of record NC_000010.11, on the reverse strand, counting down.
TTCCTCTTCAGTTGTTGCATATTCTACTGTTGGCTTTAATTTTCCTTTGTATATGAGCACTGGAGAGAGGGCTGGTCTGGGAGTCCCCATGCCTGATGGTGAGGCCAGGAGCCTGTGGTCACCAGGGCTTGGTCAAGGACTGGGAAAGTGAACTTTACTAGAGGAGGACACATTTTTCAGGAGAAAGGAAGGTTCCAAGCCAACTTTGCAACCTCACAGACTTGGCTGTGTAGCTGAGCTTCATGGGAAGGTCCCAGTGTTGTCATGCAAGAATTGTGGCTGCACTTCCATACCCATGGTTGGAGGTCCACCCTCAACAAAGACTTCCATGCTGGAGCACGGGTGACAACTACTTGGCCACCATTAGAGGCACATACCACAGCCTAGCAAAACAATCTGTTGCATTTGTGGACCACTTTGTTCTTTTCACTTACTTCGAATCTTTTTAGAAATAAAGAAGGACTTAGGTAAATAATTATCCTCTTTCTTATGGGAACAAATCGTCTGTCTCCCAGAAGAGTCCACCCACTGTCCATTCTTCCACCCAAAGGAGCCAGCAGAGCAAGGTGAGAACTTTCTTTGCATGCAATGAGTCCAATGTTTAGATGTCCCAAGTGTCTGTCTTCTTTCCGGATTAAACACTTCTCTTCCTTCACTTGTTTCCACATGACCTGGATCCTACCTGCTCACTCTTCCTAGGACGAGTCCCTTTCCCTCATAGAATGTGGGTGGAAAACTACACAAGTCTTCAGTCCAACCCCCAGCACCCCAGGGGAGCTACTGGTACTCATGCTCTGGATACCCTGTGCCTCCAGACTCCATCACACTCCAGCCTTGCGGAGTGTGGGCAGCCACAGCCCACCATGCTCTTAGACCCAGTTTACACTCAGTGAGTATCCCCAGGTGTTTAATATGAATATCTGGGCTACTACATCAAGACACTGGTCTTCTCTCCATATTCAAGTTTTCTTGATTGTATTTTATCTCAAGTCTATTTAGAAGACTGGCACTGAAGAGACCAATCATCTCCAACAAATCTCTATGATCACGACATAAAATGTAATTCCTGGAGTTGCTGCCAGGCATAGTGACGCTTGTGAACTGGGAGGTGTGAAGATCCACATGGACCTTCCAAGGTATGTGTGAGAGATGGGGAGGATGGGAGTGGAACAAGCTCTGTGCAGCTGGGACTTGTTTACAAAACACACAGCATTGCATCAATATTGACCCATCACAATTCCCTACTGATTAAGGACATAAACCATGTTGCAGAGGAAGCTTTAAAGAAATGCAAGCAGGTACCTTGAAAAGATGTTCCCCCAAAAGTAAACTTTTCAAACAGAATAATATTGACAACTTTCTCGGTGTTCCTTGACTTCTTCTCACTGTCTGTGCTGCTCAGAGCTCCATCTTTACAAAGCCACTAGCCTTGCAGCTGGTGCTGATTAGGAGAGCGTTGACAGCATGGTTTTCTCTTCCTACTAACTATGGGGTTGGAAGCAAACATTGATTGAGTTTTTACTAGGTAGCAAACTCCTGCTAGGCATTCTACATACTTGATTCCACCACCACTGGTAGTCTTCACTATAACACTGTGAAATATGCTCTTTTCTCCATTTCATTTACAGGAAAGCTGAGGGTCACAGAGGTGAAGTCATTTGCCTATGTTGACAAAGCTGGTCATGACATAGTTTGGATGGGAATGCAGAGCTTCTTGATTCAAAAGCCCATGCTTTGTCTACTGCTTCAGACTTTAGACCAGTGCTGTCCAATAGAAATAGAAGGCAAGCCACAAATATGAAGCAAATGTGTCATGTCGTATTTTCTCATAGCCACATTGAAAAAGAGAAAACCAGATAACATTAAGTTTAATCGTATGTGCTATTTAACTTAATGGATCCAAAACATTAGTATTTTAACATGTAATCAATATAAAAATTATGACTTTTATATTCTGTTTTTGTTGTAAGTCTGGAATCCGTTGTGTAATTTGCATGTGCAGCACATCTCAATTAGGACTGGCCACATTTCAAGTGCTTAGTAGCCACATGTGGTAGTTGGCTACCATATTAGACAGCTCAGCTATAAAATATAAAAATAGCTGCTTTGTTTTTCTCTCCTAGATATTCTTTAAAGAGAATTATTTTTTAATGTTTTTCATTGCATTTGAATGTTGTAAGAAAGTCAATGAATTATTAATGAGTAAGAATAAAAATAGATTTTTACTCAAATTATTCTGCTCAGGCTGCCATAACAAAAATCCTACATACTGGGTGGCTTAAGCAACAGAAATTTATTTTCTCATAGTTCTGGAGGGTGGGAGTGTGAGATCAGGTGCCAGCATGGTTGGGTTTGATGAAGGCTCTCTTCCTGGCTTGCAGACAGCCGCCTTCTCACTGGGTCTTCAGGTGGTGGAGAGAGAAAGGTGTGGTATCTCTTTTTATTAAAGCTCTAATCCCATCGTGAGGGCCTTCACTCAGACTTCATCTAACCCTAATTACCTCCCCAAGTCTCCTCCAAATACAATCACCACTGCAGGCTAGGGCTTTAGGGCTTCAACATAGGAATTTGGGGGAGACGCAAACATTCAGTTTACAACATCACTGAATAAAACACAAGGTAAGAAAATTTCTCACAGTGCTCAGTGATGCAAAATGTCCTGGGGTAACCTCTGAGGATAATGTAGAAACTTCCGTTAGTGTGTATTGTGAGGCCAGCATGTTGCAGGTATGCCCCTGCAAAGTAAAGATTTCCATGAAAACCCTACTCTTTACAAATCTACAGTCATGTTTTCCTTAATTCTTATATCAAAGGAGGCATCTTTAACCCAGTTTTTAAGACTCAGACATGGAGGTTCTGAGATTGAGTGATATCTGGAATTTCTACAGAATATATTTGGAACCCAAGACACAAAGGTAGACAGAGCAGGAGCCAGGTCCTCCCCCACAGCCTTCTGAGCCCAGGCTGTCTCCTATGGCCAGTGCCTGCTGCTTTGCTTGGGAACAGTTGCTGATGGCATGTTGCTATCTCCCATGGGAACTGAGGTCAGCCTGGACCCTGTTCTACATACATTTGTCTTTTTGTCCTTTTCAAGTAGCACGGAGCTTTAACAGGTTTTGGTTTATTATGTGAGCCAAGTGCTTGGTGGCTTGGCCAGCGGTCCTCTATGCTGATGCCCAGAGAGACAGGATCTCTTTGCACATGGTGGGGGATTTCTAGAGCGAGATGGCTGGGGGGCAGGGTGGGGGTGGGGCGGGAGCGGGGTGCGGAGGCAGGCATTTGAACAGGTCCCCCTTTTGTTGTGATTTGTATTGCTAGTTTCTTTCCACTGGGTCTTGTGGTGTCTCTTGAGAGTGGCCGTGAGCCCAGACAGCCACTCTCTAGTGGAGCTCTGATGGGGGAAATTAGGTTCAGGTGTGTGTGTCAGGTTAGACACAGTGAAGAAGTGAAACCAGAATGCATGAAACAGGGAAAACATTTCACTCACAGGCCTCACAGCAGATGGTTGCACACTAGAGGCCTACAGGAAGTCAGGAGGTGGCAGGCAGCTTACCCAGTGGGTGAGGAAGAGAGAACACTTGTGGGACTCTGCTTTTATTAAGACTCATGGGCATTATCCTTAGGCTTTCCTTTGGGGTTGTGGACTGACTGGTTTAAAGAAAACACTCTTGAAGTGGGGACTTATTTTCCTGACTCTGGCATGACCATTTGGTGTTATTATGGTCAGGTATTGGATTTTGGGTCAGTGGGATGAGGAACAGCCACACGGGGAGAGGAAGTTCTGAGTCTAAAGGCGACTGGGTACAACTGAGTTCCAAACAGCTTATGTCAGGCATAAAAATGGATGCTGAGGCAGCGATTATATTAAACAAATTTATGACAATCTTGTTATTGAAGCTGCTGTTCCTTCTTTTCTACATCCTTCAAACCTTCACTAGAGACTATCTCTGTGAGACCCCAGCTGGGTCAAAGGTGCACAGCGATGGAGTGGCAGATCCCTGCTCTCAGCTACCATAGCATGGCCACAGGATGAGGAGAGAGGCAGACACACTCTGAAATCAGGACACGCGTCAGCAAGCATTGGCTTATCAGCAAACGACAGCAGACAAGAGCTCCTGGGGCTCTGGGGAAATGCTGCTGCCTGCTGGCCAAACGAACTGATGGATGGGCTCTTGGAGTGGGAGAGACTGGGCAGAAGCTGTGTGGGGTGGGTGACTCCCAACCTAAAGAACCCACTGAGACATATGTGGCTTCCCTCTTCCACCTTCATTGCCTCTTTCCGTCTAGATGCTGGCAAGGGGGGACTTGGTGGACAAAGAGAGCTACTATTCATTCAGGAGCTATGTTACACCAGTCACTTTACATGTGCCACTTGCTCTGGGTTAAACTGTGCCTCCCCTCACTCATATGTTGAAGTCCTAACCCTAACTACCTCAGAATGGGACGTTATTTGGAAATAGGGTCATTACAGGTCATTAAGGTAGGCTGATAATCCAATATGACTGGAGTCCTTATAAAAAGGGGAAATTTGGACACAGACAAACATAGAAGGAAAATAACATGTGAAGATAAAGGCAGAGATCCAGGTGAAGCTTCTACAAGCCTAGGAATACTAAACATTGAAATCAACCACCAGAAACTCAGAGAAAATCTTGGAACATATTCTCTCTCACAGCCCTCAGGAGGAACAAAACTTACCAGCACCTTAATCTCAAACTTCCAGCCCCCACAATTGTGCTACAATAAACGTCTGTTGTCTAAGCCACCCAGTTTGTGGTGCTGTCTTACAACAGCCCTGGGAAACAAATCCATTATTTCACTGAATCTGTAGAGCAGCTCCATGAAGAAGATAATATTGTGCCCATTTTATAGAGGAAGAAAACAAGGTTCAGGGAAGTGACTTTCCCAAAGTTATGGTTTGAAACCAAATCTGTCTCACACCCAAGCCCACTACATCCTCGTCTTCCAGCCGGGATTTGCCTTCAGCCTTGGTGTCAGCACTCAAGTGGGGGGCAGGCAGATTAGTCCCTCAGGAAAGCACTTGTTTCTTGGAAGTACAGTCTCCTGTAGGTTCTGAAAGGCAGGCTGATCCACTGGAAACAGGAGCCATGTATCACGTTTCAGAAATCCAGCTCCTAGACAAGCCCCCTCAACCCGTCCCCCTGAGCCCTGCCCAGAAAGCTCCCAGCATGGACAATGTGCATTTAGCTCAGGCCTCCTCCTGACGGAGCTATGCTCCTGCCTCAAAAGCCACCTCAGATGGAAGTCCCCTCTTGGATGACAGAAATGCCCACTGACACAGACATGCAAATGTTCCATTGGAGGTTCCTGAGTTTCACCCAGTCCTGTTATAGGCAGGCATATCTTTTCACCTGCTCTATGAAATGGAATGGAAAGTGGAGCCGAAAGGCAGTTGTATTGACCCTGCCTTTCATTCACTTTGGCTCCATAAATCAAAGAGCAGTCATGCAGTCAGGCCCCCAGTAATATTCCTTCAGGATGTGCCGCAGGCATGGTAGATTGTACTTACTGGGTCAAATAAATACCTTTTCATCTGTCCGTAATATAGGTAGCTATATTACTCTTTGCAGTGTTTCTCCTATTAACTTGATCTAGGCTCTGGAGTGATTTTCCTGAAGCCATGGGATGAAACCAGGCATGTTTCATGCCTCCTCCTGTCCTTCTTCAACTCCCCTAGCAGGAAGGCATAGGGCACAGCCCAAGGTCCAGCCTACACCAAGACTAGCTAGGACCCCCAGCAGGTTCACAAGGATTCAGGACAAACGAGAAACACTGCTACTAATTTACCATGAAAGGTGTATCCCATGGACTCCAATTCCTTTTTACTTTTAGTTTTGCTTAGAAACTGGAAAAGCAAAACATGCTGGTTTTACAATATTGCTTGTTACAGAGGTATATAAAGTCTAACTTGAACGTACCCACCTCCTTGCAATTCAAACAAATTTAAAAGAGAAATTGAATCATACCATATAGAGTGCTTTGCAATCACCTTTTCACTAAGGAATAAACCAGCCGGGCGAGGTGGTGCATACCTGTAATCCCAGAATTTTGGGAGGCCAAGGTGGGAGGATCGCTTGAGCCCAGGAGTTTGAGACCAGCCTGGGTAACATAGCAAGACCCCATCTCTACAAAAATTAGCTTGGCTGGGTGGACATGCCTGTGGTCCCAGCTACTGGGGAGGCTGAGGTGAGAGGATCACTTGAGCCCAGGAGGCAGAGTTTATAGTGAGCCGAGATCATGGCACTGCACTCCAGCCTGGGCACCAGAGTGAGATCCTAACTCAAAAAAAAAAAAAAAAAGAATAAACCAAACCAAGGAGCCTTTTAGATCAGTAAATATAGTTCCATTAAACACTTTTTACTTCCTCCTCAGTTTTCCATATTTTGTTTTGTTCCATATTTTGGTTATTTTGGAAGTAAATATTATCCCCTGTTGATACTATTTAGATTGCCTACACTTTGGGGCTGCTATAAATAAGTCAGCTATTAATATTTTCATGCTTTTGTGCAAGTATTTCTATTAAGATAAATACTGAGAAATAACATTTTTGAGTAGAGAAAACTCTCACCTCGAATGCTGGGAGATACCCTTCAATTCAGCTGAAAATGTCACCTCTTTGCATTGTCCAGTGCTTTGTAAGAGACCCCATTTTCCCACCCAGTCACACCTTGGATATTATGTATCATTTATGTATTTTTGTGCTAACCTAAAGGGAAAAATGGAATTTCATTTTTTCCATCTGAAGATTTGTGAGAATGAGCATCTTATTCTATGTTTACCAGCCTTCCTCTTTCTTCTGTGCTGTGACCCTTAAGAACTTGGCGCTTTCACTTTTCCTATTGAGTTGTTTCAAGTTTTGTGGTTAAATTAGTCAGTCTTCTGCTTTTAAAACAATATTTCTGGTTTCCTGCCTTGCTTACAAAATACTTCCTTTACTCAAGATTGGAAGACTCATTGTCCCAGAGTTCTTGGTTGTAAGCAATAGAAACTTACTTTATTAAACATAGGCAGCAAAGAGACTTAGAAGGATAACGGATGTCTTAGTAAGAGATTGTAGTGTTTAGAAGCAACCCTTGGACAAAAGGCCAGGATAGAGGGATGCCAGAGAGCCAAAAACAAGCCAAATGGTGCCACTGGAGACATTGCCCTGGACGCTTGCTGCCAAGAGGCTGTTCTGATTCTGCTGCTATTGTCTACACTAGACTCTGGGTGCTGGGTGCTGCCATCCTACCATCACCTCCACCACCTGCTCCTCCACCACCACCCCCATAACACCAGCACCTCCCGCCACTTCCCCTCCATCCCCTCCTCTGGCATCTCCACCATCACCATCACCATAACTAGAGTGAATTCTAAAGTATCCCCTGATTCTTTGCAGTATGAGTTTCAGATTCAGAATCCTCAGTGGGAGTCTTTAATTGTTCATACGCAAGCTTTCACTGTCAAGAGTCAAGGAGAAAAATCTAATATTTGTGTTCATTTGGGGGGAATTGGTATCCTAATAATATTAAGTCCTCCCATCTAGGAACATGGTATTGTTACCAAGCGATCAATGGGCTTGGTGTCCAATTCACATAGAGGCCAATGCCATGGCACCAGCTTTTGAGAAAAGAAAAACAGCAATAAAGCTGCTTAATGGGCAAGAAGGCAAGAGAAAACTCTCAAACCTGTCTCCTCGAGCAGGGGTTTGGGTCAGGCTTTATAAGCATAGGGTAATGAGGTGTGATCTGATTGGATCTTGCAATGAGGTGGTGCCAGGAGGCATGATCTTACTGGATCCTGCCATGGGGTGATACCAGAGCTTCCTCTGATTGGATCCTGGCTCCTGCCAGGCAGTGTCTGCTTCTCAGTTCAGTCCCAATTTCTCAGTCCCAGCCCTGAGGTTCCTCCTGTGGCTGTCCATTTGGTTCGCCTGAGCACGCTCAGATTACATCACCTTCAATCTGGGGGCCCATGGTAACCTGAAAACAACTCACAACTTGGTTTCATAAAAGTTGAACCACATAGGTGTGATGAAGTTACAGTAGGTGCTAAAATCTCCCACTGTGATTGTGAGACTGTCAAATTCTAGGTTTTGGAATTTCAACAATGTAGTCACAGTAAGTTTCGTTAATGAGATGCCAGTCTTACTTATTAGTAGGTGATGATGTTTTCTGTCTCATGTTTCTGATTTTCTCTTTATTCTTCATGTTTTAAAATGTTAGATGGTTTTATTTTTTCATTAATCCTAACAAGATATGTGAGTCACTTTAATCTGAAGTTCTTTCTCCTTGTCTTCTTACCCTACGTTCTGACAGATTTCCTTGACTTTATCTTTCAGTTCATTTACTGATGATCACTTTGAAGACAGGAATTGGTGGGTCACACTTATAATGTCTAAGAAGATGTATTGCCAGAAGATTCTTTAATGAATGTATACGTTTCCTGAATTTCTGAGAACAGCAATTAGAGTGCTTTAAAAGTTTTCCTTAGTTCATCGCGTCATCTAGGTGCTTCGTGCCTCTTCCCTCTGCCCTTCCCAGTCTTCACGGCTACATGCTGACTGGCTCTTCTGCCTGGTGCACCCTTGTTTGAGAACTGGGCTGGTTCTTCCAGATGGCTGCTACAGTGGGTTAGTTCCTGCAGTCCTCTTCTCCAGGAGGCTTCTGAGGGCTGAGCTGACTGCTTGGAGCTCTGGGTACCTGGGCTCATCCGCTGGCAGCCCTGCCTAGGGTGTGCAATGGACAGCTGGTCTTGAGGTGGAAGGCATGGCTGCTAAATCAGTAGTTGATGTCAGAAGGCAGGACAGTTCATGTTCACCTGCATCTCCTCCAGCCCCTCCAGCTGACCTGGGCTGTGCCTGGCTGCCAGAGGAAGGCCCCTTTTCCTGTATCCATTTGTTCAGAGGAGCTGACAAATGGCTTCCTCTGAGTTCCCAATTTCTGCTGGGATTTTCCATTCCATCCTCTGGCCTGTGCCAGTAGTAACATTTTACACTTGTCTGACACCTTTTCTCCTCTGAGCTCCAAGCACTTTACAAGCAAGCAGTTGCTATTATTGCCCTCTGAATTCTGATGGAAAAGCTGAGAGTCATGGGATCAAAGCCGCCATGATTGGGCAGTGAAGACAAGGCTCCCAGACACCAGGCCAGTCCCCGGCCCTTGGCAGGACCACATAGAGCACCCCAGCTGCTGAGGTGAGGTAGCCCAGGGGAGGGTTTTCAGCACGGGCTCCCTAGAGGCTCCCCAGAGCCGTCTTATCCTGTTGTAAAGTGATGCATTGTCCTTTACTGCAGAAGAGAGTGGGACCCTTGGGACTCTTCCCTGCCAGAAAAAGTGGGCTGATGGTTCGTGGTTTATTTTGGGAATGAGAAGACTCATTCAATCTGTAAAGGGTCCTCATCTTGTCTTGAGGAACAGGAAGCAGATCTGTATTACGTGGCCCAGGCAGCGGAATAAGGTTCAGTTGCTACAGGTTTTCACCAGTCAGAGGACTTGTTAGCACTGAGAGCTGCCCAAAGGGGAGTGCGTTTGCGTCCCTGGTTGGGTCCCGAGGCAAGTGTCTCTAGCTGCTGCTGGGGATGTCCTGCATCACATGATGCTAGGGAAGGGTGACACATGAGGCCTCTTCCAACCCAGATCTTGCATCATAAGGACACACTCTAGTGCTATCTCCTCTAAGTGGTGGTGGCCTTGGGGCTGAAACCCTGAAACCCTGGGTCATGTCACATCTTGCTGGATCTGCAAAGCTCCTTAGTTCCCATCTCCTCCTTCTTTCATTTAGCAAAACTCGGTTTGAGGTCTGCATTTTCCCTCTTTTGTACGAAGCTTTGCCCAGTAGCAGCTTACTGTTTAACTGGAAGGAACATCTGTGACCATGAAATTTTCAGCAACCTAAAAAGGCCCTGTTAAGTAATATTTGCTGAGCTAGTGTTGGGAGTCAGCAGTGTGTGTGTGTGTGTGTGTGTGTGTGTGTCTGTATGTCTGTGTGTGTGTGTGTCTGTGTGAATTCAGCTGCCCTCAGGCAGGTGGCTGGAAACTGGCTCACCTTTATCTGAGAACACATCAATCTTGGGAAGAGAATCCATGGAACTGAGTATGGAGGGACACCTGGCCAGAAAGAAACTGAGAACAAGTCATTCCTACCCCAGGGACCACAGAAGGAGGCAGACAGCTGGAGGAATGTGGTGTGTGTGCGTGTGTGTGTGTGTATTAGAGAGGGGTAGAGGACTATATTTTCTGGGCAGATAGAATTCTGAGCACATCTGTGTGTGTTAATGCTCACATGAAACCTTTCAAAGCTTGGAGAGATGGGTATTATGATTCTATTTTCCCAGTGAGGGATTAGAAGTCAAATAAGCTGCCCACGGCCCCAGCCCCGGCCAGAGCAGAGCTGGGATTTGAACCCAGTTAGTTGTCTTTGGCTCTGAAGCCCTTTCTCCTCTGTATCCCTGCCTGCCTTCAATGCAGGTGCCACAAATGAGGTCCCACGGACCCTGCTGACTGGCTCTGAGTCTTCCGGCTAGCCCGGCTGTCCCAGGCCCCAAGTGCTCTTTCCCAAGGGCTGGCTGCCTTGCAGGTCTCCAGAAGCCTCCGGGTCCACCCCCATGCCTCCCCAGATGCTCTAGAGAGCTCTGGGCCCAGGCCCAAGCCCAGCAGGGCAGCCCTGTGGTTTGCGATCTGGCCATGCATAGCTGGCTCTGAGCAGGCACTTATCATTCTTCCACGACCACCCAGTCAGTCTAACACAGCCTGGAAGTGCAGCTCTAGCTGCCCAGGCCGGTGGTGGCTCAGTCCTCACTGAGCCCTGCTGCTCCCACTCGCTGTCTGCCACCCCCGCTGTAGCCGGCCCCGCCTGCCCAGCTGAGCGAGAGGTCGCTGGAGCCCAGAAACAGCAGGGTCTGAGCATCCCTAGCAAACCACAAAGGGAGATTCACAAATCAAAAGGGCCCTAGAGAACAAAGCTGTCACATCAGTCCATCATGGAGTCGGATCTCAAAATATCGCCAGGCCAGAGTCCTGCCAGCTGTGAGTCACCACCCGGCCAGAGCAGCCGCAGCGGGCCCCCAGCCACATGGAAAAACACCTCGGCAGCCAGCTGGCTGCTCTCTGCCCAGACCTGGGAGGTGTAGGGTGTCTGTGGGGTGGTTCCACACCTCCATGCTGCGGTGTGGAGAGGAGTCAGCCCTGGTATGCTTGCTGTAGGAGCAGGAGGGAGGGGACAAGGGAACGGCCATATCGACGATGGCTTCTGTCTTCCTAAGGACGCAGTCCAGGCCTGCTTCATCCCTCCAACCCTGCTCCAAGCCTCTGGGATAACCAGCAGTGTGAGGCTGGTTGACGACAGTGGCTCAGCACAGCCTTTGATGTCACCCTTTTTATGCCTCCCTGTGGCCCTACACTGCTGGCCCACCTCTTCCCAGGTGATGAGAAGTTGGATTCAGGGCCTATGTAAGTCCAGCATCTCATCGCACCAATGCCTATGGCAATGCACAGACCAAGAGCCTGCACTTGGTGTGCTGAGTCCCTCTTCATGCACTGCTCCAGTTCCTACCCCAAGCCCTATCATTACACATGGTGGGGAGGGGCATGGGGGCACGCACATAGGGATCACGTCCTTTTGTAGGAGTTTAGGCATTCTCCTGACATTGCTTCTCTCTCATCCACCATCCTGAGACCTCACTCCTTCCGATCAGCATCCTTTGTTTCTCCTGGCTTTGAGGCCATGACACGTGTGTCTATAAATATGAAGTGGCCTGGATGACAAAACACAAAGTTTTGAACTGATTTTTGTTGTCAGCTCATTTTTTCCTTCTGTGCCTCATTTTCCCCACATGAAGAGTAAGACGAGATCTTACAGAGACTTTTGGTTCTAAAGGCTGAGGGTTTTAGAATTTGGGGTGCCACCTGCCACCCCTCCCTGAGCTGGAGCCATAGCATATTCTAACGGGCTTCATCTTTAGTGAACTGAACATTAATGAGGAACATTAATGTTTTATTCGGGCAAGGAGGCAACAAGGACTCAATTTAAGGGAACATGAGATGTCAGTCCCAGCCCCTTCCATTCTCTGAGCCCCCTTGCTGTCTTGTCCTTGGCGCTCTCCTCTAAACCCTGGCCTTGGGGCTACGGCCCCATCAGAGCTGAATGGGGTCACCTCTGGGCTGGGTAGAGCCTGCTGGGGCACAGATTTGAGGCTTCAGTCACCTCTTTGCCCTGCACAAATGACCAGAGCCTGCCTTGAACTTCTTTGCTTGCAGCCAGAGTCTCCTGCCCTCAGCTGGGAACTGACCAGGTGGGGGTGCAAGCTGTGATGCCGTTTTCCCCCTCTCTCCTGCTGTTCATCCCCATGCAGCCCCTCTCCACCCTGCCCACGGCCTCTGCTTGGCTGTTCTGGGCCGCTGTGTGATCATGCTTTCCTCCTTGGAGGCATTCATGCTGAAGGCATGGAGAGAACCCGAATGGCAGAGTCCTGTCCACTGTGCAGTGATCTCTGCAGACCTGGGCCAAGAGGTCCTTAGAGAGAGGGCATGGGCCTCAGCCAGCAGGATGAAGGCTGCTGAGCAGCAGCTATGCAGAACAAGCATAAGTGGTGACATCTTCCCTGTCCCAGATGCCACAGAGCGCAGGGGTGTGTCCAGATATGTATGTTCCTAGGTGGGGTGACAGAAGACCACTGGCCACCTGCCACCTACCACCCCTCCCTGAGCTGGAGCCATAACAAATTCCTGAGTACCCAGTGTCCCTCTACCCAGCAGTCAGAGTCTCTGAGAGCTCAGGTACACCTGGGTCCATTCGCAAGTTCATAGGAAAGGGCATGAGTGTTTGCTCTCCGGTGTTACATGCCTTCCAAGGAATCACTAAACTTAAGCTAGAGGAGATTTGCCTCTTATGATTGCCCATTCTTTCCCCTGTGGGTCCCCCCACCACTCACTTTATTTAGTTATCGTATTCAGTAAATACCTGTGAGGGATCTGGAATTTTCCAGTTGGCATAGACACCATGCATTAGTTTGTAGCCACCCAATTTGAGGGATCCTGAGTGTCAGAGATAACTGTGATCCTATAATTAAAAGTTCCTGCTTCCCCTTTTAAGCATAACGTAAAAATTCTGTTTAAAAAATTAAGATGAAATTCACATAACATATAATCAACTGTTTTGAAGTGCATATTTCAGTGATAATATTTAATGTGTTCTCAACACTGTGCTACCCCCAGCTGTCTAGTTTCAAAACTTCTTCCTCACCCTACAAAAACACCTGTATTAACTAAGTAATCATTCCCTATCCCACTTCCTGTCATGCCCTGGTAACCTCTAATCTGCTTCCCATCCCTGTGGTTCTACTTATTCTAGATATATCATATAAAAATAAACACAACATGTGACTTTTTGTGTCTGTCATCTTACAGCACTTAGCATAATAGCACTTAGCACTTAGTTTTCTTGGTCCACTCATGAACCTTTTCAAGATTTTTCCTTTTTTATAGCTGAATAGGATTCCATCTTATGGATTAGCCAAATTGGGCATGCTTTCATCCTTTGATGGATTTTTATGTTGTTATTCATGAATAATGCTGCTATAAACATTTATATACAAGATTTTGTGTGGACGGATGTTATCATTTCTCTTAGATATATGCCTAGGAGTGGAATTGCTATATCATATGGTAACTCTACTTTTAACTTTTTGAGGTACTGATGAACTGTTCTCCAAAATGGCTGCACAATTTTACATTTCCCCCAGCAGCATAAGTGGGTTTCAACTTCTTCACTTTTTTACCAACACTTGTTGTTGGTCTCTTCAACTCAAGCCATCCTGGTGAGTATGAAGCAGTGTCTCATAGTTTTAAGTTGTGTTTCCCCAGTGACTAACAATGTCAATCATCTTTTCATTTGCTTATTGGCCATTTATATAGCTTCCCTGGAGAATGTCTATTTAGAAATTTGCCTATTTTTAATTTTTTTATTATTAAGTTATAAGAATTCTTTATAAATTATGGATGTTAGGCCTCTATCAGATATATTATTTGCAGGTATTTGCTCCCATTCCATAGCTTGCCTTTTCATATCCTTGATAATGGTCTTTGATGCACAGCTGTTTTAAGTTTTGATAAAGTCCAATTTATCTAATTTTTCTTTTGTTGCCTATTTATTTGGTGTCATATCTAAGAATCCTTTGCCAAAACTATGATTGTTATATATTCTCATATTTTCTTCTAAGAGTTTAATAGTTTTAGCTCTTATATTTAGGTGTTGACTGATTTTGAGTTGATTTTTGAATACGCCACGAGGTAGGAGTACAAATGAACCTTTGCTTGTGGATATCGAGTTGCTCCACTTGAATGGGCATGTTTAGAGAAAGGATAAATAAATAAACTGATGTCTTTTACTAGTTAGATAAACAAAGGTGTCCATATAGAGATACATGTAAACTGGTTCACATTTTTCATGTTCAGCATTGTTGCGAAGTTATAAAATAATGTGTGTAACACTCATGTAGTTGAATAGGACCTAATGGTGCCGCCGAAGGTGAATTTAGGAGACATAAATGATTAGAATCTTTGGCAGAAAAAAGTACAGGAATCCCTCCCTTCATGGGGGCTGCACTCATCTGTGTGGCATTTTCTGTTTTGCTCTGAAGCCCTGCATGACGTCTCAGCCCACATTCACCCTGGGTGTGCCAGTGGCAACTGCCTCGTTGCTGGGTCATTGGGGCAGACAAGGCCAGCCCTCAGAGACAGCTTCTGCCCTGGGAAGGCAAAGCTGCCACCCTGGAGCATCTCCCAGGGGCCATAGTGCCTTGCATCTGGCTGCGGGGACCAGCCCTGGGTCTCTCCCTATTAGTGGAGGACTAGTCTCAGATGTCACCACCGCATGTCTGGCTATTCATCAATACAGGAGAGTGCTGAACTGAGAATGTGATTTTTTTTTATGGGTTCACATCCCAGGAACAGGGTCATGAGCTCCACTGAGCTCAGTTCTTAAATAGTCATTATCCTAGGTGGCCACCCTTGGGAGTGCCCTCTGGGACTTAAGTCCCTTCAGTGATCTCTTGCTTGATCACTTCTAATGATTGTGCTTGCTTCTCTGCTACCCACTTATGCCATCAACCAGAACAAAAAGTTCTTTCTTACTCCAGAACTTCCTCCCTTCTAACCGTCTCAATCAGTTACTTGGGACACACAACTTGAATCTCCAAGACCATCACTCTCTCTGCTTTCTCCCCACCTCTTGGATCCCCACTGCCTTCATCTGCTCCTCGCTTGCTTAGACTCTATAGATCACCACTGCAGCCACTCTCCTGCAGGTCTCTCCTGCTTTACTTTCCTTCGGTTTAGGCCCCAGCAAAACCCCAGCCATGAATTAATCCATCCACCCCTTTCTCAGCACTGATACCTGGCCTGTTTGGTGCTGCTGAAGAACATCAGACCACGTGTGTGTGTCTGGAATCAGAACCATCAGAACTCACGCTCCTCCTTCACTCTCAGCATTGCCTCACCTCCAGCCCAAAGCCATGGTGGGAGCAGCAGACACTCTCTCTTCAACCCATCTGTCAACCTCAAGATGGCTCCCTGTACCCTTGCCCTTAAGGACTACTTGCTGGGGCTTTGGTGGCACAGTTTTGCTCCTGTCATCCTCTTTATTTACCCCTTTTTGGTTGCTGGTTCCTGCCTTGCTCTTCCTTCTTGAAGAAAGAGGGAGCCCAAATTTGCCCCATTCCCTCATGTCCAGCCCCTTCCTTTGCTCACTGGCTTCTACCCCATTCTCCCAGTGAGCCACTGTAGCCCAATGATTGAGCCCCTTATGGCTGAACTCAATCCAAGGAGCATCCTCCAGCATTAAGCTCTCAGGGATTCTCTGCAACACTGGAGTGTGAACCACTTCCTCCTTGGTTTCCACAGTGACACGTCCCTTGCAGGTGCTCCCTACATTTCCCAGCATGCTTCTTCTCCGTTTCCTTTGCAGGCACCTTTTCTCTGCTGGTAGTTTAGATGTTAGGTTTTCTCTGGCCCTGTCCTTGCTCTTCCTCTCTCCTCTCCCTGGCTCACTTTGCCAACCTGGAGTCTCCCATGGTCTGGTGAAGCCTGGAGGTGGGTGACCCTTCCCAGCATGTGCTACCTGCCGTACTCTCTGTGTGGCAGCCGGGCTGGGAGCAGCTGGTGGCTCCACCAGGAGCACCATGAAGACATTGGCCTCTGGGGGTCTGGGAAGTTGACCCTTTGCACAGCAGTTCTGGGGAGGTCCCTGTGACTGTGCAGCCAGTGAAGCAGCATCATAGGCATTGCCCGAGGGCTTGTTGATCTAACTGAGAGATTGGTAGATCTAACCGAGAGCTTGGTAGGTCTTGGCTTGCTGGCTGAGAGTTTGTTAGATCTGCAGGGTCTCGGCACCCCAAGCTCCTAAACCAAATGCACGTGTTGACAAGCCCCCAGGAGTAGTGCCCATACAGCAGCATGTGAGGGGCTGCTGGGAACCAGTGTCAGCCTGCTGAGATGGGGCAGAGCCGAGAGAGAGTCAGGGAACTCAGTTTCTTAAGATGCTTTTGCTTCAAAATAGAGGCCAGGTTTCCAATGGAAATTTCATGGAAGGAGCCCTGTATTTTTTTCTAATGGAATGGAAGCTTATACTTGGTAAGCAAAAGATTCTTATTTGAAAATAACTCTTGTTCCAACTTTGTGGGCTCCCAAGGGAATCGAATTAGAGTAGAGGGGAGAGAAGCAGTAGCATCCAAGCAGCCTGGCTGTGCCTGACGCGGGTGGATCTCGGGGCTGAACTGTTCCCACCCTCAGTCTGGGGCCGGGCCTGGGCCCAACACCACTCTGGGAGAAGGAGATGAGGATTTTCTCTGAGGGGCTGTGTGCACACCCTCAGGTTCCTCCTTCCTAGAGCAGCCAAGGGTAGTGCCGTCCAGGGTACGGCATAGGCCCAGCGAGGCCTGTCCTTCCAGCCCTGCCTCCCTCTGCCCCTCAGGCCGAAGCTCGAACCCTTTGCTCACTGAACTGGGCCTGCAGAACTGGAGTACATGGGCCTGCGACAGCTGCATATGATCAAAATCACCCCTGGTTTTGAGCTGGCTCCTGAGGCCAAAAACAACAACTCCTCCTGCTGCACATGACCAGGGTGGTTTGGGTTTAGTTGGTAACTCGCCCGTCACCATCTCTGCCTCCATAATGAGCACCCCTGGGCTGGGCAGAAAAGGCCTGGGCTGTTTCAAGAAATGAGAGGCCCTCTGTGGGGCCAGTGTGTTCTGGTTCCACATTCCAAATAGAGATGATGGGGATAGAGAGGAAGTGAACTTGGGATGGCACCAGGCTCTTATGGTTTCAGACAGAAGAGAAACGACAGAACAAGAAAGCTCCTGGCAGCATCTGGAAAGGGCCAGGGTCTGGGCTTCAGTCCTGCAGCCATAGTCCAGGGTGTTGCCATGACTGGCCATCATCTCCTGACCCTTCCTGTGCAGATCCCTGGCCATGGGCACCCTCCTCCACTGCTGGGTGCCTCTCATCCACTGTTAAGCCCTATCCCTGACCTTCCAGGACAGGTGTGTCCCACATCTCCATAGGACCCTGGTGCACCAGCCCCTGGGTACTAGGCACTATCATTGTAACCGCATCTTGCCTTTCCTGTAAGACCCAGATGGCAGGCACAGAGACTCACTGCCTAGGATCCCGGTAAGAAAGTACTTGCTGCTGCCCAGATGCGGGGTGTGGTTAGCTGAGGGCTAACCTCTGGGTGCTTCCTAGCCAACGCCACTCCTCCTGGGGCCACCCCCAGGCACTGACTGAGCAGAGTGGTGGTACAAGGGCATAGCTGTTCCTGTCCAGCAGCGCCTCTCCTAATGGCAAATCCCTGCTGCAGAGCTCTCTGGTCCTGGCAGAGACCTTGTCTCAGCTGCATCCCAGCCTGGACACTCCCTGCCCCGTCCCACTCCCTGCCTTTCCTTCCTGTGTGGTACTCCCAAGACACCATTTGCACTCTTAAATCTGTCTCACCCTCTGCTGCCCAGAGAACCCAGCTGGGGCAGCCTGGCAGCACTGGGGCCAATGCAGCTTCAGCACCTGGCATGCAGCTGTCACCAAGCCCACCGGCCAGGTCAGTCTTCAGAGTAGGAAGGTGATGACTAGGCCAGAACACAGAGAGCTGCATCCTCAATGGGGACCATATTCCTGCCTTCTGGGGAGGGAGTGAGGAAGCTGGGTGATCTAGAGCCTCCTTTACCACCTAGTCTGCCTGAGGCATGCTCTGGCTGACACCACGGTTGCAGGATTCCCAGGGATGCCTGCTCAATGTTATATCCCTGAAAGTGCATCTGAGGTAGAAAAGCATGGGATAGTGTGTGCATGGGTGTGTGCATGTGCATGGAGAGGCAGCTGTGGGCAGTGGGTAGTGGGAGACCTTTGACATCCCCTTGTGGGCCTCCTAGGCTTGGGGACTGGACTTGGGAAGGGAGTCAGGGTGGATGAGTTCTGGGCCTCAGCCCAGCTCCCTTCCCAAACACAGGCAGGATGTGAGACTTTGGGAAGAACCTAGGAGGCTCTGTCCCAGGGTCAACTCCATATAGGTCCGAGTCCCTGAAGGGTGTGGTGTAAGTGGGGCCAGGAGGAAGTCTTGACCCCAGGGCCTCTCCCTGCCTGTCTTCCAAAGCCTGAAATGCCACCATTTGGGAGGCCTGCCTTTGCAACTGCACAGCTTCAGTTTTTTGGGGGGCAAAATCCTAGGTGGTGAAGCTTTAAGACAAATTCAGCCTTGCAGAAGCTGCCTCAGCCTTCGACTCCCAGCTCATGTGCCCTCACTTGTGCCTTGGCTGCACCTTGAGGCACCTACAGCAGCAGCATGGCCTATACTACAGGTCTTCTCAAAGCTATGAGGGACTGAGCCCAGTTATCCCCTCGCCTGGCACTGCCTGGCACAGAGCATGTGCTCATCAATGAAGATGGGGTGAAAGTCAGGCCGATGGCAAGGGAGACAGCATTGTCACTCGTGACTCAGGGTTGGGTGCTGGTTTGCCTGGTGCGGGAGGAGCTGTTCTGAACACTCCATGCTAATCCCTTTGCTTCATCCACACAGCTTCATCCTCATGAGGGTGGACTATTGTGATCTCCATTTATGAGGAGGACTAAGACACAGAGCAGTTAAGGAATGTGCTTGGGTGTCACACAGCCTGGCAATGGGAGGAAGACCCTGCATAATGGGTCAGGCTGTGGTGGGGTGGGTGTGGGGGTCCTGGGGCTGAGGCTCAAGCTTCAGGGCCATCCCCAAGAATCATTTATGTCCCATCAGGCTTACATTGTCCTGGGGGATTCTTGAAAATGTCCAGGGAGCCTGGTGGGAATGGGAAGAGACACTGTGGTCTGGGCATTTGTTTCCAATGACATCTGCACTGTTCAGGCTGCAGCCAGGCCTCCCTCCTGCCAAAGCACCAGCTCTGCAGTGCTGCTGGCTGGCTGTGCCTCAGCAGGTCTGCACTGTGCTCAGAAGCTTCATCAGTGTGTTTTTCCCTAAGAGGCTGGGGCTGGTGGGCACCCTGGGACACGACTGTGAGTGGAGGAGGCCAGTGCTCTGGGGCAGAAGCAGCCCAGGCACACTGCAGGGCTGGCGCATCCTGTGCTCCAGCTGCTGAGCCTCCCCCCACCGCACCCTCCCCCTGCCACCCCACCAGAGGGCACAGGGACAGGCACCTGCCAGGTGAGCTTGTGCCCAGAACACCTGGGGTGTTTTCACACCCCCGTCTCACTGAATCCCACGGCACCTCTGTGTTCTCCACTTTCCAGAAGAAAATAGGCTCAGCAGTCAGGGAGTTCTAAGGCCACCCAGAGGTGAGTGGGTCGGGTGGCCAGGGTTTGGACTCAACATTCAAAGAGATGGAGAAACATGTCTATCCTGGGTCTGAGTCTAAGCGGTGAGTCATTTGGGCCAGGCATTAATCCAGACCATTCTCATTTGGATGAGAACATGAGTGGCAGGTGAGGCTCGCCCGAAGAGCCAGCACCCCACATGTAGGAGGGGCAGGCCCAGCCCCCCAGCTTCAGGCAGGTCAGCCGGCTCCTGCATGACACATCTGCATTGTTCTGGACACTTCGCCACCTCATCTTCATGCATGGGGTGGGGTCAGGAGGGAGCCCCGCCTTTCTGCCTGGACCGGAAGCCCCTGGTGTTCCCCACGTGGTGGTCCTACAGACCTGCCCTTATCCTGAAGCACAAGGCAGGCTGGACTCCTGCTGACCTGTTTCGGTTTTCTCCTCTGTTAATCTGGAATGCTAACGCATTTTTCACAGAGCGGTGGGGAGGACATGAAGGCATGTTGGAGGCATTACAGAGCTGCAGTGCAGAATCATAAGCTATTGCTATAAGAGGCCGAGGAAGAAAACTGGACTGGAATTCAAGTGTCGAAGGCAAGGGTTAGTTTGTGGGGCAGGGATTTCCAAATTTCTGATCAGGGGTCTCTGGGTGAGGCTCCAGGCTGAGTGAGCCCCTCTGCTCTTGTCTGTTCCTGCCTGTGGCCAATGCCAGAGCAACTTTCTGAGGGTCCTGAGAGGCGTGGTCCTCCTTCAGGTGTCACACTGGTGAGATGCCATCTGGGTTTTTATTGAGCCTGATCAGAAGCCATAAATCAGCCATGAAGCAGATGCTGGGCCTCATCCCAGAAGTGTCCACCACATACGAGAGCCTCCTGGGTGGCCAGGCATTGCCCTGTCTGGAGCACACTGGGGCTTGGCTGGCCAAGGCCAGCAGGCTCCCAGGCTCCCTGGAGACTCTAGGGAGGAGGATGGCTGTGCTAGGAAGAAGGGCCACTTTTTCACTTTGCTTCATTACCAGTGATGAGAGGCTGCAACTGGCTTGCACAATATGGTGCAACCCACTCCCCGGGGGCCCGTAAGTCAACAGAGGCCTAAGTGTCTTGCCTGCCCTTGGCTGTGGCTTTCCTTGAGGCAGAAGGCTGGCTGTGACACGCTAGGAGGCCCCTTCTGATTTTACATTTCTTCTCTGGGGCCCAATAGGGCCTCCTTTCTCTGAGCTGCTGGAGCAGAGTGTCTAGGAAACACACGTTTTCAACTCCTGCACAGAGTCCCTGGCTTTGGCCTGAGCTAAGTTTGCCACTCTCCCTATTCCCTTCCACTTTTTGCCCTGATCAGAGAATCAACCCAACCTGCCACCTTGTTGGGCTCCGTGGGACTGAAGAGGGAGAGGCAGGGCAGGCCCCACTTGCTTGCTGTGGAACCGGAAACCCAGGCCACCCTCAGGTGGGAGAAGCAGCACAGGCTTAGCAGAACATGGCCCACAGGGAGAAGTGGGACTCAGCAATCCAGATCATGGGCTTGAAAGGAGGCAGGGCCTGGGTTCAAATTCAGATGCAGACTTCCCAGCTGCACTACTGGCCCCCTGCGTCTCCCGGGGCTGTATATGAGCACCCTGCAGAGCAGTTACAGGTAAGCCCTTTAGTGCAATGTCTGAGCCCCATATGCAAGGGGCTGGGGAAGTCATGGGGGTTATTACTGGTGCCATGCCACACAGTGTATGTGGCTCATCTCAGCCCCTTGATGGTGCGGGAGGTAATATTATACCCATTTTACAGGTGGGGAAAGCTAAGGTAGAGAAGATGATAGACCATTTTGATTTGCCCCAAATCTCACTGGAATCCTGATGTTTTTAGCCCCAAAGGCTGGACTGCTATTTACTAACTTTCACATTATCTCCTGGGGTTGAGGTTTGATGCTCCCAGTACCCTGGATGCTGGTAGAACTGGGTTTCTCCAGTGCAGGACTTAGAACAACAAGCTTGTTTGGGCACAAGCAACACCCACCATAATTGAGCATTTCAGAGATGAGAAAGTATGGCTTTCTTCTACTCCCCACCATCTTCTAACAAAGACATGTCCATTATGATGCCACAAAAATAACAAACCAGACCAAGGAAAACAGAAAGTAAAAGTGGAGAAGCAAGGCTAGGTAAATAAGACACATATCCATCCACTGCAAAGACCAACATAGATGCTATAATTGAGCCCCGGAGTTCACCCTGAACTTCTGGCAGCAAAAGAGAGCCTCAATAGGTTATAACATTCTCACAGACACAAAGAAGCCCCCCACTGGTTGTGGTTGTTCAGGGACACTCAAGATTTCCATGGCAGGGCTTTGCATGTGTGGCGGGGCTTCCAGACCTTCTCAACTGCAAATGGTAATGGCCCTCCCTCAGCTGCCCCTGAGGCATTTCCTCCATGGAAGCCGAGATCTCAACTCCTTAGGTTTCTGCATTTCTGGAAAGGGACAGGCTTACTCTCCTTTCATGGAACACAGGTGGTTAACTCCACCAAAAGTCAGTCGCTCAATGGGGGAATTTATCTAATGGGGAGATGCCTGTCAGAACAGCCACTGGACTTCTAGACAATGACTGTGTACTTCCCAAAGGTTCCCATTTTCCAAAGACATTCTGGCTTCATGGACACCCGGGGCTGTGGCCACACAGAGGGTGGGTGTGGGTTCTGGTGCTGCACTTGGCTGCAAGTGGCAGAAAGGTGGGCTTGGAGCATGTGGGGCCAGCAGCTGAGATGGCGATGCAGTTAGAGTCCCACGCCCATGATCCCTCACTGCTCCCTGGCACCTTCCAAAGGAATCCAGACATTTTCTCAGAGACACAGCTAGTGCCAGAAGCTGATTCCTTTTGATGATCCTGGGGCGATGCCATGGGAAGTTTCCTCTGAAATGCAAGTCTGTCTATTCCAGGCTCCAGAGGGACCTCTAAATCCAAAGGCCCTGCTCTCTTCCCCTCCCCAGGGTACGTGAAGGGCTGTCTCAGCTTCTTGCTTGAAGAATACTCCAACTTTCACTCTCAGAAGAGAAGTGTGAGTCAAGAGGGAGGGAAATAATTCCTGAGCACCTACCTTGTACCTGGTGCCTCCAGTGGGAGAGTCAGCTTCTCAGTTTGTCAACAATGGAGGAGTTTTCTGGGACACTCAAACTGGAATAGCTGGTCACCCAGCTTCATTAACCCCACGGCATTCTCATGAGGTGGGAGCTGTCACTGCTCATTACAGATGCAAAAGCTGGGGCTTTAGGAAGCCATTTGCTCCATTTGGGGTCCCCAGGGTCACGGTCCTTCCACTCCCGCATCTTGTCACTCCTGAGGGTATGAGAAGACATTGAAAACCTAGCAAGCTGAGTTCCCTGAAACCTTCTGGCTTTCCTTGGCTTGTTCTTTGCTTGCTGGTGGGGAGGTCTTCCTTCCCCCGACTCCATGTCTCTATGGAAAAGGAATCCCCCATTAACCTCTGAAGCCTCTGTGTGCCCCAGATCTCTCTGGAATACTGTGGCTGAGGAATCCTGAGCCCCATGTGGCTCAGAGCCAAATTACAGGCTGTGCTCAGATTTCTGTCCCATGTCGGGATCACTTGCCCTGCAGAGAACACTCTTGGCCATGTGGGGTTGGAGGAGGAGATCTGTCTACCTGGCAGGTCTGTATAGCTGCACATCTAATGCTGCATTCTTCAATCAGCTTTGCCAGAATGAAGGTGACATCTTGCCACCCATAAGTAGGGCTACTGCTTGTCCCTCCTAATGGATGCCTAAAAGGAATGTTATGTTTTGAAACCCCAAAAGCCCCAATATGTAAGTTTTCCTATGTGTCAGAGACTTCTAGCAAGACCTTTTACCCCAGGAAAAGCCGTAAAGTGCTTTGCTAGAAGTAAAGCACTTTGTGGCTTTTCCTGGGGGACCCATGGAGCACCACAATTTTGTTTCTCAGAAGAAAGGAGCCTCGTGTGCAGAGGCTAGTTAGAATCTTGTGAGAAGTCAGGCTCTGAGCTTTCCCAGCTGAGGGTCCAGCATTAAGGCCAAACCTTTCTGTGGCTTTCTCGAGGGCGTATGGGACAATGCAGGGGCTTCCAAATCATTCTCCTGAGAAATGTTATGCAGGGGCTGCAGGAGACCTCTGTTTCTTTCTTTTTTTTTTTTTGTTATTATTATACTTTAAGTTTTAGGGTACATGTGCACAATGTGCAGGTTAGTTGCATATGTATACGTGTGCCATGCTGGTGTGCTGCATGCATTAACTCGTCATTTAGCATTAGGTATATCTCCTAATGCTATCCCTCCCCCCTCCCCCCACCCCACAACAGTCCCCAGAGTGTGATGTTCCCCTTCCTGTGTCCATGTGTTCTCATTGTTCAATTCCCACCTATGAGTGAGAATAAATCCTGCCTCTCTGGTCTCTGGCTGGAGCCAGAAAGAATTCTACCCTCCTTCTCCTTCCCTCCTGCTTGCCCTAGGGGATCCTGAATCAAAGGGGACCTCACACCTGGCTTGTTCTTATCTTGATTGGTGCCCTAAGCTTTCCCCCTTGGTATTTTCAGAGTGAGGGCTCAGGTTAATCTGAAAGTCCTACTGGAGACCACCCACCTCCCTTAAGCAAGCAGCTTACCTTTCAGCCTAGCGCCTCCTGTGCCTGGGATGTTTGACAGGCATGCTCACACTGAAAGTGGCTGATAAGCCCTGGGAGCTGTGGCTCTTTCACAGATGTTGGAGCCAGAAAGCTCACTGGCAGAGTCCTTCCTCTGAATGGCATCATTTTGTCCATTGGCCTGGGACAGGGCAGTGAAGGTCAAAGGTGAGACAATGTGGCAGAGGGGACAAGCACTGTGGTCCCCTGGCTAGAAGATGGACATGGGAGGCTAGAAAGCTCGTGACCTCCCGACAAAGCTTCACAGGATCTCACCCACATTGCCCAAATATATGGCTCTGGGGCAAGGATTTAGGGGGTGAAGATCAGAAAGAACTCAGAGTTTGGTTTGCAAATCTTCAGGCGCTTCTCCTGGTGTCCTCTAAAGAGGAAGTCACCACCTCAGGCTAAGAATGGCATGTGCAGAGCCCCACCTGAAGTCACTTTCCTGTGTTTGTCGCTCTGTTGTCTCATCTTCGTCCCTGTAGGGAACCTGTAGGAAAAGCCTTAAATTGAGAGTGACCCTGGGCTTATTAACAGCAGAAAGTAGGGAATGATGATACCAAGGGACAGGATGAGAGAGAAGGCCACACTAGGAAGAAGATGAAGCTGTTCAAAGTGTAGGGTCTCAGGCAGGAGAACCAGGGGGTTCAGGTGCCTGCAGGTCTGTGAAGAGCTGTTTCAGTTAAACATTCTACTCCAAAACTTAGTGGCTTGAAGAAACAACTTATGATTATTTCTCCTGGTTATGTTTTGTATTGACTGGGCTCAGCTGGGTGGTTTGTGTTAAGAGTCCTCATGCAGTTGCAGTCATAGGGTGCCTGGGCTACAGTATGTGAGGGCTCTGCTAGGCAAGACACAGATGGCTGCTGATGCTGGCCTTTGGCTGGATACTCAACTGGCATGTCAACACCTATCTGTGGTCTCTCAGTGTGGCTTGGGCTTCCCACAACGTGGAAGCAAGAGGCCCAGAGAACATCCCAAGGGTGAGCTGGCAAGAGGCCCAGGTGGAAGCTATAAGGCTTCTTTCAACTCAGCCTCAGATGTCCTAGAATGTTACTTCCATCGCACTGTATTAGCCAGGAAGTTAATGAGGTCAGCCCATTTTTAAGGGGGCAAAGATTAGATGCCACCTCTTGACGTGAGGAGTTAGTTGTGCATGCACAGGAGAGGCAAGGACAAGAGGGCAGCACCTGGCATCTGTCTCTTGCTGGACTTGCCAGGTAGAGTGTGGAAGGCAGGGTTGAGGGTTTTCTTCAGGCTCTATCTGGTATTGCTGTTGGCAGCAGTGATAATGGTGAGGCTATTTCCCAAATGCACTTCGCAAAACATTTTTCACATCTACATGATTTGCCAGCGAGTAAGCAAGAGGTTAGTGAGAAGCAGAATATTCTTTACCTGCCTGTGTTAAAGGTGAAGAGACAGGCTTGAAGCAGTCAAGTGACTTTGCTCACACGACACGAGTTTTCTGCCATTTGCCCCAGCTCAAGCCCACCCATCCTCGCAGGTGACACCCTCCATGTATTAATGTGCCCTGTCCCAGGCTTTGCCAGCATCCCCAAGCCCTCTTCATGCCTCTGGGCAACAGATCTCCTCCTGGGTTCTGACCTGGCTCTCTTGCTGTTTGCTGAATGCCCAGTTAAATGGCTTCACTTCCATGTGACTCCGTTTTTCCATCCTTAGTGTGGAATTGGAGCCAGGACTGGGGAGCAAGGAAAGGAGTTGGAGAAAGCAAAACCTTCCTGGGTGGTGCAGAGTGGGCTCTGGGAATGGCCTGGGGGCAGACAAGAAGGCCAATTCCAGCTGGCCCCATGGCCTCCTTGCTGGCTGTCACTGGGCAGCTCCTTTTCAGGCCACTGGTCCAAGGGGAGCACAGGTCAAGGGTGAGCTGCTGGTCAGATCCCTAGCCCAGGGCAAGCCCGGAGGCTGCAGTTATGTGTGGAACCACAACTGCCCCAATCTTCAGCTGTTGAAACATGAAAAGTAATCCTGTTTTGCCTAAATGTACTCAAATCATTCAGGAGTGTGTGTGTGTGTGTGTGTGTGTGTGTGTGTGTGTGATATTTAATGAGTGAGTGGATATTTTAAAACAGGTTTCATTAATAAACTGTACTTACCATTTCCTGCCCAAGCCCCTACCCTACCTCCTCCAACTCTGAACCATCTGGGGGTGGTCTTGGCTAGTATTACACTCAACACAGGTGACAACCATCGGTAACACTGGCTGGAGTCCCTTGAATGTGCCAGCCAGTCTGGAAACTGTGGGCCCAAACACCAGCAATGTCCATGGCTGACCCCTGTCTCACTGTCACATCCTGGTACTGTTATGGAGCCCTGGCCCTCAAACTCAGGGAGCACACTGGTCACTTCCGTGAAAAGCCACACGGTGCCCCTGATGGGGTTAAAGTGCTTCATCCACGGAGTGAGCTTGTGTGTCTTACAAAAGGGCTGGGCATGGGGGTAAGAATGGAATTTCACCCCAAGGATCAAGCTCTGTTTCGACCCTGATATAAGAGGAGGAGGAGGAGGAGGAGAAAACTGACACCATACAGAAGAATTAAACCCCTGACACATGATTTCCCTCCCCTGGATGGCAGCCCAGGAAGTGCTGCCCCCTGTTGCCAGCCTAGACACTATTTGCAGCTTCTGCCCTGGGCCACCAGTCATAAAATATAAAGTACACAGAGCCCTAAGTCAACACCAGGGAGAGTCACCGCACAAGGTGGGCTCCAGTATGGCCTGGGGGTTTGCTGGCATGGATTCCTTGAGCCCCTGCCCTTTCTAGATCTTTCCCAGGTTCCCTCGGGGAAGCCTCACCATGCCTGGGATGGGCAGCAGCAGGACATTTCAGAGGTCCGGGGTGGAGAAAGGGAGACTCAGCCAGGAAACACATGGCAGGGCCCTGGTCATTGCCCATATCACTGGGTACTGCCAGGGAAACTAGCAGTCAGCAGCAGGCAACCCCAGGAGGCTCCAGGGCTCCGTGCCTGGAAGAGCTGTTTGGAACCTCTCTGACTTCCGTGGGCAAGAGTAAAGTGGGGAGAGGTTGGTATCCTTGGTATCCACATCTGGCAGAACTACTAAAGCCAGTGAGGGCCGGGGGCAGAGGTGACACTCTCCTCTTGCTCCAATCCAGAGAAGTGGTCCCTGTGTCTGCAGAGAGGGTGGCCTCATATGGCTTCTTGAGTTAATGTTTCATGTATTTCTGTGTGATAAACTACCCCAAAACTTAGACACTCAAAATAATTTATCATGCTCTTTCACAATCCTGAGGGTTTACGGGACTCAGCAATCAGATGTCACCTAGGACTAGAGTCATTCGAAATCTCGCCTAGGCTGGACACTCAAGACAGCATTTTCTCTCTCATGCCAAGTGCCCAGACTGAGATGGCTGGCCAACTTGGCTGGCTGGGAATCTTTCTCTACAGATGACCTCTTTGTGTGGGTAGCCTGAGCTTCCTCACATCATGGTGGCTTCAGAAGAGTTGTACTTCTTATCTGATGTCATGCTTATTGTGGATTAAATGAGGATGTGAATATTGGGAAACATGGTTCATTAGGGAGCCATCTTTAGAGACCAGCTTCCACAGGTAGAAAGAGAGGGGCTAATATTGGGGTGATCTGGAGACCTTTACTTCTCCTTGTTAAACTCACTGTGGAGCCAAAATGGCCAATGGGGCTCATCTGGTTCACTACTTCAGACTGTTAAGCATGGCCTCCCAGTGCCCTGAGGGTTCTGGGGTCATGTCCAGGCAGACCCCCTGGTCCCTGCAGCGGTTTGCTTGCCATCAATATATCCTGAAATGCTCCTCAGACAACTTGGTCCCTTGTTTCCATGTGTCCTGCTATCCTATTGTCAAAGCAACTACCCAATCCTGGGAAGTCTTATTATTAATTGTCTTTTTTTATTATAGCCATCCTAGTTCTTGGTTCTTTATTTCCTGTATCCATTTCTTTTCTATTGTTTTCACTGTCTCTAGCCTCTCTTTGCTCCAACCCCTGGGGCACAGGATTGCCAAGGTAATTATCATCAGATGTAGATCTTAACCTAATATTCTCCTATAGAGGAACTTGGAGTAGACATGAAAATTCTCCGATGAGAAGTTCAGGGAAAAGAAAATACATCAGGTCCATATGAAGTCACAGTCATTTCTCTTTGTTTGATCCTTAAGTGCATAGATTGCTTCTTTGAGTTTTTTGGTGTCATATATATACAATTCACACATTCATGAAATTCATTCTTTTAGTGTGCAATTCAGTGGTTCATAGTATGTTTACAATGTTCTACAAGTATCATTCCTATATAATTCCAGAATATTTTTATCACCTCAGAATGAAACCCCATACCCATTAGCATTCACTCTCCATTGCCCCCTCCCCACTCCACTGACAATCTAATCTATTTTTGTCTCTATGGAATTGCTTATTCTGGACATTTTCTATAAGTGGAATTCTGCAATATGAGGCCTTTTGTGCCTGGATGTCTTCACTTGGTGTACTATTTTCAAGGTTCATCCATGTTGTAATATGTATCAGTACCTCATTATTTTTATAGCTGAATATTTTATTGTATGGATATACCACGTTTTTAATCCATTCATCTATTGATGCATACTTGGTTTGTTTCCACTTTTTGGCTGTTCTGAATAATGCTATTATGTCTATCCATATTCAAATTTTTGTGTGCACATATGTTGTCATTTCTCTTGACTGTATGCCTAGGAATAGCATTGCTGAGTCATGGGGTAATTCTATGTTTAATATTTTGAGGGACTGCTGGACTGTTTTCCAAAAAGCCTGCACCATTTCATATTCCCACAACAGTGTATGAGGGTTCCATTTTCTCATGTGCTCACCAACACTTTCTATTATCTGTCTTTTTAATTATAGCCCTCTTGGTGGATGTGAGCAGTATCATATTATGGGCTTTATTGCATAAAAAAGGCTAATGAAAAGATACAAGTATCAGGTGGTCCAAGTGTAAACAACCTTGAGATTATGAAGGCAGAGTTGCAATCTAAATGCCTAACGGGAAGAGTTCCCGACCCTTCTGCATCATAAAGTAAAAAGAGTCTAGATGGGACAGAACCCTCTGTGAGGGCTCAGAATCAGGCCTAGCAGACTCCTTTCTAATTCTTATAACATGGGCTTCCTTCAAGAAAGCTGGAGTCCCATCCCTTTTAGTAGAGCCGACTGACCGCTGCTGTCATCACCATGAACAGGACCTGGTCCACCAAGAACTTGACATGATGCAGATGTGGGACCTCACTCACACACATGAACCCAGCAGGCCAAGGCAGGACATTGTGTGAAGAGGACCAGCAGCATGAGAGCATTGACCTTGAGGAAAGTGCTCAGGCCCCTCTCAGGCTCAGCTGACCCATTTCAAAGGCGAACAGGTGGGATTGCTATTCTACTCTACTGCTTTTGAAAGAAGAAAATCAACAGCCCCTGCCTCTATTTGTTGCCTAGGGCAAACATAACAAAGTACCACAGACTGACGGCTAACCGACAGAAACGGATGCTCTCGCAGTTCAGGAAGACAGAAGTCCAAAATCAAGGCATCAGCAGGGCCATGCTTTCTCTCCTCATTTCTTGTGGTTCCCAGTGATCCTTGGCCTTCCTTGGTGTGCAGCTGTGTAACTCCAGTCTCTGTCTCCATCACCACAAGGCTGTCTTCCCTCTGTGTGTCTGTGTCTTCACGTGGCTTTCTCCTCTGTGTGTGGGTCTGTGTATGCTTCTCCTCTTATAAGAACATTCAACATATTGGATTAGGGGCCCACTTCACTTCAGCATGACCTCATTTTAATTTATAACTTAACTATATATGCAAAGGCTTTATTTCCAAAAAGGTCACATTCACAGGTACCAGGGGTCAGGACCTCAACATATCTTTCAGGGGGACACAATTCAATCCACAGAACTGCCCATGGCTCGATCTTTTTTGCCATATTCTATACACTGCTTCTCGGTCCATCAGGAATGTCTTTCTTCTTTTCTATTCCCCCACCCTCCACCACACTTCCCCTTAGGCCTCTACCATTCCTTCCAGCTTCTATTATCCTAGTGCCTCTCTCTATGCCCTGATGACAAAAGCTGTAGAGTTAGCCACTGCATTGTACCTGGCAGTAAGTTGTACCTTTCTCCACCTGAAGTTAAGAAACTTGGATAGTCTCTCCTACTAACTTTAGCTTCAGAAAGCATGAAGTCCTTCCCTGTGCTTGCCCTGGATTCTTCCGCAGATGGAGGGATGCAGAGTTGCCTGCAGAAAGGTGTGTGCCTGGTTCTGTAGTCTGTATAAAGCAGCATGCTGTGCAAATCAGCAGCATTTAGAAAGCTCTCAGCATCTCCTGAGAACTTGTCAATAACACAGATTTTCAGCCCCTAGATCAGACCTACTGAATCAGAAACTCTAGGTGGACCCTGGCATTCTATGTTCTGACAAGTCCTCCAAGTGATTCTGATTCATGCTGAAGACTGAGAGCCACTGGCATAGACAAGTGCTTTAGATCTCTTGGAGAGGCTGATAAGTCAGAAGGCAGTAAATAAATTGCCAAATGTTTAGCCTGCAAGTGATGAAGTGAGACCAAAATGTGTGTCTGGCTGACCTGACAAAAGCTGTCCATGGGGCTGCTAGCTCCTGGGCAAGGGACAAAGCAAGTCTTTAACAACTGAGGGGAATTGGTGGCCTGGCTCCATCATGCTGCCCCAGTGAAACTCTGCAGAGTGAAAAAATAAAATAAAAGGAGTAGAAAAGTAAAAATCACATATGAGGAAACTAGAAAACAGGTACATTTGAGCCACAATTGGTGAGGAAGCATGCATGGCCTTCCAAAGGCAAGCTGCACAAACTGAGGGGTCTAAGGCCAGACTCCCCCTTTAGAATGACACTGGGGGACACGGGAGGGTTCTTTATGCAGCACAGCATGTAGAGGGTAGGGAAGCAGGGCAAAATGATAGAACATGGGGAAGCATGTGGACATGCATCTTTGCAAAAATGTGGATACCAGCATGGGGGCCAAAACAGGGAAGGCAAACCAGCAGACTTACCATTCTGATCGTGGTAACTAGAAGGAAAGGAAACATGAACTCCTAAAGATGTGCATAGAGATATAGAAATAAACCAATTTTCTGCATACATCCATGTATTAGGGGCTTCACTCTAAGCTTGGAAGATCTCATGACTTGGCAACATCAGATTTTCAGGGAAGAATGTAGATGGAAATACATTCACAGACAACAGGGCAGAACCAAGCTGCCTACTTATCTGCTATTCTTTAACACTTAGCAAGGGTTAAAGACTCCCTTCCAAGATAAGTAGTGATCAACAAGAAGCCAGCATGATATCTATGGAAGGTATTGAGGAACATGAAAAGGAAAAGAGTAAAGACAAAGGGCAGATGAGAAACACATACCTGGAGCATGATGACATCCAACACATGAAATTAGACCCCAAAGCCAAGAAATCAATAAAATTAGAGGAAATGTCATCACTCTGAAATGAGAGCTCAAAGAAGAGGTATGAGAACTTGAAGAAGAGATGATAAGATAACTAAGAAGATTTAAAAAATGAATCTGTAGCAATAACATTAAAAACTGTATAGAAAGAACAGCTACATGACAGTCATCAAAAAAGAGACCAGATACTGTTGAGTAAATAGGCAGTGAGAAAAAGGACAGAATTGAGAAAATGAAGCACAATGAAGTGGAAAAAAGTAAAGAGCTAATACAGATAAGAAGAAAGTGTATACATATGTAACAAATCTTCACGTTGTGCACATGTACCCTAAAACTTAAAGTATAATAATAATAAAATAAAATAAATAAATAAAAAAAGAAGAAAGTGAGATTTGAAAGACAGACAAATGCTGTCTCAAGTACAAATAGTTGATTTTTCTGAAGACAATAGCAGAAAACACAGAATTGAAAAATAAAGATATAGTAGAAGAAACTATCCTCGTGTAAAGAAAGATCTAAATTTACCCAAAATTTCATGACCCAGAAAAATGGTCATAGCACAACAAAATATGAGTGATATTCTGATGGAGATACTTTAATTAAAATGTAAAAAAGTCCCAACTCATTGGCCATCTAGGTTTAAAAACAATCAACTGAATTGCAAAAGAAGAAAGTTTCTGATAGTGGCTTGCAGTTTTCACAACAGAATCATTCAAAGTTAGAAGACAATGTGGTAATCTTAATCTTCAGAGAAGAAAACATTATTTAAGTTTAAGCAAGTAAAGCTGTCATTTTAAGAGTAAATGGTAGGCTGGGTATGGTGGCTCATGCCTGTAATCCCAGCACTTTGGGAGGCCAAGGCAGGTGGAACATTTGAGCTTAGGAGTTCAAGACCAGCCTGGGCAAACCCCAGTCTTTGTGGTAAAACCCCATCTCTACCCAAAATACAAAAACTTAGCACGGCATGGTGTCATGCATCTGTGGTCCCAGATACTTGGGAGGCTGAGGAGGGAGAATTGCTTGAACCCAGGAGCAAAGGTTGCAGTGAGCTGAGATCTCACTACTGCACTCCAGGCTGCGCAAGAGTGAGACTCCATTCCAAAATAAAAAAAAAAAGATTAAATAATAATAATGGTAATAATCAATTTTACTGAAAGCCAGACCCTTTTTAAGTGCCTGGCATGTGCAAGCGTGTGCCAGAGAGAAAGGGGATGAAATACTGTTTTCTGCTGTCATCCTACTACCTCAATCAGAGTGACTCTACAACATTCCACAGGCATGTTCTCCTGATAGGAGGCATGTGTGTTTGTGTGTGTAGGGGTGGTGGCTGGGGCTGGTTGTTAAAAATCACTTGACCAGCTGCGACAAAAATAAGGACCACAGTAATGAGTCATGGCTCCCATTTAGCAACTAAAACAGAATTAACCTTTTCTTTAAACAAAACAAACTCTTTTTATTATAAAATAATACTCATATAGACAATTTAGAAAATATAGAAAATAAAGAGGAAAATAATAGTTGCTAGTAGTATAACTTTAACAAAGAATAATTTCTTTTTTTTCAGTGCAGCCTCTTTTATTTTTACATAGTTGTTCCCAAATAAATATAGTTTTTATGTTGCATGTCACATTTAATATTTTTGTATCATTGGCATTTTTTATGTCTTCATACATTTTATATTCATAGCCTAATAATATCCCTTATATGGAATACATGTACACCTAGCTGGGGGCATAAAGGTTATTTCTATGTGCTGGCAGGAGAAGGGTTTGGCTTCTGCTGACAACTCTTATAAATAGCAGTGCAGGGCATAAAGCCTTTGGAAGGTGGATTGCTTCTTGGAATAAATTCTCATGAGTGAAAATAATTAGTTGCAAGATACATCTGGGCCTGACACAGAATGCCAAATTATTTTTTGGAAGGTTCATGATGGTTCACACTTTCACCCTCAAGACAGGGAGAACCAGTTCATTACACCCCGCTCATCCCTTGAGTATTCTTCCAGAGGAGAAAAATGACTCTGCAAGAGGCTTTTAATTTTTTGTTTCATTGATTGCTAGTGAGGCTAAACCTTCATTGCGTGTTCTGCAACTGAGTAAATGATCTGCTTCTACTGTGGCCTGTGCATCCACTTCCTGGCTCCGAGCCCTGTTTTACTTCCTCCCAGTCTTCAGCTCTCCAGCCAGATGCCACCCATCCCAGCCCCAGTCTGGGTCAGTGCTCTGAGCACACCCATCCCCACCCAGCTGGGAGACTCCTGCATTGAGATCTGTCCTCCACTACAGCACGACCTCCTGAGAGCAGGGAGACACACAGGGTAGACACATCGTCTGTGCTCAGTGCTGAACCAATCTGTGTCTTCCTCCCAGTGCTATCTGATGAGACTGCCTTTGAACTGTTATTTCCATCTTGAGGTCTTGACTTCTAGGCTCTGATCCTAGAACTGTGGCTGCCACCAGCTACAGAAGTCACCCCAAATGTCTTCCATTTCTTAATAAAGTCATCTTTCTGGGCCTCAGGAATCTCAAATCCCTTCTGTAGAGCCTCCCAGCACAGGGCTGCTAAGAGTTAATTAATCCACTTGGGAAGCCAGTCTGCCCTGGCAGGGTTCAGTCCATGGAGACGATCACATTTATCGTTTAGTTAAAGGCTTCATTTAGCCCCTGCCCTGAGGTGCGCACAGAGACATTTTCTTGGGCAAACTTAATTATTGCATCAGAAGAAAAAACATGTTCTCATGTTAGTTTTGGGGAGGGAGCAAGCGCCAGCAAGACTTCCTGTAATTTTCATTACCAGTAATGACATTTTCCACAATCCTGAATTCATTGGGTTATTTTAATTCTTTTTATATTCTTTGTCTAAATGGTGAAGGAATCTATCAAGGGGAGGCATGATATCACTTTTCATAAACTCAAGAAGTTGTAGGGTATTTTGAAAATCACCTAATCCATGCCTCCACCTTCATACAGCAGAACCATAGCTAAATCCTCTGACAGCTAGAAACCTCCTGAATCAGTCAAGATTTCTAGAGAAATGACTTCCACAGTCTCCCTGAACAAGCTGTTCTGTGGTTTGGAAACTCAGAATCAGGAAGGTCTCCCCAGGTCTGATAATTGTCCTTTGCAATAGCAGTGACAGTGTAAGGCTCCCTTTTATGGGCCGCAGCGTTCTCAACCTGGGTGCACGTGGAAATCACTGGGAAAATTTGAAGGTCCTGATGTCCAGGTCACACCCAGACCAATTAGATCACCTGCCTTGGGGAGGGAGCAGAAACCTGTCTTTTCAATGTCCCTACCCTGGGGGATGCTGATGTGGAGCCAGAGTGGAGACCCTGGCTCCATTTCTGCTTATTTGTCAAATGTCTCACCTGCAAGGGACATTAATGTCCACCTGGTTCATGGTTCCCAGCCCTGCCTGAACAGCAGAATCACCTGGGAAGGTTAAACAACCTATTGGTGCAGGGACCCCACCCCCACTGGTCCTGACTGAATTGATCTAGGGCCTGGCTACTTTTTGAGAGCTCCCCAGGGCTCTCTGTCCAAGTGAGGAAGGTGGCCAGGTCTGCTACCTTGTGTGAGAGGAGCTAAGGCAGACTCCAAGAGACCTTCCCACATGCAAATGCATTCATTTTGCAAGGGCATTAAGAGTCCCTGAGTTCTGCTGTCAGGCCAACGGCGCCTCTAGGACCCAGCGGCCACTCCATGTGGGTTACTCAGAAAGATGATTTCTTATCATTTGGTGCCTGAGAAGGTCCTAACCCCTGCAACCTGTGAATATGAATTTCTAGGCAAAAACAATGTATTCCAGATGTGATTAGGTTAAGGAGTTTGATAAGGGGGATTATCCTGTAGTAACCAGGTATGCCCTAAATGCATCACAAATGTCTTTATAAGAGAGGCAGAGGGAGGCTGAAAACAGACAGAAAAGAAGTGATGTGACCATGGAGATGGAGAATGGAGTGATGCGGCCACAAGCCGAGGAATGCTGGCAGCCACCAGAAGCTCAGCCAGGCAAGGACCTTGGGACCCTGGAAGGAGCATTCCCCAGCTTGTTAACTGTAGAGGGTATCGACTGCAAGTTGTCTAGGTTCTTGGTGTTTTGAACAAAGAATTGAACAAAACACACAGCAAAGCAAGGAAAGACTGAAGCAGCAAAAGTAGAAATTTATTGAAAATGAAAGTACATGCCACAGGGTGGGAGTGGGCCAGAGCAGCAGCTCAAGGGCCTCGGTTACAGTATCTTCCGGGGTCCAAATATCCCCTAGAGGTTTCCCATTGGCCACTTGGTGTTCACCCCATGTAAATGAAGTGGTGGCCGGCAATCAGTCTAATTGTTTTGGAAAGCAACCAGAGGCTGAAGTTACAAACTTACTCTATGCAAACATCTGATTGTCTGCTGCAACCAATCAGAGGTACTTTCAATTATCTATCTGCCTCAAATAATGACAGCTTTGATTATTGCTTTCCAATCTCTCTTTTATTTCTTTTTTCTTCTTATTGCACTGCCTAAGCCCTTTAATGCATTACAGCATTGAAAAGATAAAAGAAGGCATTCTTGCCACTTTTCTGATATTAAAGGGAATATCTTAAACACTTTTACATGTGATTTGCCATAGGTTTTGTTTCTTTATTAAGTCATGAGTGGATGTTGAATTTTATCAAACAGATCTTTGCATCTATAAACCTGAGCATGGACTTTCTCCCTTCGATCTGTTGATATGACACATTACATTAATTGATTTTCAAAATTAAACATCTCACTGACATTCTGGTGGCTTCCTGACCTTGCTGCCTTTTATGGCTCTTCGGGCTTCTACCCTTTTTTTCTGTTCCCATGGGAGTATCTTTGGAAGAGAGTGGCCCTGCTCACACCAGAACTAGACATTACATTTTTCATGACTCCAACAGTGCACTTGCAATTGGGCTTATGTGGATGGACAGGGCTAGATTCCTTCCATCATGCTGCCTTGCTCGACTGTCCGATCTTGGGACATTTGACAGCAAGCCTCTCGGGTCACCCTCAAATCATCTTTCTCCCAGACTTTCTGACAGTTCACCTTATTGTCTTTGGCCTTGAGACCTCTCTCTTCATCATTCTCCTGCATCCCTGATTCTCTAGGACCTCAGTCCTGGGGACCAGGCTTTCGCCTGGCCAAAGAGCACATCCTCCCCTCTGCTCCCCTCCCTGCAGTGCTGGCCCTTCTGGCTGTGCTGTGAGACTGGCCACAATGTCTAATGGGAGCCCCCATTTCTGGGCCTCCTGCTGCTCAGCTTGGTCTTTCAGAGAGCACCCCTCAAAACCCAGAGCACCAGATGGCAGCCACCCCCAGGTCTCCACGTCACCTATGAGAAGCGTTCAGGCCCAGCACACGGCCTGGCCCCGGAGTGGTGCTTAAGAAATGTTTGTTGGTTCTTGCTCTTTCTTATAGCTGAGCCTGGGTCTAGGGATGCCCTCCCTGGCCAGGCATGGCTAAGAGGTGGGGTGAGGGGCTTCATGGGTTCGCCTGTGTCCCCTGCAGCACCCCTCACTGCAGGCTCAAGCTTACCAGGACCCCCACTACTGACTAAACACACATGTTGGATCCTACTATTAAAAGCAGTGAGAATTTAATCCTTCAGAGTTCAGCTCAAGCATCCTTTTCTCAGAAGACTCCCTAACCTCCTAGACTAGGTCACTGGGTCAGTCAGAGTCCCTGCGGGAAACAGATGGTATATTTAAATTGGGTAATTTGATCAGAGTTCAATGAGGGGACTGTCTACAAAGTGTGACTGGTTTAGGTGAAGCCCCTGGGGTGGGGTGGTCCTCTAAGCCAGTGGAGCTACCTTAAGTGGGACCTGATGGAGTGGGGGCAGGAGTGATTCTCAGAACCTTGTGCAGCATGGGGGCTGGGCGGGAACTGGGCCTGCTGCAGAGAATGCAGCGGGCAGGGAGTCAGAAAACCAGTGCCCACATTCCTCCCTGGCTGCCTCCAGCCTCTGGTCTCCAGCTGGCCCTCCTATCAGGTGAATGCAGCTGGAAGGCACGGGCCAGCCTGTAGGGAGGCTCTGCACACTGCACATGTGTGCGATTGTGTGATTGTGTGTCTGCCCCATGAGAGTGTGAGCTCCACGAGGAAGGAAATGTGCACATCTCACTCACAGCACAGCATCTGGCACATTACCAGGGCTCACTAAAAGTCCGCTGACTGGTGCAGAGGTGTAATCAATGGACTGTCCTGGAAGACATTACTGAGGAACCCAAGAGGGACTCATCACCCCTCATTCCCTTGAATACAGTGCCCTTACTGTTTTCTCTTGTCTCTTCATGGAACTTGGGAGGTCCTAGATGAAAGGTCTCAAGGGCAACTCCCACCTCATCTTCAACTCCATGGCTAGAGCATGCTCTCCCCAGCATGGCTAGGGGCCTTCAGCGTGGCTTGACATCCTCCGAACACGTGACTGCTCTCCTGAGATGTGTGGGTGTCTCCTCTGCTCTCATGCTCCAACTTCCCCATGTGCCTTGCTATGGACTGAATGTCTGTGTTCCCCCAAATCCATATGTTGAAGCCCCAAGCCCCAGGGTGATATTATGGGAGGTGGTGCCTTTAGAAGGTAATTACGGTTAGATGGGGTCATGAAGGTGGTGCCTCCATGATGGGATTAGTCCTTACGAGGGGATGAAGAGACCAGAGCTTTCTTTCCCACATGTGAGGACACAGTGAGAAGTCGGCTACCTGTGAGCCAGGAAGAGAGTCCTCACCAGGGACCCACCATGCTGGCTGGCACCTTAATCCCCAACACCCAACCTCCAGAACTGTGAGAAATACATGTCTTGTTTTAGCCTGTAGCCCCTTGGTGTATGGTATTTTGCAGTGAAGACATCTCCTGGAAGCTTCTTTCAGACCCCCCAGCTTCCCTGTCTCTGGCCCTTGACACCACTCTTGAACTTCCCTCCTGTCCTACATGTGGTATCTAAGGAGGAGTCACTGTCCCTTCCGAATGCTGAAAGGCCCTGAATGGTCGGGAGTGGCTCTGGCTTCCAAAAAGTGAAAGTTAGTCCTAGAATGACAGGTGTGGGCTAGAGGGAACAGCCCCTCCACCTTCAGGACAAGTGGGGGCGCTGGCCTTCCAAAGATTCTCTTCAGGTGCAGAGGACAGGCTCATGTGAAGCAGCTGCTGGCTCTTTCCCTTGGTCTGCACGAGGTGCATCCTGCCCTGGGCTGGCCTGAAACTGAGCGCTGGGGATGTGGAGGGAACAGCCTTGAGGGGTTCATGTCTGGTCACCAAAGAGACAAAAAACAAGCTGACAGGATAGGATGGGGGTGTGCAGATGGCCAGGCCTCAGGGAGGAAGGAGTCATGAGGAGGTCTGCAGCATGGGCGGGTACCGGGACTCAGAGGGAACCTGAGCAAAGGGGAGGACATGAGCTGAGTCTAAGGGGACCCCAGGCCATTTTCCACATGCAGGGAAGATGTCGGCAGAAGCCCTGAAGAGAAGCTGTGCCTGCTGAGAACCATCAGACACAAGGTAGACCCATACAGGGCTCACTCAAGGGCATGGTGACCTTGAGGCCCCAGCTTCAGGTAGGTAAGTTGCCTGCATTCTTCTGTCATCCCCGACTCCTCTCATTTGACTAGGTGTGAGTGATAGCATCAGTGTCTCCGAACTCAGGAGATATCACCTGGCCACACATCAAAGTCATGTAGGGAGCTCTGTGAAAAGACACTGGTTTTAGGGCTCCTCCTCCTGAGATAAATATTGACTGGGCTGGGCAGGGGCTGGGAGATTTGACAGTTTTTAAACCTCCTGCAGCTATTTGAGTGTGTAGCTGGGATTTAGAACCACTCGTCCAAGGAATGTCTGCAGAGGCAGGCAAGCTCTTTCTCTGCGTGTCCCAGCCTATTAGCTGCCAAAGATGATTCCAAAGTCCATTCTTTCCACTTTAAAATACAAGATGCTGTTTGATAGATCTCATTTTATGTTTTTCAAAGCAATGGGTTTTTTTTTTTTTTTTTTTTTCAGAATTGAATGACTGTGGTGTTTGGGGAGAAATAAAGGCTGAGTGCCAGCTTTTCTTCCTCCTCTTGGAACTGGTGCATCAGCTTGTGGAAGCATGTGGAGCTTCTGTGGGGTCCTGGGGCATGGACAAGTGGGAATCAGTCAGCTGATAGTTCAGTAGGGTGTAGGGAGTGAAGCTTTGACTGCACCCAGGAGAGCTGTAGAAAAAAGTCACCATGAGATATTAAATGTCATCACTTTCAGATTATTCATTATATATATATAGGAATAATTTTAAAAGCCACTTGAGAGATCAACTGAAGAGGTGTGGACAGAGTTTTATGCACAGAGATACACATATTGAAAACCACCAACTTTTTCAGTAAAAAGAGAAAGCTGCTGTGCCAGATGACAGAATCCAGCGGAGAAAAAAATTTAATGACAGGGAGATCATGGTATAATGCTAAACCAAAGAAACATATAAGCCTACACATAAAGTAGCATCTCAATCATGTAAAATTCAAGAATTAGGCCATAATTTTTAAGTATTTTCAAATACTGCAGCCTTTCAATTATCAGTTAATGGTATTACATATGAGTTATTATTTCTTTCTTATTTATTAGTATTTTTAAAGATTTTCTGTAATAAGAGTGCATTATTTTCATAATCAGAAAAAAATTATAACAAAAATATCATAACAAGTCAGTTAAGTGGCAAGTGGCCAACTGGAGGAAGGGTTTCCACATTTAGCAAATAAAAAGATAGAATGTTCATTGCATTTGAATTTTGGATAAATGACAAATAAATGTTTAGTATAAGTATATCCCAAATATTGCCTAAGCTATACTTATGTTAAAAAAGTATTTGTTACATCTCTGAAATTCTAATTTAATTATGTATTTCTTTAATTTATCTGATAACCCTACCTGGAGGGGAAGGAGAACAGGCCCAGGCCATGTGGGAGATTTCAAGCCATCCTGAGAGCTCCCCGGCTGCCCAAGACACAGGCTTTGGCTGGGCTTCCCTATGTCAAGCGATGGAAGGCACCATCTATGCAGCAGCCATGCTCTCTCCTGAGTCCTCAGATCAAATATCTTCTTATTTCTGGACTTAAGTACAGCTGCTCCAGCATATACACCTACTTCATGCAAATGATAACAATAATATTTATTTGTGTTGCATGCTAACATTCTCAGTGGGCATCATATTACTAATCACATGTGTGGATTTTTATCTCTGATGGGTCACCCAGCAAGTGTCAGATCTTAACACAGCTCCTCTAAGACAGGGTCTATTCTTAGTCCCATTTTGTGGCTGAGGAAACCAATGCTCAGAGAGGACAGAAGCTTGCTGGAGGCCACACATCTGCAGGGTCTGGTCTCAGATCCCACTGCCCTGCCCCCACTGAGCCTGGTGCAGGAAAGCTCTTCTCTGTGCTGTGCTCTGTCACTGTAATCTTGGAAGCAGCCCTGGGAGATGGCAGCCCTGGGAGATGCCTACCATAGGAAAGCTAAGTCCCCTCTCCCCCTCCCCCGACCCCAGCAGGATCCCATTGGTTTCTTCTGATCTTTCTCCCTCCCTCTCTGCCATGAAGGTTTTTGGAATCTGCTGGGTCTGCTAGATCCTCTCACTATCTCTGAACCTCAGACAAATCACCAGAGCTGCCAGTGCATCAATACTCTCACCTAATCCAGAAACATGAACTTGGCTCTCAGTGCAAACACCCTTCCCACCAGGTTGCAGCATTCCCAGGTGACTTTTAAGTGGGTTACAGTGAAAGTTTCTTCAAAAGCATCTCTTTCCCTGCTATCCAGGGCTTTAACTGCTGATTGATGATTTATAATATAACAAACAGAAAAATTTTTTTTATGGTTGAATTTCTGGCTTCAGCTCTTATCAATCTTATATTGTCTAGAAAAAACCAAGATCGTGACTTCTGAGGAAAATCCCCACATACATCTCATTGTACTTATTCCTTGGTGAAATCCTTAAACTGAAGTCTTGTTGTGAATACATTGTTTCTAATTTTTCTTATTTCTTTGAGTCCCTTCAAGGCCTCTCACCAAACCAAATCCTAAAGCTTTCTTGGAAATCCAGAAAATTAAGTGAAACAAGAACACTGTAGAATATATTAAATGGTCTGGCACAAATTAATGAAAAGCTCTTTGCTTGTAAAAGAAAATAAAGATTCAGTTCACTCAAACAAGGAAAGCTCTGTGGGGAAAGCCCACATTTTCCACTTGGCTTCAGCACCTCCAAGTGCAGTGAGTGGTGAGTGAGCAGCTCAGTGTGAGCATGCCACTGTCTACACGGGTGGCATGAGGAAGAAGAGTGGCCCAGCACAAGGCAGGGTCTCTCAACAACGGTAACAGATAGAGAACACCGTGTTCATTTTCTGCATGAGGAGATGGATCCTCCCATGCACAGAGGGGTCCAGCAACATGCCCAGAGTCTCCCAGCTAGTAAATCATGAGGCTGGACCCGACCCCAGACCCTGAGCTTTCCAGCACATGGCTCTGCCTCCCTCATGGGCCAACGTCTCCAAAGTCTAAGGAAGGATCAATCCTTTAAAGTCAGAATGTGCTGCAGTTCAGAGGTTTATGAACCTGGGGTTGGCTCTGAACCATCTCCAGGGCCTGACTTTGGGCTGCCCTGGAAGCTTTCTTGGCACCTTCGGTCATCATTGGGCTAGCCCCCATCATTCCTATCTCCCTCTGAACTGATTCTCTTTTCCAGCTTCAGCATGAGGGAGAATGCCAAGGTCATATAGACCATGGCCAACAAGTAAACTGTGAAGATTTGTCCCCTTTACGGTGTGGTGACGTAGAACAAGTTATTTGACCTCCAGGACTCAGTCTCCTCGTCTGCAAAGTGAGTATACTAACGATCACTTCCAGGACTGTTGCAAAGATTTATGAGACACTGAAGATGTTCAGTAACCTTGTCCATCCTCCAGCTCTTTGCAGGTTCAAATGTTTCGGATAAACCAGACCCTGAATGAGTAGGAGAAGGAACATGTGAAGAAAGCCAGGGGCCCACAACATCCCTCTCTTTGCACAAGGTAATGCAGTTCTACTCCTAAAAATCATCCTCCAATAAAACTGTATCTAGGGTAGAACCTTGACTAATGATACTTGGTATCTCTCTGTGGTCAATGATAGGACTAAGTTGGACATGAGAGATGCTATTCTCAGAATTAAGGGTCAGGGAATACAATGTGGTGACTGCAACCTGGTGCTCAGCTACCCATTAAGAAGCTCTTTAAAAAGTAAAGTCGTGGTGACATTCAGGGATGGTAGTGTGGCCAGTTCAGGTGACAGACACTCAAAGCTCTATGTGGAATAGTGGAGGAGCCTCAAACTGTTCCCTGGCCCCGTCCAGAAGGAAATGCCCATGCCAGGCGCCTTGGGCATGGTGTTCTTGCCTCTCGCCTGGCTCCCCATCCAATCTGCACCCTCTGCCAAGGATTGAAGTCATGGCCACCTCCACTTCCAACGCCCGCTCTGTGGCTGTGCCAGGAGTTGGGCATTAGCTCCCTTTCACTTATTTGTACAGGATGAATTATGCCAGGGTCGTGTTAACCATCATTTGGAGATTATTTTTGGAGACAGAAAACTCTTTAGCAGCAAGCGCAGGAGGTTATACAACGACTGTGCAAGGGAGACTCTTGGATACTCAAAATAGACCTTCCAAGGTGAGGTCATCATCAAATGGCACTCTGGGGACAGAGTTTATGGACTCACCTTTGGAATACTGTGTGGTGAGCGTGCCGTCGCCCCAGCCAAGAGCAGGGCCTGCTCTAATGCAGCCGGGCTCGCCCTCATTTATGTTGGGATGGTGCTCAGTGTGGATTGATGGAAAGAGGTGGAGCAGGATCCAGAAACATCCACTACCTCACTCATGTTATCTCATCGCA
This sequence comes from Homo sapiens, assembly GCF_000001405.40. Classification (NCBI taxonomy): domain Eukaryota; kingdom Metazoa; phylum Chordata; class Mammalia; order Primates; family Hominidae; genus Homo; species Homo sapiens. The sequence continues at coordinate 47,221,036 of NC_000010.11, read as the reverse complement.
CAAGGGATCCAGTGTTAGGGAGACCCAGGGCCTGGCCCTGGACATTTCACATGTCCAGTTCTTTTTTAACCCTTTGCTACAATGTGCTGTTTGGTCCGTGGATCCTGTAGCTGGTTCCCACATGCTTGTGTTTTTCTGTCTTCATGATGAGAACTGTAGCTCTAGATCTTTGAAGCTTGATTTTGCTTGGGCACCCACTGCATGAGAGCACTGCATCATAGGAAATGTTGCTAAGTTCCAAATATCCCCAAGAGAGCTTCCCTTACAAACTGCAGAATAGGACTTTGCTCTTTTCAACCATTAATGAGGTCTAAAATTTGAAAGGCCAGCCAGTGAATAGCTAATGTTTTTGACTGAATTCACCCCATAAGAATTATATTGTATGTCTGTATTAGTCAGCTAGGGCTGTCATAACAAACTGCCACAGACTTGGTTGCTGAAAACAACAAAAAATTAATTATCCCAGTTCTGGAAATGAGAAGTCCAAGATCAAGGTGCCAGCAGAGTTGGTTTTTTCCCAAAGCCTCTCTGCTTGGCTTGTAGATCCCATCTTCTCACTTCCTCACATGGTCTTTCCTCTGTGTGTCCATGTCTGTGTCCCAGTCTCCTCTTCTTATAAGGACACCAGTCATATTGATTAGCATCCACTCCAAGGACCTCATTTTAACTTCATCACCTCTTTAAAGACCTTGCCTCCAAATACGGTCCCATTCTGAGGTTCTGGGCGGCAGGGCTTCCACTATGAATTTGGAGGGGAGTACAACCCAGCCCATAACAATCTCAACACTCAGTACATAAAGATAACTAACAAAGGCCGGGTGTGGTGGCTCATGACTGTAATCCCGGCACTTTCGGAGATCGAGGCAGGTGGATCACCTGAGGTCAGAAGTTTGAGACCAGCCTGGTCAACATGGTGAAACCCTCTCTAATAAACATGTAAAAATTAGCCAGGTGTGGTGGTGCGTGCCTGTAATCCCAGCTACTTGGGAGGCTGAGGCAGGACAATCGCCTGAACCTGGGAGACAGAGGTTGCAGTGAGTCAAGATCATGCCACTGGACTAAAGCCTGGGCAACCGAGGGAGACCCTGTCTCAAAAACAATAATAATAATGATAACAATAATAATAATAATGAGATGTGAGTTAAAAAAAAAAAAAAACAGAACAAAACAGTACTTACCTGATATGGTTTGGCTGGTGCCCCCACCCAAATCTCAAGTTGAATTGTATATCCCAGAATTCCCATGTGTTGTGGGAGGGACCCGGGGGGAGGTAATTGAATCATGGGGCTGGTCTTTCCTGTGCTATTCCTGTGAGAGTGAATAAGTCACGAGATCTGATGGCTTCATCAGGGGTTTCCGCGTTTGCTTCCTCATCATTTTTTCTTGCTGCTGCCGTGTAAGAATTGCCTTTCACCTCCCACCATGATTCTGAGGCTTCCCTGGCCATGTGGAACTGTAAGTCCAATTAAACCCCTTTTTCTTCCCAGTCTCAGGTATGTCTTTGTCAGCAGAAACAAAACGGGCTAATACATTACCTTTACGATGTGGGAGACCATTTGATCTTTGCTATTCTATTCTATTTCTTTAAAATAACCCTGGTTATGACCCACAAAAATGATTTCACAATCCATTAATGGTTACAACCCACAGTTTTTCCAGATCAAGGCCAAACCCTGAGAATACTTATTTCCACTCTAATCTAAGGAGCTAAGCAAATACTAATCAGAATCAAAGCCTTTATCTTAATGATGGGGGAGCTGAGACCATGGATAGGCTTGAGCAGGCCTGGTCAGGGAATGGTGGTTACAACAGTGGCCCCAGTCTGGGGACCAGGGGTTTGAGTTTCTTCCAGAAAGAAGGATGGCCAGACAGGATCAGGATGGAGGGGGAGTGAGAACTGTGTCTGAGACACAATGCCAGGGGACAAAACCAGGGGACCATTCAAAGAGCAAGTGCAGGGCAGAGAAAAGAAGGAGCTGCCAAAAAGGCCAGACTCAGGGCAGGGGCAGGGACAGAGGGACGAGCTACAGCCACGTGGCTGCAAGCACCCTAAAGGTCAGAGCTCATCTATGTTGGGGATGGTGTTGGCACAGGCTCGGTCCCTGAGTGCTGTAGGCTATAAAACAAGTGTTGCCCTTTTAGGTCCACTTCATCTCGTTAGCCTTTTCCATAGAACACGGGGGAGCTCTGGCTGAGTCCATGTGACAGGACATCTCACAACAGAGGGGCCCTGACACTTTACACTTGAAAAGTTTGGGGAAGCCAAGGAGAGGAGTCTTTAGCTACGGAAAATCACCAGAGAAAGCCAAGCTGCAGAGAAAGCCATTTCTAAAATTCTAAAATAGTCATCCCAGCATTATGCCAATTACCTTCCTAAAACACAGGTGCCATACACCCAATCCCTTGATTATGTGAACACATACTGTTTCCTGATGGAGTATATAGTTATTGCTTTAGAACAGAGTAAAAATTCTTTAACGTGGAATTTAAGCCCTAAGGATTTTTTATATCATCCTCCAACTTAAATCCTTCCAGCTTCTTAATTTGTCATTTATACCCCCCTGCCACTTCCCACTGTATATACATATTTTAACATTATGGTAATAATACCAGAGATATGGTGCTCTGCTTTTTAAAAATAGCATAAAATAATTTCAAACAATATCATACATAAAAAGAATTTAAACTGTTTTTAATAATAAGAATTGCAAAGTAATATAATATAAAAAGAGCCCAAAAAGAGTATATGTACAGCTGAAACAAGAAAAATCCAATAGACATCATAAAGCCACCACCTGGCTTAAGAAACAGACCTTTTCAAATGTACTAGAAACCCATAATGTCCCCTTCCTCAATTATACTGCACCTACTCCCTGCAAGTGACTGTCATCCTGAATAATGTCTTCATCATCTGTTGCTTTTCTGTGTCATTTTCAACACAGTATCAAACCTTAAAAAATCATATTTTGTAAATTCAAGTTGCTGATGTTCAGAAATGCAATGTGACTTTCGTGTTTTGAATTAAAAAAAAATCAACTAGTAAATTTGTCTATTAGTTCTAAAAAATTATCTGTGGGTTCTTTGGGGTTTTCTATATAGAAAATCTTAACATCTACAAATAATGACGCTTTGTTTATTGCTTTCCAATCTCTCTTTATTTCTGTTTTCTTCTTACTGCACTGGTTAAGCCCTTTAATACATTACTGAGCAGGAAAGAGAAAAGCAGTCATTCTTGCCATTTTATGATCTTAAAGGGAATGTCTTAAACATCTTTACATGTGATTTGCTGTAGGTTTTGTTAGGTGCTCTTTATTAAGTTAAGGAAGTTCCTCCCATTCTTGTTTTGTTACAAGTTTTGTTTTGTTTTAAGTCATGAGTGGATGTTGAATTTTGTCAAACAGATCTCTGCATCTGTAAACCTGAGCATGGACTTTGTGCCTTCGATCTGTTGATGTGATGTGTTACACTAATTAATTTTCAAAATTAAACAACTTTGTATTCCTGGGATAATCTCAAAGTGATTACGATGTATGATTATACATTTTCCTTTGTGTGTTCTTTATGGCAGTTTTGTTTAGATGTCTTCACCTTTATTTATAAAGAAACTTAATCTGTAGCTTTACTTTCTTGCAGTTACTCATCTGTTCTTAGTATCAGACATGTGATAGCCTCATACAATGAGTTAGGATGTGCTTTCGCTTTTTCTATTCTTTGGAAGAGTGTGTGTAAGATAAAACTATTTGATCTTTGATGTTTGATAGAAATCAACTGTAAGGCCACTTGGGTCTGGGGTTTCCTTTGCGAAAGAATTTTAACAACTAATGAGGCCTCCTACATCTTCCTGAAATAATTTTAGTAAGGTTTTTTTAGATATGTATCTTTCTCATCATCTGTTGCTATGACATTGTTCATAACATCTCTTTATTACTAGTTCACAGCAATTTTTTTGTCCTTTCCTTTTGTGCCTTATTTTGGATGGAGTGCTTTAAAATCAGATTCCACTATTATCCCTCTACGTGTTTTACAAATATAATTGTCTATTCTATTAGCGATTATCTTAGCTATTTCAGTATGCGTGTTTAAGAATGCCTAAAGCTTATCAATATCTATGGTCATCTCAACTGATACACTTGATATACTTCATTTCAAGGTTTATTGCTTTCCACAAGCGGATGTACTGTGAAGCTAATGAAACATGAGTTTTTCAGAATGCTTCATTTACATGAGCTCTTTCTAATCTGCTGAGCCTAATTTTGCTTTTTAAAATTTGGTATTTTTGTTAACAAGGCACATTTTGTGCATTTACAGTCTCACAGAACCTGGATTGACCCCTGATATTTGCAAATCATTCTGTGGATTTCTAACTTCTGTGCCAGCTCAGCATTATATTTAAAAATATATTATTTGTGGCTGGAAGCGGTGGCTCACACCTGTAATTCCAGCACTCTGGGAGGCTGAGGTGGTCAGATCACCTGAGGTTAGGAGTTTGAGACCAGCCTGGCCAAAATGGCCAACCTGTCTCTACTAAAAATACAAAAAATACACAGGCTTGGTGGCAGACGCCTGTAATCCCAGCTACTCAGGAGGGGGAGGCATGAGAATCATTTGAACCTGGGAGGGGAAGGCTGCCCTGAACTGAGATAGTGCCACTGCACTCCAGCCTTGGCAAAAGAGTGAGCCCTCATCAAAAAAAAAAAAAAAAAAAAAAAAGAAAGAAAGAAAGAGAGAAAGAGAAAGAAAAGAAAAAAGAAAAAAGTGATAATTTGTATTGTATCTGTTGTTTCATTTGTCTCAGCAGATCTAAGCGACCTCACTGCTGTGGCAGGGACTGAGATCATGAAACTTGTTACTTGACTGCAAACATGGCCATTTCTTATAGAAAAATTAAGATATCAAATAGTGGATCCCAAAGCTTTTGAGGACAATGAATTATGGAGTCAGTTCTAGGGAATAGAACCAGTTTCTAATCAGGGACATTCTCTTATCCCAGAGCAGGGGGTTCTGCTGGAGCCCAGGTAGATTTCAGTAGTTGTAATGTACCTCCCTTTCATCTCCTTCTGGGTGGAAGTGTCTATTTAGTTATTCTTCTATCTCTGTCTCATGATTGTATTCTGAATTAGGAATGAGGGGCAAATAATTTCTTTTTTCAGTTTTTAGGTCTCTGTGCCTGACTTAGATGACAAGATCCTGAACTTTAAAGAGCTTGATGTTATAATGAGATGAAACTTTTGGGTCTAGGGGTGAGAACACTTTGCCAGATGACCGTGCTTTGGGCTCAGGAAAGCCCTTGACCAGAGCCTGGTTCTGCTTCCTGGGTCCACAGTCTGCTCTCGGAGGCACCTGGAGCCACTCCTAGTTTTTGCTCTGCATCAAAAGCTAGTGGGGATATTTCTGGAAAGAGAAGTCCATCCTGGGCTTTTTTTTTTCCTGAACATTAAATATAGACATTAAGTATAAGCACTAAATAAAATAAATAAAAATAAATATTAAATATAAATAAATATAATAACAATATTTTCCAAGGTGTTAATTCATTTTAAAACAACTGAATAAAGTATCTTTTGGTGGCTGCTAGAGTTAATTAAGTTACCTATTTAATTTCAAATATTCATGCCCCTCTTCATTTAAATAATTATTGGAGGGGGCTTATGAAAATTGATATGGGTTAAAAAAGAGTCAGTGGGGCTAAGAGAGTAGAAATAGTAAGATGAGGCATGAAATATGCTTTCTAAGATCCCACACACAAAAGGATCTTAAAGTGTTTCTGGGACTCCAAGCAACCCACCAGAAAAGGAAAACAGGATCCTGTGACATGAATTACAGTGTCCTTGATATAAACAAACTGTAACGACTGCATACTGCACTTTATGCTGCTGATACTTGAGACCCACAGCCCTGTCACTGTATAGGGCCAGGGACAGCGTCCTTTACCAATATCCTCACAGAGTTAGCAACGGTGGGTTTCCCAGCTGCCTTTGAGTTTGCTTTCCATGTGTCTGCACTTTAAGCAGGAAGCACACTTTCATGAAAAGAGCTCCATGGGAGGGGCTCTGAGAACGAGGTCCATGCTGCTTTGGATTAATCCTTCGCCAAATTCTCAATGAATAATTTTTTCTCAACTTTAAATGTGAGGTGATGATGTTTTCAAGGTTTGACTCCCTGATACTTGCAGTGAAGCTGGTGTTCCTTGCCTTTCCATTTGAAGGATGACAGAAAAATGCTTAGTCAGAGTGAATCCCAGATTCCATGCTCTGCAGAGAGCTGGACAGCTGCTTAACCAGGACACCAGCCTGACAGCAGGTCATGCTGCCTGTCCCACCCCTGCCCAGCATCCAGGGCTGACCTCTGTCCACTGCACAAGAGGCTTCTGGAGGGCCAAGCTCATTCCTGACTTGCTCACTGTTTGTATTGGTCTGCAGGGGCTGCTGTAACAAAGTGCTGCAAGCTGAGTGGCTTAGAGAACAAAATGCATTGGCTTGAAATTCTGGAGGCTGGAAGTCTGAAATCACAGTGTCATCAGGGCTGGTTCTAGGCCACTCTCCTTTGCTGGATGGCCATTGGCATATTCACGTGGACTTCTCTCAACTGTATGGCTGTCTCCAAATTTCCCCTTCTTATAAGGACACCACTCCTCCTATTAGATTAGGGCCCATTCTAATTACCTCATCACACCTCTGTAAAGTCTCTATCTCCAAATAAGGTCACACTCTGAGGTTCTGTGTGTTAGGATATCAACATATGAATTTTGGGTGAACACCAACCTTAACACCATCATAGCTCCAGTTCCTAACATAGTAAAAAACAACAACTGCACAGCACTAAAAAAAATTTGGAGAATTAATGTATGAAGACATAAATTGAAATCTATTTTATCAATAGACAGAATGTGTTCAAGGCCCAAGATTTTAATGTTATAGCAATAATTCTGGGCTGGAAAATTTAAAATAGATGTTACTAAATGCTCATGTTAGTCATAAAAGGCTTAGCAAAATTGAGCAGATGTAAGTTATGTGACTTCCTGAGGAACACTCCAAGATAAACCCATTATAAAAAGTACCTCTTAGCAAATGAATGAGTTGAACTTGCACCTACACAGGGTCATTACCCAAACATATAGGCACACCTTGGAGATACTACAGGTTTGGTTCCACACCACTGCAATAGAGTGAATATCTCAATAAGGCAAGTTGTATTCATCCATTTTCATACTGCTATGAAGGAATACCCAAGACTGGGTAATTTATAAAGAAAAAGAAGTTTAATGGACTCACAGCTCCACATGGCTGAGGAGGCCTCACAATCATGGTGGAAGGCAAAGGTGGAACAAAGGCACATCTTACATGTCAACAGGAAAGAGAATGTGTCCAGGGGAGCTATCCTTTATAAAACCATCAGATCTCATGAGACTTATTCACTATCATGAGAACAGCATGGGAAAACCCCATCCCCCACCCCATGATTCAATTACTTCCCACCGGGTCCCTCACATGAAACGTGGGGATTATGGGAGCTACAATTCAAGATGACATTTGGGAAGAGACACAGCTGAACTATATCACAAATCACACAGGTTTTTTGTGTCCCAGTACATATAAAAGTTATAATTTACAGTATACTGTAGTCTACTAAGTGTGCACTGTCTAAAAAACATACCTTAATTTAAAAATACTTTGCTGCTAAAAATGTTAACAATCATTTGAGCCTTCAATGAATCATTATCTTTTTGCTGATGGAGGGTCTTTCCTCGATGTTGATGGCTGCTGACTGATCAGGTTGGTGGTTGCTGAAGGTTGAGGTGGCTGTATCAATTTCTTAAGATAACACATCAGTGAAGTTTTTAGCGTCAATTGAGCCTTGTTTCAGTGAAAGATTTCTCTGTAGCATGCAGTGCTGTTGGATAGCATCTTGCACACAGAACTTCTTTCAGATTTGAAGTCCATCCTCACAAACCCTGATTTATCAAATAAGTTTATGTAATATTCTAAATCCTTTGTTGTCATTCCAATGATATTCACAGCTACTTCACTAGGAGTAGACTGCATTTCAAGAAATCGGTTTCTTTGCTCATCCGTAAGCAACTGCTCCTTCTTTTGAGTTTAATCACCAAAAATCAGCAATTCAGCCACATATTCAGGCTCTGCTTCTAATTGTAGGTCTCTTGCTATTTCCACCACATCTGCAGTTACTTTCCCTACCGAAATCTTGAATCTTTCAAAGTTATCCATAAGGTTTGGGATCAACTTCTTCCAAATTCCCATTAATGTTGATATTTTGACCTCCTCCCATGCATGATGAATTCTCTTAGTGGCATCTACGATGATGAATCCTTTCAGAAGGTTTTCAATGTATTTTTCCCAGACCTATCAGAGTAATAATCAACTATGGAAGCAATGGCCTGACAAAATGTATTTCTTAAGTAGTAAGACTTGAAAGTTGAAATTACTTCTCGATTCTTGGGCTGCAGAAAGGATGTTGTTTTAGCAGGCATGAAAATAACATTTATCTCTTTGTATACCTCCATCAGAGCTCTTGGGTGACCAGGTACATTGCCAATGAGCAGTAATATTTGGAAAGAAACCTTTTTTCTGAGCAGTAGGTCTCAAAAGTGGACAACAAATATTCAGTAAACCATGCTGTAAATAGATGTGCTGTCATCTAGACTTTTATTATTCCATACATAGAACACAGGTAGAGATTTAGCATAATTCTTAAGGCCTTTAGTATTTTTGGAATGATCAATGAGCATTGTCTTAAATTTCATGTCACCAGCTGCATTAGTCCCTAACAAGAGAGTCAGCCTGACCTTTGAAGCTTTGAAGCCAGGCATTGACTTCTCTCTACCTATGAAAGTTTTAGATGACGTCTTCTTCCAATAGAAGGCTGTTTTGTGTACATTAAAAATCTGTTGTGGCCGGGCGCAGTGACTCATGTCTGTAATCCCAGCACTCTGGGGGGCCGAGGCGGGTGGATCATGAGGTCAGGAGTTCGAGACCAGCCTGACTAACATGGTGAAACCCCGTCTCTGCTAAAAGTACAAAAATTAGCTGGGCATGGTGGCTCACACCTGTAATCCCAGCTACTCAGGAGGCTGAGGCAGGAGAATCCCTTGAACCTGGGAGGCGGGGGTTGCAGTGAGCTGAGATCATGCCACTGCACTCCAGCCTGGGTGACAGATCGAGACTCCATCTCAAAAAAAAAAAAATATCTGTTGTTTAGTGTAGCCACCTTCATCAATGATCTTAGCTAGATCTTCTGGAAAACTGGCTGCAGCTTCTCCATCAGCACTTGCTACTTTACCTTGCACTTTATGTTATGAAGATGGCTTCTTTTAAACCTGAAGAACCAACCTCTGCTAGCCTCAAAACATTTATTTTGCAGCTTCCTCATCTCTCTCAGACTTTGTAGAATTAAAGAAAACCTGGGCCTTTCTCTGGGTTATGCTTTGACTTAAGGGAATGTTGTGGCTGGTTTGATTATCTATCCAGACCACTAAAACTTTCTCCATATCAGAAATCAGACTGTTTTGCTTTCTTATCATTCATGTGTTTACTGGAGTAGCACTTTTAATTTCCTTCAAGAACTTTTGCTTGGCATTCACAGCTTGGCTAACTATTTGGCACAAGAGACCTAACATTTGGCCTATTTTGGTTTTCAACATGCCTTCCTCAGTAAGCTTAATCATTTCTAGCTTTTGATTGAAAGTGAGAGACGTGTGACTCTTCCTTTCACCTGAACACTTAGAGTTCATTGTAGGGTTATTAATTGGCCTAATTTTAATATTGTTGTTTCAGGGAATAAAGAGGCCTGAGGAGAAAGAAATAGACAGGGGAATGGCCAGTTGGTGGAGCAGTCAGAACACACCATTTATCAATGGAGTTTGCCGTCTTGTGTGGGCATGGTTCCTGGTGCCTCAAAACAATTACAATGGTAACATCAAAGATCACTGACCACAGATCACCAAAACAGATGCAATAATTATGAAAATGTTCAAAATATTGTGAGAATTACCAAAATGTGACACAGAGACACGAAGCGAGCACTTACTGTTGGAAGAATGGCACTGATAGACTTGCTTGACCCAGGGTTGTCACAGATCTTCAATTTGTAAAAACATGCAACACCTGCAAAGTGCAATAAAGTAAAGAGCACGAAAATAAGGTATGCTTGTAGTTAACATGAAAGGAAAGCTTCCAAAGTGGTGACTTGGGTTTGAAAGGGCTGGTCTTGATCTAACACTAAGGAGACATCCAGTGAACTATCTGGCTACATAACTTTTTTATTTTATTTTATTTTATTTTATTATACTTTAAGTTTTAGGGTACATGTGCACAATGTGCAGGTTAGTTACATATGTATACATGTGCCATGCTGGTGTGCTGCACCCATTAACTCGTCACTTAGCATTAGGTATATCTCCCAATGCTGTCCCTCCCCCCTCCCCCCACCCCACAACAGTCCCCAGAGTGTGATGTTCCCTTTCCTGTGTCCATGTGTTCTCATCGTTCAATTCCCACCTATGAGTGAGAACATGCGGTATTTGGTTTTTTGTCCTTGCAATAGTTTACTGAGAAAGATGATTTCCAATTTCATCCATGTCCCTACAAAGGACATGAACTCATCATTTTTATGGCTGCGTACTATCCCATGGTGTATATGTGCCACATTTTCTTAATCCAGTCTATCATTGTTGGACATTTGGGTTGGTTCCAAGTCTTTGCTATTGTGAATAATGCCGCAATAAACATACGTGTGCATGTGTCTTTATAGCAGCATGATTTATAATCCTTTGGGTATATACCCAGTAATGGGATGGCTGGGTCAAATGGTATTTCTAGTTCTAGATCCCTGAGGAATCGCCACACTGACTTCCACAAGGGTCGAACTAGTTTACAGTCCCACCAACTGTGTAAAAGTGTTCCTATTTCTCCACATCCTCTCCAGCACCTGTTGTTTCCTGACTTTTTAATGATCGCCATTCTAACTGGTGTGAGATGGTATCTCATTGTGGTTTTGATTTGCATTTCTCTGATGGCCAGTGATGGTGAGCATTAACATGAGCACTTCTGCTCCAAGCTGTCTGTGCCATCACAGCTGCAATTGAGAGGCATTCCTTATTCTCCCTCCCTCACCAAAATGTAAATAGCTGTGTTTATTTTTTCTGATTGAATGGTTAATGCATGCTAACTATAAAGAAGATAACTAACAAATCTGAAAACTGAAAAGAAAATGTTCCTTATAAACCTCTAGAAGTTTGTGATAGCAACTTCACAATGAAACTGTATATCATTCCAAATATTTAAATTAAATATGTCAAATACAACATATATTTATCCAAATGAGATCATACAATATGCACTATTTCATCACTTGAATTTTGCACGCAATAAATCATGAAGCATGCTGAAACCTACTTGGTAGTATTGTAGGATGTAGCTCTCCCTAGAAACCTGGCTCTTTACTGAGGAACATGCAGCATTTCTAGTTTCTGCTACTAAAAATATCATTTCATAAACCTTCAGATAGGTACACATTTGTATGATCACCCAATAATTTCCTAATGAAGTGCCCAGAAGTAGAATTGCCACATTAAAATGAATACATATTATCCTACAGATTTTTACAATATCCTTCAGAAATATTGTACCAGTACTCACCCTTACCGATTGTCCTTGAAATTGTGTTCACCCACCACTTAAACTATATCAGATGTTATTCTTTTTAAATTTTGCCAATTTGATGGATAAAACTAATATCTCATGGTCAGTATAATTTACATTTCTTTTATAACCTGATCTGTTCATTGGCCACTTGCCTTTTTTTCCTTTTTGAGTTTCTTTTTTCACTTTTTTTGTTTATTATTTATTTGTCAGTTTTCTCCCCTACACCTTCTCCATTGTCCCTTTCTGAAACTTCAATTCATTCAATTTTGGATGTATATTTTGGTTTTTCTTTTGCTTCATATTGTGTGAGAATTCTGTTTATTTTCTAGACTGTCTAACGACTTGCTATCTTGGCAATTATATCTCTAAGAAGTCTTTATTGTTCTCAGATTGTTCTCTTTTCATAGTCCCTTCTTCTTGCTTTAAATAAATAAATATATAGATATAATTGCTGCTTCTTAATTAGCTTATTTATTTATTTATATCTATCTATCTGTCATCTGTTATCATCATATGTAGACACATCCTTTAATTATTTTGGCTTCCAAGAGAATAGGTTGAAATATCAGCAGTATCCGTTTATATGAAGTTGCCCATATTGTGCACAAGTTCCACACTCTGGAAGTAGTTTTGGAATGGATGGAGGGAGAGAGGTATTACCAGGTTTGTGACTGCCTTATAGTTCCCAGTATCCTCAATTTCCTTTTTCTTCACTTTTGAAACATTTGTCCATTTTCACAGAAGCCATGATTACCATATTAGTTAGAGTCTGTTTTGGCACAAATAATGCAATGCATTCAAGAGTAGCTAAACATGTTACTATTACAGGATGGATATTGTTGTTTTTCCTCATGTGCCTAGGATCTGCTTCAGAGGCTCAGGACTGTCAGAACCATGATCTGAAATTCCTGTGGCCTTTCCTAAATGGTTGCAAGATGGAAACACACTCTTGTTTTCTGGGAGGGGGAGAGTGAAGAGATAAGGAAGAAAGAGTAACACTTAGAGCTGGAAGCAGAAACTGCCTGCTGTCATCGCATTGGCCATTTAGAACAATTTCCCAGCATCCCTGGGGTTTGAGGTGATCAAGTGACACCGTGACTGGTGCAGACACTGCTAGCTTCCTATCTATTGCCCATTCTTAACTTCTTTCTTACTAATATGACTCAGAGTTTTGCTTAGTCTGTTTTTGTTTTGGTTCCTGATAGATTCTAGGACTTTTCGGAGTGACCTGTTAATTACCTTATTTTAAAACTCCCCAACAGTGCTTAGCCTAGGCTTGAGCACACAGCAGGTGTCCACAGTTCCTGGAATTTGGTTGGCTGCCAGTCAAGAACTTAATAAAACATAGCTACTACTTCTTGAAATTTTCCTATGCCAAGTACACTTCCAAATGCATCACGTATATTAATACATGTTATCCCACCATAGCCTTATGAGATAGATATTATTATTATTACACCCATTTAACTGATGAGGAAACGAAAGCACAGAGCGGCTAAGTAACTTGCCTGAAACCACACAGATAGAAAGCAGAAAGGAGGGAATTGGAATTTGAAGGCAGGCAGGCTGCTTCCTGCACTTGTTTGCTACCGAATTGCACTAGTAAATTAAGCCGTAAGTGGCTTACACCTTCAAATCTTCATTACGTGATGAAAAGTGATAAAAAGCAAGAAAATATACAACTACTTTAAACCTATACATTAAGGGGAAACTGACAGCCATGTAAAGTCAAGGAGCTAAAGAAACCTTGATGGTACAGACGTTCCATCTCTCACCTCTCGTCCACGTGGATCACACCGAAAATATAATCACCTTCTTCCTCATTCATTCTGTGTTTGTGGAAACTTCCCAGTGATCAAAGCTGTCTTGGGGTGAAGGGTGAGCCCAGCCGTAAAGTGAGCTCTGTGAAGACTGCTGCCTTTCCTCCAGCCCAGGGCTGTCAACACAGTGGCTGGGGAGTGTTGTGTGACTCTCCTTTGAAGCAATAGGTCCATTGTGCAATCTCCATAGCATGGCCTAGTGGGAAGACAGAAGCCCAAAGGGCCCAGTGTAAGCTCATCCAGAAACTAGGAGACTGCAGTTCCACATCTATAAAACAAGGCTAGTTTGGATTTCTGGGAAGGAAGTAGTTTATAAAATCAGCAGATAATATGTAGATCCAGATGTAAAATGTTGGCAGGCACAATGAGGGTGGCTTTTTCTCACCAAAGAGAGCCTTTGATCTTTGCACAGAGCCAAGGTGGCAACTCTAGCAGCCTAGTTTAACTTCATTTCACGATCTGTGACCTTGGTTCCCAAACTTTCATGTAAGGTATTGCCCATTTAACAGGGAAGGAGACCTAGTCATGGCCTCTGGGAACTGGAGAAATATGTACAGTGCTCCAAGCCTCCATGAAAATAGGCAGACCCAGGGATCTGACTCTCCTTTTATCTGTCTCTTCAGAGCCCTGCTCATCTTCTCTAGTCTCTTCTATGGCCCAACAGGAAATTAACATGACCTTTGTTCTCACAGCATAGCAGCCACGGTAGGCTAAATTATGCTGCAGTAACAAATCACCTAAAACTCTTTGTGGCTTACCACAAGAAGTTGATATCTTGGTCTCATAAAGTAGACTGCAGATCTGGGTGATTCTCCAGGCAATTTTCCTCCATATTTAGCAAGTCAGATTGTTTCCTTCTTTTGGCCTTTCCATTTCAACACTAAGCAATCCCCAACTGGTGCGGATGAAGAAAGAGGTGGAGGGTCAAGAAGCTGTAATTAATTGCTTGGGCCTAGGAGTGGCCCTATTTCTATTCATGTTTCTTTGGTGAGAACTATTTACTTAGCCATACCTAAATTCAAGGAATACCTTATGATTCTCTGTGTAACTGAAAGTAGCAGAGTACCAAATATTGGTGAACATTAACTCTGTTGATCATACAGACAAAAGCTGTCTTCATTTGCTAAAGAGTTCCATCTGGCTAACCTCTGAGCTATTACCTTTGTGTTAGCCAGATTCAGGATTACGGAGTCTTGGTGAGGAAGAAACTTGGAGGCCATTAGTCCAGTTTATCCCAATTCAGGATCCTTGATATTAATCCTAACAAACGATTATCAAGCCTCTCTTTGGACACTTTCACGATGGCGTCTCACTATCTTATGAGCCAGAAAATTCCATGTTGAGACAGCTCTTTGTAAAATTCCTCCATGTTCTGATCCTGTCTACCTTCCTGGCAGGGCCACTTCTCAAGTCCAATTCTCTATGCTTAATAGAACTGGCTCTACCCACCCCCACTCTCCCATGCCCCTTCAAATGCCTGAGGCCATTGGCATGTTTCCTCCTTGCTCGGTTCCATAGCCTCAGTTCCCTCCACCACCCCTCACGTGACCTCCAATTTCTCCCTGTCTTGATAACCACTCTGTATGTCACCTTCTTTTAGTGTAGTATTCAGAACCTCTTGGTCTGATGGTTGTCAGATAAAGTGTTATCACTGATCTTGTTCTAGGTGTTGCACGATTCTAGCAGTGTCACCAAAGCAGCATTACTTTTCTCAGCAACCACATCACACTCTGGGTTTATATTCCAACTGGAGTTATTGGGATTTGAAGTCTAAAACTGACCCCCTCTTCCCTTCCAGGTTCTGTCCCATGGTTTATAGGCAAAAAGAGATGTAAATAAAAGTGACAGGCTGATTAATGGTTGGGCATGCATCCCAAGATTGACAAAAGGCAGGCCTCTTTGATTTAAACTGGAATAGAGAATTCATCTTGAATTTTTGAGGCTGAAGGGTGACCGCAGCTCTCTGCATTCTATATTGAAGACAACTGGGAACTAATGTAAGGCTGACTTAACTCACTCATTTGAAGGTAAAGAAACTGGAACACACACAGGTATGCATGCACACCCACATACACATTAGAAGATGGCCAGGCCTGCCTACAGAAGATGAGCCCTTGGCCTGGCCACTTATGCTTAGACTGCAGAGAAGGAGGAAGAGGCTACTGGCCTTGAAGCAAGCTGTGAAATAAATGGGTGAAAAGACACAGTAGTCCTGTCCATTAGCTAAGGGCTCTGAGTAATACACTTTCTTTCCTTTTTTTTTTTTTTTTTTTGAGGCTGAGTCTTGCTCTGTCACCCAGGCTGGAGTGCAGTGGTGAGATCTCGGCTCACTGTAAGCTCTGCCTCCCGGGTTCCCACCATTCTCCTGCCTCAGCCCCCTGAGTAGCTGGGATTACAGGCGCCTGCCACAACGCCTGGCTAATTTTTTGTATTTTTAGTAGAGACGGGGTTTCACCGTGTTAGCCAGGATGGTCGCTATCTCCTGACCTTGTGATCTGCCTGCCTCGACCTCCCAAAGTGCTGGGATTACAGGCTTGAGCCACAGGCTTGAGCCATCTTTATTTAAATGTCTACTAGACCACTTCCCAATCTAACAAGATCATTTTGAATCATGATTTGATGATCCAATAGATTAATTTTTCCCCATTCCAGGTGATGTTGACTGGTTTTGTGTTATGCAACCTACTTAGGGGTAGGTTAAATTGTCACTGCAACACAATTTAACCTACCCTGGCTCTGTGCTTTGAGAACAGAGGATATGTGAGTTTCCTGTTGGATCAGAGAAGAGACTAGATGGGCTGGGCAGGGATCTGGTGAGACAGGAGAGCAACAGTTACAGAGAAGTGGGACACACATCTTAATATTTCTAACCAGGCTGATGCTCCTTGAGTATCATTTTTAGCTATAAATTAATATGTCACATAGCACAAGATTAAAAAAATAGTATTTGAATGTGTTCTGCTAAAATTTTACTAATAGTAAAGCCTTCCCAAAGAGGAAATGGGATTGGTTTGTCACGGCTTGTTCTTGGTGAACCCCTGTTGGCTCACCTTTTCCAGGTATGCCACCATCTTCAATGTAATGGCTTCACTTAGAATCTGTCTATGAAGGAGTATCTTGTCTTGTCTTTTGGAATCCACCCTTTTCTTCTTTATGCTCACCAGGACAACATCTGTCCATCTACCTCTTTACTAGGCTGATAGATTTTTTAACATTCGAAAGGCTTTTGTGCAAGAAGAATGGTTATACTTGTACATCTTGGATTCGATAGGAAATTTATGAATCTTAAGATTGTAATAATAAATATTTTTACATGATGATAATATTTCCTCTAATCATATATTTCTAATATAATCTTTCACAATTATGAATACAATAAATTAAGCATTTCCTAATGTTTATACATCATTAGAAATCTATTTGATCAAACTTTCCACTTAATAAAAAATGCAGATCAAATGTATGAGATTCTCTTTAATGTCTTACATGCTTTGTAATAGTGGTTAAATATCTGAATCTCTTCTGAGTAGCTGCCCCAATCTAGGTCTCCTCTCTGCCTGAGTGCGTGGGAGGAGCCTGTGGCCCCTAGCAATCTGAAATGACTCCTTGGCCAATTCCGGCTGAAGGGCTGATAGCAGAAATGAAATGTGCCTCTTCTGGCTAAAACACTAAACTGCTAGAACAAGACCTTCCAGTGGTCTTTTCCTCTGTCTCATGGTATTGGTTGTTTTTAGCTACATAACAAATTGCCCGAAAACTTAGGAGTGTAAGACAACAGACATTTGTTATTTCACAGTTTCTGTGGATCAGGAATTCAGAAATGGCTTCCTTTGGTGGTTCTGGCTCCATGGTCTCTCCTGAGGTTACAGCCCAGATGTACCCTGGGCTGCAGTTATCTCCAGAGTGGAGCTGGAGGATTTGCTTGTATGACTGCTCACTTACATGCTGTTGGTGCAAGGCCTCAGTTCCTCACTGGCTGTTGGAAAGAGGCCTCCACTCCATACCACATGGACCTCTCCTAGGACTCATTGAGTAGCCTCAAACATGGTAGCTGGCTTCCCCAGGAATGAGTTATCCAAGATATAATAAGGCCCAAGTCACAATGCCTTCTATGACTGGTCCTGGAAAACACAGGTTGTTGCTTCTGACACATTCTATTCATCAAAGGCAAGTGGCTAAGAACAGTCCACACTTAAGGGGAAGAAGATCAGTCTCCAATTTTTGAGGGGAGAAGTATAAAATAATTTGTGAACAAAATTTTAAAACCATCACATTGAGTGACTGAACAGGCTGCATTTTCTGGATGAGGCAACTGCAAGGCTGTGGAGCCTCTGTCAGCCTGGGTTCTTGAGTGACCTGGTGGAGCAGAGGGCCCTTTGCTGAACTGAGATGGATATGAAGCACAAGAAAGAAATAAACCTTCATTGTATCAAGTCACTGGAATTTTACCTACACATCCTGACTAGTAGTCATTTTAAGACATAAACATAAATAAAATCACACTGATAATATGTAAATGTGGTTACAAAATTATGAATTCTCTGTGTTTAAATGATTTTTATTTGAATATCATTCAAAAAGTTTCATTTTTTACACTCACATAGGGCTTCAGTAATTCTATGAGATACTAATAATCACAGCAGATCCCAAACCAGGTGCATACCATTTCAGGAGAGAAGAAGTTGCAGATTCTGGTCCAGGATAAGTCTGTTTGTTTAAAGTGATCCAAACCAAACCACTGATTGAGTGCCTTTTGATAATACAGTTCTATTTGTTACATTTGGACTTTTAAGCCTCTGCCTTTCAAAAGCTAAATTCAAAGATTTAATTTTTTAAAACTTGGTGTCTTTCCCAGAAATGATGTATTGTAAAAAGTTTCTTATGGCTAGCTGGCAGTACCTAAACTATTGTCCTGTCATTATGATGAATTGGCCTAGTCTATAAATATTAATTGTAAACTTATGCATGCCTTATCAATATTACATTATAATTAGTGGGGTCATCTTGAGGTTCCATCTACTAAGAGATGAGAGATGGAGTGTGTGCAATGTTTAGCTAATTAATCATCTTAGAACACTGTGAAATTCCCTGTTTAATTGGTTGCTGTGTAGGATCACGAGAGCAATCAATTGTTTGATTCCCTATACTATGCATGTTTTGGGGGATTTTAGTTTATTTATAGTTCCTTGTGTTTATTCTTTCTTATGCACAGAGATAGTGAGAAAGATAACTCTATACTTTGTAAATGGATATATGCTCAATAGAAAAATGTAAATACAAACATAAGTACTTTTCTATTTATTAAAGCAATAAAACTAAACAAATCCTAACATGTGCATTCTTTTGCACACATTATATTAACTTTGCTTTTTCAAATATTGTTGTAAATCCATGATCTTTCACAAAATCAACTTGTTTCAGCTAACTTTGAGTATTATTTTATTTTTCATGCTCTGCTTGGTCGATGGGACCCTTCAAACTGATACCTTTGTCCTTTCAACAGCAACTTACTGTCATTTTTAAAACAGTCTTGTTTTCTGGCATTGAGGTTGTCCATACTCAATATTTTTTCTGTCCTGAGATTTGGGACCAAGTGTCTTAATTCCTTTTGGTAGAAAAAGAATCAAATCTGGAACCAGAGGCACACAGGAGCTCTGGCAGATGCTGAAGCCACCTAGCCTATATCCTTTCTCACCTTCTGTGATGGTTAATTTTTTGTGTCAACTTGACTGGGCCACAGGGTGCCCAGATATTTGGTCAAACATTATTCTGGATATTTCTGGATGACATTAGTATTTGAATGGGTAGACTGAATAAAGTAGATTGCCCTCCCTATTGCGGGTGGACCCCATCCAAACATTTGAAGACCTGAATACAACAGAAAGACTGACCCTCCCGAGTGTAAGAGGGAACTCCTTTTCCCTGACTGCCCTGAGCTGAGACATAGGTCCTCTCCTTTGGACTTCAACAGAAACATCAGCTCTTCCTAGATCTTGAGCCTACTGGCCTTTGGACTGGAACTACATTCAGTCCCTTGGTTCTCAGGCCTTTGATTTCAAACTGGAACTACACCACCAGCTCTCCTGAGACTCCAGTTTGCCAACTGCAGATCCTGGGACTTCTCAGTCTTCATAATTGTGTGAGCCCCTTTCATATCA
This sequence comes from Homo sapiens, assembly GCF_000001405.40. Classification (NCBI taxonomy): domain Eukaryota; kingdom Metazoa; phylum Chordata; class Mammalia; order Primates; family Hominidae; genus Homo; species Homo sapiens. Next base: position 47,201,398 of record NC_000010.11, on the reverse strand, counting down.
TAAGAAACACTCTCTCTCTCTCTCTCTCTATATATATATATATACACACACACACACACACACATACACATATATATAATACATATATATATATATACACACACACACACACGTATATATATATATATATATATATAGTTGTGTTTCTCTGGACAACCCTGACTAATATGTCTTGCTCCTTATAAGAACTCTGATTGCATGCAGGTGACAATGTGCTCAGCTAGACAGATGTGCCTTCACGGACTCGTGCAGCTGAAGATGGCCCAAGTTGGCATGGTCTAAGCCACATCAACTCTTGCCTAGATCATTGTAGCTGACTTCTAGTTCCTGATCCCGCTTTGCTCCCTAAACCAGTTCTTCTCACAGCATCCAGAGTAATCCTCTCACAGTGTAACCTGATCACATCACTTTTTATGCCCAAGACTCGCCAATGGCTTCCATTCCTACAAAGCGAGAGCAACATCTCTACAGTGGTCTCCAAAGCCTTGTGTGATATGAATACTGAAAGTGTGCCTCAAACATGGAAAGGAATTACATTCTACACCTGTTTCTCCCATGTCCACTTCATTGTTCTTCAGCAATGCAGCAGTGTGTGGATAAAATCTTTCCATTTCCCATTGGATTCACAGTCTTGAGGTATAGTCCTCACATATTACAGTAGACGTGGTACCCATTGACTTGCTCCAGGCCTCTTTATGCTGTCGTCACAGCATGCTGTACCTTGTCCTCCATCTCAGTGTATGACTGTGTCTTGTGTGCTGGTCCTGGGTGCTCTGGCACCTCACCAGAGAACCTCTGACACAGATAGTTACAGGCAAATACTCGTTCTTCTGTTTTACTGTCTTGGATTTCTTCTGTAAAGATTGGGGTAGAAGGTGGGGTACAACATACACAGTGGATACAAATGAGAAAGATTCAACTTAGTACTTATTTATTCACTTCACTTCATCCCACAAATAATTTGAAGGGGCTTATATTTCAGCTTAGTATTAAGAAGAGCTGCCCAGCAAAGACTCCTAATGGAACAGAAAATTTTAGGAGGCAGTGGGTTCGCCATCTCAGCAGGCATTCAAGTACAAACTGAAGGACAGGTCGCTAAGGCTGCTGGAACAAAGTGTTCTGAGAGCAGCCCACTCTGGATGCTCAGTCTGCTTCCTGTCTAGTTTTCCCTGGGATGTTCTCCTCCTTCTGAGCTCCACTGGCTGAGGTAAATGCTGTTCCTTCAGAAATCCTAGAGAAGCCAAGGACCCGTCACCATAGTTATGTTCATCATAGACATAACCATGACAAAAGACAGGAGAGGACCCCCACCTCTCTTTTCAGAGGTTCATCTTCTGACAGCGATGATACAGAGGGGAGGGAAGCTGGGGAAATGCACCACCTGATTACATGACATCAGCATCAGGGGATGGATTAGAAGTTAGGCTGCTCTCTAAACCAATGAAATGAGTTTGATTTTTCCACCCTTTCTCAAGAATCCCTCCCTCTCCATTGCTTCTTCTAGAGGATTGATATTTAAAAGTTGTTTTTGGCATTTGTCAACATACATTTCTTCCAGATGTTAACCAAAGATCCCAGACCAGTTTTGATGGCATGGAAGTGCTCAAATAAGTCATAAGAATTTTTTAAAAGACGAAATTGGTGGTGAGTCCAGCCTGGGTCTTGGGTCTTGAACAGGATTTTTTATTTGCTGAAGGCAAAAGCCTGTCCTCAATGCTCTCCTGGCCAAAAATATTATTTGCATTTAAAGAAAAATAATCAAATGCTTTTTTGGGTGCTTACACTTATTTTTCCCTTCTGTTTAGACTGAGGACAGTTGGACCCTGTTCTCAGTTAACCTCAACATTCCCAGCCCCCTGCCTTCATCTCTAATTAAAGAGATAGGACAAATGGCATTTTAAATTTCTTTAAAATTTTTCAATAAACAAACACACATTTCAGCATCCAGCATTTTATTTATTCTAACATGTTCAGAATAAATAGAACAAACAGAATTTACATTCTCTGCTCCCCACTTCATTTTACATGCCTTGAATGAAACATCTCACCCTCCCTTTAGAAAATATGACATCTATTCCAATGAAATAGATGAAGATCCTGAGTTGAAAAACAGTCTGTTTTTACTTGCCCAAATTCCTACAGAAATGAACCCAGTAGAACCTGGGAGTTCTTGGCTGGAACAAATTTGTTGATGGAGATTAGGGCCTAATGTTTTTCTTTTAGTTTTCAACTTAGATCAAGAAACAGTCTGATTTTGGAAATTACCCTGTAGGAAAGATGGAAGAAATAATTTTTTTTCACAGAGTCTGGGATGTCATATTTTAAATATGCACAAGAATATGTGCCTGCAAAAGAGCTTTCTTTGAGCAGATTGCTGCTGTTGCCTGCTTTCGTCCTTGTGCTGAAAACCTGATTTTGGAGAAGGAGGATCAGTGTCAATTCTGCAGAGGGAAGAAGAAGAAAATTTCAACTGGGTATATGTATTTCAATTTATCTGCTATTCACTTTGTGGCAGGTTTTATATTCCAAAAAAGAGTACAACAATATTTTCCATCCTACATGCTCTTTGACAATGTGACTTTGCAACCCTCACATAGACAGACTCCATGTTCCATCCTCTTGAATTTTATGAGCTTGTAAAAAAAAATAAAGCAATACATCTTCCTCCTTAACCACTTGAATAGTAGTGCTAGAGGCCTGAACTGATTATCCATGTGGCCGCCATCTTATGAGGAAGACAAGGTGACATGGAGACGCCACACATAGGAGCTGAGTGAAGAGGTCATCAGATGATTCCTGCTGCCAGCGGTCAAGTCACACCCAGCTATTCTAGGAATCCCAGCAGAGGCTGCAGACCTTATGGAGCAGAGACAAGCCATCCTACTGTGCTCTGACTGAATTCCAGACCCAACAGCCATGAGCATAATAAATGAGGATGGTGTCTGGGGCTGCTCAACAAAAACCCCTGTGACATTCTTGTTCTCAGGCGCCTGTAGGAGCTCTGCACCCCCACGTTCCCAGGGTAAGCAGAGCAGCCTCTGGGCAGTCAGCTGGCCTCAGGCAAAGGCCTCCACACAGATTCTAATGAGTGGCAGAGCCAGCAGAGTCCTCTCAGAAGCCGCAGCCTCCTGTGGGGGCTCTGATTATGCTGAAATGGATCTGTCTTGAGGCCACTTTGAACTCCTGGGAAACTCTGCAAGTTGAAAGTATTATCCACCGGACTGGCTGATACATGAACTGGGCACTACGGTTGGCTTAACTTTACAGAGGGGTTGGAAGTCAACTCACATGTGTGGAGCATCCCCTCTGTGCTGGACCTTGGGTTAAGGTTCTCTCTGCTGCAAATCCTAGGCAATAAGCCCTGAACTCAACAAGTCTCAGTTTCTTCGCCTTAGAGTTGCTCTCTCTGTAAGGCCTCAAGGCTGATAAGAGACAGGTCTTCATCATCTCATCACTTGGTGAAAAACTTGGTGCTGGGCAGAGCATGGTCAATATTTGCTATTAATATTATTATCCTCAGTACCTAAAGTCAACTCCACAAAGAGAGTATTGTCATTCTCATCTCATGTACGGTAATGAGCACTCAGGAGGCTGAGAACTTGTGAAGAGCCACAAGCCTCTGAGAACTTGAACTAGAATTCAAACCCAGGTCTCCTGTCCTCCAGGCAGGGCACCAACTGGCAGCCACCACCTCAAGCAAGCATCCCTTGTCTTTGGCTTGGACCTTTGCAGTGGCTGCCAGTGAGGTCTTTGTCCAACTTACTTTCTACTCTGCAGGTATAGCGGTTGGAGGGACCAACCACTCACAGTGTCCCCTTTCCCAGGTTGCGACTGCGTCCCTTACCCACAGCAGTTTAATCCATAGAGATGGAAAAAAGAATGAAAGTTGTCAGGGGCTGGGGGCTGGGGGTTGTTGTATAATGGGAACAGAGTTTCAGTTTGGGGTGATGGAGATGGATGGTGGTGATGGTTGCACAGCAATGTGAATACACTTAATGCCACTGAATTTAAAAATGGCTAACATGGTATATTTTATGTTATGTGTATTTTACCACAATTTTAAAAAGTGACTGCATCCCCTAAAGGATGAGGCCCAAGCTCCTCCACATGGCATGTGGGACTCTCCCTGAAGGCTATCTGGTGAGACCTTAGCCACCCCTGCAGCCTCGTCTGCCTGTCCCTGTCTCCCTAGCCCCCGCAGCTCCACTCCTGGCTTCCTTACGCACACCACACCATTTCTTCTTCTTGCTCAAGCTGTTCCTGAGATTCTCCTTAATTCCCCCTCTCTTCTCATTTTGAGGGCTCGGCCTAGGTGGGGGCTTGGCAAGGCCACCTCTCCTCACAGGCCTCAGGCTTCCAGCCCGTGCTCTGCGCTCTGATGTATTTGCGGGCCCACCCTGCAGAGGACTGTGGTGATCTCGCCATCTCTCTCTGCTAACATGGGGGCTTCTCAGACTAGGAGCTGCCCCCAAGTCATCCTGTGACTCCAGCTCATCATACCGGTGCTGGCCAATGATCCAACCAGCTGGAGCAGCAGCAACCACGTGGGCAGCAGCCTGGAGCCCTTGCCGGGGAGCGGAGGTCCTGAGGGATGGTGTGGCCCTGAACTCACCCTGACATCCACATCTGGGTCCAGGGATGTGGGGTGGAGGAGACTGGCCTGAGGGTATAGGGTTGCACAGGTGGGACACACCCTCACCCTGCATCACAGAGGGCTGCATGGAGAGTGGGAGAGGGTAGGGGAAGACATTGACAGGGAAGGTGTCCTCTTCCTACGTAGAGGCCAGGGCTGTGGGCCAGGATCAGATGCCTCAGTGCTCACCTTCCCCATCTCTGGCAGACCCTCTGGACTGTGACATCCTGTGGGTGCTTGTGTCAGAGCTCCCAGGACAGCAGAGGCAGGGATGGGGCCAAGGGGCATGTGGCTGTCAGGTGAGAGGGTTGGAAGAGGGTGGTGAGTTTCGTACTACCCTTTCCTCCTGGGATCAGTGGCTGAGGTGTGACCTGGTGCCCAGCCCAGTCTGGACCCAAGCCTGCCATGCTGGTGTCTGTAGAGAGGCAGGAGCCTCAGAGCTCCATGGCGACAGGCCTTGCCAAGTAGCTGGTACGGGTCCCTTCCCCACAGCATCTCCCTCAGCAAACCTCTCTGGGGGTGATGCCACAGTGATCAAAGGCATGCATTATGGAGCCAGCCTGCCCTGGTTTGAATCCCATTTCTAGCACTGACTGCCTCCGTGACCTTGAGCAAGTTGCTTAACCTCTCTTTGTTTCCATTTACTCAATAATAAAATGAGGACACTGATAGCACCCACATCCTCAGGTTGTTCAGTGTCGGTCCTGTAGAAAACATTATGTAGATCCTGGGTATTAAAATTATGACCCTGTTCCTGAGAGACCAGTAGGGAGAGTTTTGGATGACGATTCTGAGTACGACCTGGTAGATGAGGTCCTGTGATTTGTCCCCTTGGGGACAAAGCCAGGCCATTGTCACTGCAGGTTAGCTCCTTTAACTTTTCCAAGAGGCACATAGACCCTGGGGCTCTCACAGCCTTCCTGCCCTGCATACCACAGTGACCCCACGTCCAGGGCAGGTTTGGGGGTCTAGGTCCAGGGGGCACGTCGGGGCATCTAGAAGCTCCTCCCCACTCCATGTAGGCTGGCCCGAGCAGTGCTGGGGGAGGCGGGCCACTTTGAGCCAGAAGATAAACATATTAACTGAACTTTCCATCTGTCATTTCAGAGAGTCATTTACTGCCTAGCTGTGGTTGGAAAAATTAAGTCCTTGTAATTTAGAGTCAACATTTCTCGCAGAATCATGTTAGACAAGTTGGCGGCATTCGCAGCCTCTCGGCAGTTGCCTACAATCAAAACAACTTTGCCCTGGACCCGTGGACTCCCCTGCCAGTGGCATGGCTGGCTGTTCTGCACTGGATACAGAGCACTACAGGCCATGGGGCAGGCCTGGGAACACCAGGCTGGGGGCCTCAGGAGGAGCGGCAAGGCAGAGCACCCTCCTCCAGGGTTTTCCCCTTTGCCTAATGCAAAACCAATCTCCCATCTATTAGTGTGCAAGCGCCGCCGTACAAAACACCACAGACCGTCCTTAAACCATAGACATTTATTTTCTCACAATTCTAGAGCCCTGGAGCCTGCGATCAAGGTGTCGGCGGGGTAGATTTGTCCTGAAGCCTCTCTCCTTGGCTTGGAGATGTCGCCTTCTCCCTGTGCCTTCACACGGTCTTACTGCTGTGTCCATCTGTGCCCTAATCACTTCTTATAAGGACATCAGTCATATTGGATTCGGACTCACCCTACTGACCTCATCTTAACCTAGTCACCTCTTTAAAAGCCTTATCTCCACATACAGCCACATTCTGAGGCACTGGAGTTAAGGACTTCAATGTATGAATTTGTTTGGGGGGAAGGTCACAATTTAGCCCATAACACCCAGTCCATTTTGGATTAGTTCATTCTCAGTCTACCCAGGAGAAACTGGTTTCATTGGCTCCATTTTGCAGATGAGGAAACTGACTTTGGAAAGACAGGTGGTGGTCCCCAGGTCCCACAGCAGCAATGCCAGGCCGGGAAGCCAGGGCTGGGATTTCTGGTTCACACAATTTGCATCAGAGCCCAGCTGTGTCTGCCCCACAGCCCCAAGGTGAGCATTCTACTGGGTCCCCTGCACAGGCCCCAGAAACCCCCAGAAACTCCATGCAGATGACAGGGAGATGGGCTGCAGCACAGGCGGAAGTGTCCAGTAGTGGGTGGGGAGCCCTGGGAAGCCTCAGGCAGAGACCCCTGCTTGCCTCGGGAGGTTGTCTTCAGTGATGAACTCTGTCATACGCCGTCTGCTCTTGCTGACCCTCCATCCTTACCCAACCTGAGGGGCTTCCCCAGAGACTTTCTCATTATTCAGCCTAGTTTTAGTAAGGGAGATATTGGGGCCCACTAAGTGCTGGTGCTAGACAACTTAGTTTAAAAAGGGGCGGGGCATGGTGGCTCACGCCTGTAATCCCAGCACTTTGGGAGGCCGAGGCAGGCAGATTACCTGAAGTCAGGAGTTCAAGACCAGCCTGGCCAACATGGTGAAACCCCATCTCTACTAAAAATACCAGAAGTATCTGGGCATCATGGTGGGCACCTTAATCCCAGCTTCTTGGGAGGCTCAGGCAGGAGAATCACTTGAACCAGGGAGGCAGAGTTTGCAGTGAGCCAAGATCACGTCACTGCACTCCAGCCTGGGCAACAGAGAGAGACTTTGTCAAAAAAAAAAAAAATCACAGCAGGCTGTCCCAGAATCAAGTGGGCTTATCCCTAGACCTTAGGCTACGTAGTGGATATTGTAGGACCAGCCCAAATTCCTCATTTTGAAATGGGGAAACTGAGGCTCAGAGTACGGCCCTGGTTTATCCAAGGTCACTGTCTTAGTCCATTTGCATTGCTATAAAGGAATAGTTGAGGCTGGGTAACTTACAAAGAAAAGAGGTTTATTTGGATCATGGTTCGGCAGGCTGTACAGGAAGTGTGGCACCAACATCTCCTTCTGATAAAGACCTTAGGGAGCTTCCACTCATGGTGGGGTGGAAGGAGAGTCACTTTTGGTTTCCTTGACTCTGTTTGGTAAAGGCTGTCCTAATTGTATGCAAGAGATGGCAGACACAGGCAGGCAGAGGAGAGATCGATCTTTCAAACCAGTTCAGGCAGACTCGACTTCTCCCCAGCGGAGCGGAGCAGGTCACTGCCACACAGATCTGCAGTGTGGTCTCCGGGAGCAAAAGGCATGTGGAACACATCAACTATATGTGGCCATCAGAAAACTTGCTCTCATAAAGGTCTCTCTCCATCCTGCACCTACCCCCATATTCTGAGGTGGAAACTGAGGCTCAGCCAGGCTCAGTGACCTGCCCGAGGCCAACAGTGAGAGAGAACCCAAGTTCCCAGCTCCAGCCCCAGGACAGTCACTGAGACTCAGTATTGACTTTCAGGTCCCACATGGGTTTCAGCCTCACAGAGACCTGAATTCTGACCACTGGGCCGTGGTCCCTGTTCGGAAGCCCTGCTGACAGGGAGTTGAGTGGGGCATGCCTCCAAGTGATGGCCCCTGGACCAAGGCCAGGGCATCTGTATCCAAAGTGGGGAGAGTTCTCTGACACCCCTCACGCTGTGTGCCAAGGCCCCACACACATATGCTATCATTTCCAGGGCCTCCTGCCCTCTGTTTCCCCTGACTGGGGAGAAGAAAATATTAGTGTGGCTGCCCCAGGGGTCTGAGGTCTGCTGCCCCTCTGTGTGTGGCATTGCCCTAATCTCCCAGCCCTGCCCTCCCACAGGCTGCCCTGCTCCCCCGCCCCTGCACTTCCTTAGGAAGATGCACAGGGAAGGAGGTACAGCGCCTGCAAATGAGAAATCCATCTCCTCTCTGCTCCAGCCCTCTGCCTTGGGAACTGCAGAAGGCCCCTCTCCTGACCAAGCCCTCCCGGCAAGAAAGAACTCTCCTTGAAAACATGGTTCTTTGCAGCTGCCCAGGACAGCTTAGTGTGTGTGGTCTGGAGGCTTCCTCTAACTGTGAATCCATTGACCTTGGAAGAGGGGACACCTGTGGTGGGCAGATTCTAAAATGGCCCCAAGATTCCTGCCCCTGCGTGTCAACACCCATTTAATTTCTTTCGCTGGGCTATGGGCAGGACCCGTGAATACGCTGCGGAATCACCCTTGTCATCAGGTTACTGTACCTGACAAAGGGGCCTGGGCAGCTAGAATTGAAGTCCTTGATCATTTGGCTTTGATTTAATAAAAAGGGAGATTATCCTAAGTGGGCCTGACTTTATTAGGTGAGACCTTAACGGGAACACCTCCAAAGCTTTCCTGTTGGTCTGGGAGAAAGCAAGCAGCCACACCCCTGGAGGGCACCACAGGGCCAGGGACTGCCTTCCGGGTCTCTAGCAGCTGAGTGTGGCCTCTGGTTGACAGTCCTCAAGGAAGCAGGTACCTCAGTGCTACTACCACAAGGTGCTGGATTCTGCCAACCATTCAAATGAGCCAGCCAGCTCCCACCATGATTTCAGTCCAGGGTAACCCTGGCCAGAGGACCTCACCCCACTGCACCTGGAATCTTGGACCCTGGAAACTGAGATGACAGGTTTGCATTGTTTTAATCCACTAAGCTTCGTAGCTATCCAAAACTAACATGGCCCTCTCCACCCCCAGGTTCCTCCTCCTGATAAATCTCTCAGAGCTCAGCCTGGCATGACAGTGGGCAGGGATATATCTCAGTTCAAGCATGTTTGATAGGAAAAGTTAATCATCATGCTGACAACATAACATTGAAGCAAAAATAAATCCGTTACTATCATGGTTGTGGGACAGAGGTGGGACCAATGAGAGAGGGAGACGGAGAGAGAGACAGATGGACACAGAGAGAAACAAAGAAAGAAAAAGACACACACAGAAAGAGAGACAGAGAAAGAGAGAGAGAAAGAGAGAGAGACTCAGAGACAGACTCCTCAGCTGTCACAGACACAGTGCTTTTGTTACAAATGCTTTCATCTTGCTTCTGCTTTACTCATTCATTTATTTGTAAACTTTGTCGTCCTAATAGTGCCAAGAATGAAATAAAGCTTAGTAAATTAATCCTCACTACTTCTGATTAGAACTTTATTTTTCTTTCTGGGGAATAGCTGGTCCCTGCAGACAAGGCAGCTAGCTCTGGGGGGAGAGCAAGCCTAGATGGAGAGGCTCTCTGGACGTGGCACCGTGTAGCTCAGCAGCAGGCATGGCCCTTGGGCCGCCTGGGTGTGAACATGTTTCCCACTCTGTAAAGTGCCCCAGAAGCAATAATTTTGTAGAAGGTAAATATCTCCATTTTGAACCTGGAAAACGGAAAATAAGGATGGCAGTTGAGTCATTTGCTGTGGTTTCAAGGTGCATCTGGGACCTCATGTATAGTGTTGCCTTTCTTAGGCCATGGTCAGGGCATTGAAGGGTGACACCGAGCCATAGACACCAGGAAACTTTCCCAAGGGATCTCCTGGCAGCACTCAGCTCACAGCAGGCCCTTGTGGCCAATGTAGCCCTCGGGGCCCTTGTGCCCTGAGGTAGCCAGTCCCTCTCTCCTTCCCAGCACAGAGCAGGCCAGCCTCCTCAGTGGGGAAGGCCATGTGACTGATTTTGACCAGTGGGGTGTGAGTGGGAGTGATGTGAGCTGCCTCCAGGATGGAGCATTTAATTATGGATGGGAGCCACTTTACATCTCTTGCCCCTCTACAATCTGCAAGGGGGACCCACAAACCTCCAGGCCCAGCAGCTTGCATTCTGAGTGAAGACAGTGAGGAGCAGAGTGCCCAGTTGAGCCACTCTGGACATGTAACCTGAGTGAGGAACAGACCCGCGCTGTTTGGAGCCACTGACATTTCTTGGTTAGTTGTTACTGCACTAACCTAACTCATATTGACCAGTGGAGCCTGTCAGGGTCACTTGGTGCAAGCAAGTATCCTTACTGGCCAGATGCCTCAATGACATGTGTACTGACCTGAGCCATGCAGGGGTGCTGCCTTGTAGAGTATGATCTGGAGTTAGGAGGTGCGGGACAGACAGGTTTCCTGGTTAACAGAGGAACGTTTAAATCTATTGGAACTCTGAAGTTCTTCAATTTTATTTTCTTGTATGCAGAAATACTTGAATTTTTATTTACTTGTACACAGACATAGTATATATGCAGTTATGTTTCCCACTTTTTTGCTCATTTTAAACATTTCTCCTTGTTGCTATAGAATGTGTAAGAATCACTTTTAATGGTTGAGTAAATACTTCGAGTGGGTTATGAAAGAACTTAATCATCGTTCCCTGTGGTGGGACATTTGTATTGTTTGCAGTTCTGTGCTCATATAAGTACCACTGCAATAAACATCTTCGTGCATAAAGCTTGTTTTCTGTTTAATATTATTTACTTTGGCAAAGTTCCCAAAAATGGAACACCTGGGCAGAAATGGCATGAAGACTTGCCTTTTTCAAACAGGTTTTTAAAGTAAAGCATTCATCCACGCTGATGCCATAGGATGGTAAGTCCGGGGAAAGTAATGCACTCTGTCCTTAATCATGAACACTGAGCCAGGCCTCGGCCTCCGACCTGACTGTCTGTTATTACTCTCCAGGACTTCAGGGATGCAGGCCAAGCTCCAGAAGTCCAAGCCCACCTGGGGGCTGTGACCCAAGAATGGGACCCAACAGCTTTAGCTCCGTACTCTCTGGCTCTAGCCCAGCTCACAGAACTCCCGAGGGGCCACCACTGTCCCCCCAGATACCTCCACTGACTCATCGGCCCCCCAGGGTGTCTGCTGGTGGTCGGTGGCAGCCCTCCTTCTCCACCTTGAGGTTCCCAAGCACATCTGCCTCTGGCTGCTGATGCCACCTCTGCAGGCTCAGAGCTGCTGCCCTGCCCCAGGCTACGGCCCCTGCCTGTTGTTGCTCCTCCCTCTGAGTGGCAGTGCCTGCAGCTCACTGGGGTCTCACAGCTGGAGTGCTGTAGGTATATCCTCTATTCACCGGGAAAATGTCTGTGTTGGGCTACACACCAGGATCCCTGGGGCCCAGCTTTTTCCTGCCACCTCTTCTAGATCTTTCCCCTAACCCACAGTCCTGGCTTATCTCCCTGGGAGCCTGAGAACCCTCTGAGGCACTCCACAGTGCTTCACTCAAATCATTCTTTCCCTTCCGTGCCCACGCAAACCTGTGCCTCAGGCAAGCCTTTCTCTCGTCAAGGGTGGCAAAGACTGTCTCCTTGATAAAATTTTAACCAGGCTCCTCTGAACCCTCTTTCCACCTAGATCTTGGCCTTGGTCTGTCCTTAGCAGGCTAAGCCCAGTTTTAGCAAAGAATCCTACTAACTCAGTTGATGAAAATCTTCCTATCCTTGATAGCTGATCAAACTCCTCTTCCTCCACCCCTGATTCCTACCCAAACTCCTCCCAGTAATTTTCCCTCCACCCCTTCTCCCTGCTTTCTGTAAATTCCTGCTTGCCCCTGGTATATTCCAAGTTGAGTTCAATCTCTCTCCCCTGCTGCAATAATCCCAAATAAAGTCTTGCAATTTTTAACAAGTGTCAGAATAATTCTTTATGACAGAGGATATTTCTTCCATCCAGGACAACAAGATGGGAGAAGTTAGTATGTGGGGTAAAGTTAGCCCTGGGGAATGGCTGTCACCATCCCCTAGACTACAGCCTTATCTCTCCGATAAAGAACATGATCCTTGGTGTAAAACCAACCCATCACACACACAACAGTGGGTGGGTCAGGAGATGGCCCCTGGAAACTGGAATATCATGCAGGACATCTGTGCTGTGGAATTTCTGTGCTGTGTTGGAGAGCTGGGATGCCCTGATAAAGGAATGTTCTGAGCATCTTCCCTAGAGAACAGAGAATACCATGCCCCCCTACCTAGCATCCCAGCCTTACCTTCACCCCACAGCATTTCCCTTTAGGCCAAGTATCCATTCATTTAGCATTCATTGATTGTGTTCCTGCTACATCATCTTGTCTTAAATTATTAGTGGAAACTCAGTATCTTCAGGGTTTTTTTCTCCCTTAACTTTTAGTTTTATTCTATTCATTCAGCAAATATTTTTGAGTGGCTGAGCACCTGTGAGGTTCTGAGGACACCACGATGGAGTGCGAGGTGGACCGAGGCTCTGCCCTTATGCAGCTCCCAGTCTCAGAGAGAAATTGACCTGAAGCAGAAGTTTTGTGTCTGGCAAGATGATGCCTGGTCTCAAGACTGAGTTGTCAAAGACTGGGTCACAGACCGGAAGGTCAAGCATCTAGACAATGGTTTCTTTGTGTGCATGTGGCATCAAACATTTCAAGTAGATTGCAATAATTTTCAGGGTGTGATAGGAAATAAATTATTTGCACCTTTCCCACTTCCTTCTCCTTCTCCTCTTCCTCTCTTCTTTCTCTTCCCTTTCCCTTCTTACTTGATTGTCCCAGAAGGTCTTGAGGTAATTCCACTGCAGGCCTGTGCAAACTCGCCCTCACCATATCCTGGTAGGAAGGTGGGGCCTCAGGTACCAGCAGAAGCTCAGGATGGCAGTGGCCGAGCCATCATCCAGTCTCCCAGTGAGAACCTCACCTCAGGGGCTAGTCCCTCTTCTCTCCCCACCTCCACCCTACCTCCTCTTCCCCACCCCCCAACTTCTGCCTTGCCACTGTGAAACCCTTGCCTGGTCCTCTGAGGAGGAGACGCCACCCCTGCCTCACTTCCCTGCAGGCTTTTGCCTCCTTTGTGGCCCTTGAGCCCAGTGACGCTGTGGCTGAGGGTGTTGGCAGATGTTTCTCCCTTATCAGATGGCTTACCCTGAGGATAGAGATCATCTTTCTGTCAGAGCACCTGACACACAGTAGGTGTTCAGAAGACATGCATTTAGAAGATGAAGGAGAAGCCAGTGATCCATCGTGGTTTCCCTCTATAGTGGCCACACAGGGGGTCCCCTTGCTGTGGCCCCACACACTGGCCCTCCTGCCTCAGCTCAAGGCCTCTCTCAGAGGCCAAGGCTCTCAGAAGAGGTGATGTCTGGCCAGATGGTGTCTGACCAGGCCCACTTCACCTGGGGCCCGTTCAGAGAAGGCCCAACCATGCCATGTTCCTGATAACTTGTTCTAGAAGTGTTTGTATTCTTGAAGGCTCCATTGCAGGCAGGCTGTGGGACTGCCCTGCAGCGGGTGAGCCTGTCTCCTCTTCCTCGGGGAAGTGCGTCTTCATGGCCAGCTGCCTGCATCTCTGGCCCACCGAGGTCACGGTAAAGATATGAGGTCAGCAGTTCAAACCAGGTATCCCTGCAATACGTACAAACGTGGAGGAATGGATGCAGCATCTAGTGTGGGCAAGGGTTCTAGCAAACCACCCCCTTCACTTGGGCACCCTGCTCAGGTGAGTGGGGTGTATATGCACTTTAGAGTTCAGATGAGAAAGAGAGAAAGAAGGGGGCAGGTGTGAGACAGAAAGAGAGAGTGCCACATGGTGACAAAGCAAAGGGCCAGCAACAAAGTGGCCAGATGAGGGGGACACATCCCCTTGAGCTCTGCTCAATGAAGCTCTGCAAGGCTGCTGAGTGAAAAGGACCTTTCTGCTTCACCTCTGCAGCCATCCTTGCCTCTGCCTTTAGACATGTTGCATGGTGCACGCTTGCGGACACTGCCGCTTCTCTGTGGTTCATTCACTCCCAGGCAGTTCCTAGCACATGGTTGCTCTAAACGCCTCCCTTCTCTCGGGTCCCATCTCCTCCTGCTCTCATGACTGTCTCCTGCCTGCTTCCCAGCCCCAGCCATCATGTATGTTTGTTCAGAACTTTGCACCTTAGGGTCACCTTTCTGCCCATGGTCACATTAGTCCACACGGCAGCCTCAAGGTGACACCGCTATTACCACTGCAAAGACAGTCAGGGTGGCACCCATCAGGGTCAACTCCCAATTGCATGTCTACTTTTGAGGTCAAGATAGTTCTCCACATTGGATGGACAGGGAAGGTGCCATGCAAAGGCTGCATAACTGCTCCAAGGTCCCACACAGCCCATGAGAAGAGACAGAGAAGATACGGCAGGCAGTCTTTGTGACTGGATTCTTTCACTCAGCATAATGCATTTGAGATTCAGCCATACTGCTGTATGGATCAGTAGTTATTTTCTTTTTATTGATGAGTAGCATTTTATTGTTTGATGTACCATAATTTGCTTATTTACTCATGGACATCCATGTGGGTTCCAGTGTTTGGAAATTATGAACAAAGCTGCCATAAACATTTGTGAGCAGGTCTTTGCATGGAGTTCCATCTGGGTCCATCTAACGACCAAGCCTCTGTTCCTTAGCCACGAGCTTCCACTGACACAAAACGCAATTGCGAAAGCACCCATCCTGTCAAACGGCCACTTTGGAATACACTGATAATTGTCACTTTGTTTCTTGGGGTGTATATATTGGGAGGTTTCCATTTTCTCATAAAATTAACAGAATTGAGACCCAACTATAGAATGAATACATTAAAAGACTAAAATACCCAGCACACACAATAGACATGTCAGAAAGACTAAACAGGAATCCTGACCATACCAACGGCTGGTGAGGATGTGGAGCAGTTGGCGCTCTCCCACACTGTGGGTGGAAGGGGAAACAGCACAGCCACCATGGTGAGCACTCTGGCAGTGGTGGGAAGGTCATTGTAGAGTGAGCCACGCACTAGCCATACAACCCAGCAACCCCACTCCTAGGTGTCACCCAAGAGAATGCAAAACATGACTCCATACAAATGCTCACAAATGTTTATAGCAGCTTCGTTTATAATTACCAAAAGCTGGAATCCACGCAGATTCCATGAATGAATAAACAAATCATGGTACATCATACAATGAAATTCTATTTATCAATAAAAAGGAAAGGACTACTGATTCCACACAGTAGCACGGCCAGATCTCACATGCATTATGCTAAGTGAAAGAAGCCAGTCACAAAAACAACACACTGTCTGATTCTATTTATATGACATTCTGAGGAAGGCAATACTATAGAAACAGGGAGATTCAGGTTAGGGGAGAGGTTTGACTACAGTGGGGCATGTTCAGGAAATATTCTATATGGACATAGATGATGAAATATTATTCCAAATATAATAGGTGGAAATACTCTGTATCTTGATTATGGTGGTGATTACATGGCTATATATATTTGCCATAATTCATAGAAGAGTACATCTAAAAGGACAAATGTTATGTATGTAAAATTATACCTTAATAAATCTGAGTTACAGAAACTACCTAGCTCAGCAGATGCTCTTTGAGAGTGAGTGAGCCCAAGCTTCACCCTTGTAGGTTATGTAAATGCATAAACCTCTGTGAAAACAGTGATTCCTGACTGTCGCTGCAAGTTACCAAGCTGAAGGTGAGCGGCAAGAGAGCTGCAAGGTGTAGCAGGAGAAAGTGTGCCAAAGCGCAGAGAGGAAGGTGGGGAGGGGCCCAGGCGGGAAAGGAGTTAAGGTGCAGCAGGGCTCAGAGCCCTGCACCTCTGGAGTGGGTGTGGCCTGCCTAGAAGAAGCAGTAACCAGGTGGTGATGGAAACAGTATCCCTGGAGAGAGGGGCAGGTAGGGGCAGGACAGGGGTCGGGGCCCTGGCTGGGGTTCAGGAAAGACCCAAGATTGCCAACACAGCAAGAATAGCCGATCTCAGGGGTGGAGGCTGCAGCACAGTTGGGCTCATGGCCCCCGGTGAGACCTGCACACAAGCACTCAGATCCGGGGACCTGGGCCAGGCACTACTGGGCACCAGATGAGGTGCTGTCCACTCAGGAGACCGGGTCGTCCTCCCCACTATGAGCGTGAGAATGGCATGCAAGAGGGCAAGGGCCCGCAGCTGTTACTTCACCCAGGACACAGTCCAGGGCTGTAGCCCATGCTTTGCCCTGTGTGTTACAGTCCATAGCTTCTCTGGTGCCCAAGGTGGCCCTGTGCAACCCTATCTCAGGCAGCAAGATGTATTCTGGGCCCCAGGTCGTGTCCCTGGGGCACCTCGATGTGGCCCCCTCCAGGCAAAGTAACCCAGACACAGGGGGTTGGCTGGTGGTCAGAGAGGTGTTGGCCTCTGCAGCCATCTGACTCCAGCATAGCGAAGTGGTGACATCTGTCACCCCTCTGCAGCCTCTGGCCCTGGTTTTCCAGCTGCACCACTTGAGGATGCTGCAGAGCCATGAGGTCAAAGAAGTAATCCTTTCCCTCTGAAGTGAGGACCTGGAAAGTCCACATTTGCTGGAGAGCAGGGGAGGCCTCTGCAGGATGGTTACGCCACCTGTCACCAAACGGTCCAACCCAGCCCCAGTAGGGGTGTGGGCAGAGCAATTTGCTCCCTTTGAATATCTAGTTCTGTAGCCTGCAGTAGCTTAGGGAGTGGCCCAAGGGGGTTTCCCTAGTTAAGTCCTGCCGGTTCATCACCCAAGACTCAATATGCATCTGGCATTAGGCACAAGTGGTGAGCCCAAAGAGGCATAAAACAAGGCCAAGGCCTATAGGCAGACTTACCCACTGACTGGAGATAAAACATACTGAGGGATGATCCAGCTGCCTGGTGCCCATCCCTGGGAAGGGCAGGTGGCTCTCTCTGAGGGTGGTGGGCCACTGCACTGCCAGTGAGTTTAGAAGACATGGCACCTCAGGTGCTGGGAGCACTTTCTGTGTTCTTTCCTCTTCTTGTGGCTTGTCCTGCACCTGCACCTCCAAAGGCTTTATTTTCGTTGTATTTCATTGCTGGGCTCTGCTCTAGGGTGGGGCCTGTTTAAGAGGTGCCTGTTCCTTGGCACCAAAATTGTTCTGGGCCTGCTCATGTGGCATCCGCCTCATTGTGCACTCCCTGGGGACCGCTCTGCCTCCAATTTTGTCCCTCACCCTGACTCCTCTGTGTGAGGCCCTCTGCCCTCCAACCACAGAGGTGCTGCCCCAGTTTGCCCCTGGCTCCTTGGCTCCAGGGAGAGGCTGTGCTTTGCATGTTGAGTTGATTCCTTCAGCCTTACTGGAACGTCATGTACCCGTCCTGACAGGATTTCATGACTCAGAAATGTGAGGTCTTCTTTGGCTGCAGAGCCCTGTGTAATGAAAGAAGCCTGGGAAATATAACCTGTGATAGGCTAGGACTTCTCCAAACCTGGACAGTCCCTCAGCAAAACTACAAAGCCAATTGTGAAGTCCCGGCAGTTTGTGGTCGTGGCTGCTCTGTTTGCCACATACAGCCAGCCGTACCTTCAGAGCTGTAGGCAAATGGACGGAGGGACCGGTGCTGACTCTTGCAACTGGGTTTCATCACGGCAGTGTGCTCCAGATCTCTGGGCATCTGGAACGAATGTGTAAGGAGTGAGGACAGGGAACTGCAGCCTTTGTCAGCTCCCTCTGCCCAGGTGGTGGGTTGGGGAGGCCCAGCGGTGCCAGGTTCCGAGGATAACTTCTCTGCTGCTAGACTTTGATTATGTCAGAGTCTCCTGGCCAGACTCCCTATGTGAGAAATGGGGTGGGGATGTCATGGGACAAGTCCAGCCACCAAGCCCTCTAGGTCCAGGGTCTGCCCACATGGGGGACACCTGGAGGCCAGATGTGTGCCCACAGGGCACCTGGTGAGATGGGAGGGTGAAGAGAAACTCTTTCTTGTGTGAACTATGTCCTCTGAGTGCGGCGAACCCCCATCCAAGCCTCTTCAAATATTTACATGTCTACCTAGGCTTGGACAGCTGTTTGGCAAGGGAGGCAGTTGGTCAACCTCCATATGCTTTCTAACTTGAAATAGTGCAGATGAGCTGGTCCTTGTTAAATGAATTAGGCTCTTACTATTTGAGTCCAAAACCTGTCTGGCTCAAGATATCTGGTCCTTCACTCCCAGACACTTGAAGATCCATGCAGTGTTTCCCTACCCTCAGCCATCCAGTGCCAATGTCCAGCCATTTATAATTTACTTAATATTTTCTTTAAATTGATCCACTCATACTGCCTACATAAATAGAATTTAAAAGGAAACTTTATACCACAAGTATAAATAGGAAACTATTAATACTTGCCATAAGTAGAAGGGAACTATATTTTAAAATACAATGAAAATAAAGCAAGTTTATTAAATTCTAGCAGGACACTGTTTTGCCAAGTTTCTCAGATTGAAACTGTTCTCTCTTTGTTAAACAGTGAAATTATCATGTGTTAGAGCAGTGTTACAGACATGCCTTTGGGAATCTAAAGAGAACTAGAAAGAGAATCACATTCACATTACAAAAGTCAGTGTTATTTTATTCATTCAGTTACTAAATACCCAGCAAGTGGTTGAGTGGAGTGGATAGTTCTTAGGACTACAAAGGCAAAATTAAATATAATCCTGTTTCCTTGTAGAGCTCATGATCTAGCAGAGAAGACTGACAAGGAACAAGTAAATAAATTTTAAAAAATCAACTTCAGTTTGTGGGAAGAAAAGAAAGCAAAGTATGTGCATAGAGAGGAGTATATTTTGAGTAGGTGTGTGTTGCAATGTGGGGACTGCACCTAGAGTGACCTTCATACTGAGTTTGAGACTCCAAATGGATATTTGAATGGTGACCTGAACTGGGTCTATGTGGAAAGGCTGGGGCTGAAATGATAAATTTAGGGATAGCAGTAGCATAGATGGTGTTCGAAGCCACAGGCCCAAATGCCTAGGTGGCACACGTGCATGAAGGGTGGGATCTGAGGGCTGAGCCCTTGGTCCCCCACATTAACGAGTCAGGAAGGAGAGAAGGAGCCAGCCAGGGAGATGAAGACAGGCAGACCCCTGTGGTCTTCCGTGGTTCTGTGGAAACACAATGAGAGTGCTTGGAAAGGATGGAGCGATTGACTAAAAAACGTTGCTGAGGCATTGAGTCAGATGAGGACCCTTGGGTTTGACAAGATGGCAGCACTTTTGGTGGGACAGTAAGAGTGAACACCTCATTGGAGCGGGTTAAAGAGAGGACAGGGAGCGAGGAAGGGGAGACAGGGAGCACAGTCTTCTCTTGACTTTTTCAATAACAGTGCTGGTGTTGAAGAACTCATCTGCCTGCAGCAGCTCATGAGCCACTCGAAATCAAACTGTGGATCACATGGCCTGAAAATCCACCCTGGATACCCAACCCCTGAGACAGGTAACACCCCCAGGAGGGTGACTTCTAGGTTAGTTTTCCCCCAGGAAGGGTCTTTCCTCTCTGGGAGCTGGGGACCCGGGGGCCCGCACTCAACACAGACGTGTATAGCAGCAGGGCAGGCCCATGCCAGGGCCACACGGCCGCACACAACCCGGGCCCTTATCCCAGAGCACAGTGAGGCGCCGGGCTAGTCATGCTGCAGCATGGATATTTATTGATCTTGATTCACACGATCCAAGAAAAGCTTGGCCACAGAGCCTTTGGTTCAATCACAAGGATATGGGGGTTGGGCATGGGCGAAAGAGAAGGAAATGGAATTTAAAGGAATCTGTCTTTAAGAAAATAACTCTTTGTAAACCTGATTTATGGGAGCCTGTGCATGCAATAGTGAAATGCTCTGTAACTCCTTGGAGGTGGTGTGAATAGGGGTTCTGTTAGCCACTGGCGGGACCTCCAGAAGCAAAACATGCCAGGGGGATGGAAGAGCGGCCTTCCTGGAGTCAATCTCTAGCAGGGCCTGCGAGGAAGTGGGGCTTCCTCCTCCAGCCCTCGGACGGCAGCCTGGGAGACGGGAGAGCGCTAACATTGATGTGCATTTTTATTTTGAATGAACAGAGCAATTAAAGTGCACCAGGGCCAGATTTAAGTTTTCTCCTTGGGCTGTTTCGAAGCTGCCTTCAGTCTGACCTCATCTGCACCCACACATTTCCTTTTATAGATATATATATACAAAAGATATAAATACATATATAAAATATATAAATATATATAATATATAAATATATAAATATATATAACATATAAATATATAGAAAATATATAAATATATAAAATATAAATATATAAATATATATAATATATATGAATATGTACATATATACATATAAATATATAAAATATAAATATATAAATATATATAATATATATGAATATGTACATATATACATATAAATATATAATATATAAATATATAAATATATATAAAAATATATATAAATATAAAAATATACATAAATATAAATAAATATATACATATATACATATAAATATAAAAATATATAAAATATATATAAATATATATAAATATATAAATATATGTAAATATATGAATATATAAATATATGTAAAGATATAAATATATAACTATATATAAATATATAAATATATAACTATAAATATATAAATATAAATATATAAAAATGTATAAATATATATATCTATAAATATATAAATATATATAGCTATATATAAATATATAAAAATATATAAACATATAAATATATAAATATATAAAAATATATAAACATAAATATATAAATGAATAAGTAAATATACATAAATATATATAAATATATATAAATAAATAAATATATAAATATATAAATAAATATATATGAATATAAATAAATATATATAAATATATAATAATACATATAAGTATATATAAATATATAATAAATATATATAAATATATAATAATATATATAAATATATAATCATATATAAATATAAATAAATATATAAATATATATAAATATAAATAAATATATATAAATATAAATATATATAAATATATAAATATACATAAATATAAATATATAAATATATAAATATATATAAATATAAATATATAAATATATATAAATATAAATATATAAATATATATAAACATATATAAATATATGTATAAATATATACACAGACTTTTTTTTTTTTTGAGAAGGTGACTCACTTGGTTACCCAGGCTGGAGTTCAGTGGCACAATGGTAGTTCACTGCATCCTCAACCTCCTGGGCTCAAGTGATTCTCCCACCTCAGCCTCCCAAGTATCTGGGATTACAGGTGCATGCCACCATGCCCAGCTATTTTTTTTTAATTTTGTAGAGATGGGGGTGGGGTGTCACTATCTTGCCCAGGCTGGTCTAGAACTCTTGGCCTCAAGACATCCTCCTGCCTCTGCCTCCCAAAATGCTGGGATTATAGGCATGAGCCACCACACTGGCCAGCCAGAGAAATTAAGAAAGTCCTGCACTAGCCGTGAGAAACAAAGTCGGAATAGTTTGACTTATTTTGCAGGGGAAGAAAGAAACCAAAACAACTGCTGAGGGCCCAGCATGTTCCAGGTATCTGGTGTTTGCCTTCTTTCTTAATCTTCACCACCACTCTGTTTTATAGATAGGAAGCTAAGGGTGAACAAGGGAAAGGGCTTGCCCAAGACCACAGTGTGACAGAGAGGCATGCACCCTCTGATAAATGGCCTCTTCTGATGTTCTCTCAGCTGTCTGACTTCTGGGCAGCCAGCGGAGATTTCCATCCTTGACCACAACCTTTTCATAATTGCACAGAATGTAAAGTGATGGGCACTGTTGCCCAGAGGTTGCATCCTGGCTCCTCAGGGCTGTCTGCTCTGGTTAGCCTGCATGGTCAGTGTGGTTCCTTCTGGTAGTGTGATGGCATTGGTGCCCTCTCCCAACCCTCTTTCCCCATAACTCCACTCCCTATTTCTTCCCATAGGTGGGCTCTCGCTCCTGCACCTGCTTGGCTCATGTGAGCATTGGCCTTGTGACCCCTGCCTAGTGCTCTATCCACTCACACGTGGGTTTTCTCATGAAATCCTTGTCATAAGTCCCATTTATTCAGATAAAGCAGCTGAGGCCCGGAGAGGTTCAGCAACTTGCCTAAAGTCACAAAGCTGAGACTCAAACCTAGGTCTCAGGGTTTCAGACACCCAAGCCAACAATCTTTCCCTGATCTGCACATACCCACTGTGTGAGCTCTTAAAGCCCCACCTCGACTCCCTTTATCAGGACTAAGGCCTAATGGCCAAATTGGAAAAAGAGTCACCTACAATTGACTCAGCTAGCCAGCTCACAGGGCTGCAGAACTGTACTCATCTGCTAACAGCCCTATAACAATATCCTCTATGAAACACTTTGTGTGTTTTCTTGTACCTTTCCAATTACCAGAGGTTGATTTTGCTCTACCCATTTTACAGAGGAAGAAACTGAGGTGCATGGACTTGCCTAAGGTCACATTACCACTAAGTGGTAGATTCAGGATGCAAACCCAGACTTACCTGGCTCCCAAGTCCACCAGCTTTGTACCATATTTGGCAGCTGCCCTTTGGGCCCGTGGCTAGGGTACAAATGAGAGTGGTTCCCAGCACCTTGCATTTGCCTTGTTGAGGTACATGTTTCCCTCTTTACACAGACACTTTGTATCTGTTACAAAGCCAAGGAAAAGATCTGAACAGACCCTAAGCAGCACATTCCATACTCTTGCTGAAATGACCCCCTTGGAAGGGATGTGCAGCCTGCTTTGTCCTAGGGGTGGTCTCGCTTCCCCTCCCTCTTATCTTCCTAGTGCATGGCTCTCCAGAAAAACCATGTTGCCTTCCCTTCTTCCTCCAGGCTGGTAACACTAAGTTGGGAAGGGCTGAATTCAGATCCTCACTCATGTCCCTCTGCCCTGAACCTCAGCAGCTGTGGATAATATGTATTGACAGTTTGGAGGCTGATTCAACCTGTTAACTTTGGGGGGCATCACATGCCTCTCTTCTTGCTCCAGACCCTATGCAACACCTCAAAACCGGAAGGCAAAGCCATCAGTTCTGGGCTCAAAACTTCATTTCAACCACGCCCAAAGACCATGACTGATGTGCTCCCTCAGGGCTATGAGATTCTGTCCTGACACTGCTGTGCTCCAAGGAAAGCTGTAACGAATGAGCATGAAATATGTGGAGGCCAAGGATGGGAAGGCTTCAAGTGGCCCGGTGAAAGCCTCTCTTCTGAAACTGCATCTGGTCAGGGATGAGAGCACCTTTTCTGAGGCTGAGCTTTCAGTCAAGCCTTCTGGCTTCAAGGGTGCAGACCCAACATGAACCTTCGGAGATGCCAATTCATTTACTCTTGGCAAAACCGGGCTTCCTCTCTCAATACAAATGAAAGCATGGAAGGCTTGTAAAATTGACTCCAAATGCATTGTGCATATCTACAAACCCTTAAAACCCAACATTTGGATGAGCTGCTAGGAGATGGATCAGAAACACATGGAGTGGATTTTCTGTAAATTGCACTGTGCGCCTCTGAAATTAAAGGGAAAGAGCTTGGCATGGTCCATTTGGGAGTCACAGATCTTCCAGCACTTGAAGCATCAGTGAATGTTCCCCAGGCAGAAGATTCTTTGGCTCACTTCCACAGGCTCTCATTTTCCTCCCAGCAGAACCTGTTAAAGGGGGAAAGGAAATGAGAAATAGAAGAGGAAGCGAGAGGGTATTGAGAAGGCCTTCAGGAAGATGGGCTGCGAACTTGGGGATTGTAAAGCATGTGGACAATTTGGGAAGTGTGGGATGAAGCCGGTTCTTAAAATCTGTATCTGTAACCAGGTTCTCTTGGCTTCTCCCTCAGTGATTCAGGCAGAGATTTTTCTGGGCTGGCCATGGACCTTGCAAATGAGTATGCACATCATTTAGAAACTATTCACATCCTGGAGTGGCCAGAGCATGTAGAGTGATTAGAATCATGCAGACCATTTCCATGAAGCCTGGTGACACATAGGTCATACTGTCATATGCTATTATTCTGCTGGTGTTTGAAGGCATGATCTGTTATTTTCCACCTGCTTACTTTTAAAACAAAGCCCTGTTGACTAAGTGCATTCTATTTTGAATACTTCAAATGAATGATACTTTGAGACCAAGTCAACTGTTGACATTCAGCCAAGACTATAACCCATATGTTCAAAGTTAATGACCATCTGGCCTAGAAAAGGCCAGAAGGATCACGCGATGTGTGGAAAGCACATTGCAGACAATCTCTGACTTTCCAAAGCACTTACAGACCCACCCAAGAACTGACAGCCCCTCACCGAGGCCGCCACCACGTGAGCCACCCTGCTGTGCAATAACCTGTCTACATGTCAGTCCCCAGCACCGGGCACTGAGTCCCATCAGAATAATCTCATTCTTGTTTGTTGTTGGGTGGGGATCAATGCAGAGCAATGGGCAGGGCATGTGTTTAGGCATCAGACTGACCTAGCATTTAATCTCAGCTCAGTCAGGCTTCCAGCTCTGGGAGAGTCCACCACTCCTTGTTTTCCTACCCTGCTCTTTGCCACATGCGGCCCCATCAGAGGTCTAGGTTTACACACCTTGGTTGAGCCTGTGGGTTTAAAAATCAGAGTTCTCACTTTGTCTATCCCAGCCAAACATCTGCAGCACGAAAGCTGCTCTGTGCACTGAAAGTGACATGAAATTTATCTCACGTTACCCTTTTCCAGGACCGTATCAGTAGGAGGGTGGGGCTGTCAGGGACAGATGCACAGGCACTGGGGACCTTGGAACAGGGGCTCGTGGGCGTTAGACATGAATCTCCAGAATAAGTAGGTTCCTGGCATCTGTTCTGCCTAGCTCCGCACCACCCACTGCTCCTGGGCACGGCTTCAGCAGGTGGGAGGTGTCTCCCCCTGCCCACAGGGGTATCCCTTGCATGGAGAGACAGAGAGGTAATTACAGAAAAACTGAAATGCACATTGGCATTAGCAGAGTTGCGGGGCAGTTCCCTTCTGAAACGCATTCATTCCTGTACTTTCTGCTTTATAATAAACACATAGCCCTTTGGAAATTAGAACAAAGGGACTAAAGGTCTAAACAAGGACAATGTAGTACACAAAACAATGAGACATAGGAAGGGACAGACGTAAGATATGACAGCAGAGTGAGGGATTTGCCTCTGCTGACGTCAGGAGAGGCTTAGGAAAGAAAAGAGGATGATCATAGCTTCTCAGGCAGCCAGGAGGAAAATGCTTCCTGGCAGGCACCTGGACACCAGGAGCGTAGTCTCCACGCACGAGACAGGGCGGCATGGGCTGGGAACTAGGATTAGCTCAGGGTTGCTGAAATGCCAAGGGAGGCAGGGCAGGAAGTGAGGAAGAAGAGATCAGGGCCTCATTGTAGAAGTCATATGTGCCAGCTTCAATTTGTATCCCGAAGGGAGTAATAAAAGGTAATTAAGCCAGGGCCTGACCCAAGGGGCTGCATTTGCATTTGAAAATTTCTTCAGTGCATGTGGAAGGTGTTTGGAGACAGGCAGGGCTAGGATCAAGAGACAAAGCCAATTAGGGTCTATTTTTCACCTGCTTATGAAGGCTATCAGTAAGACAGCCAATTTTGCTAAGGGTCTGAGCAAGAAGGAATTGCGGATGCAGCCGCCAGCTGACATCTGCCCCCTAAGGCTCTGCATAGTCCCTCTTCCCACAGTGGGGAAGGGGGCCCAGTGGGGGTTCCCTGGGCCATCAATCTTCATTAAGTCCGTCATTGTCCTCAAGAGCCGGGCAGTGCTTGGAAGGGCTGCTTGATGGAAGTACTGTGACCCCAAAGTATTTAGAAATAAAGGCTAATTGACCATAGGAAAATCAAACAGATACCATCACTGGTGTTTCAGCTTCTGGGCTCTTGGACACGTCTCCCAGTCACACTTCTACCTCATCCCCAACAATGGAGATGCCTGCGAGGCACTCGCCGACCCTCCCAGCAGTGGAACTACCCAGGGACATGATGAATGGCTCCTCACTGGGCACTTTGGAGACAGGGTGGGAGTAGCAAGTGGGACAGAAGTCAGCTCAAACGTCAGGCAGAGCAGGCCCTTTGCTGTCACTCCAGCCCAGCCTGACGCACTGTCCCATCATTGTGGAGAAATTTTTACTGAGATATAATGGACAAATGAAAATTGTATATATTTATCATGTATGACTTGGCGTTGATGTACATATACACTGTGAAATAATCTCTACAATCAAGTTAATATATTCATTACTTTATATAGTTACCATTTCCTTCCTTCCTTCCTTCCCTTCCTTCCTTCCTTCCCTCCCTCCCTCCCTTCTTCCCTTCCTTCCTTTTCTCTCTCTCTCTCTCCCCCTCTCTCTTTCTCTCTCTCTCTCTCTCTCTGTATCTTTCTTGGAGTGAGAATACTTAAGATCGACCCTCAGCAAATTTCAAGCACAACTATGCTTTCTTATCAGAGTAAAAATCCTACTGCTGGAAGGAATTCAATGGCAGAACCATGTTTGTGTTGTATTATTCTCAGCTGGATATTTGATAGGATTTAATTGGTACAGAAATTGACCATTAGCAATGTGCTTTCCCACACATCATTAAGTAAATTTTCAGTGGGCTGGGACTGGTGGTTCAGAGGTGAAGACCTGCCTCTAAGCAGCTAATGGTCACTCTCAGTGTGTGTGCATGTTGTGTGTGCCTGTGAGTATGTCTGTGTGCTGTGTGTGATTCTGTGTATGTGCATGTGGGAAGTGCTTTAAAGAACAAGAGCCACCAAGGAAACCCAGGGTTTCTAAGGAAAACACAGCACGGGGAGGGATAGAGAGCATAGATAGGGTCAGCTAACTAGGTGAAGACTTTTAAAATACCAGGCTTGCAATTGGCCACCCTCTCTCTATGTCCTCACATGGCAGAAAGAGAGAGGGAGGGATGGTGTCTCATTCCCTTTTATTAGGACTCCAGTTCTATCGGGTCAAGGCTCCAACCTTATAACCTCATTTCACCCTCACCAGACATGGAACCCTGTCAGAACCTTCGTCTTAGACGTTGCAGCCTCCAGGCTGTGAGAAAGGAGATTTCTGTTGCTACAGTCACTCTGCTTGTGATGTTTTGTTGTGGCAGCCCGTGACTAATGCAAGCACCCTCCAACCGAGTACATAGCACACCCAGGCCATTAAAAGGCATCACAACCAGGGGGTGGGCTTTTCTCTTGAACCCCTCACTTACCCTCATTAACTGTATAGACATAGTCTCATGGGGTTTGAGAAAGGGAATCCTGTCATTAAAAAGATGACTTTCTGTTCCCTGCAAATTTAATCGAAAGATACATGATCCAAACGTTGTCCTGTTTCTTGGTTGACACACTGTGGGTCAGGGTTTTCCAAGCCAATGTTTTCCACATACAGCCAGAGGACTTAACACACAGACTAATGTTCACCTTTCCACCACTTGGGGTAACATAATGATTGTGTTGGTTTGTTGATGAATTTCATTGCATTCCAATTACCTTTAATGTATTCATGTAACTTGTTTATGAACAAAGCTACATAAGGTCAACAAAGAGTTTTGTTTTTGAATCATGGGCTAAACTTGCAAAAGTGAACCATGAGCCAGGAGGAATTATCTCTTGACAGAATAGGACCTTAAATGTTTCCAGCAGTGATACTGGTTCAAAATCATTGACTGGCTCTATCTGTCTGTCTGTCTGTCTGTCTATCTATCTATCTATATCTACCATCTATCAATCTGCCTACCTATCTTTGATGTTCCCTAAATTTCTTATGATTAAAAAAACACAGAAATGAAAAATTTCATAACAGCAGTGAGACTAGGAAGAGAATATATCAGCATAGGGCTGTGCCTGACTCTTTAATCATAATCATATTTAATCATAATTTATTCATAAATAGGACCGTACAACCAAAGATATTCAGATTCTTGAGGGAAACATCTACAAACCTAAATACGCTGTTAATAAACCCTGTCTGCAGCCCCTCCTCACTCTCCCCCCGCACCGAGGTGGACTAAGGGGCTCCAGTTTGCAACTGTGGGTGTTCAGGGGTGGGTTGGATTGCTCAGACATTTGCCATTTGAGGTTTGGGATTCTGCTCAGCCACTTACCATTTATCCTTCTCCTTTTTAGCTTACAACATTTTGTTGATATTAACTACTCTCCTGTCTCCTTTTTTAAAAAAAGCTTGTGCTTTTAAAAATCACTTTACTGCCATTTCAGTGGGGCTTGGTGAGGGAGCAGAGAAAATGAACATGTTCAGTTATCTCTAGATCTGTAAAAATACACTTTCTTCTCACTCTTCTAAGAAAAATGACTTGAGGATGTACTACAAAACAACAAAGAAGGGATTTATTCCTAAAGAGAAAATGTGTGCTTTCCACAAAATGAAGATGCAAACGGTGCTCAGCACTGGGAGAATCTAAGGACAGCAGCTATGTGGCACATCTAGAAACCAACTGGTTCAACCAGAAAGTCCCTAGAAGAACGTTTGAAGACAAATGTGGAATTTTCACAACACATATTTTGATTTAGGATCCAGACAATCTTTGTGATAAGGTGAATACAAAATATTATTTTTAATGCTAAAATATATACAATAGACAGTCTAGGAAAGAAACATAAAATCAAAGCTCAACATGAAGAACATTAAAATGGTGCATGATTTAGGACAAATTTAGGCTGTAAAAAAAGAGAATCTTTTTGACATGTAACCATTACATTTGGGTAGCACTGGTTTAGTGACAAAAACTTCTATCCCTCTTCTATGATCCTAATCCATTCTACTGAAATATTACACAACAATATTGTAAAAGTAGCTTATTTTTATTTTTAGAATTTACCTACAAAGTACAGGAGACTAATTATTATCTCTTATAAAATCTAATGGAACTTCCCCCCCAACATTTTAGCCTCCTTGAAAATGGGACGTACTGTGTAACCAATAAAGTACCATTGACGGCATTTTCTTAGTTTAATGAAACATACAACAATTATGTGGCATGTTAGATTTGATAAAATACAATATACCGACAAAGGAGAATGAAAATATTATAAACCTTACAGTTTGAGATAAGAACAGAACTGACAGATGATGAGATGGAGAGGGAAGAGGAAGAGCAGGAAAACAAAGGTTTTAATTCCTTTAACGTACATGGAGAGTCAAAGGGTGCCCTGTAAATAGAGATCAAGAAATAGCTTTGACATATTTTGAAGTCATAAAAATAAAACAAAAGAACTAAAAGAGAAAATAATCACACATATATAAATAAAGTTTAGGCTGAGTAAAATTTGATGTATGTAATTTAATTTTTTTTTTAACGGAGAGGAGCCAAGAGACACTGTTGAAAGTTGGCAGATCAAGAACTAGGGCCCTGAACATATTATTTAGAGCTATGAAAACCATGGCCCGAAAAAGTAAAAGCAGAAACTTTGGAAAGTTATTACCCTTGGCAAGAAGGGTGGGAGGGAAAGGGAGGGTTTTATTCTATAGTTACAGCATTGTTTGGATTTTTACTACTAAGGGTATTACTGTTAAAAAATTAATTAATTCATTCAGAATGGAGCAATTCCCACAAATTAAGAAAAACAAAAAAATGCACTCAAGTAATATTTTCTAGAACTTACAATTACCACTTCTCTAACACTTATTTGTTAATTATCTTATACTATTCACAGCTAAGGTGGCTACATAATTGCCTGGTATGGAGAATGTAGGTAATATGAATACATGCATCTTCTTTTAGGTGGATGATGAAGTGTGCCATCTCTATCTAGTTGTGCATCAAACAGCTAAGCATTGTAGTTCTGTGTTGCTTCAAAGTAAGACCAACTAGTCTCAAATTCAAGTTATGGTTTTGTAGACAATCCTCATCCCAAGAGGTTTACAAACAAAGATTTGTTTAAATAAATCATTTCACTAAAAATTTGCTTTCTCAAGTTCAAATGTGAGGTGCTTTCTGGAGATTCTTTTTGATTGGGATACTTAACTGATTTCACTTACTCTGAACATTCCCAAGACTAAAACGATTGTGTTCTTTTAGTAAGGAGTGCAAATGTTAGAGCTCTGGTCATCCATCATAGTTTGTGTTTTCTGGTGGATCCAAAATCATTTTCTGCTGTGGGAAGTTAGGGAGCCTGAACGGAGGGACTGGATGAAGCCACAGCAGAAGAACATAAATTGTGAAGATTTCATGGACATTTAATAGTTCCTCAAATTAATACTTTTATAATTTCTTAAGCCGGTCTTTACTGCAATCTCTGAATATAAATTGTGAAGATTTCATGGACACTTATCACTACCCCAATCAATACCCTTGTGATTTCTTATGCCTGCCTTTACTTTAATCTCTTAATCCCTGAGGAGGATGTATGTCACCTCAGGACCCTGTGAAGATTGCGTTAACTGCACAAATTGTTTGTAGAGCATGTGTGTTTGAACAATATGAAATCTGGGCACCTTGAAAAAAGACCAGGATAACAGCAATGTTCAGGGAACAAGGGAGATAACCTTAAACTTTGGCTGCCTGTGAGCCAGGCAGAACAGAGCCATATTTCTCTTCTTTCAAAAGCAAATAGGAGAAATATCATTGAATTCTTTTTCTCAGCAAGGAACATCCCTGAGAAAGAGAATGCGTCCCTAAGGGGAGGCCTCTCAAATGGCCGCTCTGGGGACAGCTGTCTTTTACGGTTGTAGATAGGGGATGAAATAAGCCCGGGTCTCAGTAGTGCTCCCAGCCTTATTAGGATGAGGAAATTCCCGCCTAATAAATTTTGGTCAGACTGGTTGTCTGCTCTCAAACCCTGTCTCCTGATAAGATGTTATCAATGACAATGCGTGCCCAAAACTTCACTGGCAATTTTAATTTCGCCCTGGTCCTGTGGTCCTGTGAGCTCACCCTGCCTCCATTTGCCTTGTGATATTCTATTACCTTGTGAAGCACATGATCTCTGTGAACCACACCCTATTGGTACACTCCTTCCCCTTTGGAAAATCAATAATAAAAACTTGCTGGTTTTATGGCTCAGGGGGCATCACAGAACCTGCCGACATGTGATGTCTCCCCCGGACAACCAGCTTTAAAATTTCTCTCTTTTGTACTCTGTCCCTTTATTTCTCAGACCAGCTGACACTTAGGGAAAACAGAAAAGAACCTAAGTGAAATATCGGGGGAGAATTTCCCCCAATAATTTTCTACAGATGATTGTGGAACACATAAACACACACAGCCCTGAGCAAGGACTCAGGCCTAAGTCATTGTTAGGCATCTTGGTTTCCTCAGGAGGCAATCAACACTTCCTCCACTCAACTTCTTGCCAAAGCTTATGGATCTGCATTTAATCAGCAACAGAGAACAGCTGCCCATCCTGTAGCTGTTGGAGAGGACAGCCTTCAATTTGTTGACATGTGATAGGGATGATTTCTTTAAAGTTCATCAGCTATTTCACACTTCCCAGTATTGTGAAACCAACATCTATATCAAGTCAGTTCAGCAAGCAGTCGGGGACCTGGAGTGCACAGAGAATCACTTTCACTAGTTGCTTGATGCTGTTTTTCCAAGCTGAGAGATTACCTTATGGAAGAAATTGATAGAATTACCCTGGGACTTCATTCATAATCTTACATCACAATCTCTGTACAAAGACCACCAGGTGAAAACATTTGAAATTTACTCTTGGT
Organism: Homo sapiens; assembly: GCF_000001405.40. Classification (NCBI taxonomy): domain Eukaryota; kingdom Metazoa; phylum Chordata; class Mammalia; order Primates; family Hominidae; genus Homo; species Homo sapiens. The sequence goes on along the minus strand of NC_000010.11, from coordinate 47,169,495 downwards.
GAATTTGAAATGTGTAATACATTATTATTTATTATGTTTACTATGCTCACCACAAAAATGATGGTTGAGGTGATGGATACAGTAATTAGCTTGATTTAATTATTTTACATTGTACAGTTGAGACTTGAACAACATGGGGGTTAGGGGTACAAACCCCCAGGCAGTGGAAATTCTGTGTATAATTTTTGACCCCCCCCAAAATTTAACTACTAATAGCCTACTCCTGATCTGAAGCTTTACTGATATCATAAACAATTGATTAACACATACTTTGTGTTTTATGTATCATGTACTGCATCCTTAGACTAAATTAGAGAAAAGAAAATGTTATAAAGAAAATCATATGGAAGAGAAAATATATTTACTATTCATTAAATGGAAGTGGGTCATCAGAAAGGTCTTCATCCTTGTCATCTTCATGTTGAGTAGGTTGAGGAGAAGGAAGGGGAAGGGTTGGCTATACTTTCTCAAAGTGGCAGAGACAGAAGGAAATTTGCATATAAGTGGACCCATGCAGTTCAAACCCACGTTGTTCAACAGTCAACAGTATTTATAAATCATAACATCACTTTGTACTCCATAAGTATATACAAATGTAATTTGTCAATTTATAATTAAATGAATAAAATTTAAAAAATAAGACTACAAGGCTTATTTTCCACCTCATCCTGGTACCAAGAACAGTTGAGATTCTTGTGGGGACCTGGTCTGCTTCATCCTATGCCCTCCATGAACCGCAGAGCATGCAGAGTCCCGTTCTCATGCGGGTAAGAATCCTTAGAGATAAAAATGTTCTGGCTGGGTGCAGTGGCTTACGCCTGTAATCCCAGCACTTTGGGAGTCCAAAGCAGGTGGATCATAAAGTCAGCAGTTCAAGACCAGCCTGGCCAAGATGTTGAAACCCTGCCTCTACTAAAAATACAAAAATATTAGCCAGGTGTGGTGTCGGGTGCCTGTAATCCCAGGTACTCGGGAGGCTGAGGCAGAGAATTGCTTGAACCTGGGAAGCAGAGGTTGCAGTGAGCCGAGATGGTGCCACCGGCACTCTAGCCTGGGCAGCAGAGCAACACTTCATCTCAAAAAAAAAAAAAGTTCTTTACCCTCAGAAAATGAAAATTATGGTACGTGGTTTTTAGTTATTACTGAATACATTTTCTGTTTTCTCTTATACTTACCTTCCTTCTTTTATTCTTCTGCCACTTTATTCTATTTTATGTATCTATAAGTCACCTTCACCTTATTGTAATAAGGACCCATAAATAACTAACCCTCACACCAAATCCTTAAGGTAGGTGTCCTTGTTTCTACTTCACAGGTAAGAAAACTGAGACTGAAAATAAGTCAAGAAGGTGCCACTGAAACCATTGCTCTCTGATCCCAAAGTCCATTGCTCTCAGCACCCTTTCCTGTTACAGAAGAACCACTGTAAAATTCTTAGGAGCAATATTGCTTTCTAGAGACTGCAAGGAAATTAATAATGCAACGAATGTTATATATTGTAAACAATGTTTGTTTATAAGACTAAAGCTAAGTTACAAACCTGGTAACTAACTATATGTGACCAAAATCCAGGCATGACAGTTCACAGGCCAGTTGTTCATCCCCACCACAGCTTAATAGAGCTGCGCTGTCCTTCCTGGTGAGGTTTCCTCCAAGCCAAACATGCTTTGAGCTGGCTCAGATGCCCAGGGGCAGAAGCATGGGCTTCCTTCAGAGAAAGTAATGCTTCTGTGTCCAGAATTGGTTCCTTCCAGTTGATTTTAGTCTCACTGACTTCAAGAATGAACAGGCAGACCCTCATAGTGACTGTTATAGTTCTTAAAGATGGTGTCCAGAATTTGTTCCTTAAGATGTTCAGATGTGTCCAGAGTTTCTTCCTTCTGGTGGGTTCGTGGTCTTGCTTACTTCAGGAGTGAAGGCACAGACCGTTGCCGTGAGTGTTACAGCTTTTTTTTTTTTTTTTTTTGAGACAGAGCCTCGCTCTGTCACCCAGGCTGGAGTGCAGTGATGCAATCCCAGCTCACTGCAAGCTCCACCTCCCGGGTTCATGCCATTCTACTGCCTCAGCCTCCGAGTAGCTGGGACTACAGGCGCCTGCCACCACTCCTGGCTAATTTTTCTTATTTTTAGCAGAGACACGATTTCACCATGTTGGCCAGGATGGTCTGGATCTCCTGAACTTGTGATCCGCCCACCTCAGCCCCCCCAAAATGCAGGGATTACAGGCGTGAGCCACCACACCCGGCCAGTGTTACAGCTCTTAAAGGTGGCGTGTCTGGAGTTATTCATTCCTCCCGGTAGGATCGTGGTCTTGATGGGTTCATGGTCTCTGTGGCTTCATGAGTGAAGCTGCACACCTTGGCAGTATTACAGCTCACAAACATAGCACAGTTCCCAACACTAAGCAGAATCAAGATTTATTGTGAAGACCAAAAGAACACAGCTTCCACAAACTCGAAACAGACCCTACAGGGTTGCTGCAGTTGGGCCGGTGGCCAGCTTTTATTCCCTTATTTGGCCCCGCCCATATCCTGCTGATTGGTCCATTTTTACAGAGTGCTGATTGGTCCATTTTACAGAGTGCTGATTTGTCCATTTTTACAGAGTGCCGATTGGTGCATTTACAAAACTTAAGCTAGACACAGAGCACTGATTGGTGTGTTTATAATCCTTTAGCAAGACAGAAAAGTTCTCCAAGTCCCCACCCGACCCAGAAGACCAGCTGGCTTCACCTCTCACTTCCATGCTGCCAAGACCCCTAAGACTCCCAGAGCCTCCTTCCTCGGCTCCTCACTGCCCCTTCCCGCCCTACTCCATGCCTCCATGTTTTCCCCAGGACCCAAGGCCAGACTTCGCTCTGAGCTCCCTGACGCTTTGGGCTGAGGCCAGGCCCTGATATACCGGTACTGCAGGAAAAGAAAGGAAAAGAATCCAGAAGGCTCCTCCTGGGCTTGCACAAATTCCCCTCTGCTTGGTCTGAAGAGGCACGTACTAGGAGAGTGCACAGGTAACAGTGAAGCCCCCTTACCCAGTGACCCTTCCTCCTGGTTACCACATTCCCCAGTGGCGCCTGGTCTATGACAGCTGTGTCTCTGCCTCCACAGGGCTCAGGGCAGGTCCTGGGGCACTTCTCCCGCTGGCCCTGGATGAGTCAGCACCTCAGGCGCATGCAGTAGGTGCTCAAGACTCAGATCCCTCCTCTTGTCTAGGCCTCCAGTTGGCCCGGATTCTGGGGGCCCTAGGGGACCCCCTCCCTCCCCTTCTGGCTTTTGCTCACACACACTGGACCTGATAAAAGTTCCAGCATGATTTATCAAACACCCTGGCTCCTCCAGGCTGAGCCCCTGGGGGATTTTGAAAGGAAACAGGCTCCATGTGCTTCCAATCCACTCCACGCAGCTCATTGCGCTATTGTTCCGTCTAGCGGGGGATGTGCGGGACACCCTGGAACCGTTCGTGGCTCTGTTTAAAGATGTTTTTCTTAGAAGCAGGAAGTTACGTCCTGCCAAGAAGAAATGAAAATAAAGCCCCGAGGGTTCACTCGGGGTTCGCTGGGAGCCGCGCTGAGCTGTTGCAGCGTCTTGGCCCGGCCGAGGAGGAAGTTTAAAGGGGCCTCTGTCTAGAGCTCTGAAGGCAGGCAAGGCAGCCTGGCAGTGACCATCAGGCAAGTCAGAGACACACGCGAGCTCTCTGCCCCAGGGGCCCTAGGGTGGCCTCACAGGGCACAGCAGAGCCCTCCTTCTCGTGATCACGCTGCGGTCGGGTTGGCTGCTCCTTCCCATTCGTTCCTCTGAATCTCTGCAGAGGCCGGGGGCATGTGGGAAGGGCCCAGGAAAACCTCAGGTCCAAATCTTGGCTCCTTGTATGATAGACGTGTATCTTGCACAAAGTACTTCACCTCTCTGGGCAGCAGATGTCGTGCTGTGAACTCTGGGGCTGCTCTTCCCCCTGCCCCAGGCTTTCTTACATACTTCCTACTAACCCCCAGCCTCCGAGGACCAGGTTCAGACAAAACTGTCTATCAAAGTCATTCCCTGGGTGAGTGTGACTGAACAAAATCAACAGCCCAGCCCGGTAATGCCAAGAGGCTCCAGGCCTCCCACAGAGGGAGGGGCTCCTCCAAGGCTGTGGGTACAGGTGTTCTTCTGGGGTTCCCAGGGCAAGCCGGGAAGGAGTACTGCAGAGCCCCACGGAAGGATGCATGAGCACAATTGCTCTTTCTTGCCTCTGAGGAAACTTCTTGGCAGACAGTGTAGAATTCATTTCTACCTCTTTTCATTCATTCAACAAGTACTGAGAGCCTTCCATTTGCTTAATAAGAAAAAGGGGCTAGGACTTTGAAAGCCAAAACTGTTTCTGTCATTTACTGACTTTGAGATCTTGGAAAACTATGTATAAGTCTCAGTCTTCTAACTATAGAATGGGAATAAATGTCTCTACCTTTTAGGTCCTTGTAAAGATCAAGCACTCTTGGATGTCCCCTGCACTGCAGGGAAACGTGGCTGCTGCCTCTTCTGGTTGCCTGCAGCTCTTTGCATAGAGTTCATGTTAGCCTTGGTGATTCATGAGTGCGTGATTGTCACCAACACGTGTTTCTGAGTGCTGCAGGGTGGGGGCTGCACTTTATGCCTCAAGCTGTCCCCAGATTCTGGAAGAGTCCCCTGCTCACTTGAGGGTGGGTTGAATGAATAACAAACTGATTTATTTCCTCCATCATGTCCTGAGAGGATACCTGGGCTGCAAAAATAAACATGCCTGAGGTCTACCAGATCTGGGCAGCATGGTGGGACAGAGGGACAACTGAAGGCTGATGTCGTGGTCACCTCCCAGCCAGTTGAAGGGCTGCTGGGGCACTGACGGTAGACAAGACATCTGAAGCCAGTTAGTAAGACTCCAGGGCTTACGAATACTGCCCAGTTCCTGAAAGTGGCGTCCTGCAGGCAAGGAGAGCACACTGTCCAAGTCATAGTTGGAGGCACATTGAAGGCACCAGCACCATCTGGCCCTCTACCCCAGAACTTGGAACCAGCGGGAATCACAGGACTATAGGTTTCAGCTCAACCAAAGAAAGGAGTTCTCAACAATCAGAACTGTCTGACTATAGAATGAGCTGCCGAGGTGTTGAGTTTCCCAGCCCTGAGGGTTTTTATGTAAGGCACCCACAGCTATATTCTAGGAATGTCTTATTGGTGTGGTGAGTCATGAACCACTGGAGGCTTGATTGCGTTCCAAAGTGTGGCACATACACGATTGGTGGTCCATGCGCTGATTTTATAAAGCACACAGACCATTTTTTTAAAAAGTGTGTTTTCTTTCTGTTAAATTATATAGATTTTGTAGTTATTCCCTATTTTATGAGAAGTGATAACTGTTTTTCATTTATGGAACAACAAAGTTTTATTTTAAACAAATATATCAAATACAATACCATTTATAATTGCTCAAAAATAAGATACTTAGATGTGAATCTAACAAAATATGCATAGGACTTGCATGCTGAAAATTACAAATAGTGATTAAAGAAATCAAACAAGATCTAAGCAAATGGAAAGACATACCATAGGCTGGAAGATGCAGTGAACTGAAGATGTCAGTTCTCCCCAAATTGACACACAGGTTTGATGCAATTCTATCAAAACCTTAGCAAGATTTATATTTTTTTGGCAGGGGAAAATTATTCTAAAATTTCAATGAAAAGGCACAAAAACTTGAATAACTAAATCAAAAAATTTAAAGAACAATCAAGTGAGAAGAATCAGTCTATCTGATTTCAAAACTTATTGTATACCTATAGTAACTGAGGTTGTGTGGTATTGGTGGAAGGCTAGACACATAGATAGATCAATACAATAGGATAAATAACCAAGAAACAGATCCAGAAAAATATGCTTATCTAATCTTTGACAGAAATGTGGAAGTAATTCATTGCAGAAAAGAGCCTTTTAAATAAATGGTGCTAAAGTAATTAGATATTCATAGGCAAAAAAAAAAAAAAAAAAAGCCAAAAACCCTCAACCTAAGTCTTACACCCTTTGCAAAAATTAACTCAAAATACATCATGGGCCAGGCACAGTGGCTCACGCCTGTAATCCCAGCACTTTGGGAGGCTGAGGCGGGTAGATCACCTAAGGTCAGGAGTTCGAGACCAGCCTGGCCAACATGGTGAAACCCCGTCTCTACTAAAATACAAAAATTAGGTGGGCATGGTGGCACGTGCCTGTAATCCCAGCTACTCAAGAGGCTGAGGTGAGCATCACTTGAACCCGGGACGTGGAGGTTGAAGTGAACCTAAATCACGGCTCTGCACTCCAGCATGGGCGACAGAGCGAGACTCCCTCTAAAAAAATAAAAATAAATAAATAAATAATGGACTTAAATATAAAACATGAAACTATAAGACTTAAAAGAAAATAGAAGGAAATCATCAGGATATGGGATGAGATAAAGGATTCTTAGACTTGATACCAAAAGCACAACCCATAAATTGAAAAATTGATAAATTGGACTTCTTAAATATAAAAACTTTTGCTCTACAAAAAGCCTATTGATAACTTTTTTAAAAGCCACAGACTGAAAGAAAATGTTTGCAAACATCACGTATGACAACATCATAGTATCTAGAATATGTAAGAAAGTCTTAAAATTCAATAGTAAAAAATTCAATCAAATCAGAAAATGGGAAAAAGTCATGAGATATTTTACTGAGGAAGATATACATTTATCAAATAAGCACATCAAGAGATGTTCAAGGTTATTAGCCATTAGGGAAATGCAAATGAAAACCACCATGGTATATCATTACACACCTATCCAAAATGGCCAAAAAAAAAAAAATAGTGACCATACAAATGCTGGCAAGCATCTGGTGAAACGGGGTCACTCACACATTGCTGATGGAAGTATAAAACACTACCACCACTCTTGAAAAGTGTTTGTCAATTTTTTTTACAAAAACTAAACATCCAACTACCGTGCAACCAATTGCAGTCCTGGACATTTTTCTCAGATAAAAGGAAGCAAATCGATACAAAATCTTGGACACAAATGTGTATAATAGCTTTATTCTTAATAGCCAAAAACTGGAAGCAACCCAGATGTCTTTCAATGGTGAATAGGTAGACAATGGAATACCATCACCAAATACCACTTAGTAATGAAAAGGAAGTTTATTTAACTTTTATGTCTAACATGCGACAATCTGGATGAATCTCCAGAGAGTGATGATGAATGAAGAAAGCCAATCTCAAAAGGTTATTAGACATACCAAAAGATTTTATTTATGTGACATTCTTTAAATGACAAACTTACAGAAATGGGGAGCAAATTAGTGTTGCCAAGGATAAGGGGGGTCTGGGAGTGGTAGGGAAGTGGGTGTGGCCACAAAAGGACAATAGGAAAAACTTTGTGGTGATGGAATGTTATGTATCTTGGCTGTATCAATGTCAATATCCTAGTGCTAATAGTACTATAGTTTGGTAAGTTGTTACCATTGGGGAACTGGGGTACAAGGATCTCTAGGTATTATTTCTTACAACTGCATGTGAAACTGCAGCTATCTCAAAATAAAAAAGCTTAACTAAAATCTAATAAATACACCAAAATTAAAATGCATCTGTGTAAAGAAAATAAAGTAAGTAAAATGACAGTGGCAAGTGGTATGTGGAAATGGCAAAACTTTTGAAGGTGTCACTCCAATAACTGGCACATAGGAAGCACTGACCCTGAGGACCCCCAGGTAGGATGGTAGGGGATGTTTGAAGTTTGAAATCCTGGCTTGAGTTCTGCCGTCCACACACAACAGTGTCACGATGCTGGGCAAGTCATTTAAGTCCTTTGCCCTATTCTCCTCACTGTGAGATAAGAATGAAAATGACCTTGTATGACTGCTTCACAATACCGTCGAGAGTCAGGCAAAGAAAAGTCATTGTGAAAAAGCAGCTATGAATATCAAGGTCTCTTCCCAATCTGAGATTTTATGAAGTTGTGTTAAATTAAAGAAGTCCTGACAACACTGTTTATGTAGTTATTACATTAAAAATGTTGTGTGTGGGTCCCGGTGGGGACCTTCCCTCCTCACACCTTCCCTTCCTCCCTCCATCCTGTCTTCGTTCCACAAATGTATATTGAAGACCTACTGCGTGTCAGCTCCTTTGCTGTAAGCATGAGCTACAGAGACAAATGAACATATTCCATACTTTGAGGATCTAGTATGTAGTCTGGTGGGGATAACAGACACACCCTAAGTTGTTACATGGGGAAGTCATTTCCATTCTACCAAAACCAAAAACATAACCCCTGAGTCATACTGGTGGATTGATAGGGATGTTGAAAGTACATTTGAAGGGCTGAGAAAGAAGAAGAGGAGGGGGCCGGGCTTCCTGTCTTTCATTGTCCAGAAGTTTCCCTAGACTTAATTGCATGGCAGGAGGGCTCTAAGAGCAGCAATGGGGAAAGCGAGTGAGGAAGAGAGTCGGTGCTTGTGCCACTTTTGCTACTATCCCATTAGCCAAAGCAAGTCACAGGCCAGCCCAGATCCTAGGGGGTTGAGAGAGATTCCAGCACTCCATGGGAGGAGCTGTAAGCTCAGTAGCCATTGGTGATCTGTCATAGAAAACGAGCTTAATAAATATAGGTGCATCTACACAGCTTGTCTGACTGGAGGGAGGTAGGAGCCTTCCATGGGTCCCCAGGGGCCATGGCCCATGTTAAGGAACATGGCCTGCACCCTGTCCAACGGAACCCACTTCCTGCTTCGTCCCTCTGCCAGGGAAGTATATTCAATCCTTGGAAAACACAGTTCACAGCGGGGGCCTGGATGCGAGGGATCAGCACAAGAAACTCCCAGGACAGTCAGCTGAGCCCATTGAGGGACACATTTCCCCTTGTGCTCTCTGGTCCCTCAGCATCCTGTCCTCACCTCCCCCAGGGGAGAGGACAGTCATCTGCCACCTGCACATTTTCTTACCAATGCCCCTGCTTCTTGGAAAACTCCAGGGCACTCTAGCACCACAGTAAGAAGGTGGTGTTGGAATGCCTCCCTTTCCAACACATCCTAATGCTAAGATCCTGGCTTCAAACAACACCGGCTTACAAGTAGCGCTCCTCAGCCAGGGACATAGGGGCTTCCTGGGGCGGTTGCCTGGTTGCTGACGTGGCTGTGGCACAGAAAGCTTCTCTTTCTGTAACTTATTTGGAGAATTGAAGAGCAGGTTTTGCTAAAGTCCTGTTGACAGCAACTTAAGAAACTGTGGGATGAAGGATCCAGGATGCTCCCTGATTCTGTTAGCAGCCTCCCCCAAGGATACCAAAATGTGATCTTTAGACAAACAGAGCCTCATTAGAACACAGACCTCTGCCAGAGCATCCTGCTGGCCAGCTGAGGCCCAGGGAGTGCTCAACTGATACAGACCAGATTGCTCTGGAAGTCACAGGTCCCTTGCAGGGCTCGCCAGCACCGGGGCAGCACGCCCAGACCTAGAAAAATCTTGATTTACTAATGTGCCCAGGCAAGGATGCGTCACCCTTCCAACCTCACTCATAGAGGTGAGCTCTCTGACCCAGGAGCAAGCACTGGGCAATTGCAAAAATGTTTTGTTAACATAATGGGATGTACTGTGGAGAGGGGGTGATTAAAAGCAGATGAGGCAGGAGCCAGTGATCGGGCTCCACCTGGGGTTCATTCCACTCTGGGCAGAGGGGCCTGCCAGGCTGGTGTGGGGAGGTCTCTGAATCTCCAGCACCACCTCCAGATTGGCCAGATTCATGGGAAGTGTTCCCATGTGTGGAGGAACATGCTGAGCACAGGATAGAGAGTTCCAATGCGGAAGTTCACTGAACATACAGATGCCCCAGCTGCAGATTTTACATTTGTTGGGGTGGTGACTGCCAGGTCCCCCTGGAACCATCGGTGGTCACAGATGGGCTGAGTCCCACCCACTTAATGAAAGACTTCCTTTCAGAGAACTAAAATAAAGACACCTGGCTGATACCTGACCAAAGGGAGCCTCTTCTGCTGTTCTCTTTACCTGATAAGCTGTTATTTACTTCTCAAAACCCTGTCACCACCCTTGGGCCACTCCTGCAAAAAGCTGTCCCTCCCAGCCCTGCAGGCATCATCACACTGCATGTGTCACATGGCATCAGCACAGATGATTAAGGTGTTTCTTTGCCCATCTGGGCATTCCCTGTGGGGAGGCCATGTTGATTCTGTGTACCCACTGCCTAATTCAGGTTCTGGCATAAAATAGGTGCTAACTAAACACATTTGATCTATAAATGTGTTTTGCCTTGATTTTATAAATAAATATTTTTGCCTTGATTACCTTGACTTCAAAATAGTAGTGGCAACTCCTGAGCTTGGCGTACAAAAAAAGTCTCATTGCTTCTAATATTTAAATTTAAAAATAGCATGTGTTCATACTCCTTTTTTCCTCCCCAGGTAGCATACTCCACACACCCGGGGTTGGATCATCCAAAGACTCTTCAAAGGCTGGCCCAGGCCCCAGGGCAGAACAGTTACTTTCACCAGCATCTACCATGGTGCCACTCTCTTCTGAGCACCTCTCCTGCTGTTAGACACTGTTTGGGAAGCCCTGGTCAGATGTAGAAAGTTCTGGGTGCATGGCAACAGTGATTCAGGACCCGAGACAGGGAGGGGCTCCCTGACCTGCTTAGTGATGCTCAGCACTGGTGGATCCCCCGGGGAATATGCCTGGACTCCCAGTGTTAAATTATTCAGGTAGATGGCTACTTTGACTTACCTACCCACACATGCACATGGAGACACCCTTACACTCACACATGTTCCCAAGACATGCCCATGGAGACTAGACAGCAGGTTTGTCAGCTTCACCCACATCTTCTCTTGGCCACCTAGGTCCTTAGTTGGGCCAGGTTGGCCAGTCCCTCTCTCTCTGCTTTCGCGGCGCATCTGCCATCAGGGACTCACTCCCTTGTTCGCTCTTGTCATCTTTCCCCAATAGGATCCTCCTTAATCCACTCCCTAACATTGAGCCTCAAAGGGGGAGGGCTTGAGATTTTGACTTCTTCCCAGAAATCATGAGGAATATTGGAAAACGTGGCTTTCTCAATGCAGAACAGTAAACATATGCTGTAAATGCTACAGGCGCTTGCTGACATCTGGTTACGCAAAGGGTCCTGGTTAACATCTAGTTATCAATGAACATCTACTCCAAGGTAATGTGATGTTTTCACTGATAACCAGCATTTAATCTTACTAAAATAATTTGAAGTTAAGCCTCAATGGACACCACTTCCATACACTCATAACACACAATCACAGAGATCATTGAACATTGCAGCATATCTGCAAGGGGCTGGTGCTTATGAACTTCAAATCACAAAAGACATTGCTTCATTCTTGTTGTGAAGACCATTGACTACAAGAAGAGAAAAACCAAATGCATGAATATCTATTTGCCTCATTATTTCTGTTCAATTATAACATAGGGTTTTAGTAGGAGTTTTATGGTTTGAATTGCGTCCTCCTAAAATTCATATGCTGAAGCCCTAACTTTCAATGTTGCTGTATTTGGAGGTAAAATCTTTGGAAGAAATAAAGTTAAATGAAGTCAAAAGGGTAGGCCCTAATCCAATTTGACTAGTAGCTTTATAAGACAAGGGTGAGACACTGAGGGTGTGCATACAGGCAAAACGCCATGTGAGGACAGCAGGGAGGCAGCCACCAGCAAGCCACAGAGAGAGAGAGTGTGGGAGAAACCAAACCTGCTACTGCATTCATCTCAGGCTTCCAACCTCCAGAACTGTGAGAAAATTAATTTCTGTTCTTTAAGTCACTCAGTTTGTGCTATTTTGTTATGGCAGCTTAAGCAGACTAATACAGGCATAAAACCTAGACATCTTGCTCAAAGAAGATGATGTCTGAGATGCCCGGTGAAAAAGTAGGAGGTAAAGAAAACAGATGCAAGGGTATTTGAGGCAGGATAATGCTGTCTGATGTTTGGAGTGTTTTCTGCCAGCTTTTATGGGCTCAGAGGATGGTGATGGAGCTAAAATGCAAAGAGAAAGAAAAGATCAACACTTGATCATCAAATTTCAAAATAGTCTTGTGAAACTCATTGAAGTGACGATAAGGTGGTTTTAAAAAGCTATTTTAGGGATATATTTAAGATGTTGAAAAGCTAGAGCTACACTCACGAACAAAATAAGCATTGACACTGACAAGAGACAGAATGTGAACTCACATGGCCCAGGGCTGAAGCTGCAGAAATGGATGCTGGTCCCACAAAGCCAACTGCCACTGGAAACAAGGCCCAAGCTCACCCTACTGTTGGGGAGTGGTCCAGAGCCAGCTTCCCTGTGTGAAACCCACAAGTTCATTGGGCTTCTGGGCACACAGACACGAAATCAAGCCTGGGATGGTTTTCCTGTGGCTGCAGATGGTGATGAACATTTCCCTGGGGTAGCGGGAGGGAAAGGTGGTATCCATTCATCCTCTGGGAGCCATGACAAGCTGTGCTTTGGCCTGGGCACAGGATCAGTGATATCTCTATGGGTGCAAACCGTGGGCCACAAATATGAGAGCGTTGATAGTGCAGAAAACCCAGGGGTTGGGTAAAGGCAACAGCAAAACTACCAGGCAGGAGAAGTGAATGAAGGGACAGGAAAAGGCAACTAAAACAAAAACCAATACCACTCCATGGGCACAGTAGGAAATTTGTAGCACATGAGGAAAGCTGCCACTATAACAATCATCCAACAAACAAAACAACCAAAGGATTCACTCAGAGGAAATGAAGATAACATAGACCAATCCATTCACTGATCAATTCAACGAGTGTGTTGGGAAGCTACACATTTACAGTGCCCGGTACTGTTGTAGGTACCAGAGATGCATGGACAAGCAGACAGAAGTCCCTGCCTGGATCAGGGGAAGGAGATAGCCAAACTGACTTATATAGTACACTAGGAATTAGTAAGTGCTATAGAAAAAAAATGAAGCAAAGTCAAGTCAATTCAGAATATGGGGCTGGGGAAGAATGGCTTACAATTTAAGTTGGATTTAAAAATGAAGATGTTAAGCAGTTCTCCAAGAAATAATGAAAGAAATACTATCAATCAAAATGCCAGTTGATTATAAAACAAAAATTGGTGAATATGAATAAAAAACCAGGTAATATGGAAAAAATAATAAGCCCATGAAATGAAAAATATAATCTTTAAAATGAAAGACTGAAAGTTCAGTAGATGAGATGAAAATAAACTGGACACAGTAAAAGACACAATTAATAAAATGGAAAATAACATTGGAAAATTTATGCATAATTCCACACAGAGATATATAGCAAGCAAAGACTATTAAAAAAATTGGATAAAGCCAAATGTTGATTAGGATCAAATGTTCATTAGGATATAAGGATATAGGAACCTCACACATAGCTAGTGGAAGTAAAAGCTATTAGTATTCTGAAAGGCAATCTTGCACTAGTTAATTTAGGTATGTTCCTGGAGATAGGTAGATGACATAGATGGATACAGAGAGAGAGACAGAGACAGAGACAGAGAGAGAGAGATGGATAGATAGATATCTGTATAGAAGTAGGAATAGGGATATCTCAAAGAAATGTTCACCATCCAGTAAGAGGACAAATACAAGTGGGATTTATCTGTAGTGTCAAGGAGATAGAGAAGATTGGCTGCTATCACTGGGAAATGAATTGGTAACACTTGGTTGGAGTACACCAAGCATTAATATGCAGCAATTGGAAGTAATGAACTTGATGTGCACACAACAATATGTGTGGCTCTTACAAAATACAGTGTGACATATATAACATATGATTGTTTCCATAAATTAAAAATACATGTTCAGAAAACAATACATGTTTTAATATCACATATGAACAAAATAATACACATTAAATACACAGGAGTGGTTCTTCTGTGGGAGAGGGGAGATAAATAAATCATGGTAAAATAAAATAAACACATAGATAAAACAAGTGAGGGACCTTGTATACAAGGTTAATCACACACTTCACTTCATGGCAACTGGTGATACGATCTTGGCTCACTGCAACCTTTGCCTTCCAGGCTCAAGTTATTCTCATGCCTCAGCCTCCTGAGTAGCTGGGATTACAGGTGAGTGCCACCATGCCTGGCTAATTTTTATGTTTGTAGTAGAGATGGGGTTTCACCGTGTCACCCAGGCTGGTCTCAAACTCCTGACCACACGTAATCTGCCTGCCTCAGCCTCCCAAAATGCTGAGATTATAGGTATGAGTCACCATGCCCAGCCCATAATGCTTTTATAAAGTAAACCCCAAAAAGATTCCTTGACACACTACATGAGAACACAGTGAGAAGGTGCCATCTATGAACCTGGAAACAGGCTTTTACTAGACACTGAATCTGCCATAGCCTTGATCTTGGACTTCACAGCCTCCATAGCTGTGAGAAATAAATTTCTGTTGTTTATAAGCCACCCAGCCTGTAAGATTTTGTTATAGTAGCCTAAACAGACTAAGACTTCTAGAAAAGAATTATACCCAGACTGACAGCAGACTTCCAATCAGCCACAATAGGGGTGAGGAGAAAATGGAAAGTCATCTTCAAAGGAGCTGTGAGTCTAAATTCTGCACCCAGTTAACTGTCATTCCAGAGTATCTGAATTAAGGGCATTTTCAGACATACAAGAATAAGAGAGTTTATACTTCCACTGAAAGAACTATTAAAAGATAAATTTTAGCAAGAAGGAAACTAAATTCAGAGGAGTAGAATAAAAGAAGAAATGATGATTAAAGAAATTGGTAAACTATGTTGGTAGATGCAATGAATTCTTGATAGAAAAAATAAATATGGAACTAAAGTTATAGAGCAATAACACAGATAATGGAGCAGGGGTGTGTGAAGGGCATTTGAAGCATGCTAACAGCAGTGTCATATTTGGAATGAAGACAGATATACTGAATAATTTTGGATACTGCTTGAAAATATAAATGTGATTTTGTAAAGTGAAAATCCTAGAGGACAATCCATTCCACCCAATTGTAATAGAATCTCCAACTTCCAAAGCAAATAATAGGAAAAAGGAAGACATCTAGCATTATTAATCCAGCAGAAGGAAGAAAAGAAAGTAGAAAAAGGCAGCAAAAAAAGAAAAAAGCACAAGAAATGGAACACATTAAAAAGCAGAAATAATAGTAAACCTAAATGAATTACATTATCTCACTAGAAAACACAATCAAATTCAATTTTTAAAATTTTAGTATAAGCTGCCTACAAAAGAGTTAACCAAATAAAACTAAACACAAAGTTTGAAAATAAAAGTGTGTGTGCTGAGGGAGGGGAGGGGATAAAAAGAAATAATCTAAGCAAAGTCTGGCTCTACTGCAGAGTTAAGATAATCAAAAACTTGCAGACACCTAGCAACACAGCTTCGATGTGTATTTACTGAATGTGTACTTATAAGTACATACATATATATGTGACTATGTGTATGTGTCTGTGCACACATAACCATATAAATATAGGCATATGTGCACAGACACATACAATGAATTACAAGGAGAATTTGAAAAACTAATAGCTACAATGGGAGATTTTAAGAATGCTTTTCTCAGAAGCTGGTTAAGGTCTAGAAGAAAATAACCTTCCTCAAAGGGCAAGAAGGAAACCCTCAGCTGGTGGTGTGACATGCACATGCTTTAGAGTTGCCCTATAGAATCTGACCCTCTTCTGATCACCTTGGACTCTTCATTCATCTGCCCACCCACTCACAGCAAGACATGCTTACTGAGTGGCCAGTCAGCATCAGGCATGGGGCAGGGGATAGAGGTGAGCAGTTCCCAGTTTCTGTCTTCAAGGAGCCCACAGACCCTCAAACAGATGGTCCTATTAGAGACAACCATGGCATTCTGGCAGGCAGAGAATAAGAGGATTCTGGGACCCTGGAAGGCTTCCTGGAGGAAAAATCATCTTAGGTAAGTCTGGGAGACAGGTAGGGATTGGCTAAGTGAGGAAGGTGGATGGGATTGTAGGAGAGAGGGATAGACCCAGAGGTAAGACAGAGCATGGTGTGTCAGGAACCTTGGCTGAGTATCCTAGAACATAGCAGGTGGTGGGGGATGGGAGGAGAGCAGCAGGAGAGGTGGCAACTCAGTCATGAAGACAGAGAAACAGGTTGCCTTGATGAGGAATCTGGACTGTATCCTGAAGGTGATGGGCCAAGAACATGATGGGACTAGTACCAGATTTCAGCAAGACCGAGATCTCAGTGTTGCAGAGGGGAAGAGACTGCAGGCCAGGTGGGAGCTTTTCTTATGCCATATGAGGATATTGTGTCATTCAAGTAATGACTCATTCAATTGTTTTTTCCCTTCAACTTTTTATTAGAACTTCATGTGCTATTCCTTTTCTCTCCACCAGGGAAACGAAAACAATCAGACCTGCTCTGTTCTCTGTGGGTTAATAGTTTAGGTGAGGTGGTTGCTGTACTATGCAATGAAAGCTGCAACAAAACTGATTGCATGCAAGGTTTCTGGAATGATTGAGAATGAGCTGCTGATTCTGCTTGGGGGAACCAGGGAGGGATTCTTTGGGGAGGTGGTATATCTGTTGAGTTCTGAAAGATGATGAAGGTCTCGTGGAACACAGTTGGCAGAGGAACTCTCACACGAAGGCACAAATGCATGAACATGTCAGGTCGTGGGTGGGTTATAAGCGTTAAATGATGGAGGTGGTTTCATCATTCATATTTTTCATGTGTGGAAATTGAGAGCTGGAGAGATTATGTTACTCGTCAAAGGTCATGATCAGACCTGAGGTCTCTGGACTCCTAGTCATTGCTTTTTTACTATTCTGCCTACATCTCTTTCTTTATTGTTGTCTTAATTGTATTAAAAGAAATGATAATGGAAACATGTTTTTTGGAGGAACGCATTTGGGGCATGCGTATTGGTGTATGTGCCTAAGCGTGTGTGGGTGTTGGTGTAAATTTGTTGCAAATGAGTGTGGTTCTGTGTACTCCGTGAGCCAGATATCCATTAATCAACCTCTAAAACCATGTCTTTGTGGGTGACAGATGTTTGGATTCAATTATAAGGATGGGAAAGTTGTTTTTCCTTCCAAGGAAAGAAGGTATTATTTGAGAGTGAAAGTCAGCCATATATAACATTGGTGATGAATATTGTTCATTGTGGAAACACTCTAAAAGTGGCTTGTTTAAAAGAGGGTAATACATTCAGAAGCTTTTAACCCACCGGATTTAATTGCAACTGAGTGCCAAAATAAACCCCCTGTTAACAAACCTCCAGCTTTCCACTGATTTCTCGCACTTGCTCCCAGCTGTGAGTGAAGAATGGAAGTCAGATGCTTGGATTGCTTGCAGTGTGTATAAAGAATTCACATGTGAGTCTTTGGCTGCTGTACAAACAGGAAAGTGTCCTTTCATAAAAAGGATGTTCAGGCCAGGGCAGAGGGAACCCAGGGCCACGTCGTTATCTGTTGACTAGCTCCTGTCCGTTATACGTAATCAAGACTTAGCTAAATAACCACCATTAACTGAACTGAATATGAATAATTTTCAGTTCATCTAAGACTGATTAAGGGTAAATATTTTTCATAAGTCATCCAGAATAATATAATCCACTATTGCTCCAAAGTTGTCCCAAAGGGCTTCACTTTGGTTCAACTCAATACAAGTACATTTTGTTCATTTGAACAGATATTAAACAATACCTAATAGATGCCAGACAGTACGAGTATCCCAGTGCTCCTCCTCAGAGAGAATTGTCAAGAATCGGGACAGGCAAATGTAGCAAAATCTTTTGTTGCCAACTTTGATTCATTAATTAATTGAAATTTTAAACACTAAAAGTAGACAAAAAAAGAAAAAAAGAGAGGGAAGGGAAGCAGTCAGTTGTCACTGTCCTGCCCATGGCCCACAGGGGCTGCTATCTTGAGGGTGGCATTCAACACTCTCTGTGGTCCATTCCCCGGCCCTTGTGCAACTTCCCTGCTATCTCTCATCTCTGCCATCTTCTAACCCTCCAATTATACACAGTATGTGTCTTTGTGAATGTCACTTCTCCTGCCTAGAAGCTCACACATTTGTCTTCCTCAATGAAGCACCTTCAACACACAGGAAAATGTGACCTTTGGATAATCACTATTGCCTTCCCAGTACTTAGCACAGATGCTCAATAAATATTAGCTGAAGGAATGAATGTTCATATCATATATCCTGTGGGCTCTAGGGTCATTATGATATCCAAAAAGTAAACATCAACTATATAGGTTTTATATTCAAAATCAGCATACATCTGTAAGACTAAGAACATGCACAAGAAGAGAGCACTAGTGTGTCTTTATTATCAGCTACAATAGATGTCAAGTCCTTCCTCGCCTGCATGCTCTAGCAATTGTGTGAGGTGGATGTTTTGTCTCCATGGTACAAAGCAAGCTAAGGAAGTTCACTAACTTAATCAGAATTACCCAACAAAAAAATGGTGAGATGGAGAATTGATCCTACAGCCATCTGCCTGATTCAACCATACCACCCTGCATCTGCATCTGGTTGGCAGACCCAGTCATGCTCATTCCTCGGGGCCTGTCTGCCATGTGGGAGCAGATGGGACCCTACCATGCTCTCAGTGTTGGGGTCATTGCTTTCCTCATGGGGGCTCATACTGTGAGTGAGCATCACGTGGTGTACTTGATGCTGTGGCTGAGATGACCTTCCAGAAACCCATAAAAGGTGCTTGGCTGCCCACGTGTTTTCAGCCCTTCTCCAGTTTGAACAGTCAAGGGTGGTGGTAGGGGGGTCATATGTCATACACAGATGCTCTGCTGGCTCTCCTGGGTGACTTGGGGTGCTCTCACAGGGTCATCCTGAGGCCTCATGCAGACCTAAAAAATCTAGCCCAACCCAACCAGATGCCTACATTTCTCCCTTTGGTGGCTGCAGTAGCTGTCTCTCTACCGGTTCTCCTCCTGCTTCTCTGGCTGGTGCTTCTCAGTCTCCTTTGCTGATTGTTCTTGTTCTGCCCACAGCTCAATTGCTGGTCATCCCAAGGATTCTATGTACTCAATGCCATAGATGCTGGGGATACAAAAACAAATGGTACCAGGGAGACTGTTCATTTTCTTCAACAAGCTGTGGTCCTATAGAGGAAAAGGTAATGCAAGATTAGATTGTCCTAGAGACTCTAATGGGAACCGAATGTGTTCTGATTGGGACATAGAGGAGAGTCATAACTGGAGCCTGGAACCTTTTCTGTAGAGCGAGAAGAGAACAGTGGAGCTGAGTAATAAGAGATGAGCAGGTTTTAACAGTAGAGGGGACATGAGGAAAGCAGAGGGCAATTTATGCAGGTGCAGACAGCACTAGGAAATGTGTGGATGTCTGAACAGTTTGTCAGGTCAGGGGAACTGTGAGTAGCTCCCAGTGCCTAGAGCATTGGGTGCAAAATGGGTGTCGTGGATGTTGGAAGAAGGCTAGAGCAGTCAGCCTGGTCTGGATTTGGAAGATCCAAGGGTCCTAGCCTTTCCCTTGAAGTTAGAAGACATCCACTGAAGGAATTTTACAAGGGGGGAATCTGATCCTGTTTGTGTTTTAGGAATATTATTCATGATCTGAAGAGGACATGCCTATGGGTTTGGGTAAGAGAGAAAAGAGAAAGGCAAGATTGGAAGCAGGAAGATCCGTGAGGAGTTGTTGCTTCAGTGGAGGGTGAAGATGAGGACGCCTTGAACCAAGGAGGACCAGTGGAAACTGACGGGTGGCATTTTGGATGAGATGATCCAGAGGTAGAATCCACAGGGCTTCATCTGAAATTGAGTCAAAAAATGAAGTGAATGAGAAGAAGTAGCCCAGTTAACTACTCTGTCCACTTTATTTCTGGATTGGACATCCGAAAGAAGGGTATTGGGTTTTTTTGTTTTGTTTTGTTTTGCCATTTAAAAAAAAAAAACTCTTAGATATGCAGAAAAGTTTCAAATATAGTACAGAGCATTCCCATCTATCCCACACCCAGATTTGTCTGTTCCATCTAATGAACCAATATTGATGCATTATCTTTAACTCAAGTCTATACCTTGTTCAGATTTCCTTAGTTTTTGCCCAGTGTCCTTTTTCTGTTTCAGTATTGCATTCAGGATTCATGACCTTTAGTTGTCACATCTCTTTAGGCTCCTCTTGGCTGTGATGGTTTCTCAGACTTGAAAAGTACCAATCACACATTTGTTTATTTTTCCTTTCAGGTCTATCATTTTTTGCTTCATGTGTTATGGTGCTCTATTGTTTGAACATTAAACATTTAGGATTGCTATGTCTTCTTGGTTGATTTACTATATAATATCCCTCCTGTCTCTAGTAATTTTCTTAGCTTTGAAATCTATCTGATCTTAATATAGCTTCTCCTGCTTTGTTTAATGTTTGCCTGCTATATGGTTTCCGTCCTTTTATTTTCAGCCCATCTACAGTGTTATGTTGAAGGCAAGTTTTCTGTAAATAGCATATAGTTGAGTAGTGCTTTGTAATCCACTATGCCAGTATCTGTCTTTTAATTGATATATTTAGACCCATTTGTATTTCATGAAGTGGTTGATATTTTAGGCTTTACATCTGCCTTTTTAATTTTTTTGTTTTCTGTTTTGCATTTCTTAGTTTTATTTTGTTCCTGCCTACCTATGGGCTACTTAAGCAGTTTTAGAGTTATATTTTGATTATATTTAGTTTTTTGTGTATCATTTTGTGTAGCTTTTCTTAGTGGTTGCTCTAAGTATTACTAGATGTATATAGATATGTATACATATACACACATAACTTATCACAATGTACTTAATGTCATCCTACCAGTTTGCATAAAGTATAGAAAAAATACCTTCTTTTAATTTATCTCTCTTTTCTTAATATAGATGTCTTATATATTTTCTCTGCATACATTCAGAGCCACATCAGACAGTGATATAATTTTTGCTTTAATCGGCCAAAATAATTTAGAAAACTCAAGAGGAAAAGGAAAGTCAATTGTATTTGCTAACATTTTTGCTTATCATGTTCCTTCTTCCTTTCTTATGTTCCAAGATCCTTTCTTTTATTATTTTATTTCTGTTCAGAGAACTTTCTTCAACTAGTCTTTTAGGATATATCTGCTGTCAATAAATTCTCTATTTGTTTTTGTCTGAGAATATCTTTATTTCTCCTTCATTTCTGAAGGATATTTTCACTTCTGAAGTATATTATCACTTATATGTGGAATTCCAGGTTGAAAATTTTTTTCCTTCAACACTTGAAAAATGTAATGTCACTTCCTTCTGGTCTCAATGGTTTCTGATGAGAAATCCATGGTCATTCCAATTGTTTTTCCCCTGTATCTCAGGTGTTATCTCTCCTTGACTGCTTTCAATTTTCTTTGTCTTTGGTTTTCAAAAGGCTGACTATGATGTGCTTTGATATGGATTTCTATGGCTCATCCTGCTGAGGTCACTTAGCTTTAAAAATCTGTAGATTTGTGTCTTTTACCAAATTTGAGAAGTTTTGGGACATTCTATCTTTGAGTACTTTTCCAGCGCTATTCTTTTCCTCCTCTTCTTCTACAACTCCAACAACACAAATGTTAGATCTTTTGTTATAGTCCCACAGGTGCTTCAGGCTTTGCTATTTTTGCTTAGTCTATTTTCTCTCTGTTGTTCAAATTGGGCCTAGGCAGAGTCCTCAGGAGGCCCAACCATTAAACTGTGGGCAGAATAAGAAAAGCCATAGAGGAAACTGGGAAATAGCAGCCAGAAAAGCAGGAAGAGAACCAGTAGAGAGATGCTGCAGAAACTAAAAGGAAGATACTTCAAGAAAAGGGCAGTTGGCAGGGCTGGATACCAGAGAGGCCAGAGAGGTGAGAACTGAACAGAGCCTTTGGGATTTGACATGAAGCAGTCATTGTAAGGGCAAAAGATTGATTGCTATGACTTAAAGGCTGAACAAAATAAAAGGAGTTATTACTTCTATTTTACAGACTAGAAAACTGAGGTTTGGGAAGATTATCTAGGTAATGTATCCAATGTCATTCAGCTAGTAAAATGACTCAACAGGGACATAAATCCAGATCTTCCAAAGCCAAGGCCAGGCTTTTCCTCTATAGTGCTGGAAGAAAAGGAAAGAGTCAGTGATGAATCAGCCCATCCCTAGGGTGACCAGGGATCCAAGATAATTCCAGTTTGTGCCATTATTTTGATATACCTATTGGCATTGAGATACAGATAGAGAAACATAGATATCTGGATCTCCTTTTTTTTTTCTCTCTCTCTGTTCCTCTCTCTGTCTCTGTTTTTCTGTCTTTCTCTGTCTCTCTTCCACCTTCACTTCGCTCTCAAACTGCCCCAGGTTGAAGGATAAATTACATGGTCACACTGGTCACTACTCATCACCCACCTCCCAGTTTGACCTCTAGCAGTATATTGTCTGGACATCCCCATGCCTGTCTCACCGTTTATAAACCACCTCAAATTTAGTGGTGCAAAACAAAAGTCAATTTATTATAGTCATGGATGTTGTGGGTCAATAATTTGAATGACATGGAGGGGATGGTTTGTCTCTGCTCTCTGGCATCTGGGACTCAGCTGGAGGCTAGAATCTTCAGATGACTTCAGTCATCTCTCTGCCTGAGCTGAGAATACTGCAAGTCTGGACTTAGCCAGATGTCTGTTGACTGCCACTCTCTTGGGTGTGGACTCATGGCATGGCAGCTGAGTTGCAAGAGGAAGTATCCCACAAGAGAACAAACAAAGTCTCTTCTGACCCAACCGGAATCACGCAGCCTCACTTCCACTGCATTCTATTAGTTACAAGCGAGTGGCTACAGCCTGCCAAGATTCACAATGGAGGGGCCTGGCCTCCCCATCCTGTGGGGAGAGTGGCAAAGTCTCATTGCAGAAGAACATGTGGGAAGGAGATGCTGCTGGTGCAATCTTTGGAAAATGCACTCAGCCACAATGGCCCACTCCTTTCTGCTCCCAGACTGGAGCAGAAAATAAAGAGGGAGCCAAGGAGTCTGGCTAGCATGAACTGTAGACCAACCTCAAAAGGACCTTGCTGTCAGGTGTACAAGCATCTTAACAGCAAAACTATCATGGGGCAGGTCAGAAATGCAGTTATGTGAAGGCACCCAAAGCGAGCTTCCCCACCTGACTGCTCCAAATCTGCTCTGTAGTGCTGGAGCAATGAGCACACAGTGTCTGCTAAGGTTTGAATGTGTCCCCCAAAAGCATGTGTTGGGCACTTAATCCCCAATGCATCAGTGTTGGGAGGTGGGGCTTACTGCAAGGTATTTAGGCCATGAGAGCTGTGCCCTCATAAAAGGATTAATGCTGATTATAAAAAAGGCTTGATGCTGTGAATTTGATCTTTTGTTCTCTCTCACCCTCTCTTTTCCCTTCTGCCATGCTATGACAGAGCAAGAGGGCCCTCACAAGATGCCAGGCCATCAATCTTAGACTTCCCAGCCTCCAGAACCATGATCCAATAAATGTTTATTATATATTACCCAGTCTTGGGAATTCTGTTTTACAGCATAAAAAGGAATAAGATAGTGTCCCAGGGAGGACTCTTCTCTGGAAAGTGAATTCATTTCATGGAAAACATTTTAAAGCATATAAAGTTAACTTGCAATTTGGCAAACATGTAGCAAGTCACCTGATTAAAGCAGACACTTACTCAGTGTGGATAAGACAGTATTACACAGCAGGCTCTGTGGGCATTGCTCATTCAGGGACATCACCACTGCCTTGTGGGGGAGGAAATGGAAACTTTGTCACTCACCCAGGTATCATGCTAGGGATGGCAGAGCTGGACTGTGAACCAGGGCCGTCCATGCACAACCGTCACTCTTCTGGTTAACTCCTGCTGTTTCCCAGAAAAAAAAAAAAAAAACAGCTGTGTAGACTCGGGGGCCTGTGGGGCGGCAGTGGGTTTCTGGGTGTCTCCAACCCACATGTGTGTATGCTGGTGGCGGGGGCTTAGTGTGAATGTGCACACAGGTCCCATAGCCTTTCCTCATTTCAAAAGCCCCATCACACAATCAGCACATTCAAAGAGAAAACACATTTTGGGCTTCAGCAGGGACTTCAAAGGGCTTTACAAAGCTCTCTTACTTGGTTTATAGGTCTCCAAGGCTTCAAGTGTTTTTGGTTTTTTTGCACCAAGTGGTGAAGAATGTAATTAAATGTGAACATTAAAATGTCAGCTAGTAATTAACAAAGAAAAAGGGCCTGTGTTGCCTGCCAGGGGTCCTCCTCCATTAGGCAGGCAGGCCCAAGCCAGCAAGCGGGGCATGGCCAGCAGGAGCCCAGGCAAGACCTGGACCTCCCAACTACCACTCCAGCCCCAGAGGAGGGGATGTGAGAGCCCACAGCCCTGGGACTAAAAGATCACCACTTCTATTAGGGGATGATCATCCCCACATGTCTGCTCTGTGATGGAACCTGGGCTGGGCCTGGGGACACTGAGGCCCTGAATATGACCCCTGACACAGGCACCCAGACATACCAGAGCATCACCACGGCTTCATGAAAACCTCACTAGAACCTCATGAGGGCCTCACTAGGCCTCCCCAGGGCCTCACCAGGGCTGCATCAGGACCTCACTAAGGCCTCACCATGGCTGTACCAGGTCTCACTAGAGCCTCACCAGGGCTCATCACAGCCTCATCAGGGCCTCATCAGGGCCTCACCAGGTCTTCACCAGGTCTCACCAGAGCTTCACCAGGACCTCACCAGGGCCTCAGCTGGGCCTCGCCAGGGCCTGGCTTCTCTCCGGCTTCCCCCCTGCCATCCCTGAGTACTGTGCTGCAGCCCCCTGACTGTTCTCTGCCTCCCCAGGGCACACATGCCCTACCTGTTCAGAGACTTGTCCTGCAATTGTCCACGCACCTGGAATACCTCTCCTCACTCTTTACCTGAGCAACTCCCATGGGTTCTCAGGATTCAATTTCAAAGCAGCCGCTGGCGGATGTCTTCTCTGATTCGCTCTCAGTAAGTCCTCACTCCTTTTTCTCTAAAGGCACTTGCTTCCGTTCTTTCCCCCTCTGACCACAGTGTGTCATTAAATTTTTCGGTGTGTGTTTATTCTTCAGCCTAGCCCCATGTGGGTTCCTTAGGACAAGGACTGAATCTCATTGTCCCTGAGAGAGGGCCCAGTGCCCAGTACCAGTGTGTGCCTGACAAGTACATATAATAGTGAATGAGGGGCCTGGTCAGGGAGACCCCCATGCCTGGATGGTGGCAACACAGAGGGAAGAAGAACCCAGCTGAAGGCCCCTGGGGAGTTACTGAAGCACTCAGGACCCAACCAGTCTGTGGGTCCCTGGAGTTTTCCAAAAGGGATAGGAACCAATCCCGGACACTGACAGCCTTTCCTCTTCACCATGAGGATGATCCCCCTGCTTGTTGCCGTCCTCCAGAGCCTGAGGCCAATGGATGGAGCAAGAGGTGGGGGGACCCATGGCTATCTGTGACCAATGCAGGCCCTGCTGTTGTGTGAGCTCCACCCTGAGCGGGTGGTGGATTCAGGTTCCTGGGTAGCAGATGGCAGGCAGGAGGCTGTGCTCCATCTCATCTGTCTGTCCCTTCTGCACCCCCCCCACCCATAGACCACCTTCATTCAGGCTGGCCTCCCTTGGCTGGTGTGTGACTACAGCCTCCTTCCCTCCCCCAGCCCCAGGCCCCCCTGCCCTCTGGCTCTCCTCTGGAAGATCTCCCTATCCTTCCTGCAGCAGGCAATCTGGTGGAAGTCCCTTAGCAGCTCACACTCTGCCCTGCCCTGTAGTCTGAGCTCTTTCTCCCAACACTTCCCATGAAGACCACCAACTACTGGGTCCTGAACATGCCACACCTGTCCCCAGGCTTCCACACTTTCACCTGCACCTCTGCCCCCCATACTCCTCTATGCCCACCTGGAGAGCCCTTCATGCTTTAAGACAGAGCTTGATCCTTGAACACCCTCTTCAGGGACCTGCCTGAGCTGCCTCTGCTCTCCTGACAGAGCAGGCCGTGGGAGTGTAGGTCTTCCCTGCTGGCTTGGACAAATGGAGCTAAAGGGGCCGAAAGTAGGTCTGGCCCATCCAGGCACTTTGGTTTTGAGACCTGAGCACTAGATTGTGATTCAGACCCCACTTCAAGGAGGAGATGGGGCATAACTCAGTGGTTGTAACTCCCAGTGTCACAGCTGTGTGTGCTCTGTCTGCATTTCCAAGAGTGTGTGCAATCCCAGCCCAGCCGTAGCCCGAGGGCGTCCACTGCTCACCAGAACCCCGACCCAGAAGGCCTCACTAAGCAGCCTTCTGCCCCGCTTTCTGTTCCTGACACGAATCAGGGAGCCTCAGGCCTTCTCTGGATGCCGTGAATCCAGAATGTAACCAGAATGAAGAACAGAGAGGCGTGGACTCTCTGTCCTCGCCACTTCACATGATAGGTGTAATACACAAAAGCTGCTCTTCTAGGGTGACAGAGAGCCACAGAATCTCAGTGCTAAGTAAGCCACCATGGACTCGATATTCCAGACTCAGCCCCTTCCTGGGCTACAGAGGCTCCTGCCTCTTCTAGTAGGGAAAGGAGGCAGATATGAGTTCAGGGAAAGGCCTTCTCTCAAAATAAAAAAGTGCTGCTTTGGCAAAGGCCCTGAAAGAGTGGCCTGTGGTGTGCACACACATCGACACATGCTAGAGCTTGCATTAGTCCATTATGGAACTGCTATACAGAAATACCTGAGACTGGGTAATTTATAAAGAAAAGAAGTTTAATTTGCTCCTGGTTCTGCAGGCCATACGGGAAGCATAGTGGCTTCTGCTTCTGGGGAGTCCTCAGGAAACTTACAATCATGGCGGAAGGCAGAGAAGAAGCAGGTATCTCACATGGCAGAAGCAGGAGCGAGAAACAGGTGGGAGATGCCACACACTTTGAAACACCCAGATCTGGTGAGAACTCTATTAGGAGAACAGCACCAAGGGGACAGTGCTAAACCATTTGTGAAGGATCCACCTCCGTGATCCAGACGCCTCCCACCAGGCCCCACCTCCAACATTGGGGATTACAATTAGACATGAGATTTGGTTGGAGGACACAGATCCAAATCATATCAGAGCTATTTTCTCACCAGGAAGACCAAGTACCTGAAGGAGAGAGGAAGCCCTGGGAAGAGGAGAGGGGAGAGGAACTGAGGCACACAGTGCATGCAGGAAGGCCCTGGGGTGGGTGGGAGCATGGGGTGAGGACATGGTGGGGAGGAGGCTTGGGAGACAGAGGGACTTGGTGGGGAGGAGGCAGGATAGGAGAACAGGGCTGTCCACATGTGGACTCTGGCCAGGGGGAGGGATTTTCTCCATCCCACAAGCAAGAATAAACCCAGACGTAGTTGAGCAATGGACAGCCCCCTCAGATGCAAGCATGGCTGCCGAATGGGAAGGGGATGTGGGCCCAAGACGGGATGGATTTGGGCAAGATGGAGGTGGTGAACACAAAGTGAGGTGAGTGGGTTTGGAGGACGTAGCAGGTGGTGAAATTGTGAGTCTGGAATGGGTTGGGCACAAGATGCGGTACAGCAAGATGCCAGGGAAGCCCCTGGTCCCTGACCTCTGCACCTGCTCATGGATGTTGGTGCCTCTGTGGACCTCAGATGAGCTGCTTTTCAGCCTGGGCCCATCCCCCATCAGCAGTAAAGACTCCTAAACCCTGATGACAGAGAATCTCTGCCATCTCTCCGTTCCCTCCTTGTCTACTTCCTCCATCTCCAGGGCACCAACCACCTGGCCTCCCACCTCCTGCCAGTCCATTCTCCCAGAGCAGCCCTTTGGGGAGTCATCACTGTCTCACTTGGCAAATGAGGAAACTGAGGTTTAGCGAGGTTTGTGGCCTCAGTTGAGTCTGGGCAGCAACAACTCGGCAGCTCCTGCCCCATGGCATGTGCCTGACGACGCATGGAGGACCCCCATGAAAACAAGTCCTTCTTGCTCCTGACACTGAAGATACAGGTGCAGACCCCCGAGCCTGCTGAGCAGTGGCTTGGTCACTTATTGGCCCAATTCTGGCAGCTAAGAGTGGCCCTTTGGCCCTCAGACATGCTTAGTGAGTCAGGCTGAGTAGCTGGGGATCAAGTGCCCAGACCACCAGGGCAATCTGGGATTCTCATTGGTTGAGAATTGAAAAGGGAATTATTATTTGTGGGGTATTGTTTAGCAACTATGCCCTCTTCCAAGGCACTGTCAGAGTCATACAGTTTCACAGCTCTCCTGTTCTATGCGAAGTCTGCCTTCTTTGCCTGCCCTGTCTTTCGTGTCTTGACATCGCAAAGATAAAACTGTCTAGCAAGTGCAGATGGCCAGCAGCTAACCTCAGCAGGGCCTCCCAAATTCCTGGTGATGGAAGCTGATGTGCAGCTTGGCTCTCACACTGCAGGTAAAATGTCCCATAGCACTTAACCCTCACTCCCTTCTGTTTTATTATCACATTATTCACCTGAGATGGCTTTGAATCATGTGTACTTCAACGGCTTCCTGCATCTGGAGAGTGTCAGGGGAGAATTTCAAACATGAAATATGTCAGGTTTAAAATGCGCCACATCCTTGCATCTTCAAACCCTCCCACAGCTCATGGCATCCTGCCCTGAAAGGCCTTTTCCCAAGTCTTCCAGGCTGGGGCTCCCTCTGCTCTGACTCCAGGTTCCAGGAGAGGAAGGGATTGCAGAGCCTGAGAGGACAAGCCACTCGATGGCCAATGCATAGATGCTAGAAGCCAACATTTGAGTTCGAGCCCACTCATGGCTCTGTGCCTCAGTTGCCTCATCTGTAAAATGGAGATAACCACACTGCCGGCCTCACAGGAACACAGTGAGGTGAACCAAGTTAATGTATGTAGGGCACCAGGAGCAGAGCCTGGCCTGTGCTCAAATCAAATCCACACATGAGTTGCTATTGTCACAGACATTTCTCAAGTACTTGCTAGGTGTCAAGCCCTGTGTAATTTACTTTCCGTTCTTATCCTGGCTGGAGACTCACAAGTCTCACTAGGGGATAGGAGGCAGGAAAAACAGGCAGACGCCAGGGTAGTATCTGGCCCTGCTCTCCCCAGTGGGAAATGTTTCTGGGTAGGACACAGGAAAGAAAGGCTGCAGATCCTTGCTCTCAGTTTTTGCCAGTGAGAGGTGAGGCCAGCTGGACTTCCTGGGTCCAGTGGGGACTTGGGGAACTTTCCCGTCTTACAAGAGGATTGTAAAACGCACCAATCAGGAACTTTCCTGTCTTACAAGAGGATTGTAAAACGCACCAATGAGTGCTCTGTAAAATGCACCAATCAGCAGGATTCTAAAAGTAGCCAATCATGGGGAGGATTGAAAAAAGGGCACTCTGATAGGACATAAATGAAACATGGGAGGGGACAATAAGGGAATAAAAGCTGGCCACCCCCCAGCCAGCAGAGGCAACTGTTGGGGTCCCCTTCCAGGCTGTGGGAACCTTGTTTTAGATCTTCACAATAAACCTTGCTACTGCTCACTCTTTGGGTCCACGCCATGTTTAAGAGCTGTGACACGGGCAAGGTCTGCAGGTCTGCGGCTTCATTTTTTTTTTTTTTTTTTTTTTAGATGGAGTCTTGCTCTTGTCACCCAGGCAGGAGTGGTGCAGTGGTGTGATCTCGGCTCACTGCAACTTCTGCTTCCTGGGTTCAAGCGATTCTCCTGCCTCAGCCTTCTGAGTAGCTGGGGTTACAGGCACCTACCATGACGCCTGGCTAATTTTTGTATTTTTAGTAGAGACGGGGTTTCGCCATGTTGGACAGGCTGGTCTCGAACTCCTGGCCTCATGATCCGCCCGCCTCGGCCTCCCAAAGTGCTGTGATTATAGATGTGAGCCACTGCGCCTAGCCCGCGGCTTCATTCTTGAAGTCAGCGAGATCACGAACCTACTGGCAGGAACCAACTCCGGACACACCTGGGTCACAGAGACTCCTTTTACCGAGGGCCTGAGGCGGGCTGTCACTTACCCGCAGCTACACACGCTAGATCCCAGGCCTCATTTCCTCCTGCTGGGCCTGTTCAGCTGTAAACGCCATCCCAGTGTCTGGCGTCTGCATCTGACCATACCTCTTCCTGGTCTTTATTGCCTTTTTCTCTTTCATTGAAGTCAAGGGCACAGAAAAGTGCTTGACGTGCCCTGCAGAGGCCCTGGGTGCCCTCTGACCACAAACATCATGACCCAGAAATTCTGCTAACTCAGAAACACAGTTGCAGACTTTCTCCTGAGCTTAGGTAATAATTGCACTTGTATTTTCTCTTTCTTTCTCTCTCTCTTTTTATTTATTTAGTTATTTATTTGTTGGGTCAGGAATAGCAATATGTCAACCCAATTTTTTTTTAAATCCCTGAGTTTTTATTATAAGCTACAGCAGTGTGGGGTGGGAGAGGCTGTTGTGTTACTCAAACTTGCATTACAGAATAAACCTTCCTATGAAACATGGTAGGCTGTTTTTGGAACTCAAGCAGCTCATGAGAGAGTTGCTTTAGGAGCTGTGTTGTTTGTTTTGATGGCCTCCTTGGAAGGGCACTTCAGTGGGGCTTGGGTCCTGGACGCAAGAGGCTGTGAGCAGGCAGCTTGGGATCACTGAGTCCCAGCCCCCCTCTGTCTCCAGGAGAGAAGTGCCCTGATCAGGGGCATGAGGAGACAGTCACTGAGCAATTGTGCTTGAACTAGCTGGACAAACATGGAAGGAAGGGAGTCATATATATACAACATACCCCCATTGTGCCTGGTCTCTTCTAAGTACCTTTATCATCATCCTCACGGCTCTGATTTTCTTCATCTAATTAAAGCACAAAGGTATCATTTACTTGTGAAAGGCACCTACTTAGCAGATTGAAGAACTTGAATTCAAACCTAGATTTTTCCAAAAAAAAAAAACTATGCCCTCATAAAGAGAGAGCCACTGGTTGGTGGGGGCGGGTGGGGGTGGTGGAGCGAAGAAGCTAAGTAAAACATTTTTTTTCTGGATACGTGAGGGAACAAACCAAGTGTGGTCATGGGGCTGGGGGAGGTGTCAGCTTCGGACATCCTTAGCTCCTCTTCCAGAAGGGCCAAGGCTGGGGATTTTGGGGAGAGACACAGGAGAGGTGATGGGGAAGGAAGGAGAATCAGGGCTACTACCCTGCTGTCCCCTGGAACCCGGGTGGCCTGGCGGGGCCAAGAGGAGAAGTGGTCACCTGCCTGTTCTCGCACCTGATTCCCTGGTCATGGGGCAGATTCCAGGAGAAGCCCCGTATTAGTGGATGCTGACTTCACGGCTTCCCAGATCCCAGATC
This sequence comes from Homo sapiens, assembly GCF_000001405.40. NCBI lineage: Eukaryota > Metazoa > Chordata > Mammalia > Primates > Hominidae > Homo > Homo sapiens. The sequence goes on along the minus strand of NC_000010.11, from coordinate 47,138,180 downwards.
CCCAGCCTTCCATGAAGATCTTACCTCAAGAGACTGTGCGGTTCTCTGAAGAAGTCAGAGGAATTAGTTTCTTGGCCTTTCATCTCACATCTTGGAGAATCTCTAAGCCCACTTGAAATCACAGGTAATGGGGAAGGGCAGAGCACTTGGCATCTGCAAGAGCTCCCAGGAGGCGCTTGAAGTGACACTCTCCGTGGCTCCATGGGCTCCTGTGCTTGCTCCCAGGTGTCCCAAGGAAATCAGAGAGGAGCTAGTTCCTTTTTGAGGTTGAGGTCCAGGCTGTCAGACACACCCAGGTCTTGGAAATTTTTAAGCAAATCCTGTAGACCTGACTGCAACTATCCCCACAGAAATTGCGCAGGGACAGACATTTGCTCTCATAAATGCCGCTGTCAGCCCGAATGAAGCTCCCAGCAGTGCCTGACCTAAGATCAGTGTCTGTAGCAATACTAAACATCCATGAGTCAACCCTTAAGCCTTCAGTCTCCTCTGAATCATTCTCTTCTGGGCCCCCCAAAATGTCTGAGATTCCTTGGGACTGTCTGTCTTGAAAGAGGTCTTTGTTCCAAGATATGAGAATCAATAAAATAATAGGACTAAGGAGTGGGAGGATGCTTATCAAGTGTAAATAGTGTGCATACGTGGCCAGGAACCCTACAGCTAAGGAGTCAGGCTGGACCAAGGGTGAGGTGGGGTCTGCTGGCATTCTGCTCATGTTGCCCAGAGTTTTGGAGGTTAGTTAGCTTTTGTGGGAATATAGAATCTAAGGAATTAGTCTCACTGACTTTTTATTGTAATGAAAGGGCCTGAATTGGGGGCTGAATCACTTCCCTGGGAAGATAAGCGAAGCCACTGGAAAGAACCTCAGGTCTCGGACGGGAGCAGTGAAGAAACAGACAAAAAGAGAGTCAACTTCTAGTCCTCTCTTTACCCCTGCCAGAGCCCTGAACCATGGGACCAGGGGGTGAGGGTCCTGGAATGTTCAGTGACTCCAGAAGCCAGTTAACCACAGAGAATCATGCGAAAAACTTCAGCCACCTAATGTAGCTCCACTCTGTGTCCGCCTTGAGTGCAAGGGGCTTGGGGAACGGGGCTGCTAAGTGAAGCAGTGTCACTTCCAGGCCTTGGCAATCTCATTGCAGCTGGAGTCCATGGAAGCTGCAGTGCTGAGGCCAGCAGACAGCCTGCCAAGCCTGAGATGCCTGATGGGCAATAACAAGAAAGGGGAGCTCCAGCCTGGCTTGGTGTTGAGTCTCTGGGAAGAAAACCAAACAAATCCAGGGTGGGTTAGCTTTCTCCTGTGGTTGTACTCTCTCTCCTGCAGTCAGGAGAAAGGAAAGAAAGAAAAAGAGAGAAAGAGAGAAATAGACAAGGAAAGAAAGAGAAAAAGAAGGAAGGGAAGGAAGGAAGGAGAACAATGAAAGAAAGAGAGAGATAAAGAAAGAGAAAGGAAAGAAAAGAGGCAGGAACTAGGAGGCCTTGACACTTGTGACTGAGCCCTGCAGAAGGGTCAGTGATGAGGACCTCAGAAAGTAAAGACCTCACCTGGACCCTGAAGCTCACTTCCAGGTGTTCTGCTGTGAAGCCAGGACTGGACACCAGAGCATCCACTATGGCAAGGGCTCTACTCTCCAGGCCACCTGAAGGTATCAGGGGTTTCTGACCTGGAGACGAGCAAACACAGTGGGAGGTGCTGCTGCCTGGTGATATCTGAGGTGCTGATGTGGAGGGAGGACAGGCTTCTTCCTTATGACACCCAGAGCTCAAGTTGGGGCCCACAGGGACCATTCAAAAGGAACTCAAGTTCAGTGTAATCTGAGTGCATCAACTGGGATTTACCAAGAGAAGCAGACCCAGTAAGAGATAGATGATTTGTTGTTGGGCATTGAGCTAACGTCGTCCTGGGGGTGGTTTTGTTAAGTGGTCTCTGCAAGGTTATGGTCCCCACAGCTGATGCTGGAGATTGAAGTCTATGAAGTAGGCCATCAGGAAGGGAAGAGCGTGAGCAAGTTGGAACCCGCAAGCAGGAGGGATGGCGGAGACCATGCCCATGCTTGTTGCCTCTGACCATGGTGACAAGGGTGTCCTGCAGAAGCAGGGACTCTCCCTCACAGGGTTAAACACATGCACCTGGGCCAGGAGGCAGAGAAGGTGGCCTGGCTGTGGCTTCATGCCACTGGGGTGAATCGCCAGACCAGCAACAATAGGTGTGTGCTGCTATTTCCCCATCGACTTTCCAATCTCCCAAGACTTTTCTGTGTGGCTGACTCTAACCATAAACAGCTGATGGTGAGCACCAGGAAACGTAGTCCTGGCCAGCCAACCTGATATCAGAAGACCAGCACAGCAAGGAAGGCCTGTCTCACATTCAGAGCTGCCCTGAGTGGGATGGGCTGTTCTGGGGGAAGGCTGTCCCCTCAGTAGCTCCACGCAAGCAGCAGCTGCACAGCTACCCAGTGGGGATGCTGTGCTTTGGCTATGCAACCATGGTGGGAGGGGGCCTTTCCTTCATCTGGCCTGGAACTCACCGTAAATGTCACTCCTTTGGGGTGGCCCACTGTGAAATGAAATTGCCCTCATAAATGCTGCCCTGAAGAGGTCTCTGGGTGTGGGACTGAGAAGAGGCTCTAGGAATGGACAGTCAGGGAGAGCAGAGGGTCTCTGCCAGCCCTCACCATAAGCATGGGCCTGGTAGAGTGGATCATGCAGCCCAGGTCCTAGCCCCGATGTGTGGGTATAGCAGCAGCTCTGGGCACCCAGGATGGCAGCCTGAGTGCAGGCCTTAGAATCCAGGCTCGACTCACCACCCCAGTGGGTAGGTCAGCTGGCTCCATCCTCTCCCCTCCCCAGGACCAGCTGACCATAACTCAGCAGGTTGGGTGCTGGCCAGTCCCGGAGCCTCACTCCTAGGTGGGAAGTACTGAGAAGTCCATAGCTGTTGGAAAAAAGGCCTCAAAAAACCCACAGCAGGAACCCCAGAAAGGGGCTCTACTAGTGAGGACATCAAGGAAACTGTGGAAATTACTTACGCATTTCTCAAAAATTCAAATATGGCACTAGGCCACCTCTATGCACAATAAAAAGATGGTCAGCCAAACTGGCCCTCACCTGGTTCTGCTACTTCCCCACTTCTGCTGCTTCCCCATTGCAGGAAGATGGCAGCTCTATAAACCTCAGTTTCTCCATCTGCCAATCAGGAAAAAAGGCTAATGGTCAGTGCCCCTTACAGTACTGACTACATAATATGCTATGCACAGCCTAGTGCAAAATCAAAATGTGGGCCCTCTGCTCAAAAGTTAAGAATTTCAAAACCACAATAACAGCATGTTACACCAAGCACAGGGCTCTTCTAAGCATAGAGCACAGTAGGGCTGCACAAGGAACGCCATGTGTGAGGCAGGCCCTGCCAACACACTCTCTGGTGCCTCTACCGTGTTTCAAAAGCTTGTGTATGTATTTATCATGAGAATGGAGGTATATATCCTGCAGCTCATGCTGTACCTTAGACATGCCAGTATGGGTCGGGATATATTTAGTCTCTGGAAGAATTTTGATTCAAGATTCCTGGGTGACCAAGGACCCAAGTTGGAGGCACCCTAGTTGGGGCCTCGACTTATGAAACTAAAATCTTATTTAAATAAAATGTCCTTCAAATGCAAGCTATTATTACAAAAGATCCTTTTTAAAAACTGTGAACATAAGACCACAGAGTTGCTAAATGTCCACAGAATATGCATATCCTGAAAAGGGAACATTTGTGAACTCAATGGGGATCAGCAGACTCTGGCCAGTGGGGCCACGGGCATACTCCCCAGCCTCCACTTGGGGCTGTAAACCGAAAATAAAATTCAAAGACCCTCCCACTCCTGCAACTATCTGAATGTACTTCCTCCTTCGCCAAGGCACTCTAAAATGTAACTTTAAAGACTGGTTCAGGCCATGACTGGAAGTGGGGATTGTATATGCCTCATTTTAAACCTCCCCCAGCATTAACATCAACACAGGCCTTAAGCCTAATAAGAAACAGTTACTGTCTTCTCTCTAAAGCCTGCTACTTGGAGGCTTCATCTGCATAAAACCCACGTCTCCACAACCTCTTGGCGTAACCCAGACATTTCCTTCCTATTGATGATGACTCTTTCAACAAATTGCCAATCAGAATATGTTGAAATCTACATATGACCTGGAAACCCCTGCTTCGAGTTGTCCTGCCTTTCCAGATGGAACCAATGTAAATCTTACATGTATTGATTAATGTATTATTTCTCCCTAAAATGTATAAAAGCAAGCTGCACCCTACCACCTTGGGCACATGTCATCAAGACCGCCTAAGCCTGTGTCGTGGGCGCGTCCTTAACCTTGGCAACGTAAACTTTCTAAATGCACTGAGACCTGTCTCAGATATTTGGGGCTCACATGGCCTCCACTCTTGCCCTTGGCCTCATCTATGCCATGCCTTGCTCCAGTTCTACCAAATCGCAGGGGCTTCCCTGAAGACTGTGCATTGCCTCCTATCTCTGGGCCTATGCACATGCTGTTCCCCTGCCTGGAATGCCCTCGCCATTCGGAAACAGCACCCAAAACACCACTGTTTCCCTTCGCAATTCAACTCCCACATCTCCTTTGGGAAGCTTCCTGGATTTCCTGGGAATGGTTGTAAATAATAATAATAAATATATGACATTTATTCAGTATCGATTATGTTTTAGTCACTATTATAAGTAATTTACATGTATTAACTCATCTATACTTCACAGAAACCCTCAGATAAATATACTATATCCTATCATTTTATTTAATATTAATTCCCATTTTACTGCTGCTGACAAGACCCAAAGAAGTATAGCAGCTTAGCCAAGCTCACACTTCCAGGCAGTCTTGCTCCAGAATGTGTGTTCTTGCCTGCTCCACAATTCTGCCACTCTCAGCTAGTTGCTCTTTGTATCTCATATTTACCTCCTCCGTGCACATATCCCATTGGATTGTGACCATTTGCTTATCTGGCTTTTTTCTTGAGTGCAGGGACTTTGTTCTATTCACTATTGTCTTCCTGTACCTATCAGAATGACTGATACTAAAAGGTTTTCAACGAGTATTAACAAAACGGAAGAGCTTCCACCCAAATGCTGATGCATCGCTTTCCCACATCCAGGCCTCCTCCAAGCTGTGGCAGACTGCAGACCATCAGCTGGCCCATCGCGCTTGAGCAAGAGACAAGGCCAAGTCCCCAGCGTTCTCTGCTGGCCTCCTTCTAAACCAGACACCGGACACAGATTCTTGGAGCCCCCACCGTTTGGTTTTAACAGGACTGTGGCTTGCCCTCAAAGCCTTCTCATGGTGATCAGACCTAGGTAGATGTCCCTGCCCCGTGAGCTGAGCAGGACTTTTCTGAATCCAGAGAGAGATTTGTGCCTATGAGAGAACATGCCAGGGAGTATGCTGCCTCCAAAGATCGGGACATGCACCTGCTGTGAAGGCAGTTCTTGTGGGTGCGGTCTAGGAGTCTCCTCTTGCACTCCTGCTTCTTGGCCTGTAAAATCAAACTTTCCTTCAAGGCCTTACTCAAACCTCCTTCTCCTGTAACAGTCAGATTCCTAGTCAGCTTCCTTGATTCCTTTTCCACCTGCCTCCTCACATTGTGAGGCCATGGTTCTCAGCTGTGCTGAAGTAAATTATGAGGTCACTTATAAGTGAGGCCTTACAAGTGACCATAACCTTGCTTGATTTACAAACATAAGCAAAGCTTAACTTGAGCTATTTCTTGTAAATGCCTATTTTAAAGAAAACTGAGGCCAGGCATGGTGGCTTATGCCTGAAATCCCAGTGCCTTGGAAAGCCAAGGTGGGAGGATCACTTGAGGCCAGGAGTTCAAGACCAGCATGGACAACAAAGCAAGACCCCATTCCTACAAAAAAAAAAAAAAAAAAAAAAAAAAGAGAAAGAAGAAGAAGAAAGAAAAGAAAGAAAAATGAAACTTAAGGATAATCAATCAGAACTGTCAACTCACTGACAATTATATAATGAGAAACTTTCCAACAGGATAAATCAAATAAGGCAACTCTATAACTGTAGCATATCAACTTGTATGTATATAACTTGTATGTATATAAGTGTAACAAATCAAACATTTCCTTTGCTTTACTTCTTCATTCACCATTTAAAAAAGCCTTTCCCTTGCATCTCCTCAGTGCAGCCTGAAACCACCTTTGGATTAGTACTTCCAAATTCATGAATTGCTGCTTGCTCCATTAAACTCTTTAAAATTATACCATGCTGCAGTTTACCTTTTAACAGCCCCATTCCCATTAGAAACTCCTTAGGAGTATTTTATAAATACTGATGTCCATGTCTCACCCTAGACAAGCTCATTCAGACTGACATTTTGTTAAAGCCCCAAGGTGATGCCAACATGAAGACAGGGTTGAGGACCTCTGTTCTGGAGCGACCTATGCTAGGACATCCTTGTACTGACCACCCCTGCCCTATGAGGGAATTAACTGCCTTGTTACTAAGTGCACAAAAGAAGTGCTCAAGAAATGGTATTGAAATGATAGTGATTAGAATTATGAATGCTCAGTTTCTCCTTATTGATAAATCCTTTCATATTTGAGAAGCTTTAATGCATGGGAAAATAATAGTCTTACAATTTGTACTTTGATAATGTCCAGTTTATTCATTGTATAAAGATATCAAATAGCATTTCTTTGAACATTAAATAAGCATCCCTCCAAGTATTCAGTTCACACTACAAATACATCATTTAACAACTTAAATTTCCCTAGGCATTCAAATATGGCAATTATAAATATTTTGTATCATCAAATTAAAATCAAAAGTTCAATACAACAGATTTTTTGAAGGAAAACTTTGTTTTTTCTTTTGTTTGTTTGTTTTGTTTTTGAGACAGAGTCTCGCTCTGTCGCCCAGGCTGGAGTGCAGTGGGACAATCTCGGCTCACTGCAACCTCTGCCTTCCGGGTTCAAGCGATTCTTCTGCCTCAGCCTCCCAAGTAGCTGGGACTACAGGCCTGTACCACTATGCCTGGCTAATTTTTGTATTTTTAATAGAGACGGGGGTTTCACCGTGTTAGCCAGGATGGTCTCGATCAATCTCTTGACCTCGTGATCTGCCCGCCTTGGCCTCCCAAAGTGCTGGGATTACAGGCGTGAGTCACTACGCCCAGCCTGGAAATCTTAAAATAAAAAAAAAATCTTACAAAATATTACAGTGGTTACAAATTGATGAATGGGCTTGTGCAAAAGGACCCAGTTAGAAAAAGGTTAACCCAAGGATTTCAATGCATGCTTTCTTATCTCTATTATCATTTTAGTTTTTAAGTTCTATTATCATTTTAGTTTTTAAGTTCTTATTCTTACTCTTTCCCTGGGTAGCAGATCCTAGCCCCTGCCCTATCTCAAGTTGCTCAGACTCCTTTCTTTGTAAAGATTTTATCAGTCTTGAATAATTATAGGACTGTTACAATTATATAGTTCTTATTTGTTGCATTTTGACAGTTTGTGGTTTTTGAGAAAGTGGTTTATTCTTTTAAGTTGTGGAATTTATGAGAGTAAAGTTGTTCATAATATTTCCTTATTATTCTTTTAGTGGCTGCAAGATCTGCACTGATATTCCTATTTTATTTCTAATATTGGTGATTTATGTCTTTTTTCCTGTTAGAGGTTTATCAATTTTATTGAATTTTCTCAAAGAATTAGCTTTTTGTTTCATTGATTTTCCTTTGTTGTTTTTTTTAATTTTCAATATTACTGATTTCTGCTCTTACCTTTATTTCCTTTCTTCAGCGTGCTGTGGGTTTATTTGGATCCTTTTCTCATTCCTTGAGGTAGGAATTTAGATTATTAACTTGAGACCTTTATTTTCCTGATGTAAGGATTTAGTGCTGTAAATTTTCCTTTCAGCACTGCTTTAGCTGTGTCTCATATATTTTAATATACTTTAAAAATTTTCCATTCAGTTCTATGTTTTTTTTTTAGTTTCCTTTGAGACTTTTCTTTGATTCATGGATTATTTAATTTCTAAATGTTTAGAGTTTCCTTTTTTTCTTTCTGTTACTGATTTCTAGTTGATCGTATTGTGATCAGAGAATACCCTCTGGATGACTTCTTTTAAATTTGTTGAGGGCATTTTATGGGCCAGAGAATAATCTATCTTAGTGAATTTTCCATGAATACTTATGTTTAAAAGAAAAGTATATTCTGCTGCTATTGGGTAAAGAGTTCTGTGTATGCCAACTAGATATTACCGGCTGACTGTGTTCAGATCATCAGTATACTTGCTGCTTTTCTGTCTAGTATTCAGTTGCTAAAAGGAGGGTGTTGCAGTTTTTAATTATAATTGTGAATTTGTCTCTTCTTTCATTTCTATCAATATTTGTTTCACGTATTTTGAGGCTCTGTTGTTTGGTACATGTAGATGTAGGATGTTATATTTTCCTGGATTGATTCTTTTATCATTATTTTATTATAATGTCCTTCATTGTTTTTAGTAATTCTCTTTGCTGTAGAGTTTACTTTATCTGATATAGACATAGCCAGTCCTGCCTTTTTTCTAGTTAATGTTTGCAGGGCATATATTTTCCCATTCTTTTACTGTCAACCTACATAAGCCATTGAATTTGAAGTGAATTTCTTATAAACAGCAGATAGTTAGGTCATGCTTTTTATTCCACTCTACAAATCTCTGCTTTCTAATTTGTGTATTAAGACAATTTACATTTAAGGTCATTATATGTTCTCAAGTCTACCATTTTATTATTTGTTTTTTTCTGTTTCTCTTTTCTTGTCTTCTGATAGGTTACTTGAACATTTTTTATGATTCCATCCTGATGTATTTATAGTGCTTTTACGTGCATCTCTTTTTATAGTTTTCTTAGTTCAGGATATTGCAATATACTAATATGTCTTACTGTAGTCTACTGGTATCAATATTTTATCACTTTAAATGAAGGATTAAAACCTAACTTTTATTAAGTCGCTTTACTTTCCCCCACGTTTAAATATTATTTTGCGTACTAGATAGTGTTATAGCTTCTATTTCAATCATCAAATATAATTGATAAAACTCATCAGGTCAGTCTGTTGTATGTACTCATATTTCTGCTCTTTCTTTTGTTCTACCTTTCTGATGCTCCAATATTCCTTTCTTTATTTTTTATTTTTTATTTTTTTTGAGACGGAGTCTGGCTCTGTCGCCCTGGCTGGAGTGCGGTGGCGCGATCTCGGCTTACTGCAAGCTCCGCCTCCCGGGTTCATGCCATTCTCCTGCCTCAGCCTCCTGTGTAGCTGGGACTACAGGTGCTCGCCACCATGCCCCACTGATTTTTTGTATTTTTTAGTAGTGACGGGGTTTCACCATGTTAGCCAGGATGGTCTGGATCTCCTGACCTTGTGATCTGCCCGCTTCGGCCTCCCAAAGTGTTGGGATTACAGGCGTGAGCCACCGCCCCGGCCTCCTTTCTTTATTATTTACTTTCTATTTAAAGAACTTCAGCCATTCTTTACAGGTAAGTCTGTTGATGACAAATTCTTCTAAATTTTTCTTTTTCTGAGAATATCTTTACTTCCCTTTCTTTCTGAAGGATAGTTTCTCTGGATCTAGAATTACTAGCTGACAGTTCTTTTATTTCTATACTTGAAAAATGTCACGCCACTTCTTTCTGCCTCCATTATTCCAGATGAGAATCCCACTGTTACTCAAATTGGTGGTCCCCTTTAGGTCATGTATTGTTTCGTCCTGGCTACTTTTAATTTTTTTTTCTTTTGGTTTTCCAATGTTTAATTATGATGTGTCTTGGCATGAATTTCTTTGGGTTTTTCAAATACTGAGTTGGATCACCTTGAATCTGCTAAATCTGGAAGCTTTTCCACAATTATTTCTTCAAATACTCTTTCATTCTATATTTCTTCTTTCTTTCTGGGATTTCAATGATGTAAATTTTATAACTTTTATTTTTGTCCCACAGGTCTCTGAGTCTCTGTTCATTCCTCTTTTTTTTTTAGTTTATTTTATTTCTGTCCTTCAGATTGAGTAAATTCTTTCGAGCTGTCTTCAGGTTCATTGATTCTACTGTCATCTCCACTGAGCTCATTCAGCACATTTTTAAAATTGTTGTTATTGTATTTCTCAGTTCCACAATTTTTAGTTGATTATTTTAAATACTTTCTATTGTTTTGCTGAAATGTTTTATTAGTCCGTTCGTTTCAAGAAAATCCGTAATTGATTGTTGAAGCATTTTTAGAGTAGGTGCTTTTCAGATAATTCCAACATCTGATTCGTTTCAATGTGCAGGGTCAGTTGATTGCCTTTTCTCATTCAAGTTGTAATTTTTCAGATTCTTAGTATGATGGATAATTTCAGTTATATCCTGGAAAATTTGACTATTCTAACACTCTAGATTCTATTTAAATATATTATTTTAACAGCCAGGGGCTCTGTTTAGGATTAGCCCACAGGTCTGTCCTACTTTTGTCAGCTGTGGTTCCAATGACAATATAATTTCCGAGACCTGTGTGGTGTTATTTTGGTTTGCTTGGTTTATCTCATTTTCCCACTGCTTCCTGCTGGTGCTGCCCGAGGGGACAGAAGACGTTGAGCTACCTGACACCACCCTGTGGGGAAAGGAAGTTTCCGGACTGCCTTTTGGCAGAATCTCCCTTGCTTTTGAGAGGATAGAGAGGGCTTTCTGGTTGGCCACTTGCAAAAGGATCTCCTTGCCCATGCTGCTTTGCTACTGGGTGTCTGTCATGTGGGAGAGGAGTCTTGGGCCTAAGGAGAAAAAGAGGCTTCCTGAGCTGGGAGCATGGAGTTGTAGGGCCTCTACCCCAGCATTGCCTTCTGTGGTCTCTTGGGAGAGAAGAGTCTCACAGGCAGCAGGGAAGGAGAGTGCTTTCCCTGACTACCTATTGTCAGTGGGGCTCCTGATTGATCCCATATGAAGTGCCACTGGGCTCGCCTGCTGTGGCCATCAGAAGGACTCCCGTTCAATCTGGGGACCTTCCTACCTGGGCTGCCTTCTGTTGCTGAGCTGGGGTTTCAGAAACACTATGCCTGAATCTCCTTCTTCTTCTTTTGGGTGATGGGAAATTGCAAGTCACCCTGACTCTATGTTGTCCCTCCAACCCTTAGGTTTCTAATCAGTTTACCTTCCTCTTCCCACCTTTCAGAGTTCTTTTCATTATTTTCAGGGTTTACTGTTGTACTCGGTGGGGAGGAATAGGGAGAAACAGGTATATTTCATCTTGTCCAGGCCAGAGTATCTAGTTTTCTTTCTGTTATAGATTTCTAGCTTAATTTTCTCATAATAAGAGAACTCTCATAAAGCAAAGATTTTATAGATTCAGTATGATGGCATCAAGTCCATAAGTAGACTTCTTTATTGATAGAAAAAAGGAAACACCAGTGACAACATAGAGATGTGTGACCTCCTGACTATTGTAGCAGTGGCAGAAGGAAGGCAGATAGAAGATGGTTATCATGGTGATATGAAAGATGGGAGCATTTATGAGAATGTAAGAGCATTTTTACTTAAGAAATTACTATGAGGAGAAAAGACAGTGATTTTTGTGGTGTCTGAAATGATGCTAACTAATAGGTATGGCCAACTAGAGGCAAAGAATTATTGCCTTTGGAATCCTAAAACTACCCTCAAATTTTCCTTCCTATTCTGCTATCTGAGAGCTTATGAAAATTTGAGTCAGCTTTTAGCCTTGACATATAATCTACAAATGTCATAGCTGTTGCATACTTTTCTCTATAAATGAACCTCTTTCTATATCCTTGTATTAATAGTGTTTGTAACTAGATGGTATGAGACTGGCAAAACAAGGCTTATCTACCCCAAATAACAGATATTCTCAGGAGTGCCAGTCAGGGACATGTCCATGAAATTCATGTTCTTATAACCAGGAAGTGGGGGCTTTGTGGACAGGTACTACTAAAATAATTAAGCCAAAGCTAACATTTAAAATTCTTTTTCCAAACACCCTCAAATCTTTTCATTTCTCACTGTGTGGTTTGCAGTTTACTCTGGCTCTTTTTGGTGGAAAAATTTGCTCACTTACATATGAACCTCACATCTCACATATTAATAGGTTTGGCCTTTCAGTGATCCTTCTGTCATATATGCAATGTAAAATTTAAAGACAATTACGGATGGTAGAAAGAGCTTCTTGAACTAATACACAAATGAATTAAAATTTGTATGGAATTATAATCATTAATTAATTTAAGAAAGTTCCAAGAGTAATAAGAAGCCAAAGAAAGCACATAGTCTTGATTTTCTGAGAAAAATTTAAACTTTTTACATTTAACGCATCTTTGTACATTGGCTAAAATGTAACTTCATGGCCCTAAAACTAAAATCTTTGCTAGAAAAGATGGAGTTGAACATAGGCCGACTGAGCTGCCATTCTTATTAGTTATGAGAGTTTAAGAAGACAACAAGGACCACATGTCTAAGAGACAAATGGCCATTTTAAAGGCATGATGGTTCTTGGCAAAAGCACATGTGACTGTTAGGTGTTGCCAAATGAAAGTGTGGCTGAAATGGCCCAAGCTGGTTTGGTGAAAATTGCAAAGAGACAGTATAGCCATTAGGGTCATTCACAAATCTTCCAACTTTACACACACCCCTCCCCCAAGTGTATTCTAAAATTTGCTTCCCTGCTCCTTTAAAGTTATGTGCAGCTAAATCCAGCTTGGCCAGTGAAATGTGCAAAACCCCTTAAGATCCAGCAAAGAGTGCACTGTTCCTTTCCCCCATCTCACTGATAATAAAAGTACATATACAGACATATAAAAGTACATACAGAGATACCTCCTGGTAACCTGGCATCCCTGAGAAATTGCAATGAGCAAAACTCCCTTTCTTTGCTGGGCATGGTGGCTCATGCCTGTAATCCCAGCACTTTGGGAGGCTGAGGCAGGAGGATCCCTTGAGCCCAGGAGTTCAAGACCAGCCTGGGTGACATAGGGAGACCTTGTCTCTAAATAAAATAAATAAATAAATAACTCCCTTCCCTAAATTTGACATGTAGCATGAGAGAGAAGCAAACTTGCATTGTTGTCTTCGTCTGTTTGGGCTGCTACAATAGAATACCATCAACCTGGTAGCTTATAAAGAACATAAACTTATCTCTCACAGTTCTGGAGGCTGGGAAATCCAAGATCAAAATGCTGGCAGATTCAGTATCTGGTGAGGGCCCACTTTCTGGTTCATAAATGTCCATCTTCTTGCTACAGCCTCACATGACAGAAAAGAAGAGGGAGCTTTCTGGTGTCTCTCTTATAAAGTCTCTGCTCTTATGACACAATCACCTCCCAAAGGCCTCATATACTAATACCATCACCTTGGGGTTTAGGATTTCAACATAAGAATTTTGGAGGGACACAAACATACAGACCATAGCATTCTTTCCCCTAGCCCCCCGAAGTTCATGTCCTTCTTGCATAAAAAATACATTCATTTTATCCCAACAGCCCCAAAAGCCTTAACTTGTTGCAGCATCAACTTGAAAGTCTAAAGTCCAAGGTCTCATCTAAATACCATCTAAGTCAGTTATGGGTGATCCTCAAGATACAATTCATTCTGAGGCAAATTGCTCTCCAGCTGTGAACCTGCAAAAATCAAACATGTTATGTGCTTTCAAAATGTCATGGTGAGAGAGGCATAGGATAGACATTGCATTTCCAAAAGGGGAGATAAGAAAGAAGAAAAGAGTGACAGTCCAAAACCCAATTAGACAAATGCCTTTCAACCTTAAGTCTTCAGAATCATCATCTTTGGCTTGATGCTCTGCCCTCCAGGCCTGCTGGGGCAGAGGTCCTACCTTCTAGACCTACTGGGTGGGGCTCTGCATTCAAGACCCACCAAGATGGGTTCTTGCCTCTACGGCTCTTCCAAACAGGAGTCAAGCCCTCAGTTTTCTAGGCAGCTCCACCTCAGTGGCAGTTCTGTGCCTGGGCCCTGCTCCTATGGGAGTCCTCTGCCTAGGCCCTACAGCTCTCCAGTGTTGGGGTTCCAAGCTCTTGGCTCTGCCAGAAGACCCTCTTCTTTGAAGTCTAGGTGGAGATATCCATGCCCCCTGGCTCCACGGGGCACAGCCCACACCAAACCAGGGCTCACCAAAGCTACACCTGGGGTAGCCAAGAAGTGCAGTTCCAGAGTGTTAAAACACATGCGCAGTGGAGCCTGCTATGTGAGGCAGTGCTGGGTAGGACACTGAAGTCCTGCGGTTGCCAGTGGCCCTTCGTTTGCATATTTTCATTGTCTTTAACAATAGCTCCTGTCTTCTGTTGAGACAGCTGATTAATCTCCTTCCTTAGCAGTCATTTGACCCCATCCTTAGTGTTCTCTTCTGACCATGCTTTCTCATTTTTACAATACGGATTGGCTGAGAATTTTCCACATCTTTGAATTTTGCTTCCCTTTTGATGAACAATTTTGTCTTTAAATCATTTTCCTCTTCTTGCATTTTACTATAACCAATCAAGAGAAACCAGGCTGATCCTCAAACACTTTGCTTAGAAATTTCCTCAGCCAAATATCCAGTTCTATTGTTCACAAGTTTACTCTCCACAGAACACTAAGATATGAACACAATTCAGCAAAATCCTTTGCCACTTTATGATATGTTCCTCTTCTCTGTCTGAGACCTCTTCAGATGGCTTTTATCATCCATATTTCTACGAACATTCTGATCAGGATTATTTAGGTATTGTCTAAGAAGACTGAAACTTTATTTATAGTTATCCTTTCTTTCTGAGCCCTCACCAGGATCACCTTTAAAGGTTCATTCACAGCAATGAACGAAACTTTCTAGGATGATGAAAATGCTCTGTATCTGGATTTAGGTTGTTGGTTATGCAGGTTTGTCAATACTCCTCATTTATATGCTTAAGATCTGTATATTTCACTACATACAATTTTAAGATATTTTTAATAGGATAATTTGTCATTTTAGATATCATGAATCATGATATCAGGCTGAAGGCTTTTTCTAGCATTCACTTCAAAACTCTTCCAGCCTCTACCCATTACCCAGTTCCAAAGTCCCTTCCACATTTTTAAGTATTTGTTACAGCAGCACCCCCACTTTCAGTAACAATTTTCTGTTTTAGTCTATTTGAGCTGCTATAACAAAATACCATAAACTGGACTTATAAACAACAAACACTTATTTTTTGCATTTCTGGAGGCTAAGAAGGCCAGATCAAGGTGCCAGCATATTCAGTGTCTGGAGAGGGCCTGCCTCCTTTTTCATAGACAGCTATCTTCTTGCTATAACCTCACATGGTGGAAAGGGGGTGAGTTCTGTGGGGCCTCTTTTATAAGGGCACAGATGCCATTCATGAGGGTCCTGCCATCTTGACTTGGCCACCTCCCAAAAGCCCAACCTCCTAATACTATTACCTTGTTAGACTTTCAATATATGAATTTAAGGGAGGCACAAATATTCAGTCCATAGCAGTTGTGTTAAATCTCCGAGATATGGGATTATTTGTTACTGAAATGTAACCTAGACCACACTGACTGATATAAAGTTTATTCAACAGTCTTGGTGAAGAAAACTGTTATCTGCTGAGTACCAGGAAAAAAATTCAGTGTCTCAGAAAATTAGTAGTTAATTAAGCCCTATCTTCAATAATTTCTTTACTTCAAATTTGTAATAATTCAAACATTTAATCCCTTTAAATGTTTGAGAACTTGCAATAGGTCTAATACTGTAGGTCTAATAGGTCTAATATATTCAAGTAGGAAACTGGCAAGTAACATCCAAGAGTCAGTTGGCCACCCATGCTTGAGGAGGCTAATGATCCCCCAGTTGTTGGTAGGAACAAAATGAAACCTCCAGGATAGGGAGTGGACACCAAGTGATAGCACTCAGACAGAGATTTGTCACTGGGGTGGGCTGTCAGGCCCCACCTGAGTCCCAGAATCTTAAATTTCTTCTTCCCAATCCCCAGTGCTGCTTGACCCTTAAACAGAGCATTAATCTATGCTCACAAAGCATGTGCAAGTTTAAAGCACTTAGAAAAATTCCTGGTACGGGGTGAGCATGCTATGGTTATCTCTCAGCATCAGCATTATTATTATTTTTATTGTTATTGCCTCAATTTTTGGATGAGAAAACTGGAACTTAGAGTGATTAATTGGTCCAAAGTCCTGAGATTATAAGTGACTGAGCTAGGATTTGAATTAAGGTTCAAATTAAATGCTCTTTCCACAGCATCAGCTACCTCTTCAGTAGCTTATGCTTGAGCTGGAAAGTGACTTCTCCCAAAAACAAATGTCAAGGAGCCAAAACTGAAAGGCAGGTAGAAATGGCTGTACAAAAAATAAATTATTGAGACCTTAAACTAAAGTTTGGTCCAGATTTATGCTTCTGGCCATCACAGAGGAACTGGCTCCAGACTTGTCCTTCTGTGGAAAATAACTATAAAACTGGATGACTTTTCAAGTACTGAATACAGAAAACACAGGCTTGTGATTTTGAAGAGAAAAGAATCACGTGAAGTGAGCTTCAGTTTCACTGAGGTTTTCTGCCTGGAGGCAGCTTCGAGCTGCCATACAGGGAAGTGGAAGCAGAGCTCAAGCAGAGGATGACGAACTGAGTGAGGAGGCAAAAATCCCAAGTATGGGAGACATAAGCTGCTGAAGCAGCCGGAATCTGTGAGATAGAGTACTAGAGAAAAGGAGTTTCCAAGAGATCTCCAGAAGTCTCCACAAGTTTTCTGTAGGTCTTTTGTGAGGGATGGACTACAAATGGCCAAGGTGAGACGTCCTAAGGCCTGGATGCGATCGTGTGCTATGGAGCTGAAAGCTTGATAGAAATACCAAAGGTGTGTAATGCTGGGAGATGCCTGAGTTCCTGCTGAGTGGGAGGGCAGGAATAGCTGACTGCATCAGAGATTCACTGGCACCCCAGAAAAGCCATGCCTAGGAGCAAGGACAGCCCTAGAGTAAAGGACTTGCCGTAGGGCTAAGTTAAGAAGCCAGGTTAAAAATCTAAACAAACAAGCAACAAACAAAGAAACAAACTACATTTACACCCTTCCTAAGAGAGTCAGAAGCCAAGCCTGATAGACAGAAAATGATCTAGTGGCAAGTGAATTGCCTGCCAAACAAAACTCAATGCCCTATGAGGAAAATGACATAATTTGGATACCCTATAACATGTCATCTAAAGTGTTTAACATTCAGTAAAAAAAAAAAATTAGACATGTGAAGAAGCTAGAAAATATGACCCTTTATCAAAGAAGCAGAAAAATGTGACCCATGATAGAGACAAATAAGGAGTCACTAGAAATTGAATTCAAGGTGGTTCAGATGTTGAATAACAGGCAAAGTTGTTAAAGTAGCTGTGATAAATATGTTAAAGCCGTTAAAAATGTGGTCATACCGAAACAAATGTGAGTTCTAAAAATGAAAAGAAAAATGTCGATATTGAGAAATTCATTTGATAGGAATAACAGCTCACAAAAGGCTGCTGAAGAATAAGTTAGCGACTGTGATGCAGATCAATTGACATTTTCAAATCCAAAGAGAAAAAAACCTGAAAAATAAGAGCAGCTCCTCTGTCACCTGTGGAATCATACCAACCAGTCTAACATAGGTATAATTAGAATCCCAGAAAAATAGAACAGAGAATGTAGCAGAAAAATATATTTGAAGAAATAATACCTCTATTTTTTCAAATTTAGTGAAAAGCAAACATACAGCTTTAAGAAGCTAAGCAAACCACAGGCAAGATAAATACAAAGAAATCCACATGTAGTCATATCATTGTCAAAATGCAAAAAACTAAAGATAATGTGAAAATCTTAAAAGCAATTAAAGAAAAAAGGCATGTTACATCTAGAGAAAAATGTTTCAAATTATGGCTAAATTTAGTCTTGTAAATTATGGAAACCAGAAGGCAATGGAACACCTTTTAACTTCTGGTGAAAAAAAAGAAGTGTCAATCTACAATTTTACAACCAATAGAGCTATTTTTTAAATGAAGGATATTTACATATAAATGAAAACTGATAGAATGTGTAATCAGCAGAGTTGTCTTATAAGAATTGCTAAAAAAAAATATTCTTCAGGCTGAAGGGAAATGACACCAGATAGACACTTGTATTTGGGAGTGGAGAGTAGCAAAAATGGTACATATGTGGGTAAATATAAGAGAATAATATATTCTTCAGTATTTATGCAAACCTTACCAGAATGGAAAAGAAAATATACCTAACTATATGTTGATTGCAAGAGATGGACTTGAAATATAAAGGCACCAGAGAGTTTGAAAATAAGAAGAAGAAAGATGCATTATGAAAACAGGAAACATAAGAAAGCAGTTATGTGCATATTAAAATCAGAAAAAGGAGACTTCAAGCAGAAAGTATTTTCAGAGATTGCAGAGGTCTAATTTTATAATAATAAAAGGATCAACTCATTAATAAGGCATAACAATTCCAAAACAATATGCATCTTAAAATTGTTCAAAATATATAAATCAAAAATTGACAGATAGAGAAATAAAAAACTGTGCAATTTTAGTTGGAGATTTTAACACCCCTTTTAAAATAATTTATAAGACTACATGTACATAGAATACTATACCAAAAAACTGCAGCACATACATTGTTTTAAAGTGCATTTGGAATATTCACAAGACAGATCATATCTGTCTATAAATGCCTATAAAATGCTTCAATAAATTTAAAATGATTAAAATATAACAAAGTATATTTTCTGACTACAGTGACATTAGAAATCAATAACAATAAATATAAAAATCTCAAATATATGAAAATCAAGAGGTATACTTCAAAATAATCTACCTCTGGGGAAGAATGAAAAGTTAGAATTTAGAAAATATTTTTAACCAAATGACACTTTAAAACACAACATATCAAAATTTGTGGAATGCAATTAAGCAATGCTTAGTGAGCAATTTATAACTTTAAATGCTAATATTAGAAAGAAGGAAGAATTAAAAATCAATGATCTAAGTTTTTACCTAAAGAAGCTCAAAAAAGGAGAAAAGGTAAATAAAAGGAAATCTTAACACTTTGAAAAAGAAGTTGAAAAGGGTTATAGCCACTTTGGAATCCATTTTGAAGTTTCTTCTAAGATTAACTAACAGTGGCTGAGCAATTGGACTCATGGGTATTTACCTAAAAAAATGAAAAAATAGTTTCATAGAAAGACTTGTAAAAGAATGTTCATAGCACCTTTTTTCAACTTTATTCAAAAAAGCATAATACTAGAAATAACCCATATGTTTACCAACAGGAAAATGGAAGAATTGTCCTATATTCATACAATGAACTACTGACCCATACGTCAACATGAATGAATCTTATAGACATACTGTTAAACAAATAAAACCCGGTATGACAGAATATATACTGTATTATTTCATTTTTCTGAAATTCAAGGACAAAACTAATCTATGGTAATTATATTAGTTATTTTCGCATAACAAATTATGCCAAAACTATTTGGCTTAAAATAGCAAACGTATTATCTCAAGGTTTCTGAGTCAGGAGTCGAGGCACAGTTTAGTTGGATGCTTCAGATTCAGATCTCCAGCAAGCCTACTTCAAGGCGTTGGCTGGGGCTGTGGTCATCTCAAGGCTTGCTTGGGGGACTGTGTGCTCCCAAGTTCACTCACGTGGCTGTTGACTGGAGACATCGCTTCTTTGCCATGTGGAGCTCTTCTTATGGGTCTCTCCCATGGCAGTTGGCTTCCACTAGAGCTGGAGCTCCAGAAGAGAGTGAAAGAAATGATGAGAAAGACAGAAGTCACAGTGTCTTTATAACCTAACCTCAGAAGGGATAGCAAGTTACTTGGCACTGCACACACTCTGGTGGAGGGTATTGCACCAGGGTATGAACGCCAAGACAAGGATCACTAAGGCCATCTTAGCAGCTGCCCACCATGGTGACAGAAACCAGAACAGCAGGGAATTGACTGGAAGGGGAACAAGTAAACCTTCTGGGATGATGAAAATGCTCTCCATCTGGATTTAGATTGTTGGTTATGCAGGTATATATGTTTGTCAAGACTCCTCAGTTTATACACTTAAGATCTGTACATTTCACTGCATGTAATTTTAAAATATTTTTAAAAGGATAATTTGTCATTTTAGATATCATGAGAATGAATGCAGACCCTTCTACAGCAGACCAAACAGAGGTAACCACAAAACAACACACTCATTTATCATGCTACACTGCAAGTATATAAACCTAATAAAGTCAAAGGAACACAAATGTTGTATTTTTACAAGGCTCTATTTACTCTCCTCTGGGAAGGGTGTTCAGGATTTTTAGCCAAACCTCTAAGACTTGGTTGGGGATCTGAGGACAACCAACCACAGTTTCTTCTTTTAAAGTATCTGTCTAGTTCCCAAAAAGGGAAGAGACAGGCAGCCTTCTTTAAGACTTAGATCCCTCCAGAAAGATGAGAAATGGAGCTAAGATCAGGGTTGGGGCTGAGGACAATTGACCATAATCAATTCCCTGTCTCAAAATGCCGTACTTCTAAGAGGGCTCACATGGATTTTTGGACAACAAACACCTCATAGAAAAGAGTATTTTGACAAATAAAGTATAACTGAATCAGAAACAGGCGGCTCACATTTCTCTTAAAACATACCAGGATTTTAAAATTAAGAAAAATCTTGCTTGACCAAGTACCTCTGAAGTTTTTCAGATCTGAAACATTTAGAAAAGCAGTTTTACCTACTTTCATAACCCAAAGTGCATGCAGATTGTCATCTTTTGGAAGTGGATCCACTGGAGGTGAACCATTTTGCTGTTTATCCCTTTACCATTTGGACAGTGACAGTGGCTAGTTCTCTTCTGATGGCCAAATTATTTTCCTTTCAGTTGCTGACAGCTATTCATGTGCTGAGCTCCATGCTAGGCACAGGGGAAGCCGGCTGGCAGCTCTCCCACTGCATCGGACAGGCTTAGCCAAAGGAGAGGGTTTGAACCCTCCTCCCAAAGATCTGATTGGCTGAACATGCAGTGAGTTCCCATGGTAGCCTTGAGATATTTTCTTTGGTGTTGGGGTTTTAGCAGGAGAGGCTTCAAGCACTGGCCTCCAGTAACCAATGCCCCTTGGAATTTGCAGTGCCAAGTTCAAATATTTCCAGGATTACTGAACCCATGAGGCCAAAAATCAGAGAGGAAATGTGCAAAGGCTATATGTGTATATTTACTAACTCTTCATCTGGTCTCCATCTTCTTCCTCTGAAGTAGTGGGGGAGGCTGCCCAACCATGATGCAAACTCAAAGTGAAGCGTGGTTTTGGAAAATCACATCCAATAACAATGTAACACAACCTCGGGACTGTTTAAAATCCAGAGAGTTCTAAGTGAAGGAGAGCGACCTCTATCAATCTCTGTAGTGTAGAATGAACTGCAAGAATCACAGATAGGTCTGCCTGTGCACACGCACAGCCCAGTCTCTGGCATCCGCTGAGGACTCAGCCAGTCCAGCCATTATAGCAGACATGGGGCAATCTGGAGGCAGTCTGGCCCCAACCAGTCTCTTCTCACCAACACCTCTTCCCATAAACATCCACACACACATGGAAAAATGTGAGGAATCCATTTTCATTTGATTCGAGAATGCCAATCTTCAAGGGCCCAGCTGGGGTACAGCAGTGTAGCAGGAAAATGTATGAGCTTTGGGCCATTCTTCACTGAATTTCCTTAAGCAAGTGATTTACATTCTCTGAGCCTTAGATAGTGGTACCTGCAAGGAGTGAAAGGCAATAGAAAATAAATATCAAGATTGGAAATGGGCCAGCATCAGGGCCACCTTATTGCACACTTTTAAGGTGCTATCTTAACATCATACTTCATGTAAATAGTGCCCCTGGAGTCATACAACTTGGTGCTTCTTACTGCCACTCACAGGTTCAGGGACCAAGACTGGCAGTTCCCAAGGGGAAAGATCCCTGAATCCTTCTACAAGACTTTGTTCTGAGATGTAGACCACAGGAAGCCTGGCCGAATCTGGAAAGCCACCATACAATAACAAGATAATTTGCAAAGAAAATATTTAAAGTAACAACCACAAAAATAAAACCCAAAGCAAGATGGGCTCAAAAGCCAAAAGTTAAAACAAACAAAAAAGTATAATACTATGAATATTAACAAATCCAGTAAATGGAAGAATTCATTTCCAGAAAAAATGATAATAATAAAGTAATCTGAAAAGGACTTTAAAATAGGTCACCTTAAAATTCCTAAAGAGACAAAGGAAGTAATATATTCATAAAATAAGAATAGGAAGTTGTGAATCAAATATTAGAGATTATGAACGACAACAGGAGCATACAAAAAACCAGAAATCTGGAAGTGAAAACTATACTCATTTGAAAATAAAAACAAATGATGACAGAAGAGATAAACAGGAGACTGAACAGAGTCAAGAAGTGATGATTTACAAAATGAAATCTCTTATAACCTAGTTAGTAAAGAGAGCAAAAACAAAAAAAGACATTATCTTTTTCCTACTCCCAAATCCCCTGTCTCCCTCCACTAGCCTCATATATCCTACAACTCTTTCCCCTCAGAAATGAATCACTGAACACGAGGTTTAGGTTGCAGGAGGAACGTTTTGGCAGAACTGCTCTTGGCGGCTGTCATCTTCCTACCTGCTGGAGTTTCTGCAGTCGGCCTCTCGACGAGCCAGTCTCTAGACAGCTTGGCCATTTATTCTAGGCATCCTCACCAAAGGTTTATCCAGTCCCTGCTGGAACATTCCAGTGACGGGACCGTCTACATTTAGTGCCTCTACCTAGTAGGGGAAAGAATTTCCCCAAAATAGAGGCACACTCAATCTACAACCCAATTCTACTTAATTTGTATTAGAAAATCTCATGTTACTGAAGGTAGGGAAAAATTGAATTCAGTTCATTGTGATCCCCCCTTTCATCCCCAGGGATGTGAGTATGTTCTAGAGGGGACTTAGGTAGAGAAAGCACCTGGCTCTTGAGTCCTCTGTCCACTCAGTTGTCTACCAAGATGAGCAAAGTGTCATCTGATCCTTGACCTTGGGTCCCAGGCTCTCTACTTGAGCCTCCTCGTCCCCGCAGCTGTGGTTCCTGCAGATCCCGAGCTGGCACCAGCCCACCTATGCCATTCCTAGGCGGGTGGTGGGGTGGTCACAGGAGCCTGCCTGTGTCTTTGAGGGGTGTGCTGGGGCACTGGAAGCCTGGTGAGACTCTCAATGGGGAGGCCGTCAAACAGTCAGTGACTCCCCAGGGCCTCCCTGCCTCCTGGAGGCTCCACCATAGCCTGCTCGAGAAGTGGGGCATCTCCTCTTTCCTCATGTAATCTCATCTCTCTTCCACACTTGACCCCTCCAACACCCACCTCACCACCCCAAGTTTTTTCCAGCCTCTGGAAGAAGTTCCTCCCTTCCTAATGGTGATGATCCTTCTCTCAGAGGTACAGGATATTGTTTCATAACAAACTCATGTTTTTGGAAACACAAAAATCAGGGAAGGCCATTCCCCATCACTCTCCAAAATGGAAGCTGAGAAGGAAAGGGGAAATGCTAGAGAAAGTAGACAGTAATGGTGTAAAATGCAAACATTTACTCCACTACCCTCATATCAAACTGAATGCCCCTCTCTGTAGCTCCCTGCCGGGGTGTTACCTCCTGGCTGGGACTCAGGGCCCATGGCCTCCAGAGTCTTCTCTTCTCTGAGGGGAGCATCCCCAGCTCCTTCAACCATGTGACAGCTCTGTGGTTCTCCACCAGGTTGGAAAATCTTTCTGAGAAAGTTGAATGACCTTGGAAAATTTCCTTCACCTTTCTTTGCCCTGATAGCTTTCTCTGTACAATGGGGCTAAGAATAGGCCAGGCCTCCTGGGCTGCAGCAGCTCTGTGATTGGTATTGTGTGAGGCTGGGAGGCTAAGGTCGGCTTCTCTCCCCAGCTCTGCCCCTGCCACATCCCCATAAGTGACATGTATTAACTTACTCAATCTCTGCAAAAAGCCTTAAGGGTTAGGCTATTATGATGCTCTCCATTTCACAGAAGGGAATGGGCATAAGAATAAGTTAGGTAACTTGCTGAAGGAAGTGAAGCAGTGACATTCAAATGCAGCAGTCGGCTCCCAAGCCAAACACTGTTCCATTCACTTTCTCAAAGCGTGGTGCCATGGCCTCAAACCCTTTAATTGTTCTCTATGTTTCATCAGCCTTTTTCATTTCTAAGCTTGTCGGCTTCTATATTCTCTCTTTTTTTTCTGTTAAAAATATTTTCCATAGCTTATCGATTTGGTGAATTTATTTTTTAAGGAATTAACCCACATCATGTAGCCTATTGTTTCTCTTTTCAGTTTATTTCTCTATGCTGTTTGTATTTCTTTCCTCCGCTCATGTTCTCTGAGCCAGCATCTTTCTTTGTTAACTTTTTAGATCATTAAAGCTCACTTAGCATTTTTAATAAAATTGCCATTTAAAGAAATTACTTTCCCTCTGAGAACGGTTTGGCCTGAGTCCACAGAGTATCTGTGTTTTAATTGTTTTCTTAAATGTTTGTAACTTTCTTCGAATTTCCTCCCTGCCTGGTTGGTACTTAGGAGACTACTTTTAGATTTTGTGTGGTTAGGTACCTTTTTTTTTTTTTTTTTTGAGACGGAGTCTCACTCTGTCGCCCAGGCTGGAGCGCAATAGTGCAATCTCAGCACACCGCAACCTTCACCTCCTGGGTTCAAGCTATTCTCCTGCCTCAGCCTCCCGAGCAGCTGGGATTACAGGTGTGTGCCACCACCCCTGGCTAATTTTGTATTTTTAGTAGGGATGGGGTTTCTCCATGTTGGTCAGGCTGGTCTCGAACTCCTGATCTCAGGTGATCCACCCACCTCTGCCTCCCAAAGTGCTGGGATTACAGGCGTGAGCCACCGCACCCAGCCATGGTTAGGCACTTTTATATCTTGCTTCTTCTGCTTATTTCTAATTTATTGTCTGAGGCACAGAATGTAGTGCATATAACGAAGGGACTTTTTGATGTTTCTATTCTTTTCTTTCTTTCATTTTTTTTCTTTTGCATGCTCTGAGAACTCCTTGGCTGCCCAGAAGGTTCCACTGAGCACACTTAATTCCTTGCAGAGTCTTGCTTAGACATTGATGGCCTAAACCATGGTGGTTGGCGAAGATCCTATTCCCTGTGGGTTTCTCCCAATTGCATTGAGGTCCCTGATGAAGTAGGTAGAACAAACCCAGGCATGAAGGGCTGGTAGCAGTTGGGGAGCCAGGGCCGGACACAGGGAGGCCATCATAAAAAACAGCCAGGGAATCCACCACTGGGGAGGATGAGGCCATATGTAGTGGCCGTAGACATGGCAACCTGGATCCCTCTGAGGTCTGTGGGGAAGAAGCACGTGGGTCAACTGTGATATAGGCAATAAGTATGTAGATTCTAGGTGAGTCAAATGTCAAAAACTGATGGGGACCCAGCTTACATGAGCTTCACATCAAGCAGGTGGGCATGCTTTGAATTAGTGGAGATGAACAAGGACACAGAGAATTTGGCCTTTAGCCAATCGCATATTTTCTTATTTATTTAATGAGATAAATTGTATTTATGTATCTATTTATTCCACTATTATCTGTAGAAGGTCTACTGTGCACCTTTCTGGTCCCTGCTAAAACACTGCCTTCATTCCACTGAGAAGTAGACCACATAGGTCTCAGGACCTTCTGTGGTTTCACTCACTCCTCCAAAAATGAAATATCCTTTCTATTTTTTGATTTCCAATTTCTAAGTTTAGGGGTGCTTCGGTGGCATAGTAGAAAAAAGGTGGGGCCCCACTTTATTCTGTGTGTTACCCTGTGCAAATCATCAGACTTCCTGGATCCTGTTTTTCCATCTGTGAACAAGGAGTGAGGGGCTGCCTTTTAGGCACTAAACTGGAGAAGCCTAAAGAGCGAGCAGACTGTGAAGCACCCACAACCACGGGTGACAGCGGTGGTGGGAGGAGGTGAGGTGGCGGTTAAAGCAGTGAAGCCCCTCGTCAGACTTAACCATGCCGCAGCAGGTAGCACAGAGTCTGAAATCCATGCAGCTTCCCCCATGTATGCCTTTCCTGCAAGGATTTCACATACAAGTAAGAAGTGTGGTCCTTCTCCTGTTGGCTCTGATATCCTTTCCAAGTAGTCAAGCCTTTAAGTAACAGCCACACTCAAGCAAGAAGAAACACTGGATGAGGGAATGCCTAGCCTCCCTCAGCCTGCCTTTTCTTCTCCTCATTCACACACCAGTCTAGATTTGAGACTGGGGCATTTAAACAGCCCCGACCCCTCACATGGGCTGAGTTTAGGTTACATCTGCTGCTGGTTCATTTCTAGTAACTGGATTTCTGCCTTGTTCCTAAGGGTTGATTCTCAACCCAGCTCTGCTCCCCTGGAGCTAGAGCTGTTTATGCTCAAGAGAGTAATCCCCACTCATACCCCAAGACTGGAGGCCTAACCCTAAAACTGCCTTGGAGTCTGTGGCCAGCCTGGCACTGGCAAGTTTTCTGAAAGTCTGAATATCTCCATACCTGCCATCCTGTGTGTAACCACCATGCCCCAGCAAGACCCTCTCACGGTTTGGGTGCAGGACTGCCCCCTATGGTCTGTCTTGTGCTACCCATGCCAAAGGACTTTTTCCACCTGGATACGTTGTTTATTTCGCCTGTTAGCCCAGATTCCTTCCCCGACTCCAATTCCTTCCTTGTCTTTCCATCAATGTTTGGCAGGTTGAATTACAGATCTAGGACATTTCTACCTTAGCCCATTCCTCCATGTCCAACCAATAAAGGAATTTTCTCCACCTGTTTCAAGGGGAGCCTGGAAGTAGCCATTAGACAAATCCTTGAGAATTCCAAACACGATAGCTCAAACAGCAATTGCCATAGCTGATTTACAAATGAAGAAATGGTTTACAGCAGTCTAAAGGCTAAACTAGGAAATTCTGTGGCCACACTAGGAAGGAAGAGGCAAAGAAGGAGTGGGCTTACTTACATGAGTTTTTTTTTTTTTTTTAATAAGAAAATGAAAGTAAAAGGGCATTGGGCATTCCTTCATTCTTTCTTTTGACAACCATGTAACTGACCACCAACCATATTCCAGGTTCTATGGTGGATTCAACAGGGAACAATATGAACAAGGTCCCGAAGAGCCTTTTGGAGTCATAGATCAGTTGGTTTCATCCACAAAGGAAGACTGGAAAGAAGAGGTGATTCATATGTGAGAATAAAACCAAAGCCAAACCTGAAGCCAATCATTCAGAGAGCCCAAGGCACAAACCAACAACTCTGAATCAACTCACTGAGTCCCTACTGTGTTTATGGTATTCACCTCCACCCCTAGGACACCAGGTCCTTTCCTAGAAAAGCTTCTCCCATTCATCTGATTGCTTCCAACTAGGCTGAGAATCATCTCAGCAATACACAAGACATCTGCACCTCCAGAAGCTGCAGACAAAGTCAAAGGTACTGCCCAGTCCTGCCCTGTCTTCTGATCCAATTCTGAACCCACCTAGAAACACAAAGCTAGGGGGATTTTCCAGGTTTCTGATTTCACTGCAAAAGTGCCTGTGTGCCTCAGTTGAATTGTGTAGGTAATTTGACTTTAAGATGGCTTTTTGAAAGAATAAATCAGTGACACCCAATAATTTCTTTAAAGGAACATGGAATCTAAAAGAACCAAAATATAGTATTAGCCAAAGAAGGCACTCCTCAGCCAAGCCTTCCATTTGGGGTTCTAACTCTTTGTCAGACCTTGGGACATCAGAGATTGCTCATTCTAACTTCAGTACAGCCTCCTGCCCTGAGAAAGGAACCATCAGAACATTCAATCACTTTTATAGAACAACTGCAGTGACTTAAGGTGTAAATGGATTGGAAACAAAAGGCTTGCATTTTCCTTGATACACAAAAGGGGTTAAAAATTAAGAGGAAGCCTGTAGGGAAGGGTTTTTGCTGAATCTAATGCATTTTTCAAAACACTCTAAAAAGAGCTATGGGCCCAGAGCCAGCTGAGCTCAATCTCCTGAATTTTATTTTAAGCAGATCAAGCTTGTAGGTTATACTATTTATACTATTTGCCATGTTTTCCATTTAGACAAAAATCCCCTAGAATCTACAGGAAAGGAAAAGGAAGCAGCATTTTATGGCTCACGCTTGCAATGGCTAACTGGTTTATAGAAAGACTGTGAAGGCATTTGGCTTCAAACGACAACTCTTGGGAGTCCAGGGTCAGCAAGGTTCCTGGAGGGTGATGGGCTGCTCTGGGCACTGGCATGAAGAGAAGCCACAGTCAGCCAACTCTGACTTCTCTTAGGCTGGACATGAGGACAGAGCCAGAAAGCCCCCTGGAGCAGACTATGTCCCATCTCCTTGAGGCCTGCAAGAACCTGGCTTAGTCTGTTTTGTGCTGCTATAACAGAATACACAGAGTGGGTAATTTATAAAGAGCAGAGTTATTTCTTACAGGTCTGCAGACTGGGAAGTCCAAGATCAAGGGGCCCACATTTGGAAAAGGACTTCTTGCTGTATCATTCCATGGTGAAAGGCAGAAGGGCAAGAGGAGCCAAACTCGCTTTTGTAACAACCCACTCCCACAATAAGGACACGAATCCATTCAGGAGAGCAGAGCCCCCATGACCTAATCACTTCTTCAGGGTTCCACTTGCAACACTATTGTATTGGGGATTAAGTTTCCAACCCACGAACTCTATGGTTTGAATGAGAAAACAAGAAAACCAAGGCCTGGGGAGGGAAGGAACTCTCCACTATCAGAGTCTGTTAGTCCTGGAGCTGGACTTAAATTTGCTTGTGTCCAGAGGGAAGCACCTACCCCAAGAGCATCACTTGGAGGACTTTGTGTGGGAGCTGAGGCTGGTCCTGGGGGTGCCAGGAGAAGAATCAGAAGGACTGGGCTTGATTCCCAACCCCACCAACAATAAAGGCTCAGGCACTTTATTAACATCTTTGGGCGGTTTCCTCATCAGTTGAAAAAGGAAGATAGCATATGCAGAGTTTGTGTGATGATAAAGGAGACATAGGAGACAAAGCAGGTTTGCCCAGACAGTGCCCAGCACAGAGTGGTGGTCTGCTGCTGTGAGTGCCATCAACCCACTTGGGGCCCTGTGGCCTTGGTCCCTCCAAGGGAAGCTCCATGCTCAGGCTTTCCCACCTGGTCTTAAACAACAACTAAATCACTTTGATTTCATGTTGAAGGCAGCAAGAAAAAGAAAATCTCTGCCTAGCTTCTGGCTTCCTTGTGACATTAGCCTTCGAATTAAGTATATACAAAAATCACACAGTTTAACCACAAGAAAACCTCCATAAACCAGTCCACATATCCTGAACAAAAGTGCTTTCAAATGACAGAGGCATGGTTAAAAAGTTTACTGAGAATAACTACACTTCATAAAAAGCAAAATCCGTGACTCAACCCCACTCACAGAGTGGGGATGGGGACAGAGGTGGACATCAGCGGCCATAGATTGATCAAATCTCCCATTATTCCAAGCAGGCAGAACCCAGGGAACTCAGGTTGGGACAAAGAGCCCATTAGAGGGCAGGAGCTTGGAAGAGAGGTCAGCACAGAGATGGGGAGCAGAGAGGCTTGGCCTGGGACACTCACAGGGGAGCCCACAGATCCTGCTGGATGCCGGTCACAGGAAGCATCAGGGAACATGACATATGACACCGGGCTTTACAGATGTTCTGCTGAGGAGCTGGAGAATTGTGGCTACAGGAGAAAGACACATTTGGGACCCAGAAAATTCTTTTTATGATGCCAATTTCAAGAGTAAGGGGAGTCTATAAAACATGCGGGGGGCTCTGGTTTCTGACTCCGCTGTGCATACAAGTGTGAAATAGAACAGTGTTTTGTGCTAGGTGGAGAAAACTGCATGTTCAGTCCATATATCTTGGCTCATAAGTCATTTCTGTAGGATCGCCCAGCCAGCTGCATCTCCAGCCAACAAGGCCTTGCACTCTCATTTCTAAAGCTTGTTTAAATGAAATCCATAGATTCCCAAGTAGTGTCTCTTGTTCCTGCCTTAGACAGGTGTAGTCTGCATCCATTCTGTTAAGCAACTTGGCTGTACTTACGTCATCTCAAGGACCTGTGAGGTGTTATCACTGCCCCATTTCTCAAATAGGGAAATCATGTCCACAGGAGGAGGGACTTCCTTGAGGTTCACAGCTAGTCAAGGATGGAGAGCAGGCCTGTTAACTCAGCTGTGCCCACCTCTGAAGGTGGCTCTGCTCTCCTTCTGCCGATGTTCCAAATGGGACAGGTGTGGTGACACGGGGACCACAGAAGGCCAGGTCTGTCTCCTGAGATGGCTGGTGGGTTAGTCCCAGCCATGCTGAGTGGCTCTGGCTTCAGGGGCAGAGTCATTATGCCCCAGCTTTAGTAAAGGGATGCATCAACCCGTCCCCATCTGATAATTTGATAATACACAGGAAACCAATGTAAAGTCAGAAAGTTGCCAAAACAGCCAATGCTTCTGCATCCTGGGTCTGAATTTACATCTGCCCCAGGAACCTCCCAGGTGGTGACGCATGGCCAGCACCATCTGTTTCCCAGCATTCTCGGCTCCAGGTGTGGCCCATGGGCCAGCAGCCTGAGCAGCGGCTGAAGCTTGTTAGACTGCAGACCCCCAGTCCTGTGCAGAGCTGCTGAATAAAACCCCCAGGGGATTTGTGAGCACTGTGAAGGGTGAGAAGCACTGCCCAGGTGGCACAAAGAAGTAGAATGCCAGCTTTGTCCCCTGAGATACTTCCTGTCTGGGCCTCCCTGGTTGGGCTTCTCCATTGCAGCTGGCTACATGGATTCAAGTTCTAGGAAGGCCAGTGAGACTGCAGAGAAGTTACTCAACTGCGCAGGACACATTTCCTAACCTGTAAATGAGAACAGCAGCAGAGCCTATGCATGCGGATTCTTGGGAGGAATGAATCAGGACAGGGCGTGATGTAGCCAGCACAGTGTGGATGCTCGCTGCCCTTCTGACTGGGACATGTGCTTTGCTGACACATGCAGCTTGGTTAAAGTCACAGCTTACTGACTTGAAAGTCTTTAAAATAATTTTATAATCTCTGCTATGAACTCAATAGGAGTTCATTATAAACATTTCATCCATTTATATTTCCCCCATTGCCAATCCCTTGTGGTAACTGTTATGAACTGACCAGGTTTTACACGAACTCATGTGCCTTCTGGTGCCTGCATGTGTTCATGAAGCTACTCATTCAGGTGCAGATGCTTACAGAGGACTCTACGGTGTGTGAGTTCCTGGAACTCAGAATCAATGAAGAAACTCCCTTTACTCTCATGATCCAATCAATGATAGAGAGTGATGTGGTGTAGGATTAAAGAAGCTCTGGTCTCCCAGGGTATAAAGAAGCTCCTAGCCCAACCCAGTTGGGAGAGAGCTCCCCAGAGGGGGCTATGCTGAGCTGTGGTCTTCCGGAGCTGAAGGGTGTGTTTAACCCCTGGGGACAGAAGCAGGGAACTCCTGGGGGCCATGTCCTTCCTCCACCCCTATTTCTTGTTAAGAGAAACCCAGTCTCATACATTAAGCCGAGAATGGGGATACATTCATTTGTTGGAGAATTTAAAGAACAAGATGTTGTATTTGGACAGAAAGAAATGGCTGTTTTTTGAGTAAGGAAATCTGACACAGGCCACCACATGGATGAACCTTGAGGACATCATGCTTAGTGAAATAAGCTAGTCAGAAAAGGTCAATTCTGCATGATTCCACTTATATGAGGGTCCTAGGGGAGTTAAAATTATAGAGACAGGAAGGCTAATGGTGGTTGCCAGGGCCTGGGGAGAGGCAGGAATGCGAACTGACTGTTTAATGGGTTCAGAGCTTCAGTTTTGCAAGATGAAGAGTTCTGGAGATGGACAGTAGTGAAGGTTGCACAGCAACAAGAATGTACTTAATGCCACTGAATTGTTCACTTAAAATGGTTGAGAAAGTCAATTTTATGTTATGTATATTTTATAATTTAAAAACTGGGAAAAAGAAATGACTGCCTATGATATATTAAAGTGAAAAAAGAGAGAGAAGGGGGAGTAAAAGATGCATGCTCTTATTCTGATCACTCAATTAAGTGAAATAGTATAAATCCTCAATTTAAGGTAAAAATTACTCCTTGGCTTTGTAAAGAGTGTCAGACTCTGAGACAGAGAGAACTAGCTTCCTGTCTTGCTCTTACAGTTACTGGCTCAATGGACTTTATCTTTAGAACATTCAGTCTCTTCATCTATAAAATGCAGCAAAATAATACACAGGTTTTTGAAACCTTTGGTTAGATCTCATTAAACACTCTGTGCAGCCTGGTTCATCCTGCAAACTGCAGAGAAAGAGGTTTATAAACCTAGATGACAGAGCAGGCCGTGGGCATTGCAGAGGAGTTATCTGGAACTCTCAGTGAATCCCACAACTCATAAATAATATTATGACAAAAACTCTTTCAGTCATTCCAAAAATGTGCTGCTATCAGAGGTGTTATTATAATTTTTTTTTAACTTGGATGTCCAAGAGGGGACGGGCAGTTCTTAATGTTATCCTTTAATGCCTTAGACTGGCCAGGATGGTGGGACACCCTTGCTCAGTGTTGGAGGCTACCATGTGACAGTACAGGCTAAGGCTGGCCTGTCCCCATATGGACTTGTGTCTGCTATTAAATGCTGTCCTCAACTTTAACCTTTTTCCTAGATGAGCTTTGTATGAGTTTTCTATTGCTGCATAAGAAAATTACTCCAAGGCATTAGTGGCTTAAAACAATACTTATTTTGCTTATGAATCTGAAAGTCAGACAATGTGGCTTATCTGTGCCTTATGTGGCATACGTTGGGTTGGAGGGTCTACTTCCAGGCTGGCTCGTTCACTTGGCTGGCAAGTGGCCACTGGCTGTGGACCAGGAGTTCAGCTGGGGCTGGGCACTTGGGATCAGTTCTTCCACACGTAGGCCCCTCCACAGGCTGCTGGGGCTTTCTCACAGTGTGGTGGTAGGGCTCCAAAAGTAACTGTCCCCAGAGAACCTAGCAGAAATGCATGACAATATTATGACCCAGCCTAGCCTTGGATGTCACATGGTGTCACTTCCTCCATATTCTATTACTCAAAGCAGTCACCCAGGCCTGGTTCCAGGGGAGAGGTCATAGGTGCCACTTCTAGATGAGGGAAGTGGTAAGATTGTGGAAAGGCACGTGGGACAGAAGATACTGTTAGGGCCATCTTTGAAAAATACAATCTGCCACAAGTTCTGTCCTCAGCTGGGAAGAGTGCCACCCCTGTCTGCAAGTTCCTCAAGTTTCCCTAACTTAACTTTGCTAGGAGGAAGGGCCTGTTTGGCCAAATACCTAATGCCTTCCTCCCCTTCTCAGAGGGATGTGAATAACTTTCCTGCTTTCCCCCAAATCTTATTTCTGCTGAGAATCAGGAGTACAGCTTCCTGTTAGTGTCACTTCACCACCATCTCCATTAAACATCCTTCTCACTTGGTAATCAGTTTTCCAGCTGCAGCACCTCTGAGATCACTCCAGAAATCATGCCCTCTGCTCCCAGTGTGGGGACCTGTGCTAATCTGAGGCGGGTCCTGAAGCAGCGCCTCTTGGACCTGCTTCTCAGACACTCCATCAGAAGCAAGACACAGTGCCTCCCACTCCGGCAGCTCACCCAAATGAAGGGCCCCTCTCCCTTCATCTAGCACTGCCTGGCCCCTGTCAGACCTCAGCCATCACCACTCCCCATGGAGCCAGAGCTGATAGAAGTATCAGTCCATAAGCCATTCAGACATGCAGACAGACACAGGCCTGGGAAACTGGACTTCTCAAGTCAGTGACGAAAGCTCTGGTGAACACAGCTGAGGAGGTGCTGTCATGATTCTCTCCCATCCCCCAGGAGAGGAAACTGAGGCCTAGGGAGGGTTAATGATGTGTTCATGGTTACAGCTGGAACATTTCAACTAAAAATTTTTGAAGTTGTGTCCAGAATGTTTCCTATAACATTCTGACTTTCCAGAAAAAAATGTAATTGCTATATTTCTCATAGTATTTATCTTATGCATCAAAGTGTGATGTAAGAGTAATAAAAAAGGAATGAACTATTGATATATACAGCAACATGAATGAATCTTAATAAAAAGAGTGTACACTCATCCATCCATAGAAAACTCCAGAAAATGCAAACTAGTGAATAGTAACAAAACAGATCAATGTTTGCCTGAGGATGGGGGCATAAGGGTGGGAGAAAAGGATTATATACGGGTGCAAGGAAACTAGGAAATGATGGATGTCTTTGTTATCTTGATGTGGTGGTGATTTCATATGTGTCACAATGTTAAAAATTGTGCATTTTAAATGAGCAGTTTATTGTATGTCTACTATACCTCAAAAAAGCTATTAAACATGAATAAAAATTATTATGTGAAACAGAGCTAAAGTTATTTTACAGCCATGAAGAAATCAGGATTCCTTTCTATAAATATGTTTGAATAATTTTAATCTGGTGAAGATTTGTACTAATTTCTTAGAGAAAGGAAAAACACAAATAAATGATGAAAATGTAAATAAATAGTTTTTGCTAAAAGGAGAAATTCATATGCCAGGAGCTTGGCTGTCTCTTAATCAAAAAAAAAAAAGACATATGTCATTGTGATTTTGCCCTAAATTAAATTGAAAATGTCATTTTGTTTCATCATCAAGACTATCATCCAAGGGAGATGTTTTTGCTATTGTGATTTTGCAGATTGAAAAACCGAGTCTCAGAAAGTTCTAGGACATCTCCGTGGCAAAGATGGGATTGGACCAAGGTCTCTGTGCCTGGTTCTAAAACTCACTCTTTCATCCATAGCACACCAACTCTTTTCAAATAAAGAGAAAGAGGGAAGGAACAGAATGGATGGAGATATGGGGGCCCTTTTCTTCCAGGTGCCCCAGGAAGGGAATTTTGGAGTCCACTGAAATACCATCCTGGGAAATGGAGACGCAGAGGGGTTGCACCATCCTTGTCTTCCACAGTGACTCTCCTACAAACACCTCTCCTCTCCTTCCCCTCTTTGGCTCCAGAAGGAGCCCTCCTCAGTTGGCCTGAATGCAGCCTTCTGGTGGGAGTGATGAAAGGCTGTGACATGCTCTCTCCTCCTTCCTCCTTATTTTGATGGCAAGAATAGAGAGGAACATTAGAGCTAAAGGATGTCTTCTTACTGCAAGGCCCCTTTGATTCTGGAGGAGCCAAAATGTACCCCAAAGACAAGAAACTGACCATCCCAAAGGTGTTTGGTCTGGAGAGGCAGGAATTTCAGCAGGGAGATTTTAGGTAGACATTAGCAATGCAGGGCCAGTGGATGGAAGCCAGGCAGCAACTTAGGGCTGATCTCTATAGGGATGAGGAGGCCACAGGTGTCCACAGTGACATGAGTGTGAGCTGCACGCTGCCATTAAGTCTTCCCCAGGGCAGAGAGAGTCTCAGGCATCTCTGCACAGTGACTTTGCCTGTTCTTTAGAGTCTTTGTCTGTTCTTAAGAGTCTTTGTTTCAGGTTCGATGGCCGAGAGGTGGAAGTCTTTCTAGACCCTCCTGCCAACCGGAAAGGGTTCAGAAGTGGGGCTGGGTACAGGAGGAGCAGAACCTTCAGAGACAGCACCCAAGGAACCAGGTTGGCCTCTAAAGAGCACCCCCAAACGCTCTTCCTCACAGCTTTACACGCCTGAGCTGTGACATTCTGCTGAAAAGAAAGGGATGTGGTGTGATTAAAATATATTTGTGAAAGGTTGGATTAAACAATATTAAGCAAGCTTCCTTACATCATATACACCCATGAGAGGGATGTGATGCACAGCACTGGAGTGGCTACTGTAATGCTCCCACCACCACCACCTTTATCACCATCAGGACCAAAAGCTCCAAGCTACTGAGGGAGCTACTGGCAGTCAGCCCCCTGTGCTGGCCATCACAGAATGGTTTCAGCTAAAAGACTACCTTGAGAGTCACCTTGGCCCTCACTCAACCTCTTCCGGGAAACTCATGTCCAGTGATTGGCCAATGCAGGGTATGAAGTCCTGTCTCCTCACCTCGCCTGCCAATGCTGTGGGGCTATCCAGCTTTAGAGCTCTCTGGGGAATCAGCAAGGCCGCTGTTGCAACTGCATGAAGCCACATTTCTCCCTCTGCTTCTGTTCCTTTCACAGTTGCTGATCTGAGAGCATCCCCAGGAGATCTCCTGTCTTGAATCTTGGTATCAGATTTTCCTTCCAGGGAGCCCAGCCTGCAGCCATCCTGATACCCAATTTGGAGAGTGTTCTAATATTTGACTGTGAGGTGATTTGGGCTGATGTTTCTAGATAAATATTGCTAATTACATGAGAAAGTTACTTCCCATCCCATGTTCTTGTAGTAGGAGCTAAAACTGAATTTTAGCAAAAACCTTTTGGCAGCTAGCAAGATGGTCATGGGCCTCCCTTTCCTGCAACCTGCTGCTGTGAGAGTATGAAAGGGATATGGCATAGCCTTCCTTTCCTTTGCCCAGAGAGTTGTTCTTTGCAATAGAAGAAACAATGTCCTTAGTTCAAGTGGATGGTGGGGAGTTGTCTCAGCAGAAGATGGAGAAGGTCCCCATTGGCAGCAACTGCCAGTTGCTCCCACTTCCCATTCCCTGGGCCTGAGTTCAGCCTCCAGCAGAATCCCCGCCCGGGCTTCTGACCATTGAGAGGAGATGTGGCCCACCAACACGCTGGAGCGAGGCACTGTTTTGAGAGGCAGCTTTCAGGTTCTACAGAATGTCAAAACTTACCCTCACAAAATGACTGGGACCCAAGGCAGCTGCCTGACCAGCCTGGCCTCTGAATCCCTGCTCTTCACTGTATGGGCCGCAGGGAACCCCTGAGAGCCTGCCCTGTGACCATGGAAATGTATCTTCAGCCCATCCACATACTGTGCAGAGTGTCGTGCTTTATAAAGCATTTCACCTTTTCACCTAAAATTAATACACCTTTTATTTAAGTTGATAGAAAGGATTTAGTTGGCTTTTTCCAAAACCGCAAAGAGGAGGAGTGAAGTCCTCTGGGGGATAGAGCCAGGGCCTACAGACTGGGAGAAGTTGGGGAACATTCTTACTGCCCCGCCTTTGTAGCAAAAAAGCCCAGACTCAGGGAAGTGATCTCATTGGCTGGAAGTCAAACTGATGGACTTGAAATTTGAACTCAGGACGTCTAAATCTATAACACTATAAATCTGTAACACCCCTAAAGTTGACAATTGTGCATTAGGCATCCAGAACTGTCTAAGTCTGTTCTAGCTGCTATAACCAAATTCCTTATATAGTATTAGTTGATTTTTAAACAACATAGATTTTTTCACAGTTCCAGAGGCTGGGAACTCCAAGATCCAGGCACTGGCATATTTGGTGTCCGGTGAGGGCCTGTTTGTTATAGATAGCGCCTTCTATGTGTCCTCACATGGTGGAAAGGGAGGCCAACTCCCTCAAGCCTATTTCATAAGGGCACTAACCTCATTCACGAGGACTCTACCCTCATAACCGAATCACAACCGAATCAGTTGGAGCCCAAAGGCTCCAACTAATACCAACACACTGGGGATTAGATTTCAACATCTGCATTTTGGAGGGACATAAAAATTCAGATCACAACAAATACATATATATCAAAAATATACATATATTTTGGAAGTTTATTTTTTCCTGTGAATTCTTCCTTTTTATTATGATATACAAATTTGTTAACATAGAGTTATAGTTTTCTCTTTTACTTCTAAAAATAATCTCATTCCTAATTGTCTGTGTTTGTACAATTCTTCCCTGTGCCTGTTGACTTCCTTGCTTAGACTTACCAGTTATGCTCCCTTTGCTGCTGTTTTTCAAAGAACTGGGATGGGGCAGTATTTGACTTCTCCTTGTGCCCAGGACCTAGACTGGTGCCCAGCACAAAATGTTCTGGTAAAGCTACTGGAGTAAAGGAATGAATGGGTGGGGCACCTTGGAGGGAAATGGAGGTTTCTGGCTCTCTTTGTTACCACATTGCCTAGGAAAGTGTTTCTCTCAGCTCCCAGCATCACGGCTGGAGAAACATCTTACATGTTCAGCAACTGGCTCTGCCCTTCTCTCAGATGGAAGGTCTGACTCAGCCAGGGTCTGGGTCTTGGTCTTTAGTGGTAAAATGTTCTCTCTTACAACCTAGAGTCTTGGGGGTGATGGTCCCAAATACTGTGGGCAGGGAGGGAAAGGACTTCTGTGCTGGGGCAAGGATGCTGGACTCTAGCCTGCTACCTTGCTGTTACCAAATGTGCTCCTTTGTCATTTTGGGCCCATCTGAAGGGCTCCCGAGCTTGAGCCTCATGCAGCACCCAACCAGGATTTAGATAAGACGAAGACGATGTGTGGAGGGAAGCCCAGGGGTGGGCCTGCAGGAGATCCTAGGCACTTCAGGACAATGGGCATCTCCTGAGAGAGAACGTGCTCATGAGAAGAGGGTCCACACATACACTTGCGAAAGGCTTTCAGAGCCATGGTGGCCTGAAAACAGGGCCTTGGATCACCTCACTGGTGCCAGGAAGGAGGAAAGGGGAGGACACAACAGTCTACTTTCCACAGCAAAAAGCATCCACAGAGCCCCTCGCAGTGGTTCATGCGTCCATCTTCTTTACTACTCCTGGCTGCAGTGAAGGTCAGAAAATGTAGTCTCTCAGCTGGGCACATCACTGTCCCAGATAAAAATAGGGGTGCTGTTAGGAAGCAAGAGGCAGGCACTGACAGAGCAGCCTCTGCCGCCTCCACTTTTTCAGCTGCCCGACGTTCACACAGGCTGTTCCTACCCACCGGACACACGCCTCACATCCTCCAGGGACACCATCCCCAAGTGCCATCAGCTGCCACAGCCAACCCAAAGGCCTGATCTGCATGATGGGCGGCTCCCTCCCTCAGGTATCACGTGGCCATCTTCTCCAGCTCACCTGGTGGCCTTGTGAGCCATACACCTAAGGACAAGTCATCTCACCCAGCACCCTCCATATAAAGGACAGGGAAGGGACAGGACAACCCCAACAAAAACTCTCAGGAAAACTTCTGAACCACTGCTGTCCATAGCGATGATCAAATCCTGCTTATCGGAAATTCGAATCCCTTCTCTGGCACCGGAGTCAATTCCAGGTTAAATGGCAAGGTGGGGTCCCCCTCGTCCATGGTCTTTGTGATCCCTGGCACCTCTCCATGGGCTCTTCTGAAATGGGGAGTCCCCTTCTTCTTTTAGGAACCTGCACACCTCCTGTTGGTGTAGTTCAGGGGCCTGAAAACGACTTTAGGGGATGAGGATCCAAAGTCCCCATGTTCCTGTTTAGCAGACGGTGCTCTAGTGTTGCAGGTTGGGTCTGAGCCCCCTCTCCCTGCCTCTGACCACGCGGCCTCTTTCTCAGCTCCCGTGAGCTTCTGGGCACTGCTAAGGCTGGTACTGCCATGCAATGTGGGATCAGATTGAACCATGTGAAAGTACCGTTTAGCAGGACAAAAATGGTCAAATGGCAATAAGTTCCAATAATTCAACCTAGTACAAATGTTAACCTATTGCTGAGGGGGCTTCATTTGAAACTGGATTTGACACAAGGAGAAAATACAAGTCAAATATTTAAACAGTGGCCGACACATTGCAAGCAATCAATGAATAGTTATTGATTCTATTATCAGTAGAATTATATTAATCAATAGAGTGATTGATAGACTCTATTATTGATATTGTCATTGAACACACAACATTAATCAATGTTATTGTGGAAAGTTTAACTGGAATTGGTGAAAGGTATTTTGGACTCCACATTGTCCTGGTTATTATTTCCTCTCCGCCATGTCCAGGGTTAAACAGTGCCACATTTAACCACAGTCTATAGCCACACTCAATAGCCAGTCTATCGAGACTGCACAAATTGAACTCTGTTATCTCAGACTTTGTCACATTTTTTCCTAGTTCATTCTGGCTGAACGTTAGACTCCTTTGGGGGTAATTTTTAAATGTTGAATCAGAGTCTTGGAGGTAAGGCTTGGATGTTAGTGTGATTCTAATACAGGGCAAGAATTAAGAACCACAGACCTAGCTGATATGTATAATCTATTATTCTTTTGTCTGGTCCATCAATGCTGGTGGAGGGCAGAGATGCATTCGCCAGAGCATCCAGGAGCACTCAGCAGGAGAGGTGGGGATGGTTGCTAGCTAACGTGGGGGTGACTTCTCCCTGGTTTTGCAAGAAGCTACCCCTGGGAGAGAACTATGGGCTAATGCAAAAGGTGACAGCAAGGCTATTCGGCACTCATTATATGAGTGTGTCTCAATTATTTATCCATTCTATTGTTGATGACATTGGGATTATTTCCAGTTTGGAACAATTGCATGGAACTACTATCCATGTCTATTTTTGTAGATATAAGCAAAATCTTTTATTACTACAGATTCACACATATATTTTTTCATTGTTACACTTCTTGATACATAAATTATCTGAAATATGGTCAATGGGACTGCCTTAAGGCTGGCTTCTGTATTCTTTTGACGTATTTCCAGTATTATTCAAGCACTTTCTTACTTTCTGACATAACAAAGTGCTCCAGACTTATTTTCTTTCTCCAGGCCTATAATTATCGATTTCTCCAAGAATATCTGACTCATTTCAGTGAAAAATGGTATTTGGAAACCAAGATTTGGGTTACTAGATAGACTCATTGCTGCTGTTATTTGTCTTTTTGGTAGGCAGAACTTGGAGGTGTGGATGGATGAGTGAAAGGGATATACCTAAAATCATGAATTTATAGTGATATTTCTAATTCAAATTTAATAAAATAGGGTTTTTCCTTTTAGTTTTTACTTGTACCTTCTTTTCCTTATAATGAAAGTCTTAGTTCTCAATATTAGTGTATTTACCCATTTGTTTTCTCTTATAATATCCACAATGTTTCTTGCTCCATAAAATAAATATAATCAGTATCTTGTGATTCCTCACTATGTAATTCGGTGCCCCTGAACTTCTTTGTGCCTCTCCTAAACACAGCATGCCTTTTAGATTTTGAAAAGTTTTATCACTTATGCCTTGCTCTGCAAATACATCTTTCGTGATTGATTTGTATGTTGATTCTGAAAATCAAACACAAATGACTAGCATTTTTGTTAGTGTGATGATGTGTTAAGTTGAATCATATGAAAATTATGGCAATTTCCTATGGTATAATTAGTCATTTTTATTAGAGAAACGTGCTTAAAAATAAGCTTATTTTCCTAGGTCGGTGAATGTTTGCTGTTCTATAGATAGTATTCCAAAGTTTAAAGTCAAACCTATTCCCTTCTTAAATGCTATTGATTACACAAGATTATACCAAGATTAGCTTGTTGTGTGTTTGTACCATAACTTTTACAGTTTTTTGTTTTGTCTGGAGAATCTGATTACCTTTTCATTTTTCTTTATAGCAGAGAGATCACTTGCCTTCTAAACCATATTTATAAGACATTTGAGCTTTTAATCATACTTGTTGAGTGCATTGATGTTTTAGCCAGGCACAGTAGTTTCTGCCTGTAATCCCAGCACCAGCACTTCGGGAGGCCAAGGTGGTAAGATCAGTTGAGGTCCAGAGTTTTGAGACCAGCCTGGCCAACACAGTGACACCTCGTCTCTACTAACAATACAAAAATTAGCCCAGCATCGTGGCGCACACCACACTTGTAATCCCAGCTACGCAGGAGGCTGACGTCAGCAAATAGCTTGAACGGGAGAAGCGAAAATCACAGTGAGCCAATATTGCACCAGTGCACTCCAGCCTGGGTGGCAGAGTAAGATCTTGTCTCAAAAGAAAAAAAAAAAACCGGGGACCTTCGCAGTGAGTGTTACAGCTCCTAAGCCAAGTGTTACAGCTCTTAAAGGTGGCATGGACCCAAACGGTAAGCAGCAGCAAAATATATCGTGAGGAACTAAACAACAAAGCTCCCACAGCGTAAGAAACAATCCTAGCAGCTTACCGCTGCTGGCTGGTGTGGGAGTGGGGCGGGTACAGCTTTTATTCCCTTATTTGTCCCCACCCACGTCCTAGTGATTGGTCCATTTTACAGATTGCTGATTGGTCCACTTTACAGATTGATGATTGGTGCACTTTACAGAGTGCTGATTGGTCCATTTTACAGAGTGCTGATTGGTCCATTTTACAGAGTGCTGATCAGTCCACTTACAATTCTCTAGCTAGACACAGAGTGCTGATTGGTGCATTGACAATCCTTTAGCTAGACACAGAGCGCTCATTGGTGCATTTACAATCCTCTAGCTAGATAGAAAAGTTCTCCAAGTCCCCAGTAGACCAAGGAAGTGCAGCTGGCCTCACCTTTCAACAGCATGAAAGGGAAGAGAGGAGAGAGGGCCAGGACAAGGGAGTTAAAGGTCGCCAGCTGCCGGTTATCCTTCCCAAGCCTTCCCGGCTGACCTGAGGGGACCTCTCCACATCCAACAGCCCAGTACCACCTCCGGTAGCCTGAAATGGAAGCCCCGCTTCTGCCTAATGGAAGACAGAAGCTGCTTCCATTTCAGCTTGCTTCCAAATTCAAAGCTTGGCTCCACAAAATCCTGTTTTGCATTAGAAACTCATCTTTTCTCTCCTGGGAGCCTGGCCAGGCCTGTGTCCCAGAAAGGGAAATGGAGACACTGGGAGTGAGACCCGAGGTTGATGGAGGGTAGGCGGCTGCCTCCTGAGAGTAGGGCGAAGGGCAGAGGGCAAGCAGGAGGAGGAGCCCGCCTGACTCCTACATCCTCGGGATCTTGCCTGGTCCGGAGCTGACGGGTTGAGGACCCTCTGAGCACCCTTCCTCTCACCAGGCAGGCGTGGCATGGCAGACCTCATTACGGACGGCCATCCTCGCCTTGGCCCCTCACCTGGGAACAGAAGGCTTCGCCTGGCTTTGAGTGTTCTTTCTACAACAAACTGCATCCACTTAGCCTTCTTTCGTGGGGACTTTCGGGAAAAGAGATGACTTGAAAATAACATAATCATAACACGGATAGACTTGGAAATTAAATTTGCTGGGCGGTTGAGTTTGAGAGAAACAACTCATGAGGGGACAGACTTTCAAGTGTGAGTTATTTTGACCACCACCTCTCACATCCACTCATGCATGTCCACAGTGTGCATCCCACACGCTCCTCGAACAAACGGGCATCAACCCTGGCGACGGGAGCCCCCTGGAAGGATGGGGTGCTGTACAGGTGCCCAGCCATGGTCTTGGGTAGTCCTCACACTGTGGTTCAAATCCTGTGATTCTACAGCTGGGTTTCCTGCCCTCACTACGGTCCTTTCCACAAATTCTCTCTCTCCTGCCTGCTATTTCTGTCCCCCGCTCATAGCAGAGGCCACAAACCTCCTCCATGCTGGGTCCTTCCTTTCTTCCTCTGCTGAAATCCACCCCACGGCCAAGGAGACCACGTTTATCAAGTGCCCACCGTGTCTCAGGCAGTTCTGACACATGGTTTCACATTATTTTAATCTCTATGACAATTATAAGAGGCAAATATCATGCCCTGCCTTCTAGATGAGGAGAGAGGCTCAGAGAAATACCTAGTGGTACAAGAACCCGACAGATGAACGTGGCGCAAGGGTGGGGGAAACCAACAAGACCTCGATCTCTCTCTTTCTCTCATGAAGAGCTGCACTCCTCCCTCTCCACGGCCCCAACACTGCACCGGTGGGCTTTCTGCTTGTGGTTTTTAACAGGCTGGCCTTTTGTCCTGGCAGGAACCATTATTTATGTCCCTTAGCGAAATTCATATAGATAGGTCGCAGAAGTGAACTTCCTGCCTGAACAGCATCAGAGCCCAGCCACTCAGGATGGAGGTAGTTCCTTTCTGCAAAGCCTTCTAGACCTTTAACCTGCCTCCCCGAGACCCATGACAACCCAGAGGCATTGCTTTCTTCCAGGGCCTCCCTGGCAGGTCAAGGTGACATGTGACACACCCATGGACGCTCCTGGGTCTCAGCCATTTCCACAGTGCTAATGGAAATGCCACAACTTTCTCACATATGGGGGAAAAAATGTCCAACGGAGACTCTTATAAGGGTGACAATTTTAGGAAAATCCTCAGCTCCCTCAACAAACCAGTTAGAAGCGTTCAGAAAGCAGTGCTGTTGCCCCAGGTGAAGGCAGGCAACTGGTGTTGACCTCCTCAAATCCCCACCAGGCAAAGAATTCTCCATAAAGACATTGAGGTGTTATTGGGAGGAGAAGTGCATGCTAGGCAGGAATAAATACATAAATATGTACTACAGAGACAGACCAGGGTCTCAGCTGTGAGCAGTGTGTAGCGTAGACTGATGTGGTTATGGATGTGGATGGATATGGGACAACTCTTGTGTGTTTTCAATCCACTCAGATCTTGTAGAGCTGGTGTTGTTACCCTTATCCAACAGGAAAAACACCTCAGGGCTCAGCAAGGTGAAGACATCCACACAGCTACACTCTACCATTTATTAACCCAACAGATTTAAAAACTACTGAGTGAATAGAAAATGCATGTTATAGGGAGAACTTGAAAATGTATTTTATTTAAAACATTTATTTTTATTTTTACTTTTTGAGACAGAGCCT
This sequence comes from Homo sapiens, assembly GCF_000001405.40. Taxonomy (NCBI): domain Eukaryota; kingdom Metazoa; phylum Chordata; class Mammalia; order Primates; family Hominidae; genus Homo; species Homo sapiens. Next base: position 47,093,520 of record NC_000010.11, on the reverse strand, counting down.
TGCTGTGTTGCCCAGGCTGGAGCACAGTGGCATGATCACAGCTCACTTCTGTTTCAACCTCCTGGGCTCAAGTGATCTTCCCACCTCAGCCCCCCAAGATTGCTGGAACCACAGGCACCACTATGGCCACCACTATGGCATGCGCCATAATGCCCAACACATTTTAAAAAAATTTTGTAGAGATAGGTTCTCACTTTGTTGCCAGGCTGGTCTCACCAGCCACTCCACACCTGGCTGCCGTGGCCCTCCTATTCATCGGATTCCTTCACCTCCCTGCTGTCCTGCCCCCTCTGTGATTTCAGTGACAGTTCTTTTCTTTCCTCTGCACAGCCGGCTCCTGAAGTTCAATAGAACTTCAAGGAGGGAACTGTTGTATTCAGCCACTCGAGAGGAGCGGCAGCCTTTGAGAGCATCCAGGGACCTGCTGGGCCTTTCTTCACAAACTCTTGTGGGCAAGGTGCTTGGCAAAGCCACAGCCTGAGCTGGGAACAGGAGCCAGGCACCCTGCCAACCGCCCGGCCCAGTGTCAGAACCATGTCCAAGTAAGCTTTCCAAGAAACAAGTTGTGGCCCTGGAGGCTTCTCTGTTCAGCCCCCTTCAGAGAGGAGGCTGGAGTGAGGGAGGACCCCCAAGTGTGTCTGGGTCTAGGCATCTCTGTGGTTGGGACACAGCTGGCATGGTCCAGGGCCCAGGCAGCAGGACACAGAAATGAGCCGTGACTGATTCCTGCCCATCTCGACAGGGCAAGGAGTGAGGAGCTTTGGGATTGCACAGAGGCTGAGGGTTGCAGGCTTCATGGCATGGCCAGGGGCCTCCCATATGCAGCACAGGTGGCCCCGGCAAGAGGCCAGAGTCACCCAGCTTACCTGGCAGGTACACTTAAGGGCATCAGAGGGCCACTGAGGGAGGCTGTCAGGGGTGTAGGCAGGTGTGCCTGCCTTCTTCGAAGTCCTTGCTCTTCTGATCCCCGAAACTGGGTCTGCCCCTTCCTCCCAGAGGCTCATGCCTTTGCCAGGGATGTGAATGCGCATGAGTGCTCTGCTTGGAGCAGGCCTGGCAGAGCCTCTCAGTCCCCCAGTGCAATGCTCTGGGGTGATAACCTCAATCAATGACCCCAATCAATGAACCCAGTCAATAACTAATTCAGTGACCCCATTGAATGGCCCCAATCGGTCAGGCCTGCCCAGGAAACACAGCCGAACCGAGTGCCTTCCCTGGTTTAGATTCTCAACCCCCCACCTCATCCAATTTTATGCCACCTTCACCCCCACCTCAGGGATGCCAAGCCTGGTGGGAAGACCACACATGAAACCTTATTAGTCATTTACATTTCGGTGTGAATTAGATTACCAGCTCCTGTTCTTAGAACATTTATTCATTTGATAAGCACTTACTCATCCATCTTCTACATCAGGTTCCGTGCTGGGGCAGCAGCAGACAGAGTTGAATAAAGATGAACAAGCCATGTCCCTGGTTCCACAGAGGCTCTAGAAAGAGAGAAGTCATGAGCGGCTGCAGCTCCAGGTGCAAGTCATGGTAGAGACACCAATGCGTGCATGGGGCTCAGGAAAACCAAAGGAACATCACCAGGGAGGTGACATGGGATTAGGCCTGGGAGGATGGATAGCTTCTGTAGGCAGAAGTAGCAGACACCAGGAATATGGCAAGCATAAGACCCAATGCAGGGAGTAGGAAAGTGCTGGACTCTGAGAAACAGCTGGATGCCCAACTAGTTAAACCCAGGGTAGACCCATGTATGAGAGAAAGGGAAGATGCTCTTGGGCACAGACTGCAAATGACCTGGAATGCTAAGCTAAGCTGGGATGTAATCAACTGGGGGTAGCAGGAGGTCACAAGGGGTAAGGCACAGCAGAACACAGGAGACCAGCACCTGAGCAGGCAGCCAAGGGTAAGTGGCAGGAGGTCACATAAGCAGGCAGGCAGCAGGCCAAGCCCAGGAGGCAGTCGACCTCTTGACACCCCTGCATTTCATTCCTTGCAGCCAGGCAGAGTAGGAAGGAGCCAAAGAGTTACTTCTGGGAAGACTGGGCCGGAGCTCTGGAGACCACCCTTCTCTACAGATGCCAGCCCCCAAACTTTCATTGCCCTTGACTCTGTTTCTGCCATATTCCAGAGCATGTCGGTTAAGGAATAGGTGAGTGGAGTCTCATTTTGTTTTTGCTTTGCTTGTCTGCCCTGCTTCAATCACCTAAACTCATTAGAGAATGGTCAAGCCCACAGCAATGATGAGGAAGGCACGCTTGCGTTTTCTGGGCTGTAGTTTCTGGATGCAGTCATGTCCAAGGCCCAGCCAGCCTCCGGCAAGCCCGCCATGCTGCCTGTGGGGTCTCCCTCTGCCAGGAAGGGCACTTCTACCCTGGACAGTCCCAGCTGCAGCCCCACCACAGGATCCCTCGGCTCTTCACGCTCCACTGAGATTTCTCAATTGACTGTAACTTCCTTTTCAGAAATCCTATTTGGCTTCAAAGTTACAGAAGATTGTTCTCCTTGGGGCCTGCAGAGATGTTCAAAGTATGCCTCCTAGGGATGACCGGAATTTGCTTGAAGTGTTAAAAGAAAACCACAAGGCATAATAACACAACTATTGTCCTTGACCCTCAGATGCAAAAATTAAAATCCTCATTCATAAAGCAATTTTGAAAATCTCATGGAAATATATTCTCTTTAGAGCTGAGGCCAAAAAAAATTAAAAATTTCCTCCCCAAAAGGAAACTGGTTAGCTTGGAATGAGAGACACAAAAGGCACAGACAGTAAGAGAAGATTATCAAGGTACGGAGGCCACTCTAGGTCTCTCAACCCCAATTCCAAGACTTCATAGCCCCTAACATGGGAGAAGACCAGAGACCCATAAAGGAATGAAGTCTGGAATATAATTTCTAGTGGAAAGGAGTGCTACAAAGAAGGGATTAAAGCGTGACAAGGTTGGGGGTTGATATTGTAGGGGTCAGCGAGGACACTTTGAGGAGGTCCTATCAGAGAAGAAAGCTGAAGGACAGGAGCAAATGCATGGTGCTGAAAAGAGAAGGAAGAGAGAAAATGGAAGATGGGGCTGAGGAAGGTAATGAAGTTGAGGGGAAGGCAAAGTCAAGGTAGTGTAAGGCAGGAGTTTACAAACTGTCTCTGTAAAGAGCTAGGTAGGGAATATTTCAGTTTGGTGGCCATACAGTCTCTGTTATATCTACTCATCTCTGCTGTTGTAGCGTGAAAACAGCTCCAGGCAATATGTAAATAAATAGGTGGGACTGCGTTCCAATAAAACTTTATTGACAAAGATAGGCAGAGGGCTGAATTTGACTAGAGGGCTGGATTTGACTAGAGGCCCATGGTTTGCCGACCTTTGTTTTGGAGCCTTGTAGGCCAGGATGAGAATTTTACTTTTATTGTTAAAGGAATAGAAGCCATGTGGGGGTTTTAAGCCTAAGAGTAAAGTGATGTGATTTGTGTTTTAGAAGATCATTTTAGCTGTCACATGGAGAAAAGATTGTAAGGCAAGAGCAGAAGCAGGGAGACCAGTTCAAGGCTTTTAAAGTTCTTTGGGCAAAAGAGGCTGGAGACTGTATCTAAAGTGTCTGTGGCAGGAATTCAAGTGCTCACCCGCATCTTTAGATCTCCCCCTTGATCCATGATGGAACCCTTCCTCTCACTCCTGTGAGTTTTCATGTGGCCATGTGATCAGCTCAGCCAATAAAATGCAAGGAGTAGAAGACCTTAAGAACTAGTGCATGATTCAGTCTGCCTTTCCCCTACCATGGTGGTTTATAACTTCTAGGCACTCATCCTGCATATGCAACCTGGAACTTAAAAATAAATTAAGTTAAAATATAAAAAATAAAATAAATAAATTCTAGAAACTCTTGTCAGTGTGGGTCCTTGAGTAAAGAACACACGGAGCAGAGCCTCCCTGGCAATTCCATGGACCTGCAGTGCACACAGAGCAAGAACCAGGAATAAGATTTGTCATTTTAGCCCCTCAGAGTTAGAAGTGTCTGCCGCTGAGGCATCTCCCAGCTCACTATGACTGCCACAGTGGCAAGCTGGGAGGCTACATTTTCAAGGTAAAGATGACAGGACTTGCTGATAAGTTCGCTGTACAGTGTTTGAGAAGAAGAGAAATGGAGGATGACTGCCAGGGAATTCGTCCTGAACCACTAGGTAACCAATGGCACCAATTAGTGAGAAACAGAAGGCTGGGGGAGGGCCTCAGGGTCTAATAAAAACTGTCTGGTTTAAATAATGGTTCATTACCTACTAACTTTGTAACATGGGCAACTTAACCAGCCTCTCTTGGTACGTTTGTCTGTACAATGAGGATAAAAATAGTATTGGCTTCCTAGGGCTGTCAGGAGGACTAATGGGGATAATTCATGCAGAGTGCTTAGCCCAGGCCCTGGCAAAAGGGAGCTCCGCAAATGGTAGCTATTGTCACTATTCTCGTTGTCATCTTTATTACTGTTATCATTATCAGTATCTTAAGAGCTTGTTCATTTTGAGTCAATCCCTTGTACTCAGCCAGTTCCAGGTACCCTGGAAAGCCAAGTTCTTGGACTTAGCTGCCAAAAACAGCCTGGTCTGGCATGATCCTCTCTTGGTTCTCCCTCCAGCCTTCCACTGGCCCCACGCTGGCCAGAACCCTGTGTAAGCTCCAGCTCCCTGGCTGAGCTTCCCATAGCCAGTGAGCAACGGTCGTCCAAAGAGAGTCCAACCCTGCTTCCGCCTGCTGTGCCCAACTCCAGATGGCCTGAGCTGTATTTTCAGTGAGTCCAGAGTAAGGAGACATCCCTGGCTGGCATGACGCTCGCACTGCCTTTTCTCTTTTCTGGACGTGCCCTTACCTGGGTCAAGTGGCATTACAACAGGAGTTCTAGAAAGTGCTAGAAGAGTGTCACAAGTCAGTTCCATCTATCTGGTCATAAAAAGGACTGAAAACAGGCTGAATTAGATGGTTGCCTTTCCAAGATCAGAGTGCCACATTTGAGGGGTTTTATAGCCCCCGACGCCCACAGGGCCAAGTCCCTACTCTCCCAGCTGTGTACAGCCACATCCCTGACCAGCCCATGTTCAACAGGGGTTCAGTGCAGGGGCAAAAGGCTCGTTCCCCTGACTCCCTGCCTCCATTTGGGACTACTCCACCGGGCCATGCCTGCTCCCCTTGTGACTGGCCGAGGTACCTGTTGGAAGTGCCCCGTGCCCACCTCCTCTCTCTGCCCATGCCTTCTCTGCATTTCTTCCCAGGAAATTTCTTGCATGCATAGCTTAGACCCAGAGCCTGCTTCCCAAGGAACCCTGTCCATGACAGGCTGGTTCCAGCCACACAGGACAAGGACTTAGATCAAAGTGGCCTGCCACATGTTGATCCACAGGGAGGGACTCAGGTCTCTTATCACTTTAAAACAAACCTATTTAGAAGAGAAAAATCCTTAGGGTTACCCTGGTCACTATATTCAATTCTTGCCCTGTATGTGCTGATGTCTTGAGGAAATTCAGTGTCTGAGGCCACCAAGTGAGGCCAGCCCCATAGTGCAGCAGAGTCACAGGCCCCAGGTTTCCTGTGCAGGCTCTTGGCCCTGTAAAGCACCCCCCTTCCACCAGCAACATTCCCCCTCCACCCACTGGTCTTTATCTTAGCACTGAAACTCACTTCTCAAGTGAAAAGCACTTCCTGCTTGTGGGACTCTTCATTCCTGCATTAGCAGGTGCAGGGAGAGAATGAGGAGCTCCTCCCCCTTCCTTTCACAATCTGAGAAGGATTTAGATAGGTGAGTGTGAACCTCTGGAAATGATGTGCAAAATTATAACAACAGGTTTTTTTAAAATTGGAGAGACTGAGAGAGTGTTAATTGCTTTTATCACATTCTTAAAGGCCTATGAGCCTAAATAGATGAAGAACAATGGCTGCCTTGAGGAAATCGCTGAGCCGCTGAGCTGCCCAGCCCCTGGAACAGAAGAGAGAGCCCACCATCTCCGGCCTTCAGCAGACCAGCCACCCAGCTGAGAGTATTTACTTTTCTTTTATAAAAAGTTTTAATCAAAAGCAAACTAGGGTGTTGTTTTTTGTTCATTCATTTGTTTGCTTGTTTGAGACAGAGTTTCACTCTTGTTGCCCAGGCTGGAGTGCAATGGCCCAGTGTCAGCTCACTGCAACCTCTGCTTCCTGGCTTCAAGTGATTCTCCTGCCTCAGCCTCCTGAGTAGCTGGGATTACAGGCACCCGCCACCACGCCAGGCTAATTTTTGTATTTTTTGTAGAGACGAGGTTTCACCATGTTGGTCTGGCTGGTCTTGAACTCCTGACCTCAGGCAATCCGCCCATCTCAGCCTCCCAAAGTGCTGGGATTACAGGCATGAGCCAATGCGCCCAGCGTGTTTTGTTTTGTTTGGAGACAGGGTCTCTCTCTGTGGCCCAGGCTGGAAGGCAGTAGCATGATCATAGCTCACTGCAGGCTCCAACTCTTGGACTCAAGCAATCCTCCTCAGCCTCAGCCTCTCGAGTAGCTGAGTGCTTAGAGCATTTAAAATGCAGGACAATGTTTTGTGAGTTATGGATAAACACATGAACATGTAACACTTGATAACGCACAGTGTTGGCCCTCCTTATGCATATGCCCCAAGCATGCCCGGTGCTACTCGACCACCCCGGGAGCCCCAACAGGCAGGACTCATGGCCTCCTTCTTCCTAGTGAGAGATTGTGGCTCATTTGGGTGAAGTGGTGCACCCATGGTAACACATCTTACCAGTGAGAGAGTCCAGAGCAGAGCAGCCCTTGGACAGTTGAAGGCCAGCTCTGGCCTTCAGTGAGGAGGCGGTGGGGTGAGGGAAGACAGATTGGTTTCAGGGTCTAGCCGGGGCTTCCTGCCTGCATAGCCCAGAGCTAGTAGCTTCAATCTCATACAATTAAGGGCCTGCTGCCTAATTAAACCAGCTAGTGCCTGTAAGCATAAGGACAAGACTGTGGGCCATCAGGGTTAGAGCTGGGGCTCCTCCCCTCTGGCCAGGCTGCCTCTCTCCCCTGGGATTCCTGATCTCCTGGTGTGTGCAGACCCAAAGCTGCCTCCTTCCAGTCACTGTCGTCAACAGCCACTGTCTAGAAAGGCTTGGAAATGTCCGCGGCACAGCGCAGATGATATTCTCCAAAGATGACAACAGTGTTGCCCATCCACACTTTTCTGCAATGTGACCTCCCACTGCCTCATGGGAGACAGGGTCTATGGCTCCTCCTCTCAAATCTGAGCTGGTCTCTGTGGCTCACTTATAACCCACAGTATGTGGCAGCAGTGATGGTGAGTGACTCCCAAGGTAGCTCAGTGAGGCCAGGCGGCTCCCGCTTGTTCTCTTGGGATGTTGGCTTCCTGGGTGTTGTCTCAGGAGGCTCCCTTTAGAACACCAGCCACCATGCTGGGAGTAGTCCAGACCCATGGAAATTTACCTGAGTTACCCAGTTGACAATCCCACTCTAAGTCCAGGCTTGTGGTCATTCCAGACCAGGTGCTGGACCTAGGAGTGAAGAGCCTCCAGCGAAGTCTGGCCCTCAGCCCTTCAAGTCATGTCCAGCTTTTTGTGTCTCTCAGCCGAAGTCAGAGATCATGGAGCAGAGACAAAACAGCCCTGTTGTTCCCTGTCCAATTCCTGACCCACGCAATTCGAGAGCATAATGAAGTGGCTGTTGATTTATGCTACTAAGTTTGAGGTGCTTTGTCACAAGAGGGGAGCATGAAGCACTTGGCAGCCCATCTCCCCACTCCTCTCTCCGCTCCCTCTGAAAGGTGCTGGTGAATGCGGAGGTAGCCTCTTCTCTCTACCTGTGGTGGCTCCAGGAAGACCCAAGGCCCAAGCCATGAGGTGCTCACATGCTCAGATGGAAATGGCATATGGGGTGGTCCAAGACCCCAGCCGGCCAGGCAGACCAAGATGTGCAGCCCCAGAGGCTGCTTGTCTCCAACCTGTCCTGTCAGGAGCTGCAGGGGCTGCCTCCAGCCATCCAGTGTGTGGCGTGTAAGAAGAGAGACCAGTCCTGTAACCCACCTCAAACTGCGCCATGGCCCAGCTCTAAACATCTGGCTGGAGGGCAGGACACACAGGACATCCTCCATGCATCTCATTTTCCCTTCCATCTGGGCCCCCACCTTCAGAATGCAAGACCCCCTCTCACAGGGTGAAGGGGGCAGGAGCCAACCTGAAGGAACTTCGCAGGAAGGGAGGGTGTGTTCACATACAAGGACAGTAGCCTTGCTGCTTTACTTGCTATGGTGGCCCGGGCCCAGGAGGTCTAGGGGCTAACGCAGGGAAATTTGTGAATAAGCTAGATCTGAGATCACATTGTGGTGTTATTATTTTCTTAGGTGCGATAATGATGTTGTGGTTATAATGGGAAGATATCCTTATTTTTAGAAAATGAGAGCTGAGGTATCCAAGGGTGAAGACATGATGTGCAAAACATTGCAATGGTTCAATAAAAATAAAGAAGTATACAGACAGGCAGACAGATGCACACGTCACTGTGGCTGAAGGTAAATAATTGTTGAATCTGGGTCGAGAGCCTTCAGGTGTTTATTGTACTATTCTTTTAACTTTGTGTGTGTTTGAGATGTTTATAAAAATGTTGGGAGAAAAACAAAACATGTCTAAAGTTGATGGATAGCACGTCATGATGTCGCTTGAAGATTCCCACTGTTATCTCCGCCTTGCTTGAAACAGGAAGAGGAAAACAGAAAAAAATGAAGGTAGACCCATGGGAAGGCCCAGAGCATAAATATTTTCAGTGGATGATTGAAAGGGAACCCCTCTGTGTGTGTGGTTGTGTGTATTTGCGTGTGCGTGTTTGAAAATCAGAAGTAATTTGGAATTACAACAGCTTATGAAACCAAAGCTCTTCACACACATTATTACATGAGGGACCTTCTCCTAGCCCCACCTGGGCTTTAGAAACTCCCTTCGTCCACCGTCCACAACCACCGCCCCAACTTACTTTGGCTGAATGAATATCCCCACAGTTTTATTCATTCGGTGTCTGATCCAATGACCTTAATAAGATGTATTTCAGTGTTAATCAAAGCTGTTATGAGATAGTTATTAGCGTGTGCCCATAGTAATTTTCCTAGTGATTTGAATTTCCATGAGCACTGAATGGTTATGAAATACAATATTTAGGAAATATATATCAATGAAGGCGGCAATGTCCACAGGTTGTAAGTCAACCACTTTATTAGGAGAGATAAATCAAGAAAGACTGGGTGAAAGACCAAAGACAGCAAATGATTACAGCCTGCGTGAAGGACAGGGGAGTTTGTGCATGTGAGCGTCTATGTTATGCACACATGGAGCACTCGTCAGTAATTAGGTGTATGGAGTGTAGACCTTCTCGTTTCTGATGTGCAAGGGAATATTAAAATGCATGAAAAGTGCTTTTACCACAAAGTTCTATTAGGAGATGTAATTAATGTGAAAGACACATATTGCACTCCCTTTCTCAAGCATTAAAGGGGAAGACTATGCTCAGACCTGGAGATGTCGTGAAAAACCTATACCCCTCAATCATCTTAAGAAACTGGGGGTGGGCCGGGCATAGTGGGTCACGTCTGTAATCCCAGCACTTTGAGAGGCCGAGTGGGTGGATAACCTGAGCTCAAGCGTTTGAGACCAGCCTGGCCATCTCCACTAAACCGCATCTCCACTAAAAATACAAAAATAGCTGGGCGCAGTGGCACGTACCTGTAATCCCAGCTACTCAGGAGGCTGAGGCAGGAGAATCGCTTGAACCCAGGAGGCAGAGGATGCAGTGAGCCGAGATTACACCACTGCACTCCAGCCTGGATGACAGTGTGGAGCTCGGTCTCAAAAAAAAACAAAAAACAAAATGAAACAAAAAAACTGGGAGAGTGTGTGCTGTTTTAAAATTCAGGTTGCTTGTCTCCAAGCCATCCCTTCAGGAGCTTTAGGGACTGTCTCCAGCCACCTAGTGTGTGGTGTGTAAAAAAGCATATCCCATACCCAGCCTCTAACCCCAGCTTTTGGGATGCAAGGCCTATAATGTCTCACAGGGTGGAAGGGGAAGTAGCTAACCTAATGGAATCTGGCATGAAGAGAGTCCTTCCTGGATGCAGGGGCTTTGTCCCTCCAATACCTGCTTTCTGCTTCTCAAATTTGGGCTTCAGGAGTGTGGCTTGCTACCCACTGAAAAGCCTGCCTGCTGTCACAGAGACATCTTTATGGGCCCAAGTCTTTACAGACCCTGGACCCAGGGTAGGGGGCATTTCAGAACAGGTATCTTAGGCACAAAAGGTGTAATTCCCTTCTTGAGTGTCAGGCCATCCTCATCTCCATCCTTTCAACCAGCTGGCCAGCATTTGGGACCACGTTTTTCAGACTCCTCTAGCTGCAGCTGCCCCTCGCTCTCACCCTTACCCTCTTCGTCTTTGGGAGCATTTTCAAAGTATTTACTACATAAAGACATACATGCAACATGCACACACATTCACTTCAAGATTAGGAGTAAAGAAACAAATAGGAGCCCACGTGTTCAAAATTTATTCCTTTCGGTGGGTTCTTGGTCTTGCTGACTTCAAGAATGAAGCCACAGACTCTCACGGTGAGTGTTACAGCTCTAAAAGATGGCGTCTCTGGAGTTTGTTCCTTCAGGTATTTAGATGTCTCCACAGTTTTTTCTTTCCCATGGGTTCGTGGTCTAGCTGACTTCAGGAGTGAGGCCGCATACCTTCACAGTTAGTGTTACAGCTCTTAAAGCTGGCACACCCACAGTTGTTTGTTCCTCGTTCCTCTCGGTGGGTTCACGGTCTCGCTGACTTCAAAAATGAAGCAGCACACCCTCACACTGAGTGTTACAACTCATAAACGTAGCCAGGACCCAAAGACTGAGCAGCAGCAAAATTCATTGAGAAGAGCCAAAGAACAAAGCTCCCATACAGTGAAAGACGACCAGACCTGGGGGCCGCTGCGTCCACAGTGGCCCACTTTTATTCCCTTATTTGGCCCCACCCACATTCTGCTGATTGGTCCATTTTACAGAGAGCTGATTGGTCCATTTTACAGAGTGCTGATTGGTCCGTTTTAACAGAGTGCTGATTGGTGCATTTACAAACCTTTAGCTAGACACAGAGCACTGTTTGGTGTGTCTACAATCCTTTAGCTAGATAGAAAAGTCCCCAAGTCCTCACCTGACCCAGAAGCCCAGCTGGCTTCACCTCTCACAAGTAGGGTGGGGGCTTTGGTTCTGGCTGTGCTACATTTTAACTGTCCACCTCATAACCACCCAGGGGATTCCACCTCCCTGAGCCTTAGTTTCCTCTTCCAAAAAGTGGCGAGGCAGTCATACTTGCTGCGTGTGGTTGTTATGAAAGTTAGCTGATGTGAAGAAGCTCTGGCCCTGCCTGGTCTGGCATAAGCCAGACTAGCACCCGTGTGGAGGTGTCATGTCACAGATGCAACAGTCCACAGAACTTGGTTATAAAAGCAAAGGGAGATGTTTTAGTCTCTGTAATGGATCTTAGAGCAGAGATCTTCAGATGGATTTGAGATCCATAAATGTAATAGTACCAAGTCAAAGTAACTTAGTCACTTGCAGTTTAAGACTCCACTCTTTCATGTTAATACAGCTGCAGTAAGCCATCCTTGCACTGCCATAAACATCTGAAGGCTGAGGCAAGAGGATCACTTGAGGCCAGGAGTTTGAGACCAGTCTGACCAGTATGGTGAAACCCTGTGTCTACAAAAAATACCAATACTAGCCGTGTGTGGTGGCACATACCTGTAATCCCAGCTACTTGGGAGGCTGAGGCATGAAAGTCACTTGAACCCGGGAGGTGGAGGTTGCAGTGAGCTGAGATCAAGCCACTGCATTCCAGCTTGGGCAACAGAGCAAGACTCCTTCTCAAAAAAGAAAAAAAGAAAACAAATGAAACACCTGAGACTGAGTAATGTATAAGAAGAGAGGTTGAATTGGCTCACAGTTCTGCAGGCTGTGCAGGAAGTATGGTGGCATCTGCTTCTGGGGAGGCCTTGGAAAGCTTCCAATCGTGGTGGAAGGCAGTGACGGGGCAGGCACATCACATGGTGAGAGCAGAAGAGAAAGAAGGGGCGGGGTGGGTGCCACACACTTTTAAACAACCAGATCTCCTGTGAACTCAGAGTGAGAGCTCACTCATCACCGAGAAGACAGCCCAAGCCACTCATGAGGGATCTGCCCCATGATCCAAACAGCTCCCATGACCCCCACCTCCAACACTGGGGATTACAATTTAACATGAAATTTGGAGGGGACAAATACTGAAACCACATCAACATCTTTGGTGAAAACCCAGGGATTCTCTCTTTCTGTTCTCCTTCCTCTCTGACTCCCAAGCGAGGGCAGGGCACTGGGATCACTTCCTGTCTGGCTTCCTACCCCTAGTGGGATGAGTCCCTGATCTCACCTCCTTCTTGCTCTTTGGATCCCTCCTCAATGTGGGTGGTCTGTGGGGTTTGTCCTGGGGCCACTAAGAGACCCCTTGTCCACCAGCTCACTGGCATGAAAGAATGCAAGAGCCTCTGGTGGCAACCGTCCTCCACATGGGAAGGTTGTTGTGTGTCCCCTACCACTGAGCTAGGACTTCAGCCCGTCTCCCAGTAAATCTTGTGGGACACCAGGACTGGCTTTATGTGTGGGTAACCAGCACAGGCCACAGGTCCTGCTCTCAGAAGGGCCCTGAATTTGGGGCTTAATGCACTGCAACTGCTGAGTGCCCTCAGGAAGGTCTTCCCGATCTTTGCACCTGTGTTTCCTAAGTGAAGTCAGATAGACGATAGAGCATACACCGAGGCACAGAGCCTCGGTTCGCACACAGCCCCGCTACCCATTGCCTTTTCCTGCCTCCCAGGAGAGGTTCTTGGCCATCTGGTCACCTGCCCCAGCATTTCGGATCCTTCCCAGACACCCCTTTCCCACTTCCAATCAGCAACAGCTACCAACCTCTGCTCCTAGGGGAGGCTGGGCATGGGGGAGGGCTGAGGTCTGGTGTGGATGGCCCAGAGCATCTTAGGGTGGGGTCTGGCAGTGGCACATTCCAGCTGGGCAGCACTATTGTGCATTCAGGAGGTGACCTGGCAGGTGTAAGCCCCTCACTGACCCCCTAATCCAGGAACTAGAGCACCCTGTTGTGAAGATTGCAACATCCTGGGGTCTCCTACCCACTGTGAGTTGGGGAGCAGGCTTACGGGGAGAGAAGACAAGGGGCTCACTGTACCCATGCCTGGCTGGGGCATGGTGCATCAGTTCTGTGGCTGGTGGGAGTGGGAACAAGCTGGGAGGGTCTGCACTCACTCCGACTGTCCCCATGCCTAAGGGAGAAGGAGATTCAGTAACAAACAGAAAACGTCATAAAGGGAAAAAGAGAGAGGTCGTGAAAGAGAAAAATCTTTACTTTTTTTGTTCCTTTAATGGCCCTTTTTCTGCTTTTTGAACAAGAGGTCTGCATTTTCATTTTGCCCTGCCCCTCCCTCCCCCCGTTAATATTGCTGGCCCTCTAGTAAACCTTATAAACCCTCTTCTTCTCTCAAGTGCCATGGGAATTCCTGGTTGAAGGGAGACGTGGCCCTACATTCCCTGACTGAAGCTGCTTTTGAAGACAATTGGGAAGGTCCTCAAAAAGTTATACATTCAGTTGCCATATGACCAGGAGTTTCAGTCCCAGGTGTATACCCAAGAGAAGTGACAAAAAATGTCCACACAAAAACTTGTACATGAGTGTTAATAGCAACAGTATTCATAATAGTAAAAAAGTGGGAACAACCTAAATGTAGATCAACTGGTGAATGGATAAATGATTTGTGGTCCGTCCATCCAGTGGAATATTATTCAGCTCTTAAAAAAAGGAACAGAGTACTGACATATCCTACAACACGGATGAACCTTACAATTGTCAGGCTAAGTGAAAGAAGCCAGACACAAAAGCCTATATATTGCATGGTTTTATTTGTATGAAATGGCTGGAGTCAGCAAATCTATAGAAACAGAAAGCAGATAAGTGGTTTCCTACAGCTGGGGCTTGGGGGATTATAGCTAAGGGGTGCAGGGTTCAGGTGATGAAAATACTCTGAAATTGACAGTGTCGATGGTTGCACAATGCTGAATATACCAAAACCCACTGAATTGTACACTTTAAGTGGGTGAATTGCACAGTAAGTAAGTGGATAAATTGCGTAGTGAGTCATACCTTAAAAAGCTGTCTTTCAAAAAGATATGTGCAGTTTTACTTGACAAGCTTGTTGCATTATCTCCCCAGCAGCCCTGCTGCTAAAGGGCTTACGTGCTTAGGAAACAACTGGACATGAAGCTCTGACCTCCCCATGCCCTTACCACCCCCAGCCCCAGAAGTCTCTGTCAGTATGATTGCTTTTGTGTTGATTCTTTCTGCTTCCTGGAAATCTAGCCAAGCCCACCCCCCACTGGCAGAGGCCCAGTGTGATGGGGTGTGAGTCTGTTTAGAGGCTAGGGCTTGCCAGTTGCCCCAGGACATGTCTGACCCCAAGGTGTGAGAGGAGCCTGTCTGGAGCCCACTCACACTGCTCTGGCCCATGTGCTCTGTGCAAGGTCACACTTCCATGCCTAAGGTCACACACTCAGGCCCCTAATGCTGGCAAAGCAGAGGAGGATCAGCGTCCTGTTCAGCAGACTCCTGGCAGTTCAGACCACATGATGAGGGAAGGCCCAGAGGACAATGCCAAGGCCCCATAGTAATGACAGGTGAAGCCAGCTGGACTTCTGGATCGAGTGAGGACTTGAAGAACTTTTCTGTCTTAAAAGAGGATTGTAAAATTCACCAATGAGCACTCTGTAGCTGAATTGTAAAACGCACCAACGAGCACTCTGTAGCTGGATTGTAAAACACACAAATCAGAGCTCTGTAAAATGCACCAATCAGCGCTTTGTAAAATGCACCAATCAGCAGGATCCTAAAAGTAGCCAATCACAGGGAGGATTGAAAAAAGGGCACTCTGATAGGACAGAAACGGAACATGGGAGGGGACAAATAACAGAATAAAGGTTGGCCACCCCACGCCCCCATCACCAGCAGCAAACTTGTTAGTGCTCTTGCACGCTGTGGAAGCTTCCTTCTTTCACTCTTCACAATAAAAGTTGTTACCGCTTACTCTTTGGGTCCGTGTCATGTTTAAGAGCTGTAACACTCACGGGGAAGGTCCGCGGCTCCATTCTTGAAGTCAGGCAGATCGGGAGGGTTATGGCAGGAACAGACTCTGGACACAGTAAGATGATCACTCATTCTCAGAAAAGGATGCAGGGTCCCTCAGGAGATTCAGGGCCACACCCTCCCATCTTTGGGGATGTCACAGTGGCTTGCAGATTGGGTGGAAGAAATAAGTGCTTGCTGACTTCCAGGGAAGCTGGGCTCCAGACTCTTCTCTCTTAATTACCAATGCAAGTCTGGGCTTCCCCTCTTGGGAATCCTCACCCCGTCCATGCTTCGTCACAACCTTCTGTGATAGGTGATGAGGCACCACGCAGGGAGTACTGGACAGAGCCATCAGAGCAGCAGCACTAGACGCCATGCAAGGGACATCACCCAGGCAATCCCTGAAGGCAGACAGGGAGACTTCTCAACTGCAGTGGGTGAAATAATCTCCCCCACAGCCCCCGCCAAATTCGCATTCTTCTTGGAGTGTCAGAATGTGACCTCATTTGTAAATATGATTGTTGTAGTATAATTAGTAAAGCCGAGGGTATAGTGGAGTATGGTGGGTCCTTAATCCATTACGACTGGTGTCCTCACGAGAAAACAAAAAGAGGCAGAAACAGACACACAGGGAGAATGCCAAGTGACAGCAGACGCAGAGACTACAGCGATGTGTCTGCAAGCCAAGGAACGTCAAGGATTGCCGGCAACACCAGCAGCTGAGAGGTGAGGAAGGGTCCTCCCCTGTAGACTTCAGAGGGGGCCGGGTGCTGTTGACATCTTGATTTCAGACTTCTGGCTTCCACACTGTGCAAGAACAAATTCCCATTTTTTAAGCCACCCAATTTGTGGATATTTGTTACAGCAGCCCAAGGAAATTAATACAGCAGTCTTCATTCCTGAAGCAATAAAATGAGCGCAGACTGCAGCAATTATTAATTCAGCCAACATTGATGGAACACATAAGCATCAGGCTCTGGACTGGGTGCTGAGAAAAGAGGTGAACAAAAGACGTGATGTTTCTCTACTAGCAATTTGCCCACAATAGCCACAGAAAAACAGATCATTAAAAATTGTGATAAGATCTATGACGTAACATCATGGGGAAGTGTGGTTGGGATGTGGGAAGCCGGAAAACCTCCCGGAGGAAACGTCATTTATTCCACTGAGACCTGGAGAGAGAGGAGATGGAGTGGGAGGAAGACTTACTGAGTAACATGCATGTTTGTGTCATGTTAGGACTTTCTGACCTTGCTCTTGAGGTAGATACAGTAAAACACTAAGGGAGGCGTTAACCACGTCAAATATCGGGGAAGTGCACTGTAAAGAAGGAGCTGTGTGTGCCAGTGCCTCAAATCAAAAAGGACTGGAGTGCAGCTGTGGAAGTGAGAACTAGAGAGTCTAGCGAGGGAGCCGGCAGAGGACGGGACAGGACCTGTGTGGGGGCTGCAGAGGCGGTAGTGGGTCTGGTAAATATAACAGGACAGGATCGTTTCCACTGTCCATTTCCCTTCCATCCTATACTTAAAGGTTCAGCATGGGCACAGTTCATCAGCACGGGGCTCTTCCCAGCTGATATGTCCAGATCCACAGGAGTGAGTGTGAGCACCAGGGCCCTGCTGGCACACGCAGCCTCCCAGCCTCACACGCAGCCACCTGGAGTAAAGGCTTGGCTTTTTAACTCTGCTGTGCAATAGTTCATGGTTGCTTTAACACAGTGTACCAACTCTGAAAAGTTTAATGGAGCCATCTTCGTTAACATGTGTCTCTGACCTACTGTTACTTGGTAAGTAGTGCATTCTCCAATTCATAAAAGCTGAATTTGAAATTGTCAAGTCCCCAGATTACAGCTGCCAAACTGCCTCCATTGATGTCATCAGTCTCCAACCTGACTGAAAGCAGGAACACCTTCGTCCCTGCTCAGTGCATAGCATACACAATGCCACAAGGCCTCCTTCATCCCCATGTCCTGCTTTAACACACAGCGGGCATTTACATCTTTCCTTCTGCTTCAGTTAAGCAGTGTCTACTCTATGGGTCCCCTAGAAGCTAGTACTGGCCTGTTGTGACTTAACATCACCCAGTAGTTCCATACAGACAGCAGCTGAAACACACTTTCCATCTTAGAAATCATAATATGCTCCCTGTTTCCTGGAAATGGACGGTGTTAGATGGTTCATCATTGCTCCATCTTCCAAGAAAACTACACATGCAAACTCTGCTATGTCCTGTTGAGAGGCCCCTCATTAGGGGCAGATAGGAGCTTCGCCTGAGGTTATATTATGGTTAAACTATTGCGGGTAACCAATCCATGTCTATTGAGACCATGAACAACAGAAATGAATTTATAAAACAAATAATGCCTTCCCAAACCCTGTATGTAAATGTCACACATCAATCTCCCCATTAATCTCCCCCCGGGCTTCTGGGATGTTGAAAGGAGTTCTCAGAGGAAATAATGTTTTTGCCCTTTCCTTTTATTTGGAAAATCAAAACCAAGCCGGGTTCGAATGACCAGCCTTTGAAGGAAGGAAACAGTGTTTCACCACTGTAGCTTGGACCTCGCATGCAAAAAGTGTGCAAGCCTCTTCTCCCTGGTCTTCTCTTCCATTTCCACGTTGAGGATGCCTACAAACAAAACAGAGCTCCGTGCTCAGGGGAGGAGCTTCTGGAGGCCCAGACCCCATGGACACTCAGGTGGTTGTTTTAAATGGTAAGAAGTGATAAAGACGAGATGGACACTGGAGAGACACTTAGGGGCATGGGCCAGCTTTGTAAGTGGTGTTATATCCTGGCTGCAGTAAGGGTAAGAGTCACAGCAGCTATAGGTTAAGAAGCAGGCAGTGATATAGAAATAAGAGCCAAAGGTGGAGGGTGTTTTTTCTTTTTTCTTTTCTTGTTGTTCTATGTCTTCTATTAATTTGGCTGTGAAAGGGGAAAAATCAAGATCAGATTGGTATTTGAAGAGAAAGCTTGGGGTTGCAGGAAGGAGTAAGTGAAGGAATATAATTCCCGGCCGGGGTCGGGGGCTTCAGAAAGAGAGAGATGGAAACTGCACCAAGAAAAGAGTGAATGGGCTCACCCCACTAGGAAGAGGAGGCATCTCACTCAGAGACTAGAGGCCGGTAAAGACAGAAAAGATCGAAAACCTCTGAGGTTTGGGGAGGATGTAAGCAAATTCTTGAAGCTCAAATTAATGGGTACAAATATTGACCAGTTGTCATATTCAGTCACCATGCTCAAACGCCTTCCACTTCACAAGGAATTCATCTCTGGTGTTTCTGTTATCTCTCACAGTGAGAAATAAAGAATAAATAAGAAGAAAATAATTTTTTTAAAACAAATATCACAAAGGATTAATATTCTTAATATATAGTCTCTATAAAATTTAGTATGAAAAAAGGAATCTAAAAGGAAATGCATGAATTATAAAAAAAGAGAACTTCTAGATTCAGCTCCAATACATAAAAGGCCTGGAAATCATCTCTCCCATCCTTACAACAAGAAAAAGCTAGAACACTGAAAATCAACCAGTGTTCCAGGACCTGTTGGAGACTCAAGGGCTCAGGGAAAACCTCCACCTGGAAACCTGGAGAGTTCAGCAGTCTGGAGTCCTAGTTGGGCTCAGCTCACCTCGAGCAGAAGCCACTAGAACCACAGACTGGTGGGAACACTTAGGTGGTATTTTGAGGAATTGCTGGGAACTGAGTGTGGAGTAGAACAAAAATGAGAAACTCTAGAGGGCTGCAGTCTTAGAGGGGTCCTCATTTTCATGGGCCTTAAGTCTAGGAGCCCCACAAGGTGGCCATGGTGAAGATCTGAGAAAGATCCCCTTGTACATCTTGCAGAGGACAGGGAAGTGACTTTCTACCAAAAATACAGGATGGCAAAGGATTTTTTTAAAAGAGTAACTTTACAGTGGAGAAACCTGGCAAACACTACTTGGGCCAGGTGGTCAAGGTCACTGTCAACAGTGATAAGTCATGTGGATAGCATGTTCCCTCGATATGGTGTGATGATAATGGCACTTTACTGTTGTGGGCTTCCTCCCAAGAACCCAGACCCTAGCACAATCATGAGAAAAACATCGGACATACCCCAACTGTGGGACATTCTACAGAATTCCTGATCAGCACTCCTTAAAACTGTCAAGGTCATCAAAAATAAGGAAAACCTAAGAAACCTTTACAGTCAAGAGGGCCTAAAGAGACATGAAGACAAAATGTCATGTGGTATCCTGGATAGGATGGGAACTTGGAACAGAAAAGGGACGTTAAGTGAAAATTAAGGAAATCTGAATCAAGTATAGACTTGAGTTAATGGTAATGAATCACTGCTGGTTCATTAGTTGTAGAAAATGTGCCACACTAATGTAAGTTGTTAACAATAGGAAAAACAGGGTGTAGAGTACATGGGAACTTGGTACCAGCTTCACAATAATTCTATAAATCTAGAACTGTTATAAAATTAAACGTTTATTTTTAAAGTAAGAAAAACATGCAGTATCTGAATAATCAAATAAATATAAATTAAAAGTAAGAGGTGTAACTTTTTTTCATCAACACATTCATCAAAACTTGAAGTTCAATAGTAATCAATCCTGGCTTAGGTACAATAAAACATACTTTCCTGGATTGCTGTCAGTTAGTATAATGATTTAGAAAGCAAGCTTTGCAATACAGTTCAAAAACACACTAACTCAGTAACTCTATTTGTAAGCATCTATTTTAATAAAATAATCAGAAAGCAGATAAATGATTACGTATAAAATTTTGCATATTTGCCTCATTAAAAATTGTAAAAATAAGTAAAACTGAAAAACTAGGAAAAAGACATCATAGTAATTGGTATGGGAGATACTGCCCCACTGGGAATCATATAAAAGCCAGGCTGAACACAGAAAACAACTGTTTCCTGAGTTTGGGCAGCAGACACCCCCTGGTGTGGTCTCTGAAAGAAGAGCTCACCCGAGTGGGTACCACCTCCAGATTGGCTTTCCCCAAGGATGCCCTTCAAAGTGTAACCCATGGAGATAGAGCCAGGGAGAGACAGTCTGCTTGATCACCATGCAGGGCTCAAAATTGTTCAATATTTGAAAATCTGTCAAGGAAATATTTTCAGTTAGCAAGTTAAAGAAGAAAATTCATAGGATCATTTTTAAAGATGTGGGAAATGCATTTGAAAAAAATCAAAACCCATTTATAATAATAACTTTGAGCTGAACAAGAATGGAAGAGAAATTCTTTAGGGATGGGTATATGCTGAAGACGCTATCAAATAATGCACTGAAAGGTGAATGGTTGCTGTATTACCACTAAAGGAAGAAGGAAGGAAAAGAATGTCTCTCCCCATCACCACCATTAAATACTCAACATATATTGAAATGTTCGTCAAGGCAATAACACCAGAAATGTTTACAAGAGATATGATATTGGAGCAAAAGATCTAACGCTGACATCATTAGCAGATAATACCATTACCTAGGAAGTCCAAGGGATTTGTCTTTAAAACATACTATAACCAATAAGACGTTCAGTAACATCTCCAGTAACACCTGTGTGAATAAAATTATGACTTCAATTAAAAAAGGAAACCCAAATAAATAGATGTGCTGTGTTTCTAAAGGAAAGACTTGATATTGTGAAGATATACATTCTCCCATAATTAACCTATACATTTTTGAGCCATTCCAATAAAAATCCAAACTTACTATCTACAAAATATGAGAAGCTAACCCAAATTTCACCTGAGTGTGTAAACCAGCCAGGGTTACAGCAAATTCTAGAGCAGGGGAGTGAGTCAACAATGGGGCACCAGATCACTAGATATCAAAAGATAAACCACAAGAATCAAAACAGAACAGAATTAGCCAAGGAAAAGACAAATCAGTGAAATAGAATACACAGCCCAGAAAAAAAATATTTTAATTCAATGACTAAGGAATAATGAAATAGCTGGCATAGGCATAATTGGGATCCACCTGTGTGTCAGATCAAGGATGGCTCCAGAGTCTAGATATGCCTGCCATCAAGAGGTGGGGTCTCTGCCTCCTCCCTTTGAATCTGGGCTGGATTTTAGTTGCTTTAGAGTATGTTGGAAGTGATACTGTGCCAGCTCCAGTCCAAGTCTTTAAGGCAACAGCAGATTCTGTTTCCTTTCTCTGGTAGCCCTGTGCTGTCCTGTGGGAAGTCTGATTGTCCTGAGTTGGCCATGCTGTGAGGAAGCCCAGGCTTGCCATTGGTGGGGGGCCATGGGGAGGGAGAAAGGGGAAGTTGAGGGGCCAGCCCATGACTCCTTCCTCCTCCATCCCAGCTGAGTGCCCCAACATTGTGGACCAAAAGCAAGTCATTGCTGCTGTGCCCTGTCCCAATTCTTAATCCACAGAATCATGTGAAGTAATGGTTGTAAATTATTGGCTTGAGGGTAAACCAAATTAGGGGATAGTTTGTCATGCAGTAATAGCTAACCAGAACAACTTAGGGGAAAAATAAGTTAGACTCTCTTTCTACACTATAAATAAGTTCCAAAGGGATTTAAATATATAACTTACAAAGCAATAAAGTACTAGAATAAAACTAAGAAGACTGATAGTTTACCTTGCTAGGAGGTGTAGAAAAGGCAATTTCATACATTGTTAGTGGTAGTGTGAATTGCTACAACTTTTTGGAGAGTGATACACAATATCTATTAAAATTATCAATTCTGAGAATCTAGCTATGGAAACCAAGTTCAAGTTCTTATCAATATATAAGACTCTCTGTAAGAAGATGCCTATCACAGCATAGTTATAAAAAAAACAATGAAACAGTTTGGATGGTGGAATCAATTGCATCCTATCCACACAATGGAATGTTATGGAGCTATTAAAAACAAAAATGCTAGATCTATGCTTATGAACCTGGAGGGATTTTGTCTTATTCAGTTTGGGCTGCTATAACAAATATACCCCATAGATGGGTGTTTTAAACAACACACACTTGTTTCTCACATTTCTAGAAGCTGGAAAGTCCAAGATCAAGGTGCTGGTAGATGTGGTGTCTGGTAAGATTAGACAGACACCTTCTCATTGTATCCTCGCACGGCCAAGAGAAAAATCTCTCTCCTCATAAGGGTCCTAATCCTATTCCTGATGGCTCAACCTTCATGATCTAACTACTTCCCCAAAGCCCCACCTCCTGAGACCATCACACTGGAAGTTTGAATTTCAGCATATGAATTTTGGGGAGATACAAACATTTAGTCCAAAACAGATCTCAAAAATTAATTTAAAAGTAGTTTCACACTCTGGAAGATGATTTGGCAAGTTGTTAACAAATAAACATGCAATTATCATATGACCCGGAAACTTCATTCTTGGATTTTTTTTCCTGAGAGAAATAAAACTTGTGTTATCACAAAAACTTGTACACAAAGGTTCATAAAAGCTTTATTCAAAATAGCCCTAAAATGAAAGCCAGGCTAGATGTCCTTTAACAGGAGAATACTAAACAAACTGATGAATCCATGGAATGCTACTAAACAATGAAAAGGAACGAAATATTAATACACACAGTAAATAACCTGGATGAGTCAGCAAAGAATTGTGCTGAATGAAAAAAGCCAGTCCCAAAAGATTATATACTGTATGCTCCATCTGCACGACATTTTGAAATAATGAAGCTGTAGAAATAGAGAACAGATTAATGGTTGTTGGGGATTAGAGATTGGAGGAAGGTGGACGAATGTGTGTGTGAGGAAGGGGACAAGAAGAAGGTGAGGAGTAATGAAAAGGCAACAAGAGGGTCCCTATGGTGATGAATTGTTCTGTATCTTGACTGTGATGGTGGCCACAGGAGCCTACACATGTAATGAAGTAGTGCAGAAATACACGTGTGCGTGCGCGTGCACACACACACACACACACACACACAAGAGTACAAGTAAAACCAGGGATAACATCAATGGATTGCATCACTGTCACTATCCTAGATGTAATTTTCTACTACAGCTTCACACAATGTTATCCTCGGAGGAAACTAGGTAAAGATACACAAGAACTCTATATTATTTTTCACAACTTGGAAGTGAATCTATAGTTAACCAAATAAAAATCTAAATTAAAAACCTTTTAAAAATATTATAACAAAATCTATAATACAGTAAAAAAGTAGCTTTCAGAGGTATTTAAATATCATCTTCCCATTTTGGTAAAACAAGACAAAATGAAACTTCATATATTTGAATATATATTTGAATGAGCACAAGGTGTGATAGACAGAGCTCAAACTATTAACACTGGTTACCTATGGAAGCCGGGATGGAGGAGAAAAGAAATGACATTATCAAGTTATCAAGATGACATTATCGACATATTCTATGTTGACTTTTTTTTGCTACATTAGGATGCATTTTTATAATAAAAATAAATATTGGAAAGAGCTAAATGAAAAAACAAAACCATAAAAGTGATAGGGAAAATAATATATTATTTTTACAAGTTTAGGGTGGAGATTCCCTTTCCAAGGAAGGAAGATTCAACACCCAGAAGCCATAAAGGAAACAACTAACAGATTCATCTCATAAAAAAATAAAAACTCCCACAGATCAAAACACATCATAAAGAAAGTTTAAAAACAAGTAACGTGGAATTTTCTAACAAACGAAAGATTAGTAGCCAAAAATTGTCCTTACAAATCACAAAGAGAAAACAATGAAATAGAAAAATTGGTGAAGACTTTGGCCAGACCACTAGGATAAAGCAATAATGTTGACTGCTAAAACAGAAATCTTTCAGCCTTGGTTTGGCCTGAGACTCTGAAAGTCAAGAACAAGACAGCAGGTGCCAACTAGCCCCAGCGTCTACATGCTGGACCCCGATGCAAGACCTGCTCAGAGGATGATCTAACCCTCCACCTCTTACCCAAAGGAGAGGCAGAGGGAGACAGGGCTTCTTGTGAAGAGTTGGCAGTGGCCCCCGAGGTTCCTTGGAGACACACATGGGCACACACACGCATGCACACTCAGACACACACGGAGGAGGAAGGCAATCTGCTTCTCAGCCCATGCCAGAGGGCAGTCACACTGTGAGAGGAACTCCAAGATGGGTCACCAGGAGAATGTGACATGCGTCCCTCCAAAGACTGAAGGTGAGGGTACGTGGCTATGTCTGCTCTGCCCAAGCTGGCACAAGGGGAAGCAAAGGACAGTGAAGAGAGGGGAAGGACCTAGGGCATCTAGGCCCCAAATTACAGGCTGATGGTGGCACTACGAGTGGCCCCAGTGAAAGGCCTTCCCTCTGTCAAGAAAAGGACAATCTGGGTCCACAGTGGATTGGGCCTTCATCAGCCCCCAAAGCATCATTCAAAGAGAGCATCAGAAATTGCACCCAGAAGTCTGAAAAACCCCAAGCTGTATGACATCAGCCACTTTGTGGCCTTTTTTCCTAATCCTTTCTCCTTCCTGAGTCCAGCTTAAGAAGGATAATAAGCAGTTCCTGTTGAGTTGGGGGAAAAGAAGGGTGAGAACAGCTGAGTTTCTCTAGGCATCTCCTGCTGGAGGCTGGGGAAGCTTTCACTGGGATGAGAGCCCAGAGTCAGATTTACGCTGGTCCTGACTGTGCTGTGCGGTCCTGACAGTGCTGTGCGATCCTAGACTGACCGACTAGACTGAGCCACTGAAAATTTAGTGGGAGTTGCCCCAGATTTTATTGAACAGCAGGGAAGGAAAACCAGGAGAGCAGATTGGAAAGGGCAATAGTGAGAACTACAGAAGCGGTCCTCCACTTGGCCCCCGGTGAAGTCCCCTGGATCCTGTCCAGAAAGGTCCTCCTCACCAGCAATCAAAAAAACACAAATTAAGACAAAAATATGTTTCTCTCGATTCAGAGGGGCAAATATGCAACATGCCAATGTGGTCTCAGGATGGTGAGGAAATTGCTCATGCATCACTGAAGAGCCTGGGAGTGCAAAAACTCCCTCCAGAAGGCAAAATGCAGATTTGCTGAAACTAAACTTACACTTTACAAAAATCCCACTTCTAGGAATATGTTCTAAAACATCTCTTGTATGTGCATAAAGTTGAATATAGATTCATTGCCTCATTAGAAAAGTGCAAATTTAGAACAATCTACGTTTCCATCAATAAGGGTGGCTAAACAATCATATGAAGAAAGCTCTACATCACTGATCATTACAGAAATGCAAATCAAAACCACAATGAGATACCATCTCACACCAGTAAGAATGGCTATTAAAAACAAAAAAGAAAACAGATGCTGGCTAGGCTGTGGGGAAAAAGGAACGCTTATACACTGTTGGTGGGAGTATAAATTAGTTCAACCAATGTTGAAGATAATGTGACAATTCCTCAAAGACCTAAACAAAGAAATACCATTCAACCCAGCAATCTCATTACAGGGTGTATGCCCAGAGCAATATAAATAATTCTGTTATAAAGGCACATGCACATGTATGTTCATTGCAGCACTATCCACAATAGCAAAAACATGGAATCAATCCAAATGGCCATCAAATGGTAGACTGGATAAAGAAAATGTGGTACGTATATACCATGGAATACTCTGAAGCCATAAACAAGAAGGAGATCATGTCCTTTGCAGGGACATAGATGGAGCTGGAGGTCATTATCCTAAGCAAACTAATGCAGGAACAGAAAACCAAATACTGCATGTTCTCACTTATAAGTGGGAGGTAAATAATGAGAACACATGGACACATAGAAGGGAACAACACACACTGGGCCTGTCAGAGGGTCGGAGGGAAGAGGGAGAGGATCAAGAAAAATAACTAATGGATACTAGGCTTACCACAAGGGTAATGAAATGATCTGTACAACAAACCCCCATGACACATGTTTACCTATGCAACAAACCTGTACATTCTGCACTTGTACTCCTGAACTTAAAAGCTAAAAACACACACACACACAAACAAAACACGATGACTGCATACACACACAGAATAAGATGCAGCTGGTAAAAAGAATGGCTCTATCTTCTGATATAAAAAAGTCTCCAAGACACAGGAAGTGGCAAAAGCAAATCACAGAATTGTATCCAATGTATGACACTCCTTACATTAAAAAGCAAATATAGGCCGGCCACAGTGACTTACGCCTGTAATCCCAGCACTTTTGGGAGGGCGGATCATGAGGTCAGGAGATCAAGACCATCCTGGCTAACACGGTGAAACCCCGTCTCTACTAAAAAATACAAAAAATTAGCCCGGCGTGGTGGCGGGCCCCTGTAGTCCCAGCTACTTGGGAGGCTGAGGCAAGAGAATGGCGTGAACCCCGGAGGTGGAGCTTGAAGTGAGCGAAGATCATGCCACTGCACTCCAGCCTGGGTGACAGAGCAAGACTCCGTCTCAAACAAAACAAAAAAAAAAGCAAATATATATGTATGCGTGTGTGTATGTATTTATATATTCATACATATATAAATATGTAAAAAATAATTAGAGAATTCTCATCAAAATGTTGCCAGTGGTTACCTCTGGGAAGGTAGTGGTTACCTTTGGGAGGGTAGTGGGTACATGTGAGGAGAGGTTTTTTGTTTTTTTGTGTTTTTTGGAGACAGGGTCTCAGTCTGTCACCCAGGCTGGAGTGCAGTGGTGTGATCTCAGCTCACTGCAACCTCTGCCTCCTGGGTTCAAGTGATTCTCGTGCCTCAGCCGCCTGAGTAGCTGGGATTACAGGCATGTGCCACCATGCCCAGCTCATTTTTTTGTATTTTTAGTAGAGACAGGGTTTCACCATGTTAGCCAGGCAAGTCTTGAACTCCCAACCCCAAATGATCCACCTGCCTCAGTCTCCCAAAGTGCTGGGACCACAGGTGTGAGCCACCACACCCGCCTCACGTTTTTTATTGAGTAAACTTCACTGCTATATGAATCTTTTGTAATGACAATGTATTTATATATGTGTATGGTCAATGTTAATAAAGGTTAGAGAAGTTAAAAATGAAGAAAGAGTACTGTGGAGGATGGAGTGGATGAAGGGAAAAGCCAATCAGAGAAGCACCCTAGGGTGCTGTAGCAGTAGTCCAGGGGACACCTGTGGAGGCTGGAATTAGACATGGGCACGGGAGGAGAAGGGGGAGCAGGTGAGCATGGGCTTAAGAGGACAACTGGCACAGTTTGTTGACTGTGGACATGCGGGCTGAGAGGAAGAAAATAGATTAATGTGATGACTAATGTAGCTGATGACAACTGTCCCACACTTCGAGCAGGGGCCCAGGGCAAGGAGCAGGGTGGGGAAGGAAGCAGAGGTGAGAGTTCATATCCCAGGGGATACACTTCTGGCCCATCAGACAGTGGAGTGTGTGGGCACACACCTCAGGCGGCAGATCTTGGAGATTCCAATTTGTATTTCTGAACATGTAAGTGGCTTTGAGCATGATCAAGGTGAACAAGAATAGAAATATGGAAGGCACCAACAGATGATGGACAGATGAGGAAGGAGATGATAACTACAGCAAAAAGGCCAACCACAGGAGAGGCTGCCATTTGTTGAGCAAGTGAGATATGCTGTGTGCTGTCCCTTTATTTTATTCAATCATTATAATAATGGGAGGTGGGTTTTATCATGATTCCCATTTTATAAATGAGCAATTGGAAGCTTAGAATCACCAAATAATTTTCCCAACATAGCAAAGAATCCAGCTCTGGCTGACTCCACACTCACAGCAACTACACCACTTCGCTTCTGCCGAAGCAATCCTACTTGCACTCCTCCTTTTGGATTGCTGAGAAGCATCACTATCTAATTACCATAAAGCCCCCTCCTCTCCATGCCTGCTATCTTTGTCCTGGTTTGAGACCTCTTTATCCCTCCCATCCCTACCTTCAGTCTATCCTGCACAGGACTGACAAAGTCATCTTCCAGAATCACAAGCATGACTACATCAGTATTCTACTTAAAATCCTTCAGTAAGTATTCTCTCTACCAGTCGAGATGCTCGAGCAAGGAACAGAGAGATACTATTGTCTGAAACAACCACAAAGACAACAAAACACATGAAACAATGGGTTTCTTTTTTATTTGTTTTTGTTTTTCAGCTTATATTTTAGATTCAGGGGTAAGGAAGGATTTTACCTGAAGCCTTAGCGGGAGCATGGACCTTGAGACCTTGAGTTTGGACTTCCAGCCTTCAGAACTGAGAGGGAATGCATTCCTGTTGTCTTAAGCCACGCAGTTTATGATTCTTTGTGACAGCAGCCCTAGGAAACTATTACAATAGGTTTATAGATTTCATCAGACTTGGAAAATATTTGACCATTAGTTCTTCAGTTCTTTTTCTTTCTCACCCTCTCTTTTGCTCCTCTGAGGACTCAAATGACCTGTAAATTAGGCCACTTTAAATTGTCCCACAGTTCACTGATGCTCTGGGAGTCTTTTAAAGACTTTTTTTTTTTTTTTTTGAGATGGAGCGTCACTCTTGTCACCCAGGCTGGAGTGCCGTGGTGCAATCGCGGCTCACTGCAACCTCTGCCTCCCAGGTTCAAGTGATTCTCCTGCCTCAGCCTCCCAAGTAGCTGGGATTACAAGTGCCTGCCACCACACCCAGCTAATTTTTGTATTTTTAGTAGAGATGGGGATTTCACCATGTTGGCCAGGCTGATCTTGAACTCCTGACCTCAAGTGATCCACCCCTTCTTGGCCTCCCAAAGTGTTGGGATTGCAGGCCTGGACCACTGCACCTGGCCCAAAGACTTTTTAAAATTTTCTTTCTGTGATTTCTATTGCTACATCTTCAAGATCACCAGTCTCTTGTGATGCCTAATCTGATATTAACTCCATCGTGTGTATTTTAAATCTTATATATTGTCTTTTGTTTGGATCTTTTAAATATCTTCCATGTCTGTACTTAACTTTTTGAACATGTGGAATGCAGTTATAATAACAGTTTTACTGTCCATGTTTACTAATTGTAACATCCATGTCAGTTTTGCATCAGTTTCAATTGATTAACTGTCTCTCATTATGGGTTGCATTTTTTTGCTTCTTTTTTTATTCACTGCTAGACATTATGAATTTTACCTTGTTTGGTGCTAGCTACTTTTGTAATCCTATGCATATTCTTGAGCTTTTTATATGCAGTTGAATTAACTGAAAATCGTTTGATCCCTTCAAGTCTTGCTTTCAAATTTTATTAGGCAGGACAAGAGCTGGGTTTAGTGTAGGACTAATGATAGCCACACTCATGAGGCAAGACCTTTTGAGTACTCAATGCCCATGAATTGGGAAGTTCTCCAGTCTGTCTGGTGGAGACAGGTGTTGTTCCTGGCAGCACTCCATTCTCTGCCTTTGTCATCACATGATGTTTGTGTCTCCTCTTCTTGTGTACAAGAACACCAGTCATATCAAATTAGGGTTCTCCCTAATGACCTCATTTTAACTGGAGAAACCTTAACTGATTGCTTTCTGCAGCCAACCAGAGGTACCTTCAATTTTCCATTTGCCACAGAGAAAAGGGGAAAGATTTGCAAAGGGAGCAGCCTTGAGTCCTTTTGTTACTGAGGCATGGAAAGTTGGGGTTTTCCTCTCAATTTAGTTCTAGGAAGTCAGTGTGAATTGATCTTAGATTCCCTGCCTCCAGACCCTGTTCTCCTGCCTCAATAGGAGAGAAAAGCTACAACAATAAGTGAATCCGCCCAGGAGATCCATAATTGAAAAAGTTTTAGAAAAGAGAACAGAGAAAGTATATGGAGTGGGGGTCAGTAATTAAAGAAAACAATAAAATAAAATGTATCAGATTTTGCATAATGATCATCAGCCTCTAGTGTGAAAAGACCCACTGAATAACCCCTAAGTGAAATGAGATCCACGCCAACCAGAGCACTCCCCGGATAAAAGAGAAAATCCCGAAATATTTCAGAGAGGGATCTGGCCTTGTATGAAAGAAGAGGGGTGAGAACGGTGTCTGACTTCTGGTGGCAGCTCTGTGAGCCAGAAGTTAGTGGCCATGGCTTCAAATTCTAGGTCAAGAATCTCCGACCAAGCTGCCAATCAAACATGAAGGTAGAATAACTAATTTTTGCACATACAAGCTCTCAAAACATTTCCCAGTACAAAACATTCTTCAGAAAGCTATAGAGAGGGAAAAAAACAAGAGAGGACCCATCTTTCAGCAACTAGAGACCCAGCGCAGGGAAGGCAAAGGGGACTCCCAGAACCCCAAGACAACCGTTGGACCACCACGTGTGCTGGGGCAGGGGCCTGGGAGGATGTCGCTAGGAGAGGAAGCCCAGCCATGATGCATCTGCACCACTGCAAAGAGAGCCCCCTTCTGGCCCAGAGTCTAGGGATGAGTGGGAAGACAGCACTAAACCAAGGGAAATCTTGGCAACTGTTTATTCCAAGTAAAACAAAAAGTTGTACAAAATAGGAAATGTGCACTGCATGGTTTAGCTGTGAATAATACGAACATAGTCATAACTATGTAAATACCAAATATTGATTTGGCCAAAAATTAGGCTGTAACTACCATGATGGGGTTGAGACAAACAGAGAGACAGCACGTATGCACAGGAGGATGGTGTTTTTAAAGAGCGACATCCTCCTCTTCCATGGTGGAAGTTCATCCCGTGACATTTAAACTGGAAAATCAAGAAATGGCCTTCTAAACTTGTTATTTTAAAGTCAGGAGGAAAGCACCAGAAGAAACGGCAGGAATTCAAAGTGATTGCCTCTGGGGAACGGGAATCTGGAGTGGGAAGAGGAACGCTGTTTCTCATTACAAACCTTGAAGAACCATTTAAGTTTTAAAACTACATACATATATGACTCTGATAAACATACATTTTTAAAACTACTTACAAAACAGCAAGGAAAAGATTAAGAAGGGTGAAGGCAGCACATTTCAGACTGTTTCAGCGACTTACCTCCAAGTGAGTAAATACATAACTCAGTCTATGCCATTTAGGCATAGACCTAAAGGGGTGGCATCCAGAAATTTCTTCAAAGTCTTACTTATTATCTTTAAAATTCAGGCAGAAGTTTTTACTCTCTTTCATAATACATCCCTGTTTGTTTTTATAGTATGTGGCATACCTGGCAGAAGGTTTTCTTTTCCTCTCCTTTTGCCTTCTTTCTCTTTCCTGAGACACACATCAGGCTGGGATGACAGAGAAAGACATTCTTTCAGTAGAATAAGGTATAGAGGGTGCCCGTAGGATTAACTGGGAAGGGTGAAATATCTGATAATTTTTCAGTCATTACGGACTAGTACTACCAAGGCCCCTTATAGCATCTGCTCACCCCACTGTCTAAGCCTGGTGTCTCTGAGCAGGGAACTCAGGGAGCTTGAAGACTGGACCCCCAGCACAAGGCCAGGGTGGGACCCTCTTGGGATCAGGCGGCAGACAAAGCCCTGGAGGAGGGGAAGGAGATGGAGTCCAAGAAGGAAAAGACATCTCAGTCTTAGCATCAGAAAGACCATGGGGTTGCTCCCAAAGAGTTAGACCTAAAGCCCCACAGCAGAGAAGGAATCTGGGAAGGTGGGCTTCAAGGAAGAAAGTGGAGAATCCCATCCCAATTCTCCAACTCCTCTTGTGAATTCTGGAATCAGTACAGTTGTTATACTCACAGCAAACATCGTTCAGGGTCTTCTTGCACAACAGAGCTTTCAAAAATATGCTGTGATTTCATCAGTTTCCTTTATTGGCCACTGATATGCAAAGTCTATCCTGAGGCTCAGGATCCCCCAAGTTCTCCCAAAGACCCTCGGGCCCCAGTCTAGGAAGCATGGAGATGACAAGTGGAAAACAGTGGCATCACACATGGGACAGATGATGTGATGTTGGCAGGAAAATTCCCTGGGATACGACTTTTGTGGGGGTCTCTCCACGTCCTGCCCTGTTGGAGGCTGGAAGCCTCTGTGCTCTCTACCTCCTGGGGGGGCAGCAGGGCAGAAAACAGAAGGTTCTCAGAGAGTACCCCTGTTCCTAGCTCTTGTTCTTCAAACGTCAGGAAGTGTGTTGGGAAGAAGAAAGAAGTTAGCTGCAGAAGCCGGGAGGGAAAGAGGAAAGATTGTGCAGCCATCGAGGGAGGCAAAGTCCATGGCTCCTGGAGGAGAGACCCTGCCTGGCTAGCTGTCGGTGCTGAGGAAAGCAACTTCTGAAAGCAACTGCTAGAGGGAGGCATGGAATTTCCACTCCTGTGCAGGTTGCTGTGACCTTGGGGTCCAGATGCACGGTGCCCCTGGCCTTGAGGAGACCAGGTAGGCTGTGTTCTCCACATTATAGCCCTAACGGGTGGGTTGGAGGACTTGCTTGCTGCTCTTGTGGGACCTTCATAAGCCCAGGATTCAAAAGGAACCTTCAATATAACTGAGACTGAATTATTTCCAGCCAGGCAGAAGTGCCAGAAATTCAAAGAGTATTTGGGAAGCAAGGCATATGCCTGCCGCTTAAGTTATTCTTGTTGTTTTGAATTATGAACTCCTTTGCTTCAGGTGATGCCCCATCTGGCCTGGCATCCAAGGCAGGTGAGAAATTTCCTCCACCAGGCTTTGCTTGGCCTGGGATGAGGAATTCGACTGGAATCACACTCACTCCACCTTCCCACATCCAGACACAAGCAGTCACCTTTAGGGTTTTGCCTCTCTCTGTTCCAGACAGCTGGTTCCAGAGTCAGCTGTCACAACTGACCCTGACAGCTCTAGGGAGAATTAGCAAGGCAGAGGAAGGGAGTCCTTGGACAGAGAGGAGGGTGGACAAGGAAGAGAGGAGACTTTAGAGACAGGCACATCCCACAACCTCCGGTGTTACCATATCCAGCAGGCTGACTGAGCCGCACTGAGCCCTGGGCAGAAGTGGGTGATCTCTGAGCTGGGGCTGGGTTTCATTTTTCTTGTCTCTCTGAGCTCAGCCACCAGGCGATACCCAAGTTAGTATACCCCACCCACACTGTGGCCGTGTCCCAGTGCTCCAAACGCCACATTGAAGGGAGCTGGTCTCAGACTGCAGAGCTCACATGTGACAGACATAACCAATGGGGAAGAAAGAGTCGTCCCCTCATGAGTCTGAAGCCAGTACCTAAAGGAGAGAATGGGGAGGCGGCAAGGCATGGCCCCACAGCAGAGGTCGGAAGGAAGAGCTCCCAGGGTTAAGAAGCAAAGCCCCGAGACACAGCCACCATTCCCACCACCCCAGCTCAGGGCTACCTTTGGGACCCACCCAAAACTCAGCTAAGGCCAGGGAGGAGGGGTCCTCAAGGACAAGCTGCAGGCACCAAGCCCTGCCA
The DNA here is from genome assembly GCF_000001405.40 of Homo sapiens. Classification (NCBI taxonomy): domain Eukaryota; kingdom Metazoa; phylum Chordata; class Mammalia; order Primates; family Hominidae; genus Homo; species Homo sapiens. The sequence goes on along the minus strand of NC_000010.11, from coordinate 47,060,076 downwards.
TCAGGCACTGGCCAGACTGGAGTGAGAAGCCCTGTGAGCACATACTCGCTCCTCTACTTGTTGGTCTTGGTTTTACGTGTCAACCGAGGAAACAGGGCCAGTGTGTGCAATCGCCTATGGTTGGAGGCGTGGTGGAAGGCGAGCCCCTTCTCCCCAGGCTTTCTGAAACCATGTGGGAGATCTCTACCAGAGTGACACTGCCTGCCTCCCATCCCCACCCCCCACTGCTGGTGGCGATGGGACAGTCCAGAGTCCTAGTTTGGGTAGGACAGAACCATAGAAAGGCAACCCCCCACTCCGGAGTCTCATTCCCTCCTCTCTGGGTCACTTTGACAGTCTTGCCTGCTCCAGCATTCTCTCGGGGCTGTCGGAAAAGTGACAGGGAGTGGGCACAGGGTTAGGGAGGTGAGTGTGGGCCTGCTGCTCCATCGGCAGTGCCGTGAGGAAGCTGCTGCTCCTTCTCCAGTTCTCCATCTCCTGCATTTCACTTCTCAGCTAGATGTAAGTGGAGAAGAGGAATAATGGGGTGTTATTTATGAGTCCCTTAAAACCTCAACAACCCTACCATGTGTCAGACGAGGTGCCTGGAGCTTTGTCAATCCCTCGTGTCATTTTGTGCCATAACTCTCCAGGCGGGAATTATCACCCTGTGCATGTGAGCCTCAGTCTCTGCCATTCCCACCCCTGCGCTCTTTCCTCCACACTGCAAAGTCCCCATCGGTAGCAGTACACTTGTCTCTCAGGGCTTGGGTGAGAAGCCCTGGGAACCTCATTTGGTGGGAAGCTTTTGTCAGCTGCAGAGCATCAAGCAAGCCTTGGGCTCTAGATTTTGCTGTGCCTCGCATTGCTGATAATCCAATGGTGTCTTGCCTCCAGCTCCCGAAGTCCACAGATGTGGCAGCGATCATGGCCCTGTTCCCTGCTCTCCTCAGCCCACACGTTCCCCTTAGATGACTTCATCGGCCACAAGGCTCCAATTACCGGCTCTCTGCTCAGATTTATGTCTCCCGCCCAGGCTGTGTGCAGGGATCCAGGTGCACACATCCAATCCTGTGCACACCTCCCTCAGCCGTCTGACAGCTGCCGAAGCTCCCAGGTCTACATCCACTTGACATCTGCTTCTCCAGATCTGCTCCTCCAGGGTCCTCCAGAACATGGTACTGTCCTTAGACACTGGCCCCTCTCTCAACACCCGTGTCCAATCAGGCTTTGAGTCAGGGTAGGTCAAACTGAGAACTCCTGGCCCTGTTCACATCTCTCTCTGCAAAGGCCAACATGGTTTCTTTGCCCGGGTTATGTGCTAGCCCCTAAACTAGTCTTCCATTCCCACCTTGGCCCCATCAAATCCATTCTGTGTACTACCCAATATAATAGTTCTTAGACACAAATCTGATCATGTCACACAGTCGTTTAAAGCCCTTCAAATCCTCCCAGTGCATTTGGAGGGAAACTGGATGGCTGACGGGGGCCCAGGCACTACAGGGCTGGCTTCTGCCCCTTCTTCAGAACTCCAGCCACAGAAGTCTCCTTTTTGTTCTCAGAAGCACCGGCTCTTTCCCATCAAGGCTCCCACACGTGTGTCCCTCTGCACGGCCTCTCATTCCCACACTTTGCTCAGCCAACTGCGGCCACCTTCAGTCTCAGATGGCATTAGATGGCACTTCTGCAGGGAAGCCCATCGCCCTCCAGATTGACCTGAGACCCCCCGCTCTCTGGAATACAGGAAGACTGAAAAAACCTTACTGTGTTTTGAACTGTAATGTGTTGTTTACACTTGTGTAATGACTTTCTTCCGTGAGGGATTATGGTGCCTTGAATACAGAAATCAGGGCAGCCTGTTTCTCAACTGTGTCCTCAGGGCCTTGGGCAGGTCTAGCATGAAGCAGGGATTAGTAAACATCAATGGAATAGATTCCATGGAAGAGGCTATTAAAATAAGTTGCAAAATACTGAATATATTGGTTTTTTTAGTCAACTATAATTTTAGAGCACCTGTAGGTTCACAGCAAAAACTACAGAGATTTCCCTTATACCCTCTGCCCCACACATGCACCGCCTCCCCCATTATCAACATCTCCCGCCAGAGTGGTGCATTTGTTACAATTGATGAGCCTACAGTGACACACCAGTATCACCCAGAGTCCATGATTAATTTGAGTTTACTCTTGGTGTTGCACATTTTATGGGGGTTAATAATGTCATGTATCCACCATTGTGTCAAGTGAGGGAAGAGGGCCAGTGTGTGCCATCACCTATCATTGGAGGCATGGTGGAGGATGAGCCCCTTCTCAGGCTTTCTGAGGCCACGTGGGGAGACCTCCACCAGAGTGACACTGCCTGCCTCCCATCCCCACCCCCCACTGATGGTGGTGACAGCACGGTCCACAGTCCTAGTTTGGGTGGAACAGGGCCATAGAAAGGCAGCAGCTCCCCACCCCGAAGTCTCATTCCCTCCTTTCTGGGTGAGTTTGACAGTCCTGCCATCCCCGGCACTCTCTCAATGGTATCCACATCGTAGTATCACACAGAATAGCTTCATGGCCCTAAAAAACCTCTGTGCTCTGCCGATGCATCCCTCTGTCCCCCCAACCCCTGGCAACCACTGATCTTTTAATTGTCTCCATAGTTTTGCCTTTTCCAGAATGTCATATAGTTAGAATCATACAGTGTGTAGCCTTTTCAGAGTGGCCTTTTTCACTTAGCAATATGCATTTAAGTTTCCCCCATGTCTTTCCATGTCTTGACAGCTCATTGCTTTTTAGCACTGAATCATATTCCATGTGCCTGGATGTGCCACAGTTTATCCATTCACCTACTGAAGGACAATTTGATGCTTCCAAGTTTTGGCAGTTATGAAGAAAACTGCAATAAACATTAGTTTTGGGGGTGCTGGTTGTGTGGACATAAGTTTTCAACTCTTTGGGGAAAATGCCAAGGAGTGTGACTGCTGGATCCTATGGTAAGAGTATGCTTAGTTTTTAAAGAAATGTCAAACTGTCTTCCAAAGGAAACTGTACCACGTTTCATTCCCACCAACAAATGAGAGCATTGTTGCTTCACATCCTCCCAACATTGGTGTTTCCCGGGCTTTGGATTGTGTTCATTGTACTGGTATATAGTTGGATCCTGTTTTAATTTGCAACTCCATAATGACATATGACATTGAGCATCTATTCAAACACTTATTTGCCAACTTGTATCTTCTTTGGTGAGGTGTCCGTTCACGTCTTTTGCCCATTTTTTAAATCAGGTTGTTCGTTTTCTTATTGAGTTTAAGAGTTACTTGTATATTTTAGGTGATAGTCCTTTGTAAGATGTGTTTTTTTCAAATTTTTCTCCCAGTCTGTGGTTTGTTTTCTCACTATTTCGAATTATATTGACTTGACTTAAGGACAAAAACAACCCTATTTTAAAGAGTTTGTAATGAGAATGAGTACAGCACCTTCTTCCTAGATCTAGAAGCAGTGCACAGCTGTGGTTTCCTAGGCTTTCCTGGCCATTAGATGTGGGTTTGTCAGGAGCCCACACTGGCCTGCTAAGCTGTGGCCACTAGTCCCACGTCTCCTGGGCTAGCTGTACTCTTTTGAAGCCAGTGCCTAGACTAATGCTTTGGGGTAGAAAGGCCGAAAGTCCTCTCACTAGAGACTCCACCTGACAGGCCTCTCTCTCCAGGGAGGAGGTGGTGGTGCCTCAAAGAAGAGGAATTCCCACTCTTGGTCATTCTAGCAAGGGACAGGAAATGAGATTAGTGACTGGGTGAGGCACAGGGACTTATTTGGAGCATTCTCAGGGAAGGGGAAGGCAATCTTACTCCCTGACAGTGAGGGAGGTCATGGGAGAGGCAGCCAGGAAGCCCCCTTGTTCCGGTCCAGGGAGCTCACCCCTGACAGAGGCAGCTGAGAGTTGATATGCCTGGGTTGATGACTCTTGCACCCATTTAATTTAAAGGATAAAGGTAGGCTGCAGTGCTTTGGGGCCAGGCCACTTGGTTTTGTGCTCCTTTCAGGTTTTTTCCACGGGGACTGTTGTGCATCTCACAGCACTCCACGTGCCTAAGACTGCAATTGTGGGTGCATGAGGAAGACAGAGCCCCTCCAACTCTTCCTGCCCAGCCGTTGGTGAGAACAGAGCCAGAGCTGGAGCTGCAGGAGACCTTGGTGCAGTGCCCAGTGCACACTGCCCTACCTGACAATTCTGTTGGGATCTGGGGGACAGCCAGGATCCAGAGGGGCTGGAGGAACAGAACAAGGCCCTGGACATAGGCTGGCCACAGAGCAAGCGCAGCCAAAGAGGAAGTGCTGTGCCTGGTTTCTTTCCGCCCTCCCTCCTCCTTCTTCCCTGTTAACTGTTCTGCTGGGAGCCTCCGGATCATGGATTAGGGATTGTGGTGGGACCCTGTCAGACTCACCATGTTGAAGCAGGTCACCAAAGGTCACACAGTTGCCCAGGATGAGAATGCCTGTGCCCAGGGGTGCATCAGGTAGAGTGAGGAGCTGGGATTGGATCCCTTGGCCAGGCTGCTGCTTCTGCAATTATCCAGCTACCGTAGGACAGGAATAAAAGAAGCCACAGAAATCAAAGAGCTGAGGTAAGCAGGAAGGCAGGGCGAGAAGGGAGGGCCCAAAACAGCCTTTCCCCAAAACAGACTTTGCTCATGATGATGGGAACTGTCGAGTCTTTTGAGGGACCAAAAGGGGGACACAGTAGCAGAGCTGAAGGGCCTTGTCCTCCAGGAATCAGGAAGGAAAGGAAACTAAGGCAGCCAGAGTTTATGGGTCAGTGCTGGGCCCCAAAGCCCAACCGTGCAAAGGGTTTTGGCTCCACCTCCAGCAAAATGATGTCTGATGATGTGTCCCAGGATGGGGTCTCTGCCAGCCCTCCTACTCATTGATGCTCACCCTGCACCCAGAACCACTCAAGAAGCAGCGGGGGTGGGATGAACCTCCAGGATGCCTGCAGGTGGGGCAGATTCAGGGGTGAAATTCAGAACTGATATAAGAAGTAGATTTACCTTGAAGCTAATGATGCTTCCAGCACAGGCCTCTCATTTGTAGGAACCCCTTCCAAAGCCCCAGGAGTGGCTCTAGCAATCAATGTAAGTAAGAAGATAACCTCTCATTCTACTGGGACCTCCCCTGTGTCCCACACAATGCACTCTGCCCCCATCAGGTGGCACTGGAGTGGCCCCAGGCATATGGGGGATCCAGAGAGGTTCAGCTGAGAATATGTTATTTAATCTATAATCTGGAAAGATGCTTTGAAAAGTTGCAATAAAACAAATGAGAAGTTATGGTCTTCCACTTTGGACAGAAATATGATTTTGTCATCCTTAAATTTTTAATTAAGGAACAGAGAAAAAAATTAGATAATGATTAATGGGGCCAGGCATGGTGGCTCTCACCTTTAATCTAAGCACTTTGGGAGGCTGAGGTGGGAAGATCACTTGAGCTCAGAATGTTGAGGCTACAGTGAGCTATGATCACACCACTACACTCCAGCCAGGGTGACAGAGCAAGACCCTGTCTCAAAAAAAAAAAAAAAAAAGGAAAGGAAAAAAGAAAGAAAGAATTTACTGTTAATAAAATTATGTTTTTAAATGTTCATATTTTACCATGAAGAAGTAGAAATAAATGCCTAATAAAAATAATAATCAGGCTCTTGGAATATTTAGTAATCTAATCAAGAGAAGTGAGTCCTATGAAGACATTGGGGAAACTTTTAAATTTATTGATGAATTAATCAAAACTGACAAAAACAAAGAAGACACTAAACATGAATACCATTAAAATGTGGGTCTAGAAGTGTATTTGTCATTCAGAGAGCATTTCAGGTCAATCACCATACAGAAAATTTGACATGCCCTAAAGTCATACAGCTCAGATGGGATAGAAACATGGTTCAAGTCTTCCCTAATTTTTTCAACAATTTATTATAATTTATATGACATTATCAATTCATCATGAAGTTGAAATAAATTTTTCTCAACTACCGATTTTTTCAGAAAATGCTGTTTGACCAGCACTGCCAGAGGAAAGACTGAAATTACCTTTCTATTATGACTCTAGAAAATCATTGTCATATGAAGAGGGAAACAGCAAGTACCTAGCCAAAAATACAAGAAGGAAAATATTACACAGTATGTCTGGAAGCCAGTAAATAATATGTTTTTGCAGAGTTTTGTGATGTTTACATTATTTATCAGCTTTTAAAAAATGTGTAGTTCATTTTAATTCTTGTATCATTTTGAATAAGTATTCACTTTTACACCTAGTTTTGTACTCACAATTTTGTTATCCTTTTTCTTTACAAAGTCCCCTACATTTAATATGGAATCGTAGAAACTAGATGGACTGTGACAGAGGTGGTGACCAGGCATGGGTGCAGACACAAACTCTGCACGGCCTCAGTCACCTTAGCCCAGAAGCCACCTCTAGGCCCTGGGACAAAGAGCCAACCTAACCACCCGCAGGCGTGCAGCCCCACTGGCAGGCACTAGCTCTCCATCCCCCAACACCTCCCCATGGCTCAGGCGCCCCTGATTCAAATGGGGAATGGACTGGCATCTGGTCACTAGATATCTCGTCCCCAGATTAACTTTTGAGTCATTTCCAATCCTGTTCTTTTTTAAAGACTGATGGTGTGTACTTTCACACTCCTGGAAAGCAAATAACATGAGTTTCTGGAGGACAAACTGGCAATACATATTCAAAGTATTCATACTCTTTGGCCTGGCAATCCCCCTTACAGGAATCTATGAATAGGAATGATCAGAAAAACAGACAAATATGTAAGCAAAATAAGGTTCCCACAGCATTGCATGACACAATACCAACAGTGTTAACAGAAAGAAAATCCTTCTGTTATGTCTCTCCCTTGTCACTAGGTATCCACAGCCTGAAGAAATTTACCAACATATTAACTAAAATGCTCTGAGTGGTACAATTCGGAGGATGGTTGTTTTCTTCTTTATGCATTTTGTGTGTGTGTGTAACACAGATGAGTTTATCAGAAGAAAATGCACTTTTAAAATGAAACAGTCGTAGAAGGAAATCAATCAGACACCTAAATTAGGAGGCTGACACAACTGCTCCCAAAGGAATGTCTTAGTACCCCTCAGTATTTCTTTAAAATAAATGGCTTCAGAAGGCTAAAAAATGGGCCTGCCCACCTCTTTTCTCAGGGATCCCTAGAGCCTTTGCTCAGACACTTTGATTCAGTAATGCTCATAAATATGGAGCGGCCCTTTGCAAGATCCCTTGCATTTTAATGTGGGGGTAGTGCTCACCTCCTCCGTGGATGGGTGATTGCAAGCAGTTTCTTGGTCCTCATTTCTGCAAGAGCCAGTGAGGTGTGTGGACTGGGATACTTAAGAAGGAGACACATGGAAATGCCATCTTCTGACCAGGGAGTCCCTTGGACCTTGGAAGCAACCAGAGAGCAGAGAAAGAACAGTAGCCCATGCAGATGAACTTACCTCCCTCTTCTGGCCTTGCTGTTGTCTTCTGTCAAGTGGGGAGATGACTCTGAGTAATCTCTGAGGGCTCTCCAATTCTGCACATGAGCTTCCTACGAGCAGGGAAGTTGACTGGCATGGTGGCTCATGTGAAGGCCATGGGGAGGACAGGGAGTTCACCCGATCCAGCGCGGATGCCCTTCCTTCATCTTAGCTTGGGCGGGTTAGTATTTCTCATCCTGAAGTCAAGCTACCTATTCTGGTCTCCTGGAGTCTCTTCTGACACAAGGCTAAGTTATGTAAATACACAAACTAAACATGCTTTGCAGGCATAATTTTTTAAACAGAGATGAGGAATAGAGAAATAACCAAAAAAATTATGTACCTTTCTGTGCCTGGTTTATGTCTGATTTCACAGAATCCAGCAGACTGTATACACATGGGACAAGCCTGTGAACTTGGCTATCACCTCTGAGTTTCAGAGGGTGGGTGACAGACAAAGACAGGCTGGCGCCACAACCCAGCACAGCCTGCAGAGGACACCTACACATGGGGACTCGGTGTGGGTCTTGGTGGCACAGGGGAGTCTACATTGGCCAGGGGAGCCCTGGGGCCCAATCTCAGGAAGGGATGTGCCGCAGGGAAAATGGAGGGCCAGAGGAGATCAAGGTAGAGATTTGTTTCTGTGTACGGTGCAGAGAGAGGTCCCCAGGTACAAGCCAAGATGTCACAAGTGCAGGGTGGGTGAAAGGCATCTCAGAGGCCACCTGCAGGGAAGGATCCCTACTGACCTGGGCACCTGAACACAGTGTAGCCTGCAAACCCGTCCTCCCCAGAGGCTCTGCACCCACACACTCTCTGATCTCCCTCATCTGGACTTTTATACCAAAGAGGTTTTGATGCGCCTATCAGCTTGCCAAGGCCACTGACAGCCACAGAAATGCGGTGGAGCCAACCCCATCCAGGGGTCAGTCTTTGATCCTATTTATTATTTAGACCAGTTTGTGACTTGGTCAATACAGATGCTGCATAGACAGGAAGCACTGGGTGCAGGCTTCGAGCTCATTCCCACAGATTTAGTGGTCAGAGAGGAAAGGGCAACACCTTGGAGAAGCTTGGGAAATTGAGGCACAAGAGATGAAGTCCAGGGGATTAACTCGCTCAGCCTCAACTGGCAAAATCAAATTTGGAAGCAGCTAGAAAACCACATTGTGAATAATGTAGTCTGGCTTGGCCCCCCACATTGCCTTGTCGTGGGCTTCCAAACCATCCACTTGGAAGTGCCCCATCACCAGCCTCTAATGAAATGCAATTGGTGTTCCCGACCACGTTCCTACCTTCACCAGTCCCAGCAGCCCCTCAGTCCCGGCCGCACACACTTGGGCACGCCATGCCAGCTGCACCAAGCCAATCTGCTGTGAGATGCCGGGAAACGGTTTGCAAATATTACTTTCCAAATTTATCACACTTGGCCTGGTACCGTGGAAAAAGTTGGTTTTGATTTTACTGTGGATGATCCTGAGGCCCCAGTCTGTGTCCTACTGGGGCTGGCTTCGGGTGCTGGGGCCGAAGCCTGGTCTCAGAGAGGGGCCGGGCCTTCTCAAGTGGTTCTGCTGCCGAGAAAGGTGCCAGCCCCTCCACTGACCACTGGCCACCTGCAGAAGCCCACCTGGCTACACTGGCCCTTTCCTGGCACTTTCCAAGCCAGCGAAGGTGATCTCCCTCTGGCAAACAGAAATCTGCGCTGTTGGGAGACAGAGCAGTAGGCATCTATCTCCACATAGCTATCTTGAGCACCTGGTATGCACCATTTTGTTAGCATGGAACTCTCTCCCTATCCCTATCTCAGCAGCTTCCTTGGAGCCAGCAGCAGGCCTGAGGAGGAGGAGAGGGGAGTGGCCATCCAGCTGTCAAGAGAGAATCCACAGGCCCCATAGGAGGGACCTGGCTGCCCATCATAGACACTCAGTCTCTCGCTCTGTGGCTGTCAAGCTCCCAATATTTCTGTCTCTCTCTTCTTTTCTGTCTTTATCTGTATCTTTCTCTGTGTCTTCTTCTCTCTCTGTCTCTGTCTCCCTCTCTGTTTATCCTTCTCTATATCTCTGTCTCTGTCTGTCTCTGTCTCTCTCTCCCTCTTTCCCTCCTCTCCCTCTCTTTTTCTCTCTCCTTCCTCCCCCTTTCCTTGCATTTCCCTGGGGATGATGGAGTTTTCCTCCACGTCACCATGTGGCTAGACAAATCAGCCCTGGCCTTTTTGCTCTTGCATGAGAGTAGAAGGCCTCCCAAAGCCCCTCAGGTTCCATGGTGTCTGCTCCAGCCAGGCCCCCCACCAAAACCCTCTGAATCACTGGCTCTGGGGATGGCAAGAGCCCTCTTTCCCTGGTCCTCACACTCAGTCCCAGACTGTTGAGACTAATGACCTTGAGTGTGTGTCACGTCCCTCATGTCCCCCTCTAGGGAAACTGGCCAGAGTGGGAAATCACAGCCAGATTTTGGGTCATGGGCAAGGGGCTGAGGGCTCATGTCTGTGAAGAGAGGGGCCTCGAGGGGCCCAGGCAGGGAATGGCAGTGCCGGGAGCACTATGGAGAGTGGTGGGGTCTGCAGGAACCTGCCACCAACTAGATTGGGCAGCCGCTCTCCTGCCGCACGTCTCCTTTCACATCTGTGGCCAGAGTCTCCAACTTTTCAGGAGAAACTGCAGATCTAGATTTTCATATGAAAATGTTAAGACATAATTCAAAGTTTTTTGAGAAGCACTCTGCAAGCCAAATAAAACACATCAGCAGGACGGATCTGGCCAGCACAGCACATTCATGACCTCTGTTTGGTGTCCCCTAACACCCACCCCTGGGCCCCAGCCACCTTCAGGGCTGGCAGGGGGGCCTCTGCTTCCAGGGCCCATGCTCCTCCCTCGCCTTCATCCTGGTCATGGGGCTCTGCCTTCCCCGGAGCTGTCCCAGTGTTCAGATGACCCTGAGGCAGGAGCCCACCTGCAGTACAGCCTCCAGGCTGGTCAGCCGGTGTAGACATCTGGTCATTCTTCATGTCTGTCACCTGCCCAGCTGGTCACAAAGCAGAGGTCCGAGCCCCAGGAAACCCAGGACCACCAGGCTGTGGAGGAGAAAGACTTGCTGGTGTTTCATGGCCCTTGTTTGCTGTTACCAAAGCTCATGTTTAAACACAATTACTTTCTGCTCCACTCAGGCAACCCAGTTGGCACACCCTTCCAGGGACCAAGTCCCATGGCCTTTAAGGAAGCCCTAGCATGGGGCTGCCCATTCCCCAGACATGAAAGGCAGCTAGTAAGTTTGCTACTCATTAGCTGTGTGGCCTGGGAAAATGACTTAGTTTGGCTGGCCTCAGTTTCTTCATCTGTAAAATGGGAACACTATCTCATGCTAGATAAAAAAGGACAAAATTAGACAATTAGATAAATTCCCTCCCAGCTTCACCCATGTGCAGAAATCCTTGAAGAAGGAGAAGGCGAAGGAGAAGGAGAAGGAGAAGGAGAGGAGAAAGGGGAATTAATATTTGTTGAACCTATTATGCATGAGGCACCTTGACAAGGGCTTACAAATGTCATCTCAACTCACCCTATGAATCACCCTGGCAGGCTATCACCCCACTTCACACAGCCCCTATTTCCACTTCACAGATGAAATCCTGAGCTCCAGGTAAGTTGAGCTATTTGTCCCCGGAAGGGCCCAAGATTTGAACCAAGATTCAAATTTGGTCGGTCTCAACATTAAACCTAGAAACCCGGCCAGCTGCAGTAACCCCCCTGCAGTGCCTTCAGCCTCTGGCCCTGGACCGACACTCCCTCCCATGGCTCCAACATGTGTGGGCCCAGGCTCCAGCGCCCTCCTCAGGGGCTGCCCTGCCTCTGCTCTTGAGAGGACCTGCAGGCCTCCATCACCCAGCCCACGCTTCCTGTCTGTGTTGCAGGGGTGCCCAACCCAGTGCTGGCCTCTTCCTCTCGGTGTTGCAGGCGGCCTGCCAATGCCATTCCTTGACTCAAATGGACTCTGTGGACAAAAGAACACTCCCCCAACTACTGCCTTCTTGGCCCAGGCAACTCCTTCTCATCCTTCAGAACCCAGTTCAGACATACCTCGTATTGGGGGCTGTGCCTGGCAACCCCAGCTCCCCAGGCTGGGCTGAATGCCTCCCTAGGCCACACCAGCACCCACCTTGGCCTTGATCTCATTCACTATCAGTGAGTCCACTCTGCAGTGAGGGGCAACGCTGAGCTGAGGTAAGGCAGCTCTCCTGGGGCCACTGCCTTAACCTGAGGGTCCCAGCAGCTGTCCCTGGGGCCCCTGGTCCTTGCCTCTGATGCCACCCTGTGCTGCTGTTACCCACTCTCAAGCAAACCACACCCTGGTGGGAGGCCCTGGGGCTGCAGAGGCTGTGAGGACAGAGCCTGAAGCCTCTGCTGGGGTCCCACCCTGAGCTCTGAAAGAACCCCCAAATGGAAGCCCCCACCCTCTGTGTTGCACTTTGCTTTTCCCATGTGGCCACAGGTCCCAGGTTGGGGACTGGGCCACCTTCCCTTCCTCTTGCTTTAGTTTCATGCCCAGCTCCGGGTGTCTTCTCGTCGGGGACTCTGCATGCCTTTCTCAGGGCTGAGCAGAGCTGAGGGGTCCAGGAGCCCTGGTTACCCCCAGGTGACATCCCGTGGTATTGTTAGCATGGAGGTGATGTAGTGAAGACGGGTTGTCAGCTAGGATGGGGGCGAGATGACCATCTAAGCAATGTCAGAGCAGGGCACGTACTCAAAAATGTACAAACGTATCTTCCAATCTTCCAGCTGTTGGGAGAGCTTGGGCCACCCAAGGGCACAGCGCCCCCTGCTGGCCATGACGATGATGCGGCTTAGCTCACAGGGCTTTCCTCTGCAGCAGCTCCCCAGAAGCCAGGCAGGGGAGTGCTGGGCGGGGTGGGAGAGGGATAGGGGTGTGCATGCATGGGCCATTTCTCATTCTCTAACATACAAACGTGCTCTGACACCTCTCTTGAGGACCCCCTGTGCCCACTGGCACCACCAACAAATCAATCACATAGCCAATCAACAAATTAACAAGCACCTGCAGTGTGCACACACTGGCCCAGACTCACCTTACCTGGATGCTCCCCACCTCCACTCTCTGTGTTCAATTTGCCATAGTCCTCCTGCCCCACCTCCCATGGCTCTCACCCCCACAGAACTGCCCCTTGTGCCTTCCTCCTCAACCAGGTCCTCACGCCCCCAACAGGACACATACCCAGGGCCCAACCACGTGGCCTATCTCTGCACTCTCCTGCACCCATCCATCCCGCACACCACCCACACTCCAGTACTCTTGCCAAGAATGCTCGAGCATTCTCACCACCAGCTCCACAACCTCCAGGGCTTCCCTGTCCTTGAGAAAGAGCCCAGGGAAAGGCTTGGGTGATCAGACCCAACCTGCAGACGCAGCCCTGCCTGCCTGACTCCCACTCAATCTGCCCTCTAAGCAAACTGCAGCAGCACAGCACCATTCCCAGAAAGCACCCTTCACAGCAGCCTCCCACACATCTTCACAGCCCCCCACCTGCACAGGCATACTCAGCCTCACAGAGTCCCCCTACAGCCCTGACCCCTCGTTCCTATGGAAGACTCACGCCGAGGCCCTCGTCCATTCCCATTGCACATGGACCCACCAGGCCACTCACCTCTTCATCTGAGCCCCCACACCCAGAAGCACCCATGCCCCAACACCCTCTGTGGTATCCACCCTCCCGCCCACACTCAGGGTTCTGTACAGAAAGGAGGGATGCAGGGAGTGTGGTGAGCATAGGCCCCGACGCCCAGTTTCCCCAGAGAAGCCTTTCAGAGAAATCGCTTTCACATGGCAGCTTTGGTCCTCCGGGAGGGCAGCGGCTGAGGAGGGGGCATGACGGGGCAGCCAGCGAGACCATTGTTCACGCCTTGGCTGCTGGAGCCAAGCCCCTACCCCAGTGCCCCTTATCCATTGGAGGAGGCCGCAGGAAAACAAGGTCTGGTACCCGAGGGGCCCAGTGACCCGTTTGAGCAGCTCCCCTCAAGCAGAAGTTTCCCACATGACCTTCCAGCCGGGCCCTGGGCTTTCCTGCCTCCACAGCAACCGCAGTCCCCTCGCTTGGCACTGTGTCTTGGCCCAGGGCACAGGGGAAGGGAGGAAATGGGGAGGTGGGGAGAGGATGCACAGGCCTAGCCCGGGCTCCCAGCTGGCAACAGCCCTTCCTGTAAGGACTTCTGGGCCCTCTGGGTCCTCTGACCACCTCTTTCCACCACCCAAAACTGGTCATGGCCTGCATGGGTTTGGGGACCCAGTGAGCTACACTCACATCACTGGATGCTTCAAAGCAGCTGTGTGACTCCAGGCAAGTGTCAGGACCGTGGGTTCCTCATGCCCTCCTGGCTATCAAGCTTGAAGGGCCCACGTGGAGATTCGAGGGAAAATGCACACTCAGGCCCAGGAGCAGTGCCTCACACCAGTGAGTGGAGTTCCCTTTTAACATATTCTTGGGTATTGCCTCCACCTAGGGTCTGTTTGTCCCCAAATTTAAGCTTCCTGGGTTCTGACTATGTTGGGCCCAGTGGTGTGGTCTCTGCCCAGCTGGATGTCAGCCTCCCCTCGGCCTCAAGGGCCCAGTGCTACCACCCATGTTTCCTTACCATGACTCTGAGCAGTGCTGGTCCCTCTCTGAGTCCCAGGAATGGTGCACTTGTCTGCTACCGGTATCTCCACTCCCCAAGAACCTTCCTCACCCATCCTACTGGGCCACCCAGGACTTCTGGCCCTCTCTGGACTTCTGACAGGCTCTGCTATAAGCCCAGGCTCTCCACCTCCTCACACCCAGCCCCTCACAGGGCCAACGCACCTTAGTAGGTGCTTGGCCAAGGGTGGCAGGGCCATGTTCAATACACAGATTTCCTCTATGAGACTTTGCGGGGAGGACAGAGAGCTTGCCAGCAGCCTGGCCTCTTGTCCCGTGCCCTAGGCCCTTTGGAGGGAGCCCCTGCCCTGACCCTGGGGCCTCCCTACCTCTTGCACTATTGCCTGGCCTTCTATAGCCAGCCCCTCACACCTCCCAAGCTGTGGTCACGTGGAGGCCCTGCCACTCACGGGCCACACCTGCCATGTCCTCGGAGCCTTAAGATGCAGGTGTTGAGAGCTCGGTGTTGCCTGTAAAGGTCCCCCTGGAGGGGTCCCTCCCATCAGGCCTGGAGGCTCGGGTCTGTATACATGCATCTGCATGGGGCATGACTGGTTTCCAGAACCTCAGAGCCCAATCCACCTGCCCACATAGCCCATACCAGCTGACCAATGACAGTGAGGCGAATCACCAGTCTCCTCCTCACTCTGAGGCCTCCCTGCGCTGACCCTGTCCTCAACCTTTGATTTCTCCTTCTTACAGCCCAGCTCCCACATTGGACTCAGTTCTGTGATTTGGGATCTGGCCTTGACCTCCAACTTGCCCCAGATTGTGCCTTGGACTTGGCCCAGTCCATGCTCAGGTGGGCCACCCAGAGCCACTTTGGGCCTCTCAGAGCTTATTTCCTTTGGTGTTTGGTGCTGTGGACAGAGAATAGTCTGGCGGAGAGGGGAGCTGAGACATGCAGGATGCTGGTGCCTGGAATGGCTGGCACTGAGCCCATCGCTGCCTGGAACCACTGGCTGCCTCCTCTCTGTGGCTTGTCTTTGCCATAGTCTGTGAGCTTGGGGCCCACACCCCATGGAGCACCATGGCCAGACCCAGGCAGCAAAGGTGAGGTTGGCCCACAGGGAAACCTGTGGAAGGCTCTGGCCCCCACCCCATCCCAGGCTCACCCTGCCTCACAGAAAGCACAGGAGACCCCTGGCACTGGGGCTGGAGCCCAGGACACCTCTCCCAACTTCCTCTGGATTATGAAATATATTTCATGTGATATCTCAATTCTTTTCAAACAACATGGAGTGACATCTGCAGGGCACTTTCCTAATGCTAAACACCTTGGGTCAGCAGTAGAAATGCCTCCAGTCATTGGGGTGGCTCCTAATCTTCAGATGTCAGGCGCCAGGGAACCCAACTTAGGGACTAAGATCCTCACTTGGGAAGGGTCCTGGGGGCCATCAGAGGGATGGCCATCACTCACAGGTGAGCGAGTGTGCACATCTGGATTCATTTCCACGACTCAGGATCACATCAGGCAGCATCAGGGGCCCCAGGAGGGATGGAGGTCACAGGCTCCCACCCTCGTCTTAGCCCTGGAAACATGAAGGCCTCCAGTGCCCTCCTCCAGTAACCCCGTGAGTGCCTGGCACAACAGTGGGCACTCAGTGAATGCCGGTAAGTGCCTGCTGACCAGAGCTCATATGGGGGAGTGCACCTCTCTGGCAAGCTGGATCCCATCAGTGTCGGCCCACATGTGCACCAGCCTCGTTTCAGCTGGGAGAATCGCATCAGGACAATGGGAAAGCTTCTCCCCGTTCCCCTGCCAGGTGGGCCCAACGCCAGAGCCGCGATCCAGGGCATCGCTGCTAAGTTTCCAGGCTCCCGTCAGGCATCACTCCCACCCAGGGGGACCCTGCACTGTCTCACTTCTTTAGAGACAGATCAAATTGGAGAGAGTTGGCTCGCATCAAAGACAAGGCCTATGTTGTTTACACACATTTTTTTGGGAAGAGGGAACAAATTATTTTCCTTCTTGTCCATGGGATGCCAATGATGAGTTCTGGAGAACCACTCAGAGACACCTGTCATGAATTCCCAGGGCAGGGTGAGTGGAGATGGAGCAAACAGCCCACAGCGCAGGCTCCTGATTTAGAAGGGAAAGTGCAGCATGGATTCTCTAAAGTCCAGCAGCAGCAGCTTGCAGGAGACACTGCGGCACTCATGGTGCCCTGAAAGTTGCACGGGATGGAGGCCACAGGGGACGATGCATGCTGATGACATGGCAGGAAGGGCAGGTCTTGACTCAGCCCAAGGGAGCTTCTACCCGGGGCCGCCGTCCTGCACTTCTGAGCATATTCATCAGGGACAAGGGGAGAGGCAGGCTCATGGCCCTAGGGTCTGGGTCCCCCTGACACACCCACACAGTGGTGGAGCCTTGAGGACAGCCTGGGGCCTGCTGCAGGTGTCCCAGGGAAGAGGGCATGGGGGATCTGTGCCTGCCCACATTGGAATGCCTCCCCCATGGGAAGCACTGCAGGCTGGGCAACTATGGGGGAAATCACCAGGAGCCTGCACAGAGGCCCCGCCCAATGCACTGGAGCATGAAGCAAGGAGCGTCTGCCTGCCCTAAGGGCACCCCATCTGGAGAGAGTGACTATGGCACTGGCCATCCTGTCAGCCGGGAGCCTCAGGGAACAAAGGCAGAGAGAGCCCCCAGAGGAGATGGCAGCTCAGGTGAGCCTCAAGTGATCACCTGCAAGGAGGGGATTTCCACAGAGGGGCGTGAGTCGACGGTGGGATGCAGCTTCTTTTATTCATTTATTTATTTATTTGTTTGGCCAAAAAGAAGAAAGAAAAAGTCCCACTCATCTTTACCATCCAGATCACATTGGGCAGAGGTTCAAGGAACCTGCGTGTGGCACCCTGGGTGGAAGAACGCTCTGGTCCCGACAGCAGTCTCCCTCTGCTGAGGCCTTCCCTGACTCCCCAACACCCGCTCCCCATTTCCCTTCCCTTCTCTCCCTGCTCTGCAGCCTGATCATCACAGACGTAGTGTGGGCTCCACCCATTTTTGGAGACCGTCAGCCCTTCCATGGCAGCACCTTGCTTTCACCGGGCTCCCAGTCTTGAGCTCTGCCCTGAGTGCCTCCCATGCACAGTGCTCATTCATTTTGGTTCATTCAGCACCTTCCCATTTTACAGGTAGAGAAACATAGGCCCAGAGAGGCTAAGTGACTTGTCCAAAGCAACCAGCTGGCGCATGGCAGAGCAAGGACTCCATCCAGGCTTCCTGAATCTGCATAGTTAACCCCTGGGCCATAGAATCTAAAATGGTAACATTATCTAAGGTCTGGGATTTTTGCAGTTGCAATGTTCCCAGAGCCGAAAACAGTGGGTGGCACATAATGAGATCTTCATAAATGTTTGTGAAATGAATGTAGACCCAGCCCTCCTGACACTGAATCTGCAACCCCCCAACACACATGCATTACAGTGAGAGAAATTTGTCATCTTGGATGCACTGAACCACATGGCATTTCAGCTCAGGGTCCCCACTGTCTGTGTCGGAAGCCTCTGGGGCCTGGGAAAGCAGCACACCCCATACCCTCGAGTAAGGGTAAACTACCAGGAAGCAATGTCGGGTGCAGAGAGCATGGCCTTTGGAGCATCTGCTGGAGTCATTTTCCTGACCCTTTGTCCTTCTGCCCACAGTTCTCTCCCCTTCTCAGCACAGCATGGAGGTCAGAGGCCGCCGTAGAAGCCTCATTGAAGAGAAGACAGTCTGTACTAGAAACTCAAGGATTAGAACTGAGGTTGAATCCCACTTTCGCACTTGGAAGCTGTGTGATCTTGAGCAGGTGTTCCAACCTCTCTGAGCTCCAGATACCTCTGGATTGACAAGGTCAGGGTTTCTCCCTGAGAAGTAATTTTCTAACACCTTGACATACACACTCTCCTGGCCTGTGTCCTGGACCACTGGGCCAGTTTCAACCCCTCTGCTGGAGACAGCAGCAAGGTCCCTGGACGATCCCTATGTTCGAAGTCTGCTTGCCACTGCCTCCAACAGCCTGTCTGCCATTCCCCAGGCCTCAGTGCTATTCTGTGGTGAGCACAGAAGTGTCCTTGCCCAGTCTCAGTTTTTATTTATTTTTTATTGTCAGCCTCAGTTCCTAAAATCTTACCACGTTATTAGAGGAAGGTATATTTTTGACAACTTTATCCACAGTTACCTTAAATCAAGGTGTCATATACACAGTGCCAAGACTGAAGATGTTTTTCAACATAAAAATCCATTTTGATGATGCAAAGGCTGTTGAGAATCCCTTTTGAAATTTCATCAGCCAGTACTCAGAAGACTTTTGGATTTGACTAACACAGAGGAATCTCTTCTTGGTAAAGGACCTCAGATCCAGATGTTGTTCCAATGGAAAAAAAAAAAAAAAGGAAGAAGAAGAAGAAAAAGAACTTTTTCCAACATTCCTTTATAAGGAAGCTGGTGCTGGGGATATGATGTCCACTTTACTGGGACA
Source organism: Homo sapiens (assembly GCF_000001405.40). Classification (NCBI taxonomy): domain Eukaryota; kingdom Metazoa; phylum Chordata; class Mammalia; order Primates; family Hominidae; genus Homo; species Homo sapiens. The sequence goes on along the minus strand of NC_000010.11, from coordinate 47,041,433 downwards.
AACCAAAATATCTTGATAAGTAGAAAATTTTTTTTAGCAAATAACCTGCTGTTGGAAATTTTTTAAAAAATAAACACAGTCCTATAATCTATGTCAAGTTCAGTGGTAAACATGAATAAAAAGAACTTAAAGAACTTAAAGAGTCAAGCGTCATCTGGGTACCAGTAAACTCAATGTAAGTGGTGATTCAGCAAGTGAGCTTAGGTTTTTAAAATGTACTTTCAATTTTTTTGTTAACAGGAAATGAGTTAACTTATTAATAAAATCCAAATAAAATGTAAAATGTAGTAAGGTTGGCACAAAATAATTCCCATGCATGTGAAGTCTGCACCTGTTTATCTGGGGGGACTATAATCTTGCAGAAACTTGAAACATCCTGACATCTTTAGTATCTTGCTCTGCAAATTGGGAATTACAGCACCTACCTCTCAGAGTTGTTTGTTCACTTCCCCTGCCCCACATTCCAGGTGAACCCCCGACAGTGGGTGCTTGCTTCCCCAAGCCAGAATTTAGGTCCAGGTGTGTGGGTCCTTACGGCACATCCTAAGTGACAGCATGCAGGTTCTGCCTCTGAAGACAGCCCTTCCCTCCTTCCCTTTCTCCCTCCCTTTACTCCACACCTCCGCATGAGCATCTAGTGGGCACAGGCCAGGGGCAATGCTCTAGGACTTGGTGATACAACAGTGAGCAAAGTCTCTGTCCTCACAGCGCTTACCATGTAGAACAAGAAGAAAGATGCTCAAGGAACACACAGATGTCTAAAGTTTAATGCAAATAACATAAAAGCCAAGATAACTGAGTCCCAGGCTGTTCCACCCTTCCCCCTTTTAAAACAATCCCCTCTGCTTTGCATGCAGGCTTCTCTCCTTCTACCCTAGCCCAGGTGAGGGCATTCAGAGAGCTCCAGGGGGCATCAAATGGAAGGGGTGGCTCAAGGTCTCACCAGCTTGCAGCCTCAGCGGAGAGCAGTCACTGCCCCTGTCCAGAGTCCGAGCAAGCTAAGCAGGCTTGGGTCTGATCAGCATCCACCCACAACGAGGGCATGAGGGAGGGCGAGTGTGCAGAGGGACAGGCCACACTTCTTCCAATCCCATGCGTGGAGGCAGGCAGGTGCCCTGCTGTGGCTGTGGGGCAGGACTCAGGGGATGGACCAGCTCCAGGAATGGGTATGGAACAGATTCACATGGCCCAGGTCAGATTCATGTCACAGCCTGGTGGGCAGCTTGACCATGCCAGCACCAGAGCACAGGCCCTGCCATGGAGGCTGGAACCTGTGGGCTGGGCTGCCAGGCTTTGGGCTTGCGGAGCAACACACCTGCCACTCGGGATGGGGTTTTGTCTACGGCGCTGCCTTGTGGACAGTGAGATTGGATGGGGGAGCAGCAGAGCAGTCAGGAATGATGAGGACACGGGGTGGTCCTCAAGCCTGGTCCATCTGCTACGGCAAGCCTAGTTTGGGACTTAAGGTGGCTGCACCATTGTAGTGGTTATTACGTGGGTTTTCAGAACCAGTCTTCGGATCAAATCCCACTCCTGCTCCTTCTCAGCTGGGTGACCTTCAGCAAGGCTTCCTCATCTGTAACTTGGCAACAGTGACAGGTGCCTTGCAAAGCTGTCTTAAGAATTGATGAGATGGTGAAATCCAAACCTCAAGCTAAAGCAAGTGGGGAGAAAATGGTCACTGCTGTGAACAGACATATCAGCAGCAGCTGTGGTGCATGGCAGAGCCGTCCCCCCTGCAGCATCATTCCACGAGGCGTGGCTGGGTAGGCCTTGCGGGGCCAGCACATTCTCACCCTGCCCACCTACCAAGGCCTGTTTGTGTTAATGTCACAGCTCTGAAGCATTATCATCAGAGGCCATGAGATTTCAAAGGAGCTTCCTTTGCAGAGCCACATTGCTCTGTCCATAATTAGCACAAGTTTCCATGAGCATGACGATGAGGCCAGAGGGGCTGCCCTGCAGGCTGGTTTGTTAGTGTAAGACATTCCTGGGGCATCTGCGTAGCCTGGGCTATGCTTTTCCAGCCCTCGCTCCCCCTGGCCCCTGCCCTCAGCAGCCCCCAGGCCCTCATTAAGGGATTAGCGATATGGGCCATGCAATCCCTTGGCCATCTGCTTGAGAAGTGCTGGGTTCTTTGCTCTGTCCCGCCTGAACCTTATCAGTGGTCCTCGCGCAATGTTTGTGTTGCAAAAATCAAAGCAGGTCTTGGGCGGAAATTATAGACCACTGGTGTCATGAGCTAATTAAAGACTACGGGGTCATACACAAGGGAGAGGACACAGATTTCTCCCACTGTCTGTCCTTCTGCTAATGGGACATTGACAAGCACAGACCAGGAAGAAGGCTGAGAAAGCCAGCAGCCCGTGAGAGTATGATAAAAGGTGACAGTGACAGGTCTTGCTTCACCAAGTACAGATTGGGGGATGCTCCTATCAGGGCCCAGCACCCGTCACAAAGGGTGTGGCTGTGGGGCCTGGCGGCAGGCTAGGGGCACTCCCCCAGCAGCCATCCAGAGCCTGAGGGAGGGGATCTGTGGGGGGACAGTCTCATGTTAATGGCAACACATTTATGACCCAGGAGGAAGTTTAGGACAGTTCTGAATGTCTACATCTCCATCATCAAAACAGATTAAAATTCAAGAATAATCTTGAACAATGGAAAATAGACAGGCAGGGAAAAACCAAAATGTAACCTTGAATAGCTTCTGCTGTTGTTCTCTGTTTACCAGGAGGCTGTGAGCTTCTTGAAGGGTTTGGCTCCCCCACATGCGAGGTCGGGGACTGGGGTGATCTAAGTGAGTGATGGGAGCTCAAACCCTTGCACATGGGATGAGATAACATCCCTAGGTACCATTTGAATGCTCTCTCCCCCTCCACACTCACCCCAGTTCCCAGCCCCAGGCAGATGGACCAGACTCCACTGCTGAATCTAAAGTAAAGGCGGCAAATGTACGACCACTAGGGTCAATATCTGGTGACTTAGGTCCTGATGAGAGTGCTTGCCATGATTCCTGCACAGAGGGTGATCCTGTACTAGAGGACTGGCTCCAAAGCTTCCACCGGCCAGGGAAGGGGTCACAGGAGCACATCACCACCCAAGCAAGTGTGATCCCTGCCAGGACTAGCAGTGCTGCAGTAGCCTTGCCCACTCTCCTGCGGTCAGGACCCCTCAGTGATGGCACACGTCATCCAGTTTGGAAAGATCATCCAGCCTCAAGACTGGGCAGCACCTCCCACTCAATGCACCCATGTGGCCAGCCCACTCTAGGGGTCCGGGACACGCTTCGGTCTGGGTGCGGGGGTATTCGAGGGGGGACTGCCATGTCTGTCAGGGAGTGTGGGAAGCAGATGCTGTAAGGTGCAAACCAGTAATTTTCTGGGGACACCTTCTGAGCCCCTCCTCCTTCCTTCAGCCATTCTCCATGCCCCCTTTTGCTGAGCATAATCCTCAATTTCTTTATTACTCAATCCAGCCTTCTCTGGCAGAGGAGTATCTACTATTTTCCAGGGGAGGCTTCTCAAACCAAGGCCTGCAGGCGAAATCCAGCCTGCTATCTATTTTTATCAATGAAGTTTTATTGGAATGCAGCCAGGTTGATCTGTTTATGCACTGCCTATGGCTGCTTTCAGGCTATGATGGCAGAGTTGAGTGGTTGCATCAGAGACCCTACGGCCTGAAAGCCTAAAATATTTACTCTCTGACTCTTTATAGAGAAAATTTACTGTCTCCTATTCTAGGAGGTATAGAAAAACTATTTTAGTTTAGCCTCATAATGTCCCTGGGCAATAGACGTTGATTTTCATTTGAAGGAAAGCCACCAAGGCTTGGCAAAGTTAAATAGAACCCAGCTGTTAGGGAAGGGAGGTGGGCCTCAAAGCCACATGTACTAACTCTAAAGACTGTCTTTTTGGCATTTGTCTTGTTGCATCTTTGGCAGAATAAGCCGAGGGTGAAATGTTGCCTTGATCCTGTTGCTGGAGCAGGGCTAGAGCTTTTACACCTCCCAAACCTGCAGGATGTCTAGTAACAGCCCCCAACTTTTCTCCATGGAAGTCCCGGTTAAAATCCAAAGACAAATGACCCTCTCCATATTATCCTCCAAGATCCAAAATTACTCATTCAAACAGCTCTTTCCTCTTCTCCTTAGGTTTGTGACATAAAAGTGTATCCACCAGTGAGCCTCTTCCTCCTCCCTTTGATCCAGGCATTGTGTGTGCATTTGGAGCCTGAGCCAGGTGGGTAAGGTGACCCTGGATGCCGCACGAGGTCCTTTTTGGGACTGGCAGGTGCCTCTTCACTGGGCAGTGGAGACGCAGGATGAGGGAGTTGATTTGTGGCTATAGAGAAGCTGTCAGAGACAGAACCTCTGGTTACTCAGTGATGGCCCTCCGGGAGTCAGGAACCCAACAGACCTCATCTTTAGTCTGTAGGATCCCCCAGAAAGCAGACGCGCTGGGCATTAGAGTGCCTCTTGTTCTCTCTATTGGCTGTCAAGCCTCTGAACGCCCTTAGTGCTTGAAGAACTGGCCCCAGCATGGATGAGTCCTGCAGGATTCAGGACCTAGCTGCTGCTACAGACACGGAGCAGGGCAGTCCAGACTCAGCCATCTTTCTGCTGCTGCACCCACCTACTTGTTACCTGAACTCTGCCACCCAGCAGTAAGCTCTGCCAGGCCTCACAGTGGGGTGGTGGGGTGTGGCCCACACCTCGCCACCACCCACCCCCACCTCCAGGTTGACCTCGGTGGTCAAGCTTGCCTTGATACCTTCCTGTTCTCCAAGCCTGTGCTCCAGGATTCTCTGTCAACCACCCCATCTGTTCAATAAATTCATTTTCTACTAAAGTCAGCCCACACCTGTGCAGAAACAGGGTTGGAGCAATTTAGGTGCCTTGTCCAAAGTGATAACAGATGGGAAAAGGCAGAGCTGGGATTCAAGCGCATCTCCTCTGACCCTAACAAGCACAGGCTGCTCTCGCTAGCCACACCCCTCTCAAGGAGCAGCACTGCTCTTTCTAGACCCTCAGAAATGGGCCACCTCCCAGATGCCAGGTGTGAGTGTCCTGACACCTGCCCCTCACTCTCCTCCCCAGCCAGGGCTTCTCTGATGAATTTTCCCAAGTCAGCCTCTTGAACTACCTGCCTTCCTGGGAAACACCTTCAAATCTGCAGAGGACCAAGTGGGCTCCAGAAATGAAAGTGGAGCATTTCACTGTGTGTGGAGCAGTGAGAAAGGGAGAGGGTAGGCTTGGAGAGTGCAGTTAGCCTGCATTGGGCATCCTGACCCGTCGGGCCCCAGGATGGGAGGGCACAGGAGCCTCCAGTCACAGGAGGTCCTTGGGGGGACAATGCCCAAGGCCTAGTTGAGGAAGGGGGCAGAGAGCCGGCTCCCAGCACACCTGCCAGGCCCCACACCTGGGACCTTGGGGTCCCAGAGATTTCTTTTCAATGCCTAAAGCTTTGCTCTCCGAGCCTAAGGACAAGTGGGCAGGACAGGGCAGGATGGCATAGACTTGACCTCCTTCCCCTTGTCCCAAGTTGCACTCTCCAGACATGGGCTGGCTGCACACATGGGCTGGACACTCAGGGGGAAGGTCAGACTTCCCAATCTGGGACCCTGATTTTGCTGTTCATGGCCAGGTGTCTGTCCCTTGGCTGTCAGCTGTGTTCACCAGGTGTGTGTCCCCTCAGAAGGTAAGTGGCTCTTCCAGTGGGAGTGTTGGGAGAAGGAAGGAGAAGAGCATTCTGCAGGCATCCGCCCTGCTGCAACTGCGTGTGGCTGAGTGCCCCACACTCTGTGCCCAGGGCCACCTGTCTCCCATTATGGCTGAATGTGCTAATAGGGAGATTCCAGACCTTAGTTCCCCTGGTAGTAAAGGTGACCCTGCAGCTCCATCTCAGGGGTGTGCCTCCCTGAGGCAGTCTTTCACCCATGAGAGACTTGCCCAAGATCAAGACAGCAGAACACTGAAGCTGAGCTGCCCCTCCAACCCAGCTCTCGCCGACCCCAGGAATCAGGGGGCTCCCCACTTATTTCCTCCTGTGTTCCAGGGCTAAACATTCGGCTTTACACACACACTTACCTGCATTTAACACCTCCAGTCATCAGCCCTGCTTGAATCAAGTTGCCTATGTGCCAGGGAAGTGGTGGAGGTGACCGCTCCTGACCACAGTCACCTGGCCCCACTGGGCAGGAGCATCTCCTGGCCGGGAGCAGTGAGGGTGGGAAAGTCATTTTCTCAAGCATTGGATGGGGGCTGGAGGGGAGCAGACATGCTCTGTGGTGGGCTTTGGGAACACAGATTCCTTGTTCTGGGTGAGCGGTCATGAGGCAATCCCCATTTCCTCATCTATAAAATGGAAAAAGAACCTGAGAATGCTGGCCTCATGACCTCATTGTGCGGCACACACAGGGAGGATCAGTCCTGTGGTGGGTGCTGCCCCACCAGGGCAGGTGCTCCGGCAGTGACGGGGCTCGTCCACAGCTGTGGCAACCCCGATGCCCCCACCTTATCTGGTAGTCATTGTCATCTGCATCCTCCCTGTCATTAACCTCCCCATGCCCCATGCCCTCCCTTTTACATCCTGGCCAGGCTGTCTGTGCCAGCTCACCAGCAGCCCATGAAAAGCCTGGACAATGATTGGAGAGAACAGTAATGAATACAAATCATTCTCTGGGCACCACAGAGCCTATCTTGGGTGATGCAGCCTCTGGGTGCTAACCATCCTTGGTCCTTCCTGGAATGGCTGTCAGGCCACTGAGGCCGCAGGCTTGATGAAGATGGATGATGGCCTGTGCCTGGGTAATGCTGTACTAACACAGAGCCCAGCGTTTAATCAGAGCTCTGCTCTCTGCCAGAGCCGAGTAATTGGAGGCAGGTGCTAAGCACAATTGAAATAAAATGTGGAGTTAATAAGGACAGTCGACAAGGATGTTACAAGTCCCCTGTCCAAGTTTTCAACAGGAATTGGAAGGCAACTTGGAGACCTCAGAAACTGTGAGTTAATTTCCAACGTTTCTCTTCAAAAACAAGTACAATCAACTTTAGGGCTTTTTTTAAAGCTTATTTATTTTCATATTTGCAATTCAAAAATAAGATGGTCAGAAAAGCAGCACATGTCTAAGATACTTCTGATGTACTACAGGGGACACCAGCTCCATGGAGGCCTGGACACCCCTCTTCCCACCTTCATGCTCCGCACTCAGCACCAGAGTCCTCCAATCTGCCTCTCTGGCTGTCCCTTCCTCTCCCAGCCCATTCTTAATGGCCTCTGCATCCCTCATCTTGTATCATCCAGGCCATTGCTACCAGCGCAGTCTTGCTAGAATGCACAACTCCCTGCAGAAAGTTCTATTCCCTCCCAAGTAGAGCTAAGCCCCAAGTCTCCATGGCCTGGCCCGAGCTGGGCCCAGCCTTATCTCCCACTGCTCCTGTTCCCTTTTGCTGCTCTAGTCATGGTGAAAATCCTCCACCTGCCTGGAGGGTCCCTGCCACCTCCACTCTTAATACACTCTCTCCCTGGCCTGAAGGATCTTCCGCCCTTCTTCATTGACATTCCCAGATAGTGCCCCAAGAGCTGTCCTGAGCCCCGCGCCTACTTCCTGTGCCCACCCATCCCACGGACAGCACTGTCCATCACATCACACCCTCCACAGGCTGCTGCCAGTGTCCTGTCTCCCAACCCGCTAGACTCTGCGGTGCCCAGGTCAGACTGTGACACCTGCAGGACTGCACCCCGCATGGCGCCTGCACCCCACGAGGCATCAGGGATGCACTGGACCAGCCCAAGGCTGTCCTTGTATCATGTGCTATCACTTACTAGCCAGCACGTTCCCTTAAAGCTGCATGGGTGACATTGACATGGTCTGTGCCCACCCTCTTCATCCTCAAAACAGTCCCAGTTTATGATTTCATTTCATAAATGACTGCCCCCCCCCACCAACTAAGAACTGGAACCGTAAGAGGCAGATGAATGAAAGGAAAACAGATTCAAGCCTGAAATCCTCCCCACCCAGCCAGCAAGCTGTCTCGAGTGCCCTCTCGGCTCAGTCTTCAGTGAAGTGACACCTGGTGAGGATGGGCTGTGGATTGTCCCCCTCACCAGCTAATACACCTGGATTACACAGTCACCTGGAGAATGAGCCTCAGGGTGACCCACCTCCATGTCAAGGGGAATCTTGAGGTCCATGAGACCCAGCTCCTATGTGAGGGGACCCACCTCCGTGTCAAGGGGACTCTTGAGGTCCATGAGACCCAGCTCCTATGTGAGGGGACCATTCCGCATTATCCCCAAAGTTGGAGTGCATGGAGCTACCATATGATCCAGCAACCCTACTGCTGGGTCTATACTCAAAAGAAGGAAAATCAGTTTATCAAAGTGATATCTGCACCCCCATGTTTATTGCTGCAGTATTCACAACAGCCAACATGTGGTCACTGAGCTTGACTGATGCTCAGTGTCCATCAATAACTGAATGGATAAAGAAATGAGTGAACAATGGAATATTATTCATCCGTAAAAAAGAATGGAATTCTGTCATTCATGGCCACATGGATGAGCCTGGAGGACATCATGATAAGTGCAATAAGCCAAGCACAGAAGGACAAATATCGCATGTCCTCACTCATATGTGGAAGCTTAAAAAGTGGGTCTCATGAAGATAGAGAGTGGGTTGGTGGTCACCAGGGACCAGGAAGGTTAGGGAGAGCAAAGGATAAAGAGGGGTTGATTGATGGGTACAAATATACAGTTAGATAAAAGAAACAAGACCTCATGTTCAGTAGATCAATAGGGTGACAATAGTTAAAAAAAAATCTATTGTACACTTCAAAGTAACTAGAAGAGAATAATTAGAATGTTTCTAGCATAAAGAAAAGACAAATGTTTAAGGTGATGAGAATCCCAATTACCTTGATTTAATCTACACATTATATGAATATTTCAAATTATCACACATACCCCTAAAATATGTTCAACTATTATGTCTCAATAAAAAAAAGTTGGAGTCCAACTTCCCCCAAGACACCCCAGGAAGGGGTTTTGTGATGAGCAACAGCTCAGAGATCAGAAAGCCCCCTCTAAGTCTTGCTGACATCCTCCTGTCTCTGTCGGGGAGCTACAGAGCCACTCTGGAAGCAAATGCTCCCTTCCCCACCCCTCAAATGGAGCAGTCCCTTCTGGACATGGTTCCAGGCCCATCTTTTTCCTGCTCAGCCACAGCACCTCTTCAGAGGACCTCGGTGGGGTCTGCGCAGCACCGAGGAGGCTTCACTCCATTCGGGCAGTTCTGCCTCTATGGAAGACAGTGGCTCAGAGAGTCAGAGAATGCCCTCTGGAATCTTCTGTGGCTCTGACTCACACCCAGCCAAGGCCTTCCCTCTCCCCACCCAAGTCTGACCATGTGAGGAGCTTTGCACACAATGTCCCTGATTCTCTTGCATCCTTGTCCTCAAGCCAGAGTGGACTCAGCGAAGTGCAATGATCTGAGGGCTGTGCTTACTCGAGGCCCACCTGGGCCTGCTGTCTGCTCCTCCCTGCTGCTCCCAGGGGAGTCCCCCCACTTCCCCAACATCCCCAGCCCCATCTCCCCTGGCTCCAGGCTCCATTGCAATCTGAAAGCTCTACAGGCAGCTCAAACTCAGGTCCCAAATGGAACTCATTATGGATCCCTCCAAACTCACTCCTCCTCCATCCCCTGCTCCAAAGAATGACATCACCACCAGCCGGTCCCCACGCCAGAAACCTGGGAATCATTTGAGGTGTCTCTGGCCCTCATCTCCACCCCTAGCAATCAGTCAGCATTGCGGCTGCACTGGCCTGAGGTTTCCTGAGCCCAGCCCACTCCCTTGCCCACTGTCATTCCCTGGCTCAGGCTCTCATCTTTTGCCAAGGCTGTTACCGCACCAGCGCCCTCACTGTCTTTCTGATTCTAAGCTGGCTCCCTGCCAGTCCTTCCCTAGCACAGGTCTCAAGATGATCTTTATAAAGGTCCAACATGGTGTGTCATTCCAGCTCTAAATCCCTCAAGGGCTCCCCCTACATTTCAAGAACTCAAATGTCTTGACACAGCAAGGGAGAACCACGTGACCTGGCTCAGGCCTGCTCCCCGACCTGGGAGCCTTTCTCTTCTGCACATTCAACACTGCTTTTTTCTCACTTTGACCCTTGTATTTGGACTCCCTTGTCCTCCATCCTCATCCCTGGGCAGTGGCTCTCAAACCTAAGTGTGCATCGAAATCACTGTAGGGGCTTGTTCAGGCACATACAACACTGGGATCCCCTCAGGGTTTCTGATAGGTGAGTTTGGGGTGGAGCCTGAGAATCTGCATTTCCAATGTCAAGTTCATATGATGGTGATGCTGCTAACCTGATGGCCACACTTTGAGAGACAGCACCACCACTAAAACCTTCAATAAGCGCTCGAAAGGACCCAAAAATGCTAGCCGAATGAATGAATGAATGAATGAATGAGTGGGATACACTCTGGCCAGCCAAAGTTTTGCAGCCACTCGTTAGGACTCTGTTGACTGGATCTCACGTATGTGAGTAATCTTGGGTGGAATTTCTGAATAAGTTAAAAAAGACAAAGCTACATGTTGCTTTTATCAGGGTTGGGGGACCCCTGTGAGTTTCTCTTCGAGGTCAGGTCCTGCTGTGCGCCCTAAGGGTCAGCATCTTTCCCAGACACGGAGGTGGGAATTGGAGGGCCTGGGCCTGGGACCTCTGAATGCATTCCCGTTACATCATTTGGATTTCTTTATAGACTGGAGAGTTTACAACATCATCAAAACACATGTTTTTGTGATTTTCCAACAGCCTTGATTCCTGCTACCATGTCCTGTTCCCAGGCCACCACTGAGCACAGCAGACAGATGCCAGCAAGCATCTGAGCTCTCAAATGCACACAGCATGTCCCTTCTCGTGGGCGGGGAGCTTTGGAAAATGGAACACTGGGTGTGAAAGACCCAGAAAGGGCCCTGTGAGGCTGCAGAGAAGGGGTGAGGGTGAGGCCAGCCTGCCCAGCCAGACCGTAACTGTGGAGACTCCGTGAGTTTCCAGAGTCGTGATTAGCATGAAGAAGCCCCTGGGGCCCAGCACAGCCATGATGACCAGCACAGTCCGCTGCATCAGCCACCGAGGGCCTGGGCCCTGTGGAACTCGCCGGGGTAGTGCTCATGATCCTGCTTCTCAGTGTATCTGGACTAGGAAACCCCATGGTGGTCAGGACATCCAGGGGAGCTGACGGTCTGTGGCCACATCACTCTCCCCTTCAGGCCCACCAGGCTGAAAGGGCAAATTCCAACCCTCCTTCAGAAAGGGAGTTCTCCCCGAGTCCTTGAGATCCACTGCTCTCTTGGGGCTAAACTGTGTTAACGAAAAATTCAGATGTTGAAGTCTCAACCCCCAGTACCTCTGAATGTGACTGTATTTGAAGATAGAGTCTTTAAAGACATGACTGAGTTAAAATGAAATCATTAGGATGGGCCCTAATCCAGTATGACTGGTGTCTGTGTAAGAAGAGGAGACAAGGACACAGACACTCAGAGGGAGGACCATGTGAGGACATGGCAGAAGGCGGCGTCTGCAAGGCAGGGAGAGAGGCCTCAGGAGAACCCAGCCCTGCCGACACCCTGATCTTGGACTTCTAGCCCTGTGGGAACTATATGGGAAACCGTGGGAAAACGACTTTCTGTAGTTAAGCCCCCTAGTCTGTGATTCTTTGTTTCTGAAGCTCAAGCCGACTAAGACAGACTCTCCAGAGCCCTGGCCAATGCGGGCCTCTCTGCTGGGTGAGGAACTAAGCTTAGCGTGCCTCATGAAGGGGTTCAGGGGTGTCCCTGAGGCCTGTGCCCATTGCCTGCTCTGTCTTCCCCCTGGAGAGGGCCCTTCAGCTCTGTCTGCCCTGGGCATCTCAATCCCACCCTGGCTTCCCATCCCCACAGGGTGAACTGCTTGAAATGCAGATGTGCTCACTGAGAAAGAGGGGCTTGAGCCAGGTTTCCAGGCAATCCTCACTTGACTGAGCCCCAGACGGCAGCACTTTGGGCCCCATCCCCCAGGCACGGCCTATTCCCCTGGGGCTGCACAGAGGCTGTGGGGCTGTTACCTGGAGCTGACCTTCGGTGCCATACAGCCCTTTTCTCTCTGGCCTGAGCATTAGCCCTCTCCCCAAGGCGGTCCTGCCTCCTACCCCCAGAGGGGTGTGCTTCCCTTTAATTTCCTGCTTCTTCCGTGAGGATCTGGAAGCCACCTTGCCTCTGGGTGGGACCTGAACTACACACCTATAGCTGGAGATGCTGCCATGGAGCGGAGAAGGAAGGAGGTGAGCTAAGAGAAGGGGTGGGTGACAATTCTCTTGACACCAACCGGGGACCCACAATTCAATTCATTTCTAACACAACTGCCTGGAGCTAGCACAGACCCCACAAGCTAGGGACTCTGCCCTGCAAGACTGCACCCACTTCAAGATGCCAGCCACAAATCTCAGGGGCCCCAGGCCACCTGCACTTCTGCCTGGCAGAGTACACATTTGGGGGCTCCCACAGACCGCCCCCTTGATAATTTGCTAGAACAACTCACAAAACTCAGAAAAGAGCTGTCCCTACTATTACAGTTTATGATAAAGGCTACAGATAGATGGCCACATGAAGAGGTCCTTGGGGCCAGATCTGGGGCAGGGCCCATGCCCTCCGGGCTCCCCTTCCAGCACACCCATGTGTTTCAGCATCAGAAAGCTCCCTGAGCCGCCCGTTCCAGGGGCTTTGTTGGGGTTTCATTACACAGACATAATGGATGCAATCGCTGGCCATGTGACGGAACGCAATCTTCAGCCCCTGTGCCTCCCTGGAGGTCAGAGGTGGGCAGGGCCGAAAGCATCCGTCCTGTAATCAAGTGCTTGGGTTCTCTGATGCCCTTCCCTGCCTTATCCCACTCAGGTGTGGAGAACTCTGGTGAGGGCCCTCCTCTGGGATACAGACCACTGGCTTCTCTCAGCATTTTCATGTGGCAGAAAGTGGGTAAGAAATATTCTGGGGGTCCCTTTTATAAGGCACTAAACCCATTCCAGCGGGCTCCACCTTCATGACCTAAATCACCTCCCAAAGGCCCCAATCCTAATCCCATTACCCTGGGGATTAAGATTTCGGCATACGAATTTGGGGGGACATAAACATTCCATCCATTTTCTCTCCCCTCTCTCCTGAGTGACCCCATAGGGTTACTGGGTGAGGGTACCACTCTCGGTCTGCAGGCCCCACTCCTCCTCCCACTGCCGAAGGTGTCTAGACCCAAAGGAGGAGACCCTGCCCCGAGTCATGCTGCTCCCATACTGCCACCAGGCTGCTGGGATGCTGGGTGGGGGGCTGCAGAGGCAGGTGGGGGCCCCGAGAGTGGTGTTAGGGCACCCTGCCCGATCTTCTAAGTGACAGGAGAGTGGGGCAGGGGTGGCGCCCATGAAGAAAGGCTGTTTTGCTGTCCACGTGGAGAGTCATACAGGGGATCACAGTGTACAGCCTTGGGAAAGCTCTCACTAAATAGTCCTTGAATGGAACTGGGGGGGCCTGAAGCAGGTGGGTTAAGGGGAGCCTCCATGTGTCTGAGACCTAAGAGCAGGACTAACTTGGTGACCAGCCGGCTGGGTAGGCAGAGCAAGGGCTTCAGGCTTCTGTCTGGGCTGTGAGAGACCTTGTGGATGCAGGGTAGGGGGGCAGGAAAGAGTGTGGAGTGGCAGCTTCATTGCAGACGTGCTGAAGATGAGGACACGGGAGCCTGGGCAGGGGTAGCCATCAGACATGAGGACACCTATGTCTGAAACTCAGAAGTCAGGGCAAGAGGCACAGATTTGGGGCTAGCCATGCCATGGCTGCTGGGGAGGGCATGCTGGGGCTGTGATGGAGAAGTCTCCTGTACAGCCCTGTCCCTGACCTCCCACCCCTGGCTCTCTCCCTCTCCCCAGGGCACAGCTTCCCAGGAAAGAAAAGCCAATCCCATGAAACATTGGTGGTGCAAGCCTGGCAGCATCTGTAACGCTCTCACTGTGCTGTTCCTTGTTGGGACTAAGACAGCCGCACCAGCAGGCTTCTCCAAGGACTGGGCGAGGCTGCCCTGTGAAGCACATGGCCCACAGGTCCGTGCACCCCTCTGCCACGCCCTGGCTGGGGTGGGCACTGGTTATCCCTTCCCCATTGGCCTCAGGATCCGGGTTGCCTGGCTTGTGGAGACTTGTGCCATGCTCTTCTGATTAGCCAACTGTGGAGGCTTCCAGAAGTGCAGGGCGACAAGCCTGTCCCACTGGGCCCCATCAAACCCCCCAAGTGCTTCCCTTCCCACTCCAATACCTCTGCATCTGAAGCTCCATCTGAGGCTGGGAGGCTCCTGGCTTCTTCCTAGGGCTCTGGCATGCCTCACCTTGGCAGAACACCCTCAAAATGTGAACACAAGTGTGTTGGGGTACTGACGCAGTCGATGGGGAGAACCTGGCAGGTGTGGCATCAGGCTGGCAGCTTCTGACCAGCCCCATGACCCCTGGGTGGCCACCATTCCCTTCTCTGCAAAGAAAGAGGCCATGAGTGACCCCCTCCTCTGGTGGGGTGAAGCTTCGAGGAGATGGGACCCTTGTCTGCCTGGCGCCCAGCTTCCACTGGCACCAGTGGGCATTCAGTGCAGGAATCCCCTCTGCCCTCCCCCTCCCCACCCCTCCTATCCAAGTTGACATCCTCACTCCGGTCCCTGTGGGGTACTCAGAAGGAAGGCCCAAGGCTGGGCAGAGGGCTCACTGGATAGCCCAGGAGCCCAACTCCCCACTTTCTCCACCCACCAACACCTTGTGGGCGAGCGCCCCCCAGAGCCCAAGGGCCCAGGGCAGCAGCCCGTCCTGGAAACTGCTGTGAGGCCTGGTTGTGCACTCAGGGGCAGTGGCCGGGCTCCTGGCTTCCGGCAGAGTCCCGCTGGGAACTCCAAGAAGGGAATGGTGAGTGGGAGGCCCTGACCTTCTTCATGTGTGTGGATGGAGGCAGCTGGACCCCATGAGGAGCTCAGGTCACAGGGGCTGGGCCCTGGGAGTGAGGGGTCAGGGAGGCCAGAGCCAGTATGTGCTGGTTGCAGGTCCAATCCTGTCAAATCCTCACCTTCTTCACGGGAGGGGAGGCGGTCACTCTCATGAACCCTATTTTACAGAAGATGAAACAGGCTCGAGGAGGGTTAGTACCCTAGGCTCACACAGCTGGGGGCAGAGCTGGGATTAAACCAGGTTGGATGGGGCCAGGGACCCTGAGTGAATGCACCACCCACGCTGCCCTGCAGAACCATGTGGAGATGGGCACAGTGACCGGAGGTGGCCTTGGGGGTCGATGACATTTGCAGGCAATAGTGTAGCTCTGGCTCTCTGTAGTATTTCCTGCAGGGAGGCAGAGGGCAGATGGGGTCTCTGCCTCATGATCCTGCAGGGAATCTGCCGTCAGCGCTGGAGCACCTGTGGGCACTTGATCCTATCCAGCTGTAGCAGTTGTCATCCCCAGGAGGGGCCAGAGTGGCAGACAGACCTCCGTGCCCCTCTTCAGGAAGCTAAGGGTGACTGGAGCTCACAGGCCTCCACCCAGCCTGGACTCCTCTCTCCCAGGCTTCTGGGAGTCATCCCAGAGGAGGTGGGGCCCAGAGTCCATCCTGTCCAAAGACCACAGACTTGGATTCCTGCAAGGGCCAGGAAGGATGAGTAAAGAGCTGAGGATGGGGCCTGGTGGAGGCTCTGGCCACCCAACAAGCACCAGCCTCTAAGAAAGGCACAGCCACTGACTGTGCATCTGTGGGCTACCAGGCTACAGCCTCATGTGGACAGGGTCGGATGAGCCCCTGTTCACACAGGTCTGGGCTAGCAAAGTCCTACAGCCACCCTGCCGCACCACACAGGGGAGGGAGCAAAGGCCCCCGACTGCAGAAGCCCCACCCCATCTGGCTTCAGTCTTCTCTCTGTCTCTGGTCCTGAGGCCCTCACACGTTCCCTGCTCTGTTCCCAACACACCCTCCTCCACCAGACTGCCTCTGAGAGCAGGGCACAGGCAGCAGGCTATGCAAGTGAGAGGCTGTGGAGTTAGGCCTGGCTCGCTCCACCTCCCTGCTGTGTGACCCTGGGCAGGTGCTTCACCTCTCTGAGCTTCAGTGTTGTCACTTGACAGGTGGTTGTGAAGATCCAAAGCAATAATGTGTGTCAAGTGCTTTGCATGCAGCAGATGAAGCCTTCCTTTCCTCCCTGAAATTAACAAGTGCAGTGCTGGGAAGTGGGAGTCAGGCATAATATTAAGTCCATGCTCAAATAGGTTGTGGGTCTGATGGCAGAGGTTTCCAGCTGGGGCTCATCTGTTAGCCATGAACTTCTGACCCAGAACAGAGGAGGAGACACAGGTTCAGCAGCTGAGCGTGTGAGTTGGGGAGTCAGGGGATCCTGCTTCCCAGTACCTGCCTCTGGCAGGGTCCTGATTGCTGCGCAGGTGGGCAACGCCACCTAGTGGGCATGCATAGTGCCATGACTCAGGGTATTGATTGTCCTCACACACGCGCACATACACATGCACAGAGCTGTGAACACACACCTCAGGCCCCTACCCACACCTTCACCCGCACACAAACGTCTTCTAGCTTCTTACCCCTTGGATCCTATCTTGGAGCTGAGCATCAGCAGCCATAAAACCATGCATCCTTCCTCTTTCCAAAAGCCAATTTGGGGATTGTGTGAGGACAGCCAGGTAGTCTGAAATGGAAAGGGGGTGAGGTCACATTTGCTAAGGGCATGATAGTGCATGCCAGGCTCCAAGCCATGAGGGAGGTGTCACCGTAGCACTGAAAGGTTAAGAGCTTGCCCAAGCCCACCCAGAGAACACAAGACTGCAAGCCCCAGGCTGTGCAGCTGTACGGCCTGGTTCCTACAAGCTCCACAGACTATTCCATCATAAAAAAGGGTTTTTCTGGATCCTTTAACTTCCTTCTTGAACTAGATTTTATTTGAAATGGAATCAACTTGACTCATAATTCTATTTAGGGTCCCGAGATGATTTTCTAAGTGACAGCAGAACCTGCATTCTCAGCAGCCATTGTCTAACCTATGCTGTCCTCCTCCTCCTTCTCCTCCCAGCAACGGTGTGTGTGTGTGACTGTGTGGTTTGTGTGTGCACAAATGTGTGTGTGTGGTTGTGTGTGTATATGTGGTGTGTGTGGTGATGTATGGTGTGATTGTGTGTGGTGATGTATGGTGTGATGTGTGTGTGTGGTGTGTAGTGTGTGTGGTGTGTGTGATGTGTGTGGTATAGTGTGTGGTATAGTGTGTGTGGTGTGTGTGTGTGGAGTGTGGAGTACTTGTGGAATGAATGTGTGGTGTGTGTTTGTGGTATATGTGCGGTGTGTGTGGTGTGGTGTGCATGTGTGGTGTGTGTAATATGTGGTGTTTGTGGTGTGGAGTGTGTGTGGTGTGTGGAGTGTGTGGAGTGTGAAGTGTGCATGGTGTGTATGGCATGATGTGTATGTGTGCATGGTGTGTATGGCATGGTGTGTACATGTACATGGTATGTGTGATGTGTGGTGAGATGTGTGTGTTATATGTGGTGTGCCGTGCATGTGTGGTGTGTGTAATGTGTGGTGTGTGGTGTGTAATGTGTGGTGTGTGTGGTATGAGTGTGTTTGTGGTGAGTGGGGTTCGCGGCACCAACAGGCGCTCAGAGTGTGGTTAAACCCCTGCTCTGCACCAGATGTCCTGGGTGTGTTCCTGTGGAACCCGTGCCTGGACTGCAGGCTGCTCCTGGTGCCTTGTTTCTAATGAACAGAACAAGGCAGAAGTCATCGGCCACCACTTCCAAGATTAGATTACAAAAAAAAAAACCTCGGGTTCTGCCCTGGGTGCCTCCTGCCTGCTCCCTTGCCTGTTTCAGGGAAAGCCGGTGGCCAGGCTGTGGCCTGGAGAGGACCACGCAGCAGAGAACTGAGCCTGGCCTCAGCCAACAGTCAGCAAGTGATCTGCCAGCAACTGCCTGAGTGTGCTTGGAAGCAGAGCCTCCGAGTGAAGAGAGCGTGTGGGACGCCCTGAGGCAGAAGACCCAGCGAAGCCACCCCAATCCCTGCCCCATAGGAACCGTGCGAGGATAACTGTTGTTGGAAGCCACCAAAGGGAGGGCAGTTTGTCACACCGCCACAGAGAACTAACTCAATGGACCTTTTCTGTCCCCTTCTGAGCCCCACACTCCCTGCTATAAAGTAGGGATTGGGTCACAGGTCATGCTTGCTTAACACGGTACTTGGGACCAAAGAGAGACTCAACAAAAGTTCCCTTTTTCCTGTCCACACTCAGAGGCAGGCTTGGATCCTGCTCACCCAGCCTCATGTGATGAAAAACTCCAAGTCAGGCTCCGTCCCACAGCTGGGGTCTGACAAACAGCACCCCCTTGCCAGCCACGGCAGCTGGAGAAGGAGGTCGCCGGCAGCTGGAGAAGGAGGTCGCCAGCAGCAGGGCTGGAGAGCAGATCTGATGGCATCAGCTCGGGCTTGCTCCGTCCATGCCGGGCTGGAGTGTGGCCATCACTCCCAGCCACAGAAGCTCGTTGATCTCTGACCTCCCTGGTGGGAACAGGCCCTTCTCCAGGACAGGCCAGGGCACCTGCACTCAGACAGTCTGCGGGTGCTCCCTAGGCCAGGGCTGACAGCCCCGATGGAAAGCTGATGCCCTGCCTTTGGCACAGTGAGTCCAGGAAGAGGCACCTAGCCACCACCCACATCTATGGGAGACACACCTAGCCAGCTCCTGATTCCCTAGCCTCACTCCAGGCACCTCCTAACACTCCTTCCATCTTCCTAAGGGGCAAGAGGCAGCCTCCCACCCCAACAACGCTGGCTGCTGCCCAGGCTAGCCCAGTGAGCTCCATCTGCAGTCCCATGGCGTGGATCCCAGGACCCTGACTCCTGGGAGTGGGCCCTGGGAGGAGTTTCAGAGCTGCTGTCTCCCAGGGGAGGCTGGCCAAGCCCCTCTTCTCCTGCTCTCCCTCCCGTCAGGCACAGCAGCCCCCTGCTCTGGGAAAGTACAAAGACCTCACCTCTGAGACCCCTCCACCTTCGAAGCTCTAAAACCAGGATTCTCGCATGAGCCACCCTAACAGCAACCCTGATAAGATGTTCTTCCTACTTTCTAGATGACGAAAGTCAGACTCTAAGGCTCAAGAGTTTTTGGCAAGGTCACACAGCAAGGGTGGCAGTCTTAAACGTGGCCCCAGAATCCCTTGACTTTCCTTCCACTGAGGGGTGGGGTTTATGCCCTGTCTTTGAGCCTAGGCTCTGTGGCTGCTTGGCCAAAGAAACACTGTGGACATGATGCTGGGCCAGTTTCTGGGCTCAGGCTGTAAGAAACCTGGGTTCTCTTGGAACCCAATCATCCTTCTCCGAGGGTGCCCAAGTGGCCCAAGGAGAAGAACCTGGCTTGGCCCCCTGCTGACAGCCATGCGGTGTGCCATCTTGAAAGCGGACCCTCCACCCCACCTTGAGTTGCCCAGGTGATGCCACGGGGAACCATCCCCATGAAGCCCGACCCACACTACAATGTCATGAGCTAAATAAATGTGTTTTTCTAAACCGCTAGGTTTCAGGGTAATTTTAAGTAACTGATACAGCAAGAAGTGATGAACACAGTTCAGATGATCTCCAAGTCCACGGTCTTTTTGATTCCCAACCATGGCTGCCTCCCTGATTCTCACTGTATTAGTCTGAAGAGCTTATTAGGGGAGGAACAGAGGCCTTGAAAAGACCCCCAAACTGAAATCCCCTTCCCCCCAGGGACAGCCCCCTCCAGGAAATTCCTTTCAGGGCTGTCCTCGCTGCATTTCATCTCTAGCCCTGCGGCAGGGGTAGAATTCTCAGATGACCCCTAATGACTTTTGTCTTTTTTATAATTTTCCTCGAGTGAGTAAATGTGAGTATGAAAATCTATCACTCTCAAGATTATGTTACTTATTTCGTGCAAAGACTTTGCAAATGTTATGAAGGTTACTAGTCAGTCAGTTGGCCTTAAGGAGATATTTTCTGCTTGGGTCTAACCTAATCACAGGAGACCTTTAAGAGTAGAACATTTTTTTTCTGGTGGTGGGAGATGAGGTAGTCAGAGAGATTTGATGCTTAAAGGGGCTTGTACACTAGGGAGGTTCTCCTCTCCTGAGACGGAGGGGCCATGGGGCCAGGCCCTGAGAGGAGCCTCTAGGAGCTGGGGTGGTCCTTAGATATCAGCCAGCAAGAAAGTGAGGACCTCAGTCCAACAACCACAAGGACATGAATTCTGCCCACAATCTGAATGAGCTTGGAAACAATTTTTCCCCCAAATTGTCCAGAAAAGAATGCAGTCCTACCAACAACTCAATTTCACTTGTGGGATTCTGGGTGGACAACCCAGTTGAGCCCACCGGGACCTCTGACTTACAGAACCATGAGATAAATGAGTTAAGTTGCTAACTTTGTAATTTGTTACATAGGAATAACAAAATTAATACGATCCCGTTCTTTTTGTTTCCAGACTCTTCCTTCTCCAAAAGTGTCCTTCCTTTTTTTCATTGCAGACCTTGTAAATGGGGTGACATGTAGATCTTTAAGCCGTGGCTGGAGCGTGGGTCTACAGCCTTGGCCAAGGCCCCTGGGCCAGCCCTTGGGAGTAGTGTTTCCACCCATAGCTGAGGGCTGAGTGTGGGCCCACAGTGGAATGCCTGAGCGTGCACTAGCTGGGCCTCCATGGCCTGGCAGAGCCTTCCTGGGCTGGACCGGCTGAGTTTCTGAGTCCAGGGGATGCCGCCAATGATCAGGCTCCCAGACTTCCTGTTAGGGTGACTAAGCCCAGCCTTAATTAGGTGGACTCTGATGATCTGTTCTCTCTCAATTTCCTCATTTCTAGGACAATAATGGTTCTCTGTTCATACCAGAATTTCCTCCTAAAGAACCAGCCCCAGACTCTTCACACCATTTATTCAGTCTTCTCCCTGTGTAACCCCAGCCTTTCCCATCTCTTTCCTTTTCTGAAACCCAGCCACACTCTTACAGCGCACGCTTACACTGCTGTACAGGTGGGGCTGAGTGTGCCTGACGCCCCTTCACCTCCTCTCCTCACCCCAGTTCTTGGCCACACTCTAGAACGCAGATAACACAGGAGTTCCCATGTCCATCTTTGAAATGAGAAGCCTGAGGCCCAGAGCCCTCAGCACGGAATGGAAGGCTTTGAATGCAAACCTAGAGGGTTCCTAGTTACTTTATGTCTCTGCAGTTACTTTCCAGGTTTTTAAGGACAGTGATCTTTGTCTTCTATCACCACTGAAGTTATCCCCTTCAGAAAGAAGCACTGGCCTAGATATGCAACAGATTGTTAAAAAAAAAAACTGTCTGATAATTGCAAGGTTGTGTATTTACTTATCATATCAAGAAGAAACGTGTGGTTTTGACTCTCCATTTCCTTACTAATCATCTTATCTGTGCTACAGCACCACCACATTATCTGTGTCCACTCCACGGTGGTATGTTCACCACATCACTGGAAAATAATGCCACTCACTGACAGCACACCCCCACCAAGCTCCATCTTCTCAGAGGATGAGGGCCCAGACTCTCAACACCCTCTTCTCTCTGCCCCCTGCCATTGTCTCCAGAATGGGAGACGACGCCAACCTCCATGCTCTGACTCTGCTGAAACCCTGCTCCCAGGCCCTCTCTGGTGGCCTCTGACTCCACTCTTCTCAGCCACACACAGAAACATACTCATCTTGGGTTTCTTCATCCCTCAAGAATCAAACCAGCTCCCAGGCCAAGCCCTCTGACATTGCCGTCATTGGCCACAATCTGCCTCCCCTTCCACCTCTCCCCAGGCCTGGTTCACCTGCTTTTTATTTCCATAAAGAACACCCCATTCTTTTATCCTGCAAGTCCCTCCTGAAACCATTTTCAGCTCTATCCTCACACACAGACCAAACCCCTGCAGAGTCCCCCTTTCTATGGCTGCCTTGTCAGGAACCAACCATGGATAAGGCACCACCTGCCTTCCTCTATCTCCTGGCCAGTGCGACATGGAGGGGAAGCTGTGCAACTGTGTGCCTTGGCTCCTTGACAAGCCAGGCAACCTCCATGAGCCCCCCAGGCTGATGCACAGCCCAGCTCTTCATCCCTTGCTAGCATCCAACAGCTGTTCCCAATCTCCTTCTTTTTCCCCAGTCCACAAACCCACCCCCACGTCCCAAACTCGTACCAGATGAATTCACTTTATAATTTATTGAGAATTTCATCCTATAATGACATTCTCACCTTCTCTCCCCTTCTCCTGAGAATGTCTCTTATCTTACCCCAGTGTGTCTTTTTCTGTGAAATACCCTTCCTCTTTTTGAAACAAACATTTCCCTCTGGACTCTAAATCTCTCAGCTTCCTGATTCCTTCCTGACCTCCTTCCATTTTTCTGTCTTCTAACTTCTTAAATTTTTATTTTTTAGCTGTATTGAGATAGAATTGATATACAGAAAATTGCACACATTTCATGTATACCTCTTCATGAGTTTGGACATATGCACACACCATCACCACAACTAAGGAACTAAACATATTCATCACCTCCAAAAATTTGTGTACTTTTTTGTAAGTCACTTTTTTTGTAAGAACACTTAACATGAACTCTGTCCTCTTAATGTATTTTAAAATGCACAATGCTGTATTGTTAACCATAGGTACTATGCTGTACAGCAGATCTCCAGAACTTACTCATCTTGCATAACAGAAACTTTATACCTTGAAAAACAATTCCCCATTTCTTCCCCACCGCCAGCCCCTAGCAGCTGCCATTCTACTGTTTCTATGAGTTTGACTATCTTAGATGCCTTATGTAAGTGACATCATGCAGTATTTGTCCTTCTGTGACTGGCTTATTTTACTTAGTATGTCTTCTAGGCTTATCCTTTCTTTTGCAAATGGCAGGGTTTTCTTCTTTTTAAAGGCTGAACAATATTCCATTGTGTATATGCATGGCAGTTTCTTCATGCATCCATTGATGGACACAGGTTGATTTCATATCTTGGCTATTGTGAATAGTGCTGCAATAAATGTGGGAGTGCAGATATCTCTTTGATATACCAATTTCTTTTCTTTTGGGTAGATACCCAACTGTGGCATGTCTGGGTCATACAGTACTATTTTTAGTTTTTTGAGGAACTGCCATGATGTTTTCCATAATGACTGTAGTAACTTACATTCCCACCAACAGTGTAAGAATGTTCCCCTTTCTTCACATCTATGCAAGCATGCTATTTTTTGTCTTCTTGATAACAGCTATTTTAACTGTGGCTAGATGATATTGCATTATTTTGATTTGCATTTCTCTGATGATTAGTGACGTTTAGCATTTTTTTCATATATCTGTTGGCCATTTGTATGTCTTCTTTTGAGAAATGTCTATTCAGATATTTTTCTCATTGGATTATTATTATTATTATCATTATTATTATTAGCCATTGAGTGGTTTGAGTTCCTTACCTATTCTGGTTATTAATCTCTTATCAGATGGATATTTTGCAAATATTTTCTCTCATTCTGTAGGTTGGTTGTCTCTTTGCTTTGTTAATTGTTTCCTTTGCTGTGTATAATTTTTTTAGCTTGATGTGATCCCATTTGTCCATTTTTGCTTAGGTTTCGCCACTTTTAAGGTATTACCTAGGAACAATCTTTGCCCATACCAATGTCCTGAAGCATTTTGAACTGGGACACTTTTGAAAGTGAAGGAGGTGTCATTAATAATTACGCAGGTCAACAGGCATCAAGTGGACTGTCCTGATCATCCTAGCCCCAGGCTTGCCATAAGGATATTTGGGATTTGTTTGAATCGGGTGTGGTAAGACATGCAGGGATTAAAATGACTGTCATGAAGGAAGAGGCCTCCGCACAGGTCCCTAGAAACAGGAGGCGTGGTGCCCCAGTCAGAGGCCAACAGGGAAGCACTGGGTTTAGTCCGGGGTCAAGGAGAGTGGGAATCTATGGGCAAGAGCCTTTATTGAGGTTTCTGTGAAAAGCAACAGGCAAGGCAAGGTAAACAGGCCTAAGATGAGCTAATTTGAATAATAGGAGAGGGTCTGGGGCACAGGGGCTGCCCAGGTGTCTGGCACCTGGCCCTGGGTGATTAGGGCAGGTGAGTAGTGATCATGAGTGAGAGCCCCCTGGAGGGGGTCACTCAGGGTGTAAGCTCTGGACTGGTTGGTCTGTGTCAGAAAAGCATGGGCTTGGGTGACTTATTCACTGTCCTTAGGAATTGGCAACGCTGGGAGGGGCAGCAAGGCCCCAAACTGTCAGAGCAGCAGAATACAGAAAATAAAAGGGATGGCTAATATAGGGACTATCAGAGTCACCCAACAGGCTTTTTCATAAAGTCCATGCTCTCTTCCCACCCCCGAGAGTTAAGTCCATGCTCCCTTCCCACCCCCTCCCCCAGGTAAGAATGACTGCCTGAGTGAGCCAGTGCTACCCATGTACACGTGCACACACCAGGTGCGTGTGGAAAGGGAGAGATTGGGAGCCAGGGCTTTGCCTGCTGCCTCCCCCTGCACCCCCAACTTATACTCACTTGACACATCTAATGCCTCAAATCTAAGTTTGTGTCCTTCGCCTGCTGGACTGGATCCCACCGCCTGCCTGGTGCCACAGTGACTCCTATTTTCTCGTTCACCTGGAATGCCTTCCCCCTCCACATGTCGAAGACCCAGCTGTCTCAAGGCCCTGCTACAAGGCTGTTTCCTGGAAATTCAGCTTAGGCCTCTCTCCCTGCCTGAGTCCCAGCCGCAGTTTACACTCCCTCCCAGCGCCCCAGCCTGCCTTCCACCATGTCCACCTCTCCTATCAGTGTGCGCTTCCTAAGCAGCTCCTCTGGGGCAGAGAGAGGTGTAGACACTCTTAGAATGAACAATGCTGCCCACCTCCAGCGTAAGGCATGGTGCCGATGTGCCAGTGCCTTACTCCCTGGCAGCATAGTAAATGGGAGCAGAAGCCTCTGGGAAACACGCTGTCTTAGCCTAGTGTTTCCCATAGTAGGTTACAGGGCATGTGCTCTTCCTGGGGTTTGCTGAACTGCAAAACTTCTCACAGCTTAGATACTGAGGAGCCTGTGATGAAGAGATTCTCCTTAGGGCATTGAAAACCTTTTTTTTTCTTTTCTTTTTTTTTTTTTGTAATTTATGTACTTGCCCTCTTTTTTCTGAGACTCATGGGACTGGTGGTCTTGAAAAGCATAAATGTCTAAGAAAGGTGCTTTCAGGAGACTGTAGGGCCCCGCTTAAGCAAGTGGCTCCTCCCGCAGACTGCAGGTCATGTTGGCTGGACTATCACCTATTTTACTGATGATCCTAAACCTCTGATTAAGGTGACCTTTGCCTGGTGAAGCTAATATGTCCCATCTGCTCCTTCTCTTTGGTCCCCCAAGGGACATAAACTAAGCCAGCCCATCCCCTTGTCCTTGGCTCCAGTCAAGCTAATCAGCTTTCAGTCCCCTGAATTCACCACGCTTCTTCTCACCTCTGTGCCTTTCTCACACTGCCTGCTTCAACCGCAAATCTCTCTCTCTCATATACATCACCTAATATATATATGACCATATATACAGACATAAATATAATAAACACATATGTACATATGTATGAAGTTGGACATGCATGTGTATATGCTAGGCTAGAAAGATGGTAGATACATAATAGATGATATAGATGATAGATGGTGGATAGATAGTAGATAGATCAATAGATAGATAATAGAGAGATAATAGGTAGATTATAGATGATAGATATAGATGATAGATTAGATAGATGATAGATAGATAGATAGATAGATAGATAGATAGATAGATAGATGATAGGAGAGATTGCTTATTAGGCTGCCCCTTTTACTTAGGACATATCTAGAAATATTCACTAAATGAAGAAAGGTAAATTAAACTAGAAAGTAAGTGAATGGATGGATGGATGGGTGGAAGGATGCATGGATGGAAGTAGAATTTGTATTACACATATTGGAGAATTTTAATCTGATAATAAACAGAAGGTGTGGCTTGACAAGGACTCCTTCCTTGCCAGACTTTAGTCAGTCTGCTTTGAGCCCTCTTCTTGACTAGGCCGTGGCCTGTTGAACTCAGTTTACGGAGACTTCCCCAACCCTTGATGTCTAATTAAGTTCCTCTTAGTGATTTTCCACCCACTGACACCTGACTATACCCCTGCACCTTGGCTATAAATCCTTAGCTGTCTTTGCTGTATGCAGAGTTGAACTCAGTTCTATACTTGTCTCTCTCCCCTACTGCAAAAACCTTTCTTGCCATTTTTAACAACTGTCCAGTGCAATTTCTTCTTGACAGGCTGTGAATGTGTACATGTATAGACCCATTCTGGGTTTCACTTGGCTGCTTTGGACAAATCTTAGGCATTGTAGGTTGTCACCAGCACATTTGTAACATGGGTGTACTGCCTACTGGGCTCTCTGAGGAAACCCTTCCAGAAAGGGTCAGAAGGCAATTCTTAAATGTAATGGGTGCTTTAGAAGTCAGCCTAGATTTGAAGTGGTGTATCAGCACTGAAGAAACACTGTGTTCTCCTTCAGCACGCTGGAAGAACAGCAACGTGTTACTCATTCAAGTTTGTCCTCTTGGCCCTTGGGCTCCCAGAATAAAAGATGGCTTCTCTAGAGTCAGAAGGGCAAGAGAACTGTGGGGAAGGAAGTGAACGCTGGCTCAACTGCTAGTGCCTGCCTGGTTCATGCTAAGCACTCTGTCCGTGTGGCCTCACGCAATCTTGCCAGCAACCTGCTTGGGCAGATATCATCACTGTTTCACACCTGGGTGCTCATCCATGTGGCTTCTCTTCACCTGGCCTCTTGGCATTAGTCTAGCCCTAGCTTCTTTATAGCATGATGGTGGCTTCCCCAGGGTAGCAGAAGCTGCTGGTCTTCTTAAGGGCCAGAATCAGGACTGGCTTAAAAATCATCACTTTGTCTACATTTTATTGGTCAGGGAGTGTCAAAGCTTTGCCCCCAATTCAAGGGGCAGGAAAAGACTCCACTTCTTGAAAGTAGAGCAGTGTTCCTGAATAGGGAGGGGAGGAATTGATGGAGACCATCTACTGCCTGCCCTGACCCGGGACGGGGACCTGGTAGGGATTCTGCTCACTGAGGCCAGGAAGCAGGTATTGGACACCTGTGGCATCATGGACCGGAAGTGCATTATACCTACCTGGGCCAGGTACAGGTGCTGACGGACTCAGAAACAGATGTAGGGATTAGTGGAATCCAGGACTAACCTACACTCGCTTACAGTAAGCCTGCATGTCACAAATCCGAGGTGGCCCTGTAGAGGGAGCCACGGCCTTTTTCTGCTAGTTTGGGCTAGCCCTGGGCCACAGCAGCCAGCCCATCGGTCCAGGGGGAGTCTAGAATGTGCAGCGAGGCCCTCCGGGTGCTTGCTGGCCAAGCTGCCTGGGCTGTGTGGCTGTATCACAGTCCTGACCGCACCCTCCCAGCCTTCCCAGAACAGAGCTTCCAAGGCGAAAACACCTCCTGGCTGTTCTCCTTCCCCAAATGGCTATGTTTTATGATGTGCTAAGTTTGGGGGGGAAAAAAGAAAATTCCTCCAGCTGTGGTGTAATCCCATCTGAAGGCATTCCAGGGATTTGATTTATAATCTCTGGGCATGAGCCGCATGCTGGGCTCTGTGAGAGGGGCGCCTGTCCGGGGCGCTGCAGGGCCAGGGCCGTTGAGGCCCTCCGGGTGGAGCTGCCTCCTTTGTGGGTTCCCAGTTTCCAGCATGCTGGAGCTGTCTCCAAGCCCAAGTTGTGCATGGAACAGGCATGCAGCTAATATTCAGAATCAGGATGAGCTCACTCTGCTACCAACTTGCATAATATTTATTTATTCACTCATTTAACAAAGTTTCTGGGGACTAGAAAATACCTTAGGTACTGATAATACAAAATGAATATGGCAAAGATTGAAATACGTTTGAACCAAGGTTAATATCAGAGGTAGGTATTGAAAGTTTCAACCCAACAATCAGCTTGTAAAACAGCGGTCTGTTTTCTTTCCCTTTTTTTTTTTTTTTTTTTCAAGAGGGGTTGAATTATTTTTGTGAGGGTGCTGGTAAGAGGAAGCTCTACATGAATTATTGGAGAATAACAGTTCTGAAAGGAGATGTGGCTGTTCTAAGCCCAGCCTGGTGCTGGTCTCCCCAGTGTCTTTCTCTCGAGAAAGAAACAAATGAAAGTTGATCTCAGCAACCAGGACCCATCTGGGTACCCACACCTTTCCTTCCCAGCAGCCCTGCAGGGTTGAGGCTTGTTCTCACAGCCTGGAACACAAGAATAGCATGTGTTCCAGATGGAGCAGAATGATTCTGGCCTAGGAAAGACATTATACCGAATGGGTTTCAGATTCTTATTGGTATCTGGGAAAGGACAGACAGCCACTTCTACTTAAAGAAATGCCCACAATCCCACTTCCCATCATGGGCAGAACATGCACATGAACTGCACCCCACAGAGGACCCTGTGTACAGGGTGGTGCAAGGCCAACATAAAATCAAGTCAGGCCAAAGAGGAAAAGTGTCTTTGCCCAACCGCGGTATTGTGAAGGGAGCCTTGCACAGCTGAGTCACTATTTTGATTCAAAGACTGTCTATTTCTTTTTGTCCTCCCTTTGTCCCTTTGTTTCCTTGGTTGAAATTGTGCTCGGTGAGTGAACTGTCCCTGGCCTGCTACTAGGGTCAGCAGGGCCTGAGTCTCATGTCACCTTTGATCATCATTGGCAGCTTCTCCAGCTCCCTGAGACAGTCAGGGCAGGGGGCTTTAAAATCTTTGAGCAACTGTATACATAGAGGGCTGAATCCTAGACACAGCTGACATATACTATGACTTATTTCATTTTTAACCAGTAAGTCTTGGGTCTATCTGTTATTAGCAGAAGCTTCTAAGCAAAACAAGAATTCCAAAATTCAGGAGGATTAGCTTGACAGATTTCCCAAACACCTTGGACAGCAACATGAGTTAAAATGTGACCCCCATCATCACTATGCATTCATCATGACTAGCTTGCCTCTCTCAAAAAATGGCCTGGGAGAGAATGGGCCAGAGGTGCTGTTCTATCTGTCAAATGTGATCTATGTAATCATCCTAGTTGGCACTGCAGAATGAAAACTCAAATGTGTCTCTTCTCATTCCATGAAAAAGGAAAGCTCCTGAGGGTTCTCTGTGACAATACTTATGCTACTTATTCTTGGTCCTGTGGTGGCACTCAGTTTCTCTAAAAGCGAAAGGACATTATGGTGGCCTACTTCACCCAAATGCTAGGAGATCACACAGTGAAAGTCAGGTATTTGCATTCATTCACTCCTTAGAAACTATGTACTGCTGGAAACTGAGGAGCAGAGACATCCCCTGCCCCTACAGGACAGTGTTGGTGAGGATGGATTTAAAGACAACAGAGCAGAATCCGAGTTGCCCCCTGCCCTGATTCAACACCAGCTGTCAACATCAGCTGGCAGAGAGGAGGAAAAGTGGCTTCCAAAGACGAAAAGAACAATCAAGGAAGCCATTCGAAGATAGTAGAAAAGAAAGCAACAGTCAGCTCAAGAATACGCAGTAGATGAAAACTACAGCTTCCACACAGGAAGAGCTAAAGGAGAGAGGCCCTCAAAAAAAGGTTACAAGAAGAGTTTAAAAGTGAGTTGACCATTTTAATGATATTGATTCTTCCAATCATGAGCATGGAATGTTCTTCCATTTGTTTGCATCATCTGTGATTTCTTTCAGCGTGTAATTAATTCTCCATGTAGAGATCTTTCACCTCCTTGGTTAGATGTATTGCTAGATATTTTTGTGGCTGTTGTCAATAGGATTGTATTCTTGATTTGACTCTCAGATTGAACATTATTGGTGTATAGAAATGCTACTGATTTTTGTACCTTGATTTTGTCTGTTGAAACTTTACAGAAGTTGTTTACCATTTCTAGAAGCCTTCTAGTGGGGTCTTTAGGGGTTTTTTGGTTTAGAATTATATTATCTCTTATTTCTTTTTCTTGCATGATTGCTCTGGCTAGGACTTCCAGGACTATGTTGAAGAGAAGTTAATGGGTATGGGCATGAACAGACACTTCCCAAAACAAGACATACATGCAACCAAAAAACATATGAGAAAATGCTCCACATCACTAATCACTAGAGAAATGCAGCCACAATGAGATACCATCTCACACCAATCAGAATGGCTATTATTAAAAAGTCAAAAAATAACATGCTGATGAGGCTGTGGAGAAAAGGGCATGCTCATACATTATTGGCGGGAGTGTAATTAGTTCAGCCACTGTGGAAAGCAGTTTGGATATTTCTCAAAGAACTTAATACAGAGCTACCATTTAACCCAGCAATCCCATTACTGGGTATATATCCAAAGAAAAATAAATTATT
The DNA here is from genome assembly GCF_000001405.40 of Homo sapiens. NCBI lineage: Eukaryota > Metazoa > Chordata > Mammalia > Primates > Hominidae > Homo > Homo sapiens. The sequence goes on along the minus strand of NC_000010.11, from coordinate 47,010,966 downwards.
CTACCAAAAAGACACATGCACTTGTATGTGCATCTCAGCACAATTTACAATAGTGAAGACATGGAATCAACCTGGGTTCCCATCAGTGGTGGACTGGATAAAGAAAATGTGGTACATATACACCAGGGAATACTACACAGCCATATAAAGAGAACGAAATCATGTCCTTTGCAGCAACATGGATGCAGCTGGATGCCATTATCTTAAATGAATTAATGCAGGAACAAAATAAAACAAATACTGTATGCTCTCACTTACAAGTGGGAGCTAAATATTGGGTACTCATGGACATAAAGATGGAAACAATAAACACTGGGAACTCCTACAGTGGGGAGAGAGGGAGGGAGGCAAGAGTTCAAAAATTACCTATTGAGTACTATGCTGATTACCTGGGTGGTGGGATCAGTCATATGCCAAACCTCAGCATCACGTAATATACCCATGTAACAAACCTGCACATGTATCCCCTGAATCTAAAATAAAAGTTGAAATTTTTTAAAAAAGAGAGAAATGACTTAGCATGTCAATGAAAGACTTTATATTAATGACAAACTCTAGTGGAATATATGTCCATTTTCTTCACTTTTACGTAATAAAATTTAAAACTTTCAAAAATAAAAGATAAATGAGTCGACAACGGTGCTTGGGGAAAACAATTCTTGTTTGTTAATACTCTCCAACCCAGCTCTTTTGCCTTCCAGCTGGCTAGTCATTAAACAGTTAAATGAAACAATAAAGTGTGCTCACTCCCTCTGTGTATGAGAATTATGTTTCCAACACAATAGATTCCTCCATAACAACACTGAATGTTAAGAGAAAGTAAGTGAAACAATGTCTACAAGCCCTCCAAGTGAGAAAAAAATGACACATGAATTTTATACAGAGCCAAAATGTCACATACATATAAAGAACTTCAATTAATTGAAAGAATGCCAGAAATCAAGGACAGTAGAACTTGTGAGCCCATCTTGGAAAACCTTTTGGAGGATGAACTGTCATCAGCCAAGTTATGCATAATGAAATTTCTATATACTAGCTAAAGAGACAAAACAAATTTGTCATTACATTATGCTCTTTGGATATTTAATTCACTCCTCCTTATCCTAATATTCCTAATTTCATAACCAGAAGCTGAAGTGATGTCACTTTATCCATGTAAGTTCTTCTCCAGGCTCTTCAGGTGCTAATATGCTTAAATCTCTTCAAATATTTTATAGTGTTTGTTTTTGTCGACAATTGGAATATGACCATGTTCCTGCCTGTCCTACTTATTATACGGGTGTGTCAAAAGGGCAAGTGTGTCACAGGGCAAGTGGCATAGCACCAGGAGATACACACCTGCACGAATGTCCATGTATCTGGGTGTGGGCAACCAGAGTGCACATGAGAATGAGAAGGGCTACTTCTGTGACTTTCCTGAACCAATAGTCCCAATAGAGCCAGGCTAGAGCAAAACCACAGCCTCCAAACCCAGAGGTGCCTCCCCCAGCACTGATTTAGGAGCCCCCAGCCCATCTCCAAGTGTTGTGCGGCACTCTGAAGTTCCTCCTCACCCCCTTGAGGCAGCTGCTCCGTGGGTCTCTGGACTCCTCAAACTCTGATTCCCCTGGCAGAACACCCTCCTGGCTGCAGGTGTGGCTCCTGTCCCAGCCTCAAAGCAACAGGTTCCTGTGCTCCCATCATTACAGCGAAGAGCTGAGGGCTCTTTTCTTTTAATTGAATCCCCTGAGGAACGCCCCCCAACAACAGGATATCCCCAGGCTATCTGTTCTTATCATACTCATAATGTTTGGCTTTGTCATGCCATTCACCCAGCCTCAACTTAACACACTTTCCCTGAAGGTCTAAATCCAGACAAAAATATGAGCAACCCTTCTCAACACTTGGCCTCCCTAACATAATTACAAACCCCTTATTCATAGTCTTTGGCTCTGTCCAGAGCTTAGGCAGTCTCTTCATGCCTGGATGATTCTCCCACACAGTATGTGACCTGAGAAGTCAGGAATGATCATTGTGCTCTAATGTCATAGCAAGTGGCATGCCACCTAGCTCTGGGGGTGGCAGTCGGTGCCAGAGGCCCTGTCATTGTCTTCCCTAGAGGCCATAAGAACTCTCATGGAAATAAGTTGACCCCACAGGTATGCCAGCCCAGACATCCTGGTGAGGCCCCAGCATGCCCCAGTTCTCAACGGCAAGCAGCTCGGGAAGTACCGAAAGGACCCAGGCACCATTTAGTTTTGTAAGGCCATTCAGTAAAGCTCAGGCTCTTGGAAAGCCAGCCTCTTTGATTCAGTCCTTTGTTGCTACTCGCTTTAATGTTTACCTCATTTTCTGCTTCATGCAGCCAGAATTACTGGTAAATAAGCCCTTCAGCAACCGTAGAGTCTTGTGCTCTGCTGGAGATGTATATGCTTGGAGAATGAAATACTGTGAACATACATATTTCAGTTTGGACTGTGAAATGCCTTCTATACATCTGATTTGTAAGAGAGATGGTTCTGATCGCTAACATCTCAGTGGTGATCCTGAGGAGAAAGGCTTGACAGAATTTTAAAGGTGCTCTATGGAGTATAATTAACCAAATCCACCCCCCCTCCGTATCTGAAAAAGAATTCTGGCAGTGTTACCAGTGAGGAAGATAGGTTCTTTTGCATAAAGGGACGTTTAGTTGTTTCCCTGGGGTTATTATTTCCAAGCCTGGCTGTGTGATGGACTCAGTTTCCCCAGTTGCATTCCAATCCATTCTTCAGACCAGTCCAAAACAGTACTTAACTTATAGGAGAGAAACAGTGTTTTACCATAAAATGTGCTTCTGTTGTAAGTTTGCTGTAGCTATGCCCTAGCAGATTAAGGTAATTCCCTTCTATTCCAAGTTTACTAAAATTTTTTATTTTTAAAATATAGAATGGATATCAAATTTGATTCGAATTTTTTTTCTGCATCTATTGAGGAATGGCTCTTGGGAACAATATTTTCTGAGCTCTTGCATGTTGATTTCAATTTTCACCCTGTGCATCAAGGTCAGTTTTTCTAGACATAACATATTGGCTCATAAAAATCTTTCCTTGGACATCTTATTATTCCATCTTCTTTTGTATTAAAGCATTACTCTTAAAAATCTGATAATCATCTAATTTTCTTTTCCTCATATTCTTTTGCGTAAATCCTCCCCCCTCCCCATTTTCTTTCTTCAAACTGCAGCAATTTTACTTAAAATTTATTAAACCTTGGTATTGGTCATACTCATTTGATGGTTTCAGGTATGTACTATGATACTTCAACATATAATTTTAAAAACAATTATTTCAGGAAAATTTTCTTTAATTATTACTCTAAATATTTCTTGAATTAGTGAATTTGTTCTGAACCCTTGCTTTGGTTTTTCTTCTTTAAACTTTCTGTTATCTATCTACTAGTCTTCTTTACCTATCATTGATCCTTCTTATGCTCTTAAATCCTGTTTTCTTTCTCCATTTTGTTTTGAAATTATTCCTCTTAAGCTTTCTATTTATTGTAAAGCATCAGTTATCAATTTTTTTGTGTTCCTTCTAGTTTATAGATTTTATTTCTAATTTTTGTTTCTAACTCTTTCTTGATTTTCATACTGCTTTAAATTTTTCTAGTTCTGATTTTTGTTATTCCATCCTGTTTTATGCAATTCTCCTATTGTCTTTAAGCTCATTTTGAAATAGTAGGATATCGTTTTCTGTGACTTCCCGAGCTGCTTGCCATTGAGAACTGTGTTTTGAGTGTATCTTTCTGGTGTACCTTCATTGTTTGTAAGGGATGCTATTCAGCTCCTCAGTCTTTTTTTTTTCTTATGGTAACTTGTACGGGATTTGATCATAATATTTTCTAGTGCTTGTTTCCATGTGAATTTGGATTTCCTGAACTAAACTTGACTTGGACAGACAGCTCTTATAAGTTCACTGAGCTTGCTTTCTGAGGTTTTCTGGCTCTATTCTCCTCAATCACTTTTATAGGATCTTCTCTTTTCTTTATCCCATTCTCTCCATTCTCTCCTCAACTTTGATTCTAAGGTTTCTCCTCAGTGTGACTCTGTTCTGGAAAGGAGCCCTGGCTGGTCACCTTTTAGAGCAGATAAGAGCTACACTGCTCTAACCCCTTCAGGCCCTACCATGTACTCCTCGCACTTTTCCACTTTGAAGGTGAAATTAAAGGGATACAAAGAAATGGAAGAACATTCCATGCTCATGGGTAGGAAGAATCAATATCGTGAAAATGGCCATACTGCCCAAGGTAATTTATAGATTCAATGCCATCCCCATCAAGCTACCAATGACTTTCTTCACAGAATTGGAAAAAACTACTTTAAAGTTCATATGGAACCAAAAAAGAGCCCGCATCGCCAAGTCAATCCTAAGCCAAAAGAACAAAGCTGGAGGCATCACGCTACCTGACTTCAAACTATGCTACAAGGCTACAGTAACCAAAACAGCATGGTACTGGTACCAAAACAGAGATATAGATCAATGGAACAGAACAGAGCCCTCAGAAATAACGCCACATATCTACAACTATCTGATCTTTGACAAACCTGAGAAAAACAAGCAATGGGGAAAGGATTCCCTATTTAATAAATGGTGTTGGGAAAACTGGCTAGCCATATGTGGAAAGCTGAAACTGGATCCCTTCCTTACACCTTATACAAAAATTAATTCAAGATGGATTAAAGACTTAAACATTAGACCTAAAACCATAAAAACCCTAGAAGAAAACCTAGGCATTACCATTCAGGACATAGGCATGGGCAAGGACTTCATGTCTAAAACACCAAAAGCAATGGCAACAAAAGCCAAAATTGACAAATAGGATCTAATTAAACTAAAGAGCTTCTGCAGAGCAAAAGAAACTACCATCAGAGTGAACAGGCAACCTACAAAATGGGAGAAAATTTTTGCAACCTACTCATCTGACAAAGGGCTAATATCCAGAATCTACAATGAACTCAAACAAATTTACAAGAAAAAAACAAACAACCCCATCAAAAAGTGGGCAAAGGACATGAACAGACACTTCTCAAAAGAAGACATTTATGCAGCCAAAAAACATACGAAAAAATGCTCACCATCACTGGCCATCAGAGAAATGCAAATCAAAACCACAATGAGATACCATCTCACACCAGTTAGAATGGCAATCATTAAAAAGTCAGGAAACAACAGGTGCTGGAGAGGATGTGGAGAAATAGGAACACTTTTACACTGTTGGTGGGACTGTAAACTAGTTCAACCATTGTGGAAGTCAGTGTGGCGATTCCTCAGGGATCTAGAACTAGAAATACCATTTGACTCAGCCATCCCATTACTGGGTATATACCCAAAGGACTATAAATCATGCTGCTATAAAGACACATGCACATGTATGTTTATTGCAGCACTATTCACAATAGCAAAGACTTGGAACCAACCCAAATGTCCAACAATGATAGACTGGATTAAGAAAATGTGGCACATATACACCATGGGATAGTATGCGGCCATAAAAAATGATGAGTTCATGTCCTTTGTAGGGACATGGATGAAATTGGAAATCATCATTCTCAGTAAACTATCGCAAGGACAAAAAACCAAACACCGCATGTTCTCACTCATAGGTGGGAATTGAACAATGAGAACACATGGACACAGGAAGGGGAACATCACACTCTGGGGACTGTTGTGGGGTGGGGGGAGGGGGGAGGGATAGCATTAGGAGATATACCTAATGCTAAATGACGAGTTAATGGGTGCAGCACACCAGCATGGCACATGTATACATATGTAACTAACCTGCACATTGTGCACATGTACCCTAAAACATAAAGTATAATAATAATGAAATTAAAAAAAAAAAAAAGAAAGTGAGCAATGCCCATCCAGTTTCAGACGCCATCCTCAGCTTAGCCCCACCACACCTCCTAGTAAATATCTGTTGGATCTTTAGGCTGTGTTCAGGTCTATCAGTTGGTAAATAAAACGGGTCCTTCACCAGAGTTTGAGAAGCATTGCTGAAGGAATCAGCAGAGGGAGAGATGAGTGTTAGAAGGCTTCATAGAAGAGATAGTTCTTAGGCCAGGCCCTGGAGGGCAATCAGGGTTGAAGTGAATGTTGAAGTTCCTCAGTGCTCTGCCCTTGGCCTCCATCTCACTTTGTTTGTGGAGCTTATCCATTCCCATGCCCTCAAACATCACTTTCAAGGCAAGCATTCCTCCAGACCTGAGTTTTCAGCTCAGGAATCTTTTTTAACATGAAACTTGTAGAGACACTTGCATAGGTATAATGAATTCAGCATGAACCAAACAAGTGCATGACTTTCTCCCCAAGTTTTGTCAATGAATCTCAAAAGTTTTGTTGCGTTTTTATTTTCGTTCAGTTCCAAATATTTTGTAACTTCTAATTTTTTCTCTGACTCATAAGTTATTTAGAAGTATGCTGTTTAATTTCCAAATATTTTGGAATTTTAAAAATATCTTCACATTATTGATTTCTAGTTAATTCCATAATCATACTTTATATAGTTACATTCTTCTGAAATATAGTGAGACTAATGACCCAAAATACAGTCTCTTTTGGTGAATGTTCTATGTCCGCTTGAAAAGAATGTGTATTCTGCTGTAGTTTAGTGTTCTGTAAGTATCAGTTAGGTCAAGCAGGTTGGTAGGGTTATTCAAATCTTTTACGTCTTAGTTTCTGTTTACTTGTTCTATCAATTACTTAGAGACAAATGCTGAAACCTCAAACTCTAATTATGGATTTGCATATTTTTCCAGTTTGATCTTATATATCCATTTTTGTTTCATGTATTTGAAGCTCTGTATTTGAAATGCTATCCTTAGCATACAGCAAATTCACAAATATAAATGAGTCTGTAATGCTCAACTCTATTTTGTTCCATTTATCTATCTATATATCCATGTGCCAGAATCAGATTGTTTTAATTACTGTGACTTTAGATAATACTTTGACTATCGTTAAGGCAAACCTTTTCCCTTTCCTCCAGTTAATTTTTCTTTCTCAAAAATATCTTAGCTCTTTTCATACATTTACTGTTCATTTAGAATGTAAGCATCATCTGGGCACGTTCTTGTTAAGTTTAATCTTAAGTATTTCACATATTTTATAAAATATACATTTTATATATGCCTGTTGCTCAAAGATATTTTTCCTGTTGAAGATACAGAACAGGGGTTGGCAAAAATTTTCTTTAAAGGGCCAGGTGGTAAAAATTGTAGGCTTTATAAGACATATGATCTCTGCTGATACTATTCACTCAGTCATCGCCATAATACAAAAGCAGCCACAGACAATATGTAAACAAATGGGCATAAAACTTTATTTACAAAAAAAGGCAAGAAGTCAGATATGGCCTGTGGGCCATAGTTTGCTGGTTGTAGATAAAGAGACAGACTAATAGATATAGAGAAAGATTAATTTTTACATAGTTATCTTGTATCTTAACTTCATAATAAGTTTGCTAATACTATTTTTGAGTTGAGTCTATTATTTCTATGTGAACAACGTATGAACAAAAGATCATTTTCTTCTAGCTTTCCAATATTTACAGCAATTATTCCACTTTTGTAATCTTACTGCATTGGCTAGATAACTCTGGAGCAATACTCAGCTACTGTGCTAACAGGAGGTATTGTTTTGTTAATAGGGGGGGCTCTGTTTTTCACCTACAAATTTGATGTTGCTGTTGGTTTCTAAAAAATGTTATCACGTTCAAGTTTCAGATACAATGCTTGTATTCAATCTTTTAAGATCCCTTCTAATTCAAATTGTTTAATTATGAAGTAATTACCAGTTTTTGATTGAGGCTATAGACAAATGAGTGTTCCAGTGAGCAATCCATCACCCCCATTGAATACCAATGACTTCTTTTTACTTAATAGAGACCTTCTGAATCTTCTTGTTCAATTACATGAACCTCAAGACAACATAGAAGAAAACGAATTCTTCCGAGGAATTAGAAAAAAATTAAGTAGGAAATAAAAGTATTTTGCTTTAGACTTTTTAAAGGTGTTTTCCTTTGAGGTTTTTCAATAAAAATAAATCACTAAAATAACTTTTGAGTGCTAAAGGTAAATTTAGCTGAAAATTCAATAATGTTCTAAGGAGATTGGGGGTAAAAGGTCCAAAGGAAGATAAATTACTAACTCTAATATGGAAGAAAAAAATCTAAGATGTTTATTTCTGAAAAGCTTTGGTCTAACATGTAAGCCTCAAGAACATACAACTTTAAAAATATGTATTTAAAATTGAAAGTTAATAAATATATATATGCTTATATTTAAATATTTTAAAACTTCCTTTAAATTAGCATTCATATACTCACAAAGGTGTCAATGAAAATTTCATGTTCACATTGCAGGCAGAAATTGATTCATTATTGATATAAAATTATTTCAATCAGTCAAAAGTTTTCACTTTGGCATTCACCTTCCAAGAATGAAGTGAAAACAAATGCAATTAGTATTTCCATATTCACTCCTTTAATTTCCCTGGAAAACTAAAAATTAGTCCAGCTGTAAAAATATGAGGCACACATTAAAGAAGAGACATGTTTAACATCAAGCATTGTGGAATTTTTCTTTACAAGACGATTTCAAGGCCCAGATAAATAAAAATACTTCAGGCAATACACAGTAAATATTTTATTTTAATAATAGCATAGAATTCTTCTGAAGAAAATTGTTATACATTATAGCTATTATTTTACAGTAACAGAGAGAAAATAAAATTAGAGATACAAATATTAAAGGCCAATTATCAAAATGAAATTAACACAGATTATTATTCATATGAACAATGTAAACAGAATCATCTATTTGATTTAACATCAAATATATTTTTGGCATATAATTATTTTTACAATGAGAATTATTAATTATTCAACCAATTCAAATATACTCATTCAGCCAAAAGAACAAAATAAGCCTCTTAGAAATTCAAGATTTATAGATTGATATTAAACATTTTCTCAATACATAGAATATTCTGATCTCCATTGAGTTAAACTGTACAAACACTCATATCTATTGTTTTATAGCTTATAATTAGGTATAGCTTGTCACCAGAACTCCTTGTCCAAAATATCACTATTAATTGTACGAGGCAAAGTCCTATAATAAAATTACTGTAATAATGGCCACATCTTTTCAAAAACAGAATATGGAAGTTTCCATTTTCATGACTATGAATCTGGTTTTCCAAAATTGGGTTCCCAAATCCAGTTTCTAAATGTTTCAACAGAGGTGAGAAAGTAAAGGAAATAAATGATTTAATGGAACTCTGGAAAAAAAACTATCATAGATCTTAGTTTGAAAAATACATCAAACATGAGAGATACCATGAATGACTCAGAATTATATAATAATGCCTATATCAAACTTTATTAGTTAGCTAAAGGGCAAAGAGTAAGAGGCAAGTTAAAGGTAATACTTGCTTTTAACAAAGCAGACTAAGTAATATGTTAAGTGTTAGGGTGGGATAGGAAAGAACTCAGGCATGGCAAAAGTCTCCTCTTGGGCTTTCTATATAAACATCTATTTTAGTTTTGGACTGTTCACCGAGAGGAGCTCTCCCTATCCATGAAATGCTTCCCAGACCAACAGGTCTTGGTCTAGCAGCTGTAGGAAGGCAGCAGTATGAAAATGTAGGAAATGGAAGCCAATTTGTGTCCAAAGTTAGTCCACCCTAACTGGACTCTTTTTAAACTGGGTTATTCAAATGCCAGCAAAAAGTACAGGCTCTAGCTAAAGAACATGAATAGACATCTGTCTTAAAAATGCCTGGAAGAGGTCATGATTATTGGCCTTATGTTCTCCCAGAATAAGAACTTACAAAGTCCTGGAAATCCTCAGCTCTCTCCAGCCACCTTTCCAAATAAAATCTTAATGAATATATTTTAAATCCTTTATTGGGCTCTGTAATCCCTTCAACCAAATAGCCAAGCTGCAATCGTTTTATGTAACATCTGTTTCACTGGAAAATGTGGGAAGTTATTTTGATATTGTCTAGCAAGATCAATAAGTAAACACTGATCACCCCAAGCCAAATGATATTGCCCTTCAGGGAGCTTTTAGAAAGAAAATAAACTGATAAACCAAGAAAGCAGATTGTATGCATAGCAAAGCCCTTCAGCACAGTGCAAACATGTTCTTTATGAGGAGGTGCAAACCCACTTGGTAATTTCAAGTGAGAGGCAACAGAAGTCTTTCTTAATCCAAAGTCAGAAGTTTCCGAAGAACTTCAAGCACAATATCGTAACAAAAGTGATACTGCTCCTATATACATATATATAAAAAACAACAGAATGTTAAGTAATTGAATAACAGAATCCACTTTCAGAAAACACATTTGTAATTTTCAGCCACACTGGAAAGTTCCTAAAAAGAGCAAACATTTAACTATAAACACTTAAGAACTTTACGTGAATACATTTTTAAAACTATGAGGAAGATAAATGATCAAAATATAGCTCTTGGCCTAGAACTAGTTACCTTAAGGCTTAACATAACTGTTTTTTTTATCATTATCCATATTCTATTAATCTACCCTCCCAATGACTACTAACAAATCTGTGACATAAATGATGTCTTTTTATGACGTCCTGATAACCTTGACAGTTTAGTGGCAAGTAAATATCTCAAACTGCTATCCAGAAATGTTTTAAAAATAACTTTAGATGTTACTTAAATAGCACGGCATTATGGACAAGGCATGTGTTTGGACACGAGGAGACCTCAACTTCAGGCTTGGCTCCTCCCCTTCTATCTGAGTGACCCCATGGAGCAGGCTTTATTGCTCTGAATTTGAAGTACTTGGTCAGGAATACCAGAGAATCAGAGCAAAACTAATGTCTACCTCAAACAGTAGGAATTCAATGAGATTATGTCAATAAAAGAGCTTTTAAGTGGTAAAGTGTTATGCAATGTTAATCTTTATATTCATTATTCTTATTATTATGTATGTGGTGAAAGCTTACCTTCGTTTGAACCATGCCAGAACGTTGTTCTCTCATTTGGGCCACTATATCCATGATGTTGAACTGTAATAAGATGACAGTAATTTTGTATGATCCACATGGGGGAAAAACACAAATTCACAGATTGCCAAAAAGGGTGAAAGAGATGTCAAGATTTAATCAGAAAGATCTCATTTTCACTCACAAGAAAATGTGCTATTTTTAACTTAGCCCAATGGATAAGGAAGACTATTTTAATAGGTTTTCAGGAGAAAGCAGGAAGCAATCATTCATAATAAGAAATGCTCTCCAAAATAAGTAATAAATTTGCCCTTGTGTGTCCCTGTTTGTTATCCAAAGGCAGAACTTAAAGCAGCACTGTAATTCTGGAAAGGCACAGAAGACTTTCTCTGGCCCCAACAATAGCATATCTGTTTCTTATATGAAGATCCCTGTCAACTCACACGGAAACTGGGAGCAACAGTCGACCCAACACTAGATTCCAGACTGTGTGTGGACACCAGTACAGCTGGGTGTGGTCATTGAGTTGGTGCAGGCCTACAAAGGTCTGTTGCTGGTCCACAATGAGTCAAGAAACTGGGAGTAAGTGCTCAGAAACTCTTATGGCAATTTGACACTGGCACAGCACTGAGAAGTGTGCTCAACTGAACAGGATATAGACCAGCTCAGGTGTTGCTGAACTTGCCTGGAGAGTCACATGTGGGACAAGCTGAGAATGAGTCGTTTCAGCAAGACATTGTGGACACATGTAAATGTTGTCAACTGTAACCCCAAAGCATATAAAAATAGAAAACAATAAGCATTCCTTTATTTTCATAGCTTATCATTTTTATAATTAAAATTTTTAATTAACCCTTTGAAAAAACTTTTAGTTTTTTAGAGACAGGGTCTTGCTCTGTTGTCTCAGCTGCTGGAGTACAGCGGTGTCATCATATTTCACTGCAATCTCAAACTACAATCCTCCCTCCTCAACCTCCTGAGTAGCAAGAACTATAGGTGCGTTCCACCATGCCCAGCTAACTTTTTTATTTTTATTTTTGTTACCCAGGCTGGTTTCAAACTCCTGGCCTAAAGTGATCCTCAGCCTTGGCCTCCTAAGGTCTGGGATTATAGGCGTCAGCCACCATATCTGCCATAAAAAAATTTTATTTTATAATACAGATATACAGGAAGTTGTACAGGGTGGCCCTGTGTATCTTTCACCCAGTTTCCCAGATGGTGTCATCTTGTTTAACAAGATATAATATCAAAACCAGGAAACTGACATTGGGACAATCCACAAAGCTTAATTCAGATTTCACCAGTTTTACATGCAACTGTTAGTGAGTGTGTGAGAGTGTGTATGTGTGCATGTGTGCATGCACAGAGCTCCATGCAATTATATCATATGTGAAGATTCATGTAACTATAACCACAGTCCAGATACAGAGCTGTTCCACCACAAGACTTCCTCCTGCTATCCCTATAGAGTCACACTCATCCACCCCAATCTCTAACCCTTGGAAAATAGTAATCTGTTCTCCTTCTCTATGCTTTTGCTATTTCAAGAAGAAATAGCAAAATTCACTATATGAATAAAATTGCACAATAGCTAACCTTTTGTGATTGACTTTTTTCCCACCCAGAATAACTTGGAGATCCATCCAAGTTGTTGGTGTAACAATAGTTTGCTTCCTTTTATTGCTAAATAATATTCCATGATGTGGATATGTGCCACTTTATTTAACCATCAATTTGTTGAAGGACATCTGGGTTGTTCTGGTTTTTGGCTACTGTGAATATAATCTGCTATGAACATTTACATACAGGTTTCTGTATGAACATAAATTTTGATTAATCTGGGATAAATGCCCCAAGAGTGCTATTGCTGGGTTATATGTCAACTTTAGTTAGTTTTGTTTTTGTTTTCTTTCCAAGAAACTGCTCAATTGTTTTCCGTAGTGGCTGGTACCAGTCTACATTCCCAATGTCTCATACATATGGGTAATGTATGAGCAATACAGTTTCTCCAAATCTTCACATAATTCTCCAAATCCTCACCAGCATTTCCAAATCTTCATCAGCATGGGGTGCTGTCACTATTTTTACATAAGCCTTTCTGATAGGTGTGTAATGCTACTCCATCCTGGTTTTAATTAGCATTTCCCCAAGGGCTAATGAAGCTGAGCATCTTTTCACGTGCTTGTCATCTGTATGTTCTCTTTGGTGAACTGTCTGTTCATGTCTTTTACCCATTTCTGTTTTTCTTTTTTTTTTAACTATTGATTTTTGAGGGTTCCTTATAAATTCTAGATCCAAGGCCTTTGTTGGATATGTGCCCTGCATATAGTTACTCTCTAGCTTGTTTTTTTTTTTTTATCCTCTTCATTGGGTCTTTCACAAAACATAAAATTTTAGTTTGCTTTCCCTCTGAGATCAGTGATGGCAACAACGCCTGCTCTCACCACTCTTATTCAATATAGCACTTGACATTTTAGTACAGCAATAAGACCAGAAAATAAGTAGGATGTATACAGATTGTATACAGATCAAAAAGGAAGAGACAAATCTATATGCACATGGCATGACTGTCTATGTAGAACACACTAAAGAATCTAAAAAAAAAAAAACCTACAAAACCTCTAAGAGCTAATAAGTAATTTCAACAAGATCACAGGGTACAAGATCAACAAATGAAAATCAATTAAATTTCTACGTACTAGCAATGAATATGTGGAAACTGAAAGTACAAACACAATACCATTTACAATTGCTCCAAAGAAAATGAATAGGGTAAATTTAACAAAACATATACAAGATCTATACACTGAAAATGACAAAATGCTGATGCAAGAATTCAAAAAAGACCTAAATAAATACACTTACCATGTTCATGGATTGGAAGATTCAATACAGTAAAGATATCAGCTCTCTCCAATTAAACTACAGATTTAAAGTAATTTCCATCCAAATCCCAGCAAGTTTTGTGTAGATGTAGCCAAACTAATTCTAAAATTTATTAGAGAAAGCACAGACCCTAGGATAGCTCAAACAATTTTGAAAAAGGAGAATAACGTGGGAGGAATCATTCTATCTGATGTTAAAGCTTACTATATCACTACAATAATCCAAAGGGTGGTACCGGCAGAAGGATAGACACACTAATCAATAGAACAGAATACGGAACCAGAAATAGGCCCATACAAATATGCCCAATAATTTTTGACAAAGGTACAACAATAATTCAATAGAGGAATAACAGAATTTTCAATAAATGATATTGAAACAACTAGCCATCAATAGGCCAAAAAATGAATCTTCACCTAAATTTAATAATTTATTAACTCAAAATGGACTATGGACTTAAATGTCAAATATGAACTTACAGAATTTTCATAAAAGAACACAAAAAAATTATTCAGGCCCTCAGCTAAGTGATGAGCTGTTAGACTTGATATCAAAACATGATCCATAAAAGGAAAAACTAATAAAATACAATCTCATCAGAATTAAAAACTGTAACTTCTTTAAAAGCATTTTTTTAATTATAATTTAAGATTAGGCAAATTATGGAAATACATTTGAATTACTAATTTTTAATCAGTTTACTGACTATAAAACAAGCATGACTGGACTGTTCAGTTAAGAAAAGACACAGCTTTCCAAATGTGGCTGTAGTGGTTAACCAAATAATGAAGATGGAAGTGACTGCAATGAAATGAAGACAAAGAGTTATATAATTTTCACTTGGAGTTATGATTCCTCATATATTGAGTTTTATAGTCATTATTGATTGTGAAGCTCTAAAACTACACTTGTGTTATTTCCAAAGATGTACTGGTTAACAAAGCAAAGGAACCATTAAGACTTATTTGTAATTTACATAAAAAATAATTAATTCAAAGATAAAATAATTATCTTAAAGAGAATTAGATTAAAAAGACAAGAGAGGACTTCTGGTTCCAAAATAACAGTGTAGAAGCAAGCTGGCTTCACTTCTTTACAAAGAAAACCAAAACCAAATATACAGCACTGAAATTATCACCAACAATATCCCAGAAATCAAATACGAGGAGAAGACAGTTCCTGGATCCACAGAGATGGGAAAAAAACTCTAAGTAGGCAGTAAGAGAATTGGGTTTCCACATCTGCAATGCCCATTTCTCCAATTTGCCCAGCACCAAGAGTGCAAAAAATCTCCACCTGATTCATGATTTCTATACCAGAAAAGGTGACATCCAGGTTTCCCACCATCTGGGTTACCTGGCAGGAAACCTGTCCCTACCTCAACCCACAGGAAGCACTACATGTGCCTGAAGAAAGAAATACCCTGAGAAGAGTCAGAAACAAACAGGTGAGGTGGGACTACCATCCCCAGCCCTGGAAACTCTGGTCTGTAACTCAGCTAAAGGAGATGCCAAACCAGAGTGGTTGTTTAGTAGCACCACATTGCAGAAGATACATTGCACAGGACCCCTGGGCATGAATCTCTAGCCACCTTTCCCACACTGCCATGATATCTCCTTTGAGACTTTCCCTAATTGGAATGAGCAGCTCTCTTATTGTTTACTGGAGCCAAGGCAAACTTGGTCGTAAGGTGACATCTAGTGCCAAAAAGAAGGCAGCAACTTAGCCCCTCACCAAAAAAAAAAAAAAAAAAAAGAAAAAAAAAATTCGACAGGTAAATTACATAGAATCTATAACCAAATACATTCAATAAAAAACAAAAATAAGCCAGACAGAGAACACTGGAATAAATAACTAATCCTTCATTCAAAGACATCAATACAAGATATATATTTCTTGCACATCCAGAAGAAACTGCAGTCAACACAAAACCATGACCTCCCCAAATGGATAAAGCAAGGAACCAGTGACTGACCCTCATGAGATAGCCATATAAGAGCTCCCTGATCAAAAATTCAAACTAGTATTAATAGCTTTGAGGAAACTCAGAGATCTCCAAGGTAACAGAACACCAATTCAAAAATTTATTAGACAAACTTAACAAAGAGATTGAAATAATTTAAAAATCAAATAGAAATCTTGGAGCTGAGAAATATATTAGCTGAACTGAAAAATTCATTACAGCCTCACAATAGCAGAATGAATCAAGCAGAGGAAAGAATCAGGGAGCTTGAAAACCGGCTACTTGAAAATGCAGTCATAGGTGGAAAAAGAATAAAAAAGAATGAAGATCATCACCAAATATAGACAATTACCTCAAAAGACCAAATCCAAAAATTACTGGTGTTCAAGAGGGAGTTGAACAAGAGCAAGGGGTAGGAAGCTTATTCAAAGAAATAATAACAAAACTTTCCAAAATGCAACAGATATAAATATTCAGGTATAAGAGCATCAGGGCCGGGCGCGGTGGCTCACGCTTGTAATCCCAGCACTTTGGGAGGCCGAGGCGGGCGGATCACGAGGTCAGGAGATCGAGACCATCCTGGCTAACACGGTGAAACCCCGTCTCTACTAAAAAAATACAAAAAAATTAGCCGGGCGTGATGGCGGGCGCCTGTAGTCCCAGCTACTTGGGAGGCTGAGGCAGGAGAATGGCGTGAACCTGGGAGGCGGCGGAGCTTGCAGTGAGCCGAGATTGCGCCACTGCACTCCCGCCTGGGCCACAGAGCGAGACTCCGTCTCAAAAAAAAAAAAAAAAAAAAAAAAGAGCATCAGAGAACACCAAACATATTCAACCCAAATAAGGCTACACCAAAGCATAAAATAATAAAACTCTCAAAGCTCAAGGATAAAGAGAGGATCCTAAAAAGTAGCAGGAGAAAAGAAGTAATTAACATATAAAAGAGCTCCAATTCATCTGACAATTGACTCTCAACAGAAATCATATAGGCCAGGAGGAAGTGGGATAAATTTTCAAAGTGTTGAAAGAAAAAAAAAACCTGTTATCCAAGAACACTATATTCAGCAAAGGTACTTTTAAATATGAAGGAGTGATAAAGTATTTTTCAGATAAACAAAATCTGAGGATTCAACAGCAGCAGACCTGACTTACAAGAAATGCTAAAGCGAGTTCTTCAGAAGGAAAATAAAAAAATACAAAAAACCACATACACATTCAAAAAGAAAACTTTTCAAGGCATAAAATCCACTGGTAACATTAACAACATGGACAAAACCAGAATACTCTATTATTGTAATGATGGTGTGCAATCCATGCCTAACTCTGGTATGAAGCTGAAAGATAAACTCATAAAAAGCCGTAATAGCTACAGCAACCTATTAAGAGAAAGGTAATATAAAAATACACAAATTTAGATAATAAGCAGTTGAAATGTGGTGGGGATGGAGTTAAAGCATAGAGAATTTTTTTAAAATTTTTTCTTTGTTTCTATTCTTTACTTTGTGATCTAAGATAAGTTGTCACTTCTTTAAAATAGCTTATTGAGATCCACTCAAGGCAAAAAGAACTGGGAAGTCCCCACAGCTGTCTGCTGGGCAGAAAACCCTAGGCTATGGGTGCCACATCAGCTATACACCCACGGCAACACCGCCCTGCCTGGAGATCTCACACCCCTGACCTACTGCATCAACAAACCATCTGTAGGTCTACTGCACAATTAGCTCTGACTCCCAAGCACAGAGGATCAGCAGGCCTCCAGTGTGCTGTGGATCTCCTGGTGACCTAATCTTTGGCTCGAGCTGCCCCAAGGGAGGAGAGAGCACAGGCTGCCAGGGTTCCCCTTGGGGTTAAAGAGATGTGGGCATGGTGCCAGTGACTGGAGGGGGCTCCCCTAAGGCCTGGAAATGGACCTGGCAGGGGATCATCGCTACCCCTTCCCACCACCCCCACTGCTGCAAATGTGCTGGAATACAAAAGAGCCATGTGACTGAGAGTCTATTTGCCGGCCATTATTCTCAAGCACCATCTACTGGATTGAAGCCTAAATTACAACACCCCAAACTCTTCCAGTATACACTGCCTGTGAAATCCAGTGCCAGAATCTAGCCACAAGTATTAATAAATATCCCATACAGAGTGTTGGCCCTCTGAAAGCACCCAGAAATAAAGCCAACTGACTATACTCAGCTTATGCTACAGTCAAACCCACAAGGGATACAAAGAATATAAAAACAAAAAGCCTCATCGAAATGATAGCAAATTCAACAAGATAAAAGAACACGTGCCCTCTCAGAAGAGAAAGATTTAATGCAAGAACTTTGGCAATTCAAAAAGTCAGTGCCTCCTTATCTCCAAACAATTGTACTAGCTCGCCAGAAATTGTTCTTAACTAAATTGAGATGGCTGAAATGACAAACATAGAACTCAGAATCTGGGTGGTAAGGAAGCTTAATGAGATTCAGGAGACAGCTGAAACCTAATCCAAGGAATTTGGTAAAATGATCCAAGAGTTAAAAAGTTGACAAAGCCATTTTAAGAAACAAACAAACTGACCTTCTGGAATTGAAAAATTCACTACAGAAATTTCATAATACAGTTGGAAGCATTAACAACGGAATAGACCAAGATGAGGAAAGAATCTCAGAGCTCAAAGATTGGTCCTTCAAATCAATTCAGTCAGACAAAAATAAAGAAAAAAGAATTTCGGGCCAGGGGTGGTGGCTCATGCCTATGATCCCAGCACTTTGGGAGGCTGAGGTGGGAGGATCTCTTGGGGCCAGGAGTTTGAGACCTGCCTGGCCAACATGGTGAAACCCCATCTCTACTAAAAATACAAAAACTAGTGAGGCTTGGTGGCACGCGCTTGTAGTCCCAGTTACTCAGGAGGCTGAGGCATGAAAATTGCTTGAACCTGAGAGGTGGAGGATGTAGTGAGCTGAGATCACGCCACTGCACTCCAGCCTGGGCGACAGACCAAGACTCTGTCTCAAAAAAAAAAAAAAAAAAATTGAAAATGAACAAAACCTCCAAGAAATAAGAGATTATGTAAAGAGACCAAACCTATGACTCACTGGCATTTCTGAAAGAGAAGAAGAGTAAACAACTTGGAAAACATATTTGAAAATATAGTGCGCAAAACTTTTCCCAATCTCACTAGAGAAGTCAATAGGCAAATTTAAGAAATTCAGCAAAGTCCTGTGAGATACCATACAAGATGACCATCCTCAAGACATATAGTTAACAGATTCACCAAGGTCAATGCAAAAGAAAAAATCTTAAAGGCAGCTAGAGAGAAAGGTCAGCTTACTTACAAAGGAAATCCCATCAGGCTAGGAGTAGACCTCTCAGCAGAAACTTACAAGTGAGAAGAAACTGTGGACCTATTTTCAGCATTATTAAATAAAATAAACTCCAAACAATAATTTGATATTCTTCCAAAGAAAGCTTCATAAGCAAAGGAGAAATAAAATCCTTTTCAGACAATCAAAGCTAAGGAAATTCATGAGCACTAGACCAGTCTTACAAGAAGTCCTTAAGGAAGTGCTAAATGTGGAAATGAAAGAACAGTACCTGGCACCACAAAAACACAAGTACATGGCCCACAGACACCATAAAGGAGATACACAATCAAATCTACAAAGCAACCAGCCAACAATGTGATGACAGCATCAAAATCTCACATATTGATATAAACCTTGAAGGCAAATGGTCTAAATACCCAACTTAAAAGGCTTAGGATGGCAAAATGGATTAAAAAAATAAGGCCCAACCATATTCTGTCTTCAAGAGACCCATCTCACATGTAAGAACACCCACAGGCTCAAAGTAAAGGGATGGAGAAAGATCTATCATGCAAATGGAAAACAAAAGGAAAGCAGGGGTCACTATTCTTATATCAGATAAAACAGACTTTAAACCAACAATGATCTAAAAGGACAAAGTAGGGCATTACACAGTGACAAAGGGAAAAATTCAAAAAGAAGAGTTAACTATCTTAAATATACACACAGCTAACATTGGAGCACCCGGATTCATAAAACAAGTTCTTCTGGACCTATGAAAAGACTTAGTCACACAATAATATTGGGAGCCTTCAACACCCAACTGGCAGGATTAGAGAGATCATCAAAGCGAAAAATTAATTAATAAAGAAATTCTGGTCTTAAATTCAACACTTGACCAATTGGACTCAATAAATATCTACAGACTAGTCCACTCCAAAACCATAGGATATACAGTCTTCTTATCTGCACATGGAATATACTCTAAGATCGACTATATGCTCAGCCATAAAGCAAATCTGAAAAAGATTAAAAACACTGAAATCATCTCAAGCATACTCTCAGACCACAGTACAATAAAAACAGAAATTACTACCAAGAAGATCTCCCAAAACTACACAATTACTTGGAAATTAAACAACTTGCTCCTAAATGACTTTTGGGTAAACAAATGAATTCAGAAATCAAAAAAATTCTTTGAAATTAATGAAAACAGAGACAAAACAAATCAAAATCTTTGGGATGCAGCTAAAGCAGTGCTAAGAGTATAGTTTATAGTGCTAAATGCCTACATCAAAGAAGTTAGGAAGATCTTAAATGAACAACCTGATGTCTCACCTAGAGAAACTAGAAAAAAAGAACGAATCAATCCCAAACTAGCAGAAGAAAACAAATAACCAAAATCAGAGCAGAACTGAATGAAATTAAGATGGAAAAATGCATACGAAAGATCAACAAACAATTTTTTTTTTTTTGAGATGGAGTCTCGCTCTGTCTCCCAGGCTGGAGTGCAGTGACACAATCTCAGCTCACTGCAACCTCTGCCTCTTGGGTTCAAGCAATTCTCCTGTCTCAGCTTCCCAAGTAGCTGGGACTGCAGGTGCATGCCATCACACCTGGCTAATTTTTGTATTTTTAGTAGAGACGGGGTTTCGCCATATTGATCAGGCTGGTCTCGAACTCCTGACCTCAGGTGATCCACCCGCCTCGGCCTCCCAAAGTGCTGGGATCACAGGCATGAGCCACCGCGCCTGGTCTGTTTTTTGAAAGAATAAACAAAATTGATAGACTGCTAGCTAAACAACAAAAAAAGGAAAATCTAAGCCCAATCAGAAATGACAAAGATGACATTACAACTAATCCCACAGAAATATAAAAGATCTTCAGAGATTATTATAAATATCTATGCACACGAAAAATAGAAAATCTAGAGGAAATGAGTAAATTCCTGAAAACTCCCAAGATTCAACCAGGAAGAAATTCCTGTTCAAGAAAACCTGAACAGACCAATAATGAATTCCAAAAGTGAATCAGTAATAAAAATCCTACCAACCAAAAAAAGCCCTGGACCAGACGGATTCACAGCTAAAGTCTACCACATGTACAAAGAAGAACTGCTACCAATCCTACTGAAACCATTCCAAAAAATTCAAGGAGGAGGGACTCCTCTCTAACTCATTCTATGAAGCCATTATCAACTTGATACCAAAATCTGACAGAGACACAATGAAAAAAAAGTTCAAGCCAATATCCCCGATGAACATAGAGGCAAAAAAAAAAAAAAATCCTCAACAAAATACTAGCAAAACAAATGTAACAACACATCAAAAAGATAATGCACTATGACCAAGTGGGATTTATCCCCAGAATGCAAGTATAATTTGACATATGCAAATCAATAAATGTGATATATCAACAGAATGAATGACAAAAACCATATGAGAATCTTAATAGATGTGGAAGAAGCATTTGATAAAATTCAACATGCTTTCATGATAAAAAAAAAAAACTCTAAACAAATGAGGCATAGAAGGAACATATCTAAACACAATAAAGACGATATATGACAAACACACAGCTAAGATCATACTGAATGGGGAAAAGCTCAAAGCCTTTCTTCTAAGAACTGGAAAACAGGTCAAGAATGCCCACTTTTACCACTCTTATTCAGTATAATGTTGGATGTCCTAGCCATTGCAATTAGTCAAGAGAAAGAAATAAGGGGCATCCAAATTGGAAAAAAAGGAAATTAAATTGTCCTTCTTTGCATGTAACATGACTATATATTCATATATTCATATATATATGTATATATATATATATCCCCCAAAACTAATGACTCTACCAAAACACTCTAAGAACTAATAAACTAATTCAGTACAGTTGCAGGATACAAAGTCGACATACAAAAATCAGTGATATTTCTAGACTCCAATAACAAACTAGCTGAAAGGAAATAAAGAAGGTGATCTTATTTACAATAGCTATTAAAAAAAAAAAACACCTAGGATAAATTTAACCAAAAAAGTAAAAGACTTCTATGAGGAAAACTATAAAACACTGATGAAAGAAACGAAGAGGACAGAAACAAATGGAAATAATCCTATGCTAATGAATTGGAAAATGGAATACTATGCAGCCATAAAAAAAGAGTGACATCCTGTCATTCACAGCAATATGGACAAGTCTGGAGAACATTGCATTAAGCAAAACAAGGCAGGCACAGAAAGATAAATACTGCATGTTCTCATTTATATATGAGAGCTAAAAAATCAAACTCATGGAAGTCAAGAGTAGAACTGTGGGTATTAAAGATGATAAGGAAAGGTTGGCTAACAAATACAAAATTAAGCTAGATAGGAGGAATGAGCTCTGGTGTTCTGCATCACTGTAGGGCAAATATGGTTAATTATAATTTATTGTATATATTTAAAGAGCTAGGAAAGAAGATTTTTGATGTTCACAACACAAAGAAATGACAAATGTTTGAGGTGATGCATATGTTAACTACCTTGATCTGATCACTACACATTGTATACATATATCTAAATACCACTCTCTGTACCCCACAAATATGTACAATTATTACATGTCAACTAAAAATAAAAGGAAAAACAACATAGATGGAATCATTTTAACAGATAAAACTTGAGAATAAAAATAATCATAAAGGAAATATTGTAATCATCACATCTGATTCCTGTGTCTATCTCTTAGCTGGTTCCAAATTAAAAACAAAAGTAAAGGATTGTGAATTATTGACTCAAACTCAATTATATTATTATGTTTATTTTGCAAATGAGAAAACTAGATTTGAGAGAGGATGAGCAATTTACCCAAAGTCACCAAAATCTAAAGTATGTGGCAAAACAGGCAGTCAAACAGGGACCCCTCATTAACTCAGAAGTCTACATTTTTTCTCACATTCTTATGTGCTTGTCACTTATATTCATTAAAAACAGGCACATTCCATCAACATTCTCTAGTAAGAGTCTAAACACCCCGTGTAAGATACAGGGAAGGAAAAGGAAATGGAACTCACATTTTCTGTGTATCTATTATGTTCCAGACACTGTCCTAAGCCATTATTTACAATACATACTTTAATCCTCACAAACACCCCCAGGAACCTGCAGCAAGTTCGGTGAGAATCAGGTATCCAAAGCTCATGTGCTTTTGATTTACTAAGTTGCTTTTGAAGACCAAATATTAGTCTTCCAAATGATCAGGCTATTAAATGTAGTGTGTAAACACCAACAGCATCAGTGTATCTGCTTGATTCACACACTTACTGAACAGTTCTTTACGATGGCACAGAACACGACATCCACACATAGGAACACCCCTGTCCGGCCTATGCCGGCACTGCAGTGAACAACCATGGGTCCTGTAAGGTGGCTCTTCCTTGCATAACGAATATATTTTATGAAGCTATCTGCTGAGGCAGGAGTGCCATGGTCTGGCCACTTGGTGAACTGCAACTGTTTTACAGAGTGACTAGTTCCCGTCTGTTAGAGAAAGAAACAGAGCGAGAAAGACATTTATTGATTTCTTATATTAGAGACCTCACGCCAACTTCTAATATTCAAATGATAATAATAATGGCTATATGGTATTACCTTGGTATTATATAGAACTTTCAAAAAGTACTCAAACCTCTTTTTGATGTTTATAAGAATTCTGGAAGTTGCTAGGAATAGAGGTTTTCTCCATTTTACAAAGGAGAGCACAGTAACAACAATAAAAATACCAGTATTAACAGGTAACAAAAATTAAGCACTTGCTATGTGGCAGTTACTATGCTAGGGGCTTCACATGAATTCTCTCCTTTAATCTTCACATCAACCATGTGAGATAGGCACCATTTTATCTCCATTTTACAGATGAAAATTTAAGGATGAGGGGGACGAGAGATGTATGCTAGGTCAGAAGGTTCACACGTTTAGAGCTGGAACTGTAATGTAGGTGTCTTGAATTCTAATCTACCATCATTCTTCTGTACCATGAGGCTACAGGAAAACCAAGATTTCAAAATGCTTAGAGTGAGAGATGGACTGTCATGTTAGGAATAAGACCAAAAGGCAAAGTATCTTAGTTTAGAAATGACATATGAAATTTAATTAAGACATATAGGTGTCTGACAAGAGAGGCACCGATCTCTTCCAGCGATGAAGACAGGGTAGTCAATGACCATGAGAGTAGATTGTGGGTCCCACTATTGTGCTGAGCCCCCTTGAAGTGGAGTCATGAAACTCTTCCCAGCATTGTCAGATAAAGCACTTTGAATTTACCTATATCTCATCCAAAGGGATCATGACCCTTTCCTCAGTGTGGGGCCCTTATTTTATCACACATGGGACCCTAATGGAAGAACTCAAAATGAGTTTCTCACTTCTCCTATGCTTCTCCCGAATGCACCTCTTTTTCCTAAGCTTTCTGAATAAAGATGCTAGTGCTCAGAGCTCTATTCTAATCCACAGTGTCGACTGAAATTTGTGATAGTTAATTTTATGTGTCAACTTGGCTGAGCCCTGGTATCCAGATACTAGGCCAAATATTATTTTGTGCCTCTGTGAAGGTATTTTTTAGGTGAGATTAACATTTAAATTGGTAGAATTTGAGTAAAGCAGGTTATTCTCCATAAAGTGGGTTGGCTTCATCTAATCAGCTGAAGGCCTTAAGAGAACAAAAACTGACCTCCCATGAGCAAGAAGGAATTCTACCAGCAGATTGCTTTTGGACTCAAACTCCAATTCTTCCCTGGGTCTTCAGCCTACTTTCCCACCCTGCAGATTTGCCAACCCTCCACAATCACTTGAACCAACTCCTTAAAATTAATCTCTCTCTCTGGATCAGTCCCATAACCTGTATTCAGGGATCTCAATGTTATACTGCTAGAAAAATACACATAATCACATATTTTGTTGCTACTACAAATGTATGGGTCAAACCTCAGCATCACTCAGCAACCCTTTTCCTGGTGATTGTGCTCCAATCAACTTCTTTGGTGATGACTCCAAAACTCACCATTCTCTGCAAGTTTCCTGTTCAACTCCTATTCCCTTCACTCGTGTTAACACATGTATCACCTACCTGCCAACTGAATCCACTAGAGCAATCTAACTCATTGCTTTCTCCTATAAACCATTCCTTTTCTGTTTTCTAAGTCTATTAGACCAAGGAATCCATGAATTATTCTAGACCAATGCTTCTCAACAGAACTTCCTATACTGAAGCAAATGTCTTAAATAGTGGCAATATAGTAGCCACTATCAACATGCCACTCATAAGCCCTAAAATGTGGCTACTTGCAGGTGAGGAACTCAATTTGTTATTTTACATAAATTTAAATAACTTAAATTTAAACTTAAATATCCACATGTGGTTACTGTATTGAATATATTTTCAACCCCTCCTCTGTCACTTATAAATCATAAGTCATAAGTCACATATGTCTCCCAATTTTATCTGCAAAACACTTGCGTCTGTGCTTTCCACCCCCATGCCAACAGCCGTAGTTGATCATGTCACTTACTAAAATTCTTCAATGTCTCCCAATTATCTTCATAATAAAGTTCATGCTACTTAGCTGAAATTTAAGACATTTCACATTCTAGCTGGCCCCTGCTTACTTTTGAGAACCTCATCTCATCTTTTATTACTCCCTGGCACTGAACTTTTACATTTCAGAAACACTTAACTACTTATATTTGTCTCTACACACACCTTATGCTATTTTATATTTTGATCATCTACTTTCTCCCTCCATCTTTTTCATTTGCATAATTCTCAAAACAAATGCCACCTCCTCCAGTAAACCTGTCTCAAAACCCCAAGTAAAGCCAAGTGTTTACCTTCTGAGCCCCAAAGTGCCCAAGACATATCTCAACATTATCACTGAACACGGTAAGTTAGGTATCTATCAGTGAGTGTAACCAACCTCTCCACTATTCGGTAAGTACTGATAGTGCCTGGCCCAGTGATTAGCATACTTTAAGGACTCAATACGTATCTGCTACATTTGGCAGAGGCAGGTATAACCCAGAATCAGACAACTTCAACAGTCACTCTCCCTGCCCCACCTCTCTTTTCCAATTTTTTCTTCTCCACAGAATCTGGTTGAGGAGAAGTAGAAGTGGTGGTGGCTTCTGGTACCAGGGACAAGTAAAAAGTTACTTAAGAAGTATCATCGATCGATTTTCCATCCTACTCCTAACTTCTAGTTCTAAGACATCTGCTTATGTGGTGAAACATATATCTAATACTGATGTTTAAAAACTTACGGACTTCTCCACAACTTGAAACATTCGAATGATGAAATATTGAAGTATCTGGTAGTTCTCCAGGAATACACGGAAGTGTTTCAATTCCAATGGCTTCTTCAGAGAAATGGGCCAGTAATGGTAGCATTTGATAATTCCACCTTCTATCTCTCTGGTTATCATGGCAATAACATTTGAATTATTTTCCAACACCATTTGCCAAAAGTCATCTATGGTGCTCAGCAGTGGTCCTTGAGTAGCGATATAAAAATACTCTTCTCCACAATTGACTATTCTAATATAACTAGCATTGATGTAGTCCTTGCTTTTTCCAAGAGGAACGCGTGTTGAATCATCTATTACAGAAACAGAAACATCTGGTAGATAAAGGTGGGAGATACATCACACCCAGACTTCACGAAAGGATTTCACACATGTAAATCCATATATCTCTTTGACCAATAGAGAAGATGGCCTAGGAGTTTCTTTTCAAAATGGTTGAGTCCATGAGTTTAAATTATTTCCTCCCTGAAAACTATTGGCATGACCTAAGAAATATACAATTATGGGATGTTTATTTTTCAAATCAGTTTTTAATAAATGCAGAATGATATCATTAGCATCCAGGTACTTTTGGAAATTTCTGCTAGAAGTGGCATGGGCAAGGTTAAGTCAAGGGAAGTATCCTATAGTTTGCAACTGAACACAACAGAGGAGAAACTCTTTGTGGGAGTAAATGAGTGATATTATCCTGCAAATCTGAAACCTGCAAACCCAGAGCAGCAGGGGCCAGGGGAAAAAAAAAATCTGATAGTTGACTGCAGACAAATTCTAGGATTAATGGAATTCCACCACTGTCCCCAAACTAGACAGCCATATTTTATGTCCATTCTCAGCCTTCATCTGGTGATAGGACATGTTATTCAAAGCAAAGATATTGTGGCAAAAGGATGCTACCAAGGGAAATTGCTCCAAGTAATATGGGACTCATCTAACATGGACTGTTATAACAAATATGAGAGGGAAAACCAGCTATTTGGCCTACTAACCTTCACTGCTCCAGGAGTTCCTTCTTCACCTGACACAGACATCTGAAGCTCTGGTTCCACCACCATCCCCACAGTGAGAGCAGAAACACACACAGCAAAGGAGGCCCTTCTCTGCCATGCAGCTCTCTCACCAATAACCTCTCCTTACTACTCAGAATCACATGGACCACTTATCTAGTAAATATGCTGACAAGACCTGAACAGGCATTTATATAATATCTGGCAGAACTCTTCTCAAATTTTAACATAGCACACAGAAACTTTCCCTTGTAAATATGAATGAACAGAAAAAATCAGCCAGGCGCGGTGGCTCACATCTATAATCCCAGTTACTCAGGAGACTGAGGCAGGAGAATCGCTTGAACCAGGGAGGCGGAGGCTGCAGTGATCTGAGACCGCGCCACTGTACTTCAGCCTGGGTGACAGAATGAGTGAGACTCCATCTCAAACAAAAAAAAAAAAAAAAAAAAAGCTAGATATATAAAGATACCCGGTATTTCAAAAAGGGAGACCATTCTAAAAAATCACAACAAATATTCTCCTTTCTATAAAAGATGATAACACCTTAAAAACTCCTATTTGTATATTAAATAAAATTCAAGAGAGCATTAATTATTTAAAACAATACTTTATACCTATGTTTACTAACAAATATGTTATATTACTAAATTATAAAGGTGATAACAATGGCTTTGTAGGGAGATCTTTCATCATATTTATGTAGATATATGATGATATATGTCATATAATAATAATAAGCCTGGCAAGTGTTCATCACAATGTTAGCAGTAGTTATTACAGTATCTAAACCATATAAATTACTTCATAGTAAAAAAAGCATTTTTTAAATTTTGAAATGAGATTAAATATGTGAAAATTAAATAATCTAAAATAATAAAAGCTTGATTTCATATAAAAGTCACAATCATTCAACTCAAACTCCTAAAGCAGGAATTGAACAGAAAAACAAATTTATGTTTAGAAAATCAGCTTAAAAAATTTTCCCAGAACTCAGAAAAAAAAGATTAAAAAAACCTACAATAATGATTAAAATGGTAAAAGACACAGCGCATACAAGGGGAATGTAAAAAACGAATTTCAGAAGCAAACTGTGGAATTCACTGCAGAAAAGAAATAATTCAAGTGATCATAGGAAAGCTCCCTAAACAGAAGCAGGAGTACTAACAGAATGCAGTGAAACATGCATACCAGGTTCAAGCAGCATGATACGCTACATGTATCACCTTGTCAACTCCAAAACAAACCTTTGAGGGAGGTGCTATTATATTCATACTTTTCAAATAAAGAATCTGTACAAAGTAACTTGTTCCATATTATGCAGCAATCTTCTAGACTCCACAGACTAGGTAAATCTAGACTCTGGTCCAAAAATAATTCCATGCTCTGTTGTCCATCAAGGAAGACTCAAGTTTGCAGACAGAAAGGCCTAAGTGTCAGACAACATTAATGAAGAGAGCCACTAAGACCCCTAGACCAGCAGAGCATAAGGCCACAGGAACAGGAACAGGAAGCAAAAATTATGCTAATGGATGACTAGGGGTAATGGCAACTGGTGCCACTCCCATTTCCACCCCTTGATTCTTGAATCTTGGCTATGGTAGAAACAGCATCATATATTGGATGCTGACATGGGGCATGTATAATCTCCTGAAGAACATTACCCCAGCCCTGCAAGGTACTGCCACCTAGCTTTCACTGTAATTGAGTCTTCAAAAGGCCATTCATCCATTCTGTCAAGCCAGCCGCTTTGAGAGGATAAGGAATATGGTAACATAGTGGCAATGAGGCCATTGCCACAAGGTATTTGCCACAAAGTGAGTTCTTTGATTACAGCAATGCTGTATGGAATACCATGATGGTGGATAAGGCATTCTGTAGGTCCACAGATGGTAAATTGGTGGGAGCACTGTGTGCAGGGAAGGCAAATCCATACCCAGAGTTACTGTCTATTCTAGTAAGAAAAAAGCACTGCTCCATGCATTATGGAAGTGGTCCCAGTGTAATCAACCTGCCATCAGCTAGCTGGCTGATCATCCCATGGAATAGTGCCCATCAGGTACTCAGTGTTGGTCTCTGTTGCTGGCAGATTGGACACTCAGTAGCAGCTGTAGCCAGGTCAGCCTTGGTGAGTGGAAGTCCATGTTGCTGAGCTCATACATAACCTCCATCCCTGCCATTATGGCCACTTTGTTCATGAGACCTATGGGCAATGACACAATGACAGGGGTGACTGGGGGTATAGTCTAGCTGATATTCATAGAGCATGTCACTCTATTCACTTGATTATTAAAGTCTGCCCCTGCTGAGATCAACCTTTGGTGAGCATTCACATGGGATACAAATATCTTTGTGTTTGTGCCTATCTAGCAAGATCTATTCACGTGCCTCTTCCCCAGACCTTATTGTCACCAATTTTTCCAACCATGTTCCTTCAAATTCCCTGACCATCCAGCTAAGCCATTAAACATAGCCCATGAATCAGTACACATTTATACGTCTGGCCATTTCTCCAAGCAAAAAACAAAAAAACAAAAAGCACCAAGTGCACTACCCAATGTTCTGCCCACTGGGAGTTATTTCTCTTCACCACTGTCCTTCAGAGATGTCTCAAAAAAGGGGCTGTAGTGCTATAGCTGTCCTCTTCTGGCTGGTACCTTTATATCACGCAGAACCTTCTGTAGACCAGGTCCAAGTCTTCTCTTCTTCTGTCAGCTGATCATAGGCAACTCCTCATGAGACAACAGGTGCTGGCTGAAGAGAGCAGGTAATGTAGCAGGGGTGGGAACAGTGAGCATTTGGGCAGCTTCTTCGTGTAACTTATTTGTGCCTTCAGGATCTGCTCAAGCCCAATGTTGTATCTACCACTTTCATTTGATGGTGGAGTGCTGCTGTGTATGCCCAACTTTATGGCTTGGTGGCCCATAGTTAAGCATTCTCTACTTAGTTCTCTATGAAGCAGTCTCTACCAAGGCCCAGTAGCAGGCCAAAAGCTGTTTCTCAAAAAGAGAGTCCAGAGAGGGTGGCAGGAATTTGCTCTAAAATCCTACGTGCCTGCACTGTGATTCATCTAAAGGGGTCTGCCAAAGGTCCAAACAGCACCCTTATCTGCCAATGACACTTCAAGCACCACTGGATCTGCTAGATCATACAGCCCACGTGGCAGAGAGGCTTGCATGGCAGACTGATCCTGTTTCAGAGCCTTCTCTTGTTTTGGGCCCCACTCAAAACTAGCAGCTTTTCACATCACTTAGTAAATGGACCAGAGTAGCACATCAAAATAAGGAATGTTTCCTCCAAAACGCCCTGGTTCACTAGCCATTGTGCCTCTTTTTTGCTTGTAGGAAGAGCCAGATACAATTTATCCTTCACCTTATGATTATCTCCACATGTCCCACAACACTGGACCTCTAGAAATTTCACTGAAGTAGAAGGCCACTGAATTTTTGTTGGATATATCTCCTACCCTCTGACAGACAAATAAGACTAAAGCATTTGCTACTTCTTGTTCACTAGATCCAATCAGCACAATGTCATCAATGTAATAAACCTCTGTAATATCCTGTGGAAGGGAAAGGTGATTGAGATCCCTGAGAACTAAATTACAACATAGGGCTGAAGAGTTAATACACCCCTGAGGTAGGACAGTGAGGGTGTATTGTTGGCCCTGCCAGCTGAAAGTAAACTACTTTTGGTGTTCTTGATTAATAGGTATAGAGAAAAAAGCATTTCCCAGATCAATAGCTACATAGCAGGTATGAAGAGATGTGCTGATTTTCTAAGGCAATGAAACTATATCTGGTATAGCAGCTGCAACTAGAGTCACCATCTGAGGAAGCTTACAATAATCCACTGTCATTCTCCAAATTCCATCTCTTTTTTGTGTAGGTCATATAGGTGAGTTGAATGGGATGTGATAGATATCAACATCACTTCATCCTTAAAGTCCTTGATGGAGGCATTAATATCAGCAATCTCTTCAGGAATGTAGTATTGCTTTTGCTTTTTTACTATTTTCCTAGGTAGAATCAGTTCTACTGGCTTCCACTGGCCCTTTCCTGCCATAATATTCCTCACTCCACAGGTCAGAGAAGCAATGTGGGGATTCTACCAGTTTCTGAGTATGTTTATTCCAATTATTCATTCCAGGGCTTGGAAAATAATCACAAGATGGTTTTAGGGACCTACTGAGTCCACTGTGAAATGAACTTGAACTAAAGCTCCATTGACTATATGACCTCCATAAGCCCCTGCTTTGATTTGTAGACCACAGTGATGTTTTGGGTCTCCTGGAATTGGTGTCAGTTCAGAGCCAGTGTCCAGTAGTTTCTGAAAGTTCTGACTATTTTCTTTTTCCAAATGTACAGTCACCCTGGCAAAAGGCTATAGATCCCTTTGGAGAAGGCTGAAAGATTAACAGTATACATTTTTAGCAGTGTGCCAGGGTCCTCCCTTTCATTCAAGGTGTTCTCTGTGTGTAAACTGGCTCAAGTCTGGGAAGTTATTGACTGGTTGTGATTCTCTGTTCCTATGGTTCAGGTTAGAATTTTGCTCACTTGACCTAGAACTCTTCTGCTTACACCTATCAAGGAAGAATTCAGTAGACGTCCCATCTAGTTCACTTCTAGGAACACCATGATCAACTAATCAACACCACAGGTCTCTACAGGTCAGACTGTTCTGATTGCTGCTTTGACTCTGCTATTACCATACCATGCTCACCTTGCCTTTGGCTATCAAGTGCCACCACCTGGCCCTTATCTCTCTGGGATCCAATTATACCCACTGCATTCAGGTTTCCCAACTCAGTGGCAGCAATTTCCACTGCAATATCTGAACTACAGAGAAGAACAATCACAGTATTCTTCAAGGATTCTGGGACTCACCTCACAAATATATTTCTCACAGTTATGAGAAAAGTACATCCTCTGGACCTCCTGGGGTGGGTTGGCAGGTCTTAAATGATAAACCTAATCTAATATTCCAATCTCCCTAATCCTTTGGATCACAGTATATAGTATATCGAGGCAGTTCTGGCATTTTATCTTCATTTAGACTGGGCCACCTTTTGGTCCATTTAATACAACCAACCAAATAAACTGTAAGAGCTCTTTCTAACTCCCTAATCCACATATTAAGTCCAGAATCTCTTCTTTGTGGTCCCATTTCAATAAATTCAGCCTGATCAAACACTAAGTTCCTTCCACCATTGTCCCACACCCTTAAAATCCCTCCCCACAAATATTTCCCAGATTTCTGTCAGTATAAATTGGAAAAATCATGTAGCTCTTTTGTAGTGTAACATACCTCCCCATGGGTCACACTTTGTACCTTACCTTTAAGGGCCTGCTGGGACTTGAGTCTAGTTATAGGTCTAGAAGCAATGAAGGATGGTAGCTGTGAGTCTTGAGAAGAATCAGCAATGTCTTGCAAGGCAACAAACTCAGGGGAGGTAATAAAAGTTTCCTCAGGTAAAGTAGCATTAATCTCCTCAGATGGGGGTGGCATGGCTGCTTTTACTGGCAAGGAAGACTCATCAGGGTCAAGGGGTTCGATACACCCAGCTTTATAAGGCTCTTCACATATGTCTGCACTCCAGTTTTCAAGATCCCATTCCTTCTCAGTTAATGCCCTCATTTTAACAGCAGACACCCTAAAAGGGTGGGGATTCAATTTGCACTGTAATTCAGCCATTTTCAGGATGAGATTTTGGGTTTGGTTTTCAATAATCTCAGCTTTGTTGTTATAAAATATAAGAGTTTCTTTCAGGGCAGAAAGAGAAACTTTTGGGTTATTCATGCGGCACTTGAGCTGGGAAATTTAATCCCTAAGATCATCCTTTCCTTCTCTACATTAGGAGTAACTAGCCAATCTCATTGTTCTCATGAGAACTCAAAAATGTTCTAAGGTATCAAATACAGATGCCCAGAACCTTGCTTCTTGTAAATGTCTGAATAGGATTACCTAATGGCAATACTTTGCATATCTCTACTGTCACATTACACTATGAATTATTAATACTCTATTCACTACTGAAAAGTCATTAATGCCTTTACATCTTATCAGATTAGGGAAGTAATTCATAAAACTCATCCTTAAAATTCTGTTCCTCTAGAATTGCTCTCAGTACCAAATTCTGTTACTCTAGATTCTCTAGATAAATAGAATCAATAGGCTGTATATATACAGTGAGAAAGATTTATTTTAAAGAACTGACTCATGATTGTGGGGACTGGCAAGTCAATATCTGCAGGGCAGGCCAGCAGGTTAGACCCCAGGGAAAAGTTGACATTGTAGTCTTGAGTGCAAAGGCAGTCTGGAGGTAGAATTCCTTCTTCCTCTGGAAATTTTAGCGTTTTTTTCTTAATGACTTCAACTGACTGAATAAGGCCCACTCTCGTTATGGAGGCTAATCAGCTTTACTCAAAGTCTGCTAATCTAAAT
Source organism: Homo sapiens (assembly GCF_000001405.40). Classification (NCBI taxonomy): domain Eukaryota; kingdom Metazoa; phylum Chordata; class Mammalia; order Primates; family Hominidae; genus Homo; species Homo sapiens. Next base: position 46,977,074 of record NC_000010.11, on the reverse strand, counting down.
GTTAATTACATCTTTTAAAAAATACCTTCACACCAACATCTAGACTAATATTTGACCAAATAGCTGAGTATCATAGCCTAGCCTAGTTGACACATGAAATTAACCATTAAACAAGCTAAAAATTTTAGTAGATGATTTGAAGGAGGAAATTTTTTAAAAACTTATATTAGTTTCCTATAAAACCAAGTGAAAGAAAAAAATAAGAATAAAAATGAGAGAGAGAGAGAGATAGAGAAAGTACTTGCAAAACTACAGAGGTAAAAGAAGTAACGAGAAAAGGTTTTATAAGATAGAACCAAGAGGCAACCCTAAAATTCATAGAAACTAAAAAAAAAAAAAAAAAAAGACAAGAGTAGACTGAAGAGTAGAAATTACAACTAAAGGAAGATCAATTAAAGGGTTTATTTGTCTAGGTAAGAATGATGGAAATGAAGCATACCTGGTAACATTATTTAATTCCAGGAAAATAGTTAAAGATTTTGAAATAAAAGAGCATATTTCTCATGAAGAAAAGGAGTCAGATGGCCATTACAGTTCTCATCTAAAACACTGGAAGGAAGAGGACAGTGAAGTAACACTCAGGGAAAAAAAATGAGAAAAAAAAGAACTAAAACCCAAGATTCCTAAAACCAACAAGGATATTCGTTTATCAGGATAAAAAAAAAAAAAAAAAAAAGTAGAGCTTGAGACTGCATCAACTACTTATACCCATCTCCAATCAAACAATTAATTCATCAGAACAGTGATTTCAAATTAAGGGAAAAGGGAAAGAAAATGAAGTAATAGCAACAAATACTACAAAACATAGTTTCATATCTATAAGAAGAATGACGAGAGCCAGGCATTCCAGCTACTTGGGAGGCTGAGACAGAAGGATCACTTGAAGCCAAGAGTTTGAGACCAGCCTAAGCAAAAGCGTGAGTCCCTGTTTCTAAAAAAAAAATAAATGAATAAAAAATTAGCTGGGTATGGTGGCACATGCCCATCCCCATAGTCCCAACTACTTGGGAAGCTGAGGTGGGAGGATTGCTTGAGCTCAGGAGTTTGAGGTTTCGGTGAGCTATGATTATGCTACTGCACTCCAAGTAGACTCTGATTCTTAAAGAAACAAAACAGCTCTGTGCGGTGGCTCATGCTTATAATCCCAGCACTTTGGGAGGCCGAGGTGGGTGGATCACCTGAGGTCAGGAGTTCGAGACCAGCCTGACCAACATGGAGAAAACCCATCTCTACTAAAAATACAAAATTAGCCAGGTGTGGTGGCACATGCCTGTAATCCCAGCTACTCAGGAGGCTGAGGCAGGAAAATCGCTTGAACCCAGGAGGCAAAGGGTGCGGTGAGCTGAGACTATGCCACTGCACTCCAGCCTGGGCGACAGCGAGACTCCATCTCAAAAGGAGAAAAAAAAAAAGGTTTCTTGAAATAGGAAAGAAAACAATGTACAATAAATACAGTGGTGGTTAGGCCTGGGTTTGAATCCCAGATCTCTCTCCTATTTGCAGTGTGAAAGTGAGAAAATTACTTATCTCTTTTAGCCTTTCTGTAAACAAGGACACTAACATACTGACACCTTAGAGGTAGGTTGTTGTGGGGATTAAACATTACTACCTATAACAGACTTAAATTAGTAATAAGCAATAGTAATAAACATATTAGTGTTACTACTACTATTATTATTAGTGGGTGGTAGTAGCAGAAACAAACATAGAGCAACCTCAAGAAGTACAGAAAGAAGCTTGTTAAATCTCTGCCTTGAAGAGCTTGTTTTCCCATCTATCTATATTATAATGCTGAAGTGTATGAAAATTTTTTAAAAGTGTAATATACCTTTTGCACTCACAAACCACCTTTTTAACAGTTTATGGAGGTAAAACTGTCATACATGTGCACCCATGAGACCACCACCACAATAAAGATAATTAAACATCTCCATCAGTGCAAAACTATCCTCATGCCTCTTTATAATCTATCCTTCTTGCTCTCATCTTGCCCCAAGGCAACCACTGAGACGTTCTGTCAATACAAATTAGTTTAAATTTTCTAACATTTTATATATGTGGAAGCATACAGTATATTAGTTTTCTAGGTTTGAAATTTATTTTCACATTCTGGAGGCTGGAAGTCCAGTATTGTTATGGTTTGGATGTTTGTCCTCTCCAAACCTTATGTTGAAAACTGATCCCCAACATTGGAAGTGGGGCCTAATGGGAGGTTTTGAGTCATGGAGACAAATCACTCATGAATAGATTGATGCCCTTCCTCAGGGTTGAGTGAGTTCTCACTCTATTCACTGCCGCAAAAACCGATTATTAAAAAGGACCAGGCACCTCTCTCTCTCCCTCTTGTGTCCTCTTTCACCATGTAATCTCTGCACATGCTGATTCCACTTCACCTTCTACCATGAGTGGAAGTAGCCTGAAGCCCTCACTAGAGGCCCAATCTTGAACCTTCCAGCCAGCAGAACTGGGAATTAAATAAACCTCTTTTATTTATAAATTAACCAGCCCCAAGTATTCCTTTATAGCAATACAAAATGGAATAAGACAGAAAATTGGTACTGAGAATTGGGGTGTTGCTATAAAGATACCTGAAAATGTGGAAGCAGTTTTGGAACTGGGCGATGAGCGGAGGTTGGAAGTGTGTGGAAGGCTCAGAAAAAGACAATAATATGAGAGAGTGTCTGGAAAAAGTGCCCAAAGGCACTTCAGAAATATTTGGGGCCACCCCTTCCCTAATAGGCCCAAGGCCTTCTGGGGACAGACCTGGAGCACCACTGCCCTTGGCCACCTCAGGATGCTGCTCCCCACATCCTGGCTGCTCTGGCTCCAGCAGTGGGTCAAATGGCCCCAGGTAGGGTTTGGGCCACTGCTCCTGAGGGGCTAAGTGGTAAGCCTTGGTGGCATTCATGTGGTGTTAAGTCTGCAGGCATCCAGAATGCAAGGGACATGGAGGCTTGGCAGCTTTAACCTAAATTTCAGAGAATATATTAAAAAGCCTGGGAAAGCAGGCAGATGCCTATTGCAGGAGTGGAGCCACCAAAGAGAGCCCCTACCAAGGCAATCTTTAGTGGAAATGTTGGGTTGGAGTTTCCTTAGAGTCCCCACCAGGGCAACTCTTAGTGGACCCACAAAGGTGCTGGAACCCCACAATAGTAGAGCTATCCACAGCATTCCACCTCAGCCTGAAAAAGCTGCAGCATTATTACAACCCATGGAAGCAGCCAGTGGTCTACGCCCAGCAAAGCTATGGGGGAAGGGCTACTCAAGGCCTTGGGAGCCCACCCCACACACCACTGTGACCAATATGTAGGAGATAGAGTCAAAGGAGATTATTTTGGAGCTTTAAGATTTAAAGTGTGCCCTGCTGTGTTTTGGACTTGCATGGGGCCTATTATCCCTTTCTTTTGACCAATTTTTCCTTTTTGGAATGGAAACATTTACCCAGTGCCTGTACCACCATTGTACCTTGGAGGTAAATAATCTCTTTTTTGATTTTACAGGCTTACAACTGGAAAGAACTTACTTTGAGTCTCAGATGTGACTTTGAACTTTTAAGTTGGTGCTGAAACAAGTTGACTTTTAGGGACTATTGGGAAGGAATAATTGTATTTTGCAATGTGGTAAGAACATAAGTTTTAAAGGGCCGGGGGCAAAATGCTATGATTTAGATGTTTGGCCCTTCTAAACCTCATGTTGAAACTTGATTCCCAATGTTGGAAGTGGAGCCTAATGGGAGGTGTTTGAGTCACAAGGGCACATCCCTCATTAATAGATTAATGGCAGGAGTGAGCTCTCACTCTATTCGTTCTGCAAGAGCCTGGTACCTCCCCATTTCTCTCCTGCTTCCTCTCTCACCATGTGATCTCTGCATATGCTGGTTTTACTTCACTTTCCACCATGAGTGGAAGCAGCCCATAGCCCTCACCAGATGCCCACTCTTGAACCTTCCGGTCTGCAGAACTATGAGCTAACTAAATCCCTTTCCTTCATAAATTATTCCTCTATAGCAACACAAAGAAACTAAGACAAAGATCAAGGTGGCAGCAGGCTTGGTTTTTCCTGAGGCCTCTCTCCTTGGCCTGCCAATGGCTGCCTTCTTGCTGTGTCTTCACATGGACCTTTCTCTGTGCCTTTGGATCCCTGATGTCTCTTGTGTGTCCCAATTTCTTCTTTATATAAGGACATCTGATGGATTGGATTGGGCACACTCTAAGAACCTCATTTTATATTAATTACTACTTTAAAGGCCCTATCTCCAAATCAGGTCACATTCTGAGGTACAAAGGGTTGGAACTTCAACATACAAATTTTGGGAGAATTTAATTTGGCTCATAACACACAGTATATACTCTTTTGACTGGCTTATTTCACTGAGTAAAATTATTTTAAGATTCATTCATGTTGTTCAATGCATTGTTAGTCATTTTTTATTGCCTAGTTGCATTCTATTATGTAGACATACCACAATTTGTTTATTCACTCTTCCGTTGATGGGCATTTGCACTGTTTCCAGTTTTTGGCTATTATAAGTAAATCTGATATGAACATTAGTATATAAGTCTTTATGCAGACATATGCTTTAATTTCTCTTAGGTAAAACATATGAATAGAACTGCTAAATCATATGGTAGGTACATGTTTAACTTTATTAGAAACAAATTCCATTTCATTGCAGTGAGTGTAAAATGGTATCTCATTATGGTTTTAATTTGCATTTTCCTAATGATTTACAATGGTGAATATCATTTCATGCATTTATTTGCCATCCTTATATCTTCCCTGAGAAGTGTCTGCTCAAATTTTTTGCTCATTTAGTGTTGGGTTATTTGTCCTCTTCTTGATTTGTAGTAATTATAGATTATAAATATAAGTTTTTGTGAGATAAATGTTTTGCCTGTATTTTTCTTCTAGCCTGTTGCTTTCCTTTTTGGTTTTATAATAATATGCTTTGAAGAGCAGGGTTTTTTTTTTAATTTGATGAAGTCCAATTTATTTTTTTTCTTTTACAATTTGAGGGTTTTGTGTCCTATTTAGGAAAAATTTGCCAAAGCCAAGGGCAGTAACGTTTTCTCCTAGGGTTTCTTTCAGAAGTTTTATGTTTTTAACTCTAATGATAGGTCTATAATCTATTTTGAGTTAATTTTTATATAAGTTGTGAGGTAAGAATCAAAGTTCATTTTTGGTACATGAATATGCAACTGTCCAGATGATTTGTTGAAAGATTATCCCTTCCTTATTGTCTTGCATTAAATTTAGATATTATCATCTTCTCTGTTCTTCTCACATGATCATACAGAACACTCAATGAGAAATATATAAGCATGCTCTGAAAAGTGAGAAGCTAACAGAAACCTAAGTCACTACCTTGATTAGTTCTGAATAGGTCCCTGATAGATAAGTAACAGAAAAAATATTAGGCCAGGAGTTGGGGAACCTGTGTGACTCGCTCTTTTATTAGCCTTCAAACTGCTTTGTAAGTTGTGAAATGGTAAAGAAATGGAAGATATTGTCTTTATACCTAAAAATTCCTATACTACATAATAAAGGCCATTCTTGCTTGGCATGATGGTACAGGGCCATAAATATGACCATGCAAGTTGAAACCATGCGAAAGGACCTTTGTTGTTGTTGTTGTTGTTGAGACGGAGTCTTGCTCTGTCGCCCGGGGCTGGAGTGCAGTGGCGCTATCTCAGCTCGGCTCACTGCAAGCTCTGCCTCCTGAGTTCACGCCATTCTCCTGCCTCAGCCTCCTGAGTAGCTGGGACTACAGGGGCCTCCACCACGCCCAGCTAATTTTTTTGTATTTTTAGTAGAGACAGGGTTTCACCGTGTTAGCCAGGATGGTCTTGATCTCCTGACCTCCTGATCTGCCCGCCTCGGCCTCCCAAAGTGCTGGGATTACAGGCATGAGCCACCGCGCCCAGTCACAAAAGGATCTTAGTAATCAATAGGAAATATTATTCTTGTTTCATGGCTCTTAACATTTTTTGTGAAATCATTAAAAACTCACTTATTGCTGGCTATACATATATAGAGAAGCAAAAAATAGCAAGACTAATATTTAGAACATTGTAATTTAAAACATTAGAAATATTGGGAATTAAAGCATTTAATTTGTTAAAAAAAAAAAAAAAAACTTACCCAGAGTAGTTTGAACAGTGTTTGCCTCTTCTTTTTGTTGTATAACTTACAATACAGAGTGAGCATTTTTTCTATGTCTAGGCTAACTTCCAAGTCTGGATCAGTTTCCACCTTTTATCCTTGGCACTTATATTGCTGTGAAATAGCTCCAAAGTTTCTTTAATGTCAAGTTTTCTACCATCATTGCTTCCCCTAGGTTGCCTTTATCCTTTTCCTCACAAGCACTTTGGTCATTCATGTCGGTAAGTTCCCCTTCCACAGGTGCCTTAGGCTGCAGCTCTAGGGTCTTTTGAGCAGTAGCAGTGTCAGCATGTCCCTGGTCAGCTAGTTCTTCTATAACTCCATTCAAATTTCATTTCCAACATTATCACTTTTTATCCCTTTATTGCAGTTTCATCTCTCTCAGCCAAATCTCTCTCTTGATTATACATTTTGGTAAAAGGTCATAGGGGTTTACCATTGAGAGACAAGGAGACAATACAATCACATGCTTTGCTGTGTGTGAACTGAATAAGAGGCTCACAGTTACCTATCACTGACATATTTTGAAAGAAGTAACATTTATTAGTCACTGGTCATGATGCACATCTGTTATTTACATAGGGACTTGTGGACTAAAGTGCCAGCAAAGATGCTTACTACTTTAGGCAATTACTTGCAGTGAATATATTGTGGTAACTAAAATGTGAATTGTACTGTGGGACTGGTGTTATTTAGCTAAACACAGTAACTGATATTTGAGCATATTGGGGCCATGCAAAGTGAAGGTTCCCTATATTTGCAGTGTTCAAAGGTGTGTGAATTCATCTATTTAGTGTTCTCAGCATTTGAAGACGACAAATAAATTACTTCTTTAGCTTTCTTAATATGAGTCTTCAGGAACCTTTTCTATAAAGTCAAGAAATGTGTGATTAAAAAAACCACAGAGCTTTCTATGATGGCCACTTAAGTTGGCTGAGTTTCAGATTAGATTACACTGCGTTATGAGGTAGATATACCAATGGGCCTTTAAAAAGAATATGGTTGAATTATAGTTTCTTTTCTTTTATGAAAAGCCAAAAGTTTTACATAACTTCCCTTACTTTAATGATTTAACATTATTTTTATTATCTTTGAATTTCTTAGTTGTAACTCTTTTGATATCCAGAATAAAAACTTCAAGTCAGATCAAATATTATGTGTACCTTCTATTGTAAAATGAGCTTCTTACAATCCCGAGAGGCTAATTTTTAAGGCATGTTTGCTTTTAGTCTCCTTGAGGGCAAACTGCACATGCAGAAATAGAAATTATAAAATTTGGACCTTTGACATTTTGGAGAAGCAACAAATTATTAGTATTATTTATTAAAATGTCTAATCATGGTTCATTATTCTGATTTCAGAAGTATTCATCAATGCACTTCTCCACACTCTCCCCACAGAAGATAACAGAATAGCTTATTTTAACCATGTTGGATATGTACTTGTTTTTTATCATCATAAAGTTAGTTTCAATTCTAATAAACCAACTAAACATGAAGGTATTTATCTAGTGACCGCAGTCACTGTGTTCCACTCTGGTTTTTATAATAACTATCTCAAGTCTAGTAGGAGAAACAAAAGTGAAAATAATTAAAATATGGTTTGGTAGAAGGGGAGAGTGGTTACAAGATGCTGTGAGACTACTGGAAAAACACCAAACCTAGCTTTGAGGAAAATAAGAAAAGCCTATTGGAGCTGGTTAAGAAAGATAGCAGGAACTGCCTCAGCAAAGAAGGGATGAGTAGTTCTTTCAAGAACTGCAGGTTAAGAGGCATAAAAACCAACAAATAAGAAAAGAATTATGAATTCTAGATACCAAAAGAAGTTTTGTGGGAGAGCTAAGGCTAGAGAGGCAAACAGGTGAAATTCTTAGGCCATGTTAAACAACTGTACCATGATAGTAACAAAGAGCCAAGAAAGAGCTTTAAAAGAAGAGCTACATGTTCTGACTTGCATTTTAAGAAAATCTCAGTAGCTTTTGTGAATGATCAGAAAGGGAGGCAGTAAAGAAGAACGTAACCAGCTGAGAGGTAAAATGGGCTCAGTCTAAGTCAGCAGCAGTGGGAACTGAGAGATGGGGGAGGACTCCAGAGGTATTATGGAGGTAGAATCAACTGACTCCCTGTTTTCTGGTTTGAACTTGGTGATTACATAAGATATAGAATATAAGAAGAGGGTCAAGTTGGAGGAAGTAAAATAGTAAATTTAGTTTTGAAAAACTTTGACTTTGAAAGGAATGTGAGTTATGGAATGAGATATCCTGCCTAAGATTAAAATTGCATTGCTGTGTTTTGATTCTGCTCTTTGAATGGCCTGAGATGGATAACTCCTAAGAGTAACTGAGTGAGGAGGACAGAAGGTGCCACTACCCTCCCATCCAACACAGGGAAGCAATGTTAAGGCTCTGTGGAGACAATCAAAAGGCAGCCTCCTGTTGGAGAGCAGATTAACAGCTTTATTGTCCAGGATGAAGGATGCAAATAGCTCTTTTTTCGCGTGTCTAAACAAAATAGCCAGAGAAGGTGGTTAAGGCTTCGGGTACCAAAAGTGGTGTATGACTCAGACTATTGGATTTTATGTTTTGGAAGGCTCATGCTCTGAGAAGCAGCAATATATGAGAACAAGGCTGAAGGACTGCTGTAAAGGACCCTGTAACAGTGGCTGAAGGATGTACCAGAAAACAGAGGACCTGACTCTCTCATATGTAGCACATATCTTAGAATATGCCCAGATCACCCAGTGCTATGTACCAGAACCCTTTATCATGGTCACAGGCCAAAATGTCTCATACAAAAAGCCATACAGTGCCCTTTGCACTTTTTCTAAATGTAAACAGGAAAATAATCAAAACTATTTTTAGCTTACATGGAAGAATATCTCGGTATCTATTTTTTTCTCTGTTGCTTGGTTGATTCCCAGAGTTGAACTCACCAGGCAGATTCTTAAGTTCTAAAGCCTTTAAAAGGTTAAAAATGAATAAATAAATAAATAATAAATTGTGTATTTACTATAACCAATAAAAAAGAAAAAAATATGCCTTTGTTTAGTGCTCATGATCCTTAAATCCCTATATGACATGACCTGCTATTTAATGTGTTGTATGATAAGTGAAGCTAGATCCTCATTTAAAAAGTGCTATATAAAATATCTCAAGTTTCACATGCCAATCAATGAGTTGGTTAATAAGAAAATGTTAAACTTTCTGGAGATACTTTCCACTTGAACTTCATTTTGTTCTTCTTTCATAAAAAAGGAAATACAAGCTATTCATTTCTCAGAACCTACCCACAGATCTATCATTTTATAAATAAAAATAACAACATAACAACAACAAAAACATATAAACAAAAAATATATACAAACAGTCTCACAATTTACCCTTCCCCTTTGAAGAAATTATAGTTAGGACCCTAAGAATCCTTCCTTTCAAAAAATTTCTTTACCAAGTGTGAATTCAACAAACACTTATTACGCATTTAGTAGGTATCTGGCCTTGTTTCAGACACTGGAATACAGGGATGAATTGGATAATGGCCTCATCCTTAAGGAGTGAACAGAGTAGTTAGAGGACATGTAATCAAATACCATGTGACCAATGTACGGAGACAGTAGTATAAATGACAGCACTAGATTGCACCTAAAAGTCAAGAAGAAAAGCTCCTCAAAGGGAAATAGCCCTTGAACTGGGCCTTAGTGAGTCACTGGAAGTTAGCATATGAAAAACAGTGTGTACTTAGAAGGAAAGAGGAGAGAAGGTGAAGGGGTGGAAATAATGGAGGCATACATGTCCCTTTGGGAAACTGTGACTAATACGGTAATAAGAGCACAAAGCACATGATCTAGTCCAACAACAGACTAAAACTATAAAATATCTTGTTTCATATATAAATGAAATTAGGAGGTAGCTAGTCATACTTTATTAGAATATTTGTGGAGAAAGCCTGAAAATCTATACATTTTCAAAGCTCTTGGGTAACTCTTGTGTAGCCAACCTAGCAACCGCTGCCATGGGGAACAAGGAGCCTGTGAAGGTTTTAAGTAGTACAATAAAATGATCAAGTCTTTCTGAAAATCAATTTTAAAATTAATCTGGAAAAAATTCTGTAGGAAGAATGAGAAAAAATTCATTTATGAATGAATAATGATGGCAGATGAGTCTCATTAGATGTTAAAAGATAATATGAAGCTATGCTAATTAACAGAACAATACCAATAAAGGAATAAGAAAATCAGTAGAAAAAGTCCAAGAATAAATTAAAATATATGTAAGGCTCTAGTATATGATAAAAGTGGCATTTTACCTCACTCAAGAGAAATTCCAGGAGAGTCTTGGGACAACTGGATAGTTATATAATGCTGAGTCCCTATCAAACATCTTATACCAAATTAAATTCTAGCTGCATCAAAGATTTAAATGCTTAAAAATCATAAAGGTACTAGAAAAAAACATGAAGTAATTATTACAATCCTAGAGTAAAAGAAGCATTCCTAAAGAGCACAGAAAGCCCCAAACCCAGAAGCCCCAAAAGCAAAGATTGCCATATTTGACCACTAAAAATCAGCTATTTCTTCATGGTAAATAGGCATGTGTGTGCACATGCATGTGCACCTGTGTGTAACACAAACAACAGCAGAAAAAATACTACGTGTAAGACACACAAAGGCATAATTTTTTCCTTAAAGAGTTAGTAATCGGCCAGGCGCGGTGGCTCACGCCTGTAATCCCAGCACTTTGGGAGGCCAAGGTGGGCTGATCACCTTAGGTCAGGAGTTTGAGAGCAGCCCTGGCCAACATGGTGAAACCCTGTCTCTACTAAAAATACAAAAATTAGCCAGGTATGGTGGCAGGCACCTGTAATCCCAGCTACTCGGGAGGCTGAGGCAGGAGAATCGCTTGAACCTGGGAGGCGGAGGTTGCAGTGAGCCGAGATCGCACCACTGCACTCCAGCCTGGGGGACAAGAGCAAGACTCATCTCAAAAAAAAAAAGAGTAACCAATAAGAAAAAAAAAAAAAGGAAAATGGGGCAAAGAATTGAAACTAGCAGTTCACTGAAAATATAAAAGGCTTAAAAACATATGGAAAGATATTCTTTTGTTCTCAAATAAATACCAATTAAGTAATCAATAAGAAATAATTTGTCATTTAAGAGATGAGAAAAGATCCAAAAAATTGATAGCCCAAAATATTAATATTGTCTTTCTAGGAATTTGTTCAAAAAATATTTAAATATATGCATACAGTATATGAAGAGAGATGACCGCTGTTCATAATAGCAAAGACTAGAACAACCTAAATGTCCAAATGTTCCATGGTAGTTAATTATATGGATAAGTACCCTAATTTCAGAAATTAAATATTAAATAAATTAAGGTACTTATCCATATAATTACCATGCAACACTTAAAAAAATGAGATACTGCTATACATGCTGATAATATACTTGGAAATTGTATCTAGGAGGAAAACAAATTTAAGGATGTAAAGTGCATTCCAACAAATTTTTTTAAAAGTTTGCATGACAAAATGACAAAATGAATAGTGTAAAGGGGCCCTAGAAAGTCTTGAGAGAAAGAGAGAGACTTTCTATTTTATATCCTTTTATGCTATTTGGCTTTTTTTTTAACCACGTACATCTATTACTTTAAAATATATATAACATTTAAAAGTAAAAACAATGTACTAAAACCAAATAAAGAAAGAAAAGAAAAGAAACCCTCTGGCAATGATATAAAAAAAGAAATCACATATAGACTTTCGTTAAGAAAATATTTACCATAAATTCCTGCATGATATCATACGCTGCTGTTTTTTCCTCAAGGATTTTCAAACAATCCTTGATGGCTGTCTGCTCATGAAAATTGAATATTAATGGCCGAATCTGAGCCAACTGATCTAGTTCTCCTTCAGAAACAATTTTGCGCGTATCTAAGGAAGAGAAAAATTCACATATGTAAGTTACTGGTATATATGTGAAGGGAGATTTTATTTTTGTTTCTGTTTCTCTTAAAGACACAGCCATTTAAGGGTAAACAGAAGTTTATTTTTCCACGGGTGAAGAGTCTACTACTTTGAAAGAGGCTTCCTTTGGAAAAATCATGGCTATTTACACCTTGAAATTATACAAAATCCACTGCCCTTGGAGAAAACTGTTCAGTGCCATAAACATAACGAATGCTGTGGATTGAGAAGTGTTCAGTTTTATAATGTGAATTGGGTATATGGATTGAAAATTATGCCAAGGCAAGAACGTACAAGGCTTGGATTAGGAAAGAGAACTTTTGCCCTCCCTGGGACCAAGTGTTTGGAAGTTCCTAGAGTCTGAGATGTGGTGATGTGGAGAGTTCACGTCCTGTTTCATTACTCTGAAACAGATTGAACATGAACGCACACACGTGCACACACACCAAGGATGGAGAGGATCTATGCAATATAATTAATAAGATGGAATAATGGATACATATGGACACTTGCAACCAATAATTGGGGAGAACATTCTATTAATATTTAATAGCACACATACAATCTTTTTATTTTTAATTATGATCTTTTAGGTAATGTTGACAGTCAAGGTTCCAAACATCTGAAATTTTATACATTATGTCCACTGGCCAAAATGCAATAAATCTAGAAGTCAACAGTAAAAGAGTATTTTAAAAGCTTCAAAATTTTGAGGTAAGATGTTCAAGTAAAACAAGTTCTCATAATCTCTTTGCAAAGCCAAATAATGTGAACAATAATCAAGTTAATACCAGCAAAAAGATATATACAAAACAATATAGCAAAAGAAAGAGGTGGAAATTTCTAAGAATCTGCACATTCCTGGGAAGCACATCTTATCTTGGTACTCCACTATATCCAGAGGCTCTTTGTAGGGTTGGAAGTGAGGGCTCTTGGTTGGGATAGACAGGCACAGAAATCCTAAAATTTCTCACAAATATCCCTAACCTTAGTATGAGAGGAGGTCTAAGCAGGCTGGAAGGGGAGATAAAATTCCCACAAGCGTAGAAGCCATTTTGATCATCTTTGATGCCCAACAGAAAAACCCTTAGATCTTCCCATTGTGTTCCACCTTTGCTAGTACAAAAGCTGGGAGAATGAAGAGAGAAAAAAATGAAAATGTAGAATGACTGTAACAAACACTGGTGTTGACTCCCCAACACCGATTCTACCCCTCTGGTTAGTTAAAGCCATTTGTGATCATTCCATAGTAAGATCCTTCCAGTGAATAATTCAGAAATAGGTAGGAGATTTGCGCCAACCATAGAAATAGGCTGGTCTTGTAAAAAAGAGAAGCAAACCTCTCTTCTACCCTCATCCCTCTGTACACACATAAACAAAGAAGTATAAGGACCTAATTATCATAGTCTGCCCTCTTATGGCCATAAAAGGAAAGAGTATAGCAAATGTGAAAAACATAAAGAAACTATGTTCTTGATGACATTAGCAACTGATCATATTGAACCTGGAATCCTTCCTATCTCTGGGCTTCCATTATGGTAGAAAATATATATATATCTTTATCATTAACATCATTCTGAATTTGGTCTCTTTTTCTTGTAGCCTGGTCCAAGAATTCCAATCAAAGTATAAAGGTGAGGTTTCAGCTGTAGATCCTGGGAATCATTTCAGCCAGTTTACAGAAAGGGATTTGATCTAGCTATTTGGTGTTGTATCACCATTGTGTGGGCTTGAAGAACAGATGCTTCTCTCATTATGATCCAAGAACAACACTGCATAATGGTCTGCCAAGAAAAGTTCTGTCTTTGCCACAATTAGGAAACTGAGGAAGTTGGAGACCATTTTTTCTAGCCACTGGCTCCTAGATGACACCACTTCAGCAACAATGGAGAAATAAGAAAGTCACTACCACAACTGTTGGCTCTAGTAACACATCACCTTACCTATAATGAGGACCAGGAACGCCAAGCCTGCTATGATGCATAGCAATAAAATGGATGCCTCTCTACACATTTACATCTTGGCTAAGTGCATATGATCGGCAAAGCCCAAATAAGCTACCAGGAAGTCTTGAAAATGTAATTTTTCATTTTTCTGCCTGGGCCATACAGGAAGGTACACTAGGAGAAGGGTGTGACTGATATTGAGTAAGGGCATCTGTGATATCTGCTTAACATTTCAGCCACACCATGCCCTTTGAGTATCCTGCTCCTTGGCCCCTATCCCTTCAGCACACTTATCATTGTCCTCGGGCAAAATAAACAATGCAGCCCTCCAAAATACAGTTTACAAGGGAAGATGATGAGATCCAAATAAAAATGGAAATCAGGAAGAATTCATTCCTGCTCAATCAACAAAACCGAAGAGACAGAAAAAGCTATACGTGTTCATAACAAAATGGAATAAAATGTGAAACACAGAAAAAATAATAATATAATATAGCATGCAGAATAATTTTTAAAATCTATTCTAAAATGGAAGATAAGCTTAAAAAGGAAAATGAACTGTGTATGCAACATCTGTCGAAAGAAAAAGAAAAATTATTTTAAATAACAGTTCACAAGGAGATAAGAAAACAATAGAATGAGGTTTAAAAAAATTAGTTTATAAACCTAAGAAAATAAAGGTAAAACTCAAAAGTACATAATTACAGCAATAATTTATAATTAAATCGAATTCTGCAAGAAACAAAGCAGACAGTTGAAAATCAACTTATTGCCATAGGACAAAGGCATGTATACATACAGTAATGAAGACAAGAAAGGTTTAAAAACAAACAGTGAAAAGATAATGCATGTGAGGACCTCATCAGAGGCTCAGGAGAAAAGCTGCAGACAGGGTGAGGAACTTGAGAAATCCTCCTTTGTGGGGCAAGCTTGGGAAGGGGAAAAACAGCATCCACAGGAATGGCACAAAGCATGCCCAAAATGCTTTTCCCTATTTCCCTAATGGACCAAAAGCATAAGAACCTGAGAAAACGCATGAAACTCTGTCATCCTCAAGGCACAAATGAAGACTCATTAACATTGGGGGTAGGGAAGAGAGAAGAGCATCCTGGACCCAGGCCATAAGATATTCCCTACACCTGCAGAATGGACAAAATAACAAAGGAGGTACCGCCTGAGGCCTTCCTAAGACTGAGACTGAACAAGGACAGCAGAGAATGTCACCCCAACCAGGTTGGCAAGCAAGGTAATCATAAGTAAGAGCTCTCTACTGCTGGGAATTAGAGAAGATCATGGAGAAGACCTTCTCTGAGGTGCATGTACAATGGGAAGAGCTAAAGCAGAGGGTGGAGTAAACACTGAGGCAAATCCTCTACATGTAAGGTAACACTGGAGGAATTTGAAGCTGGTGGTGCACTAAGGGTAACCATAGCAACATCAAACCCAAGCCCTGCTGCATTACTGAGTAAATTGATGCAACTCCTCACACTGAAGGCCTACCAACAAAAGAGTCATGTCCATCCCTATTTACCTCAGCGTCTAGAACTTAGCTAAGAAATACTACAATAGCTCCCCCTTAGCTGCAGGGGATATGTTCCAAGACCCCCAGTGGATGCATGAAACTCTGGATAGTATTGAACCTGATCGTCATCAACTGAAACATATTTTTGTTCATGTCTTCCACCCATAAATTTAATGCCTTTTCCATCTTAAGTAAGCATGTATCATGCACTGTGGCCATAACTTTGGCACTCTGATGTGCAACAGCAAAACTTGGATAGAAGATTCATTCTTACCATAGGTCTACGCAACTTTAGCATATGATTTTTTTCTTTCCTTATTAAGTCAAGAACTTTCACCTTTTCATGTAAAGAAAGCACTTTACAGCTTCCCTTTGGCATATTCAAATTGCCAGCATCACTACTCTTTGGGGCCATTACTAAGTAAAATAAGGGTTACTTGAACACAAGCACTGTGAGGCCAAAACAGTAGATCTGATAACCAAGATGACTACTAGTTGACTAAGAGACAGGTAGCACATAGGGCATGAATATGCTGGACAAAGGAATGATTCACTCCCAGGCAGGACAGAGCAGGACAGTGTGAGGTTTCATCACACTACTCAGAACAGTGTGCAATTTAAAACTTATTGTTTATATCTGGAATTGTCCACTTAACATTTTTAGTCTGTGGTTGACTGCAGGTAACTGAAACTATGAAGAGTGAAACCATGGATAAGACATTTTTACTTCTATCTCTAGACTATACAATATTCAGTTTTCAACCAAAAAATTATAGAGTACACACAGAAGTAAGAAAAAGAGAAAAAAGTTGCCAAGAGACAAAGCAATCAACAGAACCAGACAGAGATATAACATATGTTAAAACTGTCAAGTGATGAATTTAAAATAGTGATAATCAATGTGTGAAAAGGCAGTGGGAAAAGTAGACAATATACATGAACAAATGGAGAATTTCAATGGAGAGATGGAAGCCATAAAAATAATAAAGTGGAAATGCTTAAAGTAAAAAAAATATTGTAAGAAATTAAGCATGTTATTGATAAGCTCATCAGTAGATTTCACAGAGGCAAGAAAAGAATTCATGAATTACAAAATAGATCAAGAGGAATTATCTGAATTAGAACACAGAGAAAAAAGGTAGATGAGGGGCAGAGGCAGAGAAGAAGAGACCATCCAAGAACTACAAACCAATATCAAACAGACTAATATATTATACCTGTAAATGGAATCCCAAAATAGAAGAGAAGGAGAATTGGGCAGAAGAAATATTTGAAAAGATAATAACTGAGAATTTTTTCCAAAATGAATGAAAGACACCAAGCCTCAGATCCAAAAGCTCATCAAAAACAATATAAGCCAGAAGACAATTGAGTGACAACTTTAATGTAATCAAAGAAAAAATCAAAATAAAGAAATTAAGATTTCAGTAAATACATGACTAATTATAAAAGCTAGTATTCTTGTAACAATAATGTGTAACTTCACTTTTTCTTTTCTACATGATTTAAGAGATGACTTTTTCCTAAATTTATTAGCCTAAAAATAAAAAAATTATCATAACTTTAGATTGTAAATCAACATTTTGTTTTCTACATGAGAAACTAAAGCATTAAAAACATTATTTTATGTTTTGGAACACATAATATATAAAAATGTAATTTTGTGACAACAAATGAAAGAGATGGGGTCAAAACTGTCAAAGGTCCACAGTTTTTTTTTTTTTGTATTTTACTGAATTAGGCTGGCATAAATTCAAATTAGAGTGATAAGTTTAGGATGTTAAATATAATGCCCATGGTAACCACAAAGAAAATAGCTAAAAACAATACATAAAGGAAATTTTTTAAGAATTTAAATATTTCATTACAAAAGGCAACTAAATACAAAAGGAGACAGTAAGGCAAAAAAAAATGAGGAACAAAAAAGCTACAAGAAATATTTTTTTAAAATAGCAAAATGACAGAAGTCTCTCCTTATCAGTAATTACTTTAGATATAAATGAATTAAACTCACCAATTGAAAGAAAGATTGGCAGAATGGATTAAAAAATAAAAACATGATCCAACTATACACTGTCTACAAAGGACTCACTTTAGATCCAAAGACACGAATAGGTTAAAAGTAAAAGAAATATTCCATGCAAACAGGAACCAAAACAGAGCATGAATAGCTATATTAATATCAGATAAAATCGATTTTAATTTTAAAAAGTTAAAAATGACAAAGAAGGACATTATATATCATAAAAGGTTCAATACAGCAAGAACATATAACAGTTATAAACATTTACACGCCTAGTAACAATCAAAATACACAAAGCAAAAATTGACAGAAATGAAGAGAGAAACAGTTTTACAATAATAATTGAAGATTTCAATATCCCATTTTCATTAGTGGATAGAACAATTAGACAGAAGTAAGAAAAGGGAGGACTTGAACAATATAATAAACAAAGTATATCTAACAGATACATACAGAATCCTCTGTGCAACAACAGACCACATATTTAAGAACACATGGAATATTTTGCATGTGTTAGGCTATAAACTAAGTATCAGTCAATTTTAAAACACTGGTATCACAAAGAGTATCTTCTCAAAATACAAGAGATAAAGTTAGAAATCAAATATAAGAAAAACTGATAAACTTACAGATTTGTGAAAATTGAACGACATAATTTTAAAACACCAATGGATCAAAGAAGGAATTACAAGGGAAATTAGAAACATTTAGAAATGAGTGAAAACATAACACAACATATCAAAACTATGGGACACAGCAAAAGCAGGGTTAAGGGGGAAATTTATAGCTATAAATGCTTACATGAAAGAAACAAGGCCTCGAATAAACAAACTAGCTTTACAACGTAAGGAATTACAAAAAGAAGAACAAACTAAACCTAAAGCTAACAAAAGGAAGAAAATAGTAAAGATTAGAGCAGAGATCAAAATATAAAATATAAAAAAGAGAAAAATCAATGAAACCAAAAGCAAGTTCTTCAAAAATATCAACAAAATGATGTGATGAACCTTTAATTAGATAAACTAAGATAAAAAGAGAAAAGACTCAAACTACTAAAATCAGAAATAAAAATGAGGACATTACTACCAATTCTAAAGAAATAAAAAAGATTATAAGGGAGTACTATGAGCAATTGTATGCAGAAAAACTGGATAACCTCAATGAAATAGACAAATTTATAGAAACACAAAACCTACCAAAACCAAACCACAAAGAAACAGAAAATCTGAACAGACCTATGACTAGTAAGGTGATTGAATAAGTTATCAAAACTATCCCAAAAAAGTAAGCCCTGGATCCAATGCCTTCACTGTTAAATTCTATCAAACATTTAAAGGAGAACTAACACCAATACTTGTCAAACTGTTTAAAAAAATTAAAGAGTAGGGAACACTCCCTAACTTAATCTATGAGGCCAGCATTATCCCAATATCAAAGCCAGACAATTATCCTACATGAAAAGAAAACTAAAGGCCAATATCCATCTTAAACATTGATGTAAAAATCCTCAACAAAATAGTAGCAAAGCAAATATTTAGCGGCATATTAAAAAGATCATACACCATGACTATGTGGGATTTATTACTGGAATGCAAAGATGACTTAACATACAAAAATCAAGGTAATACAATACGCTAACAGAAAAAAAGGCATGCTTATCTCAGTTGATGCAGAGAGAGTATTTGACAAAATTCAACATCCTTTCAAGAATATATTCTTTTTGAGACAGAGTTTCACTGTTGCGCAGGCTGAAGTACAGTGGTGTGATCCCAGATCACTGCAACCTCTGCCTCCTGGGTTCAAGTGACTCTCCTGCTCTGCCTCAGCCTCAGCCTCCCAAGTAGCTGGGATTACAGGCAACTGCTACCACGTCTGGCTAATTTTTGTACTTTTTCTTTAGTAGAGACATGTTGCCTAGGGTGGTCGTGAACTCCCCAACCTCAGGTGATCTGCCTGCCTTGGCCTCCCAAAGTGCTGAGATTACTGGCATGAGCCACCATGCCTGGCCTATTTGTTTGTAGAAAAAAAATTCAACAAACTAGGAACATAAGAAAAATACATAAACATAATAAAAGTTATGTATGGAAAACCCACAGCAAATATACTCAATGTTGAAAGAGTAAAAGCTTTTCCCCTAAGATCAGAAACAAGGCACGGATGCCACTTTTGCCACTTCTATTTGACATAATATTGGAAGTCCTAGTCAGAGAAATTAGGAAAAAAAAGAAATAAAAGCCATCCAAACTGGGGAAAGCAAAAAGTAAACATCTCTGTTTGCCAATGATATGATATTATATGTAGAAAATCCTAAAGATTACTGGATTTTACACACACATATTCACACACACACAGAGTTAAAAAAAATAAATTCAGTAAAGTAGCAGGATACAAAGTCACACACAAAAATCAGTTGCATTTATATACACTCAGATGAACAATCTGAAAATGAAATTAAGAAAACAATTTCATTTACAATAATATATAAAAAGAAATAAAATACTTTGAAATTAACTTAGCCAAGAAGGGGAAGGGAAAGATTTGTACAAAGAGACCTATAAAACATTGCTGAAAAAAGAATTAAACAAATATATCTCATGTTCATGGTTTGGAAGATTTAATATCATTAAGATATCAGTACTACCCAAAACGATCTACAGATTCAATGTAATCCTTATCAAAATCCCAATGACTCCTTCTGCAGAAATAGAAAAACTCATCCTAAAATTCATATGGAATTTCAAAGGACCCCAAATAGCTAAAACAATCCTGAAAAATATGGGGAAAAAAGACTCACACTTCTTGATTTCAAAACTTACTACAATACTACAGTAATCAAAACAGTCTGGTACAGGCATAGACAGACATATAGGCCAAAGGAATAGAAGAAAGAGTCCAGAAATAAAACCCAAATTATTTTCAAAAAAGTTGTCAAGGCCATTTAATGGGAAAAACACAGTCTTTACAACAAATGGTGCTGGGAAGCTGGATATCCACATGCAAAATAATAAAATTGGATCTTTACCGAACGCCATATACAAAAATTAACTTGAAATGGATCCATTACCTAAATGTAAAAGCTAAAACTATAAAACTCTTACAAGAAAGCATGGCAATAACTTCAAGACATTGGATCTGGCAATGATTCCAAAGGTACAAACAAATTTTAAAAAATATAATTAATAATACTGAAATATACACTTAAAATGGATAAGATAGTAAATGTTATGTTATGTAAGATTTACAACAATAAAAATAATTTGGAGAAAATACCTCTAAGTAACCCACAGATCAAAGGGGAAGTCATAAGAGAAATAGGGAGACATTTTGTTAAAAATGTGTAGATTGTATTTTTTAGAAAAGTTTTACATGAAAAAAAAATGAGCACTTAGAATTCCCATATATCCCCTGCCAAAGTTTCACTTATTATTAATGTTTTACATTTGGATGGTACATTCATTAGTATTGAACCAATATTGATACATTTTTGTTAACTAAAGTCCATCCTGTATTTTGGTTTTCTTAGATTTCCTTAATATCTTTTTACTGTTTCAGGAGCCCATCTAGGATAAAACATTACATTTAGTTGTCAAGTCTCCTTGGGCAACTTTTGGCTATGATGGCTTCTCAGATTTTCCTTGTTTTTGATGACCTTGATAGGTTTGAAGAGTACTGGCCAGGTGTATTCTTCAATGCCTTACTATTGAAATTTGTCTAATTTTTTCTCATGATTAAGACTGGGGTTATGGGTTTTCAGGAATAAGATCACAGAGGTAGAGTGCCATATTTATCCATAGTATCAAGGGTATATTATATCAACATGATGTATGACAGTTGATGGTGACCTTGATCACATGGCTGCAGTAGTGTTTATTAGGTTTCTCTACTATGCAGTTATTCTTTGTACTCCTCTGGCCATACTGTACTCTTTGAAAGAAAGTCAATATGTGCAACCCACACTTAAGAGGTGGGAAATTATGATCCACTTCCTTTAAAATTGAATATTAACGTAATTTATCAGGAATTCTTCTGCATGGGAGATTTGTCTCTTCTTCCCCATTTATTAACATATTTAATCATTTATTTATATCAGTATGAACTCATGGATGATGATTTTATACTTCATACTATAATCCACTGCTACATTAGATTGTTGTTCAAATTGTTCCACCTTTTGCTACTTAGAATGAGAAAACATTATAAATTGAATGAAAATAAAAACACCTCAAAATGTGTGGGATGCAACTAAAGCAGTACTTACAGGAAGATTTGTTGTATTAAATACTTGTACTACTGTTGTCCCTCTGTATTTGCAAGGAATTGGTTCCAGGACCTCCCACAGATACCAAAATCCTCAGATGCTCAAGTCCTTTACACAAAATAGCATAGTATTTGCATATAATCTAAGCACACCCTCTCTCTCAAATACTTTAAATCATATCTAGATTACTTATAATACCTAATACAACATAAATGCCATGTAAATAGTTGTTATATTTTTAAAATTTGTAATTTTTTGTTGTTGTATTGTTATCTTTGTTCCTAAAATATCTTTGATCCATAGTTGGTTGAATTTGTAGATGCAGAATCTACAGATAAGGAGGGCCAGTTGTATTTATGAAAAAGAAATATATCAATAATCTAAGTTTCCACCTTAATAAATTAAGAAAAGATAAAATAAAATCCAAAGCAAGAAGGAAAAAGGAAATAATAAAGAGCAGAAATCAATGAAATTGAAATCAATGAGAAAGTAAGGGAAACTAAAAGCTAGTTCTTGGAAAATATCAATAGAATTGATACAGTCTCTAGCCAAACTGATCAAGAAACACAGAACAAAGACACATTTTATGAAATTGAAAAAAAAGAGAGGTGATCAGTTAAGATAAGACATCAAAAAGTTAATGAGGGAATATTACAAACAACTCTAGTCCCATAAGTTAGACAATTTACATGAATGGGACAAATTCACTGAAAAATACAAACTGCCAAAGCTCATTAAAAAAAAGAGAGACACCTAAATAGTCCTATATCAATTAAATAAATTGAATATTGTTATGGGCTGAATTGTGGCCCATATGTGGCCGTATTTGGAGATAGGGTTTATAAAGAGGTGATTAAGTTAAAATGAAGTCATTAGAATAGCCCTTAACGTAATATAACTGATATCCTTATAAGAAGAGATTAAGACACAGATATACACAGTGGGAAGACCATGTGAAGACACAGAGGAAAGACGGCCATCTGCAAGTCAAGGAGAGAGGCCTCAGAAGAAATCAACTTTGCTGACATCTTGATGTTTGACTGCTAGCCCACAGAACTGTAAGATCCATTCTTGGATATTTTGTTATAAAAGCACCCCCCCCCAAAAAAAAAAAAAAACTAAAAACTAACACAAATATGTATTTAGAAACCTCACAAATTCTGGGTCCAGTTGGCCTCACTGGTGAATTTTAGCAAACATTTAAGGAAGCAATACTACCAATTTTATACAAACTTTTCCAGAATATTGAAGAGGAGAAAACACTTCCCAAATAATTTTATAAGGGAAGCATTGCTCTGATACTAAAACCGGAAAAAGATATCACAAAAAAAGAAAATTACAGATGAATATCTGTCATGAACATAAACACAAAAAAAGTCTTCAGGAAAATACTAGCAAATCAAATCGTAAAACATAAAAACAATATTACACCATCACAAAGTTGGGCTTATCCCAGGAATGCAAAGCAGGTGAGATATTTGGAAATCAACCAAAGTAACTCACGGTATATCAACAGGCAAAAAAAAGAAAAACTATATGATGATCTGAATAGACGCAGAAAAAGCATTTAACAAAAGTAAGAGTCCATTCATAATAACTCCGGGAAACTAGGATAATAGGAAGGCTCCCTTAATCTGATAAATGGCATTCACAAAAATACTACAGCGAACATTATACTTTATGATGAAAAACAGAATGCTTTCTCCCTAAAATGGAGAATCTGGAAAGGATGTCCACTCCCTTTCCTCTTATTCAACATTGAACCAAAAGTCCTAGCGAATGCAATAAGTTAGTAAGTCAAAAAAAAAGAAAGAAAGAAAGAAAGAAAGAAAGAAAGAAAGAAAGAAAGAAAGAAAGAAAGAAAGAAAAGAAATGAAAGGCATATACATTGGAAAAGTAGAAAAATAAAACTGTGTTTATTCACCAACATGAGTATCTACTTAAAAAAATTCCAAAAAATATATTTAAAAGGCCCTAGAATTAATGAGCATTTAGGAAGGTTGAAGGACACATTGGTAATATACAAAAATCAATCATATTTCTATCTACTATCAATGAACAATAGAAGTTAAAATATTTTTCATAAGTCTCATTTACAATAGCACCAAAACATGTGAAATATTAGATATAAATCTAACAAAACATATATACAATCTATATGTTAAGACTGCAAAACAAACAAACACTGATGAAAGAAATCAATGCAGACCTAAACAGAGTGAGGAATGCTTCCGTCAGGAGAAACAACAACAAATCCGTTAAAGTGGAATTTGAGAACGCCACCAGGACATTTTGGGTTCCTCATATGCTACTGAATCATCAGGGAAAGGGGGATTACTACACTGCCTAGTGTGCTGGATTCCAAGTATTAAGGGGAAACTGGGCTGCTGCTTTCCAATGGAGTAACGAGGAATACGTCTGCAATGCAGGTGATCCTCTAGGGTGTGTCAAGGTGATTAAGTAAACAGAAAACTAGAACCACCCAATTTAGGCAGAACTACTAATGACTTAGATCTTGAGGAATGAATGTGTGGGTCACCCTATCAGACAAGGAACCACAACCAAATGGGATGTTTGCTGAGCTGAAAGAGAATACCAGACAGGTGTAAGACGGCAGTGATCAAAATCAGATACAACCATGTGACCAGCTGCATAAACAGGGATAAAATATTGTGAATTTTTCTTTCTTTTTTGATATGCATATTTTATACATATATATATATCATATTTTTGTTTTCTTTTAAAAATATTAAAGGGAATGTGAATCAGTTGGAAAAGAAAGAATATCACTCAAGACAAAAAAGAGACACTTTTGGAGAAGGGGAGAGAATGTTTTCAGTTGTACACAGATTAGTTTTATCACTGTAGATGCAAGCATAAGGTTGTCCTTATTTGGATATTAAGTAACATTTAAAAGGGTGTATATAGGTGCCAGGCTGATACAGGGTGAACTGTGATAGCTTTATAATATGTTGACATGGCTAGGCTGGACCACTTTTCCCAGAATTCTGTTCTCTGAATGTTTCCAGCTAAAACAGGGCACAAGCGAGGTTCTCATGTCAGATCTGGAAGGTGAACATGGGGCAGCAGCTATTCTGTGCTCAGATGCACTATGGATGATCTCCTGACTCCCCTCATTCTATATGTGGAAGGAAGAACTTAAAATCACAACAGTGCCAATCCTACCTGAATGAATATAACTGGCATGTCATTCTATCTAAATTTCAAACAAGTTTACACAGGAATGAACAAAATAATTTAAAATCACCGATGCAGCAAAAACTTGCCCAAATAGCTACAAAAATGTATTTTTTAAAAAATTAGAGGGAGGATTTTCCTTTCCAGATATATTTAGAATAAGTAGAATCAAAACAGAATAATATAATATGTCCACAGGAACAAACAAGTCAGTTAGTGAAAAAAAATTTAGAGAATACAAAAGGATCAAACATTTTTGGAAACTTAATATGTGATAAAAGTATATATAAATTCATTTGGGAAATGTGGTTTACTTAGTGAATAGTGCTGGTATAACTGTCCAGTCATATGAAAGAAAATATAGTTTTCTATACCCCTATAATATTTAGCAATAAACTGCAGATAGATTCGTGATCTAAGCAAAATAAGTGAATAAAAATTCTGAAGAAAATTTAGGAGAATATTTGCATGTTTTTCCTGTAAAGAAGACCTTTTTAAACATTTTAGAAATTAAGAATGTTCATGAAAGTCTCCCTTCTTAAGGTATAGAATTGAGGGTTACAATTTATAGCACATTTGTCAGACAGACAACATGTTAAGATTTCCAACATGTGAAGAGTTCCTACAAATTAATAAGAAAAACAATGAACAAAGTTTATAAATATGCAAATCCAAGAAGAAGTTAATAAACATATATTAAGATACTTGATCCTAGCTGGGCACAGTGGCTCACGCCTGTAATCCCAGCACTTTGGGAGACCAAGACGGGTGGATCACAATGTCAGGAGTTCGAGACCAGCCTGACCAACATGGGGAAACCTGGACTCTATTAAAAATACAAAAATTAGCCGGGCATGGTGGCTAAGCTTTTGGAAAGGAATCTGGTATTGCCCATTAAAATATAAAACGAACATAAACTTTGACTTAACTATCTTACTTTAGGGAATCTAACCAAAATCAAAGTACCAGTACTTAGGAAATACATGTAAATATATATACTGCAGAAAAAGTCAACTGGAGAATGGGTGAATATATTATGGTATTTCCATACAATGAAATATTAGACAACTATTAATCCTATGTCAGAATATGTCTTAACCTATATAATAATATAGTTTAAATTTTAAAAACTATGGTTGCAGGGTAATTGTAGAGTTGCAGAGCACACATCAATTTTTATTTAAACTTTAAACAGAAAATCTGTTTTTATATCTTTGTGTATTCTTAGATAAACTATTATATTGGTTGCCTCTGAACCAGGATTCAGGATGATGGGAGGAAATTATTAACTTTTTCTCTATATCATTCTATATTGATTTTCACTAAAATATTAGCATACATTAACTTTATAATTTAATTTTTTAAAATTTTGGCTTTTAAAATATTTTATTAAATGTTAAATAGGTACAAAATAATAATTAAGTAAAATATCTTTAAGAACAATACATACCCAATTTAAAACAGAACATTAGCCCCTGATGCTCCTGTGTCCCCTTCCCAGACCTCATTCCTTGTCCTCCTCCCTCAGGGAATAATCACTATTCTGAATTGTACTATCATTCCTTTTGTTTGTTTTGTTTACCCTTTATGCTGTTTTGCATATTTCACAAATTTATATAGATTACATTATTTTGTTTTAAATCTTGACTTTTTTGCTAAGACTGCATCTGGGTTTATTCATCTTCACATTAAACAAAATACAATATCTAATTCATACATGCTGGTGTTGACAGATATCTGAGTTGTTTACAGTTGAAGTCTATTAAAAACAAGCCTAGTATGGACATTCTTGCATATGTCTTCTGGTAGAAAAAGGAAAGAGTTTCTCTAAGCTAAATAACCAGGAAGGAAATTGCTAGGACATATGGCATGTGCACACTAAAAAAATACCAAATTATTTTCCAAAATGGTTTCCATCAAGCCACATACTCACCAATATCAACTATTATCACATTTTTAAAAATGGAAACAATCTAGTCAGTGTAAATTATTATTTCACTATGATTTAATTTTCACTTCCCTGATTCGAAATTAGGTTGGACCACTTTTTCATATTTTCTCTTCTGTGAAATGTTTGTTAATGTGTTTTGCCCATTTTTCTATTTGGTTATCTTTTACTTACTAATATGCAGTTTCTTATATTTTCTAGGCATTAATCCTTTGTGAGCATAGACCTCAGTAACAGACCCTAGGAGGAGCCTAACCATAGTCCTAAACTGAAACTGAAAAGGAGGGTACTAAGAAAGAAAAAAGCAGTGTCTATCTACTTTTCCCTAGGAACTGGCCTTACTCTAACAGCTAAGAAATGGTATTTCCTGTTTGCAAAGTAATGTGTTCTTATTTTTATTTTAAAAATATATTTATATTCAAAATTCCACTTCTGCCTAAATATAGAAAGCTAGTATGAGCATCACTCCTACCCTAACAATATACATAAGTTGAAAAAAAAACACTAAATCAAAATTTTATTGAACCCATTAGAGAGCTGAGGTTGCAGGGCAACCAAGTAGTCTGCAATCTAAGGAAAGACAGACTCTCCTAAGGAGTGACAGGACATGAACACTGGCTCCCTGTGGCAGTTCAAGGGAGAAAGAGATACCAGGCACTATACAAATGGGAAAGAAGTATTCAGACATAAAATGTAATGCACTGCTGATAGCTGGATGTGGGCCAGTGTGACAGTACAGAACAGCGTAAAGCCACAGACACAAAAAGAACTTGCACACATTCACAGACTCAAGTTCACAGACCTCCAACAGGTGCTCATAAGAAAGACTGAGAGCAGAGCAGGAAACGGGAAGAACCATTCCCTCAGAAGGGTAGGCTTGGAGGAGGGGAGCCACTGTCATGGTCGAAAATGCGTAAAGCCCCACTTAGACCTATTTCTCCCAGAACAAAAGCCTTACACTGCAGGAGGAGGAGCAGCAATCCCTGCTTTGTATAAGTGTATACCCACTGCAGTTGGAAACAGAGCAAACAAAATCCATCTATTCCTGGAGAAGGTGCAGAAAACAGTCCTAAGCCCAGGATTTAATGCCATTATTATTACAAAACTCCTACCACTACACTAAGTGAAGGGGAGGAAACCTTCTCCACTGTAGACTTGCCAAAGGTGTCAGGCAGAGTCTGGATGCCATGAGAAGGGGTAGTATCACTAACCAAGCCTGTCACTGAGGACCAGGGACAGAGGACCTGCCCAAGGCTGAGAATGGAATAGGACAACAAAGAATGACTTGGCCCTCCCTCCCCAGGCACGCAAGCACCAGTCTACTGCTGGAAGATAGGCAGGAGAAGGAAAGAAAGCCCTTCTAAAGCACAGGCACACAGGGGAGGCCTAAAGCTGAGGACGAAACAGGAAGAGACCAAAAATAAAAACTCCTTAGCACCCCAGCTGACACCCTGCGCACAAGCTAAATCCTAAGGAATTCTAAGCCAATGGTTCACCATAGGTAATGAGAGCAACACAAAACCAAAACCCAGCTCATGTCCTAAATGGCCTACCAGAGGAATAGGCATGACTATTTCTAGGCATAAATTCTATTTACTTTAGTCTCTTTTTTTCTACACCCAGTACCAACACTCAATCAGATATATAGACACATAATGAAGCTGCAGCAGCTGCAACAACAGAAGCCAGTGTCAAAAAGCAAAGCAATCACAGAAAAAAATATCAGCAACAACCCATCTGTCAGAGTTATCCACCAGGGAATTTTAAATAACTATCATTAACATGTTAAGCTCTATGAAAAATGCAAACAAAACGCATTAACAACAGAGACGGAATCTGTAAGAAGGTGTCAAATGGAAATGTTGTACATAAAAAACACTGTGTGCTTTCAATGGGTTCATTAGTAGACTTGACACAACCAAGAAAGGAATCAGTAAACTTGAAGAAAGGTTGACAGAAATTACCTAACTGAAATACAAAGAGTAAGAAGAGTAGGAGAAAAGAAAAGTAAAAAGCAACAAATAATGTTAGTACAGCTTCTTTGGAATACAGTTTGTCTGTTATACACTTATGACCCAGCAATCCCACTCCTAGATATTTACCTTAAAGTAATGGAAACTTATGTTTACACAAAGTTTGTGAATATCTGTAGTACTTTTATCCATAATTGCCAAAATCTGGAAGCAACACAGTGTCCTTCAACTGGTGAATGGAATACTATTCAATAAAAAAGAAATTAAATACTGATAAATGCAATGACACAGATGAATATCAAAAGAATTATGCTAAGTGAAAGAAGTTGGACTCAAAAGGCTACATATTTATGATTCCATTTATACAATACCTTGAAAAAGACAAAAGTAAAGAGAATGAAAATAGATTACTGGTTGCTAGGCACCGGTGGTAGGGTAAAGGGTTAACTATAAAAAAATACAAGAGAAATTTGGGGGGAGATAGAAATGTACTATACCTTGATTGTGATGGTAAACCTTGGTCAAACCTCATAGAACTGTATGCTAAAAGGGTGAATTTTACTGTATGCCTCAGTTTAATTAAGCATGTTTTAATTAATTAAAAATTATGTCTCGTTTTATAAAAGCATATTCTTATAAACTATTTTTGTAGGAGATCTGCATTTTAATAATTGCATAAGGTGATATTTTCTTAACTGGATTTGACATTTTTCAAATAAAGTCATTAGAGAAGATGTTTCCAACATTTGATGGGATGTTGGTTATGGATGACCTCTAAGATCCTCTCCAACTCCAAGGTTTTTGAGGTGTGCATGTGATCCCCCAAGTTTACAAACACAAATTTTATAAATATATATATATATATATATATACACATACACATATATGTTAAGTATATATTCATAGTTCTAATTACATTTATATTATATATACATGTAAATACGTATACACAAAAAGTTCTGAAATATTCTTCAGTATTATAATTTATTATATATTTGTTATTGTCTTTTTTTCCACTATAAACATGTGATAATTTGTAATCCAAAAATGTTATTATTTTACTTACAAAGCATATATTGTGCAACAAATTTTTAAAAAGGAAATAAGGAAGCAGGTTATTTTTCAAATCTATAAAATACCTAGCTTTAAAAAAATGGATTTTACTAAACTGACATATTTAATACTTTAAAATACTTGAAGAAAGGACAGGAATTAGCCATTGTGAATATGGGGTGTGGAGCATTTTTTTAATTGCATTTTTTTATTTTTAAAAGAAAATCCTAGAAAACCATATTTTCCCATTTTTGAAGTTTTCCCTAGCTCTTTCTTTCATTTGTATTAGAAATATCTTTGTGCATATCTCTAAAATAGAGCCTCAACTTGCTACTACAAATAGGATGATGTCATACCAGAAAGTAGAGGGGAGAGAGCCTGTGATGGCCCTGCAGCCTCCTCATCCTCACTGCTCCACCTGTCTCTTCTGAAGGGGCCTCTGGCTGTCCACATGCTGGGATCACTGCCACTAGAAAAGAAATGTATATATTTGCCCATGGTTTCAAAGAATATATACATTTGAGAAATACTTTCTAATCATCTTCATTGATTATTTAATTGACATTCATTTCCATTTCAATTCAGCCACCCACTCCCATTGTCATCACCTGAAACTGGCCCACTTGTGAAATAATTCCCAAATCCCAATGTCTGATCACAAACTCCATCTCCTCCTACTACTTTTACCTTGCAAACTAGTCGCCTCAGATCCATCCACTTATTTACCTTCTCCCCTCCTTTACCTAGACTGTGGGAGGGAAGTACTCGGGTCACTGGGCTTTCTAATATCGGCAGAGAGCCGTTTGGAAAATACCAGCATGTCCCTGGTTGGTTTCCTGTACCACTCTTCCATGGCAGCAAATTCCAAGCCACCATCTTGTTATAGTCCTTATTTTAATACTCTCTCTGACTTAGTAAAAATGTAACTTCTTCTAGAAAATGCAAGCCAGAAAATAGAAATTCTTTCAATTTATTATCTTTTAAAACATTTACTTAGATGCATCAATGTCTTTCTTATTCCTTGCTTTCTGCCTGTTCAAAATTCCTCCTTCCGTGTTCTTAACCAGATTCCTTCTGCCTCCTCTAAGGTATTTTTCTATAACTTATTTTTTTTTAACATATCGTGAATTTCTCCCTATCTACAAATTCTTTCATATCATAAGAATACACAATTTTCTGTATCTTAAAAATAGGAAATGCTTTAAACTCTGTCTAGCTACTAATTGTTAACAGATTTTTCAAATCCTAGCCCATACCCACTTTGTTTCCTTTGCAACGTCTCCATACTCAACTGACTCGCTAATGCTATTAACTTGGCTCTTGTTGCACTTTCATTTGCAACCCTACCTAGCAAAATCCTCCTAATTTGACTTCTGCATCTAACCTTCAATGTTTAGAGAAAATTCTTCCTAAAATACAAACTTAATTACACCTGCCCACCAATATCAGGATAAATCAAGGCCCCTTATCAGACACAAAAGTTTAGGATATTGGCCAGGTGGCCTCTGTCTATTTTTCCATCACCATCTCCACTGATTTCCTACATGCACTGTATGCTTTAACCTTAGCAAAATAAGTGCCTTTTTCTTTTACTTCTGTAAGAAAATTCGGGTTTCTTACTCTTTTCTCCTTCTAATTTTTTTCTTGGATTACTGTAAACATTTAATTAATCTCCACTGACTGCCACTTCCAGCTATCCTCACCTTGCCACCAGCATTCCTCCTTCTGGATGGATAAATAGATAGTTGCATGAATAAAACAAAAAGACCCTCCGTATGCATCCTTTTGATTTTAACAGACTGAATAAAATGTATACTCAGCTTCACATATATGGCATTACTTCCCTCTCCAGCCCACACTGTATTTTGGGCTCCACCTCTCATCTTCTGCAGCTTCCTAGCATTCCACCTCACATACACCCTACAACTCTTGGCAGCTAATATTTCTCCCCATTACCCCTAAGATATTTTCACAACTCCTTACCCTCGCTCAAACTTCTCCCTCTTGCCTGAAATGTTCTTCTCTTTTTCACCTGCTAGGTTTCTATTTAATTAAATCCTAAATTCAACCAAAATATCTTTTCTTCAAAGAAGCTTGTGGGAAACCTCCCTCATGCATAGTCAATCTTCTGTACCCACAATCTTTGGATTTTTACTCTAAAATAATATTTACTATGTTGTACATCAATTTGTCTTTTATATGTCTGTTTCCCTAATTAAACTGTGAACTAAAGAGCAAAAAATATATAGTAGTTTGTATTTGTATACAGTGCTTAGTGTATCACAGAATCTCAAAATGTCTTTGGAATTACTATTATTTGTTTAATGCACTTCTGAAAATTGTACATATAAATTTCATACAATACGCATACAAAAACACATAATATAAAGAATATACACATTCTTATACAGTGCTATTCCAGTGAGGGTAGCTAATATTACTGATAAATCTCTAAGAAAATATGGCTTAACAAAATGTTTCCTCATTTGATGTTTTTGCTTATAACACCTAAATTTGAACATTTTATAAGCATGAAAACTTGTTTCTTTGTTTTCCTAATGGAAATTTACTGTTCTTCAGGTACTTTAAATTTTTTAAATATATACTACCAGAAATTCACCATACTAATAAACCTGTTGTTTATACCATATAATTTTCTTTCTGAAAACAGATTACATTTCTAATAACATTTAGTGCTGTACCGTGAGCTTCATGCTACCTCAAGTACACTGACCACTTCAAAAGCTCCAAGCATATTTGCAAAAGCTTTGACGCCATGTAACTATTGAGAGGAGAGAGAAATCGAATCCTTCAAGAATACTTTTCCCTTATGTTAATTACCATATTTTTGAGATCATAAACATATTTCTAAGAAAGCTAAATCAAGTTTATAAAAAGCTATATCTTGAAAAATTAAACATTTCAGGGCCATTATTCACTGTCTCCATGCAGAGGGCTAGCTATGAATATAAGTAGCATAAACAGAAAACCCACTAAATAAGCATATTAGTTATACCTTTCTGAAGGCTCTTCAAAAACATCCTCATAATCATTATGTGGGAAATTCCGAAGAGAAAGTTTTACCTTCTCTGAATTAACTTTATTTTCAAAAACCTACAGACATAAGAAAGGAAACAAATTATAGCACTGGTTTTAGAAAAATATGGTTTAAAACGTGATTTCTATAGCTACTTAAGAAGAGCAAAAAGATCTGCAATAATGGAATTATAACCACAATCACATAGTATAATGTCTGCTCCTAGAAAATCACTTAATTGTATATCTCCCTATTAAATATCTTCCAATCTGTCAAAACAGTGTAGAGTACTATGTAAACAGAAGTTATTTATATTGAATTGCTCAAGTGATTTTTCAAAACTAAATTTTTAAAAAGCTTCATTTGAGAAAAAATAGATTTATTACTTCAGCCCAGAAGAGATTTTCTTATAAGTGTTTACCATGTTTTGTTTACTGTGAATATAAAATTCCTGCCACTAAATTTATCTTTACTTTAGTACTTGCACCATCTAATCTACTAATTCTAAGTATTTCTCCACATTCCACTGCCCAATTTTGCACCGGGCAGTGGACTTCAGTCTTGATAACTCGCAGTGCCAGTGCCCCAGCCACCACATACACGTTTCCTTCCTTCCTTGTCTAATACTGTCTTGCCATACTTGGCCTTCTATTTTCTCAAGAACATCTTTTGAATCAGCTGATCAAATCTCATTCACACACAGAAATAACTTTGGGACTATTATTGAAATTAAGTAATATGAATTTTTTAATTTAAATTGGAAATAAGTGATGTATTTATATATTAAGTATCATTATCCACTAATATGATATAGCTATCCAGCAAAAACATTATAAAATATTCTCAATAAAGACAATGTATACCTTTTCTTAGATTTACTCCTAAACACCTTAAGTGGCACAATTGTAAATGTAATGTCATAGAGCAGACCTTTTATTTGATACACACTGCTCAATCCACAAACCACATGTTTTTACATCTAGTATTTTTGTGTACATTCCATTCTAAATACTTTAAACTTCCATTATGATTTCTTCTTTGACTAATGAGTTTGTTAGTGTTTGCTTGGTGTATGTTTAATTTTTACTTTAAAATCACAGGAAAATGTCCACCTAAGATTCCTTCTCATTAAACTATGTAGCTACAATACACGAAATGAAATGAGCTTCACAGAATTGAACTAGTTTTGAAATCAGCACTGATTGGCAAATCCCTAAAAATTAATTTCAGGATAATTAAAATTGAAATGTAGAAAGTGTGGCTCCAGTGGGATGGAGGAAAAGAAGTGGGACACATGCTATTACACAACATGATCCCACTTCCCTCTTATGAGACATGCTTAAAAGTCATTTGAGTACAATTCATTTACTTAGAAAAAGTGATATCTGGAAGTCCTAACACAATTTAAACCTGAGACATCTTTCAGCTCATGGTTCAAAATCAAATTGATTATATTTATTTTTTAAAGAAGCAGACTGTTCCAGATGGCTGCAATTCAAATTTAAGGCTGACTAACATATGTCTGATTGAGTGAAATGTGATTTTGCTAACAA
Source organism: Homo sapiens (assembly GCF_000001405.40). Taxonomy (NCBI): domain Eukaryota; kingdom Metazoa; phylum Chordata; class Mammalia; order Primates; family Hominidae; genus Homo; species Homo sapiens. The sequence goes on along the minus strand of NC_000010.11, from coordinate 46,942,441 downwards.
TACCAAGAACTAACAAGGAGAAATATAATAAATTATCAAGATGGCAGGACTTTTGGAGATTGCTCACGGAATCAAATTAATATCAAATTTTTTAAATGTTAGAAAATGTTTTCTGAGGAGCCTAAGTTAGCTTTTCTGTAGTCCATGCAGCAAGGATTTATGAGGACAAAGTGAAAACAGTAACACAGATAGGAGCCTGGTTTCTAGTCTGTGACTCAAGAGTTATATGATCATAGACAAATCGCTTCAGCTTTCACCTCTAAAATGAGTGCTGGCATAAAAATGTCTTTAACAGGCCAGGTGTAGTGGCTTATGCCTATAATCCCAGCACTTTGGGAGGCCAAGACGGGTGGATCACCTGAGGCCAGGAGCTCAAGACCAGCCTGGCCAACGTGGTGAAACCCTGTCTCTACCAAAAATCCAAAAAATAAATTAGCCTGTCTCAAAAAAAAAATTTCTTTATGCTCCAAATCTAACCAACTTCAAGTCTATGAGTCTAGACAATTTCTAGGGGACAGCATCATATCTGAAAGGACATAAAAATGGCTACAGTATCAAATTGTTTCATGAAACATAAGAAAAGCAAGTTCTAATAAAATCAGGTAATTTTCCCAACACTATAAAAACCATCCAGGAATGTTCTAAGATCCTTTTTTATGAAAGGAAACTTTAAAGCATATCAGAATTCACCCTAGATAGGCCAAGCTATAACTTAGCAAAAAAACAAACAAACAAACAAGCAAAAAAAAACCCAAAGTAAAAATATAAACAAAATCACAAAATGTGCTCAGTTCTAGAAGAAGTCAAATAAGACTATAAGACTATATAAAGGATATACTTGGGCCATTCTGTGAAGGTGCTCCCTTTCAAATCGTCTCTGCTTCAAAGAGAAAACCATTCTGATCAGAGAAAAGAATCAAGAGTGAGCGGAGAGCCCAACACGGCACTAACAGCCAGAGATTCCCAGCCAAAGATGTGATGGTAGCCTTGATGTGGCCAACTTAAGTATAGCAGAGAATGGACAGGAGATAATAATCAAGTTACAACACTGTTCTTAAAAGCTGCACTCCTGCCCACCTGGGGTGGAGGTGGCAATTGAACAGGGGAAGTGGTAGGAGCAGTTTTTGGTCTATGTACTGACTTTATCTCTATTACTCCTGTAACTTACAGGAAATGAACACAAGGCCAGCATCATCATCGCAGTTCCAAAGCTCCAGTTGACTAGGTAAGAGAAAAAAAAATGCAAAGCACCCACCAGACTAAAATGCATTTCCCTTTTTTTGTGCTCTAACCCTAGCACTATCTCCACAAATGGGGTAATGTGTTGAAGTAAGAGTTTTTGTCACAGACTTTTCACAGCCCTCTACTTTTCCATAGTTCGGAGACACCCAATCATGCTGTCTCAAACAATGAAAAAGTCCACAATCAATACATCTAAAGGTGCTTCATACTTCATGTGACATTTATTTTGTATCTTCATTAGTAACACAAAACTAGTGCCTGTAAAATTTCCAGAGTAGCATTAGAAAATGCAATTCATTAGAAACTTTGCAAAAAATTCCACTCTTTCAAATCCCCATTTTGGTCACTGTCAACACTACAGTGACAAAAAATTAAGAAATCATTTTGGTGAGAACCAAATAGATACCCATTTCCCAGAGAGCATAGTCAGCAATTTAGGTATTAGCCAAAATTAGTAGAGATCCCTCTCCTTTTAGTCTTACCTTTGATCTAGGTGTGTTTTCCTGACTTGATGAAGGCAAAGTCTCCCTGAAATTCAAGTCTTCTGCTTCAGAGTCATTTCCCTCATAATCGTTTACTGAACAAAGGCGGGGGGAAAAACTGATCAAATAGAAAACACTATACAGAAGGAAAAATGGAGCCTTAATGAGAAAAAACAAGCTACATGAGGGGCATTTTCATCTACTTTTCCTGTTTTCCAAACACCCCATCTTTATCTCCTATGGTAATCATCTCTTTCTCCCCTGCTTTGAAAAAATCAACATAGCAAAGCTGATCCTTCTTCTAGGATTATCCTCAGGGAGTTGACTTTTGAGCGGTTCCCTTGTTCCTCATTGCCATATTATTCAAGAAAGTACTCTTCAAGTAAATCCTAGATATTTACAACCTGCAGAACCTATGCATTGGGATCTACAGAATACAGTCTTCTGTGTTTCAGAGTCTATTTCTTGAATAAAGAATACTGTGTTACAAATGTCGCACTGTAACTTCTTGTATTATTTATAATTCATAAGTTAGTAATATGTTAAATTATACAGAAAATTGTTTTCGGCTTTGTTGAATAATGTAATATGAATCATCCCAAGGAAACTCTGGGTTTCTTATATGATTATTCCTAATTACTGTGTTAATTTTACTGCACAGACTCTTTCAGATAAGAAGCCAAGAGAAAATTTTCTCTGATCTCAGTACTGAGCACTCAGAGTACTGTTTCTCATACCATGGGAGCCTTAAATATTATGATTTAGAAATTCTATGGCATGGCATATTACCAAATCAATAAAAATATAGTAAACAAGTACTATGGAAATGAAAAAGTGTGTTCCTGAATGTGTGTTAAAAAGGAAATCTAATAGAAATTATGAACCTTTATAACACATGAATTAATTTTATAAATTAAAACATTAAGAAATATCAATGAAGGGACAACATATCAAAACTAATGTGAAGTAGCTAAATGAGTATTTAGATAGAGGGAAAATGTATAGGTTTAAATGTGTTTACAAAAAAGGCAGAAAAAAAAAGCTGATATAAATGAGTTTTGTATTCAATCATAGAAGCCAAAGAAAAACTGAGGAAACCCAGAGAAACTACAAAGGAGAAAATCATAAAGAAAAATATAATAACAGAAAATAAGCCTAAAGAATAATCAGCAAAATCCAATAAACTAGTTCTTTGAAAAAAAAAACTTAAAAATACGCAACCCTCTTTCACTACAAATCAATGGAGAGTAAGTGCACAAATAACATTAAAAATGAAAAAGGATCGCTTCTCGGCCTTTTGGCTAAGATCAAGTGTAAAAATGAGAAAGGGCACAGCTACAGATGCAACTCTCATTTTTAAAGGTAATAAGCAAATATTATGAGAAACTTTAGGGAAATCTGATGAAATGGAAACTTTTATAAGAGAATTATAAGTTATACAAATTTACTCCAGAAGATGTAGAAAGCCTAAATAGTGTAATAACCATTTAAAAAGTCAAACCAATAATCAAAAATATCACTCCCAAGAGGAAAAAGCATCTGGGCCCAAACAGGTTTCCAGATGGGATTTTATCAGACTTTCAATGAAAAAAATCTCTCATGCAAACGGTTCTGAAAATAGGAAATTCCGCAAACCTAGGAAGGAGCTTCAAGTGCTAGAAAAAAAATTAACAGGAAAAAAAAGTCTATGAGAATTGTAAACAAGCAACTCATAGAAGGCGACTTACAGGCCAATAATATATTCAGAAAAAGTCCAGCCTCACCTGACAAACAAAAAATGAAAAGTAAAACAACCTACAATTGACTTTCATTTATGCTTATGAGAGATTTACTGTAATAGGACTTAACCACAACCAACCAGAAAATAGGACAAAATATATAAAACAATAATTTTCAGACCTTAAACAACAGACTGTGATCCCAGAGAGAAGGGGGTGAGCCTTCTGGTTGCTCCAGATTATGGCCTCCAGAAGTTTGCAGGCTATAGCTCAGGAAAGGAATCAACGAGTCCAGTGATTCAATGAGTTGAGAAGAAAAAGATCAAAGTTAGGAGAGGCTGAGGCAGCCAGAATTTGTAGGGCAGAGTACCAGGGAGGAGGGAGCTATACAGAACAAGAGAAGTCTAAGTAGCTGCAAAGAAACCCTCTCATGTCCTTTGCAGAATATGGATATGCTTATATGAAGGAGGACAATCTCTGACACTCAGGAAGGACCACCGGAAAGTAGCAAGCCACACAATTCCTAGGAACAGTTCATATGAGCCAGAATGAGGAGACCCTGTAATACAGGGGGCGTTGAGGATAGTGCACAGAAGAGATACCTCTTAGTACTAAAACTATCCTTGGAACAGAAGCTCCTTAGGGCCACCTATAAAAAAGGTGAAGAGCAAGCCTCAGACAGGATCAGGTTAAACTTCAAGTAACATAACTACAAGGCAGAAAAACCCAACATTCTTTAAAGAAAAATCAAGGCCGGGTGTGGTGGCTCACGCCTGTAATCCCAGCACTTTGGGAGGCTGAAGAGGGTGGATCACGAGGTCAGGAGTTCGAGATCAGCCTGACAAACATGGTGAAACCCCATCTCTACTAAAAATACAAAAATTAGCTGGGCATGGTGGTGCGCACCTGCAATCCCAGCTACTCAGGAGGCTGAGGCAGGAGAATCACTTGAACCCAGGAGGCAGAAGGTTGCAGTGAGCCAAGATTGCACCACTGCACTCCAGCCTATGAGACAGAGTGAGACTCTGTCTAAGAAAAAAAAAAAAAAAGAAAAGAAAAAGAAAAAAGAAGAAAAAAAGAAAAGAAAAAGAAAAAATCCAGCACCAAAATCATATAATTCACAATGTGTAGTAAACAATTAACAGGTATGCCAAGGAATAGAAAAGTATAACCCACAGCCAAATCAATCAATCAATAGAAATGTACTTAGAAATGACAGATGATAAAATTTAGAAAAAAGAACTTTTAACTATTATAAATTTTTAAAAGGTGCTCAAGGAAATAAAGAAAAACATGATACAATAAAAAGAGATATAAATCATGTAAAAATAAGACCTACTGAAATTTCTAGAGACAATGTATGAACTAAAATAAATTAACAGCAGATAAGGCAGAAGGAAAAAAAATCAGTGTCTGTCAACATACAGCAAGAGTATATCCAAAATGAAGCGCACAGTAGCGAAAAAAAGAGACTGAACAGACTCAGCAAACTGGGACAACATCAAGTGAACTAAAATTCCTGTAACTGGAATGCCAAAACAAATATGAAGAAATAATAGCTGAAGTGTTACCAAACTAGATGAAAACTATAAACCAACAGACCAAAGAAGGTCAATAAAATACAAATGTAATATATGAGCTTATAGAAAAATCACATTCATGTATGTCATATTCAAACTACTGAAAAGAAAAAATGCCAGAGAAAACAGACACATTAAATATAGAAAAACAAAGATAAGAATGATGGATTTCTCATCAGAAATCATGCATGCTAGAAGATAATGGTGAGACATTTTAAAGTATTGAAAGAACATAGAATTCTTATAGAATGTCAATATAGAATTCTATACCCTGAAAATATATATTTCAAAAAATAAGACTTCTGTAGACCAATAAAAACTAAGATTATATCCAGCCTGCACTAAACAACAACAACAAAAGTTAAAGGAAGTTTTTCAGGCACAAGGAAAAGGATAAAATATGAAAATGTAGAACTATCCAAAGGAATGAAGAGTGGCAAAACTGGAAAATACATGAGCACATAAAACATACTCTTTCACATGTTCTAATTTCTTTAAAAGATAACTCAATTATAAGGAAAAATAATAATCTATTGTAGGGTATACAACACTCACAATAAAATTGGTATCAATAATAGCATGAAAGGCAAATGGGAGGAAATGGAAGTATCTTATGTTCCTACAACTATATGTGAAATGGTAAAGCAGTTCCCGCTTACCCACAGGGAATGCCTAGTTCCAAGACCCCCAGTGGATGCCGAAAACTTAGGATAGTACTTCCTGCACTGAAGTCTTAAATCCCTCAAAGTCATCCATGAGGGTTAAAATCAGTTTTTCCCAAACTCCCATTAATGTTGACATTTTGACCTCCTCCCATAAACCACAAATGTTCTTAATGGCGTCTAGAATGGGGAGTTATTTCCAAAAGGTTTTCAATTTACTTTGCCCAGAGCCATCAGAAGAATCACTATCTATGGCAGCTACAGCCTTACAAAATGTTTCTTAAATAATGAGACATGAAACTCAAAATTACTCATTGATTTCTAGGCTATGGAATAGATACTAAATCAGGAACTAACTCAGTAATTTAAAAAAACCTACCAATCAGAAAGAGCCCGGGCCAGAAGGATTCACAGTCAAATTCTACCAGATGTATAAACAAGAGGTGGTACCAATCCTACTGAAACTATTTCAAATAATTAGGAAGAGGGACTCCTCCCTATCTCATTCCATAAGGCCAGCATCGTTCTGATACCAAAACCTGGCAGAACACATGGTCTAATATCCAGAACTTATAATGAACTTATAAATGAACAAGCAAGAATCAAACAACCCTGTTAAAAAATGGGCAAAGGACATGAACAGACACTTTTCAAAAGGAGACATACACATAGCCAAGAAGCATATGAAAAAATGCTCAATATCACTAATCATCAGAGAAATGCAAATGAAAACCACAATGAGATACCATCTTACACAAGCCAGAAAGGCTATTATTAAAAAGTAAAAATTAAAAAAAAAATGTTTGTGAGGTTACAGAGAAAAGGGAACACTTATACACTGCTGATGGGAATTTAAGTTCAACCACTGTGGAATGTGGTTTGGAGATTTCTCAATGAACATAAAACAGAACTACCATTTGATTCAGCAATCACATCACTGGCTATATGAAGGGATATAAATTGTTCCGTCATAAAGACATATGCACATGTATGTTCATCACAGAACTTTTCACAATAGCAAAGACATGGAATCAACCTACATGCCTGTCAACAGTGGAATGGATAAAGAAAATGTGGTGCAAAAACACCATGGACTATTACACAACCATAAAAAGAATGAAATCATGGCTGGGTGCGGCGGCTCATGCCTGTAATCCCAGCAGTTTGGGAGGCCAAGGCGGATGAATTACCTGAGGTCAGGAGTTTGAGACCAGCCTGGCCAACATGATGAAACCCTGTCTCTACTAAAAATACAAAAATTAGCCGGGCATGGTGGCACACGCCTGTAATCCCAGCTACTCGGGAGGCTGAGGCAGAAGAATTGCTTGAGCCTGGGAGATGGAGGTTGCAGTGAGCCGAGATCGTGCCACTGCACTCCACCTGGCTGACAGAGCGAGACTCTGTCTCAAACAAAAACAACAACAACAACAATAAAAAAAAAAAAAAAAAAACAGAATGAAATCATGTCCTTTGCTGCAACATGGATGTAGCTGGAGGCCATTATCTTAAGTGAATCACTACCTGGGTGATGAGATCATTTGTTCACCAAACCACAGCAACAAGCAATTTGCCCATGTAACAAACCTTCCTATGTACCCCCAAGCCTAAAATAAAAGTTGGAAAGAACTAGTCTACAAAAAAGTTTGGGTAGCTTTCCATGTTTTTGCATATTCTAGCTTAACTGATTTATCATTAAAATTAGCTTTTTCATAAAAGTTTGCAACTGTTAAAGGATAGTTTCCAGAAAAAGAAAATCACAGCTCTCATACAGACATATAAATGCACATGTTACTTTATTATATTCATTAATCAGTGAGGGAATCAGGCAGATGTTATTTTTAAATTTTTTTTTAAAAAACCCATAATACTGTGTGTTAGTCTGTTAGCATCACTACGTAGGAATGTCTAAGGCTGGGTAATTTATAAAGAAAAGAGGTTTGTTCTGGCTCGTGGTTCTGCAGGCTGTACAGGAAGCATGGTGCTGGTATCTGCTTCTAGTATCTAACCTCAGGAGGCTTATAGTCATGGCAAAAAGTGAATGAGGAGCCAGCAAATCACATGGTGAGAGACAAAGCAAGAGAGAAGGGGAGGTTCCAGACTCCTTTGAACAATCAGATCTCACATGAACTGAGAGAGCACTCACTCATCACCAGGGGGATAACACCAAGCCATTCACGAAGGATCTGCCCCTATGATCCAACATCTCCCACCAGGTTGGGGATTACCTTTCAACATGATTAGAAGAGATAAACATCCAAACTATACCATACAGGAAGTCCTTGCCAGAGCAATTAGGCAAGAGAAACAAACAAAAGGCATCCAGATTGAAAAGAAGGAACAATTAGGCAACAGAAACAAATAAAAGGTAGCCAAATTGAAAAGGAGGAAGTCAAATTTGTCCCTGTTTAGAGATGACATGCTCTTACAAATGCAAAAACCTGAAGAATCCACCAAAAAACTCTTAGAACTGATAAACAAATTAAGTAAAGTTGCAGGATACAAAATCAACATGCAAAAATCAGTAGCATTTCTATAAAACAATAACAAACTACCTGAAAAAGAAATCAAGTAAGCAATCTCATTTACAATAACTACAAAAAATAATACCTAGGAATAAATTTAACCAGAGATTAAAGATCTCTAGAATAAGAACTATAAAAAATTGATGAAATAAATTGAGGAAGACACAAACCAATGGAAAGACATCTCATGTTCATGGAATAAAAGAATAAATATTTTTAAAATGACAATATAACCAAAGAATCTGAGAGCTCAATGCAATTCCTATCAAAATACCAATGACATTCTTCAGAGAAATTTTAAAATCATAAAATTCATATGGAAGTACAAAAAATACTCCAAATAGCCAAAGCAATTCTGAGCCAAGAAAAACAAAAACAAAATAAAAACAAACAAACAACAACAAAAAAAAAACAAGAACAAAGCTTGGGGTATTACACTACCTGACTTCAAAATACACTACAAATCTATAGTAACCACAAAATCATGATACTGGTATAAAAACAGACACATATACCAGTGGAATAGAATAGAGAACCCAGAAATAATTCCATATGTTTATAGCCAACTCTTTTATGACAAGGCACAAAGAACATATATTGGGGACAAGAAAGTCTCTTCTATAAATGGTCCTGGAAAAAACTGGATATTCCTATGCAGAATAAACTTAGACTCCTATCCCTCATCTTACACATAATCTGACTTACAGATGGAATCCAGGCTCACAAAAGCAGATAGCAGAATGGTGGTTTCCAGGGTATAGAGGAAGGAGGAAATGGGGAGTTGTTGGTCAGATGGTATCAAGTAACAGTTACACAAGATGAATACGTTCTGAAGATCTGATGTATAGCAAAATACATACAATACTGTATTGTAATGATATTTGCTAAGAGGGTAGATCTTATGTTTGTAATACACACATACACACAAAGAAAGAAAATGGTAACTGTGAGGTGGTGGATATGTTAGCTTAATTGTGGTAATCATTTCACAGTATATAGACAAATCAAAACATCAAGTTGCACACCTTATGTATACACAATTTTTGTCAATTATACCCGATAAGGATTGGAAAAACACTTCTAGGGAGAGAGCAATAATAATGACAAGGAGGGCGGATAGAAGAGGGAATAGAAGCTGGGCTGAAGGTGGAAGGAATGAGAAAAGGCATAAAAGACATACTGAAAAATGATGGCAAGCTACTAATGTTTTAAGCAAGACAATGGCAATATGGGTCGGCTGGGAGACAGCTGACATTTAACTAAAACACTGCATTAGTAGATGTATCAAAAACCTTAGAAATGTATATGCCCTGAGTTCACAGCTAACAAAATTATGGAAACAAACAGCTTTGTGGCAGATTACAGGTTGTTTTTATTGTCTTGTTGTTTTCTTTGTGTTTTGGTGCTTTTTTGTACTTCCCAAATTCTTCACAATAAACCTATATTACATTTATAATCAGGAAAAAAAAATGCCATTTGAAAAGGGTAAAGTAAAACACTAGAGTTTAATTGTTGTTACTCTAAGCGTGATGGCTTATTAGAAATGCAGAGTCTTGCCCCCCACCCCACCCCACCAAGACCCAGAGGATCAGAATATGCAGGATAATAATCCACAGGTGGTCCCTATGCAAATCTACAGTCTGAGAGGCACTCCTGTAGCTCCTCCTGATCCCATACCCACAAAAGTAGATGATGCACCTACCAGGCTCTGCTCTAAAGTCCCTAGGTGAAGACATGTTGTTCCCATCCCCTAAATGAGACTGGTAAAAGGCTTCTTCAGAAAAGGAGCCTTAGTGTCCTGTGAGTCAGGCCAAAGGTCTAGTTAGTATCCTGGGGGCCAGCAAACAATTTTTGTTCACCTGGTAAAACACACAAAGCCAAAGATTTTTCTGTTACACAACTGGAGCTATCACAGCTTTGACATATTATTACTCATCAATTCAAAATATTTAAAACTGCAATTTTAATTAAAGACAAAATAAATTTCATTTGAAATTTTATCAAATAATTTCAGGATATTCCTTGAGAACTGGAGATACGCTTATTTATTCAAATACCAGAGCTTAAATATGCTATACCTTGCATTCCACAAATAAATATGTGAATGGCCCCTCCACTCCAATGACGTATCTCTTTATATAAACACACACACACACACACACACACACACACAAATTCAATCAATGTCACTCAATGGAAACTCAGTTATTTAAACGCCACACCTAAGCTAAATTAGGTGCTGAGAATTCAGTACTGAATAAATAAGAATTAATTACAGAGACCGTCTTCAAGGAGTTCTTGTTCATTCAATCTATAAAAAGTTCTCACACAGAATAAATCTTTTTTCTTTTCTAATTCTTGCCATAAAGGGCCTGTAAGGCCATGTTACATTGCTCCCATTGGTTAAAACCAAGAATACTTTTATCTGGAGACCTTTCCATTTACTACCTGCAAATAAAATGGTATTACTATAATCTGAATCTAAAGTTAATGTGTGAAACAGATTTATTTTAAAAACTTTGAGATATAGGTGTTAAAAAATTATTTAAGACTAGGTGTAGTGGCTCATGCCTACAATCCTAGCACTTTGGGAGGCCAAGGCAGGAGGATCGCTTGAGCTCAGGAGTTTGAGACCAGCTGGGGCAATTGGGTGAAATCCTGTCTCTACAAAAATTAGACGGGTGTGGTGGCACACACCTGTGGTCCCAGCTACTTGAAAAGCTGAGGTAGGAGAATGGCTTGAGCCTGGGAGGAGGATACAGTGAGCCAAGATCATGCCACTGCAGTCTAGCCTGGGCAACAGAGCCAGACCCTGTGGCAGAAAAAATAAAATTAAACTAAATTAAAATGTGAAAGTAAGGCAAAAGATAAGTGGAATGTCACTTCAATGTCATAAAATAATGACAGGCCATCCCAAAGATTACTTATGTGGGGAAATTGTACTTTATTCAGTTCATTGTTTACTACTGATTAAAAGTCCTAGACTTAATGCAATTACAACGTAACCTATAGATTTTTGTCCAGCAGTGATACAAATAATTTCTGTCTGATAAGGTAACACTAAAGATTATAATTTATTTCTGTCTGGCATTAACCAGGTTTTCTTAATCTAATCTAGCATTCTTACTCTAACATTGGTTCAAAACGCCAGTGAAAAACCTAGATCCTCAAACTGTTCTTTGAACTACCTTTGCCATCTTCCTGGTTTCTTCACTAATTAATACATTGAGTAAAATGTTTAACCTGGTTTCATTTCAAATTTGTGAGTCACATTTATAATTTTTAAAAAACTCTGCTTTGACAAGGGGAAGAATATCTTTTTTAAATAGGAGGAGGGCTAGGCACAGTGGCTCACACCCGTAATCCCAGCACTTTGGGAGGCCGAGGTGGGAAGATCACTTGAGCTCAAGAGTTCGAGGGCAGCCTGAGCAACCCAGTGAGACCTCATCTCTACCAAAAATTAAAAAAAAGAAAAAGATAGCCAGGTGTGGTGGCACTCACCTGTAGTCCCAGCTACTTGGGCGGCTAAGGCAGGAGGATCACTTGAGCCCGCAAGATGGAGGCTGCAATAAGCTATGATTGTGCCACTGTACTCCAGCCTATGCAACAGAGCAAGACTCTGTCTCAATTAAAAACAAAAACAAAAGGATGGCAGTGTTCTTGTGACTGGCAGTGAGGTAACAGATTTCAGTAAGGAGCCTTCCCTGGAAGCAGACATGAGATCTTAAGGACCTCAGAATTAACTAAGAACCTCTAAGAATGACACCTAAGCTTCTGCCTACCAACTATGTTATTGAAAAGATACAAAATAGTACAATTTTAATTAAAGACAAAATAAATTTTGTTTCGAATTTTATCAAGTAATTTCAAGACACTCCTTGATAACTGGAGACACTCTTACTAATTCAAATACTAGGGTTTAAACATGCTATATCTTGCATTCCACAAATAAATATGTGAATGGTCCTTTACCCCAATGACTTATCCTCTTTATATAAATACACACACATATTATTAAGACCTCTCCAGTGCACAGATGAATAGACTAAAATTCATATCAAACCATACCAATAGTCAGTTGTTCAAACCTTCCATCAGAACAGCTTTGATCAGAAATGCATGCCTAATCCTAGTATTTTAATAAACAACAGTGCAGTGAGTCACAGATAACCCTACAGAAACACAAGAATTAAACTGGATAAATTTCCCTTTCCTGGCATGTTTTCTAGTATATCTTAAAATAGACAAAACAAAGCAATATTAAAATCATTAACATTTAATTCAATTTTGAGTTGCAGCTACTGTAGTAAATCAGTAATAAGATCATACAAGTCAACATCAACACATGTGTACTGAAATTTTAGGTAGCCTAGAAAAGTAAACTATATGATAAAAACAAAATCTTCATTTGCAGAAGAAAACCTTTCAGAAAATATAGTGCAAGCTTTTACCATATTTCCCACCTCCCCTCAAGCTTGGCTAAGTAAGCCCCTGCAAGTGCTTCCCCTATAAGCTCCATGTTTTATAATGATTTCTGGACTCATCTCCTCGGGTTGGACCATAAGCATCTTGAGGACAGAAACTGTAACATTTTCACTTTTCAATCTCCAGCCACTAGACTAACACAATGGAGACATGGCAAGAAATGTTTGAGGGACTAATTAGTTAAATTCCATAAAGAATGTGTATGTATCACCAGGTAACTAATCTGCATGTCCACATCAAGAACTCTGAGAAGTCACAGAGGTACCACTTGAGTGATAGGCACTCGGTCCCTTAGGGAAAGATTGTGAAAGATATTGAGGGACCAGTGGTCAGGTTCGTAAGATAAAGGTTTCCCTCCAACTCCTGGGGAAGGTGCAATAGTATAGAAAATAGAGAATTAGCCCTGATAAAAGAGAAATCCTTAAAAAAGTATTACTTATTCTGTGATAGAGCACTGAGGAAAGAGGAACAAAAGCTCCAATATGAAACAAAGTGATCCCATCTAATCATAAATAAAAGAAAAACTACAAGTGTTTGGTTTGCTCAGGAAACAAAAGCAAAACACCTTTCCTCAGGTGGCAGGGTGACATAATTGGAGAGTCACTGAATACTGTACATATTCTCAAATTCTCAGCTGGGACACTATTTTCAGTCTATCTCAAACTCTCTCAAAACTGAAGCAGGTGCTAACAAAGACTATTTCTTCACAGTGGACTTTGGGTTGGGTGCAAGATGCCAAAATAGACAATGTAAAATGACATGCTCAGCACCTTGGGCCTCTGGCAATTCTTAGCACCAGGGCTACTTCTAATTCTTGTGAAAGTTCTATCATACACTACTCCCTGAGACCTATACTAGCCTGAAGAGAAGGGAATGAAAGAAGTCTCAAATGTTCAATAGTGACTTACTCTTGCCCTACCTGTAGGCACCCCAGGGATATGAGTTCCTTCCTCTGAAATCTGTATTTCCTGTGACTAAATTCTCAGTACAAGCTTCTTAGACTACTAGTAATTATTTGGCATGTTTTATGCCTTTTAATAATGGCTCTTAGTTTTCTATAAGGAATGGTGGTATTGCTTTTTCTGATTATAAACATAACCATTAAGAAATGTCATTCCGTGGTTTCTTAATCAATCATTCCCTGTAGTGTGTGAGTATAGGACTGGGGGCTCAGAGGGAAGCAGGGAGAAGTGAAGTGCTAAAGTGCTACCTCCAGAGCCACTGACAGTTCTGCCCAATGCAATCAGGCAAAACAAGAAAAATAAAATAAAAGGATTCATATTGGGAAGGAAGAAGGAAAACCATCTTTACTTGCAAGGTTAAAAGCTTTATACATAATTACACCTCAATAAAGTTGACTTTTAAAAAGCCACAAAAAGATAATGTACTTCAATTAAAATAAAATACAGAAACTCTAGGATAAAGATAATATCAAGTTATTAATGCAAGTTTAAACATTAAAAAATAGTTGCTACCCACTCATCACAGACATGAGCAGCAAGCTCATTAAAGATTACTGTGAGCATTCATTGGAATAATGGAAGACTCAAGGTTCCAAAGGCACTGAGACCCTATATCAACAATGCTTCACCCTTGAAACCCAGGGACTGATGATGATACAGTTGCCATGAGCTACATTCTGAGTAAATACTTTATCAATTATTAGAATGGTTCAAGTAAAAGTAATGAATGACTTAAGACATCTTTCTGAAATGACTCTGTTATCTGGATGCCTCTGCTATTAGGGTGCAAGGCAAACAACCTTCTACTGTTTGTTTCATTCATGATATAAATTGCTTTGGCATATTCCCTCCAACCTCCTGAACCTCAGGTCGATCTGTTTGTCCATTTGTCTGTTTACACTTCTTTTCTTCCCTCCTTCCTACGTTCCTCTCCCTCTCTTGTGGAAGTGTATCAGTAATTATAAGAGGGTGCTTTATTTCAGAAGACACAATTCCTGTACCTCCAATCACTGTTACCAAGCAAAAGAGTTCACTGTTCAATGTGTTAGAAGCCAATACTATGGCACTGGGTTTTTGAGAAAAGAAAGACTTTTTTCTAGGTCAACCAACAAGGAGACAGGAGTCTAGCTCAAATCTGTCTTCCTGTACTGTTTTTAAGGCAGTATTTTTATTAGAAAATGTGTAGGGAGTGAATTTGGGGATAGTAGGAGATTGGTAGAAGGAAAGGGGGGTCTGAAAAGGCTTTGGGCATTTGCAGTATCTCTTCATGCTATCTCATGGGTCACATATGTAAATTCAGGGGGAGTTAGTACGAAACATGCAGTGGAAATTTGGGCTGTGGCGTCAGCAAGCTCATTCTGTGTAGACTCTAGTTTGCTGTATTGGTTCCAACTGATTTCAGCCAGTTTTGTTATCTTAAAAGCAGAGAGAATTTCAGTGTTTCAGAAAGTTGTTTTTGTTTTTTATTTTTATCAACCAATCCTATAAATTCAAGAATTTCTCTTTGCCACTGGTTAACTCTTTGGGGCACAGTTTCATTAGTAGACCTTGGCCTCCATACTCCAAAGAACTACTTATCTACTGGGTGCAGCTGAACCATTTCCATAACTGAGATCATGTAAGTCAGGAATGTATACACATTACACATGTGTGCAGACAAAAGTTCATGACTTCACCTACCAGGTCCAAGACGAGTCTCCTTAGGAATGCCTGCATACAAGCCTGGCCCTTGGCTGGTGTCTGGGAACTTGGCTGGTAAAATCATTGCCTACACTAATATAAATTTTTTCTAAATGAGAAAAGTAGCTCACTTCTCCTAAAACATCTGTTTTCCTTCTAGGTATCTGGAATTTCAGTGACTGCTATCAGTCACACTGACAGTCTGTGCTCATGACTAACCCCTGATAAAAACCCTAAACTCTTAAGCTCAGACGAGCTTCCCTGATAGACAACACTTCACACAAGTTTCCATACCTTGTTATTCAGAAAATTAAGTGCATCCTATGTGACTCCACAAGGAGAATATTCTGGGGAGTTTGTATCTGATATCCCTTGTTGATTTTGCTTTCTACCTTTTCAGTCTACCATATCTTAGCCATGAATGTGACTACCTGCTGAACCCCATGAATCCTTCTATCCAATCGTTGAACCTGGGAGAGCTCTGACAAAGGCTAGCATGGGAAAATACGTTGTCTTCCTCATTAACAGACCCTTCTTAGTTATATCTCACTTTCTAAGTTCCTGCCTTCCACTTCCTAGGAGAGAAAAAACTACACAGCATTACCTGAACATCATCCCAGGGTAATCACAGAGCAGCCATCTCCGCAAAAGAAGGAAAAATGAACTGTGTAATGTTGCAATATTTTTAACTGCAAATAATTTTGCATACAAGGCTTACCTACAATTGACCATTTTTGCACTAAATGCTTTTTTAAAGTAACAAGCTAATATCTTCTTAATATAAAAATATACATGTCCAACAAAATTTAACTTGTTCTGCTATCATGAAAAGAGGAATTCCAGACAAATGTCTCATAATGTGCAGTCAGTGGGCTTATATAAATAAGGACTAAAATTACAAGCTCAATAAAAGATCATCAAACCAGGGAAAACTCCAAGTAAAATTATAATACACAGTTGTCCCTCCCACCTGAGACTCACCTGAGACTCATACTTTCCTTCCAACATGCCTGTTCTGCCTATTCCCTCAAGACTCAGACTTCAAATGAGTTCCCTTTAAGTAGATAAGAACAGTTTCGCAACGGATTCCAGAAAAACCAATATGCCACCTAAAGGACAAGGAAGGCATCTACACTAAGAAAATGAAAAGAAGTCAGAGAGAGAACTTCCTGACTTACTCAGATTATATACCCATGGGTCCACATATGCCTAAAGGCCAACCTTGTCCTTAATCTTTAGTCACTCAATCTATAAAATAAAAGATTTAGAAAAGGGCTATGGGCAATATGGATCTTTTGCAGGTACAAAATTTTTTAAGTCCATAAACTTTCTCTTTAAAACACTGAAGACCATTAGTGATGGTTATAATATTCTTGTCTGAACTGAGAGCTATAGTCAGGCTCCTTTTAGAAGCCCTGCCATGAACAGAGAAAAAAGAAAAGGCATGTTCCTACTCCTCTATCCTCTGTAGACATCTTCTCCGTGATAAGTTAATAATGAGAAGAGAAAACCAACCTTCTAGCTTTCTCATCATTTAATGGTTTGAACCCTGAGTTTCTGCAGCCTGGAAAAAAAAAAAAAAAAAAGAGGAAGCAGCAGCAGCAGCAGCAGCAAGTTCTCCTCATCTGAAATTCTTCCCTCTCCTAGCTCACCTTCCCCACCTTCTCACTCCTTTGTGGTCCTCACAGTCAGATATGAGGTAATAGGTGGAAAATACTTCCCTGTGATAAGGCAGTGATGCCTGAGCCACCCACTTCTGGTAAGAAAGCTGTTCCTAAAGAATAGCAAATGGTACTCATGTTTTGGGGGACTCTATGCTACTTAGAAGCGAGTGGCTAAAGTTGCACGGTGACTAATTCAAGAACAAACAGAAGAAAAGGACAAACAGAAAAATAAACAGAAAGAGGCATGCCCTTAGCCTCAATCAGGTAGTTCTAAGAAAGTGATTAGGATGGTTCGGAGACCACCAGCCCCATACCTTATCCAGTCACCAAACAACCCAGGCTGGGGTGTGGTTGCCTGGCAACCACACCTTCCATGTACCGAGTATGTCACAAATATGTCTTTCCGGTGTGTGATCTCTTGACTGTGAAAAGTAAAACGCTAAATCAATTCAGCAGGCTTTGAGTGTCTACAATGTGCTAGTCACTGTATCAGAGATGTGGATCCAGGGATGATGCAATAACTTCTGCCTCCAAGGAGCTCATAGTTTAGTGGACATCTGGCAAAGTACTCACTGATTCTTGACAATTCATATAATCATATCAATAGATGCAAAAAAGCATTTGACAAAATCCAAATTCCATCCTTGATTTAAAAAAAAAAATTCTTGGAAAACTAGGACTAGAGGCAAACTTTCTCAACTTGATAAAAAATATCTACAAAAAAAATCTACAGGGAGAATCTAGAGGCTTTCCCCTAAGATAGGTAACAAGGCAAGGATGTTCTCTTTTACCACTCCTATTCAACATCTTATACAACTTCTGACTAATTCAGTAACAAAAGGCATACAGTTGAAAAGGAAAAAATAAAACTGCCTTGCTTCTCAGATGACATAAATGTCTATATAAAATATCTCAAAGAATAAACAAAAACAATTAGCCACTTAATCTATAAAATAAAAGATTTAGAAAAGGGCTATGGGCAATATGGATCTTTTGCAGGTACAAAATTTTTTAAGTCCATAAACTTTCTCCTTCAAACACCGAAGACCTGGAACTTAGCTGGGCGTGGTGGCTCACACCTGTAATCCCAGCACCTTGGGAGGCTGAGGCATGCGGATCACTTGAGGTCAGGAGTTTGAGACCAGCCTGACCAAGATGGTGAAGTGCCATCTCTACTAAAAATACAAAAAATTAGCCAGGCATGGTGCCGTGCACCTGTAATCTCAGCTACTCGAGAGGCTGAGGCAGGAGATTCTCTTGAACCCGGGAGGCAGTGGTTGCAGTGACCTGAGATCGCGCCACTGCACTCCAGCCTGGGCAACAGAGCGAGACTCCATCTCGAAATAAATCAATAAATAAAAACTCCTGGAACTTAATAAGCAATTACAGCAAGGTTGCAGAATACAAAGTTAATATGCAAAAGTCAATTCCTTTTCTATAAACCAGCAATTAACAATTGGAATTGGAAATATAAAACACAGTATCATTTACATTAGCTGCTCCCCAAAACTGAAATATACAGGTATAAATATAACAAAATATATACAGGATCTATATGAGAAACTCTACCAAACTTTGACAAAGGAAAGCAAATATCTAAACAAATGGAGAGATATTTCATGTTCATGTATAGAAACACTCAATATTTTTAAGACCTCAATTCTTCCCAATATGGTTTATAAAGCCAATGTAATTCCAACAAAAATACCAGCAAATTGTTTCATGGGTATCAACAAATTCATTCTGAAGTCTATATGAAAACGCAGAAAACCCAAAATAATCAACAAAATACTAAAGAAGAACAAAGTTGGAAGACAGATAATACAAGATTTCAAGACAAGACCACAAGGTACTGTTGAAAGAATAGACAAATAGATCAATGGAACAGAATACAGTATCCATATAAATATATCCACACAAATGTAGTCAACCGATCTTTAGTAAAGAAGCAAAGAAAATTCAGTGAAGAAAGAATATTCTTTTTCAAAAAATGATAATGGAACAGACCTTACACCTTTCACAAAAAAATAACTCAAAATGAATCACAGACCTAAATGTAAAACACAAAAACTCTCAAACTTCTAGAAGATAACTGTATTGGTGCCCAAGAGCTGCTATAACATGGTACCACAAACTGGGTGGCTTAAAAGAAGGGAAAACAAATCTGAAAATTAGAAGCCTTAAATCAAGGTGTCAGCAGGGCTGCACTCTATCTGAAGGCTCTAGGGGAGTATACTTCCTTGTCTCTTCCTGTCTTTTGGTGGTTGCCAGAAATCCTTGGACAGCACGATTCAACTGTCTCACACAATTTAAACCACAACAGTCTTCTCTCCAATCCCCCAAAAGTCATATCCTTACTGTATGCAAAATACATTCACCCCATTTCAACATCTCCAGGACCCTTGACCCATTCCAGCATCAACTCTAAGTCAAAATTGCCTCTAAATATCAACTGTAATGTCCCAAATCTCATCTCCTAAATCACCTAAATCAAGTATGTGTGAGATCCTGGGTATGGTCCAGCCTGGGGCAAAGTTTCTCTCCTATGGACACTGAAATCCACAAAACAAGTTATCTGCTTCCAAAATACAACAGGCATAGGACAGACAGTCACCTTCCAAAAGGGAGAAACTGGAAGGAAAAAGTGGGTCACAGGTCTCAAACAAGTCCAAAACATGGCAGGGAAATTTTCATTAGGTTTCCAGGGCCTGAGAGGGCTGTCTGGATCCATGAGTCACCAGGTAATCTTTTCAGTGAATGGTTGTTCAGCCACACCCTTGGTCCTGTTTCGGGAGTATGTTTCCTGGATTGGCTGAGAACTTTCAAACCCATCAAGTGCTGGTTCCTTTGCTTAACAATTCCTTCCTCAAGTTATCTCTTTCCTTTTGCATTTCACTATAAGCAGCAAGGAGAAACCATGGCCCCATCTTTCACGCTTTACTTAGAAATCTCCTCAGCTCACTGCCTACAAGTTCTGCTTTCCACCCACAGGTAAAACACAGTTCACCCAAATTTCTGCCACTCTGTAATAAGGATCACTTTTCCTCCAGTGTCTGATAATATATTCACCACTTCCTTTCTAAGGCCTCACAAGAAGCACCTTTAAAGTTCACATTTCTAGTAACATTCTGTTCATGACAACATATGTATTCTCTAAGATGCAAAGAATCTATGATAGATGCTTTTTCTAAAATTCCCCTCTCTACTGAGCCTTCACCAGAATCACCTTTAATATCTGTATTTCTACCAATAGTCTTTTCAAAGCAGTCTAGGCTTTTTATGTTATGCACCTAAAAATTATTCCAGTCTATACACAATTCCAAAGCCACTTACATGTTTTTTAGGTAGTTATTCCAACAGAAAAAGATTTCCTGGTATCAAAATATGTATTCATTTCCTATGGCTGCCATAACAAAGTGCCACAAATTGGATGGCTTAAAAATGCAGAAATGTATTCTCTCACAGTTCTGGGGGCAGAAGTCTGAGGGTGGCAGCAAGGCCATGCCCTCTGTTAGGCCCCAGGGAAGGATGTTTAATTGTCTCTTCCTAACTTTTGGTGGTTTCAGTAATCCTTGATGTTCCCTGGTTATAGACATCCCACTCCAATTTCAGCCTCTGCTGTTACATGAATTTCTCCCTCTGTGTCCAAATTTCCCTTGTTTTATAGGGACACCAGTCATTGCATTAGGACCTCAGCTTAACTTGTTTAACATTTGCAAAGATCCTATTTCTAAGTAAGGTTGGACTCACAGGTATCTGGGGTTAGGACTTCAAAATATTCTCTTGGGGTATAAAATTCAACCACACAACAATAATAAAAGAGAAAATCTATGTGACCTTGGTTTTGGCAATGAGATTTTAAATACAACACCAAAAGGATAATCCAGGAAACAAAGTTGATAAGCTGGACTTTATTAAAATTAAAAACTTCTTTTCTGCAAAATACACTGTTAAGAGACTACAAAGACAAGCTACAGACCAGGAGAAAATGTTTGAGAAAGCACATATCTGACAGAAAATTTCTAATAAAAAATAAACAAAGAACTCTTAAAGCTCAACAATGAGAAAACAAACAACCTCATTTAAAAATTGGCAAAATAGGCATGCCACTGCAAATTCCGTGAAACAGGAGAAAAACTGTGAGTTCCCAAAGTGTAAGAGGGAGAAAACCGACCTCCAAACACACATCCCTGCTGGGAATCTGAAAATCCAGATCACAGGAGAAGAATTTAACCTTACCTAGAGATGGAAGGGATTTAGAGAGTCACACAAAATATGAAAGTAGAAGTAGCAGCAGGAAGTGCCTTGTATGCACTCCCAGTCTCCAGCTCGAGCACAGGGACGCCATCCCTGACTATATCTCACTGGGGCCCTTGTGGAAGACAACCAGCAGAACTGCGGAAGTGTTGTGGGGTGAAGAAAGCTCCCAGATGAAATTGGTAGTGGTTTCGACTGGGCACACATTTTCTGGAGTGGAGTCCAAGGAAGGAGCAGGAGCTGCTGCAGATACAAGCAAGTACAGGAGTACAAGAACTGCCACCAACAGAGCAGGGGCAAGGTCTGGGCGGGGCATTGCAGGATATGCGGGCTTGCCAACTGCATGGGAGTTGAGTCAGGCCTCTTGCTACTGGCTATCCCTGACTTCCCTGGCAAACTATATAATACAGTAGAGGCGGCCAAGATCCCCTATGGAACATAACCCCATTGGCCGGAGAACCAACCCCCAGCCCCCACAGTGGCCTCAGCAAGCCCCGCCCAAGGAGCTTGCCTAACCCTGCTGCCTAACCAGACCTGCCTAACCCTGCTGCCACCTGACGGCATTTCCCTACCTGCCCTGGTAGCCTAACACAAAACATAGAAACTCTGGGGAGCTTCATCCCCTGAACCCTGCCCCCAGCACCCTCTGCTCTGGAGGGTTGTCTTTAATTGTCTATGGAGCATATATATATACTCTTTCCCTATGGTATATAAGCCCTGAGTCTGGGGAGTAATGGTGTGAACATCTACCTGTCTTACACGAACACATTTCTGCCCAAGAACACATTTCTGTCCATAAGTTTCCCCTAAAAATCACCCTCTGCCAATAAACTAGATATGCCTGCCTCATTCTTTGATTTCTTGGCTCCTTCTGTATTTGGAGGTTATTTTGCATATATGGCCCTTTCAAGGAATATCTATCTATATAAAGATAAAACAATAAGCTATCAAGCTATAATAAGATATGGAGAAAGCTTAAATCAATGTTTCTAAAGAAAAGAAGCCAATTTGAAAGGCTGCATACTATATAATTCCAACTATATGACACTAGGAAAAGCAAAACTTTTGAGACAGCAAAAAGATCAGTGGTAAGCAGGGGTTCAGGGGTTGAGCTAGAATAATGAACAGAAGAAGCACAGAAGACTTTTAGGGCAATGAAACTATTTTATATGATACTATAATTGTGGATACATGACATTATACATTTGTCAAAACCCATAGAAATGTACAATATAACTAGTGAACCTTAATGTAAACTACAGACTTCAGTTAATACTAATCTATAGATATTGGCTTATTAACTATAGCAAATGTACCAAACAAACACAACATATTAATAACAGGGAAAACCATGGGGCTGAGGGGGTATAGGGTAACTTTCTGTACTATCTACTCAATTTTTTAATAAATCTAAAACTGTTCTAAAAGTAGTCTGTAAAATAAGATTTTTAAGAGCAAACAGAACAAGAATTTTAAAAGATAATTGTCTGAAGCACAAATAATGACAATTATATGGTGCACTTTATAAGATATGTAGATGTAAAATGTATGGCAATCATAACACAAAGTATGGGTGGGAAATAATGGAAGCACACTGTTGTAAGGTATATATATTATACTATATGTGAAATGATATATTATTTGAAGGTAGACTGTGACAAACTTATACAGCCTAGAGTAACCACTAAGAAAAGAATAAAAAGAAGGAGAAGAAGCATGGAGGAGAAAAAGCAGAAGCAACATAAGGGCAGAGTGGAGATAAAATGGAGTAAAAAATTGAGTCATTAAAGAAAGCCTCATTTAAGCCAAAAGGGTATGGGAAAAGAAGGGACTAGATTAAAGAACAGGTAAGGCAAGCGCAAACCTGGCAAGATGATAGATTAAGATCTAATCATATCAATAATTATATTAAATGTAAATGGTCTGGCCATCCAAATTAAAAGTCAGGGATTGTCTGACTGGATTAAAAAAGTGAGATCCAATTATATACTGTCTACAAGGAACCCACCGTACATATAAAGACATTGATAAACTAAAAAAATGGAAAAAAGATAACCCATGTAAACACTAATCAAAAGAAGGTAGAATGGCCATATTAACATCGACAACATAGACTTTAAAAAATGATAAACATTTCCAGAAATGAAAAGGGGCATTACATAATACATAGGAATTCTAAATGTGTGTGTATCCAACAACATAGCTTCCAAAGTGATAAAATGAAAACTGAAATGAAAAAAACAGAAAAATCTACAACAATGTTGGAGACAAGTAGGCAGATAATAAGGACACAGAAAACCTGAACAACATTATGAAGCAATTTGGCCTAACTTTTATAGGGCATCCCAGCCAACAACAAAATAAGTATTAAAGTGGACACGGAACATTCACAAGGATAGTCCATATTCTGGGCCTAAAAACAAACCATAAAACATTAAACTGAAATACAAAATATGTTTTTAAAAATGGAATTAAAATAGAAATCAACAGAAATAAACCTTTAAAATTCTAAAATATTTGGAAATTAAACAATATATTTCTAAATAACTCCCAATTCAAAGAAGTGACAAAGGAAATTACACAATATTCTGAATTGAATGAAGGTAAAAATACAACATCAAAATTAGTGGATGCAGCTAAAACAGTGCTGATAGAGAAATTTATAGCATTAAATATTTATATTGGGAAATAATAGAGGCCTCAAATGAGTAATCTAAGTTCTTACCTTAAGAAATTAAAAAAGAAATTAAATCCAAGGCAAGCAAAAAGAGGGAAATAATAAAGAGGAAAAAAAATCAATGAAATGGAAAATAAAAAAATAACAGAGAAAAATCAATGAAACCCAAAACAGGTCCATGAAAAGATTTTAAAAAAAATTGCTAACCTCTAGACCCTCAATGTCCAGTAGAACTTTGTATAATGATGAAAACATTCTATATAGCAGCACCCTCCAATGTGGAAGCCACTTGGGACTACTGATCACTTAAAATGTGGCCAGTGTGACTGAGGAACTCAATTTTTAATGTAATTTTATTGAAATTAATTTACATTTAAATAGACACATGTGACTAGGGATAACTATTGAACAGTGCAGCTCTAGAATTGACTACTGAAAGAAAGGAAGGGGTGGGAAGGAAAGAGGAAGAGGAAGAGATAAAGGAGGGAGAGAAAGAGGGAGGCAGAGAAGATGAGATACACAAATAACCAAAATCGGAAATGAAATGAAAAAGAGGACTTCACTACAGATCCTAATGTTAGTGCCATTAAAAGGATAATAAGAAAGTATTACAAACAACTGTATGCCAAAGTTGATAACATAGATGAAAAAAACTAATTCCTTGAAAGACACAAAGTACTAAAGTTCACTCAAAAAGAACTGAGTAGCATATACAATCTGAATAGCCATATATAGTTTTAAAAACTTGAGTCCATGGTATAAAACTAACACAAGGAAACTCTAGGCCCAGATACCTCCCTGTTGAACTCTACCAAACCTTTAAGGACGAATAACAATCCTATACAAAATGTTCCAGAAAATAGAAAAGAGAACACTCCAAACTAATTTATGAGACCACCATTAACCTTGATACCAAAATCAAGAATATTACAGACCAATATCTTTATACACCAATATCCCTCATGAATGTATATGCAAAAAAATCCTTAACAAAATATTATCAAGTAGAATAGATTTATTTCTCCATTTATTTGGTTTTCTCTCTTCAATGTTTTAGAGTTTTTAGTATTCAAATATTACAGAACATCATTAGATTTATCCCTCAGTTTTTCATGTTTTTGATACCATTGTAAACTGTATTTCTAAGTTTTAATTTCCAATTGTTCATTGCCAGTGCTAAATACAATTGATTTTTGTATATTGGCCTCACATCCTGTGTCTTTGCCAAAGTCATGTTATTTCTAGTTGCTTTTTTGTAGATTCCTCGGGCTCCTACATAAACAATCATGTTGTCTGCAAATAAAGACAATTTTATTTCTTCCTTTTTTATCTGTGTACATTTATATCTTTTCCTTCCTTTATTTCACTGACTAGGACCTCCCTATAACGAACAGAAATTGTGAATGGAACATCCAATGTGATGCTGGTATAAGAATAGACATATACCTCAGCAGGAAAGAACAGAGAGATTAGAAATAATTCACACATAGCAACAATTGATTTAGGAGGGGAAAGGTGCCAAGATAATATAATGGGGATAGGATAGTGCTTTCAACAAGTGTGTGGGAAAATGAGACATCCACATACAGAATTATGAACTTCACCCCATACTCATATTAT
This sequence comes from Homo sapiens, assembly GCF_000001405.40. Lineage (NCBI taxonomy): Eukaryota > Metazoa > Chordata > Mammalia > Primates > Hominidae > Homo > Homo sapiens. Next base: position 46,916,890 of record NC_000010.11, on the reverse strand, counting down.
GTACAAAAATCCACTCAAAATAGATGACAGACCTAAATGCAAACTCTAAACCTATAAAACTTCTAGCTTAAAGCTTAGGGGAAAGCTTTTGTGACACTGGATTACACAAAGATTTCTTAAGACACTAAGCACAAACCACAAAAGAAATAATTGATAACTTGACTTTGAAAAAATCAAAAGCTTCTGCTCTTCAGAAGACAGCATTAAGAAAATGCAAAGTCAAGTCCCAGTCTGGGAGAAGATATTTGCAAAACACACATCTGAGGAAGGACCTATATCCTAAATATATAGACCCTTATAACTCAAAAAGAGGACGACCCAATTTTAAATAGTCAAAAGATGTGAACAGATACTTCACCAAAGAAGAAACATAGATGGCAAATAAATATATGAAAACATGATTAAGACAACTGGTCAACATAAAAATGCAAAGGAAAACCATACGAAATACTGCTACATACCTACTAGAAATGCTAAAATCAAGCACACACACACAGTCCAATACAAAGTGATTCTGGTGAGGATGTGGAGCAAATGGAATCTCATGCATTGCTGCTGGGATCTCTACTCATCATCTTGCTTTATTTTTCCCAAAACCACTTTTTATTACCTTAAAGTTTGCTTACCCATGTAAGTCCATATATATCTTCTCACATGTTTATTGTCTATCTTCCCCAATATAAGTACTATGAGGCTGGCAACTTGGTCTGTCCTGTCATCACTGTGTCATTCTGGCACCAAGAACAGTGTCTGGCAATCTTTACATATTTATTAAAAGTGAGGAAGGGGTGGAAAGAAAAGACACTAAGACATCTATAAGTGAATATATGAAGGCAAGGAACCCAGTCACAGCCATCTACAGAGGAGCGTTAAGAGAAAATTAATTTAGACCACCAGGAAGCTGCATGTTGTAATGCATGATTCCCAATTTCAGCTGCACATTAGAATTAGCTGGAGAGCTTTGCAAAATCCCAATTCCAGGCCACACCAGACCAACAAAATCTGAATCTCTGAGAATGGAACACCAGCACTGGTCATTTTTTTTTTTTTTTTTAGACGGAGTCTTGCTCTGTTGCCACGCTGGAGTGCAGTGGTGCCATCTTGGCTCACTACAACCCCCACCTCCCAGATTCCAGTGATTCTCCTGCCTCAGCCTCCCAAGTAACTGGAACTACAGGTGCATGCCACCACGCCCAGCTAATTTTTGTATTTTTAGTAGAAATGGGGCTTCACCATGCTGGCCAGGATGGTCTTGATCTCTTGACTTCGTGATCCGCCCGCCTCAGCCTCCCAAAGTGCTGGGATTACAGGCGTAAGCCACCACACCCAGCCAAGCACTGGTAATTTTAAAGTTCCCAGGTGATCCCAGTGTGCACTCAAAGTTGAGAATCACTGAAAAAATGGAACCTAGACCTTGGAAATGTACACAACTGAGTGTGCAAGCTACTTAACCTCCCTTAGCCTCAAAATTCTCATCTACAACATGGGAAATATATGTACCTCCCAGAGTTGCTGAAATATTGAGATTCTATATAAGGCTCTCAGGAAATGTAAATTCTCATCCCCAAGGGAAACTTGATCAAATCTTCATAGCTTAGGGTAAGAAATGCTAATTCTACCAGCAATTCACATTTTTCATTGTTAGCTGATTATTTTATTGAACATTTACATTGAGGAAATTCAGAAATGCTCATTTTTCCACTTTCCTGGTGGTAAGATGCTGCCTGAAGCTATGTTTAAATTTTCAAGAGTAAATAAACTATGGCGGGAAATCTAGCTGACTATGCCAGTGAATCTCAAACCTAGCTGTACATTAGAATCATCTCAGAAATTTTTTTAAAGAAACACACGTATGTCCAGAACTCACCAGGCCAAATTAAATCAGAATCCCTGGGGTGGCTCCAGAATATCAGTATTTTTTAAAAAAGCTGATAGAAAGGTAATTGTAAAACACAGTCAGGGCTTAAAAGCACTGATTTGTACTAACGATATGCCATGCTAACTGCACATCACAGTCACTTGGGGAGCTCTTAAAAAAGTTGATTGATTCCAGAACCCTACCGAGACTTACTGATTCAGAATCTGTGGAAGTGGAGCCTGTCATTGTGCAAATCTTCATAAAACTCCCCACTGGTGATTCTGATGCAAACTCACTGAGAACCACTACTTTGTATCATACATTTACTCTACGTGTTGTATATCAGAAAGATCATTTAAAACTTTCAGTGGTCTCAAATGCCAAGCCTGCCAGTTACTTTTAATCAGTAACTGACACAACACATCACAGTAACTCCAATGACTTTACAGATCTTTTCAGAACACTTTTATGTCCAGCCCACTGACCCACATCACCTACCCTATGCTGTGCCAAATACTGGCTATGTAGTCCGTTGGTATTTCTAACCAAATTCCTCTAAATGGGCTGCTGATCTGGGAAAAGCAACATGGAATCACATTACTCCCCAAGCCTTATTCCCCTTTGCTAAGTGGTATGTAATGCCAGGATTAATGAAATGAACTCTATTGGTCAAATGAGTCTGAATGAAATCTGAGTTGTTGTCTGCTCCTGGAAGCAAACTGTTATCTATTTGTTTCCCTCAGAGAGATAAACTCAGAGGAAACAGGAGTGATCCCTGAGGTGGGAATAATATAGTGGGCTGCAATTTTAAAACTCTGCTTAGACAATAACAGGACACTTGGAATCTTATTTTGATAGATCAAACCAATCAGTATATACAGCACCATGGTGGTACTACCAGGCAGGTGATAATAGTAGCATTTAAACAACCAGGCACTATATTAGGCATATTAAATATATTAACTCATGTGATTCTCAACTGCGATGATAATAGCCCTATCAGGCAGGTACTATTATTATTTCCATTTTGTCAAAAAAGAAACAAAGGCACACAGAAGTTAGATGATTTACCCAAAGTCCCATAGCTACTAAGTGGCAGTTTTCTGAAACCAGGCAATCTGGCTTTGGAGTCCAACATCTTAAGTACTCCACTGCAATGCAGATGAGTGATGGCCAAGCAGTTTAAAAAAAAAGAAAAAGTTATTGTCTGCAGTAGAAACTGGAGGTCAGGGTATGGGTACCTTGGGCAAATTACTTAACCTCTTGGAGCCTATTTTTGCATCTGAAAAATCAGGATAATAATTGTACCTGCCTTGTAGAGCTGAGGTGATGATTAAACAAGATTAGGCATGTGATGTGCTTAGAAAAGTACTTGGCACTTTTAAGAGCTTTCTGTCAGCCATTATTATTATTTGTATTTTAAAACAGCTCAAGTGGTCAGGGAGAAATGAAAATCTATTAAACTGAAAATTTTCCTGCCAATCTTAGATTTGTAGATTCTGTAGATTACCAGTACATCAGATCCAATATGAAATGCAGTCATAAAAGATTTTCACAAAAACTTAAGGACTGTCACTGTGACAAACCCCAGCCCAAACAGTCCAGGACAATGGCTCTAAAAAGCAAACATCTTCAATTATCAAGCTGTGTACATGTAAACACAACAGGAACCAGACTTCTGAGTAGCTGCAAACTGCAGTTCTCTGTGATGGGAGAACATGCCCCAGAACAGCCTGTCAAGTGGTAATTGCCAGCCATCCTCAGTCACATATGTATAAACAGAAAAGAAAAACAAAACGAGGGCTCAAATAAAAAGCGTTAACATTCATTAAACGCCTGACACTCTATTAAATGTTTTTCATGCATTACCTTCTTTAATCCTCACAACACCCTTCCAAAGTTGAACATGAAACAACCACACTGGTTTATATCACTTTAAATGTAAGACTACACGTCTCAAATGGGCCCTGAGCACTGCCTGGGAATCCAACTCTATTTCTCTAGTACGCTCACTTTCACCCTCTCTAGGACTCTGTCACATATCTCTCCTCCAAGTTCCCACACCTTTCCTCTCCCCCGCTGCCCTCCCTCTAAGCTGATGGATGCCTATACCAATAGACTCTTTTCCCACCACCCACTGTATCTGCACCTGTTATCTCAGCTTCCCCTCTAGTTACAACAGAGTAAGTGTCCCTGCTCATTTCAAAACCAACTACTCACCTGCTTAGGGTCTTCTCCTTTCTCAGGTATTCAACAACTACCCTTTACAATGTTCCCCTCTTTCATCTGCAGCAGTTTTTCCTTTCTACGAGTTTAATCACATTGCCATATAAACATTCTGCTTTCTTCTATCTTGAAAAAAACTCTACCCAACCTTAAGGCCCCTCTTCCCCATTAAAGTTGTTCTTGTCAAAATGATTAAAATCCTCCTAATTACCAAAGTCATCTTATACGGTAACATTCAACATGGTTGACCACTACCTCCCTCCCTTTTTTGGCTTCGCCTCCTCTTCTTTGTGTACACTATTAAACTAGATGTCTTCACCAGTCCCATATATTTTAAATACTATGTACAGTATATGATGCCGATTCCAAAGGTTAACTCTAGCCCGACATCCTCCAGAACTTCAGATTTAAATTTCTAAAAAGCACATTTGATATCTCAACCCAAATATCTACTAGATAATTTATGTGTGTATATTTCACCATACTAAAAAAAACTACCAGGTGACTGATAAATGGAGAGAAGGTGAATAGGTAATGTGAAAAATCAAATGTGCTAAATATTCATGGCACCTGTAGGTGGTAGGTGGTCAGAGTCCTCTGCAAAATTCTTCCCAGCTATGCTTATGTCTTCTATTGGGAAAAACCTACTGGGCATCTCAAACCTAACACATTCAAAACATAAGTACTGATTCCACAACTTCCAAAAATGAAACCTACCCCATCCTACAGTTTTCCTTGAGTCAAGGCTAGCATATGAGGGCCTTGGCATATGGGGGCATTGCCTATCGCGTTCATAGATATTCTGAGCTTCTAGAACAGCATCTGGCACACAGGAGGCGTTCAAAATAGCTGCTGAATGGATTGATGAATTCATGTTCTTTCTTTCTAGGTCCCTCGACCTCCACCCGCCCTTGAGTCATTGGGAAGTTCTGGGCTGTCTCAGCGCCTGATGATGGCTTCTTACCAATCATACCACACGGCTGCTCCTCAGGGAGTTGGTGGCATTCCCCTACCACAGAGCCACAGGGTTCCTGTCCCGGTCCCGTCTCGCATAGGCGCCCCAACACGCGTCACAGTGCAGCTGGCATCACACGGCCAGAATCACGTCCTGCCCTCTGGCTGCAGCGACACTACTTCACAGCTCAGGCCCACCCGGGCAGTCTCCCGGGCCAGGGCCACAACCCACGCCTTGTGACCCCTGCACGTCAACGGCATCTTCCTTCTTCACGCCCGCCCTCCCACAGCCCGGCGCAGCGGCCTCCCGCACGCCCCCTGCCCACCTGGCCCCCAGCCACCTTTCCTCACCTGGGCCTGCGGGGCCGCCCCAACTGTCCCGCTGCAACCCCAGCAGCCTCGCCAGTTGGGTCCACGCCTAGCCTGCCGGCCTTCGTCGCTATCCAATCCCACCTGCGCCCGCGAGCCTGCGCACTGGAGCTTTGCCCTGCGCCGCGGCACTCTGCCCTGCGCCGCGGCCCTCTGCTTGCCAGGCCGGGAGAGACAGAACCTGCCTCTACCGGTCTTCCAAGGCACTGAGAGCCCATCGCCGCGGACGCCGCTGTAAATTCCCTGCGGGCCCTGTGCACCACCCTGTGCGGGTCCCCCTCTCCCAGGCCAGGCTGATAATGTCAACAGCTCTCTGAGCTATGCTCATATCCTGAACCACTGAGGACTGTGTTCTCCAGGAATGCTCGCCTGACCCACGCCTGCCCTCTAAGCCCCTAATGAGGCCCCAGAGGGCTGGGGTGGGGGGGTCTCTTTGTAGTATCAGAGCAGGGCAGATAGGCAAAAGGAGTCAGAGCCTGTGCCAGAATATGAGGTCAGTTGGCTGCTAGGTCAATTAAGACAACTTCAGCAAGGGTGGTCAATGTAGAGGGAATTCAATCGTTGGCATTGCCTGAAAACAGGAAGCCAGAATCTTTTTATCTTGACGAACAAACCTCTATTCATTGGTCCTGACCTGAGCCACTTTGGTGAATCCAGATACCCTGAAGGTGTGACAAGACCTGCCTCACTTATCCCCCAGCCTTCAGTGCTGGTCCCACAGAGAGCCATATGCTTGAGCTGAACTGCAGTTAAGCAGTGACAGCTACCCTCTGTCCAGGCTCTGAGGCCAGCCTTCTGCTCCGTGAGTCACTGACAGTGAGTCTCTACAGAGACTTTTTCTTTCTGTAGCAGCCAAGGTACCCTGCAAGCAACCCACGCCATTGCCATATGTCTTAGTTTGTTTGTGTTGCTATAAAGCAATACCTGAGGCTGGGTAATTTATAAAGAAAAGAGGTTTGTTAGTTTCACAGTTTCACAGGCTGTAAAAGAAACATGGCACCACCACCCGCTTTTGATGAGGGCCTCAGGAAGCTTCCACTCATGGCAGAAGACAAAGGAGAGCCAATGTGTGCAAGACAGAGGAAGAGAGAGAGGTGGGAGGTGCCAGGCTCTTTTCCATGACCAGTTCTCATGAAAACAAAGACTAAGAACTCACTCAGTTCCATGAGACTAGCACCAAGTCATTCATAAAGGATCTACCCACATGACCCAGACACTTCCCACCAGGCCCCACCTCCAACATTGGGGATCAAATTTCAACACTAGATTTTATTTATTTATTTATTTATTTTGAGATGGAGTCTCGCTCTGTCGCCCAGGCTGGAGTGCAGTGGCGTGATCTCAGCTCACTGTAATCTCCACCTCCCCAGTTCAAGTGATTCTCCTGCCTCAGCCTCCCCAGTAGCTGGGACTACAGGAGCATGCCACCATGCCTGGCTAATTTTTGTATTTTTAGTAGAGACGAGGTTTCACTGTGTTGGCCAGGCTGGTCTTGAACACCTGACCTCAGGTGATCCGCCCGCCTCAGCCTCCCAAAGTGCTGGGATTACAGGCATGAGCCAACGCACCCAGCCCAACATTAGATTTAGATGGGACAAATATCCAAACTATATCACCAGGGTAAGATTCCCCTTTAAAGATGGACCCCATGTCTAATGTTTCTTCATAGTGCCTAACATCAAGATTCTGCACTGGTCATCATTTCACAAACATGAGCAGCATGGCTGCTCCAAGACACACAGAGGGAATAACCCCCATTCACATCACCAGGAAATCCTTGCATGGAGGCTAAATGAACAGTTGGTAAGAGTGGACCCTGAGGTGTCATTCCATCTCCCCCAGACTTCCTGCTTGACCACACAATATTCCCAGAAGCCAGTGACCCAGAAGGCTCTTCTTGGCTTTCTGTCCTTTTACCTGTGAAAAATTCGAAGAACTATAAAGTTTAGGGCCCATCACAGTTTACTACCCTTCTTTGGAGGCCTCTTTAAACCCTTGAGTCTTACCAATTACCAGTAGCACTAGGAGCTTTGCAAGCCTGGCCTTAAGTCCCTGCTTTGCTACTGAATAGTTGGTGACCTTTGGCAGGTTACTTCCCAACTTGTGTCTCAGTTTTCCTTTTTTTAAAAAAGGAGACACAGTTGCAAGTGTTTAATGAGACAAAAAACAGAAGCATTCATCACCACGCCTGGCAGTGAACACTGCTTTTCTTGCTCAAGAGGTTTGAGCCATACGCTTCTCTAGGTCTGTGACTCTCCCAGAGTTTCTGGGAGTTCCTCTGTGAGCAACAGACCCACTGCAGTCTCCATACTTCAGGGGTAAGCCTGGATGCCCTTCACACATCAGTCTGGATGAGTTCATGCACCACTCATCCAAAAGTGAATCCAAAAGTGATTCCAAAAGCAGAGGCCAGAGATCTAGTTGCTAATGTTGCCTCTCCTCATGGTTCTAGGATTCAGCCACACAGGGCTTCCCATTGCAGCTTCAGGTCCTCCTCACTCCCCAGTGCAGGCCCAGTTTCACTCTCAGGTCCTCCAGCCCAGGCCTCAGTTCTGCCTCTTTTAGTCCATCCCTCCAGATCCACTTTCCAACAGGGCTGGGAAGTCGCTTGGTTGTCCCCTGCCTGCTGCACCACAGCCCCCAGACACCGCCTCCTTATTTCCTGCATGGTCCGAGGCTCAATGCTAATCCCTGGGTGTCTTAGTCTGTTTTGTGCTGCTATAACAGAATTCCTGAGCCTGGATAATTTGTAAAGAACAAAACATTTTTTTCTCACAGTTCTGGAGAATGGGAAGTCCAAGATCAGGTGCCAGCATCTGGTGTGAGTCTTCTTGCTGCATCCTCCAGAGGAGAGGAACATTGTGTCCTCATGTGGCAGAAGGCAGAGAGCAAATAGGAAAAAGGAAGGCAAACTCACCCTCTTCTAATAGCATTAATCTCACCCAGAAGGACAGAGTCCTCATGGTCCTTTCACCTCCCGAAGGTCCCACCTCCTAACACTGCCACAGCAGCAACCAAATTTCTTTGAATATTAATACATGAGTGTGGGAGGGGACAAACATTCAAATCATCACACTGGGAAGGCTCAGCTGGAGGAGCAGAATTGGCCAGCACAGGGAGGTAATGCTGGGTTTGGAATTTTTGTCTTTGCAGTCCTTGGCCTTGATCCGGATACCCAGACGCCCTCTGAGATGGACCTTGAGGGCCGTGCCAATGTCTGCTCTCTGCTGAGGTAGGGCTCATCTACTCCTTACAAGTATAAGAACTTACTGCCAAACATACCCTCCTCCAAGCCATGGGTCCCCAGATACAGTCAGGAGGACCCCAGTGGATAGCTGGAACTCAGGACCTCAGGAGAGATCCCAAGGCCTATGCTCGAGTTCAGAGTTTTCTAATTCAGGCTTGGAGCCCAGGAACAGAAGATAACTAAGAACAATACTGACAGAAAAAAATAATCACTTCATTGACATTACCCTTCACAGGACCGCCTGCTTCAGGCCTGTGCTTTGCAGCCTGGTTCATTTGGGAATGGTATGCTTCACACCCAGCCCTGTTAAGTGTGAGTTGATGAGGACCATGAGCTTGGAAGAAGCCGTGGGGGCCTCTCTGTGTGTTTCTCTCTGCCCTGCTTTGAGACACTTCACATAAAAGACTCTATAAAAATAAACTGTGGAGATTTCAATGCCAGTAAAAATCCCAGTGGAGGTAGAAAACTATTTAAAGAGCACAAGGACATACATTTATCTTGTTGTGAATCCCCGGCTGCCTGGTCCCTGAGCCTGACACACGGCAGATGCCCAATAAATATTAATAGATTGATCAATTTGTTGGCTGCTCATCCATTTGCAGCTTCAGCCAGCCCATGGCTCTGCGTGCACACACCACAAGGAGAGAGAATCCATAGACTTCGACAGGAGAGAGCTGCTCAGCTGGCAGGAGAGCCTGCCACAAACCCTTGAACATAAATGTCCTGCCCTCCACTTCCAGCTCTACGTACTAACTGTAAAATAATGATGTGGCAGAAAGTGAAGTGCAAAGACTGCCAAATTCTAAGAAAGAACCTGGTTTCATGCCTTTTAATCCTTATGAGTCATTCCTTGGTCTGCGCCAAGCCCTGTGCTTTACAGCAAGAATACAGATGTCTTCATTGAACTGCATCTCATTAGCTGGACCTAACAGAGTGCAAATTTCTTTCCAATGCCATTTGAACTCAATGCCCAGATGCTTTTTTCCCCTGGGCCCGTGCAGATGAAATCTTGGGCTGGTTTATAACTTTGAACACCCAGAATATTCCCATTTCAGTTTAAGATTCCCTCTGACTTATCTAATTGTTAGGCTCTCTTCACCTTCAGCCTGAGAAATGGGTACCATCAATTTCTCCTTTCTCACCCAGCTTCACACCCAGGCCCTCCAGACTCAGTGGGTGTCTGACACCTCTACAGCTGGAGTCCTTCAGCAATGGGCCCCCTGGGCTCAGCAGATATTTTGAGCTGGCCATTTCTTCTGTGAGACAATCTTGTGTTTTCTCAGGAATTCCCCTGCAGAAGATCTCTGAGTACAAACCCATGCCCAGTGATGTTGCCTCTGCCCAGCTACTTACAAGACCATTCCTCGGCCCATCCAGGGCTACCAATCTGTTTATGTAATTTGTGCCATGAATAAAGGTACCAGACAAATGAGTAAGTGGAGGCTGAGTTGTAGGCATGGTTTTGTGCCCCAATAATGGGCTGCACAGGAAAGGAAGGGCCACCTTTGTGTAATTCATAAGCTACAGGTGGATGCCTTTTTGTGATTCCCCCTAATGCATGCTCTGTGTGAGCTGAGGCTCTGGCTCTCTCTCTGCTGGGGTCAACATCACCCCTGCTTGTTTTACAGGCTATGACCTGCCTGCAGCTTACTTGCCTACATAAAAAGGGCATCCGCGCCCTTGCCCTGACACGGGGATTGGCGGTTCACTCCTAGCGCCATCCTCTTTCTCTTTGCTCTCCCGCCAGACATGTTGTTGCCGTCATCACCTCTCACCATGAGATTGCTCAGGGATGTTCCAGACACCAAGCCCTTTCAGAAGACACATGTCAAACCCTGTATATGATTTGAGCAGTCTTTCTCATGTGGCTGGAGGGAAAGGAGAGGTACCTCATTCCTCTCCCCTCCACAAGGAGGGGAAAGAGGTATGGAAGGGGAAATGTCATAGCATTCCAACAACTCTTTTCAGAGGAATTTTCTACTCCTGGCCTCAATTTTTTATAAACCCTCATGGGTGTGTTAGTGGTGGAAGTTATCTAGGTTATCGGTGGCAAACCTGTATGGGTCTGCAGCAATCTCAACTCTTGCCTCCTCAGAAGAAAGAATCTGAGGTGCATAAGGCAGAAGGAGAGGCCAAGACAAGTGTTAGAGCAGGAGTGAAAGTTCATTAAAAGGCTTTAGAGCAGGAACAAAAGGAAAGAAAGTACACTTGGAAGAGGCCCAGGTGGGCAACTTGAAGGACAAGTGCCCCATTTGACCTTGAACCTAGGATTTCATATGCTGACCGACTTCCAGCATTTTGCACCCCATTTCCCTTGATTTTTCTCTCAGGGTGAGCTACCCACATGCACAGTGGCCTACTAGCACCTGGGAGGTGAGCATGGGCAGTGTGTTTAGTGGAGCTGTACGCATGTTCACCTGAGGCTTTCTTCCCTTTCCTGGTGGAATGCCTCTGGAAGGTCATACTCTGCCATTTTGCCCGTTAATGTGCATGCTTGAGCCCACTTGCCCAATTCCTGAAAGCTGCCAGTTACAGATGTTTTTATCTATTGGGAAGCTGCCTCTCTCTGGTGCTGGCTGTGACCAGTTATTCTTTCAGAGAGGCAATGTGACAATTGCCTGACCATCACCTGTTGGTTGCCTGACATTTCTTGTTGGTGGGGGTAGCCCTCTCCTGCTCTGCTCCTGCCTGACTAGCTACCTACCAGGAGCTCCAAATGACTGCAAGAGAGAGTTTGGAGATGGTCCAAGAGCTGGGATTGGAATTGGAGAACTAGGTTATAGCCAGATACTGGAGAGTTTCACATGCCATGCTAAGAAATTTGAACTTTATCCCATAGGATTGCAGGTGAACGATATTCAGCAGGAGAGTACCTGGTCTTATTTGCCTCTGAGCATGCTGGGTGGAGAGGCATGATGAAAGTGGAGACCTCTTTGGTGTGCACTAAGTAGGTTAATAAGCAATGTTCAGAGAATCTTCCATTCAAAGTAAAAAAATTTCTCACCTTTTTTTCTCATTTCTCAAGGTGGTTTCTAATTCGGTCTTGAGAGCCAGACATTCTTCCTGGTTTGGGTTTTGTATTCTTTTATGAGTTCATCAATCAGGTGAGGCCACAAGGGGAGACTTAGTGCTCAGGAACACAAAACCTATTATACTCTTGGGTCCTAGAGACAGCAGGCACAGCAGGCACAGCAGGCCACATGGGGAAGACACCAGGGTGGCCAGGAGACTGAGGACAGGAGCATGCATTTGATATACAAACTAACCAGCACAGAGCTACATCTCTATCTGGCCCTACGCTCCAGAGACCATATTCCTCTCCTTAATCATCCCAGGGCCAGGTACAAGACAACTAGAAACCGTGCCTAGAGCCAAAGCCCGCTGGAATGATTCAAACTAGCTAGTCCTAAGCTGTTCACCCTGCCTTGCCTTGCCTTTCCCATGAAACCCGGTAAAAGCTATGGCCTAGGTGGCCCCCTCACCTGTCTTCTGCCTCCTGACCACCCTGATGTCTTTCCCATGTGGAGTGGCATGGAATGCCTCCTGTTTCTAGGACCTGTGTGTATCATAAACTTTATTTTCCTGAGCCTGTCCTGGGTCTCTTCTTGTGGCCACACCTGACTGACCACATCATAAAAGAATACAAAACAGCTTGCCAGGTCCTTAGGTGGGCAGCATGATTGAGTGAGAAGGGCATAGGCCTGGGTTTTATTTCAGTGCCTTTATCTACTTGTGGCCTCAGACAAATTATTGAACTTCTCTGGGTCTCAATTTCCTCATCTATAAAAATGACCCTTGCAGTGTACGAGTCAGAATAAACTAGATTATGCTGCTGTAATAGATAAACCCTGAATCTTAGCCACCTGTATCAGTAAAGGTTTCCTTCTTGCTCTCAGTGCATATGCAGTGAGGGTCAGCTGGCTACTCTGCTCCCTGCTCCCTGACTTAGCACACAGGCTGATGGCACGCCCACTGTCTGTGATCACATTAGGATCTTGGTGACAGATGGAAGGAGCACTCTGGTGGGTCGTCCACCTGCAATTAAATACACCGGCATGGAATTGGCAATCCATGCCTCTCCTCACAGCTCCGTGGTTGGAAATCACATGGCCCTGCTCCACCACAAAGGGGCCCTGTGTGACTACCACAGATGCCTACTCCACAGGTGTAGGGTGAGGGTTACATGGGCTACAACACAAAGAGCCTGGTGCAGGGCTTGAAGGCTGGCAGGTTCTGACAAAACTCTTCTAGGAAGAGCAGCCTCCACCCACAGCTGTGGTCAAGACTGCCAGATTCGCACTGGCAAGTACTTTAGAAAAAGCATACTGTCTACAGTAACACTGCTAAGCATGGAGACTTATTTATTTATTTTTGAGACAGAGTTTTGCTCTTGTTGCTCAGGCTGGAGTGCAATGGTGTGATCTCAGCTCACTGCAACCTCCGCCTCCCGGGTTCAAGCGATTCTCCCGCCTCAGCCTCCCGAGTAGCTGGAATTACAGGTGCCCACCATCATGTCTGGCTTAATTTTTGTATTTTTAGTAGAGATGGGGTTTCACCATGTTGGCCAGGCTGCTCTCGAACTCCTGACCTCAGGTGATCCACCCACCTTGGCCTCCCAAAGTGCTGGGATTGCAGGCATGAGCCACCGTGCCTGGCCAGAGCTTTTCACTTTAAAATTATTTCAAAATGGTAAAAGGAAATCTGAAAAGTCCAGTGAAGGAAAACCACTTGGGAAACAGAAATCCCAAAGATCAGGATTGATAAATGTCTCTATCTTCGAGTTATAGACAGAGAGGGCTCCAAGGACAAAATTTGAGGAAAGATGGTTGATAATCTCTTGTGTAAGAAAGTTTTCATTTGCAAGAAACAGGCAGAGCAACTTAAGCTGGCTTAAGCATGCATAGACTGATTGCCACAGGAGCTCCAAGTCCCGCTGCATGACAGGGTTCAGTTGGTTGATTCAGTTATAACAACTGGGACCCCAGCTCTCACCATTCTTCCTGCTCTGGCATCCAGAGTGTTGATTTCGCTTGGCTTCCTTTGAAGACAGATCCCTTTTAAGGTCATGGAAAGGCTGTCAGAAGCTATACAGTGGGGTAGATAAATAATTGCTTCTGGAAATTTTCCCTAAAGATGTGTGGGCACTTTTCTAAAAGTCCCTATGAAATATTTGTGTGTTTCACTGGCTTAAATTTAACTATGACTTCTGTCCCTAGCAAGAAGGGTTGCCTTAAAGCCAATTGGGCCTTCCCTTCTCCCCCACCTCTCCTTAACTTCTTGTAACCACTAATCCATTCTCCATTTCCATAATTTTGTCATTTTAAGAATGTTCTATAAATTGAATCATACTTGTACTACCTTTGGGGATTGGCATTTTCTCATTCCACATAACTCTCTGGAGTTTCATAGAAGTTGTTGTGAGTATCAATAGTTATTTCTTTTGATATGGATTACCACATGTTACTTAGCCATTCACTTATTTGAAGGATATCTGGGTTCTTTCTCATTTGGGGTCATTACAAGTTAAGTTGCTATGAATATTTTCGTAAAGGTTTTTGTATAAACACAAATCTTAATTTCTCTAGGATAAATACCCAAGGTGCAATTGCTGGGTCTTATGGTGATCGTGTGTTTAGTTTCGTAAGACCCAATCAAACCATTTTCCACAATGTATACACTATTTTACATTCCCATGAGCAATGTATGAGCAATCCCCTTTCTCCATGTCCTCAGCAGCATTAGGTGTTGTCCTTATTTTTTATTTGACCATCCTGATACATATGTGGAGATATCTTATTGTAGTTTAGTTTGCATTTCCCCAGTGGCTAATTGAAGTTGAGCATCTTTTCATGTGCTTATTTGCCATCTGTATATTATCTTCAGTGAAATATCCATTCATGTATTTTTCTTATTTTCTAATGGGATTTTTTTCTTTTGTCAAGGTTGAGTTTTGTGAGTTCTTTATGTATTCTAAATACTAGTCCTTTGTTCCGGATACTTCCTCCTCATTTGTTGCTTGGATCTTTTATCCTCTTAACAGAGACTTTTTACAGAGAAAAAGAATAAACAAAAAACAATTTGTCAAGTTTTCCTTTTCTTTTTACAGATCATGCTTTTGGTGTCAAGTCTGAGAACTCTTTGCCTAGCCTTAGATCCCAATGATTTTCTTCCCCTTTTTTTCCCTAAAAATCATATAGTTTTGCATTGACATGTAAGTCCAGGATCCATATGGAGTTCATTTTTGTACAAGGTGTGAGGTTTAATGTCAATGATCTTTTTTTTTTTTTTTTCATCTACGGATGTCCTATTGTTCCAGCACCATTTATTGAAAAAGCAATTCTTTCCTCATTGAATTTCTCCTGCATTTTGTCAAATATCAGTTGGGAATATTTGTGTGGGTCTATTTCTGGATTATCTATTCTGTTCCATTGATCTATGTGTCCATCTTTCTGTCTCACTATTACTGTAGCTATATAGTAAGCCTTAATATTAATTACAGTGATTCCTCCCACTCCACTCTAGTTTTTGAAGATTATAGCTATTCTAGTGCTTGTGCATTTTCAAATAAGTTTCAGAAGATATTTTTATTTGTATAATGTAAATTACATTATGAATATACAATAAAATTTATAAAATTAATTTCAGAATAAACTCATCTATGATTACAAAATACCTTGCTCGGATTTTGGTAAGAATTGCATTGGACCTATAAAATTAATTTGGGGAGAATTGATGCTTTTACTATGTTGAGTTTGGAAGCCCACTTTTGCACTACAATTTAGTGCTGAATATGTATATGCTTTAGCAACCTCATAACAACGGTGTGCTGGCACATAATAGGAGCTTCATAAATATTTATGGCAGGGAGGAAGGATGGGAAGGCCAAGTGAAGTCTTGAAGAGTTTGGATCAGTTGTCCTTAAATCTGGCCACAGAAACAACCATCTGCTGAGCTTGGTAAAAGTACAGATTTCTGGGCTTCATCTCAGCCCTACTGATTCAGAATCTCCGGGATGAGGCCAGTGAATCTGTATTTTGAACACCTGCTATAGTTGATCCTCAAGCACAGCCAGGTTTGTAGCATGTAGCAGCCAACAATGGAAGCAGTGTGCAGGCGCTGAGCTGAGTCTCCTAGGAATTAGCTGTTCTTTCTGACATTTGCCCTGAAACAAAGCAAGTGGTAGCTGCAATTGAGTCCACCTAAGACAAATTAACATGTTCTTCCTGATATATGGCTCAAAATGAGTATAGCAGCCTGGGAGTCAAGGGTGGTCCTTTCCTACAAGGAGGAGGACCAGATGTATTTTGAGCCTGTATCCACCAATTTCTTTTCCAAAGAGGAAATAAGCAACCAATGTTCAGCAGAATGTGAGCAGTTCCAAAATTGTAAATACTGTTATTTAATCACTTCATTGCATACTTGATTAGTTCCCTAACCTTGAGGCCTGTGAAACTGTAATGATGCACCAGGGGAGCTGGCCTCAGCTCTGAGAGAATTTAGAACAAGGCTGTTCAGATCCCTGGAAACATCTTTTTCATTAATAGCAGAAGAAGCCAAATGACCCATAAGATTTTTCTGTCATAAGGAGAACAGAAAAATTAGAAACAAAAGCACATAGAGGAGAGTTCATGAATTAGATTTTAGAGCACAGGCTTTTTTAATCTTAGTCTTTGTTTTTGTTTGGTTGGTTATTGTTGCTTTCCTTCTCTTATTTTGCAGTTTCAGTCTCTTTATTTTCAATGTAAAATTTATTATATAAGTAATAGATATATAAAGGTAATTTTTAACAAAATAAAGTGTATTCTCCTAATCCCATCACCCAAACTTTGGTCAATTTCTGTTCCATTGCTGAGCCTCCCCTCTGTTCACGGTGCTTCTCCTTGTGCCTGCGAGGCATTCCATAGTTGTAACCAGCATGTAATTCTGAGTTATTATATCAAACACTTTACTAAGTTGCGAGTTCTTCGTAGTTATATTACTTTCTTGGCAGTGCAGTATTCTATTATGCTATTGTACCATCATTTTCTCTAATGTTATCATTATTCTAATGCATTTCAGCCAATTCCAATTTGTTGTTTTTATCAAGAGCACTACAGTGAACATTTTTAAATAAATTGATTTTTTTCTTATTCTGGATTATTTCTGTGGGATAATTCTCAGGGATTTCATTGTTGGGTCAGTGGGTATACCCATTTTTATAGCTTTTGATATTTCTGAATATGCCAGCTTCAGCAAAATTTTGCCAGCATTGGACAGTTTTTTTAAATTTTATGAATGTAATGAATGCAAATCAGTATATTGACATTGTTTTGGTTAGAATATTTTGTGTGTTTGTTGGCCATTTGTATTTTATCGTATATTTTGTCTATGGAAATCCTGTATTGATCTATTATAAATTAAAATGGGCTTTCTAAATATTAAAAATATTAATCTTTGTTCACAATTATGTAAATGCTTTCCCAACCCATTGCTATTCTTTTTACATGAGTTTTGTCATTATTATTGTATGGAAGTTTAAACTTTTTCAATATTGTCAGCTTTGTAGGTTTTCTGTTGTTATACTTTTGGTCTACTGCAGTAAGCTGGAAGAGTGATCATTCCTCTGCAGATCTGATAAAACGAGAGCCTGTTTCCTACCAGTCTTTCTCTGATGTGTGTGTGTGTGTGTGTGTGTGTGTGTTTTATGTGATTCTAGTAGATGAAGTGGGCTTTGAAACTGAATCATTTTTCCAGCTCTCCCAGTTGTATCAATGAAGTTGTCTCCCCTTCCCCTATGCTGAGACCCCAACTTTGCCCTGCTTTCTCTGTTACACAGCACCAGATATGCTCCTGGGCCTGCCTGTGGTCCCCCAGTGTTTCTTTTGTGCATTTGCTAATCCATGTGTCTTTAGTTCTTTGTCCTAATATGGGGTAATGCTGGATCTAACACATCACTCTGCTTTCTTTACTAGATATCCCCATCTTATTTTTCCTTCATATGCTTTGTAGAATCAGGTATAAAGTCCAAAAGGAAAGTCCTTTTAAAAGAATGTATAGCTATGTGGAGTTGTATAGAAAAGATACAGAAAGATATCAAAACATATTACACCCATAACCTTGGAGCCAAGCCCCTTAACAGAGTCCTTCCACTGTGATAACCATAAAACTCCTTTGTTCCAAGGTGAACTATGAAGTGCACCCTGCAACACTGTGTCTGTCCCGGAGAGTGTGTGCCAGTGCTGCAGCAAGACTTCCCCCTGCCTGGGGTATCTTGGAGGAAGAGATTGGTTCTCAATTCCTTTCACAAAGGGAAGCCCCCACCCCCTTCTCACCACCTCCCCTTCCCACACACACACACACACACACGCGCACAAAGCTTTGCTGGACGTAAACCCCAGAACTGAAGAGAGGCAACAGCCATGATTCAAAATGAGTCTTGGAATTGACAAGCATGCTCTTCTTGAAGTGAGCTCTTAACAACTGGGCCAGGCCCTTCATCCCAGGTCACCTTTGCAGGAGCCTACAGATTTCTTTCCCAGTGGCAGAGCTGGTGGGTACACTCTTTGGACCAAGGTCACCTGAGGGCTCTTCTGTCCAAAGGACCTCCATGCAGAAACCCTCAGTCTCTGCCTCGGAAGACGGCTGTTCTCTGTGTTTATCTAAAACAATAAGCAGCTTTTAATGGGTGACCTCGTCATTTTGCCAGTAGCCTTCCCTAAACAGAACAGTTCCGTCCTCTTCTTAATCCCACTGAGCAAGGGAGTTTTCCTTAGCCTCATAAAAGAGAAATATTTTGTGAAGGAAAAGTAGGACTCATGCCACTTTATGGAAAGACCTGTGTTACACAAATTCACATGAAAGACACATTCTAGGGGAAATGTGAAAAGCCACCAAAAGTAGAAGCAGACAGATGTAGTGTGAATCCACCTGTCCTACCTGTATGAGCTCAGGAAATTAAATCTTCTAAGCCCCCTTAATTTTTTTTTTTTTTTTTTGAGACAGAGTCTCGCTCTTTCACCCAGGCCGGAGTGTAGTGGCACTATCTTGGCTCACTGCAAGCTCTGCCTCCTTGGTTCATGCCATTCTCCTGCCTCAGCCTCCCAAGTAGCTGGGACTACAGGCACCTACCACCACGCCCAGCTAATTTTTTGTATTTTTAGTAGAGATGGGGTTTCACCATGTTAGCCAGGATGGTCTCGATCTCCTGACCTCGTGATCCACCCTCCTCAGCCTCCCAAAGTGCTGGGATTACAGGCGTGAGCCACCGCACCCAGCCCTAAGCCCCCTTTAAAAACAGAAATAAGAATATCACTCAAAACTGACATAAGGATTAAGTTAAATCACATGTAGAAACTACCTTACGCACTATGACTGTCTTAATGTCTAAAAGGACCAAATGAAATAATTGGTGATTAGGTTTAAAGGCTGCACTGCTCTGTAGGCAAAGTCCTCTTTATAAATGAGATAATATATACAGTGGAGGGGGTTCAGCTTATAGGGGTTATAGACACTTTGGAGAATTTAAAGGCTGTTAAGACCTGTATTTCCCAAAAGAAGCACACAAGTCAACATTCTAGGTGCAATAGCCCATAGATGCCATGAAGAACACCTGTGGGCTGCTGCATGGAGCCAAACTAAGAACTCATGCCTTGGGCACTCATGTTGGCACACCCATCCTCTGTCTGCAGGGGAGGGTGAGACCTGTTCTCCTTTTTGTGCAGGATCAGTGATTCTAACAGGACTCACCCTGAGCACAGCCCATGCTACAGTCCATATATAGATGAGGGCATGGTAGAGCCTGGCACCCTTGCCATAGGTGAGTGCTTCTCCCCACCCAGACCCATACCACATGTTAGGGCACAAGTCCAACTGTCTAGTTTCTTTGACTACATGGAAAAAACCCAACAGGATTGAATGCATTAAAAAGCTTATATCTTCTCACTGGAGTAATTCTCTCCTTTGTGATTGATGATAAAAATAGCTAATGTTTTTTAAGCGCTTACCACTACACACCTGGCGTTGTCATAACCGCATGAAGTGGGTTTGGTTATCTGGCAGTCAGCTGCATATTGAATGGTTTAAAAGTCATGTGCTGCAGGTCTCCCAGCCAGTGAGTGGCAGGGCCAGGCTTCAAATCTGAGCTCCCCCAACCACAATGCCACATCTTCTGCCTTTCTCTTCCCGGCTGGCTCAGACGCACTGCAGATCTCAGTGGACTGGCCCTTGTGGTCCCCACCAATTGCTCAGCCTTCTTCTTTCTGTTTCCCAGCCCTGCGGAGCCAGCTCCAAGAAGACTGCCCCCTGCATACAAGCTGCTTCCTGCTTGCCCACATTTCTGTGAATCCATAACGTACACTCCCAATGCTGTAAAGTGTTGTACTTCCCCATAAATGAACATGCACAGTCTTCAAAGCCTCTGAATCTTCCACTCTATTAACTTGTTGCTTCCTATTTCAGATAAGAACCAGCCCTTTTGTTATATTTTAATTTCAAATATCCACTCTCCTTATCAGCTGGCCCACCACTGTCCTCTGAGGCTCCAGCTCAATCATTTGTGGTGGCTGAGCTTCCTTATGTACAGCCAGGAAAATGGAGCTGGGACACAATAGGAGGAAAGTTAAGGAGTGGGTTTCAATTATACTTGAAACTTCTCAAACTGTTGTCTCGTTAAGTTTCAGTGGACCTTGAAACTGTGTTTATGTGAAAGTTTTTGGAACATTCAGCATTTTTAAATATACACTGTAAGTACTTTAACAGAATGTTGAGTGGTTACAGACCTGCCCAGAATTTAACCTCCCTTCTTCCCAGTGTGACAGTTTCTGTTGCCCTTACTTTTTCTGTGTCCTCATCAATATGTTCTGACCCTGCCTGGTGACCAGGTCAGCTTCTGGTGGCTCCTTGCATTAACAGTGAGACTTTCCTGATGCTGGTCTATACTCAGCCACAGCAGTCCAACAAGATGGGCCCTATGACAGGACACCAAGACTCTTCTCTGCAGTACATCCAGCAGAGGGGCAGGTAGGAGCAGGCAAAACAGGAATCAGCACTAGACATTCAGACCCCCAAAAGAGAGAGACCTGAGGAGAGGAATGCACACTCCTGTACATAGGAGGCAGAACAGATGGGTGCTCGACAGGTGGGCCGTGGAGTGGGGAACCGATCAGGTTTGAATTCTAGTTCTGTCACTTACTTATTGGATAACCTTGGGAAAGCCCCAAATGTGTCATGTGTGAAATGGGGGTGATGACAGTCCCCATGTTGTAGGTCGTTGTCATGGTGCAAGGGCCATGGTAAGTGTTCTGTGAAAATGGCCATTACAATGACGCATGACCCCCAAAGAAGATGCAGGGGAAACTGGGCAATGCCCACAGACCATCCCCCACCCCCAGTTGAAGTGGCTTGATAGCACTGAGCCCTGCTCTGGTCAGAGCTCAGCCCCAGTTCACCCAGCCAGAGTGACACCCACCTGAGGGCACCGTATTCCAGGGCCACAGGCTCCTCCAGGTCTTCCCATTCACTCCCACTCTCTGGGGACTCTTCTGGAGGCAAAGACTCTGGGACAGTGCCCCAAGAGCAGAACTGTGGCAAGGGAATGGTCCCAGAATCTGCCTCCAAACATTCTTCACAGGGTAGCTGGCCTTGGCATGTAGAGTTGATGGTAAGATACTCTTCATCCTCCGAGGTGGGAGAAGGGGCTCCACATGGATGGTACATGTCACCTTCCCCATCCTCCCCATCCAATTCAGGACTAGAATACAGAAGCCCATGTTTCTTCCAGCCTTGATAAAAAAAATTCCTCACCCCACCTTCCCCTTGCCTTTTAGAATACTCTGCACGACACAGGCCCGTGAGACTCAGCCAGTGTTCAAACAGCTCATGCCAGAGGCTGCTCTGGGCACCAGGAAGCAAGAAACTTATAAGGCACCAACCCTGGCTTTGAGGAGCCCCCAATTTAATGAGAAGTTGGAGCAGTAAAGAAATGTTACAGTCCATGTAGGAAGTGCTATGGTAGAGGCAGCTGGAGCACCTTACCGAGCTCAGGAGACCAGGGGGGTGGGGGGGCTTGCCAGAGGGCACAGCATTGCAAGCAGGGCAATGACCCAGTTCTAAGACAGACTCGTCACATGGCAAGCAGAGTCGGTCAGACTTTGGACAAGTTTATTGACTTCTTTGGAACCTCAGTTTTCTCATTTGACAAAACTAGATGGTCAAGAAGCATCTAGGATTATTGGGACACGTAAATTACATAATTCTGACACAGCCCCCCCAACTCTGGGTTCCTGGTATGGGGTAAGTTTTTAGTAAATGTGAGATGCTGTGATTAGTACTGTGAATATGATGGCTATTTCAACAGAAGAATTATAAAGAAAGGGCTTCAGGAAGGGATTGGGAGTGACTCAAGCAGGCAACCATCAAAGCACTTTGTGCAAAGATCAGGTCCTTTTCTGAGCACTGAAAATTTGCCTATTTAGAGATGCGGCAAGCTGAAGTGACATTTACTCCCCGCGGAAGGACACAGGAGGCAGACAAGTGGTGAAGCTCATTATCTGGTGATGCAGCCGCAGACGTAATGGTCAAAGAACAAGACTTCCAGGGGCTGCCCCAAGTTCGCCACACACGCCTCTTGATTAGAAAGAATAGTCCATGCAAAGGTAGGGCATTTTACACAGCACTGCAGACATGCAGAGAAGGTGCTCAGAAAATATCTGTCGAAAGTCTGGTTAGAGGAGATGAGAAGGAATATCTAAGAGAAAAGCACAAAGATTTAGCAAATACATGGATCCTCATTTCTCAGCCTCCTTACCCCCACCCAAATCAATGGGTTGGCTTTGTTATGTGCTGCTGCTCTCCTTCTCCTTTCCTGCATTGCCTCTTTCTCTTAAAATTGGCTCTGGTGCACCCCAATAGCTACAAACCCTTAGATACCCAGAGAGCACGTCCTCCTCCCCAGTAGAGCCGGAAGCATCTGTCCCAAACTGAGCTTCACTGTGAAAGAGACATTATTTCCACTCATGAGAGCTACAAGGTATGTGAAATAGTGAATTTCATGTAAATATATGCACACTCAAGTGTATAAAAAAGAAATTATTCTACAAAGACTGAAGAGGAACACTCACTGTCAAAAGACATTTTTAATTCTTGAGCATTTGCAGGGAAAATTGACTTTAAGCTTGGCTAAATCATGTAGAAACTGTGTTTTCTTATAAACATGGGAAAGAAACATTCAAGAAGTTTTATCAAAGAATGGGAAATCTAGCCTATTGCCCAGGCCTAGGCTCACCACTGTCCCCACCACCTCAAGCAGCACCCCCTTCCCTCCTTTCTGAGCTCACTAAGCCTTGTTGAGGAGTGGAAGATGGCAGCTGTATGTGTCCATTGGCCACTGCAGCTGCCTCAGTGTCCACACCTCACCTCCCACCCGTAGACTCCCTCCACCTCTTCTAATAAGCTCCTTGCCCTCTGGTTTTGATTCTGAGCTCCAGCTACTGGCTCTGCCTGGACAGAGACCTAGAGAAGCCATCAGCCTGAGAGGCAAGAGGCAAGGCTTCATCTGAGGTTCAACCAAAGAAAAAGCGATTTGCTCCCCACTTGTCCAGGGGGACTTGGTGGTCCCAAGGGTGAAATCTTGGCCATCATCCCACCACAAGTTGGGAGAACGACTGCCTTTCCTTCTATCCTTTTGCACGTGCCATCAGGCTGCCCTTGGAGATTTGACCTGGGGCTCAACTGTGGACATAGGGAAAGGGTGAATAGGGAATAAAGAGGCACCAGAAGCCTGTATGCCTATTTCACAGAAAGGGCAAGACTTGGAAATTTGGAGAATTTCATTAAGATAGAGACATTCTTTCACAGCAAGCCTCATGTTTTGCATGTGGACATGATGGGTAAAGAGGTGGAGTTCTTCACCCAGGGTTCAAGGCCGGCCAGCTCATGGCTAATGTAGCAGGACTTTCAGCAAGACCCTGATGCTGTCGGAGTACACGGGGCTCTCTGCTCACCCCCTGATTCTGTGTAATGATCTCAGCTTCTTCCTGCCCTCACTCTCTGCCCACCAAGCTGTCCAACAGAAGGAGGCTTTTATAGACAGATGATAACTAGAGGAGAATCTGGAGATTTCACTTGGGCTTCCTGGCCAGCCATGTCTCCCATACAAACCAGCAGGACCCCAGAACCAGGGTCCCCACCAAGTCCTGAAACTCTTCAGTGGGTATTTTTAAGAGGAATCCCAGTTCAGCTCTGAAGTCAGTGAAACCATTCTGAAGGCTCTGCTTGCTACAGAATGTTTACTGAGAAAAGACACTGTGCCCAACTTTTCTGGACAGCTGTCCTTTAAAGACTTGGGCCACCAAATTCATCTCTGCCTTTCAGGAGGAAATTCATAGAAGCAGATTGGGCATTTCAGGCTTGAAATATGAAGGTATTATAATTGTCCTATTTACTTACGGTTAAACTCACAACAAAGTTTGGGGTTTGTGTCCCTTCATGTCTCCAGTTCTCCAACATCAGGCCCCATACTGATGTCTCCATTAGCCCGGATGACACAGCTGGGAGCCCCAGGTCTCTGCTCCTGACAACTGCATTTAGTTTTGGCAGGTTGGATTTACAGTATCTCTAAGACATCAAAGTAAACAAGTTCAACGGACTGCCAGATTTGAAGCTCAGATGATAAATCTGAGCTGAAGTACAATACTTAGGATTTGTCACAGTAGTGTGGACAGATACCCCTGGGTATCTGGGGATACCCAAGGATAGCCCTGGGAGCCTGTAAGGTGTAAAGAGAATCCTGCTAGAGGCAGCATCCAGGATCTAGCCCAGGCTCTGCCGCCTCCCTCACTCCCCTCAGCCACACTCCAACCCAAGAGCAGGCATGACATCTCCCTCACCTGGCAACTGCATCCCTCCCTAACTACTCTGACATCACACCTGGCCCGGCCCCTGCAGTTGAGTGAGATCTCTGGCCTCCTAATTATCTTTTGCTATTCCAGGCAGTGCCCTTCCCCAGAAGGTATATCATAACTTTAGGTTCATTTCCAGGAGTCCTGCTTCATTTTGCTTTCTTAAATAAATGACCATCAAGATTTATACCATCACTTTCACAAAGTGATGCTTGTGGAACTTACGTGCATTTTACTTACATGAGTTTAATGATATGTGCTAGGCAAAAAGAGAAAGAGAAAGATAACCTTAAACATTCTGCAAAGACCAACTTTCCAACCGATAAGTGTAAGCCTTGAAGTGCACATGAGTGGGAGAACTAAATCTTTCATCCTGTCAATCTGTCTCTGTTTCTATTGGGCCAGCATTTAAAGACAAACATTTTGCATACAGCATGGCCCATAAATGCAAGCCTCCTAACTTCATCTGAGGCTCGACCAAACAAAAAGTGATTTGCTCCCACACCAAGGGGCAAATAACATCACTCCTTCCAAAGTGATGTTTCAAGGGTAATGAGACTTGATGTGATTGTTGCCTTCTGCCTACCTTTAGGAACTAACCTTATAAAAAATATGTCTCCAGCCAAGCTTTCCCTCTGATAGGCACGTAATCCAACTCTCCTTCATAAAAATGTACTGTACTGCTTTATTACAAGATATTTTTATAAAGATCTACTACTAGATGGTAAAATCTCTAGATATAGAGTGTGAGAAAAGAGAACAGGGAAAGAAAGTGAAATCGAATCTTGTCCATGAACACTTTGGGTTTGCTGTGGTGCTGGCAGCCATCTGGCTGTAGGAAATTGCCACCTGGCAGATGGTAAGTTCCGGCAATTTGCTGGGAATTTCAATTGAAGGGACCTGTTCTTTAGCTGGAAATAGCTCAGGAAAGGGAAGGAAAACAGACTTGCATTGAGTTCTTACCGCATGCCAGGCACTGTGACAGCACCCTGAGCGTGCTATTTCTTTTGACCTGCACAGTACCCTGTGGAACTGTCATGGTCCCCATTTACATTTGGGAAGCCTCCAGCTTAGGGAAGGCAACGCTCCAGGCATACTAGTAAGTGGCAACGCTGAAACCACATAATAGGATACAGAAATCCATGCTCTTTTTGTTGAAGAGTTTAACTCACAGATGCCAGACACTTAAGAGGCAGTGGCCTGCGACAGTCACCTCAGAACTGAGCTGCAAACACTTCTAAGGCTTCTGCAGAGTCACAATCCCACTTTGGAATCCTGATTCAGACCCTATCCAGGAGCTGGGGGAACTGTGTCCAGGGGTCGCTGGGCATGCGTCCCTCTTTTCTTCCTGTAGGGGGCAGCCACTATGTGTGCATTAAATGCAAACTGACGTCCTATTGGAGGAGAGGTGGACTTGGTTTGAGTTCTTTCAGAGGGGAGGAAAGGTTCCTAAGTGAGGGAGGGAAAACGAAGTAAAAATAAAGCCAGGAAATGTGATGAGGCAGAAAGCATTCATCAACAGAACTACCACAGGGAGGCAAGAGAAAAAGGGGGTGCGGTTGGCCATTGAGAGAGCCAGGATACCGAGAACAGTAAAGCTGCCTGCCCACAGTTCATCCATGGGTACATGGACCATGTGGGCCCGGCAGTGAGTATGATGGTTGATGGGCGTTCACAACAGACTGAAGATAGGAGACTCCCCTGGAATGCTCTGGACAAGCCCTTGGGACTCTCGTGTGGCTCTAAAAGGAGCAGTCCCTCCAAGAATGACAGATTTTGGACATCTGGTATACCCTTGCAAATAGGGCCACTAAGCCAAATTTAATTTGGTTCAGAAAAACAGAATAATGTGATGTTTGATGAAAAAAAAAAAAAAAACAGCAAATGCTAACAGATAGGCAGAAATAGGTATCCGGACTTGGAAGTAGAAGACATAAAGAGGCATAAAGATGTGGAAGATGTGGGAGCAAATCACTTTTTCTTTGGTTGAGCTTCAGATGAAGTTAGGAGGCTTAAATTTATGAGCCATGCTGTATGCAAAATGTGTAACTTTAAATGCTGGCCCTATAAGAACAGCATAACAGCATAAAGATTTCACCTTAATGTAAGGAAGAACCTTCTGATCAGTAACTAGATGATGATAAAATGGGTCATTCAAGAGGTAGCAAGTTCCGCATCCCTGCAGATATTCAAGCAAAAGCTGGGACCCCTTCTTCAGGAATGTTATGGAGCAGATTCCAGCATGGAGTTTGAGGCTAGATTAGATCATTTTTATATTGAACAGGCTGATTTTCTGTAGTTTAATGAATGAAACAGTGACTGCCTATACTAATAGTTTAAAATACCATTTTAAATAACTATTGGCTATATTAAATTAAAGGCACTTGGCAAGTCAAATTCCCAGCTTGTACCTATACCCAGGGTCACTTTATAATTCAGCTCTCAGGGTCCCTGTTCATTATCCCAAGCTATCTGGCAGCAAAACCTTTCAATATCCAAACAAGTGCCTCCTCCCTACAGGAAAGTACCGTTCCTGTAATATATCCTTTAAGATCATGGTAATAGTTGTCCTTGGACAAGTCTCTGTAGGTTACTTTCTTTATTATTTTATCAAGTATGTCAATTACTGCCTAGACTGCAATTGTAAAGAACTATAAATACACTTATGTTATACATTATCAGACAACGAAAGTGAATATCATTGATGAATGTGCTTGTTCACCCTGTTCTACTTTGCAAACCAGTTAGCTTTTGTTTGGCTGACACAGCATTCTTCAAAAAATTGTAGCAGGGTACTTTTAGGGAATGCATGCCTGGCTCCTGCTTGTCACAGCTCTCATCGGGTCCAACGGTATTACACGACTGCTTCACACTTCACAGAGACTATCATTTCCTATGGATCTACCTTTGACAGTCGTCTAGGATGGCTACCAAATGAGAGCCATTTAATCTCAGTGGGTTTATAGAGTGTCAAACACAAACAATTGCCCCTTGTTATTTACCTGCTTTGTGCCCATGCCTCTGGCTGGCAAATGCTAGAAGCAGGTCTTACCCTACATGTGCAGCCCTCTGTCTGCTCTCAACAGGTTTCCAAGCACCTTGTGTAATAAGTACTTGTCAAACTGAATCAAAGACTATGTGTTCCCTCAGCATAGGACTGAGAATCGGAAATACTTACAGATGGATGGACACAAAAATGCAGACTAAATTTAAAATGACTGTGAAAATGAATGTTGCAGGGTGGTCTTGAAGATATAGATGTGTTCAGAAAACAAAAGCTGGTGTAGCCAGGCATGATGGCTGGTGCCTGTAGACCCAGCTATTGACCGGCTGAGGTGGGAGGATCACTTGAGCCCAGGATTTTGAATTCAGCCTGGGCAACATAGTAAGACCCCATCTTTAAAAAAAAAAAAAAAGCTGATGTTGATAATGAAGCATTATACTAGCAATAGAAACGAGGATGCATGTAGGAACTTCCTTCTTACTACAAAGCTTTAACAGGCCATGGAAGATACAAGAGAAAGGTTTGTGTGCCAGGAGAAAACCTGAGGCCTGCCACCTATAGCTTCCAAGACATATTGGGGACAATTGTGGTCTGGGTAGGGTTTGCTTTCCCAAAAGCTCACAGGTGGTCACAGCAGCACCAGACCTTATGCTTCTCTTGTTGCAACCTCTCTTCTAAATGCCTGGAACAGTGCTGGGCACAAAATCATCCAAGCATAGTTATTGATGGCTTGATTACAATTTCCTAGCAATGAGATGCACATAGTTTACAAAATGTCTGCAAATGTGGTGATTCTTACCTTCCAAGTCTCATGATATCACAAACTGAATAGCAGTTTTGCCTCACATCCTTTTCCAAAGAGGTCGCCAATGTTGATTCATCCCTTTCTTGGTGAAGTTTGCATAAATGAGGGTGGGACTCAGGAGAATGTGTCAAGGAACTGGCCCAAGGTCTCTCTCTGTTTTGGCCCCATTGTGCCTCTCTGATGGCCTTTTGGGAAGACTCTGGCCTGAGACCCAGGCCTTCCCCTGCATCTGGGGAGGCACTGTCCCTCCAGCTGTCCTCTTGATCCAGGATGGGGCTGGTACATGAGTCAGTACATGTTGCCCTGGTGAATTCTTTGTCAGCTGAGAGTTCAGGTGTCTATTAAAAGAAATGCTACTAATTACTGGCTGCGGGATGCACATTGTTTTTTTAAAAATACAAAGCTTTTTTCCCCCATGTGATTATAGATCAGAGTAGTTACAAGATGGGCTTTGAGGTCTGTCTATCACCATAGCATCCCAGCTCCTCCACATGCTCCCAGCTGGACACTGGGCAACACACTCAGGCACCTTAGCTTAGGGGGCTTTGGAAGCTCTCCATAAATGTGAGCCTTATTTTTAAATAAAAAATATTTGCAAAATTTAGACAAAGATAAAAATGGAAGATAAATATGCAAAACAATGACTCTATTCCACTTTCCGATAAGAAATGTTTCTTTTTAAGTTTTTCATCTTCATCTGTCATCTCAGGGCTTGTCTCCCTGTCTCCACCCCCATCAAGGTGATGTTCTTTCCTGGGTCTCCTCCTCACTTTCCCAGACATGACTTGCTTCGTCTCAACTGCTCACCTCCCTGTCAGCCTTTTAGGTTCTGGTTTTGATGATGTGCTATGTCTTGCTGCCACTGCTTGACCTTCTACAGAAAAACAATCTGTGTTTCAGTAGAAAACTGTTTTTATCTACAGCAGAACTTGCTGGGTTCTCTGATTCTGGCTGTCTCCACTGTCTTTGAGCTATTTTACAACTCTATAAATAAACAGGTCCTTTGAAATCTCTTTTGAGCCAGTTTTAACATCTGCCTGGTTCCCTCACTGAATGAGTTAAATAAAATCTTTAACGTGTTCATTTTTATATCTGTAGGAATCATGATTTTACCTTTTCCTGAAAATTATCTTCCAGCACTTCCACCCCATGATCTCCATACCTGATGTAATAGAGCCCATGCCTGGGTTCCCACCCCTGCCCTCACCTACAAAAGAAGAACCACCCCAATGAGTGGTCTCCCCACATTTCTGATTGTACATCCCTAACAATGAGAGGGATACACCTCCAAATGTGCACATTTATTTAATTATAAATCATAAACATTTACTACTCTTCTGATAGACTGGACATTATAAAGGATACACCAAAAATCAAAATTTTAAGAAGACCATATTTTGTCACATTTTCATACTCTTTGGAGAGACCTCCAAAATCTGTTTTCTAACCTATCCTCTCCTTCTAGCTCATTATCCCTGGACATGCTCTCCAGCAATCCTTCCCCACTCCAAGACCTCCAGTCTGTGGAGCTGCTGCTTTTCATCATTACCCCCACTCCCCTTCCCTGTCACACATGTCCTCGGTGTGCCTCTTATTCTGCTTAGATTCCATGGCTCTGCCCCTAGATGCTCACTTACAGACAAGGAAGACCCTGAGCTCCCACCTCCTTGCCCCTCTCTTCCTCCATCACGTGTCACTTGCAGATTCTGAGTTTCCATTTTAATTCCTACTCAAACTGTGTGAACCTCACCCCTGCTTCTGAGCCTCTGACTAGATTAGCTTCAAGTGTGTGACTGCAGATGTCAAATGGGCAGTCAAGACTTCCACATAATCTTTCTCTGTGTCCTTAATCCATTCAGTTTTCTACCTCTGCTCTCTAAATTATTTCTCATCTTGTCTCTCTCTTCAAGTTTCTAACAACTCCACCCTGACCTTGCCTGTGACCTCACAGTGAGAATGGACACGTTCAGATGAGAACTCTTCATCTTCCCACAGCAAATTCCACTGAGCAGCCTGTGCCCCTACCCCAACTTCAGCTTCCACCTCTCGCCACCCATTTCTGTGCTCTACTTCATGGCAGCCTCTTAGATGAGTGTCTCTTCTCACCGTTTCCACGCCTCCCTCCTTCTTTCTTGCACCCACTAGCACCAGCCTTCTGTCCTTACCACCCAAGGGAAGGAGCCCACATCAGGGTCCCCAGCGACCTCTATCTTTCTAAAGCTGAAGAACAATATTTTGTCCTTTCACTCTCTCTCTCAGCAACGTTCAACAAAGTGTGTCCCTCCCTCCTTCCTGAGAGCTTCCTTGCTCATTAGCCCTACTTACATGGAGTTGACCGTGAGCCCCACCCTTGCTTGGTTTTTCCACCAATTCCCAGGCCCCATCTTAATCTCATATGTTGTCCCATCTCTGTACCAGGCCTCTCAATGTTGTTATGCTCTGTGCTGACTTCTCAGTCCTCTCCTTGAACTTATCTGCACTCTTTCCCAAGGTGATCTCAACCATTTCATGGCTTTACACGACCTCTATATATGCTGACAACTCCCAAATTCACTTTTCCCAGCCCTGATCTCATGCCTATTCTCCACAACTGCCTAATAGACTCTTCACTGGATAGCCTATAAACATCTCAGTTTTAAATGATACCAAGAACTATTGTTTCTCTTCCATGCACCCCAGATGGCCTTCCCCAGCCCCTGTAAGCAGTCCCTCTCTTGGGAACTGGTACCAAGAGAGATGAAGTGGAAAATAGGATCTATGATTACCCTCCTAAAGCATGAAATAGGTATATGTGATCTAGTGCAAAGAAGAGAGGTATTGGAATCAGGAAAATCAGGCTTTTTACCTTCTTACCCCTCCTTCACCCTGCATTGGTGGTAGCACCATTTCCCCAAGGCTTCCTCATGCCAAAGCTTGATTGCTCTCTTTCCTCATGCCTGTTTCTAATCCCAAAGTAGTCTCCTGAACTCCGCCTCCCAGATGTATCCCAAATCTGGCTGCTTCTTAACACTTCAGCTACAGCCTGAGTCCAAGCCACATCATGTTTGACCTGAATGACTGCTGCTTGACCTCCTTTAGTCCCTGTGCACCAGTAACCCGAGTGGCCCCTCTGAAGAACGGAGGAGGGCATTTCCTGCTTAACCCTCCATGCCAGCCCAGTGGCTTCCCACTGCATGCAGGATGGCGGCATCATGCTCCTCTGATCCCCAAGGCCCTCCAGGGTCCCTGCCACCTCCACAACTTCCTCCACTTCTGCTTCATTAACGATGGCCCAAGCACACTTGTATTTTTGTCCCTCAAACATCCAAGTGGGTTCCCATCTCAGGGCCTTTGTTCATGCTGTTCCTTCTGCCTGGAATGCCCTTACCCCAAATGTGGGCATGGCTGCCTCCTTCTCAGAGGTGCTTTACTTTATGGACTAAATGCTTGCTCCCCAGAGCTGCTGACCCTTGTTCTGCAATCTGACCACTGGAGCCACCCAAGCAAATCACAATCCTCCCACTTGGCCTTCGGGTATGAGGAGGGAAAGCTCACCCCCACACCTCACCTGGACCCTTCCTGCTAGATCTTTATGGGCTCTCCTGGGAGGAGCTATTCTCCAGGATGGAAATACCACTTTTTTCCCTGGGATTTCCTAGATATTTCAACAAAAACACAGGGTCCCAGCACCTTGGCCTGAATTTGTGTGTGTGAAATTTGGCCCTCTCTCACCTGGTTCGGTTTCTTAACACAATTGCTGCTGTCTACCTTCTTTTCCAACCCAGCAACTTTTGGATATCTTTCCCATAGCTCTTCCCTCCCTAGAGGCTATGTCAAATGACCTCTTGGAGTCTAAGCATCAACAGGATCTGGGACATCAAGTCCTTTATGTTGTCCTAGTGATGGTGTCACCCTCAGGCACAATAAGTGATCACTTTTATCCACATCCTAGAGATGAGGAATCATGGGGCCTAGAGAGGACAGGCAACTGCCCAAGGCCCATGCAGCACAGCAGGTACAGGTGATCCAGGTACCCGCCCAGATCCCCCTCCAGGACTGAGATTCGCATCCTACTGCCTCATCTCCCCTCCCCTGGGGCAGCCCACACCCCAGCGCTGGTTAGGGCAACAAGCAAAGGCACAGGTTCTCTTGTCCCAATTCATGGCAGCTCCAAGGGGCCATCTCTGCTCCAGGGCTCCCTCCAGAATCAGCTGAGGCCCTGTTTATAGCTGCACATTGATCTCTCCTTCTGCCCCACCCCACCTCAGTCACCCTCACAGGGGATGTTCTCAAGCGCAGGCCCCATAAAACCTCCCACGCTCACATCTCTGCTGCAAAATCTGTTTCCTAGGAACCCCACAGAAGGCATGGCAATGGGTAATTGTATCTGTCAACTTGGCTAGGCCATGGTACACAGATAGGCGGTCACATACCATCTAGATGTCACTGTGAAGGTATTTTTTTTTGATGTGATTTGACATTTAAATCAGCAAACTTTGAGTAAAACAGATTGTCTTCCATAATGTAGTGGGCCTCATGCTGTCAGCTGAAGCCCTTAAGAGGAAAGACTGACCTCTCTGAGGAGGAGGGAGTTCTGCCTCCAGACCACCTTTGGGCTTGATCTCCATCAATTATTCTCTGGGTCTCCAGCCTGCTGGCCTCCCCTGTAGAATTGGACTGGCCAGCCCTCAAAATCACATGAACCAATTCCTATAATAAATCTCTTTCTCTTTCTCTCACTCTCTTCATATATAAACACACACATAAACACACACACACACACTCATTCTATCTGTTCTATTTCTCTGAGAACCTGACTAATATATGTGTCAAGGTAAAAATCCCTATTTTCCTGATTCCAATGGCTCTCTTCTTTGAACCAGACTGCACGTGCCTATTTCATGCTTTAGGAGGGTAATCATATATCCTATTTTCCACATCATCTCTCAGAATGGAAATTCTTATTGGAAATTCCCTTGGTCTGCTTCTGTGTCTACTCTCCTTCTTCCCAGGCTTCCCTCTCTGATGCCTGAGCTTCCAGAGAGCCTGGCCCTAAAAGTTTCACAGCCAAAGTCTAAACATGTAAACATCTACAAGAAGACCCAAATGTCAGAAGAGGCAGAATCAGGGAGAGGAAGGAGACCTACTGAGGTTTGGGGGCCAGCTATTTTCCTACCCCTGTGAAAGGAGGTGGCACTGAACCTATCTACAACCCTCTTAGGACCCTAGAGTCTGGAAAAGGGGGGCCCAACCAGAGCCAGGTAGAGAGAGTAGAAGACACTGCAGCCTACCTGCCATTCCTGCTCCATCTCAGGCAGCGCACCTGGAGGGGGTCGGCAAAGGAGGAGCGTGACTTCCTGTGGGGCCCCTCTCAGTAAATGCAGCACCTCCTGCGAGAAACCAAGATTCACTGTTAGATTTGGGCTTGCATTGCTGGGGATGCAGTGATGTTCTCCCCACTGCGTCCCAGGCACTAGCTCCTCCTCCCTGCACCTTGATCTATTTCTCACTCCAGAGAACTCCGGAGAACCCTGCTGTGGGCCTGACTTTTCAAAGTGCAAGGAACCAAGGTCAGTGGCCTGCAGCTTCCACAAAGTTGATGCAAGATGCTGGGCTGTGCATCACCTTTGTGCAGCTTGGGTTCTGGGAACCTCTCATCTGTAATATTGCAGTAACCTCCTCTCCGCTCCCTGCCTTCACCAGTGTCACCCACCTGCCTCCTTCCACATTGCTCAAGGGAATGGCAATATCTGCCAATACCAATGCCTTTTCTTCAGAGAGAGAAAGAATGACTCCAACAAATAGCTGTTCATCTCAATTGCCCTTTCCTCCCAACCTCCCCTCATCTTGGGCCAGCAATTTTGCAGCCTCCACCATCTGAATCTCTAAAGCCTGACCCTTGGCTCTGAGCTTCCTATCAGGGCTCGGCTTGGGCTCTGGGAACCTCTCACCTGTAGTATTGCAGTGACCTCCTCACTGCTTGCTGCCTTCTCCAGTGTCACCCACCTGCCTCCCTCTGCAATGCTCAAGGGTAGTTTTCCACAGTGCAGATATAACTGAGTCCTTCCCCCACTGCACACCCTGGCTGACTCACTTTTCCCTCAATGTAAGCTCCAAGGCATAGCACATAGACCCCGTTTCTGCCTGCCTCTGCCTCTCACCACAGTTCCCTCTCTCCCATCTACTCCCCTCTGCACCCACGTCCTAAGCCCCTGCCATGCTGAATCTGTTGCTCCAAGCCACCCTCTCAATGTCCAGGGTTCAAGGTTGCCTCGATAGCTCCTATTTCCTATTTAGACCAGGATTTCTCAAACTCTTGGCACTGTTGACCTCTCAGGCTGGACAATTCCTTATGCGAATGCCTGTCCTGTGCATTGTAGGGTGTTTAGCAGCATCTCTGATCTCTACTCACTAGATGCCAGAAGCACTCATCAGTTGTGACAATCACAAATGTCTCTGGACTTAATCAAATATCCCATGAGAAGGAAATAATCTCTGCTTAAGAACTGCTGATCAAGACACTCCCCAGTCCCTGCTTCAGCCACGCAGGACTTCCAAGGGGTGCACTTCTTTCCTGGCTCACTGGTGTGAGCACTGCAGCATGGGCTTTCATCTCTCAGGATACATATCTCCTGCCATCACCGCTGTTTTCTGTCCATGAGCTCTGAAACTGCATGAGCTGTCTTCCTCTGTGTCTTCAGTCTCTCATAGAGTTGCCAGCCCAGCAGTGGTTCTCAGAGAAGGGTTCTTGGATCAGGAGATGGATGGATGAAGGCATGCCCTCCCACCCAAGCATATGGTGTTCTAGAGACCTCCCCCCAGCCCTGCCCAGAGCCACTGTCCCCCTTTGTCCATCTTGCTTTGTGTTTCTGGAGCTGACTTATAAAGGCTGCATGAGGCTTCCTGTTGGGCTCAGCTAGGGGAACACGGCAAGAGACCAGAGACAGGGAGGAGCGGAGGTCATTGCTCCTTCCAAATTCCTCCCTTCAGGTTGCCATGGGACGACTACAACCTCAGCCAAAGTGAGAGCTCATGCCAGCGAGTCCCCTCCAACAGCTCTCCATTCCTGGGGTGGAATAACTGCTCTTTCCCTTCCCCTTTGGCCTCAGGATAGGGGTAACTGCATCCCACTCTTCCTATCCTAGCCCTAGGCCACAACATGCTCCCTTGAGCTTCCTAACAACCTGCCCACACCTTTATTAAATGTTCCTCAAATGACTCCATTTTCTTCCAGGACTCTGTCTAATATATACAGTATTTCATTACTCTCTCTTCTTAAATTGCATTTTTTATCATAGACAGGACAATCAGTGTAATAATGTATGAAAAGCTGTAAATGTGTTGAGAAATGGGAAGGAGAGCAGAAAGGGACCCACTCTAGTCCCTTCAGCCCCACGCCCACCTCCCAGGATGTGTGTGAAGAGATGTCAGCCAGCACAAAGGCCAGGGCTTTATCTTCAGCTTCTCTCATGAACCCAGTGAGAAGCAAGGCTGACTCAAGGTCAGATATTTAAAAACAGAGATTTTAAATTAAATGTGAGCATGTACCACTAATTACTCTCTTTGTGTGATTAAAATCCGGGCTGCTGGTGTGATTTTTGAGAGCCCAGAGTTTTCCCCACGGCAGCAGGCTAGTAAGAGGCAAAGCTGGGGCCAGCCTGCACAGAGAGCTGCATTGCCCATGACCCCCGGCACCTGGAAGATGAGGCCTTCCGTGGACCTTCCATTCACGGCCAGGATAATGTCACCAGCTGCAATGGCCCCATTCTCCTCAGCTGGCTGCCCCGGAAAGAGCCTCTTAATCCTCACAAGATCACTTTTGAGATGGCTGCAGCTCTCTTTCTCCATCTGCACGAAACTGAATCCCAAACCATTGGCATTCTTTTTTAGTTTGACTTCAAACTTAGGACCTGTAGTGTGGGATGTTGATAAAAATAAATTCTTCAGTAGATTACAAGTGAAATTGACCAGTCTCAAAATGCAGATTGTCAAGTAGATGAATTATTTCTTTTACGTTCAAATAATTCCTTTGCCAATTTTATGACAGAGTACATTATGTATGTTATAGATTAGTGCTGTCCAATAAAATATAATGTGAGCTATAAATACAAACCACAAATGTCATTTTGAAGTTTTCAAATAGCTACATTAAAATAAAAGGAAAAAGCAAACAAAAAATAAATAAAACAATTTAAAAAGTAAAAGGAAACAGGTTAAATACGCTATAATTGTACATCTAATTTAATCCCATATATCTAAAATATTACCACTTCAACATGTCATCAATATGAAAAAATTATTAATGAGATATTTTTTATTCTTCTTATGAACTAAGCTTTCAAAATCCAATACATATTTTATCCATTTAGATTGGTCACATTTCAAGTCCTCAATAACCACATGTGGCAAGTGGCTACCATATTGAATAGCACAATTATAGATAACTCAACTATGTTTATACATAAAGATATAGCTGCTAGGCATACACAACATGCTCTTGGCATTTAATAAAACTTGTATCACATACATTCCTATTACTCCTTTAGAACTCTAGTCATTTGTAGTATACTTGAAACTAAATTTTGAATAATTAGACCATGGAGAAAATTATGGCCAATTCTATGGACAATGCTTTAGCTGCCATTTTGTTTACCCATGTAGGCTGACCATAAGACAAAACAGTTGCCTCTGGGCACCAAGGATGAACAGAGCTGGCAACCTACATGGTCTGTCCACCAAAGAGGCCTCTGGGCTGCCCCGCTGGCATCAATGCACAGAGGGACAGAGCACAGCTTGCAAACTTCACCAGGGCAAGAATGGAAGCATGTGAAGCAATTATGTGAAGCAATTATGTGAAGGTGTGTCACACGACCAGTTCTACCATCGCCCTAAGGCCTCCTCCACTCTTTGGAGTCCATTTCTCAAAGGCCCCAAGGGAGTGAGCAAAGGGGTGAGGACAGAGGAGACTTGATTTAAACAGAAGCATGCCCCTTTGCCCCACCCCTACCCTATGGCTGGCTTGAGTCTTCTGCAGCAAAATCAGAAAATCTCTATGAAGGGACTAAAACATGGCTAAGGTCCAAATCGTTCTTACTGAGGAAATCAGCGTGTTCCTGGCAAATACCAAAATCACAAGGGAATTGCAGATGGGCAGCCCATCGGAAAACGTGCAGTTTTGTCCCTCTAAATGATCGTTCATTTGCCTTTTAAAATGATGCTAATAACAAGGCTAGATTCCTGAACCTTCTCTCCCAACCTGCCTAGTCATTCCTCAAATAACTTTGTTACAAATGACTTGGCTGGACTGTGAAGCCAAATGTATCTGAAAGTGTATGACCCTTTCAGTCAATTTCATCCTAAATATTCACACAAACATTAACATTCTGGCAGCTGATCAAAGGACTGAGGAAGGCTGGGGGCAGAAAGATGCCTAGAAATCATTTGGGGAAAATGCATTTGTTTCCAGAAACCTATTCCATGAGATGGGCTTCCATGGCATGAAAAAGCCGATCTCAGCATGATCACCATGGCTCGCTTTCTTTTCAGGACCCAGAGGAAGCCTTCCTGCCTTTCCCTTTTGACTTGACAATTCAAAAGCGGCACACAATAACATGACAATAGTAACACTCAATTCTCTCCCCTCTCACCATCTGTCACCGAGACACAGCTCGAAGGCCTGCCAGGCAAGGCTGTTACCAAGGAAACAGCCGTGCGTTCATCTCCCATGCTGTCATTAGCAGAAGGACACTGCTGTGTACTCCTGGGGACTCTTCTCTCTAAGACCAGTCTTGCAACCTAGAAGGAAAGGTGAACAAACTCAGTTTACACTTCATATGGCAACCAGGAGGCACTCCCTTGACTCTGCAAATGCTTCTTAATTTTCGAATCCTTCCTATAAGCAGACTCATTTGAATCTCTCAACTAGCCTATATATTGGGATCTAGACCCAGATTTCTCAGTGCTTATTAGACAAGTGCACCTGAAAGCAACACATGTACCTCCACTTCACACATGCAGTGCCACACTCATCTTCCTCCCCTCACTCACCCTCACTTCCCCTCCTCATTCTTCCTAAAACACTCCTCCCCTCGCATTGGCTCACCCCACCATTAACCTGCCAAGGGCCACATTTGGAGTGGTCCAGCTCTCCCCCATCTGGTTTCTAAGATGTGAACATTCCCCATCAAGAACAGCTCCTCAGTGCCCCCTCCCCTCCACCTCCTCTCTCACTGCCAGTGACCCGCTGGGCCGTGGCAAGCTCTGGTTACCTTGGCTCGCTGGACCCTGTCTGCACCCTTCTTGGTCCACCCCATCATGGCTGCCAGTGAATTGGTCTAAGACAAAAACTGAACATGCAACATTCTTGATTTGAAGTCTCCAATGCTTCCCATCACCTAAGACCCAAACCCATGGCACCCCAGGTCTGTACCACCTGCCCTCCCCTTTCTTTCCAATGTGATTTCCCACATTTCTCCCCACAACACCATATACCCTTGTCGCCCTAAGTGTGATTCAAGAACCAGCAGATAGACATCACCTGGAAGCTTCTCAGAAATGCCAAGCTCCCATTCAGGGCATGTGGCCCTGCCTTCATCTTCCTGTTGCACCTGTCACTCAGCACCTGGCCCAGGATCCCAGAGGGACAATTCCTACCTGCTTAAGCTGCCAAGAGGCCAGCCAAGTACCCTCTCTACCCATGCTCATTAGCAAAGGTCTAAATATCAGAAGGTGCCAATAAATTATGGCTCTGTTCTCAAGATAGGTCAACCAAAGTCACTAATATAAGCAAATTTCACCAGACACCAGAAAAACGCTTTGGGAAAGAAAGCGAAAAGTGGCCAGAACATTGCCCCAAGCTTGCTGGAAGGGCCTTCAGGAATCCCTCC
This sequence comes from Homo sapiens, assembly GCF_000001405.40. Lineage (NCBI taxonomy): Eukaryota > Metazoa > Chordata > Mammalia > Primates > Hominidae > Homo > Homo sapiens. The sequence goes on along the minus strand of NC_000010.11, from coordinate 46,877,687 downwards.
TGTCTCTGTTGACTTTTTAGTTGCCAAAAGAGGGTGATGCCAGCTCTGTGGCTCAGGACACAGAGGCAGTTAGAGGCTCCTAACCTCAGGCAGAGGACTCGGCACAGTGGGATAACATCGAGTCACTGCGGGGCAGGGAATAAAGGGGACATAAAGGATGAATGGCTCTGTTCTTGGCACCCTGAATTCCTACCTCATTGTGAGGAAAAGAATCCCAGGACACTCTGACCCACGCCCCGGTGGGTACAACACAGGGTGAGGGGGAATGGCATGAACAGGGAATGGAGTGGGGTCATCCCATGCAAACGTAGGGAGGTAAGAAGGCCCATGGACACAGGGCCAGCGGGGCTGGGGCAGCCAGAGCCAGGCTAGAGCAGTCTCTTCACTCCATCTTCTCCATTCCGCTGTCTGATTCCAGAATTCAGGCAAGCCACCAGTAAGTTTCTAAGGCTATCTATGGGGGGTGAGATTTTTTTTACTCAGAAACATCTATCTGCTATCTCCTGGGTTTCACATCCCCATAGAAAAGTGAGGGTAAGAAGAAATGGAAGAGAAAAAAAAAAACTAACAAAGAAAAAGTCTTGTTTCCTGCCTGCCTCCCTCCCACCCAGAGGCGATTTCAGCTTCTGATGTTGTTCAGGAAAGTTCCGGAAGGAGGGGAAGCTGGTCAGCAACAGTCCACTCACCTGCCCAGGACCCTTCAGGCACTGCACAGCCTGCTTGTGGGTGAGGCCGCACAGAATCACTCCATCCACCTGCAGGAGTCGGTCACCTGGGAAAGGGATAGATGTCATGTCATGACCTGGTGCTTGAGGCTGCAGGAGGTTCCCTTCCAGGAGGCCCCTGCCCGGCACCCCTCCATGCAGCCTGGAGAAGTGGGAAAGGAAGCTGAGGTGCCAGGTGTCCCCCTGGAGTCAGCAGGAATCCTGCCTCTCTGAGCAGTCTCACTCCCTTCTTCTCAGGCACATCACAGATCAGGGATATAAAAGCCTTTCTATTATTGGCTCACAGAATGGTTGAGCCAGCTCTGTTCAACCTTATCCTTCCTCCTGTTTTCCTGTGAAACCGTTTTTGAAAGTATTTTCAAGTCACTTAGATATTTATATCTCCAGGATGTATTTTTTTTATTTCAAAAAAAGGTCAGGGAGGCATGGTTGACGCTGGGGACACCAGAATTCTAGGGGAAATGGAGATAAGTAAGATCCTAGGTTCCCCTTTTGGCTCAATTCTGGCAGTTTTGGAGACCAATAAAAATCACCCCCTTCCATCAGAGAAGTGGGAGCTGAGCAAGGGCAAACAGAAGGCTCAGGTGTCCTCCCCGGATGTGCGAGTGAGTTTACCGAGGCCCACTTGTCCTCCAAGGGAAGCAGTATGTTTTCCCATGGAGGCCAAAGAGCAACACAAGTCTTTTAAGTCTTCTACTATTTTTCTATCACCTATGCTTCCCAGTGTGCCACTGCAGACCCCCCAACCTATCAAATGGGCAGGGCAGATTCTATCACCTCCTTTCCAGGTGAGAAAAGTATGACCTGGGGAGGCAATCATTTGCATGAGTTTTCAGAATGGGAGCAGGGCAAGGCCTAGAGGCTGCCCCTCCCAGTGCAGGGCTCTTTACACCATGGAGCACAGAGTTCCCAATGAGGACCCATCCCCATCTCTCACCCTGTAGGATCTGCCCTTCCTTGGCAGCTGGTCCTCCAGGAACAATGGATTTCACATAGATACCACCATATGGCACACTGGTGTTAATGCCACCCTGAAAAACACAACAAAAAGCTCACCACCCATCTTTCCTCCTCCAGGAAGCCTCCCCAACCTCCCCAGCTAAGGGAATCCCCACCTGCCCACCACTCTATCCCATGACCTTACCTCCGACTGGCACTGTCTTCTGTATTCACCTGTTTGTTTAGATTGTATTCTCCACTGAGCAATAAGATTAGGTGTTCATAAGCTTAACAATAGCAACTATGTGAGAGATCTGGGCATGTCCCCAGCCCAAGCACTGGTACAAGGCGGGTGCTCAGCAACTGCTCACGTGGGATGCACCACTATCTCTATATAGGTAGTGACCAGCGTAGGTGGATATGGCTGTGGGCCTGAAGGCTTGTGCCTGGCACGTCTTGTGTGCTTTGATGGGCCAAAGGATATGTGCATTTTTCATTATAATAGATGTTGCCAGATTGCATCCCTATGTGAATATGGATATACTTATTCACATTTCTACCAGCTTTGTATGACAGTACCATTTTTCTACGTTCCACCAGCTGTATTTGGCCAAGCTGGTAGACATAAAGTTTAAAATTTTATTTTAATTTAATTTGTATTCCTGTGGCTTTTCACGGGTTTGAGTGTTTTTCATGTGTTTAATGGCCATTTGGATTTGAGTGAGACATTTCAAGAATTATTTTTGAAATTAAATATCTGCAAAGAAAATCCAAGTTTTTGCCAGCCAAAGGAAATCATCAAACTCTTCTCAGCAAATATATATTTGTGAATAACCCAAAATTTAGTCAGTTTTTCAGATGAAAAATAGCTATGTTTGGTGTCTGATAAGGCTGTTACCCCAAGCCAAGAATAAATGGACCATATTTGGTATCAGCCTGTTCACTCCATGTGGATTCATGAGCCTTATTGCTTGGTTTCTTACTTGGTCCCTTAAAATCATCTACTGATGACAAATTCATTGCAGGCTTAGGGTCCAAGAAAACACATATCCTTGCTCTAGGTACATAGCATTATCACAGGGGAAAGCAAAGAATGCCCTCCATTCACATATCTCTTGAATTTCCTCTGAAAATTTTCATCAGCCATAGAGTGTCCTTACTTTGGTGGGAGATGCCATTCTATTTCCCATCAACAGTTAAATCCAACAATGACATTCCTGAAATCCAGACCCATTCCAGGGTCTGAAGGTAATGGATCACTTTTTTTTTTTTTTTTTTTTTGAGACGGAGTCTCACTCTGTCGCCCAGGCTGGAGTGCAGTGTTGTGATCTCGGCTCACTGCAAACTCCACCTCCCAGGTTCACGCCATTCTCCTGCCTCAGCCTCCCGAGTAGCTGGGACTACAGGTGCCCGCTATCACATCCAGCTAATTTTTTTTTTTTATTTTTTAGTAGAGATGGGGTTTCACCATGTTAGCCAGGATAGTCTCAATCTCCTGACCTTGCGATCCACCCGCCTCGGCCTCCCAAAGTTCTGGGATTACAGTCATGAGCCACCGAGCCCAGCCTGTAATGGATCACTTTCAATACTCAGTAATAAAAGCAGCACCTTCCAACCTCTGACCTCTGGATTTTCACCAGTTTTGTGTGTGCCATTCCCCAACCCCTTGAGTAAACACAGTTATATGGGTAATCTCCTTTCACAAGGGTCTACCAGGCAGAGCTCAGAAACCAAATGGAAAGTGTCAGTCCTGATGGAGGCCTGGCCCTGGGATGTCTGAGCCAGAGGCTCCACACTGATTCTATGCTGGATGACAGTGGACTGCCCCACCCATCCTTGGCCAGATGACAGTGGACTGCCCTTCTTACCTTTAGCTTGTGTCCCTGAAGCCCCAATGTGCTTCTCTCTCTCTGCAGTCCAGCTTGACCTCAGAGTCAGGACACATCAGCCAACTCTGCCCACACTGCCTCCTCATGAGTTTGGAGTCCCCTAGTGCATGCCCTGCTCATCCTGAGGTTCCCCAGTACCTCTGTTTGTCTCTGAACTCATCCCCCAGTGCAGGCCCCCATTTGCTTTTTTATTTACCCCTTACATTTGTGCAAACTAAGCACACTGTCAGAGGTTGCCATCTGGGTGGAATGGCCACCAGGTTCTAGACGGACATCTTGTTAACTGCTTTTCAAGCTCTCCTAAAAACTCTTACAGTTACGCTGAATCCAAGTGTCCCATCTTCTTTAACCAGTTCCACAAAGTAGATTTCACCAGCACTGATTTCTGGAGGTGATGGAGGACAAGAAGAACCAGCACCCTGCCATAAACAAACAAACAAAAATAAAGATGGGATGAAGGAAGATGTCACCTCTTGGCTCATACTGCTCTCAGGAGCAGGCAGCATTGCACCTCAGAAAGATCATGAGTTTTGGACTGGGCCAGCAGGGGATTCATTTCCAGCTTTATCAGGCCTTCTGCATGTGACCTCAGACAAAGCAGGAGGAAGATGAGGGAGTGATGGGCTGGGCTGATGCCACTTCTAGGCAGAGAATGCTTGGGTCACTGTTCATGTTCCGCTGTCCCTCTGCCTAGAAGATGGGGTCTTTTGTCCTATCTGCCCCCTTTACTTAGTGCTTTCTAATCACCATGAATGTTAGAAAATTCTAACGACATGCAGGAAAATAAACAAGCTGGAGGAAGCTGAACAACGAAGCCTCAACTGCTGAGGTTGAGACCTGAAGTGAGAATCTAAAGTCCACCATACCACAGAGGATCATCTGGCCACAAAGTTGGCCAAGAGACCCAGAAGAGCCTGCAGCATCTGGGTTGCGTCCTACAGCCTGCACCATGGTCAACGTGGCCTTAGAGCTCCCTTGCTCCCCTCAACGGCCCCCAGCCCCAGGAAACCAACTCTCAGGTTTGCCACCAAAGAAGCCCCAGCATGAAGGCCTCTCTGCTCTGCTTCCTGCCAGAGAGGACCTACCAGAGGAAGGCCTGGGGTGAAGGTTTCTGCTCTGGAGGCCAATCTGAATCCCAGCTCTGTCCCCTGCTCCCTGAGAGAGCTTGGGTGTGCTCCTTTGCTCTTTCTGTCTCAGGTACCCCACCCATAAAAGGGGTTGATAATAGGAATGATCTCATTGGGTTACCATGGAGCTTCCATGAGCTAATACATATAAAGTGCTCAGGACACTGCCTGGCACACAGGTAAGCACTCAATTAATGGCAGCTACTATCGTTGTTCTTCCACTGGCCTCCTGCATCCAGTTCCTCATGGGATGTTCTGTCCAGGTGAGCACCATGGCCAATTAGGAAGGCACTGTCATTCATGGAGCCCTATTGCATGCCAGATCCTTGTGACAGAGGTCAAGACACACTACCCCAAAATAGGGCACCTTGGCACATTGGAGGAATTGGAGAAACAGCACATGAGGGAAGGTTTCTCTGACCTTCCCCTGCCCTTCTCTTCTGAAGCAGGCCCTAAAACCTAGGAAGGATTTTCTAATCTTCCCCCGAAGCAGGGCACAAGACCCTCAAGTGAGAATGCCCTCCCTATATCTGGAAAAATGGAGCATCTTATGTGGGAAGACACAGGGACTGAGAGAGGAATCTGAACAAGCAGGCCCTGCTGAGTTCCTCCCACCTTACATACTCCTGCTTTTTGTCTTATCTCATTTCTCCATGACTCTCCATTCTTCATCAAATATACTCAGGGAGAACTGTTTCTTCAGGTCATTTCCGTAAGAAGGCTCACATGTCACATAAAACTTATAGTAAATACACGTGGATGCTTTTCTCTCATTAATCTGTCTTTAGTTACAGGGGTCCCAGCTGATGAAGCTAAGATGAGTAGAAGAAAGATACGGGTTTTATCCCCGACACTGGGCATAGTACCTTAGTTTCCACGGCTGTGGACAGACATCATTATCTCCATCATAAAAAGAGAAACAAGGTTGAAAGAGGTGCAATAACCTGCCTGTTTCAACCAGCAAGTTGTCCCAGCAAGAATGAGAAGGGCATACACTCAGCCTGAGTAAGGGAGGATAGGTCATGGGAGACCTGTTTTCAAAGGTCTTGCCAGCCTTTGGAGAAACCAGTAATATCAGTTCAGCACCTGGGGCTAGAAACACTGGGTGCTGTGACCACCCCTGAGCCTGAAGGGCGAGAGAAGGGAGTGGTCGATGGACCCTCATAGGAGCTGTGCTCTTTGTAGAGGGGCACAGGCAACCTGTGTCAGCACAGGGAGAGAGTGGAATGAAGGGTGTGCAACTGAGACTCCAGCACTGCCACCCTGTCCTCACTCATCCCACAACTGCGGGCTCCTGCTGAGGCTTTGACTGGGCAGAACCAAGCAGAACACAGCAAGGTGACTCAGTCCATGAGCACCAGCTGTGCAGGGCCCAGAGCAGAATGGAGAGGCTGGGGCATGGGTCTGGCGGGGCCTGAGAAGACAACACCACTGGGAGTCCAAAGAGACGGCAGAGGACAGCAGAGCTGGGACTGAAGCACACAGCCCTCCATACACCTACTCCAGATCCCATCTTCTTCCTCCATGGGGTATGGTCAAGAGCAAAGCCACTGAGTTCCCAGCTTGAGGACCAATTCAAGGACAAGAATAGGAGGTGCCTGATTGCCCACGCCTTGCCATTGGCAGCAATCAATTTCCTCATGGTGCTATTATCACAACAATTATAATTAGTGACTAAAGACTCCAGAGGCACCCACACTGAGCCTGTGCCCAGACACTGTCCTAGAACTCTGCCTTCTTCTATGCGTTTTTCTCAACAACCATGCCATGCAGGCATTTGCTTCTGTATGCAAATGAGGAAGCTGTGGCTCAAACGGGCTAAGTAACTTCCATCCACCTGACATGGAAAACAGAGAACAGGAAGGGCCTAGGGGCCAGGCTGTTGGGCTTCACAGTCTGTTCTCTTTCATCCAGATCTAGAAAGTAAACCAAGGGATGATTACCTTTAACGGCAGAAAGGAAAGCTGATGTCTCAGCCTGGGCACTAAGCTCTGCACCCCAGCCATGTCTAGTTCTTCAGTATTTCTGTCCTGGTCTTGTGTGTGTGACAACAAACTTCCCTGGTACCCGAAGCTCAGGATGTCTGTAGAGGAGACCCCAGAATTGGCTGTGCTATTCTTTTCTTCATCTGGGTTATTTCCACCAACACCTATAAAAACAAGCCAAGAAAAAGTCAACAGCTTAAAAAGGCTGGTTTCTTGGTGGCATCTCTATGTGGGCACAGCGTTTTCCTCCAGTGACAGAGTGATCGTTTATAGCTGCTCGGGTACAATATGAATTTAGCTCCTCCTGAAAGATGTTACATTTAGATTAGAGAAAGGGAAGATTCTACATGGGATTTAGAAACCTAGATAGAGCTTACGTGACCCAACTATGAATGCGTAGGCTCAAAAGAAGTTCATAAGACCAGCTATCCCTTATTAAGCTCTAGCCATGTGATGGGCACCTTAGATATACATATAGGAAGATATGGACATCTTCCCATCTTCTCAGCAAACCCACCAGGAAGGTGTAATCCCAGTTCAAACATGAGAAAACAGAGTCAAAGCTATTAAGTGTCCTGCCCCAAATGCTACAGCCAGCATGTGGGAACTGTCTTAAACCCAGCCTCTCCTGGACACCCCACTGAGCACATCTGCAGCCACCATGTGATCCAAAAACCAATGTATCAGGTCCTTTTGGGAGGCTTGGTAATAACCAAACTGCAGGCCCCTGTGAGTGAAAGCTAGGCCACTGATTCCTGCTCACCCTGTGTCTGACTCGTGACCTGGCATAGAACAAAGAAAAGAACGTGAGGTTGCTGATGTTTATACATTTTGCATGTAATTACTACCATAGAATTATACACTTAAAAATTTTTAAATGATGTATGTATATCATATTGAAATTTTAAAAAGCAAACAAATAGGAGGTGCCTAAGCTTGACTCATGTTCATTAATTTGCTGACCCCTTTATTATGGCAGTGGTTAATATATTTTAGAATTTAAAATTCACTTAAAATATGTGTTAAAAGACAGATTGCTGTTTCCTTAGTTTCTGATTCATTCATGCTGGAATGGTACCCAAGAATTTGCATTTCTAATACATTTATGTATGATGTGGATGCTGTTGGTCTGTTGATCACACTTAAAAAACTTCTAGACTACATTATGCCTAAAACAGTTCCTCTGTCTCATCAGTGCAGTTGTTTAATTGATTTGTTTTTTTTTTCTCCAAGTAAAGAGATTAAGTTATTCTAATCTAATAACATGCTAATATAGTTTGGCTCAGTCAGGCAAAATCAATCATACATATGAAATCATTAACAGCTGAAAAGAAATAGAGAGAGACAAAGTTGGGAAGAGATTAAAAGTGAGAGCTGATGTGGGATTGCCTGGATGCAACTAACATCCCAGTTCCATCACCTTTCTCCTCTGTAACACTGGAACAGGTAATGAACTTCCCTGAGATTTAGATTCCCTTGCCTGTAAAGGAGAATAAATAACAAAAATTCCTCATAGAGTATTTTGAGGATTACATGGGATACTGCTTATAAAGTTGCTAGCAAAATGTCTGGTACATAACAAGTCCTAATAAACAGTTACAGATGAAAAAAAGATGGACAGGGAATAACATTCATGACAAATCAATCTGAAAAATGTTGATGTAAAAAATTCTAGAACTCAGGATATCTTCACAAAGTCGGTGTATTAAAATAAATATGGCATAAACCCTCCAATGTGAGCCTTATAAAAAGAGGAGATTTGCTTATTATGAAAAAGAGAAAGAGTGGAGGGTCTATGAGGTAATTATTAATATTAGTTTTATTAAATATTAGCACATTTCATTAAGTGTGCAGCAACCTCAAGCTGGTGTTATTAACTGAACTTGGGAGAACATTTGAGCTCATGAACTATTCACATTGTTCTAAATCTAAGTAAAAAAGTGATAAAAGAGAGAGTGCAGAAGCTAGTTAAAATGTGTTTTCCATATATATAAATATACATAATATATAAATAAATATATATTATATATAAATAAACATAAATAAATTTAATATTTATAAATTTAACATTTATAAATATATTATATATTATATATAAATAAATATTTATAAATTTAAAAGTTATAAATATATTATAATTATATATAAATATTTATAAATTTAAAATTTTATATAAAAAGATATAAATATATATGTAAATATATAATGTATAATATATCTAAATATAAATATATTTAATAATATATAATATATCTAAATATAAATATATTTAATAATATATAATATATAAAAATGTAAATATATTTAATAATATATAAATAGATTATATATATATAAATGTAGCTAACAGTTCCAACAATGTTCAAATAAGGCAAAGGCCCAGCTGCAACCAATCCAGTTGTTTCTGTACCTCACTTTCCTTTTGCTGTCCATAAATCTTCTTCCACCACGTGGCTGCGCTACAGTCTCTCTAAATCTCCTGTAATTCTGGGCGCTGCCTGATTCTCCCATCGTTCATTGCTCAAACTACTTTAAATTTTATATATATATATATTTTACACAAAGAATAGGCTGAGTTAAATATACATCTTGCTGTTTGCAGTGACCATTCTGGCTTATCATTACAGATGTCTTGTTTTCTCCTATAGAAGTAACACACTTTACTACTTTTCAAGACAGATTGTTACACTGATTCTATGATTGTCGTTAAGAGAAAAATTTCAACCAAATTAAATGTAAAGTAGTATGAGCAATGAATGATGGGAGAATCAGGCAGCACCCAGAATTACAGCACATTTAGAGAGACTGTAGCGCAGCCACGTGGTGGAAGAAGATTTACGGACAGCAAAAGGAAAGTGAGGTACAGAAACAACTGGATTGGTTGCAGCTGGGTCTTTGCCTTATTTGAACATGGTTGGAACTGTTAGCTACATTTGGCCAAAACTCAGTGATTGGTACAGATGTGGGCTACAGTTGGTTTACAACTTCACTTGTTATAGTTCACGATGTATAGAAAAACCTTTAGGTTGAACTTTAATATGTAAGGAGGCAGCTTTAGGCTAAACTTGATTTAACAATTTCCCTCTTTGGGTCATTTTCTCAATCTTGAGATATTGACCAAAACTTTAGTTATTGATGTTACTATTACCATGGCTCTTGAAACTTACTGGGAAAGAGCAGAACAGTGAGTTTGGCAAAGATGGGAACAAGGACCGAGTAGAGGGTATGTCCATATGTTGGAACATTCTGTTTACAGAAGAAAAACAAAACCTGGTCTGTTCTAGAATCTGTTTGCTATGTTTTCCATGATCAAACGTAGTTTGATTATGTTACATTCAGCACAAGCAACCCCAGTTTTGTCTGGTTTGGTCTGTTGGGGCCTAGTGCATGAGCTCAGTCCAAAACAATGGCCTCCCATAATTTCATTTAAAAGAATCCCCTTTTTGTTAGGTCATGTTCTCACTTAGGTGAGAGTGTGACCAAACTTAGGGCCTTAGCACCACTCTCAGTTACCATCATTGTGGATTTCTGGTCTCAGCATGTCATTCATAAGTTACGGTGTCCTCATGGCTGCACATTTCTTTCAGCTCTTGTCATTCCAGTTAAAGAGAGACCATTTGACATTCTAGAGATGTCTGCATGCAAACATTTAACACTTTTAAAGAGAATATAGCACACCAGAAAGACTATTATTATGACTATCAGTAGGATAATACCAAGAGTTCGGAGTGTGCTCCTTACCCGGGGTCCCCATAAACCAAACCACCCAAAATTAAATAGATCAAAGGATGAGCTACGTGAAGAGTCTACTCACTTAACTAAAGAGTCTCGGCCGGGCGCGGTGGCTCACGCCTGTAATCCCAGCACTTTGGGAGGCCGAGGCGGGCGGATCACGAGGTCAGGAGATCGAGACCATCCCGGCTAAAACGGTGAAACCCCGTCTCTACTAAAAATACAAAAAATTAGCCGGGCGTAGTGGCGGGCGCCTGTAGTCCCAGCTACTTGGGAGGCTGAGGCAGGAGAATGGCGTGAACCCGGGAGGCGGAGCTTGCAGTGAGGCGAGATCCCGCCACTGCACTCCAGCCTGGGCGACAGAGCGAGACTCTGTCTCAAAAAAAAAAAAAAAAAAAAAAAAAAAAAAGAGTCTCTTCATTAATCCCCTACAACTAAATCTATAATATGTGATGTTTTCCCCATAGGCCATAAGTGCCAGCAGCTGTACAGATACTTCTGTTTAGCTAGTAACTTATCCAGATCAATTCTATTATTTAGCATAACTTTCACAAGAGAATTTAAAGTTTATTGTGTAACCATAGCCTTTACAGTAGAATCTGCTTTAGAGCCTATCATGAGGAATACATTTTTAATCTTTGCCGCTTTTATTCCAAACTATGGAAAAAGGACCTAACAAATGATGCCCTTTTAGAAGAGTGAAAGCCTCCCAGCGATGTTCTCCTTAACCCATGATGTGGGTTAAGAGGAGTAAATCAATGTTCTGTTTCTGACTGATTATGAGGCAATGTACGTACCATTAAAGTTTCTCATCTACATTGGGCCTTCATTTTTGTCTATTAAGGTATAAGGTTATCCATGTATAAGGCTGGCTGCAAAATCCTTCACAAATAAAAGTATACCCCATAAATGCACACAAGAGAACCCTTTCACTTCTATTATTCATAGAAGCATAAGCAAGGGACAAATAATCAAAGATAAGAGTCTTATGATAGTAGAGAATTCTTGATCCATGATCTTGGGAAAACCTGTTCACAGTCAAGGATGCCATCTTCTGGGGAGAAACCCCCCTGGTTAGCTTTTCTTTAAGGCTTCTAATGGGTGTACAGTTCCAAGAGTGTAAAGGGAGCCTTCTCAGTTGTGAGATTATGAACCCAAGGTTCAAGGTCCTGAAGTTTTACTGTAGTGTGCATGCCAATGACAGTCTTTCTTTGATGTTCTCAGAAGATCAGTCTTCAGGTTCTAGTTTATGAAGGCATTGATTGTCCTCAGTGAACCATAAAAACCTTACTTTACCTGGTAAAAATACACTGTAGTATAATTATCTACTGCTACAAAGATGGCAGTGGCACCCCATCTGGAGCAGCCACTGCCGTCACATCAGCTACAGCGGTGAAACATGGTAAAGAGCTGGATACAAGTGGGAAACATGCCCTTTCTGAGTTGGTGGAGTTAGAGCTTCCTGGGAACAGGTGCAGCAGCCCAAGTAGTGGCTGCAGATCTGGGCCTCCCATTCCATGGAGCACACAGGACACCTGTCCTTCAAGATGCAACTACAGATGCCCAAGCCACGGCTGCAGAGTCAGGCATCTCTACACTCTTGGGGGCACAGGAAAAAACCCCAGGCCCTTGCAGACTTGGAGGTATCTTCTGCTCCCATTGCCTGGCTCCTCCCCACTCTTGACATCTGCTCTGATCTTGGAGCAAGGTTGTGGGTAGGCTCAGGTGCTGTTGCAGCCTGGTGGGTGTGCACATGCTTGAGGCAGTGCTGATACACCAGTACCATACTGTCTCTGGCCCCTGCCCAGGCTTTGGGCACTGACAAGCATGGGAGGGAAGCTGAGGAGATGCTGAGGGCAGCTTGGCACTGGCCTGCAGGCATCCTTTGGCACAAATAGCCTGGGTGCCATGAATGGCAGCAGGAGGCAGACAGGCTCCTGCACAGAAGGGGGTGGGTCCTTGGTGAGGCCTTTCCTTCAGGCCAGGATGGGTGTGAAGGCTGGGGTCTGGGCTGCCAGTCCCGTGAACCAGAGTGTAAACTTGTGATGCCTTTTCTGGGGCCATCCATGGCCTCTCATGGACCGATCAGTGTGCATTTCTTCCTTTCTGAGACCTATAAAAGCCCCAGGCTCAGCCAGAACTGAGCAGACATAGGGACAACCAGCTACAGAGAGCAGCTACCCACTCCAGGGCCTCATCTCTTCTGAGAGATGCAGATATTGGGATGCCCAGCTGCAGAATGGAGGTGCCCACTCCAGGACATCCTCTGAGTTATTCTGTCACTCAATATAGCTCCTCTTTGCTCACTCTCCACTTGTCTATATACCTCATTCTTCCTGGAGGTAGCACAAGAACTTGGGACTTGCCAAATGACAGGACTAAAAATGCTGTAACACAAACAAGGTTGAAACATGCCCCTTGCTCACCATGTTGTGGATGACAAGAAGAGAGAAGAAAAAAAGAGCTGTGGCTCTATGGGAACCCAGACCTGGGAGCTCCCCAGGCCAGAGCTGTGACTCCCGCTATGGGACCCTGTGGTTCCTGGAGTCTGCAAGCTTCCAGGTACAACTGTGTTCCCTTGTAACAGCCATGGAAGCTGCTTGTGGTGTGTCTGGTCCAGCCAAAGCCTTATAGTGAGCTAGCACTCATGCTGGCACCTGGAGCTGCCTGTCCCAGCTGCAGCAGCTGGTGTGCCTAACTGTGTTAAAATATATTGAACAATATGAACTTCCACTCACCAAGCCTGACTTGATTGCTCAGTCTACCAGTAGCAGAGGACAATATTGAGCCCCTGATATGGTGACATTCCCTGGAGTAATCGGCTGGCTGCCTGGGGGCAGGCTGATTACATGGTATGAATTTCATCATGGAAGTAGCAGCATTTTGTTCTTATAGGAACAGACACTTACTTTGAATACGGATTGCCTTCCCTGCATGCAGTGCCTCTTCCCAAACTACCATAAGAGACTTACGAATGCCTTATACACTATCACAGTGTATCACACACCATTGCGTGTGATCAAATAAGTCACTTCCTAGCAATAGATGTCAGCAATGGGCCCACGCTTATGATCCAATGGTCTTACCATGTTCCGCATGACTCTGAAGCAATTGGATTGATAGAATGGTGGAATAGCCTGTTAAAAACTCTGCTGCAGCACCAGCTAGGTGGCAATGTCTTGCAGAATTGGGACAAATTCTCCAGAAGGCTGTATATGCTCTGAATCAGCATTCAATATATGGTGCTGTTTTTACCATAGCAGAATTCATGGCTCCAGGAATGAAGGAGTGTAAATGAGAGTGACAGAGTTCACTATTACTTACCTGTAGTGACTCAGTAGCAAGATGGTTGCTTCCTGTTTTCATGACTTTATCATATAATATGAGATGTACTGAATTTGTTTCATAGTATTTACGTAATCCTAATTTTACATCATAGTATTTAAGTTAGGGGATATCAAGAAGAGTAAACATTACTCAATGACTTTGCTTCCTCTTTCTGGGAAGGGATTAGTGCAATTTTTGGTGTATACAGGATAGTTGTATCCTGTCAGGCAGAATTATGACCTTGCTATTGTGTTTATTTGAAAATTAAATATGGTTTTAAAAGATACATATAGGTGCCACATTGACACAGAATAAACTTATAATAGCTAGTTTTATGTGTTGGCTTGACTAGGCCATGGAGTGCTCAGATATGGAAACAAATACTATTGAGTGTATCTGCAAGGATGTTCTAGATGAGATTGATATTTAAGTTCATAGAGTGAGTAAAGCAGATTGTTCTCTCTAAAGTAGGTAGGCCTTATCCAGTCAATTGAAGACCTGAATAGCACAAAACGGTTGATTAAGGGAGGACTCCTCTTGCCTGGCTTCCTGAGCTGGGCCATTGGTCTTTTCTTGCTTTTATATTCAAATGGAAACATGGATTTTCTCGGGTATTGAGCTTGCCAGCCTTTGGACTGAAGCTTACACTATCAGGTCTGGTTCTCATGCCTTTGGACTCAAACTAGAACTAAATTTCAGCTTTTCTGTGTCTCCAGCTTACCAATTGCAGATATTGAAACTTATCAGCCTCCATAATATGTGAGCCAATTTCTTGTAATCTCTCTTTCTCTCTCTCTCCCTCTCTCTCTCTCTCTCAATATTGAGAGCAGTATACACAGCTAAGATAGTCATGGAATGGACATGATGACTCTATTACTCAATGTTATCTAGAGAAACATACGATGAGCAAGAAAGGATAAGAAATTGGCTCACACCATCCTTATAGAGGCTGAGAAGTCTCAATATCTGTAGTTGGCAAGCTGGAGACACAGGAGAGATTAAATGTAGTTCCAGTTTGAGTCCAAAGGCATGAGAACCAGGAGAGCTGGTAGAGTAAGATTCAGTCCAAAAGCTGGCAGGCTCAATACCCAAAAAAGACAATGTTTCTATTTGAAACATTGAAAAGGAATCCTCTCTTAATCAACTTTATTTGTGCTATTCACCTCTTCAATTGATTGGAAAGGGCTACCTACACTAGAGAGAACAATCTGCTTTCCTCACTCCATGAATTTAAATATTAATCTTATCTAGAACATCCTTGCAGATACACTTAATATCATTTGTCAGCATATCTGGGTACCCATAGCCTAGTCAAATCAACACATAAAATTAGCTATTATAAGTTCATCCCCTGTCAACCTGGCAGCCATGTGTCTCCTAAAACCATACTTAATTGTCAATTAAAGAAAATAGCAAGGTCATAATTCTGCCTGATGTGATACAACTATCCTGTGGCAACCAAAAATGCACTAACCCCTTCCCTAGAAGAGGAAGCAAAGTCCTTGAGTGGATGAGGGCTGCCTACTTTGAATATACATGGATGTGTATAAATACACATTTTTTTCTGTTCCTCTAGATAACCTTGACTAATACAATCATCATGTTCATTCCCTGACTATCTTAGCTGAAACAGAGACTACCAGTCAGTACTCTTATTGCCCCCGATTTGTTTATTGAATGTACTTGCTAAAATCCAAAAAATACAAATTTACTTATTGTCTACATCAAATATAATGCAATCACTATGGGAGTAAGTACTTTGTATCTCTTTTTACATCACAGAATAGATTGCATAACATAAAAGTGATGCTCAACAATTACTTGTTAACCTAGTTTTGATTAAAACATTCTGTAGAGTTCAAAAGGTTCTATTTTTGCATATATGTTCCCTTTGTTTTTATAAATAAATAAATTATATTAACTTAAAAATAATGGATATAATGGCTTTGAAAATTCTGAGACTCACCAGATGGCAAATGATGCTGAAATGAATAAATAGCTTTCAAGCAAAGATAGAATCCAGGGCACTGCCAGGAAAGTATGGTCCAAAATTGTAGCCAAAAAGATAACTGTAAAATTTTCCATATGTTGCAGGAAGATCAAAGGTTGTGCTTTGGAATGCCATTTAGTTAGACATACGGTCCTCTAAAATATAAAGTATATGATATACAGATAACTCAATCGAACAATGGAACCTGCAGGAAGCTCACAGCATTGCTCTGCAGCCTCCTCAACAAAAGTTCAAGAAAGAGAAGGGCATGTTTCTGAAAGTATTACTGAGTTACCCTTTGTGTATGAGTGAATCTTAGTAAGATTCATAGTAAACCTACAAAAATTTGAAGGTAAATTACATATGTAAAAATATTGATAATTTAAACTGAATAAGCCAGATTCATTTTAAAGTGGGCCACCCAAGTTTCTTTAAGCAGATAGCAGGCTGAGTAAACTACTCAGAGTTAAATATGTTCTAACTTTTATGAAAAAGTAGGCTATTTCAAAGGATAGGACTGAGACCAGACGGTGGAATCAAGAAATAGCCATTGATTGGTAGGAATAGGATTAAATTCCCCTCAAAAAAAAAGAAAAAATTAACATTTTCCCAGCTAGATTTCAGAACTCTCATTGACTGCTGACTTCTGTATGTCTCCCTTTTTCCTCTATTAAGTCCGAGTGCCTATGATGATTATTCTATGCCTGTCTCATCATTTTATGATAGATGTGTGAAAGATAGGTAAGTTGTTTCTTTAGTTTCAAAGGTCTTCAAATCAAGACAAACTGTACTCAAGGAGTTGTATTTGCAGCTAGACCTGATTTAAATGACAAGATTCTAGACTTCAAACTAATGCTGTGATGAGATGAAGCTTTGGTAGACTTAGGATACAATTAGTGAGGTGTGTGCATTACTTGGAGCCAGAGAGCAGTCTACAGTAACCGGTCTGTATCTATCTGCCTATTTATCTGTGTCTCTACAAGTGCATAAATGTGTGTGTGGTGTGTGGAGGGGAGTGTATGTATATGTGTGCTTATAAGTTCATGGATGAATTACAAAGCTTTCATATGTGCATTTCAGTTTACTCAGAAGTTAGCAAATTTATTTTTGGACATTTTAACCTCTGTATTACTATGAAAAGATCCACATTTCCATTTTCATGTAATCTCTTTCTTTCTCCCTCTGTCACACACACACACACACATACACACACACACACACACACCCCACACTCCAAACAATTCTTCATTTGTGTAGATTTGTGTATTACCCTCTTCTTGGTTTTGTGTCTCTAAATTATTTACTTAAATATTAAGTTAGTTAATTTAATTGTGTTCCCCCTCTATAATTTCCATATACGGTTTACCTTTGAACCATATAGGTTTGAACTGCATGGGTTCACAGATACAAGGATTTTCTTCTGCCTCTGCCATCCCTGAGACAGCAAGATCAATCCCTCCTCTTCTTGTGCCTCAGCCTACTCAACATGAAGATGATGAGGATGAAGACCTTTATGATGATCCGTTTCCACTCAGTGAATAGTGAAGATCTTGTAATTCTCTTAATAACATTTTCTCTCACTTTCTTTATTGTGAGAATGCAGTGTATAATACATATAACATGCATGACATATGTTAATTGTATATGTTATTGGAAAGGCTTCTGATCAACAGTAGGCTATTATTATATTACCAGCAGTTAAAGTCAAAAGTGATACAGTGATTTTTGACTTCATAGAGGTCAGCACCCTAACCACTGTGTTGTTCAAGGGTTAACTGAAAACGCACTGGATTGCATGAGCATAAGATAATAATGAGACCTTAACTACTTTCCAGCTGAGGTAGGGGAATTTAAATTCTGCATAATATCTGCTGTCAATAGATTTGCCCAGTAAAGTTTTGTATCAAATAAGTTCTAAGTCTTATTTCACATTTTTATCTCAGTTTCTAAATCTGCCATTATTACGTTGGATTTAGGAGCAAAATCCATTATAAAAAACCTGTTCTAACAAGAAGACTGTTTTTTGGTAGTCTCTTAAACTTCATATTGGGTGAAGATTATGCTCCTTGAGGATAAGATTCATACTGTAACAATTTTCTATATCCTCCACAATGTTTTGCAGATTCAATAACTATTTAATGAATTAAGTTAAATTTACCTATACTCTTACAAGTCTTTCTCTCATAAATAACCTTCTAATCCGCAATTCCTCTAAAACATACAAAAAATTGCCAATATAAAAAAGCAAGAAAGAAGGTGTTAACCATTTTGTCATTCAAAATATGACTCATTCTTTCTTATACAACTACCTTTGTCAGCATTCTTGCCATTGGACTGTCTAGCCTTTGACACTGTTATATCATGGCTTGTCGTTAGAGAAGGTAAAGTTTGGAAAAAAGAAGCAGTTACGTAAAGCAATGTTAGAAAATCCTTGAGTTTCCCTTAGAATTTTGTGTCTTCTACGTGTTTTCTATTTCACATAGATTAAGTTTGCAGAGTTGTGTCATAATTTCATGAGTGTATCTGTCAAAGAGCCCTTTGAAGGCCTATTTAATCCAACTAAGACCATTTTTTCTTGTTTTAATACCATTAAACTTGTTCTCTCTTTGATAACTGAGGGAAAAGAGAAAGACATTCCATATAATACATCAGATGCCTAAGTGCTTTGGATAGTCATAAGCCTTTTCTCCTATAGCTTCCTAATTAGAAATGCCTGCTCTGCGGAGTTTTCTTAAGTTTTCCAACTTGCTCCTTCCATTTTATAATAGTCTATTGAGGAAGACTATTATCAAATAAAAATCAGAATGATCACTGGACACCTATTTTAGCCTTGGGATTTATATCACAATTCCCTAAGACTTCATATTTCCAGAAAAGAAATTCAAACTAAAGCTCACAATTACTATTATTATGGTAATCCTGATAAGATGTACATTTTAACTAAAAGAAGTTCCCACTATTTTTTTTCTTTCTACTTTTCAATAATCCTTGGGACCTTAGTAGGAGTGTGCAATAGTCTTGTGGTGTATTTTTAGTTTAAAAGTCTATCTGATTACCACTTGGTAGATATTGTCCAAACTCACTTTTGAATCCAAGTGTTTTTACCCTTATATAATTTTTTTAAAAGAGTATTTGCTTGTTTCTATTATACTATAACTATTGGAGCTACTAGGAGGCCTTTTAAATTTCAACAACAAATAGGCAGAATGGAGACTAACTGAAGGGTTGATGGGCTTAAAGAAAATAAATAACCTAACAAAGGCTAATGGCAAAACCAACATTAGAAACCAAGTCACTTTACTTGGGATTAGTGGATACCAAAATGTGCTTTCTCGGAAGCAGCACTTTACAAGGAAACATGAAAATCCACCTTTGTTGTCCTTCAGCTAAAGGGAATAAAATCGTGTACTTTCTGTAATTTTAACCTTGTTATAACAGATGCTACAGAAACTCAAGTGGAACTCTGACTGCCTTGAGAGCTGAATAAAATGCATCCCACCATCCATTGCTGCTGCATCAAGGTATTAAAAAGAGAGACAGAAGGAAGAGGCGAGAGAGGCACAAGTTCAACAGTGTGAGGGACTTGGACACAATGGGAGGGAGAAAGAAATAAATGTCTAAATGTCATGGAAAGAACAGACAATGAAGGCATATGTAAGAGGCCTGCTAAAGCTATGGGACCTCAGAAGCCTATTTGTAAGAACTACAATTTAGAATAAGGAACTTGCAATACAATGCCTGACCTTCATTTCCTTACGTGCCTCAATCTTGTCAAAACCTTTGATTGATTTTTGTATGAACATGAATTACTGCTACAATACTCAGTTGAACTACATGAATTTCTCAAAGCAGTAATACAGTGCTATAGCGTAGCTTAACATTGTTTAAGTAATATGGTTTGCTTATATTTAAGTCATTTCTAAGGGACCCATGCAAACACAGTCAGGAGATCTATTTCTGATGTATTTCCAAGGCTAAAAACAAAAAATGCTGTTAATGCATAAACAGTCAAAAAGCTACACATTGTGGTTTTACAGGGACTTCTATTTCTAAAGATGATGGTTGCATGAGGGCCTCTGCCTTTATAAGGGAAATGTGTAGATTTTAACTAGCTCTGTATTATAATGTTTGTGTTTTGAAAAAGAAAAGCATGTTTCTGCACTAAAAAATAAATTCCTAATCAAACCTTTAAAGTTAACATTTAGAACAGGGACAGAAATTTCTATTGTTTCCTAAGTGTTTTGTTGCTGTTGCTGTTTAGATTTAAATCATTTTTTAGAAGTTTTACTGAGGCATAATTGATATAAAAAATTGTACACCTTTAATATATTCACTTGGATGAGTTTGGACATGTGTGCATACACCAATACCATCATCACAACCAAGGTACTGAACATACTTATTCACCTCCAAAAATTTTCTTTTGTTCTTTTTTAATGGTGGTAGTATATTTTTAAGAATTCAGCCTTTGAGCAGGGTATGAAGGACCTTCAACAACAAATGCAAAAGTAAATGAGCTAAGTTCATATAAAGGGTTAGCTCTCAGTGAGATATTCAAGTTATGATCATATCCTCAAGAGGCTTGTAAACTGACTGTGGGTTTCCAGTTTGGTTATTCACAGATAGGCCTTCATTTGCTCATTCACCTATTCATTCATATAGCCACTCATTCATTCTCAAGAAGAGGTATTTGTCCATATCTCACCATGTGGATGAGCAGATGGTCAGTTCTCACTTCTTTTGCCATTAAGTGTGCTCACCGTTGAGCTCCAGGATGGTATTTTCTCTCACTTTGCGTCATTACCAAAGTGGCTATCAAGATTCCCTCCCCTACCTTCTTTTTCTTTTTTCAATGTTTAAGAGCTGGAGTTAATTTCTTGACTCCTTTGGTAACACATGCCGATATATACCACTCAAGGCCTGTTGGATTAAACTGTTAAATTTGTCATCTAGCTAATGTTTTCTCAGAACCAGACAAATTAAACAGAGTCAATTGTTGAAATTATTTCAAAAGATAAACAATCATAGAATGGAAATAAACTACAGAAAGTAGGGAACAGGAGTAACTAAGTCTCCTAGAAAACATTTGCAGCAGATGTTAAGTATCCAGTCTCGTTGTTATAAATGAATTTCAAAGAATCTCATGAGGAGCAGCTTTACAAAATTTTACTGCACTAACAAATGGCAGCCAACATCTGTAGTAAACACAAAATACTGTACCATCCTTTGTATCTCCTTAAATTAAGCCAATTTCTGCTTACACAGAAAATCTGTCTGTGGAAAACACTGCTTAGAATTTGAAAGCACATTAATCTGGAAGCCACAACAGAAGTGTGCTTCAGAAAACTTCTTAATGTTTTTCTTGTGAGTTATTCTCTTTACGCTTTTCACATTACAATATTACCAAGTTATCATAATGTATTTTCTGCACTCCCAGAGCAAGATAAGACTCTAGTTGTTGCTGGGAACTATACATTGTCTAAATATGGGTTCACATTCTCTCACAGTGATTCTGGAATCATACACACAAATGAGATCACTGCTGTCACATCACTGGAATTAAGACAACCTCTCTACTCACTGGCCATGTAAATATAGATACAGTACTCAAATCCTCTGAGGCTTAGCTAATTATTGGTTGATTTGGTCTACACTTACCACATTAACTATTTGAAAAGATTCATTGATATAACATGTACTAAGAACAGTTCCTGACTCATAATCATTATTAAGGCAATATTTACCAATATGTGACATTAAAATAGATACTACTATTAGATAATAATTCATACTATACATTCAATATTTAAGCAACAGAATTATAATTTTGTGAAGTAAATTTTGTACTCAAATAGAAAATCTAATTCTATAATTATTTTCTGCAATATTGGGTCATAGAACCAACAAAGAATATATGACTAGCTTAGACGTATGTATTTACTTATGTGATTAGTAATAAAATTCTTCACTCATTCCTAGGTTTGAATCCCAGATGCTCTGTGTAGCAGCTGTATAGTCTTAGACGAGTTGCTTAATCTGTCTGTACCTCGATTTCCTCATTTGTACTCCAATTTTCTTATGTGGTAAATATAAAATTACTTAACTCAGAGCTATGAGGTCAGTTTTATTTGAGAGAATCCAGAAAAAAAAAAAACTTAACACACATTTCCTACCATTCGGCATGCATAATACGTACTCAAGGAAATTTTAGATCTCTGTACATGATTAATATATTAAATCCTCAAACCGACTATAAGGTCTGAAAATGCATGTCTTTATGTCACTGTACCTCTCATTGCACTTGGCACAGTGTTGTGAATATATTTGTCATTTGTATGTTCTTTCTACCATACAATTCTGCCACTCCAATTAGCATATTGTGTTGGAAAACAATTGAGTGCTTGCCTTATGTTTTACTAAATTTATATGGAACTACGTTGACACTTCCTTGCCCTTAAGATGCTGGGACTCACTGGTTGCTTTCTAGTTCTCAGGAGTCTCTATGTGACTCTGTCCTTTACACTTGCCCTGCAACATCACCCTCAGCCCTAGACAAAGCCAACATCATTTTTAAAAACCTGCAAATATGTCTGCAATTCACTGTATGAATATTCTCATTCTATCAAAACCCTGACCTCACTAACTCAATGGAGCAATATAGGATGATAAAGTAGTTTATATGAAAGTCATAGAAAGTTTGCTTTGTTTATTCACCCAAAGGTATGTTTTTAAAGGATGAGGCTTTTATCTGAAATAAATAAAATTATAATTTGAAATTTCAAATAATGTGACTAATAGATTATGAATTCATTTCCAAATATAGAAATAATTAAAATACTTGGGGGTATAGAAAAAGTGAGTGCTGTATCTATTCTTTTATTATATTAATTTTACCCTAGCTGCCAGAATTTAGTACTTTTAACATCAACTGAGAGATTTAAGGCTATTGTAATTTTCCTATTTTGATTTTCCTCTTCTATTTATAACTCAAAGTAATTTGATAATATACACTGTGATGTGTCCCCATGTATCAAACATTTAAAAAATATATTTGGAACCAAAGCAAAGATACATATTTTTTTTTAATTTAATTTTTTTTTTTGAGATGTCACCCAGGCTGGAGCGCAGTGGTGCAATCTCTGCTCACTGCAAGCTCCCCCTCCTGGGCTCACGCCATTCTCCTGCCTCAGCCTCCCAAGTAGCTGGGACTACAGGCGCACGCCGCCATGCCCGGCTAATTTTTTGTATTTTTGGTAGAGACGGGGTTTCACCGTGTTAGCCAGGATGGTTTCAATCTCCTGACCTTGTGATCCGCCCGCCTCGGCCTCCCAAAGTGCTGGGATTACAGGCGTGAGCCACCGCGCCTGGCGCAAAGATATGTTTTACTAATACCACAGAGGTATAATCTGCTGCTATTTCTTGATCAGAAGTAAACAAGTGTCTTCACAGCAGTTGATCTAATTTTCTTCCCCATTCATTCAATGGTATTTTTTGATTATTATAGAATATATTGAATTAGATAATGATAAGTCCTTTTTCTTTTTTTTTCAGAAATGGCTTCTCTCTGTTACTGAGGCTGGATTGCAGTGGCATTATCTCGACTCACTGCAGCCTCTGCCTCCTGGGCTCAAGGAATCCTTCGACCTCAGCCTCCCGAGTAGCTGGGACTACAAGTGAGCACCACCATGTCCACCTATATAATTTTTGTATTTTTTTTTTTTTTTGTAGAGACAGGGTTTCACTGTGTTGCCTAGGTTGGTCTCAATCTCCTGGGTTCACACCATCCTCCTCCCTCATCATCCCAAAATTCTGGGATTACAGGTGTAAGCCACTGCACCCAGCTGAGAAGGCTTTTTATTATAGGTTGTTCTTATTGTTTTATTTAGTTGGTTTTCAAGGTAAGTTTGACATATAAGGTGGTATAATGTTTAAAGGTCAAGTTATAGAGATAGCTAGATTGAAGTTCAAATCCAGAGCCAAGTTACTTAGACTCTCTAAGGACTTGTTTTTTCCCTTATAAAATTAAAATAAAGTGGATAGCCACTTCATAGGTTTGTAATAAGAATTAATATGATCATGATGTCACAGAGTTGCAAAGAGATACTGAAACTTGGCTCTGCCAAAAAATATTAGCTATTGCCATTATGATTGTTCTCCTTAATACCTAAGGCATTTGCTGACAATCAGGTTACTCATCATGTCCTTCCAGGAAAAAAACTTTAAGAATGTTGAAAACTTAGGAACTACTTTTAAAATTTAATTTTCAGACCTGACATAACACAGCTGAGGAAGAGAGGTGGTAGCTGATTGGGGATAGATGTAGAGATCATTAATGGTATAAGAGTGTGAGAATGTGAAGCAGGATAGGATATGATATTACTCATACAGATCACAAATACATGTCAAAATTATATTTATCATTCATTTAAGTAAAATTCAACATTGTTTTCTTCAAAGAAGAAATTGCGCATTTCACTCTACCTATTTAACTCTGGAAAATTTTACAAACTGAGCATGCCATTTTTTAGTATGAATTCCTTTATTTCAGCTGCCCTGCTAACTTTGCATGATGAGCAGAAAAAAATGAAACAGAATGGTTAGTTCTGGAATATGAAAAAGTGTCCAAGAAGAGGAGTAGTCTTGAGAAGTAGGGAACAGGATGAAGTCACTAGGGGACAGAAGGGTAGGAGGGAGTGGGACCAGACAAACACTGAGCTCTGCATGCACACGTAACAGTCTAAAATAGTCATCCAGCACGCAGACTCTAGGTCAAGATAACCAAGATGAATTGCAACTTCTCCACAAGCAACATGACTTTGGGTAAGGTATTTAACTTTTCTGAGTCTTAGTTTCTTCAACTGATAAATAAAAATGATGGTCATATCTACTTCATAAAATTGTGATAACTGATTAATACATGTAATGAATAGTGTTTGGCATTTAGCTTAATAATAAGACATTTCATTAAAATATTAGCTACTTTTGTTAGCTAGCAACTCTCAATTTTGCCTAAAGCTGACCCCATATCTAGGGTTAGGTTTTGAAAGAAGTTCATCACCATCAGAACTAGGTCTGGAAATTATAAAGGAAAGCTTAAAAAAAAACCAGAAATATGTGCAACACCTATTTACAAAGAATCCACTGGGAAACCCCCATTGAGCCCAGGTAGATGGCACATGTCCCCTTTGGGCATGTAACTCAGTTCCCTGAGGGTCAGTATATTGTCTTTGTTTCAAAGGTCCCAAGGCAAACTTTTTAATAATTGTGATCCCACTCAATAGTCATGTTCACTTACTTTGTGGGTACATTTGTGGCATATTTTAAAATGTGAAGTTGAGTGCATTTCACTTAAAAACCAAAGGCATGTAATGACAACATGCTATAGAGGAAAAATTATTGATTTGTGTAAATAGGCAGATCTTGTTTGTATTCTAGCTCCATCACTTACTAATTTTGTGATATGGGCAATTTATATCCTATCTGAGCCTGTGTTTCCTCTACAATATGAGATAATTTCTACTTTGAAGTACTGTTATGAGGGTTAAATATAAATTACTTTCTGGTTTATGATGTTGGTATATACTATTTCCATGCATGATAGTTATTTTTATGAATAAGATTTTAACAGTAAGCCATAGAAAAATACAATGTAAGACTGATTCTTAGAATCTATCAAAACAGGTTGTAAAAATGACTTAAACATCTAGCATGGCAGTGACTAACATTTTGAAAAGCTTAATTTTTCCATTGAGAACTGTAGCCCAACACAGTGTCTGTGCCTCAGTGTTCCTCATCAGGAAGGATAATATCTGTGATGCATGGACTAACTCTAATGAAAATTTTTATTCTTAAGACACAAGATATTTCCCAGCACAGTACATAAGGTCTTTGTGCTCATGTCAGCATTGGAGATAAATTTCTGGGAAAGAAGTAGAGAAACCGCTCATTTCTATAGACATCAAAACACCAAAGTAAAAGTGAAAATAAAGGTACGCTGCAGACTTTTTTTTAAATGCCTAAACTAAAAAGTATACCTATCAGGAAACATCCAACTCACAAATTACTTTAAATATGTTTTTAAAACAGTGTGCTTGTTTTATAACCACAGATTCATGCTATTTACCTGATATTCCCAGGTGGTTGCTTTGTGGGGCTCAGTGCCATCCTTGGAGCAATAAAAAGCATTTCTTCTACACCAGTAAAAAACTGGCTACTTCTCACATAAACCTTGGAGGGCTTCCCTCAGTGGGCTTAGTGATCAGCAAATCATGTCAAATAACCCTTTTGGTTATTTTTGACATAATAGTGTTCCTAGCAGGCAGTACTCAAGAATTCCCAGATTCTTAGCTTTAAATTCAATATACTCTCTTGTATTAAAAGTCAAGCTATTTATCCACAGTAGTTCTTAGGTCCACGTTTCATTTTACACATATATGTGGATGTAACAGCTTTTTCCTTAGAACTTTTTAAAAAAATGGAATTCAGTAAAAGTCCTATATTTGTATTTTCTATGTGCCAAGAACAGATAACCATCATTAATGTGAGCCAAATTTGAATTGAGGAGCTGAAATTAGGAGGAATTGAAAAACACCTGAAATAAATCTTCAAGTAATGAAGGGGAAAGTTTACTTTAGAATTAGTGTATCAAAAATGAGAAAATTGGCTGGGTGCAGTGGCTCACGCCTGTAATCCCAGCTCTTTGGGAGGCTGAGGCATGTAGATCACCTGAGGTCAGGAGTTTGAGACTTGCCTGGCCAACATGGTGAAACCCTGTCTCTACTAAAAACACAAAAATTAGCCGGGCATGATGGCACATGCCTGTGGTCCCAGCTACCCGGGAGGCTGAGGCAGGAGAATTGCTTGAACCACGGAGGCAGAGGTTGCAGTGAGCCGAGATCACGCCACTGCACTCCAACCTGGGTGACAGAGTGAGACTCCTTAAAAATAAATAAATAAATAATAAATAAACAAATAAATAATTTAAAAAAGTCATTGCTTTATTTTTAAAAAAGTAATAGTTTCAAAATGTATACATGTAAAATCTAACTGGGAATACTTTGTACCTACTTGTAGCCCAAGATTAAGTTTATTCTCAATTATTAGGAGGTTTGCACAATAGAGTACATATTTAATCTGTATGACTAAAAGCCTCATTGTCAATGTGACTGTGTCATCATTATCACATTTGTGAATCTCCTGATTATAACTTTCACAGATGGTCTATGAACAGGGTTCTGGGATAAGAAACTTGTTGTCTGTCTACAGAGGAAGCTGTTTTCACTTCCAGATAGTTCTGAATATTTGAAAGTACTTGCTGATTCAGAGTCAAATTATGTCTTGCTGTAACATCCACAATTTCTGAACTTACATTTGAGATAAACCAAGATTAGACTAAACCATGCCTTCAAGTGACAGACTCTCAAAAATGTGATGCATTTTTTTTCAAAAAAAACTGCACGTCCAGGATACTCTACCCGGAGAAAAACATAGCTCTCATTAACCTTGTCCAGACATTAAACTTATAAGAGAAAATCATTATTTTCCTTGTAGCCAAATTATTCCGCTAAATTGTTTTTAGGCAGGATTAATAAACCTTTACTGTAAAGGGAAAGAGGCTAAGATCTTAGGTTTTGTGGGCCATATAATCTCTATACAACTATTCAACTCTGCTGTTGCAGTGAGAAAGCATTTATAGACGATACACAAATGAATGAGTGTGTCCATGCTGCAATAAAACTTTATTTACAAAACCAGTCTATTGGCTGGATATGGCTTGCAGGCCATACTTTGCCAACCCTTGGTTTACAGCCTGGCTAGCTAAACACTGCTTGTTGTAGTAAAATCTTGCTTTTTAAAACATATGTCTCTCATCCTAGCATTGTCATTACATGTGTGTGGTTTATTGTTGAATATGTAATATTTAAGGATCTTTCCTATTTAGTTTTATTGACTAAAAGCTGTTTCATAATTATAATACACAGACATCTATATAGGTTTTTATTTTATCATTCAACCTATTAGCTAATCCTTAGAGTTGTTTCAATTTTCATGTGTTTGACAGATGAACATGTCTAAAACACTGATGAAAATGTTACCAGAATATAAACAAAAATGAATTTTTCCGGTTAAAACCATTTTACTTGTTAGTAATATGTAACTATTAACCATTAAATAATTTACCAAATTATTCCATTACGTAATCCATATTGCTCCTTCTTGTCCACAAGAATATAGTAAGGTACATTATCAAATACATACCTCTGACTTTAGTGGGCATTTAATGTATTATTAGAGGATCCCAATATCTGTCTTTCTTAAGAAAATTAAACTCATCCCTAGTGATTATACACTTTCTTCATCTAACACTATAATATTAATAACATTTGAAAAAATAATGTCTAATAATTAACACTAGATTTAGAGTATTTTTAGACAATTTTCTAAAATTATCTGAAAAATTTGACCAGAATCATTGTAAAATTCACATCTGAGCTTATGAAAGCCCACTTTATTCCACTCTAAAAGAACAAAATTTTGTACTTTTAATTTTATCTTTTAAAATGTTTTAACATAAAGGTAGTGGGAGACGTTACTAAAGGAAGCTTAGGTAGTAACGTATTTGTCGTCTCAGTTAACACAAAGACCATAGATGGGGCAGATCTGCAGGATGCAAAAACTTTCCTTTTTCTCACCTCATAGTAGTCATATGGCTACTGCAATTCTCTGGTTTCATGTGCTTACAAAATGTCCTTTAGTTAAAAATAAAAAGAAAGAGAAAGAGAAAGACAAAGAAAGAAAAAGAAAGAGAAAGAAGAAGAAAAGAGAAAAAATAATTTCTTCATGTGTCTATTTAAATTAACAAAGACGTGAATTGTCCCAGACCTCCCTGTGATGATTAATTTCATGTGTCAGTTTTACTGGGCTAAGGGTTGCCCACATGGCTGATAAAACATTATTTCTGAGTATGTCTGTGTTTCCAGAGAAATTAGCATTTGAATAGGTAGACTGAGTGAAGAGGATCATCCTCACCAATATCTATGGGCATCCTTCAATCTCTTCAGAGCCCAAATAAAACAAAAAGGCAGAGGAAGGGTGAATTTAATCTGTCTTCTTGAGCTGGGACATCCATCTTCTCTTATCCTCCAATATTGGAACACCTGGTCTATGTTGGTAGGAGTGTAAATTAGTTCATCATAACCTTGTTGGCACTAGGGACCAGTTTCATGGAAGACAGTTTTTTCATGGACCGTGGTGTAGGGAAGATGGTTTTGGGATGATTCAAGCACACTACATTTATTTATTTATTTATATTATTATTATTTTTGAGATGAAATCTCACTCTTGTCACCCAGGCTGGAGTGCAGTGGCGCAATCTAGGCTCACTGCAATCTCCGCCTCCCAGGTTCAAGCAATTCTCCTGCCTCAGCCTCCCAAGTAACTGGGATTACAGGCACCTGCCACCACACCTGGCTACGTTTTGTATTTTCAGTAGAGATGGGGTTTCACCACGTTGGCTAGGCTGGTCTCAAACTCCTGACCTCAGGTGATCCACCTGCCTTGGTCTTCCAAAGTGCTGGGATTACAAGTGTGAGCAACCATGCCTGGCACAGGCACATTACATTTATTGTGCACTTTATTTCTATTATTATTACATTGTAATATATAATAATTATACACCTCACCATAATGTAGAATCAGTGGGAACCCTGAGCTTGTTTTTCTGCAACTAGAGGTCCCATCTGGGAATGATGGGAGACAGTGACAGATGCACACACTGCAGGGGGATTGCATTAGATCATCAGACATCAGATTCTCATGAGGAGCGTGCAGCCTAGACCCTTCACATGTTCAGTTCACATTAAGATTGGTGCTCCTATGAGAATCTAATACCACTATTGATCTGACAGCAGGCAAAGCTCAGGCAGTAATGCAAGTGATGGGGAATAGCTGTAAATTCTGCTTACTCACTGCTCCTACTGCTGTGTGGCCCAGTTCCTCACCAGGCCATGGACCTAGTCCATGGCCCACAGGGTTGGGGACCCCGATCTAATGTGACAACTCTGGAAATCAGATTCTATACCCCCTATTTGTTGTTGCTGTTGTTGCTGCTGTTATTGTTGTTCAGTGTCTAATGAGCTTTCTGAAATAATTTTGTAGTCTGGGACTACTCTTCAACACTCAGCCAGGCAGTTTACATCTCTGCCTTAGCCTTCACTTCCTGCTTGCCCAGAGCCTCAAGGCCAGTCAGAGGTGAGAGCTTTGAGCCTTCCCAGGTCTTTACTGAACATGTACGCAGGCCTACACTTGGGAGTAGCCTCATAGATTTCTAGGAATCATTCTGTTGGAATTTTCAAAGCCCTTATGGACATCTCATTCTCCTGTTTTACTTTTAAAGCTTTTTAGTTAGCCTATTGTCTGCCCAAAATGTTATCTACAACCTCATACAGGCACCAACTTGAATAACGGCCTTTAAATGTTTTTGACAAATGCCATTAAGGAAAAGGCTTTTTCGTTAAGTGAGCTCTTAGGACAGAAAAAGACATCCTGGCAGTGGGATGTTTCTGAAAACCACCAGCCAAGTCAAATGACAGTTCTCTGGGAATGAGGCTTTGAAGGAAATCCAGCCCCATTCTGTCTTTCCAGTGGCTGCCAGGCTATTGGTCTTCACTGTAATTATGGGCTGTTAATTTTCAAGGCTGCAGTGGAGCCAGCGAGGAGAGGATGAGAATAGAATAGGGCAAGTTAAAAATACCATACTGCTTGCTGTTCTTAATGAGATTTTTCATTTTATTTATTTGTGTGTGTGTATATATGTACACACATACACACACACACACACACACACACACACACACACAGTGAATGGAAAATAAATCTTGGGGCCCCAAAATCACTAAGCTAAAGGGAAAAGTCAAGCTGGAAAAGGGTTAGGGCAAACCTGCCTCCAATTCTATTCAAAGTCATCCCTCCATTCACTGAGATAAATGCATATCGGATTGCCTCCTTTGGAAAGGCTAATCAGAAACTCAGAAGAATGCCACTTGTCTTTCACCTACCTGTGACCTGGCAGCCTTCTCACTGCTTGTGCTGTCCCACCTTTCTTGGCAGAACCAATGTATATCTTCCATATATTGATTGATGTCTCATGTCTCCCTAAAATGTATAAAACCAAGCTGTGCCCTGACTACCTTGGGCACGTGTCATCAGGACCTCCTGAGGCTGTGTCACAGGTGTGCCTCCTCAACCTTGGCAAAATAAACTTCCTAAATTAACTGAGACCCTTCTCAGATATTCAAGGCTCACATTTTGGCAACCATGAAGGGATTCTGGGTGGAGGCTCCCCTGACCTTTGAGAAATCTCCTATCAGTGCTCGGTACCAGCTTGAACTATCTTTATGGCTCAAACCAATAGAACAATTTGCCGAGACAGGCCTGGAAGCACCCCCTCCAGAGAATCACTGATCTTTCAAAACTTGGTCAAGATCTAAAGTTTATTTTGCAGTACAACTCCTTTTTTTTGGAGTTTTACTATCTTCCAACGCAAGAAAGGCAAGTTTTTCCTGCTTTGATGACGATGAAATGCAGGTAACTCCTTTATGGAGTTTGAGCTTGCTTCCAACGGGGAAGACAAATGTGAGTTTCTTCCTTCTTCTAGTAAGGGAGGAGACCACCCCTCATATCGTCTTATGCCCAATTTTTGCCTCCAAAGAAAGAAGTAAAAACTAAAAGGCAGAAATGAAATCCACAGGCAGACAGCCTGGCGCCGCACCCTGGGCTTGGTAGTTAAAGATCGACCCCTGACCTAATTGGTTATGTTATCTATAGATTACAGGCATTGTATAGAAATGCACTGTGAAAATCCCTATCCTGTTTTGTTCCAATCTAATTACTGGTGCATGCAGCCCCCAGTCACATACCCCCTGCTTGCTCAATCAATCATGACCCTCTCACACGCACCTCTTAGAGTTGTGAGCCCTTAAAAGGGACAAGAATTGCTCACTTGGGGAGCTCGGCTCTTGAGACAGGAGTCTTGCCGATGCCCCCGGCCAAATAAACCCCTTCCTTCTTTAATTCGGTGTCTGAGGAGTTTTGTCTGCAGCTCGTCCTGCTACACTAGGATGGTAAAGAGCAGTCTTCAGCCTGAGACCCATCCCTTACCTAAGGATGGGTAACTAAACTGGGGGTTGTCTTGGCTAAAGTTAAGATTAACAACCAGCTGGTTGTAATTTCTCTTTACCATTAGAGCACTCAGTAGTTGGATAAGTTGTGCCATCTTTGTTTTGCTTAATTGTTTTTGTTGTTGTTGTTTGTTTGTTTCTGTTTTTGTTGTTGTTTCAGTCTTTTTGCCATTGGGATTGATCAACTCTATCCGACTTGATCAAATCCAAAGGAAACTTCCAAATTATAGGGAACAAGACCTCTGAAGTGGCTAAATTTCCACACTGTGGTGGGGGAGAAAAACAGCCAAAAAAGGGGAAAAAAAAAAACAGGGAAGATTTTTTACTTTGACTACTTAAGGGGCTTTATTTACATAACAAGGCCACCTTTTTGCTAGCCAGGCCAAACTGAAAGAGCAATGGCTGTCACTCCATACTGCAGTTCCATAGCTAAGGGCTCTGGCTTCTTTTTTTCCACCACGACAGCTTGGGTGTGTTTCCTAAATCAAGCCATTTTCGGTTTGATACTTGGTACTTCTGAAATAGCAGCAATTTGTTCTAGCTGAATTATGGTAATGAGATTTTAAAAGATTTTTTTAAAGGAGCTCAATGATTAAAAGTCAGCTTAACTAAAAGCTAACATCCAAGATGTGTGTGTGTATGTGTTTGTGCATGTGTGTGTGTGTGTGTATGTGTGTGTGTTTGTATTGAAAAGGCCTTCACATATTTTTTTTTTTCTCCTAGGACCTTGTCTCTCTTTTTTTTTTTTTTAGTTAAAGATTTTTTTTTCTCAGTTGACTGAGTTCTGTTTTTTGTTTTGTTTTGTTTTGTTTTATTTACTTCTGCTGCCTCTCCTTTCTCTTGCACCCTCTGCTGCTTGAGGGACCTAAACTATTATAGTTTATAATAGCCTGGCTTTCCTTCAAGAAAGCAGAGAAGGCACCAGACTCCTTTTTGGGGAGAAACCTGTTTTTCCTTATGAAACCCCAAGAGTGTAAGCAGATAAGTTCATCTCAGCTCTTAAATTGCCTGCTTTTGTATTGTGTTACCTGACTTATTGACTAAAAGAGTTGTTGCACCAAAGCCTCCTCTGGTTTTTAAGGAAGAGTGTAGTTTACACATTGGAAGTGTCTTCGTTTAAAAAAAAATTTTAAGTGCACTGAAAAAGCATCACATGGTCTAGCCTCATAATAATTCTCCCTTTTGGGAGATTCAGGATTCAGTGTGGGCTCTGCCCAGAGCTCAGAGATCTAGTCAAAAGACAGGTATTTCCTACATAAATAAAATTAGTCTCTTCATATAATCCTATGACAGATTTCTTTTTTTTTTTTTTTCTGAGACAGAGTTTTCGCTCTTGTTGCCCAGGCTGGAGTGCAGTGGCGCAGTTTCGGCTCACTGCAACCTCCACCTCCCGGGTTCAAGTGATTCTTCTGCCTTAGTCTCCTGAGTAGCTGGGACTACAGGCGCCCACCACCACACCTGGCTAATTTTTGTATTTTTAGTAGAGACGGGGTTTCACCATGTTGGGCAGGATGGTCTTGATCTCCTGACCCCAAGATCCGCCTGCCTCGGCCTCCCAAAGTGCTGGGATTACAGGCATGAGCCACCGTGGCCGGCTATCCTATGATAGATATCTGTAACTTTATGTTTGATTTGGCATCCCTCTTTTGTTTTGTTTTGTTTTGTTTGAGACGGAGGCTCTCTCTGTCACCCAGCCTGGAGTGCAGTGACACAATCTCGGCTCACTGAAACCTCTGCCTCCCAGGTTCAAGCGATTCTCCCACCTCAGCCTCCCAAGTAGCTGGAATTACAGGCATATGCCACCACACCTGGCTAATTTTTGTATTTTTAGTAGAAACGGGTTTTCACCATGTTGGCCAGGGTGGTCTCGAACTCCTGACCTCAGATGATCTGCCCGCCTCGACCTCCTAAAGTGCTGGGATTACAGGTCTGAGCCACTGCCCCTGGTGTAGTACATGGTTTTACTGCATGTGACTAGTTTACATGCAACTAGCCATGCAAGTTCAGTAACCCAAGGCGGTCTATACCCTGTTCAACAAGAACCATCTACTAATGACACTTCTGGAAGTCTGGGCAATGTCAACTTGCTGTAAAAGTTCCCAAATGCTCTCAATTATCATATGATAACAAAGGTCTCAAATCAGTAAATTTTGAGTGGCCCTTTACTAGGAATAATCTTGAATAAGCTAGTACTGCCCTCCACAACCACAATTAAAAATATATCGGTATTGGTTTTCTCTTCAGTTCAAGAATCATGTAAATATGTAATGTAGAAAATGAGGATTTCCCATATTCCCACAGAATCACAAAGATGATCACTGGTAATATGCGTGCTACATATATGATACCAGGTTTATTCTACTCTTTTTTTTTTTTTTTTTTTTTTGAGACAGAGTCTCACTCTGTCGCTCAGGCTAAAGTCCAGTGCTACGATCTCAGCTCACTGCATCCTCTGCCTCCTAGGTTCAAGCAACTCTCCCACCTCAGCCTCCCAAGTGGCCGGAATTACAGGCACCTGCCACCATGCCCACCCAGCTAATTTTTTTATATTTTTAGTAGAGACGAGGTTTCACTAAGTAGACCAAGTTGGTCTTGAACTCCTGACCTCTGGTGATCCACCCACCTCGGCCTCCCAAAATGCTGGGATTACAAGCATGAGCCACCATGCCTGGCCATTTTTTTGTACTTTTATACAATTATATGCTTGCTTTATAAAAATGAACTTATTCTACATATATATGTTATTACATTATTAGGACATGTTCCCAAATGACATATTACATTTTCATCATTCTTTTTTAAAATATTTTTTCGTGAGACAGTGTCTTGCTCTGTTGCCCAGGCTGGAGTGCAGTGGCCTAATCACAGGTCACTGCAGCCTGAAACTCCTGGGTTCAAGGGATCCTCCTCTCTCGGCCTCCTGAGTAGCCCAGCTAAGTTTAAAAAAAATTTTTTTTTGGCCTGGCATGGTGGCTCACGCCCATAATCTCAGCACTTTGGAAGGCCAAGGCGGGCAGATCACTTGGGGTCAGGAGTTTGAGACCATCCTGGCCAACATGGTGAAACACCGTCTCTACTAAAAATACAAAAATTAGCTGGGCGTGGTGGCAGGTGCCTGTAATCCCAGTTACTTGAGAGGCTGAGGCAGGAGAATCGCTTGAGCCCAGGAGGCGGAGGGTGCAGTGAG
Source organism: Homo sapiens (assembly GCF_000001405.40). Taxonomy (NCBI): domain Eukaryota; kingdom Metazoa; phylum Chordata; class Mammalia; order Primates; family Hominidae; genus Homo; species Homo sapiens. The sequence goes on along the minus strand of NC_000010.11, from coordinate 46,842,608 downwards.
TCGAGATCATGCCACTGCACTCTAGCCTGGGTGACAGAGCAAGACCCTGTCTCAAAAATAAATAAATAAATAATTAAATAAATATATATATATATGTATGTATATTTGGAGAGACAGGTCTCACTATGTTGCCCAAGCTGGTTTTGAACTCCTGGACTCAAGCAATCTTCCCATCTGGGTTCCCAAAGTGTTGGGATTACAGGTGTGAGCCACCATGCCCAGACATTTTCATCATCCTTTTTTTTTGAGACGGAGTTTTGCTCTTGTTGCCCAGGCTGGAGTGCAATGTCACGATCCCGGCTCACTGCAACATCCACCTCCCAGGTTCAAGTGACTCTCCTGCCTCAGCCTCCTGAGTAGCTGGGATTACAGGCATGAGCCATCACGCCCAGCTAATTTTGTATTTTTAGAGGACACAGGGTTTCTCCACTGTTTTTACTAGACCTTGATCACATCAAAAAGATTGTGTCTCTTCCATTTATTGTGCAGCTTGTACACAATTGACACAATGAGGAGCTCAGCAAAGGACGCAGAGTGACAGCATCCTCCCTTCAGTGGAATGGCCATGTCTAGACACCTCTTAATCACTCCCGAGAAGTAGGGATGGGTTCGGTGTATGAGAATAAGAAACGGAGCCTCCAGGGTTGAGACAATTTGCCCAAAACACACCTCTTGTGGGAAGTACAGTTGCGATCCCCCAGGTCTCTTGGGCTTGCAGGTTCCTGCTCTCCCGTGGGCCCCCAGGAGATGTTGGCTGCCAAGAGGAGGAGGAATCCTCCTGGGCAGAGGTTAACTTTTGCCACTCCAGGATTTGCCCACCCTGGGGTCCCTGCCAGGAATGTTCCCCCAGCACCACCCTCCCCATGCCGCCTCCTAACTGGCTGTGTCCTTCCCACCATTCAGCAAACACATCCTACGTCCAGGACCAGCCCCTTCATCTCAGGAAGGCTGCCATGGGACTCCCAGAACCCCCATGGCTCCTGGAGCCCTGAGGGAATCACATCTTGGGTGGGGAGTGATTTGTTTTCTCATCCAGTGCAACCTTGGAGGTAACAGTCAAGAATGTCCTGTGATGCGAAGCACTTATTGTCCTGACCTCTGGTCCAGTGCCCTTCGCTCTAAGCACATAGCATCCCCAGGCTGTTCCTGGAGGCGTGGGCTGGGGTTTGTAGGGACTAGCTGGACCAGCTGGGCCAGGGGAGGCAGCCATGCCCGGGGCACATAGCCACTGTCCAGAGCTGCCCCCAGAGCTGGGAGCCATCTTGCACATGGTGCTGTGAGATGCCCTCCAGAGAGGAAGATGGAAGCTGTCTCCGTGCCCCGGGACTGATGAAGGGCCCATTCCAGGCCTTTGGGCACCCGGGCTCACTACCCTTCTGGGAGCCCTGTCCTGTGGGCCAGGACAAAGGTGCCCTCACTGGTGGCATTCTCAGAAGCTCAGCCGCTCCCCACACATGCACATAGGGGCGTGCCCACACCAAGCCACGTGTGGGTGTCTGGGGACAATGAGTCTTGGGGGAGGGGGTGGGTCCCTTCCAGAAGGGTCTGGCCAAAGTCCAGTTATGAAGGTGAGCTGAGATGGGCTCCCTCAAAGGAGCCATAGTGTGGGGAGCCCCGGGCAGAGCCCAGAGAGAAATGCCAGCCCCGAGACCGAGACACGCTCCAAGGAGTGCTGCCAAGAGCAGTAGACACAGCCGCTGAGGCCCACGGGGCACAGTGAGGCTGTGGGAGAGGGTGGCCCCTCTGTGGCCATTTCCCTGCCTGTGCTCACATCCCCTCCTCAGGCCTGTCTCACCAGCTCTTGCAGCCCATGACCCACATTCTGTCTGACTCTCCTTCCTCTCCTGGCTACAGGGATCCCCAGTGCCCCTCACCATTCCTTCTGGTCTCTCCTCTGCCTCCCGGAACTGTTCCCCAGGACTCTCTCCTGGGCCAGCCCTTCCTGCCCCTCCACATCAGTGGTTCCGAACCCCGGATGCCTTTGGGATCAGCTGGGTACACTTTAAATCCTTCCAGCCCAGAGCCCTCAGGCCCAAGTCACCCCCGCCAGCTCCTGTGGGACCCCTTGGATCAGCCAACCATTTTATCATCATCCATCATGTCCCCTGTCACCAAGGGCCTCTGGCATGTTCTGTTGTCCCCATGCCCACCCTGGCACCCCTCACCCACCAACCTGTGCCCACGTCCTGCCTTGAGCCTGTTTCCCCTCCTGAGTGGTATTTCCTCACTCCAGGTGGGCACTGGGGCAGCTGGCAGACATGGCTGTGAGCTTCTGTCCCATCCAGAGGGACCCTCCCTTCCAGATTACCCAGTCAAGCTTGACCCCATGGTGTCACCGAGACGGACCAAAAGAGGGTATTGAAGCCACGCAGTCCCCCGAGCCCCACTGAGCTGCACCAGCTTTGGAGCCGGAGAGAGCCTGGGAGACTGAGCACTGAGTGCTAGGTCCCTTCTTCCCACTCTTGAGGGAGAAATCATTGTAACCTTCCCTTCCTCCCACTCTTGAGGGCCCTGGGGGGACACAGGGCACAAGGAGGGTGGCAGAAGAGGTGTGTGCCTAGGTGCTTGGCACCTAGCCGGGGTTCATTTCTGTCCTCTCAACTTGGCCTCCCAAAGTGCTGGGATTACAGGCATGAGATACTGTACCTGGTCTTATTTTTTCTTTTCTTAAGATACAGGGTCTCACCATCTGGCCCAAGCTGGACTCAAACTGCTGAGCTCAAGTAATTCCCCCACCTCAGCCTCCGAAGTAGCTAGGACTAAAGGCATGAAACCACCATGCTTGGCTTGTCCAATTTCATTCTACACACTTTCTCGGTATTTAAACAGCTGCTGTTGCTCTTCATTCTGTAGCTCTACATCAGATTCATGCTCTAGTCCTGTATATCCAAATGATGACTACAGGCTGCCGGCTCTGCTCTTTCAAAGGCACAATGAGCGTAGCCCATCTACAAAACTCTCCCTTTTCCAATCCAGCTTTCCCTCCTGCATCACCTATCTCTCTACATCTGGAACCATCGGCAGCTGCCTTCATAAGGCACGTCGGTCTGGCATTCGGAAAACCACCCTGTCTTGCCAGAGCCTCTTGGTCTTGGGTAGCAAAAGCTGTATGCAATCTAAATCAAGCTTTCAATCATGAGAAATCACATTCCTTCTTTTCCCTTTGTAATATACTCATGTGTTTTTTTTTTTTCCTTTCTCAATAAGCAAATTGTACCACCATCTTATTCTGAGATGCTCCTTTTTAAAAGCTGTAGATCACATTAATGGAAGTGTTTACTGCTGGGAATATTTTCCACGTGCAATGATCTGTAACCCTCTTTTTCTTTTTTTTTTGAGACCGAGTCTCGCTCTGTTGCCCAGGCCGGAGTGCAGTGACACAATCTCTGCTCACTGCAAGCTTTGCCTCCTGAGTTCATGCCATTCTCCTGCCTCAGCCTCCCAAGTAGCTGGGACTACAGGTGCCCGCCACCACGCCCAGCTAATTTTTTTTTTTTGAGATGGAGTCTCGCTTGGTCACCCAGGCTGGAGTGCAGTGGTGCAATCTCAGCTCATTGCAAGCTCCGCCTCCTGGGTTCACGCCATTCTCCTGCCTCAGCCTCCTGAGTAGCTGGGACTACAGGTGCCCGCCACCACACCTGGCTAATTTTTTTTTTTTTTTTTTTTTTTGTATTTTTAGCAGAGATGGGGTTTCACCATGTTAGCCAGGATGGTCTTGATCTCCTGACCTCGTGATCCGCCTGCCTCGGCCTCCCAAAGTGCTGGGATTACAGGTGTGAGCCACCACACCCGGCCATGCCCAGCTAATTTTTTGTATTTTTTAGTAGAGATGGGGTTTCATGATGTTAGCCAGGATGGTCTCGATCTCCTGACCTGGTGATCAGTCCGCCTAGGCCTCCCAAAGTGCTAGGATTACAGGTGTGAGCCACTGCGCCCAGCCGAACTGTAACTCTCTTATCTCAACTAGCTGACATTACTTCACATCCTGTTCAATTTATAAATTAAGAGAGGTGCCATGGGCTGGGCACGGTGGCTCACGCCTGTAATCCCAACACTTTGGGAGGCCGAGGCAGGTGGATCACGAGGTCAGGAGTTCGAGACCATCCTGGCTAACATGGTGAAACCACGTCTCTACTAAAAATACAAAAAATTAGCCAGGTGTGGTGGCAGGCACCTGTAGTCCCAGCTACCTGAGAGGCTGAGGCAGGAGAATGGTGTGAATCCAGGAGGCAGAGCTTGCAGTGAGCAGATATCACGCCACTGCACTCCAGCTGGGGCAACAGAGCAAAACATCGTCCAAAAAAAAAATAAAAATAAAAATGAAAAAGAGGTGCCATGTGTACAAAAATCAATGCATATTTATGAACTTTTTTTCAAATATATTTTCACACATTTTATCTAAATACATAATACAGAAGCCTGTGTGACTTGGGCAATGTGGCCAGGAGGGCCTGAGACTAACACATCCACCTCGGCAAAAGGACATAAAATATGTCTTATGGTCAGAAAAATCAACATTTTGTGTATTTACTTAGTTTACGAAAAGTACTGAAAATGCTATTACTAGCTGAATTTGTGATTTCCTTTTGAAATTCTGAGTTATCCTTATTTTTCCCATTTTGTTTTTGCACCAAGGAGACTGCAGTCAAATAAAACAGATACTACACGCACTCGTCGGGGCAGCCGTACTGCAGAAGCACGTTGATGCACTCCTGGCTGGAGGCCTGCCGGGCGTAGGTCAGCGCTGTGTTCCCGTGGGCATCTCGGGCCATGACGTCCACCCCGTACCAGATCAGGAGCTGCGCCAGGACCACATTCCCCTTGCGGCAGGCCAGATGGAGCGCCGTGCAGCCGTCTCCCTCCCCACAGGTCTCGTTCACCTCCTCACGGGAGCCATGTGCCAGCAGCAGGATGGCTGTCTGCAGGTCCTCATCAGCGGTGGCCCGCAGCAGCTGCTGGCCCAGGGACAGCTCAGTGCAGGGTAGTGGGGCCAGAAAGAGCTTCTCCTCATATTTGGAACGGATCCACCGTTCTTTCTCTTCCCTCGTGGACTTTTCTGAGGGTTTTGTCTGCCCCTGGCTGCTCCCTTCCCAGATGCTGTTGGCTAGGTCATTGCCAATAGATGACATAACCTTCCTGAGCTCAACTGGCCAGTCATCCAGCTCCAGAGATCGCACACGGGAAAGGCGGGTGCCAAGACTGCGGTGGATACCTGAGCATTCAATACACATGAGGACTCCCAAGTTCAAACTGGCCCACTTAGGATTCTGGGTCTCACAGTCCACACAGTGGGCGTTCCCACGCATGTTTTGGATCGACTGCAGGGCCATGGCCTCGCTCTGGCTGGTCAGCTGGGACTTGCTTTTACTGCTCTCGCATGACTGCAGGCTGGCCAGGATCTGGCTCTGGATGGCTTGGACCCATGCATCCCGCTCCTCATACGTCGTGGCTTCAAAGTGCCACGTTTGGCCAGTGGCAGACACAATCATAAAGTTGTTGGTGCTTTTCTTCTTTAGGTGTTTCTTTTTATTGGCATGAGGGGAGGGGGGTGGGTTGAGCTTGGGGCTGGTGGTGCTGGAGATACTGGGGCTGAAGCATATGGAGTCACCCAGCCCGATGTCCATGTCCTTGGATAGGCCATTGCTTTTAGAGCTGGAGATGGGTGCGCAGGCCGATGTGGCTAGGGATGGCCACTTTCCTGGGACTTTGATGGTAGATGTCTGAAGGTCAATCTCTTTTTTATGAATATTCTTCATATAATCACCTAAGCTTGAATAATAGGTGAGCACGCCATTGGAACACAGGGTGACGTATTTCTTTTTCCATGTCTTCAGCCATTTCCCACTTCGCTTTAAGAGCATGCCCTGTTTAATGGGGATGGCTCTGCCGCTCCCGATGGTGTCAGCATGATTCTCCGGGGCTTTCCTCTCTTTGTCTGGGTCACTCCCTTTCTCAGATGTAAACAGGTTGGACCAGCGCATGGACCGCTTGCAAACGGGCGTGGGTGTGTTGGCAGTGGGAGGAACACTGAACTGAGGGTCCTCCTGGCTGGTGCTGGGAGTCGGTGGAATGGAGGAGGAATAGTTATTTAAACTCCCACCTCCATTTCTTTTCTTCATAATGTGCACGGTGGAAACCTGTGTGGAACAGAAGGAGGAATGGCTTCAAAAATTGGGTAGTGGCTTGCAGGGTCCTATAGACAGCTCACAATTACCTTTTAAAAAGATACATTTTCTGGGCCAGGCATGGTGGCTCACACCTGTAATCACAGCACTTTGGGAGGCCAAGGTGGGTGGATCACGAGGTCAGGAGTTCAAGACCATCCTGGCCAACATGGTGAAACCCTGTCTTTACAAAAAAAAAAAAAGAAAAAAAAATTAGCTGGGCATGGTGGCACATGCCTGTAATTCCAGTTACTCGGGAGGCTGAGGCAGGAGAATTGCTTGAACAGGGACCTGGGAGGCAGAGCCTGCAGTGAGCCAAGATCGCGCGATTGCACTCCAGCCTGGGCTACAGAAAGAGAGTCCATAAAAAAAAAAAAAAAAAAAAAAAAAAAAAAAAAAGATACATTTTCTGTTGTTTGGATAGTATATTTACTCATACTAGCTCACTAACTAAACAGAGCTGCAGATCAGTTCTTACTCCAGCACATTCTTTTTACAACACTTAAGATGACTAAATGCAACATGAAATGGGGAAGATTTAAAAAAAGATGGCTTTGACTTCAGCATGAAACAGATACAAGTGTACGATGAAAATACAACCTCAATAAAAGTGCCACTTACCGCAAATGAGTGTAACTGTTCATCAGGTATGCTCAAAGATCTATCTGCATCTCTATAAAATAAGAAAGCGCATTACTTCAAAAACTGTTAATATCTTAGTATAATATTTGTTGAGTAAAATACTGCCTCCTGTGTGCTTTGGTGTTTACTTTACCAAAGCAGTTTTTACGAATTCTTCTCTTGGATCCTGACTTGCAGAGGGTTTCCTGACTTCTTCTTTCTCAGCACATCATGGCCTGTACCGTGAAGTCTTTTATATGATAACCAGTCAGAAATGCCCGTGAGTATTGACTCTCCCTAACAGGCCATGGCAATAAACCAAACATCTTTTCACTCTTCTAACCACACATTGAAACACAAGAATGTTCTACAAAGCAGTAGTAGTAAACTTTAATAAATGTAAATGTGATTCAGATTTCCTAGCTTCCTTTCTCTTTAGTTCTCTGTAGTATACTCTCATGATGTATTTATGTACTTTCTGTTGTTTGAATGACAAACTCATCTGCCTTTTTAAGAGGCCAGTCTTTGATGAACTTTAAACTTTGTAAAACTAATGCATTGTGCCTGTGTATAAACCAGTGGTTCTCCAAATGTGCTGTGTGGACCTCTCGGGATCCCGAAGACCCCTTCCAGAAGGCCTAAGAGGTCATAACTGTTCTTTTTTTTTTTTTTTTGAGACCAAGTTTTACTCTTATTGCCCAGGCTGGAGTGCAATGGTGTGATCTCGGCTCATGGCAACCTTCGCCTCCCAGGTTCAAGTGATTCTCCTACCCCAGCCTCCCAAGTAGCAGGGATTACAGGCACCTGCCACCACTCCTGGCTAAGTTTTGTATTTTTAGTAGAGATGTGGTTTCACCATGTTGGCCAGGCTGGTCTTGAACTCCTAACCTCAGGTGATCCGCTTGCCTCGGCCTCCCAAAGTGCTGGGATTACAGGCCTGAGCCACTGTGCCTGGCCAACACTGTTCTGAATCATACTAATTAAACCTGAGAAAGCTGATGAAAAATTTTAAAAATTTGTGAAAGTAATACAAAGTCATTGCCTGCTTTTTCATTGACACTTGCCATGATTATATAAAAGCAAAAGTGGGTACAATGGCTGGTTTCTCAGCATAAATCAAGGCAGTGGTACCAATTACATTAGTAGTCATTCTATTCTTCACTGTCCCCTACAGGTAAAAAACATAGCCTGAATTTCTTAAGAATGTCTTTGATGAAGCAGTAAAAATTAATGTTGTTAAATCTTGACATGTCTCTAATATTCTGAATAAGTGGAAAGTTAACCAGAAGCGCTTTTTTTGTTTGTTTTTAAAGAATCCGTGATTTAACTGTGAACTGAAAAATCACTTTTTTCACAGAACATCATTTTTATTTAAAAGTACAACTGGGCCAGCGCAGTGGCTCACGCCTGTAAAATCCCAGCACTTTGAGAGGCCAAAGCAGGCAGATGGCTTGAGCTCCTTCAGGAGTTCGAGACCAGCCTAGGCAACATAACGAAACCCTGTCACTGTCAAACATATAAGAAAATTAGCCTGGCGTGGTGCCACACATCTGTGGTCCCAGCTACAAAGGAACCTGAGGTGAGAGGATTGCTTGAGCTGAGATCATGCCAATGCACTCCAGCCAAGTGACAGAGTGAAACTCGGTCTAAAAAACCAGTTCAACTATCATTCTCAAAAATAAATGAAGTGAGAGGTTGTCACTTCAAGGGAAATACGTATTTGTTCCCAATGATAAAATTTAAGCTTTCCTGTGGACTTTGACAAACTTGTTCCTTCTACTGTAGGCTTGGCAGCTTTTCAATACTTAAAGGTGTGTTAAAGTAAGATTGGTGGTTAAACTGAAAGTGATTTTTGACACAATAAAACATAAACCAATATATTCCAAGTAACTAATGCATGATATTATAAATGCAAGTAGTGAGCAAAAGATCCATTTACTGTGCAAGAAAGATCAATGAGTACTGATGGAATAAATTTATTAATATGTAAAATGCCACCGTAACTAATTTAAGAAACCACCACTTGTGAAGTTTTGATTTAGTGTTAACAAATACCCACAACCGTCTGAAAACTTTTAAAATACACCTTCTACTAACTACATATTTGCATGAGGTTAGGTCATCTTATTGCTTCTTTTTTTCTTTTTTTGAGACAGAGTCTCTCTCTGTCACCCAGGCTGGGGTGCAAAGGCGAGATCTCGGCTCACTGCAACCTCCACCTCCCAGGCTCAAGCGATTCTCCTGCCTCAGCCTCCCAAGTAACTGGGACTACAGGCATGCACCACCACGCCCAGCCATTTTTTGTACTTTCAGTAGAGGCGGGTTTTACCATGTTGGTCGGGCTGGTCTCAAACTCCTGACCTCAAGTGATCCACCCACCTCGGCCTCCCAAAATGCTGGGATTACAGGTGTGAACCACTGCGCCCCACCAGCTTATTGCTTTTTTGTTTGTTTGTTTAGACAGAGTCTTGCTCTGTCACCCAGGCTGCAGTGCAATGGCACCATCTCAGCTCTCTGCAACCTCCGCCTCCCAAGTTCAAGCGGTTCTCCTGCCTCAGCCTCCAGAATAGGTGGGACTACAGGTGCGTGCCATCATGCCCAGCCAAGTTTTTGTAATTTTAGTAGAGACGGGGCTTCGCTGTGTTAGCCAGGATGGTCTCGATCTCCTGACCTTGCGATCTGCCCGCCTCAGCCTCCCAAAGTGCTGGGATTACAGGCGTGAGCCACCGTGCCCAACCTCTTATTGCTGCTTTAAAGCAAATTGCAAAGAAAGCTCTAGAGAATCCATTTGTCTCCTATTAAGCTCAACATGAGAGACTTTAAATAATATAAATACATGACGCACTTTTTACTCAACTTTTTGTTGTAGAAAAGTTATTTTTCAATGAAAAAATTCTGTTAACAATACTGTTCTCAAGGAATATTTTCTGTTGTTATAACCTGGGTCATGGGTTACTACTGATATCTAGTTGGTAGAGGCCATGAATACTGCTAAACTCTCTGCAATGCACAAGACAGTCCTCACAACAAAGCATTATCTAGCCCATAATATCAACAGTGGTAAGGCTGTGAAATCTAAACTAAAAATAGATTTTGAAAAAATTTCAATTGTATAATTCTACCACACTAAATATCAATATAATCAATATAAACACATACTCTTTGAGATTCTCAATCATTTAAGAATTATGAGAGTCTTAAGGAACAAAGAAAATACAAATAATTTGCTTCGATATTTTAGTAGGCACAATACAGCTTATGATGTCTAGAGCTGTGACCTAACACTGAGCTTGATATCTTGCAAAGTACTTAGCTAGAATAACAAGACAGGTTTCTAAAAAGCTCACCTTTGTGTGATATGATGAGGTATCTCCAAGGTCACACTGTGGAAGGAAAAAAAATTCATAACAATAGATGTTAACATTTGTTAGGCCTGAAGACATTTTTTAAAAGGGGGGCAGAGGAAACTCTCCTAGTGGCCCTGAAATTCAAATCTTCTAGTTCAGAACAGTACCATAAGGGCACTTTGTTTTCATTTCTTTGTTTTTTACAAAAATATGAGAACCAAAATGCAAGGAAATATGCCGTTAGAAGACGCGTTTCTGTTGGTGATTACAATATATAAATAATAACAGATTTCCTTGTTATATGCTTTTCTACCCACGAAACCTTTCGTCCCATGCGATTTATTTTATGTATTTATTTATTTTTTGACCCAGAGTCTGTCTCTCTTGCTCAGACTGGATTGCAGTGGTGCCATCTTGACTCCTCACAACCTCCACCACCCAGGTTCAAGCGATTCTCATGCCTCAGCCTCCCAAGAAGCTGGGACTACAAGTTTGTGCCACTATGCCCAGATAATTTTTTTTTGGAGGGGGGCGGTGGGTGGAGTTTCGCTCTTGTTGCCCAGGCTGGAGTGCAATGGTGTGATCTCGGCTCACCACAACCTCTGCCTCCCAGGTTCAAGAGATTCTCCTGCCTCAGCCTCCCAAGTGGCTGGGATTACAGGCATGTGCCACCACACCCAGCTAATTTTGTAGAGTGAGGCTCAAAACAACTGAGGGAAGGCAAATCTCAATTCTACTAATAGGTCTACACAATATTAGCACTTTTTAAAAAGCCTGTAACATCAGCAGGTAAGATGGATATGTCTATAGTGCTTCAAGTAGTTTTCATCTCTGAAATAATTTTAAAATCACAGAATTTAAAGTTACATGCTGGAAAGGACCAATGACCTTATGTGACATTTAATTCAACACTCATTTTACAGATCAGGGAAACAGACCTTAAAACTGACTTGCCCAAGGTCCCACCAAATAGGAGCAGTTTCTCATCCTAAACTCAAATTAAGCAGTGGCTCTCAAACTTTGCTGCACATTAAAATCACCTGAGAAGCTTTAATATCTGCCTCATCTTCCACGAGACATTTTAATTTAATTAGTATTGGGTATGGCTTTGGGCATCAAGGTTCTTAGTAAACGTTTCCCAGGTGATTTCAATCAGCAGCAAAGTTTGGAATGACTGAGCTGGGGTGAAAATCAGAATCTTCTGGGATGCTTTTCTTCACAGAAAGATGCCTCACATCCATCCCGATTTTCCTAAAAGGCTTCTCAGTGCCTAGAGATAGAGGGAAAGTGGAGATGGGAAGATACATGTGTTTGCAGACTTGCATTTTGAAAAAAACCTTGCATAAGTGATCTCAGCGAGTTCCACCTATCCCACTGACAACAGTGCACTACTGATTCATGATAAAACATTTTTCAAAATATCTTCTTGAAGCCAATTTGCCCTATTAATTTGTTCAATAACTTTATTTCACCAATAGTGAATACACCAAATGATCATTTCTCAAACTTGCTGGTGGCAAATTAAAACTTACTATACTCTCAAAAGTAGACTTCTAAAAAGTAGAATAATGAGGAAAAAAGCACGAAATTTGTTTCAGCAAAATTAATCTTCAAAGCTGCTTTTGAATTATATGCTAACATATGAAAATCTTTGGAACTCAGAAGAAGCCAGGGACTCTAGTCAAAGTAATTTTTGTGTATGTGTGCTCAGAGATTTAAGAGACTTAGCTGACTACAGACATTTAGTGATTACTCAATAGGTCCCAAAGCTCAGGACTTGAGACAGAGTTTGAGTCCAGTTTTTGTTCGAAACACAATTTCCTCTCAACTATTGTTAAAAGGGAGGGAGGAAAGTGACATTATTATGAGTGTAAACTTTCCACTTTTAATTGAAGTAAAAGTTATTGACAATTGAATTAGTTAAAAAGGCTAGTGCATTTGAAACAAAATTGTTTATAAGCTAGTTATGTGTACAGAATGAAAAGTTAAATTAAAGATAAAGACATTAATATTCTAAATTAGCACTTTCCAAACTGTGTTCTAAAAATCAAGACTAATAACCCAAGGAGATGAGAATAATGTACACTGGACAGCCCCTGTGGAGCTGGTGGTGGTGTTGGTTGTTGTTCCTTTTAAAATAAACTTCATCTCAGGGTGCTCTCAAAGCGCACCTTTGTGGCCCAAGAGGTGCTCATGCACAATGGGAGAAATTCAAATGCAGATACACTGTGGTGCCAGAAGAAGAAAAGCTGTTCCTTCCTCCAAGGATAATGTCCAAAGTAGTGCACACTGATTTAGGCCTATGATGCATTGAAAAACTAAGTTTCCACAAAAAACATTCAATAAAGGGAACCTATCCTTCTCACTGTGTTCAACATTGTCTAAAGGCATAAAGGCATCAAAAAGATACATTGTTTCTGGGATTGCTTCTTTGCTAACTGATTTTTCCTTCCACCACGACGTCTAAGATTAAAAGAGAAACTGATACTTAATATTCAGAATCTGGATATCAATATATGGTTGACTCCAATTTCTTAAACTGATTGCTGAAAAGGACAACCAAATGACTGAAATAATTTTAGAATAAAGGAATCTGTCCCTCGGCAGCATAGTTGTACTCATGATATTATTGTCATTGTAAGATAATGCTGGATGGCTGTGCTGTCATCAAGGAATATTGTCGAACACAAGCTGTATTGTTGACTGAAACGCACAGTAGATACCTGAAGGGGAAGGGAAGTGTAAGTCAAACTTATGAAAGTGTATTATTTTCTCAGTTAAAATGTCAAATGACAAAGCACTAAGATATGTCTTACACTCCATGAACTGCCTGAGTGTGGTATCATGTGCACTCTATAGAAAACCCATTGGAGGCTCTCAACTTCCAGAGATGATGTTTAAGATATGGGTTATAAAATGCTGCCCTTAATATGGTACCTGTCATCAAACCTAACAAGGATTTTATGAATTACCGTTAAAAATAATGGGAAAAGTCTGCTTCGCGGGGCGCGGTGGCTCACACCTGTAATCCTAGCACTTTGGGAGGTGGAGGCGGGCAGATCACGAGGTCAAGAGATCGAGACCATCCTGGCTAACATGGTGAAACCCCGTCTCTACTAAAAATACAAAAAATTAGCCGGGCGTGGTAGCAGGCCCCTGTAGTCCCAGCTACTTGAGAGGCTGAAACAGGAGAATGGGGTGAACCCAGGAGGCGGAGCTTGCAGTGAGCCGAGTTCGCGCCACTGCACTCCAGGCCGGCAGACAAAGTGAGACTCCGTCTCAAAAAAAAAAAAAAAAAAAAAAAAAAAAAGAAAAGTTTAAAATAAGATTTCATTTTTTTTTCTGCAGCAATAAAAAGCAGCTGAGAATTTCTATTAATTAATTAATTTATTTATTTATTTTTGAGACGGAGTCTCGCTCTGTCGCCCAGGCTGGAGTGCAGTGGCGCGATCTCGGCTCACTGCAAGCTCCGCCTCCCGGGTTCACGCCATTCTCCTGACTCAGCCTCCTGAGTAGCTGGGACTACAGGCGCCCACCACCATGCCCGGCTAACTTTTTGTATTTTTAGTAGAGACGGGGTTTCACCGTGTTAGCCAGGATGGTCTCGATCTCCTCACCTCGCGATCTGCCTGCCTCAGCCTCCCAAAGTACTGGGATTACAGGCGTGAGCCACGGCGCCCAGCCCTTCTATTATTTATTTACTACGATAAAATGTAATGTATTAAATAATCCTGCTACAAGAGCATTTTATTGCAGTGAATACAAGACTAATGCATTTACTAAATTACTAATCCTAAATGTATTATTTCAGGTGATATTGTTACAAAAGAAGTGTTTCAGATTCAGAGGCTCTGTGTGCCAGGGCTGCTAGGCCACCAACAAGTGAGGAAGCCATAGGTTTCTCTAGTCCTATTTTCTTATGTGGAGGATAAAAAGAGTATCACTTAAATATTCTCTCACACCCTGAAAACAAATGACAACTTAAAAAATCTAACTTTCACTTCATGTTTAAATAAGACTGCCAAGACATGACTCAAATGAGACTCTCGGAGAATACTTTGCATTCACTTCAAAACTTGATCAATTGCATTCTATAAATCATCTGACCTGCACCTAGCCATTTTCCTGCTCTACCCCTGCTCTCTGCCTAGAATACTGCTTTTCTCTTTCCTTGCTTCAGCAAGCTCGACTCCATCTACCCTCTTGGATCTCTTTGTCGGCAGCCACACCAAAAAATGTATTTTTATACACTAATTAGTTGAATTCACCACTGCTTACAAGATGCTAATTCCTGCAGAGTATTCCCCTTGTGAGAAAGTATGCCTCTCCATAAGAGTAAGGGAGGGCCCTTACTCTTCCTACCTCCAGCTGCTGAGCATAGAATTTTGAGTAAATCCAAAACTTCGACAAGTGTTTGACAATTCAGTTATCATTTGGAAGGTAAGTCTTACTACATTTAATTACAGCAAAAACACTACTAACAGTTTACTCTTTATAGGTATTATTTAAGGTAGTCACAAAATAGAAACAAATACTCTAACGTCAGGCAGCATAAATGAGAGTATGAAATTTTACAATATTTAACAAGAAATGGAAGGGGTTACTTAGTAGTTTTAAGGTTTAATGACAAAAACTAGAAAATAATCGTACCTAGTAATTTAGTAAGTCAAAACCAAAGCCTTACCATCAAAGGTGCAGTACCCATTGGATGCGGATGCCCACGCACTGACTTCTTCTGCTGTACCTGCTGCCTCTCATTTTAACCCATTAAAAATACTAAAGTTGTTTTCCTTGTAGACATGTTTCACCTCCTTGGTTAGGTCTATTCCCAAGTATTTTAGTTTAGTTTAGTTTAGTTTTGCAGCTGTCAGAAAAGGGGTTGAGTTCTTGGTTTGATTCTAAGCTTGGTCGCTTCTGGGGTATAACAGAGCTACTGATTTGTGTACATTAATTTTGTCTCCTGAAACTTTGTTGAATTCATTTATCAGTTCTAGGAGCTTTTTGGAGGAGTCTTTAGGGTTTCCTAGGTATATGATCATATCATCATCAAACAGCAACAGTTTGACTTCCTCTTTACTGATCTGCATGCCTTTTATTGTTTTCTCTTGTGTGATTGCTCTGGCTAGGCCTTCCAGTAGTATGTTGAATACAAGTGGTGAGAGTGGGCATCCTTGTCTTGTTCCAGTTCTCGGGGGGAATGCTTTCAACTTTTCCCCCTTTCAGTATCATGTTGGTTGTGGGTTTGTCATAGATGGCTTTTATTATATTGAGCTGTGACCCTTGTATGCTGATTTTGCTGAGGGTTTTAATCATAAAAGGATGCTGCATCTTGTCAAATGCTTTTTCTGCATCTGTTTAGATGATCATGTGATTTTTTGTTTTTAATTCTGTTTATGTGGTGTATCACATTTATTGACTTGTGTATGTTAATCCATCCCTGCATCCCTGGTATGAAACCCATTTGATCATGGTGGATTATCTTTTTTTTTTTTTTGAGATGGAGTCTCGCTCTGTTGCCCAGGCTGGAATATGCAGTGCGGTGATCTTGGCTCACTGCAACCTCTGCCTCCGAGGTTCAAGCGATTCTCCTGCCTCAGCCACCTGAGTAGATGGGATTACAGGTGAGTGCCACCACACCCGGCTAACTTTTGTATTTTTAGTAGAGATGGGACTTCACCATGTTGGCCAGGCTGGTCTCGAACTCCTGACCTCATGATCTGTCCGCCTCAGCCTCCCAAAGTGCTGGGATTACAGGTGTGAGCCACCGTGCCTGGCCGGATTATTTTTTGATATGCCGTTGGGAACTACAAAACGTTGCTGAATGAAGTCATGGACACAAACAAATGGAAAGACACCCCATGCTCATGAATGGGTAGAATGAATATTGTGAAAATGACCATACTGCCAAAAGCAATCTACAAATTCAATGCAACTCCCATCAAAATACCACCATCCTTCTTCACAGAACTAGAAAAAACAATCCTGAAATTTATATGGACCAAACAAGAACCGGTATAGCCAAAACAAAACTAAGCAAAAACAACAAATCTGGAGGCATGACATTACCTGATTTCAAACTATACTATAAGGCCATAGTCGCCAAAATAGCATGGTACTGATATAAAAATAGGCACATACACCAATGGAACAGAATAGAGAACCCAGAAATAAACTCAAATACCTATAGCCAACTGATTTTCAACAAAGCCACCTAAAACATAAAGTGAAGAAAGTAAACCCTATTCAACAAATGGTGCTGGGATAATTGGCAAGCCACATGCGGGAGAATGAAACTGGATCCTCAACTCTCAGCTTACACAAAAATCAACTCAAGATGGATCAAGGACATAAATCTATGACCTGAAATCATAAAAGTTCTAGAAGATAACATTGGAAAAACCCATCTAGACACTGGCTTAGGCAAAGACTTCATGACCAAGAACACAAAAGCAAATGCAACAGAAACAAATAGGTGAGACTTAACTAAAGAGCTTCTGCACAGGAAAAGGAACAATCAGCAGAGTATACAGACAACCACAGAGTGGGAGGAAATCTTCACAGTCTATACATCTGACAAAGGGCTATTATCCAGAATCTATGAGGAACTCAAACAAATTACAATTACAAAAATATGGAACCAGCCCAAATGCCCATCAATCAATGAGTGGATAAAGAAACCGTGATATACATACATATATATATATATGAGGAATACCACCTCAGCCATAATAAGGAATAAATTCATGGCATTCCCAGCAACCTGGATGGAAGTAAGACTATTATTCTAAGTGAAATAACTCAGCATGGAAAACCAAATATCATGTTCTCTTTCATACGTGGGAGCTGAGCTATGAGGATGCAAAGCCATAAGAATGATACAATGGACTTTGGGGACTTGGGGGAAAGGCTGGGAGGAGGGTGAGGGATAAAAGACTACAAATTGGGTTCAGCGGATACTGCTCAGGTGATGGGTGCACCTAAATCTCACAAATCATCACTAAAGAACTTAGTCATGTCACCAAATGCCACCTGTTCCCCCAGAAACCTAAGGAAATAATAAATAAATAAATAAAGTACAGCATTTTTCTCAGCAAACATAAAATAAAACAAAGACTAAAGTTCATATTTTTCACTCTCCTTTTGGGCAGGACAAATTTTAGATAGGTTTTTAAAGAATTAGTAACTTTTTTCCTTTTTCCGAGACAGGGTCTCCCTTTGTTGCCCAGGCTGGAGTGCAGTGGTGCAATTATAGTTAACTGCAGCCTCAAACTCCTGAGCTCAAGCGATCCTCTGCCTCAGCCTCCTGAGTAGGTAATACGAAAGGCGCATGCCACCAGGCCTGGCTAATTTTTTATTTAACCTTTTTGTAGACATGAGGTCTTGCTATGTTGACCAGGCTAAAAATGAACAAATCTTAATTAACTTAAATATTTCTAACACTTTGGGCATTCAGGAAAACAGCTCCATTTATGTTGTGAAGTAATGGGAAGTATATGGCAGTGGATAAACTTTGAATGAAAATATTAAACAAGGCCTTAGGAGAAAAGTGTAATATGCTTATTATAGATACATTAATTTAAAAAATTCTCTGGCTTAATATAATTAATTATACTCAAATTAGATTTTGATTTAAACACAGGTCCTAAATTTGGATTAAATATAATAGATTGACCACAAATTTATTTCGTCTCCCTCCGGAAGCCTCATCAGTCATAAAATAAAGGTTACACCCATGACCAGCACAGAAGGTTGACAGAGATAATTTTTAATAAATGCTGAGACATAAAAAGTAGATAAAGGAGTGGTAAATAACACAGAAACACAACTTTGGTGCCTACAGAAAGTGACTGGAACAGAAGCGAGCCAGTTTGTCTTGCAGAACTAAAGGCAGGTTGTGAACTTACAGGCAAATGGAACTTTGGAAAGTAGGGTAAAATGTGAAAAAAAAAAAAAAGCCAGCAAGGTCAGTTGCAAATCTCTAACTAGAGCCCCAAGTCCACCTGTCCTTCCATCTGACAAGAAACTTAGATGTGTGTTCTCTGGATATATCAAACCTGAGAATTTCTGGCTCAGAGATACCATGGCTTAAACCTGAGATATAAAGAAAACTGTACACCAAAAATGGAACTCCAACTTTCTTCACTAACTCTGTTTTTCCTTTCCAGGCCTGCTTTTACTTTCCAGGCAGAAAATTGGGAGATCCTTCTCAGAAGAAACTGAAATGTCTTCAATAAAGATCCCCAGATAATACACTGAGGTCTCCCAAATGAAAAGCTAGTCAGGCTTCTAAGGCCTCACACTGAGTGCTATCAGTTAACAGAAATCCTGCTTCCAAATAAAGCAGGCCAGGGACCACCACACATTGGAGGGAAGCCTCCAAGAAAAGAGATCAAAACAATAGAAAAAAGGAATTGATAGGACCAGTCAAAATCAGGAGCAAAACTTTAAAAAAAAATCTTAAAACACTCTCAAAAAATATAAAATTCAATAGAAATAGTAGAGGATAAAGTCACAGAATATCCCAGAACTAGAATAAAAAGACAAACTGAAAAAAATACAAGGGGAAAAATTAAAAATCAATGCAGGCATATTGGTCTAAGCAGCCTAGCATCTGAATAACAAGACTATCAGTAAAAAAGTAACAGAGAAAATAAAAAAAAATTCTCAAGAAGAGATAGTCTGCAGGTTTAGTAGCCTCAATAAAATGAAAAGATCCCCAACAAGCTGTTATAAAATTTCAGAACCTTAGAGAGAGAGATTCTAAAAAGCTTCCACAGATAACTAAAACCTGGTTGTAAATAACGTATCACACACTGGCAATAGATTCAAGAACAACACTGTAATAAGAGCACAACTGCAAAATGTCTTCAGAACCACAACATTTAGATTCAACCTAGAGGTGTACTCTCTATCAAAGAGGAGGGATTTTAACATCTCCACACAGGAAAATGTGTTCAAGTACAACTAGAGACGATAACAGGACAGAAGGAAACACAGAATCTAGGACTCAGGTGATCCCACACAAGACAGCAGTTACGTGAGATACCAAAAGACTTTAAAGAGTTAGCCCAGAAAAGCAGACATTGAGCATATCTAGGGAAACCCACGCTATATTGAACTAGGATGACAAAAGGCCAAAGAAAGTTGCCCCCCACACAAACATAAAAAGGAACAGATGTGTTTTCGCAGATGGAAAATATCTTTGAAAGGCATGTGATAAATGCTACAATACTTGGGGGAAAACAGCTGTTAGAAAACAGGCAAATGAATATAGTCAGAAAATTAGCTTCATGCTAAAAAATAATGGATGTGAAAGCAAACAGAGCACCCAGAGGCTACTTAACGATATTTGGATAGATAAACTAATGTAGGCTAGGAAAAAAGAAGATCCAGGAGAATTGCAGAAGTGCTCAGATTTCAGAACTGTTTCAGAGACAGGATGAAGGACATGGAATGCAGAGGCACAGTGAAAACACCATATGACTTAGCAGTGAATAATATTTGCAGAGTCATAATCATGTAAATATTACTGATTTAATTAAAAAGTGTGCTACAATTGGAAGAAACACAGGGAGAAACATAAGATCATGGTGTAGCGGGGAAGGTATGCTTTTACCTGCTGTGACAGAAAGTCAATAGACAGTGCTGGCAATTAACTTAGCTATTCTATTTTTGTTCTTTCATTAAAAATAAGATTAAATATTTAAGGCAATTTTTTTTTTTTTTTTTTTTGAGACAGAGTTTCGCTCTGTCGCCCAGGCTGGAGTGCAATGGTGCGATCTTGGCTCACTGCAACCTCCGCCTCCTGGGTTCAAGTGATTCTCCTGCCTCAGCCTCCTGAGTAGCTGAGATTACAGGCATGCACCACCACGCCCAGCTACTTTTGTATTTTTAGTAGATACAGAATTTCACCATGTTGGTCAGGGTTGTCTCAAACTCCTGACCTCAGATGATCAGCCTGCCTCGGCCTCCTAAAGTGTTGTGATTACAGACGTTAACCACCATGCCCAGCCTTAAGGCAGGTCTTTTGAACCGGACTATTGAAATTTAACTTAAATGTCAGAAATCTTTAAAAGGTGGACACGCTAAACTAAGCACTTTTCTGGATAAATTTAATACTCAGGAAAATAGAAGAGATTTAGAAAATCCACAAAAAGAGGTCCATGCTACCACCACCAGGTCCACATTGTAATTTAAAGAAATCAAGAGAGACATCCTTTTATGTCAAACTATCAATTTCTTAACTATTTGAGTGTTTACTTACATGGTTTGTACAGTTGCTTCTTCTTATTTCTACAACTAAGAATAAAAAAAAAAAAAAACTGGTCACTTCTGATACAAATACCATAAAATAAAAGTAGTTGTTAACATCTTACTGATTACTCCTATGAAAAATGAGACAAAATTCCATTAAAAAAAAATTTTCAATAACATATAATTTAAATTATCTGGCATGATTAATTTCATAAGTCAAATCTAAAAACTTAGATTTTCATTTAGTTTACTTTTTGTTTCTATTACATACAAATGAAAGAATCCTCATGTACAAAAGAAAAGGGCAAAAAAATTAGGCCAGATGAAAAATTTAGCTAATAAAAAGTTTAACTGTTGCATATATGAGCCATGATCCATTAGTATTCTCTCATTCTGCATTTACACATAGCTTACTTTAATTATCAGACTCTAAGAGCTAACAGTTCTAAAAACTACTTCCTGACCAGACACCTATCTCTAGATGCAACAGAATCCCTGTAAGCATCTTGAACCACACTTAGTGGTTATCTACTAATATGTCACTAAAAACAAAACAAAATTAAAAAATGGTCTTTACACAACTGGAAAGTAACCTATCTTAAATTTGTTTTCTTTTTTGAGATGGAGTCTCACTCTGTCACCTAGGCTCGAGTGCAGTGGCGGGATCTCAGCGCACTGCAACCTCTGCCTCCCAGGTTCAAGAAATTCTTCAGCCTTAGCCTCTGGACTAGCTGGGACCACAGGCACGTGCCACCATGCCTAGCTAATTGTTTTTTGTATTTTTAGTAGAGACAGAGTTACACTGTGTTAGCCAGGATGGTCTTGATCTCCTAACCTCGTGATCCACCCACCTCAACCTCCCAAAGAGTTGGGATTACAGGTGTAAGCCACAGAGCCTGGCCTAAATTTTGATGTTAAAATAAGTATACAAACCTAATTGGACATGGTGTCTGCAGCACAAAAAAATCATTTTTTTTTCCCTAAAAAGAGGCCAGAATAATAAAAGCCCCAAGAGGGACTTGGGCCATGCTTTGTTTCCTACACTGCCTCTGCCTTTGATGCTGGGAGGGCCTTGTAGGCAAAAGTTACTACCACTGAAGAGTGAGGGACATGGAATAGCTTTTCTTTTACTGCTTCCATGCTCTCTAGGTGTGAGAAGCCCATGGCTCTGGAAGGAACTGGGAAATACAATTCTGATATGTTTTGGATATGTTGCCCCTCCAAGTCTCATGTTAACATGTGACCCTTAATGTTGGAGATAGGGCCTAGTGGGAGGCGTTTGGGTAATGGCAGTGATTCCTTATGAATGGCTTGGTCCCATCCCCATGGTAATAAGCACATTCTCATTACGGTAATTTAAAAGACTGTGGTACTGGCCAGGTGCGGTGGCTGAAGCCTGTAATCCCAGCACTTTGGGAGGCTGAAGCGGGTAGATCACTTGAGGTCAGGAGTTTCAGACCAGCCTGGCCAACATGGTGAAACCCTGTCTCTGCCAAAAATACAGAAATTAGCCAGGTGTTATGGTGCCCACCTATAGTCCCAACTACTCGGGAGGCTGAGGCAGGAGAATTGCTTGAACCTGGGAGATGGAGGTTGTAGTGAGCCAAGATCGTGCCATTGCACTCCAGCCTGGGCAACAGAGTGAGACTCCATTTCAAAAAAAAAAAAAAAAAGAGTGTGGTACCTTCCCCCTTCCCCTCTCTCTTTCACCGTGTGGAACCACCTGCTTCCCCTTTGCCTTTTATCATGATTGTAAGTTTGCTGAGGCCCTCACCAGAAGCAGATGTTAAAGCCATGTTGGTACAGCCTGAAAATCTTTGAGCCAATTAAACCTCTTTTTGTTATAAATCACCCAGCCTTAGGTATCTCTTTATAGTAATGTAAAAAATGAAGACAAATTCTAACCAGAAATAACTGACTCAAGATGGGCAAAGTCTACTCAAACTATAAAAACAAAGGTTACAAACTCCCGTGTTTTACTGTGCTGCATTACTTCGCACACTATTATAGAACCCTCACTTGTATTCTTGCTGTTTAAGTCAACTGGAAAACTTGGCTGTGTATGGCTTGTTGGCAAATAAATAAGGATTTAACATAACATTAAGGGAAATAAGCAGGAGTAGGGCACGTTTAAATTTACATTACATCGAATGAAAAAGTTAATAACCTAAAACTTTTGAGTAGCATGAACTTGGATGTGGTAAATGAATGTGGTCAGAGGACTGTGTAAGAGGAGGCCCAAATCACAGATTCAATCCCTGATGATAAACAACTATGTTTTTTAAGTTGTTTAAATGAAAACCAAGCTGAAGCCTAAGTTCTATCATTCATCTTTAAAGTGTACTTTTTGGAGCAAGGGAAAAGGGATTATAAATAAAGATAAATCCATTAATTATAAATAAAGATAAATCCAAGAATTATAAAGAGAAATCCATGACTCCTCCATCACATCACAAATTAATTGTGTTGATAAAAAGATGGCAAAATGTATAAACAAAAAGGTTACACATTTTCACTAACATCATAACAACTAAAGGAAAGTATATCACATATTCAAATGAGACAAGTGAACATGTGAAAAGGTGAAAAATTTAAACCAATATGAGTTTTTCTAAATACTTTCTATAACCTGATCAAACAAGAGATTTTATTCTTTCTCTTGGCGGAAAAAACAATGTCGTCTCACCATCTGTTTGAGAGTTCCTCTGGAATATTGTGCTTGCCTCTGGATTGGCAGAAGGGTTAAACTCCAAAGCTATATGCATAGAGGAAGAAAAGAAAAAAAGATGTAATCATTGATAAAAATTTATCAACTCATTTATTCGACTGCTGCATTTAGGCTATTTCACTATCTCTACTTTGATTCTTATCCATTGAAATGAATGTATAGACATAAGATAGAGCCAGGCAAGATGGCACATGCTTGTAGTCCCAGCTACTCAGGAGGCTGAGATGGGAAAATCACTTGAACCCAGGTCAGGAAGTTGAGGCCAGCATGAGTAACACAATGACACCCTCCTTTATTTAAAAAAAAAAAAAAAAAAAGAGGTAAATTTTGGCTTTGAGTTGTGTAAAATCAACTTTGCATAAAATAAATCAAGATAGCAGTAAGTTTTAAAAGACAGTCTATTTTATAGGCAAAATATAAGATGTATTCTAGAGTTTTTAAAATTTTTAAAAAGTAAATTCATCATATCTGTCACTTCCATTTCATTCTGAGGACACAGAACCTTAGTTCTCTTGAGTAGCTGTCTTCCATAGTCATGTGATATCTCTAAGTTTTCATTTCTTCATTAGCAATACATAGGGAGAACATACACAGGCCTTATTTGTATTGGAAAGGGCCAAGTGAGACATACATAAACTGTGTTGTAATCCTAAAGAATGACAATAAAGAGCCATTTTTGGGCTCTCATCCAACACTACCCATCTACTAACTGGTGTGTAACATCCATCAGGCTTTCCGAACATCACCAAGCAGAGTATAAGTTTACACAAGTACTTACATGCTTTGTGTATAAAGGTACAATCAATTAATTCACATAATGCATTTGTTTATTCTAAAGCAATCCTTAAATATCTTGAAATGTGAAGATAGTACTTCCAAGTTACAAAGTCACACTCATAATGAGTCTTAATTATCCTACCTCTTTAAAAATTAAGAGCCCGACCAAAGTTTAAATAGAAGAGCTATAAGACATTTCCTCTACAGTGATGAAATCTCTGGCATTTAAATGAAACCAATAAGCCAACTGGATTTAATATGTTTATGATGCAATGTTTTCTATTTTGAAAATTTCAGTTTTTATTCAAGAACCATATTATTACCCAGAATTACTTTTACTTAGATTCATCTCTTTGCAAAATTTTAGAGGCAAACCAACTAATTGTTTTCTCTTTTCTACCGGCTCCCATCCCCTGCCTCTGCCAGCAGTGTAGAGACTAAAAAACTCCAACTTTCTTTCCTTTTTTTTTTTGTGAGACGGAGTCTCGCTCTGTCACCCAGGCTGGAGTGCATTGGCGTGATCTCTGCTCACTGCAACCTCCACCTCCTAGGTCCAAGCAATTCTCCTGCCTCGGCCTTGTGAGTAGCTGGAACTACAGTCATGCGCCACTACGCCCAGCTAATTTTTGTATTTTCTTTTTTAGTAGAGACAGTGTTTCACTATGTTGGCCAGGCTGGTCTCGAACTCCTGACCTCAGGTGATCCGCCTGCCACGGCCTCCCAAAGTGCTGGGATTACAGGCGTGAGCCACCAAGCCCAGCCAAAACTGTAACTTTCTTATCTTTGAACAAGATGCTATTGTCAGGAGGGGAAGGGACAAAGGGGGAGCCATGGCAACAAACACTCTAACAGGGAAGGTCTGACATTTTAACCTGCAATCTTTATATTACACATTAAAAGTCTACGTTGACGTTTCATGTCTTTTGAAAGTTTTGACCATGAACCAATCCCCACCTCTCTTTTAGAACAAGGAGGTAAATAAAGTCTGTTAAGTCACCAGAATAAATCTGGAGACACATTTTCTGTTAAAGTAAGAATTTTAAAGTAATCAGAGCCTCATAGGTAAACTCCTTTGAGAAACCCCAAACACACACACACAACCATTTTTCTGCAGCCCCGGCTGTGACATTTCACACCTTTCACAATTATTTTAAGCATTCTCCTTTTTTCTTTTTCCTTCTGTGTTCAAATTACAGTTAGAAGAAACTAAGCAGCTTCTATCAAGGTGACTTAAAGCAGCCCATTAAGAATACCATATAGCCTCTCCCGTGGCAACCTCCATTCTGATTTTAAATAAGAAATCCCCAAATATTTGAATAGGAACTGTCCTGAGATTTGGCTACTTTAACAAAGGAAACAATTAGGCACTTACCTGGTTCCTTCACTTAGGTACCATCTGGATAGGTACAAAGAAAAAATAAGATGGGTACTGAAAAGTTGGGATATTTGAGTTTTTATTGAGAAAAGGAAGAGAATAGCTCAAAGAAGCCTAAACAAAGTCCCACAGGATAATAAACAGAGCTACAGACACTGTTGTCTCACCATCTGTTTGAGAGTTCCTCTGGAATATTGTGCTTGCCTCTGGATTGGCAGAAAGGTTAAACTCCAAAGCTATATGTATAGAGGGAGAAAAGAAAAAAGATGTAATCATTTATAAAAATGTATCAACTCATTTATTCAACTGCTGCTTATTCGACAAGAGCCATAAATAAATGGCCCCATGCCAGCCTGGGAGAATGAGATGAGAGAGCAAGAACTGGGCGATTGGGAGGGGAGGCGAAAAGAAACTGACTGGACTCGGTGGGGAAAGACTAAGGGGTGGGAATTCAAGGCAGAGCCAGTTTTGTTCCTGGCCAGCCCCCGGGAAAGCTGGCTACAAGCAGAAAGGAGCTCGAAGTGGGGGATGCCTCAAAGGGAACCTTGGGGACAGCAGCAGCCAAAGGCAAACCGAGGGTAGATGGCACCTATCACCTCCTCACCTTCAGGCATCTCCCGGTCACGAACCTGGTGCATGTGGAGGTCCTCACCAACTTCAACAGTCACCTCAGCAGGCTGTACAGCAGCAGCCATGGGCGCTCCTGCCATCCTGTCCTCAGCTCCTGCCTCATAGATCTCAGATTCAGAGGGACACACCGACCCCTGCTGCTGGTCAAACTCGAGGCTGACGCTAGGGTGCACACGACAGGTCAGTATGTTCCCCATGGGGCGCCTCTACTGTCTGCCACCACCTGTGCCTCTGCTCACAGCTTTGGCCACGCACTCCCGCTGTCCTAGGCCGAGGCTATGCTGCACTTGCAGAGATGGTCTTCCCGCTCCTCGCCTGCCCACCTCACAGCGCGGCCCCGGGCACCAGCCCTGGCCCCGGCCCCGGCCCCGGCCCCGGCTAGGGTTGCGGGCCAAGGCCCGCACCCTGCTGCCTCCCCTGAGTTGACTTGTCTGGGAGGGTGAAGACCAGCCGGCTTATTTAATAGGTTGTGAACCCAACAAGCGCTGAGAGACACAACAACTGCCTGAAGAGAGAACAGACGGAGCTCCTTCTCCTTCTGTAGTCACCTACAGACTGAAGCCCACTGGCCCCAGGTGGGAGCCCAGGCATGTGGCACACAATGCCCCACCCCCCACTTCACAATGCCCTCCCCGACACCTCACAGTGCCCCACCCTGCCTGCCACCCCTCCCCAACAGCTCAGAATGCCCCTGCCTTGGCTGCCCCACCCTGTGGCTTATGATGCTGCTGCTCTCCTGGCCCCTCGTGCAGTGCCAGTGGGACTAAGGTTTTCATTCATCACCAGCTTCCTGAGATTTTAGTCCTAAGAAAAGCACAGGGTAGTTCATTCCTTGAAGCCAGCTTCCTCTATGAGTTCTATACAAAGCCTCAGTAGAGTGGGTCCCATTAGCAACCAAGTTGAACAACTTTTATTTGCTGTCTGAATATAGATACACCTGAATTGTTGACTGCTTTTGTAACTAAACACTCCTCTCCTGTCTTCCAACGAGTGGTCATTTTTGTCCGCAACTTGACCACAGCAATCCCTGGGGCCCTAGCTCTACTCTCAATAAAGAGTTATGGCTGTGTGTTTTGAATGACACCTTAGGACCCATCCTGCCTCCACCTCCTTCTCCATAAAATAGAAACCTAACTGGCACCTCCAAGCTCTGAAATGCTGAAACTTACCAACTCCCTTTTCTCCCCGCTATTTCTTCCTTCCATGGCAGGGACTTTCAGGTTTTCTTTCTTTTACTAACAAGGCACTAAGCATGATTTTCTCATACAAAATCGAGAGCCATAAAGTGGCTTACCACAGTCCTATTTCAATAAAGATGAATACTCGACATCTGGCAAGTAGTGTGTGCCTGACAGTGTCCCCACTGTGCTATGCTCATTTAACCCTCAGAAACAATCTCATGTTACAGATTTTACAGAAGTTGTTGAGATGGAGAAGGTAAGTAACCTCCCCAAGGTCACATGACTGCTAAGGGTGGGGCCATAGTTTGATCCCAGGTAGTCTGAATTCCCCAATTGCTTAAGCATGAGTATCAGAAAGTATAGCAGTCTGTTTTCACACTGATATAAAGAAACACCTGAGGTTGGGTAATTTTTAAAGGAAAGAGGTTTAATTGACTCAGTTTCACATGGCTGGGGAGGCCTCAGGAAACTTAACAATCATGGCAGAGGGGGAAGTCCTTCAGGAAACTTACAATCATGGCAGAAGGGCAGGTCCGACTTACATGGTGGCCGCACAGAGAGTGGGAACATGTGAAGGAGCAACTGTCAAACATGTATAAAACCATCAGATCTCAGCTGGGCACGGTGGCTCACACTTGTAACCCTAGTACTTTGGGAGGCCAAGGCAGGTGGATCAACTGAGGTCAGGAGTTTGAGACCAGCCTAGCTAATGTAGTGAAATCCTGTCTCTACTAAAAATACAAAAATTAGCTGGGTGTGGTGGTGCATGCCTGTAATCCCAGCTACTCAGGAGGCTGAGGCAGGAGAATCAATGGAACTCAAGAGGCAGAGACTGCAGTGAGCCAAGATCATGCCATGGCACTCCTGCCTGGACAACAGAGCAAGACTCCATCCCAAAAAACAAAACAAAACCCTATAAGATCTCATGAGGACTTACTGAATATCACAAGAACAGCATGAGGATAACTGCCCCCATGATCCAATCACCTCCCCCTAGGCCCCTCCCTCGACACATCAGGATTATGGGGATTATAATTCATGATGAGATTTGGGTGGGGACATGGCAAAACCATATCAGAAAGTAAAGGTAGAAGTCAAGCTTGGATGGGAAATGACATTGTAGATTATTATTATTATTATTATTATTATTATTTTGAGACGAAGTTTTGCTCTTGTTGCCCAGTGAAATTGTTTCTCTAATTTCATTTTCAGATTGTGTCTTGTAGATGTATAGAAATACAATTGATAAATGATTCTGGCTATTAACCTTTTATGCTTCAACCTTGCTGAACACTATTTTTTTTTTTTTTTTTTTTTTTTTTTGAGACGGAGTTTCGTTCTTGTTGCCCAGGCTGGAGTGCAATGGCGTGATCTTGGCTCACTGCAACCTCCGCCTCCCGGGCTCAAGCGGTTCTCCTGCCTCAGCCTCCCAAGTAGCTGGGATTGCAGGCATGCGTCACCATGCCCGGCTAATTTTGTATTTTTAGTAGAGACGGGGTTTCTCCATGTTGGTCAGGCCCACCTCAGCCTCCCAAAGTGCTAGGACTACAGGCATGAGCCATCGTGCCCAGCCAGATTCGTATATTTTTAAAAGAATTTTTTTTACTTTTTATTTTTTTTTTAAGACAGAGTCTCACTCTGTGGCCCAGGCAGTGGCACAATCATTGCTCACTGCAACCTCCACCTCCTGGGTCCAAGTGATTCTCATTCAAGTGCCTAAGCCTCCCAAGTAGCTGGGATTACAGGATCCCGCCCCCATGCTCAGCTAATGTTTGTATTTTTAGTAGAGATGGGGTTTCACCATGTTGCTCAGGTTGATCTCGAACTCCTGACCTCAGGTGATCCACCTGCCTTGGCCTCCCAAAGTGCTGGGATTGCAGGCGTGAGCCACCACTCCCGAACAGAACAACATTTTTTTGATGTGGATTTTAAAATGCCTCCCCTTCTTTCAACATTGATTAAGTCCCTTCTACATGCCAGGCACTGTATGTGTGAAATAGTCCCAACTCTCAATGAGTGTAGGCAGATACACAAACAAAGGCTTAAGGAGGTCAGTTTTCTGAGACCATACTGCTGGACAGTATATGAACCTGGGATACAAACCCACCTCTATTTGACCTCAAATTTGATGCTGGGGTGGTTTTAATTTTATTCTGGGAATTTCAGTCATTCAACCATAAAAAGGTGAAAAGTCTCTGTCAGATGTGCGTGTAGTGGTCTGTATAATAAAGACTGAAGGAAGCAACCCAACCAATTAAGAGACTTTCTCTAAAGGCAGAGTAATGCTAAGGGCAGTGGCAGTGACAAAAGTGGAGGAAAAAGTCTGTGATCATTTGGGAGACAGAATAGGAAGTGCTTGGTCATGAGATGTGAAAGAAGAGGGGAAGTAGAAGGAAAACAGAGCTGCTCAGGCTCTGCTGGGGAAGACTGGGTGTGTAGCAGTGCCTTCCTCCTGGCCGAGAATGTAGGAAGAGAAATAGGTAAGGAGGAAAAGATAGTTTTTTACTCTCAGTGTCACATTAAAATGGAACTCTCTGGTCAAAAGTTGAATATAAATCTCTGTAGGCTAAGTCCATTTGTGACATCCCAACATATGTTTTCAAAAATAACATACACACTAAATCAAGCCATTAAGCGTAACTGGGGAAATTTCCTAAAATTTACATGCTAAAAAATCACCATTTTTCATTTATTACTTTCATGGAGCAACTTTGAATCTATGGTTACAGCAGGTGAGGCACCTTGTATAAAATAAAGCTAATACATGAAATAAAACCATTTAAAATTCTATTGTTCTCAGAGAATGGAGAAAGCAATTGAAGCCATGGGTGTGGAGGTGACTGCCTTGAGAAGTTGTGTATAGTAAGGAGAACTGGGAAGAAAGAAGACCTGGAGAATAGGGTGATTTGCACGGCATTAAGTGAAGCTTGCAAAAGTGAGCACTGGGAGTCAAGAGACATGTATGAATCAGAAATGGCTGCTCCTGTGAGTTGTTAGAAAGGAGATGATGCCTTCTTTTCATATCTATAACAGTAGCACCTAGCACAGTGCCTGTTCAATAGGTACTCGACATGTATTATCCCAATGCAGAGTCAAATTTTGCCAGGAAGGCAGGAAAGCTACAAATTAGCTATGGCAACTTAGTGATTGGGCTTGGGTGTGTGTGTGAGCGAGCTGGATGTCAGGCAGTGGGCAAAGTAGTGAACTGGAGGTGAGAAAACAATGACACAAACTCAGGGCTTCTCTTCCCAAGTATTTGGCTGAGAAGAGAGATGTAGTATTAAAGGGAGATATGTGGTAAAGGAAGCCTTTTATTTCAAGATTCAACAAAAGCGTGAGTATACTTCTATGTTAAAGGGAAAGAGCCAATAGAGAAAACACATTTTTGAGGTTAGAAGAGAAGGAAGAACTAATGCAGAAGGGCCCCAAAAGGCACAGGTGCGTGCAATCCGGATCAGGGACAGATTAGCTTTGGATTCCTACAAAAGCAAGAAGGGAGAAAGGACCATGTGACACTAGAGATATTTCTGGTAAAGGAAAGGTTTAGGAAAATATCTTTTGATGACCTTTATTTTAACATAATTTTTTTTTTTTTTTTTTTTGAGATGGAGTCTTGCTCTGTCACCCAGGCTGGAGTGCAGTGGCACGATCTCGGCTCACTGCAACCTCTGCCTCCTGGGTTCATGCCATTCTCCTGCCTCAGCCTCCTGATTAGCTGGGACTACAGGCACCCGTTACCATGTCCAGCTAATTTTTTGTATTATTAGTAAAGACGGGGTTTCAACGTGTTAGCCAGGATGGTCTCCATCTCTTGACTTCGTGATCCGCCGGCCTCGGCCTCCCAAAGTCTGGGATTACAGGCGTGAGCCACTGCACCTGGCTAGACTTTAAAAAAAAAAAAAAATACTGTGGGAAAAAGGATATTATGTATAGAAAAGTCTACACTTCTTGATACAACTAACTAAAAAAAGCCTGATACACTAAACAAAACCCAAATAATGTCTTCCCTAAAAGTGGGTAACTTGAAAAGCAATTCGAGCAAAAATCAAGGAGTTCAATTATAAATAAGTATATCAACAAAGTGAAAGATGGGTTTAATTTTTCCCACAAAAAGTTAAAAGAAATAACAGCAGTTTTAGAGGAAGAGGAAAAAATAATAAGAAAATTATATGCAGTTGCAAAATGTGTGACTATTTACAAACTCTAACATATAACTACAAAACGGACCAGAAGAATCATTATCATAGGAAGCAAAGGGTCATTTCAAAAATCAGAGGAGGGATGATTCATATTTAATTTAATTCTGTGGAAAACATTTAAGTAACCTTTGAGGACAAAAATAGGTGATATGTTGAAATGCGGGAAACCACAGTGGAAGGAAAAAGAATTCAAGAAAGCTCAGTTTCAGTAACCAGTATCTAGTAAAATCTTCAGGACCTAGAGGCTACAATCTGCATTAATAGTGTCTGAAGACCTAGAAATGTCATTAAATACCATTTTGGATAATTCTTGTAGACTTGAGATGATGTCTATTTAAAGTTACAAGACAGTGCCTGTATTTCTGTATTCATAACAGAAAACAATTGGATATGGAAAAGAAACTAACATGCTATGCCACAATCTCTAAAGAAAGATTAGGGAAGTTTCAGCTTAAAGCAAGAATAATCACAATAAAGTTTTACAACCCTTTGCAAGCATATATGAAAAACTTACAAAAAGTTTGTAATGATCTTTTCTTAAGCTAAGAGAATGGAAAAAATGAGAAAAATTAAATTATAAAATGAAACTTTGGTTTAGAGGTAAGAAACATTTGATGACAGTCAAGAGATCAGGGTTGTACAGTGTATTATGTGAATGTTGTGACTCATTGGTTTCATCTTGGATATCATAACTTGACATTTTGTAAAAGTGATTTTTCATGGGAGTTTTTTCAGGTGCCCTATAAAGTCCTGTCCCATGAGAAGTGAATAATAGTCTTCCATATTCTTGAGATATCTTAATGAATAGCATCTTCTACAGTCTTCCATTGTTTAGTCCTTGGAGAGACACTCATTAGTGACTGTTAAGGTACCTGAGTTATTAGGTGCCTGTAGACTATGCCCAGTGATATGTGCATTAGGTACATGCTCCCTAGCTGCGTTGACACTGACTGAAGCTGTGAGGTTTCACAATGACATGTCAGCCAAATACATATGCTCAGATTTACCATTTATCAAGAGGTCTTCACACTATCAATTGTGCAATTATCATTCTACACACAGGCAGCGATAAAGGGAGTAAAAAAACACAGCCATGGATCGGGAGACTAAGGTACCTCCAGAGGAGTCCAGTGGGTCCAGAAGCCCTTTGGATGTTGGTCAGAGGCTCCTCTTGGGCAGAGATCACAGCAGCAGCCAACAGGTCTGGTGAAATCCTTAAGAGTTCTCATGGACAAAGTTTGTGAAGGCATCTTAGACAAGATATTGTCTTTGCTGGTTTTATGATCCTCTGCAGATGGGTCTATTCTCATTATCTCAGCCACCTTTCACTTCCTATCAGTTCAGTTCAGGTCTCTCATGATCCCAGGCAGCAGTAGTTGTTATCACGTGAGTTCATTCATATATGTTTATCTCTTTGGGGATGGGGGGACAACTTCACTGTGGACTTAATTCTACTGGAGATGAGTGACCCCATTTTAAGACAACATGATCACAAATTATTATCACATATCAGCAGGGCAGACAATAGCTATGACCTGGGGCTGAAAGCAGGTAACTCCATTTATTCTGCAAACATTGTCTTGATTATGGTGCCAGTTGCTGTGAGGGATTTCCTTTCCACCACCTGTTTTTCACAAGGTTTGAGTCTGAACTGCTAACATTCTACTGATTTCTGGGTGAAGGGACTGACTGCACCATCCTAGCCTGTCAGAGCATTCGCCCCAATACTTCCACTTTAAGAGTTTTCCACCTTGTCCAGAACTACAGTCCATTAATCCCCTCATTTTCTCTCTTAAGAGAATAAACAGGCCAGGCGCGGTGGCTCACACCTGTAATCCCAGCACTTTGGGAGGCTGAGGCGGGTGGATCATCTGAGGTCAGGAGTTCGAGACCAGCTTCACTTACATAGTGAAACCTCGTCTCCACTAAAAAAAATAATCACAAAAATTAGCCGGGCATGGTGGCAGGCACCTGTAATCCCAGCTACTCGGGAGGCTGAGGCAGGAGAATCCCTTGAACTCGGGAGGCAGAGGTTGCAGTGAGCCAAGACTGTGCCACAGCACTCCAGCCTGGGTGACAGAGTGAGACTCCCTCTCAAAAAAAAAAAAAAGAGAGAGAGCGAGAATAAACAACCCATGTCAAGTACACACCCACATCCCTCTTATCCCAAATACCAAACACACAAAAATCCAATCTGTCTCCTTCTACCTAAGCAATTTTAGATAGTCACTTTCTCATAATTACCTTAAGCTCCCTGACTTGCTGCTCGTCCTTTCTCTGGCAAAATCTCATCCTTGGATGAGCCCGACTTTGTGTTTGCTCAATGACACCACTCACCTGAACCAGAAAAAATATCAAAAAGTGGTCAGAGATATCATCATAAATTCAAATTACTTACACAAAAAAATTGGCCCTAAATGTTTCCAGAAATCAATAAAAGTTTTGTTTCTCCAATGACATCATTTCTTCAGAAACCCAACGTGTATAACCTATTTTTTCTATGTTCTTCTAACATTTATTCAACTTCTCTCATCTGATATCTTGCCAAATCATTCAAAGAGAAAATATATCCCATTAGGCAAGAGCCCACCATATTCCCATCACCTGAGAAAATCATATGCACAGGATGCACCCACCTCATCTTTCTCTGCCTCATCATGTCAGAAAAAGTACCCCACCTTTTGCCACAAGGCAAATCTGAGATAAAAGATTTAGATGGCCTGTAATTCCAGCACTTGGGGAGACCAATGCAGGCAGATTATTTGAGTCTAAGAGTTCAAAAGAAGCCTAAGCAACTTAGGGAAACTGCATCTCTTAAACAAATACAAACCATTAGCCTAGCATGGTGGTGTGGTGGCACATGCCTGTAGTCCCAGCTACTCAGGGTGGGGAGCACTGAGGTGGGAGGATCACCTGAGCTGGAAGGTTGTGGCTGCAGTGAGCCGTGATCACGTCACTGCACTCCAGCCAGGGTAACAGATATTTTTTAAAGGATCTTCTCTGTTAAAATAATCCAATAAACAGGTGGCCATGAGGCTGAGGTGGCTGCCGTGCACTCAATTCCTCCTTAAATAAACCAAAACTTGACTCAGTGTAAATAATAAAAGGAAACTTAAGCTTAACCAATCAGAAACCACCAACTAACATCTAACTAGAGACCTTCCACTGTAATGTTCCAAATGAGGCCACTGCTCCACTTTACCCAATCAAGTATTTTCTTTTTCTTCCACATTCACCATATAAAATTCTTCCCCCACCCTCCCTAAGCCTCTCTGTGGGACCTCTGAGCTGCTTGCAGTCTGGGGCTGCCTAGTTTATACATTTCTGAATGCTCAAATATATTTTCTAATGTTTCAAAGTGGCTCTGGTGTAGGAGGTTGTTGGTGGAGTGACCCGAGAGTATACAGGAATTGAGGGCATATGAGATCTCTGGACTCTGTACTCCATTTTGCTGTACACTCAAAACTACTCTAAAATAATAATATATCTTTAAAAATCTATAACTAGCACGTAGCCCTTTTCAAGCCTCCAACTGGTTGGAGCCAGTTCGATTAAAGCTCAGAAGAAAAACTGGTTAATAAGCTAGTTCTGACCCAACTGGC
Organism: Homo sapiens; assembly: GCF_000001405.40. Taxonomy (NCBI): domain Eukaryota; kingdom Metazoa; phylum Chordata; class Mammalia; order Primates; family Hominidae; genus Homo; species Homo sapiens. Next base: position 46,807,730 of record NC_000010.11, on the reverse strand, counting down.
AAGAAGCAGCAGGAAAGACCCAGGCCAGGGGAGCATATTGCACATGCATGCACCAGGAAACTGGAGGAAGCTTGGAGGCCCTTTAGCCTGGTCCTGAGCCCGCTGAAACTGCAGTTACAGGCACAGATGCCTGGGGCACCAATCTGAATCTGCCAACATCCAAGGCCACATGAACACAAATGCGCAGTCTCCTCTGCGATCGGTAGCTAAGGATGTTAGGCCATGATTGGACTAGGATGGGAGATGAACTGAGAACTCTGGATTCTGTAGGTTGTTGTTGTCTCTTCCCACCCCCAAGCAACAAGTGATGAACACACACACACACACACACACACACACACATCCTGTAGTGACTAACAGGATCTCCCTCCAGGGGATTTGCAGAAAGGGGAGCAGAAAACATCCCAGGGGCCTTTCACAGCTACTTCCTTGAGCCCCCTTTCAGACTGCTGTCTAGACCTGTCGCAGCCCAAACATCATCACCCTGATATGCAGAAGCTGGCATCCTTACCTGAAATTCAACACCAAGAAATGATCTCTTCTACTCAACACTGATAGAAATACCTCTAAGCAACGTCCTCATTGGCAGGGGTGGAGTGGGGAGTTTCTTAAAAAGGGAGGCCTCTGCCTACCACCTAGAGAACCTGGAAATTTCCATCTGTGCCACAAAGTCCAAATCACTAGCCACTGCCCCAGTGTATGGCAGATTAGAACATCTCTCCATTAGATCTGGGTTTCTATTCCATTGAGTGAAATGGCTTTTCTATTACAGGAACAGAATAAGGGTTCAAAAGGGTCTTACAACTGAACTCCAGTGTACAGTCTGCACAGACACTAGGCTTGTGCAAATATGACACAGCGAGGCCCCAGGACCCTTAAGCCAGCTGAATGTACTGAGTTTCAGGAAACAGTGAGATACATTCAGCAAAACAGTGGGCTTCATGCTGAAAGAAGTCACTCCAAGTAAACACACATCACACACACACACACACACACACACACACACACACATACACACACCCGCAGACACCCTAGTGGCCAATAGGTCCTCTCACCAAAAACCTGTGATCAGGAGAGCAGAAAGCCTCCCAGGGGTCCATCACTGCCCTTTCTGGAGCCCCTTATCAGATGGCCAGCCCCAGGACAGCACTGTCTGATCCTGGTCCAGTCCAAACCGCCATCACCCTGTGATGTGGGAGCTGGCCACTTCACCAGAACCTCTGTGTCAGAAAAATTTCTCTTCCTTTTAAAATGATGAGGGGGAACTTTCAGACAGTGTCTGATTAGGGTGGGTGGAGAGAGGGGCTTCCTAGAAAGTCAGGCAGGGCAGGGCTGAAGCCCTCTGGGTTAACTGAGTGCTTTTGATATGAAGGCAGGTAAGACTGGACAGGTGGGGGTGTTAGTGAGGGGATGGTGTAGGGTGTGCTGAAGAACTCCACTTGAGCTCTGCACACCAGGGAAAATGACCATAAAACATCCCATCTTCACTGCTCAGAGAAGGCTAGATCTGCTGTGAGCTAGAAAGCCATGTGGGGGCAGCTGATGAGTCATCAAATGGGAGAAATCTGAGAGCCATGTGTTCCACAGGCCTCTGGTCCTTGTTCAGGCAGCAGGGCACTGTGACATGTGGCTCCTTGGCCCCTTCCAGCCACCACCTTGATTGCATGCTGCAGGGAAAGAGACTGAAGACCAAGAATGGGGTCTTGCTCACCATGGGATGATGGCTCAGTACAGAGCTGAGCTATGTATGGCCCAAGAGGCAGAATGTGGGGATGACCCAGGCTGAGCTGGGGGATCCAACTGAACATGCACTTGCTAAGAAGCTGTGGGCTATGATGCCTTGGGACCCCAGTCTGGGTCTAGAATTGTAGCAAAACAGGCTACTGGTAAAAGTTCTTGGGAAGCCAACTCACTTTTGCTGTCATCCATGGGCAAACAAACCAAGCCCCACCACTTCCCACTCCCTCTGAAAGCCTCCTGCCCCTCTGATCGACCACACCACAATGGTGTCACTCTGTAAGGCACAGGTAGACAAGGCATCCAGCCATGAACACTACAGGGCGCACACATGTCCAGAATACACTGGTTCTTGTTGAGACTCCACTCTTCCAACTCAGACAGAAGCTCCCCAATCTCCTCAGCCACTCCCAACAACTGGAGGTCTGAAAACTTTCATGCATGCCGCTATGGTCTAAACCACTCGTGGCGGTTTTCATTTTCATTTTCCTGATAATCAGTGATGCTGAGCACCTTTCCATATGCCTTTTCACCAACTGGATGCCTTCTATGGCTAAATGTCTATTCAAATCCATTGCCCATTTACAAATCTGCTTTTTTGTGGGCTTCTTTTTTTCTCTTTTTTTTTCCTATTTATTTATACAAGTTCCTTAGGTATTTTGGATATTTTTTAAAATGATTTTCAATTCCACTGCCCAGTTATAATTTTTTTTTTTTTTTTTTTTGAGACGGAGTTTTGCTGTTATTGCCCAGGCTAGAGTGCAATGGTGCGATCTTGGCTCACAGCAACCTCCACCTCCCAGAGTCAGGCAATTCTCCTGCCTCAGCCTCCTGAGTAGCTGGGATTACAGGCATGTGCCACCATGCCCGGCTAATTTTTGTATTTTTAGTAGAGATGGGTTTTTTCCATGTTGGTCAGGCTGGTCTCAAACTCCCGGTCTCAGGTGATCCATCCACCTCGGCCTCCCAAAGTGCTGGGATTACAGGCGTGAGCCACTGTGCCTGGCCAATTATCCCTTTTAGTGTTTTTTTGGGGGGTTGGGGGAAGAACAGAGACTCACTCTGTCACCTAGGCTGGAGTGCACTGGTATGATCTCGGCTCACTGCAGCCTCCGCCTCCCAGGTTCCAGCGATTCTCCGGACTCAGTCTCCCGGGTAGCTAAGATCATGGGCACGCAACACATGCCCAGCTAATTTTTGTATTTTTAGTAGAGACAGGGTTTCACCATGTTGGCCAGGCTGTTCTCAAACTCCTGACCTCAGGTGATCCGCCCACCTCGGTCTCCCAAAGTGTTGGGATTACAGGCGGGAGCCACCACTCCCGGCCCCATTTTGTGTTTTAACATCAGTCGACACTCGTATTTTAAAATAATAACAATGAATGGCGCTACCTTAGAACAAAGGAATTATAGATCTTTCTCTTGTCCTAGTGCAGACATTTTGTCTATAAAATGTTATTCACAGATGAATTCATGAGAACATTACTGTGAATTTTACATCCATATACAAGTGTATGCTCATTCATGAATATTTCAATAAAATAAAACTAATAGCAAAAAAGAATTCCAGAGTTGAAGCAGTTTCAGGAAAAAGGAGTTGGCAGTATGAAGTAAAATAGCAAAAAAATTTTTTTTTTAAATGGGTATATTTGTGTCTACAACTTTTTTTTAATTATAGCATTAGACAATGTGTATATATATACGTATATAAAGCAATGGAAGTAGCATTGTTTTCATACTAGTCTAGAATATTAAAATATATGTAATATGTGATCAGCAAAATAATGGCCCCCCAAAGATGTCCACAGATTCCTAGAACCTTACATGAAAACGGTACATCATGCATGTGATTCAGGTAAAGACCTTGACATGAGGAGACTACCCTGGTGCTATGGAATGAATGTTGTGTTCCGTCAATGTTCATGTGTTAAAATCCTAACCCTCAAGGTGATGGTATTAGGAGGTTAAGCCTTACGGGAGACTCTGCCCTCATGACTGGGATTAGTACCTTATTAAAGGCACAAGGGAGCTTGTTTTTTCCTCTCACCATGCGAAGACACAGCAAGGAGGAAGCCTCTATGAGAAAGCAGGCCTTCACCAGACACCAAGACTGCCAGCACCTTGATCTTGCACTTCTCAGCCTCCAGGACTGTGAGAAACAAAGTTCTGTTATTTATAAGCTACCTGGTCTAATGCATTTCCTTGTAGCAGCCTGTACGGATTCGGACAGTGGGCTCATGTGGATGATGACGGTGTCTCCATTCAGGACTAAGTAAGCACATGAGTCCTTAACAGTGGAAGAGAAGGGGGAAGGAAAGAGCCACAGAGACATGTGGCCATAGAAGAAGGGCCCATGGGATGCAAGGTTGCTAATGGTGAGAGTGGAGAAGAGCCCAATGCCAAAAAATGCAGGCAGACTCCAGAATGTGGAAAAGGCGAGAAAAAAGATCCCCTAGAGCCTCTAGAGATGAAGGTAGCCTTTCCACCACCTAGATTTTAGCCCAGTGAGATCCACATCACACTCTGACATACAGGAGTGTAATAAATTTGTTTTATGCCCTGACATACTGGTAGTTTGTTGTAGCAGCAATGGACTAGTAATATATAAATATATATATATATACACACACACACACACACACACACACACAAACACTACCCCCCCACCACACACAACATAACTATCTATATATATCCTGCCCTTCAAAACTGAATCAGATAAACTACACATTAGCATTAACTTAGCTGGGTGTGGTGGCACATGCCTGTAGTCCCAGCTACACAGGACGCTGAGAGGAAGGATCACTTTAGCCCAGGAGTTTAAGATCAGCCTGGGCAAACACACTGAGGCCACATTTCAAAAACAAACAAACAAAAAACACAACAAATCTTTGATTAAGCTCATTTCCCAAATTTGAAGAGGAAACAATTATTAGATAAAGAGGAGAAAAGAGAAAGGTAGAGCTGCTGACTTCTGTGGTGGAAGCACAGACACAGGCCCAAACATACTCCTGTCCTCCTGGCTTTCCTGTCCCTTCTCATAAGGGACACAGGAACCTCTCAAACTGAACCATGGATCACAGAACCATACTCAGAACGCAATACAGTTTTGTCTACAATTTTTTATATATCTGTGTCCCTGTCTCTGCCTCCCATTCCCAACTCCCTTACTCTTGTTAGAAAAAAATGGCTATTATCAAATATGAGTACATCCTTATATACTAATGCCAACTGATCACCAGCTGGTTTTCTTCTTTTACAAAGTCATAAATATTTAGGCTTTAACACATCTTCCAAGCAATAGAATGTTATTTTCCAGTTCATTAACACAAATTCTATATCTAAAATGAAGACTTCACAAGTTGATTTAAATAACATATTAACGAAAATCGACTGGCCATGGTTCAAACTGACATTTTAATTAAATGTGATGATAGGTTGAGCAACCTAGCAGTACTCTAAAATGACTTTTGGTTATGGCTTTTTCCATATTATGTTTAGGCTGAGGCATCCCTAAATGATTCAATTGTAATTCCCCTTCTTAAACATGAGATTTATCTTTACAAAATAATTTATTTTCTTAAAATTGCAAGTTAATTCTATAGTTCATGCATACATAATCTCAGTAGATATCAGCTGTATGTGTACACACATACATATAGGTATTTGTATATACACACATTACATAATTTAAAAAAAAACTTATTAGCAGGGTACAACCACGAAGACAAAGAGGCTTTGTGTAATGTGATGGAAACACAATTGCAGGACAAACAACAGGCTGCTGTGAGGGCTGTATTTACCCTTTCTGATGTAAGACTTGGAAAAACATGGATACTGGATATTTAATCCCCATAACAGAAAATTTAGGGTGCAGACAACTTCCCACAATTTTTACAGACAATGTCAATAGAAATGCATTCAATGCAGGGAATACACAGTGTGACAGTATACAAAAATAAGCAGGTTGATGGTTTAGATTTATGAGACAAGAGAAAGAAATAGTAGATGATGTCATAATTCTCCTTTTATGGAGTTATGAAAGTTCTTCATTTTATATAAGGTCAGGTGCTTTCAAATGTCAATGAGAAAAATATTTAAAGGAAGAATCAAATCTAAGATGTAGAGAGATCTTTATAAACGTGAACTTCAGGCCAGGCACGGTGGCTCATACCTGTAATCCCAGCATTTTGGGAGGCCTAGGTGGGCCGATCACGAGGTCAGGGGATCAAGACCATCCTGGCCCACATGGTGAAACCCCGTATCTACTAAAATACAAAAAATCAGCCAGGAGTGGTGACGTGTGCCTGTAGTCCCAGCTACTCAGGAGGCTGAGGCAGGAGAATCGCTTGAACCCAGGAGGCAGAGGTTGCAGTGAGCCGAGATAGCGCTACTGCACTCCAGTCTGGTGACAGAGCAAGACTCCATCTCAAAAAAAAAAAACAACTTTTTTTCATGCTGAGAAGATATAATCATCAACACATTCTTGAGCACAACTATGCACACAGGCACTTCCGCATTCACAAGCCATGCTGTGTGCACACACTGATGCCCCTAGATTCCTTTTTTGAAGAGATGGTCTCTTGGTGTGTCACCCAGGCTGGAGAGGAGTGTTAGGATCATAGCTCACTGCAGCCTCAAACTCCTGGGTTCAAGTGATCCTCCTACCTCAGGCTCCTGAGTAGCCTGAACTATAGGAATGAGCCACCATGCCCAGCCAATGTTTTCATTTTATTGTAGAGATGAAATCTTGCTATGTTCCCCAGGTGGGTCTTGAACTCTTGGCCTCAAGGAATCCTCCTGCCTTGCCCTCCCAACATGCTGAGATTACAGGTGTGAACCATTGTGCCCAGCCACCGGATTCTTTATTAAGAAGAAAACTTGTTTGCTGACATGTAGGCAATGAATTGATGAATAGTAGTTCATAAATTACTAATTTACAAGTCAATATAAATGAGTTGAGTAAACACAAAATAACAGCATAAATTAATGAACAGTTTACGACCTCAAGTTTCTTTTTTTCCTTTAAAACATTGCTCTGACAGAGACTACTACTTGTCCATTCCATGGAAAAGTCAGAGGTGGTTAAAATGTCAGAGGTACACTTATTAACACCTTGCTGCCTTTTGTGTAGCTTCCTCTCAGTACTTCACCAGTTGGGATTGACACACCTCTCCAGCTGGGTTCAGGAGCCAGACAGGAGCACACAGAACAGGGAATCCAAAGCCATCTCTGACACCAAAAGCAATGAAAACAAAAATAACCAAACATATTATCAAGAAATGAACAAGAGATCGATATCAAGTACAGCAAAAAGAGAAGAAATCACTTAATCTGCCAGGCTTTCATTCTGACAAAATAATTTACAACACGCATGTCTCTATCTGACATGTGTGAATAGAAAAAGAAGAGGTGACAATAGAGTAGAGGATTCGTCTTCCAATTGTCTCTGATCTATCCAACCTTTGTTACACATCAGAGAGTTCTCCAATTTATAAATAAACAACAGAGATATGTGGCAACCAGGACACAGAGACATACTGAGAGTACTGCTCAGCTCTCTGCCTAGGCCTGATTCTGATGATCCCTGACAATGAGCACTGTGAAATTTACAGCAAATCAGTACACATACACACAAACACACAAAAGAGATACTTCATGGGCAAAAAGCACCAAAGATATAAAATAAAATGCCTGAAAGACCATAAAACAACTTCTGATGAAATGCTGTTTTCATTTTGCAGTAGTAAAATATTCACCACCAAATCTACAATTAGCTTAAAAATTACAATAAGTACAGTACTTTTGGATCCCATCTCCAATTCACACCTTATCAACATGTAATAATCACACTGCATCTACAACAAAGCTGGATGGACTTTATGTGCTGAATACAACTTGCACACTAAGAAGGAAATTTGTTGAAATAATGAGATTCCAAAATTTGTATGCCATGCTCTACTTCACAAGTTAAAAGAAAATACAATCATTTCTATTTTAAAATGCATTGAAATAAAATACAGAAAATACAGTATTCTAATACCAGTTAACATTAAGAGAATATATCTCTAAACCAAAGATCTTGGATCTTCTAGAAACAAAATCAGCTGGTATATATTTGGATAAGAAAAAAAAATTAAGAGATCAAGAAAGGAGAGAAGACGTTCGCACAGAATCATCTCCAAAAATGGCTTTCTGACGCATTCGACCAGTTTTCAAGTCTATTTGTTTTTCCTCCTTTGGCATCAACAGCCTATATCACCAAGGATATGCAAAATAATTCAATTTGTACATTAATCAGCTAATCTAGAACTGGAAATATAGTCAATGAAAATACAAAGAAACAGAAAATGTCAATGAATTGCTTAAGATGTTTAAGATGACATAGCGTAGGGAAAAAATGATCTGATAAACACCGGAAGAGTTAATAAGGAAACTGAGGCATGGTTCCCTAACACCACACTTCAAAAGAACTTATAGAGAGAATAAAGGAATAACCCTTAAAAAAAAAAATCTAATTTTAGAAAAAAATTGCTCAAAAGGGAAGTTAGGGTTTTATAGATCTTCTGGAAAGCTGATTAATTTCTAAGCTAAAAAAACTATATGAAGCTTTTTAACGTAGCACAATAGATAAAAGTATGAAAACATAAATTAGAAAAAACTAAAAATCATACCATAAGGGATGGATAAGTTAGAATACAGGAATAACAGGCCAGGCATAGTGGCTCACATATGTAATCCCAGGATTTTGGGAGGCCAAGTCGGGAGGATTGCTTGAGCCCAGGAGTTCGAGACCAGCCTAGGCAACATAGTGAGAACTCGTCCCTAGAACAGAACAAAAAAAATTAGCCGGGAGTGGCGGTGCACTCCTGTAGTCCTAGCTACTTGCGGGGCTGAAGCAGGAGGATCACTTGAGCCTGGGAGTTCAAGGCTGCAGTGAGCCAAGATCACGCCACTGCACTCCAGCCTGGGAGACAAAGTGAGACCTTATCTCAAAACAAAAACAAAAACAAAAACAAAGAAACCACAATAACAAAAAAACACTGGTAACAATAAAATCATGATTACATAAAGACTGTATAGAAAAAAAATCCTCAGAATATAGAAATAAAATTACGTATTTTACCTGTAGCTATATTAGAAGAGAGTATTCTTGTAGACAAGGATGTCTAGAAGGATACGCAAAAATGAAAACAGCTAATAACACTCATTATGTCAGGCACTGTGGTAGGTAGTTTATGCACATTGTAACAAATTATATACTACACTATCTCAAAATTTTCAGATAAATTTTACTGGAAGTCATAAATCAATACAACAAAATCAGTGTTTTGCAAACATCCACTAAGCATAAAGGTATACAAATTCCCAACCCAGACTGAAAAATAATTCACATAAGCCACACATTAGTGGAAACCTACCCATGGGAGATAATACAACATAATCTAAATAAAACTTTCAGAGACAAGGCATGTGGCTTCTGGACAGCCACAAACTCCCTGACTCTGCTCTAGTGTTTCGGCCATCAAAAGAAAGCCAAGTGGCCTCAGGTCTCTGAAAAACCAAAAAAGCAACCTATGGAAGATGGCGTGGTATTTGAGGAATATTTGAAGTCTGTTGAAAAATGCATCCTGTATTTTTTTCAAGATAAGACTCCCTTGTAATGTCAGGTAAGTGAAGAGCCCTCAGAGACACATGCACACACAAAGAAAAACAAAACGACATAGAATGAATCCCACCAAAATGTGTTATGATGGCAGAATTATGGGTGATACGATCTTCTGTAATATATCTTTTTATTAAAAATAGAAAAAAAGCAGACTTACCCTTGATTATCTATAGCCTCTGACCCAAGTGGTTTGGAATTGGAAAGCAGCATCACTCGACTTGAAGCCATCTTGGCATCAATGGTGGAGTAGGTGGAGATGAGACTCTGGACCAGCTCATGGGTGAGCCCCACCTTGTCCTATCAAGGCCACCAAGAAAGGGCACGTGAGGAAAGCACAAAGATCCTGGAGAGACACTGGTTTCACTCAGTTTCTCAAAATTATCTTAGACACATTTCCTGAGAACCTTTCTTAATGCCACAAACACCAGAGAAGAAAATCCTTATAACAAAGCTTGAAATGGATCCCCATCTCCATTAAACTTGTCCAAAGCTCAGTGAGTATATAACCTGATAACCTAAACACCTAGCTAGAAAAACCTCAGTTCCAGTGCTACAACAGTGCTAGCTTTTCTAACATTTTTAAGTAACCCTGCTTTTAACCCAATAAAATTCAACTACAGAACTAAGAAATAAATATTGGAAATCCACTTTAAAATAATGAGGAGACCACTGTGATTGAGAAAAAGAAAAAGACAAACGAGAGCTGGAAAGCACACTGATTTTGTAGAAACGGAAATAAGCCGTGCAGGTGCCACACTGGCAGCAGTGCCCGCGCTGGGGCCACGGATCAAGGAGGCATGGAGGACAGGACTCTTCTGCTTGGTACAATGAAAAAATGGTATTCTTTTTATTCTACATATTGACAATATGCATTTGGGCCTTTATTATAAGTACAAGAGAAAAATCTTCAATAAATAAAAGCTGAGTACATTACTTTTTTTGATTAAGAAATAGATTAGGAAAGAATAATGAGAGTTCAGAGCAAAGACTCCTGCCTCACTGATGCCTGAAAACCGTGGCTGCCACCAAGGTCAACACAGACAGCGTCTTTGTCATACAGCACACCCTCAACTCCAGAAACAGGCGCATAAACCAGCTGCTCCTTCTTATTTAAACAGCACTTCTTTTGTTATTCAGGAAGAACACAAGGGTCTGGGAGGAAACTGATGTCACTCATGGCAAAATGTTCTACCCCTGGAAGACAGGACCCAAAAAGCCAGCTTCAACTGACAAGAAGTCAGTAAGTATCTACTGTTGACTGGGGGGTTAAAAACGATCCACAGTCCAAGGGCTTAACCCATGACCCTAAAGAAGGGCATTGTGCCACACTGGAACAGTGGCCCTCTAGCTACAAGAGGTCAGAGAAGAGGGATTCGGTAACACCTTTGCAGGCCTACACATAGCTGGCTTACTTTTAAAACCTCCAGCAAGGCCATCTTCCCTTGTTTGGTCATTTTTCACTTTTCCTGAGAAATGAAGCCATCCCAAGAATCCTATGTGCAATTCTCGTATGTTCTACAGCAAGAGAATACCTGGCATGTGAATTTGGCTTTTATTTTTCAAGTGTGCTCCTCTTAAATAACCATAAAGTGACACCTGCAGGTCACATTTGATGTTTGTTTGGATATCCTCCGGGTTTGTCAAATCTTCCATCCTAGAAAAATAAACTCAATCATACAGCAGAAATGAATGCCAAAGTTCCTATACCTCCTTTCATGTGTCAATGACTCATCACACTCTTGTCCATTAAGCACATCACTTAGGAACTAGAAAATGCAGAAATAAGGAAGCACCGTTCACCATCCAGAAGAGGAAAAGGGGCAGGCACACAACTGTGTCTCTAGGCTGAAAGTGACATTCATTCCATAAGACACCAGATGGGAGATGGCGTCCACCTGGGGTCAGGGAAGAGTGAAGAACACATTCAGAAAATCCATTTCTCGAAGAGGGTGAGCCTGTGCTCTGGGATTTGTACTGTGGCTTGGATTCTGGCAGGTGGAAAAAGGGTATTCCAGGCTGAGAAAATCACAGCACAAAGAAGAGCACAAAGGAAGGAAACTGAAGGCATGCACGAAGGACTCCAGCACCCGGGCATGAAGGCAGCATCACTGAAAACTGAGGCTGAACGTAGGATGGGGCCACATCCTGTAGTCTTAAATGCTTCCAAGTCCTCCCATTTTCCTAAACATCTCATAATTAATTTACTCCCAAAGGCACAGCATCTTTGAGCAATGATATAAGTAGACATTTTCCATCAACTACACTTCTACCCCCACTATTCAAATAGGCACAAAATAAATCCTATCACTGTTCTTTTTCTAGCCTTTTTAGCTTTGAAATATATGGCCCAGGAAGAAAAAGTTTACAATCACCTTTTAACTGTCTGCCAGGATATAAGGGTGAAAAGTTTGCCATGAGAGGCCTAAACTTCATAACTGTAATAAAATGGCCCAGATTGTGGATTTCTTGGTTTTGATATTCTCCATGCACCATTCCAGAAAGGTAGAACAGTTTGGCAACCTAAACATTAAAGGAAAATTAAAAATTAAATTTCAATTAAATTCTCGTCAATACTGCAACAAAATAAAAGCTCTAAACAAGAAGCAATCCTAAGAAGGGAGACTTCCAGCAAAGCCACTGTCCTGAGGCTTCCAGAGCCTTGCTGGATTCTTTCAGGACTTATTAGAACCACACAGAGGCAGACTGCTCTGCAACCAAGCCGGGGCATCCATCTAAGTATGGTGAGGAGAGGGAGGTGAGGCCTCTGAGCACAGAAACGGTTCTGTGGCCGATGGACCACAGCAGTATGGAAAGGAAGGGGCAGTGCCTGGTCCTGTAACTGGGAGAAACTTCTGATGTACTCTATTAAGTCCCGACTCCAAAACACCCAGACATTGCCTGGTGCAGCAGGTACGGAGACAAATGAGATACACCAAGAGGCCCAGAATAACCACTCTCTTGAGGGAAACCTTCCAGAGACTGGGAACACATACACAAAGGGAATTCAGGAGGCAATTCCTAGAGAGACGTTTAGTAATGTCTCTTCAGTCTTTTTGTTTGTTTGTTTGTTTGAGATGGAGTCTCACTCTGTCACCCAGGCTGGAGTGCAGTGGTGCACTCTCAGCTCACTCCACCCTCTGCCTCCCAGCTTTGAGCAATTCTCACGTCTCAGCCTCCCTAATAGCTGGGATTACAGATGCATGCCACCACACCCGACTAATTTTTGCCTTTTGAGTAGAGACAGGGTTTGGCCATATTGCCCTGAGCTCAAAACTCCTGGCCTCAAGTGATCCACCTGACTCTGCCTCCCAAAGTGCTGGGATTACAGGCGTGAGCCACTGTGCCTGGCCTCTTTAGTCTGTTTTTAAAAGATTATACTGTTAGTTTCTAACAATTATTTCTCTTCCTACCTGGTAAACTTCTGTCCAGAACCTGTGTTTTAATCACTTCTTTGTCTTCTTCAGTTGCTTGTTATGCTTGAAGGAGTCGAGGTGGGTGAGAACTCCCAGAATTTTAGGAAAGCCATGTGCTTGACAGATGTTTAGAAACTCAAACATTTCCATTTCAAACCCAAAGCTGGCATCTATAAGCATCAGTACCTACAAGCACAACACATTATTTCTCGAAGAAACTACCAAAACAGACCACCTACACTAGGGGTTGGCAACTGGCCCACGGGCCAAATCCAGCCCATCACCTGTGTTTGTAACTAAAGTTTTATTGGAACATAGCCACATTAATTCATTTACATATTGTCTATGGCCGCCTGTGCACTACAACTGCAGAGCTAAGTAGCTGCAGAAGATATGATCCACAAAGCTGAAAATATTCACTATCTGGCCCTCGACAGAAAAGTCCCACTCCAGACTAAATCAAATGACTACACAGGCATCACCCAGACAGAGAAACCACCACCCTCTGACTTGCTCTAAAAGGCAACCATAAGACAAGGCCACTAGGATATAAACATCCATTTTAAGAATTCTAATGCATGAGAAGTAACTCAGAAAAGGCTGGGTCTAACCTGGCCCTTACCTAAGAAATCCTAATTTAAAGAAATGAAGTTTTCTGTAATGTATTTTTAAGCCAAATAACAGGTCTCTGACATCCAAAGAATGGGAAGAAAGTGATAATCAATGAAATATATTAAATACGTACAGAAAACCAACCCCTTCTTTCAATCTCCTCACAGAAAAAAAAAAAAAAAATCTGTTTTTTTGCTGGGAAGTATACAATGGAAACCTCTAACTTGTATGTTAATTTGTATAACTCAATTGCTCAGAAATATTTGAAATAGCTACCAGTTTAGAATTAAGTAAAAAAACAGAAAGATTATGATGAATGGTAGTCTATAAGAAAATATAAGCAGATAAGACCAATTTTTTTTTTTTTTTTTTTTTTGAGACAGAGTCTCGCTCTGTTGCCCAGGCTGGAGTGCAGTGGCTTGATCTCGGCTCAGCGCAAGCTCCGCCCCCCGGATTCATGCCATTCTTCTGCCTCAGCCTCCTGAGTAGCTGGGACTACAGGCACCCACCACCACACCCGGCTAGTTTTTTTGTATTTTTTTAGTAGAGACGGGGTTTCACAGTGTTCACCAGGATGGTCTCGATCTCCTGACCCCGTGATCTGCCTGCCTTGGCCTCCGAAGTGCTGGGATTACAGGCGTGAGCCACCGCACCTGGCCAAGACCAATTTTTAAAATTTAAGACACTTCAAAGATGCAAAATAATTTCAGAACTGATTCCTGGAAACTTGTAATTTTAATATTAAAGATAGTTCTGTTTGTATCTTTCCATGGATAACTAAAAATAACACAAAATGGAAACAGAAATGCCCATCCTTGATTAAACTAGGAAACATCAAAACCCAAAACCACAGAATATATGAAGTTGGGCTTGTAGGAAAGCACAGCTGCCACTGCAGACCAAGGCAGCAAGCAGAGCTCTCCAGCAACACTGGACCAGCTCAAAGAACAGGTGGAATATCCTCACACCACATCTGATGCCAGAGTGCCAAGGGACAAGCAGCTGGTTGTAGGGTCAGGAATAAAAGGGAGCAAACAGTCCCTCAGCTGCCAATCTTTGCCATCTAAGCCAGTGTCACTCCCCTAATCCACACACGCACGTACACACCCAAATCCACGTATTGTGTGTGCCTCTGCTGTACTCAGGAGGCTTTGACAACCCAGAGCAGAGCAATCAACATAAGCTAGACTAAATAAATTATGGTGCATCCACAGAATGGAATGTTATATTAAAAAGAAGGAGGCAGAGCTACAGTACTTACTGATTATATACCTTCAAGTATATTACATGAAAAGAGCAAAGCATAGAACAGTGTATAAAATAAGCTACCGTTTGTGTTTTTAAAGGGTGGCATGTGTGTTTATATGTATCTGGAAGGATATACATATACATATACATATATATAAAGGTCTGCAGGGACCTGAGAGACCAGAGGTTACAGCAAGGAAAGAGAAAATGCGCATTGTGTGTACCGTGCATTACAGTTAGAGTGCTTTACCAAATGTGTGTGCTCCTTTTGAAAATCTTAAGATTTACATAGGCATCTCTCTCAATGATGGTTAAGAGGCTGGGAAGGGGAGCAGGGAGGGAGGGACAAAGAGGGAAAGGTTAACAGGTACAAAAACACAGTTAGATAGAATAAATTCTAGTGTCCAACAGCACAATAGGGTGACTATAATTTATTATATAATTCAGAATAACTAAAAGAATGAAATTAAAATGTTCCTAACACAAATAAATGATAAATGTTTGAAGTGACGGATCTCTGAATTACCCTGATTTGATCATCACACATTGTATGCTTCTATCAAAATACTACATGTACCCCATAAATATGTACAACTATTATGTATCCATAATAACTAAAAATAAAAAAATGTAAATGCATCTCTTAATATGTATGTATTTAAAATTAGAAACTTGCTACATTTTAAATAAAAGAGAAACAAATGACTTCTAGGAACTATTCAATCATTTCAAGTATACAAGTTTAGTAATCGTTACACAACTTTACATTAATTACACTTATTTTTACTAATAGTAGCATTACATGTTCAAAATTTGAATGTTATTTAGTTTTCTGACATTACAATGGCACAACTTTAAAATCTGTATTACTTTTTCCTTTATATTTTAGGAGTCTTCCTAGGCCAAAGTATAAAATCTGTAGCTCTAGAAAAAACTAAATAAAAATGAAAAAAACAAGGTATCTGTCACCCCACACTTCCTAATCAATATGGCTTATTTTTTTGCTAATTTTTTTTTTTTTTGAGACAGAATTTCACTCTTGTTGCCCAGGCTAGAGTGCAATGGCGTGATCTCGCCTCACCGCAACCTCCATCTCCTGGGTTGAAGCGATTCTCCTGCCTCAGCCTCCTAAGTAACTGGGATTACAGGCATGCACCACCTCACCCGGCTAATTTTGTATTTTTAGTAGAGACGGGGTTTCTGCATGTTGGTCAGGCTGGTCTCAAACTCCCGACCTCAGGTGATTCGCCCACTTCGGTCTCCCAAAGTGCTGGGATTACAGGCATGAGCCACTGTGCCTGGCCTTTTTTTTTTTTTTTTTTTTTTTTGCCAATGTAAAAGATAGTTCATAGAATATCAGAAATAGTGAACATTATCATTTCCATAAATGCAAGAGCATGTACATTTTCCACACGCTGAGTACTGCCTGAATTTTCTATTGATAAACTCTGACCACTTCTTCAGGCAATTCATGTACTTACTTTAGCATTATCATTAAGGATGAAGGTTCTAGAACCATCAGGAACAAGGGTCCCATCTTCACACAAGTTACTTAACTGCTGGGAGGCTCTATTTCATCTTATGTAAACTATAGATAATACCTACTCACCTCAAGGGTGTATGTAAGCTAAATTTGTAGAAAGCAGTTAGCACAGTGCCAGGAAGGGTCCAAGAAGAAATGGTACTTACTATGATATATTTGTACATATATATGTATGCATGTAAATGAGCTCTTATTAGCTGTGTTCATTAAAGGTTTTCTCCATCCTGTGATCTGCTTTTAGATTTTGGAACACATTTCATTGTGCACATTCCATTTGTATTATTAATATGACAACATTTATTACTATTATTATTATCATCATCAATTCAATCACATCTACTATATCCCTGATAATGACCATGATCCTTTTAATAATCACAAAACTCTCTTCCCTTCATCACGGGGTAAATAACCTATCACAATGCTGTAAGTCTCCATCAGCACCCCAGGCTGCCCCTGCTCACTTACCAGATCTGCTACTTTAGCCAGATCAATCATCATGTTAATGTCACACCCACATTCAATAATGGTGAGTCTGCGCTTTTTACCTATAAGTGAAAAGATGAAAATTTTACTTTAAAAAGACCCTGAAAAAACTCTAACCATCAACTCTTAATTTTCATTTTTTAACTGCATCCAGTAAAACACCACATACGTTTACAGGAGTGTACCAGAAGTTCATTTTTATAGGCAAAAACTGGTAAAATAAATTCCATCCTGTTTTTCTTCCTGTGTTCTAAATTTAGATAATATCAAAAGCCTACCCAGATGAATAAAAGTGCTCAAAACAGGGAAAATTCTGACTAGACAGGCTCCACGATAACCATGATCTTGCTGTTCAGCTGCAGGCCAATGTCTTCACCTCTATCAAAATTTCCTGTATTCCCACTATCGCTAAAAACATCCTCAAACATAATGCAACAGAATATTTACAATGATAATTATTTCTAAATTAAGGTAATAAGAAAATGATCAAGAAAATATTGGCTGGGCACAGTGGCTCATGCCTGTAGTCCTGGCACCTTGGGAGACCAGGGCAGGTGGATCCCTTGAGCCCAGGAGTTTTGAGACTAGCCTGGGCCACATGGGGAAATCCCATCTCTACAAAAACATAAAAATTTAAAAAAAGGAAAAAAAAGAAAAATTAGCCAGGCATGGTGGCATACACTACTCACAGGAGGCTAAGGTAGAAGGATTGCTTGAGCCTGGGAGGTTAAGGCTGCAGTGAGCTGTAATCACACCACTGCATTCCAGCCTGTGCCACAGAGCAAGACTCTGTCTCAAAAAAAGGAAAATAAAATATGGATGCGCCAAAGATAAAGAAAAGCCTCAATCCAACTATATTACTGCAATAATAAGAGATTTCAGAGTGTACATTGCCATTCTACCACTGGATGTTTGTTTCATCTTCCCTCAAACTTGGAAAGGTCACCATCTCCCAAAGCAGACAAATTCTCATAGGAAAAAGAGAAAACGCGCACTTCCACCAGCATGTGGCTTCATAAGGGCAAGCATGTGCACCTGGCACATAGGAGGTACGTGCTGTCTGTTAAATGGTGTGTTCGCAGTGACCAGGCCTGTCAGGCCCTTCCAAGGAACATGCTTGGCAAAGCCATAAAGCAGTCAGGATAAGGTATGTATCACATCCTTATCTCTGGGAACTTATCCTTTTATGAAGTTATAGCTAACTTAGTAAAAGTAAGAGAGAGGTAACATGATATGACAATATTTAACATGTTCCACTCAAGAAAACAACAAACACACGCATGTCCCTCAGATGACAACAGCCACACCAAGTCTGTGTCTGTGGCGGCATCTCCTACCTGACACGATCGTCACAGGGCCTCTGATCTCGGTGAACTTCTGCCAGGTGAAGTTCCGAATGAGGCATTATATCAAAGTGCTCTTTCCAACTTTGGAGGCCCCGTCACCACTACCGCTATTGGTGGCGGCTCTAGTGGAGTTCCATCAACCACTGGAATATGATGCTTTTGTGTCTTCAAATCCAGAGTCCTATTTATTTAAAAAAGAAAAAAAAAGTAAACTCACTTTTAAAATAGAGTAAAAGGTATCAACCTTATAAGTAGACTTTTTTTTAGTATAATTACAGATATGAGTACTTTAGTATATTTTATAGAGAGTACAACAGACAATATAAAAATATAAGTAACTTGTCAATTATTAACTTCTGACCCCTATCCAAATCAATTGCTGTTCAGTAAAGATGTAACAAGATGACTTCAATAGTATAGAGTTGAAAATTAAACACTCCTTAAATCTGACTGTTTTATGAGTGATTTTTATAGTTTTTTAAAAACCAAAAGGTAAATACTGAGGCAGTGCATCATAACAGATAAGAGCAGAGGTTCTGGAGTTAAATTTGGCTCTCCGACTTACTGGTTGTATGATGGGAGGTAACTTGTTTTCTTGACCTCAGTTTTCTTGTCCATAAAATGAGGGCAAGAATGATTCCTACTCTGGTAAGGCTGCTGGAAGGATTTAGTTGAATAACGTTTAAAGTACACTGCTAAGAATATCATAAGGACTCACTAAATAAAACTATGTTAGTATTACATATTGTAATTTTTGTATTTTATATTACAACTTTGTAAAACATATCCAGAGGGAAAAAGCACACTTATCACCATAGAAACAGTTTAAAGTTTAGGAAGAATCAAATTCTATAAATTCTTGTATCTTGGGCAAGAAACACCAACCAGTGTGCAGATGCTGGAGGCAAGGCAGCTTCTATGGCAAGTCCTCTCACGTTTTAGTAAAAGCCACACAGCATGCATCTCCATGTCCTTTGGAGCTGGACTAGACTTGTGAATCCAAATGTCACCTGTGAGAGGCTCCTAACTATTTAAAAAGATTCAATGGAAGAACCATCAGACTGTAGCTAAACACACCTGTGAAAGGATCGAGACATCCACACAGCAGACTGAACTGCAAAAGCATTGGCATTTCTCTTCTGGGCATTTTCTTCGTCTCCTAGCTGGAGATCCTGCAGATGCCACTTCTTTTTCTTTGCAGCTTTGGGTCCACTGTTTTTCTTTCTGTGTTTCTTCTGGTCCTTAGTCTCCATAGTGGCTATTTACCAATAACAAGTAACTCTAACCTACAAGGAAGAAGGTTGGGGTAAGGAGGTGGGAGAAGCATTTTACAATCCAGGCAATACCCAGGGAAAAACATTAAATTTCATTTATTTCTTTATGAAGACATGATGTATTTGTTCACTGAACAAGGGTAGAAACTGCTTAACCATCCCCAATTTCATTTCTCTCTGTTATGCTATAAATTAGATGAGTTACCTCTGCTAAGGTTACATTCTATGGTTAAGTTACTTTTTACTCGTCTCAAGTGTCAACATCACCAGTACCTATTTCTGCAAGGATGGAAATATTCTATATCTGTACTTTTCAGCCATTTAGCCATTAGCCACATGTGGTTACTTAAAATGTACTTCAGAGAAACTGAAAAAATGAATTCTTAATTAATTTCATTCTAACTGTAAATAGTCACATGTGGCTACCATACTGGACAGCTCAGACCTAGACATCGACTGGACTAACGAAGTGGTTTCCTAACTTAAACCAGAACTTAAATTTCAATAAAAAATTTAAAACGTTTTTATGAACTTCCAATAGGATCGCAGTATTACTTTTAGTACCTGTTGACTCTAAAACTTCTAAATTACAGCTCATCTACATACAATTGAAAAATAGCAATATCTGTATGTGTGAGATATGACTGGTTCTAGATGATGCCTGGAGGCCCCATGGACTTACAGAGACCCTTCCAGTGATTTCTGAGGTACCTGGGAATCTGTGGCCAATAAATTGGTAGTCACTGAATCTGTGAGTTTTTTTGGAATATCGGGCTGCATAAAATCTGACAGCTTGATTGAGAAAAAGCGGGGCAGGGTGCCATTTCATTCAGTTAAGGTCCTGTATTCATTCCGTTTAATAAACGTTTGTGTCTGTCTATGATGTGCTAGCCACTGTGCCAGAAAATGGATATAGCTATGGTCTGATTGACAGAGGAAATCCAAACTAGTATCTTCCGTGCCATGCAATAAGAGCTACATTGCAAGGCTGCAGAGGGTGCTACTGGAGCACAGAAGTGAGTCAAAGGCTTCCCACAGACACACACACGAGCGGAAACAAAGTCTTTATATATCACCATATGTCAAGGAACACTGGCCGGGAGTTAGGAGAGCTGGGCACTAGGAACGCTTTGAAACTGAATAGCTGTGTGATTTCAGAGGTTATATTGCTTGTCTACTATATTTTACTGCCGAACTTGTACTGTTTCTCTCCCTTTTCTTCTTGGTGGGAAAAGCACAATTTGGGGTCAACAGATTCGGCTCAGGTCTAAGTCGCCTGCCGGGACCACGTCGCCAGGAAACGACGTCTCCCCGACACCTTCCCTCCCAGTCCGGGCTCTCTGCAGGGATTCATCCCGTCACTCTCCCAACGACCCTCGGGCACACCTCAGGCAGATGCGAAATATGCCGCTCCTGGGGAGCAAAGATGACCCGGAGGACCGGGGGAGTACCTTCCCACGCGCACGACTCGCGATCTTCCCAGCCTACCCCAGCCCGCGGCACCTAACCTGTTCACAACTGCGACTCCTTAGGTCCGCTTGGACACCGCCGGAAACGGAAATTCACCCTCGCGCCGACTCGCCGGAGGTAAACAAAAAGGCAGAAAAAAAGGGACCGCCGCCTGGACGACTTGCAGGGGACAGCTGGAAGAAAGACTCGTCAACGGCCGAGTGCTGGCGCCGGCGCCGTCTGCGCAGTGCGTTCCACCGGGTCCGCGTCCCTCCCGATTCAGCCCCACCCCGCCCTCGGAATCCGCTGCCTCAGCTCCTGCTGTGGCACTCCCCAGCAGCTTGCACCTCGCTCGCGGAGTCCTTGCTGAAGGCCAGGGCAGCTGTGCGGCCTGGCGCGGGTTACTTGATGCCGTGCAAAAGCCAGGAGACACATTTGGTTCTGGCCGCCCCGGAGTCACCGTGCCCGGGGCGAATGGACTATGGCTGGATTGGGAGTCCACTTCCTCCTCTGTAAAGATGACAGACGAGGGAGATCTCACGTTCTGGGGGTGCCCTATAGCCCTCTTTTGGCCAGAAGCGGTGGATCACGCCTGTAATCCCAGCCCTTTGGGAGGCCGAGGCAGGAGGATTGCTTGAGCCCAGGAGTTCAAGACCAATCTGGGCAACATAGGGAGGCTACGTCTCTCAAAAAATAAATAAATACATAAATAAATAAAAATAAAGCCAGCGTCGTGGCGGGGCGCCTGTGGTCCCTGTGGTCCCAGCTACTCTGGAGGCTGAGGCGGGACGATCGCTTGAGCCTGGGAGGCAGAAGTTGTAGTGAGCTGAGATCGAGCCACTGCACTCCAGCCTGGGCGACAGAGCAAGACACTGTCTCAAAGAAAAATAAATAAATAAAATAAGGCCCTCTTTTTCCGGGACCAACAGACTCTGAGGGCAGGGACAAACTGACCCAGCCTAAACTGCCTCGCCTTCCCTGCTCCCGGGAAAGGGGTTTTCCCTGAGGGAAGGTAGCATCTTGCCATTTTCTTCCTGCACAGCTTTGCCTTCCCAGGGATCCACCCATTGCCACCTGAGGAAATGCCTTGGAGCCCATCTAATCCCCAGCCCAGCTACTTGGGACGCCTACAGAGACTACATTGTCAGAGGATGCATCTTCCTCTAGTCTTGGAGGGTTTCTTTTCAATATGATCCCACCGGTGCATGCAAGGCTCAATTCTACATCAAAAAACTAGGCCCACTCCTGTCGCCGAGACCCCCAGGCTTCAGGTCCTGTCACAGTGACCTTGTTATCACCCCCAGCAGCCCCCAGGTATTCACTCTGCGTAGGCTATATACTGGGTGCTGCACTAGGGAGGCTACCTACGTGGCGCATGCTTCCCTTATCCCTGAAGAGCTTAGGATGTTGTAACTTCTTCACACTAGGCCTCTTACTTCTTGGAGATGTCAGTATCTGGGTAAATAATCCTTCTAACATCCTTTTGGTCTCATGAAGCCCATTCTTGTCCTCTGCCCTACCTCAGCTTCCCCCTCCCTCCATGATCAGACCTTAGACCTTGTCAGGTCCAAGGACTGCAACCCTCACAGTATCCCACTCTGACCACCACCTCCTATCTAGAGCAATGGAGAGACTTTGTAGGTGAAAGCTGTCTTTGCTACTGGTTCTCCTATGCTCCCTCGCCTGGCTCCTGCAGGCGGTTGACTTCACCAGGGACACAGTGGCCAGTGCCCAGCAGGTCCCACTCCTCTCACCAGCTCCAGGCAGTTTTATTGTAGAGTAACTCTTCTGAGACACTGCTCCTTTCCCCAGCACCTAAGGAAGTATTTCTAGTAAGTTCCAGTGGTATAGCATCGGTGACTCTCCTGACAAGCAGAGGGCCATGGCTGGGTTCCTCTGATGAGGTGCAGGGGCAGGGCACTAAGAGGGGAGGACTCTCCTGAGTTCTCTACCTGAGCCCTAGACTAGTAGCTGCTCCTCCTATACTTCCTACTAGTCTGTGCCTGGTTACTCCACTTCCCTGTTGCAATTAACAATTCCCTATGTACACTTTTCCTGTTCAAATGACTGTGTGGCTTCTCTTTCCTAATCGGACTCTGACCAATACGCTATCATTTGCCAACAACTCCCAAAGTTTTATCAGTGACTCAGACCTCTAACCTGAACTCCAGCTGCCTCCATGAGATATCCATTTGGATGTTTAATGGACATTTCCAAAGTGATATGCCCTACAGAACTCAGAATCTTCCCTCTCAAACCAACTGCTCAGCAGTCTTATGATCTTAGTTGATGGCAATTCAGAAGTGAATTGCAGGACACCCGGTTTGTATCTGCAGAGAGAACTGGAGAACTGCTTAGTGTGGAAAACCCACACATTTTGTTTCAGAAGTGTGTGAGTAGAAACAGTTTTCCTTTTATGTTTGTTGGATGGATAATGATGAACCTAGCAGGACACAGAAAGCTAGGCAGCAGTGGAACTGAGAATGAAGTTATAGTTAATAGCAGAGAATGAAAAAGAAAAGACAGATAAAACATTTTGAAGAAAGGACAGTAATGTATTCCCAACAGGTAGGATTTACAGGATGGAGAGAAGAGGCAAAGATAACTACAAAATTTCTAGCCTGAGAGACTGGTAGAAAAAAATGGTGGTATCAGGAACAGACAGGGGTTATTAAGAAAAAGGATTGGATTTTTAAAATAAAGAAGATCTGGTGTAAAATTATCCTCAGGAAAACTGGAAAACTAGGCATGTACTTCTCTCCATCATGCCCTTGCACAGTGCAGTCCTTCTGCCTGTCCATGCCTCGCCTCCCCCTCCCTAGGATTCCTCTTCCTCTCTTAAGACCCATCTCAAATATCACCTAGACTTGTAAGTAATTTACATGAAACTGGATACCTGAGGTATCCCTTTGAAAGTTTTTAATAACAAGTTACTGTTATCTTTTACTAAGTCCAACTTTATATTCGCCATTTTAACTAGCATCATTTCTGTTTCCAAGAGGTATTTGGTGTGAAAGTGCAACTAAGTTTACTGTTAATCAAGATCAGAATAAAAGAATCTACCAAAAAAATTAACAAGATCCCCCTTTTAATGCATAATCTTTCATCCATCAGGCTGTAAGTTAAATACCTAACATAAAAGAAAGCTGTATGTTTTATGGATATGTACATATATAACTGCAGGGAATATGATTTGGAAGGATGTACACTTAGAGAAGACTGGAGTCACAAGTGGTAGTCAAGGGAGTCTTCAGATTTCTTTTTGTATTTCAATTTTGACAGAAATACATACATATGTATTATAATTTTAAATTTTTAATGAAAAAAAGTATTTTTCCTTTTTTTTCTTGATCTGTCACTACATTATATTTTTCCAATATCAGCTAAACATTTGCTTCCCAGAAAGCTTAGTTGTCTTTTCAAAATTTATTCAGGTTAAAATAAAAGATTTAGACAATGAATTAAAAATCTAAGATGGTATTTGCCTACTTTATACAGAACAGTACATTGATGCTGCTAAAGCAATTAAAGTATAATTTTTCTTTTTTTTTTTTTTTTTTTTTTTGAGATGGAGTCTCACTCTGTCACCCAGGCTGAAGTGCAGTGGTGCAATCTCAGCTCATTGCAACCTCTGTCTCCTGGGTTCAAGCAATTCTCCTGCCTCAGCCTCCCCAGTAGCTGGGATTACAGGCGTGCACCACCACGCCCAGCTAATTTTTTTGTATGTTTAGTAGAGACAGGGTTTCACCATGTTGGCCAGGCTGGTCTCGAACTCCTGACCTCAAATGATCTGCCCGCCTCAGCCTCCCAAAGTGCTGGGATTACAGGCATGAGCCACCACACCCAGCCTAAAGTGTGTACTTTTTCTTAGCTCCTATATGCAGTGCTCCTTCCCCATACTGAATGTCTGAATTTTTATCTGAGACATAGTATTTCAGATGGTCATTACTTACGGGTGGTCATTAATAGTTCCTCCCTGCTTCTAACCTTCCTCTCCTCATTTTAAATTAAGTTACGCTACATTATTGTGGATTAGAAAGTACATTAATATTAAGTGAAAAAATATGATCTGATGAGTAAGTGGCAAGAGTGTTAACGTATGAATATTAAGAGTTGTTCTGAGGCCTTTTTGCTTTTCTGGGGGTTCTGTGCTTGTGGTAGAACTCTTGGTTATTTTATAAATAGTTCCTGAAAAGTGAGAGAGTACAGCTGGAAATCAGATTTCTGATGAATAAATCAAACCCTATTAAGAGAAACAGGTTCAAGTAATTTTAAAACCATTTGAATTTTCATAAATGTTTTGTTAATGATTAATTATAAAAAAAAACAGTGACTCTAGCTGGAGGCTTTTGTGTGTTTGCTTTTGAGTCAGCTAGGAAAAGGAAGAAAAATTCAAGCTTAGTCAATTGTGGTTTTCACTGAATCTTTTTTAAAGTAATGAGCTGGTTTGTTTTCTTCATCACTATAGCAACTTAAGCTAGTTTTTGCTTTTGATTTTTATTTCTCCTAGAGAAACTTAGCATGCACTGCTCATTAGACTTGAGCATACTAAGGAATATCTGTGGTAATTAAGTTAAAAATCAGATCAGTGCTTTGTGCTGTGTATAGTTGCAGATGTCTGCATTTCACTAATATTCTTTGGAAACATCTGGATACCAGTTAACATAAAATAACTGTTTAGTTGGTTTCTGTTCAGAATAGAAGGAATGACTTAAAAGTTCCCATTGTAGTACATACGTCATTCTATCCCTAGCCCTTCCTCCAGCTTTACTGAGATTGATAAATAATAAACATCATGGGTGGTGTGTCTTTAGTTTCCTCTGGTGAGCTGGATGCACAGATTACTTTGTCAGCAGGGTGGTCTTGATTTTTAGGCCATGTGTCTAATGGCATCAGCTCTGTGGCCGACACCTGTGTACCAAGCCCATTCACTATCTAGCTTAGCCAGCCGTGGACTCCTGCTCTTTGTTAAAAGTATTTACCTTCATTCCTACTAGCACAGTTGACCAAAGACCCAGTTGATCCCAAACACTAGTAATGCATCAATGGAGTCTAACAGAGTTTTAAGATGTGTGTGTGTGTTTGGGGGTGGGGGGTGTAGAGATGGGATCTCACTATTGTTGTCCAGGCTGGTCTTGCACACCTGAGCTCAAGTTCTCCTGCCTCAGCCTCCCAATGTGCTAGGACTACAGGCATGAGCCACCATGCCTAACCCTCTAAGACTTTGGGATACAAAAACATAATTTACTTTCCTTCATTTCTGGAATAAAACATCTCTTCTTCCTCCCCCTACTTTCTGTTCTGTGCCCCTGTTTGATCTCTGTTGGTCCTGTTCACCTTCAGCCTTCTCTGCTGAAGGAGGAAAGGCTTGGTTTTATAAAAAGTGACAATATTCAGACCACATAAGATCCTTCTTGCTTCATT
This sequence comes from Homo sapiens, assembly GCF_000001405.40. Classification (NCBI taxonomy): domain Eukaryota; kingdom Metazoa; phylum Chordata; class Mammalia; order Primates; family Hominidae; genus Homo; species Homo sapiens. The sequence goes on along the minus strand of NC_000010.11, from coordinate 46,781,530 downwards.
TTGGATTAAATATTTTAAGATTTTCTGATTTTCTTGTATGCATATGTATTTACCTATTATTTGACTTTATTGAATAACTTCAAATTGAGTATATTTGAATGGGAATGGGCATTAAAAAGTGCTAAGCTTTCCCTGCCTTTCAGAACTTTGTATGTATATGTCACATCATTTTGTCCTTCACATTCTCCAGTTGTGCTAATTTTTCCCAATCCATTAAGTAGAGTACCTTCCTTTTTGGAGTCTTACTTTTTTTTTTTTTTTTTTGAGGCAGAGTCTCAAACCGTCGCCCAGGCTGGAATGCAGTAGTGCAATCTCAGCTCACTGTAACCTCCGCCTTAGCCTCGTGAGTAGCTAGGAAATACAGGAGCATGCCACCACACCCAGCTAATTTTTGTATTCTTAGTAAAGATGGGGGTTTCACCATGTTGGCCAAGCTGGTCTCGAACTCCTGACCTCAAGTGATCTGCCCAGCTCGGCCTCCCAAAGTGCTGGGATTATAGGCGTGAGCCACCACATCCGGCCTCCTTACTTAAATATCTTAATGTGCCTTAGAATGTAGTTAAGAATTTTCAGGTGACAGTATATTTTTGATAGTTATCTTTGGTTTCCAAACCCAGAGAAGGAAGAGTAACTGGCTTTTTCTCTGTGTGGGTACATTGTGTCTTATTGGAGATTGTTTTGTCTCAAGTATCGCTGCAGACTATTTTATTAATGGGTGCAACTTTAAAATTTTTTTTTTTTTCAGATTAACGGTTTAGGTATCCCAGTACTCGGTATTTGCCAATTTCTAGAATTAAAAACATGTGTGTATCACTGGTTAACTAGAAATTTAAAATGAAAATGTTTCTTCTTTAGCCCAGGCAATATCACTTGCATTCACTTCTATCCCCTCCTTGTCCCTACTCTGTTGGCTCCAGGGCTTCTTCCACTAAGCTGGTACTTTCTTTATACCTCCTGTACTTCCATTCACTGAACCTTTATTGGTTCATAGCCTACAGAAAATGCCTGTGGTGTGAGAGGTAATTTGTGAAACTGCTTCTCTTCACTGTTTAGCAGGTTGAGCTCTCTAAATGGGTGTAGCTGGGAAAGAAAATTTAACTTTACAAACAAGAATTCCTGGGTTCCATCCAGCGGAACATGTCTTTTGTTATACACACACAGTTTCTGACTCATATCATTCCATGACTTATGATAAAATGGACATTCTGTTTACACTGTTGTGTGGAAGCAGGGGTCTGGTTCCTAATTTTTAGTAACATCTATTTCTAGAATATTAGGCTTGCCATTTGAATGCTTCTGTTTGATTTATGAATATCATTGGTTCCAGCAGTTTTTAGCTCCCTGCTAAATGCAAGTTAAAATTTTTAAGTTTCTAAGTTAAAAGAAAGTAACTTTTCCTCCACTTAAGAAAGCAAGGAAAATTAAAAATAATGTAGTGATGACTTCCACAGGCTCTAAAAGAGCAATGAAAAAAGTGATTTATGTGTGGGAGAAGAAATACTAGTTCTTAATTAATACATTGTTTTACCACTTCCCGTGAATTTATGTAGAAGTAATGAAACCAAGGTTTAAGTCATTTGTTCAAACTCCTGTCAGTTTAGACTTTTTAATTGCTTTGTTACATGCCATTGCTTTGTAATACTTGTTATAGCAGTGGTAACAGTTGAGATTTGCCTGTTTGACCACTTGCAGGGCACCGTGCCAGATTCCCCATGTGCAATGTTCCTCGCAGTTGTGACGCCCATCGTAGGAGGGCGGCGTTAGCACCCCTCCATGCAAGCGGATGGTGCAGGCTGGGTCGCCTGGGCACAGCGCCTGACTATTTTCCTGGCTTAGTGTAGTTATCATTAAATATGTGGTATTACTTAGAAGCATTTTGAATAATTTGAAAAGCACATTTTAGTGTTGAAACAATTTTTTTTTGAGAAAAGGTCTGGCTCTGTTGCTGGGGTGGAGTGCAGTGACCTGAGCGTAGCTCACTGCAGCCTGCAACTCCTGGGCTCAAGCGATTCTCCTGCCCCAGCCTCCTGAGCATCTGGGACTACGGGCACATGCCCCCACACCCAACTCAATTTTTTTTAAGATACAAAGGATTCATCTTAATATTATTTACAATTTTTTTTTCCTTTTCTGTGGGCCTCATCTGACTGGAAAGCCTTTCAATTTTTTTATTTTTTAAATTGTAAATTGACAAATTGTAGATGTATATTTATGAGGTACAAAGTAATTTTATGATTTATGAATACAACATTACATAATTAAGTCAAGCTGATTAACCTGTTCACCACTGGAAACAATTGCAAATAATTATCATTTTTTCTGGTGAGAACATCTGAAATTTACTCAGTGATTTTGAAATGTGCAGTACTTTTTGTTGTTGTTGTAGAAATGAGGTCTCACTATGTTGGCCAGGCTGGTTTCAAACTCCTGAGCTCAAGTGATCCTCCCACCTCAGCCTTCCAGTGTTGGGATTACAAGCGTGAACTACCATGTTGGGCCAAATGTGTAATCTATTATTATTTACTGTATTCACCATGCTGTGCAATTTATCTCCAAGAAATGTATTCCTCCTGTCTAATTGAGGCTTTGTGCCCTTTGACCATCATCTCCCCGTCACCCCCATCCCCAATGTTGTATACTGAGTCCTTTCATGATATGTATGGAGGCTTATGGTAAGTTATTTAAAAGTACATGTATGTCAAAATTTTTTGTGGCCATAGCTTTTCTTTCTTTTTAAAATTTTAAGAGTCAGAATATTCGTATATTAATTCAGCATGTATTTGAGTGCCTAATGTATGCCATTTTCTATGTTAGGAACCAGGAATTAAAGCAGTGAACATAACAAAGTCTGCCCTCGTGGTGCTAACTTGCCAGGTAGGGAAGCCAGATACTAAACACATGTATAATGCAAAGTCAGTAATAATAAACGATATGAAGAAACAAGTAAGGTAGGAGAGGCAGGAAAGTGGGAGTGAGAAAGAGGTGCTCTTTTAAATACAGTGGTCAGGGAGAGCCTCTCAGAATGAAGTTTTTAACAGAGACCTGAATGAGATGGGGGAGTCAGCTATACAGATATCTGCTGTGTGCTAGAAAAATTACCTGTAATTTTGCATTCTAAAAGTTTAATGAGTACATTTATTTCACAATTTGAGAATCAATTATATACAAGATATAGTTGTAAGCACATACTCCCCTAAATATAATTTGTTTTTACAGTAGACCAAATAAGTATGTTCAGCTTAGAATATGCTCTTTATGATCTGTATAATAAATACATTCTCTTAAAATATTATTAATATTAAGGTTGATGTTTTCAGAAACATATAAAAAAGCTAGCTTTTAAAATTGACTAGGGAAGTTCTCTCAAACTGCCAGTCCCTGAGATATTGTATATTTTCTATCTGAAAAACTTTTATTCTCAGAATTCTTTAAAAGAGCTGTCCCTGAGGCTCCCATTACTTACCTGTGACTCCCAGTGGAAATCGTACCCAGCCCCTCGAGAGGGGCTGAATCTGTTGAGAGTGGGAGGGTAGAAAAAATGCTGCAGCTTCTTGTGGGTAAACTTCACACACAAACACCCAGTGCCCCAAGCACTGTGCAGTCAAACATCAACCCTGCTCAGACTTTCCTCCTTGGGATTGAGAAGCAATGGATTATAGAGAAAGAAAGGTGGCTTAGCACTCCAAAACTTGGAAGGGTAATTGACCAAGACCCCCCAAAGCCAAAGCAGTGGGCATCCCCACTTTCTGTATACCCTATACCAACACGTAATGGCTACTAGATACAGGGGCACTAGTACCTGTCTGCTTGGCTACCTCCCCTTCTTGCAGAAGTGGTGAAGGGAATCACTCAACCTCAGGAAGGGAAAATGGCTTTCTCATCTTCAAATTGAAAGAGGTTGGCAGTGGGTGAGGAGAATAACAAGTAAGGATCTCTTTCAATATACCCATTTGAAGCCAAAACCTCTGTTTAGACATACGGTATTTTGAACCTGGTGACTATTCATTGCCCATGTTTGTGAATTATCAGAAAGCAGAATTCTTGCCAGGCATAGCGGCTCATCCCTGTAATCCCAGCACTTTGGGAAGCCAAGGTGGGAGGATCACTTGAGCCCAGGAGTTTGAGACCAGCCTGGGCAACATGGTGAGATCTTGACTCTACAAAAAATTCAAACATTAGCTGGGCATGGTGGCATGCACTTGTGGTCCCAGCTACTCAGGAGGCTGAGGTGGGAGGATTACCTGAGCCCAGGAGGTTGAAGCTACAGTAAGCAGTGTCTGTGCCACTACGCTCAGCCTGAGCAACAGAGCAAGACCCTGTTTCCCACCCCTACCCACCCCCTAAAAAAGCAAGCTGAATTCTTGAACTCCCTGCAACCAGGTCACGCAAACCAAAGGTAAAAGGAACATAAAAAAGCCTTCTGGAAAGTGTACAGAAATTCATTGCAGGGTGATTTTTGTCTTGTGAAATCATAGTTACTGTTATTAGCAGCTTTTTTAAATGTTTTATATTCATTTTTTATGGTGTTCTGATGTATGAGCTGCTTCAAGTGTTTTTGGACATAGCTTGGGTATAAAATGTAAAAAGTGGATATTTTCAATTTGTAGCTTTCTTTTTTGAAACTTACTGAAATTTGTTCTAAATATATCTCCTTCTTTCTCACCCACCCCAACACATTTTTTAAAAAACACCACCAGGTATCCGTTATAGCACTGATGTGAGTGTAGATGAAGTAAAAGCTTTGGCTTCTCTGATGACATACAAGTGTGCAGTGGTTGGTAGGTGATCGCTTTTCTTGCTACCTAATGAGAACTCTGGGGAAATATGTTTACACACATGTTACTGTTAAGATGCTATAGAAATATACCTTATCAGAACTGATTTTTTTTTAAGTTGTACTCTTTAAGACCTGCATCATTTTTCAATTACTCTAAATTAAGATATAGCCTTTTTTTACGGGAGGGATTTTTTTTACGGGAGGGAGCTAATTGGATTTTAAGTCTAGATCTTTGTTTTCAATTCCTCAACATATTCTATAAATAAGACCAAATTATAGTAGAAGGAGAGTAAATAAGCTATTATCTTTTTAAAGTGGTGAAGAGCACTGATTAAATATATATTAGAGCCCCAGCCCCCGCCCCAGCTGCGCGGGCCCCCGCCTGGCCCATGGACTGCACAGCCGAGCGGGCGCCTTGAGCGCGGTGCGGGTCCTCGGAGCACCCCCGAGGTGAGCGCAAGCAAGGTCCGGCATCATGTGCTAGGTTATTCCCAGTGCGAGGCCACACTTGGGCCGTCGGAGCAGCCCCTCCTCACTTCAGGGGTCACCCTCCCCAAGACCCATTGCCCCATCATGGCCGGGGACCGGCTCCCCAGGAAGGTGATGGACGCCAAGAAGCTGGCCAGCCTGCTGCGGGGCGGGCCTGGGGGGGCCTGGTCATCGACAGTCACTCCTTCCTGGAGTACAACAGCTGGCATGTGCTCAGCTCCGTCAACATCTGCTGCTCCAAGCTGGTGAAGTGGCGGTTGCAGAAGGGCAAGGTGACCATTGTGGAGTTCATCCAGCCGGCTGCACGCAGCCAGGTGGAGGCCACTGAGCCACAGGACGTGGTGGTCTATGACCAGAGCACGCGGCCGCAGACAGCTTCCTCTCCATCCTGCTGAGCAAGCTGGATGGCTGCTTCCACAGCGTGGCCGGCTGCTTCCACAGCATGGCCATCATCACGGGGGGCTTCGCCACCTTCTCCTCCTGCTTCCCCGACCTCTGCGAGGGCGAGCCTGCTGCCCTGCTACCCATGAGCCTCTCCCAGTCCTGCCTGCTCGTGCCCAGCGTGGGCCTGACCCTCATCCTGCCTCACCTCTACCTGGGCTCGCAGGAAGACGTCCTGAACAAGGATCTGATGACGCAGAATGGAATAAGCTACGTCCTCTATGCCAGCAACTCCTGCCCCAAGCCTGACTTCATCTACCAGAGCCACTTCTTGCAGGTCCCCATCAACGACAACTACTGTGAAAAGCTGCTGCCCTGGCTGGACAAGTCCATCGAGTTCATCGATAAAGCCAAGCTGTCCAGCTGCCAAGTCATCGTCCACCATCTGGCCGGCATCTCCTGCTGTGCCACTATCGCCATCGCCTACATCATGAAGACCATGGGCATGTCCTCCGAAGACGCCTACAGGTTTGTGAAGGACCAGCGCCCGTCCATCTCGCCCAACTTCAACTTCCTGGGCCAGCTGCTGGAGTACCAGAGCAGCCCGAAGCTGCTGGCCGCCGTGCAGGGCGACGCGGGCACCCCCTCAGGAATGCAGGAGCCTCCCCCCAGCCCTGCGGCCGGGGCCCCACTGCCATGGCTGCCACCACCTACCTCAGAGACCGCTGCCACCAGGAGTGCGGCTGCCAGGGAGGGCGGCCCGAGCGCGGGCAGGAAGCCCCCGGCGCCCCCCACGGCCACCAGCACGCTGCAGCAGGGCCTGCGCAGCCTGCGCCTCTCCTCGGACCACCTGCAGGACACCAGCCGCCTCAAGCCCTCCTTCTCTCTGGACATCAAGTCGGCCTACGCCCCCAGCAGGCGGCCCGGCGGCCCGGGCCCAGCGACCCCGGCGAGGCCCCGAAGCTCTCTGAAAGCTGGACAGCCAGTCGGGGCCATGCTGGGCCTGCCCTCGCCCTGCCCGGACGCCGCGCCCAGGCACACCCACGGCCCGGCGCGCTATCCCGCGCGCGGCCTGAACTTCGGCTACGCGGCTGCCGGGCCCTGGCCAGCCGGCCAGCCCCGGAGCCTGGACGCCACCGCTCGACTCCCTGGAGCGTCCTCGGTGCTTCAGCCCCGAGGGCGTGCAAGGGCCGGGCAGGGTGCTGTTTGCGCCCTTCGGCCGGGCGGGCGCCCCGGAACCCAACGGCTGCAGCGACCTGCCACGGCGGGAGGCAGCAACGGCTGAGCCCGGGACGCGCGGACCAGCTGGTCAGACGAGCTGGCCCCGGATTCGCACTTCAAGTGCTGCAGCTGCCAGATGGAGTTCGAGGAGGGCATGGTGGAGGGGCGCGCGCGCAGCGAGGAGCTGGCCGCCCTGGGCAAGCAGGGGAGCTTCTCGGGCAGCGTGGAGGTCATCGAGATGTCCTGACCCCTCCGCTGCCCTCGGCTCCGCCGCCCGCAGCTGGGCAGTTATAAATATATATTATATATAATGCAAAGAAAGGCAAATGGTTTTACTGCGATTTTTATCCAGAAGTAAATATTTCGATTTTTTATTTATTTAAGCTGTTCATTCTGGCACTGATTTGGCAACAGTGCGGGCGGTCCTCGAGCTCTATTTTTACTGTCTGGTATTTAAACCGAAACACGCGTTTCTAAGCAATAAGAGGCCACCTTCAGTCGCAAGTTGCAGGCCAGGCCTGGGGCCCCTCCCTGTTCCCCCGCCCCAGGAAACACTGCTGACATTTGCAGAGGCTGCCGAGCTTTCGTGAACTTTTTACACAAGAGAAAGTTGAAAAAAAAAAAAACTTTCTTGCCACAAACCGAGCCGCAGAAACACCCTTCTTCCCCCACCCACCGCCCCTGCTCTCTCCCTTCGGGCTCCGCCCCAAAGCCATAGGCTGGGGGAGCAGGACCTGGTGTGCCCCAGAGAGGTGCGGCCAGCCCTCCACCAGCTCTAGGCACCAAATCTTGGTGGCAGGGAGGGCACCCCGCTGCCCGTTGCCCCAGAGCTGTTCCCTCTCAGGGGAGGACATGCATTGGGCCCCATGGTGCCAGGGCGTTGAGAGGGGCTGAGGAATAGAACAGTGTGTGTAGGGGCTTGGGGCAGGGGGTTCTGGAGGGTCAGATGAGGCAGAGCCCAGGGGAGGATGGGGGTGTTATTAATGCCCCAACTCCTGCCAGAGCCCCAGTCCAGCCACTGAGTGCCTCAGAAAGGCCATTCCCAGAGGGCTGCGGCCCTCCCTTCTCCTTTGCCCCTGCCCCCAGAGCTACCTGACTGGCAGGGCGGCACTACTGCAGGAGAGGAGCTTGGCCTCCGGGGGTCAGGCAGGAGGGGGGCCTGGCTAGCCTGTGCTGGCTCCACTGGGCGGGGAGCCCTGGACCGCCAGGTATGAGGAGGGGGTGGGCTTAGGGTCCTGTTCCAGGTCCGTCCCCCACCTAGCAAGGCCCCAGGCAGGACTTGGAAACCAGGTGTGCACCTGCAGGCTGAGGGGCTCCATGAGCAGGTGCTGCCTCGCACAGGGAGTTCAGGCGCCAGCCAAGCCCCTGTGCTTCTGGGGTAGGCCTGCTTCACTTAGGGAGCGCTGCCTCAAGGCAGATAAAGCCCCCTTGTTGACCCGACCTGCATGGGGGCCTCTCAGGAGAGAAACTCTCGTGCGCCCCTTTCCCAGGGCGCCCTCTTTCTAGACAGCATTCCAGCCCCCAAACACAGGTGGCTTTTGGGCCCAGATGGGTCAGCCTGCTGCTCCTGGCCCATACCCTCTCAGGCCGTTGGGACTCCTGCCCTTCAGATGTCCTAGGGTCTAGGAGTGGGCCAGTCACCCTGGGAAGAGGCCAGGGGCTTGGCAGGAGGGGCGGCCCAGGCGGGACCCAGTCCTGAGTCCTGGAGCAGGGCCAGGGAGGCGCCCGCCCCACCCCAGCCAGCCGCCTTCTCTGCTGTTTCTTCTATTTGTTCTTCTTTTCACCCACAGCCTTGTGTTCCTGTCATCCCTCCTTTCAGCAAAAGTCCTGTTCCCGTTCCCTCTGTCCCCACCCACTCCTGTTCCCCAAGAAAATAAGCTATCATTGTTGCATTTGCAATCTATGGATTAGAGGTTTAAGTATTTATTATTATTGGTTAATTATTATTATGTTTTATATATATATATTAGAACTTGGCTAGCCAATTTTATTGAACAATTCCTGTTCAATAAATGTTGTTTAAAGTACAGTTGAGAAAACGATGGTAGGTTTATTTCTTGAACTTTCAGAAATTCAAGCTTAAAGCATCACACGTTTTTCTAATATCATGTGGCGCTTTCTGTCATTTTACTTTTTTAACCTTTATATGGAATAGCAACCATCAACCTTCTCTTTCAGATGTGCCGTTTGGGGGTGCTAAAGCTGGTGTTAAGATCTATCCCAAGAACTATACCGTAAGTATGAAAGTTTTTGTTTTTGTTTTTGTTTTTGTTTTTGCTTTTTTGACACAGAGTCTTGCTCTGTCGCCCAGGCTGGAGTGCAACGGTGCGATCTCGGCTCACTGCAACCTCCGCCTCCTGGGTTCAGGCGATTCTCCTTGATCCAGTAACTGGGATTACAGGTGCATGCCACCATGCCTGACTAATTTTTGTATTTTTAGTAGAGAGGGGGTTTCACCATGTTGGCCAGGCTGGTCTTGAACTACTGACCGCAGGTGATCTGCCCACCTTGGCCTCCCAGAGTGCTGGGATTACAGGCATGAGCCACCGCACCCGGCCTCAAAGTGATATTTGTGCACACAGTGCATTTATGAAGGACTTGAAATTACTGGGCTTCTCTGTATCCCCCATATCAGTGAAATCAATAGTCCCCATTGCTTTTCAAATGGAATGAAAAAAGTAAAGAATTAACTCATTGAGTGTTTTGCCATATAAAGGTCACCTACTTAATATCTATATCCTTTATCATTTTCTGTTTTGTTTGGTTTTGTTTTTATGAGTCTTGTTTTTTTTTTTTTTTGCTTTTTGTATTATTATTTTCTTATTTAAAAGGTAATTAATATCTTCATATTATTAGACACCTATACCCATATTTAAGAAGTACTGTGATCTGGCTGGGTGCGGTGGCTCACGCCTGTAATCCCAGCACTTTGGGAGGCCAAGGCAGGCGGATCACGAGGTCAGGAGATCGAGACCATCCTGGTTAACACAGTGAAACCCCGTCTCTACTAAAAATACGAAAAATTAGTCCGGCGTGTTGGTGGGTGCCTGTAGTCCCAGCTACTCAGGAGACTGAGGCAGGAGAATGGAGTAAACCCGGGAGGTGGAGTTTGCAGTGAGCCGAGATCATGCCACTGCACTCCAGCCTGGGTGACAGAGCGAGACTTTGTCTCAAAAAAAAAAAAAAAAGAATCACTGTGATCTAATTAGCCAGGCATAGTGACGCACACCTGTAATCCCAGCTACTCGGGAGGCTCAGGCATGAGAACTGCTTGAACCCAGGAGGCAGAGGTTGCAGTGAGACGAGATTTCACCACTGTATTCCAGCCTGGGCAACAGAGCAAGACTCTGTCTCAAAAAGAAAGAAGAAAAGTAGTACTGTGATCTGAAGTTTTTAGGTCAGGATCTCATGCTAGTGACAAATATCTTAACTAAGCCAATAAAAACCTTACTTTTTATCCTGTCAGTTCCAAGTAAATTCAAACTGGTTGTCACAATGCTTTACATAATACTAAATTATCTATATACAAACATAAACAGATATGATTTTTATTCTCTTTAAAATTCACCATTTAGATGGAATATAATTATATTACAATTAATCTTAATTAAGATTTGGTATATTTTTCAGTGGGGAATTAATAGAATGGGAATTTGAGTCCTGGTTCTACTATCTTGTTTTTATAACCTACTTTTTTGATCCCTTATTTTCTCACCTTTAAAATGGCATTGCCTACCTTATGAGTTGTTCTAAGGATGAGAAGACATGAAAATGTACTATAAATAGAAAATAAGATGCTAGCTATAATCTCAAGCGATTTTTGTATCTTTTTTTATTTTTATTGTTTTCTTATTTTACAGGATAACAAACTGGAAAAGATCACAAGGAGGTTCACCATGGAGCTAGCAAAGAAGGGCTTTATTGGTATGTGTAGCCACATAGATTTTGGCATAAAGTGGGAACATCTAAAAAAATCTTTTTTTTTTTTTTTTTTTTTTTTTTTTTTGAGACAGAGTCTTACTCTGTCTCCCAGACTGGAGTGCAGTGGTGCAATCTCCTCCACCTCCCGGGTTCAAGCAATTCTCTTGTCTCAGCCTCCCAAGTAGCTGAGACTACAGGCATGTGCCACCACACCCAGCTAATTTTCGTATTTTTAGTAGAGATGGGGTTTCGCCATGTTGGTCAGGCTGGTCTTGAACTCCTGACCTCGGGTGATCCACCCATCTCAGACTCCCAAAGAGCTGGGATTACAGGCATGAACCACTATGCCCGGCCTCCTACTATTTGTGATAGGAGCTTTTGCCAAACATACAACATTTTTGAAGACACTAATCTTCGTTTGCTTGATGTCTTCGTATCTTACTATTATCTGTGTTTATATGTTCTTTGTGTGTGATCTGAACATTCTTTCCTATGATATGTAAATATTTGTCATTTACCTTCTAATTTTCAGGCAGTTTAAACCTTTCTATACATATATTTTTAATCTAGAAGGCTTCTAATTTGTTTGAATAGAATATACATAATTATTTAATAAAATGCTTGGCCTATCAGTATAGTTAATAGAATGTTAATAGTTACTTAATAATATAATACTTGCCCTATCAGTATCAGTATAGTTAAACAAAATAAGGTCTACTTAAATAGGAAATAAAGTGTATTTTTCTCTACTTTCTTTCTCAGCATTTCCCCCACCATGGACAAATGCCTATGAAATTAAACTATAAAGTCTGGGCATGGTGGCTGGTGCTTGTAATCCCAGCATTTTTGGAGGTTTTGGAGGCTGAGGTGGGAGGATCACTTGAGCCTGGAAGTTCAAGACCACCCTAGGCAATATAGCGAGACCCCGTCTCTACAAAAAATGAAAATGTTATCCAAGCGTGATGGTGCATGGCTGTGGTCCCAACTACTAAGATGGGAGGATCCCTTAAGCCTGGGAGGTTGAGGCTACCATGAGCTGTGATCGTGCCACTGCACTCTGGCCTAAGTGACAAAACAAGACCACATCTCAAGAAGAAAGAGAAAAGAAATAAAGCTATTCAGATTCATTTTTAGGAAAAAAGTCATGAAATAAATGTCATGAAATAACCTAATATAGAAATACAGTAAGTATAGGTAACTCTAAAACTTGACTAGATTTGGCCTGTCTTTCATAATAAAAGGCATTTGGGCCTTTGACGTGCCGCATACCCAGCACTACTGTGAATTTGTGCATCATTACACGGAGCCTGTTAACATGAGTTAACTATCTCACTCACACTTTTATAGGAGTACCTACCGATTCTGAGATATGGTGAATTGAAGTCATGTTCAGCCTGTTAATAGCCTTCATAATTTTCAAAAGGTCTTTCCTCCTCGCCTAAATCTCAAACACATTTTATAGTCTTGAATGGTTTCAGACTTTATTCAGTCATATTTATCGCCCATATCTGCAATATCTCCAGCTAAATTTTATCAGTCTTGACAAGTACCTAATAATTCCAAAGGTCAAAAAGTGATTCATTGGAATACTGAAAGAAAACACAGCTTAAACTCTAGTAACTTGATTTATTTGCCTAATTCGCAAAGGCCTCATTGACCCATGATGCAGCTAAATTGACGTCTTGGCCCAGACAGCTTTGAAGCCTAGGAGGCAGGCAAAGGGAGTTTTTTCTCTCACTTCTCGGCAAACCTTCAAATTCGATGTTATTTATCTGTTATTTCCTGACACTCCACAGAGAGTGTCAGATTGAGGCTCAGACCTGAGCCTGAGCCCTGATCCTATCACATGTGTGTTTAGCATCAGCTTGTAAATTTCTGCAAAACAAAACAAAACAAAAAAAAAGAGGCTGGGATTTTGATAGGAATTGCATTGAATCTGCACACCAATTTGTGGAGTATTGCCATCTTCCCCACCCTCCCCAAAAGGGTTTTGCCCTTTCACCCAGGCTGGAGTACCAGGCAGCAGTCACTGCAACCTTGACCTCCTGGGCTCAAGCAATCCTCTCACCTCACCCTCCCAAGTAGCTAGAACCATAGGCGTGCGCAACTGCACCTGGCTAACTTTTTAATTTTTTGTAGAGACATGGTCTCATCACGTATCCCAGACTGGTCTCAAACTCCTGGAATCAAGCAATCTTCCCACCTCAGCTTCCCAAAATTCTGGGATTATGGGCATGAGCCACTGCACCTGACCAGTATTGCCATCTCAACCATATTAAGCCTTCCAATGCTGAATATGAGATGTCTTTCCATTTATTTAGGTCTCTGATTTCTTTCAATGATGTTTTGTAGTTCTCATTGTAGAAGTCTTACAACTAAGTATTGTATTCCTTTTAATGCTATTCTAAGTGACACTGATCTATCGTTTTCTTATGATGTCTTTGTCTAGTCTTTGTATCCAGACAATTCTAGCCTCATGGAATGAGTTGAGGAGTGTTCCTTCCTCTTCTGTTTTTGGAAAAGCTTTTGAAAGGTCAGTGTTCATTCCCTTGTGTGAGTGTAAATATCACCTATGTAAAGTTCTGCAGGACCCTGATGTCTCCACCCTTCTCATCCCCTTATATCTCTGTGCACCAAAATTACCCTTTCATCTCCTACTCTATAGTCACATGCTGTTAGAAAAGTTGCTTTTTTAAAAAAGATGAACTTCTGCCTCAGACCGTGCTCTCTATATAAGAATTTACCTGTTAGGCCAGTCGCGGTAGCTCATGCCTATAATCCTAGCACTTTGGGAGGCCGAGGCAGGCAAATCACCTAAAGTCAGGAGTTCGAGACCAGCCTGGCCAACATGGTGAAACCCCGTCTCCACGAAAAATAGAAAAAAGTAGCCAGGCGTGGTGGCGGGCACCTGTAATCCCAGCTACTCAGGAGGCTAAGGGAGGAGAATTGCTTGAACCTGGAAGGCAGAGGTTGCAGTGAGCTGACGTCATGCCGTTGTACTCCAGCCTGGGCAACAAGAGTGAAACTCCGTCTCAAAAAAATAAAAATTAAAAAAAAAAGAAGAACGTATCTGTTATTCAGGAGCTACTTGTAATCTGTGCATCCCAATACATTAGTTTGTATGGAGCAGAAAACTAGTAAGCCTAATAATTGATACCTTGTGATTTTGTTTTGGGTGGGTGAAGCTGTTGCATGTTTAACATGTATAGACTGTTTTTGAGAAGGATTTTATCATTATATGTTTGTGATTTACAAACTGTGTGCTTCAGACTTGCCACTTGCCAGAGCCCTTCTCCAATTGGAATTGTTTTTTGTTTTTGAGACAGTCTCACTCTGTCGCCAGGCTGGTGCACCGTGGCGTGATCTCGGCTCACTGCAACATCTGCCTCTGAGGTTCAAGCAATTCTCCTGCCTCAGCCTCCCGAATAGCTGGCACTACAGGCGCGTGCCATCACGCCCAGCTAATTTTTGTATTTTTAGTCTACAACGGGGTTTCACCACGTTGGCCAGGATGGTCTCGATCTCTTGACCTCGTTATCCACCCACCTTGGCCTCCCAAAGTGCTGAGATTACAGGCGTGAGCCACCGTGCACAGCCAGCTTTTTTGTTTTTAAAATATATTGTTTAATCAAGATGGGATCTCACTATATTGCCCAGGCTTGTATCAAATTCCTGGGCTCGAGCCATCCTCCTGCCTCAGCCTCCCAAAGTGCTGGGATTACAGGTGTAAGCCACTGCCCCAGCCTAGTTGGAATTGTTGTTTGAGGTAACAAGCTTACTTAATCCTAAAGCAAGCATAATACTTTCGTAGATGCCTCTAGAAAGATTCGGGACCAATTTGTCATTTGTACATTGGGAGAAAAGGAGTGGTTAAACAAAGTTTTACTGACCTCCAGCAGAGGTATGTCACTAAAGGAATGGAAAGTGAGCAAACAGGAGCTGGAGAGCACCAGAGAGCCCTTTTGTCAGTGGATGAGGCTAGAATATGGCATTAATCCTTCCAAGTGCTGTGTGGGGTTAGACTTCTCATGAAGGATAGGTTTGGGTAGGTTAGACTTCATGAGATTTTTTCTGTTTTTAAGTTTTTTGTTGTCCTTGTTGACTTCATGAGATTTTTAAGGTGACTAAGGGAAGGGTGCTAAGACATAGAGTTACAGATTAGGTGGGAGGTGGAGAGGGTTGGGGTATAAAAAGCAGTCTTTGAACATTTCAAAGTTGTCTTGTACCAGCCCTGTATCCAATATATCACATCTTGTTCAAAGAAGTTGATTATCTAGGCCTTGGGCCCCTGAGTTAAAGAAAAACATTACAGTATACTGATTCCGTCGACTAAAAAGTAAAATTTATAGGAAGAATTGAGTACAGTCCTTAGAAAGAACTTTAATTATTTTATGGGGGGACATAATGGTTTAATAGTTTAACCTCTTTTTTTTTTTTTTTTTTTTTTTTGAGAGACAGAGTCTCGCTTTGTCGCCCAGACTGGAGTGCACTGGCACAATCTCGGCTCACTGCAACCTCCGCCTCCAGGGTTCAAGTGATTCTCCTGCCTCAGCCTCCCGAGTAGCTGGGATTACAGGCACTTGCTATCACGCCTGGTTAATTTTTGTATTTTTAGTAGAGACGGGGTTTCACCATTTGGTCAGGCTGGTCTCGAACTCCTGACCTTGTGATCCACTCTCAGCCTCCTAAAGTGCTGGGATTACAGGTGTGAGCCACAGCATCCAGCCTAATAGTTTAACCATTTTTAAAGTTGTGTTTTTCTTTTTGTAAAGATGAGTTTCTATTATACAGTTGAAATAATATAGAAAGTTATAAACAATATATATATGGTGGGGAGAAAGAATGGGGAAGAGAAAGAAAATTGTAAGTGGGAACATGTTATACATGTTGTATGAAACCTGCCTTTTTCCATATGTATGTTTGTGATAATTCCAAGTAATTTACATGCATATGTTATCCTTTTTAATGGCTGTTTAGTACTTTGCATAGGTATACCATAGTTCATTTAATTGACATACAAGATAATTAGATTGTTTTTATTTTTACTATGTTTGAGAGGAGTATTTCTGCACCTTTACGGATTTGAGTGAGCATCACTTAACATGTTTTTATCAGAGATCTTACTGTAGCCGTCAGTAGTAGTGCAGTCAGTGATTTCTGTTATTGCCTGTAAGCTAATTTGTTAGCCTAACACTTCAATTTGCTATGATCTGAGGAACTGAAAGCTAAGGCCTAAAATTTTATATGTGCTAAGTGTCGAATAATAGGTCAAAGCTGCATTCTTCCACAAGTAAAGATAATATGGGGCTTAACACAATTGCTTTAGCAATGTGATTTTCTCCCCTTTTTCTCTACTTGGTAAGGAGGGCTTATACCCCCACTAAGCAGGCACATGCCTGTAATCCCAGCTACTCAGGAGGCTGAGGCAGGAGAATCACTTGAACCTGAGAGGCAGAGGTTGCATTGAGCTGAGATTGTGCCATTGCACTCCAGCCTGGGCAACAAGAGTGAAACTCAAAAAAAAAAAAAAAAAAAAGAAAGAAAGCAAGCAAGAAAGAAAGAAAGAAGGAAGGAAGGAAAGAAAGAGAGAGAAAGAAAGAAAAGTAAATCTGTGGATATTGTACAAAAGATTGTTTTATGATTTTTTAATTTTTTTAACATAACTTTTATTGACTTGTATTTGTATTTTTATCAAACATACTTCATTTGTTTATTTATTTACTTTGAGATGAAATCTCACTCTGTCACCCAGGCTGGAGTGCAGTGGTGGGATCTTGGCTCACTGCAACCCCCGCCTTCCAGGTTCAAGCAATTCTCCTGCCTCAGCCTCCCACGTAACTGGGATTACAGGCATGAGCTACCATGCCCAACTAATTTTTTTATTATTAGTAGAGATGGAGTTTCACCATGTTGGCCAGGCTGGTCTCAAACTCCTGACCTCAGGTGGTCCACCTGCCTCAGCCTCCCAAAGTGTTAGTATTATAGGCATGAGCCACCGCACCCAGCCTCAAACATACTTTAGACAATTTTTCACCTCAGCACTATTGACATTTTAGGCTATGTAATTCTTTGTTATGGGGGCTCTCTCTGCCTTGTAGGATGTTTAGTAATATCCCTGGCCTCTACATATTAGATGTCAGGAAGACCCCTCAGTTATAACAATGACAAATATATTCAGATTGCCAAATGTCCCCTGTGGAGCAAATTCATCCCTTGTTGTGAACTGTGATCCAGAGAGCCAAATAGTGATACAAGGTTTATTGTTCACAATAGCTCGTCCCCTCCAATCCAGACATCTGCCTCACCATATTCCACTCCCCAGAGGCAACCACTTTCAACAATCTTAAATGTTTCATTTTTATTCTATTTAAAGCCTTTGCTCATTTTTAAATTGGGTTTTGTCCACATTATTGAGTGGTAAGAGTTCTTTATATACTCCACAGCCAGTTGTGGTAGTATAGGCCTATGGTCCCAGCTACTCAGAAGGCTGAGGCAGGAGGATAACTTGAGCCCAGAAGGTCAACACTAGTCTAGGCAACATAGCATGACCCTGTCTCTAAATGAGTCTTTGAAGTATATATATTCTAGGTAATTGACCTTTATCATGTATATAATTTGTAAATATTTCCTCTCAATCTATTAGTTGTCATTGCACTTTCTTGATAGTCTCCTTTTTAATCTTGAGAAAGCATAATTTATTTTTCCTCTGGTTGGTGTGCTTTAGGTTGTATGTAAGAAACCATTGCCTAATCCATAGTCATGCAGATACATCCCTATCTTTTTTTTTTTTTTTTTTTGAGATGGTCTCGCTCTGTCGTCCAGATTGGAGTGCAGTGGTGTGATCTCATGGCTCATTGATAACTGCAGCCTCTACCTCCTAGGCTCAAGCAATCCTCCCCCTTCAGCTTCCCAAGTAGCTGGGACTATAGCACCAGCTATAGTCAGCCTCCCAGGTAGCTGAGAATATGGCACCAGGACTATAGCACATACCACCACTAAGCACAGCTAATTTCTGTATTTTTTGGAGAGACACGGTCTCACCATGTTGCCCAGGCCAGTCTTGAACTCCCAGGCTCAAACAATCCTCCCACCTCGGCCTCCCAAAGTGCAGGATTACAGGTGTGAGCCACTGTGCCTGGCCTAGAGAGATTTTTTTAAGAAATAGTGACCAAAAATATCCCACATTTGATGGGAATTGTGAATCTACACATTGAAGATGCTCAACAAATTCAAAGCAGGATAAACTCAAAGAGATCCACACTGACACACATTATAATCAAATTGTAGAAAGCTAAAGACAGAAAAGCAGCAAGAGATAAGTGATTCATCCTGTACAAGGGATCTTCAGTAAGACTAACAGTTGCTTATCAGAAATCACGGAGTATAGAAGGCAGTGGTGGTGTGCTGGGCATGGTGGCATGTACCTGTAGTCCCAGCTGACTGAGGCTGAGACAGGAGAATTGCTTGAGCCTGGGAGGTGGAAGTTGCAGTGAGCCGAGATGGCGCCATTGCACTCCAGCCTGGGCAACAGAGCAAGACTCCATCTCAAAAAAAAAAAAAAAAAAAAAAACAGGGTTGGGGAAGCTCAGCATGGTGGCTCATGCCTGTAACTTCAGCACTTTTGGAGACTGAAGTGGGATCACCTGAGGCCAGGAGTCCACAACCAGCCTGGGCGACATAAGGAGACCCCATCTCTACAAAATAAAAATAATTAGCCAGACAAGGTGGCTCAGGCCTGTGGTCCTAGCTACTCAGGAGGCTGAGACAGGAGGATTGCTTGCAGCCAGCAGTTTAAGACTAGCCTGGACAACATAGTGAGACCCCGTCTCTACAAAATATAAATTAAAAAAATTAGCTGGGCATGGTGGTGTGCATCTGTAGTTCCAACTACTCATGAGGCTGAGACAGGAGGATCGTTTGAGACCAGAAGTTGGAGGTTACAGTGAGGTATGATCATACCACTGCACTCCAACCTGGTTGACAGAGCAAGAACCTGTCACTAAAAAAATAATAAATGAATAAAAATATAAGAATGCTTGGCCTGGTCTGGGCGTGGTGGCTCACGCCTGTAATCCCAGCACTTTGGGAGGCCGAGGCGGGTGGATCACCTGAGGTCGGGAGTTTGAGACCAGCCTGGCCAACATGGAGAAACCCTGTCTCTACTAAAAAAATACAAAATTAGCCAGGCATGGTGGCACATGCCTGTAATCCCAGCTACTCGGGAGGCTGAGGCAGGAGAATTGCTTGAACCTGGGAGGCAGAGGTTGCAGTAAGCCGAGGTCACACCCGATTGCACTCCAGCCTGGGCAAAAAGAGGGAAACTCCACCTCAAAAAAAAAAAAAAAAAAAAAAAAGAATGCTTGGCTGGGCACAGTGGCTCATGCCTGTAATCCCTGCACTTTGGGAGGCCGAGGCAGGCGGATCACCTGAGGTCAGGAGTTCGAGACCAGCCTGGCCAATATGGTGAAACCCCATCTCTACTAAAAATACAAAAATTAGCTGTGTGTGATGGCACGTGCCTGTAATCCCAGCTACTTGGGAGGCTCAGGCAGGAGAATCACTTGAACCCAGAAGGCAGAGGTTGCAGTGAGCAGAGATTG
Source organism: Homo sapiens (assembly GCF_000001405.40). Lineage (NCBI taxonomy): Eukaryota > Metazoa > Chordata > Mammalia > Primates > Hominidae > Homo > Homo sapiens. The sequence continues at coordinate 46,762,141 of NC_000010.11, read as the reverse complement.
CGCCACTGCACTGCAGCCTGGGCAACAGAGCAAGACTCGGGCTAAAAAAAAAAGCTGAAGTGAGTCCTTCAGGCTAAAATGAAAAGATACAAGATAATAACTCAGAGCTATATGAAAAAATAAAAATCACTGGTAAAGGCAACTATATAGCTAAATATAAAAGCTAGTATTATTGTATTTTGGGTATGTTATTCCTCTTTCTCCTTTATGATTTAAAAACATGCATGAAATAATATGCATCTATGTTAATAGGAACTAATTGTTTAAAGACATAATTTGTAACAATATAGCTAGGGGACAGAGAAAGGAGCAGAGTTAATGTATGCTATTGAAGCTGAGTTGGTATCAGTCTGAACTAGACTTAGAACTCAGCATGTTAACTGAAATCTTCATAGTATCCACTAAAAACAAAACTTTAAAAATATACAGAAAAGGAACTAAGAAAGGATCAAAATATTACAGGATAAATCATTAACCAAACACAAAAGAAGGTACTGAGGAGCAAAACACTTTATGTAGAAACTAAACAGCAGGATGACATAAGTAAGTTCTTTGGTGTGTGGGTTTTTCTGTTTTTGTTTTTTGGGGTTTCTTTGAGACAGAGTCTTGCTCTGTAACTCAGGCTGGAGTGCAGTGTTTCATTCTCAGCTCACTGCAGCCTTTGCCTCCCAGGTTCAAGTGATTCTCAGCCTCCTGAGTAGCTGGGATTGCAGGCGCCCACCACCAGACCCAGCTAATTTTTTGTATTTTTAGTAGAGATGAGGTTTCACTACATTGGCCAGGCTAGTCTCGAGCTCCTGGCCTCTAGTGATCCACCCGCCTCGGCCTCCCAAAGTGCTGGGTACAGCCATGAGCCACTGCATCCAGCCTGTTTTTGGTTTTTTTTTGAGACAGGGTCTGGCTCTGTTGCCCAGGCTGGAGTGCAGTGGCACAATCACGGCTCACTACAACCTTGACCTCTGCAGGCTCAGCTGATCCTCCCACCTCAGCCTCCTGAGTAGCTGGAACTACAGGTGTGCACCACCATGCCCAGCTTATTTTTCTATTTTTTGTAGAGACAGGAGTCTTGCTATGTCGCCCAGCCTGGTCTCAAACTCCTGGGCTCAAGCAATCTGCCCACCTCAGCATCCCAAAGTGATAGGATTACAGGCGTGAGTCCAACCATAAGTAAGTTTCTGTTTTTTGTTTTTGAGTCAATCTCACTCTGTCCCCCAGGCTGAAGAGCAGTGGTGCGATCATGGCTCACTGCAGCCTCACCTCCAGGCGGGAGCCACCGTGCCCGGTCAAGTAACTTTTCTGTTTCAGTAATCACTTTCAATGTAAATAATCTCATCAATGGAAAGATCGGCAGAATCAATTTTTTTAATAATGTAATACATAATCCAAATATGCAACTCACAAAATACTCACTGTAGACCCAAAGACACAAATTTGTTGAAACTGAAAAGATGGAAAGAGATAATCCATGCAAATAGTAACCAAAAGAGAGCCAGGGTGGCTATACTAATAATACCACACAAAATAGATTTTAAGCCAAAAACTGTTACAGAAAAACATTTTATGTTCGTAAGAGAGTCAAATCACAAGAAGATGTAACAATTATAAACACATATGAACCAAAAAAAAAAAGGGCTCCAAAATGCACAAAGCAAACTAATAAAATTGAAGGAAGAAACAATTTTACAATAATGGAGACCTCAATGCAGTGGCTCTATCACAGCTCACCGCAATCTCTGCCTCCCAGACTCAAGCAATTCTCCAGCCTCAGCCTCCCCAGTAGCTGGAACTATAGGCACACAGCACCACACCCAGCCAATTTGTGTATTTTTTTGTGGAGACGGGGTCTCACCATGTTGCCCAGGCTGGTCTCAAATGCCCAAGCTCAAGCAATTCACCCACCTCAGCCTCCCAAAGTGCTGGGATTACAGGCCTGACCTACTGCGCCCAGTCAACACCCCACCTTCAACAGTAAATAGAACATCTAGACAAAATCAATAAGGAACTAGAGGAATTGAACAACATACTAAACCAACTAGACCTAACAGACATATAGAAAGCTCTCCATCTAACAAGTGCAGAATATATATTCCTCTCAAGTGCATATGGAACATTCCCCATGATAAATCATATGTTAGGTCACAAAACAATTCTCAATACATTTTAAAAGGTCAAAATTATACGAAGGGCCACATGTGGTGGCTCACAGCTGTAATCCCAGCACTTAGTGAGGCTGAGACAGGCGGATCACTTGACCCCAGAAGTTCAAGACCAGGCTGGGCAACATGGTAAAACCCTGTCTCTACGAAAAAAAAATTTTAAAATTAGCTGGGTGTAGTGGTGGTGAATACCTGCAGCCCCAGCTATTCAGGAGGCTGAGGCAGGAGGATGGCTTCAGCTTGGGAGGCAGAGGCTGCAGTGACCCGAGATCATACCACTACACTCCAGCCTGCAGGACAGAGCAGGACCTGTCTCAAAAAACAAAACAAAAAAAAAAAACAAAAACAAAACAAACAAAAAAAAACAGGCCAGGCTTGGTGGCTCATGCCTGTAATCCCAGCATTTTAGGAGGCCGACGCAGGTGGATGACCTGTGGTCAGGAGCTCAAGACCAGCCTGACCAACATGGCAAAACCCCATCTCTACTAAAAATACAAAAAATTAGCTGGAAGGGGAGGCAGGCACCTGTAACCCCAGCTACTTGGGAGGCTGAGCCAGGATAATCTCTTGAATCTGGGAGACAGAGGTTTCAGTGAGGAGAGATCACGCCGCTGCACTCAACCTTGAGCAACAGAGTGAGGCTCTGTCTCAAAACAAACAAACAAAAAAATTATACAAAAAAAAAAGTGAACTGCATGTTGCTGCACAGTCTACCATAGCACAAATGTCAATTGCTTCTTGGCTTTCCTGGGGTGATGGGAGGTCTGAACCTAACACAGTCTCACCTGATCCTTCACAGGAGTCACGTAGCCTTTCTCTCTCCAGTCCACAGATGTGGGGATCTCAAGAAGCAGGCGTTCCTGGAACTGTTTCCCCTTCCTGTGCTTCTGGTATTGAAAACCATTCATCACCTGCCTGAATTCTTCAGTGGTCTTCAAAGAAAAGTAAATAAAATGTTAAGAAGCAAGAGATTAATTTGGTAAAGAACTGAGGAGGGGAAGCACAGAGCTGGGCAGCCCACAGCATACTTACCATGTCTCCAAAGGCGTTCATGGCCATTGTGAAGCTGTGTTTCCCTTGGCTGTATTCCTGATTGTGCTGCTCAGTCATCTTCATGTTCTCTCACACTGCTCTCCTCCATCCTTCTTCATTCTAAAGGCAAACATGTAACTGATGCTCTTCATTTCTTTTTTTTTTTTTGAGACGGAGTCTCGCTCTGTCGCCCAGGCTGGAGTGCAGTGGCACGATCTCAGCTCACTGCAAGCTCTGCCTCCTGGGTTCATGCCATTCTCCTGCCCCAGTCTCCCGAGTAGCTGGAACTACAGGCGCCTGCCACCATGCTAACTTTTTGTATTTTTTTTCAGTAGAGACGGGGTTTCACCGTGTTAGCCAGGATGGTCTCAATCTCCTGACTTTGTGATCCGCCTGCCTTGGCCTCCCAAAGTGCTGGTATTACAGGCGTGAGCCACCGTGCCCTGCCAATGCTATTTATTTCTAATTAAAACCCAACATATGCTAACCAAGTGAATCTTCAGACAGAGATGTAAGAGTAACCATGGCCAGGGAAGGCTTGACACTTCTAGGAGATGTTTTCCAAGCTGAGACACAACAAGGGTGTATGCCCATATCGTGCTCATAATCAGTGCTATTAAGTTATTGCGTTAGGTTATTGGTAGGAGCCAGCCTCTAGAAGCCACTCTCTGGCCATATGATCCCAATAGCAATGCCCATCTCTCTGGGATTCCCCTGGACAGTTTCAGATGCCACCAACCATGCCATATAATCTCTTGTGCTTTGCCTTCCACTTGGTCCATTGTGCGTCTAAACTGTGGTCACGTGTTAGAGCAGCTGAGGCAATTCCCAGGAAAAAGGCAGCCAGGAGGAGTGAAGGATTCATGTTTCAAAAATCTAGGAAGGGAAAAGAAATGAGGATCTGATTAGACCGATCCTAAAAAGCCATTTTACTACCCCCTGAGAAACTAGGGCCACCATGGTAGAATAAAAATATTTAAATTATTCTTCCAAGCATTTACCTAAGGACTGTGGAAGAGGCCAAGGATGTGGCTGGAGAAAAACAGGGCAAGTGGAGGTATTGGAGGGACCCACCAAAATGAAAAGCAGCCTGTCCAGAGCTGTAGGAGTTGAAACAGTTTTCTGGAATGATGATGACAGGCTATGAAAAGGACAGGAAGGTACCTGATGGGCGAGAAGCTTAAGGCAACAACCGGGAAACTAGGAAACCATTGGCCCAGGTTTTGTACCAATTGTGCTGAGGTCATCCAGGCAAAACCTCAAGAATGAAGACATCTAATTTCAAGAAGGGACAAAGGGATCCCCAATAATTGGGAAGTCACATCACACCTTGTTCTTGGCTAATACACAACAGAAGGTGAAGTATGTTTTCCAAATGCCCCTTGTAATGAAACAGTTATTGAATGTCTTCCCAGGACAAACTGGGAAGGAGAGCACCCATCTACCGCCGTTCCCGCAGTCCTGCAGTCCTGCAGGTGGGCCAGTCCTGCCAACACTCCAGCTCCCCTCACAGAGCATAAACTGAATCAGGTGGCCGAACCACCGGAAGCCAGAGTCCCCAGTGTCCGCGCCCACACAGGGGTGGGTAGGCAGCTTCCCAGGCTTTGGGCTGGGGACCCAGGCCAGGTCCCCTGGCTCTTGCTCCCGCCCTCCGCTCATGCTCACTGTGGCCCCAGGACGTGGGCGATGTTGCAGGGAGCAAGGGGCGCCTCTGCCTGATTTGCCGGGGTCGAGCCTCCCTGTCCCACCCCCACCGGCCCTGGGAATACTGCGGCCTGGCACTCCGGAAAATCCCTCACTCACAGAGCTGAAGGACTTGCTGGGTCCCTGGTGGCCCCTGTCCAATCTTAGCCCACTGGGGTCTCAGCTGCTGTAGCCACAGGTGGACAGGCACAGTGGGCAGGTGCTGGGTCCAGGAGTCTCCTGTCGCCTAAGGCCGCCCGAAAGCAGCTAATTGACCTCTAAAGCCCCTAGACCCCCCTGCCCCCTTGCCGCCCAGGCAGGCCCGCCCCCACCACTTGCCCGCTCTGCGATTGGCTGCGCCAGCCGCTGGGCGGGGCCTTCCGGCGTGCTGACTCCTGGCATGTGGAGCAGCTCAGTCCCCTTGCCTCAGTGGAACCGGGGGAGGGGAGCTGGGGGCTACGAAGAGAAGGGTCGGAGGTCTCCCTGGAGGGTTCGGATCAACTAAGTACCCTATTTAATGCCCTGGGCGGGTGGTTTATGAAAAGAAATTTACAGGAGCCCTGTGTGCATTTTCAGTTTAACCCTGCTTTTCCCTTAGGCCTAGAATTTTTGATTAAAATCTCCTGCAGGGCAGAGAGCCAGAGGACTCTAATCCAGTGGTTCCTGTTTAGTCCACAGCAAAGGTGCGGCTGGCTGGAAGAACGCACAGCCTGCAAGCAGAAGCCTTACCTCCCAATTAAGGGTGTAGAAGAATCTGGGCGTGTTGCTGGTGGCTCATGCCTGTAATCCCAGCACTTTGGGAGGCTGAGGCAGGCAGATCCCTTGAGCCCAGTAGTTCGAGAACAGCGTGGGCACCCTGGCGAAACCCCTTCTCTACTAAAAATACAAAAATTAGCCGAGTGTGGTGGCCCGCGCCTGTGGTCCCAGCTAGTCGGGAGGCTGAGGCACCAGCATCGCCCAGCCCGGAAGGTTGAGGCTATAGTGAGCCGAGATCGCACCACTGCACTCCAGCCTGGGCGAAAGGAGACCCTGTCTCAAAGACAAAAAAACAACTGGTAGGAAAACGCACCCTCAAAACACATGATGAGATGGTCGAGACCAGACCCTAGGAGGGTGGGGACTGGCTGGGTGGGTATCCAGAGACCATGGGCGTTTCATAATGCATTGTTTCCCATCTCCTCCACTCAGCGACTCTTCTTCCCCTGAAGTCTTGCATTAAGTAAGTGAATGAATCAATCATCAAGTTAATGAAGCTCTGACTTTGTACTTGTTGTCCTTTGCTTGGTACAGTTGGGCACTGCCTTAGAAACAATCTCCAGGTAATTTTCCCAACTGCTTTTGTGAGGCCCAGTTTTCCATTTTAAAATCTAAGATTACCTCAGTAATCTTGCTTTTACAGCAAATGGGCATGGAGCCTGACAGATATATTTAAACTAAGTTATGGACAAGCTGCCTGGTGCATTAGGTAGCATAGGAGCTAACCTTGTGGGACATCTCCCCATATTCGTAATATTCACCCCTACATCTATAATCAATAAATGCTTGTTTGGAGGCCATAGAAACTCTTCCTGAGATCTGACCTGTGTCTTCTGCTATCTGCCTGATTTCTCCCCATAGAACAGGAAAACACTGTGTAGGAGATATTGTGAATAGAAATATGAATATAGGCCGGGAGTGGTGGCTCACACCTGTAATCCCAGCACTTTGGGAGGCCAAGGCGGGTGGATCACCTGAGGTCAGGAGTTTGAGACCAGCCTGGCCAACATGGCGAAACCCCGTCTCTACTAAAAATACAAAAATTAGCCACGCATGGTGGCAGGCACCTGTAATGCTAGCTACTCAGGAGGCTGAGGTAGGAGAATTGCTTGAACCCAGGGAGGCAGAAGTTGCAGTGAGTGAGATGGCACCACTGCACTCCAGCCTGGGCAACAGAGTGAGACTCTGTCTCAAAAAAAAAAAAAAAATAAATTACAAAAATTAGCCAGGCATGGTGGTGGGCGCCTGTAATCCCAGCTACTCAGGAGCCTGAGGCAGGGACAACGGCTCAAACCTGGGAGGCAGAGGTTGCAGTGAACCGAGATTGCACCACTGCACTCCAGCCTGAGAGACATAGCGAGACTCCATCTCAAAAAAAAAAAAAAAAAGAATATAAATAGGAAATACAGTGATTCAAATAAGCAATTGTTAGTTCCTCAGATCAGAACTGTGAGTTCTATACTAGACTCTTACATGTTATTTCTTCTGGTATCTTAGCAATGATTCTGAATAAAGATCAGACTCCTTAGTCGGCAGGTGGGACAGTTCTCAATAACAGAAGCTGGGTTCTCAGGGGATCCCGTGGATATGAGGATGAAGGTTAGAAGCACTTGGGACCATACCTGCAGGTCTGATTTGAGGACAATGAGACCAAGACAGGAAGGCAGCACCTGCTGAGGGGCTGGGGGTGGGAGAAGGGAGGACACAGGACACAAGAAAATAAGTATAAACCACCAGACTGCAGTCAGTGATCAACAAAATTCCCAAGTTTATATTGAGAAGATTTCCCTGGTTTGGGGTTTTGAAGAGATTATATAAGGGATTCGGGTTGCTTGATTTTTTTCATTCTTTTTCTTTTAACTTGGTCTCAATTTTTTTGTAAAAAAAAAAAAAAGAATGTCTTATGTGCACCTTTAGAACTGGTGAATGAATGAACCTCCCTTTTTAAATAACTGAGATTGTCACTGAAGCACTGTCATCCGATTTAGGCTTAAAAATCTGACACTGAATTTATCCTAGATGATAAAGTGCAAGTCTCTTGTCTCCTAGAAATGATCAGGCAAGGAAACACCCAGGAGGCCCAGGGCAAAATGCCCTCCTGGAAGCTGGTGGGGTAGGAAGATGCTGAGGCCCAGTATGGTCCCTGGAGCATGCATTCTGTGTGGTGACAGAAATTGTTTGCTTGACCGTACATTGGTCAGGCTTCTGAACCTTCTGCTAAACCCATCTGTGCACTTTTTGTAAAATTCAGTTTTAGGAAATTACCCTGCTAAGTCAGTTTAGCTGGCAGGAATCCCCGTCCGCCATATACTGATCAGGGTCCTCATCCCCCACCATCCCGCAGCTGATGTCAGATAACCTTGGCCTGTGCTCAGCGAGAATCTCGTTAGGTCAGTTTAGCCAGAATCCTCCCTTACCCTTCATGTTCCCTCATAGTCATTTCCTATCTGCTAACCCCCATCCTCCTCCTTGAGTGTAATTACCACTTCCTTGTGCTGGATTCAGAGTTGAGCACAATTGCTCTCTCTCACTGTAAGAACTACTTGCAGTGCTCCTAGACCTACATATGTGAACCTGTTTCTTTAACAGTGACTCACCTGTCTTTTTCTCCTTTCAACTTGACACTAGCTGAGGCTTATCCGCATCAAAGTGGAGGGACTGGCCCCGGGGGATCCTCAGGGCTTCACCTTGATGGCCTACAGGCTCACATTCCACTTTTTCTGGTGCCTTCTGGCTCCGAGTCCAGTTTGCCACACAAGTGATGGAGGTTGGAAGGAGGGATGAGGTGACAGAGGTGAAGGAGGGTAAATTCTTTTCTAAGCCCTACTTGCCTGACATGCATTTAGGTTTTTAGAAAGGAAACTGACCCCACCCTTTATTTTCTATCTCCCACTTCCATGACTAGCCTTACCTGTAAAAATGGGGCATAGAAGAGCCCCCATCTCCTAGGGCAGTGTTTTTGAGCAGGGGGTCACTGAACAGTAGCACCTTCATCTCTTGGGACCTTGTTAGGAAATTCTGGACTTGGGGTGGTTGATCATGCCTGTAATTCCAGCACTTTGGGAGGCCGAGGCTGGCAGAACACGAGGTCAAGAGATCAAGACCATCCTGGTCAACATGGTGAAATCCCGTCTCTACTAAAAATACAAAAATTAGCTGGGCACGGTGGTGTGTGCCTGTAGTCCCAGCTAATGGGGGGCTGAGGCAGGGGAATCACTTGAACCTGGGAGGCAGAGGTTGCAGTGAACCAAGATCATGCCATTGCACTCCAACCTGGGTGACAGAGGAAGACTCTGTCTCAAAAAAAAAAAAATAAAAATTCCTGGAAATGGATTAGCTTGCTGACAAGAGTTATTCCATTGTGTGTTTCTACCTGCAATACCTGAGGATGCCCATTTTCTCACGATTTATAAACTAACTCATTTTATAGATGTAATTTTCATACATTTGGGAGTATCGTTCTAACTTCATTATTATTACTTCAAGGTGTTATTATTTCCCCATCATCATCATGGTCATTATCATAACTAGTTGGTGCTGACAGTAGTCACCCTGCATTGAGAACTCATGCTCCAGGCCCTTTCCACATAGACTTGATTTAATTCCATTCACTCCTCACAACAATCGTCTGAAAGAAAGAATCACTAAGCCATTGTATAATTGAAACACAAGAGGCGAGTGACTTGTGTGCCCTTGGGCAGGTAATTTAAACACTCTGTGCCCCCAAGTTCCAATAGATAAATGTAAATAATAATATCTTTCTTACCTAATACATGGGGTCAACAGTTAAAGTGCTGTACATTTGTGAGGTATTTCATGGCACCTGTGAATTGCTCATGTGATGACTTAGTGTGCTTCCAGTGTCAGTGTGCTGGGAAGGAGACAGAATAGGAAGAAGACTGAAAAGATGCCGAGTCTAGTGCAGGGTATCCTGGGGAAAACACCTCCTGTTTGTCCAACAGCGATTGGCCACACATTGAAGACACACTACCTGCCTGTGAACTGGGTTGACCCTGTTGAAATCTTGTGGAAAGCTTGAGATGCTCCTTAGAGGGTGTTTATCCCTCGAGCTGGCACAAATGCGGTTTGTTGTTCAGTTTTTCCTTCTACTCTGCCTCTATCTGGTACAAAATGGAATTGAAGAGGATATAAACCAGCAAGGAACAATCTGAAATCAGAATGGTGACAATGGGAGAAAGTAATCTTGGTTCAACCCAGTGTTCACCTGAAGTCTCTTTATTAAAGACTACTAACAGGAACGAAATTGCATAATAATCTTCCTATGATAATTTCAAGTTCCAGAATTTCTCTATGGAACTTTCAAATTTCACCTCTGTTAACTCATGGAATTTTCCCTAGAATCTGCAAATTACCGAAGTCTTTGGAGGTTTGATGATCACTCACTGGTCAGCGGTACTACAAAAGGATTCTGGGGAGTTTGACTCAGTGGTCAGCAAAGGCTCTTCCGAATCTTCAGTCTGATTCTGAGATTCCCCGGGGAGAACTGGAGCCTTTCTTAACAGCTCTTGATTGGAAAGACCACCTGCTTCATCCTCTATTGCAACAGAAATAGCCATTGTGAATCTCCATGGGGAGGCACAATGAGTTTTTTCTAGCATGTGTGACTCAGGTCATTTTGTTCCGTGGTTTCCAGTTGTGGGGACTTGGCAAGGTCACACCCTCCCCTGAGCCTCAGTTTCATCGCTCAGAAAATGAGGATAACAATTCTACTTGCCTCATAGGATTGCTGTGAAGATTAAATGAGACATGTAAACATTTGCTTATAGTAATTTCACACCACTTTATTGTGGAATCAAAGACAGAATTCTTACAGAGGTCTTGGTTAGTTAAGAAAACATCCATTCAAAGATTTGATTCACAGGACACCCTCACTGTCTTTCTCTTTTTTTTTTTTTTTTTTTTTTTTTGAGACAGGGTCTCACTTCATTGCCCAGGCTGGAATGCAGTGGTGTGATCTCAGCTCACTGCAACCTCTGCCTCCCAGGCTCAAGAGATTCTCCCACCTCAGCCTCCGAGTAGCTGGGATTACAGCCATGCACTGCCACTCCTGGTTAATTTTTGTATATTTTGTAGAGACGGGGTTTTGTCATGGTGCCCAGGTTGGTCTTGAACTCCTGGGCTCAAGCAATCCACCCACCTCAGCCACCCAAAGTACTGGGATTACAGGCGTGAGTCACCATACCTGGCCCTTGCTTACTTTCGTACTTCCCAAGAGGCAGGTTACCAAATTGGTGAAATTAACCATAATATCATTGTGATGGGCAAGCAGATATATTAAAAGCAAAGATACAGCAGGTTAACATTAAATTTTGCTCATCCCAGGACAAACTTGGCCACAGGAGGCCTTTGCCAGTATTCTGAAAAGTGTTGTGACCATCTCCTTTAAAGCTCAGTTAAAGGTTTCTGGCTGGACTCCAGGCTGCTTCAAGCTCTTTACTTGTCTTTATCATTCTTTAAGGAGGGACCCAGACACAGTGTGCAGAGGCCTGAATCCTCTAGATCATTCTCTCTCCACCATGAGTCCTGCCGTGGGGACCTTTCCAGCTCCCTTTGGCCTTATGAGCCAGAAAATCAGGCTAGAGCCTAAAGAGAACAGAAATTTCAGAATCAGGCTTGTTCTGCGACTGTTTGGGGAACTGAAGGACACAATGGGCTTTCTATATTGGAGACTACCCATCATACTCTCTCTGCCCAGGGAGAAAGGACAGATGCTGTGTGATTTTGCAGTCTGTGATTTGGCTTCTCATTCTCGCTGCTCTCTACACCTCATTGTTTACTTCACTCCCCTGAAAAAAATGCTCCCTAACAGGCTCAGTACCCAACTTCTGGGTATTGCTGCCCACATTTGCCTTGGTTCTACCTTTTCAGATTGCAGGATCCTGAGGTTTTGCTTGGAGCAGCTCAGATTCTCCATTAGATCTAAGATCTCACCTAGTCCTGAGGATTTCCTTAAAGGGAAGGGGAAAGATAGATAGATAGATAGATAGATAGATAGATAGATAGATAGATAGATAGATAGATAGTTGCTGCCTTTGCTCTACAGCATCTGCTTGGTGAAGAGGCTCAGGATCTGGATCCTGGCCTCTCAGCTCTCAGGAACCCCATTCCCCCATGACAGGGGTGGCAAGTTCATCCTATTATTCGTTAAGAAATTTGAAAACAATCATTCAGGAATTTTAGGTCAAGAGCTGGAAAACCCCAAGCCTCCGTCACCTGAGCAAAGGGAGATACTGTAAGCACCTGAAGGATACACCCATGTTCCACCACCTGCCTGAAGAAGCCTGTGGTTCTTGTCAGCTTCTCAAGGGTGAAGCGCAGATCATTTTCTGCTTGAGCAGAAGAGCAGACCAAAGAGCTCATTGACTCAAGGAGCATCACGGCAACTGACCTGCGCCTGGAAGAGAAGAATCCAGGGTGTGATCCACAGCCAAGGCCTGAAGCGATGGGGCCCATACTTGGCCTCTCCAGGGTGAGTTGTGACCCAAGTGCTGGGCTTTAGCCCATGAGTGGTCCCTCTTGCCATTTCCAGTTTCCTCCCAAAGAGAGGCCAGTGTTGGTGATTTCATTTCTCATAATCTCCTTAGGAGCACAGGTTTTGGTTTGTGCCTTTTTTGGATCAGGTTCCCTGCTTTGCAGCTGCTATAATTAAAACTATTAACAACAACACAGCACCACAGAAGCAAGTTAGTTGCTAATGGAATTTGCTGATAATGCTATCTTCTAGAGACCACTCTAGTAACTGGAGAGCCTTGGTGTAGAGCTGATGATAAAACCTGTTCCTGCTTTTGTCAGTCATGAGGAGCATTTCCTTTCTTGACAGAGGAACTGAAACCCACATGCCAGCCCAAATTTACCAAAAGCAGTCACTGGAATACTCATCACACCATCATGTCTCATCTTATCCCTTTCGTTACCTTCAAATACGGCCCCATTTCCTCAGGACCAGAACTCCCTTATGTGGGCAGCAGGACTAAGGCCCTTGAGTTACCTGTGGTGACTCCTCATTAAATGGAGGAATGTGCCAGTATTTTCAGCAAAACATGAATCTGATGAAACACTGACTGAACTGTCTCCTAGTTTCAAAACAAATTATTACCACTCAGGGCCTCTATTTAGGGCAATCAGAGTCAGAAGTGGGAACGCATCTTGTCCTCCTACCTTGATTAACAGTAACTCTAATTCCAGGATGATGGTCAAATCCTCTCTCCTCTAATGTGCAGTTGTGAAGGATTTAGGCTCCACTGCTCATGCATTTGGGTGGGGCCTGAATCACTTTCAGTCTAGCACAGGCGGGTCACTTCAGGCCTTCCCAACTCCATCAGCATCCTTCAATCCTCCCCTGACATCTCTCATTTATGCTTCCTATTGATTCAGAGGTCCCAACCCGAGTGGCTAAAAGAAACATTCATTAACCTTTCTACAAAGTCATGAATAATCCATGGATTACATTGAATTCATCCCTACTAAAACCATCTTCAGAAATTCAGATGTAGTAACCTTCTTTCTGAATTTTTTTTTTTTTTTTTTTTTTTTTTTGAGATGGAGTCTTGCTCTGTCGCCCAGGCTGGAGTGCAGTGGCATGATCTCAGCTCACTGCAAGCTCCACCTCCCGGGTTCACGACATTCTCCTGCCTCAGCCTCCCAAGTAGCTGGGACTACAGGCACCCGCCACCATGCCCGGCTAATTTTTTGTATTTTGTTTAGTAGAGACGGGGTTTCACTGTGTTAGCCAGGATGATCTCGATCTCCTGACCTCATGATCCGCCCACCTCGGCCTCCCAAAGTGCTGGGATTACAGGCATAAGCTACCGTGCCCAGCCAAGTATTCTATCCTTAATGAACACATATATGCACATTATATCTATTTTTTATAATATATATATTTAGAATTGAATGTCAGAGTACATATCAGTGTTGGAGGAAGAGAATAAGGAGGAAGCACAGAAAGTAAAAAGGAAAAATAGGCACCAAAAAAGATTTGGAGAATGGCAGATGGCCAAGGAGATGCAGTTGGGAAGTGCCTCTTCCATGGAGAGGAACCCAAATATCTAGTAAACCTTCACATTTTAAACAGATCTTTTGAGAGAAAACACTGAAAGTTGACACAGAGGTGACACAGACACCATGGTTGAAGAGGGAAGAAATGGGACAGTCTGCTCAGAGTCACTAGACATCAGGACTGGCCCATATACCCTGAACAAACCCAAGGAAGGGGTGAGTGAAGGAACCCTGGGACACTACATACCCATAATGTACCTCTGAGATCCTAGTTACAGGAGTTTCTACGACCCTCATAGATCTTTGGACTGGTAGGAGAGCTGCCTCGAGCACATGCAGAGGCACAGTTTGAGCCCACACAGAGCCCAGAAGGCTTTGTTGTGCTGTGCAGCTGCAGCAAAATGCAACCCTAGGTGCCCATCCCACAAGCCTCCATTTCATACTGAGTGGCTAAGTTCCTGCTGTCCGCCAGGCTGGGAGTGAACCGCGCCTGGCCTGCTCACATGCCCAAGATAGGCCCCATCACCAGTGCTGTGTGATTAAGTTGCATCTGGTCCACATGCCCCCTTGCCTGTCAACCCCTTCCCAGAGCTCATGCCTGGTCATGCCTGCAAGAGGGTGTCCACAGCACAGCATCCACTGCATAGCTTGAGTGTTTTGTTGACAGCCTGGGAAAAGCTCACCACCCTGTCCCCAAGTCACAGCCAGTGCTTGAAGCTTAGAGGCCAGAGGACAAATCCGTGAGCCCAGTCCCAACTCCCCAAGACTCAAGTATACCACCCAGGGACACTGAGCTGAGATTTGTAACCTAATCTCAAGTGAAGGAGGATCCTCCATAGTCAGAATGCAGAGAAGGGTGTGGTATGGGTTCTCATGGGGGCATGGGAGCTGGACGCCCCTCCCTTTGCAAGACCAGACCATGAAGGGTATGGCCTGATGGTGGTAGCTTCTTTCCCAGGGAGTGTCCTGGCACAGAATGCCTGGAGCAGCTCAACAATGTGGGAGCAGATGGCTTGGGGAAAGCCTAGTTGGTTGGGCTTGCCGCCAGGGCGAGTGTCTGTGGGAGATCTGCTGGGTCAGGGGAGTGTAAGCTAGGCAGACTCCATGGTTGCCTGCTGGGCTGAAAATCATGGGCTGCAGACTCCATACTGGTGTTGCACCCATTGTGCCACTGCCCTGCCTGGAGATCCTCTACCCTTGAAATACTGCATCATCAGAGCAACTGCAGACATACCCTAAAACCTGCTCTGACTTTGGTAAGCACAGTGGACTGGTGGGTCTCTGGAGAGTTGTGTGTCCCTAGAGATGTAATCCTCAGTGTGGACCATCCCTAAGGGAAGGGGGAGTGCAGCCTGCAAAGCACAACATGAGACAAAGAAAATGCGGCCATGGCATAAGCCACTGAAAGGAGCACCACCAAGGCCCAGAACCAGACTTGGAGAAGGAATTATGTCTCGCCTCCATCTCCCTTCCCCAGTACACTGTTGCAGATGCAACAATAGCTCTTCCCATAGGGGCCCAGAAAGCGTGCACTGAAAGAAGTTGTTTCTCATGATTCTCCAGTGAGGACAAACATGCACCAAGACCCCACCTGCCAGCTCTTACTCTTAAGTCCATCTACCAGACTGAAGTTATACCATCATATAAAAATATATTGCTAAAACAAGCAACATCTGTGAAAGCCACTGCAGCAACCTATCTGTAACCAAGGAACATATATGGAAACTTCACCCTCTGCAACTACCGAGAAATGAAGCCAATCAATCACATACACCACTGTCATACTTTCAAAGAGAATAAAAAATATAAAAGCCCTGTGATGGTTAATACTGAGTGTCAACTTGATTGTATTAAAGGGTGCAAAATATTGTTCCCGGGTGTGTTTGGAGGGTGTTGCCAAAGGAGATTAACATTTGAGTCTGGACTAGGAGAGGCAGAACCACCCTCAATCTGGGTGGGCACCATCTAATCAGCTGCCAGCACGGCTAGGACAAAGCAGGCAGGAGAAGGCAGAAGAGCAGACTTGCTGAGTCTCCTGGCTTTCATCTTTATCCTGTGCTGGATGCTTCCAGTTCTTCAGCTTTTGGACTCTTGGACTTACACCAGTGGTTTGCCAGGGGCTCTCAGGCCTTCAGCCACAGACTGAAGGCTGCACTGTCAGCTTCCCTGCTTTTGAGGTTTTGGGACTCGGACTGGCTTCCCTGCTCCTCAGCTTGCAGATGGCTTATTGTGGGACTTTACCTTGTGATCGTGTGATTCAATGATCCTTAATAAACTCCCCTTCAAATGTACATCTATCCTATTACTTCGGTACCTATAGAGAACTCTGACTAATACAAACCCCATCTAAATGAAGCAAATTCAAAAAAGAAGTGTCAACTCCCGCAGATGGAAAGGAATAAGCACAAGAAGTCTGGCAATACACAAAGCCAGAGTGTTTTGTGATCTCCAAAGCCTCTCACTAGCTCCCTAGGAAAGGATCCTGACCAGATGTAAATGTCTGAAATGAGACACATAGAACTCAGAAGATGGATGTCAAGGAAAGTCAATGAGACATAAGACAAAATAGAAATCCAATGCAAAGAAACCAGAAAAACAGTCCAAGATTTGAAAGACAACATAGTTATATTAAGAAAGAGCCAAACTGAACTTCTGGAACTGAAAAATTCACTAAATAAATTTCAAAATATAGTTGGGAGACTTAAAAACAGACTAGGCCAAGCAGAAGGAAACATTTCAAAGCTTGAAGACTGATTCTTCAAATTAACCCAGTCATGCAAAAATAAAGAAAAAATATTTTTTAAAAAGACAAAGCCTTCAAGAAATATGGGATTATGTAAAGAAACCACTTCTACAACTTATTGGTATTCCTGAGAGAAAAGAAAGAGTAACCAACTTGGAAAACATATCTGAGGAAAAAATTCAAGAAAATATTCTCAATTTTGCTAGAGATGTTGACATGCATACACCAGAAATCCAGAGAACCCCTGTTATATACTATAAAGACAGCCATCCCCAAGACACATAGTCGTTAGACTATCCAAGGTTAACACAAAAGAAAAAACAAATCTCAGACACAGCTAGAGAAAAGAGCAACACTACCTACAAAGGGAACCCATCAGACTAACAGTGGACTTCTCAGAAGAGACCTTACAATCCAGCAGAGATTAGAGGTCTATGTTTAGTACTCTAAAAGGAATGACATTCCAGCATAAACATTCATATTCTTCAAAACTAAGCTTCATAAACGAAGGAGAAATTGAGTCTTTCTGAGTCAAGCAATCGGTAAGGGAATTTATCACCACCAGACTAGCCCTGCAGAAATGCTTAAGGGAGTTCTAAATGTGGACATAAAAGAACAATACACAGAAAAAGCACAGTTAAGTACATAGTCCACAGACTCTATAAAGCAACTACACAATTGAGACTGCAAAGAAACTAGCTAACAAAACTATGACAGGAACACAATCTCACATATCAATGTTAACCTTGAACATAAATGGCCTAAATCCTCCACTTAAAAGACATACAGTGGCGAATTGGAATAAAAAAATCAGAATCACCCATCTGCTGTCTTCAAGAGACCCATCTCACAAGTAATGACACTCATGGGTTCAAAGTAAAGGGATAGAGAAAGATTAATCATGCAAATGGAAAACAAAAAAGAGCAGGAGTTTCTATTCTCATATCAGAGAAAACAGATCTTCAGCCAAAAACAGAAACAAGGACAAAAAAATGTTATTGCTTAATGACAAAGGGCTCAATTCAATAAGAATAATTAACTATCTTAAATAAATATGCACCCAACACTAATTGGAGCATCACGATACATAAAGAAATCACTACTAGACCTAAGAGGTAGACAGCCCCTCAGTAATAACTGGGAACTTCAACACTCCACTGACAGTGGTAGATAGATTATTGAGGCAGAAATCTAAACAAATAAATTCTGGACTTAAATTTGCCACTTGACCAATTGAACCTAATAGACATCTACAGAATACTCTACCCAACAACCACAATATATATTTTTTTTCTCATCTTCACATGGAACATACTCTAAGAGTGATCACATATGCAGTTATAAAGCAAGTGTCAAGAAATAAAAACAATCAAATAATATCAAGCATCTTCTTGGACCGCAGTAGAATAAAAATAAAAATCAATAGCAAGAGGAACTCTAAAACACAGACACTCACACACAAACACACACGGAAACTAAAGAAATTACTCTTGAATGACTTTTGTTTGGGTAAACAATAAAATTAAAGCAGAAATCAAAGAATTTTTTAAACAAATGAAAATAGAGACACAATGAACAAAAACCTCTGGGATGCAATAATAGCAGTTTAAAAAGGAAAGATTATAGTGCTAAATACCTACATCAAAAAGATAGAAATATCTCAAATTAACAATCTAACATTGCACCCAGAGCAAGTAGTAAAACAAGAAAAAAAACTACATCCAAATATAGCATAAGAAAAGAAATAACAAAAATAAGAACAGGACTGAATAAAATCGAGACTCAAAAATCCACACAAAGGATCAACAAAATGAAAAGTTGGTTCTTTGAAAGTGTAACCAAAATTGATAGACTGCGAGCAAGATTAACAAAAAAGAAAAGATCCAAATAAGCACAATCAGCAATAACAAAGGCGACATTCAATCGAGTCCCACGGAGATTCAAAAGATTCTCAGAGACTACTATGAACATTTCTATGTGCACAACTAGATAACCTAGAAGAAATGAATACGTTCCTGGAAACACACAACTTCCCAAGATTGAACCAGGAAGAACCTGAAACACTGAACAGACCAACAATGAATTACAGAATGAATTGAATAAGTAATAGAAGCCTGGGACTAGATGAATTCATAGCTGAATTCTACCAGACATACAAAGGGGAGCTCATGCCAATCCTACTGAAACTATTCCAAAAAATCGAGGATGAGAGATTCTCCTCTAACTTACTCTACAAAACCTATATCATCCTGATACCAAAATATGGCAAATACTCACACAAAAAACAAAACCCTAGGCCAATATATCTGATGAACATAAATGAAAAAATCCTCAACAAAGTACTTGCAAACCACATTCAGCAGCACATCAAAAAGATAATACAATATCAAGTGAACTTTATTCCTGGGATGTAAGGGTTGTTCAAATATATGCAAATCAGTTAATGTGATTCACCACATAAACAGAATTTAAAATGAAAAAAAAACATAAGATTATCTCAACAGATGCAGGTAAAACATTTGATAAAATCCAACATGCCTTCATAATTAAAACCCTCAATAGACTAGGCATTCAAAGAACATACCTAAAATAATAAGAACCATCTATTGACAAACCTAGTCTACATTATACTAAACAGGCAAAAGTTGAAAGAATTCTCATAAGAACAAGAACAAGACAAGAATATCCACTTTCACCACTCTTATTCAACTTAATACTGGAAGCCCTAGCCAGAATGATCAGACAAAAGCAAGAAACAAAAGGCATCCAAATAGGAAAAGAGGAAATTAAATTTTATTTCTTCACTGATGATAGGATTCTATACCTAGAAAACCCTAATGATTCTGACCAAAGACTCCTAGAGTTGATTAAAAATTTCAGTAAAGTTTTAAGATAAGAAATCAATATACAAACAGCAGTAGTATTTCTATACAATGCAATATTCAAACTGAGAACCAAGTCAAGAACACAATCCCATTTACAAGAGCCACAGAAAAAAAAAAAAAGAAATACTTAGGAATACCTCTATCCAAGGAGGTAAAAGATCTCTTTAAGTAGAACTACAAAACACTGCTGAATGAAATCATAGATGACACAAACAAATGGAAAAATATTACATGCTTATGGATTGGAAGAATCAACATCATTAAAATGTCTTTACTGCCCAAAGCAATCTACAAATTCAATGCAGTTCCTATCAAACTGCCAAAGTTATTTTTACACAGAATTAGAAAATCAATTCTAAAATTTGTATTTAACTAAAAAAGAGCCTGAATAGCCAAAGCAATCTTAAGCTAAAAGAACAAAGGCAGGGGCAACACATTACCTGACTTCAAACTATACTACAAGGCTACAATAACCAAAATAGCATGGTTTGGGTACAAAAACAGACACATAGACCAATGGAACAAAATAGAGAATCCAGAAATGAAGTCCCATACCTACAACCAACTGATCTTTAACAAAATTGATAAAAATACAATGGGGCAAGTATACCCTATTCAATTAATGGTGCTGGGAAAACTGGCTAACCATATTCAGAAGAATGAAATTAGACTCCTGTCTCTCACCATATAAAAAAATTAACTCAAGATTGATTAAAGACTTAAATGTAAAACTTTAGACTATAAGAAGCCTAGAATTAGACCTAAGAAGCTCTTTTGGATATTGGCCTATGCAAAGAATTTATGACTAAGTACTAAAACACAAAAGCAACAAAAACAAAAGTTGACAAGTGAGACCAAATTAAACTAAAGAGCTTCTGCACACTTGCATGTTATATTGCAAATATGAAATAGCAAAGACATGGAATCAACATTGGTTTCCAACAATGGTGGATTGGATAAAGAAACTATGATGCATATACACCATGGAATACTATGTAGCCAGAAGAAAGAATGAAATCCTTTCCTTTGCAGTAACATAGATGTGCCTGGATGCCATCATCCTAAATGAATTAAGATGTAAACAGAAAACCAAATACCGCATGTCCTCACTTATAGGTGAGAGCTAAACTTTGGGTACACAGGAGCAAAAGGATGGAAATAACAGACACTGGGGACTCCAAAACAGGGGAAGGAAGGAAGGCAAGGTTTGAAAAGCTACTTATTGGATACTATGTTTACTATTCAGATAATATGTTCAATAGAAGCCCAAACCTCAGCATCATGCAATATATTCATGTAACAAATGTACACATGCATGCTTAATCTAAAATAAATATTAAATAATCAAATAAAATGATTTCCATGAATAAAACGGTAGATATGATTATGTGGAAAATGCTTTACTATTTATTATGTGGTGAATAATTTAATAATATTTAATAAATACATGAATGAAAAATAGCTACAACTGTGTGTTAGGATTTCAATAATTTTTTATTTCATTCCTATAACTTTTATGTATTATTATATACATAATAATATATATAGTTAATAATAACAAAAACAACATGGTATTGAAATAATTTCCACCCAGAAGGAGGATCAACATATTTAAGTGACTACACTACTCAAGATAAAAATCATTTATCAAACAGATCAAAGTCATTTACCTGCTTTCCTTTTTATAGGTCCTAGGAACACACGTGCCATAGACAATAAAACATCACTTCCCCCATCCCACTACCTTGGACTTTATTTAACATCTTTGGGTAGAACAGAAACTGTTGATAAGGTGAGTTTTGTTTTATAGACAAGAGAGGAAAATGGATACTTTGTGTGGTCTGGGCCTTAGAAACAGACTAAGATCTTTTTTTTTCTCTTTTGCTTTTTTTACTAGCATAAAATATTAATTGGCAAAACACCGAATACAAGCTTCACTATCATAAAATCAAAACATTTAAGCAATATTCCAAAAAAGATTTGACAAAAACTAGTCACCAAGAGTACAAAAATTACACATCAACACAAAGCATAAAAAATGTGAACTTTCAAATTAAACAGTCAAAAACATGTACCTGCGTGATCACCTCCACACCTTGACTGCCTTCGTCTGCAGCACGCTGCTGGTAAAGGCTGGGTGGCTGCACCGTCGTCCCCTAACCCAACATTGCTTTCATCTGGGAAAATTCGCTTGCTAGCCAATTAAGCCATGGAGGCTATTACATTTACACGGGGCTACGCACAATCTCAGGGGACGCTCAAACAGCAGTTCGTTCCTCACACGCACTGTTGGGTGCAAAGGGCACCTGGAGAGTGAGGGAGACCTGGGCGCTTTCCTGCGGGGCCTTGGCCACGCGGCCGTCGCCCGCACCCTGTCCCTTGCCTGGCAGGGGACACAATATTTGTACAGATTATGGTATAATTTGAATGATTTTCTAATCTACTTATCTTAATTTATATAGTTTATTTAAATGTCAAGGCAGAGAAATACATTGATCATGTTAAGGTCACGTGATGTGGTGGCGCAGTAATGACTTCCTGAGGAAACAGAAATCGGATGTTTTGTGATTTAGCTATGTGCACTAAACTTATTTTCCATGTTTTGAGAGCACATTAAACATTCACGTACAATGTGGGAATAGGCTGGCTCGTAACCAAAACGTCCAACCCAATGCCACCCTTTGAATCGCTGTGAACACCGTCCTATTGCGGTTCAGAGAAAACAAGCAAGGCTGCGAAGCCCTGGGGTTCAGGCAGCTGCAGCGCTTGGGCCAAGGTAGCTCCGCTCTCTGGTCTGAAGCCACGTGGCCCCACCCCGGGGCGGCCTGGCTTTTTTATAGTGCTTATTGCTGTGTTTGGCATGCCATTCAACCCATCGGGATGTTGGATAGTGACTTGAGAGCAATCCCTAGATTTGCCCTGTCGGGATGTTGCATACTGAGTTCGGAATAAGCCCTGCTCAACTGAGGCACTATCACTAGGAGGAGGCACTGATTCCCGCCTTTCAATGCTATCTATTGGTGAAAGAGGAGTTGGATGGCATCTGGGAAATTAGTATCACTTCTACTTTTTCTTCTTTTCTTTTAAAGGTTAAAAATACCTTGTATTAGTTAATACTGCTATAAAATATGAATATCCAAATCTCTGTGGCTCAGTAAAATAGATTTTTTTTTCACTCAGAGAAAGTTCAGGTTCACCCTTAGTAACCCAGGCTGACAGAGACTCTTCCATTTTCTATACATAGCTTCCCCAATTGCCCAGAGAAGAGTGGAAAGATTTGATAGGTGACTGTACACAAGAATAAGAACTTAGTACCTAGTCACTAATTTACTCGTTGAATAAACATTTATGGAGCTTAACATATTAATCACTGGGCAGACGCTGGGACACAAGAAAAATCTTTAAGATATGTCACTGCTTATTACCAATAATGTTCTAGTGAGTAACAAGAGTTAATAACACGACTAATTATAGTATTGTAAATATAATTACAGTTCCAATAAGACATACACACACACAGAACGATTTTGTCTGGTTGTTGAGGAAATCTTTATTGATTTAAGATATCTTTTGATGAACAGGATTTTTCAATAACTATCAGAAAAAGAATGTCTATGACTTATTTTTAAAAACTATTTTCTTATCTGCCTTGCATATCTGACACTTTCATCTCCTATCTTCCTTGAATACAATATAGAACCTGACATTTCTTTCCTTTCAAAGATCCTTAGAGCATTTCCTACATTTAATCTGAATGTCTTTCTCAGTAATTTTTCCCATACAAGCAATTATGGCTACATTTTCTTAATATAATCATGAAAAGGTGAGCAAAACTGAAAATTTAATTTGGAGAATAGATACGAAACATTCAATTAATTCAAGTTGTTGTTAGGCTGCATATGTTCAGCTTTCAGTGAAGATGAACAAATGATGATAAATGAGAAACTGAAAGAAAACAAACCAATAGGTGTTTTTTAAGAAACAATATTATTAAAGTGCATGTGTTTTCTACTGAATGAAAGCAACATAGACCTTTTCCTCACATTGGTAGTTAGTAAGATGTATAAAAACAACTTTGTAAAGAACAATTAATACAGGTTAATGAATCATTGTGAAAAGGGGATAACACACTTTATTGTAGCAATGATCTGCAAGGTGTTAAATGTTAAAAAAGATGAAGAACAATTGAGTAGTTATTTGATCACAGTGTTTATTAAATTGCTTTTCCTGTATCTGGCAAGCTTTACAGAAATGTCTTCAACAGAATAACTGTGTTAAAAGCCAAATGAAATGCATTTTGAAATATGATTCTTCACTTGGTGTGCAGGTATAATCTCAGGTGTAATTCAGACAAGAGACAAATTCAATTTTAAAGTTCCATTTGTTACAATTTGATGATTGTGATTAAAGAACCATAAAAATTTTATCTTTGACATTTCATTTTTTCCTCACAAAAGTATTCTACTGCAATTTTCTTAGTTTTCTTTCCTCTTAACTGTGGTGTTACCTATAAATGCTGGATTTCTCTGTTTTACGTGCAACAAATCTACAATCAACTATTTCTGGAACGCCACTTCATTTTAACAACAAGGACCCATAAATATTTTAAAAATTCAAAATGTTATATATAAAATGTTAAATGATACACATAATACATTTCTAAGTAGTAATTATGATTATGCCCATAATTATACCCATAATTTAAAAATATGTTACCTGAAGTAAATTATTATACGTTTTATGTTGGAAGTGTTCATTTATCTTTGATCTCTGTTAACACATTGTACTATGTGGTAATAATATAAACTGCCTTACTGGATAGTGATGTATCTTTGGTTTCATATTGTTACTGGACTAATATTCCAACACTATAGATAGTGAAATTTAACATTGAAACAATTTGATAATGCCATCAATGAATCCAGTTTTTAAGAGTGGGATCCATTTTCTAAAATTGAGTATATAGATACTTCATGAGATATCTTATCATGCATCCTAAACCAAACCAACCTCTTCCCCTGACTGTCTTACAGTGTATTATTATTATTTTATCCACCACAGCAACTAGTACATTTTTCAGAACCTAGTAGATATTCAGTCATTGTCTATGGAATACATGAACACATTCTGAATTTGGACAGTCATCATTCTTGGTGTTTTAAAACAAACACTTCCTGAATTGCATCCACTATTTTCTAAGAAGCCCTAGGAATTCATTGAAGGAGGGTATGGGTAAGTTGTGGGTGAAACTGTAAAGATGTAGGTCCTCCTCCCAAAACTTCTTCAGCGTATCTTCATTGCTGTTTGTTTGCTTGCTTGCTTGCTTATTTTAAAAGAGATCTAGATATAGTCTAATAAGAATTGTATAAATGTGATGTTCCACAATGATTCTAACTTACATGGTGCAAAATAATAAAATATTACATTCTACCTGTTTGTAGAAAACCATGGATACTATAAAGGATCTAGATTTTCTCTCTCCTTTCCTTCTAAGATTTATTCACTCAGCAAAGACTTACCTGGTGACTACTTAGTGCTAGACACTGTTTTAGATACTTGGGCTATAACAGTGAAAAGAACAGTAATTGAATTAATGAAAAGTTCATTTTAATTAGCTGTATGGTAAAATAGGAAACTAACAAAAATAAAATATAACATGTCAAATGGCAATGACTGCTCTGAGAAAAATAAAGGAGAATAAGAGGTTCTAAATTATTATATACGGCCAATATTACCAACATATTATAGAAAGAAATGAGTTCATAATGTTTATCAGAGAATTCCATGAAAATCGCTAAATTTTTCTAGAAAGCCAGGCACTGATAAGAGAATAAACAAACAGATAACTGATTTTAATTTGATCTTCTCTTACAGGTGCAGCTATGATCTGCCATTGTATATAATATAAAATTAAAAATTGTTTATATTTCATTCACGTTAGCATATAATGTTCTTACTTTTTTTTTTTTTTGAGACGGAGTCTTGCTCTGTCACCTAGGTTGAAGCACAGTGGCACGGTCTCAGCTCACTACAACCTCCACTTCCCGGGTTCAAGTGATTCTCCTGCTCCAGCCTCCCAAGTAGCTGGGACTACAGGCAGGCACCACCAAGCCTGGCTAATTTTTGTATTTTATTAGAGACGGGGTTTCACCAAATTGGCCAGGCTGGTTTTGAACTCCTGACCTCAGATGATCTGCCTGTGCCTCGGACTCCAATAGTGCTGGGATTACAGGCGTGAGCCACAGTGCCCGGCCAACGTTTTTACATTTAAATATCAGACATCTATCATATTCCTTTCTCCCTACTACAAACATTGTATGCTTTTCAATAGGCATAAGATTTTGTTTTCACTCAGGTTGGATTCAACAGGTATTATTTAGCAGTTCATTG
This sequence comes from Homo sapiens, assembly GCF_000001405.40. Taxonomy (NCBI): domain Eukaryota; kingdom Metazoa; phylum Chordata; class Mammalia; order Primates; family Hominidae; genus Homo; species Homo sapiens. The sequence goes on along the minus strand of NC_000010.11, from coordinate 46,736,477 downwards.
CATCTATCCATTTACCCAATAGAGGAAGTATACAAGATACAAATGAATAAAGTGTAATAATTCTTATACTATTTGCCCTTATGTCATGTAACTGCTCCATGTTTGTATTCCGAAAACCTAACTGGGAGGGAAAACTCAGAAAAATAGAATAAAAAGTATTATATATCTCATACATCCTCATTTTTGAATATTCTAGGGGTACAGATCAGTATAAATAAAATACTCTGGTAAGTGACCACCACATCATCTGTTTGTCATTCTTAGACCCAGAGTATACCATTCTTTTAAGAAAGAAAACTTGCTACTGTACCTGCTACCCAGTAACATATATATCACATATCATATATATATCATAACATATATATCATATATCATATATACACATATCATATATCTCATATATATAACATATTTGCTACTGGTTAGGAGTAACACTCAGAAAATTATACTTAATAATGTAGTACAATTAGGTATAAATTCACTTAGTATTTTTAAATTTTACGTATATTCCTATTTATATGAATCGTCATTTAAAATCACATCTACTGATCCTGATAGCATTAAAGGCATAAGAGGTACTGAGGATATTAATTTAATTTTGTTTACAGCTATGCACAGATATTTTTAGTTCACTGAGATTTAATCCAGTAGTCTATTATTTGATTAATTGTACAGCTATCAAATCATTCAGGACTCCCACTGTTTCAACAACGAGAGTGGAAAAATATTTTTTCATTTATGTTTATATGCAGCTATTTGTAGTCTAAATTAATATCCTAGCAATTGATGGTGAAATTAAAATTATTTCTGTCAGATGTGGTACTTTGATGACAGTGGATAAGCATGGGAATAAAAGAAAGTTTTGAGGAAGAGGGGACAGTTTTTGTTTACTTAATGATTATTCCAAAGATGTTAAGTAAACATTCTATAGAATGCAACATATAGTGGAATACAGCATTGAAACAATTTAATAATGTAGTCAATGAATCCAGTTTTTAGAAATGGGATCCATTTTCTAAAACTGAGCATACAGATACTTCATGAGATGCTTTATCACTCATCCTAAACCAAACCAACTCCTTCCCTTGACTGTCTTGCAGTGCATAGGGCATCTCTACACTCTAGGAAAGGAATTATCAATCTGTTTATATGCCACTTATAAAATCATACTTAATGTACGATTAGGCATAAATTTACTTGCATTTTTAAATTTTGTAAAATGTTAACGGAAAGTGTTCTTGAAAAACATTTCTGAGAATTCCAAAAAATGAACAAATTTTAATACATAAGGGACAATATCTTTCTAGTGAATTGATTATCAGAGTGTAATGTGGTATGTTCTGATTATGTTACATAATATTCTGATTAGCAGAAAATTTTGAATAAGTGAATTTAGCAAAATGTTTAGAGGTCAAGAAAACTGTTTTAGACTGACTATGTTTTCTGACCCAAATGTAAGAAAGAACCCAATAAAAAGAGGCAGCCAGATAATGCTGTTGTTTGCAAACTTAAACAGAAGCTTGCATGTAATTTATGACTCAAAGAAAAATAAAAATAGAAGTTATACTTTATTTAGAACTTAATGACAGTGAAAAATTGCACATAAAAAGGAAGACTGTTGAATACAGCAAAAGCTGGAATTATATAAGAAATATAAACATAAACACACAAAATAAGTGTAAATTATAATGAAGTAAAAATATATCAAAGAGAAAGAAGGAAGCAGTACAATAAAAAATAAAGTTGATTCTTTAAAAACCATAGTTAAATAGACAAATTTCCAGCCAGATTGTTTACCAAGTAAAGAGAAAAAGAAGGAGATAGATCAAAAGACACAAGATGATGATGAAAAGAGGGTCAGCACTTATAAACATAGTAGAAATTTAAGCCATAATGAGCACAAGAAAGCATTATCAACTTACTTTTGAATATATAAAATAGACACTTAAAAAACTGAACAAAAATGACTTACTAGTTTTAAAAGAAAAAAAAAACATCAAACATCTATCCTTCCAAAAGTATAGACTTCAAAAGTATAGTCCCAGAAGGGTGAACATAAACCACACTTTAAGCAAGAACTCTCAGTTATAACCAGATGGGTGAACATAAACCACACTTTAAGCAAGAACTCTCAGTTATAACCAGATGGGTGAACATAAACCACACTTTAAGCAAGAACTCTCAGTTATAACCAGATGGGTGAACATAAACCACACTTTAAGCAAGAACTCTCAGTTATAACCACATGGGTGAACATAAACCACACTTTAAGCAAGAACTCTCAGTTATAACCAGATGGGTGAACATAAACCACACTTTAAGCAAGAACTCTCAGTTATAACCAGATGGGTGAACATAAACCACACTTTAAGCAAGAACTCTCAGTTATAACTGCTTGCAGTTTTAGAGGATCCCAGCCACACTCCTGAACCAGAGCTTGGCACTGGGTATTCCCTCTGGAACACCCTTTTATTTCCTTCTCTAAGCAAAGACATGGAATCAACCTAAATGCCCATCAGTGGTCTGCTGGATAAAGAAAATGTGGTATATAAACACCATGGAATACTATGCAGACATAAAAAAAGAACAAGATCTTGTTCTTTGCAGGGATGTGGATGTAGTTAGAGACCATTATCCTTAGCAAACTAACACAGGAACAGAAGATCAAACACTGCATGTTCTCACTCATAGGTGGGAGCTAAATGATGAGAACACACGGACACATAGAGTGGGGGACAACACACACTGGGGCCTTTTGGAGGGTGGAGAATTGGAGGAGGGAGAAGATACAAAAGAATAACTAGTGGTTACTAGGCTTAATACTGGGGTGATGAAATAATCTGTACAACAAACCACCATGATACAAGTTTACCTATGTAATGAACCTGCACTTGTACCCCTGAACTTAAAAGTTAAAAATGAATGAAGCCTGTCAGAACCACCCATTTAGCAGTCTAACATTTTGCCTAGTATTCCCAAATCCCTTTGCCTAGCCAACATTTTTCACAGCACTTTTTGTCTTCAAACTACTGGCCTGAAGCAATCTGGCTTAGCTTTCTGAGTAGCTGGAATTGCAGGTGTACCAGTGTGCCCAGCCACAGTTTTTTCAAGACCTGTTTAAGACAACAGGTTAGAGAAAATCAAGATAATATTTTGAGGGGGAAGAAGGTAAAATCAATTAAGACAGGGTGCACAGAGTACTTGAATGGTACAGATAATGTTTATCCTTTGTACTAAATGGTGTGTATGTGGGAATTGGTTATATTATTTTGACTGTTTGTAGTCATATTATATACATATGTGTATAAATAAAAATAAAAGAAAAAATATAAGCTAAATTTATAGATATATTAATTTTATTTAAATATAACAAAGATTTGCCAGTATTCAAATGTCTGCAATGATTCTTAAAATGCACAGAACCTGTGTTTAGGTACAGTATCACTGTTCATCCAGCCTTCATTCACTCGAATCTACTCTTACCTAAAATTTGTACCGTAAGTAAATTACATTCTGTATGACAGAAAGCAAATTACAATATTAGAACAACATTATGGAAAATTGGCATAACATTGTACAATCATCCATTACTTTATTATTTATCATTTTGCAAATTTTTATTATATTAGTAAAAAAGTCTAACTGTACTTAATAGCTAATACATATATTATTTGATATTTTTAAAGACCATTATTAAAATAATAATAATTTGGGGGTGAGAAGGCCTATTGAAAAATGACCAACGTGGAAATCATAAATAAGTTTGATGCAACAAATATTTGTGAGTCTTATAGTTAAAAATGTAAAAATTCATTATAAACAAAGCTAAAAGACAATAATATGCATTGGGAAATATTTGCAACATTTACTTCAAAGGTGGATGTCCTTAAGAGAATTTTTACAAATTAATAAACATTTAAAAAGGTGAGGAGTGGCAATAGCTATGAGAGACAATTTACAAAAACATAAAAAATATGAAAACTGTTTAATCTGTAAGTACATCAATAAAAATTTTATTATTGTAGTTATTTTATCTATTAAATTAGGAAAGGTCAATACAATTGGTAATCTTCCAAGTAAATATAGGAGAGAAGGTCTTTCTCATACATTTATAAGAATATTATTTTGTTAGAATGCAATTAAATAAACACTTGGTAAAAATCCATATCCTTTGTCCAAACAATTTAAGTTCTAGACCTCTAGAATCCACATGTACATATACATATATACATACATATACACACACACATTCACACCTATATATTAACAACTCAAATCCAACTCCAACTCTTTTGTAAGTAGTATTTTGTCCAACAAATAAATTTATCTCAAATTCTTCTTGACTTTTCTCCATTATAGAGCCAGCAATTCTACGTGTAACTCTACCTCTAATTCCTTTATTTGCATTTATTTCTGCTTTCAAACCCTTATATGAGGCAAGTGGGATTAATTTATTTCATTACCTTAACTAGATTCATCGCTTTACTTTGTCAAACTCTGATTGATTTGCTCAACTCAATCTTATGTGTTCAAGAACTTAATGTGGATTCCTGTTCCACCTTATGAAAGTCTTTTCCAAAAACTTGCTAAATTCTTGACTCAAGACATTGCAGTCAGTAATGCATTTCTCTCCTCAAATACAATGGAACTGTGTTCTAATAAATACTCTTCAACAATGTGCAGTTATTTCTCCACAACTATCAATTCCCCTTAAAGCAGAATTTTACTAAAAATGGCTTTATCCTTCTGGGGATAATCAGTAAAATGGCAATTGGTGGGTGAATTAAAAATATACTAAAAGCAGATGGCAGAACATGAGTGCAGATTTTTACTACAAAGCTTAGGAAAAGCAAAAGGAACTTGAATAGAGAAAATGCAGAAAAGCCCTCCTTTGGCTATTAGGACGGAGAGAGCAGAAGTATGTTTAGAGCTTCAAAGAGTCTGACTCTTTGCAACTGTTTATCTTAGGACTTTAAGGAAGTAAAAGGTGCAAGTGAAACACTCTGGATTATAAAATAGAATCTGACACAGAGGATTCAACCCAGTTAATATGCATGTTGCTTACATGGAAATGCTGAGAAATTTTTAGCAAATAGATAGAAAATGACAGATGGTAGGTATATAGAAAATAATTGTAGGAAAAAATGTAAAATGAAGATTTATGGTATTCCTTTTATATTTTATTTTGTTAATATGTTGCCCATAATGCTTTATTTCAAAGAATGCAAAACCAAAAAAGTAGTTCCTTCCTAACTTCCCCTGCAGCCTTGTCTTGTGGAGCTTGTATTTTACTTCATGAGAAATGCCAAGGAGATGTCATTTAAGCTGAAACCTCCAGCAGAATTAGCCACAATATTTGGGAAAAAGATGTTTCCAGAAAAAGAAAGAGCTAGTATAAATGTCCTTAGGCAAGAAAGAGCTCACGATGATTGAGGAACAACAACAAAAAAGATTATTTCACTCAAGAAAAGTGAATTGGGAGTACAGATACAAATGATGAGGTCTGAATATGATTCATGGGGCAGGTCACACTAGGGTGTTTGGGTATGGTCTAAATGAATGCGCGGCATGAGTTGCTTTAAGGAGAGGAGTGACATGATTTGACAAGTTCTTAAGAGATCCCTTTGATTACTCTGGGGAGAATAGAACATAAAGTAGCAGAAATGAAAGCAAAGGGAGATAGTAGGAAATAATTGCACATTTATAAGCAAGAAATGATGTTGGCTTGGACTCTGGTTATAGCAACAAATAAAGAAAAAAGGAAATACTGAGAAGAGTTGATTGGATTTGCTGACATTCTCAACATAAATGGAAGTCAGTATTTTTTTCTAATAAATATAATATGCGTAAATATTTTTAAATATTTAATTCTTTTACCACTAATGGGGCACGAGTAGACTTCAGGGAACATGCCAGTACAGAACCATATAAATGTGATCATTGGTAGAGATAGGAATTAATAGGCATTTGAATGTCTCCCTCAACCTGGAATACCACAAATAAAGCTCTTTGCTTTTCATGTTGCATTGTTATCATACCCTATAGTTTTCTGCCATTTTCAGTTACTTAATATTATGTTTTGCCTCAATAGATTATAGTGCTTTCTCTTGTTGTGTTATATTTGCAGCAATTATTAGTGAAGTTTTAAACTTCAATATCACATCTAAAACAGAGCAAAATTGTTGCATACTATTTTCCATTAAAACATGAGACCACTATGACAAAAAAAGCTAAACGTGTCATGAAATGACTTACATTGGATGAAAGTATATGCAATATATTAAGAAATAATCTCTGACTTTATAGTTTTTTATTTGTAGTTTTTACTAGAACGTGAAATCAATATGTGAACCCTGGCTGGAGTTTGCATCTAAATGTAATAAAATAAAAGAAAGTTTAATATTATCATTGAAGCATTAATGTACATTAGCGAGCTGGACTATATAAAATAAACTTTATTATATTTAGCATTTGATTTTTATTTATGTATATTATAAAATGAATATAGTTTATATTATAATAAAAATAAAAGAAGTAGTATGTTAACTAATTAGTATAAGATGCCTACAAACTACATATCTGCCTAAATTTTTGACCCATGAAACTTCAATGATTTGTGTTAATGTTAAGGCCTACATTTATTTATATATATATATAATTAGGGGAGGAATTGTTAATTCTTTCATTTTAAAAATTTTAACTTTGCAGACAAAGTTGACTATACCTGTGGCAGAACACTGCAACAGCTATAAATAAATAAATAAATAAATAAATAAATAAATAAATAACTTTTATTTTCTGTGGAGCTCCCAGAATTATGAATTATTCTGTAGATTGAGATTTGCCAAGGTCCTTTTCTTAGAGTTGCAAGAGCATAGGAGAAAGTCAAGGGAAATAATAAGCAGCACTTGATTTCCTTTACCACAGTGGATGGGCTTCTAAAACCAAATTACCTGACTATAAATCCAGATCTATCTTCTGCAGGCTATGTGATTGTGGATGTTACCTCTTCTGTGCTTCAATTTCCTCATCTGTAAAATGGAATTATAGCCTACCCTATTTTGTAGTATAGTGAGGATAAATAGAATGAATGTATGTAGTTCTTAGAATAGAGCATGGCACGTGATAAGTGGTCAATAAAATATTGTTTACTACTAGTTATGTAACAGTCACTTCACACATAATAATGATTTAATAAAGGAATAAGAAGAATGTAGAGCACAGCTTCTCAACATTGGCACTATGACATTTTGGGTCAGACAATTATTTAATGCAGAGGGGGCTATAGGATGCTTAGCAGTGTCTCTGGCCAGTAGTGTACCTCCTCCTCTCCAAGTTTTGACAATCACAAAGGCTTCTAGACATTGACAACTATCCCCTGAAAAGTAAAATTGTCCCTGCTTGAGAACACAAATATAAAGTAACCACTCAAAGATTACATTACTAATTTTAATTGAATTTGACCAGCATTATGAAATAAGCATAAGCTTAAGTTTCTACCCTTGATTTTGTCATTGTCAGTTAGGGCAGCAGAGAACTCCAATTCTGAAAATTCTGAACATGTGCTAATACCCTATAATATAATCAAAACTTTCATTTTTGAATTGTATTTCTTAAAAATTAGAAAATTTATTAAGCAGCAACATGGAATAATTAACCACAAAAATGTTGAACATAAATCTCATTTGCCTAAGTTCTCTTTTGAAGTCCTGTTTCACTATATAAGTATTATGTGTTTTGTTTCACAGCTAGATAACAGCCAGTTTTTTCTCTGAGCCTAAGGTTGCTCCTCAAATTTATGGTGGCTTATAGCTCTTCTAAGTTTCTATAAAACTTCAGCAACCTGCAGCAGGTTGAAATTTATTGATATTGAGTTATTCACCAGGTCATATTACAAAGTCAGGGACTGACTCACCCAAACCAGATGCTCCCCCTGCCACCAGATCACTAGGAGATATTGCAATCATTTCCCCTGGCTACTAAATTAGCAAAAATTCTCAGGGAGAGAGAAGGGCAAGATGGCACAGTTTAATACTTACTATTATTCTTTTATTCTTTATCATCATTCCCTTTGAATGGATTAAGAATCTGACATAAATATAACTTGCTAAAGAAAGGGTGTTAGGTGAGAGGGAAGTCATATTGGTCTAAGAAAAGTCTTAGAGAAATATTTGAAAAGAGGTAGAGAGAAGGGTTGGATTGGAGTGGGTGGGTGGGGAATCACACTAAGGAGATGGATCATTCATAATTTCTTTAGACATGGTGAGGCAGCCACAGGAGTCTGAACTTGTTGAAACCCTAGTCTGAAGCCAATAAAAGTGCTCAATAAGGTCACACTTTGATCTTCTCTGCCTAAAGCAGTTATTCACCCTATCTTTGGGAGAGGAAACATCTACAAACCTTTGTTCTCTTTGTTAGCAGAGGGATGACATGAATTTGGGAAAAACGTTTGAGAGACAAAATGAGATTTAGCTCGAGCAAGTGATCGACTTGTGCTGGGTTGCAAATGGACTTTTTCAACAGGCAGGTTGAAACTGTGCTTCAGCAATTAGGATACCAGATATAAACATCCATGCACAGAATTGGAAAGGTTCAGCTTTCATGGTTGCTATGGTTTGAATGTTCCCTCCAAAACTCATGTTGAAACTTAATCCAAAATATGACAATATAGAGAACGAGCTTTTTAAAGAGGGGATTGGATCATGAAAGTTCTTCCCTCATGAGTGGATTAATCCATTGATAAGTCAGTGGATTAATAGGTTATCTTGGGAGGGAAACCATTAGATTTATAAGAAGGGGAAGATAGACCTGAGCTAGCATGTTAGCATACTCAGCCCTCTTGCCATATGATACCCTGTGCTACCTTGGGACTCTTCTGAGAGTCCCCACAAGCAAGAAGGCTCTCAAAAGATATGCCCCATCGACCTTGGATTTCCAAGCCTTCTTAGCTGTAGAAAATAAATTCAGTTCTTTGTAAATTACTCAGTTTTAGGTATACTGCTATAAGCAACAGAAAATGGACTAAGACAATGGTCTTATCCAGAACTTTGTAAACTAGAATTGGCTGTTTAGATTCAGTATGTATTTTTTTTATAGATTCAAAATAATTTTGTTTTGAACTGTACAATGAAGGAGTGTCATAAGCTTTTCCACATGTAGAGGCTCTAAATATCAGTCTGGCATTGTGATAAAGCAGAGAGTTTAAACCCAATCCTATTTGTGCCCCATGACCGTTCTTTCTGGTTACAGTTCAGAAAAGTAGGAATGGATGTGTAACTCAAGGAGAAGCATACAATACATGAAGCTTTTTCTCAAAATTTTGATTTAGAAAATGAGGTATTTTAGTATGTTAATTATAGGCATCTCAACTGAGAAGTCTAATAGCATTGGGCCAGAATTGTCGCAGCAGTCCAAAGCCATGGATAAACTTAAGTTAAAGGGAGCAAATACTAACAGCCTTCCAAATTAATCTGTATTGGAGAAGATGATAAACAGATGAATGGGAACTAGAAACCATGCAGACTTGGAACTAGATATAAAACAAACAGCTATCTAATGATTTCTTATTTACTCTGAGCCCAAGATATTTTTGTATCCTTTTAGTTAAACCTCTGTTTTACTAAGGAAATTTAAATAAGATTCTGTCTCTTGCAAGAAAATAACATCTAAGACATCTTCGTATTTAATACTGCCTTAATTTTGTTTACTCCAGTGGTCCCCAACCTCTTTGGTACCAGGGATTCGTTTCGTGGAAGACAATATTTCCATGGACAGGGTTGGGGGGAAGGTTTCGGGATAAAACTGCTCCACTACTCAGATCATCAAGCACTAGATTCTCACAAGGATCAAACTAGATCACTTGCATGCGCAGTTCACAGTAGAGCTGGTGCTTCTGTGAGAATCAAATGCTGCCAATGATCTGATAGGAGGCTGAGCTCAGGAGTAATGCTCACTCATCCACCTCTCCCATTCTGCTGTGTGGCCCAGTTCCTAACAGGCCCGGTACCAGTTTGTGGCCCAGGGGTTGGGACCCCTGTTTTACACTATAACATTTCCACACGTCTCTCATGGCCTTTCAGATCCACTGCTTGTCTCAACTCAAGTCCAGCTACCTGAAAATTCGATTATTTTTTCAAAGTGAATTTGAATATCTTTATGTTGAATACACAGTCTCCACTTTTACGCAGCCCCTACTGTCTTCTATCATACCTCTCTAGCCCTGGAAGAGATCAACTTTACATTCACTTTTCCTGTTTTAGGGCTATTATTTTATCTTCAATTACCAAAATCTATCTACATTTAGATACTTTAACTTGCAAATACATAGTAAACAATTACAGATTATTTAAAATAGCAGTTTTCCCATGAGTATAAAAAAAAAGAACAATAAAAGCAATATTTGTTGAGTATTTTAAAGTGCCAGGCACTGAGCAGTGTGCTTTGCTTAAGTAAATGTTTGACAAAATAAAAGGTCCTTTAAAAGTTCCATGCTTTAACATTAATAACCATATAAAGATAAGGTTAGACTTCCTATCAAATTAGCAGTTTTGTGAAGATAGGCCTTTTCTGCTATATAGAATCTCCTCAAACCTGAGTGTTCGTATTATGGATTATCTAGTATACTCCATAGCTATCAAGTTTGTGTATGTTTCTTTCTCAAGCAAGTTATCTTATTTCTCCTTATTTCTTCAGACTTATCCTTTCTTTTCTTTTCTTTTCTTTTTTCTTTTTTTTTGAGACAGAGTTGCACTCTTGTTGCCTAGGCTGGAGTGCAATGGCATGATCTCGGCTCATCACAACCTCTGCCTCCCGGGTTCAAGTGATTCTCCTGCCTCAGCCTCCCGAGTAGCTGGGATTACGGGTATGTGCCACCACGTCCAGCTAATTTTGTATTTTTAGTAGAGACGGGGTTTCTCCATGTTGGTCAGGCTAGTCTCGAACTCCGCCCGCCTCAGCCTCCCAAAGTGCTGGGATTACAGGCATGAGCCACCGAGCCTGGCCCCTAACCTCTCATTTCTAAGGAAATGACAAATTAAGTCTTTTATGCAAATACAGTGTAGGGTCATTTAAAAATATTTTTTGTAATAGGTGTCTCTGTACATAAATCTATTTAATTTTTTCTCTTTTACAGTAAAAAAGGCAATACTGTGTTTTAGTTTCACCAAAAATTTCAGTAGACCAATTGTGTAAAGGGATACATTTATATGAATTTTTTTGACATAGTAAAAACTAAGAGGGGAAGTTATTCAAATATTTCAGCATAAATTCCCTTTCCTTGAAATTGCAATCGTCATGTGTAGCTACAATTCCTCAGCATTCCTCTGTAGTATAAGTAGCTACAATTCCTCAGTATAAGAAACACTAAGGTGGAAAATTAATTGTTAAGAGAACAAAGTCATAACAAAACAACAAAACAAAAAAGTAGGATATAGAAACATTAACTCAATATCACTCTTGAAGCTCACATAAGAGAAATTATTGTACTAGACACTGTGGTTCATCATCCAGACCCCATCTTCATGGGAAGACATCGATCCCACACTCATGGGGAACATCAGCAGCTGACAATTCACACCTGTACCTTTCACTAAATATTGTCCTAAGACAAACTAAAATGAACTAACTCGCCCAAAGTGGTGCCTCCTTTCAGAGAGCAGCCATTGACCCATGGCTGGCTAATGTAGTTATACAAACATGCAACTGCTTTGCATCAATTTGGGACAACTCTGAAAGAGGCCCAGTAGGATTGGCTGAAGACTCAGTTCAAAGTTGTCAAATAAAGCACACCATGCCCAGCTGAATTTACATTGTTTACTATGAGTATATCCCACGAAATATTTAGGAATTACATATACTAAACATTATTCATGATTTATATGAAATTTAAATTCAACTGGGCAACTTGTACTTTTACTTGGTAAATCTGGGAGCTTTTCCTTAGTTGCATCTGCATGGCAGGTAAGCATGTCGGTATGCCCAGACCTCCCTTCTTTGCTTCCTTATAAGTGCGTCCCAGAAAACAAGCAATCATCTCAGAGCCAATAGGCATTGAGGCTTTTGATAATCAAACTCCCAAAGGTCAAGGAAAAAGAGAGTATCCCAAAAGCACCAAGAGAACAAACAAACACATAACATACAATGGAGCTTCAGTATATCTGGCAGCAGACTTTTCAGTGGAAACCTTACAGCCAGGAGAGGGTGACATGACACATTTGAAGTGCTGTTTATGGGTCCCTTCGGATTGTAACGGGGAAAACAAGAATTGTAGCAGGAAGAATTAAAAGAAAAGAGAGAAGCTTTTTTTTTTTTTAATAATCTGATCTTTTTCTATTGAGAGGCAGGCACCCAAATGCTGCTTCTGTCGGGGAGTGAATCTGTAAATTCTTTGTAACTCTGTGCTACCTATTTGTTAACCTGTGTAATTTGTTCTCCTGCTGACTTCTTGCAAACACTTGCCAGTGGGTATCTGAAGCCTCTTACATCTTCTGTGGCACGGACTTGGCCTATATTTAGCATATTCACTCATCTAAAGTGGGAAGAAGAATCTGGCATCTTTTCTCTTTCTCCATCTTGCCATCAAAAGCTGCCTCAATGAGCATGTAGCCTTCAGAATTTTGAAAGCAAGAAGCAGGCAACAACTGGCCATGTTTAGCTTCATCTTGAAACTCTTGAGGACACCTATCAAACTTTCCCAAAACTGTCTCATCATGTATGGTTCCATTGCAGGATGGGTGCAATGCTGAGTGCCAGAAGGAGAGGGATATCCCATTCTTTCCTTCTTAAAAATTGCTCCCAGTCTTTTTGAGCTCTCTTCCTGTTTGGAAGGAGAACTAAAGCAAGTTTAGTTCTCCTTACAAAAGAGAAAATAATTAAAAGCACTCTCACTTAGGTAACTAATTCACTTTCTATATGATAATTCTTAGAATGTCTAGTCCTCTCTTTACATAAGAGTACAGGTAATTGAGGTCAGTGAAGGTTTTAGTTACAGAACTGGTCTGGCTACTTTTTATTAAAACCTGCAAAGACTTAACTGTTCTTCTATAATTTAGGGATACTCATCATTTAATAGGGAATAAACAAAAATTTGAGACAAAAGGAAATTCTGTATCCATTTCATATATATACATGTAAATTACATATAGAAAAAATGGTTTAGAAGAGGAGTTAATATCAATTTAAAAACGGGAATTTTAAAGCTGGGAATAATACATAGCATAAATATGTATAAGGATTCAGCAAAATGTTAGTTGAAACAGGGGGCTAAATAAACTTGAAGTTTAAGAAAGTTAAGAAATGAACCCAAATATGCATAAATCTGAGGACAAAATTTGATATTGCTGCTAATAAACAAGGGAGGGGCATCATATTGGGAGGCTTCATTAATAAAAGTAACAAATTATGAGAACAAATAGTCTTGTTATAGTTTATCTGGTGAAGCATTTTAATGAGGCATAGCTGTCTGTTCCATTACCGAACGACTTTTCTTATGTGTGCTCTGGTAGATTTTCATATGGCTACACTGAAAGATATTCCCAAATGTCTGACTAATAACTCTATCTATAGGCAACTGTTCTGAAGGTTTAAAGTAAGGAGGATGGGGTTCATTTAGAACCAGTGGGAAAAAATGCTAATGCTGGGCTTTGAATTTTATGGATGCTGTAGCTGTTATTTTTCAATTAAATAAATGTTTTATATGCCATGTTTTGTAGCTATCGCAGTTAAACTGCCCTCATCTTTTTGCCCAGCAAAAAACCCATTAAGATCTTCACTGAGATTGAGTCTAGGTTTTTATAAAATTAATAACTTTGCTACTGGTTTCTCAAAAATGAGTAGAAATGACTTTTCAATGCAAATGCCAGTTTTTGATACAGTGAAATTATCCTGTCTGCAGTGACTATTTGAACTTTTATCGGCAATTGGACACTGAGAGACTTAGTATATGAACAGATTTATCCTTAGATTATCTAATACATGCTTTGCACCCTGCACCATAAAACCCGATCTATTTTTAAAGCCTTGGTTGTTCTGAAAAATGAAATGAAATTGTATTAAATGGCATTTTGACTGGGGAGAAAAAAAAAAACTTCATGTGGTTTAAGAGAATGGATGCCGGCAATTGACTGTCTACTGTTTATTCAAAACTTATAGATTAGCAGCCAGATGTGGCAGAAAGTTGGCTGATTTTTCATTCACAACAAAAACGATGCTGTGCTTAATGAATGGAGGTTTGTTATCCCAGTAATAAGTAAAAGGAACATGAAAGCCCTTGTGTTTAATGTTCATGCAAATAAGCTATTTGCAGGTGGCTTTTGGGCAGGGTCAAGTATTTTCAAATATTTTTCAAAACTGGGTCAAGTTTTTTAATTGTCAAAAATTACCAGCTAGAGGAAAACCTCCTAAAAACTTTATTATGCTATTTCCCAAGTAAATGAAATGACAAGTCACTTATCATTTAAAAATTACATATGAAAATTCTTTTCCTTATGATTTCGTCAATAAATAAATTCTAGAGGATTCTAGATATATTTATTTGGCATTTTTTTTTAATGTGGTATCAAATTTTGTGGACATTCTTTAGAGAATCAAATTCTTAAAATGGCATTGAACATTTAATTTAAAATGTCCTTCTTGAACCATACATGTTTATTAAAAAATTATTTTATATAGGTTATCCATTAAAAAACAATTTTCTATATATGTAAACATTTATGATAACTGCTCATTATTTTGGTCCATACTTATTTATCTACCTATTTATTAAACAATACAAATCATACGCTTTGTAAAAATAAAGGCCTAGTCTAATATTACTCTCTGTCAGAAATAAAATAATTCAGAGAAGTCTGTATTAGAAGACAAAATAAAACAAAACAGAAAATGATGAGAATCACAAAACCATTGCCAAATTTCCAGCTATGGCATTTACTCTCCATGTGGCCTTAGGTATCTTACTCTCTTATTTTAACCTTTCTTTGATTACTGTAAAAATAATTTGTTACTAAGAAACCCTCTTGCTTTAGTAGCTGTGAGTATAAAATTAAGAACATAATTCTCAAAAAGTGTTTTAGTCTTCCTGGAAACATTTTAAAATATCAATTAATCATTGAACAATACACAATCGCCTGATCATTTGCTAAGAGAGGGTTGCATTCTCATCTCTGTTCACTTCTGTCCTTTCTGAGACTTACACAGGTATGAGAGCTAGAAAAAATATTAATGTGTAGTAATTCAAAATTTCTCATTCATGAATCACTTCAGCAGTGCAAAGAATACTTTGTAATTTTTAAAAGGCATTTTTATTAATATACTTCTACTATTCTACCCCAATCAACAGCAAATTTACCTAAATCATGAGACTACTGGTACTTCTAATTTTTAGAAAAGAATGACATAAACTGCTAATAAACCCAATGAATCCTTTACCCGCAATGAGAATGTCCACGAGTCAGCTCTTCTGACCCTCTGGCCAGTGTTCTGGAGTTACTGATCTCCAACTTTCTAATTGAACTCTAGCTTGGTATGTGAGAGCAGCCATGGGTGAACCAGTGGAGCAAGATTTAAGCCTTGACATTGCCATTAATGATTCACCACCTGTTGCAAGTTCAATAAGTTATTCACACACCAAATTGTGGCCGCAAAATTCTGGGAGATAAACTAAGTTAGAAAGATTGGGGGTGAATAAATGTTTGCTAAATCAGAATTGTTAATGATAGAAATCTGTATCTTAACAAAGTTGAGAAATCTTGTCTTCTTAACGTGTATTTATTGACTTCCCAGGATATGTCTTAGTGAGGAAACATAGCTTCTGGCATTTATTATTAGAGTGATAAGGAATAATAAACCACAGTGCTTGAGAGACAGGGAAAGGCAGGGGGAGCCAGAGACACAGTAACAGAAGCAGATTAATTGACTGATGAAATAAACTTGAGATAAGAGAGCACAGAGGAGGTTCAAGAGATGGAACCATATATTCCTCTCTATCTGCTCCCAACATCAAGGAAATTCATAGCATATTTTATAATGAATCCCTGATAAATATTAGTCTATAATTGAAAATCTATTAAAATGACTATTTCTTAGGGTACACAAAAATATTACAACAAAACAAGTAAAGAAAAGTTGCCATGGGATGGAATATTATATTTTCCTGCATGTCTGCTTCAAGGCAGAATCCTAATGGTCATGTATGTAGGTAAATTATTCTTTTTACAGCAACTTCTGGGAGGTGGTATTTGGTGCAGTATAAAAGGCAAGGGGTGTAGTGAGGGTAAAGCGTAAGTACTTTGATCTTGAGCCTTGACTATATTGGACTTGGGATCTCGGAAATCTTGGGGATAAGCAGTGGATTAAATCCATAAATTAGTAAAGTGTTGATTATACAACAGGTAGAACTACGTGCCACTTTTGGAGGGACAGTCTTCTTTTTTAAAAAAAACAAAAGGCCTTAAAGGCTTTATGTATATATAAAGCCTTTTTTAATTATAATAAATACATTTTTTTAATGAAACAATCTGCACATATACAATTCCACTCTCAAGAAAGGCAATTATTTACATAATTATGCAGAAATTCCTATAATTATGAAAATAATTGCCTTTCTTCAGAGTGGAGTTGTATATGTGCAGATTGTTTCATTTTAAGAAAAGAAATATTTACTGATTTGATTAACTGAAGTTCTGGATGCTTAAAAAATGATTAAAATACACAGATCTACTATCTGTCTTCATGAACTTTAAATGTCTTGTAAGAAATTCAAGTAATAAAGACTACAACATTTATTATTTAACTGGAACATGTATTATTTATTATCCTAACTGTGGTTAGGAAGCACCATTATTTATTATATCTATATTAATCAAGTTGTATCCTGTAACAGGTTTCCTGTTATCCACTCATGTCTTCTAACTTCTGAAGTATTGTTTAAATTACAAGGGAGAAACCTAGACACTACATTTTCTAGGATCTCAGGACAATAGAGCTCCAGGTGAAATTATGCTAAATAAGGGCATGAGTGTAAGATGTGGATGTCACAGTGAAGAGATTTAGAGCATTTTTCTGGTGACCTCCTGTTTAGGTTTGACAAGCATCTAAAATCATTGTTAGCAACTTTCCCATAATTATTGCATTTTCAGCCTTTATGAAAATAGCAGCATTTTTTTTCCTTTCTTTGCCCATGCACACCATCTAATCATGAGATAAGTCTCCTTCTGAGTCCCTAAATACATGACATACATAGATTGGGATCTTTTTCTGACCTGTTCCTGTCTGATACATTCTTCAACTCTAAGATGAGTTCATACTCATCTTCTGAAGCCCCTGGGAAATGGAAATATTTTTTCATATTGGATGTTGGTAGAGACCCATCATTTAATGAACATTTATGTGCCAGGATTTGTACAAGACACTTAGATACATTATTCATGTACCTCACACAAATGTATCAACAACACAACAAAATGTCTGTATGAAATAATAATTATTATATCCCTTATATGGAAACAGATCCAGAGAGGAAGATACACTAGCATGTGTAAATAGAGGATTCAAGTATTAAACATCCATCTGTCCAACTGACTACAACCTCTTTCATAAAATGCTAATTTCTCTCCTGCTTCTAATTTTCTTATCAAAAATTGTCATCTATTGTTATTGGGTCTATGGGTGGGTAGTGACTCCTTGGTTTCCATTTTGTTCTAGCGGATTACTGTCTTCTTTATTTTTGTTCTAGTGTTTATTGAGAGTCCTAATTAATTAACCTGGCTGCTCTGACTTCCATCAGCTCACCATTGTCTCTTCTCCCAGCTCATAATTTCTGTAACAGAGCTCTAGGCTATGCTGAAGTTCTGCTATATGTTGCCAGTCTCTCTAGATCCAAGTGCCTCTTGTCGGCCAAGTTTACATGCACGTGTTTAAAATCTTCTTATTGACTCTATATACAAAGTCTTCACATGCCTTCCTCCTTAAAATAATAGCATTGTGAGAAGAAAAAAAAAATCATCATTCTTTTTAAAACTAATTCAGGATGTCTATGTTATACAACAACAAGACGTGGGGGAATATTTACCTGGTAGTTCTGTCCCTCGTTATCATTCTCACTCATTATAAAATTGGTATCTGAAAAAAATCTTGCTGCAAAAACAAAAAAAAAATGTATAGGGTATAAAGAAAAAGTTTGCTTCACATCATAACCATTACCCATCCCATTGCCAAAGGGAAGATTGTACACTACATGATTCCGGGGAGCAGCATTCACATAGACTATAGTGTGCATGGTACATGCAAGAGACCCCATAGTACTACCCGCTTTGTCCTCCTTGTAGACATGCTCACAGATGATCCATGCTCCCTGACCTGGAGTAGTCAAATAAAAGAGTAGCATCAATTTATTAAGATTCTTTCCAGACCATTTTCTAGGTATTCCCATTATATATTCCTTCAAATGGAAGGATTTTATTCTGTACATCACATCTCACTGTACACATTTTTTTCTGAAATCTGAAATCTGAGTATTTTAATTTTATACAGTTTCAATTGTGAGAAGTACCTGACAGACTGACCTGACCTAACACTCTCTAAGCTAAAACACTCATAAACTAGCATAGAAGCTTTACACATTTATCCATTTCTCTAATTTACTTATCTATTGTTTCCTGAAACATCTATTAATCTTGCAGTTATTTGAGATGACTGTGAGCTTACTATTTGCCAGGGATGGCATGAGCACCTTGGTTTAGTCTAGTGCCTGGCATTTATTTTCCTAAACTGTGGCAGCAAGTTTAGCTGTAAGCATATTTTTTATCAGAACAATCATCCATCTTTAACTACATGTGAGGAAAGTACTTTCTTATATTGCATTACACATTTTTATATGGCCACAGAAATCCTTACTTAGTCTGACAAAATTATGGTAGATTTCTTTCTCCTAAGGTCAAGGAAAGAATCATTCTGTACTGTTTCCATGGAGATGTTTCTCCTTTTCTCAATTGCCAATTGTCTACTGTGTGTCCTGGGTTCCTTCTTTTCATATGTCATGAGGATTCTCACCCCAGCATTCTGCTCCTCTGAGTCAAAGCCCTTGACTTTCACTTCTCAATTGTTTTGTTTGCAGTTTTTTTGCTTTCCTTTATTTTTCTTACTCTATAAATGCTATGAAAGTGTATGTAAAAATTTACCCATCTTTTAGTTTATATTTGTTATCACCCTTTATTCATATACCAAACCATATAGGAAATGAATATAAGGAGATCTTTCTTAGTAGGAGGTAGAAGTAAAATTTTGTTTAGAATAAAAACAGAAAAAAAGAGAATAAAATTCCATATCACCAGTTTGCTTCTAAATGCCCAATGTTTCCACTTATGAGCTTGCTACTGTACACAACGCAAGGGCTTGTAAAAAATTGTCTAAATGATAGTGGTTAAGGACGTATTTTAGGCTAGGTTACTTTAAAAAAATATATCATCACTTCTGCCGTCAAAAGTGAATTTGATGTATCATAATTGTTAAAGTTGAGGAGGGTCAAGGATTCTTCTCATTCTATGGTTTCCTTATAAATACACTTTCTAATAAATGCCTAATTTTTTTCTGTGAAATTAAACCATTAGATATTGCTGAATGTCTGTATGTTTCTTACTTTTCTAGAATCTCATTCTTAATTATAGTTTTATATTTTTCCTTCAACAAAGTCTTAAAACCCATGCAGCTGGTGTCTATTATTTACATTCTGTGATGTATTTTATTTGACTTTGTGTTTTTAGTCTTTTCACAGAAATCCTTTTATTGTGATCTTCTTGTCCAAAAGCACTTATTTCATATCTCTTTTCCATACCTATCTTCATTAGCAGGTTGCATTTCAGTTTCTTCAGTCCTTTTTTAGATAATATATTTTACTACATCTGTCTTCACAACACTGTATACGCTCTGATGATCAGGTCTCCCTTCTTTTTTTTTTTTAAATTCTCGTCCTCTTTGGGACCCGTGACAAAGTAAAAGGCAGATTTTTTTCTCACCTGACTTAAAAGTAAAAAGGTGGCCGGGCGCAGTGGCTGATGCCTGTGATTCCAGCACTTTGGGAGGCTGAGAAGGGCGGATCGCGAGGTCAGGAGATCGAGACCATCCTGGCTAACATGGTGAAACCCGTTCTCTACTAAAAATACAAAAAAAAAAAATTAGCCGGGCATGGTGGCGGGCGCCTGTAGTCCCAGCTACTCGGGAGGCTGAGGCAGGAGAATGGCGTGAACCCAGGAGGCAGAGCTTGCAGTGAGCCGAGATCGCGCCACTGCACTCCAGCCTGGGAGACAGAGTGAGACTCCATCTCAAAAAAAAAAAAAAAAAAAAAAAAAAAAAAAGAAGTAAAAAGGCTTCATATGTTTCTCCTCTGATTCTTCTTAGGCCCAGCATTTCCAAAAACAAAATAGTACACAAAACATTAGTTGTAATGATACTTCAAAAGGTTCAAATACTAGTTTTTGGCTGCTTTCTGACTATATTTTTCTTCTAAAGAAATTTTGTTATGAAGTATTGAACTATTCAGTATACTTTAATATTTTCCAAATAAAGTTTCCAAACTGATATTTAACAATATTCTCTTATATTCAAACATATTCTGAACTATTTTCTGCTGTGTCTCTAGATCAATATTTATAAATCTAGATTGTTCATGTATTTTTTTTCCTTTGCTAACTTTCAAGATCATATCAAAAAGCACCACTGTTGATTCCATTTTTTATGTTTCATTATTTGAAACTATATTGACATTTTTCCTCTTCTTTATCATTCCCTGTTATCTCATCTTTGTGAGTCTTCCAATTAATGTTTTTTCCTTTGAATTATTTATTTTTTAACTGAAAATAAATTGTATATATTTAAGGTGTACCACATGATGTCTTAAAGTATACATACATTGTGGAATGGCTAAATCAAGCTAAACATACGCATTATATGCATTACCTTGTAATCGGACCCCTTGAGGTGTCAATACCTCAGCATTTTTAGTGATTGAGATAACAAAAATTCGAATTAGGCCCTTGCTTGCTTGCATAAAAGCCAACATCCCTTGTTCTCACAATACAATTGCAAACTGCTGATTTACTATTTCTTTGTCAACCAGGAGAAGATAACTTTAAGGTAACAAAAAACATTTGCAGAAGGAATGAATGCCTATAAGGATGTTGCAACTAACTGCTGAGGCCCAGAAGTCTGGTTGCTCAGGATATTATCAGAGATTAAAGAAACACAGACTTTCCCCTTGGTTCCCTAAAACTCCCCCTCTCTTACTGTCTAGCTGCAAAAATATCCTCTCTGCATTTTTTTTTTTTTTTTTTTTTTTTTTTGAGACGGAGTCTCGCTCTGTGGCCCAGGCTGCAGTGCAGTGGCGCGATCTCGGCTCACTGCAACCTCCGCCTCCCAGGTTCACGCCATTCTCCTGCCTCAGCCTCCCTAGTAGCTGGGACTACAGGCGCCCGCCACCATGCCTGGCTAATTTTTTGTATTTTTAGTAGAGACGGGGTTTCACCGTGTTAGCCGGGATGGTCTCCATCTCCTGACCTCGTAATCCGCCCGCCTCGGTCTCCCAAAGTGCTGGGATTACAGGCGTGAGCCACCGCACCCGGCCCCCTCTGCTTCGTCTTATTGTTAAGACATGTCTGAGAGATCTTGCCCCGTTCTCACTTTGGCCAAATGGAATAAACTTTTATCTATCCCCAAGCATTGGTGTGTCAGTGTTTGGTTTCAATTGAGCATCAGGTACATGAGCCCGAATTTGGGCCTCTACAACATCTTCACCTACTTACTATATTTTGTGTGTGTGGTGAGAATACTTAAAATCTACTCTATTGGCAATTTTCAAATATAAATGTATTGTTATTCACCGTAGCCACCATGATGTGCAATCAATTTTTTGAACTTACTCCTCCTGGCTAACTGGAATTGTGTGTCTTTTGACCGACATCTCTGCAATTTCCCCATGCCCTAGCTTCTGATGACTACCAATTAACTGTCTGTTTCTATGAGTTTTACTTATCTAAACTCTCTATATAAGTGAGATTATGTCATAGTTGTTTTTAAGTGCCTGGCTTATTTCACTTGATGTAAAGTCTCCCAGGTTCATCCGTGTTGTTGCAGAAGATTTCTTCCCTTTTTAAAGCCCATTAACCTTTTATAGATCTGGTACTGAGGCAATGCAAGCTTATTGGACAATTATATGTTATTTGAATAAATTGAAACATAACAGCTTATAAAGGGTCAAATGGCAGTTAATAGCCTAAGAAATAGGTTTGGAATATTATTTCTTAGCATAAAGGATAATATTGGTCAGAGTCTTCTAGGCTTGAATTCTTGGCTACTTAGATTTTATCAAGTAAATTGTAAAAGGATAGTCAATCACTTTTTTCACATGAATTGCTGTATGAATTTCGACTTGACAAGAAAGACTGTGAAAACAAAACCACTATTATCTGTGAACTACCTAATGTGGAAAGAAATATCCTTAAATAAAACTTTGAGAAAGTAGATTACTCAATTTTTTCCTACAGATATCCCATATATTGTAACTAATTATAATATTTAATTGAATACAAAATCTTTCTTCTTAAGGAAAGATTTTATTCAGTTTTAGAACGTTAAAGTTTCTCCACTCTAATATATACAGAACTTCTTTAACCTTTAAAAATATTGCTTCACTTATTACTCATGATAATTGGGCCACATACATAATTAAAACACACCATTTATTATTTCCCCTTGTAAAAGTGGCATCTGGTTCCCCAACTTAACTTCAAACTGTAATTTTAAACAAATAATAAAGTGTTTTGAAACATTAATGTGGTTAATTGTCTTATCTATTGTCTATGTTCATCAGGAGCTGTGACATGCCCAAAGGAAGGTAATCAGAGGAAGGAAGAGAAGAAGCTAAGTTCTAGAGAATCCATTAATCATGGTTTAGATGACTGACCATTTTATTATTTTCATTTTCCATTTAAAAACGTTCCATTTTTAAATTGGAAGGGGGTATGTTTTAGAATAGAATAACGAAATTCCCTCCATCTCCTCGTAGTGTACGTGATTAAGAAGAACCTAACAGAAACATAAGGTTCTAAGGTTCTTGCTGGAAATAATAATCAGAACTGTAAGAATTCTCTTATAGAAAACATTTAAAAAAGGAAATTCTAGCAATAGAATTCATTGTTAAAACTGTAAGTCACAACAATATTGTCTCTGCATGCTGACTGTACTCCTCTGTAATCTTCAAAGGCAAACAGGAACAGTAATAATCTTTTCATGTACTCTCAACTTCCTTCTCTGAAAGGCTAGAAAATGTCTTATATGTAGCACTCATACTGTCATTTAATCAAACCCAGTTTCTATTTTTCTTCAATTTCTAGAGGAATGGCTACTTAGTCTTTCTGGCATAATGTGAATTTCTTAAGTGTCTGTAGACTACATCTCCTATTTTTACTTCTTGAAGTTTCTCTCAAACTGTGATAAAGAGTGTCACTCTATCGGTACTGTTAATAATGTAAATTTTGTTTCTCTTTTTGTTACTGCCAAGATTCCACTGACTGTTGAAATATAAAAGAAAAACAGCATTAAATCAGGTGTGATAAAATCACCTTTTTCTGTTTATCTCCACCACTGGCATTTATTGGCACTTGGAAACTATTTATAAACTCATACTCTTGTAACAGTCTTGTAGCTGAAACCCACTGGATTCAAAATCTATTCCTAGTACTTAACTTTCTTCTGAAAATTCCCTCATCTATAAATTTGAGGATGATGATAATTGCAAAGATGCCAGGGAAATTTATAATCATTACTGAACTAATCCTTTTGAAAATATAAAGCAGCATTAAATGTTACGATTACTAATCTTTTTAATTAAAGTGGCAAATGTGTCCAAAAATCTGTAACTAAGTTCATTACTCTCATTTATGCAGCTAAACTTAAGTTCTACCAAATGTATTTTTAAGTTGATTAAAAATATGGTTGGCAGCATTTATAAATACCCATTATTAACATGCTATACTGGTAAATATATTTCTGCTCTTATGACTAGAGAGTGTTGTACTTTAGTAAAAAAATTATACCTCAATAATTATCTGCTCTCCTATTTTTATTTTATTTGCAATAGATATGTATTTATTCATGCATTTGTATTCTTATTGAATGAAGGATGTTATGTCACTTGCATTGAGTACATAGGCATCCCTTTCGACAAATAAAATCAGAATCTAAACTACAGAACCAGGTTCAAGTGGGGACAGAAGTACAATTTTAATAAAGGTCAAAGTTTTGCTAGTGTTTCACTTAAAATTTATTTTTAGGCTTTCTGAATGTTCTCTTAAAGAAAAAGACTTAATCATATACGTACTTTTTTGTATTGTTAACAAGGAAGAAACATACTAATATGAATGGTACTACATACATTATACATGTTATACAAGAGAAGAAAATTATATATTCAAGATAAACATTTTTATAATCACAATACTTCAACATAAATGTGTTCAATATAGTAAAGATGCAGGTTGTATAATTTGTCAAGCAAATTCTCAATTATGTTTGAATTCTATTTAAAATCAACATTAGTATTGACAATATTCATATTTAAGGCTTTTTAATTATTTAAATAGGTTCAAGTTTGCTGTGTTCAGCATTATTAGTTGTAAAAGTAGGCTCTGGTACCGAAAATATATATTTTTAGCTCCCTTCTGTCAGTCTTTCCATTAAATGCTATAGACTCACAGTTTTACATGCTTCTCAGCACCTCACTGCTCTTGTTGCCTATAATATTTTATTAGTTTAATCCTTCTGAAATAATCCTGGTCATTCAAAACCAATACATCAAAATCTTCTAGAGTGAACAAAAGAAAAAACTTTTGTGAAGATTAAAAGAAAAAGGAGACTTCTCAGATATATTAACTTTAAAGACTATATCTCACAATTATGTAATATATTTGTTGCTTTATCTAATTAGATTTGCATTTCTTATATATACCATGCATATAAAAATATATTTGATACAAATTATAATACAAGGCATACAAAAATAGACCATTATAATAACAGAACATTTTCTAAAGGGATTTTAAAACTGTAAGCCAAATGCCTTAATCTAATACTACTTCTAAAATGTATTCTAAAGAAATAATCTTGCATGTGTGGTTAGACTTAATTACAGAAATATTCATTGTAACCTTTCTTTAGAAGTGAATATTGAAAACTGAAATAAATCTAAATGTCCAACTTTATAATTGCTAGTTATGGAATACTAACAAATGAAATCCATGCTTTTAAAATAGCATTTAGTGAAGCAAATATATGTTCAAAATACATATAAAGGAAAAACTGGTATGTTATTAAAGAAGATAGAATAAAA
Organism: Homo sapiens; assembly: GCF_000001405.40. Lineage (NCBI taxonomy): Eukaryota > Metazoa > Chordata > Mammalia > Primates > Hominidae > Homo > Homo sapiens. Next base: position 46,711,105 of record NC_000010.11, on the reverse strand, counting down.
TTTATTTTGAGAGTGTATGCTAATAAGACAGTTTTGATATTTAGGAAAATTAAAATGTTAGGTAATATTTTAAATAAAAAAATAAATTTTCTGTTTGCTGAGATTATACGTATTTTAAACAATTTTTAATGTACGCTATAGACACTGAACATGTATAATTTATGTATCAAGAAAAAAATCAATAAGTTCAATTTTTAAAATCAAAATTAAAAGTCACATAATAGATCAGAGAAGATAAAGATGAATTACACTTTTTTCTTTATCTAACAAAAGAGAGTGCATGGTTTATGGAGACAGACAATTTTTTTCTCTGGTTTTAACTCTAAGATATAAAAGGAATCTATTGTATACATCTGGAAATAAGAGGTATTTAATACCTAATGTATATTAAGATTACTGTTTTAGCTTTTTTTTTACAATATAGAAGTACTGTGTGATGACTTACCTTATCAACCATTGAAAGAGCCATTTTCAAAGATTGATTAAAATCGAAGAGTTCCATAAGCAATTTTCACTAAAGCATTGAAAACTATTATCCAAGATTAAGAAAATACTTTTCTAGGGATCCCTCATATCTAGGGATCTAATGACCATTAGATCCACCTTGTATAATGGAATTAGGACAACCCAAAGATCTGGATGATTGAATTGTCATTTGGGGATTATTACCATCATACAGCTCAGTTTATGGCAATTTCTATACATGTGTTTAGTATTAATTGAAGGAAACTCATAGGAATTAGATGCCAGACATGAAGACTATATACATATCTTCAGAGCGCTTGTGTCCTAAACTGAAAAGTGTGTTTTAAGAGTCTGGGATATGAAACCACCTTTTCTCTATTCTTGTCAAATCCATGTCATTCTAGCTACTGACATAATTTATGCAATATAAATACAAATAATAATAAGCAAAGTTATATGAAAATATGTTTCCAGTATATAGGTAGTTTTAACCATTCTTTTTAGAAGAAATGTGTGTGTGTGTAAATGTCTTAATTGTTAAAATGATTAAGTCATTCACAGGTTTGTTAATGTTTTTCCATGTAGCTGGAGTGATAATAATTTGTATTACATTTTAGAGTGGTTTGATGCAAATAAATAAGAACCAACTCAAAATGTTATTGAGGTTAAACTCCAAGAAGACAAAAGGAAAACTAAAATAACAAAGTAAACTATAATTAAAACATTTCAACTAAGAAAAAAGTAAAAAGTTAAGCTATCTCAGACAATGTTCGAGATTGAAGCTTGTTAATTGCAATGGAAAAACTGCTAATTACCACAAATAGTAATTTAGAGGCATAAATATTACACAGGTGTGGCTGCAGGAAGTTGATATTAATCAAACACATTTGGCATTTTCAATGTTGCAAAAATTACAATTGTAAACACCTTCCATACAATCAAATGTTATGTGAATTTTAAATGAGTCTCAATAAATTATACTGCATAAAAACAGGATTTTTACTATGGATCATAATTGTTAATGTCTTCCGTACTCAAGGTTGAAATATAAATCAATTCACTCTATTATTTGGTTTGGAAGTTTAAGAGGACAATTCACATTTCCTTTGATACACTCTACCAGTGTCACTGGACTGGTGATGTGACAAGAAAGGTCTTCTGTAGAACTGAATTGCAATAATATGGAGATTATAACAAAATTATATATGTACCTAAGAATATTGACTTTAAAAGCCTTCTTCAGATTGCAACATTGATTTCCAGATCTGTTGGGAACTAGCTGCCTTACTTAATGTAACAGTCTTGGCAATGGAATAATCATATATATCACCCATGGATAATTAATTTTTAATCATTGAAATTCACTGAAATATGTTGAACATGAAAATTATACAAATATAATTTTGTATGCTGTTTCAGATTCTTTGGAATTTTATTCTAAGCATCAATCAAGATGGTATAGTACGAGAAAGGTAGAACATGTAATTATAAATTCAGGATTCAGGAAGTTTATTTTTCTCTTCTTTTTAATTCTCTCAAAATGATCTTGATTCCTGCAAAGTGTTAGTGTATCTGGTAAGTAAGAGTCTATTTCTTTTAAACTTCATCTGTATTAACCAGCTTTATATGACCAAAATGTCCCCCAAATTTAAATCTTTGCACAGTAAGGCCTTATATGTACACCTGGCCTCATTTCAAAAGACTAAAGCAGTTGTTCTCAAATTCAGCTGCACATTAATATAAACTGGAAAACTGTTTAAGCTCCTGATGACAAAGCCACATGTGAGACTAATTTATGCTGAATCACTGGGCCAAGGACCCAGGTATCAGCATTTTTTAAAACTATAGAGGAATAACCAGGGTTGAGAACCACTGCACAAAATGGTACATGCAACTTTTATTTAAGTTATTTTTTTTAAATAAATAATGGTTGAATCGATATTGATCTTAGTACCAAGTCATGGCAATTTTTTCAGACTTAGAGAATTCATCCTGGCATTGAGATTATTAAAGAACCTAGAAATCCAAGTGTTTTTGTTTATATTTTTCCTGTAAATATTAGAGTATGCTAGTGCTCATCCTTATTTGATAATTTTGGAAAATATATTAAACATTTGAGATTGAATATCAAAAATCTCTAAAAGAATTTTAGAAATACCATTCTTCTATGAAATAAGTAAGCTCAATCAAGATACATATTATAGTGCCCATTTAAGAAAGTCTAATAATAATGCTTGCACTGCTTAAAGATTAGGTTGATAAATTAATTATTGTTAATCCTACTTGCATAATCAACGGACACCTAGCGATGGAGTCTTAAGTATAGACACAGAAGTTGAATACTTTTAAGAACTTTTAAATTTACATCCGGGTTAAGTTTTACTTTAAAATTATGTTGAGTGGTTGTGATTAGTACATGTGTGATTAGAACCGTCTTTCTCAGGTTATTACATCATCATATAGACACAGGAAAAATAATAGAATTAAAAATAAAGCAAGAAAAATAATGTAACACTTTATTGGCTTCAGATAATTATTTTGAGATTCTAATCCTACCAAAACATTCTGCTTTTCTTAACTTGATCCTACTTTTGTTTGTTTGTTTTAATAAAGGATGAACCAATATCCTGAGAAATTTTCAAATAGGGCTGGTTATAACACTAAGAACCTAGATCTCACTATGTTTTAGAAAAATTGTAAAGTATTTCAAATAATCAGTAAAGTTTCAGCTCTGCACCATTGTGTCTTTGCAATATGGGGAAAGTCACTTCACTTCTCTCCCTCTCTCGTTTTTGGCACATGTAAGGCAGAGAAAATAATATCTACTCCAGCTATCCCACATGTTATTATAAAATATAATAAGAGATAGAAAATCACTTTATAATGTTCAAAGTATTATAAAAGTAAGCCATGATTATATGTGGGATTAACAGCAGTTTGTTATTTACCATTTAATGTATTCCTAATGTACATTTTTGCCATATTTAAAAATGTTTACATTTCGATTTTTAAGTGAAAGAGTAACGGTATGACATTATGCCATGTTATATCTGATGCCATTATGTCAAACAAACAAACAAAAGCATTTTAAACTATTTGGAATCTTACCAAAATAAATCTTATAACTATGATAATACAGGTTTTTGAGGATTTAGTTTGTACGCAAAAACAGAGGCAATAAAGGCAAAAATAGATAAACAGGATTACTTAGAATTATAAACCTTGTGCAGAGCAAAGGAAACAGGAGGGTGGAGGGTGGAGAGGCAACCTACAAACTGGGAGAAAATATTTGCAAACCTTATATCTCAATGTACTAGTGACTATCACCCTAATAACTAGTCATGGGAGCACTGTCATGCATTTGGTATGTTTTAGTTTTCGGGATGCTGCCACTTACCACGGCGGGAGCCTGATCCCTGCGGAATCGACTGTAGCTGGACTTATCTTGAATATTCTGAGCCAACATACCAAACCATAAGGTGCTAATTCATTCATGCTTGAAGGCCATAATAATCAATACACATTCACGCACACATGTACGTTCACGCACACGTACGTTCTCACACACCCGTACGTTCACACACACACGTACGTTCACGCAGTATTTAAAGGAGTGCTTCCGATTAAATCCGCAGATCTGCCCTCCCCCCATCTCTGAGTTTATTGTTAAATTAGGTAAGCCAGCCCCCAAAAACAAGATACTTAAATTGAACCTAGTCAGAGCCCTAAAAATCATAATTTAACCATGAACACTCCAACCCTAGCCCCTCGATTAACGTAATTTTCTAAAAAATCCTAACATTCTCCAACCAAATAAAATCTCCTATTTCGATGCTAACTAAATCTCTGTCCTAATACTTATATAATACTTCAGGTATCCCGCTCTGAAAAGCTTGTATCCCAGATATTATAGTCCTAAATCAAATATAACTTCAACTACAAATGGCCCCTCAGCGAAAACCTCTGCTAGTTCAACTTTTTTAAAGGCCCTAAACTTCCAGGACTGTAAAGGACCACTTTAGATTTATACCTAACAAGATCCTACCCTGACATCCCCCTAGTATTTCAAAATACCACTCAAATGTTTTTCACCCAGTTAATGTAGCTTAATTATTTAAAGCAAGGCACTGAAAATGCCTAGATGGGTCCGCACAACCCGGTAAACATAGAAGTTTGGTCCTGGCCTGTTTTTTGAATTCTTAGTAAAAAATTACACATGCAAGCATCCCCGCCCCAGTGAGAATGCCCTCCAGATCACCTGGATCAAAGGGAGCAGGTATCAAGCACGCATAAACGCAGCTCAAAACACTTTGCTCAACCACACCCCCATGGGAAAAAGCAGTGATAAATTTTAAGTAATAAGTGAAAGTATGACTAAACTATACTAATATTTATGGTTGGTAAATTTTGTGCCAGCCACAGCGGCCATACGATAAACCCAAGCTAATAAAACTCGGCATAAAGAGTGTTTAAGGTCTACATTCAGTAAAGCTAAGCTCCATCTAAGTGGTAAAAAACTCCAGCTGAAATAAAACGATTACGCTCCTTGAGGATAAGATGCATATTGTAACAATTTTCTATATCCTCCACAATGTTTTGCAGATTCAATAACTATTTAATGAATTGAGTTAAATTTGCCTATACTCTTACGCTCATAAATAACCTTCTAATTCTCAATTCCTCTAAAACATAGAAAAAATTGCCAATATAAAAAAGCAAGAAAGAAGATATTAACCATTTTGTCATTCAAAATATGACTCATTCTTATACAACTACCTTTGTCAGCATTCTTGCCATTGGACTATCTAGACTTTGACGCTGGTATATCATGGCTTGTTGTTAGAGAAGGTAAAGTTTGGAAAACAGAAGCAGTTATGTAAAGCAATCTTAGAAAATCCTTGAGTTTCCCTTAGAATTTTGTGTCTTCTACATGTTTTCTGTTTCACATAGATTAAGTTTGCAGAGTTATGTCATAATTTCATGAGCGTATCTGTCAGAGAGCCCTTTGAAGGCCTATTTAATCCAACTAAGACCATTTTTTATTGTTTTAATACCATTGAACTTGTTCTGATAATTGAGGAAAAAGAGAAAGACATTCCATATAATACACCAGATGCCTAAGTGCTTTGGATAGTCATAAGCCTTTTCTCCTATAGCTTCCTATTTAGAAATGCCTGCTCTTCAGAGTTTTCTTAAGCTTTCCAACTTGCTCCTTCCATTTTATAAGAATAATAGTCTATTTAGGAAGACTATTATCAAATAAAAATCAGAATGATCAGTGGACACCTATTTTAGCCTTGGGATTTATATCACAATTCCCTAAGACTTTATATTTCCAGAAAAGAAATTCAAACTAAAGGTCACAATTACTATTATTATAGTAATACTGATAAGATGTGCATTTTAACTAAAAGAAGTTCCCACTATTTTTTTTTCTTTCTACTTTTCAATAATCCTTGGGACCTTAGTAGGAGTGTGCAGTAGTCTTGTGGTGTATTTTTAGTTTAAAAGTCTGAGCATACCTAATTACCACTTGGTAGATATTGTTCAAACTCACTTTTGAATCCAAGTGTTTTTACCCTCATAGAATTTTTTTTAAAACGAGTATTTGCTTGTTTCTATTATACTGTAACTATTGGAGCTACTAGGAGGCCTTTTAAATTTCACCAACAAGTAGGCAGAATGGAGACTAACTGAAGGGTTGATGGGCTTAAAGAAAATAAATAACCTAACAAAACCACCAGGCTAATGGCAAAACCAACATTAGGAACCAAGTCACTTTACTTGGGATTAGTGGATACCAAAATGTGCTTTCTCGGAAGCAGCACTTTACAAGGAAATATGGAAATCCACCTTTGTTGTCCTTCAGCTAAAGGGAATAAAATCATGTACTTTCTATAATTTTAACCCTGTTATAACAGATGCTACATGAACTCAAGTGGAACTCTGACTGCCTTGAGAGCTGAATAAAATGCATCCCACCATCCGTTGCAGCCGCATCAAGGTATTAAAAAGAGAGACAGAAGGAAGAGGTGAGAGAGGCACAAGTTCAACAGTGTGAGGCAGTCAGACACAATGGGAGGGAGAAAGAAATAAATGTCTGAATGTCATTGAAAGAAGAGACAATGAAGGCATATGTAAGAGTCCTGCTAAAGCTATGGAACCTCAGGAGCCTATTTGTAAGAACTACAATTTAGAATAGGGAACTTGCAATACAATGCCTGACCTTTATTTCCTTTCCTGCCTCGAACTTGTGAAAACCTTTGATTGACTTTTCTATGAACATGAATTACTGTTACAATATTTAGTTGAACAATATGAATTTCTCAAAGCAGTAATACAGCGCTACAGCATAGCTTAACATTGTTTAAGTAATATGGTTTGCTTATATTTAAGTCATTTCTAAGGGACCCATGCAAACACAGTCAGGAGATCTATTTCTGATGTATTTCCAAGGCTAGAAACAAAAAAATGCTGTTAATGCATAAACAGTCAAAAAACCATGCACTGTGGTTTTACAGGGACCTCTATTTCTAAAGATGATTGTTGCATGAGGGTCTCTGCCTTTATGAAGGGAAATGTGTAGATTTTAACTAGCTCTGTTTGTGTTTTGAAAAAGAAAATCATGTTTCTGCACTAAAAAATAAATTCCTAATCAAACCTTTAAAGTTAACATTTAGAACAGGGACAGAAACTTCTGTTGTTTCCTAAGTGTTTTGCTGTTGTTCCTGTTTAGTTTTAAATCATTTTTTAGAAGTTTTATTGAGGTATAAAAAAATTGTACACCTTTCATATATTCACCTGGATGAATTTGGACATGTGTGCATACACCAATATCATCATCACAACCAAGGTACTGAACATACTTATTCACCTCCAAAAATTTTCTTGTGTTCTTTTTTAATGGTGGTAGTATATTTTTAAGAATTCAGCCTTTGAGCAGGGTACGAAGGACCTTCAACAACAAATGCAAAAGTAAATGAGCTAAGTTCATATAAAGGGTTAGCTCTCAGTGAGTTATTCAAGTTATGATCATATCCTCAAGAGGCTTGTAAACTGACTGTGGGTTTCCAGTTTGGTTATTCACAGATAGGCCTTCATTTGCTCATTCACCTATTCATTCATATAGCCACTCATTCATTCTCAAGAAGAGGTATTTGTCCATATCTCACCATGTGGATGAGCAGATGGTCAGTTCTCACTTCTTTTGCCATTAAGTGTGCTCACCGTTGAGCTCCAGGATGGTATTTTCTCTCACTTTGCGTCATTACCAAAGTGGCTATCAAGATTCCCTCCCCTACCTTCTTTTTCTTTTTTCAATGTTTAAGAGCTGGAGTTAATTTCTTGACTCCTTTGGTAACACATGCCGATATATACCACTCAAGGCCTGTTGGATTAAACTGTTAAATTTGTCATCTAGCTAATGTTTTCTCAGAACCAGACAAATTAAACAGAGTCAATTGTTGAAATTATTTCAAAAGATAAACAATCATAGAATGGAAATAAACTACAGAAAGTAGGGAACAGGAGTAACTAAGTCTCCTAGAAAACATTTGCAGCAGATGTTAAGTATCCAGTCTCGTTGTTATAAATGAATTTCAAAGAATCTCATGAGGAGCAGCTTTACAAAATTTTACTGCACTAACAAATGGCAGCCAACCTCTGTAGTAAACACAAAATACTGTACCATCCTTTGTATCTCCTTAAATTAAGCCAATTTCTGCTTACACAGAAAATCTGTCTGTGGAAAACACTGCTTAGAATTTGAAAGCACATTAATCTGGAAGCCACAACAGAAGTGTGCTTCAGAAAACTTCTTAATATTTTTCTTGTGAGTTATTCTCTTTACGCTTTTCACATTACAATATTACCAAGTTATCATAATGTATTTTCTGCACTCCCAGAGCAAGATAAGACTCTAGTAGTTGCTGGGAACTATGCATTGTCTAAATATGGGTTCACATTCTCTCACAGTGATTCTGGAATCATACACACAAATGAGATCACTGCTGTCAGATCACTGGGATTAAGACTCAACCTCTCTACTCACTGGCCATGTAAATATAGATACAGTACTCAGATCCTCTGAGGCTTAGCTAATTATCAGTTGATTTGGTCTACACTTACCACATTAATTATTTGAAAGGATTCGTTGATATAACATGTGCTGACAACCATAATCATTATTAAGGCAATGTTTACCAATATGTGACTTTAAAACAGATACTACTATTAGATAACAATTCATACTATACATTCAATATTTAAACAACAGAATTATAATTTTGTGAAGCAAATTTTGTACTCAAACAGAAAATCCAATTCTATAATTATTTTCTGCAATATTGGGTCATAGAACCAACAAAGAATATATGACTGGCTTAGACGTATGTAATTACTTATGCAATTAGTAATAAAATTCTTCACTCATTCCTAGATTTGAATCCCTGATGCTCTGCGTAGCAGCTGTATAGTCTTGGACAAGTTGCTTAATCTGTCTGTACCTCGATTTCCTCATTTGTACTTCAATTTTCTTATGTGGTAAATATAAAATTACTTAACTCAGAGCTATGAGGTCAGTTTTATTTGAGAGAATCCAGAATAAAATACTTAGCACACATTTCCTACCATTCAGCATGCATAATACGTACTCAAGGAAATTTTAGATCTCTGTACATGATTAATATATTAAATCCTCAAACCGACTATAATGTCTGAAAATGCATGTCTTTATGTCACTGTACCTCTCACTGCACTTGGCACAGTGTTGTGAATATATTTGTCATTTGTATGTTCTTTCTACCATACAATTCTGCCACTCCAATTAGCATATTGTGTTGGAAAACAATTGGGTGCTTGCCTTATGTTTTACTAAATTTATACGGAACTACGTTGACACTTCCTTGCCCTTCAGATGCTGGCACTCACTGGTTGCTTTCTAGTTCTCAGGAGTCTCTGTGTGACTCTGTCCTTTACACTTGCCCTGCAACATCACCCTCAGCCCTAGACAAAGCCAACATCATTTTTAAAAACCTGCAAATATGTCTGCAATTCACTGTATGAATATTCTCATTCTATCAAAACCCTGACCTCACTAACTCAATGGAGCAATACAGGATGAGAAAGTAGTTTATATGAAAGTCATAGAAAGCTTGCTTTGTTTATTCATCCAAACGTATGTTTTTAAAGGACGAGGCTTTTATCTGAAACAAATAAAATTATAATTTGAAATTTCAAATAATGTGACTAATAGATTATGAATTCATTTCCAAATATAGAAATAATTAAAACACTTGGGGTATAGAAAAAGTGAGTGCTGTATCTATTCTTTTCTTATATTAATTTTACCCCAGCTGCCAGAATTTAGTTTTTTGTTTTTGTTTTTTTTCTTTTTCTTTTTTTGAGACCGAGTCTCGCTCTGTCGCCCAGGCTGGAGTGCAGTGGCGCTATCTCTCCGCTCACTGCAAGCTCCGCCTCCCGGGTTCACACCATTCTCCTGCCTCAGCCTCCCGAGCAGCTGGGACCACAGGCGCCTGCTACCACGCCCGGCTAATTATTATTATTATTATTTTTTTTTTTTTTTGAGACGGAGTCTAGCTCTTTCGCCCAGGCCGGAGTGCAGTGGCGCCATCTCCGCTCACTGCAAGCTTCGCCTCCCGGGTTCACGCCATTCTCCTGCCTCGGCCTCCCTAGTAGCTGGGACTATAGGCGCCCGCCACCGCGCCCGGCTACTTTTTTGTGTGTGTTTTTAGTAGAGACGGGGTTTCACCGTGTTCGCCAGGATGGTCTCGATCTCCTGACCTCGTGATCCGCCCGCCTCGGCCTCCCAAAGTGCTGGGATTACAGGCATGAGCCACCGCGCCTAGCGCAAAGATGTATTTTACTAATACCACAGAGGTATAATCTGCTGCTACTTCTTGATCAGGAGTAAACAAGTTTACTTCACAGCAGTTGATCTAATTTTCTTCCCCATTCATTCAATGGTATTTTTTTTATTGTTATAGAACATACTGAATTGGATAATAAGTCCTTTTCTTTTTCTTTTTTCAGAAATGGTTTCTACTCTGTTGCTGAGGCTGGAGTGCAGTGGCATTATCTCGACTCACTGCAGCCTCTGCCTCCTGGGCTCAAGAAATCCTTCGACCTCAGCCTCCCGAGTAGCTGGGACTACAGGTGAGCACCACCATGTCCACCTATATAATTTTTGTATTTTTTTTTTTTTTTGTAGAGACAGGGTTTCACTGTGTTGCCTAGGTTGGTCTCAATCTCCTGGGTTCACACCATCCTCCTCCCTCATCATCCCAAAATTCTGGGATTACAGGTGTAAGCCACTGCACCCAGCTGAGAAGGCTTTTTATTATAGGTTGTTCTTATTGTTTTATTTATTTGGTTTACTTGTTGGTTTTCAAGGTAAGTTTGACATATAAGGTGGTATAATGTTTAAAGGTCAAGTTATAGAGATAGCTAGATTGAAGTTCAAATCCAGAGCCAAGTTACTTAGACTCTCTAAGGACTTGTTTTTTCCCTTATAAAATTAAAATAAAGTGGATAGCCACTTCATAGGTTTGTAATAAGAATTAATATGATCATGATGTCACAGAGTTGCAAAGAGATACTGAAACTTGGCTCTGCCAAAAAATATTAGCTATTGCCATTATGATTGTTCTCCTTAATACCTAAGGCATTTGCTGACAGTCAGGTTACTCATCATGTCCTTCCAGGAAAAAAACTTTAAGAATGTTGAAAACTTAGGAACTACTTTTAAAATTTAATTTTCAGACCTGACATAACACAGCTGAGGAAGAGAGGTGGTAGCTGATTGGGGATAGATGTAGAGATCATTAATGGTATAAGAGTGTGAGAATGTGAAGCAGGATAGGATATGATATTACTCATACAGATCACAAATACATGTCAAAATTATATTTATCATTCATTTAAGTAAAATTCAACATTGTTTTCTTCAAAGAAGAAATTGCGCATTTCACTCTACCTATTTAACTCTGGAAAATTTTACAAATTGAGCATGCCATTTTTTAGTATGAATTCCTTTATTTCAGCTGCCCTGCTAACTTTGGCATGATGAGCAGAAAAAAAATAAACAGAATGATTAGTTCTGAAATATGAAAAAGTGTCCAAGAAAAGGAGTAGTCTTGAGAAGTAGGGAACAGGATGAAGTCACTAGGGGACAGAAGGGTAGGAGGGAGTGGGACCAGACAAACACTGAGCTCTGCATGCACACGTAACAGTCTAAAATAGTCATCCAGCACGCAGACTCTAAGTCAAGATAACCAAGATGAATTGCCAACTTCTCCACAAGCAATATGACTTTGGGTAAGGTATTTGAGTTTTCTGTGTCTTAGTTTCTTCAACTGATAAATAAAAATGATGGTCATATCTACTTCATAAAATTGTGATAATTGATTAATACATGTAATGAATAACGTTTGGCATTTAGCTTAATAATAAGACTTTTCATTAAAATATTAGCTACTTTTGTTAGCTAGCAACTCTCAGTTTTGCCTAAAGCTGACCCCATATCTAGGGTGAGGTTTTGAAAGAAATTCAACACCATCAGAAGTAGGTCTGGAAGTTATAAAGGAAAGCTTAAAGAAACAGAAATATGTGCAACACCTATTTACAAAGAATCCATTGGGAAAACCCCATTGAGCCCAGGGAGATGGCACATGTCCCCTTTGGTTATGGAATTCAGTTCCCTGACGGTCAGTATACTGTCTTTGTTCCCAAGGCAAACTTTTTAATAATTGTGATCCCACTCAATAGTCATGTTCACTTACTTTATGGGTACATTTGTGGCATATTTTAAAATGTGAAGTTGAGTGCATTTCACCTGAAAACCAAAGGCATGTAATGACAACATGCTATAGAGGAAAAATTATTGATTTGTGTAAATAGGCAGATCTTGTTTGTATTCTAGCTCCATCACTTACTAATTTTGTGATATGGGCAATTTATATCCTATCTGAGCCTGTGTTTCCTCTACAATATGAGGTAATTTCTACTTTGAAGTATTGTTATGAGGGTTAAATATAAATTACTTTCTGGTTTATGATGTTGGTATATACTACTTCTATGCACAACCGTTATTTTTATGAATAAGATTTTAACAGTAAGCCACAGAAAATATAATGTAAGACTGATTCTTAGAATCTATCAAAACAGGTTGTAAAAATGACTTAAACATCTAGCATGGCAGTGACTAACATTTTGAAAAGCTTAATTTTTCCATTAAGAACTATAGCCCAACACAGTGTCTGTGCTTCAGTGTTCCTCTTATCAGGAAGGATAATATGTGTGATGCATGGACTAACTCTAATGAAAATTTTTATTCTTAAGACACAAAATATTTCCCAGCACAGTACATAAGGTCTTTGTGCTTATGTCAGCATTGGAGATAAATTTCTGGGAAAGAAGTAGAGAAACTGCTCATTTCTATAGACATCAAAACACCAAAGTAGCCGGGCGCGGTCACTCATGCCTGTAATCCCAGCACTTTGGGAGGCCGAGGCGGGCAGATCACCTGAGGTCAGGAGTTCAAGACCAGCCTCAACATGGAGAAACCCCGTCTCTACTAAAAGCACAAAAAATTAGCCGGGCATGGTGGTGCATGCCTGTAATCCCAGCTACTCGGGAGGCTGAGGCAGAAGAATTGCTTGAACCTGGGAGGTGGAGGTTGCAGTGAGCCGAGATCGTGCCATTGCACTCCAGCCTGGGCAACAAGAGCAAAACTCTGTCTCAAAAAACAAAACAAAAAAAACAACCAAAGTAAAAGTGAAAATAAAGGTACACAGCAGACTTTTTCTTTTTAAATACCTAAACTGAAAAGTATACCTGTCAAGAAACATCCAACTCATGAATTACTTTAAATATGTTTTTAAAACAGCGTGCTTGTTTTATAACAATAGATTCATGCTAGTTATCTGATATTCCCCAGTGGTTGCTTTGTGGAGCTCAGTGTCATCCTTGGAGAACATGGGCAATAAAAAGCATTTCTTCTGCACCAGTAAGACAAAAACAAACTGACTACTTCTCACATAAACCTTGGAGGGCTTCCCTCAGTGGGGTTAGTGATCAGCAAATCATGTCAAATAACCCCTTTTGTTATTTTTGACATAATAGTGTTCCTAGCAGACAGTACTCAAGAATTCCCAGATTCTTAGCTGTAACATAAATTTAATATACTCTCTTTTATTAAAAGTCAAGCTGTTTATTCACAGTAGCTCTTAGGTCTACGTTTCATTTTACACATATATGTGGATGTAATAGCTTTTTCCTTAGAACTTTTAAAAAATAGAATTCAGTAAAAGTCCTATATTTGTATTTTCTATGTGTCAAGAACAGATAAGCATCATTAATGTGAACCAAATTTCAATTGAGGAGCTGAAATTAGGAAGAATTGAAAAACACCTGAAATAAATCTTCAAGTAATAAAGGGGAAAGTTTACTTTAGAATTAGTGTATCAAAAATGAGAAAATTGGCTGGGCGCAGTGGCTCACGCCTGTAATCCCAGCACTTTGGGAGGCTGAGGCATGCAGATCACCTGAGGTCAGGAGTTCAAGACCTGCCTGGCCAACATGGTGAAACCCTGTCTCCACTAAAAATACAAAAATTAGCCGGGCATGGTTGTACATGCCTGTGGTCCCAGCTACTCGGGAGGCTGAGGCAGGAGAACCGCTTGAACCCCGGAGGCAGAGGTTGCAGTGAGCCGAGATCACACCACTGCACTCGAAACTCGGTGACAGAGCGAGACTCCATAAAAATCAATCAATAAATCAATCAATCAATCAATAAAACTTTTTAAAAAGTCATTGCATTATTTTTAAAAAATTAATAGTTTCAAAATGTATACATGTAAAATCTAACTGGGAATACTTTGTATCTACTTGTAGCACAAGATTAAATTTATTTTCAATTACTAGGAGATTTGCACAATAGAGTATATATTTACTTTAATCTGTATGACTAAAAGCCTCATTGTCAATGTGACTATGTCATCATTATCACATTCATGAATCTCCTGATTATAACCTGCACAGATGGTCTACCTACAGGGCTCTGGGATAAGAAACTTGCTGTCTGTCTACAGAGGAAGCCGTTTTCACTTCCAGATAGTTCTGAATATTTGCAAGTACTTGCTGATTTAGAGTCAAATTATGTCTTGCTGTAACATCCATGTTACTGAACTTACATTTGAGATAAACCAAGATTAGACTAAACCATGCCTTCAAATGACACTCTCAAAAATGTGATGCAATTTATGTGCCAAAACTATCCTATCTTGCCATTTTCCTCCATTTTTTAGGAAAAGCATGGTCCTAGTTTTGTTAGCCACAGTTGACACTACTATTTTAAATCACTATGTCATTTGTATATCCTACATTTGAACACTCTTTAGTGTCTTCAAGTTAAAATATGCATAAAAACTGCACGTCCAGGATACTCTACCTGGAGAAAAACATAGCTCTCATTAACCTTGTCCAGACATTAAACTTATAAGAGAAAAATCATTATTTTCCTGTAACCAAATTACTCTGCTAAATTGTTTTTAGGCAGGATTAATAAATCTTTACTGTAAAGGGAAAGAGGCTAAGATTTTAGGTTTTGTGGGCCATATAATCTCTATACAACTGTTCAACTCTGCTGTTGCAGTGAGAAAGCATTTATAGACAATATGCAAATGAATGAGTGTGTCCATGCTGCAATAAAATTTAATTTATTGCAGTCTATTGGCTGGATATGGCCTGCAGGCCATAATTTGCCAACCCTTGGTTGACAGTATAGCTAGCTAAACACTGCTTGTTGTAGTAAAATCTTGCTTTTTAAAACATATGTCTCTCATCCTAGTATTGTCATTACGTGTGTGTGGTTTATTGTTAAATATGTAATATTTAAGGGTCTTTCCTATTTAGTTTTATTAACTAAAAGCTGTTTCATAATTGTAATGCACAGACATCTATATAGGTTTTTATTTTATCATTCAACCTATTAGCTAATCCTTAGAGTTGTTTCATTTTTCATGTGTTTGACAGATGAACATGTCTAAAACACTGATGATAATGTTACCAGAATATAAACAAAAATGAAATTTTCAGGTTAAAACCATTTTGTTAGTAATATGTAAGTATATCAATTAACCATTAAATAATTTACCAAATTATTCCATTACCTAATCCATATTGCTCCTTCTTGTCCACAAGAATATAGTAAGGTACATTGTCAAATACATACCTCTGACTTTAGTGGGCATTTAATGTATTATTAGAGGATCCTGATATCTGTCTTTCTTAAAGAAATTAAACTCATCCCTAGTGATTATACTTTCTTCATCTAACACTATAATATTAATAACATTTGAAAAAATAATGTCTAATAATTAACACTAGATTTACAGAGTATTTTTAGACAATTTTCTAAAATTATCTGAAAAATTTGACCAGAATCATTGTAAAATTCACATCTGAGCTTATGAAAGCCCACTTTATTCCACTCTAAAAGAACAAAATTTTGTACTTTTAATTTTATCTTTTAAAATGTTTTAACATAAAGGTAGTGGGAGACGTTACTAAAGGAAGCTTAGATAGTAACGTATTTGTTGTCTCAGTTAACACAAAGACCATAGATGGGGCAGATCTGCAGGATGCAAAAACTTTCCTTTTTCTCACCTCATAGTAGTCATATGGCTACTGCAATTCTCTGGTTTCATGTGCTTACAAAATGTCCTTTAGTTAAAAATAAAAAGAAAGAGAAAGAGAAAGAGAAAGAAAGAAAAAGAAAGAGAAAGAAGAAGAAAAGAGAAAAAATAATTTCTTCATGTGTCTATTTAAATTAACAAAGACGTGAATTGTCCCAGACCTCCCTGTGATGAGTAACTTCATGTGTCAGTTTTACTGGGCTAAGGGTTACCCACATGGCTGATAAAACATTATTTCTGAGTATGTCTGTGTTTCCAGAGAAATTAGCATTTGAATAGGTAGGCTGAGTGAAGAGGATCATCCTCACCAATATCTATGGGCATCCTTCAATCTCTTCAGAGCCCAAATAAAACAAAAAGGCAGAGGAAGGGTGAATTTAATCTGTCTTCTTGAGCTGGGACATCCATCTTCTCTTATCCTCTGATATTGGAACACCTGGTTCTCAGACTTTTGGGCTTAGGTTGAACTATATCACTAACTTTCCTGGGCCTCCATCATGCAGGCAGGAGATTGTGGAATTTCTCAGTCTCGACATCCTTGTGAGCCAATTCCTCCCAAGAATTATCTTCTTCTAGCTATCTCTGTCTCTTTCTCTATCTATTTCATCTGTATCAGTATCTGTATCTCTGTGTCGTCTATATCTGTATCATCTGTATCTTTATCTCATCTGTCTCTATCTCTATCTCTACCTCTATGTCTACATCTGTCTTAGTTATCTATCTCATTTATGGTTCTGTTTCTCTGGAGAACCTTAACTAATATAGTCCTTATCTTACAACTCACTTGCCAGCTTACCATGATTATAACCAAGTTGATCACTTCAAAAGAATACTAAATAATATATATTGTTTACACTAAGAGATAGCTAGCTACTCTCCTCAAGCTGAATCTGGCCCCCACCTCACTTAGTAGAGCAAGCAAACTAAATGTAGATTATACATTTTTTACTCATTGAAAAAACCCAAATAATAACTTATGACATGCTAAAATTTAAATTTTGATATACAAATAAAATTTTATTAGAACACAATTATATTTATTCATTTACATTTACATTATTTGTCTATGGCTACTTTTACACTAATGCAGCAGAGTTTGTTAGTTGAGACAGAAACAGGCCAATAAAGACCAACATTTTTACAATATAACCCTTTAAAAAAAAAATGGACCCTTGGTTTAGACTGATCAATAATCCTATGGGAGGATTTTAATGATTTTCATCTGTAGCCAACCAAGCACATTTTTTTTCTTGGCTAGGATAAATTTAGAACATCTATGTCCTTCCTTAAAATAGCCCCACATACTTGAAAGTCTGATTCTCTCATAACTATATTTTTTTCTCTGCTGTTAAAATTTGAACTCATTCTCTTCAGAAATAAAGAAAGTAACAAAATAGAAACTAAGCAGTCCCATTTTTATTTTGCCATTTATGAGGGCCTATGCCATCTAGCGGTGATTTAGTATGTATTTAACAACCAGTTCACTGAGAAAAACTGCTGTATTTTTAGTTTGCTTAATTTAGTGGTGTTGAATATTTCCTCTATGACCAATTTTGGCTTACGAATATGATTTCTTTGAATGCAAAGTTGGGAGGAGATGAGCACTGTGTGCTCCTATGAGGAGTTCCATCTGGCTCAAACATAAACACTATTAACATCACTTTGCTCAAGACATGTGATTCTCTTTCATAATGCTTCTTGCATTAACTGCAATATAAAAGTTACAATCCTTATTATTTTTGAAAAACTCAATTTGTATAGGACTCTTGATAATATTTTAATATGTATACATTTTATAATTTTATTGATATTTTTTCTTCTTTTATACTTTTTTTTGTTTATTTATATAGTTTGTTTTCACATTAAATGGGAGAAATACTGACATTGTTCAATTCACACCCAGGGAAATTCTGTGTGAATGATATCATATTATATTTCTTTTAATGCTCTAAACAATGTTGTGAGGTAAGTGTTATCTCTGATTTGCATATGAAGAAACATATTCCGAGATTAAAAAATTGCCCAGTTTCACACAAGGAATAAATTGGAGCACAGGAGTTCTATATAGATAGACCTGTATGACTTCACAGAGTGAAATGGACAGATAAACAATTCACTTTCCAGGAGAAATCACAGGACAATGGATATCAGAAGAAATGATGGGACCAGGGTAATATTGGATGTTTTGTATATAAAAAACTAATGTGGGCAACAAAAAAGCATATAAAGTCACTGAAGCAAAATATATATTGTGAAATCTAAAAGAAAATATGCTATTGGTAGGCCATGGCTACATTATAAAAAACATTTCATTTCACATAAAGTATGAATACTACACTATGACTATGAGTTAATATTAAAAAATTGACCACATAGGAAATAGGAGAAAAAAGTAACAACACTGTGGAAAGCAAAGAAAATGACTGCAAGATGAAGCTATCACCACCATCTCGTGGCCACATACGGACCTCCTCAGAAGCTTAGATGAATAAAGGGAAGAGACTGGAGTTATTAAAATTTGTAAACTCAGAGTAAAAGCCTTCCTGAGCTGAGGCTAGACCTCTGAGGGAGAGAAATGTTCCAACTGCTGCTGTTACCTCTGAAGAGGCACTTTCTGGGGCTCTGAAAAAATTGGTAAACTGAAACAATTACTGCTCCTAGGGCAAGGGGATGTTCTTGGGAGAATATCAGCAAGGACAGCAAACAAACAGGAAAAGGAGATCTATTCTTCCATTCTCTTGCCTATGTTTCTCTAGTACCTCCCAATAGCAGTACGTAGCAGGATCCCACTTGAAGGAACTTGGAAAACGTAGCTTGCTGATCCCCATCACGGCATCATAGCAAATTTATTTCAGAGAAATGTGGCTAAAGATCAAGATTATTAGTAAATCAATTTTTTTACCTAATTTTTAATCTGTATTGATTTCTTATAACATAAATATCTGTGGTTACAGAGACCTCAGTATTTTCTTTTTCTTCTGTAGCAGCATTTCAATCTTTTTTGAAGTTCTACCTCTCTTTCACTGCTAGTTCACACCATGTGAGAGCAATGGACCTAATCATCATGGGCAGTGGTCATAATATGTCTCAACCTGCCCAAAATAAAGATGCTACCCCATTAACCATATGTTTTATTTTGTAATACGATCATGATCCAACCTAGTCTAATGAGAAACTTAACTAGAAATTTTGTTGGAATTATTGAGGAAAACAGTGTTCATTTTCTGAAAAAGTAGCTTAGCTAGTAAGATATAAGCTCAGTGCTACTAGTGGCCATCTTGATGTGGAACAATACTGAGAATATTTCTTCAGGTAATCCTACAAGAAATGTGTGCAAAACAGAAAAGAGGAAGTTACAATGAGAAATTTCTTACGTACTATATTCAGTAGAGCCTCAGGGTAGCTCTAAATCTAGATACTTAATAAGAATACTACTGATAATAAATAATACTCATATAGCAAATACTATGTGCTAAGCATTCTTTCATGTACTTTATAAGATTAATATATCTAATACAAGGACTGTATGAGATAGATATTATTGTCCAGTTTTATTATGTCCTGCAAATAAAATGCCCTGACAAATTATATTCTCTCAATCATCTTTCCTTTGTTTGCAATCAACATTTTATATGTATTCACTTATTATGTATCACTCCTTTGATTCCTCAAAATTTATTTAGGGCTATATAAATATTTTGCTACTACTGGAATTAGCAAAACTTTAAGGTTAAATTTTCAAACATGTTATTGCCCTCATCATACTGTAGCAAGAATTAGTAATCAATGATACATAAACCCTATTTATTTATCCAAATTATTCCATTTCACATCCTCACAAAGGACACTATTCTGTCACCATTTAACCCTGTTCCCCAAAATCTCCTCATAAATGCAGTTTCAAAAACAGCAAATAGATAAATTGGACTTTATTAAAATTAAATTTTTTTTTTTGGTGAAATGGAGTCTTGCTCTGTTGCCCAGGCTGGAGTCAGTGGTGCCATCTTGGTTCACTGCAACCTCTGCCTCCTGGGTTCAAGCAATTCTCCTGTCTCAGTCTCCCAAGTAGCTGGGACTACAGGCACGCACCACCACGCCCGGCTAATTTTTGTATTATTAGAAGAGATGGGGTTTCACCATATTGGCCAGGCTGGTCTCGAACTCCTGACCTTGTGATCTGCCCACCGTGGCCTCCCAACGTGCTGGGATTACAGGCATCAGCCACTGCGCCTGGCCCTTAAAATTAAAAAATTTTTTTTAAAGTTTTTATTTTTTTGAGACAGGGTCTCATCATGTTGCCCAGGCTGGAGTACAGTGGCGCCATCATGGCTCACTGCAGTTTCAACCTCTCTAGACTCAAGCGGTCCTCCCACCTCAGCCTTCTGAGTAGCTGGGACTGTAGGCATGTGCCACCACATCCCAGTAAGTTTTGTATTTTTTGTATTATAGAAATGGGGGCCAGGCACAGTGCTCACTCCTGTAATACCAACACTTTGGGAGGCCAAAGTAGATGGATCACTTGAGGTCAGGAGTTCGAGACCAGTCTGGCCAACATGGTGAAATCCCCTCTCTACTACAAATACAAAAATTAGCTGGGCATGGTGGCACGCGCCTGTAATCCCAACTACTTGAGAGGCTGAGGCACGAGAATCTCTTGAGTCTGGGAGGTGGAGGTTGTAGTGAGCTGAGACCATGCCACTGCACCCCAGCCTGGTTGACAGGGCAAGTCTGTCTCAAAAAAAAAAAAAAGAAAGAAGTGGGGTTTCACCATGTTGCCTAGACTGGTCTTGAATTCCTGGGCTCAAGCAACCTGCCTGCCTTGGCCTCCCAAAGTGCTGGGATTACAGGTGTGAGCCACTGCACCTGGCCAAAATTAAAAACTTCTATGTTTCAAAGGACATCATTAAGAAAGTGAAAAGACAACCTACAGAATGGGATTAAATATTTGCAAATTGTGTATCTGTTAAGGGTCTAGTATTTAGAATATGTGAAGAACTATCACAGCTCCATAAGAAAAAAACAAATAATCCAATTGAAACAATGGGCAGGCCAGGTGTGGTGGCTCACGCCTGTAATCCCAGCACTTTGGGAGGCCAAGGTGGGCGGATCACGAGGTCAGGAGATCGAGACCATCCTGGCTAACATGGTGAAACCCCGTCTCTACTAAAAATAGAAAAAAATTAGCTGGGTGTAGTGGCGGGTGCCTGTAGTCCCAGCTACTCGGGAGGCTGAGGCAGGAGAATGGTTTAAACCCAGGAGGCTGCAGTTGCAGTGAGTGGAGATCGCACCACTGCACTCCAGCCTGGGCGACAGAGCGAGACTCCGTCTCAAAAAAAAAAAAAAGGGCAAAGAATTTGAAGAGATATTTCTCCAAAGAAAATGTGCAAATGGCCAAATAAACACATGAAATACACACATGAAAAGGTGTTGAAATCATTATTCATTAGGGAAATGCAAATAAAAATCACAGTGAGGCCAGGTGTGGTGGCTCATTGCCTATAATCCCAGCACTTTGAGAGACTGAGTCAGGAAGATCACTTGAGCCCAGAAGTTAGAGACCAGCCTGGGCAACATAGGGAGATAGGCGTGGTTTGAGCCTGTAGTTCCAGCTAGTCGAGAAGCTGAGGTGGGAGGATCTGCTTGAGCCTGTGCCGTCGAGGCTGCAGTGAGCAGTGATGGCGCCACTGCACTCCAGCCTGGGCGGCAGAGCAAGACCCTGTCTCTAAAATAATAATGATAATAATAATAATAATAGAGATACCAATTCACACCCACTAGAATGACTATAATAACTTAAAAAAAATCTCAAAAAAAAAAAACCCAAAAAACAAAACCCCAACAACTGTTGGTGAGGATGTGGAGAAATGGGAACCCTTATAGGGTTCCTTACTTATAGGGATGTAAAATGATACAGATGCTATGGGAAACAGTCTGGCAGTTCCTCAAAAAGTTAAACATACAGTTGCCATATGACACAGCAGTTCCATTCCTAGGTCATCCCAAGAGAAATGACAACATATGTCCATACAAATACTTGTACATGAGTGTTAATAGCAACAATATTCATAATTGTAAAAGAGTGGGAACAACCTAAATGTAGATCAGCTGATGAATGGATAAACAATACGTGGTCCAGCTGGGTGTGGTGGCACACACCTGAAATCCCAGCGCTTTGGAAGGCCGAGGCAGGTGGATCACCTGAGGTTGGAAGTTTAAGACCAGCCTGACCAACATGGAGAAACCCCATCTCTACTAAAAATACAAAATTAGCCGAACATGGTGGCTCATGCCTGTAATTCCAGCTACTTGGGAGGCTGAGGCAAGAGAATCGCTTGAACCTGGGAGGTAGAGGTTGCAGTGAGCCGAGATCATGCCATTGCACTCCAGCCTGGTCAATAAGAGCGAAACTTTGTCTCAAAAAACAAAACAAAACAAAAACAAAAACCAGTATGTGGTCCATCCATACAATGGAGTATTATTCAGCCACAAGAAGGAGTGAAGTACAGATTCATGCTGCAACATGGATAAACCTTAAAAACATTATGCTGAGTGAAAGAAGCCACGAAAGATCACATATGGTATGATCCCACTTATATGAAATGTTTAGAACAGGAAATCCATAGAGATAGAAAAGAGATCAATGGTTTCTAGGAGATGGGGAGGGAGGCAATTGGGAATGACTGTTAATAGGTATGGGATTCTTTTTAGGTGATAGAAATGTTCTGGAATTAGTGTAGATGGTTGCAAAATGTGAATACGCTAAAACTACTGAATTGTATACTTTGAAATGGTAAATTGTATGCTATGTGAATTTTATCTCAATTAAAAAAAAGTATAGGCCGAGTGCAGTGGCTGAAGCCTGTAATCCCAGGCTTTGGGAGGCCGAGGCGAGTGGATCACTTGAGGCCAGGAGTTCGTGAACAGCCTGGCCAACATGGTGAAAACCCATCTCTATTAAAAAAACAAAAATTGGCTGGGCGTGTTGGTACATGCCTGTCATCCCAGCTACTGGGGAGGCTGAGGCACGAGAATTATTTGAATCCAGGAGGTAGAGGTTGCAGTGAGCCAAGATCACACCACTGCCCTCTAGCCTGGTCAACAGAACGAGACTGTCTTGAAAAAAAAAAGATAAATTATGGTATTTGCTTTGGAATTAAATAATTAGTAACCTTTAGTAAGGTTTGGTAAAGGTTTAGTAACCTTTAGTTAACCCAGTTAACTTCTGTGTCTTATGTTTGTCTTTGTACTGAAGTAGTTGAATGCCACTGACCCACAGAATGAGTTGCCAGAGAATTGGAGCAACATTCTGTTGTGGGAAAGAGAATACTCTGTTCTACCTTAAAATTAGATTCCCAGCATATCAATTGAAGGGTTTTAAATAGTGAGTGATGTGTTTCAATTTATATTTATATTATATTTACACTTGATCTTAGCCAAAAGTCTGAGAAGTGATTTTATATTATATTTATAAAGATCACTTTAGCTTTCTCCTGGAGACTGGATTGGTAGGGACAAGGTGACATTGGTGAACTTGGTTAGAAAGTCAGTCAAGCCCATGTGCAGTGGCTCACGCCTATAATCCCAGCACTTTGGGAGGCCAAGGCAGGTAGATCATCTGAGGTTAGGAGTTCGAGACCAGCCTGGCCGACATGGTGAAACCCCTTATCTACTAAAAATACAAAGATTAGGCAGGCATGGTGGTGGGTGCCTGTAATCCCAGCTACTCAGGAGATTGAGGCAGGAGAATCACTTGAACTCGGGAGGTAGAGGTTGCAGTGAGCCGAGATTGCGCCACTGCACTCCAGCCTGGGCGACAGAGCAAGACTCAGTCTCAAAAAAACAAAAACAAACAAACAAAAAACCAGTCAGTACTCTAGGGAAGAAATAACAATAGCTATATTATGACATAGTAGTGAGTTGAAGATAACTGAATAGCCAAAATATATTTTGGAGATAGTTTGATGTGAGAGGCGAGGAAAAGTAAGTAGTCATGTGTGGCTCTTTGTTTCTGGCTTTAATAACTCCAGTAGTTCTGGAAGAGACTTAGTGGGAAAATTAAGGACATTTTGGATAAATTGAGTTTGTCCAAATGGGGTTGCCAAGTGGAGAGTTGAGTAAATGAAGCTAGAGCTCAGGAAAGATGTGGACCAGAGTTATAAGTCATATTTATTTATTTATTTATTTTGAGACAGAGTCTCGCTCTGTCGCCCAGGCTGGAGTGCAGTGGTGCGATCTTGGCTCACTGCAACCTCCGCCTCCGGGGTCAAGTGATTCTCCTACCTCAGCCTCCAGAGTAGCTGGTATTACAGGCGTGGGCCACCATGCCCAGCTAATTTTTGTATTTTTAGTAGAGACGGGGGTTTCACCATGCTGGCCAGGCTGGTCTCGAACTCCCGACTTTAGGTGATCCTCCTGCCTCGGCCTCCCAAAGTGTTTGGATTACAGGTGTGAGCTACTGCGCCCAGCATAAGTCATATTTAAAACAATGGGAATGGGTAGGAACACCTAGGGATAGAGTGTGGGAAATAGAGTAGGGTCCAGTATACAGCTGTGCCAAATTTCACATGTACAGGTTAGATAGTGGAGTGGGTCAGTTCTATTGAGAATGCCCTGAAAGTTTGAATAATGATAAGCACGTCCATTTTAACATCATGAGGTAGTGGTGACGTTGTAAGAGGAGTTTCAGTGTAGTGGGTTGTCATGGGTTAAAACGTTCAGATTGTCATGGGTTAAAACGTGAATTGGATATGAGGAAGTGGAGTGTGCAAAGATAGTTTTCTGAAAGTTTTACTTGGAAGAGGACAAAAAATTGAGACTAGACAGTTTGAGGAGGATGAAAGGTCAAGAATTCTAAGCTAGTGATAAAAATTTCGTCAACATCAATGAATAGGTAATGTAAACACATTAATCCTGGGATGGATGTGAGAAGAGCAAAGAAAGGAGTCATGGGGGAATATCAGCTCTAAAGGTTGAGTAGAGAAGGAAGGAGTGATCTGAGAGGTGGAAGGAGGAGTAGGAATTATCATAGAAACTTTAAGCTTCTTGAGGGCTTGTGACTGTGTCATGTTCATCATTTTATCTGAAGTTCTTATCAACAAAGTAGCTTTCAGTAAATATTTATTAAATGAAGACAAAAATTTTAAGAGCCATCTGCAATGTCAAATGTAGCCCACAGTTGAATGAATATGAGGACCGGGAAGTGTCCCTTGATTTTGGAGTTAAGCAGCTGATTGCCACCTTCTGTAGAACAGCTTCAGTGGAGTCTCCATGATAGAAATAAATGCCAGGTTGCTGAGGACTAAGCGTGGATATTTGTTGAGAGTGGAGACAGTAAGTGCAAACATTCTTTTCAGAAAGCTTTGCTCTTTTTGAAGCTTTGCTCATAGGGAGATACAAGATAGTAGGTAGAGGGGCAGGCTGTGTTTAGATGAGAGAGACTTCAGCATGTTTATATGCTAAATGGAAAAAGGAAAAAGGAAGGGAGAAGTTGAAGATGTAGAATAAAGGAGGTGTGTGTGAATGATTGTACATTGTCTTTGAGGTTAGTGGGAATGGAGTGAAGATACTGGGTTGCAGTACAGATGAGAATACAGTTTCCACTGAAGTAGGAATAAAGGAACAATAGATGGTGCAGATGGGGAAGTGTTTGGGTGGCAAGTGAGAATTCTGGATATCAACACTTTATTTTTTTCAGTGAAGGGGGGATAAGGTCATCCACTGAGATTATAGTGGGGATGAAATGATGATTGTAGGGGACTGAGGAGAAAAGGAGAATTTCAAGAAAGCCTCTGAGGGAAGTGAGAGGGCAAGCTGAGTGGGAATACTTAGAAAAAATGGAATCATGGATTTTTCACGGCTGTGGTATATATATTTGTATGAATGATTTCCTCCTTCTCTCAGGGCTCAGCAGCCTGGGTGAGCACACAATTGAACAGTTGGATTGGTCTTGGCCTGGGTTTTATGCGTCAGTGTGACAGAGAGGGTAAGGAGGCAAGATATTTCAGTAGCGAGAGTGTTTGAAGTGGTGGGCC
Organism: Homo sapiens; assembly: GCF_000001405.40. Taxonomy (NCBI): domain Eukaryota; kingdom Metazoa; phylum Chordata; class Mammalia; order Primates; family Hominidae; genus Homo; species Homo sapiens. The sequence goes on along the minus strand of NC_000010.11, from coordinate 46,684,896 downwards.
ATTGAGTCTAGGCTGAATAGGGAACAAATGACACCAGAAGGTGGCTGCTGGGACATGAAGTGGTTGGTGTTCAAGACTGGATAGTGGAATTGAAGATTGAATGGGAGGAGCAGTTGCTGGGTATGACAGAATACAGGATCCAGCTATGGAGTGGGTTTATGAAGTAGAGACAACGTTCCCAAGTCTTTAGTGAACATCAGAGAGTGTCATCTGTTAGAACTTTAGCTGTGGCCAGGCAAGGTGGCTCATGCCTGTAATCCCAGCACTTTGGGAGGCCAAGGTGGGCAGATCACCTGAGGTCGGGAGTTTGAGACCAGCTTGACCAACATTGAGAAACTCCATCCCTATTAAAAATACAAAATTAGCTGGGCATGGTGGTGCATGCCTGTAATCCCAGCTACTCGGGAGGCTGAGGCAGGATAATCGCTTGAACCTGGGAGGTGGAAGTTTCGGTGAGCCGAGATTGCACCATTGCACTCCAGCCTGGGCAACAAGAGTGAAACTCAGTCTCAAACAAAAAAGAACTTTTGCTCAAAGGCAGGTGGTAGCAGATAAGAGGTAAGGAAAATTTAGTGAAGAAAAATTCAGTTTTTAAAAACGTTTTAGGCTGGGTGTGGTGGCTCACGCCTATAATCCCAGCACTTTGGGAGGCCGAGGTGGGCAGCTGGCTTGAGCCCAGGAGTTTGAAACCAGCCTGGGCAACATGGCAAAACCTCGTTTCTACAAAAAATACAAAAAATTAGTCAGGTATGGTGGCATGCACCTGTAGTCCCAGCTACTTGAGAAGCTGAGGTGGGAGGATCTCTTGAGCCCAGGAAGTTGAGGCTGCAGTGAGCTGTGATTGTGCCACTGCGCTCCAACCTGGGCAACAGAGGGAAACCCTGTCTCAAAAAACCCAAAAAAACAAAAAACAACATTTTATTTTGGTGATGGAATTCTCTATTGTTTCGAAGAGTTTTGTTTGTTTTAAAGACATTAACCAGTTTTCTCGAGGGATATTCTATGAAAAAGTGGGTTCCATCATCCAATAAGTTTGAGAAACTGCAAACTCTATCCCGTTGGTAATTCACAATGAACCTCAACTTAGATTAATAAAGGCTCTGGGAAATGATGTTACTATTAATGATTTAACATTTATTGAGCACTGTCTAAGGCTCTGTTCTAAGGCTCCCACATGCATTATTGTTTCCAGTCTTTACAGCAACTATCTCAATTTAAGTCACACGGCTAAGCTGGAATGGAAGAGCTGGGATTCAAATCCAGAAAGACTTGCTCCATAGGATTCTCAAGCCTATAACCAGTATGGAAACAGGCTTGACATTAAATCCAGCATTTCCCCATCTTGTTTGGTTATGGAACCTTATTATCTTTTAGTATTTATAGAGAGATTAGTCAGTTGTCCACGGCATGGACCCTGGGAAGTGTCGCCTGAGTCAGTTTACACTGGTGACTACAGTCTTTTAAACAGCATTGTTTCAGACTATAACTAGTTTTTTCTAACTTGGTTCTCTGTTGATAATACTTAAATGTTATATTTATTTTTCTATTTGAGAGCCTTATATTTTGACTTCAAGGCATTTTCTATTCCCTTTCACAATGACCTTCCCAGGAATCAAAGATATTGTCACCACCACACATTACATTTGAGTTACTAAAACAGTTTATAATCCAAATAGCTATTTCACTTTCCTTTCTCTGGTCTAAGATTATCTTATTGTAATTTGTTTTTTAAATTTAGAGACAGGGTCTTGCTATGTTGTCCAGGCCAGTCTCAAACTCCTGAGTAGCTGAAAATATAGGCATGTGTCACCTCAACCAGTTTATTGTAAAATTTTAATGTTTAGAGATCTTGGAGATCATCTTTTATTTTTAACAGTATTTATTTAGTTTTGCAGGTAGAGAAAATGACAGCTGTGTAGTGCTGTGGAAATTATAATAATTCATATCCAAGCTTGAATGTCAGCTCTACCTCTTTACTATAGCTGTGGCCTTACAAAACCTACTTCGTTTCTTGAAACTTGTTTCTTCCTCTAAAAAGATGAGGATAATATCTTGCAGGGTGGCTATGAAAATTAAGACAGTTCACACAGTATCTGGCACATGGAAAGTTCTCAATGTTAATTACCCATTTTTTTCTGTTTAAGGAAATAGTCTCAATCCTATACCATGAATGAATTATGAAAATAGTTGGAAAGGAAACAACAGTTTTAAATGTAAACTGTCTCAGTCTTATGCTGACATCAGCTACATTTCTGGTAAAGTGATGGTGTCATGATACAGGTTATATTAAGAGTTAAAACCAGTTTCCTTCTGGCTTTCCAACTGACATAATAAGCAAAACCTGCCTGGGCAAACATAGACCTATTTATTGGCTCACTTATTATTAATGTTAAAGTAGCTTTGGTGCTGACTTCTCCTGTTCTTGTTTTAAAATTTCACTGTTGTCATTTGAAATCTGACAGACCTTCAGAAGCTTCATAGAATGCTTAATGGTTTAAATCGTCTCTAGAACATGTGAAGTATCTTTTCCAAAGTGGTTTTCTCCATCTGTCAGTATGTTCAAAATCATGTGTATAGGGCCGGGCGCCGGTGGCTCACGCCTGTAATCCCAGCACTTTGGAGGCTGAGGCGGGTGGATCACGAGATCAAGAGATCAAGAGATCAAGACCATCCTGGCTAACATGGAGAAACCCCGTCTCTACTAAAAATATAAAAATCAGCTAGCCATGGTGGCACGCACCTGTAGTCCCAACTACTCGGGTAGTCCCAACTACTTGGGAGGCTGAGGCAGGAGAATCACTTGAACCAGGGAGACGGAGGTTGCAGTGAGCCAAGATCGCACCACTGCACTCCAGCCTGGGCAACAGTGCAAGACTCTGTCTCAAAAAAAAAAAAAAAAAATCATGTATATAGGACAGAATTGCTTATATTTTCACATTTACTACTGGATGCCTGTTTGGTTTTCATAGCAATCAACTTTTGGAGTTTATGGGCAGTACTTAACATATATAACCTAAGTGTGGATAATTATTTAAAATAAGGCTATTGGAAGAAAAATCTATAGGGATTTCTCAGTTTTCACAACAACTCCCTGAGCAAAGAAAAAATAGGTTGGTTTGAGTTGTATGTGATGAGATTTCTAATATTCTATTTGAAATGCCCCCTAGTAAGCACTAGTGATAGGTATTAATGAGCTGAATTTGATTTCCAGTTCCAACTCTGTCCCTTGCAACTTCTGTAACCTTGAAGGTTTCTCTACGTTTCAGTTTCTTCATATGTAAAAGAGATTACCAATATTTCCCTCCCAAGGCTGCTGTAACAGTGAAGTGTTGAGGTTTTTATTTATTTATTATTTATTTATTTATTTATTTATTTATTTATTTATTTTTTTGAGACAGAGTCTTGCTCTGTCGCCCAGGCTGGAGTGCAGTGGCATGATCTCGGCTCACTGCAAGCTCCGCCTCCCAGGTTCATGCCATTCTCCTGCCTCAGCCTCCCGAGTAGCTGGGAATACAGGCGCCCGCCACCACGCCCGGCTGATTTTTTCTATTTTTAGTAGAGATGGGGTTTCACCGTGTCAGCTAGGATGGTCTCGATCTCCTGACCTCGTGATCTGCCTGCCTAGGCCTCCCAAAGTGCTGGGATTACAGGTGTGAACCACTGCACCCGGCTGTGTTGAAGTTTTTAATATAGCCAGCACAGCATGTGGCACATAGTAGGCACACAGCCATTGCATGTTTCTTCCAGACATCTCACTGCATTTTTCAGTAATATTCTTTTCAAGTACGTTCTTCTTTCTCATTCCTTAACATTTAAAAGCTATATTCAAGAGAGAATATTAATGTTTGCCAAGTAAACTGAAAATATTTCCTTTGCAGCCCACACTTAAGAGTGTTTTAGGCCGGGCGCGGTGGCTCATGTCTGTAATCCCAGCGCTTTGGGAGGCCGAGGTGGGCGGATCACCTGAGGTCAGGAGTTCGAGACCAGCCTCAATATGGAGAAACCCTGTCTCTACTAAAAATACAAAATTAGCCGGGTGTGGTGGTGCATACCTGTAATCCCAGCTACTTGGGAGGCTGAGGCAGGAGAATTGCTTGAACCCGGGAGGCAGAGGTTGCAGTGAGCTGAGATCACGCCATTGCACTCCAGCCTGGGCAACAAGAGCGAAACTCTGTCTCAAAAAAAAAAAAGAGTGTTTTAGCAAAAAATGATTTTATGTATGACATACCTTGGTTTAAATCCTGGCTTTTTAATTGTAATTTTTTTATTTTTTGAGACAGGGTCTTACTCTGTGGCCAAGGCTGGGGTGCAGTGATGTGATCTCTGCTCACTGCAACCTCCGCCTCCCAGGCTCAGGTGATTCTCCCACCTGAGCCACCTGAGTAGCTGGGAGTAAAGGTGTGCTCCACTATGCCTAGCTAATTTTTCTATTTTTAGTAGAGACAGAGTTTCACCATGTTGCCCAGGCTGGTCTCAAACTCCTGGGCTTAAGCTATCCACCAGCCTCGGCCTCACAGTGTTGGGATTACAGTTGAGAGCCACCAAGCCCGGCCTGAATCCTGGCTTTTGAATGTAATAGTGTTGTGACCTTAGGCAAGCTACTTAACCTATCCCTAAAGTATTATGAGGCTAAAGTGAGTAATAGTATGTATAAAACATCTAGTTCATTGTCTGGTTTGTATATTCCCAAAATAAATGTTATTATTTTAAGTGGAAACTGTTGTTTAATTTGATAATTCATATAATTCATGGCTTTTGAGAGCCTGCTCTACTCAAAGCCCGTTAAGAGCAGGCAGGAACATTGTGAACGAATGTTGGGCATATTATTATGCAAGTGACTGAATTTGGCCTTGCCTGTAATCAGGTTCAGCAAAAGTGGTATTTTCTTTCTTTCTTTCTTTTTTTTTTTTTTTAAATTGAGACAGTCTCGTCCTGATGGCCAGACTGGAGTGCAGTGGTGTGATCTTGGCTCACTGCATCCTCCGCCTCCTAGGTTCAAGCGATTCTTCCACCTCAGCCTCCCAAGGAGCTGGGATCACAGGTATATGTCACCATGCCTGGCTAATTTTTGTATTTTTTGTAGAGATGGGGGTTTTGCCATGTTGGCCAGGCTGGTCTTGAACTCCTGACCTCCAGTGATCCACCTGCCTCGGTCTCCCAAAGTTCTGGGATTACAGGCGTGAGCCACTGAACCTGGCCAAAAGTGGTATTTTCTATTGCATTTGAGGTAACAGAAATTGATGGGCTTGTTATTGCATTTGGCATGGCTTTTTTTTTTTCCATGTTGTCTTTCTCCACTGACTGTCAAAAAAAAAAAAAAAAAAAAAGGCTACATTCATGAGTGCCACAAGAGAGATCCATGATTCCCAAGTGCTACAGCAGACCAAGGTATATTTTGGTATCTAAAATGTTTTTCATCTTTTGCTGATCTTGTTTATTAGAAATAAATATGTTACTCTCCTGTATTAAAATTTAACACAATATTGGCAAGCTAAATTTAATCAAATATTCTGCCCATTTTAAAATTCACTTCCTAGCCTGTCCATCCTTCCTTTTATTTTGTTGTTTGATTTTGTTTTATTGTATGCTTTTAGCAGCCTGAAGCCATGGTTTTTAGTTTCTGTCTGTAGTGATAAGTGGAAAGGAGGGATGAGGAAGGGGCTTTACTGGCCCAACCAGAAATAGAAACTAAGAACCCAGGACTGTATTATCTCCCTTGGACACCCAACACTATATAAAATTGATTCCTGCCCTGGCAGACTAAGCATTGGAAAGCTGGTGCTAAGAGTGTTATGAGAATTCCTAACAAATAGAAAAGCTCAAGGATTGACACTATAGTAAAAGATTTCATTTTGACATGTTTATAATTTACTTATCAAGTTAACAATAAGGTGTTTTTATTTATTTATTTTTGTTTATTTTTATTTTATGTTTTGAGACGGAGTCTCGCTCTGTTGCCCAGGCTGGAGTGCAGTGGCTTGATCTTGGCTCACTGCAAGCTCTGCCTCCCGGGTTCACGCCATTCTCCTGCCTCAGCCTCCCGAGTAGCTGGGACTACAGGCACCTGCCACCACGCTTGGCTAATTTTTTGTATTTTTAGTAAAGACGGGGTTTCACCATGTTAGCCAGGATGGTCTCAAACTCCTGAACTTGTGATCCACCCGCCTTGGCCTCCCAAAGTGCTGGGATTACAGGCGTGAGCCACTGCACCTGGCCTTTTTTTGGTATTTTTAGTAGAGACGGAGTTTCACCATGTTGGCTAGGCTGGTCTCGAATTCCTGACCTCAAGGCCTGCCTTGGCCTCCCAAAATGCTGAGATTACAGGCATGAGTCCCAGTAAGATTTTTAAAGGGATACCAAAATAATCAACATTTATTTTAGAAGGTGACTTTCTTCAATGAGATGTCAATGTCTACTTTCTGTTATATAGTGCTATTGTTTCTTTTTTCTTTTTTTTCTAAGTGAGGGTCTCACTCTATCACCCAGGCTGGAGTACAGTGGCATGATCTCGGGTCACTGCAACCTTCACCTCCCAGGTTCAAGCAATTCTTTCACCTCAGCCTCCAGGGTAGCTGGAACTACAGGTGTGCATGCCTCGCTAAGTTTTGCATTTTTAGCAGTTGTTGGCCAGGCTGGTGTACTGTTTCTTTTATTGACTGAGATCTATATTTACACAGCATGAAAGTCTCAGTTGCATTAAGTACATTCGCATTGTTATGCAACCATCACCATTATCTAGTTCCAGAATTTTGCCGTCACCCTAATAGAGCTTGTATATATGTCCCCACCAAATCTTATGTTGAATTGTAATTCCCAGTGTTTGAGGTGGGGTCTGGTGAGAGGTGTTTGCGTCATGGGGCAGATCCCTCATGGCATAGTGTTGTCCTCGCAGTAGTGAGTTAGTTCTCACGATCTCCTTACTCCATCCACCTGCTTCTCCTAAAACTTTGAAATACGCTTGGAATTGAAAGTGTTTAGTTTAGATTGAGGATAGTTATCTAAAAGTGACATACAGGGCTCCTGCTTTGCTCTTCCTTAGTAAATTTCCTATTTTATTACACAGTTTACTAATACAGAGGACTTGAGTTTTGTTATTTCCATGGAAAACATTATTGAATCTAAATTTAACTAGAGATGTGTAGTTCAGGGAGGGAGAGTGGTTTTATAATATGAATCTTGGATTTGAAATGAACTTAAAGCAAATGAATAAAAATTGTTTCATTAATTATAATGTCTGAAATAATGCATGTTTTTGTGAATAAAAATTGATATAATAAAGTTTAAAGTGACAGGAGTAGATATAACTAATTGTATTTATAATTTCTTGGAAGTAAAATAACATTTTTGAAAAATATTATACAATGACCTCACATACAGTGACCTCACTTAATCTATGTGAGGCTATACACAGTGGCTCATGCCTGTAATCCCAGCACTTTGGGAGGCTGAGGCAGGTGATTGCTTGAGCCCAGGGGCTTAAGACCAGCCTGGGAAACATGGTGAGACCCTGTCTCTACAAAAAATACAAAAATCAGCTGGGCATGGTGAGGCGCACCTTTGGTCCCAACTACTTGGGATGCTGAGGCAGGAGGATCACTTGAGCCCAGGAGGTTGAGGCAGCAGTGAGCTGTGATCGCACCACTGCACTCCAGCCTGGGTAACAGAATGAGACCCTATCTCAAAAAAAAGAAAAAAGTCTATGTGGAAGACACCACGTTAATTGTGTTGGGTGGTTTAGAGATGTTTCTGTCTCCTTCACTGATGACCGTGTGTCTCTGCTGCTGTCGCTCACTGGTGATTATCAACTCAACCTCTTATATTTGTTTTAACAAATATTTATACACCCTTTGTAAATTTGCATGAGATAAAGTCATTATAGTTAAAAAAAAATTTTTTTTTTTTGAGACAGAATCTTGCTCCATTGACTAGGCTGAGTGCAATGACATCATCATGGCTCACGGCAGCCTGAACCTCCTGGGCTCAATTGATCCTCCTGCCTCAGCCTCCTGAGTAGCTGAAACTACAGGTGCATGCCACCATGCCCAGCTTGTTTTTTATTTTTTGTAGAGACAGGGTCTCACTATGTTGGCAGGCTGGTCTCTAACTCCTGGGTTCAGGTGATCCTCCTGCCTCGGCCTCCCAAAGTGTTAGGATTTCAGGTGTGAGCCACCATGCCTGTCCTATGAAGTCATTACAAAGAAATAAAATTAATTGGTTTCATTGGCAGTATTGAATTTCAAAGCAGAAGGGGTGCTTAAGAGAAATAATGCCTTTGGAGTAATTTCTGATGCTAGATGAAACTCATATCTCATTTAAGGTGTCCATCTGAATTTTATGTTTGGATGATTGTGAATTATTCCTTAAAGCTTGAAGTGAACTCTGGCTCTCTAGGATAAATTAATCTTTATTCCTTTAATCTTTATTCCCTTAGGGATATATTAAAGGGATCAAATTTTTTTTTAGAGTAATGTAAAATTAAGGGACTTCTTTTGTTAGGTGAATTTCTCAGGTTTTAAGATATCAGTATCATTGTGGACATTGACTACATTGTCTACTAAATTCTGTAATTTTAACTTATAATTCTCAGTAATTGGCTGGGTGCGGTGGCTGACGCCTGTAATCCTAGCACTCTGGGAGGCCAAGGCGGCAGATCACCTGAGGTCAGGAGTTGGAGACCAGCCTGGCCAACAGGGTGAAACCCCGTCTCTACTAAAAATACAAAAAAATGAGCTGGGTGTGGTGGCGGGTGCCTGTCATCCCAGCTACTGGGGAGGCTGAGGCAGGAGAATTGCTTGAACCCAAGAGGTGGAGGTTGCAGTGAGTTGAGAATGCGCCATTGCACTCCAGCCTGGGTGACAAGAGTGAAACTCCATTTCAAAAATAAATAAATAAATAATAAAAATAAAAATACAAAAATTAGCTGGGTGTGGTGGCGGGTGCCTGTAATCCCAACTACTCGGGAGGCTGAGGCAGGAGAGTCGCTTGAACTCGGGAGGCGGAGGTTGCAATGAGCCGAGATCACGCCACTGCACTCCAGCCTGGGCTACAAGAGTGAGACTCTGTCTCAAAATAATAATAATAATAATAATTCTTAGTAATTTTTGCAATTTTTTTGGTACCTAAAATAATTTCTGTTATTGTGTTGGATAACTTTGTCAACTTCACTTTGGGAATATCTAAATACAGGTAGCTGCATTCGAGCCAGAGGAATATTGGGTTTTTTTGTTGTTGCTTATTTTTGAGGCAGCCTTACTTTGTCACCCAGACTGGAGTACATTGGCACAATCATGGCTCACTGCAGCCTTGACCTTCTGGGCTCGTGTGATCCTCCCAACCCAGCCTCCCAAGTAGTTGGGACTAAAGGTGTGCACCACCATGCCTGGCTAATTTTTAAATTTTTTTGTAGGGATGGAATTTTGCTATGTCACCTAGGCTGGTTTCAAACTCCTAGGCTCAAGCAGTCCTCCCACCTTGGCCTCCCAAAGTGCTGGGATTACAGGTATGAGCCACCACACCCAGTTGAGAAATACTGGGTTTTAATCAAGATTATTGTCTGAATATTGAGTCTTAATGACTTTTTTGATTTTGTTTTTTTGGCCATAGTATGAAGTTTGCTGTTGATAACCTTCTGTACTAACTAGAAGTAGTATAGAAACTGCAAATTAAAAAAAAAAAACCCAGGTAAAATGTTGATGGCTGCTATTTTTATTTAAGGTATTAATAAAGGAAAAGAAGTCAGGGACATTATGGAGGTCAAGTTTTATATTATTAAAACTCAACTTCATGATTTATACATACTTAGAAATAGTCTGAGTGATGTGTGACCAAAATATGATTTCTAGGAGGAATGATAGTTACATCCGTGGAATAGCTGCGTACACTTTATTGTTCTTGGTGCTTAAACTTTAGTTGTCCTGCTAAGATAAAGGAAGACATTCTTTCAGTTGGAAATCATGATAATGTATTTCTCCATTGAAACAGTATGGTTTGAACAGTGCTATATATTCATACTCATTATTATTCCTTAAATGAATATTTTAAGCTCCTGATAGAAGGCAGGTACTGTGTTATATGCTGTTTGTGTTACCAGAATACGAAGATGAAGAGAACAAAGTATTACACAATTCCTAATCTCACATAAATGCTATTTTTTTTTACTAGCTGTGGGGAGCACAAAATAAGTGGTTGAAAGTCATCTGACACAGTTACATTTATTCCTTTCCTTTTCCATGGCTCTTAGGAATAAATTGTTCTACTCTATGGATTAAATTGCCCTTTGTTTATTGCCTGGGATCCCAACTTTATTTCCTAATTTTATTTCTTTGAGGAAACGTTTCACAAGTTTTATAACAAAGTATAACTCAATTTGGAGAGCACAATCTGTGCATAAGTTGGAGGCTACCTATTGTGAAATGGAAAAATGCTTGTCCTAGCATTACTGAGTTAATGTATAGCTGGTAGAAAGTTTTCACTTTTAATTGCTAACTTGCCTAGTGAGAGTGAAAGATTGATTACGGCAACTAAAAAGTATAAAAACTACTGAGTAGTTTTTAGGTACAGTCAGTTCTTCAGTAGAACAAGAATCTTTTTTTTTTTTTTTTTTGAGACAGAGTCTCGCTCTGTGGCCCAGGCTGGAGTGCAGTGGCGGGATCTCGGCTCACTGCAAGCTCCGCCTCCCGGGTTCACGCCATTCTCCTGCCTCAGCCTCCCAAGTAGCTGGGACTACAGGCGCCCGCCACTACGACCGGCTAATTTTTTGTATTTTTAGTAGAGACGGGGTTTCACCGTTTTAGCCGGGATGGTCTCGATCTCCTGACCTCGTGATCCGCCTGCCTCGGCCTCCCAAAGTGCTGGGATTATGGGCGTGAGCCACCGTGCCTGGCTTCACTCAGTGTTTTCAGTTAGGAAACTTACATTGTTTAGTTTTGGGACATTTTCTTGAATTATTTCACTGGTTTTTTTTCCTCTCTGTTTTCTCCCGTGGATTCCCCATTGCATAGATGCTGAATTATCTTGACTGGACCTCCAGTTTTTTCTTCTTGATTCTGTTGCCATCTCTTTGATTCCTTATTGTTTCTGATAAATTTTCCTAAGTTTAATTTCCGAGAGCTCTTTGGAAAAGTATCGATTTTTTTTCATGGATGGAGTATCTACTCTTTTGACACAGGGTCTTGCTCTGTCGTGGCTCACTACAGCTTTGATTGCTCAGGCTCAAGCGATCCTCCTGCCCTAGCCCTCCCAGTAGCTGGTACTACAGGCCTGCACCGCCAAACCTAGCTAACTTTTTTGATTTTTAGTAGACAAGGTCTCGCTGTGTTGCCCAGACTGGTCTCGAACTCTTAAGCGCCAAGCATTTCTCTTGCCTCAGCCTCCTAAAATTCTGGGATTACAGTGTAGTATCTTCTGTATCCTTTCCATGGACGCTAATGATGGGGTATAAAATTCCTTTTATTTATTTATTTTTTATTGACATCAGAAATTCCTGCTAATAAAATTCTTTTTAAATTTTAAGTTTTTTTCTTCCCACAGTTGTCCGTGTTTCCTCCAAGTTCCTTTTCTATTTTTTGTTTTCCTTTGTTTTCTTTTTGTGGTAGATGCTTTCCTCAGATGAGTGGTAATCCTTGGCTATTTGCAGTTATGCCTCTAAAAGCTGATTGGAAGCTCTTAGTACCTCATTGGTACTTGTTGACTAGAGTTCACTCTAGGGTGATCTATCTGTGTCATTTGCTGGGGCACCCTTCATGTCAGCTTCTGATTACTTTTCCCTTTTCTGAAAAGGGAGAGAGGTCTTTTAATTTCCTGTCTGGTGGGAGGAGGTCTGTATGCCACTTCTGTGGGAGAGTGAGGGAAGTAGGGCAGTGAGGATTTCAGTATTCAGTACATATGTGTTTTCTTAAGGCCTCTGTTTTCATTAAGCCTCCCCCGCACCAATGTGCTTTATGTTTCCCTGCTCTGAAATCCTCCTGAGGGAATAATCCTCTAGAATTTTGCCTTGGTGGGAAATGCATAGTAACCTAACCATGTGGTATTTAGGAAGGTACTGAGAGATTGAGCGTTTCCTAAGGAGCTTTCAGCCAGCCTTCTTTATTTAGTGCTCCCTTCACACCTGTTTCTACAGGCGCTATCTGTTACCAGTTCCTGAGCCTTTTGAAGATTCCGTGGACGAAGGTTGGTTTTTGGCTTTCCATACTGCTGGTTTCTTGGATCTGCTATGTCAGTTACCATTTATGCATTTGCTTTCTAGCTTTTAAGTTTTGTTTATGCCTTAAAAATACCTGATGAGGGCCAGGCGTGGTGGCTCAGGCCTGTAATCCCAGAACTTTGGGAGGTCGAGGCAGGTAGACTCCTTGCATCTGGGAGTTTGAGAGAAGCCTGGGCAACATAGCAAAACCCGTCTCTACTATAGAAAAATTAACCCGGTGTGGTGGTGCACGCCTGTGGTCCCAGCTACTTGGGAGGCTGAGGTGGGAGGATCGCATGAGCCTGGGATGTGGAGGTTGCAGCGTGCTGAGATCATGTCACTGTACTCCATCCTGGGTGACAGAATGAGACCCTATCTCAAAAACAAAAACAAAAAACCCCCAAAAACCTTATTAGTATTTTAGCACAATTTGGGGAAGAAATGAAGTTAAATATATGTATGTTCCATCTTCTCTTTACCCAGAACTTATTTCTAATTTTTTTTTTTGTTAAGCATCTTTTTTGTTGTGGTAAAATATACATAAAATTTATTATTTATAAGTATACAGTTCAGTGACATTAAGTACATTCACAATGTTTTACAGCCATCACTACTTTCTAGTTCTAGAACTTTTCTATCACACCAAAAAGAAACCCCATACCCATTAAGCAGTCACTCCCCATTCCCTCCCTCCCTCAGCCCCTGGAAGCCACAAATGTGCTTTTTGTTTCTATGGATTTGCCTTTTGTGGATATTTCATATAAATGAAGTCATTCAGTATGTGGCCTTTTGTCACATGTTTTCATTTACCATAATATTTTTGTGGTTCATCTATGGTATAGCATAGATCACTGCTTCCTTCTTTTTTATGGCTGAATAATTTTCATTGTGTGGATATATCACATTTTGTTTATCTGTTCATCAGTTGATGAACTTTTGGGTTGTTTCTGCTTTTTCTGGCTATTGTAAATAGTGCTGTTATGAACACTGATGTACAATTTTTTGGGGTGAACATTTGTTTTTATTCTTTTAGGTATATAGCTCGGTGTGGAATTGCTGGATCATATATGGTAATTCTGTCTTTAACTTAATGAGGAACTGCCAATCTGTTTTCCTCAGTGACTGTACCATTTTATATTCCTATTAGCAATAAACAAGTGTCCCAATTTCTCCACATTTTTGCCAACACTGTTTTCCATTAAAAACTTTTTATTATAGTCATTCTAGTGGGTGTAAAGTGGTATCTTTTTGTTTTGATTTGCATTTCCCCAGTAACTAATGACATTGAGCCTTTTTTCATGTGCTTGTTGGCCATTTGTATATATTCTTTGGAGAAATGTCTGTTTAAGTCCTTTGCCCACTTTAAATTGTGTTGTCTTTGTGTTGTAGAGTTGTAAGAGTTCTTTATACATTCTGGGTACTAGACATGATTTTCAAATTTAGATACATGATTTTCAAATCTTTTGCCTCTAGATGTTTTTTACTTTTTTATTTTTGATCCTTGAACTCATCTATATTCTATGGTTGTGATGTAATGATGACAGAATTGGTGTCATTTGTGTTTATTTACCAGGTTATTTGGAAGGATTATATTTTAGGTGCTCTCCTCTCCCCCAGTAAATGGTATTACGACACAAGGGTTATAAAGGACTGATAAGAAATTACTTAAGACAGAAAGGGAAGTTGGCCTGCTTCCAAAATGTGGTCCCAGCAGAAGTGAAGTTAGTTACACCAATAACTACAGTCAAAAAGCTATTTTTAACCATGATAATGTACTTGTTGTTATTAATATTAAAGATTATATTTTTCCAGGTGCAGTGGCTCACATCTATAATCCCAGCACTTTGGGAGGCTCAGGCGGATGGATCACTTGAGCTCAGGAGTTTGAGACCAGCCAGGGCAACATGGTGAAACCCCATCTCTACAAAAAATGAAAAATTAACCGGGCTTGGTGGTGCGTGCCTGTAGTCCTAGCTACTTGAGAGTCTGAGGTGGGAGGATAGCTTGAGCCCAGGAGGTCAAGGCTGTGGTGAGCCAAGATCGTAGCACTGCACTCCAGCCTGGGCAACAGGACAAGACCCTGTCTCAAAAACAAAACAAAACAAAACAAAACAAAACAAAACAAAACAAAACCGACTATATTTCTGCATTAAGTGGGGGTATGGAATCCTATCTAATATTTGAGATAATAATTGTTATAGTATTTTATTGAGCTTTTATTGGGTACCAGATGTGTTCTAAGTTTTTTTCGTGAATTATTTTCATTAATCTTATTCATTGTTGTGTCCTGAATGAGTACTCACATATTTGTTGAAGGGCTCAATGGTCCCTAAAACCTTAGATGCTGTTTTGGAAGGTTAACTTGCCAAAGGTCACATAGTTGGCAAATGATGAAGCTGAGATTAACATTAAGATCTGATTCCAAAGTAGTCTTTCTTAACTGTATTGCTTTATGTGGAGTTTTGCCATTGATGTCTAGACAGAAAATCTCTAGCAATGGAAAAAAATAATTTTTAATTAATTTTAATTTTTTTAGTGTTTTGCTTCTTTTTTTTTTATTTTGTGAGCCACCGTGCCCAATTGGTTTCTTTTAAAAGACTAGTTAGCTTGTGCTTTAGGCCTCTTGATTAATCTGAGGTATTTAATTAATATCTTTGAAATCCTAAGATTTACTGTATCACTTCTGCAATATCTAAATTTTTCCTTCTTACTTATTTCTGTTCTCCTTCTACAGTCCTTTCTATTATGTTTAATCATCAAAACGTTGTTCTTGTTTTCTATTGCAATCTAATTTTTAGTGTTATGCTGTTTCCAGATGCCATTTGGGTCATTTTCAAAAAAAGATGAGTAATAATTAGCAAGTAATGAATATTGTTCTTTTTACCATTCATTAAGAACAATTGTTAATTGTCTTATTCTATTGTGAAGAATATCTGTAATTCCTGCTTAGAACCTGGGTTGATAGCAGGATATCAGGAAGCACTAAGTGTACACAGAACGATATAGCTGGAAAAAGTATATATGTTAAAGAATAATATGTTGTCTAAGGACAGAATGGAACTGATCACACAGGTTCTTTTTTGGTAAGCTTCAAAACTTCTTATCTCCCATGAAAGTACTTTTTCTTTTATAATATGCAACAATAACTTTCTGTTTAGTTAATTAGTTTTAAAACAAGCTTAAACTTATAATTTATAAAGAATCATATTTGCTCCCTATCATTGTTTTATAGCTGGGGCTATACTGACAAATAAGAAAAATAAAATTCCTGCCCTTGTGGAGGAGACAGTTAAAAAATGAGACAAATACATTTCAGATGGAAATGAGGACAATGGAAGAAGAGTAGAGCAGGATGAAGGCATGAAGGGTGACTGAGATCTGGTCAATCTTTAGATAGTGTAATACGGGAAACTGCTTTGAAAAGATGACTTTTGAGCAGAGATCTTAACGTACTGAGGGAGTGAACCATTCGAGGTCTGGGGAAAGAATTCAGCTTCCTCTTCAGATGTACAAAATTACAAGATATTGCCATTCTTGTAACTGAAAACCTATAAAAGCAGGATAAGAAGTACGGTTTCTAAAAACCCATCGAAGAGCTGAGGATACAAGGGAGCCTAAATGAACCAACTCCAGAAAGTAATCAAACTTTCATAGTGGAGAAGAAACCCATGGTTGCTCTAGGATGGAACAACCAAAGGAATAGGAATCCACCATAGATGAGGGGAAAGGAGAAACCAGCCACATTTTTTTAAAATCAGATTTTTAATGGCCACGTATGGGCTGGTTTGACAGGTTAGGATCCTAAGAAGCCCTAGCAACTCTGGCACCAAAGAGCAAGTATGCACCCACACTCCAGCTCCTACCCACAGATGTTCACTGAATGTTCAGGAGTAGTAAGCCAAAAGCCTGGGCCAGTGATGAACTGGCATAGATAATACCTGAGGCATTTGGAACCTCTCCCAAGTATAGGGCAACCACCCTTAGAAGGCAGGATTGCTGAGAAAAATCCAGCAGAGGCTCTCCAGGCTTTCAGTTCTGGAATGCTGCAGGCAGGGGAAGAGCTAGAGATAACTCTCACCCCACACTCTGGCAGTCCATGTTTTCAGCCACCAAGGACTGGGGACAGGGCAGAAGAGGTGAGTGAAACTGCTCTAATTCATTTCAGGCCTTCACAGAATGTAAGGAAGCTGCCCTCCAGAAGGCTGGCTGGGGAGGAGGAGCAGGGCTGCACGAGGGCACCTGAGCTTCAGAAAGCAAGGTGTGCGACTGGAGAGCAAGGAGAATCTAGCAAACCAAACTCTGACCGTCGCGCTTAATGCAGAGATAGAGTTCCTACAGTTTTTTTTTTCTTTCTTTTTTAAAATATAAACTTGAATTTTTGAAACAGTTTCAGATTTAAAGAAAAATTGCCAAGATAGTATGGAGAGTTCCCATAAATGCTGCCTCTAGTTTTTCCTATTTTTATTTAATTTATTTATTTTTTTAGTTTTTCCTATTTTTAACACCTTATATTAGTATGGTATATTTGTTATAATTAATGAACTAATACTGATATATTTTCATTAACTAAAGTCCATACTTTATTTACCTAATGTTTTGGGATCCCATTTAGCTGTCACGTCTCCTTAGGGTCCTCTTGGTTTTGGCATTTTCTTAGACTTGAGCTTCTCATCTCTTGTTTTTGATGACTGACAGTTTTGAGGAGTATTGTTCAGGTATTTTGTAGAATGTCCTTCTATTGATATCTGTTTGGTATTTTTGTCATTGTTACAGTGAGGTTTTGTATTTTTGGGACGAAGAACATGCAGGTGAAGTACAATTTGCTTTCCTTTTTTTGAGACAGTGTCTCACTCTGTCACCCAGGCTGGAGTGCAGTGGTATGATGACAGCTCACTGCAGCCTTGAACTCCTGGGCTCACATGATCCTCCCTCCTTAGCTTCCTGAGTAGCTGGGACTACAGATGCATGCCACCACACCTGGCTAATTTTTTTTTTTTTTTTAATAGAGACAGAGTCTCACTGTATTGCCTAGGCTGGTCTTGAACTCCTAGGCTCATGCAATCCTCCCACTTCAGCCTCCCAAGTAGTTGGGACTACAGACATGTGCCACTATGCTTGGCAGTACCATTTTCATCACATCATATTAAGGGGACATACTGTCAATATGACTAATCAGTGTTGATATTGACCTTGATCATCTGGTTGAGGTAGTGTTTGTGTATTTCTTTACTACAAAGTTACTCTTTTTTCTCCTCTGTTTACATACTGTACTCTTTGGAAGGAAGTTACATATGCGCAGCCTACACTTAAGGCATGGGGAGTTATGATACCCCTCCTCAAGGGCAAAGTGTCTATATAAATTATTTAGATTTCTTCTGCATGGAAGATTTGTCTCTTCTTCCTCATTTATTTATCCATTCAATTTTTTAAATATTAGTATGGACTTATGGATATTTTATACCTTGGGTTAAAATCTTATTATTGCTTTATTTATTTTATTGTTCAAGTTGTTCCAGCTTTGGCCACTGGGAGCTCTTTCAGTTGGTATGACTTTTTGATATACCACTGTCAGTGTATGTGTGTGTATGTCTGTTTGCACTTTCTCACTTTCTGGCACTACAAGATGCTCTAGTATATTTAGAGACTAAAGCATGTAGTATATGCTTTAGTATATGCTTTATCTAGTATATTTTTCTGTCTCAATCCTAGAATTAGCCATTTCTCCATGGAGCCTTGGTTCCTTTTACTGGAGAATGGAGAAACCAAGATCTAGGTGCTAGGTGTACATGTTGCTACTGGGGTGTTTTTGCTTGTAGGCCATCTCAGCTGACAGAGCCAGAAAATGTATGTATTTATACTACCCTGTATATATCCACATATCTATAAATATTTCTATATGTATCCATCCGTATCTAATTAAGCTAAACATGAGTTTATATTGATGTATTAGGTTCCAGTTGAATCACTACATGGATGATTCTAACTTCCTGCCCTTGCTTATCTGAAAACTCCTGCTCCAATAGTGAGAAATCTGTCTCCTACCATCAGCCACCCATTTACTTAATCATTCTACTCTAGTATACATGTAAGGTACTCCCACAGTTTTAAAAACTGGTGGCTTGGCTATGAAACACAAGCAGGTCTCTGTAATTTTACCTAGGCTCAGATCCCAGACCTGCTCAAGTGAAAGGCTTGATCTCAGTCCTTAAATATTTGAAGCCAGTGATTAACTGTTAAATTAAAGCTGCATCATAGCCCACACCCAGCTCAGTTACATATTGGATTGACTCAGACTCCCTTCTAGTGTCCTAACAGAAAAATTGTCATGTCTTTTTCTGGAAGTAAAATATTACTTAATTTAATAAGTAATCTATTTTTATATAAAATGTCTGGTGTGTAATGAAAAGTTACAAGGCACAAGAAAAGCAAGAAAATGTGACCAAAGGTCAAGAGAAGAAATAGTCAGAGATGATCCAGATTTATCAGAATTATCAGACAGGGATTTAAAGATAATTATGAAAAAAATGCTAGATGATTGAATGATAAAGGTTAACGATATGCTTGAAAAGATGGGGATTTCTGTAGAGTCATGGAAATTATGCCAAAGAACCAAGTTGAAATTCTATTAAATAGAGGTGAAAAATATACTAGCAGAGACCAGGGAAAACAAAAAAAGGAAAGAAAAGAAAAGGAAAGGGAAGGGAGGGGAGGGAAGGGAGAAAGAAAAATACACTAGCAGAAATGAATTCATTACATGGGCTTAACAGTTTATGGACATAGCAGAAGAAAGAATCAGTGAATATGAAGACAGATTGGAAAGAGAAAAGACAGAAAAAGTCAGGGAGGGGTAGAAAAGAGATTTTAGATCTGTGGGATAATATCAGATGGTCTAACATATATGTAATTGGAGTTTCAGAAGGAGAGAAGAGAACGTGGCAGAAGACATATTTGAAGAGGCAATGCTCAGGAACTTCTAAAATTGATGAGGTCATCAATTCACAAATGGAGGAAGTTCAGCAAATCCCAAGCAAGTTAAATACAAAACAAAAATAAGCCAACAAATTTAAAAATCCCATATATAGGCATATCATAATCAAACTGCTGAAAACTGAAGATGGAAGAGATCTTAAAAGCAACAGGAGAGCAACAGGAGAATAAAAGACACATTAGTTATGTGAGAATGGCAACATGGGTTATGGCTATTCCATGTTTTAGGGCCAGAAAAAAATGGAGTCTTAGCTGAGCATGGTGGCACATGCTTGAACCCAGGAGTTCGAGTCCAGCCTGGGTAAAGTAGTGAGACCCCATCTCTATTTAAAAAAGAAAAGAAGTCCAGGCACGGTGGCTCACACCTGTAATCTCAGAACTTTGGGAGGTGGGCAGATCACAAGGTCAAGAGGTCGAGACCATCCTGGCCAACATGGTGAAACTGCGTCTCTACTAAAAATACAAAAATTAGCCGGGTGTGGTGGTGCACACCTGTAGTCCCAGCTACTCGGGAGGCTGAGGCAGGAGAATCACTTGAACCCAGGAGGTGGAGGTTGCAGTGAGCCGAGATCATGTGCCACTGCACTCCAGCCTGTCGACAGAGCGAGACTCAGTCTCAAAAACAAAGAAAGAAAAGAAAAGAAAAAATAGAATGTTAAATACAATGGGATGACATCCATAAAGAGCTGAAAGAAAAAAAAAAAACAACCTGTTAACCTAGATTTCTATGGCCAGCAGAAATAGCCTTCAAAAATAATGGCAAAATAAAGACTTTTTGGACATATCAAAAAGGGAAAGAATTTGTTTCCAGCAGACCTGGACTCAAAAAACATTAAAACATACACATTAACAAGATGTGGGTTTTACAGCATATATGTGATTATACAACCATGAAAGAACAAAAAGGAGGAGATGGAATTATACTGTCACACATTTCTTACTCTGTGAAAGGAGACTGTAGTAACTTCTGGATGCATATGTAATCTCTAGAACAAGCACTAAAAACACAAACAGGGATACCATAAAGTCAGTACATCTGCCCAAGAGGGATTAACTGCTACGAGAATCATTCTCCTACTGTAAACAGCTAGAAAACAGGACAAAAATACATGAAACAACTGTTTTCAGACATTGGACAACAGGCAGCACAGGATAGTGATCCCTGAGAGAAGGGAAATAACTGATATGAACCCTACAGGGGTTCCTATAGGCAGTTTCCAGATTGTAGCACAGAGTAGGGGAATCCAAATAGAGCCCAGGAGAGTTTGGAGAAGTCAAGGCAACTAGAATTTGTGGGGCAGAAAACAAGAATAAAAGGAACTACACAGAAATCTATAGAAGTAAGAGAATCTTTGATTGGACACTCATCTGCACATGTGAAGTGTGGAAGTCAGCAATGCTGGAGAAAGTCACACTGGAAATCAGAACACTGAACAATTCCAGGAGCTCACACAGAGCTGGGAATAGTTTATGTTTCCATTAGGCATAGTGGAGAGACTGTTTCATACAAAGGACATTGGCTAGAGTCTTCAAAGTGGGGTTAAATTAGCTATAGACTAAAGGCCTTTCTAAACCTACCCTAAGCTTCAAGGCAGGTTTTGAAAGGACCAGGCTGATTCTAAGTAACTCAATTATGTGCCAAAACTAAACTCTTTTAAAGAATACAGTAAATGCCAGCACCTAACAATTAAAATGTTCAGCATTAATAATATATTAATGAAAGATTACTAGGCATACAAATAAAAAGCAGGAAAATGACCCATAACCAGGAGAAAAATCAATAGAAAAGAGACCTAGAAATGTGGAATTATTAGAAATAATTCTGATGATTGAATTATCAGCCAAATATGTTAATACAAGTATTATAATGACTAGTAGAGAAATGAATGATAGATAAAAAGACACAAGCCAGATGTGGTGAATCATGCCTACAGACTTGAGGGTAGGCAGATCAGCTTGCCCAACATGGCAAAACCCTGTCTCTACTAAAAATACAAAAATTAGCTGGGTGTGGTGGGATGTGCCTGTAATTCCAGCTTGGGAGGCTGAGGCACGAGAATTGCTTGAACCTGGGAGGCAGAGGTTGCAGTGAGCTGAGAACATGCCACTGTACTCCAACCTGGGTGACGGAGTGAGACTTTGTCGCAAAAAAAACCAAAAGACTCACAAGTAGTATCTAAAGATGAAAAATACCAGATATAATATCCAAAACTGGGGGAAAAACTGGATGTGATTAACAGCAGATTAGACACTGCGGAAAAAAAGATCATTAAATGTGAAGGTATAGCAGTAGAACCTATTCACACTGAAGCACAAAGAGAAAAAAAATACTAGAACAAAGTTAATAGAACATCAGTAACCTTGGGACAATAGCAAGTTGCCTAATACATGTATAATTGGAGTTCCAGAAAAGTGGGGAAAGGTAGAAGGCAATTACTTTAGGAAACAGCGTCTGGGTGGCCAGGTGGGTGGCTCACACTTGTAATCCTAGCACTTTGGGGGGCCGAGGGGGGTGCAGATCATTTGAGATCAGGAGTTTGAGACCAGCCTGTCCAACATGGTGAAATCTCTTCTCTACTAAAAATACAAAAATTAGCTGGGCTTGGTGGCATGCGACTGTAATCTCAGCTTCTTGGGAGGCTGAAGCATGAGAATTGCTTGAGCCAGGGAGATGTAGGTTGCAGTAAGCCAAGATCATGCCACTACACTACAGCCTGGGCAACAGAGTGAGAACCTATCTCAAAAAAAAAAAAAAAAAGAAAAAGAAAAAGAAAAAGAAAATAAGAAAATAGTGGCTCATCATGGTGGCTCATGCCTGTAATCCCAGCACTTTGAGAGGCTGAGATGAGAGGATTTTTTGAGCACAGGAGTTCAAGACCAGCCTGGGCAATTTCCTTAAAAAAGAAAAAGAAACAGTGACTATAAATTTTCCAAATCTGATGATAACCATAAACTCTCAGATCCAAGAAACTCAGTGAACTCTAAATAGAATAAACAAATATAATCATACCTAGGTATGTAATGATAAAATTAGTGCCAGTCATGGTGGCTCATGCCTGTAATCCTAACACTTTGGGATGCTGAGGCCCGGAGTTTGAGACCAGCCTGGGCAACATAGTGATACCCCTATGTCTACAAAGATTAAAAAATAGAAATATA
The DNA here is from genome assembly GCF_000001405.40 of Homo sapiens. Lineage (NCBI taxonomy): Eukaryota > Metazoa > Chordata > Mammalia > Primates > Hominidae > Homo > Homo sapiens. The sequence continues at coordinate 46,662,569 of NC_000010.11, read as the reverse complement.
AAAAGTTAGCTAGGCATGGTGGCACTTGTCTGTAATCCCACTTACTTGGGAGGCTGAGGTGGGAGGATTGCTTGAACTCACGAGGTCAAGGCTGCGGTAAGCCATAATTGTATTCCACCCAGGGTGATAAAGCATGACGGGAGATCCTGTCTCAAAACAAAACAAAACCAAAAAAAGGCGAGGCACAGTGACTCACACTTGTAATCCCAGCATTTTGGGAGGTCAAGGTAGGATGATCGCTTGAGCCCAGAAATTGGAGACAAGCCTGGGCAACATAGTGAGACCCTGTCTCTCAAAAGAAAGTTTAAAAAGGCGGGCATGGTGGCATGGGCCTGTAGTCCTGTCTACTCAGGTGGCTAAGGTGGGAGGATTGCTTGAGCTTGGGAGGTTGAGGCTGCAGTGAACTGTGTTCGTGCCACTGCACTCCAGCATGGGAGACAGAGCAAGATCCTTTGTCAATAATAACACATAAACCAATGTTACAATGAGAAGAAATAAATTCTGGTGTTCGGTTTTTTGTTTTTTTTTTTTCTGAGATGGAGTTTCTCTCTTGTTGCCCACGCTGGAGTGCAATGGCATAGTCTTGGCTCACTGCAACCTCCACCTCCTGGATTCAAGATGATTCTTTTCCCTCAGCCTCCCAAGTAGCTGGGATTACAGGTGCATGCCACCACACCCAGCTAATTTTCGTATTTTTAGTCCATCACGTTAGCCAGGCTGGTCTCAAACTCCTGATCTCAAATTCTGGTGTTCTATTGCACAGTGGGGTGAGTATAGTTAAGAGTAAAATATTATTACAAAATAGCTGGAAGAGGGGCTTTTGAATGTTCTTTCACAAGTGAGAAATGCAGGAGGTGATGGATACACTAACTGCTCTGATTGGATCATTATGCAACATGGATATGTATCAAAACATCAAATTGTGGCCCGGCGCGGTGGCTCATGCTGGTAATTCCAGCACTTTGGGAGTCTGCGGTGGGTGGATCACCTGAGGTCAGGAGTTCAAGACTAGCCTGGCCAACATGGCGAAACCCCATCTCTACTAAAAATACAAAAATTAGCTGGGTGTGGTGGTGCATGCCTGTAATTCCAGCTACTCGGGAGACTGAGGCGGGAGAATTGCTTGAACCTGGGAGGCAGAGGTTGCAGTGAGCTGAGATTGCGCCATCGCACTCCAGCCTGGGCAACAAAGCAAGACTCCATCTCAAAAAAAAAAAAATCAAATTGTACCCCATAAGTATGTACAATTACAATATGACAGTTTAAAAATTAAATTAAAAAAAAATTCTCTTGTACTTACCAGCTGAATAAAAAATAAATTTTTAAAAGGAGAGAAGTCTTCTTAAAAACCAGTTATTTACCCCATCATTAAGTTATAATGAACTTTCTTATGGGAATTCTTTGATAAGGAAGCTCCTTTATGCTGAAGTTTTATTCTTTTCATACCTCTTTAGATAAATCAGTGCTTTAGGAGCATATGTCATATGACTCAATGGCAGTGTTCTAACTTGGATTCTAGCTCCACATTGTGCAAAGGCAAAAAACCAGAGAGTCAGTGTGGTAGTTAAGAACTTATGTTCTGCTGTTTGATTTCCTACATGCCAGTACTCCCTCCACTACCTGCAGTCTTCCTGACCTGGGGCAAGTTCCTTTTGTAAACTCTGTTTTCTAGGGGGATGGTGGTGGAAGAAGGATGGTGATTTGAGCCAGGCAGTAGCAGGTAGAGGTGGAGAAAAGTGGTCAAACCCTGAATGAACGTTAAAGATAGGACCAAAAGGATTTGATGAGAAATTGGAAGTAGAGCACAGGGAAAAAGAAAGATATCAGTGATGATGCCAAGGTTTTTGGCCTGGGGAATTGGGATAGTGGAGTTGTTATTTGCTGAGTATGACTTTTCACAAAGGAATGTCAAGGCATAAGTAGCAAAGTTCTTTTTTTTTTTTTTTTAATTTTTCTTGATTGTGTTTGTTTTGTTTTTCATCTTTTGTGGGAGGTGGGTGGAGATGAAAGCAAGCACAGGGGTTGGCAGGCATACCCCTGGCACCTACCTGTGAGTTCATGATTACTAGTTTTAAAGTTCAGTCCTTTTTATTTTTACTTTTTTTTTTTTTTTTTTTTTTTTAGAGACAGTGTCTCACTCTGTCATCCAGGCTGGAGTGCAGTGGCACAATCACGGCTTACTGTAGCCTTGATCTCCCAGGCTCAGGTGATCCTTTCACTTCAGCCTCCTGAGTAGCTGGGACTACAGGCACATACCACCCTACCCAGCAATTTTTTTAAAAAATTTTTTGTAGCGACATAGTCTTACCATGTTGCCTAGACTGGTCTCGAACTACTGAGCTGAAGCAACCTGTCTGCCTCAGCCTCCCAAAGTAAAGTACTGTAATTACAAGCTTGAGCCACCGTGCGTGGCCAAATTCTGGCCTTTTGATGTTGCATGGTGTGGATGGGGAGGCAAAGTGTGATATTTTAGGAATTTGAGGATTTCTTCTTCGACCTTAGGCGTGACATTGGACAAATGACATCTGGGCTGAGACATTTTCTAGTAATGCTGGATCCAAAAAACTCTTATCCCATTGTCTCATAGCTTCATTACACAGACCTGGCGGCCATGATCCTCTTTTTTTCCCCCTTAGTTGCCAAACATGGGTTCTCTGTCTTACCTCATTTGAGTCTTACCTCAGTCTTGAGAGTCTCAAATGTGTATCATAGTTTTTAGACAAAATTCAACCTTATTTCAATTAGTATTTCATTGTTATTTAAATATTTTAACAGGAAAACTGAGCAATGTTTCCCTTTACCTGTTAATCCTGTTATAATATTTTAGATAAAGTGTATTAGAAGGCACATTCTTCATTAATAGAATATTTATTCATGTGTTTATATGGTTCTTAACTAGGAATACCATATAGTCTATCTCCAACCCTTTGAGAAGGAAAAAAGATCCTGACTAAACAGGACACCAGAAGGGCATGCCTAAACTAGGACTGTTCTGGGCAAATCAGAAGGCATGTTCACCTTATTCTTTTTATTCTTTCTTTTTCTTTTTTTTTTTTTTTTTGTGACGGAGTCTCGCTCTGTCGCCCAGGCTGGAGTACAGTGACACGATCTTGGCTCACTGCAACCTCCACCTCCCAGGTTCAAGCGATTCTCCTGCCTCAGCCTCCTGAGTAGCTGGGACTACAGGCACATGCCACCATGCCTGGCAAATTTTTTGTGTTTTTAGTAGAGACGGGGGTTTTGTCGTGTTAGCCAGGATGGTCTTGAACTCCTGACCTCATGACCTGTCCACTTCGGCCTCCCAAAGTGGTGGGATTATAGGCATGACCCACTGCACCTGGCCTCACCCTATTCCTAAGGCCAGAAAACCAGCTAGAGTAAAGTTCACTTTCTGTTTGAGTGCTTGGACTTTATTGGGAGAAGGCAAATGCCCTGGAACAAGAGTGAAAGGGAGAAATTCCCGTTGTATTGCAAGCCAGAATAAGAGAGGCTCACCCACACTGGCCTAAGGCATCTCAGTTGTTGATGAGAATGTGATTACAGATGTCTCACATGAATACCAAAGACAATTGCAAAGGAAATTAAAAGTTATGCAAAGAGAGTCGAGAAGTCAGTTGTCTGCTCACAGGTTGGCTTTAGTGGCTATTACTTTGAGATACTAAATGAGCGATAGCTTTAAACTTCAACTGCTTTTGTTTCTGAGGAAAAAAATCATCTTATATCCTTTCATAAGTCGCATAAAAAGTGGACATTTTCTATTATTTTAAAGAGTAAATTTAGGTACAAGCATTTACTAATTTTTTTTTTTTTTTTTTTTTTTTTTTGAGATGGAGTCTGGCTTTGTTGCCCAGGCTGGAATGCAGTGGCGCAATCTTGGCTCACTGCAAGCTCCGCCTCCCTGGTTCACGCCATGCTCCTGCCTCAGCCTCCAGAGTAGCTGGGACTACAGGCGCCCGCCACCACGCCCAGCTAATTTTTTGTATTTTTAGTAGAGACGGGGTTTCACCCTTTTAGCCAGGATGGTCTCGATCTCCTGACTTCGTGATCTGCCCGCCTCAGCCTCCCAAAGTGCTGGGATTGATTACAGGCGTGAGCCACTGCTCCCGGCCTGTAATTCTTTTTTTTTTTGAGACGGAGCCTCGCTCTGTTGCCCAGGCTGGAGTGCAGTGGCGTGATCTTGGTTCACTGCAAGCTCCGCCTCCCGGGTTCACGCCATTCTTCTGCCTCAGCCTCCCGAGTAGCTGGGACTACAGGGGCCCACCACCACGCTCGGCTAATTTTTTGTATTTTTTAGTGGAGACGGGGTTTCACCGTGTTAGTCAGGATGGCCTCGATCTCCTGACCTCGTGATCCGCCCGCCTCAGCCTCCCAACATTTAGTAATTCTTAAAAGAGTTCAGCATGAATATACACAGTACGTGGGTTATTAGTACTGTGTTGTTAACACAAATGAACTATGATAGCAAATTGAATTTGGTTCAATCAGGTCAAAGAATAAAAGGATGATTTTCTTTAACCACCAGCAAAGGATAGTATAATGAACCCCATGCAACTATCACTTAACTTCAATAATTTCAAGTTTGAGTAAGTTGCAGAGTAGTAATTTGAACCCACATCTCTCTTGTTCCAAATCCCTTGCTTTTAATTACAATCCCATGTGGCTTCTTTGTCATTTGATGCTATTGAGCAACTTTATGATTTTTTTGGTGTTTTTGGTAAAATAGACATGAAAAGGCATTACTACAGGGAGTTTTTTCACTCCCTGGTAATAAGAGGGGAAAAGCACTCTCTTTTAATGATACATGTTTTGTAATAAGCATTTTTTTTAGTTGCAGTGTTCTGCAAAGACAAAACCTGCTGATACAGTTCATCCTGTTTTAGAAATCTTTGACCCATTCATCAGACTCTGACCACTCTAAAGATAAAGGATTATGGTTGTATTGGTTTTTCCGACTGAAGCGGCCTTCTGCAGATTGAGAAATTGTATAATTATTAACTGCGGTAATGGAGATGTACTTGCAAGTTTCATCTGGTATCTTAATGACCTTTAACCCTCTGAGTACACCTAAAACATATCCTAGAATTATTGAAATTAATCAGTTGTCCATAACTTTTCTGTCTGTATAATTTGGCTATCATACGTATTTTGTTTCCCCCTGCCCTTGCCAGTTTCCATCCTCCTACTCACATACTCACAACTCCTATAAATTGGAGTATTTAGTAGCAGTAGCCTTTGGTATAAACACTTTTTAAAAATTTACTATTTTTTGAATTAATAGGGCCACTTTCTAGTCAAGTTTTTTTTTTTTTGGGGGGGGGGTAAGGAGGGTAGGGTAACAGTTCCACACTTACAAGGGTATTTGTTTAGACCAAGCTTGTTCAACCCACAGCCTGTGGGGCTGCATGTGGTCCAGGATGGCTTTAAATGCAACTCAACATGAGTTTGTAAACTTTCTTAAAACATTATGAGTTTTTTTTGAGAATTTTTTTGAGACAGAGTCTCGCTCTGTTGTCCAGGCTGGAGTGCAGTGGCCCGATCTTGGCTCACTGCAACCTCCACCTCCTGGGTTCAAGCGATTCTCCTGCCTCAGCCTCTGGCGTAGCTGGGATTACAGGTGTGTGCCACCACTCCAAGCTAATTTTTGTATTTTTAGTAGAGACGGGGTTTTACCATGTTGGCCAGGCTGGTCTCAAACTCCTGACCTCAAGTGATCTGCCCACCTCGGCCTCCCAAAGTGCTGGGATTATAAGCATGAGCCACCGCGCCCAGCCTGCGATTTTTTTTTTTAAGCTCATTAGCTATCATTAGTGTTAACTGTATTTTATGTGTGGCCCAAGACAATTCTCCTTCTTCCGTTGTGGCCCAGGGAAGCCAAAAGATTAGACACCCCTGATTTAGACAAATAAGTGAAGGCACACTGAAATAACAGTTATATATAATAACCTTGTGCCACCCAGCGCGGTGGCTCATGCCTCTAATCTCAGCACTTTGGGAGGCTGAGGCGGGCGGATCAGCTGAGGTTGGGAGTTCAAGACCAGCCTGACTTACATGGAGAAACCCCATCTCTACTAAAAATACAAAATTAGCTGGGCATGGTGGTGCATGCCTGTAATCTCAGCTACTTGGGAGGCTGAGGCAGGAGAATCGCTTGAACCCAGGAGGCAGAGGTTGCAGTGAGCTGAGATCGCGCCATTGCACTCCAGCCTGGGTGACAAAAGCGAGACTCTGTCTCAAAAAAAAAAAAAAGAAAAGAAAAGAAAAAAAAAACACAAAAAAACCTTGTGTTTTGTGGATCTCACATTCATCTCAGATATTTCTTGCCCTGGGAGATCCTCTGAATTCTCAGGACTGCTTCGTGTCATCCCTTTATGCTCTACTATCTTCCCTTGCCTAGAAGGCAAGTAGGGCTTTGAATCTCGCCTTTGATTCTACTGTGATCCTATCAAATATAGTAATGCTAGAAATATAGGTCTGAAGTTTGGGAGAGAGATTGGCTCAGTATAGATATGTAAAGCACAGCTGGATATGTAGTAGTTATATGAATGGGATTGGATGAAATTCTCTAGAGGTGTGTGGAATGGAAAGAGGTGGCCCAAGGAGGAAGAGAGAGAGAGAGAAATTGGAGAGGTAGAACAATTTAGGAAAGAGTAATGTTCTAGAAACTAAGGAGAGAGTTTCACAACTGCAGTGGTGAAGCACTGTGAGTTCTTATTTGGCAATTTGGACTTCATTATTGTCTTATCACAGATAGGAAATGAAAGGTTGCAGAACATTTAGGAGAAAATATTAAGTGAGGACACAGAAGCAGTAAATGTCGTATATGCCTTTTAAACATTTTGGAGATTACCCATAGTAGGCCTGTCCCTTGGGTAAGGCAATTAGGGCAGCTTTCCTGGGCCCTATTTTGGGGTGGGGAATGACTCGGGGACTTTATTATATGACTTTTTTTCTGAACATTAATAAAATTCAGTTCCAAAATTTTGTGATTAACTGTAGTCCTAAGAGCCTATGAAAAATGCAGATAATGGGCAGTTCCACATTGGTTGAACTGCCCCAGGCTTCTCTCTTCTAGAGATGCTGTCCCTTCCTTTTAATCCTGTAGTAGCTCCTATCACTTTTTTTTTTTTTTTTTTTTTTTTGAGACAGAGTCACCCAGACTGGAGTGCAGTGGTGTGATCTCAGCTCACTGTAACTTCTGCCTCCTGGGTTCAAGCGATTCTCATGCCTCAGCCTCCTGAGTAGCTGGGATTACAGGTGCGTGCCACCACACCTGGCTAATTTTCGTATTTTTATGGGATTTTACCATGTTGCCTAGGCTAGTCTTGAACTCCTGACCTCAGGTGATCCACCTGCCTCAGCCGCTGAAGTCCTGGGATTACAGGCGTGAGCCAAGGCTCCTGGCCTCCTGTCACTTTTTACAATTGTCAGTTTGTTTTTCCTCTCAGAAATTAAGCTCCTTAAAGCTCTCTATTATTGTTTTGAATTCCCAGGGCCTAGCATAATGCCCAGCACGTAATGTTGAGTGTTTGTTATGTGAGTGATTGAAGGAATAATCCAATACATATCTGTCTTAAGTACAAAAGAATTCCAATATGGTGGTCTCACAGAGTCAAAAAAGCGGAATGTTTCAGAAAAGAGGGATTGATAAACAGTTTCAAATGGTACTAAAAGTATTGAAAACTGACCTTTGGATTTGGCTTCTAGAAGGTCATTGGTTTCCATAGTGAAAACTTTTATAGCAAAATGGTTGGAGTAGAAGTGGTTGAAGATTAAAGGAGAAATGAGATGTAAGAAACAACAAACAAGTTTGTGGGGGCGGGGGGGTTGGTTTTATTTTTAAAGACTTGTAGCTGAGCGTGACAGTATGTATCTGTAGTCCCAGCTATTTGGGAGGCTGTGGCTGGATGATAGCTTGAGCCCAGCAGCTTGAGGCTGCAGTGAGCCATGATTGCACCATTGCACTCCAGCCTGGGTGAGAGAGAGAGACCCTAACTCAAAAAATAAAATAAAATAAAATAAAATAAAATAAAATAAAATAAAGATTTGAAGCTAAAGGGAAGAAACCATTGGAGAAGAAAGCCAAAGATCTGATGGAGGAGAATTCATTATCATGGTAATGTTATGCATTTGATTTGCATATATCTAAGTATTCCCACCAACATGTTTTTTTTTTTTTTTTGAGACAGAGTCTCACTCTGTCACCCAGGCTGGAGTGCTGGAGTGCAGTGGCACGATCTTGGCTCACTGCAACCTCCCGGGTTCAAGCGATTCTCCTGCCTCAGCCTCCCTAGTAGCTGAGACTACAGGCTGGTGCCATCACGCCCTGGTAATTTTTGTGTTTTTAGTAGAGATGAAGTTTCGCCATGTTGGCCAGGCTGGTCTCGGACTCCTGATCTCAGGTGATCCTCCCACTTCGGCCTCTCAAAGTGCTGGGATTACAGGCGTGAGCCACCACGCCTGGTCCCAACCAACATTTCAAGATAATATATTTCTCCTTCCACTTGGGTTTGATATATTAATGTATTTTGAACTTGAAGGCTTTTGCTGTGCTATTTGGGGCCCCTAGTGGTAAATCTAATAATGACATGCAATAGAACAGCTAATATACCAGTTATTCCTTATGAAGGTTATTCTTTCTATGAGGATTAAATGAGGTTGGAATATGTAGTTATAGCAATAGTAGTGATTCTTAATCATTTTTTTAAAAAGAGAGTCTCGCCAGGCACGTTGGCTCACACCTGTAATCCCAAAACTTTGGGAGGCCAAGGTGGGTGGATCACTTGAGGTCAGGAGTTTGCGACCAGCCTGGCCAACATGGTGACACCCCATCTCTACTAAAAAAAACTAAAATTAGCTGGGCGTGGTGGTAGACGGCTGTAATCTCAGCTACTCGGTAGGTTGAGAATTGCTTGAACCTGGGAGACAGGAGGTTGTAGTGAGCTGAGATCGCGTCATTGCACTCCAGACTGGGTGACAAGAGCAAAACTCTGTCTCAAAATAAATAAATAAAGGGTCTCACTTTGTTACTCAGACTGAAGTGCAGTGGTGTGATCATGGCTCACTGCAATGTCCGCCTCTCAGGCTCAAGTAATCCTCCCACCTCAGCCTCCCTAGTAGCTGGGACTATAGGTGTTCCACCACTATGTCCAGCTAATTTTAAGAAATTTTTTAGTTTTTAAATTTTTTTGTAGAGATGGTGGTCTTACTATGTTGTCCAAGCTGGCCTCAAACTCCTGGTCTCAAGTGATCCTCCCACCTCGGCCTCCCAAAGTGCTGGGATTACCGGTGTGAGCCACCATGGCTGGCCAAAAATGAGTAATTTTTTTTTTTTTGAGATGGAGTCTCTCTTTGTCGCCCAGGCTGGAGTGCAGTGGCGAGGTCTTGGCTCACTGCAACCTCCTCCTCCTGGGTTCAAGCGCTTCTCTTGCCTCAGACTCCCGAGTAACTGAGACTATAGGCACGGGCCATCACAGCCGGCTAATTTTTGTATTTTTAGTAGAGATGGGGTTTTGCCATCTTGGCCTGGCTGGTCTTGAACTCCTGACCTCAAGTGATCCACCCCCTTGGCCTCCCAAAGTGCTGCGATTACAGGCGTGAACCACTGTGCTCTGCCCCAAAATGACTAATTTAAAGGTGACTGTAATATAGTTAAACAAATGCCTCTTTTCCCATTCTTTACTAACTTGTTATTTAAATGGGGCAAGTTTTTACAACATAAGAAACAGGCCAGGCGCGGTGGCTCACGCCTGTAATCCCAGCACTTTGAAAGGCAGAGGCGAGTGGATTTCTTGAGGTCAGGAGTTTGAGACCAGCCTGGCCGACATGGTGAAACCCCGTCTCTACTAAAAGTACAAAAATTAGCCGGGCATGGTGGCACAGACTGTAATCCCAGCTAATCAGGGGGCTGAAGCAGGAGAATTGGTTGAACCTGGGAGGTGGACGTTGCAGTGAGCCTAGATGGCAACACTGCAGTCCAGCCTGGGCAACAGAGCAAGACTCCATCTCAAATGAAACAAACATACTAAAAACCTATTAACTTGTTTGATGTGAGTGTGCTTAGCTTTATTTCCCTTAAAGAGAGTCTTTTTATGAGATGGAGTCTCACTCTGTTGCCCAGGCTAGAGTGCAGTGGTGCAATCTAGGCTCACTGCAACCTCCGCCTCCTGGGTTCAAGCGAGTCTTCTGCCTCAGCCTTCAAGTGGCTGGGACTACAGGCGTGTGCTACCACGTCCAGCTAATTTTTTGTTTTTAGTATAGACGGCGTTTCACGCTGTTAGGCAGGATGGTCTCGATCTCCTGACCTCGTGATCCACCCACCTCGGCCTCCCAAAGAGCTGGGATTACAGGTGTGAGCCACTGCGCCCGGCCTAAAGAGAGTCTTTAGGTGAAAAATTTTTGTGAATATTGTGATTTCTCCTTAATAATTTCTTGTGTATTTATGAATTTTATATAATTAAATGGCATATCAAAAAAATCACCTATGTTAATTATGTTTTTGACTCAGTTATATTTTCTTTTGGTACATTATTAAGTTAATATCCATATGCAAAAATATGCTGACAATATATTAATTTTGGATTTTTCATTTTTATCAGAAATCATGAGTGGAGGATCTCAAGTCCACATTTTTTGGGGTGCTCCAGTTGCTTCACTGAAAATGACAGTATCAGAAGACACAGCTTCTTTAATGTCTGTTGCTGACCCCTGGAAAAAAATTCAGCTTTTATACAGTCAACATTCTTTATATCTGAAGGATGAAAAACAGCACAAAAATCTTGAAAACTATGAAGTCCCAGATTCTATTGGTTCTCCAGATCTTTGTGGTCATTTCTTAGCAAACTGTATGAATAGACATGTTCATGTGAAAGATGACTTTGTACATTCTGTTTCTGAAACACAGAATATAGAATCCCAGAAGATTCACTCCTCTAGACTGAGTGACATAACTAGCTCTAATATGCAAATATGTGGATTTAAAAGCACAGTTCCGCATTTAACCGAAGAAGAAAAGTATCAAAGCTTCTCAGTGAAAATAAAATTAGAGATGAACAGCCTAAACATCAGCCAGATATATGTGGTCAGAACTTTAACACAAATTTGTTTCAGTTGGGCCATAAATGTGCAGCTGTGTTGGATTTGGTTTGTAGTACTGAAAAAATTAATATAGGGCCTGAAGTGGTACAAAGAGAGTGTGTGCCAACAGAATATCATGAAATACAAAACCAGTGTTTGGGATTATTTTCCTCGAACTCAGTAGATAAGTCAAGGTCTGAAGCAGCAGTTAAGAAGGTCTCAGACCTTAAAATATCAACTGATAAAGAATTTCTCAGTATAATTACCTCCAGCCAGGTTGCTTTTTTTAGCTCAAAAGAAAGATAAAAGGCGGAGTCCTGTAAATAAAGGGAATGTAAACATGGAGACTGAACCAAAGGCAAGTTACGGGGAGATAAGAATACCTGAAGAGAATTCGATTCAGCTTGATGGTTTTACAGAAGCATATGAAAGTGGACAAAACCAAGCATATTCCCTTGAACTTTTTAGTCCTGTTTGTCCTAAAACAGAAAATAGCCGCATTCACATAAACTCTGATAAAGGTCTTGAAGAACATACAGGATCTCAAGAACTTTTCAGTTCTGAAGATGAACTGCCACCAAATGAGATACATATTGAGTTGTGTAGCTCAGGAATACTGTGTTCCCAACTAAATACCTTCCACAAAAGTGCTATTAAAAGAAGCTGTACCTCTGAAGATAAAGTGGGCCAGTCTGAAGCTCTATCTGGAGTCCTTCAAGTAGCTAAGAAAATGAAGTTGATTTCTAATGGAGGAGATTCTGCTGTAGAAATGGATCGGAGAAATGTGTCTGAATTTAAGAGTATTAAAAAAACATCATTAATAAAAAACTGTGATTCTAAAAGCCAGAAGTATAATTGTTTAGTCATGGTGCTATCTCCATGCCATGTGAAGGAAATAAACAAAATTCGGACCAAATTCTGGCTCTAAAGTGCCTTTAGCAACAGTTACAGTAAGTGATCAATCAGAAACTAAGAAGAAGGTTTTTCTGTGGAGGACTGCAGCATTTTGGGCATTTACAGTGTTTCTTGGAGATATAATTTTACTCACGGGTGAGGTCATTATGGTATAGTGGTAGCTTATTTTATAAAGCTAAGTTTTGTTTGTTTTTGTTTTTCTCCCACTTAGTCTTTGAAGACTCTTTCTTTAGTCATTTGCCTCTTCTGAGCTCAGCATAATTGATCCCTTTATTGCATCTGCATTGCTCTCCTTTCCATTGTCCACTCTCCTGCCCATTGCCACTTCTGGGCCTCTGTTCTATCCTTCTCAGCTCTGCCCCTTCTTTCCACTTATCCCCTCCTTTAATAAGCCTTCCCTAGTCAGGTGGAGTGGGTCACACTTGTAATCCCAGCACTTTGGGAGGCTGAGGCAGGAAGATTGCTTGAGGCCAGGAATTTGAGACCAGCCTTGGCAACACAGAACCCGTCTCTACAAAAAATAAATTAAGTTTTGCGTGCCTGTAGTCCCAGATACCCAGGAGGCTGACATGAGAGGATTGCTTGAGCCCAGGAGGTTGAGGCTGCAGTGAGCTTTGATTGGGCCACTGCACTCTAGCCCGAGCAACAGAGTTAGACCTTTCTGCTTCTTTACCTAATGTCTAATAATGCTGTGCACATTGTGTTTTTACTGTGGGAACAGTTATTGATTTCTGTTGCCTTATTTTATTATCAAAATTATATTAATTACACTTGGAAATATGGAAAGGAAAAAACTGGTATTATACCAACTTCATATAACCACCAATAGAGTTCGAGAGTGTTGCCTTCCAGTTATTTTCTCTGTTCTCCTTAAAATGTGTGTGCATGTGTGTATATATCACACATAGAAGCTCATATTTATTGGGAGCTTAGTTTGTGAGACCCTGTTTTAGATTTTACATGCATATTTCATTACAACAAGTATATGAGGAAGGTACTGATTTTTATCCCCACTTTTCAGTTGAGGAAGCTGAAGCCCAGAGAAGTAAAGTAACTTGTCCAATGTCATACATCTAGGAAGTGGCAAAGCTATAGTTTCTCCTAGACTCCAGAATTTATACTCTTACTATATAGTTGTAACCATAAAGAACATTTTGTTTTTTTAATTTTTAATTTATTTATTTTTAAGAGACAGAGTCTTGCTATGTTGCCAAGTGCAGTGGGTACTCACGGGCACAATCCCATTACTGATCAGCATGAGAATTTTTGAATTGTTATTTTTAATTTTTTGTTTGTTTGTTTAATAAGGACAGGATCTCACTGCATTACCCAGTCTGATCTCCAACTCCTGGGCTCAATTGATCCTCCTGCCGCAGCCTCCCAAAGTGCTAGGATTACAGGCGTGAGCTACCGTGCCCATGGTATTTTTAACATGCCCTTGTTTCCAACCTGGACCAGTTCACCCCTCCTTAGGGAACCTGTGGTCCTCCACTCCCAGGAGGTCACTATATTGATGGCAAGCTTAGTGCAAACACCTGATCGGCTACAACTCTGAACTCCTGGGCTCAAGTGAGCCTCCTGCCTCAGTCTCCCAAGTAGCCAGGACTACAGGCACGCATGCCGCTGCACCCAGAGAGAATATTTAATTTTTTTTTTTTTTTTTGAGACAGTCTTGCTCTGTCACCCAGGCTGGAGCGCAGTGGCACAATCTTGACTCACTGCAACCTCCGCCTCCTGGGTGCAGGTGATTCTCCTGCCTCAGCCTTTCGAGTAGCTGAGATTACAGGTGCAAGCCACCATGCCTGGCTAATTTTTGTATTTTTATAGAGACGGGGTTTCACCATGTTGGCCGGGCTGGTTTCGAACTCCTGTCCTCAGGTGATCCGCCCACCTCGCCCTCCCAAAATGCTAGGATTACAAGTGTGAGCCACCGTGCCTGGCCAGAATATGTTTTCATCGAACACATCTAACATTGTGTTACGTGTTCTTTGTTGATTTAAAATTGACACATGGTGTATTAGAGCAGGAGGAAGTTGATTAAGCTTAATAAAATATCTAAAGAAAGAATGTGATACAGAGGCGGTATTTAGAAAAAGAAAACTTCGAAGCAATATTGATAGTCCTACCAAATAGTTTACAGGAGGAATGAGAACCTTAGCTAATGTACTTGGTGTTCCTGTAGGATTGTCAAGTACAATCTTTTTTTTTTTTTTTTTGAGACGGAGTCTGGCTCTGGCACCCAGGCTGGAGTGCAGTGGCGCGATGTCTGCTCACTGCAAGCTCCGCCTCCCGGGTTCACGCCGTTTTCCTGCCTCAGCCTCCCGAATAGCTGGGACTACAGGCGCCTGCCACCGCGCGCGGCTAATTTTTTTGTACTTTTAGTAGAGACAGGGTTTCACTGTGTTAGCCAGGATGGTCTCGATATCCTCACCTCGTGATCTGCCCGCCTCGGCCTCCCAAAGTGCTGGGATTACAGGCGTGAGCCACCGCGCCCGGCCGAGTACAATCTTTTATAAAGAAGTAAACACAAAATTGTAATGAACAGGCTTAGCATAGCCACATCCCACTGGCAGTATTAGCTAATATTATTTATATGTGATTATATTATTGGAGGTTCAATTCACCTAACTCCCTCTGTTCTGATTCAGTGCTTGCTGAATACCTCTTTGCTTGTGATTTGGCTTTCTAGTTGTAGAGCTGCCCACAGCATGAGAACAGGCTGAAATACTGTTTTTTTGGGGCAATTATTGTAAATGAAAAAAAAATGTTTTTTTTTCTTTAATTTGTTTCATTAATTGATTTAGTATGAGCTTATGTTGCAGAGCTGAAATCTAGTTTTGGAGTGTTAACAAAATTAAGTTTCCCAGACTGTAAAAGAGGGCTGGATCCTGGACCATGGTCATTTTACCGAGGCAATTAATGTCAGCAGGGACCTCTCAGGGGCCTTTTCCTTTTTCCTAGGTAGGTGTAAACTCAACTCTGCAATCTCTGTATTTTTTCCTAACATCTCTATAGTTGTTAACGACTAGGTAACATTCTCTCTGGTGGCTGTAATGCAATTTACTTAACCATTTTCCTATTATAAGACATTTAGATGATTTCTATGAACATTTTTTTAAAAAATCAGATTTTTTTTGTCTTTTTAAGAAAAAGAGGATCTAGTTCACCGATTTCTGAATAAGTTTCTTTTGTGTGGAACAGATGGAAATGTTGGGAAAAAAAAGAAATCTACACTTTTCTGTTGTCCTAATGAGGCAGTGAACTTAGTTGGATAGCTTGGGTAGTTTATACTACCTATTGATATATACCCCCAAACAGAAATCTTCCTTTTTTTTTTTTTTTTTTTGAGATGGAGTCTTGCTCTGTTGCCCAGGCTGGAGTGCAGTGGCGTGATCTCGGCTCACTGCAACCTCTGCCTCCTGGGTTCAAGTGATTCTCCTGCCTCAGCCTCCCAAGTAGCTGGGACTACAGGAGCCCGCCACCACGCCTGACTAATTTTTGTATTTTTAGTAGAGGCAGGGTTTCACCATATTGGCCGGGCTGGTCTCGAACTCCTGACCTTGTGATCTGCCCACCTCGGCCTCCCAAAGTTCTGGGATTACAGGTGTGAGCCAGCGCGCTCGGCCCATACTGAAAAATTTGAAGTAACAGATGTATTCCAGACCTTGTTGAATACCAACACAGTAGACAGTTTGCTATTATAACTTCTAGCAATAGAATGAAGAGATGCCAAAAATAAGGATTACCTAAGGGAGACTACTGACTAGAATTAGAAGAAGATGGGAGGCTTAACATTGGGAAACCACAGTGTTTAAAGGACAAACAGAATAAGGACTAGGAGCTGGGGCATGTCAGTGAGAGGGTAGGAAGGAGCCAGGAGGCCAGGGTGGGCTACCCATCCCCTCCATGCACCACTAGTGATTACCATGTCACTAATCCAACATAGGCTTCACAGTCCTAGCTTTCAGAATGCTCTCCTTGAAATTTCTTGTCTGTTCCTTTTTTCTGAAGAACATGCATCCTGAATGTTGGATCATGAAAAGTCTTGAATGCTGTACTAGCTCTTCCTGGCTAGGCAGTGGGGAACCACTGTTTTTTAGTAAGTCACCTGAACTCATTAATGCTCTGATATATCACTCGCCTGAACTCATTACTGCTCTGATAAATGACTCATTAGCATTGTAAGAAATGGGTTGCAGGCGGGACAAGCACCTGTTGGGAGGGAAAGGAATGTGTAATGTAAAACAGTAGTAGTGGTGGGGCATGGGCACATTTAAGCAGCAGAGGGGTAGGTGGGAGCTGGTGGCAAGGAGTGGGAAGGGAGAGGCAAGATGACTTCAGATTTTAGTTTACTTGATTAGCAGCATAGCATCAATAAATGAGTTGGGCGCTATGAAAGGAAAAGCAGATTTGGACATTGCTGAGTTTGGGGAGCCAATGGAATATCCAGGTGGGAATTTCCATTAGGCAGTTGTAGATAAAAGGTTCAAAAGCTGAGGAAAGGGTCTGGAATCTAAATCTGTAAGTAATCACTTGGAATTTATACATCCTTGGTTTTCTTTCCTATTATCTCTAAATTATTTCACTATTGTTAATATATGTTTATACCTCTGACACTGTATGCTGATTAGATCCTGCCTTAGAGATAGCTCCCTTCCCCTCTTTCTCTTTACAGCTCACATGTTTTGCTCTACCTACAATTGTTTCTACCTGTTGGTATGTTTAGTTCTACCTGATTCTACTCTATCCGTCTTAGATATACAGCTCTCTCTTTCCAATTGGAAAATGTTCCCTACCTCCAAAGTCTTTCACTTTTAACTTATGTGGAAGATAATTATCGTGCTATTTAGGGAAAAATAATCAAGTGTGTTATATTCAGATATATTTATAGTAGAAGGGACCAGTGCATACTGAATATTATTACTCTCCTAGGCACTACGGCTTTGGAACCACTACTTTGCCTTCTGGTCCTAAAAAAAATTATTTTTGATGTATCAGAAATATACATGATAACATTTTCCTTATGTAAATAAAAACTATTAAACCTTTTTTATATAGAGCAGTGGACTTCCATACTGCTATCATTTGAATATAAAGAAGAAATTTTGTTAATTTACCTAGATTTAGATTTTAGATTTGCTGTTTTGTCATTTCGTGCCCTTAGGCAGGTTATTTAACCTATTTGATCTCTAGTTGCTTGGTATATGGGAGGCATGCATAATATTTTGCTGTGACTAGTAGGTTAACCACATTGTGAAGGAATTTATGGCATGATCAGAATGTTTTTTCTCTCTCTAGATGTTGTTATTCATGAGGACCAATGGATTGGTGAGACAGTACTACAATCAACATTTAGCAGTCAGTTATTAAATCTTGGGAGTTATTCATCTATTCAGCCTGAAGAATGTAAGGCACATTTTAAATGAAGTAATGTATTAGTGTTTAAAGTATAAAAACATACTAGGAAAGATTAGGGTTAAAATGGTTCTTTTACAAAATGTTTTCTAAACAGTTGGAGAGTATTGGTTTCTTTTCATTAGTAAGAATGAAAATAGAATTTTAAGAAATGAACTTGTACATTGTAAATCACATTTATTTTAAGAAGTATTGGGTCTCATGTTTCGTTTTCTTAGGCTGTCAGTATAGTGGTGGTTCTTCACCTTTTAGGGAGTCAGAGACCTCTTTGAGAATCTATAGACCATTTCTCCAGAAAACTGGACTTATGTAGATAGGCACAAAATTTTGCTTATAATTCTAAAGCATTCCGTGGACCTCTGAAGTTCTTCTGTGGAACTTCTGAGCCTCTGATTAAGAATCCTTGAGGTAATAAAAATGTATTGGTCTCGTATTCAGACAGCTGTGGTTTGAATCCTTATTCTCCTGTCTACCACTGCTAAGAAAAGCTATTTTTCTTCTTTAATGTCCAGTTTTCTCTTCTTTAAAAGAAGCTGTTTAATGAGGAAACTAGCAGCTATCTCCTCCTCTAGGAAATAAAATAACATAAAAAAAAAGAAAGAAAACAAAGTAAGGGAAACAGTATAAACTTGTGGTTTTGGTCACTGGACTCAGATAGACCAGGATTTGAATCCTGGCCCTCTTACTTCCAGTCTTTGTCTTTAGGCAAGTTATTTCACTTCACTATACCTTTATCTCCTTTTCTTTGAAATGGAGATAAAAATACATATATACCTTATAGGGTTGTTATGAAGATTAAGTGAGAAAATGAATATAAGATGTTGAACCTGCACATAATGTAGTAGTAACATAGTAATATTAGAGGGAGAAATAATAAGCTAGCAAAATATATTTGATAAAATGCTGAAATATCATACAAGAAAATAGCTAGAGAAATATACTGATTATACAAGAAGATAACTGGAATAATAGGAAAGTTATAGGATGTATATGGAAGATAGAGCATGGAATTCCAATCTTTGAATTCTTAAAGAAAGGCAGAGCAAGTAGAAGGGAAGAGCAACAATTAGAATAACAAGAACTGTGTTTGGGATGGGCAAGGTTTCATTATATACTAGGGTGGCCCATCAGCAGAAAACCAACTCTGACATATTTCATAGACAACTCAAATAGAGTTCTTCATCTATCCAATATATATTTATTATGTGTTGACATTGTTTCAGGCACTGTGTTTACTGTACACTGGGGGTACAATGGTGCCTGTCCTCCTGGAGCTTATGTTCTCATGTGGAAGACAGACCAAAAAAAATGAATGAAACAGACATATAAGTAAAATATTTGCAGGTGATAATGAGTGCTATGAAGGAAACTAACAAAGGGTTAAGATACAGAATGCCATGGTTCTAGTTGAGAAGGATTGATCATGGAGTAGAATCAGGGTTAGGAAGTTGTTACAATAGCTGCAGTTGAGAGATAATGGGAGGCCAGTGGAGCTAAAGAGCCGAGATATATTTGTAAATAGAGTTAATAGGATTTTCTGATGATGTGGGTCTGGGGATCAGGTAAGAGGGACAATCTACTGCTACTGGATTACTGGTTTAAGTAACTAGGTAGCCTTTATTGGGAAAGACTGAGAGGGAACTGGTTTGTGGGGAAAAGGGCTATGTTTCAAGGCATGTTAAGTTTTAGATATCTTTGAGATATTCAAGTGGAGATGTCATATAAGAACTGGAAACAAAGTTCAGGACTCAGAAGACAGGTTTAAAATTAAGAGGCAAATTTTAGAGTTATTAGCATACAGATAATATTTCAAATTTAAAAGTTTTTAAAATAAATATTATCTGTATAATTATAGAATCACAGGGGATTGCAAAAATAATACATAAAGTCCCATGAACTCTTCTTCTAGCTTCTCCCAATGGTGATATCTTATATAACTTTAGTACAATATCAACAACAGGAAATCAACATTTGTATAATACTGTTAACTAGTAATATACTAGGATACTTTCCCTTTCAGTATCAATAAATATAGTATCAGCCTGGCACAGTGGCTTATGCCTGTAATCCCAGCACTCTGGGTGGCTGAGGCAGGAGGATTACTTGGGCCCAGGAGCTCGACACCAGCCTGGATGATATGGTGAAACCTCATCTCTACTACAAATATGGAAAAATTAGCCAGGTGTAGTGGTGCACACCTGTAGTTACAGCTACTGGGGAGGCTTAAGTGGGAAAGAAAGTTGAGGCTGCAGTGAGCCATGATAGTACCACAGCACTTCTGCCTGGGTGACCAGAGTCAGACCTTGTCTCAAAAAAAATTTTTTTCTTAAATAAATAAATATAGCATCAATACAGCATTATAATATGATTAATACTATATCAATAAAATAGATACTTAGTCCTAATGCCAATGTCTTATTTAATAGAAAAGCACTCGAGGCATTGTCATTAAAACCAGGAAAAAGATAAGGATGTCCACTATCTCTGCAACTATTCATCTTATACTAGAATTATCAGCTAATGCACTTAGACAAGAAGAGGCATCTGGTCTGGTGCGGTGGCTCACGCCTGTAATCCCAGCACTTTGAGAGGCCAAAGTGGGCGGATCACTTGAGGCCAGGAGTTTGGGACCAGCCTGGCCAACATAGCAAAACCCTGTCTGTACTAAAAAGATGAAAAATTAGCCAGGTGTGGTGGTGCATGCCTGTGGTCCCAGCTACTCAGGAGGCTGAGGCATGAGAATTGCCTGAACCTAGGAGGTGGAGGTTGCAGTGAGCACCTGTACACTGCACTGCAGCCTGAGGGACAGAGCGAGATTCTGTCTCTCCAAAAAAAAAAAAAAAAAAAAAAAAAAGAAAGAAGAGGCATTTGAACATTTGAATGGATAAAGAAGAATGAAAATTATCTCTATTTACAAATGCTCTGATAACATACCTGAAAACTCCAGGGAATCAAAGTTAAAACAAATTTAAACAATAAGATAATTCAATGATATAACAGGATGCAAAATTAATGTTAAAAAATATCATTAGGCTGAGTGCAGTGGTTTGCGTCTGTAATTCTAGCCCTTTGGGAGATGAAAGTGGGTGGACAGCTTGAGCCCAGGAATTCAAGACCAGCCTGGGCTACAAAAAAGAAAAAGGAAAGGAAAAAGAAAAAGAAAAAAATGCTGGGTGTGGTGGCACACACCTGTGGTCCCAGCTGTTTGGGAGGCTGAGGTAAAAGGATTGCTTGAGCCCAGGCTGGGGGATGAGGTTGCAGTGAGCTGTGATTGCACCACTGTACTCCAGCCTGGGCAACAGAGCAAGGCCCTGTCTCAAAAAAAAAATAATAATAATAGTAATTAGACAATATACACAAATAATAAACAGAGGGCATAATGATAGTGAAAAACTCATTTACTATAGTAATAAAGAAGATAGTTCAAAATACAGTTAACAAGAAATATGCAAAGCCTATATGAGGAAAAAATTTAAACACTCCAGAAAGAAATGAAGACATGAATAAATGGAAAGACATTCCCTGTTCTTGGATAGGATGACTCAACATTATAATGATGTCAGTTCTTCCTAAGTTAATATGTAAATTCAATGTAGTTCCAATGAAAATATATATGTTGTGGCATATAAAAGTTGATACTAAAGCTCATATGGGAAAACAGACATGCAAGAATAGCTAGGAAAAGACTGACAAAGGAAAACTACAGAGGAGGGGAACTAGCTTTACCAGATGTTAAAACATACTATAAAGCCTCTGTAATTAAAACAGTGAAGTACTGATGCATGAATAGACAAGTAGACCAGTGGAACAGAGTAAGAAGATTAGAATTAGACCCACCTACATATAGCAATTTAATATATGACAAAGATAGTATCTGGAATCAGTGAGATAAAAGCTAACTTCTTAATAAATGGTGCTGAGACAACTGGGTAGCCATTTGGAAAAAAGGGAAAATTGGACACATATCTCACAACAAACAGTAATAAACACCATATGGATTAATAGTCTAAATGTAAAAAATAAAATCATGCAACAACAAGAAGGAAACCTGAATGAATCCTCTGTAATCTTGGTGTAGGGAAAGGCTTTTTCTTAATATTACTCAGAATCCAGGGGCAGTAGAAGATAAACTGATACATTTTACTACAGAAAAATAAATTTTGCATAACCAAAACACTATAAACAAAGTCAAAAGACAACTGACAAACTTGGAGAAAATATTTGTAACATACAACAAAAGGCTAATATCCCTAATATATAAAGAACTTTTAAACCTTGAGTGACAAAGTCTGGGTGTGGTTGTTCACACTGGTAATCATAGCATTTTGGAAAGCTGAGGTGGGAGAATCACTTGAGCTCAGGAGTTTGAGTCCAGCCTGGGCAACATAGTGAGACCCTGTCTCTACAAAAAGTCAAAAAATTAGCCAGGTGTGGTGGTGCATGCCTATGGTCCCAGCTACGTAGGAGGCTGAGGCAGGAGGATTGTTTGAGCCCAGGAGGTCGAGGCTGCAGTGAGCTGTATTCATGCCACTGCACTCTAGCCTGGCAAAAGGGAAAATGTGAAAAAGAGATGAACAGTCAATTTTCAAAAAAAGATATAAAAATGGCTATCAAATATAACTTATTAGAGAAATTCAAATTAAAACTACATGGAGATACCATTTCTCACCTATCAGATTGGCAAAATTAAAAAAAAAAATCACATTCTGTTGGCGCAACTGTGAGGTAATGTGCCCTCTTATACATTGGTGGTAGGAATGCAAATTGCTACAACCCTTTTGAAGGGATATTTGGCAATATCTAACAAAATTACATATGTACTTAGCTTTCAACCTAGCAATCCCACTTCTAGGAATCTACCCTGAAGCTACACCTCCAACAATATGAAAATACATATCAGAAGGTTATTCATTGCAGTATTGTTTATAATTGCAAAATATATAGGAGAATGATTCACTAAGTTATGGTGCATTCACATAGTGGAACACTATGTACTATGCAGCTGTACAAAAAGAATGAAAAAGATCTCTACAAACTGATATGGAGTGATTCCCAGGACATACTGTTATGTGAAAACATAAACCCCCCAAAACTATATGTAGTATGCTGTCCCTCCTGTAAGAAGGAATGGAGGAATAAGAAAATACCTCTGTTTATTTGTGGAAAGAAAATGCAGGAAGGATAAACCAGAAACTAAAGAGATTGGTCACCTACAGGGGGCACGTAGGAGAGGGGTGGAAGAAAGTGGGGAATGGGAACAGGATAGCAGGGGTCAGGAGGAAGTGACACTAACAAATGAATGTATTATTGTTACAAATGAACCTAATATTGTTACAAATGAATAAAATAACTACATAGAAGGGGGTGGGGAAGAAAAGAACAAACCTAAGTAGCTGTGGAAAAGAGTATATTGACTGGATTCTATAAGGCTAATGACAGAAAGGACTGTACATAAATGCTGCAATCTAGTTAGAAATATGTTTCTCAAAGGCGAATGGCTTAGCAATAACCTTATGTACATACTAGAATGAACAAATGAGTACATAGATTGCAGATAAGGAAAGCTGGATTTCTCACTGTTGGAGAAAGAAATTATAAACAAGGGAAGGTTAAAACGAACCAGAGGTATCGTTATAAACTGAGGATTTTTAATATAGATAAATGGATACAGAAATATAGGCATGTGTATATGGGTGGGATAGTACACATACATAAACATCTCCTAGTTCTGTCCATTGAGCGAGCACAGCACAGATGCAGTTACTCCTCAGTAATAATGAGCATACCTGGTGCCCAGATCTTCATCTGTAAACATTTTCTTTTCTTTTCTTTTCTTTTTTTTTTTTTTTTTTTGAGATGGACTCTTGTTCTGTCACCCAGGCTGGAGTGCAGTGGCGTGATCTTGGCTCACTGCAACCTCTGCCTCCTGGGTTCGAGCAATTCTCCTGCTTCAGCCTCCCAAGTAGCTGGGACTACAGGTACGTGCCACCACGCCCAGATAATTTTTGTATTTTTAGTAGAGATGGGGTTTCACCATGTTGGCCAGGCTGGTCTTGAACTCCTGACCTCAAATGATCTGCCCACTTTGGCCTCCCAAAGTGCTGAGATTGCACGTGTGAGCCACCGTGCCCGGCCTCTCGTTTTTTTTGAGACAGGGTCTGGCTCTGTTGCCCAGGCTAGAGTACAGTGGTGCGATCTCGGCTTACTCCAACTTCCGCCTCCTGGGCTCAAGCCAGCCTCCCACTTCAGCCTTCCAAGTAGCCGGTACCATAGGTGTGCACTACCACGCCTGGCTAATTTTTGTATTTCTTGTAGAGACTGGATTTCACCATGTTGCTCTGGCTGGTCTCGGACTCCTGGGCTTCAGCAGTCCACCCATCTTGGCCTCCCAAAATGCTGGGATTACAGGTGTGAGCCATTGTGCCTGGCCAACATAGTTCTCTAATGAAAGGAACCAGCTCTGCTAAAAGTGGTTGATTACAGGACTGGGTCAGGGCAAATTCAGGATAAGCCTGGAAGTCTAGTGGTGCCAGACAAGACATGTTGAAATAATGCAAGAGCCAACCTGAAGGAACACCTACTGGCTAAAGCTGAAGCAATTTGAGTAAGAAAATAATGATAGTATTGGATTAGAACCCATAGATTAAAATCTTTACAAATCCTTATTGATATAAAGATATATTTATTTCATTAACTAACCAGAGGGGAAGAGAAAGCTCTTCCTTCCAATGGAATTCCAATTAATAAATCTGAGAGAAAAGAAAAAAAAATAGAGAATTACTGGCCATGCTCAGTGGTTCATGCCTATAATCCCAGCACTTTGGGAGGCTGAGGCAGGTGGATGGCTTGAGCCCAGGAGTTCGAGACCAGCCTGGGCAACATGGCAAAACCCCATCTCTACAAAAAATAGAAAAATTAACCAGGTTTGGAGGTGTGCCCCTATGGTCCCAGCTATTCGGGAGGCTGAGGTGGGAGGATTGATTGATCCCAGGAGGTTGAGGCTGCAGTGAGCCGTGATCATGCCACTGCACTTCAGCCTGGGCAACAGAGTGAGACTCTGTCTCAAGAAAAAAAAAAAATACAAAACACAAAAATAGAGAATTACCATCAGGCAGAGATCACAATCATAAATACTGCACGGACACAAATGCACTGATAGATGCTAAAATTAGTAGGTGAAAGTCTGAGGAGAGAGAGCATTGCATAGTCTCAAAGTATCTCCCCAGGATACCAGCTTACTAGAGGGAAAATAATAAATTTATAAGAAAACTCTTCAGACACCAAGTTAACTGAGTGATTGGGGTAAATATCACCAGTAATAAGATGTATGGTATCATAAATTCTTTGATATTATCCATTGAGAAGGATCCACCATATTTTTTGTGGAATTGCCAAAAATGCATAACTTCATTCCAATCATAAAACACTGGAGAAACCCAAAGGGAAGGACGTTCTACTAAATAATTGATCAGGATTCTTCATAAGTGTCAAGGTAATGAAAAAGAAAAGACTGAGAAACTCTTATAGACTAGAGGAGACCAAAGAGAAATAACAACTAAATGTGAGGTGGGATCTTGGATGAAATCCTACATAGAAAAAGCATATTAATAGGAGAATTGGTAAAATTTAAATAACATCTACATTTTAATTAACAATATTTAATTAACGTTAGTTTCCTGTTTAAGATAACTTATAATATGTGAGATGCCCACATTAGTTGACATAGTGAGGAATATAAGGGAACTCTGTACTATTTTTGCAACTTTTTTGTAAGTCTTACATTAGTTCAAAACAGAGTTTTTAAAAGAGCTGTATACGATCATCTCAATAGGTACAAAGAAAGCTTTTGATAAAATTCAACACCTGTTCATTAGGAATAGAATAAAATTTTCCTTAACTTCATAAAGAGTGTCTTTAGAAAACCCAGAACAATTATCATCCTAATTGGAAAAATATTAGAAGCATTCCTTTTAAAATTCAGGAATATGACTAGGATACTACTATTACTACTTTTCTTCAACACCATATTAGAGTTATTAACCAGTGCAATAAACATGGAAAAATAGATATGTAAAGATTGGAAAGGTAGAAATAAAACTGCCATTATTATAGATGGTTTACATACCTTTTCCCTCTGAAAACTACAAACAAATTATTAGAAATAATGTGAAAATTTAGCAAAGTAGCTGGATATAAGATTAACATACAAAAGTCAATCACATTTCTA
The DNA here is from genome assembly GCF_000001405.40 of Homo sapiens. Taxonomy (NCBI): domain Eukaryota; kingdom Metazoa; phylum Chordata; class Mammalia; order Primates; family Hominidae; genus Homo; species Homo sapiens. Next base: position 46,636,939 of record NC_000010.11, on the reverse strand, counting down.
GAGTAGAGCGACTAACAATAACAAAGGAAGCTGCCATTGACAACAATATTATTTTGTACTAATAGTAATAAATGTAGCAAAGTATGTGCAAGACCTAAAAAAGGAAAAATTTTTAAATGAAGAAAAACTAACAAAGAATGAAATAAACATATACTTTATTCATTAATTGGAAGATTTAACATTGTGAAGATTTCAGTTCTTTTCAAGTTGATTTGTAAATTCAGCGCATGTTCAATAAAAATCCTCGTAAGATTTCAAGGGCGCAGTGGCTCATGCCTGTAATGCCAGCACTTTGGGAGGCCAAGGTAGGAGGATCTCTTGAGGCAATGAGTTAAAGACCAATAAGATTTTCATGTAATTTGATAAGATTGTATGATATTTATGTAGAAGAGTAAGTGGTTGAAAACAGCAGGGCATTTTAAGAAGAAAAGCAGGGAAGAATAATTTACCCTATCAGCTATCAAGACTTAGTATGAACCTATAGTAACTGAGATGGTGTGGTTTTGCCCAGTTGAAGTCAGTTAAATTTTAATTTTGAGATTTCTGTAAAAGATACAAGTTTAGTCTTTTATTATGTATATTTGAAGGTGTTACATTTTGGAAAGTGTGTGTGTATGAATGATAGCTAAATGGCTTCTAAGTAAAATTCAGCATATCTTGTAGATGTTGATAGAATAGAAGGGGAAGGAATGTTTTGAAATAATGAAAATAACATGGTATGCAAATGCTTTGCAAGAGATTTGGGAAATGTAGATATCTCTGGTTTTAAGGATGATCTAGATTCAAGTAATAGTTCAGTAATTTCATAAAACTCTTATGACAAAATTCTGGATGGAGAATATTCTATGAATCCCCTAGAGAGTTTCAGGTTTTTGTAGAATGATGTGAAAAATCTTGAACTAATTAGATAATCTTTAGAAGTTACTTCACAATCTTTGTTTTTACACATACACAGGAATTTATGGTGCTTTATTTTTTACAGGTTAGTAGCTAAATAAAGTATATTCTAAAGTTTTTTTATTGATGTAGGGAAATGGCTACCAGTGGACATTTTGAGAATATTGCAGTTGTTTTTCTTCTGAAAGAGTAAACCGGGTCATGACGCAGCGAGTTTCAGTCGTGACTTTTCTGGGGGCATCGCGGCGTCCCCTTTTTTTGCCTTTAAAGTAAAACGTCGCCCCGACGCACCCCCCGCGTATTTCGGGGGGCGGAGGCGGCGGGCCACGGCGCGAAGAGGGGCGGTGCTGACGCCGGCCGGTCACGTGGGCGTGTTGTGGGGGGGAGGGGCGCCGCCGCGCGGTCGGTTCCGGGCGGTTGGGAGCGCACGAGCTAGCGAGCGAGAGGCAGCCGCGCCCGCCGCCGCCCCTGCTCTGTATGCCGCTCTCTCCCGGCGCGGCCGCCGCCGATCACAGCAGCAGGAGCCGCCGCCGCCGCGGTTGATGTGGTTGGGCCGGGGCTGAGGAGGCCGCCAAGATGCCGCAGTCAAAGTCCCGGAAGATCGCGATCCTGGGCTACCGGTCTGTGGGGAAATCCTCATTGACGATTCAATTTGTTGAAGGCCAATTTGTGGACTCCTACGATCCAACCATAGAAAACACTTTTACAAAGTTGATCACAGTAAATGGACAAGAATATCATCTTTAACTTGTAGACACAGCCGGGCAAGATGAATATTCTATCTTTCCTCAGACATACTCCATAGATATTAATGGCTATATTCTTGTGTATTCTGTTACATCAATCAAAAGTTTTGAAGTGATTAAAGTTATCCATGGCAAATTGTTGGATATGGTGGGGAAAGTACAAATACCTATTATGTTGGTTGGAAATAAGAAAGACCTGCATATGGAAAGGGTGATCAGTTATGAAGAAGGGAAAGCTTTGGCAGAATCTTGGAATGCAGCTTTTTTGGAATCTTCTGCTAAAGAAAATCAGACTGCTGTTGATGTTTTTCGAAGGATGATTTTGGAGGCAGAAAAAATGGACGGGGCAGCTTCACAAGGCAAGTCTTCATGCTCGGTGATGTGATTCTGCTGCAAAGCCCGAGGACACTGGGAATATATTCTAGCTGAAGAAGCAAACTGCCCGTTCTCCTTGGAGATAAACTATGCTTCTTTTTTCTTCTGTTAACCTGAAAGATATCATTTGGGTCAGAGCTCCCCTCCCTTCAGATTATGTTAACTCTGAGTCTGTCCAAATGAGTTCACTTCCATTTTCAAATTTTAAGCAATCATATTTTCAATTTATATATTGTATTTCTTAATATTATGACCAAGAATTTTATTGGCATTAATTTTTCAGTGTAGTTTGTTGTTTAAAATAATGTAATCATCAAAATGATGCATATTGTTACACTACTATTAACTAGGCTTCAATATATCAGTGTTTATTTCATTGTGTTAAATGTATACTTGCAAATAAAATAGCTGCAAACCTCAAAAAAACAAAAAAACAAAACAAAAAAAAAGAGTAAACCAATTTGGTTACTCATTTTACCAATTTGGTTTTGATTTTGCAAGTGGTTACAACTCATGAGAGGATTCTTATTTCTGATCAATATATTGTGTTTTTGGAAAGGACTTCTGGGAAATAATTATGATGAAGCCCTCGAGCAATTGCAACAAAACCAAAAATTGAAAAGTGGGACCTAATAATACTTTTTTAAAATTTATTTTTTAGAGACAGGATCTCACTGTTACCCAGGCTGGAGTGCAGTGGTCTGATCATAGCTCACTGCAGCCTCAATCTCCCAGGCTCAAGAGATTCTTCTACCTCAGCCTCCTGAATAGCTGGGACTACAGGTGCATGCCCCCATGCCCAGCTAATTTTTGTATTTTTTGTAGAGACCAGGTTGTGTCATGTTGCCCAAGCTGGCCTTGAATTCCTGAGCTCAAGCGATCCTCTTGTCTTAGCCTCCCAAAGTGCTGGAATTACATGTGTGAGCCACCACTCCCAGCCCCAGAACAACTATTATTAAAAAGTCAAAAAACGACAGATGTTGGTAGGCTGTGTAGAAAAGGAAATGCTTGTACACTGTTGGTGGGAATGTAAATTAGTTCAGCCGCTGTTGAAAACAGTTTGGGGTTTTCTCAAAGAAGTTAAAACTGAACTATGATTTGACCCAGCAATTCCATTACTAGGTATATATCCAAAAGAAAACAAATTGTTCTACCAAAAAGACATAAGCACTTGAATATTCATTGTAGCACTATTCACAGTAGCAAAGTCATGCAATCAACCTAGGTGGCCATCAGTGGAGGATTGAATAAAGAAAATGTGGTACATATACACCATGGAATTCTACGCAGCCATAAAAAGGAATGAAATCAGGATGGTGCGGTGGCTCATGCCTGTAATTCCCACACTTTGACAGGCTGAGGCAGGCAGATTGCTTGAGTCCAGGAGTTTGAGACCAGCCTGGGCAAGGTGGCAAAACCCTGTCTCTACAAAAAATACAAAAAAATTAGCTAGGTGTGGTGGTGCACACCTGTGGCCCCAGCTATTTGGGAGGCTGAAGTGGGAGGATCACCTGAGCCCAGGAGGTGGAGTTTACAGTGAGCTGAGATTGTGCCACTGCATTCCAGCCTGGGCAACAGAGTGACACCTTGTCTCAAAAAAATAAATAAATAAATAAATAAATTGCAGCAACACAGATGCAGTTGGAAGCAATTATCCTAAGTGAATTGAGGGAGGAACAGGAAACCAAATAACGTGTATTCTCACTTATAAGTGGGAGCTAAACACTGGCTACTCATGGACATAGAGGTGGCAACAATACACACTGGGGACTACTAGAGGGAGAGGGTTGAAAAACTACCTGTTGGGTACTGTGCTCAGTACCTGGGTGACAGGATCACTTGTACCCCAAAGTTCAGTATCACGCAGTATTCCCAGGTAACAGACCTGCACATGTACACCCGAATCTAAAGTAAAAGTTGAAAAGAAAAGACTTCTGTACTTTCATCTTTATAGTGAGGTGTTACATGTTTTACAAACCTAGTTCTGATAATGTGACAGGAATATAAATTTATCTTGAATATTATTAAATATATAAGTCAAAGATCAACACAGTGTTTCCATGAGGTAGACTTTTTTTGGAATCTAAATAACCATGTGTTTCCACGTAAATTTTTATGAATCAGGGACAAATATATAATTTGATGTCAGAGATGTTTTTGTTCCCCAAAAGCTCTATCTTGTTCATGAAAAACGAAGCCCAGAGAAGTTATGTACAAGTTCACAGAGCTCATTATTGACAAAACCAGAATTTGAATACAACTCTTCTGATTCCAGATTTGCTGGAAATACTGTGAAAGAAGAATTCAGTCTGGTAGTATTACGTGTGGTTTTAATTTTTTCTTTGTAACTTTAGTTTGAATTTTATGTGTGTGTGAGCATCTGCATTTACTTTTAAAAACTTTTATTGTAAAAGCCTTCAAACATATACAAAAGTAGAGAATACAAAGCATAATGAACTTAAGTACCTATTAGCCAGCTTATTAAAACATGGTCAGTCTTGTTTCACCTGTTACATCCCTTTTCTTTTACTGTCTAAAGGAAGGAAAGAAGAATCACAAATCAGTTTATGAAGTCTGCTTTCTAAAAAGTACTTAAGTGTTTATTGCCAATATCTTATTTTGGTCGGCAATCAATCACATACTCAAGCATACTTCTCTTACCTTCAGAGAAATTAAAATTTAATCAGCAAAACTCATCAGCCTGTACATTTAAAATATATGCATGTTATTGTACAGAAACTATACCTTAATAAAAAGTGAGAAAAAAAATGAGACAGGAAAGAGAAAAACATTTAAAAGACATAGTAACTGAAGAATTAAATAACCAATCCAACACTTGAAAAATATTACAATGTAGCACATGCTTAAAAGCTCTCTGAGCTCAGGGAAAAAAGCAGCACTGTGAATCTATAGTGGTCATCATTCTATGTGGTATTGGGTAGGACAAGAAGACAGCCTTGCAGCTGGAAATTGGTGAGGACGGAGGCCTCGTGTGGAAAGAGTAAGGCACACTCAGGGAGAGAACCAGTGAGGTGGCTCTGAGCCTGTTTCAGAAGGGGCTTGAGGAAGAACGGCAGAGGCTAGGATAGTTGGGAAAGCAGGATCAAATCAGACTCCAGGGATTGGGGAACCAATTGGCTGTTACAGGGTGGTGGAGTCAAAAAAGAACAGAAATTTTGTGTTTGGTTAATTGATAGAAAATGATATTATTAACAAAGTAAAGAAGTATGGGAACAGCACAAGTTTTTTGGGGATAGTAAATAATTCCATTTCCATTGATTAAAAATATCAAGTTTATTTTTACATCTAAACTGATTCAAGACTTAGCTATTGTACATGTTTTAGAGAAAACAAAACTATATTTTATATCTAATCATACTTTACAACATAAAATACAGTTCTAAAAAATATTATTTGTCAAGAAAAATATAATGTTGCCATCTTTTGTCTGTATGCATGTTTTTTTTCCTTAGATTCCAGCGTAGTTAGTGACGTTGTACTTCAAGACTTACTGGCATATGTGTCCTCAAAACATTCCTACCTCAGAGATCTTCCTCCGAGACAGCCTCAGAGGGTGAACAGTATAGACTTTGTAGAATTGGAGCACCTTCAACCTGATGTGTTAGTCCACGCAGTACTAAGAGTTGTTGATTTCCTATACTGACAGGTAAACATTTTGACTGCCTCCTTAATTTTAGATTATGAAAAAATTAAGATACAAGACCATCTTAGTGTACCATTTGGTTATCACTATATATGTATCATCAGCTATTAAAGTATGGTATCATGTGTGATAGAGTAATGCCAACTAAGATACTCATTTTCCTTTTCCAGAGGCAGTATACAGTTATAGAGGACAGAAGCAGAAAAAAGTTATGTTAACAGTGGAACAGGCCCAAGATCAACATTATGCGCTTGTATTATGGGGTCCTGGAGCAGCCTGGTACCCTCAACTTCAAAGGAAAAAAGGTAAATACACCAAAAAGCATTTAACCTATTTATATTTCGGTAAATGATTAATGTTTATGAGCCCAAGATGGAGAAAATCTTAAGAGACGAGACAGCATTTGAAATACAAGTGATCATGATTGAATATTCTTCTGCAAATTTCTTCTGTTAAAATTTTGTACCTCTTGTAGCAATTCATTTATCTAATAAGTCTTCATTAATTAATGGTGGTGAAATAAAGGCTTAAATTTATTCCCAGATATACTACTTTACCTTTTTAGTGAAGATCTTACCTCCTTCAAATAATGTTCTTTAAACATTTAATTCTGGAGAAGCTTCTACAATTTTTTTTCAGCCAGAGTACTCTGATAAATAAATGCTATGATTATAAGGCAGATGTCAAGGGAGTTACCTTAACTCTTTCAAGTCACAATTAATGTTCAATAAATTACAGTTTCATATTTTTATTATAGTTGTTTTAAAAGCATGCACTGTTAGCCATCCCTAGAATGTTCAGTGTTAAAATATGACCCATGATTACATTTTTCTTTAAAGCATAAATTATTTCTGGTATATTGAATTAAATGGAATTGATGTTTCATTAAAATAGTATAGTGTCTTCCCTTTGCTATTGTGAGATCCTTTAGTTGTAACAATCAAAGACAGTTTCATTTGTGGCTTATGAGTTATTTTTCCCTGCTAAATTAATTTAGAGATTGATTCAGTATATTATTATTTTTTACCTGAAAGAGTTAATGTCTCTCCAAACTTCTGCCTTCCAAATAGTTATTTGTAGATAGGATCTATCACATTGTCTCTCTTAATCATTAATAGCTATGACTAGGATTTGAGATAAGTCTAACTTTGGACTTTTATGTTAAGATCAAACAGGGACAGATGTTTGTTTGGTTGAGCAAGCTGACAAACATGTATCAGTGATAGACTAACTATGATCATTGACCACCATAGCCTGGCTGAGAACATGAGTCTAGTGCATGCTACACAAGAATGTAGGTCACAGGTATAGTGGAGCTGTAACAGAGCAGATTGCTCCATGTTTAATGTGAATATTCTTTTAAAATTAATAGTTTTTTGGTTAATAGAAGAGAAATTACAGTTGTCTCTAGGTGACTCTATGGTGTTTAGGTTAGTATTGAAAACGTATGAATCCAGGAATTAAGATGTTGTTGTTCTTTGTACATTCATTCATCCAGCCCCCCTTATTTGTAACCATCATTTTAAAGTTTTAACATCTACTTCAATACCTCACATCAGTCTTTTTAAGATAAAAATACCAATTTTGAAGGATTACTTAAGTAATTCTATTTTCCTGATTTTACTTTTCTTTTCAAGAGACCAACCCCATTTCCAAATTCCCAGCAAAGAGAATCTGATTGCCCAGAGTAAATTTGATTCAAAAAACTGTGATCAGGAAGACAGGGTCACGCAATACAAATATGAGAGCTTGAGCTTATTTCAGTGGATGGGAAAACAGTTAAGGGAATCATTTGTGATCTGGGTGAATACATAAAGATATTCACTACCAAAAATGTGTATGTTCATTAGCTTAGAAAGATATATGTAATGTATTATTTAGTTTAAAAAGTAGATTATAGGCCAGGTGTGGTGGCTCACTCCTGTTAACCCAGTACCTTGGGAGGCTGAGGTGGGTGGATTGCTTGAGCCCAGGAGTCCAAGTTCTCATCTTAAAAAAAAATAAAAAATAAAAAAAATTGGATTGTAAAACTTCATGTATAGAAAATATATTATGTTATCATATAATAAATATTTTTATGTTTATATAAGTTAATACACAAAAATTTTCAAGAAAACCCTTTATATATGATAGTATCTCATTTTAATAAAAATGTATCTATAAGTACATATGTGCATTTGAAAACCTGGAAATATGCATGTATAGCAAAATGCTAGCCGTAGTTATTTCTGTATAGTAGTATTATATGTGCTTTAATTTTTTTCTTTATACCTTTAGTTTGAATTTCATATGTGTGTGAGCATCTGCATTTACTTTTAAAAACTTTTATTATAAAAGCCTTCAAGCATATACAAAAGTAGAGAGAATACTAAGCATAAGGCACTTTTTTTTTTTGTTTGTTTGAGACAGAGTTTCATTCTTGTCACCCAGGCTGGAATGTAGTGGCATGATCTCTGCTCACTGCAACCTCCACCTCCTGGGTTCAAGTTATTCTCCTGCCTCAGCCTCCCAAGTAACTGGAATTACAGGCATGTGCCATCATGCCCAGCTTATTTTTGTATTTTTAGTAGAGACGAGGTTTCACCATGTTGGCCAGGCTGGTCTCAAACTCCTGATCTCAGGTGATTCACCCGCCTCAGCCTCCCAAAGTGCTGGGATTATAGGCATGAGCCAGCCACCGCACCCGGCCAGCATAATGAACTTCGGTACCTATTAGCCAGCTTATTAAAACATGGTCAGTCTTGTTTCACCTGTTACCTCCCTCATCTTTACTGTTTAAATATTTCACAATAAATGTATTTTATTTTATAATTAAAAATAAAATTAAAACCTTATGCTTTTTAAAATAAAAGAATAGTTAATGTTTGGAAAATCTAGCTAACAATGTGAGAAAAAATAGAATTAAATTTATACTTTATATTTGTGCCAATATAAATTTCAGATACATTAGAGATTCAAATACAAAAATAATGAAACAATGAATAGTAGAAGAAAATATAGGCAAAATTATTTGTAATGCAAAGGTTGGTAGGGTAAATAAAATCCAGGAACAAAAACTATTATACATAAAAACCACCATGTACAAAATTGAAAGGCAACAAAAAAAAAACAGAAAAAAAATTACATTGTCAGACAATAATGCAGTAAGCAAAAGACACATATCTATAGAGTTAAATGGGGAAAGGATATGAGTAGGCAAGTCCCCAAAGAAGAAATAAAAATGGCCAATAAATATATGGAAAAATTGTTCTTACAAGTAATTGAAAACACACAAAGTAATGATGATAGATTATTTTTCTTTTAAGAAATTGATTGAGAAGATATGGGAAAACAGCTACTGTCATCAGCTATTGGAAATGCAAACTGGCAGAACCTTTCTTGAGGATAACTGACAATTAATATGAACAAATTGGGGGTACTTTTAGCCCAATAATTTTAGCTCTAGGAACTTATCATAACTATGTATAAAGATGTAGCTGAAAATGGGTTTATCATGGTATCATGTATAATTGTGAAAAATAAAAAACAACCAGAGTCCCTCAAAATAGAGGTTTGCTGTAATAATTTTTAAGATTTTGGTGTATCTGGACAATGGCATATTATGTAATATTTAAAAGCAATGTAGAATAATACATACATATAAAACTATATTTGACTTATTAAGTCAATCCCAATAAATAAAATCCCAAACAACTGGTTGTCCGCTAAAATGTTAACTGCTTATTTAGGGTGTTGAGATTATGGCTGCTATATGTTTATTTACTTGGCTTCTCTTAGCTTACTTTTCTAATCAGGTATTTTGTAATAAGACAAGAAAGCTATTTTAGTGATTGGTTTTAAGCAGTAACTTGGAATATATGCTTTAGTTCTAGCTAGTGATGTTCTGTCTTTACAGATTTACTGAGATGTTTGATGATTTTCCACCAAAAAAAAAAAAAAAATCTTTAGTGAAAGAAACTAAGGAGATGAGCAGGTGTAGTAAATTAGATTTATGGCCTGAAGTGAGAAACTAAAAAGACAGCTGATGTTATCAGAAAAATGAGTGCTAAGAAACCCTCTTTTGTTTTATTATAGTTTTGAAGTTGAATTTACTAATACAGAATATGATAATACAGATAAGTTGAATTTACTAATAGAGAATATAACAGTAACAAGGTCTGTGTTACTGTGGCTTTAAGTATTAGAATTGTGGCCGGCGCGGTGGCTCCCGCCTGTAATCCCAGCACTTTGGGAAGCCGAGGCGGGCGGATCACGAGGTCAGGAGATGGAGACCATCCTGGCTAACACAGTGAAACCCCGTCTCTACTAAAAATGCAAAAAAAATTAGCCGGGCGTGGTGGCAGGCGCCTGTAGTCCCAGCTACTCCGGAGGCTGAGGCAGGAGAATGGCTTGAACCCGGGACGTGGAGCTTGCAGTGAGCCGAGATTGCGCCACTGTGCTCCAGCCTGGGCAACAGAGCGAGACTCCGTCTCAAAAAAAAAAAAAAATTGTTACTGAGAGTTAAAAATAAGTACTATTGTGTCTAAATGCTTTTTGTTCTAGAAAAGTTAACTAAGATAACTAAAGTATTGAAATATGAGTGAAATATTAGACTTGGGTTCATTTCAGTGTCCTTTCTTTAACAAAACAAAACAAAACTTTGCCTATAGATAGATACATGAGAATTTTCTTTACAGAAAGCAGTTGGTTATTATAAATGATGACCGTTCAGGAGGGCAAGGAATCTTTAGAAAATATTTTATTAAAATTATCTCTGGTGGCCCGGCGCGGAGGCTTATGCCTGTAATCCCAGCACTGTGGGAGGCCGAGGTGGGCGGATCATGAGGTCAGGAGTTCAAGACCAGCCTGACCAACATGGCGAAACCCTGTCTCTACTAAAAATACAAAAATTAGCCGGGAGTGGTGGCACGCACCTGTAATCCCAGCTACTCAGGAGGCCGAGGCAGGAGAATCACTTGAACCTGGGAGGTGGAGGTTTCAGTGAGCCGAGATCACACCACTGCTCTCCAGCCTGGGCAACAGAGCGAGACTCTGTCTTGGAAAAAAAAAATAATAATAATAATCTCTAGCATGCTTCTGTTGTCTTAATGCACCATTCATATTTTGTCTCTGTTTACCCAAATTCTTTAGTGATAAAAGATTAGTATTCAACTGACTTAATCAGATCAATCTATTTAATCTGATACTAAGCCTAGATTTTTTTTTCCTTTTTGGTGACTTTTGTTTTTACTGTTTTTGTTTAAGGTTATATTTGGGAATTTAAATATCTTTTTGTTCAGCGCAATTACACACTAGAAAACCTAGAATTGCATACAACGCCTTGGTCATCCTGTGAGTGCTTGTTTGATGATGATATAAGGGCAATTACATTTAAAGCAAAATTTCAAAAAAGTGCACCCTCCTTTGTGAAGATATCAGACTTAGCAACCCACCTAGAGGATAAGTGTTCAGGTAAGATTTTTATATACATAAATTCTGCTATTTTTATTTCTTTTGAAACAGAGTCTTGCTCTGTTGCTCAGGCTGGAATACAGTGGTGTGAACACAGCTCACTGCAGTCTCCACCTCCCAGGTTTAAGTGATTCTCCCCGCTCAGCCTTTCGGGTAGCTGAGGAGGGAAGGGAAGGCTAGTGCATACCATCAGTGCATGCCACCACACCCAGCTATTTATTTATTTATTATTTTGGCAGAGACAGAGTCTCCCTATGTTGCCCAGTCTGGTCTCAAACTCCTGGACTCAAGTGATCCTCTTGCCTTGGACTCCCAAAGTGCTGGAATTACAGGCATGAGCCACCACACCCAGCCCACTGCTAGTTTTAATATAAGCAAAAAGGCTACCACTTGTGGTAAAAATGTATAAGTCTATATAAAAGTGAAATATAAATCTTTGCAAATATCTGAACTAGATTCCAGTAGTTTTAGGAACTATGTGCTAGGAACCAGGGACAAAGAGCAAATACCTATTTTTTATTATATGACAAGTGGGAGCAGAAATTCAGATCCTTACTTTATCTTGGCCAAATGCCAGATTAAAATGTTACTAGTTGGGTTAATTCACATATATGTGTAAATATGTTTTCCAATATATGATTGAAGGTTAGCATTGTTATATCATAAAACTATGCTAAGGAGAATACAGGCAGAAAACAAAGACAATACCTCTCAAAAAACCCAACTTTTAATTGAATACAGAGATTTCATTCTCAGAGAAGAACTCCTTATTCTTAGTTCTACACTGAAACATTTACTAATACCAGCAGATAGTTTAAATTAATAATATTTCTGGAAGGTAAACACAGATGATAGAAAATTTATAAGCTTTTATACTATAAAAATTTCATACTATTTTCAAAAATGGAAGTTGCCTATGGTCATAAAAGACTCTAGATTTATACTAACTGGTAAAATCTTGGTAATGTTATAGCATCATGTAAGTTCCTAAGCCAGTTTTATATTTATGTGCCCCTCCCGTGCTCTGCTTCTCCAACTTCACAGACATATAGAGGTGGTCACCACAGGAAGGAATGCCAGACACAGTTGAGGGGCTACCTTACTTTGCAGAGACGTTTAGTTTGGTGCCATGGAGAAGTCAACTCTGTTATTTACTGCTTACACAAAACAGTTATCTGCTGGGATTGAAGTCTAGAATTAGGTTTAAAAATAAAAATAAATAACATCATGGACAACAACAAAATAGGAGGCCACCACGCTGATGATGAAAGATTCTCAGGCTATAGCCCCACTTGTTTGAGGACGCAGCCAGGAATTGTGCATGTTCTTGGAAGTCCTGGAGGTGTGCTCCTCATTAGCAAGCCATGCCAAAACTGTGCCATTAAAATCAGTCCTTCAGAGGCTTTGTTCACAGAGGCCTGTTTAGCCTTTTTCATTCTCTTTATGTTCAGCTATGAGGGCTGAATTCATAGTTTCTGTCATAGTGTATGTGTTTTTAAGACAAAAATGGAGAGAGAATATGAAAACACAAGCAACTTTTCCCTAACCTATTTTATAGTTAAATAAAAGGAGAAAGAGAGATCAGCATGGGAGCATTTCCTAGAAGGGTCTGCTTGCTCAACAAAAGCCAGAGGGGGATGAGGCTAGGCCTGAGTCCTTGTAAAGAAATGAAGACGCTTACCCAGTACCTCATCTTACCGCCAGCAGAATTTCAGTGCTCAGCCGGAGTGACCCCCTTGAAAGCAAAGTCCACATTCAGCGTGACCTTTTAATTCTTTTCAAGAGTTGTGTAAATTTACAAAATGATAGGATTATGTGAACATTCTTTTAAAATTATTGAATTATTACGAATTTTTTAGGCTGGGCAGGGTGGCTCATGCCTATAATTCCAGCACTTTGGGAGGCCGAGGTGGGTGGATCATTTGAGGTCAGGAGTTTGAGACCAGCCTGGCCAACGTGGTGAAACCCTGCCTCTACTAAAAATACAAAACTTAGCCAGGCATGATGTCGGGTGCCTGTAGTCCCAGCTACTTGGGAGGCTGAGGCAGGAAAATTGCTTGAACGCAGGAGGCAGAGGTTGCAGTGAGCCGAGATTGCACCACTGCAGTGCAGACTGGGTGACAGAGCAATACTCTGTCTCAAAAAAAAAAAAAAAAAAAAGACTTTTTGAGTGGAGGGAGGAGAGCAAGGGTTGAAAAACTAACTGTTGGGTACTCTGCCTACTACAGGAGACTACTTGGGTGATGATATGCCCATGTAACAAACCTGCACATCTACCCTCTGAATCTAAAATAAAAATCGAAATTTTTTTTTTACATATTTTTTTAGGCCAGACACATTGGCTCAAGCCTGTAATCCCAGCATTCTGGGAGGCCAAGAAGAGTGGATCACTTGAGCCCAGGAGTTGGAGACCAGCCTGGTCAACATGGCAAATCCCCATCTCCACAAAAAAATACAAAAATTAGCCAGGTGTGGTGGTGTGTGCCTGTAGTCCCAGCTACTCAGGAAGCTGAGGTGGGAGGATCACTTGTGCCCAGGGAGGTTGAGACTGCAGTGAGTCAAGATTGCACCACTGCACTCTAGCCTGGACGACAGAGTGAGACTGTCTCAAAACAACAAAAAATAATAATTTTGTAGTGATTTAACATGTCTTTGGAAAGATGTGGTATTGAATCTTCTACAGTTTGTTACATATTCGATCGCTACGCACTCCTGCTAACTCATGTAGGGATATGTGACACAATTGGAAGAGATGATGAAACCGTCTTTGGGCATTGAAAGACTAAAGCAAATGAAGTTAAGAACAGAAGACTCATCATTAACTGGACTCTGAAAGAGATAACCAGAAAACAGTAGGAGACTAGAGTGATTAGTTCTTGACCTGGAGTGTTCTTACTTCTAAGTGGATGAAGAAGAACAAATTTGAAGGCTTAAGGCTTAAAGAAGCCTTTAAATTGACTATGGAGAAAGGGAGAATAATGCTCAAGAAAACTCATAGACCTCACCAGTACACAGTAAGACAAAAGTAAATTAGGAAAAAATAATGTCTGGGAGATAGTAGACTTTCAGTATTTGTTTACTGGTGAATGGATGAGCCATTAGCAGTGAATTATGAATATGCTTGAGGTTTCTTGTGAGTCACCTGAGAAACGATTAATAAATGAGAACTTTTTATAACCCACAGCCAGAGTATATAGATGATAATGGTGAGCGGAAAGTTGGAAAAAAGTTTAAAAGAGAACAGGCTATTGATATTTTTACGTAGAGAGAAGAAGAAAAGTTCACCTCCTATTTGGCTTTTTTTTTTTTTTTTTTTTGAGACGGAGTCTCGCTCTTTCGCCCAGGCCGGTGTGCAGTGGTGTGATCTTGGCTCACTATAAGCTCTGCCTCCTGGGTTCAAGCCATTCTCCTGCCTCAGCCTCCCGAGTAGCTGAGACTACAGGCGCCAGCCACCGCGCCCGGCTAATTTTTTGTATTTTTAGTAGAGACAGGGTTTCACCATGTTAGCCAGGATGGTCTCGATCTCCTGACCTCGTGATCTGCCCGCGTCGGCCTCCCAAAGTGCTGGGATTACAGGTGTGAGCCACTGTGCCCGGCCCCTATCTGGCTTTTCACCATGATCAGTTTAAAAGAAGACAGGGCAAGGAGAGAGGGCATGTTAGCTAGTTTCAAGTATTCGAAGGGATTTCTTCTAAAGGAGGTATTGAACTTATTTTGCCTGATTCCAGAGGATGGGGAAGGAAGGAAACATCACATGTTCAGCCAAATTAGCCAAGTAAACCTGCTCTCAGTTGCAGCCAGACCTCCCTGCCCTTAGATTCTAGGAAAATAGTAAAGAAGACGAAGAACAAGACCTCAGTGTATCCTTTTACTACAAGTGACTGTAAATCAACTATAAAATTAGCCATGTTTGTAAATTAAAGTTATAATTTTGGCCCAATAATTTATAACATATCTGTTTGTTGTTTGTAGGAGTGGTTCTAATTAAAGCCCAGATTTCAGAGCTGGCATTTCCTCTTACAGCAGCTCAGAAGATAGCTCTAAATGCTCACAGTTCTCTGAAGAGTATTTTTTCTTCTCTTCCCAACATCATATATACTGGCTGTGCAAAATGTGGATTGGAACTAGAAACAGATGAGAACAGGATCTACAAACAATGTTTTAGCTGCTTGCCATTTACTATGAAGAAAATATATTATAGGTAAGGCAACTAAGCAAGCCAATTTGATGGAAAATAATTATTATAGATCTGGAAAAACTAGTCTGTAAACTCTTACTTTCTAAAAAGAATTAACTAGAGCTAGTCGAAGAGAACAAAATTTTCCCTGAGTGATAGATAGCTATTTATGGTAGCAAAAATTACCCAGGAATCGTTATAGGAATTTCTTAAAGATAGGAATTTCTTAAAGCAGTAATTGGGAGATTTTATTGTCTTCAAACAGCTGTACCAAAGAAACATTTTCCTTGGTTTACTTTTTAACCAAAATCTAAATGCTCATAAATAACTCATTTTCCCACCTTAACATATAATTAGAATTTAAAGGCTAAAAGTACCATATGATGTCACCTCTGAGTTGTTGTGGAAGCTAGTAAGACATTTAAGCTGTTTTCCCACCTTTACCTTAGAAATTAAAGCTAGCAAATAAATGTTATATGGTAAAACTGCTAATCAGCTCAGTGAAAAACACATTGTTTTTTGAATAATAGGTAGTCAAAAGCTCAGACATTTTTCTCTTTACCTTATAAATTACATGTGTTTACAAAATAGCACTCAGTGTTTTATGCTCCTTATGATTATTTCTAAATATTGCGGTATCTAAAAACTAAATTCAGATATATTCCACATGTTATCATGGCATACTTCAAGAAAAGTTATAGAAGCTTAATTTGTAAACCTTATTTCTCTTTACAGATATTATGTTTGTTATAAATAAGTGAATGAATTTTGCTATTACTGTGAAAGTTGCTTTTGTGGAAAAGAAGATTGAATTAAGATGTATGGTAGGCTGGGTGTGGTGGCTCATGCCTGTAATCCCAGCACTTTGGGAGGCTGTGGTGGGGGGATCGCTGGAGCCCAGGGGTTCAAGACCAGCCTGGGAAACACAGGGAAACCCCATCTCTACCAAAAAAAAAAAAAAAAAGCTGGGCATGGTGACATAGGCCTGTAGTCCCAGCTACTTGGGAGGCTGAGGCGGGAGGATTGTTTGAGCCCAGGAGATCGATTGTTACAGTGAGCTATGTTTGCACCACTGCACTCTAGCTTGTGCAACAGAGTGAGACCCTGTCTCAAAATCAAAACAAAAAATGCATGGTATGTAACAAACAACATTGATTTATTAATAGTTAAGGCCCCTCAAAAGTATGTATAGGTGACTTATTTATATCATTCCAAATGTTTCTATTCAACATAAGCATTTATTGGACAAAAATGTTGCTCAATACTATTCCTTATGGGGAGGAGGGCCTTTGAATCTTTAGTTTACAAAATGACTGTTCAAGAGAAGGACTTCACAGATCAGTATCACCTGATTATGGCATAACTAGTATGGGGTATTTAAGATCTCTTCCTAAACTATACCACATTAAAGATGTAGTGCTAGTTTGTTGTCTTACTAGAATGTTGAATGGTCATGTTAAGGCAAGAATTATTATTTTTTATTTATTTAAAAGCCTTTTTTTTTATTTTTTTGAGACAGAGTTTCGCTCTTGTTGCCCAGGCTGGAGTGCACTGGTGCGATCTCAGCTCATCGCAACCTCTGCCTCCCAGGTTCAAGTGATTCTTCTGTCTCAGCCTCCCAAGTAGCTGGGATTACAGGCATGTGCCACCACGCCTGGCTAATTTTGTATTTTTATAGAGACAGGGTTTCTCCATGTTGGTCAGGCTGGTCTCGAACTCCTGACCTCAGGTGATCCACCCGTCTCAGCCTCCCAAAGTGCTGGAATTACAGGTGTGAGCCACCAAGCCCAGCCTAAAAGCCTTTAAATTATTAGAGTCCAGATTATGTGGTTTCCTTGGAAAGAAAATATTGAAATTAACAAACTCCCTTCAAGTTATCAAGTATGTGACTCCAAAATCATCTACATAAATCAATCAGCAAACTGAATAAGAGAAAACTCTCATTGATTATTTTTCTAAGACTCAGTCAAATATTTATTAGGAATCCACGTATGTTCACATATCACATGTGTACTGTGGATGTTATACTAGTTGATCTAAGTAGACTTATTGTGCCCAAGAAGCTTGGTAGTCCATTTAAGAAACACTTAATGAACATTTGTGTGGCACAACAGTCCCAAACTATGAGTGGGTTGATCATATTTTACATTGGTTGTAACTTGGAGCTGATTTTCCAATGGAAGCAACATTAGATATTGCAATGGAGTCTCATACGAGGCCACAGACATTTATTAAATTAACATGTAGATAGCATAGTTCCTGCTCTTCAAGCTATCATAAAACTCAAATACCATTTTTAACAATGTTTCTACAGAATATTCAGATTTACATTTTTGGAATACAAGAAATACATTTATTTTTCTGTACTGGAAGCAAAAAACCCCAGCAGGTCAAACCACAATTAAGGCTCCTATTTAGGCAGCACTAGGAAATGTTTGGGTCTCTCAAGAGGTTGTAGTCAAGGTGTAGGCTGGGGCTGCAGTCATCTGAAGGCTTGACTGGGGCTGGAGGATTCATTTCCAAAGTGGCTCATTCATATGGCTGGCAAGTTGAGTTCCTCTTCACTTGGGTGTCTCCACGGGCTGCCTGAATGTTCTCACAAAGTGGCAGCTCATTTCCTCAGAGCAGGAAAGGCAAGAAAGAGAGTTCCAGGTGGAAGCCAGCCTTTTTGTGACCTAGACTCAGAAGTCATGTGGCATCACTTCTACCAAATTCTGTTCATCAGAAGTGAGTTTAGCTGTGCGTTGGAGAGTGGATTAGAATGAAGCTAGTGCAGAGAAGCGGTAAGAGGCTGTTGCCTTATTTTGGAGAGGAGATGATGGTGGCTTGACTAGAGAGGAAGCGGTAGGAATAAAAAGAAGTGGACAGATTTGAGAATGGTCAGAAAATAGTTTGCAAGATGTAGTGATTGGTAGGTAAAGAGAGAGCACAGGTACATTGCAAATCATTGACAGTTGGGTGAACAATAAGATTATTTATTAAAACAAGTAACCTTGGGAGAAATCTTGATCATATTGAGCTTGAGTTCCTGAGAGGTAACAAGTTGGAAAGTGGTTAGATGTAAAGAAATGCAATTTGCAAGAGAAGTCTGGGCTAGGCTTATAAGGTTATCTGTGGTGATTGAACTTTTCCTTGGTTTCTGCACCCTGTTTTGTTTTTCCTTCTTAATCTTCAGTGATTACCTCTCATAATGGATTATTCTTACTAGCCTATAAAGACAGTCCCATATTTCTCTTATTAAAAAACAAACAAAATCATCCATTAACATTACATCTCCCTCTTATCCCTTCGTTTTTCTATTCTGTTTTATACCCAGCCAAACTTTGTTAAAGAGTTGTAAATATACTCTCTCTCCCCTATTATGTCTTCAGTTTCACTTCAGTTATTCCATTCTACTCCTACCATGCTGCAGAAGCTGCTTTTGTCAAAGTTACACTTTTGATGTTGCCTGAGGCATGGATACTTCTTTCCTCGCTCTAACTGCTCTCAGTTATATTCAGCATGTCAGTCCACTTCCTCCTTCTTGAAACAGCCTCCTCCTTGCTTTCTAACCTGTCTCTCAGGCCCTTCTTTCTCAGCCTTTTCTACCCCCTCTTTAAATGCTCTCGTCTGTGTCCTTCCTCTTATTCTTTCTGTACATTCTGCCTGGATGATCACAGCTGTTTTCGTATTTGTACTTAACATCTTCACCCTGATTTTCTCCTCCAGGCTCCAGTAGTCAGGTATCAAATTCTTTGCTTGATGTCCATCTCACATTTAAACATACCCACAATAGACTCTTGTTTTTCCTAAAACCACACTCAAATCTAGTTCTCTTCGTTTTTATACTTTCTGGAAAATGGCACACCATCTACCCAATTATTTAGGCTGGAAACCTGGGCACAATCGTTGCATCATTTTCTCTTCCCTACCTCCCCTATCTAATCTATTAGCAAGTCCTAGGAATTTTCATTCAGAACTATATCACAAATTCATCCACTTTTTTCCATCTCCACTGCTAACATCTTAGTCCAGTGTATCCCAGCAGGGGCATTGTTGACATTTTTCTCAGGACAGTTTCTCATTATGTACCATATCCCACATGCTGCGGGGCATGTGGCATCCCTGTTTACCTTCCCCTAGCTGAACCTCAATTACTGTGAAACCAAAATGGAAAGTCAGTGCCTGCTGGTCTGGAATCACTCAGGCCTCATCTGAGTCCCTACTACCTGTTGCGCAAACCAGCACACCAGCAGTCTCTTGGTGGGGCTCCTCCTGGCCTTGCCTCCTCCCCTTTATTCTCCACCCGTTGGCAGTGTGATTACCCTTTGCTTCACCCATCAGTCATCTCCTTATGCTTGTTTCCTCTGCAGTCTCATCTGCTGCCACTCCCCTGTTGTCCAGCACTCTAGCCACGTGGCCTTCTTTCAGTTCTTCAGACATTTTGATTTTTCTCCTTAGGATGTTCTCGAATGTCTTCCCTCTGACTCCACAAGGCTGGTTTCTTCATGTCTTAGATTAAATGCTGCTTTATCAGAGAGGCCTCTCCTAACCACCCTTCTTTATTTTCTGTTATAGTAGCCTGGGTGTGCTTACTGTAATTTGTATTTGCATACTGTCTTTTCTAAAAAACATTTTTACTGAAGTTAAAATTCATATACCATCAAATTAATCTTCTGAAATGTACAATTCAATGGCGGTAGTATATTCCAAGGGCTGTGTAGCTATCACCACAACCAGTTAGGACATTTTCATTACCCAGCCCTTTACAAAGCCTCATACTCATTAGCAGTCACTCTCCATTCCCCATGCCCCTCAACCCATGGCAACTACGAATCTGCTTTCTGTCTCTATAGATTTGCCTGTTCTAGATATTTTATATAAATATTATATAATATGTGATCTTTTGTGACTGGCTTCACTTAGCATGATGTTTTCAAGGTCCATCCATGTTGTAGCATGTATCACTACTTCATTCCTTTTTATTGCAAAATAATATTTTATTGTATGCACATACCACATTTTATTTATCCATTCATCAGTTGATGGACAATTGGGTTGTTTCTACTCTTTGGCTATTATGAATGATGCTGCTGTGAACATTTGTGTACAAGTTTTTGTGTGGATATGTGTGTTCATTTCTCTTGGGTATATATCTAGGAGTGGTGGAATTGCTGGGTCATATGGTAACTGTCTGTTTAACCTTTTGAGGAACTACCAGGCTGTTTTCCAAAATTGCTGCACAATTTTACATTCTCATCAGCAATATGAGGGTTGTAATTTCCCCATATTCTTGCCAGTACTTCTTATTCCGTTTTTCTTTTTGTTGCATGTGCTTTCGGGTCATATCTAAGAAAGGTGTCATTTCTAAGCCAAGGTTATGGAGATTTGCTCCCGTATTTTCTTCTAAGAGTTTAGTAGTTTTACCTCCTACATTTAGGTTTATTATCTACTTTGAGTTAAGTTTTGTATATGGGATAAGGAAGGGGTATAATTTTATTTTTTGGCATGTGGATATCTAGTTGTCCCAGCGTGAATTTTTGAAAAGACTGTTCCATCCCTGTTTAGTCATCTTGGCACCACTGTTGAAAAGCTTATTTTCTTTCTTCTTCTTTTTGTAGAGATGAGGTCTCGTTGTGTTGCCCAGGCTGGTCTCAAACTCCTGGCCTCAAGCAGTCCTCCTCACCTTGGCATCCCAAAGCGCTGGGATTACAGGCATGAGCCACCGCGCATGCCCAATTTCTTCCTATCCCTCTACAGTTTTACGTTCCTTGAGTGACGGAACCAGATTTGTCTTTTTCACTAGTGGGTACCCAGCACTTACCACAGTCCATGATAGATACTCAGTTTGTATTTGTTGAAATAAATAATGGAGGGAGAGAGAGGCTGAGGAAAGAGTGTAGAGTGAAAAGAGGAAGGAACATAGAGTCATCGTGTGAATAAAGGGGGAAGTGGGTTTTTAGGGGGAAAATCAGTAGTTATGTTTTAGCTCTGTTACATTAAATTCCCCCGCTAATGAGCCTGTTTCTGAATTCTGTTCTCAATTTATTTTTTAAAAATCAATGTAGTTATAAAATAGGTACCACATGCCATGGTTAAAATGCACACTACATAGGAGGTTATAAAACAAAGAGTGAAAGTCTCCTTCACCATCCAACCCTCTCCCACCAGTGCTGCTTCCATGCTGGTGAGAAGGTTTTTTGTATGTCCTTCCAGTGATTTATTATGTTCATCCCAGCACATGTGTATCCCTTTCTTTAGAAGCATGTGGACAGAAGAATATTGTTCATATTGTTGTTCCCTAGAGTCTATCCTGGTGCTCCTTCCCTAATAGCACTTGCAAATGTTCTTCATTCTTTTTATCAGCTACATAGCATTAAGATGTAGGATGCACTGAAAATTGTTAATCCAGTTTTATTGATATGCAAAACAGTTTATTTCTGATAGGAAAGAATTCAGTTGAAAAAAGTAACTTGAAATTGTGATTGTGAAATATGTGATTATTATTTTTATTTTCATTTCTAAAAACAATTTATAAAACAGTTTAATATATTTTTATATTAGTATCTGAAATTTAAAAATGGATATAGAATAAATAAAATGTAGTAATTTATCATTTGAAGCTCTTGGGGAAAAAAAAACCTTTTTTTCCTTCTAGGATGTCACAGAACATCCTAGAGTTGTTTTAAGCATTAAAATTAATCCTGCATTAAAAACCAAGTGCTTTTTGGAATTATTTTTCATTTAAACATTTCTTTTATTTGAAAATCTTTTTGAAGGTCGTGTGTTGTTTACTCTTCTGTAGGCCAGCGTTAATGACTGCCGTTGATGGAAGACATAATGTTTACATCCGTGTAGAATCAAAACTGATAGAGAAGATTCTTCTCAACATTTCTGCACACTGCCTCAACAGAGTGATAGGCAATATATCAGTGTGCCATCAAGAAGTTGTTTTATTCAGGAGTATAAATGGTATATCGGAACAGAAAGAGCACTCTACTTTAAATTAAGAGCTTTTCTGTCCATATGAAAACAGAAGGATAATTTAGCTTAAGTGAAATATAAGCCTATGTAAGTTAGAAGGTTGACTTGCTTTACACCTGTTAGTACATGAACAGTGGGAGGCACCTAATTTCTTCTTAACCTACATTTCCTGTTGGTAAGCAAAAACTATTTTACTTAACTCTAGTTTTATAAGAATGAAGTCAATGAGTGTATGACATAATATATATGAAGATAGTCCAGTGTCAGTGGAATGGATTTGCAAGATCTTCAACCATGATGTCTTAGTTGTCAGTGGCTAAGAATAAAGCAAAGATAATATATTTGTCAGGTATTCAAACTCCATTCCTGTTCTCATTAGCCTCAGATCCTCTAAGCTGATGAGCTAATCTGGTTCTGTGATTGCTTTATCTTTCAATAGTAGATTGTTTTTCGTGTTTTTTTTTAGTTGGGGGTGTCTAGTAATTTTGGGTTGAATGCTGAACGTTGCATATATTAAGTAGAACAGTACAAACTGAGGTAAATAGTAGTTGTACCTGGAAACAGGCATGCCTCTTCTGGTCCTTTACTGGAGGTGAGGGGTGAGCAGGATGGTCAGCCTTGTCATAAGTTGAGTTGGATTCAGGTTTTGTTGTTTCTCTGGTTACCTTCAGGTCACCACTGGTTTCAAATTATCTTGTGCTTATGGTGGGAAGTGGTTCCCCAGTATTCCTGCTCCACCATCAGCATAGCCCTCCACTCTGCACCTGGGCCTCAGAGAAAGTTTCTTTCCATATTCTTGCACCTCCCCAAGTTGCACAAGCTTTTGTTGGTTGTTATTTGGTGCATCCTAACCTGGTGGGTGGGAGCAGGGTTGTTCCTCTTTGATTCTGGTCCAGCCCCAGTCTTATACGGATGTTGCACATGGCGCTTTCTTGGTAGCCCTGTCCCTTATGTGGCATGGCAGCTGAGCTCTGTCTTGTGCCTTTAGTGGGTCTTGTGTGGTCCTGGCCCTGCCCCAGCAGTAGGGGACCACTAATGGTCTTGACCCAGGGTGGTTTTTCAGTCCTCCCCCAGGATGGAGGTTTTTTTTTTTCTTTTTTCTTTCCCCCATCTGTACTGGTTCCTCACCTGTACCCTGGGGCAACAGGATTTGGTGTCCCTCCTCCAGCAATTGAAGGCTTTTGTTCCTTAAAGGGGAGGCCAGATGGTGCTTTGTGTTTTGTAGTTGGAAGCTTTCTCTGATGTCTTGCCCTGCCCCCAGTCTTATGAGCACCTGGTGGAGGTGAGACGTACTATGTGGAAGAGCCTATGAGGATGCAGATGTTCCTTATGTTGCTGACACTGGCAGTTCATTGGCTTTTTGCAATTAATTTATTAATAAAAATTAATCACATTCTTCTTTCCTGCCTGTATGGAGGACCTGTCTTCTTCCCAAGGCCTGCCCCAAGGGAACCTGTGCTCCTGTTCCATCTCCCTGGAGGCACCTGTCTCCTTATGTTTCAGTCTTTTTGGCTGTTTTACAACCTTGGTTCTCATGTGTATTCAAGAAAATGATGATTTTATATTTATTCAGTTTTTTCCAGTAACTGTTAGGGTAGGAGCCACTTTTTCCAGCTTTCTACATCTTAATTAGAAGCCTCTCTCCGTTTTTTCCCCCATTTTCTTTATTTCATTTTTATTCTTTTGGCTATTTTCATTCCTTTTCTTAATGTTACTTATATATTTTCAGTGTTATCTCTTCTTTTTTTTTTTGAGATGGAGTTTTGCTCTTGTTGCCTAGACTGGAGTGCTGTGGCGCGATCTCAGTTCACCATAACCTCTGCCTCCTGGATTCAAGCAAGTCTCCTGCCTCAGTTTCCCAAGTAGCTGGGATTACAGGCTTGTGCCACCATGCCCGGCTAATTTTGTATTTTTAGTAGATATGGGGTTTCTCTATGTTAGTCAGGCTGGTCTTGAACTCCCAACCTCAGGTGATCTGCCTGCCTCGGTCTCCCAAAGTGCTGGGATTACAGGCGTGAGCTGCCGTGTCCGGCCTATCTCTTCTTTTTTGCATAATGTAAATTAGTCTTTATCTCTTAGAGAAGCATAATTCTCATATCACATATACTTCAGTGTTTTGTCCATTCTTGAGACAATTAAAGTTGTACTTCTTGGCATTAATTAGATTGTGATCATAAGTCAAAATGTCATTGGTCATAAAGTGGTCATCAGACCATGCAGACTATTACTAATATTGGTTATGTTTTAGTTTATTGCAGTGAAAATACAAAATTTAAAAGTTATTGTAGAGAATTATCATACCCCCCAAAATATGTCATTGGTCCTCCAGGACTCTGTAGTCCCCATCCAAGAAAGACTGTGATAATTGTCAAGGGGTTAGTACGGTCTGAGCATGGTCGATGGTGCTCTGTCATTCTGGTATTGAACAACCTCCCAAATGTCTTGATTACATGTCCTAAAAAAGTGAGGGGAAGAGTGTAGGACAAATGCAAAATAAAATAACACATTTAGCTATACTTTTAGTATTTTTTATTATTGAGATTCAATATTTAAGTGACCGATTCAAGATTCTTTTATATAAAAAATGAATATATGCATAAGTAACTGTGATAAGAACTGTGGATGGATAAGAGCACTCGTCTGATGTACTGCAGCATAACCAGAACTGCTGTCGGTCTGAACGGTGTGTTATCTGGGCCTGTTTCTTGTGTCAGGGGGATCACATGCCGTCACTCTGGAGTGCCTCAATAGCTTGTAACTAGAAAGAGAAGGTATAGAAAGAGTAGTTTACTTACCTGTTTATTTATTTAGAGGCAGAGTCTTGCTCTGTTGCCCAGGCTGGAGTGCAGTGGCACAATCTCAGCTCATTGCAACCTCTACCTCCTGGGTTCAAGCAAATCTCCTGCCTCAGCTTCCCGAGTAGCTGGGATTACAGGCATGTGCCACCACTCCCGGCTAATTTTTGTATTTTTAGTAGAGACAGGGTTTTACTGTGTTGGCCAGGCATGTCTCGAACTCCTGACCTCAAGTAATCCAGCCACCTCCGTCTCCCAGAGTGCTGGGATTACAGGTGTGAGCCACCGCTACTGGCCGGGAGGAGAAATTTAAAATGGGTTTGAGACTTGAGGAACCAAAAGAAACAATGAAACCATTCAATGTGTGTGCTCCTGTCAAGCTAGCAGCGATCTTGAGAGCTCTGTGTTTTCGTCTTCTGCAGTTCCTTCCTCAGAGATCACCTATGGGATGGTTGTGGCAGACCTGTTCCACTCCTTGTTGGCAGTCAGCGCAGAACCTTGTGTATTGAAGATTCAGAGCCTTTTTGTGTTAGATGAAAACAGCTATCCATTACAACAAGATTTCTCCCTCCTGGATTTTTATCCTGACATGGTAAAGCATGGAGCCAATGCCCGTCTCTGAGGCCAGAGGAAGAAATTGCAGGCATTTCAAGGAAGAAGTACTGAAATGATTTGTCTTTTGAAATAAATGAATGACAGGGCTTTTGCTTTGGATTTTTTATGAAATATATTTTACAAAGAGAATTGCACTAGATAAATTAAAACTTTTTTCTAAGAAAATCCTGTGAGGTTTAAAAAGATTGTTTTTGTCTTTTGGTTTCTTCCTTTCTTCTGGAGAAATGATCTACCAGTCAAGGCAATATGTAGCAGATCCCTGGGAATTAAAGGTTTGCCCATTTGTTCACTGTATTTAGTCCCTGCTACATTCCAGGCATCGTACTAAGTATGGGGAACCACAGAGAAGACACTCCTTCAGAAACTGCTGCAGTGCTTTCGCTTATCCCTACCTAAAAAACCGTCAATGTGAAATCATTTCCTTGATTATAACTATAATGATAATGGATTAGTTTATATAAACCTATGTTTAGACAAGTTCAAGACAAGCGTGTCTTTCTATAAAAAGTATTGAAAGTGAAGGAAATGAGATCATGTTTCAATTTATTAAAGCAGGGAAGAGCGTTCTGTGGTTAGTTCGTGTCTAGGATTTGAGTGCCTTACTGAATGTATTTACCAGCAAACATGTAGCAATCTGTTCTCTCATTGTGATTGTGGAAGAAGCTCATGTAAAATGATAGTCATTAATGAGGAAGTATGGCGTGGTACTTATTCTGTAAGCTCAGAGTA
The DNA here is from genome assembly GCF_000001405.40 of Homo sapiens. Classification (NCBI taxonomy): domain Eukaryota; kingdom Metazoa; phylum Chordata; class Mammalia; order Primates; family Hominidae; genus Homo; species Homo sapiens. The sequence goes on along the minus strand of NC_000010.11, from coordinate 46,610,527 downwards.
TGCTGAGTGTTAATAGATTGTCATATTGCCTGAAAATAAATTCATGATGACATGAACAAGCTTCTTTTACCCTGTGTATGTTTTTAAAAATTCCTTTGGTTCAGAGGTGGTTGTTGTTTTTTAACTTGGCTTCCCTAAGAACGAACCACAAGAGTTTTGTGATTCTTTCAAAAATAATATGCCAAAATGCCTTTGTGGGAGCACACACACACAAATGCATGTTTCTGTGGAGAAGGATCCATAGCTTTCAACAAATCCTCAGAGGGTTCTGTGACCAAGAAAGGTAAGAACAAGGCTTTAACTGATGAGTTTCTTTGTGGGGTAGATAAGGGAATTAGAGCAAATGATTGCCAAAGTTTTGTCTAGCAACTAATAAGGTGGGTACAGAAAGAATTGACTCCATTTTGTATCTAGAGAGACTGGAATTCAAACAAAATCATTGGCTCCCTTCAATGATTCGTTGAATGGGTGATGAAACTTGAGCCTGTAGTTGACGCCTTCTAATCTGTGCTCTCTCAACTATAACCACACTAGGCAGAGATTTGGAATTCTGATATAAAATCTGCCCAGTCAATATAGGCCAACCAAGAGAGCTGTTCGCTTAAGTGTGCCCTTCCCCACTTCGTCCTCAAGTGGAGACCTAATCCCTACATCAACCAGAACATAATCCCCAGGAAGAGATGGCTCTTCACATCCTATTGGGAAGAAATCTTTAAACCATTTCAGGTGAGTCAACAGATCACACCAACATCTCTTCACAGTTGTTGGTATGTATTTCATTAATTAACACATATTTCCAGGAGCCCTTATTTAGGTTGGGAACTGTTTCCTCCAGTCCTGAGGAATCTGAGCTATCTACAGAAGTTATGAGCTATTTAAGTGGGATCAGGATCAGCCCATTGCTCCTGCTATGGTCTGAATGTGTCCTCCCAAAATTCTTACGTTGAAACCTCATCTCTGATGGCATTCAGAAGTGGGGCATCTGGGAGGTGATTAGATCATGAGGGCTCTGCCCTTGTGAATGGGATCAGTGCCCTTACGAAAGTGGCCCGAGGGAGCTTCTTTGTCCCCTTCTGCCACAGGATACAGCCAGAAGGTGTCATCTTTGAAGCAGAGAGCAAGCCCTCACTAGATTCTCAATTTTCTGGCACCTTGATCATCCCAGCCTTCAAACTGTAAAAAATAAGTTTCTGTTACTTATAAATTGCCCAGTCTGTTATTTTGTTATAGCACCCAGAACGGACTAAGACACCTTCTGTGTGTATTCTTTACCTGAGTTGACAAGTAAGTGTCTTTATTCTGTTATGTTTTCATAAAACTCAGTGGGGTAGCCAGAGTGTCATCCAGCAGTCCCATATCTGGCAGTCTTATGGTGGGCATTTCAGGGAGACCTCATTCTTCATCTTCTGTTAGTTCAGCTTGCAGGGACAGCTCTCCTATTTTTAGAGAATCATTTTTATTTGTTAGTCACTTAGTTTCCCCAGAGGTATCCTTTTTCTAACAGCGTTAGAGGCATTCACCTTTCTCCCCACTAGTAAGATCTGTGCTGTTTCATTTTACATCTTTTTTTTTTTTTTTGGTTGGGGGAAAGGGGGCTGATCATCAAATGAGTTGACAACATTGGGTGCATGATCCACCCTGCAGACGTTCGCTGAATGTCTACCATGTGCTAGGCACTGGAAATGCAAAGACACAAATGTCTGCCTTCTGTAAGTTCACAGGCAAGCTGGTGAAGAAATATTTAAACAAAATTATATCAGCGCCAGGATTAAATCTGTGTGGAATACAGAGCCAAGGCAAAAGAGGTAACAGTAGGATGGGTTTGTTAGTCATGACTCTTGGTTGCAAGTGATAAAAACCCAACTCAGAGTAGCTTGAGCAAAAAAGGGGGACTTGATTGACTCACATAAATGAGGGTAGTACCAGCTTAAGGCACAGTTGAATCCATTGGCCTAAATTACCTGGTTACCCCAACTCCCTAATTTTTCTTTCTTTCTTTCTTTCTTTCTTTCTTTCTTTCTTTTCTTTTTCTTTCTTTTTCTCTCTCTCTCTTTCTTTCTTTCTTTCTTTCTTTCTTTCTTTTTTCTTTCTCTCTCCCTCTCCCTCTCTCTCTCTCTCATCAGAAGAGGTCTTTTACGCTGTTATTGCAAAAGCATAGATGTTTCTACAGAGTTTTGATAGGATAACATTTTCACAGTGATTATGAATTTACATCGTCCCTAGAATTCTAAACTACTGGGATCTGAGGCCGTAAGTTGTTTAAGAGTATTCTGACATTACCTTAGATTCAGCAAAACTTGAATAGTTGATCATGCCTTTCTTAGAAGAAAATATCTGTAATTTCTCAGAACAATATAGAATGAGACAGAAAAACTAACCATCCCTATGTGCCTTATTTTAAGTGATATATTTGTATCCTGATGGGTTTCTAGGTGTTGGAACACAGGTCATGAATCATAGAACAATTAGAATAAAGTGTTCGTCTTTATCAGTAGCTTAATTCTGGCCCTTGATTTAATGTCAACAGGGGAGAAATGTGTGAGAGGGGATGAGGTTTGCCAATTAATTGTCATTATGTCTTTGGAGGTCTTGAACCTGATTTGTTATTAAGAAGTGAATTCTACCCACTTAAGGCATACATTTGCTAAAGGTGACCTCTCTGCTTCCACGTTGTTAAGAAATCGTGATTTTTTTCAAAACAATCATCAGCTTTACAGTTTTTGAGGAAAGATCTAGAAGCCTGTTAAAATGGACTTACCAGGCAGGGTTCAGCCCAGGAAACACAAGCCACTCTGGGTATTCTAAACAGAGAGAGATTAATGTGGAATTCAGGTGTTTGCAAAGGTATTGGAAGGCTGGAGGAGCAGGCATCAGTCTGAGCTCCAGGAGGCTGCCACGTGAACGGTGGATTCATGAAAACATCATCATTGGCTGCAATCTTAGACTGAGGATGCAGCTGCTGGCATCCCGGCAACTGACTCTCAAGCACATGGAAGCTGGGAGTTATTTGCTGCTGCCCAAAACTCAGTCCCCACAGCTACACTTGCCAGGAACAGTAGCTTCAGGAAGATAGCCTGGATTTCACTCATCTTCCATATTGCACATGTGTGTGTGTTTCATTGATGGAACATGATTCACGCTGAGAGCTTTAGCTGCAAGAAAGTTTGGGAAATATGTCTTCTCTGAGGCTTTTGGTCTTTGCAGTTCAGGAGCAGTTAGGAGGTGGGACTGGTTGGTTGCAGAGTGAGCTGATTTACTGCACTTAGTCTAGCTTATTAAAGGATGAGCTTATAAACACCCCAGGTAATATCACAATACATAAGTGCTACCTAATTACTGTGTGGGTCTGTTACCAAGAATGTCTAAGTCAAGAAATTGAAGATTGTTTCCTTCAGATTCTGCATCCTAATGTAGAATCTTTCCTATTAGAGTATAAGTAAATTATTTTGGTGTGTTATTTAAGAATATTTGTGAATAGGCTTAATTAAACACCATGTTAAGAAATTATAAACTTAAGGCCAGGCACAGTGGCTCACGCCTATAATCCCAGCACTCTGGGAGGCTGAGGCGGGCAGATCACTTGAGGTCAGGAGTTTGAGACCAGCCTGGCCAACATGGTGAAACCTCATCTCTACTAAAAATACAAAAGTTAGCCAGGCGTGGTGGTGCACACCTGTAATCCCAGCTACTTGGGAGGCTGAGGCAGGAGAATTGCTTGAACCTGGGAGGTGGAGCTTGCAGTGAGCTGAGATCACGCCAGTTCACTCTAGCCTGGGTGACAGAGTGAGACTCTGTTTAAAAAAAAAAAAAATTATAAACTTAAAAAAAAAATGTTTTCCTTTAAACAAAAACGCATGTTCCTTGTTTTTTGTTTTGTTTTGTTTTGCCTTTTTTGAGAGACAGTCTTGCTCTGTCACCCAGGCTGGAGTACAGTGGCACAATTATGGCTCACTGTAGCCTCTACCTCCTGGGCGCAAGCAATCCTTCCACCTCAGCCTCCCTGGTAGCTGGGACTATAAGTGCAGACCACAACAACTGATTTTTTATTTTTTGTAGAGACAGGGTCTCCCTACATTGCCCAGGCTGGTCTTGAGCTCCTGGGCTCAACCGACCCTCTTGCCTTGGCCTCCCAAAGTGCTAGGACTATAGGCGTGAGCCACTGCACCAGGCCGTTTCTTTTTTTTTAAAACTTTGGAAAATATGGATGAATGAAAGTGAGAAAAGTAACCCTTCTGTTATTCTACCAACCAAAGCTAATTGCTGCCAACATTTTAATAGATATTCCTTCGGTTGTTTTATGCATGTATGATTTTGTACATGTGTCTACTTTAAAATATATAGTCTTTCAATGTTGCCCAGGCTGGACTCAAACTCCTGGGCTCAAGTGATCCATCACCTCAGCCTCCTGCATGTATCTACATCTTATTTTATTTTATTTTTAGAGACATTCTGTTAACCAGGTTGGAGTGTAGTGGTGTGATCATGGCTCACTGCAGCCTCAGCCTCCCTGGGCTCAAGTGATCCTCCTGCCTCAGCCTCCTATGAGTAGCTGGGACTACAGGCATATGCCTCCATACCTGGATACTTTTTGTATTTTTTGTAGAGACATGTTTTTGCCATGTTGCCCAGGCTGGTCTAAACTCCTGGCCTCAAGTGATCCCCTTTGCCTCAGCCTCCCAAAGTGCTGGGATTACAGGTGTAGACTACCACGTCTGGCCAACATTCTCATTGATAGTCTTTGCACACATCTTTCATTCCTTCTGGGAATTTATTCTAAGAAAATAGAATTTTGGGGTCAAAGTACTTGTATGTATGTATCTGTACCAGGAAAAAAGCAGAAATTCCAGTATCAACAGATAACGAGAGCCACGCAGGGTGGTACATGCCTGTAGTCCCAGCTACTCAGGAGGCTGAGGCAGGAGGATTGTGTGGCATGAGCCCAGGAGTTAGAGGCTACAGTGAGCTATGATTGCACCACTGTACTCCAGCCTGGGCAATAGAGCAAGACCCTGTCTCTGAAAAAACAAAACAAAACAGATAACCATTGTTACTATTTTGTTGAACATTTTCCAGATACCCTGATAGAAGACAGATCTGTGCATGCACATACACAATTTTACATAAATGGGACCATTCCATATAGGCCAGTATCTAGTGTGTACTTTTTTTACTCCACAATTTGCCATATACGTCTTTCCAAATCAATCAACATAGATTAAATCATATCAACTACACAGGATTCCATCATTTGTGTGTGCTCTTGAATCCTACTTTTAAAATGTTCTCAGAAAGGTTATCCTGAAATATATTCCTATCAGAAGTTTTCCACACTCTCTCTAAACTGAATGGCATAAGTGAAAGACTAGTTGTTAGGTTTAAAAAAGGTTATCTGTTTTAATTGGAATTTTTTTTTTGAGGTTTTCTTTTTCTTTTTTCTTTTTCTTTTTTTTTGAGACACAGTTTCACTCTGTCACCCTGGCTGGAGTGCAGTGGTGCGATCTTGGCTCACTGCAACATCTGCCTCCTGGGTTCAAGCGATTCTCCTGCCTCAGCCTCCTGAGTAGCTGGGATTACAGGTGTGCACCACCATGCCCAGCTAGTTTTTGTATTTTTAGTAGAGACAGGATTTTGCCATGTTGGCCAGGCTAGTCTTGAACTTCTGGCCTCAAGTGATCTGCCTGCCTCAGCCTCCCAAAGTACTGAGACTACAGGTGTGAACCACTGTTCCCAGCCTTAATTGAATTATTTTATTGCTAAAGTGATTGTACATTTGCTTCATATGCTTATCAGTCATTTGCAGTTTGCTTTTTCATATTTTACCTTAGACCATTTTTATGTGGGAGAAGCCTTTTATTAAATTAGTATGTTCTCCTTATAAAGTTAGTAATTTTTAACATGTGTTGCAGACATTTTTCCCAAGCTTGTTATATATGTTTGACATGCAGAAATCATAAATATTTACGTGGATCAACCCATCAATCTTTTTCTTTATTGTTTCTAGATTTTATGGCATGCCTAGATAGCTTCTTTTCTACTATAAGATTATACACATTTTCTTCAAAAAATTTTTTGAAACATTTATGATTGTTATATTTGTATTTAAATCTTTAATTATCTAAAATTTAGTGCATGGTATGAATGGATCTAACTGATTCATTTTCCTAAAATGGTCAGCTGGTTGTCCCAACACTATTGATTTCTTTCTTTCCCATCAGTGACATAGATGTGATCTTTATTATAATATGAAATTATTATTCCTGCTAGCATTACCTGTGGACTTTCTGGTCTGTTTCATTGTTCTATATTTATTGCTGAGCCAGAACCATACAGTTAGAATTATTATAACTTTACATCTGATAGGAAAAGTACCCCTATATTTTTCTTCATTAAAATTGTTTTTCTCAGACATCTTTGCCCATCTGTTCTTTTTTATTCCCCATTAAGAGTATATGTTGCAGTGTTTTTTAGTATATTCAGAGTGTGTGACCATCAGCACACTCAATTTTGGAACATTTCATCACCCCCAAAAGAATCATCCATAGTTACATTAACTATACCACCCCACAGCTCTTCCTTAAGAGGAGCTAACAGTCGCTCCTCCATACCCACCCCCTTTCCCCCAACCCTAGGTAACCACTCTTCTACTTAGTGGCTGTATAGATTTCACTATTCTGACATTTCACATGAATGGAATCATACAATATGTGGTCCTTTGTAACTGATTTCTTTCACTTGGTATAGTGTTTTCAAGGTTCACACATGTAGCATGTATCACTACTTCATTGTTTTTATTGCCAAATAATATTCCATTGTATGGATATACCGCATTTTATGTATCTATTCATCAGTTGATGGCCAACTGAGTTTTTCCCACTTTTTGGTTATTTTTAATTATACTATCATGAACATTTGTGTGCAAGTCTTTGTGTGGATGTATATTTTCATTTCTCTTGGGTATGTACCCAGGAGTGGAATTGCTGGGTTGTATGGTTTAACCATTTGAGGAACTGCCAAACTTTTCTAATGCAGGTGCACTATTTTACATTCCCATGAGAATGCATTGGAGTTCTGATTTCTCCACATCCTCACCAGCACTTTTTATTATTATCTGACTTTTTGATTATAGCCATCCTAGTGGGCATGCCATCTGTTCTTGAGATAAGTTTAGAATCATTTTTATCCCATTGATATTTTTAATGAGATTGCTTTGAATTTATGGATCATTTGGACATGTTTTCAGTGGTTAAGGCTTACTATTTAAGAAGAGCATGCTTTTTCAATTAATAAAGTATTCTTTAATGTTCCTTAGCTTTAGCTTTATTTAGCAGTCCACATTTAAAGGGTATTAACTATGGAAATTTTTTTTTTTTTGATACAGGGTCTCACTCTGTTGCCCAGGCTGGAGTGCAGTGGTATGATCTCAGCTCACTGCAACCTCTGCCTCTCAGGCTCAAGCTATCCTCCCACCTCAGCCTCCTTGGTAACTGGGGCTACAGGCATGTGCCACCACACCTGGTTAATTTTTGTATTTTTTGTAGAGATGGAGTTTTGCCATGTTGCCCAGGCTGGTCTGGAACTCCTGGGCTCAAGCAATCCACCTGCCTCAGCCTCCTAAAGAGCTTGGATTACAGGTATGAGCCATCAGCCAGTTTTTTTGTTTTTTTAAATCATTGATTTCAACTATGCTCTGTTGAATCCCTTTTCCATCCCCTCATGTCTCACATGCCTCACATAACTTCCCAGGCATTGTGTTTTAGAAAGTCTGGTATTGTTTAAATTCTAACCTCATTTTGCTCTTCTCCAGAGCATGTCCAGCTAGTCACTAAAGGGACTTGGAATGGGGAGGAGATAGGTGCACCCTTCCTTTCCTTTGACTCCAGCTGTTGGAGCTGGAGGGAGGGCGTGAACTGGCACCGAGGTGAATTCTCCCCATTCCTTCCCAGCTTCCTGAGGCCTAGCTCCTCCATGAGCTGGGGAGGGAGAAAAGAAGGAAAGGGGACAGTGGTACTTACCAGGCAGCTACCACTGTGGTCCTCTCCTTTGATGGACTCCGCTTTTCTAGCCAGTACTTAACTGCTGATGCCTTCTGTGCAGCAGGCGTTGAGTACTCCTCTTTCTGGGGTCCATGTGAGAGTTCTTTCAGAGCTCACTCTTCTATGTACTCTATGTACTCACTCTATCTTATGTACACAGTTGTTTTCATGGGAGATGCAGCTCTGTCTGGTCTTTCCTGCCCCCTCCACTCTCTCCAACTGTACCTCCTTTCTCCATCTTGCAATCTCTCTCTGATTCACTTCACTCGTGCTCAGACAGGCATGGAGAGCAGGTCAGCAAATTCTTCACACTATCAGACTTTAGACAAGCTAAGGAATTTCCTTCTCTGCATACTGTATATAGCACAGTTTGATTTATGTAACATCCTAATCATACTGTCTGGAAGAATCTTACCAAAATGATATTATTCCCCTACATGGGGAATTAGGGCTTGATTTTACCTTCTTTATTATAATTATTTTTACTTGATCAAATTACTAGGAAATATTCCTCCACTTCTAAAGAATACAATTTCCCTGTGTTAGAAAGATCAGTTCTGGTGTGGTGGCTCACTCCCGTAATCCCTGTACCTTGGGAGCCTGAGATGGGAGGATTGCTTGAGGCCAGGAATTGGAGACCAGCCTGGACAACATAGCAAGATCTTGTCTCTATAAAACACTAAAAAAAAAAAAAAAAAAAAAATTAGCCAGGCATGGTGACACACTACTCAGGAGGCTGAGGCAGGAAGATCACTTGAGCCCGGGAGTTTGAGGCTGCAGTGAGCTATGATCTGCCACTACACTCCAGCCTGGATGACAAAGCGAGACCCTGTCTCTAAAAAAATAAAACCAACAACAAACATACATAAATAAAAAGATCACATCCAAATAATAGAAAAAGATGATATGGTTTTGGTCCCCAAAACTGACATCATGTAGGAGATATTGGAACTTTGTGGGTGGGAGCCAAGCCCATTCTGGTGCCCCTTCTCTAGGTCACGTCTATACTGCTTGTTTGGATTCCTTGGCAAAAACTGATTATGCAAGGCAGTAGGATGCCTGGCTCAAATTGGGTCAATCAGATCCTTTTTCTTGGAATTTAAAAAAAAATTGCATGAAAACGTATAGTTAAATGCACAGGTCTTAAGTGTACAATTTAGAGTTTTGACAAATATATACATTCATGTAACTGAACCCCAAACAAGATATGGAGCATTTCCATCACCCTAGAATTTTCATTCATCCCCACTTCCAGTCAGTCTCCTCCATCCATGATGGCCAACCACTATTCTGATTTCTATCACTATACACTAGTTTGATCTTTGTTTGGACTTCATGTAAATGAAATCATACAGTATATATTCCTTTGTAACTGGCTTTTTTTAACCTAAGAATGTTTTTCAGGCTTATCCATATTTTTATGTGAATCAGCAGTTTATTCTTTTTTATTGTTCAGTAATATATCAATGTGTGAATATATTATCCATTCGCCTGTTGAAGGTCATTTGAGTTCTTTCCAGTTTCGAACTATTATGAATAAAGCTGCTAAAAACATTTTTAAAACAAGTCTTGTTGTGGACATAAGTTTTTGTTGGGGCAGGGATTTAAATAGCTAGGACTGAGATTGTCAGTTTATTGGATAGGTATATATTTAACTTGAGAAGAATCTGCCAAACAGTGCTCCAAAGTTGTGCAATTTTACACTCTCCGCAGCCAAAATGGAGGCTTCCAGTTGTTGTACATCCTTGTCAACATTTGAGATGTCAGTCATTTTCACTGTAGCCATTCTAGAGGCTGTAAAGTGGAACCTCCTGGTTTTGGTTTCTCTTTCACTGATGACTAATGATGCACAACTTTTCATGTGCTCATTGGCCATTTGTATACCTTCATTTGTGAAGTGTCTCTCAAGTCATCTGCACATTTATCTTATTGGGTTGTTTGTCTTTTTACTGATCAGACATATGTATTCTAGATAAAAGTCAGATATATGTATTATTGATATTTCAAAGCATTTTGTTCAGCAGTAGAAATGCTGGCTATATGATTTGAGAATAAAAATACGTATGTAATCGTAACAAGAAGTCTTAAATAAATTAAAATGTCACTATTTTGAATAACTAGAATATATATTAAGAAAAATAATCCCAGGAAATAAAAAATATGCTAGTAATATATTAATTACACATAACAAATTTACAAAATTATATTACCATATAACAGTAATACATAATTCTAAATAAAAATAATCATGCTCACAGATAAAACCAAAAACTTTAAGAGCTTAATTTATTGAAAGGAAATGATTTAAATATCATGAGGGAAATAAAAGGAGACAAGAAGTAGTGGAACACTCTACTGTGCTCCTGCTGTTTGGGAAGATGTACTATACAGAGTTAATTCAACAATAAACAAAGTCCCTGAGGGATGGCCTATACAAGTTGACAAGTTGATGTAAAAATTAATTGAGGGAATTAAACAGAAATGTAAATATTCCAATAACCATCGAATTATACATTTTAAATGGATGAATCGTATATGTGAATTATATCTCAATAAAACGATTATAAAAAAAGAATAAACAGGGATTTTTTTTTTTTTTGAGACAGAGTTTTGCTCTTGTTGCCCAGGCTGGAGTGCAATGGCACGATCTTGGCTCACCGCAACCTCCACCTCTCAGGTTCAAGCAATTCTTCTGCCTCAGCCTCCCGAGTAGCTGGGATTACAGGCATGCACCTCCATGCCTGGCTAATTTTGTATTTTTAATAGAGATGGGGTTTTTCCATGTTGGCCAGACTGGTCTCAGACTCCCAGGCTTAGGTGAGCCTCTCGCCTCGCTCTCCCAAAGTGCTGGGATTACAGGCGTGAGCCACTGCGCCTGGCCTAACAGGGAAATATTTTTCAAGTTAAAGCAAAAAAACAAGGTAAGCCAAGTAAAACTATATAAAAATATATGATTTTGGTGTTTACAGCGCATTGGGTAAAAAATCTTACTCAGAAACAGTATGTAAAATATTTCATTTTTAGAAAACTATACATTAAATCAATGGAGAGTGGCCAAAAAATTTTAACACTGTTTATCTCAAGGAGCTACAACTATGGTAAATATTTTCCTTAATAATGAAATGTGGAAACATTTCTGAGAACAGAAATAAGACGAAGATGTCCATTATCATCACTTGTATTCAATACTTTCCTGGTATTCCTAACAAGAGTAATAAGGCAAAAAAGTTGAAATAAAAATACTAAGATTGGACCTAAGATACAAAACTATGTATGTATATTAACAACTCAAAAGAATCCAGAGACAAGTTATTAGAATTAGTGAGTTTAGCATGACTGAATAAATGGTCAAAATAGGAAAACCAATTTTATTTCTGTATACCAGCAAGAGTTAGAAAATAAAACATTTTAAAACAATACCATTTATGGTAGCATAAAAATTCAAATGTCTGGGGAAAAATTTAATGAAAGATGTCCATGACACTTTAAATATTATTTAGAGAAATGAGAGAAGAGGTAAATAAACAGAAGTACATACCATGTGAACTGATTAGATGACCCAGTATTTTAAAGATGTCAATTCTCCCCTGAATTGACTTATAAACTCAATGCAACCCCGGGCGCAGTGGCTCACGCCTGTAATCCCAGCACTTTGGGAGGCTGAGGCGGGCAGATCACGAGGTCAGGAGATCGAGACCATCCTGGTTAACACGGTGAAACCCTGTCTCTACTAAAAAAAAAAAAAAAAAAAAAAATACAAAAAATTAGCCGGGCGTGGTGGCGGGCGCCTGTAGTCCCAGCTACTCGGGAGGCTGAGGCAGGAGAATGGCATGAACCCGGGAGGCGGAGCTTGCAGTGAGCCAAGATCAGGCCACTGCACTCCAGCCTGGGCGACAGAGCAAGACTCTGTCTCAAAAAAAAAAAAAAAAGAAATGGAAAAAGAAAAAAATCTCAATGCAATCCCAATCAAAATCACAACAGGCTTCATATATATATATATATATATATATATGTGTGTGTGTGTGTGTGTGTGTGTGTGTGTGTGTGTGTGTGTGTGAGAGAGAGAGAGAGAGAGAGAGAAGTTGCATGGTTAGGTGGTAAAAGCAGTGTTTGCCATAAAAATCAGGTCGTTGGTTATTTTGGTGGGGAGGGAGAGGTAGTGTTTGGAAGGGGACACAAGGGAAGGTTTTGGGACGCATGGTATACCGGTTGTCAATGTATGGCCTCGCACCTCCAAATCCATCCTTTAATACCTGCTCTGTGGGCACAGCCAGAATCCCCTTCCGCGGCTCCCCTCGCGGCAGGGAGGATGCTGAACAGTAGAGGGCGCTGGAGACACGCTGCGGGAGGCTGTCGCTCGGGTCCGGCTGCGGGCCACAGGCCGCGGATCGCGCTCTGCCAGCGCCCCACGCCCGCAAGCGCGGCCCCTCCGCCACCTCGCGGCCCGGCCTGACCTGTTAATCACGTCCCCACGGCTCTCCTAGCGGGGACACCGCCGTCTGCAGGCTCCGTCCCCACAGTGCCCAGACCCCGGGAAGTTTGTCAGTCAGCACCCTGATGCCAGCCGATTCTCAAAAAGCCAGGAGGATCCAAGCAGATGATTTGCCAGACGGTACTGCAGCAATGGAGATGAACAGATAATTCACACAGAAAGAAGGACGGTAGGGAGAGACGTGCGGGGGGTAGGGAGGGCGGAAGGAAGGTCTAGGGGAAGGAGCGGAGGGGGAAGGGAGGAAGGAAGGCAGCAATGGAATGAAAGGAGAAGGGAGGAAGGACTCGTTGAATGCACAGCCTCCCCGGTGCTGCACCGACAGGAGCGGCTCTCACAGGCATGGGGCCCCCAACAGACCCTACCAGGCTGCGGGAATGTTGCGGCCCTGCAGGGCGTCTCTGTCTTTTTTGAGGTGTCTCTGGTAATATGTGATAATGACAGTATTTTTAGACATTTGGAATCTGATTTAAATTTTAGCTCCATCACCTTCTAGCTGTGGGACCCTGAGAAACAGCACATCCTCCCGGATCCTCCCATCTCTCTTGTCCACACGTGGGGAAGGCTCCTGGTGGGGGGGGGTTGGGGGGGAGGGGGGAAGGGGGGGTTGGGGGGAGGGGGAAGGGGGGGGCCTTGCAGATTTACCAAGCTGATGTACAAAGACCTACTACAGCGGTAAGGGCTAGCTCCTTTCTCCCACTCTGGCAGTCACTCCACTTTGAGAAACATACATCTTGAAATAAAGCTACAAGTGGAGAGGGGCAGGTGATTTGGGCAAATGATTCCATACTAAATGTTAGGACAAAACATCCTAGGCAAATATCACAATCCGGCGTCATAGTGGCATACTAAATTCAACCAAGAAATATACCCATGATGTTGAAAGAGCCAGGCTTATGGAATGTAAACAGCAAACTATTTTATTCTTGTTTTCTATTTACCAATTCAAACTTACTCTGCAGGTCACTCCTCCCTGCCCCTGGGATAAAATCTAGGGCATGTTCTGTGACTTTCTGGATCACAAAATTCACATGATTTTTGGATCATTCTCAGTTAACCAAAAATGTGTCCTGTAACTTCTAGCTATAAAAATAGGCTCTGTTCAGCATTTAAAATGTCCAATCCCATGTAGGAGTCTAAACTTTCGATTTCATTTTAAGTTTAAGCTTCCTCTTGATTCCTCCCCCAAGTCTGGCCCAGGCTTGCATTTGGCTCCAGGCATTGGGCGGGTAGCAGTGTTTCCTCTCCATTTTTCACTTTCACTCTTCCCTCCCCAACTAGCTTGCAGGGATTTCTGATCACCTAGTAGAGTCTAGAGGCGTAAGGGAAGGAGGTCACCAAGGGGCAGGCCAGGCTTTATGTGAATAGTGCTGTTGTGAGCCAAGTACTTGAGTACTTCGAGGTCCCCTTCTACTGCAGACATCTTCCCTATGGTTCCTGTGACCCAGGTTTGTCTCAGAGTGGGGTTAGCACACGGTACCATCTCCATCCCCTTTAAAAGTATTTATTACATTTTTCTGGAAATGGAAGTCTGGGAATTATATTTCCCTGATAGTCTTATGAGCAGGATTCCAGGTTGATTCTGCCAAATGTGAGGCACTCAGGTGAGACTAGAAAGCAGAAAGATGGTTTAAAAAATCATCGTTTTCTTCCTTTGACTCTGCACTTATGACAGCAGGATGCTCGAGACTCTTGCAGTAATTTGGGCAAAGATTTCCACAGTGCAAAATAGAAAAAACGTAACTGGCAAATAGCTGTACAAATTACAGTCCATTTTCATCATGGAATGTCAGTTTGGCAACAATGGCATCGAGGCCCAAAAGCAGCTCTGCAGTAGGGGGGTTCCTCCTTGGTGACTGGATGGGCACAGCGAAGCACAAATTCCTGAAGATCCCAGCTCCAGGAAACATCAGCATGGTTCATTGCGTTGTCCACCTGAATTCTTCACCCCTCCCTGTGGCTGTGTCCATTGCCCTGTAGTGTTGCAGTTCCCCTCAGGAAAAAGATATCATTTACTTCTCTGACCCTTGATTTGGAGCTTGGCTATGTGACGTGCTTTGGCCAATGGGATATTGGATGACATAACATAAGGAGAGACACAGATATGCATCTGCACAATGCAGCTTGCCTTTTTATGCTTCTGCCTTCACCATGAAAAGAGCTTTCCCTGGGGGTAGCAGCTGTCCCTGCAGCCTGTGTTCAGAATGCACAAATGTGAGGAGCCAAGCCCAGCCAGCTTGAAAGTGAGTTGCCAGGCCCAGCGCAGTGGCTCACACCTGTAATCCCAGCACTTTGGGAGGCCGAGACAGGCAGATCACCTGAGGTCCGGAGTTCGAGACGAGCCTGACCAACATGGAGAAACCCCCGTTTCTACTAAAAAATACAAAATTAGGCCTGGCGCAGTGGCTCACGCCTGTAATCTCAGCACTTTGGGAGGCCGAGGCAGGCGGATTACCTGAGGTCGGGAGTTCGAGATCAGCCTGGCCAACATGGAGAAACCCCGTTTCTACTAAAAATACAAAAGTAGCCGGGCGTGGTGGCACATGCCTGTAATCCCAGCTACTTGGGAGGCTGAGGCAGGAGAATCGCTTGAACCTGGGAGGCAGAGGTTGCGGTGAGCCGAGATCACGCCATTGCACTCCAGCCTGGGCAACAAGAGCAAAACTCCGTTGAAAGAAAGAAAGGAAAGAAAGGAAGGAAGGCAGACAAAATTAGCCGGGCGTGGTAGCGCATGCCTGTAATCCCAGCTACTCAGGAGACTGAGGCAGGAGAATCACTTGAACCTGGGAGGCGGAGGTTGCAGTGAGCTGAGATGGCGCCACTGCACTCCAGCCTGGGCAACAAGAGTGAAACCCTAAAAAAAAAAAAAAAAGTGAGTTGCCTACCCTAGCTCAGACCACCTCCAGCCAACCCACAGATGTGTTAGAAATGAGTGCTTATTTAAGTATGGCATTGACATGTTGTGATTAGTTGTTATGCACCATTATAGCAAAAAAATTGCACACTGATAAAAGTAACTGTTCCCTCGTTGGCTTCACCAGCTTTCCCAAGAATTGTTTAATCCCATTCCCTGTATAAAATCACTCTCTGCTGAGAATCCTTTTTCTGAGAAAAGAATTCTGAGAATTTTTTTTCTGCTTGAGGCAGACCAACACTCATTCCAAGAACAACTGGAAAGGCTGAATAAAACACAGAAAACTTTTTTAAAAAGTTTTTGGAAAGCTTCCCAGTTAACAAACATTTGAAGGGTCATAATCTCAAAAGAAGAAAAACACAAGGAGGCAAGCTGGCCCTCTGTGAACTACTTTTCCCTTCAGGAAACGTGCTGATTTTAGCTAAGAGGCCGAGCATTTGGGCAGACGGCCATAGCTAAGAGGCAGCAAAGGCAGCAGAGTCGTCTTCAGCTGGAGAGACAAGAAATGGAGACTGAGGTTGTCAAGGCAGCTGGAACTGAAGGGGCCGAGATATCATGTAGAAGGGAGACACAGAAAAGGAACACTTTCCCCTTGAGGCATCTGCTGAGTTAAGCTATGCAGAAAGGCTATGAAAAGCAGCAGGTTTTGGCAGTGTCATATTAATGAGATAAAAGTTGGAGTTCAGGACCCACCAAGGAAAAGAAGCCTAATAATCACATCAGACACTCAGTTGGAATCCTTGGAGGACCACACTCTAGATAGACGGGCAAACCAGAGATGGAGATGAAGCCTTCCAAAAACTGCAACATAGACTCTAGTCAGTTCGGTACCATTGGATTAAGGTAAAATCTTCCCACTCTGTCTATCAGATGACATGGTAAACCCTCCCTTGAGACAGACATTGTTTTCAGATCATGTTTCCTGGAGCCACTAAAATTTATTATAATGGTTAGCATTCAACAATAAGTGATCAAACACACCACAAAACAGGAAGGAGGGGAAAACAGACACAACAAAACGGAGCCACTAATGACCCAGATATTGGTGTTATCAGACACAGACTTGATGGGTGGAATAGAGACTTTCATCAAAGAACTGGAATCTATAAGAAAGAATGAAATGGAAATTTAAAACTTAAAAATACAATAATTGAAATTAACTACTTAGCATATGGGTTAACTACAATTAGATTTAGCAGAAGGAACATTCTTTGAACTGTAATATAGGACAGAATAAAAACTCTAAGCTGAAGAACAGAGACAAAGAGTATGGAAAATACAGCAAAGAACATAAGATACTTGTGGGAGGTGGTGAACAGGCCTAACACATATGTAACTGGAGTCTTAGAAGGGAGGAAGATGGGGCAGAAGGAACAGTTAAATAAATATAGCCTGAGAACTTTCCAAAACTGATAAAGCTTTATGATCCCCAAGCAGGATAAATAAAAACAAAACTGCATCCAGGCACACTATACTTTTTTTTTATTATTATTTTTTGAGACGGAGTTTTTCTTTGTCACCCAGGCTGGAGTACGGTGGCGCGCGATCTCAGCTCACTGCAACCTCCGCCTCCCCAAGGTCAAGCGATTCTCCTGCCTCAGTCTCCCGAATAGCTGGGATTACAGGCACGCGCCACCATGCCTGGCTAATTTTTGGATTTTTTAGTGGAGACGGGGTTTCACCATGTTGGCCAGGTTGGTCTCAAACTTCTGACCTCAGGTGATCCACTGGCCTTGGCCTCCCAAACTGCTGGGATTATAGGCGTGAGCCACCGCACCCAACCCAGGCACACTATACTTAAACTGCTGCAAATGAAAGACAAGGAAAAAACAGTAAAAGCAGCTAGAGGCAGGTAGGAGGGACACATTTCTTCTTTTCTTTTTTCTTTTCCCCTCCCTCCCTCTCTCCTCCTTCCTGCCTCCCTCCTGTCATTTTCTTTTGTAGAGGGGGGGGATCTTGCTCTGTTGCCTGGGCTGGTTTTGAACTCCTGGGCTCAAGGGTGCTGGGATGACGGGCGTGAGCCAGTGCATGTTACTGACACATTACTCTCAAAGGAGAAACAATAGCACTGAAAATCACTTGTCAACAGAAATGATGGAAGTGAGAAGATAATGGAGTGCCATTCTGAAGTTCCTCAAAGAAAAAAGTGTCAACCTGTAATCCTATATTCACAAAATATACTTAAAAATGAATTTGAAATAGATGTTTCTATTCAAAAACTGAGAAAGGCTGGGTGAGGTGGCCTGTAATCCCAGTCCTTTGGGAGGTCAAAGCAGGCAGACTGTTTGAGCTCTGGAGTTTGAGACCAGCCTGAGCAACATGGTGAAATCCCTTCTCTACAAAAAATACAAAAGAATTAGCCAGGTATGGTGGTGCCTGCCTGTAGTCCCGCTACTCGGGAGGCTGAGGTGGGAGGACTGCTTGAACCTAGGAGGTTGAGGCTACAGTGAACCATGATCATGCCACTGCACTCCAGCCTGGGCGACAGAGTGAGACCCTGTCTCAAAAACAAGCAAACAAAAAAACACAAAAAAACCTGAGAAAATTTGCTGCCAGCAGATGTGCATACACAAAAAATACTAAAGGGAATTCTTCAGGTAGAAGAAAACTGATCTATGATAGAATCACAGAAATGCAGGAAATAATAAAAAAAAACAGAGTGAATATGTGGGTGAATACAAATGAATATTGACTGCACATAGCAATAATAATAATGTCTCGTTAGGTGTAAAATATATGTGAAATTAAAATGAGTAATAATAATATACATGCAAGAGTAGAATGGAGGTAAATAGAGATTGAGTATTGTGAGATCATAGCATTGTCTGGGAAACAATAAAAAGTAAAATTTGTATTAGATTATAATAATGTACAGAAGTTGTAATCTGTGGAGGAAACCACTAAAGAAATTATAAAAGAATGTGTAAGTAGAACCAATGGTAGGGGGGGAAACGGAATTAAAAAAATAATCAGAAAGAAAGCAACAGAAAAGAAAAAATAAAAACAAAAATGGGTAAGACAAATGGAAACAAGTAGTAAGATGGTATTTATGAACACAACTATATCAGTAATTACAATAAATGTAAATTCACGAAATACACAAAAGACAAAATTTGACAGACTTGATTAAAACAACTCTATTCAAGAGACATGACATCATTATAAGAACATTGAAAATTCAAAAATAAGGGGGAAAGTGAAAAAAATACCATTGTGAGTGGTAGAGAAAGCCATTTCACATAATAAAGGTTCACTCTACCAGAAAACGTCAATTTTAAATGGGTATGAGCCTAATAACACAACCTCTAAATGCATAAAACAAAAACTAACAAAACTCAAAGGAGAAATAAACAAATTCATAATAACAGTGGCAGGCTTTATCCTCTCTCAGTAATTTATAGAAAAACAGACAAAAATATCAGTAAAGATGTAGATAATTTGACCAACCTGATTAACAAACTTGACCCAGTTGAAATACACATAACACCTGCACACAACTGCAGAATGCACATTCTTTCAAGTGCAAGAACATTATGATAAGAATATTATAGGAAAGTCTGTCATAAACATAGCTTATATAAAAATATAACAGCAAATTAATCTAAATTTTATTTATTTATTTACTTATTTTATTTTTTTGTTTATACTTATGTCATAAACATAGTTTATATAAAAATATAACAGCAAATTGATCTAAATTTTATTTATTTATTTATTTACTTATTTTATTTTTGGAGACAGAGTCTCGCTTTGTTATCCAAGCTGTAGTGCAGTGGCGTGAACATGACTCACTTCAGCCTTAACCTCCCGGGCTCACGCAATACTCCTGCCCCAGCCCTCCAAGTAGCTGGGACAACAGGCATGTGACACCATACCTGGCTAATTTTTGTGGTTTTTGTAGAGACCGAGTTTCACCACGTTGGTCTCAAATTCCTGAGCTTAGACAATCTACCTGCCTTGGCCTTCCAAAGTGCGGGGATAATAGATGTGAGCCACTGAGCTCGACTTAAATCTAAATTTTATTTTATTTTATTTTATGGCCATGCTCCCTCTAATAAATCTAAATTTTAAATAAATAAGTCCAAGTATTGTTGTGTTTATGTGTATAAACCTGCGCACACACACAAAAGTGTACACACCCTGCTGGTTTCTATTACAAGAATGTTAAGTTTGGTTTGACATTCAACAGTCAATTAGTATAAGTCATCACATCCAAAGAATAAAGGAGAAAAATAAAATTATTTCAAAAGGTGCAGAGTAAGTATTTGAGAGAAATTTAACCTTATTTGTAATTAAAAAAATCTTTTTAACAGCTTGAGAATATATGTTAATGAGTACATTAAAAATCCTATAACAACCATCAAACTTCATGGTGAATATTGACAACTCTCCACATGCCACACCCACCACCCCTGAGATTGAGGATGAGACAAGAATACCCACTATCACTACTTATAGTCAGCATTCTGCTGGAGGTCCTAGCCACTGCAATTTGTATACCAATTTTATATCTTGCAACCTTGCCAAACTTATTAGCTCTAGTAGTTTTTTTGTGTGTGGATTCCTTAGGATTTTCCATAGACAAGATTATGTCATGTGCAGATATAGTTTTACTTCTTTCTTTATGATCTGGATCACTTTTATTTCTTTATCTTGTCCAATTGCTCAGCCACTGCAGTTTGGCAAGAGCTAAATAAGGCATAAAGATTAAGAAAGGAAGAAATAAAACTGTCATTCACAGAGGACATGATTATACAAAAATAATCTGCAAATTATTACAATTTAAATGAATGTCACAAAGCCTCTCACTGGATAACAAGGTCAACATAGTTTTGTAGCAACAGAATCTGTATATACTAGCCATAAACAAATATAAAACGTCTAAGAATAAATCTATTGAAGGATGTGCAAGAACACTTTACTGAAAACCACAAAAATAGTTCTGAGAAACATACAAAAGACTTAAAGTGAAGAGATATACCATGTTAATGAATAGGAAGATTGAATATTTTAATGATGTCAAATGGCCCCCAAATTGTTCTACATAATCAATTAAATCCAATCAAATTCTAGCACTTTATTTTGTGGAAATTGACTAGCTGATTCTAAAGTGTTTTATGGAAATGTAAAGGGCTTCTTTCTTCTGGAGTTGCCTTGTGGACAGGATTTGAGACAACCCAGGCCAGGTTTCTCTGGTCCATGGGAAGCATGCGTATGCTTTTTGCCCTGACTATGTCTGTAGAGAACAGCCCAAACAACAACCTCCTCCCCATCAGAGCAGAGAGCCAGCTAGTCTCTTGCCATTTAGATTTTTCAGGGATGAGTCAGAGATACCAGTCTACTCTGTCCTGCAGAAAAGGATACTTATCAACTTTTCCAAGCGGCCCTAGAAAAGTCACTGCTAGTCAGAAATCTCACCTTGGAATGTGGGGGTGGCTGGCATCTATCCGGATGTCAGATGAAACAGAAACAGTTCCACTGTAGTAGCCTGCTCTATAAACACACAGAGAACCCCTATTACATGTGAGCTATGAAGCTATTAGAAACTACAGCTTTGCGGACTACTTTGAAAATGTGCAAGTGGGCCGGGCGTGGTGGCTCACGCCTGTAATCCCAGCACTTTGGGAGGCCGAGGCGGGTAGATCATGAGGTCAGGAGATCGAGACCATCCTGGCTAACACAGTGAAACCCCGTCTCTACTTGAAAATACAAAAAATTAGCAGGGCGTGGTGGCAGGTGTCTGTAGTCCCAGCTACTCCGGAGGCTGAGGCAGGACAGTGGTGTAAGTAAACCCGGGAGGCGGAGCTTGCAGTAAGCCTAGATCGCGCCACCGCACTCCAGCCTGGGCGACAGAGCAAGACTCCATCTCAAAAAACAAACAAACAAACAAACAAACAAACAAAAAATGTGCAAGTGAAATAAGTGACAAAAAGCAAACACAAGATATTCTGTTCATACGAAACACTGCGAGGCGACACTTGTGTTTGTAGATTGACAGAAATTGGAGGTGGAGTTAAAGAGGTAGAAACTCAGTATAACATTCATTGCCTCTTTTGCTAAAGTTGTTTCACTGCATAAGAAAAAGATACTGGTCGGGCTGGGTGCGGTGACTCATGCCTGTAATCCCAGCACTTTGGGAGGCTGAGGCAGGTGGATCACCTGAGGCCAGGAATTTGAGACCAGCCTAGCCAACATGGTAAAATTCCGTCTCTACTAAAAATAAAAAAAATTAGCCAGGCATGGTGGCGGGCGCCAGTAATCCCAGCTACTTGGGAGGCTGAGGCAGGAGAATCGCTTGAACCTGGGAGGTGGAGGGTGCAGTGAGCCGAGATCACGCCATTGCACTCCAGCCTGGGTGACAAGAGGGAAACTCCGTCTCAAAAAATTAAAATAAAAAAAAAAAAAAGAAAAAGAAGGAAAAAAGAGAAAGAGATAGTGGTTCCATGTGCTGTTCTAGTTACACAAAACAACGTGTTGACGTGCAGGCTGCACGATGCCAGGTGCAAATACACACTACCTGTTACAGTAACTGTGACAAGCACAAGGGCTGCTCACTAGCTTGAGTGCAACTTCTGGGGAGTTGATGGCAGTGATCTGTGGGTACTTCCTTCTTAACAAATTTTACATCAATACTGCAACACAGCAATCTCAGCCCTGTGGGCTATACCATAGCCACATGCTTTCACCATTTCCTGCTCAAAGGGAGAGCCCAGGAACTGAATGCTCTTAATCAGGGAGAGCACAGAAACAGCAGCAGAACAGCTGGAGAACCAGGGCTGTGTGGTTTTGGACTGTGGGGAGGGTGGGCCATGGGCAGACTTGACACAATGTGGGAGGGCATTTGACACAGCCCCGTGGAGGACCTAATGCTCGGGGAGGCCTTCACCCAGCACAGTGAGCCATGCCGACACTTGGTGCCTGAGTGCGCTGGTCACAGCGCCCTCCCTGTGATTTTCCCCATAGCAGTGTGTTTTCTCTGCCAGGCAGAAGGCAGAGAAACCCTGGCTGAAAAAGCAGTGAGGGTCATCGACTGCATGAACACATCATCAGCTTTCCCAGATGGAGGCACCCAAGTTTACCCTGCAGGTCCATTCAGCAGGTAGAGCTGGGTCATCACTAAACAGGATCTTTCTTCTGAGCATCTGAGATTCTGGTCCAAATCAGGGCTGTGAGGACCAGGAGCCGGGATTCCGAGCCCAGGCAGCCCCGCAGATAAGGAGGAGGGAGTGTGTCGGAAGGCTGTATGGCCAGAGCCGCTGACCGGGCCAGGGCTTCTTTGTCCCCTCTTCTCTCCTGCATATCAGCACTCACGTCCTCCTGGCTCGGGCTGGCTGGCAGCTCGGGGAGCTGTTGGATGAAACGTCCATGCGTGTGGCTGTGGCTGTCACATGCAACTGCGAGGATGGTCGGCTCCCAAAGCGGAACCGCGGTGCTGGGCGAAGGGTCAGGGCTCCGTGGTGCGGCAGAGCGCATGCCAGCGCTTCACCAGCTCCTTGGGCTTGCTGAGCATCTCGTCCCAGTGCTCCAGCTCTCTGCCGCGGGTGTACATGTAGGGGCCCACCACCACTCGGCCCAGCTGCTGGCTCTCTGCAGGGGAGGGAGAGCACCGGTGTGCTCCTGAGCACAGAAGCCCCGTCCCCAGTGACCTCCTTTCCTCCCTCCTCCTCCCCAGGAGGAAGTAGCAACTCCCCTCCTCTCTGAGTGGGAGCTGACAGGCCCCAAAGGGGCCCTGCCTTTGCTCTGCAGCTGGAAGGGCTGCTTCTCCCCCTGGGAGATTGGGAGGAAGGAGAGCCCTGAAAGACTCTCTCCTTGAGGGCCACCAGCTCTGCCCCACACCCTTCTGTGGGGCCGTATTAAGTCTACCTTATGCCAAAGAGCTGAGGGAGGAAAGGGCCCCTCTAGAAAGAAGGCCTCGGCCATCCGAGAGTACATTCAGCAGTAACATTCACTGGCCACCGTGGAGAAGGGTCTTAAGTCCAGGCCATGTGGCCAGCCACGGCCTGATGGCTCTGTTTCCCCAGAGTGGCAGTGGGTGCTGGGGTGTGGGGCAGTGTGGGAGCTGGCTGACAGAACTCGCCCAGAACCCCAAAGTCTCATCTGGAGGGCACGAGGAAGGTCAGAGCACCAGGTCCCTGGGCTGGTGGCAGGCCTGGCCCCTCCCACTCTCTCGGGTGATTTGCTCCAGGAGAGGGCAGCAGAGGCCATTGCTTAACCTCTTTCTTTTTCTTTTCTTTTCTTTTTTTTTTTTTTGACAGAGTCTCGCTCTGTGGACAGGCTGGAGTGCAGTTGCAAGATCTTGGCTCACTGCAACCTCTGCCTCCCGGGTTCAAGTGATTCTTCTGCTTCAGCCTCCCGAGTAGTTGGGCCTACAGGCGTGCACCACCACGCCTAGCTAACTTTTGTATTTTTAGTACAGACGGAATTTTACTATGTTGGCCAGGATGGTCTTGATCTCTTGACGTCGTGATCCACCCCTCTCGGTCTCCCAAAGTGCTAGGATTATAGGCGTGAGCCACCGCACCCAGCCAACCTCTTTTTTTTTTTTTGAGACGAAGTCTCGCTCTGTTGCCCAGGCTGGAATGCAGTGGTGCGATCTCGGCTCACTGCAAGCTCCGCCTCCCAGGCTCATGCCATTCTCCTGCCTCAGCCTCCCAAGTAGCTGGGACTACAGGCACCAGCCACCACACCCAGCTAATTTTTTGTATTTTTAGTAGAGACGTGGTTTCACTGTGTTAGCCAGGACGGTCTCGATCTCCTGACCTCGTGATCTGCCTACCTCGGCCTTCCAAAGTGCTGGGATTACAGGTGTGAGCCACCGTGCCCGGCCCTTTTTTTTTTTTTTTTTTTTTTGACAGATTCAGCAGCCTCGCCTCCTGGGTTCAAGAGATCCTCCCACCTCAACCTCCCAAGTAGCTGGGATTACAGGGGTGTGCCACCACGCCCAGCTAATTATTGTATTTTTAGTAGAGATGAGCGTTTCACCATGTTGGCCAGGCTGGTCTTGAACTCCTGAGCTCAAGTGATCCACCCACCTTGGCCTCCCAAGGTGCTGGGATTACAGATGTGAGCCAGCATGCCCGGCTGCTTAACCTGTTTCTAGGGTGCCACAGACAGAGCTCAACTGGACTAAAGCTGGGCCTGAAACCCAGGCCTTGGGCAATATTTCAGCCTTTCTGAGCACTAGTTTCCTTAACCAGGGAGGGAGCTCGTACAGCTCCTTCTGAGGTCAGGACAGGAGGCACTCACTCTGCCTGAACACTCGGCAGCCCCTCGTGGTCCCCATCCCAGCAGCCCAGGGTAGGGTGTGGCCTTACTGTCCCCTTCCATGTTCTGCACCACAGTCAGGCTGAGGCTAGCGGTATCCAGCTCGGTGGCATCGGCCTTGAAGCTGAAGGTCTCATTGTACACAGGGTTGATGGAGCCCAGCACAGCTGAAGTCTTCTTGCACTTGACAAACTTGTTGTGGTTCATCAGAGACACTTTGACAAACACACCTAGGGAACGGTGAGCACTAGTGGGCTGGCAGAGGCAGGTGGGAGCAGAGCCCCTGCCTGTGGGAGGTCCGGCTAGGAGGGCACGTGCCCAAGCTAGGTGCCAGGGCCCCACCCCTCACACAGTGCTGCGGCCCCGCCGGCGTGACCAGAGGAAGCCGGCTGAGGAGTGCACTGCCCTGCGGCCCAGGCGGGGCTCCGCTCCCTTCCTTTTCCTTCCTCTTTGCATCAGGAAAGTACCCACGGCTCCTGCAGGCCCTGGTTTACCAGAGCCTAGCACCGCAAGCCTGTCCCTCCCTGTTGGGGGGCTGCTCACTGGGCCCCCAGGCCCCCTGGGGCCCCTTAAACACCTTGTACAGAGGGCTAAGATTTGGTGGGTGAGGGTCAGAGTCACAGTGGAAGGTCTGGATCCTGCCTGGCTTACGGTGACCCCAGATGTGAACACAAACAGGTGGCTGACCACCACCTCACTGGGATGGGTGGGATGTGTGGGGTGAGCCCAAATGGGGTGGGACATGTGGGGTGAACCAAGGCCTCCCCTTCTGCAGCTCCTGTATTCTGGGAGGCCAAGCATCAGTGCCCATTGAGTCGGGGGCTCTTCCCCTGTGGGGAGGGAGGTGCGGGCCTCACCCTGGAGGAACTGGACCCATGCCGCTGATGGAAAGGTGGAGGTGGAGGCAGGCAGGACAGTTCAAAGAGCCAAGACGCTGCCTCGGGAAACAGGAGGGGCAGGGCCTGGTATTGCGGCTGGGTTAGAACCCTCCGTAGGGGAGGCCAAGGAGATGCAGCTTTGGGTTCAACACAGGAAGAGGCTTCCTGCACCAGAACTGTCGACCGAGGGACAGCACGTCTTGTGAGGTAGTGAGCGCTCCATGATAGGTGTATGCAAGCAGAAACTGGATGGTCAGGGATGAGGTTGGACTGTAGCCCCAGGCTGTAAGCTCGGTGGGTGGGACCTTCCCCAGGAGGAAAGGGAGGAACTCACTGACAATGCCTCTGTCCTCCTGGAGCCGGAGGCCCTTGGCACGCAGCACAACCACCGTCAGGCGGCTCAGGTAGTCGTTGTAGCTGAGGCAGAACTGGAGGTCGCCAAACTCCGAGGGGGGCTGGGGAGGCCAAGATGGAAGCACCCCACCCTGTTACTCTGGCAAGTGCTGAAGGGGTCACAGAACCCCCAGAGAGCCTCCCGCTTCCTCCTAGCGGTCCATGCGACACACCCGCATGGTCCCCTTTGAGTTCCACTGCCATTTTAAGGATGGGGCAACTGTGGTCTGGAGAGTTTAAGGGGCTTGTGCAGTCCTGTGGACCAGAGCTAAGGAGTCACACCCAGGTCTGAGCCAGCTGGGGCCTTCCTGGGGGTGGTGGGCTGGAGGAAACATTTCCCTGGGCTGGACCATTTGTGGTGTCATCTCTCACAGCTGTCTAACCTAGATAAGAATCCAAATGTGGATATTTCAGGTTGCTCCAGGGGGTCTGATGGCCAGTGTGACAACAGGACCTCAAGCAGGCCCTCCCTGCCCAGGGGCAGGTCCGTTCCCACCTGTCCCATGCTGCTTGGGGCCTGGGCCCTCCTCCCTGAGTCACTGTTGTAGGGTGGTGTGCAGGATGCTGAGGGCTGATGCCGCCAGCAGGTGCTGGGCCCTGTGCACACCTGCCAGCTGATGCTCAGTGGCATAGGCATGGTGACCTTGACCATACCTCCAGGCTCTCGGCCTCCAGGTCTCTCCAGATGACACGCCGGCAGTCCCCCACTAGGGTCTCATTCTTCAAGGGGAAGAGCACCTGGCCCAGGAGCTGGTGCTTCCTCTGCCTGTCCACGTGGTAGACGGAGAACTTCAGCACCCTCTGGGTGATGGTCTTGCTGGACACCTGGGGGGGACAAGGACACCAGCCAGAGTCAGGCGTGGGGGTAGGGGATGGGATGGTGTGACTTGTTATTCTGGACATGGGTGCTTTTGGGAACGGGTGTCTCAACCAGGGACCCACATCCCCCAAACCTAGGCATTTTCAGGGGACCCTTCTCAGCAGCAGAGCCGTGTACCCCTGGAAAGTGGGGGTAGGTGCCAGGACCTTGGTACACAGAGTGTGGTCCGAGGACCTGTAGCGTCTACCACCACTTGGAGCCCTGTTAGAAATGCAGGATCTTGGGCCCCAGCCCAGATTCATGAATTGGAATCTGCCGTTTAACCGGAGCACCAAGTGACATGGCTGCACGGTGAGTGTGGCTCCGCCACCACCCTGCACTGTAGCAAAGGCCCAGGAGCCCAGGGCACCGGCCTGTCTCTGCTGTCAGAGCTGGGCATGCCAGCTCTCTCCTCCCTGAGATTTGGCCTCCTCGCCTGTGAAATGGGGATTATGGGTCTTCCTCTCTGGTTGTAAAACCCCAATCACAGTGTCTGACCTCCAGCAGATGGCCCATTAATATTGATTTTCTTTTCTTTCCCCTTCTCCCTTTTCCACAGAGGGATTGGATCAAGCTGGGGCGAGATAGAGTGGGGAAGTGATGAGCTAAGAAAAATTAGCCTGCAAGCATGACGTGTCGCACGTCAGCAAGGCTGCAGCCTTGGATTCTGATGTCTTGAGAAGAGCGATTCACCTGTGAATTCTCACAGCCCTGGCCTCAGAAAGACGGCCCGGGACCAGGCCCGATGGCACCCCTCTTCCCAGCTCTCAGCCAGGGCGGAAGGCACAAGTGATGGCCCTGGCCTCCGCAGTCACACTCCTCCTGAAAGCTGACTGGCTGAACCTCACCTCTTGGCTAGCTTGCCACCCAGCTCTTGAGAACATGTTTGTCCAAGGCCTCTTGGCAGGTCTCGATGACTCCTTCCCCTAAGGGCCCCCAGTCACCTGCTAAGGCTCCCAGGCCCCTGTGAAACTGGCTCGGTGCCCCAATAGACTCTCCACCTCCAGACCCTAAGCCGGCCAGCCCAGAGTGCAGCAAGGCACCACACCTACCCTGTGAGGGCACTCGGGCCCCGCGCTGGCCTCTGACAGCACAGGAAGCTTCTGCATTCACGCTGAGGCCTGTCTTTTGCCTTCCTTAGATAAACTTGCCAGAAACCCCATAGTGCTTCAGGCCTTTGGGATAATTCCCCTGAGCCCCATAGGCCAGGGCCTGGCATTCAGTAGTTGCTCTAAAATTGTGTTTTCACCCACTCTCTTCCAGGTAGTCAGGACAGGGAAGCCCAGGCTTCTGGTCACCACTCACCAAATCTCTCCCCTGCCCCTCTATCAGGGATCAGCTCCTATAGGCCTTAACCTAGCAGACTAGGTAAAGCAGAGCTGGTGGCATCAAGGGTCCCGGGGGCTGCAGAGCCCTGGCTGGTACAGGAGGCTGGGCTCTCCTGTAGGTCTGCACCTTCCCAGCAACGCGGAGGGCACCAGACCCTGCCTGCTCCAGAGGCTGTACCTGAAAGATGAAGTGCTCGTCAAACTGCGGGTTGGAGGTTTTGCGTTTGGTCTTGGATTGGAGGAAGCGCCGCTCATCGGGCAGCAGGTAGAGCTTCACCAGGGGGCTGCAGGTCTCCGAGGGGGCTTGCAGGTGCTGTGCCTTGATCAAGCCCACCAGCAGCCGCTCAGCCTCCTGCTCATATTCCACCGAGAACCACAGCCGCCCCAGGCAGCCGTCGGGGAAGTCGGTCTCACTTTTGTCCTCCGGGAACTTGTACAGCTCTGGGTTGATGGCCCCCACCATACATGCATCTCCTATGACAGAGGGTGGGAGGGCTGGCAGGCCAGAGGAAGGCAGGGGCATGGGAGACAGTGGCAAGCTCTGGGCACCCATCCCCATCCTGGCCCATCCGTCTCTGCTGAGCCTCAGCTAGCCTGACCACATCTGCCCCACTCTCCTCACCAGGCTAAACACATCCCCTCTCTCTGGTGCAGCTCCTCCAAGAAGCCTTCTCACCATGAAGGCATTGCATGGCCAGGCTGGGGATCCAGCAGAGTCCTGCCCCCTGGGATTGGCCCCCATCCTTGGAGGTCAGGACCTGTTTCAAGGACACAGTGCCCATCACCTGGCCTAGCCCCCTTCCATGGCGTCTAGGGAATGACTCAGCGATAAAACATTGCCTTTCTTCTTCCTCTTCAAATTAGAAGGGCCAAGGTGATTATTGGGTGGTTCCTGTGATGGTCTCTTGGTAGATCTTCAGGGCAAAGAGGTGGCAGAAAGCTGTGTTTGCAGCCCCTACCATTCTGTCCTCTTGGTCAACCAACCCATCATCCTAGAGTGGGACCCAGCACAAGTTCTGTACATGGCGTGCCTGGGTTCCAATTCCAATCTGTTGCTTACAGCCTCAGTTAAGACTATGTAAAATGGGGTGATAATTCCTCCCCCTCAGAGTCATGGTGAGGTCTCACTCCAAATCAGCACCCAAGGCCATATCTTACCCTCATGGGGTGCAGCAAGCACTTCATAAATGAAAGCACCCAGAAAGAGTGGTCCCTGGGTGGTCCCTGGCATCCCTGGCTGGTTCAGGTTGTGTTCCGGAGCCAAGCTGGTGAAAGCAGATGGGGCCACCCGAGCAGACCCTGACCTCTGGGCAGCCCTGGCAAGGACACTCACCAAGGCCGCCGCTGGAGGTGTGAGGCAGCAGCTCTGATGCCGGGCAGGGGTCCCATGGGGCATCGGCCCACTCTCCACTGTGCAGGGGCACCCAATCTCGGCCTTGAAGGGTTGGGGGCACCACGAATGGCACAGCTGGTGGCCTGTCCAGAGTCAGGGAGACAACATGTAGGTGGCAAGTCAATGGTGTGGTCTCAGAGCGCTCAGCCAGGACGGTTGAGCACCAGGGGCTGGAGGAAGAAAAGCCATCGGGAGCCAGGAGGAGGCCAGGGCACCATTTTCTGGGCCCATACCAGGCAACACACACACACACACACGCACACACACACACACACACACACACACACACACACACAGCAGTGGGATTTGAAGAAGGAACACAGCACCTGACAGTGTCAGCCAGTCTGGGTTTGGATTCCTGTTCTGCCACTTACTAATTGTGTTCTCTGGACCTGTTGCTTATGTGCACTGAGCCTCAGATTCCTCACCTGGAACATGGGTTTCATAACACCTGCCTAATAGCTGATGTGAGGTTTCTGGGGTTTCTTTGTGATAGCTCCCAGCACCGAAGCAGCATAGAAGAGGCACCCCCATAAACAGAACTTTCCTTTTCGACCCCACCCTGAGGGAAATTCCAGGGGCGCACTTGGCCCCACATCCTGCCTCACCTGCTCAGTTGGGTCCTAGCATGCGGCTGGCAGGGCCTGTCCCGCTGCCCACTGGAGGCAGCTGTGGTGGCCATGGCTGGTGTCCCAGGCAGCTCCTCATAGGTGAGGGTGGCACAGAACCTTCTCCACAGACAGCAGCTTGCCCCGATCAACAGCAGCAGCAGCAGCCCCCCGATGGTGCCCCCAATCACCAGGGCCAGCTGCTCTGGGGGCAGAGACCACCAGTACTATGATGCCTGCCTGGGAAAGCCACTCTCCCTCACAGCCCTGGCCTGCTGGGGCAGAACTAGGGCAGCAACCCTGCCTCTGGGTTTGATCTCAGGAGTGATAGGAGCAGGCCTGCTGGGGATGGGTTCCGGGAGGGATGCTGCTGGCTAGGTTCCGCCAGCTCTCAGAGGAGAAGCCGTTTACCCCAGGGTCTGAGAGCCCTGGGCAGAACCTTCTAGTTTTCCTTGGAAAACAGCTGGCCCTGCCCTTGGGATTCTGGCTTAAAGAAGCCATTTCCTTGCGCTTCTGAGTAGAAATCAAACCTGCCCTCACCAGAACCTCCATATCCCCTGGGCTCCTGTTGAGGCCAGGAGGGGAGCTGGGGTGTGGACGCAGTCAGTTAAGGAAAGCCCTGAAAGGTACCTTCCCCCTGGTCTGCAATCAAACCTCTACCCTCTGGGGCCCTGGAACCTGCTGCAAGGCTGGACTCTTCTCTAACACCCGCTCCCTCCCCTAGCCCTCTATCAAGGTGAGCACGCGCTTAGGGGAGTTGGTGCGACGCGGTGGACGAGGTGGGGAGGAAAAGGGGGCAAGACCCCGTTGCTGCTGGCCCTCACACGTCCGCATTTGCGGGACCTAGGAGGCTTCGCCCCGGGGGTGCTCAGACGCTGGGTTCCAACCGCTGGCCACCTGGGGCGGGCCAAAAAGGTGCCTCCCTTAGGGTGACGTGCGGCCGCGGGGCATTCAGGTCTCAGGGATCTGCACTGGGTGGGGTGGTGAGAAGGCCGGACCCCCCACACCTCCTAAGCCGCAACTGACCGCGAAGAGCGGGCCTCAGCGTCTACTCCATCCCAGTGCCCCTCCAAGAGCGCGCCGAGGCCGGGCAGGGCAGGCGCTGCACCCCAGCGGGGGCGGCGGGGCGGAGGCAAGTGCTGGAAGGGTCGCAGAGGGGCCGGGGCTGGGCTGGGGAGGCGAGGCTCGCTTACCCGCCATGGGGCTGCTCCCGCAGGCTGGTCTCGCCGGTCTGGGCGGCTGGGGCTGGGCTGCCAGGCCGTCTCTTAAAGCGCCGCGGGGCGCCGTCGGGCGAGCACAGGGGCGGTCCGTGGTGCTGCTGGTGCCCAGCTGCGGCGCGGGGAGCCGCGCAGTGCACGGCAGGGGCAGGGACCCAGCGCCCCGAGGCCGCAGTCCCGCCCCAGCCCGTCCCTGGCCCAGGCCCAGGCCCGGCGGTGGAGGGGCGCAGAGCCGACCGTGAGCTCCCGGAAACCGCAGGGCTCCAGCCAGGGCGGGTCCCGGGCGCCAGGGGCGCCAGGGGCTCCCTGCGGCTTGGGGCAGGGTGGGGTGAGAGTACCACCCCCATCCCGGAGAGCAGGGCTACAGCCTTCACCGCCGCGTCTGACACAGGGCTCCGCACCCGACCCCTCACACCTGGTGGCCAGGACTGAGCCCCCGCCCTCCCAGATCCTCCTCAAGCCGAGGCCCCTCCAGCCGCAGCTCCGACCCCGGCTCGGGGGAGCCTTCCCGGATCCCGGGGTGGAGTCTCCGCGCGGGTCCCCGGCCCCAGCGCTGCCTGCCTGATGGCCTTGGGCAGGGATGCGGCGCTCGCGCACCCGTTCGCTCTCAGCGGACAAACCGGTCGAGAGCGCAATTCTGGAGCGGGTTCCAGAAGCTCCTGGGTTCCAATTCAGGCTCCTCACTCGCCAGCCCTGCGATTTGGGACAACTTAACGTTCGTAAGCTGGGTTCAGTCTTCTCAATTGGGTTAATGTCCGTGAGGGGCTCTCGTAAGGGCGGCTGGCCTGCCGGTAACTTAAGAAGCATGTAAAGAGCACTTAGAGCGGAGGAGCGGCGCGGCCCAGCCCCTGTTACGGTGGTTATCGGATGGAGGCCAGCGTCGCCTGGGTCCCCTCTGTACACCCAGCGCCTATTATTATGGTGATTATTAGAACGCAGGGCCCGTGCCCACTAGTCCAGGCTGGCGAACGCGCCTTGCGGGAAAGGCGGGAGTAAGGTCGCTGCGTGTCCTCTCTGGTCACACCTCGGCGCGCCCTGGTCGCGCCCCTATGGTTCCCCCGCCGAGGCCTCGAGGCGTCTGAGTGGGGAGCGAAAGGAATGTGTGTATCTGTGGTGCAGGGGAGTGTGTGTGTGTGGGGGGGGGGAGGGGGTGGTTGTGGGGGAGTGCGTGTTTTGGGGGGATGGACCTTCTCGTTTTACAGCCTTGAAGGTTATGTCCAGAGTCATAGCCTGGGTCCCACACCCCCGCGTCACCTGTGCCTGTCCTAGGGGGCAGTCAGTGTGCGTGAGGCTCCACCCTGCCTGGGCTTTGGCTCACCTAAGGCGAGGAGGGTGGTGAACTGGGGTGCCCCACTGGGCCGGGTCTGGGAGCCCTCAGCGCCAGGGTGCAGAGGCCGCAGCCACTCCCCTTCTAGGGTCTGGGCGGTGGGGGCATGAGAAGGCGGAGACCCAGGCCACTTCACCCAGTAACTGTCCTCAGCTGTGCGCTTAACTGGCGAGATCTCCGCTCTACTTGGAGACAGTCTGGGGTGTCTGGAGAATCCTCCCCCACTTCTGCTTACCCCAGGTCGCTGTGGGAGCAGGTGTCTCAGGAAATGGGGCCTGGGTCCCACCCAAGGCCTCGGGTCTGAGTTAGATGTCTGTATGTTTGTTGTTGCCCCTGCAACAAAGTACCACAGATTGAGTAGTTTAAGCCACATGCATGTTATCTCACAGTTCGGGGGGTCGGGAATCTAAACTGGGTTGGCAGGGCCTGTGCCTTCTGGAGGCAAGGGAGCTGTTTCCCAGCGTTTCCAGCTCCTAGAGGCTGCTAGCTAGTGGCCCTTTCCTTTGTCTTCAAAGCCGGCAGCACAGCCTTTTCTAACCTCTCCCACTCCAGGTCATTTCACATCAACTCTTTCTGCCTCCCTCTTGTAAGTGTGATACCCTACCTTGTTTTAACCTGAATTGACTGTCCCTTAGCTGAGAGAGCCAGACACACTCCATTTTGGCTCCTTCACTTGCAGCCCCTTACCCACCCCCCTTCCTCAAGGACTTAACTTGTGCAAGCTGACTCCCAGCACATCAAAGAATGCAATTAATGGATAAGATACTGTGGCAAGCTATATCCGCAGTTCCCAGGAATTTGCCCAGTTGATAGTACCCTAAGCCCCCACATTTGTGTCCGGTTGATGGTACCCAAAGCCCCCGCATCTATCGCCTTGTGATGGATTTAAAACCCCTGCACCTGGAACTGTTTGTTTTCCTGTAACCATTTGTCTTTTAACTTTTTGCCTGTTTTGCTTCTGTAAGAGTGCTTCAGCTAGGCTCCTCCTCCCCTTTCTAAACCAAAGTATAAAAGAAAATCTAGCCCTTTCTTCAGGGCCGAGAGAATTTTGAGCACTAGCCGTCTCTCGGTTGCCGGCTAATAAAGGACTTCTGAATTCATCTCAGAGTGTGGCGTTTCTCTATAAGAGGCTCATCAGATAATCCAGGATAACCACCACCCCCATCTCAAGATCATTAACTTAATCACACCTGCAAAGCCCCTTTTGCTATGTAGTCACGGGGTTGGGGATGAGGACTTGATATCTCTAGGACCATTGTGTGGACCATGTTGTCCATGCAGTACCCTGGGAGGGGTGGCTTACATTTCCCCTTCCTCTGTCTAGAGTTCAGTGTGCCTCAACACTGGACTCAGGCAGCTAGCAAGGCTCAGGGGACCCCTACATGGAACCCGTCAGCTATCTTGACCCCTTCCCCCAGCTGCCATGCACCCCCACCTGACCACCCCAATGGGGCATGGCATCCACACCAGCTGCCTCCATGATTGCGCCCGAGCTGTACTCAGGCTGTTCTGGGGGTGGAGTTGGGTAGTGGGATGTTTTTTGAAAAGGGAATCCCTTCTGGCACTTCCTGAGTGCCAGGCCCAGAGCTGCCATCTCTCGACCCCCATGCTGTGCTTTTCCAAAGTCCCCATCTTTCTCTGTGTCACCAAGTCCTGACAGCTGTTCCTCCTCTGTCCATCTCTATCATGGCAAAAAACCTTGCCCAGCCCTCCATCACCTCTCATCTGGAGCTCTGCATGGGCCTCCTCTCAGCTCTTCAGATTCCATGCTGCACCCACTCCCCTTCCCAGCTGTTGTCTTCCAGGCTCCCCTCCCATTCTCATCCCCCCCACCACCCATCTCTATGCAGTGCTTGTGCCCAGACTGATGCAGCTACTTCCACGGCTCTGCGTATGCACTGGGCTCTCCCACCATGCTGCTCTCTCCCTGTCTGAAATACTCAATGCCCCTCCCACCCTCCTTCTCCACTGCTCATGTTTCAAGATGAACCCCCAGCATCTTGCCTTCTGTGAAACCCTTCATCATCCCCTCCTTGTCCTCATGGTCCTTGCAGCTACCATGCCGAATATGGGACTCTGTGCCTGAGACTGCTGCCTCACTCTTCCTGGCAGCCGAGGGCCTCCATGAAGGCAGGGGGCCGTGTCTTATTCAGCTTGGCATCGCCACTATCCACCTCCAGGGCTGAGGCTGTGCTGAATGGCAGATGAAGGGCTCTTGCCATTGGGATGAGCTGCCCCAGCTTCTGCCCACATTGTCCATGCATCATACACATCCTGGGCTCACAATTTAGGGCCCAACAGGAGCTCCCTGCCCTGGTCCTGCAGACCAGCTTCTGGGGTCTGCAAAATCACGTTGTCAGCTCTATCTGCAAAATCCTTACACTGCCAGCCAGCCCACTGAGTTTTGAGTCAATCTTCCTCCACGGGAAGATAAAAGCAGGTGGCAGGAGGGAGCTCATCCTTCTTGCTGCTCCTGATGTTCTGAGCATTGAGATGCAGGCCTGATGTACACGATCCCATGGAGCCCTGCCTCATGTCTGCCCTGCAGGGTCATGACCTCCTCCTCAGATGAGGAAACTGAATCAAAGAGGTTTCCTGGCCCACCCACTAAGTGGTGGATCTAGGCCTGGCACCTGGCTCCCTCGTTCCTTCTTCACCAGTGAGCAGCTGTAGGGCAAGGACCCAGGAGACCCTCTCCTGTGGCGCTGACCGTGAATCAGGCAAAGAGCCACAGGCACTTTGGGCAGCCTCCCCTCCATCCACTGCCCGGGGGCTCTGAGACCTGGCTGGCCTGGAGCCAGCTCCCCAGAACAGAAAGGCATCCAGGGTCTGGCAGCAGCTCTGGCTCTGCTTCCTGTTTTCAGACCTTGTTCTTCCCCGTGTCTGTGGAGCTGGGAAGCCTGGAAACAGCAGCAGACATGGGTTCTGTCTTTCATGGCCAAGCGGAAGTTTTATTTCCATGGCAAAAGCACTTCCAAGGAGGGCTGCAGGAAGTCCAAGAGTTTAAAGACCTGCAAATGCCTGCAGGTGATTAATAATTCATTGCAGCAGATGATTACGAGAAAGGCCACTTTCAATTAACCTTAAGAATCATCCCTGTCTAAGGAAGTGTCATCTCTCATCACTGAGGAACACAGAGGCCATAGCAGGATAAAGGCCACGCTGAGAAGCATGTGGAAGACTGTGTTTCTCAATTCATGCAAATTGCACCAGGTCAGCCCAGGTCCTTCTTTGTGAGGAGGGGGAGGGTTCCCCTGCCAGCATCCTGTCTGCTCTTTGGTTCTGCTATGGCGGCCTCAGACTTAATTTCCTCCAGCCCCTTCTTTTGAGGAGCTTGGAGGGAGTATCTTTCCTTGTTGGATCAGAACTTCTCGTCCCCCACTGAAACATGCTGGCTCCAAATTGTGTCTCCTCCTGCAGACAGTCACTCCGACTGGCAGGGTGGGCTTGGGCCTGTGGCTCGCTCCTGCCCCTGGGCGTGGTTTCTGCTTCCTGCCCTGCTGCTCCCCTGCCTGGCAGGCCTGCTCCCCTGCCTCCTCTCAACCAGCACCAGAACTCTGCCTTCCCTCTGGAGGGAACAACTTCCTTCCCCTTCCCTGTCCACACAGTACCTGGCACTCCCCTACTCACCCCTATTCTAGCGCTTTGTCCATGACCCAGGCCTGGCTGCTCAGCCTAGTTCATTTCTGGCTGCAGTGATAGGTTCAGGGATGTCCCTGTGACCCCACCCCCTGCCCCCGCGAGAGGCTAATCAGGATCAACACTGGAATTTTGTGGGATGTACTGGGGAAGAGACACCTCCTTTCTGGCAGGAGTTGTTGAGCAGAAGGAGCTAAGTCTGGGGCCATGGAAAGCCCCACGTGGAGGAGCCAGAGAGGATGGAGCCAGCACAGGTGCTGAGGTGGGGACCTATGTTGTCCTGGCAGCCCCTGCATCCTGCTGCATGCAGCCCCTGCCCCTGGAGGGGTGGAGAGAGAGGGCGGCAGAGGGGAGTGAGCCCGCCAAGGCCACTGTGTTAGCAAGGAGCTGAGCCGGCGTTGGCATCAGCTGTTCCAGCTTCAGTCTCTTGACCACCAAGGCTGCCCCTCAGCATGGAGCAGAAGTCAGGAACTGAGGCAAGGCTTGTCCTTCCTCAATCGTCACCTCTGGGCACTCAGCTGTCCTAAAGTTTTTTGACCCCCCTTAGGGATGGGGTCTTTTCAGCAAGGGCCATTTGTGGCAAACAACAATTAATTTACTGCTCAGCCTCCATGGCTCACTCCTGCCCCTCCGCCAGCTTCTGTGCTAACAACTGACCCACATTTTTTTTTTTCAGGAACAGCAATGTGCTCAGTCACCAGGCATGCATCCAATGAGCCATAAGAGGGCGGAAAGACTTTGTTTTTTGATGTATTAATATGCTAAATTGATGTGTCGGTTAAGACATGAAGAAATTAGCTATCAAACTCCAAAGAGTGGTGACAGACTAAGACGCAGATTTCCAAAGGTGGCTGAGAACCTGCTGGACAACTGTCCCCCAGTGAGAGGAAGGGCTGAGAGAGTGAGGGAGGGAGGGGATTTGCCAGATTCCTTTCTTGAGGGCTGGGGCTGTGATGTGGACTCCCACCTCCTACGGCTGGCCAGGGCTGGGGAGGGGGGTGTGCTCGGGGAGGGGGCTGTGCTCAGGTAGAGAGGGGGCAGGTGGAGCAGAGGACAGCCTCCCCTCCAGCCCAGAGAGTTGGGGATTCAACTCTGCTCTGAGAGCTTGCTTTCTGTCCCCTGGAGTTTGGGAGGCAGACGGACTGCTGGTGGAGGTGCACAGGCAATTGTGGCTTCTTGGTTCTGATGAAGACAGTAGGCAGCTGCTGTGTTGGGAAGCAGCCAGGCTCCCTCAGATGCCAGCCAAAGGTTTGTGGATCTTGGGCACATGACACGCCACTGGTAGTGCGAGTGTGGCTCAGAGTGTGATGGGGAATTGTCACTGACATGTGCCTGGGGACTTGTCAGGATGTGGAATGTGTACATATTTCCCACAACCAGACATTGGCCATGTGAATGAAAGAGCCGGTGTGTGATCATCTCAGTCCTGACCACAGGCCCTACCCAGAGGGCATATGTAGCACAGTGGAAGGAAGTAGGAGGTGAACTTTCTAGGGGTAGAGGAGGGAGCAAGTGGCTTCTGATTCATTTGCTCAGGTCAAGGGCACTCTGGTTCTGGAGTGGGTGTCAGGGGTGAAGGATCGAGGGTTCCTTTCAAAGGGCCCATTTGAGCATGAAACCTCTTCCAGATCTGGAGAGGTAAGGCATCTTACGAGACCGTCAAGACAGAACTTTCCAAATCCCCTTCCCTTCCTCTGCTCATGCTCTTACCTCAGAAGTCTGCTACGGGCAGTGAGAGAGGAGAGAGGAGGCTGACCATGGCACCCTCTCCAAGGGCAGAGGCTGTCTGTGGCTGGCCCTCACCATGGGAGATGGGGAGACTTAACTCAAGTTTGCAGATTTGATTATTACCTAGGTGGCCTTTCTGATGACTGTCTTGGGACTGCGGGGACAGTGGCTAGAAGGGAATGATCTCTGCTGAATACCTGCTCCTTCCAAGTGTGGCCTCCATAGGGAGCTCGGGGCTCTCACATGTCCTCCTTTGTTCCCTCAAATAGATCCCAAGATCTTGAACGAGACCATTTTACTGGGCTTTAGTGCTCAAGGCTGAGGTTTCACTTCCATAAAAAAATCAGTTAAAAGTGCTGAGCCTGTGGGAAGGCTGTTCTTTGGTTACCTTCTGTGGTCAATTAAACGATTGGTCTCAAGTTCTCTCTTCCCTGTACTGGTATTGTACTCCCACAGCCTTGCAACATGGTGGGTGCATTAGACTGTTTATATTGCTTATAAAGGAATTCCTGAGACTGGGTAATTTATAAAGAAAAGAGGTTTAATTGGCTTACAGTTCTGCAGGCTGTAAAGGAAGCATGGTGCCAGCATCTGCTTCTGGTGAGGCCTCAGGAAGCTTCTACTCATGGCAGAAGGTGGAAGGGGAGCAAGTGTGTCAAGTGGCAAGAAAGGGAACAAGAAAAGGGATGCCCACTTTTTTAAACTACCAGATCTTGCCTGAACTCAGAGCAATAACTCACTCATTACTAAAAGGAGGCACCAAGCCATTCATGAGGGATCTGCTCCCATGATCCAAATACCTCCCACCAGGCCCCACCTGCAACATTGGAAGCCACATTTCAACATGAGATTTGGAGGGGAAAAAACTTCCAAACCATATCAGTGGGACACATGCTTCCCCATGATTTGACTTTGAGCATGGCCACATGACCTGCTTGGGCCACTGGAAAGTTGGCAGAGATGATGCGGCAGAGGCTGGAACTGCACCGTGCGGCTGGCCTTGCTCTCCTGTGCTTTAGCCAAGGCGGTGAGATGAGCATGGCCCAGGGAGAGCTGGCTCCAGGCCAATGAGTGCTCTGTGGTGCAGGTCCAAACCCCACCTGGAGCCTGAGATCAAGGAGTTCAGCCTGAGCCAGCAGACCCCAGCCAACCCACAGACATGGAAGGGAAAAATAAATGCTTCTGGATGATGCCATAGAGACTCTGTAAGCAGCAAAAGCTGAGCAAAACACTGTCACTCTCTTTTGATTCCTTTGGTGAGACTAGAGCTGTGAGCTGGCAGGGCCACACCCCTTGTCCCCTCTCCACATGCCTCAAAGTTGTGGCTGAAGGTGGATGATCTTGTCACTTTTCCTTACTGGCTGGCCTTGGTCTTCTCTGGACCAGCCTCTGCTGCTGTGGGAGGAATAAAGTGCTAAGGGGTAGTGGGTTTAGGGGAAAGAGAGAAGGCTTGTGGGGGACATCTGAGGTTTTCACACAGCATACTTTATCCTTCTTTTGTTGCAGTGGTGCCCCAGTCAAAAGTGCCCTCTGGGAAAGCCCTTCCCTCCTCTTGGGTGTGGTTGACTCCACCCTCTTCTTCTTCCAGCTGGGCTTGATTCCTCCACAGGTCCCTCCTCCTGGCTGCAGAGATTGGTTCAGGGAAACACAGAGCCAATGAGCTGCAAGGCTGATTTTTCTGACAATGCTGGACAGAGGCAAGGGTTCTTCCCGAGGGTCTTGAATTTAATGAGAGAATCTCAAATGATGAGAAAAAAGCTGGTCTGAGGACAGGGTCAGCTGAATAGGTCGTACCCAGAGAAAGAGAGGGAGAGAGATACTGGATGCTGGTGATGGGTGAATGAGACAAGGCATGAAGCTAGAACACCACCTGGTTTTTCACTTAGGTGAGCCCACAAATTCCGATGTGTACTTAATGCCAGCTTGAGTAGGTATCTGCCATTTGCAATCACAAGTCTTCAATGATACAAGATTGCCCACCTGCTTTGGGCCGTCTGTGGCCCAAATTTGTACCTGGCCTTATTTTAGGGACATACACCTTTCTTGGGTTTGCACACACACATGTGTGTTTACATTTGGACATAGTAGAACAAAATAATTTATATAAGGATTTTGAAATGCTGACCAAATAAATAATCTACACCAAATACTTTACTTACGTTGTTTTATTCATTCATTCTTTTTAAAAAATTATTTATTCTTTACAACCACCATCTATGGCAGGTTTTTTTTTTTGTTGTTGTTGTTGTTAGATGGAGTTTCGCTCTTGTTGCCCGGGCTGGAGTGCAATGGCACGATCTCAGCTCACTGCAACCTCTGCCTCCCAGGTTCAAGAGATTTTCTTGCCTCAGCCTCCTGAGTAGCTGCGATTACAGGTGCCCACCACCATGCCTGGCTAATTTTTGTATTTTTAGTAGAGATGTGGTTTTACCATGTTGGCCAGGCTGATCTTGAACTCCTGACCTCAGGTGATCTGCCTGCCTCGGCCTCCCAAGTGCTGGGATTACAGGCATAAGCCACCATGCCTGGCCTATGGCAGGTACTTTTATCACTTAGGAAATCTTTTGGTTACAATTTACAGTAAATCTGACTAAATCTGACTAAATAAGCCTAAATAGGGCTTACACCATAAGAAGATTTGCTTTCTTATTTCATTAGCTCTAAGATGTCATTGATTGTGAAATGCACCACTGTTTTGCACCACTTTCTTTGTATAAGCAAAACTTGCTGCCAAACCATGAAGCCATTCTTTACTATCAAATCAGATATGAGAAGTGACAGTGGTGTCAGAATGTGAAAAAAAAAAGGCCTTCCTTGGAATGGGGAGAAATGGTGTTACTTAGCAAGACATTTGTGGTTGGGTAGCCTCAGATTTGACTTGGCAGCTCAACATCATCATCTAAGATCCAGGTTCCTTGGATGTGTCACCTGCTCTGCCACCTTCAAGTTTCGAGATGGCTTGGTGTCTTCTAACACCAAGTTCAAAGGCAGGAAAAGAAGGAAAGGAATCTGATAGGGAAAGTGTTTATTTCCTCACTCACATCCCTCATCTTATCAGAAAGCCTCCGGCACACTGACCCTCCATACCTTGTTGCTCACTGGCGAGACCCACACACAGCCATGCTGGTTTCAAGGAGACCAAGAAAGTGAGTATCTGACCTTTTCAGTCCTATAATGGGAGACTGGTTGAAGGAAGAGGACATAAGAAATGGCTGTCAATGCCACGGGATTTCAATTCCAATTTTACAGATGAGAAAACTAAAGCTGGAAGAGGTTCGGCAACTCGCCCAAGGTCACACAACTAGAAATCGGTCAACCCCAGATTTGAATCCAGTGTCGAATGATTCAAAGTTCTTCCCATTGCACCATAAATCATCTGTACATGAAAGACCGAAGACTGAGAAACCTCAAATACAGAGCAGGTAAATAGTAAGGAACGTGTTTGGATGAAATACCAGAACACCTGACCATCAGTGGATCAGATAGGGGTTTATTGTTGTTATGTAGCCAGCACCCCAGAGATCAGCAGCCCAGGGTGGCACAGATGCTTAAGGGTTTCATCAAGATCCCAGGCTCCCTCATCATCCTCCTTCACCTTCTGGAGTGTGTGGTTTCTGTCCTTAAGTTCACAGTATGGCTGCTGCGTCTCAAGGCATCACATCTAGCTTTCCAAGAAACCCCTACCTAGTGATTCCCTCTTACATCTCATTGGTTAGAACAAGGTCACGTGTAACTAACCCCAGATACAAGGAAGTTACAAGGAAAAGTAAATATATTTAGCTAGACAATTGTCATCCCAGTCAAAACTGGTGCTCTGTTTTGGAAGAAGAGGAGAGAGAAATTGGGTAGTGGTTGTCATTAGTGAAGTGGGTATTTGGCCACTATATTTGGTTTTCTTTCTTCTAGGCAGATGGTACAACCCTTGGGGTTAGTTAAGGATGTGTAACTTACTTTGATCAATGAAATGGGAGCAGAAGTGAGATGTATCACTTTCTAGTGGAAGCTTTAAAAGTTGGTGCATAAAAAGACACATGCACCCATATGTTCATCACTGCGCTATTCATGGTAGCAAAGACATGGAATCAACCCAGGTGCCCATCAATAGTGGGTTGGATAGAAAGAATGTTGTGCATATACATCATGGACTACTACACAGCCACAAAAAGAAGGAAGACCTGTCCTTTGCAGCAATATGGATGCAGCTAGAAACCATTATCCTAAGTGACTTAACATAGGAACAGAAAACTATATACTGCATGTTCTCACTTGTTAAATGAGAGCTAAACATTGGGTACACATGGTCATAAAAATGGGAACAACAGACACTGGGGAATACAAGAGAAGAGAGGGAGGGAGGGGGGTCAAGAGTCGATTAAAAACTGCCTATTGTGTACTATGCTCCTCTTGAGTGATGGATTCATTTGTCCTCCAAACCTCAGCCTCAAAATATACTTTTGTAACAACCTGCACATGTACCCTCTGATTCTGAAATAAAAGTTTAAAAAAAGACAGTTGGTACATTGTTCCCCAAGTTCTTTTCCATTGATGTGATGACTGTAAAAGCAAATGCCAAGAGTCCTCCACGATGAACAGAGCCCTCTTGCCAAACCTGTGATAGGCATAGAGCAAGGGTGGGAAATAGACTTGTGTTTAGTTAATCCACTGCTATTTTTGTGAGGTCGCTATTGCAACATAACCCAGACTATCCTGACACAGGTCGGCAATCAGCAGTGTCCACACATAGTCCTCAAGCAAGGTCATGATCAGACCAGGGAGGAGCCAGGGCCTAAGCCTGAACTGGCATAAACAGTGCCCCAATTTCTCCAAAGTGAGGACTGTGCCAGTGGGCCTCAAGACAAGAATTGGGAGTCCACAGCTCCCAGACACTGGGGACCCCCTCCTATCTGGAGCTGCCTGGCTGCCACATATGAGCCTGGTGACCCAGCCACACCCACCAGCTAGCTCATCAGCAGTGTCCATGTCATTATCGAGGCAGAGAAATCCACTCAGCGAGGATTTCCCACGTTAGCCCAGCATCCTTACTTCTCGCTCATAGTAACAGAAACCATGTTCCCGCCTCCAACAGATGCACTGTGCTCTGCACTCCCCTGGTCAGCGGGTGGGTGCATGATGCAAACTGGGCCAGTCAGATGCTTTCATTCTGAAACTTGAATCTTGAGTGAAATAAGCCAGACTCATTGGGGACTGATTGGAATTTACTCACCCCGGTGGAGGCACATGGAAGAGGCCCGTTGGGTCCTGCTATCTATGTCCTCAGAGCTTCACTTACCACAGTTCGGAGAGGACAGCACATCCTCCAGGGGTTCTGAACCTGAATGCAGCAACTGGTTGAGAACCTGAGTTCTGCGCTGTCTTCTGTTGCAGTGGGAGTGAGTAGGGTTTTGGTGGTATATGGTATAACTGCCTTATCTTGAGAAAGAATATTTTAACAGCTGTGTTTATGTCAAGAGGGGTATGTGTAACATTCAACAACCAATGCTGCAGATTGCAGAGGACATTTGTTGTTTTTGCCTGCTCAGCATCTATTCTTGCTGCTTCTGGTGACAAAATTCAGTGGTCCCATTTCTCTTTTAACTCCAGAGCTAGATTTGATCCAGACCTGGCCAGTCAGAGCATCACATGCTGCAGGCCTCAGTGAGTGGTTAGGAGCTGGGCAGTGGCCTACCTTAGTTTACTATGACTTGAACCTGGAATTTGTGGGCAACTTTTGGGAGCCATAATAACAGTAATGGCAGCTGGGCTCACACCTGTAATCCCAGCAGTTTGGGAGGCCGAGGTGGGCAGATCTTTTGAGGTCAAGAGTTTGAGACCAGCCTGGCCAACATGGTGAAACCCTGTCTCTACTAAAAATACAAAAATCAGCCAGGCGTGATGGTGGGGGCCTGTAATCCCAGCTACTCAGGAGGCTGAGGCAGGAGAATCACTTGAACCTGGGAGGCAGAGGTTGCAGTGAGCCGAGATTGCGCCACTGCACTCCAGCCTGGGCAATAGAGCGAGCCTCAGTCTCAAAAACAAAACAAAACAAAACAAAACAAAACAGTAATGGCTAGTACAGTTAACTTGGCACTGTCCTTGTTCCTTAAACTCTTGTCCATGGACTTAGAGCTGTGAGGACATAAACATAATCCAGGAGTTCCCAAGACCCACTATGTAGGGAGAGCCTGGCTAAAAGAGAGAGGTGCCAGTTCTGATGACATCATTTAAGCTAGGGGCTCTGGCCAAGCCCGGTTACCCTGGACTGTTGACTTACAAGAAACAGTGAAAAGTCCCTTTGGTGCTTAAGCCAATTTGAGTTGGGTTTCTGCCTCTTGAAGTCAGAAGAGTATTGCCTAATACAATAATTCTGTGTAGGCATACAAGACACATCAGTGGTGGTACCTGCCATGCCCGCAGCCCTAGAGGAGGAGACAGCCAGCAGGTGGCCCTATTTTAGATCATGTAACAGTTGGACAAGAGCAAGCAAACACCTGACTCAGGCTCTGAATCAGGCTGGTCAGGATTTGTGAGTTTTCCTCTGGCATTAAAGATGACCTATGTCTATCCAATTTCTCTTTTTTAAATTGGAAGTTGAGAAACAGGGCAGGAGCGAGACAGCCAGCTGCAAGGGAAGAAGCATGAAGGATATGTGAAGAGGTGCCACTAGGAGGAGCTGGCGTGGTGGCAACTCAGTTTCAAAGCAGCAGAAATTCAGCATCAGGAGAGGGCGCCAGTTGGTGGAAAG
The DNA here is from genome assembly GCF_000001405.40 of Homo sapiens. Classification (NCBI taxonomy): domain Eukaryota; kingdom Metazoa; phylum Chordata; class Mammalia; order Primates; family Hominidae; genus Homo; species Homo sapiens. Next base: position 46,565,715 of record NC_000010.11, on the reverse strand, counting down.
AGCTGGCAGAGCACAGTCAGGAGGAAACCTGTCTAGGAAGCTCCATGAAGAGAGGGAGCAATGGCTATTTCTGAAGTTGTCTCGCCTATTCCTGAGGACTTTTCAATTCTGGTTCAAATCCTCATGCATCCTTATAACAAACCCATTTTTTCCCCCAAACAAGTTGCAGGTGGTCTGAGACCAAAGCAGACATCCCCCTTCCATGTTGCCTCTGTAACCCTCCCACGGTGACCAGCGTATCACTAAGGACACTTTTGGTAGCAAAGGATGGAAATATAATGCAAATTGGTTTTTAAAAAAGGAAATGTATTGTCTTCCTTAATTGAGATGTCAAGGGATGAGACTAGCCTTAGTCCTCACTGAGGTCAAGGCTCCCGGGATGTTCTCGGGAACTTGCTTCTGCACATCCTCACTTTGTCCTTCTCTGGGCGGCTCCAGTATCCGGCTTCATGTAAGATGGTGGCTTCATCGCCACATTCCCTTGGGGAATAGAATGAGTTTCTTTCTCCAGATTCCCAGATAAAGTATTTATCATTGGATCTAAGTGGGGTACACACTTATCCTGAACAATCTCTGGCCAGGAAACTGATACAGTGATTGGCTGAGGCCTAGCATACACCCCTCCTCTAAGACCCACATGAGCGTAGAGGAGGTAGAGTGTGAGTAATATCTTTGTGGAATATATGTTGAACTGCTGGAAGAGAGACTTCAAATAAGATTGGCTTAAGCAAGATAGAAGTTTCTTTCTCCCTCACCTGCCTGCAGGTAAGCAGCCTGGGAGCCCAGGTTTTTTTTTCCCCATCTTGTTGCTTCTCTATCCCTAGGTATTGTGATGTGAGATGTTTCACCATCACCTCCACTGCCTAGCCAGTGGAAACGGAAAAGGCGGAAGAGGAGGGCTCGCCCCTCTGGTTAAAAGTGTCACCTCTCCCTACTTCAATGCTGCTGGTCAGTTACTTGGCCAAATATAGCTTCTAGGAAGTGAGGAAATACAGTATTTTTTTTCTGGATTTCCGTATCTCCAGATAAAAAACAAGAATTCTTTAAACATAGGAGATGAGTGTGATCGGGGGCAATTAGCAATCTCAGCCCCAGCCTGTCCCATTGGCCAGTCAAATTTCCATGTGTCCCCTCCCCAGGGGAGACAACCCTAAAGTTGCATCCAGTGCCTATGTCCAGCTCCAAGCCTGGGACCTGTGGAGGGACAGCCTGCACCATCAGATCTGATGTGGTTTTTGTTTTATTTTTGTTTTTTTAGACAAGTTCTCACTATGTTGCCCAGGCTGGTCTCGAACTCCCGGGCTCAAGCAATCCTCCCATCTTGGCCTCCCGAAGTGCTGGGTTTACAGGTGTGAGCCACCACACCAGGCTTCTGGATGCAGTTCTTTATGGTGTGTTGCCCCGGAACCCTTACATACATTGCCTGCCTCCTTACACCCAATATGCAACAGCCAGTAAAAATAAGATAAACATGGTGGGAAACCTCATCCAGAAGAGGGAAAAACACACCCACCAAATCCTGGTGGGCAGAAATTGTGAAGGCTCCCAGGGAGTGGAGCAGAGTCCTTGGATGACAGCGCCTCTCTCCAGGAGTATTCCCTGGGATAGACATCTTTGGACCTTGGTGGTCCCCTCTTTGTCCACTGCCTTCCATGGCACAACTAAAGGGCATCAAACGGTGTATCCCTCTTAGGGCTATACAGCTTAAACATTTTTTTTTAGAGAGAAGGTCTTGCTGTGTTGCCCAGGCTGGACTCGAGTGCCTGGGGCTCAGGCAATCCTCCCACTTCAGCCTTCAGAGCAGCAGGGACTACAGGCACATGCCACCACACTGGGCCTGGGCTGCATAGCTTTTGCAGCCCACTTTTTGCAGGTGCAGGTTTGGTGGGTAGGGGTCGGTTGATTTAAGGAGTCAAAAATGCAGACTTGTACCAGCCAGACTCATGGTTCTTTGGTAACACATGCCCCTTAAAATCTCAGTTGGCTTTCTGCCTATTTGTGGCTAGTTATCCTCTGGGGCAAGTACAGGTTGGGTATCCCTTATCTGAAATGCTCGGGGCCAGAGTGTTTCATATTTCAGATTTTGGAATATTTGCATTATCCTGGCTGAACATCCCTAATCTGAAAATCCAAAATCTGAAATGCTCCAATGAGCATCATGTGTGCTCAAGAAGTTTTGGATTTTAGAGCATTTTGGATTTCTGGGTTTTTGGTTTAGTGATGCTCAACCTCCTTTAGATTAGCAGTATTTAAGCCTAAAAATGGTGGCCTTTTATTTATCAGCCTGTATGTTATATCTATTCACCTCCCTCTCAACCTGAGACCAGCGAAAACACTCAACTTGGACTGGAAGGCAGCTTCCTTGATCTGGTCTTTGTGGCCGAGCGGCTGTCATTGTCAGGTTGAGAAACGTAATCAAGTGTTTGAGAAAGACTAGGGTCCATAGTCTCGTCTCCTGCTAATCCTGCTTCTTCAGAAAATTATTCTATATCTGCCTCAGTTTGTGGTACAGAAGCAATAGATTTTTCTCTTTATTTTTTTAAATAAATATAATTTTATTCTAAAGGAATATTATTATATGGCAACACTTTGAGAACCATAAAGGTGCCTTTGAAATGTTGTTAGAAAATCACTTAAATCATATTTTTTATTAATAAATTGATGCCATTTTCAGGCACAGTATTTTTTTGGGCAAGCACTGTACAGCATAATTCAAAATATACCCATTTACAGAATCCAATTAGGTATTTTTCTGCTCACAATTATATGATGGCTGATTTCTGCTCACAATTATATGATGGCGGATTTCTGCCTACATTATGATGTGATATGATATGATATGATATGATATGATATGATATGATATGATGGCTGATTTCTGCCTACATTATGATATATAACTGCTCTACAGAACATGAAACAGAATTTCATAACATCAGTTATATTTACACTCTACTTTAAAAATCTTTCAAGATATAAGAATCAAGCTATCAAATATGGAGTTTTTAACAAGCAATAGTTTTTTTTTTTAGGTCTGAAAACTTTTTAAACTGAGGTTATAGCCCATAGGCAAAGGGAGCTTCTTTCAGCACTGCTGTATTCTCTTCAGTATCTGCCTTCCTCGGGCTAGCTCTGTCCACGTTCTTCTGGGTCATGTAGGACTCTGTTGAGAGTGGCAAGAAGCATCCAGCAAACACCTGCATTCTGAAATTTCCAACTGTTTCCTTTAGAGCAAGAGCTGACTTTGCAAGGTATTGCAGGAATCAGTTGATCGACTGCTATGGCATGGCATAAACAGGGTTTCCAGATCATCATATTTATGTATAGCATTTAAAATATGTTTTCAGTTTTGTTACCAGCAACACAGCCCTTCTTGGTAATAATTAGTATACAGCCTTTACTAATAATTAGTATACAGCACTAATAATTAGTATACAGGCTTTCCTTCTGCAAGAGAGCACTCACCCCAAATAGTGACTGAAATAGACTGGAGGTTAATTTCTCTTTCATGGAAAACCTAGTTAGAGCTAGTCCAGGGCTGATAGGCAACCACAGTGTGTTGGGACACAGGCTCCTTCTCTTTTGTCACTCTGACATCCTTAGGGTTTTAGCTTCATCTGATTGATATAAACTGGCTTCACACCATGACTTCATTCCTACCAGGGGAGAGGGAAAGGGGCGAGGCACATTTCTTCTGAAGTGCATGACCGAGAAATTGCAAAAATTACTTCTGCTAACATCTCACTGCTGAGAACCTAATCTACAGCATGTTGGGTGCACGATGCCTGGGAAATGTGGTCATTATTCTGGGCAGTTATGTACTCAGTTAGAGGAATTCTATTACTATAGAAGGGGACAATAAGTATTGGGGGACAATTAGCAGTCTCTGTCTCGGGATGATCCCCCAAATGAAATGGGGGCTGGATTGTGGGGAGCTGAAAAAGCAACAGATGTCTACTACAATGCCTCTCCTCTGAGCACTCCAGCCCCTTCTATTCCCTTCAATCCTTGTGACCTAATTGTCCTTTGGGCATCTGTCTCAGGTCCCCTGAATCCCCCATCATGTAGGCTTTGGGGCCAAGGCACCTCTGATTTAGCCTATATTGTCAGCTTGCAGCTGATAATTATTATTAGGGACTCAGGAAAATGTCTGTGGAACTAAATTGAGGTAGTAATAGGCATTTCTGAATCAACTGCCTTCCATTCATTCATTCATTCATCCAGCCAGCCAGCCAGCCAGCAAACATCTATTATATGCTAAGTCCCAGGGAGTCAGTGTCTTTTTGTCAGACAAAAAGACAGCCTTTTCATTTATGGCTCTTTTGGCTAGAGGGGTCTCTTGTACCCTAGAGATATTTTGCTAGAAAAGCAGATGCTGTTTAACTGAATCAAAGCTCTCTCTTCCTTAGGCATTGATACATCCCAACTTAGCATTTCCTCAAAGCTTGCACAGAGGCTGTCCCCAGCGGTAATTTGTGCTTTGGGACAGCTCAGTATCAGGTTCCCTTAGTCTGGCAACAGTGTCTTGCCCTTTCCTTTGGGGAACCACTCTTCACTAGTCTCTGTGACCCACTGTCAGCCCTACTGCAGGGCCCCACCATTTTGGGAAGAGCAGTGACACAGGCTGGTCAATTGAAGAGCTCTCTCTCTGGTCCAGGATTGTCAAGTAGGGGCAGTAAGACTTGATTTGTGGGTTGTTTAGATCCAGAGATGTGAGGATGTAGATTTAAGGTTGCCAGCAACTTTCTTTCCCAAGAGGAGAGAGACTACGGTACCTCAGTACTACCCCCATCATTTCTTCTTGCTCTGCTATTACATAAAGAAGTCACCTCTTTCCTCCTATTGAACTCCTGAATCTCAGCCCATTGAGGACCTTATTGCCAGTAGCAATTCTGGCTCCTGTATCTCCTGTCCACTCCTTCTCAATGGGTACTTCTCCCTAGCAGTCAAATGTGCTCAGTTCGTTACAATGTGCAGTGGATACTTGTTTCTGGTCACTCAGGCTTCAACCTCCCTGCTGGGGAAAACTGTCTTGTGAGCAGTCTCGGTGGGGCAGTGGGTGATCCTAGAGAGGCATTGGGCCAGGTATTCCTCCAGGTATGTCGATCCAAGGGCAGAGGGCATGTGGCCATAGCTCGGCCAAACAAACTGCCACTCCACTGGGATTTTGAATCTTGAGCTGAGAGACACACCAAGGACCATGGACAGGAATCCTTTCTGTGGAGGTGGCACTGGGGAGCAAGTGGTTCCTCCTGTTGGGATCTGGAGTCACCTGGCTCCTGCCTTGAAGAACATGGCTGAAAGCATTAGCATCTGGAGATCCCTGCGATCTTTTGACATATCCCCTTTTGCTTAACTTTTTTTTTTTTTTTTTTTTTTTTTTTTTGAGACAGACTCCCGCTCTGTTGCTAAGCTGTAGTGCAGTGGCACAATTTCTGCTCACTGCAACCGCCACCTCTCGGCTACAAGCTATCCTCCTGCCTCAGCCTTGGGAACAGGGGGACTACAGAAACATGCCACCCTGCCCAGCTAATTTTTTTTTTTTTTTTTTTGAGATAGAGTCTTGCTCTGTTGTCTAGACTGGAGTGCAATGGCGGTGCGATCTTGACTCACTGCAACCTCCGCCTCCCAAGTTCAAGTGTCCTGATTCTCTTGTCTTAGCCTCTCAAGTAGCTGAGATTACAGGCAGACGCCACCATACCCGGCTCATTTTTTGTATTTTTAGTAGAGATGGGGTTTCACCATGTTGGCCAGGCTGGTCTTGAACTCCTGGTCTCAAGTGATCCACCTGCCTTGGCCTCCCAAAGTGCTGGGATTACAGGTGTGAGCCACTGCGCCTGGCCATCCCTTTTTGCTTAACTTAACCAGACTTGCTTTCTGTTGTTTGAAATAAAAGAAACCTACTACAGGATGCAGATAATAAAACAAGCAAGCAAACAAAAAAAAATAGCATTAAAAAAATGCCTCTCTTGACCCTACATTCCTTCCCAAGTGACACCTTTCTTCTCCCCTTTATGGCTGTGTTTAAAAGAGGCATCTGCACATGCACCATCTCTGGTTCTCTCCTCCAGCTCATCCCCCAACCCACGCCAGTGGCTTCTGCCTCTGCCACCTCACTGAAGGAGCTTGCTCCAAGTGCCCTGTGTCACCATGATGTCCCAGTTTCCCACTATCTTTTCTGGGTGCTCCTCCATCCTTTGTCACCTGGTGACTCACAAATGGGTCCTAAGCCCTCTCCTCACTCTACTCTTTCCCTGAAGACCTTATCCACCCCTGTGACTTCAGCAACCACCCCATGTCCATGACACCCAGACTTCTGAAAAACTCCGGTCCTTGGCTGGGCATGGTGGTTCACGCCTGTAGTCCCAGCATCTTGGGAGGCAGAGGGGGCGGATCACCTGAGATCAGGAGTTCGAGACCTGGCCAACATGGTGAAACCCCACCTCTAGCAAAAATACAAAAATTAGCTGGGCATGGTGATGGGCACCTGTAATCCCAGCTATTCAAGAGGCTGAGGCGGAAGAATCTCTTGAACCCGGGAGGCGGAGGTTGCAGTGAGTCGAGATCACGCTATTGCACTCTAGCCTGGGTGACAAGAGTGAAATTCCATCTCAAGGAACAAAAACAAACAGAAAAACCCCTCCAATCCTGTAATGTGCAACCCACCTGTCCACGTGGTGCCTCAAACATCCCAGTGTGCCCCCGCTGGACCCCTGAGTGCACCCCACACTCATTCCTCTTCTGTCAGGGTTCAGAGTCTCAGCAAATGGTAGTTGGCCCATGTGGTCCTCAGGCCTGAGCTGCTCTCTACCAAAGCAATCTACACATATCCATCCCTTCCTTCCCCCATGCAGTGCAGCTTGTACCTCCAGGACCTGACCCAGGAGGAGCTCAGTAAATATTTGATCAAGTGACTGATAGCAGCGATAACACTCCACGGGACACGTTCACAAACACCCTCTTCCCCCAGCCCTGTTAGGTAGGTATAATTACTACCACTCTGCAGATGAGGAAACTGATGCCCAGAGAGATGAACAGTTTTGCTTGGGTGTGGGGTTGCACAGCCAGTGAATATGTGGGGGAGTTGAGATTGGAATTTAAGTGTGACTCCCCATGCTGGGTTCTCCCTGGACAGCTGCCACAGCCAGGGGAGCCTCCTTGCCAGGGCATGAATGGAAGAAGGGGGCCAGTTGGACAAGGAGTGATGCCCTGGGGTGAGGGCCAGCCAGCTGTGTTCACAGGTAGATTGCATGGCAGACATCTCCTGACACCCAGCCCCAAGAAGGCTTCCTTGAAACACACAGTGAGGTTCTTGGTTCTTGAGATGTCCTGGGAGCTGAGAGCCCCAGGTTTGGGGCCTGGATCTGGCACCAACTCTCAGTGTAACCACAAGCAGTCCATCCCTTCTTGGGGCTCAGCTGACTTCACTAAAGAGGGAATATGAGTAAGATGCCTAAGATGTGGAAGCAGAGGTCCTAATTCCTGGACAGGGGCAGAAGTGGGTAGTGGCCTCGGCAAACAAATCCCCTATTTGCCTCCTTTAAGCAGGATCCCCCTACCAGGCAGTGTGTGATGGTGAGGCCCAAGCCTGGGGTCTGACGTCGACACCCCTGTGGGCATTTGGCCAAAGGCAGCCATCTGCCAGAATCTGAGAGCTGCTCTCAGACCTCGCTGGAGAGGGCTACCTGGGGCAGTCTGAGTCTCTCTGGGCAGACTGAGGTCCTTTGCTACCCAAACGGGGAGAATTAGAGATACTGTTGGCTCCTGGGCACTGGAAGGGAGGAACGCAGGCCTCTCAGCACAGGGCTGGGCCAACAAGTTGGGGGTCCCGGCACAGGGGACAACGGAGAAGTGCCAACATTGGGACCCAATTATGTGATACTGGGGCCCAGAGATAGTACAGGTGCCTCATACCACGTGGCCCTGGGTGGACAGCAGGAATCTATTGCGAGTGGCGGGAGGCCGGGGCTGCCTGTCCTGCGCCCTGAAGCTGGCCAGCGGTTGTGGAAACTGGGGGATATTGAGGGAACCGTAGGCCCAGGTCCTCAGCCTCATAGTGTGGAACCTGGCGATCCCAGGGCCTGGGCTGGCCCCCGGCGTCACGGGACCGGGAAGGCGCTGTGGTGCTGCGGGGAATTGCGGAGAAGAAGGCGGGCTCCAGTGGAGGTGGCTCATCCCCGCACGGTCACTGCCCTCGCCCGCTGTTGGGGTCCGCGGCTGGGAGACTGAAGGCCTCAAGTCGGGCTGGGTAGGGGCACGTGGGCAGGGAAAGGGGTGGTAGATTACCAGTCTTCAGGGGCGGGGCTGGAGATGCAACCCTAGGGAAGGAGTCTACCAGGCTGGGCTCTTGAGGGGCAATGGAGGGCTCCGGGGGCCAGGCCAGGCCAGGATCATGGAGTTCAAAGGACTGGAGTGAGGTTTGGGGTCCATGAGAGTGGAGCTCAGAGGATGGGACGGTGGGTCCAGGATTTGGGACCTGGGGCTGGAAAGTCCGAGGCTAGTGGAGACCAGGCCTGGTATCCCAGACGAAAGGGCCCTATAGGAAACGGGGTCTCGTGGGCGGGATCTGGAGCCAGAGAATTGTGAGAGGCGGAGCTAGGATGGAGAAGGCGAGAGGAAAGGGGTAGCCGCCGGCGCGGAGACCTCAATGCGGGGCGTGGTGCGGAGGGGGAACTGGAGCGAGGGGCACTGGAGCGAGGGGGTGGGGCTACGAGGAGGTGGACTTGAGGGGCTGGGTCTGGGGCCGGAGAATCGTGGGGAGCTGCGCCTATACACCCGGGACGGTGGGGTTGCGTCGGGGAAGTGGGAGTCTTGGGGGTTCGCTGGGCAGCCTGGAGAACAGGCGGTCGTGGTGCGGGCGGGGCCGAAAAGACCGAGGACAGTGGGGACCCGGCCTGAGGAGGGGTCGGGAAGGAGGGGTGGGGGCGCGCGGACGCAGATCCCGGGCCGCGGCGGGGCGGTGGCAGGCTCCAGAGTGGCACGGGCCCAGGTGAGCGAGGTCTCCGCCCGCCGCCCCTCCCGCCGCCCCGGTGCCAGCTGCCCCGCTGGCCCCTCCCTGTACCCGGCGCTTGCTCCGCGGGCCGGGCCGACGGCGGCGGGCGGCGTCTCGCGCCCAGGCCAGGTCGGCTCTGGCTCCATCTTGGGCCGCGGCACCTGGCACCTGTGGCGGCCGCAGGAGCAGCGCTTCCCCCGCCTGCGCGGCCCCGGCGGGCGAGAGGGTGAGAGGCTGGCTCCGCGCGCTCCCGTTGGGGCGGGGGGCGTGGTGGGCGGCACCTCCCCCTTGCTGAGCCTCAGAACCCACTCCTTCCCGCTGCCTGCGCTCAGACCCCCGGCATCCTGGCCCCTGCCCAGCGCCCAGAGCCCCCGGTGGCCGCATCGCACTCCCCGCGCTCCGCCTCTCATTGTCCTGTCCTGTCCCCTCTTCTACGTCTCCTCTGCCCATCCTCCCATTTTCACAAGTCTGTCCGGGACCCTGTCTCCTTCGGCCTCCACCCCTGCTGCCATCGCTCCTCCCTCTCCCCTTCTTCCTTTTCCCCTCCCTCAGCCTACTGCGCCGCCTACCCCGCCCCCAGCCTTGCTGCCCTTTGGCTTCTCCTGTCCCGCATCATTACCCCGGCCCACAGCCCCATTTGCCTGCAGTCGCTGCCTTTGCTCCTGAGAAGGTCTGTAGCCTCGTTTCGGGCCCGTATTGAGCCCCCTTCTCCCTAAGTCCGGGTGGGCTTTGTGCAGGAGGGGCGGGAGGGGAGCTATTCTGGGCGAGGCTGCGTGGTGCGGTGCTTTCAGGCCTTTGGCCCCGCAGCAGGGGCGGCCTGTGCTTGGCGTGCAGAGTGCAGCTGGGTAGACGCTGTTACTGCATACGGGCCTGTGTGTCCCAGGCTGGGGCATGAGTGCTTGTGAGCGTGCAGATAGGGACACACCGGCCGCCTAGGCTGCTTCTAGGCCGGGGCACCCTCTCCACCTAGGTGCCCCCCAGGGATTGTGGGCAAATCCTCCCCAGGGGAGGAAGCTCAGGGGCTGTTGGGCGCCTAGGCCTCTTCCTGGTGAGCAGAGCCTCATCCATGGGGCCACTGACCCCACAGTTACCCCAGAACCCTTTCCTGGCACAGCTTGTGACCCGGGGCATGTAGCCCTTAAGGCACGTTCATTGTGAAGGGCAGGTTTTGTCTCCTCCAAACCCTCCCTTTAGGAATGCTGCCTGCTGCTTTGCCCAGAGTTGGCCCTGAGTGTTCCTATCAGGCCCCGTTCACTCTGGGGTGGATTAAACCACCTCCTGGAGGGTGCTGTATCCCCACTGTGCAATGGGGGTTTGTGCTGTGTGCATTCCTGCCTGGTCCTTGAGAGGTAAGGTCCATATTTTAACATAGAACCAGTTTTCCTGCCTGATCATATAGGTTTGCTTTTCCTGTTTTGGTTTTGCCGGACACATAAGTCATCATCCAAATGCTTGCCACTTAACTAGAGGGGACTTGGGCCAGGCGCTGTGGCTCATGCCTGTAATCCCAGCACTTTGGGAGGCCGAGGCAGGTGGATCACCTAAGGTCAGGAGTTCGAGACCAGCCTGGCCAACATGGCGAAAACCCCATCTCTACTAAAAATACAAAAATTAGCTGGGCGCCGAGGTGCACGCCTGTAATCCCAGCTGCCGGGAGACTAAGACAAGAGAATCACGTGAACCCAGGAGGCAGAGGTTGCAGTGAGCCGAGACTGAGCCATTGTACTCGAGCCTGGGAGACAGAGCGAGACTCTGTCTCACAAACAAACGAACGAACAAAACCAAGAGGGGACTTAGATGGATGCCACAGTGTTGTCTGAGATGGAGCCCACTTGTGGTGGTCTTGGTAGTCCCCTGGGCATATCCCAAAGGCCTGGGCTCCTCTGCTGTGGCAGCATGGCGGGAGCTGGACTCTGTACGTTGACTCAAAGGTCTCTATGTTTGGGCTAGTCTGGAAGTGTCTGAGAACTGGGGGCTTTTACTCAAAATGACATTGGTTGATTGCTACATAGGTGGTTGATCTTCCAGTTGCTGACAGGTGGAACCTGAGGCAGCAGGACAGCCTGGCATTGGCCACGGGACATCGGCCACAACCATAGCAACTTCGGCATCAAATGGGGCAGGAGAGAGAACATTAAGGTATCGTTCAAAGAATACTAGAGGTCTTGGATACTTCTGTATGCCTGTTCTTTATCTTGTCCTAAAAGATCTTCCGAGGGTCCCTTTAGGGCAAAACCAGAACCTTCTGTGTTGTTATAAAGGCAGGGTGGGTGTGCCATTCTGGGCATTTAAAGTGCAGACTCTAGACTTGTATGCATGCGTAGCCTCCTAGGTTAACATTTAAAATAGGCTCTGGGAAACCTAGTTTGGTGATAGGGAGACTGGGGACACTGATGGTGACCTGGTCCTAGGATGGGATGAAGGTAGCGAGGATGGGAAGCTAGAGGAGGCTAACCTTTGGGGTGTCTTGATGGCTTCTGAAAAGGGCCTCTCTGGCCCCCAGTACTAATACTTGTTATACCATGAACTTAAGCTGCTCTTGATGGGAGGGGAAAGAGAAGATTATTGTTAACAAACACTATTGCAGACAGTGCACATGCTGTCACATTTGGTCTTCACAACAACCCTGCAGGGTGGGGATTTATTTCTGTTTTGCAGATTGAAGAAACTGAGGCTCAAAGAAGTTAGGGGTCCACCTGTGAGTACATGCACAGGAAGGGGAAGAGCCCCCATTGGAAGCAGAGCCCTGCCCCTTCCTCCTCACCCCTGGCTCCCTGGGAGGCCCCTCCTCTGGCCCAGTCCACAGCACTGTGACAGGCAGTGTGGAAGCCTCTTTCCCCCAGTACTCCCCTCAGAGCCCTTCCTTCCTTCTGAGCTGGGAAGGCCAGGTTGTAGTTAGCCAGGCCAATCCATTGGGGTTCTGAATTAGCCACTTTCAGCTGTGTGTTCTTTGACATTTCTGAGCTGCTCCAGGCCTCAGTTTTGTCACCTGCCACTTGTGGAGGGGGAATGGGGAAGGGAACCAATAGATACATAGCCCACACGGGGGTCTCTGGGTGATGACTAGCCCTGGGTGCTGGGCAGCCCTCTGGTGAGACAGGCACAGTGGGATGCTCATTGCTCATGGCTTCTCAGTGGGTCTTGGTGGGGGTCTGAGGACCTCATTCCACCTGTCTCCTCAGGGGCCAGAGGCTGCTGGCCTGGCTGTTTATGGCCCCCCTCCCTGGGAGGGTGGTGGGGTTTGGCCAGAGGCTGTGTGGATGTCCAGATGGGGCCTCCCTGGGGTCTTGGACCTGCAACTGAGTGGTTGTCTCCCTGCCAGGGGCTGGCAGTGACCACAGCTGTCCCAGTCAGGAGGAACACCTCCTGCCCTCCTCATTCTTGCAGCCTCAGGAGCTGCTAAGAAGCATGTTGGGCAGGTGGAGATCCACTCAGTGACTTGTTCCATGGCATGTCATGAGCACGATTGGCAGGGCCAGGCCAGATCAGTAAAAAGGGTGAGAGCTGCGAGGCATAGGCCTGCTCAGTGCTCGAAGGGGAGAGGAGCTCAGCTGCCCCACAGGTGTGTGCCCTTGGGGGTCACTGAGCCTCTCTGAGCTTATGGAATTCTCCTGTCTGTAGAATGGAGATAATGACTGTCTCAAGAGGTTGCTTGCACAGTTATATGAGACAATGTATGCAAAGGATGTGGCACGTGTCTGGCCCTTGGCGAGTGATCAGGCCCTGGCAGCTGTTATTATCATCGCTGTTACGGGCTTTATTGCCCTCCTTTGTTTGTATGTCCATCTTAGAGCTCATTGAGGGCAGGGTCTGGGTCAGATTTCTCTCTTGGCTACTCCTCCTCTTCCTGATCCTCCCAGGGACAAGTCTGGCTTCAGCCCCGTGAAGCAGCTGGGATGGGACATCCTTACCAGGCCGGGGCTGTGTTCAGAGCTGCACAGTCCTGTACGGTAGCCATTAGCCTCATGTGGCCAGTTAGATTCAAATAAAACTTAAACATTCAGTGTCTCAGTTGCAGTAGCCCCCTGCTGAGTGCTTGGTACCCACATGCCATTGGTGCCTACCTATTGGACAGCACAGGGTAGAATCTTTCCATCATCGCAGGAAGTTGTGCAGAGCTGGAGTCTCAGGGACTACAGCACCAGTATCATCCTCACTGTGGCTCAGCAGCCACCAGCCATCTCCTGAGTGCTGGGCTGCCAGGACATTTGTAATTACACAGAAACCGAGTCCCACAGCCCTTCCCGAATTTCCTCTCGGGTAGCCTTGCTCACCTGGTCGGGGAGGTTGTTGCCTGGAAGTCTTTATCAGCCTAGGCTGGGAGGGCAGGGCTGGGATTGCCCAAATGCAGCTGCTGCCTCCTGTCCCCACCCTGTTTCTCCCACCTCTCCTGCCTGGCAAGGAGTCCCAGAGTGATCTCCCTAATTCACTGCTGTGGCCAGGGCCGAGGTGGCCCAGACACTTTGACCCCACTGCTCCCCTCATATGCTCTGGACACATGGCCTCTTTCCTCCTGCCCACTCCGCTCTCCACCTGAACACCTTCTTGCTTCTCTCACTCCAGGCCTGACTTACGTGGCTGGTCCTCCAGGAAGCCTTTTCTCATCTCTCACCCTCCGTGAGCTCTCCTGCCTTGGTGGTGCCCTCCCTCAGACCCCATTTTTGGCACTCAGTGCCCTCCTCTGTGGGTGTGTTCTTGTATTTGCTTGTTCTCTTGGTCAGGCACACAGCAGATAATCCTCTGAGTGCCGACGACACATCAGGTCAGTGCTGGGTGTTGGACAGCCAGAGGGGAGCAGGCCACAGGCCAGGCTTTGCCAACTTCAGGCCTGTGGGGAGGCTGACAGTTGGCCAAACTGTTCCATGCAGGCCCAATGCTCAGTCAGGGATGAAGGCTGCCTGGCTGGAGGGTCGGGAAAGGGGCCCCAGGAAGAGATGCAGAAGTGGAAAGGGCCAGAACTGGCTCTAGGCTGCAGCTGCCAGGTCCAGGGTGGTCTTTATGGCTGGGGGAAGTGACAGCGATGGTACGGAGGGTGGGGGACAATGAGGATGCAGGTACACTGGGCAAGAGGGGATTAAATGTCAGGCAGGATAGGTCTGATTGATGGTACTGGGTGGGCATCTTATCTCACTGCTGCACCGTCCCCAGGGGTACAGAAAGGTCTGAATGAATCCCATGTTCCCTAGCCCTACAGCTGGGCACGCAGTAGGGGCTCAGGAGATGCTGTGGAATCAATGACCAGATGCTGAATGAGTCCCTCATGGAAAAAGCTGATGCATGGGGCCTCTCCTTGCCCCTGGAGCTAGAGGTAGGAGTCAGGGAACCCCAGAGACATGCCAGCTCAGCAAGGCTAGGCCAAGGAGGATGGGGGTGGTTGTGGAAGCCCAGGGTGATTCTCAGTGTCCTCTGGTCATTGCTCCCTCGTCCTGTGAACTTTCTCTGAGCTCCCACTCTGTACCAAGGAGACCCTGTCCACAGTGAGTTGGATACTGCCAGTCCCAGGAGGAAGTAGCCCAGTATTGGCCTGTCCAGCTGTGCCCGTTAAGAGGCCATAGTGCTTCCGTGCTGGTTGACCAAGAGCTGTTATCCCACAGCCCCACCCCCTAGGGCTGCAGTTTCACCCCCAAAGCCCCAGCAGATTTGGCTCTCTCCCTTCCCCTCCCACACAAACCAGCCAGTAAAGAGTTGAGAGCTGATAGAGTGGCGGCCTCCAGGACCCCACCCTAGGGCAGATTCTAACTGCTTGAGACTGATGATGAGATAATTTGCAGTGTCATCCTTGTGTCTAATGTGAGATGACCTTGATTTGAAGTGTCTGGTGTCTTGTCACTCACTGCCTTGCATATGGTTCTGACCAGTCAGGCAGGCTGGGACTGAAGGTGGCTCCCTGGTGAACCTAGCACTGTGGGAGTTCATAGTAGAATCGGCTTAGGTGCTGCCACCCAACTCAACTCCACTCCCTCCCTTTCTCTCTTCTGCAGGCAGCCATGAGCTCCAGCCGCCCCGAGCCGGGTCCCTGGGCACCCCTGAGCCCCCGCCTTCAGCCCCTGTCCCAGAGCTCTTCCAGCCTGCTGGGTGAAGGCCGGGAACAGAGGCCAGAGCTCCGCAAGACTGCCAGCAGCACCGTGTGGCAGGCCCAGCTGGGCGAGGCCAGCACCAGACCCCAGGCCCCGGAGGAAGAGGGGAACCCGCCTGAGAGCATGAAGCCAGCACGGGCCTCTGGCCCCAAGGCGCGACCCAGTGCTGGAGGCCACTGGTGGAGCAGCACTGTGGGCAATGTGTCCACCATGGGCGGCAGTGACCTGTGTCGCCTGCGGGCCCCTAGTGCTGCTGCTATGCAGAGGAGCCATTCAGACCTGGTCCGTAGCACCCAGATGCGGGGACACAGTGGTGCTCGGAAGGCCAGTCTCAGCTGCTCAGCCCTTGGCAGCAGCCCTGTCCACAGGGCTCAGCTGCAGCCAGGTGGTACTTCTGGCCAGGGTGGCCAGGCCCCTGCAGGCCTGGAAAGGGACCTGGCTCCTGAGGATGAGACTTCTAACTCAGCCTGGATGCTGGGGGCGAGTCAGTTGTCAGTGCCACCACTAGACCTGGGGGACACAACTGCCCACAGCAGCAGTGCCCAGGCTGAGCCCAAAGCTGCTGAACAGCTGGCTACCACCACCTGCCATGCTCTGCCCCCAGCTGCTCTACTCTGTGGCATGAGGGAGGTGAGGGCTGGTGGCTGCTGCCATGCCCTACCTGCCACAGGGATCCTGGCCTTTCCCAAACTAGTGGCGTCAGTGAGCGAGTCTGGGCTGCAGGCTCAGCATGGGGTGAAGATCCACTGTAGGTTGTCTGGGGGGCTCCCTGGGCATTCCCATTGCTGTGCCCACCTTTGGGGTCCCGCTGGGTTAGTCCCAGAGCCTGGCTCTAGGACCAAAGATGTGTGGACCATGACCTCAGCCAATGACTTGGCCCCTGCAGAGGCATCCCCGCTGTCAGCCCAGGATGCTGGTGTGCAGGCGGCCCCAGTGGCGGCCTGCAAGGCTGTGGCCACCAGTCCGTCCCTGGAAGCGCCTGCAGCCCTGCATGTGTTCCCAGAGGTAACTCTGGGGTCCAGCCTGGAGGAGGTGCCGTCCCCTGTGCGGGATGTGCGATGGGATGCTGAGGGCATGACATGGGAGGTGTACGGAGCTGCGGTGGACCTGGAGGTGCTCGGTGTGGCCATCCAGAAGCACCTGGAGATGCAGTTTGAGCAGCTGCAGCGGGCGCCCGCCAGCGAGGACAGCCTGTCTGTGGAGGGCCGGAGGGGGCCACTGCGGGCTGTCATGCAGTCCCTGCGGCGCCCCAGCTGCTGCGGCTGCTCCGGCGCGGCCCCCGAGTGAGGAGCTGTGGCCCTTGGAGCTGGCCTGGGCCCACTGACTTAGTCCTAGACCTGGGCCAGGGACGGTGGGGGCTCCGTGCCCCCTGGACCCACCGGCAGCTGGGCACATCTCTCACCTGAATATTGGCTGCCTCCAGACCACAGGACTGCAGCCTGGGGCTTCCGGCCCTACACAGCTGGGCTGTTTTCTTAAGGGCTTGATTTCCAAGGGCCACATCTCTGCACCTTCCGGGCTCTGAACTTTGAGACAGGGCTTTAGCACTGTGCAGAGGGGAGATCCTGAGTTTTCTGTAAAAAATGACCTTTTGTTCACTCCACCCTCAGAACTCTGCCATGTTGCCTCGTCAGACTCTTGGTGGCTTTATTTGAAATCAGTGCTGAGAAATAGTGAATTCTCGACATGAAATGTGAGGCCCCAGTGACAGGGACTGCCCAGGTCTTTAGGGAAGGGGACTGATGTTATCAGAGGCCTCCTGTGTGCCACATACTGTGCTTGTCCTGTCTTCACCTCTTCATCCTGGCAAGCCTTCATTTGGCAAGGCTGTAGCCGATGTGCCCCACGCTGGACAGCTTGAAGAGGTGGGACTGAGATCCAAAGCCAGGGCCAGCTGAGCCGTGGGTGTTGCCCTGTAGCATGTGCCCGGTCCAGTCAGTGCAGTCATGTATGAGGAGAATTTACTGAGCTCATACTCTGTGCTGGGTTCTGTGGATTCTGTGGTGAATGAGACAGAGGCTGCCCCTGCCCTGGCTGAGCTCATGGTGTGGGTTGGGGATGGCAGGGGAGGATGCTGACCATTACGGAGGGCTGCCAGGCTTCCAGGGTCATTGTGTCAGAGGCTGGCCTGAGGAAGGGGAGAATGGGTGGCCACCTGCCCTAATCTCAGTTACAAAGCCTAAAATTGCACTATTTTCACCTCATTCTGTCGGCTGAAGGATTTCTCCCCAGCTGGTGCAGTTTGTGGAAGGAGGGAGGGCAGGAATGGAGGGGGACAGGGCAGGAGTTTGCCCTGGCCCTGGGGTAGGGGCTGTGAGGCTGTGGGGGCTCGCTTGCCCACATGACCTGACCTAGGCTAGGCAGTGGGGGCCAGGGGCCTTGGAGAGACAGAAACATGGGCTTTGGCACAGTCTGACTTCATTGCCCAAAGATTTCTCGAGGCCTGTGAAGAATGGGAGTGGGCTTGTGTTCTTGTCCTGGGTCTTTGTCTTGAAGATCCTAAGATCCCGTGACACAGCCCCCCAATCCACCCGTGTGAGGGACCAGAGGGCTAGTGTGGGGTCATGGCCCACGACCTGGCCTGTTTCTGGAGCCTCTTCTGCACCTAGGAGCCCAGGACCCCCACAGTGGTGGCTTACTTTTCCCCATCCTCAAGGACCTGGTACTCATTGAGGTGGAAATGACTCATGCAACAGTTGGTGAATTTGTAAAGCAGGAGTGGCATTTCAACAGGCCACAAGGACAAAGTGACAAAGGCGTGCGTCAGGTCAGATGCCTCCTGAAGCCCAACGATGGACCATTCTCACCCGTAAACATGCCTTTCCCATATGCATAGGTGCACCCCTTGGGATTCTGGGGCTGTCAGTCCCTTTGTGTATGGTGCCAGGGCAGGCAGCTCACGTTCTGGGGAGTGACACATGGGTATATGCCATCTTCATGCCTGGCTCCCCATGGAGTCTCCAGGAACCCCAGCCTGTTAGGGCCACATGAGAGAGAACAAATGGCTGTGGGTGCATGGGGAGGGACCTTTCACACAGGGCCATAGCTAAGTAGGGTCTTGAGGATGCAGGGGTTAGACAGGTGGGTGGAGAGAGGGCAGGACCTGCCTGGCAGATGGAACAGCCTGGTCAGATACTTGGATGTGCCTGTCCTGCCTGGGCCATAATGAGTTTCTGCAGTGGCGGCTCATTTGGAGCGTTTGTTGGGTTGGGAGGTGACCAGGGGTCCCCATTGTGAAGATCCTGATGTAAATGAGGAAAGGAACTTTAAGGGAACTGTGGAAGGGGTTCTGAGGTGGGACCAGATTTCAGTTTAGAAATATCCATTTGGCTTCCAGTGGAGATGTGCCAGGTGACACCAAGGAGGGGCCTGTTTAGGGGCAATGGAGTGGGCAGCTGGGGGCTGGGTTCATACACGTGCACACACACGCATACACAGGCACACATGTGTGCAATGGATTTGGGGAGGAGGCATTTCAGGATGCTGAGGTTTCCAGTTTGAGCAAGAGGAGGGTGAGGCCACTACCTGGGTCAAGGTGAATGGCATGTTCAGCAGGTGCAGAAAGGGCCACCTGCCACAGGGTTTGGCTGGGACCAGTGAAACCTACTTCATGAAGAGACTTTCTTCTGTGTCACGTGCAGATTCTTATGCATTCACGCTGGCTGGGTGCCACTCTGTGCTACCTCCATGCTGCCCTGGCTTGCCAGGATGGCAGGCCGGGCTGGGCTCAGCCAAGCTCCCACTCACCTCATCGTCACTGAGATGAGTATTTGCAGAGCGGTGCTGAAATCCAACACCTGTGTCTTGGCTGGGGCCCCAGATGATTCTCCTGGCTAAACCACGATCCTTGTCTCCCTAGCCCAGTTGCACAGCTGCTGCTGACAGGTCTACCTGAAGTGACTGCAGCCTCATTTCTGATTGGAACTGGAGACCCCTCCCAACCCCCTTTGCTGTGCCCTCTCCTGGAACAGCCCTGATGCCTGCAGTGGTTTAGGGCCCCAGAGCATGGCCAGCGGTTTAGTTTACAGATCTCCTCCCCTTGGACTCTAGATTTCTGGCCAGACTTTCTGGGTCCCTTTCAGGCCCTGCTCTGGGAGGTGTTGGAGTTCACTGTTGATGTGTTTGTTTGGCTTTGAATTCAAAACAGATACAAATTTGGAGGTGAGAGCTTTGCCAGACCCCAGCAGGGATGGGGCATCGGTCCTGACTGGTCTTGTTTATTTTGTCCTGGTAAATTCTGTTCTTTGGAGCATAAACCCTGGAGTCCTAGAGCCCCTTGCCTCAGCAGGAATCCCCCCTCTGTCTGCTCCAGGGGCTCCCTGCTTCTGCCCACCTGCTCTCCTTCCATGGCATTCAGGACCCCCGACAGCTGAAGCCTCTCTTCATATAGCTTGTCCCCTCTGGGCCTGCCTGTCTTGTGTCCAGGACACAAGACACGCATCCCTTGTCTGGCCCCAGGCTGCCATCACTGTCACAAGAAACTCATAGAGTAGAGCTGGTCTGAGGTCACAGTGCTGGTGGTGGTGGAAAAGCAGGGATGGCCTGTTCCACTGTGATCTTACCTCCTGTGTCACCTGGATTGGGTCTCTGTCCCCTTAGACATGCTAGATCCTAACTTTACAAGGGCTGAAGGGGTCTTCTACACGCAGGTCCCAACACTTTGGGCTGGGGTTGGCCACCGTAGCTTAGTGGGCTAAAGCTGGAGTTTGAATCTGGATATATAGGATCCACACCTATAGCCATGTGATCTTGGGCAAGTTACAAGCCTTGATCATCTTCCTCATCTGTAAGATGGGGATGACAATGGTGCCTCCTTCACATGCTTGGTGTGGAGATTAAATAGAATAACCCAAGTAGTGCCTGGCACTGAGTTAGTGCTCAGCACACAGGCTGGTAGTGTTGGGCACCCCTCTCATAGCCACATTCAGGGGCCACCTCTTACCCTGCCAGCTTGGCTGTGATCACAGCCCACATCCCACTTCCTTAAAAGTCCCTTGTTCAGAGCCTCTTTCCAGGTTCCTCGCCCCACAGCTTTGCACCCTGCCTGGGACTTGGCCCTCTGGCTGGGGCTTCTGAAAATGTAGTTCCCAGAGTGCATTGAGGAGGGCTACCCTAGCCCTCACCACTCATCTTGGGCTGGGTTCCCCAGAAGCTTCTGCTGAGATGAGGATGCTGGAGTTATTAGGGAGGGGAGAGCAAGTTAAGGGAGGGGCAGAAGGCAAGGCAGGGTGTGATTTCAGTCCAAGTCAGACCCTAAAGGGGAGCCCTGGATGCAGTCCCACCTCAGAGTAAGGACTACCCAGGGGTGAAGATGTAGCCTCCAGGCACTTCTGCTCTCTGGCAGGCAGGCTAGGAAGCTCTAGGAGCCCCAGGGTAGGTTTCTGCTGGAGTCGTAGGGCCTATTTTGGGGGAAGTTGTGCACAGAAACCACCAGAGGGAGTCACAGGCATCTGGGGGTGCACCCATTGACATTTGCATCCATGTCATGCCAAGCTTGTAGCCCACAAATGCCCAACCCTTTTCTCCATGCATTGCTCTGTCTCAGTTTTGTTCACGCCAAGCAGCCTTGGTTAGTTAAATGCAGAGCTTGGCATTTGCCCATGTTAAATTCCTTCTCCTTTTTCATTCTGGCCTGGCCTGGTTTTGCCATCTGAAGCTATGACAAGTCCTTTATCAGTTTTCATCCAACTTGTCAGGCAGGGCAGGGCTGGTATGAAGCCCAGGACATATCACTGGGACATCCCATAGGTCTGTGAGATTCCCAGGTCCCTCCAAATCCACACGGTCATCATGGGCAAATTAGTTTAAGTCTGATCTGTTAAGATCCAGATCTCTCACACCAACAGCACACACCCCTTTTTCCCATGGCCATGGAAGGAGGGTAGCATAGCCTGACTCGAGTCCTCGTTCTCAGCAGAACTGGTTCTGTGGTGGCCACTTCCCTTTCTCAACTTTTACCTACTTCTGTTTAATAGGTTGTTCTGCAAGTCTGAGAGCAACAGCAAGCTTAGAAGTGTGGACTCAGCCTGGTACAGTGGCTCATGCCTGTAATCCCAGCACTTTGGGAGGCTGAGGTGGGCTGACTGCTTGAGCTCAGGAGTTCGAAACCAGCTTGGGCAGCATGGAGAAATCCCATCTCTACAAAAAATACAAAAATTAGCTGGGCATGGTGGTGTGCATCTGTAGCCTCAGCTACTCAGGGGGTTGAGGTGGGAAGATGGCTTGAGCCCAGGAGGTGGAGGTTGCAGTGAGCCGAGATAGTGCCACTGTGCTCCAGCCTGGATGACGGAGCCAGACCCTGTTTCAAAAAAAGAAAAAGACAAGAAAGAAGTATGGACTCTACCTTCTTGCCCTTGTGGAGATTGGGAACTGCCTGCCCTTGGCCTCTTTCCTGTCCATCTTGTATTATGAAAGGCTGTTTCTGGCACACCCGGGCTCCTCTGTGTGGTTTCTGGGAAGTGACTGAGGGTCAGGGGAATGGAGCCCCTCTGCAGCCGGCCGCTGGTACCTTCCCTATTGAACCCTTCTTTAGGTTTGCTCACTCTTTTTGATGGGTGTCTTTCCAAAGCTGGCTGGGGACCTCCCTGATTGAGAGACATGGGGCCAGTTCTGTTGCTGTGGCTACACGGGAATAATAAAGCAGAAGAACACCTGAGGAAAGCTGATGTTTACTAAAAAAAAAAACAAGCGAAACCAAAGTGACGTGGGCCCATAGGATTGGGGATGGGTGGTGGGGTCTGACTGCCTTGTCCCAAGAGTTGGGTGAATGCCGCCTTTGCTCACTTGTGCGGTCACTCTCCAGGACTCCTGCCTGGCTTCTCCCACTCCAAGCCCGAGATAGCCCAGCAAGGAGGAAGGTCTGGCCCCAAAATACGAGCTCCCCAAGTGGATATCCTAAAATTCATCTTTCATGGCCCTACTTTATTGGGAGGGAATGTGAAAATTGTGGGAATATGTCCATTGACATCTGGGGCTCAGGGCAGGGGAGTGTGTCTAGTTTTAAGGTGTGCGCTTTTAGCCATGCAGTCATCGCCCAGTCTGTCCTGCCTGGAGCTTTTCATTTCCCTGCAGCTTTCCTGAGAAAAGACAGAGTGTGCTTTCTCTGCATCCTATGAACATGGCCCCAGGACTGCAGCACCTCTGTGTGCACACAGCCAAGGACAGTCGGGGGACCTCTGCTGGTCCTGCACCCGCTGCCCTGGGTGCTCTGTCATCCCCATCCCCCATTTCTCTTTAATCTGTTCTTCTTTTGTGGTTTCATGTTCTCTTTGTTCTGGGTTATTCAGAACCTGTCTGCCTCCCCACTGTCCATTGTACTTGTTCCTGCCTCCTCCTGCTTTGTGCCAAGGATTTACTTGCCTTCGCCTTCTGGCTCCATACAGTAGTCTCTCTTCTTGCGGTCTTGGCCATTCCCCCCACCAGGCCCCCAGCTGTGGCTGTGTCTGGGTCTTGGCATTTGTGATTTACATGGGTCTAGGCCCTTTCTCTCCACCTGTCCTTCCCCTCTTTGGACACAAACCAAAACATCTGAGCATCTCCTTACAGAGGGAGGTCTCCCTGGGGTTGCTGTGCCAAGTTTCCATTGCTTTTGCCCAGAATGAGAAATCAGTTGTCAGTGGCCCTGCTGGGTGAATGGAAGGACTTTGGTCGGGCTGGAAGGGCACCCCATCAGTCCTAACTTTTGGTGGCCCTTGTTGGTGGCTGGCTGGCTAGGCTGCTAGAGAGGTACATCAGGTGGGTGGCACCCATCTGCTGGCTTTAGGCAGGCCATCTCCTCATCCATGTTTTCAGAATCTTCTTGCATGGCTTGTAATTGGGTTGGGGTGTGGCCTGAGCCCCTGTGGGGACACACTGCACTGTCCCACCTGTATGCTTCTCTGCTGTCAGGAACTGGATTCGTGTCCAAGAGCCAAGGCTAGGGACTGGAGGAGGAGATTTCTGTCTTTGACCCCTCCATATTAGTCCATTTTCATGCTGCTATAAAGAACTGCCTGAGACTGGGTAATTTATAAAGGAAAGAGGTTTAATTGACTCACAGTTCCACGTGGCCCGGGGAGCCTCAGGAAACTTACAGGAAGCCTCAGGAAACTTACAATCATGGCAGACAGCGAAGGAGAAGCAAGGCACCTTCTTCACAAGGCAGCAGGAAGGAAAATGAATGCAGAAGGAACTACCAAACACTTATAAAACCATCAGATCTCGTGAGAACTTACTATCACAAGAACAGCATGGGGGAACCGCCCCCACGATTCCATCACCTCCACCTGATCTCTCCCTTGTCACATGGGGATTATAGGGATTACAATTCAAGATGAGATTTTGGGTGGGGACACAGCCAAAGCATATCACCCTCCCAGGCCTGAGCAAGGCCCAAGCAGGGAGCCTCTGTTGGGGCTGGAACCCTGGGAGGGGTAGAATTCTCCCCTCCACTCAGATTTGTTCCCTGTTGCTGCCCACCTGGCCCCTGCCCTGCAGCCTTCTGCCTGGCCTTCTCTCTGTTCACTTCTCATTTTTAGCAGTCAACAGACTGGGAGATGGTGGCCAAGGGTGTCATTTTGTACACAAGCTTTGTGGCTTTTGTAAGCCCAGCCTGCAACTCTTGAGGAAAACTCTTTGGTTTGATTTTTTTTCTCTTCAGAGTTGGGGGTATTCAGGGAGATGGGCAAGGGCTTCTTGTGAAGATTTCAATTCTTGAAGGGGTGGAAGCCTCCTGGGCTGGGGGAAGGGGTGGGGCAGGAACCAGCAGGGGTGTGGACACAGGGGGCTGGCACCTGGGATACCGTAGGACAGCTGGGCAGGAAGTCGGATGCTGCTTTATTGAAATTTTTGATATTTTATCATTTTTTCATTAGTTTTTATTTTAAAACACTGCTTTAAAATAATTAAAATATGATTTATCTTGGTTACCGAATCACTTAGTGTTGCCTTAAATTTTGCGCCTAGTCCCTGCCTGACCTTTCCTCCTCCTCTCCCAGGGCTTTAGGTACTCTTAGTCCCTGTGTCATAGGGACTGGGAGCAGATAGGCCCCTCCGCCCACCCCACCCCTCCCCCACCCCTCGCCCACCCCTCCCCCACCCCTCCGCGTTCCTACTCTAATCTCCTACCCTGATCTGCGGTGCAGGGCGGCGCTGGAGAGGGTGGCTTGCGGCTGATCCCGCGGTCTGGTTTGCGGCTAGGTGTGTGTCCCCGGACTGGCGTGGGTCCCGGGCCAGGCGTGGTCCTGGGCGGCGCGGCCCGTGACAGGACCCGACGCCTCCTGGTGGGCATTTCGCTCCAAGCCGGGACCCTCGGAGCCTGAGGGGATTCGGGAGGGAGGAGTCGCCGTGGGGCGGGGCGGGGCGGGGCGGGGGAGGGCTCCCAAGGCCCCGAGGACAGTCCCACCCTCACCGACAGGACCGTCCCTGCGCATCCCCCACCCTTCTTCATCTTCGGGCGCTCGGGCCAACCTGGACAGCAGGGCGGAAGCTTCCAGAAAGGACAGAGATGGAGAAGGTGGGAAGGGTGGGGCTCAGGCAGGGGACACCACGGCCTTAGGAATGGAAGACAGGCCCCACTTACCTCTTCGACTCCAGATGCAGCTCATCCTCACGAGGGGCTGGATGAAGAGGACTTCCTCTCTTTCCCCCCTAAGCTGTGCCTCTGAGCCTCTGTGCAAATATGGTGGTGCAAACCTTTGGTCTGCCTTCATCATTTTGTTGTTGTTGTTGTTGTTGAGACGGAGTCTTGCAGGCTGGAGTGCAAGTGGCACAATCTCGCTCACTGCAACCTCAGCCTCTGGGTTCAAGCGATTCTCCTGCCTCAGCCTCAGCCTCCCGAGTAGCTAGGACTACAGGTGTGCACCACCAGGCCTGGCTAATTTTTGTATTTTTAGTAGAGATGGAGTTTAACCATGTTGGCCAGGCAGCTCTTGAACTCCTGGCCTCAAGTGATCCACCCTAATAAACTTGCTTTCACTTTACTCTGTTGGCTGGCTCTTGAATTCCTTCCTGGGTGAAGCCAAGAACCGACGTAGCCTCCCAGGCTGAACCTCAGTTTGGGGCTTTACCCCATGACACCCGCAAAGGGCTGGGCTTCCCTTCTTCTTGGGGAGAGGGTCAAGGAAGTGGCTGTATCTTGAACACCCATTCCTCTTTCCTTCCATGCGCACAAGGCCTCTCTGAGCTGCTGTCTTCCTTAGGACACTTTCAGCTACAAGTAAGTTAATTTTGAACTGAAAGTTAGCTAAACAATTATTATAGAATGTTCACCTTCCCACTGAAGAATTTAGGAGGTAACTGGCTTCTGGGTGGGCTGTGTGGCTCAGTGTGGACATGGATTCAGGTTCTTTCCATATTTGTGCTGTGCCATCTTTAGAGCGTAGTGAAGGCTGTCCTTAGCCCCACGATGGCTGCTGCATTTCAACTCTGGAATTCAGTTGCTGGAATTCACACTCCAGTCTGTGTGACTCCAGGGCGGTCATTTTGTTTGTCTTTTCAAAAATGAAAGTAATACGTACTTATGATAAGAATTTAAAACAGTACAGACCTCGGCCTTTTGTTTTATTCATGATAGGAATTTCAAATACTGTGTAAACTGAAGGTCTGATCCTCGCCCTTGTCTGGAATTCCCGCAGATTACCACTGAAGATGTTAATAATTTCCATGGGCCTTCCACAAACTTCCTTGGTAATCACAAGCTCAGACCTCTGAATATTCCATACAAGTGAGATCCCACTTAGATACTATTCTGTATTAATTCTTTAAGATAGGCCAGGCATGGTGGCTCATGCGTGTAATTCCAGCACTTTGGGAGGCTGAGGTGGGAGGATCACCTGAGGTCAAGAGTTCCAGACTAGCCAGGCCAACATGGTGAAATCCTGTCGCTACTAAAGATACAAAAATTAGCTGGGCGTGGTGGCGGGTGCCTGTAATCCCAGCTACAGTCAGGAGAATCGCTTGAACCCAGGAGGTGGTGGTTGCAATGAGCTGAGATTGTGCCGCTGCACTCCAGCCTGGGCAACAGAGCGAGACTCTGCCAAAAAAAGAAAAAAAAAATTAAGATATGTCTTGTAGATAATACTGCCACATATAACAATATTTTCTTTATTTTCTTCCTGGGCATATTGTATGGCATAGTATACAAGTGCCTTTTAAAATTAAACCAGACTTCTTTTTCTGGACTTTATGTTACACCTCACATTTTTTTTAACTTAATAGATTTATTTCTTAGATGAGATTTAATTAAGAGAAAAAGTATGCAGAAAATACAGAGTTCCCCTACACTTTCTCACTCTCATACACTTTCTCCTATTATGAGCTTGCATAGTGTACAACATGGTACATTTGTTACAATTAATGCACCAATATTGATGCATTACTGTTTCCTAAAGTTCATGGTTTAAAGTTTACTCTTTGTGTTGGACACTTCTCTGGATTTTGAAAATCCATGTGGTGTATCTCCCACTCCAGTAGCATACAGAATAGTTGGACCACCTAAAAATCCCCTGTGCTCCGTCCATTCACCCCTCTTACCTTCCCCAGGACTCCTGGCAACCACTGATCTTTTTACTGTCTCTATAGTTTTCCTGAATGTCACAGAGTTGGCTTCATGTAGCATGTAGCCTTTTCAGACAGGCTTCTTTCACCTAGCAATATGGATTTAAGCTTCCTCCATGTATTTTCATAGCTTGAGAACTCATTTCTTTTTAGTGCTGAAAAATGTTCTGTTGTCTGGGCATACTGCCATTTATTCATCTACCAAAGGGCATCTTGGTTGCTTTCAGGTTTTGACTATTATGAATAAAACTACTATAAATATTCATGTGCAGGTTTTGATGTGGACATATGTTTACTTCAGTTGGTTAAATACGCAGGGCAACATTGCTGTAAGACTATGTTTAGCTTCATAAGAAACTGCCAAACTATCTCTGTACAATTTCGTATTCCTACTAGCAATGAATGAGAGTTCCTTTTTCTCATATAAAAATAAATATCCTTGTATGTATAGTTTTATGTTCAGGTGTGAGTATATCTGTAGGATAAATTTTTCATCAAGTGGTACATGTAAAATATCTACCGGTATTGGCAAATTGCTCCCCAGAAAGATTGCACCAATAATACATGAAAACGCATATTTTCTCATACCCACGCCAATATTTGATTGTTAATCGAACTTTAATATTTTGGCTAATTTGATAAGTGAAGGAACAATGTCTTCCTAGTTATTGTGATTTGCAATCTGTTCCCTGTGAGTGAGGTTGTGGTCTGCCGGACTGCGTGAGTGAGAATTCCTGTTCTGGCACTCTCAAGCTGTGTGATGCTGGGAAAGTTGCTGAACCTCCCTGGACCTCAGTTTCTTCATCTATAGAATGAGGATGGTAATGGGTCTTTACCTTATTAATTGGATTGGAGGATTTAATGGCATCATTCATGTAAAGTGCCAGCACAGTTCCTGGCTCAAAATAAGGGCCAAGTAAATGTAAGCTATTATTATTCTCCAATATGTTCATAAGCACTTGAATTTCTTCATTTCTGATCTGCCTATGTTCATATCAATTTCCCAGGATTTTTTCTTATTGATTGGTTAGAGCTCTTTGTATATTAATAACATACGTTTATTTTTTTCATATAAGTTACAAGTATTTTTTTATTCCAGTGTTTCATTTGTCTCCTGTTTATCAGATCCTGGCTCCAAACCAGTGCAACATCCTTCTCAGGGACACAGCATTTTAAATCTTACAAAGCCCCTCATTTCCCATCTGTCATTTATGTCTCAGGACATCCACATGAGGCAAGCTGATGTATTTTTCAGTAAAGAAGGAGACTTTATTGACCAGGCAGGGCGAGTGACTTGCCTAAGGGCACAGAAGGAATTAGTGGTTTGTACAGACTGAAATGGAGGGTCCTGGCCCCTAGGTACCACCTCCTCCACTCTTAAAGAAGGGGAGAGGGAATCTGGAGGTGCAGGAAGGAAAAGGTCAAGGTCATCATGACAGACAGCCTCACCCCATCCCCTCTCAGAACCCAAGAGCCTGGGTCCTTTTTTTTCTGTTAAGTTCTGACCATTCTCTCCTGATAAATCAAGGGAAGAATGCGAGTAAAGGGTATGTGTTACTCGGGCGAGACTCCCTGCTTGGAAGGTCTAGGAGGGGAGGTATGTGTGTGAGTGTGTGTGTGTGTGTGTGTGTGTGTGTGTGCATTCTTTCTGTCAAGTTGCCCAGCAGGTGAGCTGAAAGCTGGCTCTCTTAACTTGGGGATGAGCAATAGAGTCAGGTCTCGGTTCGTCATTTTCCAATTTCATCAGCTTTGAAAATATTTTAATAATAAAATCCAAGCATTTGATTTTCCTGACTAGTTGTTTATTCTGATTTATTGGCTATGCATGGTGCCTGAAGCTCCTCCAAACTCCCAAGGGTATCCCTGCATGTCTCAGGATGTCTCTTAACCCAGTGCCATGTGAGGGACAGAACCTAGACCAGGCATTCAGAGCCAGGTACCATTGTGCCTACCCTACTCACTGCTAGATGATGCTAGTGAGGTGCTCACACCTCTCTGGGCTTAGTCCCTCCATTGTAAGGCAAATGGGAGGCCTGCTGCCTCTGCCTTGCTGGGTTGTTGGTATGGCTGAAATGAGGGGATGAAGGTGATGTGGAAAACTTGATAGGAGAGTGGCTGCCGTGTGTCCATTCTGGTCTCCTTTGTCTCATGTCAAGCCCAGGGACTGGTTCTTTTTCTCTCTTCGGGTCTGTGACTTCTGGGAATCCTGCTTGCCTCGGTGCCCCCTGGTGAGGTGGTGCCATATAGGTTGCTTTAGCACATCACCGAGAGGGACTCTCCAAACCCTATGCTAAGTGTTCACCGCCAGAACACTTGCATTTGGGCCAGACCGGGCTAGGGTACCTAACCATAGCTTCCTGGGTTCATTTCACAGGGTGGACAGCAACTGAGAGATGTCCAGGGAAATTTCCCTTTTTAAGAGATAGGGGTTCTGGGGCCCATAAGGGCAGGAAGTATCCCCAACCACAGGCAAGTTCATGAAGCCCATAGGGAGTAGGATGGAGCCAGTTGCCAGGAGCAGGGAAAGGTTCATGTCTTTGCTCCTCCATGTACCCAGGGACTCAGCACCACCTGCAAGTTGATGGAAAGGCAGAATCTCAGCACACTCTGAGCCCCCGAATCAGAGTCTGCATTTTAACAGAACCCCTAGGTGAGGCAGAAGCCCACTACTCCAGTATCATTCATTCATTCACTCACCTAGCAAACATGCCTGAGGCCGACTCTGTGCCGTGCCCTGTGCTGACGAAGACCGGCCAAAAGACCTTGTTCTGGTCTTCCTGAAGCTCAGGTGGAGCAGACACCCCAACGGCCAACAAATGTGAAGATTGAGAACTGTGATGGGAGCCTGAGGTGGGAGCAGCTAAGCTTCCCTGGGGAATTGGGGGTCAGGGAAGTAGTCCCAAGAGGCTGAGTACCTCCTGTGTGGCAGGGGCAGGGTGGCCTTTGCTCCCTAGTATCTTTTTTTTTTTTGAGATGGAGTCTCACTCTGTTGCCCAGGCTGGAGTGTAGTGGCGCTACCTTGGCTCACTGCAACCTCCGCCTCCCAGGTTCAAGTGATTATTCTGCCTCAGCCTCCCAAGTAGCTGAGATTACAGGTGCCCGCCACCATGCGTGGCTAATTTTTGTATTTTTGCTAGAGACGGAGTTTCGCCACATTGGCCAGGCTGGTCTTGAACTCCTAAC
Organism: Homo sapiens; assembly: GCF_000001405.40. Lineage (NCBI taxonomy): Eukaryota > Metazoa > Chordata > Mammalia > Primates > Hominidae > Homo > Homo sapiens. The sequence continues at coordinate 46,535,928 of NC_000010.11, read as the reverse complement.
CTCAGGTGATCCACCCACCTTGTCCTCCCAAAGTGTTGGGATTACAGGCTTGAGTGACTGCGCCCGGCCTGTGCTCCAGTATCAAAACCTGCAAGCACCTACAGAGTGGAGGGTGCTATGGTCAGGGTGGTGCTCAGGTCCAGACTGATGGAGGAACCTGAGCAGGGGCGGGGAGGCATTTCAGGAAGAGGGAGCAGTTGCTCCTGCACAATTTTGTTGCATCGGGCCAAGCAGGAAGGCTGGAGAGGTGAGGAAGAGCCCCGGGGGAAAGCATGGACCATCAGGGAAAAGTCAGACATTGCCCTGTTGCTAAAGGCACTCCTGGATGGGTTTTAGCCCGGGGAGACCTGAATCAAATTAGGGTGCATAGAAAGACCATGATATCCCCTTGATGGGGAGGAGAAAGAGGAGAAACAGGAGGACTAGGAGGGAAAGCCGAGGCGATTTGACTCAGCATGAGTGAGATGTGGGGCAGGGAGAGAGAGAGAGAGAAAGACACAAAGAGAGAGACAAGGAGAGACAAAGGGGAGAGAGAGAGGAGAGAGAGAGAGAGAACAGAGAGACAGAGGAGAGAAAGAGACAGAGGAGAGAGAGAGGGGAACAGAAGAAAGAGAGGCAGAGAGACAGTGAAGAGAGAGAAAGAGAGAGAGATTGAGAAAGAAACTTTGCATCCGCAGGCCTGGGCCCCATGCAGCACTGACAGTGGTAGGCAGCCGACGTGAAGCAGGAGGCACAGGCAGGGAGGATGGACACAGCACCTCCCACAGCTTCTGAGTCCTTGGTGCAGAATGTTTATGGCACTTTTCTTCGTTCTTTCTTAAGACTTATTTAGTACTCATCTTTTCTCCTTTACTCCATTGTGAGCTTCCCAATGATAGGGGCACTGTCTCTCTCATGTCTGTCTTCCCACATTGCTTATATCTAGGATGGGAAATGCAAGGCTCCCAGGCAATGCTTAGTTAAAGGGGCAAAGGGCTGTGGTCTTGTCTTAAGTCTCTGCCAGGCTGAATGCCTAGAACTTGGCCCTCAGGAGGGCCTGAGTCACTGTGGGACACAGACTTTTAAAAGGTGAAACAGCCACCAGCCAGGGGTGAGGAACTAACAGCAGACACATTGCCTGATTTTAAGATGTACTATAAAGCTACAGTAATCAACTAAGTGTGGTATTGGTAAAGAATAGACATAGATCAATGGAACAGAATAGAAAATTCGGAAGCAGATCCACACATGCACAGCCAATTGATTTTCAACAAAGATGCAAAAGCAATTCAATGAAGATAATCTTGCTAACAAATGGTGCTAGAAAAATAGAATACCCATATGCAAACAACTTATTTATTTATTTATTTATTTATTTATTTATTTTGAGGCATGTCTTGTTCTGTTGCCCAGACTGGAGTGCAGTGGCGCAATCTCTGCTCACTGCAACCTCCGCCTCCCAGGTTCAAGCAATTCTCCTGCCTCAGCCTCCCAAGTAGCTGGGATTATAGGCGTGCACCACCACGCCTGGCTAATTTTTGTACTTTTAGTAGAGACAGGATTACACCATGTTGGCCAGGCTGGTCTCAAACTCTTGACCTCAAGTGATCCGCCCACCTTGGCCTCCCAAAGCGCTGAGATTACAGGCATGAGCTACCACGCCCAGCCTATTTATTTGTTTTCTTTGTATAAATTTAGGGGGTCCAAGTGCACTTTTGGTACATGGATGTATTGCATAGTGTGAAGTCTTGGCTTTTAGGGTGGCCATGACCCGAACAGAGTGCACTGAACCCTGTAAGTAACTTCTCATCCCTCGCCCTGCTCCCACCCTGCTGCCCTTCTGAGTCTCCACTGTCTATTATGCCATGCCGTATGTCCATGTACACACATTATTTAGCTCTCACTTGTAAGTGAGGACAAGCAGTATTTGACTTTCTGCTTCTGAGTTATTGCCTTAAGGTAATGGCCTCCAGTTCCATCCATGTTGGTGCAAAAGCCATTATTTCATTCTTTCTTATGGCTGAATAGTATTCCACGGTGTATGTGTACACACACACACACACATCTATAAAATATATTTTCTTTACTTAATCATCTGTCATATACAAAAAAGATTTATCTTGATTCATACTTCGCAGCATATATAAAAATGAACCCAAAATGGATCACAGGCCTAAATGTAAAATTGAAAACTAACAGATACAAACAAAGAAGAAAATGTGTGACCAGGGTTGGGCAAATATCTCTTAGATGTGACACAAAAGCATGGCCTACAAGAGAAAAGTGAATAAACTGGCTATCTTTTTTTTTTTAATTATTATTATACTTTAAGTTCTAGGGTACATGAGCACAATGTGCAGGTTAGTTACATATGTATACATGTGCCATGTTGATGTGCTGCACCCATTAACTCGTCATTTACATTAGATATATCTCCTAATGCTATCCCTCCCCTACCTCATCCCACAACAGGCCCTGGTGTGTGACGTCCCCCTTCCTGTGTCCAAGTGTTCTCATTGTTCAGTTCCCACCTACGAGTGAGAACATGCGATGTTTGGTTTTTTGTCCTTGCGATTGTTTGCTGAGAATGATGGTTTCCAGCTTCATCCATGTCCCTACAAAGGACATGAACTCATCATTTTTTATGGCTGCATAGCATTCCATGGTGTATATGTGCCACATTTTCTTAATCCAGTCTATCATTGTTGGACATTTGGGTTGGTTCCAAGTCTTTGCTATTGTGAGTAGTGCCGCAGTAAACATACGTGTGCATGTGTCTTTATAGCAGCATGATTTCTAATTCTTTGGGTATATAGCCAGTAATGGGATGGCTGGGTCAAATGGTAATTCTAGTTCTAGATCCCTGAGGAATCGCCACACTGTCTTCCACAATGGTTGAACCAGTTTACAGTCCCACCAACAGTGTAAAAGTGTTCCTATTTCTCCACAACCTCTCCAGCACCTGTTGTTTCCTGACTTTTTAATGATCGCCATTCTAACTGGTGTGGTGGTTTTGATTTGCATTTCTCTGATGGCCAGTGATGATGAGCATTTTTTCATGTGTCTGTTGGCTGCATAAATGTCTTTTTTTGAGAAGTGTCTGTTCATATCCTTTGCCCACTTTTTGATGGGGTTGTTTTTTTCTTGTAAATTTGTTTGAGTTCTTTATAGATTCTGGATATTAGCCCTTTGTCAGATGAGTAGATTGCAAAAATTTTCTCCCATTCTGTAGGTTTAAACTGGCTGTCTTTAAAATTAGAAACTTCTAAGCTGGGCACAGTGGCTTACGCCTGTAATTCCAGCACTTGGGGAGGCCAAGGCAGGAGGATTGCTTGAGCCCAGGAGTTTGAGACCAGCCTAGGCAACATAGAGAGACCCTATCCTTATAAAAATAAAAAATAAAAAAATTAACCTTGTGTGGTGGCATGTGCTTGCAGTCCTAGCAACGTAGGTGGCTGAGGCAGGAGGCTGAGGTGGGAGGATCACTTGAGTCCAAGAGGTCAAGGCTGCAGTGAGCCATGATTGTGCCACTGTACTCCAGCCTGGGCAACTGACCAAGACCCTGTCTGAAAAACAAAATCCAAAACTTCTACTATTTGAAAGACACAGTTAAGGAAATGAAAAGACAAACCATAGAGTGGAAGAAAATATTTTCAAAACACATATCTGATAAATAACTTGTATTAAGGATATATGAAGATCTCTCAAAACTTAACAATAAGAAAACAAGCAACCCAATTTAAAAATGGGAAAATATTTGAACAGATGCTTCATCAAAGGAGGTATATGACTGGCCAATAGTTATGTGAAAAAATGCCCAACATGCTTAGTTATCAGGGAAATGCAAATTAAAACCATAAGATCAGACCAATGCATACAAAATGGAGTGGCTTAAAAAAACCCTAACAGTACCAACTGCCTTGAGGGTTCTCAGTACCAACTAAGAACTCTTGTACACTGCTGGTAGGAATACAAGATGGGATCACCACTTTGTCAAACTCTGTGGAAGCTTCTTATAAAGTCAAACAAATATTTACCACATGACTTACCAAACATACTGCTAGGTACTTACCCAAGAGAAGTGAAAAATTATGTTTGCACACAAGCCTATCCACCAATGTTTACAGTAGCTTTATTTATTATCACCGAAACCTGTAAACAACCCCAAAGCCCTTGAACAAACTCTGGTATATTTATGTAATAGAATGCTTATCAATAAAAAACAATGAACTAATTATATATATATATATATATATATATATATATATATATATATATATGATGGATAAATCTCAAATGCATTCTGCTACGTGAAAGAAGCCAGACTCAACAGCTGCGTATCTGAATTATTCCATCTGTGTGAATTCTGGAAAAGGGAAAACTATTGGGATAGGAAATAAAGGAGAGCTTGCCAAGGGCTGGAGAGTAAGGGAAAGGCTGACTACAAAGAGGCTCAGATGGATTTGGGGAGTGAAAGTGTCCTATATTTTTACTGTGATGGTAACATGGTTGCGTTTGTCAAAACTCATAGAATTGTACACTAAAAAGAGTAAATTTTATCATACACTTATATCTTAATATACTTTTCAGAAAGCAAAGTATGTAATTATACAGATCAACAGGAAGAACAAATAAAACCATACAATACTCACACCTGCAACATAACTAGAAGACACAGAACACTATAATCTTCCAATTACCCAAGAGAATAAAAATAAGCAACCATTACCAGTGGAGCTCTTTCTGAAGTTTCTGCCCCAAACCTTGTCACCGAGTAAGGCAGAGCCTGGATAAAACTGCATGGGAGGTGCATGGATCACCTGAGGTCAGGAGTTGGAGACTAGCCTCGACAACATGGAGAAACCCCGTCTCTGCTAAAAATACAAAAAATAGTCAGGCGTCGTAGCGCCCGCCTATAATCCCAGCTACTAGGGTGGCTGAGGCAGGAGGATTGCTTGAACCCCAGGGGCTGAGGTTTCAGTGAGCTGAGATGGCGTCACTGCACTCCAGTCTGGGCGACAGAGCGAGACTCTGTTTCAAAAAACAAAACAAAACAAAACAAAAAAACAACAACAAAGAGAAAAACTGCATAGGAGAGAGAACAGGGGAATAGAGTGCTCAAGACTGAGCTAAAACCATCCCCAGAAAGACTGGAAACAGCCTAGTTGTCCTTCAATAGCTGGATAGTTAAAGGTTAGACCAGCATGGTACATCCATGCCCCAAAATGCTGCTCAGTAGTCAAAAGGAAGGAACTGTTGTCTCAGAATGCGGATGGATCTCCAGGTCATTCTGCTGAGTGAAAACAGACAATCTCAGAAAGCTATCTTTGTGTGATTCCATTGATGTAACACTCTTGAAACAAAATTTTAGAAATGGAGAGCACATTAGTGGTTGCCAGGGGTTAAGCAGATGTGGCTGTAAAAGCGCTGCGGGAGGGATCCCGCGGTGACGGAGCACTCTGTATCCTGACTGTATCCATGTCAACACCCTGGTTGTGATGTGGTCATACAGTGTTGCAAGATGTTACACTGGGGAAAACTGGGTACAGGGTACAGTGGGCCTCTCTGTATCATTGCTTACAACTGCTTGTGAATCATGACTCTACAGTTAAAAAGCTCGGTGAAAAAAAAAACCCTCATTTACAATCGCATCAAAAAATGTGAAATACTTGGAGATAAATCTGACAAATATGTGTAGGACTTGTAGACTGAAAACTACAAAACATTGGTGAGAATGAAAGGCTTAAATCACAGTACGCTAACAATAGATGGATTTGATGAATGTAAGTGAAGGGAAATAGTGTTGATCACAGACCTGAAATTTTTCTTTTTCCTTTTTTTGAGACAGTCTTGTTCTGTCACCCAGTGTGTAGTGCAATGGTGTGATCACAGCTCACTGCAACCTCTGCTCCCCGGGTTCAACAAATTTTCCTGCCTCAGCCTCCTGAGTAGCTGGGATTACAGGCGCCCACCACCACGCCCAGATAATTTTTGTATTTTTAGTAGAGACGGGAGTATCACCATGTTGGCCAGGCTGGTCTGGAGCTCCTGACTTCAAATGATTCGCCCACCTCGGTCTCCCAAAGTGCTGGGATTATAGGCATGAGCCACCATGTCCGGCCTGAAATTTTTCAAAATAAAATGCTGGTAAGAGGGAAAAAACAAAAAAAGCATAGGAAGAAGATTTTAGGAATGCATAGTTAGTTCTGCTATAACACAATATATGTGTTCCTAAAAAACCAGTGCTCTATGCAAAAATCACATAATAAAAACCACTGGGCTTATGGGAAAAGTGGGGTTAACCGCACAACACTCCAAAATTTTGTCAGTAGCCCATAAGAAACAAAAAGATAGGAACTTAATAAAAATAGTCATTGAGTTTTGCACGTTTGATGGTTAAGAAAAGCATGTATATTGCAATAAATATGACACTTGATCTTGAAAAAGCCCTGGAGTTTGTGTGTGGACGTGTGTGTTACCAGACATGGAGCTGTAACACCAGATGTGGATGGATGCAGCTCATAACACACGAGGTGGATGCGGAGCTGTGGGCATTTGAGGCATCCATCTGGGTGTATTTTGGCTCGGTTCAGTTGGGTACAACTTTCTGTGCTCACCTAGAGTTTCTTGTAGACCACATTGCACATAAGCAAGTGTGAAATTCACATCATGCTCAAATTGTTCCCTAATACTGTAACTCAATCTCATGGGAACAAATTTCTGTTTTCAAAACAAGTATTAACAGAATGGACTGTGCTTGTTAAAGTCACAGGTGGCAATCATCAACAACTTGTTAGACAGTTTGCTCTTTAAATGCATAGATTTCTAAATCTAAAAATTAGGAAAAAAAAAAAAATGAAACCTCATGCCCAGGTGTGACCATTTCTTGATTGCATCCTCACAGGATTTTGGGTTGAAAGAAAACAAAGTCCCTGATTCTGCCACAGCCCACCCAAGCATGTCCTCAGAGGTGGCATTGAATTGTCCCATTGCACTGTCCCCTGTTGTCTGAGACTGCACTGTGGGCCAAACACCCATGGCAGGCCCCACGGAGGGGACTCTGATACCATGTCATCTCCACTCAGTCATCTAATTAGATGTTGGTCAGGTACCCACTGGAGGCCGGACAGCACATAAAGGTGGGGAGGGGGTTTGTGGGGGGCTTCTGATGGAGACGAGTAGACCAGGTGAGTACTAAATGACTCAATCTAGATGAGAGGAAGAAAGGGTCATAGGTATTCATTCGGAACCCAGAAGGCCTCAGACAAGTGCTGTGCACCTCGCCCTGGACAACCCAGCAGGGTCACCCTGCAGCTGCAGGGCAGGCTCTGAGCTTGGGCGGGCACAGACTCTGAGCCTGGGCAGCCTGAGGGTACAGAGGGTGCCAGAATTAGGCCCCTTTCGTTGCCTTTGGGAGATCAATGCCTGCAAGGGCCCCGATGCAGCCAGGTGGAAGGGGCTCAGCGTGGGGACAGTCTCTCCCATGTGCTGGCTGGCCTGGGGACAGCTTTGCCTCTGCGGATTAGTGTGAGAGGTCAGGACCCCCATGAAGCCATGCCCCCCCCCCACCAGGACATGAGAAGGTACCAGCTCCTGGAGTTTTGTGTCCCAGGCCTGGTCGGGACACTTGGGCTGCCAGGGGGCCTGGTCCTGGGCCACTCTCAGGCCAACTCCAGGCTGAGGACCGGGAGCTGGAGGAAAGGGCTGGTGGTCTCTGAACCACTAGCTTCCCTGTGGTTCCTGCCCTGGTGGCTGAGGTTAGTGCGACTCCCCTCAATCCAGCCCGGTCCAGAACGTTCTGAGTTGGGGATGGGAGCTTCTTCCCACCAGAGAAAGCATTGCAAACCTTTTTGTGGTGAAAACATCCAAATGGACAGAAAACTAGAGAGGGTGGATCCATGACCCTATCGCCCATCACCCAGTGGGCCCAGTTCTTGACTCTGTTTTGCCAAGAAGGGGGATCAAGTCCCCAGCTTTTGAAGATATGCCAGACTGGGTTTGAAAACTTCCGCTTCTCTCAGACAGAGCACTTTCCAACCCTTGGCCCTAGTGGGTCCATCTATGATGCGGAGACAGGAATCCCAAACTCAGAGGGGGCTGCGAAGATCTAATGAAGGAACCTTTGTGAGGGGCTCCCTGGAGAGGCAGACACACTGAGGGTGAGGAATTCAGGTTGGACCTGTCTCCGGCCACAGCCAGTCCAGGGCTTAGCCCATCCTTGCTGTGTGCCGCAGCCCCTTGCTCTCAGCTTTGACTCTCACAAGCCTCAGGTCCTCTGTAGGCACTATAGAGAGGCGATAGTCAGGCCCCACTCCATCCTCCTCCTCCCTGCTGCCCACCGAGGTTCCTTCACCATCTGGACATAGCCCTGAGCCCGGGCTCAGCTCCAGTCCCAAGGCTTGGGCTTGCAGGGCATCAGCTCCAGCGACCTGCCTTCTCCCCCCATCGAGGGCTGTGTGACGTGTGTGTGCATGTGTATGATGTATGTGGTTGTGTGTGTGTGGTATGTGTGATGTGTGTGGTCGGCAGTCAGCTGGGTAGGCCTAGACCTGCCCAGTGACCCCAGGGACAAAGGAGCAGTCCTTTCGGATCCTCCCAGCGCAGGGATCCTCTGATGGACAAGGAGACGCTGCAGTCAGAGGCACTGTGTTTTCAGGACAGACTGAGGCAAAGCATTTTGGCAAATGGCCTTGGAGCCCTGAACACCCTGAGACCTTGTCACCGCCAAGCCCCCGGACCAGGTATACACAGCAATTCTAAATTTGCTAATAGCCTCATTAAAAAGCAAAAGGAAACAGGTGAAATTAATTTTCATAATATATTTTACTTAACCCAATATATCTAAAATGTTACCATTTCAAAGTTTAATTTGTATATGACTGAGATATTTTGCATTTCTCTTCATGCTCCGTCTTCGAGGTCTGGCATGCACCCGGCACTCACAGCACGTCTCAGTGGGACCAGCCCGGCTTCCAAGGCTCAGCAGCCACTGGAGACAGCACAGGTCTAGTGCAGTTGCTCTCAACTCTGCTGTGCATTACAATCACCTGAGAGCTTTGAAAAAGTGCCAGTTTCCGGGCTGCCTGGGAACCCCCTCATAGTTACATGGGAATCTCAGGGAGGGGTGGGGCAGACAGGGGTCACTGATCCTGGGGTGGGAGGTGTCACAGCCCCACGGAAGGGCTTCCCATCAGAGGGAACAGCGTGTGCAAAGGCAGGGGAGTGGGGAAGAGCAATGTTTAGGGGGAACTGTGAGTGGTGGTGTGTGTGTGCAGTTGTGTGTGTGATTGTGATGTGTGTGCACATGTGTGTGTTGTATGTGGTATGTATTATGTGTGTGGTGTATATGGTTGTATGTGTGTGGTGTGGATGTGTTTGGTATGTGTGATGTGTGCAGTTGTGATGCTGTGTGTTCATGTGGTGTGTGTGTGTGTGGTGTGTGTGGGGTGTGGTGTTGTGTGTGGTTTGTGTGATGTGTATGGCATGTGTGGTTGTGTGTATGTGATGTGTGTGTGGGGTGTGTGCACTGTGTGTGGTGTGTGGTTGTGTGTGATTGTGTGATGTATGATGAATGTGATGTGTGTGGTTGTGGTGTGTGTGGTTGTGTGTGTGACGTATGTGGTTGTGAATTTGTGTGTGAGGTATGTGGAGTGTGTGTATTGTGTATGGTTGTGTGCAGTGTGTTATTGTATGCGATTATGTGATGTGTGTGGTTGTATGTGGTGTGTGTGGTATATGTGTGTTGTATGTATGTGATGTGTGTGGTTGTGTGGTGTGTGGTATGTGTGGTTTTATGATGTGTGTGGTTTTGGATTTGTGTGTAGGGTGTGTGTAGTGTGTGTGGTTGTGTGTAGTGTGTGATTGATGTGTGATGAATAAGATGTGTATGGTTCTGTGTGGTTTGTGTGGTATATGTGTGGTGTGCATGTCGTGTGTGGTTGTGTGGTTGTGTGTGTGGTTGTATGATGTGTGTGGTTGTGTGTGGTCTGTGTGGTTGTGTGTATGCGATGTGTGTGGTTGTATGGGTGGTGTGTAGTGTGTGTGGTTGTGTGATATGTGTGGTTGTGTGTTTGTGTGGGGGTGTGTGTATTTTGTGTGGTTGTGTGTATGTGACTGTGATGTATGTGATATGTGTGGTTGTGTATTGTGTGTGGTTGTATGCAGTTGTGTGATGTATGTGATGTGTATGGTTATATGTGGTGTGTGTGGTATGTGATGTATGTGGTGTGTATGTGGTGTGAGGTGTGTGGTTGTGTGATATGTGTGTTTGTATGTGGGGTATGTGTATTGTGTGTGATTGTGTGTATGCGATGTGTGTGGTTGTGTGTGTGGCATGTGTGGTTGTGTGTGCGATGTGTGTGTTTGTGTGTGGGGTGTGTGTATCATGTGCAATTATGTGTATGTGATGTGTGTGGTTGTGTGTGATATGTGTGGCTGTGTGTGTGATGTGTGTGTGTGGGGTGTATGTATTGTGTGTGGTTGTGTGTGTGATGTGTGTTTGTGTGTGGGGTATGTGTAGTATAGAGGGTGTGAGTTATGTGTGTGGTATGTGAACCCGGCTCGCCACTTCCTGACCTCAGCAATCTTAGAGCTGTAAGTGCCCTGACATGGAGTTGCAGTGGCTTCTGACTCCCAAAGGTGCCCATTCTTCTGTGGCCACTGCCTTTTTAAAAAAGCAATTTTATTGGCTTCAGTCATCAAAATCTGATACAGAAGAGAGAAAAGAGAAATTCTTCTGGTTGAAATGTGTGTATGTGTGTGTGCATGGTGCGGGGTGTGCATGGGCGTGCTCATGTGTGTGTGTGAATGCACACACGCGCTCATGCCTGTGTCTGTGTTTGGATGTGGGGCCTCCTCAGACGGCTTGCACTCCGAATAGCTTGCTTGGAAACCACAGCGCTCACTGGCTGCTGGTGAGACCCGGCCCAAAGAGGGCCACCTTTGAGCAGGGTTAGTGCTCTTTGGCCACGGCCCTTTCACACCCTCAGGCTGCCTCTGGTCCGCAGGCTCAATCTGGAAGACACTACTCCTCCCACTCACCCCCATTCTTTCTGTGTGGTCTTAGCAAGTCACTGCCCTCAGGACTCTGGCCCCATGTTGAGTAAAATGGGTGGCCAGATATGGGCCTCTGACGCATGGCCCTTGCTGCCATTCCTCCAGGGCTTTCCATGCCAGTCCCAGGGTGTTCTGGACATGACCCTTACCCCTGAACCAGCTCTGATCCCATTGCAGCCCGAGGTGGGTTCCTGGGCTCCTTGGGGCAGGATGCCAGGCCATTCCAAGCCCCAGCACTGAAACTCCTCCTCCCCCTGAAAATGACTTTGCAAAAATTATAACAGTGAGAAAATGATGGCAGTGAAAGAGATCCGACCTAACGGACTCCATCTTGCTTCTAACCTCCAAGCGATCCTTGTTCATTCCTGGGGGTAGGTAGAACTAATTTTGGGAGAAATTTAGTTTATAGTTTTACTTTGCAACAAAAATGATAAGAGCCCTTTCCTGAAACAACCCCGCTTCTTGGCTTCTTGCCTGGGGACCAGTCTGCCTTTGAAGGACTAACAAATTAGTCACAATATTAGAAATTACGGTTTAGGAGTCACGCAGCCAGGGGCTGCAAGATTTGGAACCTCCCCAAACTGCTCCTGGGGCTAACGTCACTGTTGTAAAAACTCAGATTAATGCTAGAGCTATTTTGCAGACCCTGTGTTCCAATGCACCAGCAGGCACCCAGACCGGTACTCTGGCTCAACCAGTTCTGCGATGCCACCCAGGAACCGAATGAAGACAGCAAAATAATCCCACTTTGACACTCTATGATTTTATTTCTGACTCCACCAATCAGCACTCCCCACTTTCCGACTCCCTACCCACCAAATTATCCTTAAAAACCTGAGTCTCAGAATTTTCAGGGAGACTTAAAAATTTGAGTAATCATAAAACTCTGGTCTCTCATACAGCTGGCTCTGCATGAATTAGTCTTTCTCTATTACAATTCTCCTGTCATGATAAATCGGCTATCTGGGCAGCAGGTGAGGAGAACCCCTTGGGCGGTTACACCCCCACAGAAACCCTCTCTCTGCTTCCTGCTCCTCTTGCCGTTCCCCGCCCAGGCTGGCTCTGCCATGCCAGGGCCTGGCAGAGGAGCAGCAGAGGTGTGGCTGCCAGCCCCGCCTGGAAGCTCTGAGTTCCCTTCCTGCACCCACGTCCAGGACTCCAGCCTGGGCTCTGTAAAGGTCTTCTTAGGGGGGAAACACAAGCCTAGCCAGGGGGTGCCCTGAGGGACTGTGGGTGTGGGCAGGGCCCTTCCCTTCCCAGGGCCTCCTAGAGCCTGAATCTGTGCATACAGCAGGCCAGTCCCACCACCGTGGAATTTCCTGGCTCCAATCTCCCTTTGGTCTGGGCTGTTCCTACCAAGGCTGCCTGGCTGGGGTGGCAGCTTAGTGGGTGGCCTCACAGGACTCACAGCAGCCCCACAGGGGTTCTGTGAGCCTGGGAAGGAAGGAAGGACCCTCCAGCTCATATGGGCCTAAAAGCCACTGGCAGGCATGCTTCAGCCTGGGGGCAGCCTGCAGATGCCCGAGACCCCAGGCCATCACTCAGCCCAGTCTATCCATAATTACCCTGTTCACAGGGGTGGGGGTGGGGCGCCTCAAAGCGGGAAGCCCTCCCTGCCTCCCACCCAGGGTCAAGCCAGTGATATGCTGATAACCTTCAGTGACCCACCCCCTGCCACAATCACTCAGGGAAAGCCAGAAAACCCAGAGCTTGGGCTTGCTAGGTTGAACCTCTGCCGTTTCCTCTCCTTGAGTCTAATGGGCACGTGGGCTGGTGGAGACATGTAGGGTCTGAGAAATTACTGGGTCAAGGGTATGGTGGTGAGAAGGGAGGTGTGAGAGAGAGAAAACTCGGGAGGTGCAATCTGTGGAAGAGAGTACATATGACCCCTTGCTGGGGTGTGTGGGAAGACCGGGGCAGGTACCTGTCACCATAATCTGTCCACTCAGTGGATGAGCCCTCCCTAATGGGGATGCCAGCTGGATTTTGACATTTCAGGCACTTCAAATGCTTTTAAGACATTTGCTAACAAAGAGGTGAATAAGAGAGCTTCATGGCATGGAGGAGCAAGTGAGGTCTAGGCAGACCTCACTGCCCTTTGCCAGCTGTGTAACCTTGGGCAAGTGCTTACCCCACTCAGGCTTGGTTTCTTCATCTATAAAATGGGCTTCTTGGCTCTGTCTCAGAGGTCGTGATGGGGTCAGAGGTGATGAATGCAAAGTCAGTGAGTAGGGCCTCTTCCTCACCAACCAAATGGGGACTGAATTCGAGGTCTTGCCATGTGTTTCATTAGCATTTGAGCCCACAGTGCCAATAAAACGGACAGAATGGGAGGTTCTGTGCTAGGCAACATGTGCCTTCTGGCAACTGCACCACTGTCTAGGTGGAGCAGTGTTTGGTGAAGAAGGGAAGAGAGATTTCTGGTGGCCCATCGGCAAGGAGAGGCAAGGAGAGAGAGTGCTATAGTTTGAATGTCTGTCCCCTCAAACCTCATGTTGAAATGTGAACCCCTAGGCCAGGCGCAATAGCTTATGTCTGTAATCCCAGGACTTTGGGAGGCTGAGGTGGGCGGATCACGAGGTCAGAAGATCGAGGCCATCCTGGCCAACATGGTGAAACCCCGTCTCTACTGAAAATACAAAAATTAGCCAGCCGTGGTAGCACATGCCTGTAGTCCCAGCTACTCGGGAGGCTGAGGCAGAAGAATCGCTTGAACCCGGGAGGCGGAGGTTACAGTGAGCCAAGATCACGCCACTGCACTCCAGCCTGGCGACAGAGCAAGACTCCATCTCAGGAGGCAGGAAGAACAACTGAACCCTACTGTTGGAGGTGGGGCCTAATTGAGAGGTGCTTGGGTCATGGGGCCAAGTTCCTCATGAATGGCTTGGTGCTGTCCTAGAGGTAGTGAGTGAGTTCTCACTCTATTAGCTCCTGTGAGAGCTGGTGTTAAAGAGCTAGGCACCACTCTCTTTCCCTCTTGTTTCCTCTCTCACCATGCAATCTCTACACACACCGGCTCCCCCTCACCTTCTGCCATGAGTGGAAGCAGCCTGAGGCCCTCACCAGAGGCCCAGTCTTGAACCTTCCACCCAGCAGAACTGTGAGCCAAAGAAACCTCCTTTGTTTATAAAGTATTCAGCCTCAGGTATTCCTTTATAGCAACAAAAAATGGACTAAGACAGACAGAAATGGCAATTTTGCTCCTAGGCACAGTCTAAGGGAGGGACTCTTCACCTGCCACTCCTTTCTTGCAGAAATAACAGTGCAAGACTGTACAAGGACCCAGGCCCTGCTTCAAGTGCTTCCTACGTGTTGACTTGTCATCTTGCGAACACCAACATGAAGCCATCCCCATTTGTCAGAAGTAGGACAGTTGACAGAAATAAGTAATTTTCCTGAGGTCATAGAGCTAAGAGCTGCAGTGCTTCAGGGGTTGAGGGTATTTAAAATGGTAAAATGTTTTTCACTGAGTCAATTAAAAAAAATAGCATTTATAGGCGGTAAAGTGGCTGTTCTTACAGTATCTCATTTAATTGCCACAATAATCCTGGAAGGTACATCTTCTTATCGGCATTTTCTAGATGAGAAATCAGAGCCTCACAGAGGTTAAACAGGTGCCTATGGAGGCAGAATGAGCCAGAGACAGAACTGGGATTTAAGCCAGCTCAGCCTGACTCCCGGTAGTGGTTTTTGCCACCCACAACAGGGATGCATGCTAGAGCCAAACCCCTAGTGCCTTTGAAAGGGCCTGGCTGGGGTCCAGCCCCCCGCCCATCCTCCACACAGCTGATGCTTTACATTCTGGCAGATGGCAGGGCAGTTTGCCCCAGCATCAGTTGCTGAACGCCACTTTGGGGGGGACAGACACGGACAGATAGTCACCCAGCCTGAGCAGATCAGGCTTCCTGAGGCAGGGCTTGGGGCTTTTGCTGAGGGCACAGATGCTTTTGAGAGTCTGGTAAAATTGTGAGTCCTTTTCCCAGAAAAACACACATGGGACAAATACCCCCTTTTGCATCCAATTCAGGGTGTGCAAAAGCCCTCAGATTAAAGAACTCCAGGCCTAAAGAATGATCTAGATGAGAAGGCTGCCTTGAGTGCTTTTATGGGACAGAGCAGGGAGTAGCCGAGAGAGTGGAGACCAGCCAGGGGAAATGTGGGGCGGGCAGCCCATCACAGGGGCTAGCATCAGCCAGAGCCTAGCAGTAAGGACTCCAGGAACACAGTGGAACCAAGATGGGCTGGCCAGACGGGCAGGACCATGTGGCCCACTGAGCACAGCTGTGAGCACACAGTTCTGTAAGAAACGGGCACCCATCAGGATCTTAGATGAGCATATCAGCAGCCCTTTGCTGCGTTGAGCCCCCACTGGGTCCCAAGATCCTTGCTTTGGACAATGTAGTCCCTGCTTCCATCATTAGGTATGGTTGAAAACAGCTTGTCCAGCAGAGCAGATGCTGCCTGCCCAAGGGTTTGTCTTTGCCTTCTCTGCTCAAATCCTCTTTTTGTGATGGATTAAATGGAGCCTGTTCCTAGTTACTGGCTTCCCAACCTACTCTTTTTTTTTCTTTTTTTTGGGACAGAGTCTCACACTGTCGCCCAGGCTGCAGTGCAATGGCATGATCTTGATTCACTGCAACCTCCACCTCCCGGGTTCAAGTGATTCTTGTGCCTCAGCCTTTGAGTAGCTGGGATTACTGGTGTGGACCAACACATCCAGCTAATTTGTGTACTTTTAGTAGAGATGGGGTTTCACCATGTTGGCCAGACTGGTCTTGAACTCCTGACCTCAGGTGATCTGCCTGCCTCGACATCCCAAAATATTGTGATTACAGGCATGAGTCAAAGGCCCCAGTCTACATTTGTAGGCAGGCTGGCATTGTGCGCATGGCTGACCCGTTCAAACTTTGACTACAATCTACAGTTAGAAATACAAATTACCTGTCAGGCATGGCGGCTCACGCCTGTAATCCCAGCACTTTGGGAGGCTGAGGCGGGTGGATCACCTGAGGTCAGGAGTTTGAGACTCGTCTCACCAACATGGTGAAACCCCATCTCCACTAAAAATACAAAAATTAGCTGGGTGTGGTGGTGGGTGCCTCTAATCCCAGCTACTCGGGTGACTGAGGCAGGACAATCACTTGAACCTGGGAGGCAGAAGTTGCAGTGAGCTGAGATTGTGCCATTGCACTCCAGCCTGGGCAACAGAGACTCTGTCTCAAAAAATAGCAAAACAACAACAAAAAACAAATTATGACTCAAACAAATTTACAAGAAAAAACAAACAACCCCATCAAAAAGTGGGCGAAGGATATGAACAGACACTTCTCAAAAGAAGACATTTATGCAGCCAAAAAACACATGAAAAAATGCTCATCATCACTGGCCATCAGAGAAATGCAAATCAAAACCACAATGAGATACCATCTCACACCAGTTAGAATGGCGATCATTAAAAAGTCAGGAGACAACAGGTGCTGGAGAGGTTGTGGAGAAATAGGAACACTTTTACACTGTTGGTGGGACTGTAAACTAGTTCAACCCTTGTGGAAGTCAGTGTGGCGATTCCTCAGGAATCTAGAACTGGAAATACCATTTGACCCAGCCATCCCATTACTGGCTATATACCCAAAGGATTATAAATCATGCTGCTATAAAGACACATGCACATGTATGCTTATTGCGGCACTATTCACAATAGCAAAGACTTGGAACCAACCCAAATGTACAACAATGATAGACTGGATTAAGAAAATGTGGCACATATACACCATGGGATACTATGCAGCCATAAAAAATGATGAGTTCATGTCCTTTGTAGGGACATGGATGAAGCTGGAAACCATCATTCTCAGCAAACTATTGCAAGGACAAAAAACCAAACACCGCATGTTCTCACTCATAGGTGGGAATTGAACAGTGCGAACAGTTGGACACAGGAAGGGGAACATCACACACTGGGGACTGCTGTGGGGTGGGGGGAGGGATAGCATTAGGAGATATACCTAATGCTAAATGACGAGTTAATGGGTGCAGCACACCAACATGGCACATGTATACATATGTAACAAACCTGCACGTTGTGCACATGTATCCTAAAACTTAAAGTATAATAATAATAAAATTAAAAAACAACAACAAAAAAAAAACAAATTACGGTGTGACACAGTATGCACGCATATACAAACTCTAACTTTTTTTTTTTTTGTATTTCATTTCATTAAAAACTTACTGGTCTCAGTCGTGATGGATTTCACACCCACTGGTGAGTTGCAACCCACAGTGAGCTGGGATGCCAGAAGAAGGCCTAGGCTGTGCTCCTGCCCTCTCTTTGTTGGATCTAGGGCTGAGCCACAGCAGGCCCAGCAGAGAGAGTCACCTGGGCACTAGGAAACACTGCCACTCTGTTCTAAGGCAGAGCTCAGAACAGTCAGCTCGCAGCTGCACCCTATCCTCAGGGTAAGAGCCATACCCAGCTCTTTATTGAGTTTATATTTTACCATGAGTTCCTTAGTGGTGTTGGAAATAATTTGAGGCAGCTTATAATAGTAAGTATTTTTCTCCCAGTGGAGATGAGAATCCTATAGAGATAGGGCAGCGGTGTCTGGCAGAGTGCTTCATCCGCTATAAAGGCTGTCCCTGGATTACTGCTGCTGTCCTTCCCCAGACACCTGGGAGGAAGGAGAGCCATTGAGGGGACCCAGGAGAGACAGGGACCTGGCTGTGATGAAGCCGCTGGGCAGGAATGGAGGCTCTGCACATGGACATAATTTCACATTCAGATGATGAAAATCTTAATTAATCCTGTGAGCTGATGGATCCATTCATCCATTCATTCAGTAAACACCTTTTGACATAATGTAAGGCTCATGTCTTGCAAACAGTAGCATCAGCTTAAGATGCAAGGAACATCTTGTCACCTTCAGCTGTGGCCACTGTTTGTTAATTGGCAGCTAAAATCTTTCTGATGCTAGCAGGCATCCAAAAGCATTTTTATAAACACAGAGAGGAGTCTTCTCCCACCTTCCTCTTCTTGGTCTTTCCTGTCTCTAACTCTCAACTCCTCCCCACCTGGGAGCAGTATAATAGCCAAGGGACTGAATTTCAGCCAAGGACTGAAATTGCAATGTGAGGGGAGGCCTGTCTGGGCAGGGACGTGGGCGTGCGGCCCACACATCAGGGCTCCTGGTCCTCAGGTATCCTCCAGAAACCTGGACCCATGCTCCTGAGAAGGCGATGCTGAATAGAAATAACAATGAGGCCTTTCCCTGTCAATTTGATGAGTGCTCAAGAAGCGATAGCTAGCACTATTTCCATTTTAGATAAATGGACATCAAGTCCCCAAAGGCTAAGTAAGTTGCCCAAGGTGATAAAGTCAGTTAGCAGAGCTAGGTTCAAAGCCAGGTCCTCAGGCCACAGTAAAGTTTGGCTCCACATCTGCTGCTTCTGTGAGGCCAAAGCTCTGCTACTCCCAGGGTGTGGCCAGGCTTGGCTTTAGGTTTTCTGAAGCCAGGAAGGCAAAAGCTGTGATGTTCAGGTGGGATGTCCAGGTGGGATGTCCAGGTGGAATGTCCAGGTGGGATGTCCAGGTAGGATTCCCAGGTGGGGTGTCCAGGTAGGGTGTCCAAGTGGGAGGTCCAGGTGAATCAGGTATGATGGTCATGGTCCCAGGTCATGGCTGAGGCAACCTCTTAGCAGCTGGGAACTGACAGGGTCATTGAGGCTGCAGAGAGGGAATCCGTGTTAATGGATTATCCACGGTGCCCTGGCTATAGATGTGACACTCCCGGGGCGAGGGGAGGCTCTTCACCTATCTAAAGCTCAGATGGAAGCAATTGGCACTAGGTTTACAGCAAATCAAAATCACCATCCTGCAGCCAGTTTTCGCAAAGGAGTCACTGGTAGAATGTTTGGCAAAGAGAGTTGTCATCATTCACTCTCACGTTCCTTCCTTTGTTTAACAAGCATTTCCGAGGTATGCCTTATTTCAGGCACTGGAACATAGCCCTGAATCAAAGATGGCTCCTCTCCCTGAGGAACTCACAGGCAGCTGAGGGGAAGGATGATTCGCAAGCAAACAATTACCATACATGCCACAGCTGTTAACCCTGACTCAGAACTTTATAGACGCCAGTAGTTCTCAGCAATACTGAGCGCTTCGCAGCAGCTATTGTATGCATTTATTAAAATGACCTTGGGACAGCTTTTGCAGATGAAAAGCTGAGATTCAGAGAAGTGAAATAACTTGACTGTGATCACACAGCTCACTAGAGGCAGAATCAGGATTTGAACTTGGATCTCTGGCTGCAGAGGCCACACTTGTGGCAGCTGTCCCCCCGAAATGAGCGTCTGATAACAGAAGCTGTATATTGAAGAGTTCTTCAGGCAGATCCAGGTGGGAGGCAGCTGGGTCAGAGGACCCATGTGCAAAGCACAAAGATGGGGACGTGTGGCCCCAGTGACCACTGGCTGGGCTTGGGGCTGGGGGTGAATGGACATGAAGGGAGAAGGGGTGAGAGGATGACCAGGGCCTCCCTAACTGTCTTCAGTTTTAGCTCAGTACTGTCTTTTTTCTTTTTATTTTCTTTTCTTTTTTTTTTTTTTTTTTTTTTTGAGACAAGGTCTCACTTTGTTGCCTAGGCTGGAGTGCAGTGGTGTGATCTTGGCTCACTGCAACCTCCGCCTCCCAGGTTCAAGCAATTCTCCCACCTCAGCCTCCTGAGTAGCTGGGACTATGGGTGCACACCACCACACCTGGCTAATTTTTTTTTTGTATTTTTAGTAGAGATGGGGTTTTACCATGTTGGCCAGGCTGGTCTCAAATTCCTGACCTTTAAGTGATCTGCCCAACTCGGCCTCCCAAAGTGACGGGATTACAAGCATGAGCCACTGCACCTGGCCAGTTTTAGCTCAGTACTGAGGGCTAGAGCTGAACCTGAGCCTTGGGTTGCTGCGAGAGCACCACATCACCCATTTGGAACCCCTCCCTTGCTGCCCTCTGCATCCTGCTTGGGGAGAGGGAGGATTGGTGCATCACTTGGGAAGCCCATACACCTGTCTAATAGCTGTGTCCTTAGGCAAGTAACTTGCTCTCTCCAGTTCCAAGTTCTAATTTGTAATGATTTGATGGCTGAGAAAGGTAATATGCATAAAGTGCTGTGTTCATTAGACCTCTTTGACTTCAAGGAGTGGAAACCCTGATGAATTTAGGAGTGAATCTGGACCAAGGTTGGAACAAAAGCACCTACAGAGGAGTATAAAACTGGAACCTGGGGCTGGCCTGACTCCAGACACTGTCTCTAGTCTCTTTCTCTCCAACAGCTCATCCATGTGGCTACCAGTTTTCTTCCTAAATATTTCCTTGTTAGTACCCTGCTAAAAAGCCTATGAAGGCTTGCCAATAACACAAAATAAATCTCAAAATGTTGAATCTTGCCTGCCTCTCTGCTGTTAGTCTCCTTACCCCACACTCCTCTCTAACACATCATTTTCTTGTAGTCTAATTTCTGGTATTTTTACCTTCTGAAATGCACCATTCCAAACCTGGAGAACCCCAACTTATGGTTTGGAACCATCCCAAATGGATACTAGGCCATATATATTACAGAAGAAGTGTTTATACCAATAGCAACTGACCGGTGACACATACATGTCGTTTACTGGTCAGTGACCTGGGCAAGTAACCCTGATATCACTGCTCACTTTGGACATAGGGCCTGCCCTAGGTGCAATGCCAGTTGAGGGAGGAAGGCTGCACAGGCACACAGAAGGGCTGCCTTCTCTGTGCAATTGTATGATTTGGCCTCATGGTGTTGCCAGTCTGTCTCTGGGGCAGCTGCTTGCAAACTGTAGGTTTTTTCATGTCTTTGTGCTGTTGGAATGATGATATAGCTAAGGGGCCTGTATGACCCCCACATAACTCAGGGCCATCAAACAGTCACATTGCTTCCTCATGCAGGGACTGAGAGGCGCTCCTGGTTTTCACACCTTCTCTCTTGCTGTGTTTCTCGTAGGTCCATTTCACAGGCCACAGCTGCTTTGGCTATGGCTTTATAACGGCGGCCTTTAAAGCAATCTGCTTTCCCTTCTCAACCTCCCTGAGGATCCCTGGGCAGTGAGTGGTTCTGTCAGCTGGGGTTCCACAGCATAGTGAGACCACACCTCTGGGCTCTGACATGGGCAAAGGACCTGAGAGCCCAAAGCATCTCACTTGCGTCAGGGGCTATGGGAACTGGGAGCGAGGGCAGATCCAGCCACCTGTGACAGGTGGCTGCAAAATACTGGAACTGCTACCAGGGCTAAGGCTAGCAAGACCTGCATGCCTAAGAGGGCAAAAGGGGGCAAAGGGAGGCTCAAAGGTAGTTCCTGGGCCAGGCCCTGGGCCAATGACTGGACTGGCTAACTCCTCCGTTTTGGCATTTCAGAACCTCGGAGCTGTCAGAGCAAGCCTCATTTGGGACTGGGTACTCTAGAAGGCCAGATGGGAGCAATGACAAAATCCTGGGAGGGTGCGGGTGGGTCTGGGAGGTTAATGCAGTGGGAAGAACAAAACACAGAATTCCTATTGCAAGCGAACATTTTGAAGCATGTGAAAAAACTAATTCTAAGAAAGGTTACAAAACTAATAATAGGAGATGAATTCACTGCCAAATAAATGGAAATATGAGAAAAATCTCAAAACCAAAAAGCCTTAAGCATCTTAAGACCCACAAAGAAGAAGAAATAGCATTCATAAAAAGTAATTATAAAATAAACCCAGGAAGGTATAAATTAAGAACAGATTGGCTCTGAAAAAAAACTGAGTAGAAATCTAGGTATAAAAACTATGATAATTAAATCAATAGATGAGCTAGTCAAAGATACAATTTGCGAATGGAAAACTAAAAGCAGCTCACAGATAGAAGGAGATGAAACTATGGAAGAGAACTTAAAAAATGGCTGAGTTTTAACAACCAATGTTCTGAAGGAGAAAATGTGGAGAGAATGGTAGAGAAGATACAGTAGAAGGAGTGGTAGAATGACATGACCGAGAATTTTCTACAGGTTAAGAAAAGGTGTGACTTCAGAGTAAAAGCATGCATAGAAAGGTCAGCAGGACAAACAAAAGGAAATTTCGAGAGAGACCCCAGAGCAGGTTAGCACTGCCCCTCCCTCCCCACTTTCTGCAACATCATCCCTTCCTTCTCTTTTGTAGCACTTGGGACACTTGTCGTGATTGTTCAAGGGCTGGCCTGGTTCCATATGTGTCTGCATGTCACATGCAGCAAGTGGTCTGGTACCTGGCCTTTGGGACATGCTCAATAAACACGTCAGTAGACAGTTGAGTAACTGATGGATAAGTAGGTCAGTGCCGGGAGAAACCAGGTGCACATGTTCCAGCGTGCGGCCAGGGGGCAGGGGCATCTAAATCACTGCCATGGAGTCTGGGAAACAGCCATGGACAAAATCCACGGCCCCCTCTGGTTGGGCTGGACAGGCCCGGCTGTCCACATGGAGGGCTGCTCCAGGTGCTGAGCCTGAGAGGTGCCCTCTAGATGAAGCTCATTCGGGCAGGTTTGGCCTTAGCAAGGGAAGGAAGTAGGAGGACCAGCTCCTCCATGAGATCTTTCTGGCTTCCCGGCCTGGAGAGCAGCTGGCCCAATAGATGCACAAACGCACTGTCTACAGATATGTAATTTGAGATGGGTTATTAATAGAATAATCTTAATAAGAGCACGATCAACCAGTATTGATACAGCAGTTTATGGGTTCCAAAGTGCTTTCACATTTGTAATATCATCGAATCTTAACATCCCGAGAGGATGTCAGTTTTGTACGCATTTTATAGGCTGGGAAACGAAGTCTGGAGAATTGAAAGCCTGGGGACCCTGTGCTCCTATGGGGACAGATTCTGGGCACTGAGCTCACCCTCTGGCCATGATCCTGTGTGCCCTTGCCAGCTCCCTGCCTGTCCCCTCCTTGTCTGGGCAGAGGTTGGGCTGCCAGTGGCCTTTGCTCTCCAGAAACAAAGGGTTTACTGAGTACTTGAATAATATATACAGCAGAGCAGGGCGTATTTGATGGCTTCCCAGGAATAAGCTGTCTTTGACATTTTCAGACACAGAGCAGGACTTCCCTATTGCCTCCACAGAGTGGGTCGTATGTAGGGGGTGTGTCGGAGCCAGAGCAGATCAATTTGGGGTGGGGTCCCTTCTCAGAGAGGTAAGGAAGAGACGGTACAAGCCTTGCTTCCTGCTCTACATCCAGGTACAGCATTCAAGGCTATATTGCTAGCATTTCATACACACCCTTGAATTTTGTTCCTTTCCTTCACACATGAATTCAGTGTAGTGGCTTAAGACCTAGGGACATACAACAGAGGGGAAGGACTTCTTTGGGCACCCCTGAAAACCCATGCTGTCATTCCAATTGTGTTGCTCTTGAGTGTAAGCCCTTCCACTTTAGTGTTTTTCACTATTTTAATAAAACCAGGGGAAAATAAACCATTGGAGCAATGAACAAATGCTGCTGTACAGACATGGAAGTCTTTCTGCCTGGATCTGCTGGCCCATGCAGAGCTCAACACCTCCCCGTAGCTGTGAGCAAAAGTCTGAATCAGGCATATGCAAGACTGCATGTGAGATATATTCAGGGCAGGTCATTCGAAAGCAGAACACGACACGTGGAACTCAGTGACAGCTTGTGTTTCCAAAACATTCATTTATAACAATGGACCTACTTGTGAATTACTCATTCAGCAAACATTTATCATATGCCTTCTGTATGCCAGGCACTGAGACACATCTGGCTGCTTGGGAATGACTGAGACCCCACCCACAAGAAGCTCACAGCCAGGTCAGAGAACTCATGCAGGGTAGAAAGTTCTGTGATGCGACTGAAGCTTAGCACTATCTATAAGGCATGGTTGCTGAGTGAGGTGCTGTATCTCAACGCATTTCTGTATACGTATCCTGAAATTTAGCCTGGACTTTCCCAGTTTCATCTGTATTATATCAGTGTAGCTTTGCTTGCAGAGAAAGTGCTACTTAATATCAGAAATGGGAAGAATCAGCAGAAAAAAAAGTGGACATGCAGTTAGTCACCTTCTGGGCAGCTGGGAAGGGGAGAGAGGCAGGGGAGGTGGGTGGGAGAAGAGACAGGCAAGACTCCGGGACCAGAGGCTAAACCACTTTCCACTGCGGGGCTAGAACATGGCATACGTGATTTCATTTTCTGGGGTTTATTTGAAAGATTACTCTTGGTCTGAGTATGCCTGACAGTTGCAGAATAGAATGAATCCCTTTCGTTTGCTTGTTTGAAAATCATGATGTCTCTTTCGGCAGATCTGTGTTACCTGGCCTTCAGTTGCGATGCTTGGTTTCCCCCTGTGTCTACCTGAGGAAATCCTGCTCAGCCAATATGCCCTCCTCTGGGAAGCCGCCTCTCACCTCCGAAGGCCGAGTGGTGTCAGTGGTCCCCTGGTTCGTGCCTCTCCTGGGGCATTTAGCACGTCCTAGAGCTGACTGTTCATTCCTGGGGCTCCGCTTTGAGGTGATGAGTCTGTGGGGGGCCTCCTCACAGTCTCCTCTGGCTGTTTGCGTGTTGCCTCCCCAGCCCTCGTTTCTTTGCAGGTTACCTTCCTTGCCTTGTTTTTCCCATTGCTGTGGACTCTGGTTTTTGATAGCTTATGAGGCATTGGGGGCTTCCTCCCAAATTTACCTTTGTGTCTGGCTTCCCCACGTGATGGGGAGCCCCTGAGGGCAGGGCCATGGCAGTGTCATCTCCCCATTCCCAGGGCCCAGCACAGAGGGAGTGAAATCTGAGCTGCGATAAGCTGACTCAGGATGGCAGTGCCTTCTGCCCTAGGATGGGGGACCCACTTCTTCTTGAGAGCAGAGACCTTCCTTCCTCATAATCCAGCCCATCCCCAGCACCCAGTTCAGTGCCCAGGACAAGACTGCAGGGGACCTTGGCTGAAGGAAAAGGCATTGAAGGAATGGAGGCATTAGGGCCCTTGCTTTGAGACAAGGGTGGTTATTTTGTGCCTGACCTGGTTTCCTGTGGACAGGTCAGAGCACTTCAGGGACAGCAGGCTCCGTGCAAAGGGGCAAATGTGGACAGCAAAGCCTGCCAGGACAGCGGCTCCTCTGAGCACCCGGTGCATTCCTGCTAAGTGCTTCTTGAAGCCTCATGCCCAGGCATTCCCCGCGTGGGATGCAGATGCACCCCTGGCCCTGCAGTGTGGGAGTGCAGGGACAGTAGATCACTGCTGGACAGTTTCCTCACACCACCCGTTGCCCACGATCCAGAGGGCTCAGGCTGAGGCCGCCTCTCCACCACCTCACAGAAACCAGTGGCCATGGATTATCCGGACGTGGTGGCTATTTGGCCGTGACAGGCAATCACCTTACTGTGCAAACTGGGCCATGCCATCTGGCCTCTCTGAGCCTATTTCTTATACATAAAAAGGGATTGATGGCTGGGCATGGTGGCTCATGCCTGTAATCCCAGCACTTTGGGAGGCCAAGGTGGGCAGATCACGAGGTCAAGAGATTGAGACCATCCTGGCCAACATGGTGAAACCCTGTCTCTACTAAAAATACACAAAAATTAGCTGGGTGTGGTGGCATGCACCTGTAGTCCCAGCTACTTGGGAGGCTGAGGCAGGAGAATTGCTTGACCCAGGAGGCAGAGGTTGCAGTGAGCCGAGATCACACCACTGCACTCCAGCCTGGGCAACAGAGCAAGACTCCATCTCAAAAAAAAAAAAAAAAGGATTGATAGTAAATTTTATCCTTGCCTGGCCTCCAACAGGCTGCCAGGCCACCTCCCTTGGTCTGCAGCTCACAGAAGGCTGTCCTTACATGGTGACCAGTCCACACTACCAAGGCCTGGCCAGAGAACGAGCACGTGGAGGCCTTGGTGGAAAGTGGATAATGCCGTGAAGTTTTCACATGGGTAATTTTGGATTTGATTTGTGGGGACAGGGGGAATCTAATTTTCTGTTAAATGTTTGTACATTTCTTTCTTTATATTTAAAATAACACAATTCAATGGGATTTGACTTATTGTCTGTTTTTGAATTGTCTTATAGCTCTCAGATTTTTCACATTCTAAGACTGGCCTGCATCTGCCGCTCACCTCCACGAACCACTTGAGGAACTGGCGTAGCTGTGAAGTCCAGCTCAGAGTGTATTTGAGAACTCCTCTTTTTTTCTGGCTTACACATCAGTAACGCAGATCCCATTTTTAGATGTCCTCACTTCTGTGTGTGTATGGTTTTTAAATTAAGGAAACATATAAGAGTGTTTAAATTTGAGATAATTAAGTAAGTATCTCATTCCCTGCAAACAGCAGGCATCACTGGGTTCAGAATCAGCCAACTGTAGCTGCTGACTTCAGGGCCTGTCAGCTGGCTGGCCTGAGTTGGGGACAAGATCCATAGTTACTTGGAGTAACTTGCAAACATGCATCACAAGACTTAACATACAATGGTCATGCTGATAAGGAGTATTGTTTTCCTTTCTACCCCGGGGAGGGCACTGTCTTTAACGGGGAAGGCCTGTAGCTCCGTTTGGACGTACATGACTGTATTCTGCATTAACCTGTTCCAGTGAGGCTCTGGTGGCCCCTACAGCCTGGTTCTTGGGCAGAGACCTGGTTTGTAGTGTCCTGTGTGATCCTGGGCCTGCCCATGGGGAGCTGGACTGGCTTATGTCTGAAAGAGGCACTGGTGGTGCATTAGTGTTTCTGTCTATTTCAGAGGCGCTTTCTTCCCTCCCTTCTCCCAGTGTTTCTGGCTGCCTTTTGCAGTCCCTGAAGTTTTTCTCAGGGTCAGTGTGTAGTGAGAAATCAGCCTCAGGGCTGAGATGGACTCTTAATTCTGGACGCCTGTGTCTGTGGCTCTGTCTTAAGCTAGTGGGGCCCAGAGAGGATGTTGGCATGACTCTAAGTGGAATGTCTGCAGCCGGCGTTCTGGATTTTACTGCCCAGTAGAGGTGGAATGCTCCTGTGGTCCTCAGTGAGATTGGGAAGTTCATAGCCCTCCAGCATTGCTGTGGGTGAGTTGACTGCTTCAGGGGCCACTGGATCTTGTCTGGTATGCCCACTGTCAGTCCACCTGTGTATCAGCCCAGCCTCATCAGCATTTACAGAGCACTTACTGTGTGCTAGGTGCTGAATGCAAAGACAGAAACAAAGCATGCCCTGCTCATAGGTCAGTAGGAGAGAGATAGAAGCTGTCTTGGTTTGTTTTGTGTTGCTATAAAAGAATACCTGAGGCTGGGTAATTCATAAAGAACAGAAATTTATTTCTTATAGTTCTGGAGGTTGGGAAGTCCAAATTGAGGCAAGCCACAGACCTTCCTCAAACAGGCACCAGCCTGGTGTGGAAGACAGATATATATGTATGCGTGTGTGTGTGTGCGCACACAACACGGGAAAATTTAAAAGCATTCCTGAACTCTGCCCCACACCCTGTGAATCAGAATCTCTGAACCAGGTTATTATTTGCAAATAAACAAAGCTATAAGAAGCCACATAAAACAAATGCATGGCTTAATGGATTTTTACAAGAGTAAAGCTTTGTAACCACCACCTAGACTAAGAAACAGAACTTTGTCCAGAGGCACCTCCTCACTCTCTTCTCCAAAGTCACCACTACCTTGACTTACAGTAGACACTCCTTTCCTTTGCTTCATAGTCTAATTATTACCCACATGTATATCCCTACACCCTATAATTAAATCTCACTTATTTTATAAAAATACATCTTTTAAAAGTTGGTTAATACACAGGTTTTCCTACCCCCTCCCAAGACCCAGGTCATTTGATCTGTAGAGTTTCCAATAGTCTGGATTTTGCTGACTGCACTCTCATGGTGCTATTCAACATGTCCCCTGTCCTCTGTGTTTCCTGTAAATTGGTAGCTCATCCATGTTCCAGCATGTATCAGTACATCATTCCTTTTTATGGCTATTATTCCATTGTATATCACAATTTGTTTATCCATTCATTTGTTATGGAAATTTGGGTTGTTTCCACCTTTTGGCTATTGTTCATAGTGCTGCTATAAAGATACATGTACTTGTTTGAGTAGTCAGTGTCAGTTCTTCTGGGTATATACCTAGGAGTGGAATTGCTTGATCATACCATAATTCTATATTTAAGTTTTTGAGAAATCACCAAACTTTTCTCAGCAGTTGTGCCATTTTACATTCTCACCAACAATGTCTGAGGGTTCCAATTTTTCTACATTCTTGTTAGCCCTTGTTATTTTCCATTGAAAAAAATATATCCATCCTAAGTCAGGTGCAGTGGCTCATGCCTCTAATGCCAGCACTTTGGGAGGATAGCTTGAGGCCAGGAATTTGAGACCAGCCTGGGCAACATAGTGAGATCCTGTCTCTACAAAAAAATTAAGAAATTAGTAGGGCATGGTTATGCCTGCCTGTAGTACCTCTTAGCTGCTCAGGAAGCTGAGGTGGAGGATCACTTGATCCTGGGAGGTTCAGGCCACTGTGAGCTGTGATGGTGTCACTGCACTCCAGCCTGGATAACATGGCAAGAGCCTGTCTCAAATCAATAAATTATATATGTATTATATAATTTATCATATAATAACATTATTATATATACATATTATAAATAATTATATATAAATATTATATATATCCATCCACCTATTACATATATATACAGTGGGTGTGAATTGGTACCTCATTGCAATTTTGATTTGCATTTCCCTAATTAATAAAAATATTGAGTGTCTTTTCATGTGCTTGTTGGCATTTGTATATTTTCTTTGGAGAAATGTCTATTCAAGTCTTTGCCCATTTTAAAATTGAGTTGTGTGTTTTTGCTGATGAGCTGTAAGAGTTCTTTAAATGCTTTGGATACCAGACCTTTATTAGATGTATGATTTTACTTTGTTGGTAATTTTCTTTGATGTTCGAAAGTTTACTATTTTTATGAAGTCTAATTTATCTAGTTCTTCTTTTGTTGTTCATGCTTCTGGTATCATATCTAAGACTCTATTGCTAAAGCTAAAATTATGAAGATATACTCCTATGTTTTCTTCTAAGAGTTTTATGGCTTTAGCTCTTATATGTAGGTTGTTGACCCGCTTTAAGTTAATTTTTCTATATGGTGTAAGATGGGAGTCCAACTTCATTCTTTTGCATGTGGATATCCAGTTGTTCCAGCACCATTTGTTGAAGAGATTATTTGATTATTATTTCCCCCATTGAATGGTCTTGGCACTCTTGTTAAAAATTAATTGACAATACAGTTGGGCCTGGTGGCTCACATGCATGTAATCCCAGCATTTTGGGAGGCCAAGGCAGGCGGATCACTTTTAGCTCAGGAGTTTGAGACCAGCTGGGCAACATGGCAAAACCCCGTATCTACTAAAAATACAAAAATTAGCCAGGTGTGGTGGTGTGTGTCTGTAATTCCAGCTACTTAGGAGGCTGAGGCAAGAGAATTGCTTGAGCCAGGGAGGTGGAGGTTGCAGTGAGCTGAGATAGCACCACTGCACTCCAGCCTGGGCCATAGAGCAAGCCTCCATCTCAAAAAAAAAGTTAATTGACAATAGATGTATGTAGATAGATCATGGATTTATTTCTGGACTCTCAGTTCTATTTTATTGATCTGTTCTTATGCTAGTATCACACTGTTTAGATTACTGTAGCTTTCTAGTAAGTTTTGAATGTGGAAAACGTGAGTACTCCAGCTTCGTTTTTCTTTTTTCAAGATTATTTTGGCTATTCTGCATTCCTTGATTTTCCATATAAATTTGAGGATTGCCTTGTCAATTTCTGCAAAGAAGTCATCTGGGATTTTGATAGAGATTGCATTGAACTTATAGATTAACTCTGGGATATTTCTATCTTTAACAATAAGTCTTCTGGTCCAAAAACATGATATGTATTTTCATTTATTTTGATCTTTTAAGACCTCTTTCAACAATGTTTTATATTTTTCGGAATATACCATTTGGATTTCTTTTGTTATCTTTATTCCTAAGTATTTTTTGATGTTATTGTAAATGGAATTATTTTTCTAATTTCATTTTTGTCTTGTTCATTGACAGTGTATAGAAACAGAATTGATTTTTGCAAACTGATCTCATGTGCTAAAATCTTGCTGAATTCATTTACATATTTTAATTTTTTTGTGAATTGCTTAGGATTTTCTACATAGAAAAATCGTGTCATCTGCCAATTGAGACCATTTTACATCTTTCTTTCCTATCTGGGTGCCTTTTTTTCCCTTATATAATTGCAATAGTTGGAACCTTCAGTATGATGTTGAATGGAAGTGGTGAGTAGACATCCTTGTTTCTTTTGTGATCTTAGAAGGAAAGCATGTTGTCTTTCCCATTAAATGTGATGTTATCTATGTTTTTTTTGTTGTTGCTGCTTTTTTAGTATATACGCTTTATTAGGTTGAGGAAATTCTCTTTTATTCTTTCTGAGTGTTTTTACTATGAAGGAGTTTTGTATTTTGTCATTTTTTTCTGTATCTATTGAGATGATTATGAGGTTTTGATCTTTTATTCTATTAATATAGTATTAATAGAACAATTAATAATATGGTATTACGTTGATGATTTTTTGGATGTTAAACCAACCCTGCATTCCTGGGACAAACTGCACTTGATCATTGTGTATAATCCTTTTTATATGTTGCTGAATTTAGTTTGCTAGTATTTTGTTATTATTGTATCCATATTCATAAGAGGTATTAGTAGTGTTCTTTTTTTGTGATGTCTTTGTCTAATTTCAGTATCAGAATAGTAATGGCCCCATAGAATGAGTTGGGAAGTGTTTATGCCTAACTTTTTGCAAGTTTGTGAAGAATTGATAATAATTTTTCTTTAAAAGCTCCTTTAAATGCAAATATTTTTAAAACGCAAATTATTCTTTAAATGTTTAATTTCACCAATGAAGCCATTGGGGCTTGGCTTTCTTTTTGCAGTTAGTTGTTGGATTACTAATTTCATCTCTTTAGTTGTTAAAGGTTTCTTTAGACTTTCTATTTCTTCTTTAGTCAGGTTTGGTTTCTGTGTTTTTCTAGGAATTTCTCCAGTTCATCTAAGTCATTTAATTTATTGACATATAATTGTTCATAGCATTCACTTATAATTTTTTATTTTTGAAGGTTAGAGGTAATATCTTCTTTTTCATTTCTGATTTTAATCTTTCTTTTTTCTGGTCAGTATAGTTAAAGATTTGCCAATTTTGTTAATCTTTTCAAATAACCAATTTTGGTTTTTAAAGATTTCTCTATTTTTTTCCCATTGGCATTAGCAAGGGTTGGGGAAGTATTTTCTCTATTGTCTTTATTATTAAGGAATTAGCCTGGTCTATGTTATTTCTAGACTAGCCTCTATTATTTTCTTCTTTCTTCTTGGTTTAGGTTTGGGTTTGGGCTCTATGAATATAGAGCTTGATCAACTACCAGGTACATGCTTGAATTCCATCTTGTGATGACAGAGCTGGGATTACAAAGAGGAATGATACACACACTCTTCCATTGAAAACCCATGGTGCAGTGGGAGAGACTCAAATGCACCACTTCCATATAAGTGGCCAGTGCTATAAGGAGCCATTATCAGGAAGGAAATGATAGCCTGGGAGGGCCTCAGAGAAGTCAGAGAAGCTTCCCAGAAGAGGTGATGTTAGAATGGGGTTTTGAAGGAGAATAGAAATCAGTTAGGTATCGAAGTGAAGGAAGGGAGGTTCTGAGAAGGGGTTAGCATGTGGAAAGCCCAGGGCTGAGAGAACAGGGTGCATTCTCAGAACTGGAAGTTGTGTGGTGTTTTTGGAGCAGGACTGAGAAGGTGAGGCTGTGCTTGAGAGAAATGTAAACAGGGGTCCTGTGCGAGAGTCCACGATCTTTCTGCTTCACAAGGCTGAAGCCAGAGCCCTTCCCTGAGCTCAGGCTCAGCTTTGCCAAGTCAGAAGTGATTGCAGAGCTGTAGAAGAGTTGATCTATTAATG
Source organism: Homo sapiens (assembly GCF_000001405.40). Lineage (NCBI taxonomy): Eukaryota > Metazoa > Chordata > Mammalia > Primates > Hominidae > Homo > Homo sapiens. The sequence continues at coordinate 46,503,910 of NC_000010.11, read as the reverse complement.
GTATGTAGAACAAAGGGAATATTTTTAAATATTGTAGTACAATATTTAAGAAGCTTCCACATGGCAAGAGGAACTGCAGCCCCTACCCAAAGCCAGAAAGGGGATCCTGCCTCATACTTGCTTTTTTGAGGCTGACTTGCGAGGTGTGAGGCCTACCTCGAGAGTGATGGGGTGCCTCTGTGTGTTCTGAACTCTGCGTGAGGACAGGCCCTGATGCCTGGGCAGAAAAGCGCCTCCCTAGGCCAGACCAGACTGGGCCCAGGCCATCATGGCAAGGACTCCACCAGAGAGCAAAAGGTCAGAGCAGATGAAGCAGGATGGGCAGAGGCTGGCAGGTCTATACCAGGCAGCTAGGGGCACTTAGGGGGTTCTTAAACTCCTAGTCACATCAGGAGCTTTGCATCAGTGCTGTCAAAGGGAAGGCCAGGGTCTGGCCTTAAAAGATACCTCTGAGAGACTGTGCTGTGGGTCTGTGAAGGGACTTGGGTTGTGGCAGGAGAAGTCGGGACTCATCCGGCTCCGAAGAGCCATGCAGCCTCATTCACGTGTCCCACTCCAGTGTAGGAAGTCCTGTCTCACACAGGAGCTGGGGACACTGAGGATGGTGGAGGAATTCCACTACAGGGAGACATCAGGAACACAAAGTGTGGTTGTTGGAGCTGGAAGGTGAGGATGAGTTCACCAGCCAGAGAAGAAGAGAAAAGAGCTCCAGAGAGAAGGTACAGCACATACAAAGGTGTGGAGCACTCACTACTCCCTGGGCAACTTCTGCCAAAAATCAGGACCCTTTCCTCCTATACACCCTTCTCACTTCCTGGGCTGTCATGCATGTTTGCTTGTGCAACACTCTGGGAAGCAGGCGGCACAACCCCATCTCACAGATGAGGAAGCCAAGGCTTGAGAAGTGTGATGGGAGATCTGGGACGAGAGTCCCAGCTCCTGCTCCTGGTCCAGTGCTCTGCTCGTGTGTGTGAGCATGCGTGTGTGTGTGTGTGTGAATATATATGTATGGATGTGTGGATATGGAAGGTGTTTGTGTGAGTGCAGGAGTTTGTATGTGTGAACATGTAGGGTGTTTGTGTATGAGTATTTGTGTGTATGTGCATGTTTGTGTGTGTGTGGATATTTATGGGTGTTTGTGTCTATGTGTGTGTTTGTATGCAGGTGCACGTATATATGTGTGAATATGCCTGTGTGTATGTGTGGATATGCAGGGTGTTTGTGCGTGTATTTGTGTGCATGTGTGTGGACCCCATAGGTGTTTGTGTGTGCAGATGTATGTATGTATGTGTGAATGGGTGTATGTGTGTGAAGGGTGGGCACACACAAGGGCCCTGTGAGAGAGAAGCCCCTAACTTGTCTATCAGTCCTTTCTACACTGGGGATGAAGGTTTTGTGAGCCAGGCAGGCTGACAGCTGACATGGAGAAATCTTGGGTACTGGAGTTGCCAAGACATGTTTCATGTCCATGTTCTGTCACTCATTGGTTGCATCACCTCCTTCACTCTCAGTTTTCTCATCTGTAAAATGGTATCCTCATGGTCTCTCTCATGAGTTGCTGTAAAAAAGGATAATTTTTTTGTGTGAAATTTCTAGGGCCTGGCCCATGGAGGGGATCTGTACAAGCTAGGCTGCTCTCCTCTGAAGATCCCAGGGTAGCCAGCCTGGCTTGGCTTCCTGGGGGCCCAACACAATAGGCTTTTCCTGATGGCCTTGGAATTCAGGTCATCCATGGACACATTGGACCCATGGGCACATAGCCTGTCAAATGTGCAGCTCAGCACTCTCTGGGACCCTGTGGGGCAACAGAGAATCAGGCAGACGGGTATTGGGGTGACCCGGGGGGAGGGTCAACATCACACGTGCATCTCAAAGCCTGCCTTTCCCTAGCTGGGTCTGTTATTCCTGGTGGGCAGAGCCCTAGGCCTTGCCTTGCCCACAGGTTGGGGCACACAGGCAGGGTCTTCCCTGACAGCCATTCTGGGGCACAAAGGAGGTGGCTGGCCCAAGGCTGGTGTGGGGTGTATGTTGTAAGAAATGGGGTAGGCCACCAGACCCAAGGTGACCTCTATCAGGGAGAGCCCATTGAGAGGACTGGAACCTGGGTCCTGGATGGGGAGCCAGGACTCGGGAGCCAGTTCTTCATGGGAGCTAAAGTCAGAGCTGGAATAGTCCCATGTGAGAGAGGAGCCTGGAGTTAAGGTTAGGATGGCCCTGAGGCTGAATGGTAGTGGGTGCCGCAGGAGTGGGAAGGTTTAGGTGACGTCTGGTATCACTGCCACTATGAGCTATGCAGAGGGGGCCTAATAAGTCCAGGGGCGGGACCGTCAAGACCCTGGGCCTGGACTGCCCTCTCTCCACAGTGTCTCTGAGCCACATTAGAGGTCTGCGCTTATGGCTTCAGCTCCTCCTTTAGGGCAAGAACCCAGGAAGTTATCTGGTCTGCAGCATTAGGTCCTGGCCAGGAGTACAAACTCAAATGCCCATGAGGCCAGGAAGGTGCCATTGGTGAGTGCAGCAGCCTGGAAGAGTTCCAAATGTCCTAGATGGACACAATTGAAGCTGGTGAGAGAAGTGGGTCATTCACCACCTGGAGGGCACGTGCCTGTTCCCAGGGCAGCAGGTGCTCACCTATGGCTATTGTTGTCCAGCGTGTGACCAGAACTTTGGATTTTTTCATGAAAAGCTGGACATCTGAATTTTTTTTTTTTTTTTTTTTTTTTTTGAGACAGAGTCTTGCTCTTGTCGCCCAGCTGAACTGCAATGATGCAATCTCGGCTCACTGCAACCTCTGCCTCCCAGGTTCAAGCGATTCTCCTGCCTCAGCCTCTCGAGTAGCTGGGATTACAGCAATTATATGCCACCACACCCAACTAATTTTTTTGTATTTTTAGTAGAGATGGGGTTTCACTATGTTGACCAGGCTGGTTTCAAACTCCTGACCTCAGGTGATCCGCCCACCTTGGCCTCCCAAAGTGCTGGGATTACAGGTGTGAGCTACCGTGCCTGGCTGAAATCTGAATTTTTAAAATTCAGTAAGCCCTCAGTAAGCCACGCCCCAGGACACCCCCAGAGGCAGACGCCCTTTGTTAGGAGCTACATGGTCGTCGTTCCCACCATCCCCCAACACTCAGGAAAGGGGCAGGGACTGTTTCAGGACATCGACTCCTTTCTTGGGCCCATCCTGGGTGGACAGCCACTGTCCGTGGCCCCTTTCTGCACGGACTGGGGTTCCTTTCTGAGTATGCAGAGGGTGGCAACAAGGTCTCTTTCTGAATTAAAAAAAAAAAATTAAAAACAAACTTAAAAAACAAAATTGAAAAAACCCCAAATCCCAGGATGGAAGAATAAATACAATCAACAAAAGTTCTGTTATTTATAAATGGAAATTTTTGCCATTAATAATGATGTGATACTAAAAATTTTTAATGCATATTGATTATAAGGTTTTACCAATTTTTAAATGGGACACTTTGCTTTATATTGCTAAATATAAAACAATATAAAACAAATTTGGACAAGGCTGTCCAAATTTGGGTAATATTTGCTTAACTGCAGTGTCATAATGAAAGTAGCTTGGTATTTTCAAAATTGGATTCTAATTTCTGGCCAGTTAAAGTTCTCAAGGAGAAAAAATTTTAACAACAGAAGGTCTAAGGAATGCATGGTCAAAACAGGAAACACCCAGTGGGCAGGTGACATGGGCGGAACCTCCAGGGAAGGTCAGGCACGCTCAGACTTTGTTCTGCACCTGGCTGTGATCCCTGCTCCTTCTCATAATCCAGTGTGTCTTTTCTTTGACTTCTAGTTAGCTTCAATCTGTGAATTCAAGTACCAACTTTGTTTTTGTTTTCAAAATCTTGAACTCTGGACCACTTTCGGCATGCTGTTTTAAGAAAGTAGTTCACTTTCTGAAAATGGTTTTAATTACTTTGCTATTCACGTGGAAGCATAATTTGCACATTCAGCCAATTTTTGCAAATAACTTTCCTCTGTTTCATATTGTTTCAAGCCTAGAGGAATAATAATTTCTTGTTCCAGGAGATACTGTTTTCAGTCATTAATTGGTGATTTGATTAAAAAACAAATTCTGCCTTCTGCCTGGATCATAGTGATCCCCAAGGGGCTGTTCTGTTGTTTGCAGATCTGAGATATCAATACTCTGTCTCCCTAAACCTTCAGGATAGTCTGCTGCATACACAGTAACCTGTATCAATGTCTGGCTTCTTTCTTTGAAGGTAAAAAGAGGGTGTGCTCTGTGCCTCATCACCATGGTACAAAACAGGATGGCCCCTGCAGCTTGGTGAGAAGATCACTAAACTGAACTAACTTCATAGGATCTGGTTTTTGGCAGCAGATGTAACCATGAGACTAGAAGGCCCCAGGAATTCATAAACTTCCTGGCATTGAGCTGGGCTCGTCCATGGGGTGCGGACTGAATTCAAACGGATGTCCCTAGGTCTCAACAAGCAGAGTAATCACTGCTGTCTGACTTGCACTGATAAGTTTTAAGTCTAATCTGAATTGGGGCTTGCTGAATCTCAAAGATGTCAACCAAGTCATCAGAGAAACCAAAATTCTCCTAACCCAAAATTACCTATGCTAAGATTCACTAGCAGGCAAGTTTTAGCTCAAACTCACGGTGAAGTCCCTGTATTCTGGTTGCCAAGTGGCAGTGTGAGAAGGCAGCCAGCACCACTGCTCGCTAACAGGAGGGCTCACACCACAGTTTGATTTCCACAGGCTGAGGTCTCCTAGGTAGCTCCCTTCCTGGTCTCTGGTGTCACTGAAGGAAGCTCCACAGTGAGAGTAATTGTGGCTCTTTGAGTACCACTGGGCATAGCCAGTGTAAATCTATCCCCCAACTGGTCATCAGTGGATGTGACCCTTCTTAATTCTCACCAAAGACAAAATCAAGCTGTGTCAGGAATTTATTCCTTCTGGTGGGTTCTCGGTCTTGGTGACTTCAAGAATGAAGCTGTGGACCTCACAGTGAGTGTTACAGCTCTTAAAGGTGGGCGTCTGGAATTTGCTCCTTCAGGTGCGTTCATGGTCTCCCTGACTTCAGGAGTGAAGATGCAGACCCTCCCCTTGAGTGTTACAGCTCTTAAACGTGGCGCGGACCCAAACACTGAGCAGCAGCAAGATTCATTATGAAGAGCAAAAGAACAAAACACCCACAGTGCAGAAAGGGACTGGTTGCCACTGCTGGAGCAGGTGGCCAGCTTTTATTCCCTTGTTTGGCCCCGCCCATGTCCTGCTGATTGGTCCGTTTTACAGAGTGCTGCTGATTGGTCCATTTTACAGAGTGCCAATTGGTCCATTTTTACAGAATGCTGATTGATGCATTTACAATCCTCTAGCTAGACACAGAGCACTGATTGGTGCATTTACAATCCTCCAGCTAGACAGAAAAGCTCTCCAAGTCCCCACCCGACCCAGAAGCCCAGCTGGCTTCAGCTTTCAAAGCAGTTCCAGGTTCATGATAAAACCCAAGTGAAAATCCATTTGATTAAAAACTCCCCTTCTCCATTTTCTTTTTTGTTTAAATTGGGACAGCAAAGAGAATTTACAACAACAAATCAAAATGAATTCCAAACCAACCTCCTCTTCCCTAGTAAACAATGAGAAAGTGTCCCACAGTGAGCTCTTCTGGCCAGGGTGGCAGTGCCAGCATTGCCCATTGGCCACATCTCTATCATCCTGCTGTGCTCCTTGTGGCTTTTCCCATCCCCACCTAGCCTGGGAACACTCTGGAAGAAAGGATGCCAAATTGGCAGGAAGGACTCTGAACTTCTAGGCAAGTCTGCCCTGTATAGGTGAAGAGGTGGAGAAGTAATTGCCCTTCCATTACCCAATGCGGGGCTGGAGGCATGAAGCATGTACTCTGGTCATGGCTTCCTGTTTTAGCCATTTCCTCATTAGCAGGTCACCATTTGTTTGATGCATGCTATGCGGATGTGCTTTGGTGTCTGGACAATGCCAGACCAGTGTCCAGGGGCCCACACAGAAGGAGAGCAGACTGGCCCTGTGTCATTCCCTTGGGGAGGCAACGGCCTTCCCAGACCCCAGGGCCCCAGGTTCCTAGAAATTCATTGCCCATTCATTCCTTCAGCAGACGTTTACCCTCTGGCCAGTTCAAGTCATTCTGAGGACCTCCAGGATGCACTAGCTTAGGGAGAAGAGGCAGCAGCCCACTGTGGTTAAGAACAAGACCTCTGGACCCAGACAGCCTGGGTTCAACCCCTTGTTGTGGAATCGCTCACGGTGTGACTTTGGAAAGTTGCCCAACTTCTATGCTCCTGTTTCCCCATCATAAAGTGAGCACAATAAGTGTGGCCACCTCATAGGGCTGTGGTAAGGACAGAGGGAGTTAATTTTTATTAGGCATTTGGAACCAGCTGAGTGACTGACACTCTGGCTGTCATTTGATCATTTCTTGGTATATCTCTTCAATCATCTTGGGTTCTTGTAGCCCCTTACTAATTTCATTTATTCGTGGTAAATATTTACCCTGTATATGCAAAGCTCTGGGCACTGTCTAGGTGCTGGGGATGATGGTGACCCCCTGAGAGTCTCATGGAGGGAAAAAGAGGTACATATCCTAACATAAATGACCCGTGTGGTATGTGCCACCAAGAAGAGAACTGGGGGCCATGGGAACACATGACAGGGCCCTGACTGAGTGTGGGGATTTCAGGAGAAGGGTGTCCCCGAGTCAGGGACTTCCCTGGAACTGTAGATCCACATGCTTGGTTCTCTAAAGTGCTAGCATGAGACTCCTGTGCTTTTCCTTATGGGAAAAATAAACTTAAGGGTTGATGCCAGACCTCAGTGCCCCCCAAAGCCATGACCTTTTGTAGCAGGGAAGAGGGGGGTGGGAATCACTTTACCTTCTGGACAGGAATGCTTCCTTTGAGGTTTTTTTTCTATCTCCAATCTAAGGCTCCAACCCCAGAAGCCAAAACCAATTCTTGCTGTGATAAACTTTGCCAAGATGTAACCAACCCCCAGGAAGACATAATTACACTGTACTTAAGTAATTGCTGTTATTACCATCTCAGTTTGAAGAGCTACAATTGAATTACTTCCTTTGTTTATTTTTATTTTCTAAACTTTTTTTTTTTTTTTTTTTTTTTTACAGCTATAGTGGATATCCTGCCAGGGCAATAATAGTAGTTTTACCTTCTTTTTCTTTTTTAAAGAGCTGCAGTGGTTCCAGATTGATGATCCTTCATAATTTAGTTATTCTTCTCCCTATAGATGAAACTTTGGATTGTTTCCAGGTTTGCTTGTTTGTTTGCTAACATAAACAATTGTACAAGGAGCATACTCGTATACATCTATTTTTAAGTATGCTACAGTCTTGTTGGTTATTGTGGTCAGTGTCTGTTCTGATCAGGGCATGCTTGTGATGTAAGAGTAACTTAATGTTTTGATTATGATCCCTGGCCTTTTCCAGAAGTGGCATCCAAGGGCATCCAGATTAAAATGTCAGCAGTAACTGTCAGGTTAATTCTCAAAATCATTGTAGCAATTTATAGTGTCATCAAAATTAGACTACTGGTACCAACATTTTAAACATTTGCTAAACTGATGAATTTTAATTTGCATTATCCCAACACTGTTGTCTTGTAACATGCTATTGTTCATTTGTATAATCTCTTCTGTTAATTGCCCTTTGTGTCCTTTATCTGTTTTATAGTCGTCTTTTTATTATTAATTTCATAAACTTTTCATATCAGGGATATAAACCTTTTGTCTATTTTAAGTATTGCAATTATTTTCTTCTAGTCTAGTAAAAAACTGTTTAATGGCTTACAAAATCAGGAGTTTAAAAAGTTTATGTAACCAAATTTATCAAGTTAGTTTTTCTCTTTATGGGCTCTAGAGTTCCTGTTTTTTGTTTTGTTTTGTTTTGTTTTGTTTGTTTGTTTTTCGAGACAAGGTCTGGCTCTATTGCCCAGGCTGGAATGCAGTGGTGGGATCTTGGCTCACTGCAACCGCCACTTCCTGGGCTCAAGCCATCCTCCCACTTCAGTCTCCCGAATAGCTGATACTACAGGCACACACCACCATGCCTGGCTAATTTTTTTTTTTGAGATGGAGTTTTGCCACGTTGCCTAGACTGGTCTCAAACTTGTGAGCTCAAGTGATGCTGGGATAACAAGCATGAGCCATTACACCTCGCCTAGGTTTCCTATTTTATTTAAGTAGAAATCCTCATTGTAAGGTTACACAACATTTTCTTATAATATAATATATATGTGTGTGTGTGTGTGTGTGTGTGTGTGTGTGTGTGTGTATTTATTTATTTATTTACATTTAGCTATTCAATCTATCTGGAAATTTTGTACATGGTATGTGATAGGAATTTAACTTTATTTTCTTTAAAAATGGATAACCAGATGTGTCAATATATTTTTTAAGGAACTCATCCTTTCCTCACTGACCTATAGTATGACTTCACCATATAATAGATTTATACATCTGCTTGGATCTGTTCCTGTGCTTTAATTGTCTGGTCCTTAGCTAAGTGAATGACTCAGTCTCATACTGACCAGAGATAGAGATAGGAAGGAGAGCCTTGGGGGGCCCTTCCTCCTGCTGGGGGCTTTATCCCTGCCTCCTGGAAGACCACCAACCCCCCTGCATGTTCCTGCTCTGCCCAAGTCCATCTTGAGACCCATGTCATTGGGAAGCCATTGTTTCTTTTGTCGGTGGGATTCAGGGAGATTGTCCAAACTGGCCGTCATTCTTAATTAGGGCATTCTCTCTGCTCAGGCATCAGAATCCCTTTCCTGAGCTTACACTATAAAATCCCCAGGGTATGAGACCCCAGTCAGGCACAGATTCAGGGTTAAGCCATCCTATCTCTCCAAATGGTAAGCTCCTGATGGTGCTTCATCATCATGAAGAAGATGATCTGTCTGAGTATTGAGGACTGCCGACTCACTAAAATTTACCCCCAGGCCCTGGGCTTCCTTATCAGTGACCTTGGTACCCCATTCTCTAGTCTGAAGTTACTGAGAGAAAGAGAGAGAGAGAGCACGCAAACGACACCCAGAGTGCTGAGAAGAAAGGCAAATAGCTTCCAACGGCAATGCAGGGTCTCGGTATGTGACTGGATAAGAGGAAGAGTCTGGGTTCAGCTCCATCTCTGTCACCTACCAGCTGCATGACTGTGGGTAAGGTATTTCACCTTTTGGAGTCTCATTCCCTCAATAAATTGACTAGAATTAAATACCCAGTCCAGCATCTGGTGCCCAGAAGATCCTCAATAGGGGTCAGCCCCCACCTTCCTTCCAGAGTTTGAAGTCAGAGCTCTGGCCATATCTTTTCCAGATGGAAATTAGTGTCCCTTCCATTGCTTGCCCCATAGGATCTCCAAGGAATGGTTTCTGTTGCATGCTCTCAGTTGCCAAATGTGCTCCTTCCCTCCCTCTCCTTCTCTCTTGGGAGAGCAGAGGTGGATTTTACAATTCCTGCTCCTGGTGTGGTCCTGTGAAGGCAGATGCACTTCCACAAGGATTCCTCTGCTTTCCAATGATGGGAACAGAAAATCCAATCTTGGGACCTCAGGCCGTGGGAGGGATGCTTGAGTAAACCAGATACCTTCATTCCATGCTATGACCTGATGGAGATTCAGAGCGATCACAAGCATATTCTGCTGGTGCCCTTCTTGAGAAGTGCTATGGCTTGAGCATTGCCTCCAAAACTCATGTTGTAATTTAATTGCCATTGCGATGATATTAAGAGGAGGGTGCTTTGAGGGGTGATTAGCTCATGAGGGCTCTGCCTGCATGAATGGATTAATGCTGTTATTGTAGGAGTGGGTTTCTGATAAAAGGATCAAGTTCGGCCCCCTCCCTTCTCTGTTTCATGTGCTTGCTTGCCCTTCCACCTTCTATCATGGGATGATGCAACATGAAAGCAGAGATGCTGGTGCCATGCTCTTGGACTTCACAGCCTCCATAATTGTGAGCCAAATAAATTTCTTCTCTTTATAAATTACCCAGGGTATGGTATTCTGTTATAGCAACACAAAACAGCCTAAGACAGGAGGGCTCAAGGAAAAGGAGAGCAATCCCAGGTAGGGTTAGCATCCACAGGAGCACTGTGGACTAAAGCCCTGATAGAGTGACTATCTGAAAAGTACTGACAGTATCAAGCAGCCTCTGCTGATGACCTTTGGTGTCCTGAGCAAGCAACTCAAACTTTCTGACTTTCAGTGTCAGACAGCATACTTTACAGAGTATACTCTGTATGAGGATTAAATAGGTGCATAGTCCATAGGATACAATCAATGAGGACTGAAGCAATAATAAACATATAGGCTGTGAATACTATAGTTTGGTAAATGGCAACAGGGTGGTACAAGAGAAAAGCCAAAGTTTAAAGTGTGTTTAGATTGCAAATATTCCTGACAAAAGGAACATATTAATTAAAATTTACCCACTCTAAGCTATAAAAGTTGATTTCCTTAAAGATTAAAAAAAATTCAAAACAGTATAAACCTTTTAGAAAATTTAGGAATATATGAATGAAAATAAATAATACACAGTTATTACTTGATGACAACCAGTCAACATTTTGCTTTATTCCTTTTCATTCAATTTCCTATTATTTGAAACAAAAACCTTTAAATGTCTTTGAGATTGATACTGTATATGAAATTTTATAGGATCCATATTAAAATAAATTTACCACATGTATTTTACACTACAAAGTAAACATTTAGAATTTTGAATAGGCCAGGCACAGTGGCTCATGCCAGTAATGTCAGCACTTTGGGAGGCCAAAGCAGGCGGGTCACTTGAACTCAGGAGTTCAAGACCAGCCTGAGAAACATGGTGAAATCCCATCTCTACAAATAAATAGAAAAAAAAAAAAAAAAAAAACAGACAGGATTGGTGGTGCATGCCTGCAGTCCCAGCTACTCAGAAGACTGAGGCAGGAGGATTGCCTGAGCCTGGGGAAGTCAAGGCTGCAGTGAGCCATGATCATGCCATGGCACTCTAGCCTGGGCAACAGAGTGAGACCCTGTCTCAAAACAAAACAAAACAAATTCTGAATAAACACCATGTTAGAGTCTACCCAATGTTGTATTACATTGCTATAGTCACTTCATACTACAAAATGAATGTTTAATAATTCTGGTTAAACACTGTTTTAGAGCCTGTCCAATGTTGTATCCCATTGCTATATTTACTTAACCAGTTCCATATATTGTAAATTGAAATTGTTTTCAATTTTCCACTTTTGTAATTAGCAAGATGATAACATTTTCTTGCATTGAGCTTTGTGACTTTTGTATTTTAGATTTCTCTAGGATACATTGCTGAGACTGAATGCCTGGGTCTGAGGGATGAACATTTTTAATGTTTTGATATAAATGGCTAAATTGCCTTACCAAAAAAAGCATTTTCAGTTTATATTCCTACTATCAACACTATGAAAGTACCCATCTCCTTGCATCTTATGAGCATCACATATTACTATGTTTATAAATGTATAGGGTTTTCATGATTTATTTTGCTAATTTGATTGATTTAAAATGTACAGAGAGCAAATTATAATGGAGAGAGGGTAGTAAGAAGGGATGCAGGCTGAAGGCGAGATGGAGGATATAGGAGAGAAGCCTGGTTCTTCAGGTTGTTCTTCTGCTTTTCTTGCCTGGGAGAGGGGTAGAAAAGGTTGCCAAAGCTACTCTGTTTTCTTCCTCTTCTTTGGGTAGGGTGGGGGTGGTGAAAGCAGGAGGGAGGAACAAAAGGTTCATCTCCATGGGAGAAGGGCTAAGCCTTGTTGCATGCACAGGCTTCTGCATAGGTGAGTGAATCATGACTAGTATCAGGTCCAACTAGGAAGAGCAGTGCCTGACCTGTCAGCGTATGGTCAACAGAGTATTGTACTGCCTGAGCTGGGGAGCCCCAGCAGATTCTGTGAGCTGTGGGCCAGCAAGGGCCAGGCCATGGGATGGAACAGAAAGGTTTGGGCTGCCCCTTGTGGTCCAGCTAGTATCTGCTCTAAGAATCCTTAGATGGAGTTATGGATGATGGTTTTGCTTCCAGGCACAGGCCAGAGCAAAAGGCAGCTTCCCATGGACCAAGTGTCCTGGCATCCCCAGTTCTGTGGGGCCCCTCACCCTTCTGTGGCCACAATGTTGTCTTTTCCTATGCAGGTGGCAAGTGGGGTTCTTGAGTGGCAGAGCTGAGCTGTGGCCATTCCCCAGTTTCCTGGTACCAGGTGTGGCAGCCCTATTCCTCTGGGAGCAGCATGTTGCCAGAAACTTCTCTGCTCCCTGTCTTGCTCTCCACAAATGCCCCACCTGTACCATGCCTTCCTCTTATGCTCAGTGAATAGCTCCTGCCCTTCTAGTTGTCCTACCAGGAAGTGACACCTTCCTCTGATTGGAGTGCCCTGGCTTGATGGATGGTAATTCTCTGAATAGTTGTCCTTTGGGGTGAAATGGGGGCTATCTGTGCATAGGTGCTTGTGAGAAGGGCAGCTGGCCCTGATGCAGCTGCAGCACACAGGGTGAGGGTACTAACAGTGTTCACCCAGTCCCAGCTGTGCAACCCTGAGTGGGGAATGCTTCACACTTCAGCCACTGGAATTCTCACAGAACCCTTGCACAAGTATCTTCATTTAATGGAAAACAGACTGAGGCAGAGCTGGAATTTAAATCCAGGTCTGCCCAATGCCAAGTCCACATCCTGTCTATGAAGCCATCCTTGTGGCCTTTGCATTGCCCCCATCTTTGCCATTCCAAGTGGTGTCCTCCAGTCAGTCCGAGGTGGGCCCTCAGAAGGGAGGCCAGCTGCTGAGCAGGAGAAGAGAGATCTCCCTCATGTGTCCTGGCTCTAGTGCCAGTGTGCCACATCAGCCCTTTAAAGCCGAAGTTTTATCATTGTTAAATAGGTTTGTGCTCTTCAGAGATTGCTTCCTAAACTGCAAAGCGCAAAGGATGAGGACTCCCAGTCTGGTGGTGGGGAGGAAAGATGGGTCAACAACTAACGCCCTGGGCTGGAGGGCTCTGCCTGGTTTGCGGATTCCCCTCCCCACACCGTGCCCAGGGCCAGCTGGGCCCTGCAGCAGCCTTTTCATTCCATTGTCACAGGGAACTCCCCCCTCCTGACCAGGCCTCCTCCTTTGCTTGGCTCGCGCACCTCACACTGGAAAGCATGACTTCAAGCCTACTCCGAGTAATGAGGGAGGCCTCCTGGCAGCATCTGCCATGACTGCCAGGGGCCAGCAGATTTGCGTGGCTCACCCTGATTCACCCGCATGGGCTCAGAGCCTCTCCCTCTCTTTGGTGTGTGCTTTGAGGTGAGCAGAGCAGCTGGTTGGAGAGCGCATCCAATGACTGTTCAGAGTTGCTCCTGTGGTCCCGCTTCCCAGCTCTCTGTCCTGGCTGGCACGACTCCTTTGAAACGGTTCCCAGGCGATTCCTGGAAATGGGGGTGCTCGCTTTTTTGAAGTCAGAGGTGATACTGAACATATGTAACACCTAGCCATGGTGGGGCTCCGCTCGGCTGACTCCCCAGCGCAGGAAACACAGCCACCAGCTAAGGTGTCCTCACCTGTCCTGAAGAGAAAGGCTCAGGATCCTTCAGGTTGAAGGATCTCTCCACTCAAACACACACACAGAACACACATCACACACAGACGCCACACACCACACACACACACCACCCATTTCACCACACACATCACACACCACAGAATACACCACACACACACCACACACATGCCAAACACTGCACCACACACTGGACCACACACACACTACACACGCCACACACACCATATACACCACACACACACCACAGAATATACCCCCCTCACACACCACACATGCACATCACACAATGCACCACACACACTGCACCACACACACACACTACACACACCACACACTACACACACCACACACACCACAGAATACACCCCCCACACACCACACACATCGCATACAGACACACATACTAACACCCCATACAGTACACCCTATACACATACCACACAATACAGCACAAACACACCACATACAGCATACACACACCCCAAACAGTACACCACACGTGAAACACATGCCACTCACATACCCTACACAATACAACACACACACAAAATACACACACAGCATACACACATCACACACACCACATAACACAGCACGCACTACACACCTCACACACCACACATACCACACACACTCTACATAATACGTCACACATACCACACAACACACACACTTCCACACAATATACCACATACACACCGCACATACACCATACTCACATGTGCCACACACATACCCCACATGATATATCACATAAACACACACACACTTAATTTGGCATAGTCAGCAAGATAAGTGAGTACAGTACCTGCACGTGAAATTGGCATTTGGAAGCCCCGGGATGCTCCTGGGGACGGAGGACTGCGGGGAGAAGACAATGTGACTGGGGAGCACCGGCCATTGGGGAGGAGATGGTGCGACCGGGGAGAACCAGGAGTGTTTGGAGGGACACCCCAAGAAACGGGTTTCCATGCCCTGTGTGATAGCAAAGGTGCTCCTTAGACCCATCCTGTGCTCAATCTAGGACTGGAGTGCCAGAAACCAGACCTAAAGGCATTGGAAGGGAAATACAGAGATCCTAGCACAAGGAGTGAACAGTGAGGGGAAGAAGGAGCCTCCGAATAGGCCTGGAGACTGGAATTGCCAGCGTTACACATTTCTAAATTGTTTTTCTGATGCTCTCTCTAAGAGGGGAGGCACTATCACTCTTGGATAAAGGCACAGTGTTACAATGTCCTTCTGATGGCACACTTGCCCACCTTAGCTTTAACCTCACAGAAGGTGTGCTTCTGCCAATTGCTATGCATTGACCAGCAGTCATAGTGGAGCTGACACCAAGGAGCTGTTTTCTTTGCCTCTGATTCCTTCTCAAAATTGCACCAAATATTTGCCATGGCTTCTGGCTGGAAGTAGGAATGTTGTTCTGAACAATATTATGGGGTGGCGGTGAGATGGACTTGAGAGGCATCCCGGACTCATGACTCATCTCTTTCCCTGCATCCCCAGAATCCTGTCACATTACTCTTAATGGTCCAGAAAATACAAGGACTCCTCGAAGGATGAAAGAAGGGATTTGGTGAGCAGAGGAAACTATAACCCACACTGTGTGCAGTGGAGGACCAGTGAGAAAGTGTGGGGGGCTTATGGAGTGCTTCCAGCAGGGAAGAGGCACGTAGAAGGAGCAGAGGGCCCTGGAGCCACAGCAGGCAAACCTCTTGGGAATATGAGACAAAATACTACACATACGAAACCACATTTGTTCATTCTCCTTGCCAGCAGAATTTTACGAAGCCCCTGACTCAGTGGCTGAGTGCAGCCCTCCAGAAGAATGCCCTGAAGATGATAAGCAGGATAGAGCACAGGCTGCCATCTCTCTTGCCTAAATCACTACATTTTAAGAAAAAGATAAGTTCAATGATCCTAGCTTTTGCCTCTTCTTGTACATAAGACAATGTTCAAGAGGATTAGAGATTATGCTTCTATAATCTATAACCAGGTGCACCCAAACATTGAGGAGATTCTGCTCTAATGTAACTTCTGAGCACATGCAAAACCTCCACTGCCAGTATAGAAGCTGTGGGCTGCCACATTGCTTTGGAGCAGTCTAGCAGAAGTTCTGTGAAAGGCTCTCCTGGGTTGCAATCCTCAGTGAGACTTCTGAATAAAACTAACTTTAATTATCGAAAAGCCTGATTTTTTTCTTTCATTGACAGGAACCAGAGTTGAGATTGTTGGCTCTGTCCTCCTTCACCCAGCAGCAGGCAACTTTGGGAGCGGGCACTTGAGTAGGAGTGTGAAGGTAGCCCCAGAAGCACTGGGGACCTCCCATGCATAGAACACTAACTACTGGCACACTCAGCCCAGTAGAATTCTCTCCACCTCCCCAGCCCTGGAGACAGCCTTCACTGCTTGCAGGTAACAAAGATAATGCTCACTGAAGGATCTCAGAGAACCTTAGGTCAAAGACAAGTATTCAAACAAGACATAAACAATTGTGAAAAAAGTCACAATTGAATACCAGCACCAAGGAAATAGAGTTAATTGAATGAAGAGATTTTATTTATTTATTTATTTATTTATTTATTTTTACTTTTTGAGATGAAATCTCTCTCTGGCGCCCAGGCTGGAGTTCAGTGGCGCGATCTCGGCTCACTGCAACCTCTGTCTCCCGGGTTCAAGCGATTGTCCTACCTCAGCCTCCCGAGTAGCTGGGATTATAGGCGCAGCACCACCATGCCCGGCTAATTTTTGTATTTGCAGTAGAGACGGGGTTTCACCATGTTGGCCAGGCTGGTCTCAAACTCCTGATCTCAAGTGATCTGCCTGACTCGGCCTCCCAAAGTGCTGGGATTACAGGCGTGATCCACTGTGCCCAGCCTGAAGAAGAGATTTTAGAAGAAGGAAATATCTCAAGAGGAATGAAAGTATATCAAGAACAAGTGATTATAGAAATGAAATAATTAGATCTTGGCAATGAAAGATATGATTGTCAAAATAAACTAAATAACTTAATGATTAGGATTAGTATCATGATAACATACATAGAGAATTAGTGATGTAGAAGAACAAGGCAAGGGATACTCCAGAATTCAGTGCAAAAAGATAGAAAGGCTGCTAGTGGTCTACCAGATTCCAGTTTCCTCTTCTTTCAGAGTACAAGGCTGGACTACATGCAGGTTGATATGGCCACGTGGCTAAATTCTGTCCAATGAATGTGAGTGGGGGGTCTGTGTGCTGCTGATGAACTAAGGGCGTGCCTTCTCCCTGCTGTCCTGCTTCCCACTGCCTATAGCCAGCTCTGCAAGCAGGTGAGGATGGCACACTAGAGATGTCAGAGAAATGGAATGGAGGGAGCTTTGAGCTTGTCAATGTCAAATAAAAGATAAAATAAAAGATTAGAGATGAATGTCTAAATTTAAAACATTTTATTTGGAAGCAAGAATTGCAAATTGGGGCATACACACAGAGTGGGTAGTCTTAGGTCTGTTCAAAGAACAAAGAAAAGATGGGAGGTTTTACAAAAAGGATAAATGTTATGTATCATTTGAAAGAAAGTTATTTTGCATTAGTAAAGTTTTGGAGAGCTGGTGGCTCTGACTAGTGAGGGATGGTGGTGGGTAGAGTCACAGCAGATTGTTTTAGTAGCTGTTAGATAAAACTGGTTTCAGGTTACAACAGGAAGCTTCAGCAGTTGAGCTTGTGAAAAATGTAATTCTTGGAGCAGGTGCTATGTGCCTCAAGTAATTTTCCCCGCCGGGCCCTTCAATTTGGATTTAGTCAGGTGTAATAGGAATGGCCCAATTTGCATAATCTTCTTTCTTATGGCTCCCTTTTGATCAAGATCTTTCTCCAAAACCATTGCTGATCAACCATACTGTCTTGGGAAAAGCTGTCTATCCCATGAAAAACATCAATTTCTCATTCTGGTGTGCAGTTTGAATGCCTCTGGTTATGGCATCAGGCCTTTTGGTGAACTTTCTGTGTGGCACATACATCAGTCATGAGACATGTTCCTTAAAATTTGTCTACTTTCAGCTTTAGAAATAGAACAGTTCATGTTTTGGTAATTTTATGAGGGAAAGTTGGATTAGAGGAACCCAGAAGAATTTAGGTCTATACTAGTCTATAGGTAAATAGCAAGAACTCAAACACAATGTAGAGTTATCATTTATTAAGAGGCATATTATAACTTTAGAAACACAGGTTTTAAAATTTTTAACATTGATCACGTAAGAACCTCAGATTTAAAACTTTGAGACTGGGAAGCCAAACTGAGGCAGACTTTAGATTTTGCTTACAGTTTTAAGGTTCCTGTGCCAGGAAATGACAATTTTAATGTACTCATTGTAAGGCTGGTAACCCTTGAAGTCAGGCATTTTGTGCATTCTTCAAATATGACATTTTAGTCAAAGCCTTGGTAATATAATCAATTATATTCTGCTATAGAAAGAGAATGGATTTTTTTTTTTTTTTTTTTTTTTTTTTTAGATGTGGTCTCGCTCTGTCTCCCAGGCTCACTCTCCCAGGAATGCAGTGGCAGTGGCATGATCTTGGCTCACTGCAATCTCTGCCTCTCAGGTTCAATCAATTCCTGTGCCTCAGCCTCCCGAGTAGCTGGGATTACAAGTGTGAACCACAATGATCAGCTAATTTTTGTATTTTTTTTTAGTATAGATGGAGTTTTGCCATGTTGGCCAGGTGGGTCTTGAGCTCCTGACCTCAGGTGATCCGCCTGCCTTGGCCTCCCAAAGTGCTGGGATTACAGGCACGAGCCATTGTGCCCCGCTGAAGAGAATGGATTTTCATTGCACTTAGGCAAATAATCATATTGCCATAAGAATACTCACAAATAGTTTTTGAATTCTGGAAGAATCAAGTAAGGAGAAAACACCAAATGCTTTTATCTTTGTTTAAAAAAGTATACTTTATCAAATTGCTGTAAATTATAGATAAAGAGAAATTTTTTCCTTAAATCTGGAGAACAAAATATTTAAGACAAGAATCAACAATGTTTTAAATAAAAGTTATAAAAATATTATTTTTTTTTGAGATAGAGTCTCGTTTGGTCACCCAGGCTGAAGTGCAGTGGCATGATCTCAGCTCATTATAACCTCCGCCTCCTGGGTTCAAACTATTCTCCTGCCTCAGCCTCCTGAGTAACTGGAATTACAGGTGCTCACCACCAGTGTTCCTCTGTTGCCCAGGCCGGAGTGCAGTGGCACGATCTCAGCTCACTGCAAGCTCCGCCTCCTGGGTTCACACCATTCTCCTGCCTCAGCCTCCCAAATAGGTGGGACTACAGGTGCCCACCACCACGCCTGGCTAATTTTTTGTATTTTTAGTAGAGATGGGGTTTCACTGTGTTAGCCAGGATGGTCTTGATCTCCTGACGTCGTGATCCACCCATCTCGGCCTCCCAAAGTGCTGGGCGTGAGCCACCATGCCTGGCCAAAAATATCTTTATCAATTACTTAATTCATGTAATTAATTTTTGTCCTGATTGATCTTGATTACTAGTTTCATGAACCCATCAATTTATTTAGTAGAGATCTGGATATTTTTATTTAGTCTATTGATCTTAAAGTTAACAGAAACCTGTATTTAAGAGTATTTATTAGAATCTTTTCCATTAATCTGATTGTAAATGTTTTTAGAGAAGAATTCAAAACTGTGGATGACAAAAACTTAGAATAGCCATAGTTAAAAATCTGACGAAAGTTTATAATCAACAAGGAAATTTCGTTATTTCTATTATATATAGCATTTTAAGATAACCAGAATTATGACTAAGACATATTTCTATAAATTTGTTTATACTTTTTTCTTTTTTTCTCATCTGATATTTTTATAAATTTACAGAATTTTCAGAACTTTCATATCAACAACATACCAATAAATGCAACTAAAAGAAGATCTAGTATCACTTATCATTTGACAATGTTTTTTGTATGATTTACCAAATAACAGTAACCATTTAATATCCCCATCTACAAGATGAGAGGTATATCTCTTGAGACTTTCCAGGGACCAAATTAGAAAAATCCCAAGGTTAATTCTAGGTCATGAAGACTTAGGTTAGGATTTGATTTTGGGGAAGTTTGTCAATGATGTAAAAAACTTAAAATATTTGATTGAAACAGAATCACAGATCACTGAAAAATAATAGTCATTCACTTAACTAAAGTGATAGTCGAGGTTTCAGAAGCAATATAGAAAGTTACATGGATGTAAACACCTTAACCTTTTTCAATATCAGTTTTTCTAAGTAATCAAAAACCTAATAAAGACAACACAATAAATTATCTTGATAAAATGGTTTTTTTTTTTTTTTTGGCTCAGTAACCAAAAAGTTAAAAAGAAAATCTGCAGAATGACTGTTTCTCCTTACCAGAATCTCACTAATATAACCTGGAAGTTGAACCTAATGAAAAATATACTTGATTTTAATCCTACACAGGAAGAATATGTCCAAGATTGTGAGTATACACTATATTATAGAAGAATGTAAACAAGAAAACTAGTTTTCTTGAGAAAGAAAATACATGGCTCTTAGTAACAGCATGGAAAAGCTTCCTGGTTACAATGGTACAATTCAGACATATTGAGAAAAGCCAAGAGTATAGAATCAAATTATACTGGAGGAAAACATTGCTTTTCTAGGCTTTTAAGAGAAACACTTCAGCATCAGACCATAATAGCAGAGGTAGAACTAGCGGGAAAAAAAAAAGATGTAAGAGTTGACAAAAAAGGTTGAAGGAGAGAATTATCACCCCAGCCAAGCAAAAAATACACCTTTTCAAGGGGAGAAAGTTCAGAAGGCAAGGATCTTTTGCTGCAAGTCATGTGCTGCAAGGTACAGCAGAAGTTGAACTTCTGAGACAAAAATTTGAGAAATTTCAAAAGGAAAACTTTACCTCAAGGAATGAATTACCATTGTAAATAAAGAGGACCATATTTTTAAGCCAAAACTAGGGAAATTAATTAGATCTCAGGAAATGTGGCAGATACTGACACTGGCTGCAGTTTAGAAGATTGTTGTTAAAAAAAAACAGATTTTAGAATTAAAAATAAAACCCTTTTGCAATTTTATTAAGAGCAGACCAATACTTCAAAAAAACTTTGTTGTTCTAAATAGGGGGCCACATTTTTTTGGTTTAGTATTAGTGTATTTTTAGTATCAAATTTTAATCTTTAGAAACATTTATAAATAATTCCCTTCTAATTATAAACAACTTGATCATACACAAAATTTATTTCATAACTTCCCCCTTTATGAACCTTTTTATGACTTACTTGGACCATAGTTGACATACTTGTTTTTTTTGCTTTTTTCTATACATCCTGTTTCTTAAATAACTAGTCGTTTTGCTTTAGGACAACAATTTACCACATAAGAGTCTTTCTCAAATAAATTATTTTTTTCATATTACTTATATTTTGATTAATAAACCTAAATATATTTAGTATTATTATAAAATTGAAGAAGCCAAGAACAAACTTGCATTTATTTAGCAATTTGTTGGTTTTTTCTTATTTGGATATGAACCGGACATTTAATGAGTACCTATTATTTAATTTACCATAACTTTAAGATTTTAGATTACATGAAAAGTTTATTTATAAATGTTTATTCTATTTATAGTCACCTAATCTTTTTAACAATTATATCTAGAGTTTATATGTATAATCATCTAATTTTTTTTAACAACTATATCTAGAGTTTACTATGAAAATTGAGGTATTAGAGCTAGTCATTAAGTTCTTTTATTAGCCAACTTGGTAGCCTGTTAATATCAAGTGTTTACCTAAGTAGGAGCCTTAAAGTTAAATAAATGGGTATTTGGTTGATAACTCACAAGCTATAGCTGTTTTTATTGAATCAACAATATTAAAATAATCTTACTTATCAAAGAATTGCACAAAAATCATTCTGTTTTAGGCTGGGTTCACAGCTTTATAACCTTAAAGGATCTAACAGAAGCAAATAAACTGTCTAATCAGTTCACCCAGGCAAAAAATATATGTTGACAATTTTGGGACATTTCTAATTTTATGTTATCAACAATTTTGAAGCCAATTAATATATCCAATATTTACTTAAGTCATGTGAACGAAAAAAATTTTTGTTCATTGCTGTATATTTTATATGAGTGCTCATTTATCTAAATAGAATTCTTTAAGGAATTTTTGGCCAGCTATGCCAGATTTTGCCATGTAGACACAACATAAAACACAATACATGTACATATGTGTAAACACATCTAAACACATATACACACACACCAAGATCTTACAGCATCAGCAGTAAGCAAATAACTGTGGAAATGACTTTAAATAGGCGTAGTTAAAAACAGAATTGACAAGAAAATTTGGTTATTTCTGTGGTTTACAATAACTTAACATAATAACTATGATTGATAGCATATACTCAGACATATTAGAATTTTAGAAACCCCATATAATTTTGGAACATATATTAATATCATTCACTAAAATATAGCCTGAAGAAGGTTAAACATTAGTTTTTATTTTGACAATGCTTCTCATGTAATTTAACATGTCAAATAATCCTGTTAACCTCTCTTTTGGATGCTTCAGGGGCCCTCTGTAGCACCTCAAAGTTAGAGGTCAGAAAAGACAATTTTGAAGCTGAAATTTGATTTTGGGAAGCTTATCAAATATGTTATTAAGGTTTAAAACACTTAATATTATGAAATAGAATCCCAGGTCAACATAAGTCA
Organism: Homo sapiens; assembly: GCF_000001405.40. Lineage (NCBI taxonomy): Eukaryota > Metazoa > Chordata > Mammalia > Primates > Hominidae > Homo > Homo sapiens. The sequence continues at coordinate 46,481,584 of NC_000010.11, read as the reverse complement.
TTCATTTAGCCAAAATGATGACTCAAAAATATAAAAGGCATAAACCTTTACTCATTGATGGAGGGAAGACTTAGCTTTCCAAACAATCTGTCTCGTCTTTCCCTTCTTTTTTTGGTAGTTTATTCAAAAGGCAAACAAAAATGTTTCATTTTTAAAAATATAGCATAAAAATCTTGTTCAAGAGAGAAAGCCAATTTTAGCATTGCATTAGTGCATTATTGATGTCAAACCCCATTCTTAATAAAACCTTATAGACAAATATGTTCAATTTTAATGTCTGACTATAAGATAAGATTCTCATAAGTCTTTTTTATAACCCTTTACCATTTTTGTTAAAGAGCAGATCAGTGCTCTAAGGAAACTGTTGTGGTTTTATTCCAATGTTCAATTTACAGAAAAAACTGAGTAATACCCCTTTAAATTTAGCCAATATGTTCATACATAGAATCTCTGTTACAATTAATTTTTCACAACTGTTTCACAACTTGTTCAAACCTTTAGCTTTATCCTAATTTAAAACAATACTTTAACCCTCTAAACTAGGCAAAAATTTACATTTCCATGCCTTGTTATAATCTTTTAGTAAAAGCACATTTTGCTTTCCTCATACACTTTGCATGTACAACTTTTTTTAGTAGTCTTAATTACATGTTACAATGTTAATTCTTAGCAATATTAATTTTTGGTGAAAACCCTGTTAAGTAAGTGATTTTAATTACGTACTAGGTTTGGAGCCTAGGACACCAGACAGAAGTACAGATAAGGTCTGACCCTTTTCAGCATAGCTAGGGGAGTGGTTAATTCCACATGTCCTTAGGTCTGACCTAGCTGTTAAGCAGGCAAGTTGAACAATTTTCAAAAGCCAAAGAAGCAGTTTATGACCTTAAAGCATTTAGTAAACCTAATATCTGACCTACCTAATTTATTTACTTATTTTATTTTATTATTATTTTTTTTGAGATGGAGTCTTGCTCTGCCGCCCAGGCTGGAGTGCAGTGTTGCGATCCTGGCTCACTGCAACCTCCACCTCCCGGGCTCAAGCAATTCTCCTGCCTCAGCCTCCTGAGTAGCTGGGATTACAAGCATGTGCCACCATGTCCGGCTAATTTTTGTATTTTTAGTAGAGATGGGGCTTTACCGCGTTGGCCAGGCTGGTCTTGAACTCCTGACTCCAGGGATCCGCCTGCCTTGGCTTCCCAAAGTGCTGTGATTATGAGCATGAGCCACTGCACCCAGCCTGACCTACCTAATTTAGACCAAATGTCTTTATTTTACCAGTAATCTTTAAAACTGTTTTTATTTCTCAGAGATTACTAAAGTCACGTGAACTACAAGGCATTACAGTTTTTTCTTTCAAAATATTTTATTTAAGCCTTATTTTTCTTTAAGCCAATTACTTAGAGTTCGTTTATATAAACATCACACACACGACACATATATAACTACACAGATAGAAAAAGATCCACTAGTTGTAAGATTTTTCATTTGCCAGTTTTTAAGTTTCTTAATTAGATTACTGGCTTCAGGGTGGGGTCCTTCAAGGAGCAGGGCCAGGAAAGGATGCGGTTTCTAGGACCTAATAAGGAGGCACAACTGAATGACAAAAACAGATCTCCAAAATTAAGGGTCCCATTTTTATATTACATCCCAGATCCCTAAAAAGAGGAAAATGCTATAGAAGACAGTGCAATGCTTTTACCATGCATTTAATTGCATGGCAACCCAAAGCCAATCAGCCCATTTTGCAATCAGCCTGTCCCCCGTGAGAGTCAATTAATTTGACTCCTAGTAGGGGGTGGGGATTTTTCCGTACCTTCTAGGTGGCCAAGAGCATGCTTCTCTGATTCAAGCATGGTTAGTATCCCCCCATAACTGCCATTAACCATCTCTAAAAGTATATTTCCTACCTAGTTATTACACACGAAAGTTCTCTTATAATGCAAGTAATTTTTGATACCCCCAAAACTGAAAACCTTCAGATAACACAATGCAAAATCTATTTACTTTCAATTCCTGGGGTTTCATGAGGAAAATCGAGATTTTTTCCCAAAACCGGGTCTATGGCACTTCCTCTGTTTTTCCTAAGGAGTCCCAGACTATTGGAAGTTATCTTAGGTCTTCTCATGTGTGCATTAAGTGTGGCAAGAAGACAAAATGGAGAAAAACAATTCAGTTGACTGAGAAGAAAAAACAAACAAACCTATTTTCTTCAGAAAAATAAGATCCAAGAAGGGAATAAAAACCCATAAAGGCCATTTAAATATACATATAGCTTGGATATATGTATCCAAGTCAGCTTTAATTAAACTGACTTTTAACCACAGCACTCACAAAAATGTTCTTTTAATTTCTCATTACTCTAGTTTAGCCAGGGCAAACAGCCAATATATCTGGCTTTTAAACTTTACCGTAAGTAACTCTACGAGTGAAACCAACAAACCTCAACTAAGGTTATGACTTAACCATGAGTGTATGAGGTATTTTCAATTTTTACAAAATTAAGAATCTTCAAAGGTAGCTCAGAGAAAGGAAAATCTAAGAAGGGAAGCCAGAAGTTGTTAATGGAGGGGAAGGGAATCAACAAACGGTAAAGGTCACAGAGATGTCCACCAGAATGTACTCATTCTGTAAGCTAGGATAGAACCCAGGCTGCCATTATAAAATGGCAAACCCTTAGCTGCTGAGCCAAAACATTGGGCAGTTTCCACTGCTTTTCCCACAAAGAGTCTAGAGCAATCAATTTTGAGCTTGCAATGGCTTTTAACTACTCAAAATAATTTTTAGAGCTAACTATGATATGAGCCCCAAAATTCCTTTTCCCTAGATGGCAGAGACCAAGAGAAAGTACTGCCACGCTGTTACAAGGTCAAGCTCCCCAGGACATAAAACAAGATGGAGACCTCATTCAGTTTTCTGCTTGTTTCAGGAATCTGTAGCAAAGTTTGTAACCATAGGCAAAAGCCTCTCAATTTTGCAAGTTGCCACCCAACTAGCTGCATGGAGGACCCAAATTAATGTTTTCCATTCTGGCCAGAGAAAAATACATGTGACAAAACATAGACATTAGCCACTCTGCTTAGCACCCACTATCGAACTTGTGAGGCTCAAACTTGCCCCCAGTTGGTCCCTATCATCTTTAATACATTCAAAGTGGATTAAAGGAGTTTCAACATGTGATCTTTGGGCAAGATGGACGCCCTTTTAACAGAAAAGAAAGGGAAAGAAGAGAAAGGGAGAAAAGCATTGCCTGTGGCAGAGTGGGGAAGATGAGGAGCTCAGGGAGGCCAGAGAAAGACCCACCCATTGCAGGGATGCTGAATCAAAAGTTCAGGCGGCTGATTGTTGGTCGTGAAGGATCTTTTCGAGCAGTCCCATCAGCTCCCAAATTTTCCCCTTTGGGGAGAAAAAGTTCCCCACGTTCTATGGCCTGGTACACGCCTAATCCTATCACCCACTGGTGTTAGCAAAGAGTGCAAGGCAGATCACTCCAAAGAGAATAGTGGTTAACCCCATGGTGCCAAATCCACGTTTAACAAAGAGGGACTTTACTGAGGGGGAAGGCCTCCAACCCAATCCCATCCTTTACCAGGTAAAATGAACCCACTACTCACCCAAAGTCAGCCCATTGGTGCTGCGGTCTATTTCCTTTGGATCGGGATCGTAACTAAGCTAAAAGGCTAGCAGATTTAATTTTTTAAGTCAATGAGTCGCATAAGCTTTCGATTTGCCTTTTGTAAAGTCTTTAAATAAAAATACTGAAATCTTTTTAGAAGCTTCTGCATATCAATAGACATCCCTAGATGAGACTAACTTGGGAGCCCTCATTTTCAAATGCACTTCAGTGCAGTTTTGTTCATTTGGAACATTCCACTCTAAGTTATCTTTAGTAAGATTTCACCATTTCTATAAGACTGCTGCTTCCGGGGCCTACCACTTATGCAGGTATTAGCCAGAAGGAACTCAGTTCTTCAGAAATTAAGGATCCAGGCCGGGCGCGGTGGCTCATGCTTGTAATCCCAGCACTTTGGGAGGCGAGTTGGGCGGATCACGAGGTCAGGAGATCGAGACCATCCTGGCTAACATGGTGAAACCCCGTCTCTACTAAAAATACAAAAAAAATTAGCCGGGCGTGGTGGCGGGTGCTTGTAGTCCCAGCTACTTGGGAGGCTGAGGCAGGAGAATGGCGTGAACCCGGGAGGCGGAGCTTGCAGTGAGCGGAGATCACGCCACTGCACTTCAGCCTGGGCGACAGAGCGAGACTCCGTCTCAAATTAAAGAAAAAAAAGAAATTAAGGATTCAATTTTTACCTCAGATTTTGGCTTTGCTCTCAGGTTCCTTTGATCAACCTAGCCAATGATTTTTCTCCTACCAAAGTGCATAAGAAAAATGAAACAAGGCCGGGTGCAGTGGCTCACACTTGTTATCCCAGCTCTTTGGGAGGCCGAGGCGGGTGGATCACCTGAGGTCAGGAGTTCGAGACCAGCCTGGCCAACATGGTGAAACCCCATCTCTACTAAAAATACAAAAAATTAGCAGGGCGTGGTGGTAGACGCCTGTAATCCCAGCTCCTCAGGAGGCTGAGGCAGGAGAATCACTTGAATCTGGGAGGCAGAGAGTGCAGTGAGCTGAGATTGTGCCACTGCACTCCAGCCTGGGCAACAAGGTGAGACTGTCTCAAAAAAAAAAAAAAAAAAAAAAAAAGAAACAAAGGGGTAAAACACAAAAATCCCTGTGAATTTTCAATAGCCTAATTTTACACCCCTGCAATATTACCATTTACTACATTTCTTTCTGACCCAGTCAGATGTAAGAGGCCTCTAACTGTATCCAAGCCAGTTAATTACCAGATCAAATCCATTCCTTGAACCAGCCCAGTTTCTGTCATGACTTCCAAACCCAGTTTGGAACAGAAATTTGCTCAAAGAAACTCGGAGAGCTCAAAACACAAATCAGTGGAGCTCTGACATTGGAGAGAAAACTTACCATGACTTCCAACTGCTCTGAGAGATCAACGAACACAAATAGGTCCTGCAGGTACCTGGCTTCGGTCACTCAGCACTCCTGGGAGTCGTTAGAAGCTCTACTTCAGATCTGCTCTGACACCATCTGATAAAAGAAAAACTTCAGCTGAATTAAATTTAAAGGAGCTTAAGTGAGCAGGCAATGAATGATTCGCGAATTGGGCAGCCTTCTGAGCCAGAGTAGGCTCAGAGACTCCAGCACAGCCACGTGATGGAGGAAGATTTATGGACAGAGAAAGGAAAGTGAGGTACAGAAAACGGAGGTGAGGTACAGAAATAGCTGATTGGTTACAGCTTGGTGTTCACCTTATTTGAACAGGGTTCAAACAGTTGGCTACATTTGATTGGCCAAAACTCATTGATTAGCACAAGTGTAGACTACAGTCTGTTTACACCTCCACTTGTTATAGTTCATGATGTACAGAAAAACCTTTAGGCTGAACTTAAAATATGTAAGGAGGCAGATTTAGGCTAAATTGATTTATTTTTTATTATATTTTTAAGACGGAGTCTCACTCTGTCACTCAGGCTGGAGTGCAGTGGCGTGATCTCGGCTCATCACAACCTCCATCTCCTGGGTTTAAGCGATTCTCCTGCCTCAGCCTCCCAAGTAGGTGGGACTACAGGTGTGTGCCACCATTCCTGGCTATTTTTTGTATTTTTAGTAGAGATGGGGTTTCACCATGTTGGCCAAGCTGGTTTCAAACTCCTGGCCTCAGGTAATCCACCTGCCTTAGCCTCCCAAAGTGCTGGGATTAGAGGTGTGAGCCACCGCACCCGGCCGGCTAAACTTGATTTAACAGTACCTTTTGGGAGATAATTTTTTTGTATAATGGAATAGTTACTCTAATTATAAGCTGCTATTATACCTCATTTGGATCTGGGAATTTTCTCATGTGATGTATGTACACACACACACACACACACACACACACGACTAATATTGCAATATTCTTTTTTGTCTATGTTTGTGTGTCCTTGTAGAACTTTCTATAGCCCAGTCTGGAAGTGTAGGGAAACTGTATCTGTTTCAGAGTGAAACTGCTCTAGGGGATGGGAAATTTTGAGTTTATTATTTCCATGAGAAAATGGAATGGGGCTTCTTTTGGGGGAAGATTTAAAATTATCTGTGGAAAAAAGTGAGTTGGACTTGGTAATGTAAGATGAGAAATTTTTCATTATTATATTCAATGAGATAGATACAAATACTGGTTTCCTTAATATTTCTGAAATTGTATCATTGACTATGATAGATGAGACTACTGTTCAAACATATTCACTCTTCCACCTCTCCATTTCACTGGAAGAGTGTAGTTACTGGTTCTATTAATGTTGGGCATGGCTCTGACTTGCTTTGGCCTCAGGGTAGGTGGGGGACAGTTCTTTGCCTCTCGACTGTGCTCAGCCATGTAGCTTGCTTTGGTCAATGGATGTTAGCAGATGTGACTCACGGAGGAATGGAAATTACCTTGCATAGCTGGGCTTGTCCTCTTGAACTGCTGCCATCTCCATGCATAACACTTCTTTGAACTCCTTCAGCCTGAGCCCCAGATGGAATATCAGTGGAGAAGTTTAAATCTCAGTGAGGAGCCAAGTCCAGTTGGACTCATAGCTTGAAACAGAGCTGCCCCATTGAGCTCGCCTAGGTCAGCTAGCCCCAGCTGACCTGCAGTCATGTCAATTGTATGTCACTAAGATTTTGTGGCTCTTTTTTACTCAGCTTTAGCTAACTAATATATCACCATATCAGGGAATTTTGGTAGGACAACATAGCTAAGCACAATTTGAGATGGGGAATAGAATAGGGTAAATTCTCTGTTCAAAGCATATGGTAATCTGGTGCCTATTTTACTTATTATCCCATTTGTGCCCTTTTTTATAACATGTCTTTGGAAGCGAAACTGTACATCCAGTGTCTCTGTAACACTGAGTCTATTGTCCATGTAACATTCAGTCTACTGAACTGCTTTAAAATATTAGTTGAATGACAGTAGACTGAATGAATCTCTGTAGTTCCAGAAGGCAGGGAGAAGGATTGGGAGAGTCGACACAAAGTGTGCAGCCAGGGCTGCGTTGGTATTTTTCCTCTGATGTGCTCCACAGAAGGGCAGCTGACCCACTGTGGGTTGATAATTTCACTGGTTCACAGAAGACAGGGAATATAGGACTTTAGGGAAATAATGTGCCTTTGTCTTTGTCTTTCTCTTATTCTCTATCAAGGGGGAAAATGCTGCTCTGGGCTGGTTGGATTCAAGCTCATGGATTGGACCATGGGATAAAGTTTTAGTGGCAGATGGCTACTTCCTTGAAATAGAGTGGAGAAAAAGGGTGGCAGCATTGGTGAGAAGGGACAGGCAGGAGGCAGTAGGGAAGTCCAGCTTTACTCTGGAGAGAAGAAGAGGTGGGGGTGGGGAGGGCAGGGCCAGCTGTTTGGGGTGGGAGGCAGGGAAGGTGTTGGCTGCCCAGTTGACATCTCTTATCTCTTTCCTGGGGCCAGAGTAGGTTATTTTACAGCCCAGCCTCTTTATGGCCTCAGCAGAGAAGCAAAGGCAAACAAAGAACAGGTGATCCCTCAGGGCCCAAGGAGACGCCTCCTACAGCAGGTGTGCCCACTTCAGCAGCCCTGCTGGCCAGAATCTCTACTTAGAAGGCTTCTGGGAAGGCCAGGCCCTTATCGGCTTCCGACTTTGAAGTCCTAGGAACCCTCCCTCACACCTCCCTTCTATGTGGCTTTGAAAATACTTTGATATTCTATCCCTATCCCTTAATTATTTGAACCCTCACCAGTTTGTAATGAGCCTGAACCCATCTTTGCTCCATTTTACATATGACAAAACTGAGGCTGGAAGCGTTGTTGCCAAGCTTCTTTGCCCTTTGTACCATGGGATTTAATTACATATATTTTATGGATTCTTTCCTTTATAAAGTTGTAATCATTCATTCTTTTTTAATAGAGAGAAATTTAGAAAAGGAAACAAAGCAAAAAATGACCTAAAATCCTATGGGTCAGATAACTCCCGTTGATATTCTTTCCTTCTTTCCCCCAGTTCTATTTCCAGAGGTTACCACTTTCAATTTTTATTTCTGTTTCATTCTATAAAGATGAAGAAAATTTTTGACACCTTTAAAAATATAATTTAAATCATCTTAAACTTATAGAAAAGTTGAAAGTGAGGATAAAGAACATTAATTTTTCTATGCCATTTGAAAGCATGATCCCGGCAATTTGCATGAACACCTTGCTACCGCCTCATCTGCAGGCTCCACTAAAGTTTCATCAGCTGTCCCAAGATACACAGGTTTCATTCTCCTGTCTCTGGTCTCCTTCAATCTGGAATGGTTCTCCCTTCTTTCCTTGACTTCCATGGCCTTATGTTTCCAGATGACAGGCCAGTTATTCTGTAGTATGTCCCTCACCTGGGTTGAGGCTGATGCTTCTTCAGGGTTGGATTCACTTGCATGCACCTTCAGCAGGAAGATCACAGAAGCTGTGCTGCGTTTTCCTTGCATCCTGTCATGCGGTGAGTAATTTCACTCTAGGATTAGAGATGGTGTTCGCTATGATCATTTGATTACAGAGGTGACTGCCAGCCTTCTCCACTGTAAGGTGACTCTTCTCTTTGTAATAAACAAATATTTTGTGATGAGGCACACTGAAACCATGAATATATTCCATTCCTCATCAAACTGTCACTTTACTCCATCATTTAGTTATATTGAAATGGACTCAGATTTTTATTTTATTCAGTAGGTTATTATCCATCATCATTATTATTTACTTTGATGCTCACATGGTCGAAGATTTGGCCATCAAGGGCCCCTTCAAGCCAGGTTCTGGGCTTTTCTGGCCTGCACCCTTCATTCTTAGAGTACTTCATTACTTTCTAGCTCCCAAGATCTTTCAGGTTTATCTTGGGCTTTCCCAGCCCTTGCCCTGGAATCAGCCATTTTCCGAAGGAGACTTGGATTCTTTTAATGGAGAATGGCATTTAGAAGTCAATATATGGGTGCTAGGAGTGTTCATTGCTATTGGGGTATCACTGCTCCTAGACTCTCTCAGTGGACAGAGCAAGGATATATATGCACACACACTATTAGATCAATATTTATCTCTCTATATAGAAAACCATGAGCTCACTTCAATACTTTCAATTCTAATCAAAACCACAGGGCTTATTCTGGGTTTCCCTCCTTCCATATTCATGACTGCCTTCTCCATGAGTGAGAAAACTGGCTCCCAACTTTGCTCAGTTGGTCCCCCTGCATATACCCAATCTTCCATAGCAGAACTCTGCCCCTCCACTCATTCTGTGTGGCTCTGACATCCACACTTGGTTGTCCCCTTCTGCCATGTGGACTTTCATTTGACAGTACTTGGACTCTAACACCCTGTGCTAGGCCACCGTGCCCCTGCCTCCCTGCATGGCCACTCTTTGTCCTATTCTGGCTCTGACATGCCATGCCAGGCTCCCCCACGCCAGATGGGTGCCATCTGGTACATATCCCGTGTGCTTAGCTTAGACTACCCGGGCTATGATGGCTACTGTCCCACCCATGCCCATGTGCTGCATGCATCTTATGAAGGCATCTGGTTTATTCTCCCTGCTCATCAGTTCAATCAGCATGTGCTACCAGTGTAGTGCACCAGCATACCATCTGTGGATCTGTGGGATGTTCAGAAGATCAAGGTCTCTGTAGACCACACTATAACAGAAAGCTGGAAAACGAACATGATCTGGGAGAAGACACTGACTTTGTACTTCTATCCTTGCCAGGTGAAAGCAAACTTCTGCTGGTTCTTACCGATACAGATGGGGAGAAAACACAAGCTGAGTCAATAGCTACATACTAAGTGCTGAGAGTGGTTAAGTTGTTCTATGTTGCATTTAGAAAAGCAGCTAAAATTGGAGTTACTGCCTGATTAAATTTACGACGACATACAGTCATTCTCCAAGATTCAGCAACTTCCTGCACAGGCTAAAGAGCTAAAGAGGTGAGCCAAGTGGGCAGAAATGTGACAGGCCTCCCTGTCCCTGCATCTTTCATGTCTTTAATCATGGCATCGATCCCTGTAATTCCCCTAGAAATACAGTAATGCAGGTTTACTATTTGCGTAGGGAAAGAAAATCCCAGGCTCCTGGGCCTGTTCAACCATTTCTTTGACCTCATCTCTCCTTGCTTGATTTTATACCAGTTGTGCTGGAGTACCTTCTAATATGGTTTGGCTCTGTGTCCCCACCCAAATCTCATCTCTAATTGTCATCTCCACATGCCGAGGGAGGTACCTGGTGGGAGGTAATCGGATTATGGGGGCAGTTTACCTCATGCTGTTCTCATGATGGTAAGTTTCCACGAGATCTGATGGTTTAAAAGTGTTTGGGAGTCCCTAGCCTCTCTCCTGCCGCCATGTAAGATGTACCTTGCTTCCCCCTCTGCCATGGTTGTAAGTTTTCTGAGGCCTCCCCAGCCATGTGGAACTGCGAGTCAATTAAAGCTGTTTTGTTTATAAATCACCCAGTCTTAGGTAGTTCTTTATAGCAGTGTGAAAATGGACTAATACACTTCCTTAATGAACTCTCTCAGAAAGGATTCAGGAAATGTAAGCTTGCAAGTTTAGAAATATCCTTATTCTACCTTTACACTTGATATTATCGCTGAGATGAGCGTTTTAGGTTCAAAATATATTTCCAGGAGTCCTAAAAATATAGCTCCATCTTTTCAGAGTCTTCCATCATCCTATGTTGTTGACAAGACTGAGAATGGTCTCTGTCTCTCCTTTCCTTTGTAGGCAACCTTTCTCTTCCTGCTCCCACCCATGGAACATTTTAGAATCTTTTTTTTTTTTTTTTTTTTTTTTTTTTTTTGGTGTTTTGAAATTTTGCAGTACCTGTCTAGGTGTGGAGCAGTTCCTCGGGCTTCCTTTTAATCTGTAGCTCTGGAATACTCTTGCTATTGATGATTCTATGTGTCGACTATTTTGCTCACACCCCACCCAGATGCATTCTCTACTGTGGTTCTCTGCTCTTCCCTGTGCCAGGGGAAGCTGATGGCTCCTTTGCTGGCAGGGCTCCAGTTGGGTTTGGTCAATGGGAGGGACTGACAGGAGACTGGAAGTGGAAGGAGAGAGAGGTTGGTAGAATTCTTTTCTACTTCCCCTTGCTTCCATGCTGTCTGGAGGCGGTGGCATGCCTCCACACTACAGAAGCTCCCACTGGGGGCCCTTCCTCTGCAGTCCTCTGGCTGTGGTAATGTGGTTTTCTCCTTTTGTTCTTTTAACTGTAGGGTGGTGATTGCTTCTGTCTTCTGCCAGTCTCTGGGTGCCTCACCATTTCTTGTTTCTTTCCTTTAATGCTTCCCACACCTCTGTAAGTTACCTTTTTATTAAAATCCCTTTGTTTGACAATCTGGGGGTGAATTATGTGTCCTGTGCAGACTATGACTGATATGCTGCCTTTCATTGTCTTGATTTTTCCTTCCTGGAAATTTTAGTAATTGGATGATGGGTCATTAGTGTTAATCATCCATGTCTCTTATTTTAGCTCTGAAGTTTTCCATCTTTCTGTGTTTTTGCTCTACATTATGGGATATTTCCTAAGCTGGTTCTCCCATCCCTTCTAATGATGTGTTTTCAAATTTCAGTAGTCATGCTTAGTTTTCAAGGATTCTTTCTTGCTTTCTTAGTCTGTCTTATTTCATGGCAATCTGCTCTTGTTATATGGATTCAGTAATTTCTCTAATTTAGGCATTAAAGGAAGTTTTGGTCTCTTAAAGTTATTTTCTATTCCCTAAGTTATTTCAGCTTCTTTTGGGGTCAGTTATTTTGTTTATTCATCTTGACCTATCTCCTTTGTGCTGTTGATTTCCTAAATGTGTGAGGATCTTTGCTTCTCTGTTATAAGTACTGGAAAATAAACTGGTTTCCCCGGATAGCTGATGTGGCTTCCCTCTGCTACAGCCTTCCATGAAAAAAGTAGGACAGCTTCCGGGAGCTAGCTATATGTGAGTGGACCATGCTTGGCAGCTGCCCTTCAGAATGCACAGGTTGCGGGCAGGGATGGCCAAGGACATTTCTCAGGGAGCTGTGTGTGTGGGATGGGTCTCTGAGAATGGAGAGCTTGATGAGTTCAGGCCGTGGAAGCAACATCTACACAAGCCTGGATCTGAGAAACTCAACCATACTCCCTGAAAATGGAGAGTTTACATGCAGAATGAGTCTGGGGGAGGCAGCACTAGAAGGCCTGAAAGAGGAAGAGAGTCAGACTGATTTCAGAGGGACCCATCCTAGAGGGACCACTGCCATGACTCCATGGGGACATTTCCAAGGGGAGCCACAGGAGGTTTCACTGGAGAGTTGTGTATGTCTGTCCAGTGTCTAGGAGGTGCTCACCATGGCTGAGCTTGCAGGGCCTCTTAGGACTGTCCAGGTGAGATGTGTGGGTCGTGATGAGGGTTTGGAGAGGTTTCCAGCTAGAATTGGTCGGGACAGCCCATTAGCTCTGGGGCAGAGGCTCAGGGAGGTGGGCAAGCATGCAGGACACAGGAATGCTTATAGCCACAGCTCTGCAGGGTGTTTCTTGCCCATAACTGTGTGGAGAGCCATTCTCATCTCAACTCATTTCTTGCCACAACATCTCCCGAGGCAAACTTTGTTATTAGCTCCGCTTTGCAGATGAGAATCTGGGGCAATGCGAGACGGCTTCTGTGCCCGGCTTGTGACCAGTCACCACACTGACTCTCAATGTGGTGTAAGCAACTGTGAATGGGCCTGATTCCAAATCCCAGCAAATTTACAGTAAGGAGGGTGCCTGGGGTCTATCCATCCCCTGACTAGCTGATCTTCAGCTTCCTCATAGGACCAGGGGGAATACTGAGCATGCAGTGGACTGAGGTTCAGAGAGGTAATGTGGAGCGCTGCACACACCTGAGGGAGTTGTGCGCCTGTCTGACTTCCGGGTGATTCATGAGGAACATTCCTGATGGGGTGGGAAGGGAACCTGTCACTAAGCTATTTAGGAGAAGCAGTCTCCAGCAGGTCACACCAGCCAGCCACTTTTATGGCAGAAGGAAAATCCTACCTAGCCCCTTCCCCAGAGATGGCAGAATGCAGCCTGGCTGACTGGCAGAGCCTCTCAGGCTGTGCTCCGGACCCTGGACTCCAGCAAGGGGGAAGAACAGCAGCTCCCAGTTCTTTCTTACAGACTGCTTTCTTGAGGAGCTTCAAGTGCTCTGGCTATGATTGGTGCAGGGCTCTGCTGCCTCCAGAGGGTGCTGTCTCCTTTCCCTAGCAGAGGCAAAGGGTCTGGCAGCCAACTCTGGGAGTATTGGTTTAACCTGAAATGTCTGCTAGGAAGAGCTACCTACCCCTCTCCTGGGCATTATGGTCCTGAAGGAAGAGCTTGGACTTTGGATTGAAAGTCCAGCCCTACCATCTACAAGTTGGCTGGCTGAGACAAGACACTCTACTTCTTTGAGGCTCAGTTTTCTCGCCTGTGAGATGGGATGATCACACCACACCAGTTAGGCATGAGGATGGACTAAGGGCATGTTCACATGCTTCTGCCTGGCAAGGGAGCTGTTTGCTGCTTTTACCACCATTTCAGCTCTTCTGCTGTTCTCTGACCCACAAGAGCTAGGGTTCAGGCTGCGTGCCTTGCGCAGTAGTTCTCAAATGTGTCTATGTGGAAGCTTGCCTCCAAGGGCTTACCAGCAAATCCAGACCCCACACAGCTGCCCTGCAAGAAGGAGGTGACAGTGGCTGCGTTCTTGCCTGCACAGAGGACGGGTGTCCATAGAGCTCCCAGCTGGAGTTGAGCAGTTTCTGGTCAAGCAATGTTCTCTGATTTTACATGTCTGGAAGCTACCGTTACAATCAGGTCTTCTTAAATGTCCTCCCTCCCTCCGTCTTCCTTTCTTCCTTTCTTTCTTTGTCAGATGCTGTGTGTGGACTTGTGCTGGGATCTGGAGGCGGAGACAAGAGCTGTGACCTAGACATAGGGGAGTGGGGAGACAAAGCTGCTCAGGCAGACAACCAACTAGGCTGCTACATCTGCTTCTGCAGCAGAGCATGGGAGGGTGGTAGGAATTTGTCATGGCAGCAGGGACATCGGAGCTGGGGTGCAACGGAGGAGCAGCCGCTTTCCAGGTAGTCAAGACAGGAAGGAGCATGGTCCAGAAAGAAGAGATGACAGGTGCCAGTCTACAGCGATGGTGAGCAGAGGCCTGGGGGCTTGGCAGGTGGGTTCGCATCCTGGATCTGGCTGTTTCTTAGCTGAGTGACTTTGGGCAAGTTGCTCAACCACTGAGTGTCACTTTGCTTCATCAGCACGATGGGAATAAAAATGCCCACCTCTCAGAGCTGTTGTGATGATTAACTAAGGTAGTGTCTGCAGAGTCTCTGCACTACAAACGGCAGCTGCCATTCTAGAGGGACCACTGCCATGACTTCATGGGGACATTTCCATGGGGAGCCACAGGAGGTTCACTGGACAGGTGTGTATGTCCAGTGTTTAGGAGGTGCTCTTGAAGCAGATCTGTTACTCTCAGGAGGTTCTCTAAGCGCATATGTGACTTTGCCATGTGGGGATGGGGGGCAGGGAATTATAAGCTAGTGTATTCAAAACAGGAGCAGCCCTTGTAAGCAAAGCTGTTCCATTATAGCCAAGTCATGTGCATCTCAGCTCCAAAGGAGAAAGTGACCATTCTCATTGAATTCTCATCGCCACAACCTTGGGACTGCCTGAGATAAGACACTCCACTTCCAGGGCCCACCCTGAGTTTTCACTCACACCCTGGATGCCCATCTCCTTCCCTCACCCTGGCTGACATTCTCAGCCACACTGCCCTCCCCTGGTCTCCAGGGGCTGAATGCTCCCAGCCTCAGGGCTTTTGCCGTGGCTGTGCCATCCATCTGGCCTATCGAACCCATTTGCTCACAGCATCTCACCCCCTGTAATAATTTATTTCCCTCTTTCCTTGTACCCTGTCTGTCTTCTCCCCCAGGGCTGAGAGCTCCAGAAGGAACCAAGGACAGGGAGCCTGTCTTGTCCAGCTCTGGTGCCCAGCAGGAGAGCCAGGCTCATAGGAGGTCTGCAAGTAATGTTTCTGGACGAACTTATGAAAGGCAGGTCTTTTTATACCCATTTCATGGATGAGGAAACTGAGGCAGAGAGAGAGAGAGACAGGCAGACGCACACACCCCTAGACAGAGAGAAACACTCCTGGAGAAAGAGAAAGGGAGGGAGAGAGGGAGGGGGAGGGAGGGAGAGAGAGAGAGAGAGAGAAAGAAAGAAAGAAAGAAAGGAAAGAAAGAAAGAAAGAAAGAAAGAAAGAAAGAAAGAAAGAAAGAAAGAAAGAAAGAAAGAAAGAAAGAAAGAAAGAAAGAGAGAAAGACAGCGCAGCTCCAGCCTGCCTGTATCCAGGGTTGAGGTGGGCGTGAGAGACACACGCAGGCAGGGCTGCAGTTCCGGGCAGGCCTTGGGGGCTCAAGATGCGGCTCCCCAGGGCGAGTGCTGGGGTCCCGGGGCAGGCGGGCGGCTGGAGCCCTCTCGTGGGCGGGCGCAAGGGGCAGGCTGGGCGGGCGCAGGCGGGAGCGTAGCAGCCGCTCCACTCCGCACGCAGGCAGCATCGGGGCAGCAGGAGCAGGTGAAGCAGGCGCGGCTCTGCCCCGCGCCTGGTGCCCCCTGGGCACAGGAGTGCGGCCGGGGGCGGGGCCGAGTGGGCCCCGGTACGAACCCTCCGGGAAGCCGGGCGCGCTGCCTGCCCTTGGCCCGGGGCGCAGAGCGTCACACTGGATCTGGGGAGCATCCTACCCCCACTGTGGACCTCAGTCTCCTCACCTGAGACATGGGCGGCCCCATCCGCACCCTGTAAGCCGCAAGCCAAGGAGGTAAGGGGTGCATCTGAGGTGTCTGGGCGCTATGGGCATTAGGATATAGTAGCTTTTGCTGAGATTTCAGGAGACAAAGCAAAGGGCCTTCCCTATTCTAACCCCACTGGGAGATTAGCATTGTGTGTATGATTCATTAATTTTCCTCTGATTGACTGGGAAGGCAGGCTGCAGGGGGTCCCTGTTGGGGCTTGCAGCTGGTTCTAGTTTTTGTATCTGGAGAGCTGCCTGGGGACAAAATGCAGAGACACCATTTTATTGACCTTGCGTAATAATCTACCCTCCCCCTCATACACTCGCCACCCCCTTGGGTGTGCCTGAGGGACTTGAGGTCCCCTGGTCCTCACTGGTCAGTGTACCCCAAGCCCAGCAGCCCCAGGCAGATGCCCAACACCACCTTTTCAGTGCTCCTCCTCCTCCTGTCTTGGCCCTCTCTGCCAATCCATTTTCTATATCCAAGTGATCTTACTGGAATGGACCTGACCTTGCTGGTCTGGCCCACCACTCCAGCTTCATCATCTGCCACCCTGGAACCTCTTATTCTGCTTACTTTTCCCAGCAGGCTCTGCTCCTTCCTGCCTCTGTGCCTTTGCACATGCTGTTCCTTGCACTTCGAGTTCCCTCCTCTCCCTGTCCCTTTGGCTGGTTGACTCCTCTTCAGCCTTTGAGCCCTGTACCATTGCCACCTCTTCTCTCACCTCCCTGCTCCCTGCTCCTTCTCTGATCTCTCAACTCACAGGCCTCTCTTTCATATTGGTGTTGGCAATGGCAATGAGTTCCATCTGCATTCGTGCTGGTCAGCCCCTCTGCTCTGGGAGGGCCATGACTGTATAAGTCATCTTTGCAGCCCTTGTTTCTAGCCCAGGGCTTGACACACACTTATTGAGTGGGTGAATGAAGCAGTGAGCATTTTCTGGAGCCCTCCCAGCCCAGTCCTTCCACTCTGATCCTGCTTTAGGTGGTTGGTTTGGGATGAATGGTGTTTCTCCACACCACTGGCCAAGCCTTGCTGATGGTCACCCAGAGCCTTGGGTTCTGGCCCATTTGCTGCTTCTGAGTGCAGTGCCTCTGCCACAGGTTCATGCAGCTGCGACTGTTCTTTATCTTATATTGGGCCCTGTGTTTGGCTCTGGAATAGTTTATTTTGCCATGTTCAGCCCCAAATGGCCCTTTTTGCCCGAAGACCATAGTGCTGGAGAAATCTTCCTGCCTTCGAGATCTGGTTCCTAAATAACCAGACTGTAAACTATCAGGTGAATTCACAGCTTGATCTTTTAAATGACCAAATGAGACTCTTTTTTTTTTTTTTGAGACAGAGTCTCGCTCTGTTGCCCAGGCTGGAGTGCAGTGGTGCACTCTCTGCTGACTGCAACCTCCGCCTCCCAGGTTCAAGTGATTCTCCTGCTTCACCCTCCCATGTAGCTGGGACTACAGGCATGCACCACCACACTTGGCTAATTTTTGTATTTTCAGCGGAGACGGGGTTTCACCATGTTGGCCAGGCAGGTGTTGAAGTCCTGACCTTAGAAACTCATCTTTATAAGTAGATCAGATGCACAGCAAGTGACATTCATGACAGCCGACAAATAGATTTTACTGAGCTCTGGTTGATTTTGGCCTTGTGCTCTGCAAAAACTGCCTTAACATAGCAATTGATCATGTAAAAAATACATATGGCCATGATATGAGACTTAAAGAATATCTCAAATAGGGTTTTCTGCTATAGTGTTTTACAAGATGGGGTCCAAGGGCCATGTGCATCAGAATCACATAGTCTACTTGTTAAATACAGATTCCTGGCCCCCATCCTGGATTCACTTAACTACATCTCCTGGTGGAAGGGCCCTGGGATCTGCACTTTCAACATGCTTCTAGAATGATTCTGATGTTTACTGAAGGTTGAGAACTGCAACCCTGTGGGATTAATAATGACTAGAGAATCTGAGAGGTGAGTCACAATGATGTATGTAGTGGTATGGTGCTTCCCATGCAAAACATCCATCATTGGCACTAACACGGGGGAACTCTGGAGTCTAAATTCCAACTCAGTCTTGGCAGGGGGTCCGTTGTGCTGAGGAGGTCCTCGGAGAAGGGACAGCCTGTACCAGGGCATAGAGATGTGGAAGAGTCTGGTGTGCTTGTGAGCTGCACACTGCATCAAGTGACTTGAACATAGTCATGGAGTAGGTTCTGTGGAGGGCACTGGGCACCTGTGACTTTGGCCAGGTATGTCTGTGCACATGGTGGGTAGTAGGAAGAAGCTGGTGTGCTGATGAGCCAGGCTTTGCATACTGGGCAGTCTTCAGTTTTGCCAGGTATCACCTAAAAAACAAGGCTACCAGGGCAGGGAGGGGCTGAGACCAGGAGGGTGCACTGATTGTGGATCCCCGAGGCTTTAGCTCTATCTTGAAGGGAATGGGGTGCCGTGGAAGGACACAAGCAATCCTGTGCAGAGTGGCATTTATTGCTGTCTCCATTAAGATAAAATGTGACAAGGGGCATTCTACCCATGTTCCCTGAACAATTCCGTCACTAAAGTCTGCATACAGCACTCCAACTTCTTTATCATCAGAACAGCCTCATCCTGAGGCCGGAGGGAATTAGTAGAACAAGTTCTGGCATTAGATGACCTGAGTTTGTAACTGGGCCCTGTTACTAATTAGCTGTGTGACTATGGGCAAGTTGCTTTCCATCTCAGGGTCTTAGATTCCTCATCTATGAAACGGATTGATAATATCTACCTCTAGGAATAAACTAGCTAATAGACGAAAGTGCTGAGCACAGTACCCAGCATGCAACAAGTGCTTCTAACAAGGTAGCAATCATTGGATGCCAATGTCTCACCATAAGCCTTAGGTAATAGCCCCTCCAGATACCAGCCTTGGGTTGGAAGCAGCTGAGAGCCTTTCTACCCGGCCCTGCTCCTCTCTGGATTCTACCCTGGGCATGATCCCTGAGTATTGTTTGTCTGTTTGCCTTGTAGGCGTCATCCCTCAAGTGTATCACTTAGTTCAAGAGTCCTGGAATCTTTTCACATCCACTATGAACACCTCTCACCTCCTGGCCTTGCTGCTCCCAAAATCTCCACAAGGTGAAAACAGAAGCAAACCCCTGGGCACCCCATACAACTTCTCTGAACATTGCCAGGATTCCGTGGACGTGATGGTCTTCATCGTCACTTCCTACAGCATTGAGACTGTCGTGGGGGTCCTGGGTAACCTCTGCCTGATGTGTGTGACTGTGAGGCAGAAGGAGAAAGCCAACGTGACCAACCTGCTTATCGCCAACCTGGCCTTCTCTGACTTCCTCATGTGCCTCCTCTGCCAGCCGCTGACCGCCGTCTACACCATCATGGACTACTGGATCTTTGGAGAGACCCTCTGCAAGATGTCGGCCTTCATCCAGTGCATGTCGGTGACGGTCTCCATCCTCTCGCTCGTCCTCGTGGCCCTGGAGAGGCATCAGCTCATCATCAACCCAACAGGCTGGAAGCCCAGCATCTCACAGGCCTACCTGGGGATTGTGCTCATCTGGGTCATTGCCTGTGTCCTCTCCCTGCCCTTCCTGGCCAACAGCATCCTGGAGAATGTCTTCCACAAGAACCACTCCAAGGCTCTGGAGTTCCTGGCGGATAAGGTGGTCTGTACCGAGTCCTGGCCACTGGCTCACCACCGCACCATCTACACCACCTTCCTGCTCCTCTTCCAGTACTGCCTCCCACTGGGCTTCATCTTGGTCTGTTATGCACGCATCTACCGGTGCCTGCAGAGGCAGGGGCGCGTGTTTCACAAGGGCACCTACAGCTTGCGAGCTGGGCACATGAAGCAGGTCAATGTGGTGCTGGTGGTGATGGTGGTGGCCTTTGCCGTGCTCTGGCTGCCTCTGCATGTGTTCAACAGCCTGGAAGACTGGCACCATGAGGCCATCCCCATCTGCCATGGGAACCTCATCTTCTTAGTGTGCCACTTGCTTGCCATGGCCTCCACCTGTGTCAACCCATTCATCTATGGCTTTCTCAACACCAACTTCAAGAAGGAGATCAAGGCCCTGGTGCTGACTTGCCAGCAGAGCGCCCCCCTGGAGGAGTCAGAGCATCTGCCCCTGTCCACAGTACATACGGAAGTCTCCAAAGGGTCCCTGAGGCTAAGTGGCAGGTCCAATCCCATTTAACCAGGTCTAGGTCTTCTCCCTGCCATGTCCCTTGCCAGGCTCTTCCACTTAGCTAAGTGGGCACACTGCAAGCTGGGGTGGCACCCCAGCATTCCTGGCTTTCTGGGGTCCAGATAGGCTGGCAAGAGCTGTTTTTGCATCCATTTGCATCGTGAAGACTGGCATTTTGATACTTCAGCTGTTTGTTCCTGGGAGAATTCTGAGCACAGATTCCAGAGGTCACAGTAAGCCTTGCAGCTTGAGCTGAAAGATGCCAGAGCCGGAGATGTCTGCTGGCAGCAGGCAGGGTTCATTCTGGTGACACAGCAACAGATGCCTGGCCTGGGAACCCAGGGATTTCACCTCCACCAGTGAGACCACGGGGCCACTGTGGGGTGAGGGAAGGAGCGCTTGGAGTCAGAGCTCTAGACCTTGGTCAACTCTTCACCTCTGTGAGAGATGGTGTGTGGAGGTGCTTCAGAAGTAAAGAATTCTGTGGATGCAAAGCAGTGGGATTACTGTTAGATCATTAGCGCATCCAGCTGAAGACAATAGATGCAGTAGTCTTGGCTTACAGCCCTCTGCAGCAGGAATTCCAGGACTCACTTCCTACTCCATCCCTTTTCTCTATCACTGTGTCTTCCACCTTACATGGAAATCAGCCTGCAAGTTCCTCTCCTCGATGAGATGGCAAGCGCCTTGCAGGTGAAATCCATACCATCATGGGGCTTGTGTCTTACATGCCATGGACAGGCCCTGGCACAAGGAGAGAGCTCCAGGGAAGTTTTCCATGGTGGGTTGATGGTAAAGGTGCCACTCACTGCTGAATGTTTGGTGCTGGACAGGAGTCCAGCATGGGAAGGGGGCCAGGGCTCAGGCTCCTGCAGCCATAGTCTCCTGCCTGCCCTTCCTTGCCTCCCAGGACCTCATTTGATACAGTAGCTGGACCGAGACTCTGTGGCTCTCCCCACTGTTGACCCACTACAGAGGCCTCCAGAACTCAAGGCTATGGCTGCAGCCTCCTTCACTCTGTGCTCTGACCACTGAGCTGACTTGCCCCAGATAATGTGCCACGTATCTTTCAAAGCTTCCTCAGGGTATTGGGCATCCCAGTGGCCTTAAGTAGGATCAGGGGCAGGGAGTCCTGGGAGTCTAACTTCATGGGGCACTGGCTGAAAAAAGCAGGGGTCCCCTTCCTCCAGCCATCCAGGGAAAAAGGAGAAAGGGCTCCAATGAGTGTGAATATCTTACCTTGGGGGTTATGGCCTAGTCCTCTGGATGCTGAACCAGGCCCAAGGCTTCATCTATGTGTGGACCAGACAGCCTGTCCTTGCAGGGAAAGAAATGTCAAGACTGCTCCTGGGCTGCATTGGATGGGATGTCTCCGCATGGTTCTGTTGGCTCAGACTGACCCTCCAGCAGAGTGGACAGTGGCTGGCCTACTATAGCCTCCCAGGGCAGGGTATTCATGTGCTGGAGCCCTGGAAGAGCCTCATCATAAGCCAGCATAGGTTCTGCAAAGGGGGTCTGGCATAGGGCTCTCACCCCTGACCAAGAACCGGTGGAACTGACGCCCAAGACAAGTGCTCTTTGAGCCAGCAGCTCCCCTCCTGGAGCTGTTTGTCTTATCGCTTCTTTTGGTCACATCTCCCATTCAGTTCCTTTGTTCATTTTTGTGTTGGATTTTGGGCAGATTTCTTGAGCCACTCTCTTGGACACAGCTTGTGCTTGTCCTGTGGTGCCATCTGCTGCTGGCTGCTCCAGGTGACCACCTGCCAGCGAAGCCCAGGCTCCGGGACCCATCTATTTTGTGAAAAGCCCACATGCACAAAGCAACCCCCAAATGCCAAAGGAGCCAAGAGACCAAAGAAGGAAGCAGACAAATCCAGTTTGTTGGTATTGAGTGATTTATTGAGGGAACTTTTAAGCAGGCGGGTGGTCTCGGGTGGCCACAAGACAGGCAGATCTCTGCACTGTTACTCTCGGACCCAAGGCTTATATACCAAGGGAAAAGGATATACATGCTCCAGCAAGACAGTGAAAGGTAGTGTGCCAGAGCAGGCAAGAACGCCATGTGCATCATAGCCCAGAATTTGCATGATAACATCAAGCTTGCTTTGATCTAAAAGCAGGAGTACATATTCTTACACTCGGGACAGTAAATAAAGTAGGAGTCAGGAGGCATTCATGGGACTGGGGCTAATCAGAAGTCAACATGGGAAAATTAGCATCCAAGATGGAGTCACTTTTGTCTTCCCATCACCCCAGAAAGATGTCATTGTTCAAGCTTCCCAAGGAATTGGGGGCCTCAGGCCCCCCTGGATCCCACGCAAGTGCCTGGAGTTGCTTCTCATTATTAGTCTCGATGGTGCCAAGATGCTGGGGACAAAGATGATTTCAGGTGCAGACATGCTTGAGGACGGAGGGCCAGGCTAGGCCTCTGGGGAAAGTGTTTGGTGCTAAGAATTGGGGTAGTGGGTAGAAGCCTCGTTGAGTGTGTTCTGTGCCCCAGCATCACCTGGAGCTTGTAGATATTCAGAGTCCTTGTTGCCAGCCCAGCTCGATTGAATCCAAATCCATGTTTTATCAGGATCCCAGGTTAATTGTGTGCACATTAAAGTTTGAGAAGCTCTGCTCTAAGAAACAGGTTGCCCTGGAGCCTAGAGACACTGGGTAAGAACCTGTAGACACCCATCCTAGTTCTGGGAACGTCTCTAAAATTGTTATTGCTGAAAAGGTGCATTCAGTTTTGGTTGTCTGTCTCATCTCTGGCTGCATGTGGTCATATTTTTTGTGAGGCTTTTTCATTCTTTTGATAAATATTTGCCATGTGCATAGTTTGCATAGATATGTTCTTAGTGAACATGGCTTTTTGTATTCTGCTCTATTTCACTTAAAACTGTATCATCAACAGTTTTTCATCTTGCTGGATATCTTTTTTTTTTTTTTTTTTTGAGAAGGAGTTTCACTCATGCTGCCCAGGCTGGAGTGCAATGGCACGATCTTGGCTCACTGCAGCTTCTGCCTCCTGGATTCAAGCAATTCTCCTGCCTCAGCCTCCTGTGTAACTGGGATTACAGGTGCCTGCCACCACACCCAGCTATTTTTTTTTTTTTTTTGTATTTTTAGTAGAGATGGGGTTTCACTATGTTGGCCAGGCTGGTCTCGAACTCCTGACCTCAGGTGATCCGCTCTGCTCTGACTTCCAAAGTGCTGGGATTACAGGCATGAGCCACCGTGCCCAGCCTAGATATCATTTTTGATGGCCGCTTACAAGTGTACGAACTGTCCCAGTGAAAGCCAGTACCCCTCAGTATCTCTAGCTCCTGGGGGTGGTGGGGGGGGTGGGAGGGCATCTCTAGCCAGCAAGTGGACCCTCTGCCACCCATTGTGGGAGGTACCCACCTTACAGAGGAGGATCATGGCTGGAATTGGAGACTCATACCACAAAGACTGACTGGGAACCCTTGGAAGATGCAAAACTTTATCACGTCCTGGCTGTGAGTGCTAAAACCCTGCCTAATGCTAGCCTTTCTTTTTTAAAGTATTGATGTGGCCTTTTTTTTTCCATTATAAAAGTAATCATATTCATTCTGAAAGATATACAATATATACAAAAATAAAATTGAAAAAAGGAAATTATCAGGAGTTCCACCACTCAGACATAATCACTGTTTACATTTTGGGGAGTCATTTTAAAAGTTTTCATATGCATAGTCATATACATATGTCTGTTTTTTAAAAAAATGGTTGAGAGCATAGTGTGTCCACATGGGAACTTATATATCATATTTAAGGATTGTTTTATATCTTTTTTGTTTAACCTGATATAAATTTTTATTCACTTGTTTATTCATTAAATATGTCAGACACTATGTTAGCTGTGGGGATACAGTGGTTGTAATCAGACATTGTCCCTGTTCTATGGAACTTAGAGTCCATTGATAGATATATCCTATGTCCTTAATATCATCTGTTGTGGCATTCTGAGCTGTCTCTAGACCTGTTGCATAGAGTTTTATGATGAACGTCTATGCAAAGAACCTTTTCTATATTTGGAATTATTTCCTTAGGAGAGATTTCCAGAAGTGGAATTAACAAAGGGCATGGACAGTTTTCAAGGCTCTTGACGTGTGCTGCAAAGTTGATTTCCAAAAAAGGTCTGGAACAATTTCAGGGCACTCCCTGAAGAGTGCCCATTTCACCGTACCCTGGCCACTGTTGGTGATTTACCATTAACCAAAAGACTTTGACCTGTATCGCCCAGACTGGAGGGTGTCCCAGCTCCTGCCTCCAGGTCCAGCAAACACTGTGGGCACTGACCATTCAAGGCTAGCCTGACCCTGTCCCTCTGTGAAACCTTTGGGGGTTCCACAAAGCCTTTAGGGTTGCAGGACCACATAACTTATCCAAACAGGGATACTTGAGCATGAAAGGGGCCACCATGAATAATCACCCTGGGACAACAGGCAAAACTACCCTGGGAAATGGGAACATGAGATCATCCTACTATAGATAAATCTGATCCCTTTAACATAGCTTGAATTCAACCCTCTCCACCATCTGGCCCCAACTTACTTTTTCAGTCTCTTTGCATCCTGACATATCACACGATCCAGTCACAGTCGGCCTGCAATTACCAACCATGCCTTGGGTGTCACTGTCTCTGTACATCTGCTCCCGCCATTCCCTCCTCCTGCCTCCAGCCACCCCAACCCCCGCCAGTCTGCAATGCGCCCCCTCGCCCATCTGTGTAGGTCCAAATCCCACCCTTGCTTCAAAACACAAATTAAATGGTACCATTCAATACTGCTTTCATTCAACAAACATGTACTGACTGCTTACGATGTGTCAGGCACATAGAGTACAAGACCGAAAACATCCCACCTCCTGTGGAACTTTAATTTGTGTGTGCAACTGTGACAACTGGTCCTAAAGATGAACACAAAATGATGTGCCAGAGAGTCTGCCCTGTTATGGTTTTGAATAGACACACCCACCACCCCACAAGGTTATGAGCTCTTTGAGGGTAAAATCCAAGAGGCTCATCCTCCACCCTTGCAAAACCTCTGACACACCCTTGGATAGAGCAGGCACTTAAGCATTTGCCAAGTGAAGAATTAATATGAAAGAAGCTTACCTATTCACTCCGCAAGAGTTTTCTAATAACCAGTTCTGGGTTCTCCATGAATCTGAGATCAAAGGGGAGCCTAAATTTCCACATACCTTAGAGAAACACCCCCAGGTCCTACCACTGTGACTCTCTGTCCACCCTGATACTGGAAGAAACTGAAGTCACCGGACTCACTGATTGCTGCTTCTTGTGAGGTTAAGTGACTCATCCAAGGTCACACAGCTAGATAGTGACTGAGCCACTGGAGGGGTCAGGAGGTGATACAGGAAAGACTCAGAATGCATGAGTGGATAAGTCACCAAAGGAGTCACTGGAGTGGAGGGGCCTGGAGGGGAAGGTGACCCTGAGTGCTGGAATGGCCAGAGAAGAACAAACAAGCTAACAGCCCCAAAGACCTCCATTGTCCCCAGATCCCATTCACTGTCATCTCCTGAAGAACATCACTCTCACACCATCAGTGTTCTCTGCTCCTTTTTGCACAAAACTCCTCCAGAGACTTGTCTAGCCTCTTTCTCTCTC
Source organism: Homo sapiens (assembly GCF_000001405.40). Taxonomy (NCBI): domain Eukaryota; kingdom Metazoa; phylum Chordata; class Mammalia; order Primates; family Hominidae; genus Homo; species Homo sapiens. Next base: position 46,455,875 of record NC_000010.11, on the reverse strand, counting down.
TCTCTTTTTTTTTTTTGTTCTTTTAGAGACAGGGTCTTGCTCTGTCACCCAGGCTGGAATGCAGTGGCATGAACATAGCTCACTGCAACTCGAACTCCTGGGCTCAAGTGATCATCTCACCTCAGCCTCTTGAATAGCTAGCACCACAGGTGCATACCACCATGTCCAGCTAATTAAAAAATTAAATCTTTTTTTTTCTTTTTTTGATAGAGACTGGGTCTCCCTATGTTGTCCAGGCTGATTTTCCTTTTTTTTTTCCTTTTTTGTAGAGATGAGGTCTCTCTCTGTTGCCCAGGCTGGTCTTGAACTCCTGGCCTCAAGTGATCCTTCTGTCTCGGCCTCCCAAAGTGCTGGGATTGGCATGGGATACTGTGCCTGGCCCCCTGTCTAATCCTGAAGCTTCCACTTCCTCTCCTCTTATGTGCTCACCAGTCCATTCATATAGCTCTTGCCATGTTGCCAAATCCTGTGGCCAGTTCTCAGTCTTGTCTGATATGGTCGTCAGCTGTATTGGGCAGTTGGTCACTCCCTTCTCCTTGAGACTCCTGCATGTGGCTTTTTCAGGGCATAATGGTCATGGTTCTCCCTGCCTCATTGGGCTCTTCTTCCCCATCTCTTTTCTTGGACTCTTGTTGCCCTGATTTTGGGACACTGGAGCATCCCCAAGGAGCCCTGGAGGTCCTCTCATTCCCCTGGTGAGCTCACCCAGTTTTCTGGTGCTAAATGCCACAAATACTCTAATGTTCCCCAGTGTATCTCCAGTCTGAACTTCTCCCTGACCTCCAGATTTGGGTGTCCAGGCATGCTTTGTGTTTCCTAGACACCAGTCAGCATCTCAAGCTTGGCACATTTAAAAGCAAACTCCAGATTTGTCCCTGCTACCTCCTTCCTCAGTGTCCTCCTTTTCAGAAAAGGGCAAGTCCTGCTTTTCATTTGCTTGGGCCACAGTCTTTGGGATCACCTCCTATTCACAACCCTCATCCAATCTATCGGTGAGTTCTGTAAGCTGTGCCTTCAAAATGTTCTCAGAATGACCACTTCTCACTGCCTCCAGGCTCTGCCTTCAGGTTCAAGCCACTGTCCTCCCTACTGAGATCATGGCAGAGGCCTCCTTTCTGGCCTCATTCAGCCAGAGTGATCCACTGAAACTAGTCAGGTGCCTCTACAACTTTGTTCAACCCTCCAGTGGCTTTCCATCATATTCAGGGCAAATTTCACAGTCACAGTCTCCACCTGTGTCTGCAGATCATCCACCCCTCTCTGGCCTCACTTCCCACTACCCTTCCCCTCACCCACTCCTCTTCAGCAGTGCTTGCTTCTCTGCTATCTTTTGAACAGGCTAAGACCTTTCCCGCCTCAGGCCTTTCTACTTCCTACTCTTGCTGCTTGGAATGCCACCCCTTGATATCAACTTTCTCCCTTGCTCCCTTCACCTTAAGTGAACCTTTATTAGAAGATTAATTTCCTGGCTGGGCATGGTGGTTTGTGCCTGTAATCCCAGCACTTCGGGAGGCCAAAGCAGGCAGATCACTTGAGCCCAGGAATTTGAGACCAGTCTAGACAACATAGTGAAACCCCATCTCTCTCTACAAAAATTACAAAAATCAGCTGGGCATGGTGGCACAAGCCTGTATTCTGAGCTACTTGGGAGGCTGAGGTGGGAGGATTGACTAAGCACAGAAGGTCAAGGCTGCAGTGAGCCATGATCACACCGTTGCACACCAGCCTGGGCAACAGAGTGAAAGCCTGTCTCAAAAAACAGAAGACTAATTTTTTAACCATCCTGTAAAAATATAACCATCCTCCCTCTCTCTTCCCTTTTCTGCCCAGTTTCTGCCACAGGACTTAGCACATTGGCTGGTTCTTTGTTGAGGGTCTCCACTCCCTCATTAGAACATGAACCCCATGGAAGTAGGCACTGTAGATGTTTTATTTACTGTCCAGCCCTCAGCAAGAACAGGCTGTTCACGAGAGGTGCAGAAGAAATATCCATAGTACAAGTGAATTTCCAACTGTTATAGTTCATCAGTGGAGAGCTGCACTTCAGCCTCTTATTTGTGGAGAGCGGGCATCTGGTTTTGTAGCTGTTTGGTCCCAAGTTTGACAGCCGTTGTCTGCTGACTGAAAGGGAGCTGAAGCAGCTCCCTTTGCATCCTGGTTTCCTGGTTTGTAATAATAAACACTGGCTGCCATGTATTTAGTGCCCCAACCACTGTGCCAGATGCTTTATATACATTGCCTTCCCTCAATCCTGAGATCAGATAGATGAAGAAACTGAAGCTTATAGAGGTGAAATAATTTTTTCCACATTTTCAATAAGAGCCAAAGATGAAACCCAATCAGTTATCTTCCAAAGCCTATGACTTAGACTGTTGTAGCAGGAAGGACAGTTGGCCAGATGACCTCCAAGTGGCCTTGAAGCTCATAGCTAGAAAGTATGAGCTTTATGGGCAATGGAGAAGCACTGAAAGCTTTTAAGCAGGGGGATGGCATGGTCAGGTTACATGGAGGGAGAGTAGTGTGGCTGGATTGGCCTGCATTCCCCAGAAAGCAGAAGCTGGGGCAGAGGTCTATGAGCTTTTCCTTTATTAGGGAGAAAGATCCCAGGGAACAAGATGAAGAATATGGGGAAGGAGACAGGGAAGGAGGGAGAGTCAATCTGAAGATGCGCTACTGAGCTGGCAGCTGATTACTCGGTATCTCTTAAAACCATCTTAGGACAGTTTGTCTGGACGAAAAAAGAGGTAAGAACTCATCCATCGGTTTCCATATTCCCTTGGCAAAGGTTCGTACATGGAGCATTACCTCCCCACACTCTGGGGACACACAGGAACACTGAACATACCTGGACATAAACAGAGCAGGTCCTGCAGAGATGAGAAGGATGTTTGGGGTATGAGGTGAGGCGCCATCAGGTCGCACCTGTGTGAAGCCAGTGAGCTCTCTCAGAGCTGGTGCCTCAGTGGGTGCTGGACCAAGAGGCCAGTGAGGACAAGAGGATCATAAGCAGAGCAGAAACAGCATCCAATTCAGGGTCAGAGGAGGTGGTGTGGGCTGAACTGTGTCCCCCCAAACTCATATATTGAATTCCTAACCAACGGTACCTCATCATGTGGCCTTCTTTGGAAGCAGTGTCATTGCAGGTATAATTAGTTAAGATGAGGTCATACTGGAATATAGTGGGTCCCTAATCCAATCCCTTGGCAAAGGTTCATACATTGAGCATTGTCCGTATAAGACTGGTGTCCTTATAAGAAGGGGAAATTTGGACACAGAAACACACACAGGGAGGATGTGTTGTGACCATGAAGGCAGAGTTCAGGGTAGTCCTTCTACAAGCCAAGGCATGCTGAAGATGGAAGTAATCCACTAGAAGCTGAGGGACAGGCACCCAACAGGCTCCTGCACAGCCTTCCGAAGGAACCAACCCTGCTGACACCTTGACCTTGAACTTGCAGCCTCCAGAACTGTGAGACCATAAGTTTCTGTCGTTTTAGCCGCTCTGCCTGTAACGCTTTGTTGTGGCAACCCCAGGAAACTAACAGAGGAGGTGAGATTGGGGGCAGGGAGGCCCATCTGTGGGGGGCATCATGTCAGTCAGGCACTCAGTAACTGGGGGAAAATCCCAAACTCAAGTGGGTGATGGCAAAATGGGGAAATTATCGGCTCATGGAATGGGGCTCTCCAAAGGAAGTTCTTTGACTTCAGGCTTGATTCAAGGGTTTGAACGAGGATGGTAGGGCTCTCTAGTCCTTGCCCCCTTGTCTCCACATGTTTTGAACTGCACGTTTGTGTGCCTCCAGAATTCCTATGTTGAAACCCTAACCCACAATGGGATGGTATGTGGAGATGGAGCCTTTGAGAAGTGATTAGATTTAGTTGAAGTTATGGGGATTCTTCATGACGGGATTAGGCCCTTACCAGAAGAGACCAAAGAGCATGCTCTCTCTCTCTCTCTCTCTCTTTCTCTGTCTTTCTGTCTCTCTCTCTCTCTCTCTCTGCCATGTGAAGATACATCAGGGAGATGTCCATCTGCAACCCAGGAAGAGAGCCCTCACGAGGAAACAAGCAGGCCAGTACCCCAGTCTGTAGGACTTCCCAGCCTCCAGAACAGTGAGAAATAAATTTCTGTGGTTTATAAGCCACCCAGCTTAAGGCATTTTGTCACAGCAGCCAGAACAGACCAAGAGAGGTGCCTGTGTCTTGATCTCTAGAGAGAGCATTGGCCAAGGCCAACCCAGCCATGAGAGAGAGACAGAGAGAGGCAGGGCTGGGCTGTGGCTGGCTGGGGTGTGGACTGATCCAGAGCTGGCAGTGGGCCAGAGGAAGTTCAGCTCCCCAGGGCTGGATCTGGTGAGAGGACATGGAGGTCAGCAAACAAGTTAGGGTCCTGAGGCACCGGGTGGGGGTGGGGTTCAGCAAGGAGGTCTTGGTGGACAGGATGTGGCAGTGGCAGAGGAGCTAGTTCTCCAGAGCTGAGACCAGAGATGATACCAGGTAAGTGGCCCTTCACCTGTGCTCTGTGGCCTCACTTCTGTAGAGAATCGAGGCCAGCTTCAGGGTCAAGCTTCTCGGCTGGAAGCTGGGAGTTGTTGCTGTGGTTCACTGAGTGGCAGGGATACAGTGATGACTGAGAAAATGCTGAAGAGACCTGGAAGTCCCCCATAGAAGAAATCTGATTCTTACAGCGCTGCGGAGAGGCAGTCTGGGAAGGCCTTTCTTCCCAGAGTATCTCTTCAAGGTTCTGATACACCTCACAACCCCTGCAAATACAGACAGACCGGAATGGGGCTCCCAGGTCCAGAGGAGATATTGGGAAAGGGTCCGAGGAGCAGAGCAAGATGTCTGCTTAGCCGGCAGTAGCCAGCACTCCCGGCCTGGGCAGCCAAACAGGCATCTGCAAGGGGACTTGACAATGATCGGTGGAGCAGGAGGGTGCTTGAGAGTGTGGCTGCTTAATCATGGCCTTGAGGTTTGTTGTTGTTTAAATGTCACCACTTATTTGAAACTAATTCCTGTCAGACTGCGAAAAGTTTATCAGTGTAATTGGGTGCCGGCAAAAAGCTCTCTTAAAATACACATCCTTTCATTCATAAAGCTATCAATGGGGCATTTGATTAGCATCTTTTTGACTGCCAAGGAAACCATACTGAAAGCAGGGCATGCATTCAGAACAAAGAACTCCAGCTCGTGGGTGAAAACTCTGCGATAGCCATATCTCCCCCACCAGATAGTGTGCTTTGTGATGGCTGGCAGCCTGTGCCCCTTGGAAATGTCATTTTCAGCCCCTTCTGGGCTTGTGACTAAGGTGTGGGTGGTGGATCTACAAAGGATTTCCCAAAAAGAAGGCCTCCTTTACATACCTTTTGTTCTGTGGACTGACCCACTTGTCCCACCCACATACCTGCAGCAGGCGGGAGACTTGTGCCTTAACTGGGCAGCTGTGAGCACCAGTTTTTTTCCCCAAATTCCTGGGTGCTATCTGAGCATGCTGCCATTTGGCAGTGGGGCCTCAGTCACATCCTGATGGAGAAAATGTGAAGGTTTGTCATCAGCTTATTTAACAATTCAGAGGCTGGAGTCTATTCCACTTTTTGTCCAGTATGTAGCTTTAAAACAGTTACATATAACATGGAACAGTATGACATGAAAAGAGAGAGGTTTATAGAGGGAGATGGGAATCGTGACAGCCCCTGCTTACGGAGTTTGCCCCTCCAGTCCTGAATTCTTCTGCATCCCCACATCCTGCTTGTCTGGAAAACGGCTGCAGCTTGCTACTTCGATTCTTGGCCTTCCAGAAACTGGACTCCTGGCCCATCTTTTCATCTCTTTGGAGAAACAAACAACAAACAATAATCTCGTCATAATTAAAATTCACTGTGATATAAAGCTACTCTAAAAATAGTACAATTAAAATTAAAATTTATTTCATTTCTTGAGCTGACATTTCAGACAGCCAGGGGCCTCCCACTAAACTTGAAGGTGATGAGTCTCTGCTCAGTCTCACCTCCCGGGCTTCTGTTCCAGCATGAGTCTGAGCTCCATTCAACTCTTCCCGGGCCTTTTCAGCTCTAGGTGTAAAGGTTCAGTGTGAACTCGTAGAAAGAAGACAGGCTTTTCAGTCAACAGATCTGAATTCTTACACGCACTGTCTCATAGTCCTTGGTCTCAGTTTCCATGTTTGTACAGTGAGGATCATGGGTTCCAAGGATTTGGGTTCCAAGGTGGGGTTGGACAATGAAACCATAGCTGTCCAGTGTGGTGGCCATGGGCCACATGTGACTTCTGAGCACGTGAAATAGAACTGGCACAAATTGAGATGTGCCAAGTGTAAATTACACATTGAATTTCAAAGACAGCCCCTACAAAGAATGTGAAGTGTCTCATTAATAATTTTGTATATTGATTATATGTTGAAATAGCAATATTTTAGATATATTGGGTTAAAGTATGAAAATCAACATCAATCTTTTCGTTTTACTCTCACTATTTTTTAGAGCAGCTTTATAGTCACAGTGAAATGGAGTAGAAAGAACCCAAATGACCACTCCATCTGTCCTAAGCCAGTCTGAGGGCTTTCTGTCCAGCCCTAACGCTGTACCATGATCCTCACTGTACAAATATGGAAACTGAGACCAAGGACTATGAGACAGTCCTTATAAGAATTCAGATCTGTTGACTGAAAAGCCTGTCTTCTTTCTACGAGTTCACATTGAACCTTTACACCTAGAGCTGAAAAGGCCCAGGAAGAGTTGAATGGAGCTCAGACTCACACTGGAACAGAAGCCCAGGAGGTGAGACTGAGCAGAGACTCATTACCTTCGAGTTTAGTGGGAGGCCACTGGGCTGTCTGAAATGTCAGCTCAAGAAATGAAATAAATTTTAATTTTAATTGTACTATTTTTAGAGTAGCTTTATATCACAGTGAATTTTAATTATGACGAGATTATTGTTTGTTGTTTGTTTCTCCAAAGAGATGAAAAGATGGGCCAGGAGTCCAGTTTCTGGAAGGCCAAGAAGGACTTCCCGTATCCTTCCTGGGCCCCAAACATGCACAGCCTCCCCGTTAGCTACACTGTCCACTAGAGTGGTGTGTTTGTTACAGTTGATGCCAGACTCCATGGTTCGGGGTTTGCTCTTGGTGTTGTACATTCTATGGATTTGGACAAATGCATCATGACACGTAACCACCATTATAGTATCACACAGAATAGTTTCATGGCCCTAAAAATCCTCTGTGTCTTACCTATTTATCACCTCCTTTCCTGTTAAACCCTGGCAACCACCGATCTTTTTACCATCCCCGTAGTTTTGCCTTTTCCGGAAAGCCATGTAGTTGGAATAATACTGTATGTTGTCTTTCATATTGGCTTTTTTCACTTAATAATAAGCATTTAAAGTTCCTCCATTTCTTTTCATGGCTTGACAGCTCATTTCTTTTTAGAGCTGAGTGATATTCCATTGTCTGGATGTGCCAAAATTTATTTATCCACTCACCTACTCGAGGACATCTTGGTTGCTTCCAAGTTTTGGCAATGATGAATAAAGCTACTGCTGTAAACATCCATGTGCAGGTTTTTATGTGAACATAAGCTTTCAACTCCTTTGGGTAAATATCAAGGAGTACTTTTGCTGGATTGTATGGCAATGGTGTGTTTAGTTTTGTAAGCCACTGCCAAACTTCAGCCGATTCCTGGTTTCCCTATTCTCGGCAGGCTGGCCTCACAAAGTTCGTCTCCTGCAGAGCTCCAAGGAAGCTGGTTTTGGCTGAATCTGAAGATGATCAACACTGGTAGGATGCTGCTGTGTCATAGACTGGAACCCCAGCTCCTGATCATGCTGGAGTGGGGCTGCTGCTCCCTGCAACCCCACCTGCCTCCCCCTTGAGCTGGAAGAGAAGGGCTGATGGCCAGAGTTCTGCCATACCCCACTACGATCAGATCAAGCTCTGATCCCACCAGGCCAGGGGCTGTGCTTCCTTGATCATATAAGCCCAAGGTCCGGGGTCGCTCTCCTGGAGTCTGACATCAGCCCGGCTAGGTCCCAGTGCGCTGCCCTGGAAGGGTCAGAACACTTGTTCCTGAGATTATCTCTGTGGATTTTCCCTGATGAACTCTGATCTAGCAGGAAGTGTATGGGCTGCTAAGTACTTTTCCCTTGTTTGCTCAAGGAGTTTGCGGCCCCAAGATCATTTCCAAAGCCTTTTGCTTCAGCTTGCTAAAGGGAGGCTGCTCTCACTCTCTTCAGCTTGCTAAAGGGAGGCGGAGTTCTGAGGAAGGCAGGCACCTTAAGGGATGTTGAAAGTTGCCTCTGTTTGCTGTGCCTACCACCTACTTCTAGTCCTCCTCTCGCCGCCCAGATCATCCCCTACAATGCATTACCCATGCCTGCCCCCCACCACCCAGAAGCTATGGGGGCTCTGGTCCAAGCCCCACACTTGTCCGAAAGAGGTGCCTGGGCCCCACAGAAGCCTTGTCAGATGATGGCAGCTCTCTTCTGATAGTTCAATGGATCTGCCACCTACACAGAGAGGTCTGGAAGTCGCTAACTCTCTTTGAGTCTCAGATTCCATAGTAGTCAAATGAAGGGTTTGAACCAGAATATTTTCAAGAATTTGTGCTCTTCTAAGAGTCCATGGTTTTTTTAAAAGTTAATTTAAGTTTTAAAATTTATTTTTTATTTTATTTAAACATTTTTATTTATTTTTTAAAATCTTTTATTTTAGGTTTCAGGGTACATGTGCAGGTTTGTTACATAGGTAAACTTGTGTCATGGGGATTTGTTGCACAGATTATTTAATCACTCAGGTACTGAGCCTAGTACCCAACAGTTATTTTTCTGATCCTCTCCCTCATCCTACTCTCCATACTCAAGTAGGCCCCAGTGTCTGTCATTCCCCTCTTTCTGCCCATGGGCTCTCATCATTTAGCTCCCACTTATAAGTGAGAACATGTGGTATTTTGTTTTCTGTTCCTGTGCTAATTTGCTAAGGATAATGGCCTCCAGCTCTAGCCTACACTATGGAATACTATGCAGCCATAAAAAAGAACGAGATCATGTTCCTGTAAAGGACATGATCTCATTCTTTTTTATGGCTGCATAGTATTCCATAGTGTATATGTACCACATCTTCTTTATCCAATCTACCATTGATGGGCATTTAGGTTGATTCCATGTCTTTGCTATTGTGAATAGTGATGCAATGAACATGTGCATGCATGTGTCTTTATGGTAGAACGATTTATATTCCTTTGCGTATATACCCAGTAGTGGGATTTCTGGGTTGAATGGTAGTTCCGTTTTTAGGTCTTTGGGGGAATTACCTCACTGTTTTCCACAATGATTGAATTAATTTACACTCCCATCAACAGTGTATAAGCATTCCTTTTTCTCTACAACCTTACCAGCATCTGTTATTTTTTGAGTCTATGATTTATCTTTGTGGGAAATAGAGTAATTTTAAGGCCCTCCAACCTCTCCATGGAATGAAGTAGAGATCTGCCAGCAAAGCCAGCATCAGGACCGAGTAGAATATCCAGTACATGGCAGGTGCTGCGTGATTTTTGTTAAAATCATAATCTCATTTTAAGAGGACTGTCCTACACAGGCCAAGCTTGATTCCATGGCTCTTCCAGTTAATTTCCTCATCTAAGTTAGTATTAGCCATGTCCACATCTGAGCTGTGCTATTAAAAGCCAGACCAGCAGCCTCATTGCTCCCATCGACGGGCATATGGTACTAGATAAAAAGCCATAAATGTCCAAACTGTTGAGAAAAAATGTGAGATGAGTTGAGGGGGACACAGGTTGCCAGCCTGCCACTCTGGGCCCCGTGCTGGCCTGGGTGCAGCCCTGTGTCCTGTGTTGCTGACCTGTCTCCCAGTGTCAGGCTTGGGCCTCCCTAGGAAAATTTTCCATGGGGCTCTGGGCCTCCTCCTCCCTCCTGCCTTGCCTGAACTGGCCCCACACTCAGGACTGGGGAGTGTCAAAGTGACTGAGCCTGGGGGAAGGAACAAATGCAAAGCACGTGAGGATTCCTCCTCTGGGGAGAGTTTATCCCATAAGTAATGACATCACGGTTCCCCAGCCTTCCAGGATGGCATCCTCAAGGTCATCTTCATCCTCTCTTCCTCTACAGGCTCTGCCACTGCAGCTACAAACTGCAGCGAAGGCCCCCATTAGGAAAAATACTCCCCACGACTTTGCCAGCCCCTGTTCTGGACCTTCTTCCCCTCAGAGCCAAGCCCCACAAGAGTGTTCTACACTCCTGGCCACCACACTCTCACTTTCTCTTTGCTTCTCAGCTGACAGGCATTTTCACTTCTGTGACTGCTGAAGCTGCTCTGCATAAAAGCCCATCTCTACTAAAGATAAAAAATTAGCTGAATGTGATGGTGGACAACTGTAATCCCAGCTACTTGAGAGGCTGAGGCAGGAGAATCACTTGAACCCAGGAGGCGGAGGTTGCAGTGAGCCGAGATCGCACCATTGCACTCCAGCCTGGGCACTAAGAGCAAAACTCTGTCTCAAAAAAAAAAAAAAAAAAAAGCACAAGTGGCATGGTCTTGCCATGCGATTTGGGTCCTTGCAATACTTGATCTTTGCAGCTTCATTCTTGACATCACCTCCCTGAAATCTCCTCTTCCCTTAGCTCCCATGGCCTGACTCCAGCTAGGTCCTCTGTCCCTCATATGCCAGGCTTTCCTGGTTCTGCTGTAGCTTTTGTGTCCTGCCCCCAACACCCTCCATAAGCAATTGCAACTGTGCCCCGTTCCCAGACTCACACCTTCTCCAGTCTCCGTCTACCTGCAGGCTGGACGCCTCCACGGCGTGTTCCACACATACCTCAAGTGCAAGTCCAAAGCAAAATATGGTCCTTCTCAGATTCCAGCTGGATTTTCCATCACAGTTATTCCTATTGTGAACCACTGAATTGCCTAGTTAGGGGCATCTGATTCAGACTTGTTCCTTTAGCTTGGACTATGTCAAGAACCTCCCTCAATGACATCTCTGCCACCAGGCCTTTTGTCCAGCGATCCTTTCTCTGGACAACGTCTCACATCTGACCTTGACTCTCCCACTCAGCGGTTCCTGCCCTCTGCAGGATGGGGTCCCCGTGCTTTCACATGGCCCCTGGCCATTCACAGCTTCCCCCTGGCTGGCCTTCCTCTCCTGCTTGTTCCAGCACCCCCTCACTCCCACCCCATGCTTGAATCCACAGACTCCTTATTTTTGGGTCCTCACATATGCCACACTGTGCCCAGCTCAATGCCTTCCGAATCTCATGCTTTCCAATTCCAAGTTTACCTTCTCTGAAAACTTTTCCTGCCTCCCTTGTTTCGTGTCTGCATCCCTGGCTTTTGCACTTTGCCTTGTTCCTGTTGGGCACTTAGGGAATCTTAGAGCTGGAAGGATGCAAGAGAGTCTCCATCTTTTCACCTGGCTGTAACCCCGGCAAACAAAGGGTGTAGGTTGTTATCTCCTGGGCAGCTGGCACAGTGCCTGGCCCAGAATAATGCCCCCTGAGAGCACAGTAAATTGGTTTCCACCGTGAAGAACAGATATTGGAGCTTGAAGGTGAGCTAGCCTCCAACAGGGGACCAGGGAGGTGCTAGGCCAGCGAGCCCACCTTCCCCACGATGCAGCCAATCAAGACTCCAGAGGGCTCCAGCAACAGCATGAAAAAAATAGCTCTCCATACAAAGCATGGAAACTAGACTTTAGGGCCTAGGGGAATGGGGCTTGTCTGCCTCTATGTAAGAAAGCAGGACAGGCCGGGCATGGTGGCTCACACCTGTAATCCCAGCACTTTGGGAGGCCGAGGAGGGTGGATCATGAGGTCAGGAGTTCAAGACCTGCCTGGCCAACATGGTGAAACACCATCTCTACTACAAATACAAAAAATTAGCCAGGCGTGGTGGTGGGCGTCTGTAATCCCAGCTACTCGGGAAGCTGAGGCAGAGAAATGCTTGAATTTGGAGGGAGGAGGTTGCAGTGAGCCGAGATCATGCCACTGCACTCCAGCTTAGGCGACAGAGCGAGATTCCATCTCAAAAAAAAAAAAAAAGAAAAGAAAGCAGGACAGTATATTGCAAATTAAGCTCAATAAAAAGAGAGAAAGAGAGGGAGAGAGAGAGAAAGAGGGAGGGAGGAAGGGAGGGAGAGTGAGAAGGAAAGGGGCAGTCAGGCAGACCATGGTCCCCTGCCAATTCTCTGGGCACCGGTGGAAGCAAGTTCTGCATCTTGGGCACAGTACTTTATCACCTGATTGTACTTCCTCCACCTTTCCCCAGGCAGAACTATTGACCCAGGGATCTATAACATTTGTATATATCAACACAGAAACCAATTAACAAATGCTTATATTCCTGTGCAAATATGCAAACTTCCTTCTGCAGACAGGGGTAAGCAGACACCTGGCAGTATTTTTAGAAATATTTAAGAAACACAGTTCAGGTAAGAAGCAGGCTGCTGTACCCTCCTCCGGGAGGACCAGTACCTAGAACCATCTGTTTTTCTTTGTCTTCCCTGCTCTGCTCTGAGCGTGGGGATGGTCCTTATCCTTAGCTTCATCTTTATTAAAGCTGGCATTTTCGGCTGGGCATGGTGGCTCACGTCTGTAATCCCAGCACTTTGGGAGGCCAAGGTAGATGGATCACTTGAGGTCAGGAGTTTGAGATCAGCCTGGCCAACATGGTGAAACCCCGTCTCTGCTAAAAATACAAAAATTAGCCAGGCGTGGTGGCATGTGCCTCGAGTCCCAGCACTCGGGAGGCTGAGGCACCAGGATTGCTTGAACCCTCCGCAGTCAGCCAAGATTGCGTCACGGCACTCCAGCCTGGGGGACAGAGACTCTGTCTCAAAAAAAGAAAAAAAAAACAGCTGGAATTTTCTTCAGTGCTTACGCTGTGCCAGATACATGCATTTACTCACTTCACAATGAGAGGGAAGCCACTATGTTTATCAGTGAAGCAGGGTCATTTGGGAAGCATTATCCAACACCACCTACTATGGGCCCGGCCCATGGCAACTGGAAGCAGCACTACTCAGAAGGAAAGGCATGTGGAGAAGCTCAGAGCTGACAGGGGAGTCTATACTTGATTGTAAGATTTCTGTACAAAATGCCTTTCTGTGTGCTGTATCATGTAGTGAAAGATAAGAAACAATAGAATGTCCAGCAATCAGAGAAGGCTTGACATGACAGGCTACTTTTTAACAGCACTGAGAAAAGCTTGCTATCTATTAAATATTTTAAAATCAGGTGCTAAGCCGCAGAGTAAGCACCTCATTATTTGGAAATGCACTTATACATTCACAGAAGCAACACCCCTGGAAGGAAATACCCCAGTGATCATGGGATTGTAGTAACATTTTTGTTTGTACTTTTTATATTCCTTAAATTTAAAATTCCTTATGAATAGGTGAAAAGCCTGTCCAGGAAGCTTTGTAGGGTCCCCTGAGTTCTTGGTGTTCTGTCAGTGGAGGCTGGTTTGAGTCATTCCTGTAGGAGAGCTACCCAAAACAAAACGAAGGGGAAGCAAGAGATGCAAGCTTCTAAGCCTCTGACACCTTTTGCAAAATTGCTTTCCTGCAAGGCTGTGCTGCTTCACCTGCTCCCCCACGAGCTGGTGTGAGAGGCACAGGGTTTGGAGCAGACAGCTGTGTTCTGAAGGGATGGCATTCTGTCTGGTGACACTTAGTGGCAGTCCACTTTTCTCCCACAGGTTGCTGGCTGATCTAGTTGCCAAGGCTCCTGCGTAGGTGTTATCTCCAAACATGCAGGCATAGTTAAGAGATGAGAAATACACGTGTTTGGACAAAAGACTGGAGCACAGTTCAATCAGCCTCAGCAACATTATCTCTAAAAGCAAATGAGTCCTGCTGTTGCTGGGGACCTACTCCTCTGCCTTGGCTGGAAGTGTTTGAGTCTGTCTGAACGGTCTGTTATCTCCAGGGCAACATAAAGTTTGCAGGAGGCCTGTTCACTCCAGGTGTTATCGCTGTCGCTGAGATGGTGCTAAGCCTACAGGCGGCAGAAGGCCAATTGCTAAGGCAGAGGGAGCCTTTAGTGGGGAGCCAGGCAGCCTGGGGACCCTGGGCCACAGCTTCCTTCCCTATGACATGCACTCTCATGCCCTTCCCACTCAAACATCCAGTCATTCTGCACGTCCTGGTAGAGGGAGATGCCAGGCGAACCCTCGGGGTAACCCCAGCACCTGGAAAAACTCCTCAGTGGGTTTGCTCAGTGTCATTTAAGGATCCCAACCTTGAAGGTTTTGGACTTGGGATCACACATTGTTTCATTCAGAGTGTTAGGATAGGGGTCTGTCTAGTTCAGGCATCTCAAGTTAGAGATGAGAAACCAGACTCAGAAGTCTGACGGTCCTTGGAGGCCGGCCGAGAGAAAGACCTGAGGCTCCCCGTCTCCCTGCCTGGGCACCTCATACCACCTTGCTTTTCCCTGCCCCATGTCAAGAGCAAGCTGGAGCCGAATTTGGGGCTCCCAGTTGGGCTCCAAGTGTGATTTCCTCCACACTTGATGACCAGGAGGCCATTTGTAGGAGGCTGGGATGAGCAAAGTGGGTCAAAGTGCCCCCTGCCTCCAAATGCTCGCGTGGAGGTTGGGCAGTCAGACACCATGGGGGAGAAACCCCAGGACTTTAGCAGAACAAAAGAAGGGCACCCTCCCTTCCTGGGCCCTGCCAGACTCTTGGCAGAAGGCCAGGGCTACTCATGGGGCGGGGAGTGGGGGAAGGAGGGAGGAGCAGGGATGGTCTGTTCCAGCCCTCCTGTGTTCATCCTGAGCCGAGTCACTGAGGCCTGCAGCACAGCTATGACACAACTTTTGGGGTGTCCTGGTAGGAGGGCTTTGGGCTACAGGTGAGGCATTGGAAGCAGATTTCTCTCTATAGTAAGGCAGTAGATCCCCAGGCCTTGCCCTCTGTTCCTGAAAATGTGAGTTGTACCTTGAACCACAAAATGGCTGTGGGGTGCAGCTTGGTGTGTTGGAAGGAGGGCTTTGGATGTGGGCTGCAACTGCATCATCCTTGCTCAGTTCTCATGTGGCAGGTGTGCTCCTGCCTGGTCTGGGGCAGTCTGGCAGGCTGCTCTGTAGCCCCAAGCCTGGATCTGCCAAAACTGGCAAGGAGTGGAGGCCTCCCCGTGGAGCAGTGCCTGAACCTGCAGCCCCTGGGGCAGACACTCCTGGCTCCTGGGCACCTCACTCACCATGGCTCCCCACTTTCTTAGTTGGCTCGGGCCGCTATTGCAGAATGCCATACACCACGTGGCACGTGGACAACATAAGTTTATTTCTTACAGTTCTGGAGGCTGGGAAGTCCAGGATCAAGTAGCTGAAACAGATTTGGTTTCTGGTGAGGGCCTCTTACTCTTTCATAGATGGCGCCTTCTTGCTGTGTCCTCCTATGGCAGAAGGGGTGAGGGATCTCTCCAGGGTCTTTTATAAGGGACCTAATCACCCCTGCACAACCCAGCCTCCTAATAGCATCACCTTGAGGTTTAGGATTTCAGCACATGCACTTTGGGTAAACACCGTCAATCTAGAGCATCCTCCCCCCCCCATCATGCTGGCTTCCGGACTCTGCTCCCAAGTGAATGTCCACACCCAAGGGGGGCCCTGAGTCTTCCTTAAGTCTCTTTGTCTAGGACAGACTGTGCTGAAAGGGCCCATCTAATCTCCTGATATGGTTTGGCTGTGTCTCCATCCAAATGTCATCTTGAATGATAGCTCCCATAATTCCCACGTGTCGTGGGAGGGGCCTGGTGGGAAGTAATTGTATCATGGGGGCAGGTCTTTCCCATACTGTTCTCGTGATGCTGAATAAGTCTCATGAGATCTGATGATTTTATAAAGAGAAGTTCCCCTGCACATGCTCTCTTTTGCCTGCCACCATGTAGGATGTGACTTTGCTCCTCATTCACCTTCCACCATGATTGAGAGGCCTCTCCAGCCATGTGGAACTGTGAGACGATTAAACCTTTTTCTTTTACCCAGTCTTGGATATGTCTTTATTAGCAGTGTGAGAATGAGCTAATACATCTCCCGACAGCCTGGGCCCCACCCACCCCCACTCTTCAACCCTCCTCAGTCTGTCCTTGTACAGGTTCCTTCTCCTCCAGCCCCATCTCGCTTCATGTGACTTCTTTCTTCCTTAAACTCTCTGCACTCTCTCCTGCTCCCAGGATTTTGTATCTGCAGTTTCCTCTGCCTGGAATGTACTCCACCTGGTCTACAACTCCCAGCTAGCCTGGAGTGGAGAGCTTCTATGTCACTCCCTCTGGGATGCTCTTGCTGACCCCCAAGACTGGCTCAGGCCCTGAGTTTGACCCTCTTGTGGTTCAGAGAATTCCTGGGCATAGCCATGCCCTCACTTGTGCTTCCACTGCCACATGGGGTTGCTGGACTGTTGTCCACTTCCTCAGGGGCATCTGCTTCCTCAGAACAGGGCCTGGGCATTTTGTCACCTAGGATTCCAGTGCCAGCACAGAGAGTGGGCTCAGCTGCAGACACTCAGCAATGTTGACTGAATCAGGAGGCAGCAGGTGACTCGATGTTATGGGCTCACGGGAAAACCCCTCTCCTCTTCAGAGGGCCTTACCCTGAGGTGGCCTCACCCCAGTTGTCTTCACTGGGTATGGGTCTCTTTGCCCACCCGCTGCTGCCTCACTAACCTTCCTGGCCTCAGACAAATCTAAACTCAAGTCAAAACCAGGGTGAAGATGGGCCTACGTCAGCTCCAGAGAGGGACAGCCTGAATTCCCCTCCCTCTGGTCCCATTTCCTTGGGAGGATCAGCCTCTTCCTGGATGATGACACCAGGGCTCTTCACCCCCTAGGGAGGGGTCCAGCCCATGTCTGTGGCTCTGGTCTGGGCCCTGAGGGGACACACAGTAAGTGGCAAACACAGACGGACCAGGCCGAGAGCAAGACAACATCCTCAATGGTTAAGATGTATAGGCCAGAGGGAAATTGATCAGGAAATGAACTTAGAAGTATCCAGGGACTGATGGGGAAGGAGCTGTATTTGGAGGACCTGTGATGCAAGTTACAGAATCAAAGATGTGGCCCCTGGTTTTGCTGTGTCCTCCTGGAATGGGTAGCAGGACAGGAGCCACCATGCAGAGGGTGGTCACACACTCGGGCTTGCTTTAACCTGGGTCTTTCCTTACCAATGCATTTCTGGCTACACTGGGGAAAACGAGGTGGCTAACACATTTTTTTTAGGTGTTAGAAGACCTGTGTGCACTTTCTCTCTTTCTCCCTGCACTCCAGCCACACTGGCCTTTGAGTTTGTAGAATGCCTACACTCTGCTCTGCCTCAGGGCCTTTGCATGTACTGTGCTCACTTTATGGAAAGCTTTGCTCTCAATCTCATCCAATCTCTTTAATTATTTGAATGCTATCCATCCTTCAACATTCAGTTCAAATATCATAGCCAGTAAAATCTGCTGTAATAAACTCTCTTAGTTTCCTCCAATTTTTCTTCCTAATATTTATCTCAGTTTGTAGTCATGTATTCTTGCGATGGTTGGGCTAATATCTGCCTCCTCACTGGTGTTTAACCTCTAGTAAACACTAGAGGTTTAATCTCTGAGGTCACATCTCTGAGGGCAGAGATATGAGTGACAGGTCCAGTCTTATTCCCAACATCAAGGCCAGAGCCTGTCAGGCAGCAAATGCTTAGTAAGCATTTGTTGAGTTGACTTTGAATTGTCAGAGCCAGAGGGTCGGTTTAGCATTGACACATGGGGGACATCATGGGAGAAGCCACGTTTTGTTAGGACCTGGCCCTGGGGAGATTTCTTAAGCCAAAGGCTTTGGGTCTGCCACCCTTCCATCCAAGGAGAAGTCTGAAGACAGGGTCAGCATTTTGTTTGTCCTCCACAGTTGCTAACTTTTTTTTTATTTTTTGAGACAGAGTCTCCCTTTTTCACCTAGGCTGGAGTGCAGTGGCATGACTTCAGCTCACTGCAACCTCCGCCTCCTGGGTTCAGGCAATTCTCCTGCCTCAGCCTTCCGAGTAGCTGAGATTACAGGCATGTGCCACCAAGCCCAGCTAATTTTTGTATTTTTAGTAGAGACAGGGTTTCACCATATTGGCCAGGTTGGTCTTGAACTCCTGACCTTGTGATCCACCCTCCTCGGCTTCCCAAAGTGCTGGGATAACGGGCGTGAGCCACCGAGCCTGGCCCACAGTTGCTAACTTTTAACACACAGGACATTTCATGTAAAAATTGTGACTTGCAGCTTCTTTTGAAGAATCTGAAGTCAAGCAGCCCTGGCCTGCATTTGTGCATGGCTACCTTTGTGGGATCTTGGTCACAGCTGACCCTTTGGGTGGGCATGCTACTCTTCAGTTAGTTGGGCCCTCTTCACTAGTTTTTTCACTAGTTTTTAGCACCTGCTTGCCCCTGTTAGCAGGTATGGACTTTTACCTGAACACTCAGATTAGAAAGAGATGGAAAAACCACATGGCCTTGCAGAATAAGGGAGATCTCATCTCCATGCAATGAGGAATCAGTGGCAGGCCTCTTTGCAGAACCTCCCTGGAAGGGAATTGCTATGGTTGCATGTGTCCCACAAAGTTTATGTGTTGGAAACTTAATCCCCAATGCAGCAGTTTTGAGAGGAGGGAGTAATGTACAGAAAAATATCCAGAAATCTGTACAGTTGATATGGCTTGGCTCTATGTCCCTACCCAAATCTCCTGTTGAATTGTGGTCTTTAGTGTTGGAGGAGAGGCCTGGGGGGAGATGATTGGATCATAGAGGCAGATTTCCCCCTTGCTGTTCTTGTGATAGTGAGTGAGTTCTCATGAGATTATCACTTCCCCTCCTGCTCCACCATGTGAAGGATGTGTTTGCTTTCTCTTCCCCTTCTTCCATGATTTTAAGTTTTCTGAGGCTTCCCCAACCATGCTTCCTGTACAGCCTGTGGAACTGTGAGTCAACTAAACCTCTTTAACTCATAAATTACCCAGTCTCAGGTCATTCTTTATAGCAGTGTGAGAACAGATTAATACAACAGGGTTCCCCATGGATCTGTTATAAAAATTAGGTTGTGGATGTCTATCATAAAACTCCAGGAGGCTGGGCAAAGGGTGATTGGAAAGCAGTGAGCAGGCACTTTCAGAGCTCATGTGGGACATGGGGGGACTCCTGCATTCCTACCAGCCAGAGTGGAGCGTCCTTGTAGAAAATCTGGTGCGTTCAGTTGACATCCCAGAAAAGTCATGTCTTGGCAGGAGGAGTAAAGAAGCCCTAAATAAAGTCTAATCTAACCCCTTTCCTTCAGTCAAAGCTTCAAAACAAACCTCAAAAGGGTCAGGGTAATTTCTAAGTAACTCAGCTGGCTGCCAGAAAAATATCTACCAATCTTTAGAGGAGGACAACAAAATCTAGCATTAAGTAAGGTATAATTAACAATGTTTGGTGTCATATAAGAAATACAGACATGTAAAGATGCACAGAAGTGCAACTCCTACCAAGAGAAAAACCAGTCAATAGAAACACACTCAGGAATGATGGATGTTGGAAATAGCACACAAAGGATTGAAAACACCAATTACAGATATACACACGAATTTAAAGGAAACATGAAAGTAATCATCAAAGAAGGAGAAAAATTAAAAAGGAAATACAAGGGCCAAAAATAAAAATCTTAAATAAAAAAATTTCTTTATGAAATGAACAGATTAGACGTGAAGAAGAAAAGATCAGTGAACTTGAAAGTTGCAATAGAAACTTTCAAAACTAAAATTCAGTCAAAAGAGACTAAAAAGAAAATTTAAATGAATCTTTAGTAACCTGTGGGAAAATATTCATGCAAGTATATGGATCACATACTTGTAATTGGAAGCTGAGAAGGAAAGGAAAGAGGGAAGAGAAAAAATATTTGAATAATGGTAAAAAATGCTCCAAATTTGATGAAACATACAAAACCACCCATCCATGATGCTCAATAGATCAAAAGCAAGATAAGCACAAAGAAAACTATGCAAGGTAAAACATAATCCAATTGCTAAATGCCAGTGGCTAAGAAATGTGGGTGGGCTTCATCAAATCTATTGAAGATCGGAATAGAACAGACAGACTGACTCTCCTGCAAGTAAGAGAGAATTTCATCCTGCCTGACTGCTTTGAGCTGGGAGGTGGTTTTTTTTTTTTCCTGCCATTTTTGAACTGAAGTATCAGCTTTTTATGAGTCTTGAGCCTGCCAGCCTTTGAACTGGAAGTACACCATTGGCTCTGCTGTTTCCAGCTTACTAACTGCAGATTTTGGGACTTGTCAGCCTCAATAATCATAGGAGCCAATTCCTTACACACACACACACACACACACACACACACACACGTTATGCATATGTACAAAATTATATATAGTTATATATTATATTTAAGTATAATCATATCTATCTATTCCAAAATTGGGTCTCTAATCTGATTACATTTTAAGTTGCTAATAACTTTATTTCCAATTGTAAAGAGAGCACTAATAGTCCATGGCATGATCTAGCAATAAAGATATCACCACTGGATACTCCTAATCAACCCCTTATAAGAGACAAGGAGCTGGGTAACGGTGTATACTTTCAATTATTTTCCTCACACTAACAAATATAATAAGACTCACCAGGTGTTTCTAATGTGAAGTGATACTAAGTGGACAAAGGATGAAAAACACTTAATGGTAAGTATGTGGGTAAATACAAAGGCTTTTCTCATTTTTAAATTTCCTTAAAAGATAATTGATTGTTTAAACAAAAATAATAACAATGTACTGTGTGGCTTATAACCTATTAAAGCAAAATATGTAATGATAGCATGATGGACAGAATGGAGGAAACGGAAGTATATGGTTGTAAGGTCTTACATTGTACATAAAGTGTTATAATAGTATATTTGTAATGAGCTAATGATACATATTGTATACCCTCATGCAACCACTAAACATGAAGCCAGAGTTATAGCTAATGAACTCACAGTGGAGATAAAATAGAACCATAAACATTTTTAATTCCTCTAAAAGAAATCAAGAAAAGAGAAATAAAGGATGAAGAACAGATGAAATAAACAGAGAACAAATGACAAATGGTAGATTTATACCCAACTATACTGATAATTATATAAAATGAAACTGGTCTAAAAATTCCAATAAAAAGACAAATATTTTTAGACTGTATAATAAGGCAAGACTCAACTCTATGTTGTCTGAAGACCTCAATAATTTAAAGGCACAGGTAGGTCAAAAGTAAGAGGATGGAAAAAAATATACCATGTAGCACCAATTATAACAAAGTTGGAGGGGCTAGTTAAATATCAGAAAAAGTAAACTTCAGAACAAGAAATATGCAGAACAAGAAATAAACGAGAACATTTCATAATGATAAATTTATCAGAAAGAGAAAAATTGTAAACATATATTCACCTAATAATAGAACTTCAAAATATGACAAAGAAATGGACAGAAATGAAGGGGGAAGTAGAGAAATCTACACTTATATTTACAAATTGTCATACTTGTTTCTCAGTAACTTATAGAACAAGTAGAAAAAATGAATAAAGGGGAAGGACACTTGAACAATATTACTAACCAACTTGATTTAATTGATGCCTATAGAACCTTCTACCTAAATACAGATTTTTAGGTGTAGTGTTCTATATCCTAGGAATGCAAAGTCAGTTTAATCAACAGCGCAATAAATCAATCAATGCAATTCACCGTATTCGTAGAATCCACATTGTTTCCAACTGAACACAAAACTTTCATTATAATGGACCATATCTGGGGCAGAAAACAAGTTTATACATTTAAGAGGACCAAAATAATATAGAACATGTTATCTAAATTCAGTGGAACTAAAATAGAAGTTAATAGCAGAAGGATATCTAGAAAATCCCCAAGTATTTGGAAACTGAGCAACATACTTTTAAATAATACATGGATCAAAGAGAAAATCACAAAAGATATTTTAAAATAATTTTTCCTAAATAAGAATTAGAACACAGAATATCAAAATTTTTGTAATGATTAGAGACAAATTTATAACTTTAAATGATTTTTATTAGAAAATATAAAAAGTCCAAGGTCAATGATTTAAGCTTTACTTTTAGAAGTTGGAAAAAGAGGAGCCAATTAAACCTAATGTAAGTAGAAGAAAGGAAATCAAGTTAATAGCAGAAAACAATGTAATAGAAAACGGAATAATAAAGAAAGTCAATAAGATAAAAAGTTCTTTGAAAAGATCAATAAAATTGATAAACTCCTAATAAAAAGTCATAAAACAAACTACCAACATCACTAATAAAAGAGGGAATAAAAATTACAGACTATGTAGAGATTAAAGAAATAATATGGGGATATTATAGAAGCTTTACGGCAACAAATTTGACAACCCAGAGGAAATGGGAAAATTTTTCAAAAGAAAAATTACTAAAGCCCAGTGAAGAAAAAATAGATAACCTGAATAGCTTTATAACCATTAAAGAAATTAACTTTGTAATTAAAAACTTTCACACAAGGAAAATTCCAGGCTCCAGTGACTTCTCTAGTGAATTCAATCAAATATTTAAGGAAGTAGTAGTATCACTTTTATACAAACTTGCAGAAAGTAAAGGAGGAGGAAAGACTTTCTAACTTAATTTATGGGATCAGCATAATCCTGATATCAAACTCAGAGAAAAGATACTACAAGAAAAAAATCTTATAGGCCAATGTCCACAAGGAATATACATGCAGCTGGGCACCATGCTCACGCCTGTAATCCCAGCACTTTGAGAGGCTGAGGTGGGTGGATCACTTGAGGCCAGGAGTTCAAGACCAGCCTGGGCAACATGGTGAAACCCCATCTCTACTAAAAATACAAAAAATTAGCTGGGTGTGGTGGTGTACGCATGTAATCCCCGCTATTCAGGAAGCTGAGGCAGGAGAATCACTTGAACCTGGGAAGTGGAGGTTGCAGTGAGCTGAGATCGTACCACTGCACTCCAGGCTGGGAGACAGAGCAAGACTCTGTCTCCAAAAAAAAAAAAAAAAAAGGAATATACATGCAAACATCCTTAAAATATTTCAGTATGTTGAATCTAGGAATATATGTAGAGGGTAATACACTATGACCAAGAGTGCTTATCCTAGAAATGCAAAGTTAATCAGTGCAATTGACCAATCAATGAATGCAATTCTAGCAGTTTAAAGCAGAAAACCCAGGTGATGATCTAGATAGATGTTATAAAAGCATTTGACAATATGCAATACTCATTCACGATGTACTTTTTTTAAAAAAAATAAAATCCTCTTAAAACACTGGAGTAGAAGGGAAACTCATCAACCTGAAAAAATGCTGTCATGAAAAACCTACAGGTATTATCAAATTTGATAGTGAAAGACATAATGTTTTCCTCCTCAGGTTGGGAGTGCGGCAGGAATGTCCACTTTTGCCATGATCATTCAACATTGTACCAAAAGTCCTAGGTGGTGCAATAAGGTAAGAGGAAATACCGACATAAGATTCGAAAGGAGGAGGTAAAAGTGAATCCATTCATAGAAGAAATAATAATGTACTTGAAAATCCTAAGGAATTTACAAAAAGTTACTAAAATAAGCGAATTTAGCAAGGTCATAAGATACAATGGTCAATAAACAAAAGATCAGTTGTTTTCCTAAATTGTGGCAATTTGGAAGATTAAATTATATAAATAATACTGTCTATAGTACCATTTGAAAATACTTACAAGATGAGCAAAATCTCTATGTAAAAAACTATGAAACATTGTGGAGACAAAGTGAATTGCCAATATTGTTAAGAAGTCAGCTCTCCTGATTTTTGGTTGAAATTGACAAAGCGATTCCAAAATCTACATGGAAGTACAAATAATCTAGAATAATCAAAGCAATTTTTACAAAGAATGAATGTTGAGGACTTATCTACTTTATTTCAAGATTACAGGAAAGCCAGTAATGAAGACATGTGGTATAGGTTTCAGTTTAGACAATTCATCAGTGGAACAGAATCAGATGTCCTGTTTCTGGACATACATAATATGTTGATTCCTAACAAAGTTACCAAAGTAATTTGATGGGGAAAAAGATAGTCTTTGAATAAATGGTGCTAAAACAAGTGAAGATCTATACATGAAAAAAGTGAACTTCAACCCTTACCTATACCATAACTTGAAATGTATCACAGACAAAAATAAAAGCTAAATTTGTAAAGCTTCTAGAGAAAAACATAAGAGAAAATCTTCACAACTTGGGCAGGCAAAGATTTCTCAGGGCACATAAAATTTTTGAGGAAAAAAATTGATAAATGGGCCTTATTGAAATTAAAAGTTTTTGGTCTACAAAAGACACCATGAAGAAAATGAAAGGGCAAGTTGCAGACCAGGAGAAAATATACACAGGTATTTGGCAAAGTAATGGTATGCAAAAATTAAAAAGAACCCTGGAAGATCAGTAAGAAGAAGACAAAACAACTTTATCAAAATGGGCAGAAAATTTTGAGCAAACACTTCCCGAAACAACCAATAAACACATAAAAAGATGCACTGCAGCATTACACATCAGGGAAATGTGACGACCCCTCACACCATGAGGATGCCTGAACTTAAAGATCGACAATTCTGAATTTTTGTAAGAATCGGGAGCAACTAGAACTCTTGTACAATGTTAGTGGAAATTCAGGATTAATGCTGTCACTTCGAAAAACAGTTTGGAAGTTTCTTATGAATTTAAATATATACTTACCATACAAACCAGAAATTTCCACATCAAGTTAAAAAGCTGCACAGCAAAGGAAATGACAAAGTGAAGAGACAGCCTACAGAATGGGAGAAAATATTTGCAAACTACCCATCTGATCAATAACCAGAATCTATGCAAAGCTCAAACAACTAAATAGGAAGAAATCTAATAATATAATTAAAAATGGGTAAAATATCTGAATAGACGCTTCTCAAAAGAGGTCATACAAATGACACATAGGCATATGAAAAGGTGCTCAACATCATTGACTGTCAGAGATATGCAAATCAAAACTACAATGGGATCTCATGTCAACCCGGTTAAAGTGGCTTTTATCCAAGAAAGGCAATAACAAATGTTGGTGAGGATGTGGAGAAAAGTGAACCCTTATACACTGTTGGTGGGAATGTAAATTAATACAGCCACTAGGATGAACAGTATGGAGGTTCCCCAAACAACTGAAAATAGAACTACCCTATGATCCAGCAATCCTACTGGTAGGTAAATACCCAAAAGAAAGGAAATTAGTGTATCAAAGAGATAGCTGCACTTCCATGTTTATTGCAACACTATTCACAATAGCCAAGATTTGAAATCACTCTAATTGTTCACCAATAGACAAATGGATAAAGAAACTGTGGTACATATATACGATGGAGTACGATTCAGCCATAAAAAAGAATAAGATCCTGTCATTTACAACAACATGGATGGAATTAGAGGACATAATGTTAAATGAAATAAAAAAGGCACAGAAACACAAATTTTGCATGTTCTTACTCATTTGTGGAAGCTAAAAATTAAAAATATTGAACTCATGGAGATAGAGAGTGGAATGATGGTCACCAGAGCTGGGAAAAGGTTGTGGGTGTGGGGGGTGGGAAATGGAGATGGTTAATGGGTACAAAAGTAGAGTTAAATACAATGAATAAGATGCAGTATTTGATAGCACAACAGGTTGGCCAGTCAACGATAATTTTTAGTATATTTAAAAATAAGTAAACGTGTATAATTGGAATTTTTGTATCACAAAGAAATGATAAATGCTTGAGGTGATGGATACCTTGTTTACTGTGATGTGATTATTACGCATTGCATGCCTGTATCAAAACACCTCATGTACTCCATAAATATATACACCTACTATGTACCCATAAAAATAAAAAAAAAAACAGAAATTCCTCTCCTAGGTATTTATTTATTCAAGAGGAATAAAAACACCTGTGTTCACAAGGACTTATAAACAAATATTTATAACAATTTTAGTAGCTTCAAACTGGGGAAAAACCCCAGACAGTAGAATGGATAAGCAAATTGTGATATTGCTGCAGAATGGAACACTACCCAACATTAAAGCAGGAGAGATTACAGATACACATGACAAGGAGAATGGAGCTCAGAAACATTATGATGAGTGAAAGGAGCCCACACAAGAGACTACAGTCATGGTGGTATAGTTTGGCTGTGTCCCCACCCAAATCTCATCTTGAATTCCCGTGTGTTGTGGGAGGGACCCAGTGGAGGGTAATGGAATCATGGGGGCAGATCTTTACTGTGCTGTTCTCATGATAGTGAATAAACCTCATGAGATGTGATGGTATTATAAGGGGGAGTTCCCTTGCACAAGCTCTCTCTTTGCCTGCTGCTAACCATGTAAGACGCGACTTGCTCCTCCTTGCCTCCCGCCGTGATTGTGAGGCCTCCCCAGCCACCTGGAACTGTAAGTCCATTAAATCTTTTTTTTTTTGTAAATTGCCCAGTCTTGGGTATGTCTCTATCAGCAGCTTGAAAATGAATTAATACACAACGATGCTCAATGACAGTGATGCGTTCTCAGAAACACATCATTAGGGGATTTTGTCATTGTGTGAACATCATAGAGTGTACTTACACAAACCTAAATGGTACAGCCCATTACATACCTGGGCTCTATGGCATAGCCTGTTGCTCCTAGGCTACCAATCTGTGCAGCATGTGACTGTACTGAATACTGCAGGCAACTGTAACACGGTAATATTTGTATATCCAAACATAGCTAAACATAGGAAGGGTAGAGTGAAAATACAGCATAGAAGACAAAAAGTAGTGCACCTCTGTGGGGCATCTACCATGAATGAAGCTTGCAGGTCTGGAAATTGCTCTGGATGAGCTAGTGAGTGAGTGGTGAGTGAATGTGAAGTCCCAGGACATCATTGTACACTATTACAGATTTTATAAACACTATAAACTTAGGCTACACTAAATGTATTTTAAATTTTTTTCTTCCTTCAATAATAAATGAACCTTAGCTTCTTTATGTTATCAACTTTATTTTTTTAACTTTTTGACTTTTTTATATTAATACTTAGCTTAAGACACATGTTGTATAACTGTACAAAAATATTTTCTTTCTTTATATCCTTATCCTATAAGCTTTTTTCTTTTTTTACATTTTAAATTAGAAAAAAATTAAAATGAAGACACACACATTAGCCCACACCTACCCAGGGTCAGGATTATCAATATCACTGCGTTCCACCTCCACATCTTGTCCTACCAGATGGTCTTCTGGGGCCGTCATGCACATGGAGCTGTCATCTCCTGTGATGAGAGTGCCTTGTTCTGGAATCCCTCCTGAAGAACCTGCCTGAGGATGTGTTACATTAACTTTTTCTTTTTAATAAGTAGAAGGAGTGCATTGTAAAATAATCATGAAAGTATAGTATAGTAAATACATAAACTGCTAACAGTCATTTGTTATCATTGTCAAGTACTATGCACTGTACATAATTCTATGTGCTAGATTTTATACAACTGGCAGTGCAGGTTTGTTTACACCAGCATCACCACAAACACCTAAATAATACATTGCACTAGGTTGTTGCCAGGCGATAAGATTCTTTCAGCTCCATTATAATTTAATGGGATCACCGTCTGTAGTTGACTGAAGTGTCACACAGCATGTGACTGTATGCATATTCACCTCCTAGAACCCAGACTCATACGAAGAAGTAGGGAATACCCTACTCGCAACCATGTTTTATTTCCTAGTTTCTTCCATTGGCCATTTTCTTTTTCAGGCTGGAGACTTCCCTCCCATCCCCACTGGTGTTCCCAGTCTCTCTGCCTCCTAAGTCTTCCTCTGTTGCTCTCTGGGGACCAGCTTGTGCAGCAGTTTTGTATCACTGTAGGGTAGGGCTTCAATGAGCCCTGTCCTGTGTCCTTCCCTGGCTCACTGCGTCTTGCCTTCCCTTCCTCGCACAGCCCAGGGCCTGACACCACCTCCTGCAGTTGGTCATTCAGGAGCAGGGCACTCAGGGAAGGAGACGGCTCTGCTTCGAGTATAGCCTGGGCACCATCCACAAACGCCTTGGTGTTTGAACTCACCTGTGCATCCCAGATACAGGTATAGTCTCTCCAAAACAAAGGGTGTAGGAAATATTTTTACTTCTCCATCTTTCCAAAGTATCCTTCCCTTAGTATCTTAGCAACCTTCCCCGGAGAGGCTCTTTGGGCTGTGGATGTAGTACCCAGTATCCTGGGCTGCAGATTCATTGATTTTCCATGCTTTGATTGGGTATAATCATGCTCAGAGCTGAGCAAGGTTGGCAGTGAGTGGGCCACTGACATCAGCTTATTCATGATCTCTCTGTGCTCCGATTCTGACATGAACTTCCTTTTCTGTCTCAGAGGAGAGAGATTTCAGGGCTGTGAGCCTGAGGATGGACCAACACGCACGTCAGTTGTGTCTCTGAGGACTAAAGATGGCCAGGACCCAGGACCCCAGCTAGCCTCCGGATGCTGCTGGCTGCTGGGGACCCGTGACCTAAGGCACACCCCTCAACACATTTTCTTTCATTCCTGTCAATCTCCTGTACTGGTGACTGGGCTGGGCCCTCCTGCTGGCCTCCAGGGCCCCACCTGAGCCTCTGGTCCCGGCCTCAGTCAGGCCCAGGCCTAGGGGACCGGCTTCTTGTTTCCTTTCCCGAGAGCTCTCTGGGAGTCCTTACAATAGATTCCAACCCAGGCACTTTTGACAGTGAAAGAAGATTTGTATTATTTTCTTAGGGCTGCCGTAACAAATTGCCACAAACTTCATGGTTTAAAAGAACAGAAATTTATTATCTCACGGTTCTGGAAGTCAGAAGTCCGAAATCACAGTGTCACAGGGCTGTGCTCCCTACTTAGGCTCCAGGCAAGGTTCTTCTTTGCTTTCCTGCTTCCAGTAGCTCCAAGCTTGGCTCGTGGCTCTGATCTCTGCCTCCAGCCTCCCATAGCCTTCTCCTCTGTGTGTGTCTCTCCTTTTCTGTCTCTTACAAGGACTGAGTACTCAAACTTATATCTAACAAAGTACTGGTATCAAAAATATAAAAATTACTCCTGCAATTCAATAATAAGAAGACAAACAACTTAATTAAAAATGGCAAAGTCAGGATGAACTTACCTGAAGATCCTTAATTTAATTACATCTACAAAGCTGTTTTATCCAAATAAGGTTATAGTCACAGGATCCAGGAATTTGGACCCAGACCAACCTTTTGTGGGGGCCACAATTCAACCCACTCCAGGATTTTAATAATAACTATTCCATAACAAAAGACAGAACACCATGACTGTCCCTCCATTCACCTGCATGGCCTCTGAAACCTAAGGACACCTTAGAAGTGGCATCTCTAGCTCGGCGTGGTGGTTCATGCCTGTAATCCCAACACTTTGGGAAGCCGAGGCCGGCAGAGCACTTGAAATCAGGAGTTTGAGACAAGCCTGGGCAACATGGCAAAACCCCGTCTCCACTAAAAATACAAAAATTAGCCAGATGAGGTGGTGCACGCCTGTAATCCCAGCTATGTGGGAGGCTGAGGCAGGAAAATCATTTAAACCTGGGAGGTGGAGGTTGCAGTCAGCCGAGATCGAGCCACTGCACTCCAGCCTGGAAGATAGAGTGAGGTTCTGTCTCAAAAAAAAAAAGTGTCATCTCCACCACTGGCTCCCTGGGCCACAGACAGGCAGGGAGGAAAAGGACTCAGATCCCTCGTGTGCCTTCCACCGACGGCTTCGCCTCCTCCTCTAACAGGCCTGTGGTCTGATGTTGAGTCCATGTGGCCCCCAGTCTATGCCGGAGGTACTCCCCGGCTAACCCTAGAAGCCAGTTGTATTAGTCCTTTTTCATGCTGCTATGAAGAAACACCCAAGACTGGGTAATTTCTAAAGAAAAGAGGTTTAATAGACTCACAGTTCTTCACAGGGCAGCAGGAGAGAGAATGAGTGTTAGCAGGAGAAATGCTGGGCACTTATAAAGCCATCAGATCTCACGAGACTCACTCACTATCATGAGAACAGCATGGGGGAAACCGCCCCCATTATCCAATTACCTTCATCTATCTAGTCCTAACTTTAACACGTAGGGATTATGGGGATCGTAATTCAAGATGAGGTTTTGGGTGGGGACAAAGCCAAATCATATCAACGATGTTATCCTGTCAGAACTCAAGAGAAGGGTGAGGGCTGGGGGAGGGCCGGGGGATGAGCCCATCTGAAGTGGCCAGTGGAAGCAGTTGGCCTTCTGGAGAGGGAGGCAGGAAAGGCTGGGAGGTAGGTGGCCTTGGAGGCCCAGAGGGTAGGGGGAGAACGTGGGGGTGGAGTGACAGCTGGACATCCCGAGGTAGGGACTGGAAAAGGAGGCCTAGGGAGTTCCAGATGTACCCACCTTTCTCTTTGTAACTTAATGCTGGTTGCATGACCTGTAGGTAACGTTGCAGGGGACTTGGGGTACAGTATGAGCTCTGTGGTTCCCTGCTTTGAGAAAAGGAATCCTCTTTACAAACTTTCTATGTGATTGTGGTGGGGGTAATAATAAAGAGAGCCCCCCACTGCCCACCACAAGGGCAGTCAGAGGACCCACATTGGCCAGAGTGTGTCACACATTGGACGTGCTTATTAGGTTGGGATCAGCACGTGGACAGCAGGGCCAACTAGGGTCCATTGTTAGGAAACTGAGTGCTGGGAGAGCAGTTGTCTCTCCTTCGGCATGTGCTCTAAGGAGTCTGAGCTTGGACCTGCTGAGCACCATAGCTGTCTCCTGGGGAGACTGTGTCTGAAGCTGGAGCCCAACAGAGCCCTGCAGAGGCCAGAGACGGGGAGGGAAAGTTCAGGACCTTGCTTGGACTCCTGGATCCAACCTCACTTCAAAGTCATGGTCACGGATTTCCCAGTTAGAGAGCTCACCTTGAGAGGTGGGGTCTCTGTCCCATCCCCTGGAATCTAGGTGAGCTCTATGACTTCTCTGACCCATAGAGTGAGGCACATGGTGCTGTGCCCGCTTCTAAGCTCAGGGCTAAGAGGCTGTCAGCTTCCACTTCTTGCCTTTCTGATCCAGATGCCATGCTGTGAGAAGGCCCAAGCCACATGGAGGAGCTGTGCCTAGGCCTGCAGACCACAGCCCTCACTCGGTTCCCAGCTGCCAGCTATGTGAGGAAGCCACTTGGGATGTCCAGCCCTGTCGGGCCTTTGGATGACTCAGACGCCATCTGACTAACCCAGGGAGAGACCCCACACAACACCTGCCTGGCTTAGCCAAGCCAACTCCTTCAACTGTGAAAGATGGTGACAAATTATTGTTTTAAGCCACTAGGTTTTGAGGTTATTATGCATTATTTGAAAATAATTAAAATTATTTCAAAAACTGTTTATTGTGACTGATATGGATGCCTAAGGTCCTTGCATAAATGTGTCCTCACTTGATTTAGATGCCAAAATAGGAATCTGCACCTTGAATCTCATCATGAGCTCCATGAAGCTTTGGGTAGCCTCAAGAATTCTAGAGTGCAGGGGCTTAAATTCAAATAACTCTGGCAGAACACTGATGGCCTCCCTCCTCTGGCTGTATCATGCACAGCCTGCTTCAGCTAAGGGGACAGAAGGAGGGAGCCAGCATTTCTCTGAGAACCAATTATAAACACCTTGGGGGAACTCTCATGATCAGTAAGATGCTCTCAGAGCATCGCTTTATGCATATGCTAAGAAGCTGGGGCAAGAGTAGCTTTTTTTTTAATAGTACATTTCATGTAAATTTTTACTGAAGTGAACAGACATATACAAAAATACACAAATTATAATTATATGGTTCGATTAATCTTTGCCAAGGGAACCATGTCACCAGCACTCAGATTCAATAATTGAACATTGTAAGCACCCAAGAAACTGACTTGCACCCTGTGTTGATCATGCCCCCCCAACAGTGATAGTCACCTCATTCTCCAGAGGCCTTAGGCATTGCCTCAGGATCATGGTGGAAGCTTCTCTGGGTGGGGCTGCTTGGGGACCAGCCATCCTGCAGTGGGCCCATGATAAGCACCTGTGGCGCCACACCCCTGGCTAGCAGGCCTGCTGGGAACACCTGTAGGAAGACCTTGGCAGGATCATTGGCCCTTGAGTCAGCTGCTTGCTCAACTTCATGATCAGAGATAAAGGTGAATGCAAGTACTGTGGCCATGCCATGCTTAGGACTCGAGAATGGTGCAGCCTCTCTGTAGGCCAGGGAAGGACCACTAATATGGCTCCCAGCCAAGGGCCTCAGGGATTCTGAATGGCACAGTCTCTGCAGAACTTGCACTGTGTGGCTTCAGGTCTTCCAGGACAGCTAAAATGTGTGGGCCTTGAGGGTGCCTTTGGGTGCTCATAGCCTCATTAGGGAGATGAAGAGGTGAGCAGATGTCACATATGCCAAGACAGTGGAAGCATTAAGAAAGGGGAAAGGATGGGGAGGATATCACCCCAAAGGTATGGGAAAGGACCTGGTATGTCTGGAAAGTGAAGAAGGCCAGTGTGGCTGGAACAAAAGGCACCTGGCCAGAGAGCTGGGAGATGAGGGCAGACAAGGAGGAAGGGGCTTTCCAGGCAAGGCTGAAGCCTGGATTTACCCAGAAGGCAATGAAGAGCCACCAGACACTTTAGGGGGCCCATGGTGTTGTAAAATGAAGCATTTGGGCTTTGTCCCAGGTTCCTGGAAGGGAGCTTGGCATTTTCAGGGTGGCAGGAGTGTCTTTGCTATTCATCGTGGGTCCCTGGGGCCACACCGGAGTTTATGCTGACCAGGTGCTTCAAGGTGGGACTCCATAGCTTCAGGATGCAGGCTGGCCAACCATGGCAAGACCAGCCATGTGAATAAAGGGTCAGGACTTTGAGCCACATGATATCAGCCTGACCTCTGGGGAGAGAGTGGGTATTGGAATTGAGTACAAAGGTGTAAGCAATGATTTCATCAATCATGCCTAGGTAACAAACCCCAATAAAAACTCTGGACATTGTAGCTCAGTGCAGCCACCCTGGTTGGTAATCGTATAACCGTGTTCTGGGAGGCTTCACATTTGGGAATCTCCCCAAACCTCTCCCTGTGCATCTTTTCATTTAGCTTGTCCTGATTTGTACCAATCAATAAAACTGGAATTGTAAGTGCAGAGGTTGGTGAGTCATTCTAATGAATTATTTATTCAACTTGAAGCCCTGAGTGGGAGCCTCTATCTTGGTAGCCAGTGATTGGAAGTGTGGGTGCACTGGGAATGCAGCTGGCATCCTGCAGGGCCCTAAGTCTGTGGCATCTGTGCTAACATCAGGTGGTTACTGTCAAGACTTTCTTCACTCAGTCAGGTCTGTGCTTCAGGTGCACTGCTCTGTGGAGTGGGGAGGGGGCCTGGAGTGCATTTCTGCTCATGGGGCTCATGATTTGAACTCAGGCCTAATATGTTAATGAGCAGACACCTGGCCAAGCCCTGGGGGCCTCAAAAAACCAAGACAGGGGAAGCATCAAGAATGTGATGAGAGAGTACGCGGCCATGGGAGTGTCACCTTTGCCTCCTCTTCTCCCTGTGGCTGGAAAGGCTGGCCTGTCTGGCTGCCCAAGGATAGATGGGGAGAGGTTTAATTGAATCACCTACTGTGTTGGGTAAAGTAAACTGTCGTCATTGCAAATATAATCAGGACTGTATTTTAACAGTAGAAAATGTGATTATAATGACATATTTATCAGCTCCTTTCACCTGGGTGGATCTGAGGACATTTCAGAAAACAAGTGATTGGAATTGCTTGGCCTACCTCACACACTTACACACACACACTCTCACACACTCACAGAGACACACACTTATAAGCACACACAGTCCTGTGCATGCACACAAGTGTATACGCACCCACGCACATTTCCACATGCATGTGTGTGCACACTCACATACACAAACACACAGAGACACACCCTTACAGGGCATCTGGTGCTCTGGCCTGCTCTGACACGCAGCCCCTCCTGGGAGTGGGCAGTAAGCATTGGGGGGACATGTAGGTAGTCCCTGGGGAAGCTGGAAGGCTGACCACCTGGCGAGCAGCAGGGCGCACTCACTGGAGCCCCTGCCTGGATGAGCTGGCTTTGCTCAGCTCCAGCTGTGGTTCCCTCTGTAGACTGTGGGATCAGAAAGCCCTCATCACATGATGTAACTCTCACAAGGCTGCAATCTACTTCCCTGTCCAGGTCCCAGAGGCTCCAGGCTCTTTGTGGAGTCACCTGCTTGGGCAGCCACGGTTCTGTGGAGCTGCTTGTCAGAGAGTGCGCAGGCTCTGGAGTCAGTCAGACCTGGGTTTGACTGCTGACTCCATCTCTTACCTGCTGTGTGGCCATGAGCAAATGCCTATTCTCACTGGGACTCAGTTTCCTCATCTACAAAGTGAAACGTGTTCATACTTCCCTTATGGTCAGTGAGGATGGAATGGGATAACATTCTGCACCCCGCCTGGCACCACAGGCATATGAGGTATTCGATAAGTGAATGATTGTGCCAGACAAGAAAGCTGCCTGCCCTCCTCCTCCTCGGCCCTGTGCAGGGACTGGGGTGGATGAGAAAGCCCGTGTTTCCTGAACACCTGTTTGCACCAGGCACCTATTTGGCTGCTGCCTGGATGTCCTTCTCAGGTTCCAGCTCAGGTCTCTTGGACCAGTCCCCTGGTCTGGGGTAGGGATGCCTGGAACGGCTCTAGCGGCAAGGCCATATCTCGCCAGGCTGCCAGGATGAGCTGAGCATTGTGTCCACGGTGGGTGTCTGAAGGAAATAATGTATACAGTGGTCCATTTCCAAGACCAAGTGCCTTGAATCGGCTTAGGTCAGCAAACTATAGAAGCAACAGGACATACTAGGCCCCTGCTTGGATAGCTGCTGCCTGCTTGTCGGCCTCCCCCTTCTTCCCTCTTCCCCACCCCCTTAGTTGCCCTCACCCGAACCAAAGAAGTTTAGATAAAAGTTTATTAGTCTGCAAGATAGCTTGATTTGTCTCTTCTTGTCAGCCTGCCTAGCTACTTAGGTCATAAGTCAAACACTTGAAGAGCCCCTGAGCTGACTAGGATTGCAATGCATTGTGAGCTGCAACAAAATGCAGCAAGACAACCCTAAAAAAAAACACCTAAAGCCCCTACCTAACAATCAATAGGCAACATCCGGGAAAATTGTGACCCCATAGTACTCAGTCTATGAGCAACTGGGGGAGGGACCCGTACTCTAGGGATAAACTGCTTGTCGAAACTGCTGGGTGTGCTTGTCCATCAGACACCCGATCTTGCAAGTTCATCATTAAAAGTTTCACTTTCGCTGTTCTCTGGGTATCTGAGTCCATTCTTTGGGTTTGGACGGGTAAGTTTGTTTCTCACATGTACAAGCCAGAGGTCCATGAGTGAGAATCGGGGGCCAAGGAGCTTTGTCCATGGGGCCGTAATGGGATGAGAGGGCAGAGGTTATCAAACTCTGAGGGCTGGAGGAAGACATGGTTTCTACCTCTTATCTCATTTCCTACTCATTTAGCCTTCGGAGGCAGGCACTGCCGCTATCCCACCGAGGAGGAGTCTGACACTGTGGGCGGTGAAGGCCACAGTTACCCGGTGAGTAGCTGGGCTGGACTCCACCCTTGCTCCCTCCTACAATCAACCTCCTGCTCCTCCCAACAACTTTCCTGAAAGGAGGCAGTGACCACTGTGCCCTTGCAGCCTCCCCGGCAACCGACTTCTGAATCATCCCACTGCAGAGATCTCATTACCGCAGTGAGTGTGGCTCCAGCCTCCCCTCCCTTGGCTGCTAATGAGCGCCCTAATTTGATTGCCTCCAAATGAGTGTGATGCAAAATTAAAAGATGCCAGAAGACATGACCATAAATCCAGTGAGTTGGCTTCAATTTATTATGTTTGAATTCAATTAGATTTCTCCTCCGATGTTTTCCGAATATTTATCTAGCTGCTGGCTACAGAACGATAACTGGAAGGGGCTGTTACTGTTTAATTCCAGCCTCCTCCATTCAGCTTGGGCTCTGGCAATACCGTTGGATGGAAAATCTCAGCCTGGATGTGGGGAGGTCAAGGGAGTTCAAGGTCAGCTGCTGAGCCTTCTGCCAGCCAGCCAGCATATTTCCTGTTGGGGAAGGGATTCAAAGCAATATACCCTATTAAAATGTTTTAAAAATGATTTTTAGTGCATAAACACTACAAGGGACTCCACAGAAGGGAGTGTTGGTGTCAAGGCCTTTGTTGTGTCACAGGCAGCAGGGGGGATGGGGATCTGGGGTCTGGGCTCAGCCTGGCCACGAACTTTGTGTGACTTGGGAAAATCACTAACCTTTTCCAGCCTTGGCTTCTCCATTTGCAAAACGACGGAGTTGGACTCTGGGAACTGTTTTCAGTGGCCCTGGATTCTGCACTGCTACTCTCCTTTTAGTTTCAGGGTGTTTGCCCACTCTCCTTCCCCACCCCCACAGCCATGTGTCCTGCTTGACCCTGGGAACCTGACGTCTTTAAGCTGCCTCTCAGGCTTTCTTACTGACTGGGCAGAGGTTGGAATTAGCCAGTGGGAGACTCTAGCTGGAAGGCAAAAGTATAGGAAGAGAGAGAGTGGTCAGTGTATCCCCCCACCCCGTCCCCACTGCCCCTCCCCAAGGCTGTGTCTCTCCAAGACATCAGCTCCTGCTGGAAACCCCTTCTCCACATCTCTAGCTCTTACTGGCTGTGGCAACACTATTCCTCTCTGTCTAGCCCCATGAGTAACAGCATCCTAGAGTTGTTTGTTTTCGTGCTTCTCAACATCCCTGTTCATCCTCTTCACCTGGCCACACTTCTGTAAGGACTACTGCCATTAAAGTCTCATCATTTGAAGCATTCAATGCCATTTCTTGCCATGACCCTGAACAATGCAGATACTAAATCCATTTTTCGACTGTGGTTTTCCATGGAGGGCTCCCCAGGTCTAGAGGGGAGCTGAGACAAAAGCATTCCCGGCTTGGGAGCCTGTTGTGCAGTTGGGGAGGTCCCAGAGCACCAAGGCCAAGCTGGGGAGACGTTGTCCCTACGGGCATGGCCAGGCCTCCGGCCTCAGGGAGGAGAGGGAGACGGTGATCATGGAGGGGAGGCCCTGGGAGTGAGAAGCTGGGGGAATTGTTCCACCCTGCCCCTCCCCCCAACCTCCAGAGAGCGAAAGACGATGGGATGTGGGAGGAGGGCAAAGGGGAAGAGGAAGAGGCTCCCTGTCCTGCTGGGTCCTTAGCCAAGTTGGAAGAGGGAGAGTGAGAAGCCCGCATCTAGGGTAAAGGAGTATGCCCCCAGGGGAGGAGAGAAAGGCTGATGACACAGAGGGCTCATTTGCTCTGAAATGGGCCTCCCAGTGGAACAGTGACGAAGAGGCAGAGTCAGCCGTGGCGGAAGAGCAGGAAGGAGAGGAGTCCCAGAGCAGGATGGAGGGAGCATCAGGGAGATGGGTGGATGGCCAGGGCTGGCCTATGGGGCGATGACCAAAGGTTGCAGGGGTGGGTTCAGGAATGAGACCAATGAAGTCTCCTGATTTATGGCTTCCAGCTTTGGTGTAAGTCAATGACCCGAATCTCTGGAGAAGGGTGGGGAATCTGACTCTGAATATGTGGCCCAGGAGCCCTGCATGAAGGAGCTGGGGCCTGAAGAGTAACTCTGCATTGAGTACTAGGCCTCCAAATCAGATCCTGGCCAGCTGCTGTCTCTGATGGCTCCCAGTCCTCCCCTCAGACCCACGGCCGTAGGCCAGACTGGCAGGGGCAAGAGGCAGGAGCCAAGTGGGACATGTCCAGTGTCCTGGCCAAACATACACTGGACGCAGATGAGCCATATGCCTGGGAAACAGAGAAATGGGGTGAGGCCAGGTCTTCTTGTGAGAATGAATGTGCCTTACTCTCTCCTGGAGAGAGGGTGATGACAAGAGTTCATTCATTCATTCATAATTGCTTTTTGATTTAAGCAGGCGAGTTTGTTGTTTAACAGGCTGGGAACATCTCTCTTTTATTGAAACATGTGACATAGCAGGTTAAACTCCTAAAGATTCAGCACAGCAGATGAGAATCAAGGAGTTTCCTTCTTAAAAAGCATAACTTGCATATGAATGAAGATGATTCCAAATTATGTTTTTTCCCCATGACCCTAAAATTTTATCCCAAATGGAGTTATAATATTAGATATTGATCAGATCAGCATTTCATATCAAAGCTCAGGACATCCATCTAAATATTTAAAAATCTTTCACTCTCACAGCACATCTTGTGATCAATGTAAAACAAACAGATAGGAACAAATCAAATATGAGAGAAGGGTTTATGGTGAGAGAAAACAGTTTCTATCCTCTCCCCTCCCCAGTCCTGGCCTCACTCTCCAGAGGCAACTTCTTGTAAACATTTCCATTTTTAGTACTTCTGGTGGGTGCCTCCACAATGCTTAGTAGCATGTATAGGCACCCTTATTTTTTTATTCATCTGGAGAAAATTTATCTACCTCCTGTGATGGAACATAAGAAATGGCCTCATTATGCACCTCTGCTTCCTCCCTTCATCCTTCCAAAGTTTTATCATTTTGGCATAATTATTTTTAGTTTTCTGTTATTTACTTTTAAAACTTTAAACCATATAATTGTACTTTGATTCTGCATTCCATCCACCTCAGGGAGAGTAACGGTCTGGGGCGGTCAGGTTGGGTCTGTTCCCATACCCTCCCCTTCTTCTGAAAGGACTCTCCCCTCCCTCCCGGGGGCCTGTGCCCATGACCAGCCAGTCACAGGGCCAGGCATATGTCCTGGGCCCTGGCCACTGTGGGATACAGGCATGCTCCCCAATCTTGACCACTAGGAATCCTGCAGGACTTTCACTACTAAAACTGCTCTCTTCAGGTCACAACAGTAACTATCAGTTCAACTACAACAAAGGTTTCTGAAGACAATGGCTTCTCCACCCAAGCAGGTTGTATATAAATTCCAAATAGAACTTGGCATCACCCTGAAGGAATTCTAACTTCACACTGTTGGGGAAATTTACCAAGATAGCTTCAGAGTAAACTAACTTTACACAGCACATTAAAACAAAAGACATTTATTCAGCGTCATGATCAGACTATTACATTTAGCAATCAACAGCATGGGTGCAAAAAAAAAAAAAACCTATATTAAAACCCTTAGCTGGAATGCTTTACACTTTCCACAGAACAGAAACTAAAATAACCTGTTATACAGTTAGTCACAAATACAGTCCTCGAATTTTTTGCCCATACACATGAGTATTTGTCTAAAACATGTCTTCTTTGTAGCAGCTAGGCCCTGCCACCACTGTGCTTGGCTGAGTTCACAAATCTGTCGTAACCTGTAGATTCCCTGTCATTTCTCTGGCTCTCCTCTCCTGCTAAGCTTTGTTTCCTAATTAAAATCTGCCACTGCCATAGCTACTGCTGCTGCTGGAACCGCCAATAGCCACCTTGGTTTCATGGTTTTGCAAAGTATAGGCCTCCATTGCCACAGGGGCCAGAGCTTCTGCCTCCAAAATTTCCTCCCTTCATGGGTCCAAAATTTGAAGACTCATTGTTGTAATTGCCAAAATCATTGTAGCTTCCACCACCTCCAAAATTGCTTCCATCATTACCAAATCCATTACAGCCATCCCCACTGCCACCATATCCACCACCACCACGACTGCCACCAAAGCCACCAAGACCACTGAAGTTTCCTCCAATACCAAAGTTGTCATTCCCACTGAAACCACCTCCACGACCACCACCAAAGTTTCCAGAACCACTTCGACCTCTTTGGCTGGATGAAGCACTAGCCATCTCTTGCTTTGACAGGGCTTTCCTAACTTCACAGTTGTGGTCATTCACAGTATGGTATTTCTGAATGACAATCTTAACGACGGAGTCATGGTCGTCAAAAGTTACAAAGGCAAAGCCCCTTTTCTAGCCACTGACTCGGTCAGTCATGATTTCAGTCACCATTAAAAGGGATTACCCAAGCAAAATCATGGAATTATTGGTTATAAAAGTAATTGTTGGCACATCCTATGTAACATATCTAATTGAATAATGGTACCAGATTAAATTATAGATGGGAATGAAGCTTGTGTATCATCCATTATCATGTGTAATCAATAAACAATTTAATTCTCTTGAAAAAAATAAATAAAACTGCTCTCTTTTGTTCTGGGATTACCTCTAGGAAGGAAATGTAAAATCAGCTCTTGTAGGGTGCCTCCAGGCCCCTGACACGTGGAAAGATCGTGCAGGAGAAAACCAACCCAGAGGTCAGTGGAGGTGGAGAGGAAGTTGTGAGAGAGATCAAGCTGTGGTGGTGAGAAAGGCAGCTAGTCCTGCTCACTGAAGCCTCCATTGCTTCCGGACTGTCACAGTTACACCGACCTGACAATTTCAGTATTAGCATTAGAGAATTGTTTCAGCTTTCCAACTAACGCAGGGTGTATTGTACACCCCACCTCAGGTAAGATGAGAATTAGCACGTAGGCTGCCTGTGCTACTTTTCTGTTGCTGCTGTAACAAATTTCCACAAATTTATG
This sequence comes from Homo sapiens, assembly GCF_000001405.40. Taxonomy (NCBI): domain Eukaryota; kingdom Metazoa; phylum Chordata; class Mammalia; order Primates; family Hominidae; genus Homo; species Homo sapiens. Next base: position 46,415,274 of record NC_000010.11, on the reverse strand, counting down.
ATTTGCTTAGAGCACCACAAATCTTACAGTTCTGGAGGCCAGAAGTCCAGCATGGGCCTCACGGGGCTAAAATCAGTGTCACAGGGCAGCTGTGTTCCCATGAGGCGGCTGTGTTCCCATAAGGCTCCGGGTGGAGACTGTTTCCTTGCCTTTTCCAGCTTCTAGAAGCTGATGGAGTTCCTTGGCCAGCCACTTTCTCCCTCCATTGTCACAGCAGGTGTGGCTTCACTCTGACCTCTTCTGCTTCTCCCTTCCACCGAAGGGCCCCTGTGGTTACACTGGGTACACCTGGGGGCTTAGCCTGTCTAATATTGCCACACCCTCTTGTGAATCTTCTTTTTTCTTTTCTAAGAGATGGGGTCTCGCTTTGTTGCCTAGGCTGGAGTAGGGTGGTGTGACGGTAACTCACTGCAGGCTTGAATTCCTGTCCTCAAGCGATCCTCCTGCCTCAGCCTCCGAAAGTGCTGGGATTACAGGTGGGAGCCACAGTGCTAGGCCTCTCATGAACCCTGTCTTCCAGAAATGTGTTGGACTCTCATCCATTAGTAAGCCATCTTTCTCTCTTTTTTTAATGCTTTTCCCTTATAGATTTACTCCATTTTAAATTTATAAGCTTAAATTTCAGTGATGATGTCTTAGGAAGAACAGGAGAGGAGGAACAAAGGAACAAACCACTTTAATGGGAAGCTGAAAGGACCCTTTTAAAAGTGTGCAGTGGGGAGAGCCTGGGCTTGGTCTCTGGTAAACCTGGTGAATGGTGGGTTAACACTCCCTCCCTCACTCGGTGTTGCTGGGAGGATAAGACAGAACTTGTGGCGAGCAGGTGTCCAATAGCTGCCTCTTGCTATGTGCAGCCAGTGCCACATCCAGGCTGAGTGCTGTGGGGAGTGTGGCTCATCCCGCTGGGGCCACCCCAGGCCTCGCTCACTGGAGACTCCAGAATCAGGGCTGACTGAGCAGCTTGTGGCACTGAAGAATGTTCTAGGAAAGGAGGTGTGTCCTCCTTGGAAGGGGAAGCTTCATGGTGGGTGAGCTGAGGGTAAGGGGTGGGTGAGGGCCATTTGAAGAGTCACCTCCCCTACATTCTTTTATCTTTTGGAGCCTCCATCCACGCCACTTCAAACAATGAACACACACATCCAAGTCAGTAAGTGCACTTTGTGTATATCTATATAAGTGATGCGCAATTACTATATAACAGTTCACTAGCTGACCTGACATTATTCACATATCGTAGGCATGTGACTAATTGTAGGTGTGTAATGAAGTGTTCACATCTTATTACATATTTAATTCCTAAGGCATTTCTACAGTTTTATTTGAGAATTTTGGAACTGCCAGTATGTTTTTCATGTTTCAAACCTTTTCACAGGCCCTGAAAAAACCCAAAGGCCTTATATTCTGGGACCGTAATGGACAAAACAGCCCTGGGAAGTATGCTTGAGAGGATGGCGAAGGCTGGGTTTGCTGAGGGAGGTGCCAGCTAAGGTGCTGGGCACACCAGAGGCAAGGGATCTGGACCACAACTGTCAGTTTGACGAACACACTAATGGTGGAGTGACCCCCACCAGGAGTGGCCAGCAAGCAGGGTCCAACAGGAAAGACATCTGGGAGGCCAGCAGGTAGAATCCTGGCTCTGCCACCTTCGTGCTATGTGATATCAGCCAAGTTACTTGCCCTCTCTGATTCTCAAATGCTCGGAGGCCCTTTGACCTCTAGAGTCTATGGGACCTGAGTGACCACAGGGCTCTTGTTTGTTGGTGGCTGCCTCTTTATTTAACTCCTTTTCTCAAATACGGTCTATGGGCTTTGCTTAAAGTGAGGTGTCCTGTGCACACTCTTCTCCATGACTTTGAGGCCGTGAGAAGCCCCGCCCTGCAGAAGGACTGAGGAAACTAGTGCTGGAGTCTCCTTTCTTGTATCAGTGAAGGAAGGGGAGAGAGGAGATAAAGTGCTCAGGTTACAGAATGTGAGGATCATGCCCCTTTTTTCCAACTGAAGACATTCCTAGGCATTTTATCTCCCCTGTTGCAACTCCTAAATCACAAAAACCTTATGCATCCAGTTTGGCTGACATCCACCTGCAATGGGAGTGAGTGAGATTGAGCCACTCCTCAGGTGAATGGAAAATTAAGGCCAACCAAGGCCCACCCCATGCCCCACTGTGGGGTCTAAAAGGAGCAGGCACTGGCCTGCTTTCTTTTTCCCTAAAGAAAGCTCTTTGGGGACCCAGCAGAAACAGCAGAGGTGGGGATGCGAGCTTCCGCCTGCATTTGTTCCAGGGTGGGCCAGTGAGGATTTGGGAGGAATGGTGTGGAAAGGCCCTGCCCAAGAAGGCTGGATGCTGGCTGGGGAATGCCCAGGGTGCCAGCTCCCTACCCTGGGGAAAGGCCAGGCTGGCATATGCCGGAGCCAGGGTCCAAGGTCACAGAGAGGCCACACCTGGGCACCCCTCCCAGCAAGGGAAGGTCCAAGCTGGGAATTACTTCTCTTTGGAAAGTGAGGGGAGTGGTACAGAAATATTGCTATTGTTGCTGTTGTCCTGTCACTTCTGGCATTGGAAATGGTGTTGAGCTTCTACGTGACGGGCATTGGAGGTCAAACCTGAAACAGGTGAGGCCCATCCCTTTACTAGGCTCACGTTCTAGGTAGGGAGGAGGCAGGTACCTCCTCCACCTAAGAAACAACAAGAGATAGAGAATGCAGTAACTGTCCTAAAGAGAAAAACCAGGGGATGGAGAGAGAATAATGGTTGTCAGGACGGGTCAGACTTTAGGATGGTAAATGAGGAGTGGTCTCTGAGAAGGGATGAGGCAGAGGAAGTGAGGCTCAGGGAAGTGAAGCACTTGCCCAAGGCAGCCTGCTGGTCATGGCAGAGCTGGCAAGCTCATTCCCTCCTCATTATGTCAACCTTCTGGGACCAGAGTCTGGGCAGGGCAGAAACTACTGCACCAGGGGTGCGTGGCTCCAGCAGAGAGAGACAAAGTGCCCCATGCAATCCAGAAACTGAGCCCTCTGGGCTCAATCTTCAAAGGAATGACTCTCAGAGTTGTGTCCCCTGCCTTTTCTTCACCATGGAACTTTTCCCAGCTCCACTCTGGTGGGCTTGGGGACAGGACCTGCCCTCTGCAAAGTGATGACCAAGGATAAGTCGCATTTTCAAGGAGACCTTGGAGAACACCACCCTCTTATTGTGCAAAAGAGGAAACAGGTCCAGAGAGGGTGAGCCATTTTTTCAGCATCACACAGCTGACCTGGAGCAGAGTTTCCTAAAAGCTCCCTCGGTGCTCTTTCCCCTGCTGTGGCTAGACCCCTCCACAGGAACTTAACAGGAACCCAAAGGAACGAGTCACTCATGGCAGAATCACTAATGTGATGGAGGGCAGGAGTGAGAGACGGCATAATGTCAATGCTGGCACACTCCTGGCACACGGGAAGCTGTCCATGAGTGGTTGCTTCCCACCACTTCCATCGCCCAGTTTGGGACATGTCTGAGATCCAGTGCTGAGCCCAGGGTCTAGCATGTCATGGGAGCTCAGGAGTTCCTAATTGACTACATGAATGCTAAGGTGTGGGATGTGCTCCTTCCTGCTTTCTCATTCTCAAAGAATACTCTTATACACCTGGTTGTGGGGAGGGTATATAGGCAATCAACTTTTGCGTACTCACTTCCATTGTAGGATCATGCATGCATGTGGACGTGCGCACACACACAAACACAAATGCACACACACACACACACCTGCCTTCTCAAACTTGTGGGACCAGAAAGGATGCTGCAAGGCCTAAGATAATTGCTGGTCTCTTTTTTCTTATGCTTTAGCAGGAAAAACACACTCTTCCAAGCACACAGCTGCAGAGGTCTTCCTGAGCATCATGTAGTCTTTAATCATGTTGTGGAGGACAGGATGATCTGTGCCTCAGGAATCAGCTTAGTTGATAACTCAATTCCATGGCTGGGCCCCATTTGTAAGCAGTCATGGCACATCCCATGGAAACCTATAATCTAATTATGGCTGCTGCATCAGTCCTCATCCTTCATGCTGTCATCCACAGCTCCTCACCACCCATCTTACTTGGATGAAGGCTCTCTGAGGTATGAAGGGCAAACATCTGATCCTTCCACTGGAGGCCTAGGCTGCTTTCCTTATTCTCACAGCAGCCACAAGTATTGGGATCACAGCTTGAAAGGCTCTTCTTGGTCCGTGGGACTGGGGCAGTCAGGACAATTTCAGGCCTTTAGTGAATGGAGGCATTTCATTACTTCAGATCTCACCTAGTCTTGGAGGTCTTGGGCATTTTTAGAACTCACCCAGCCAGGCTGCCACTCAGGGTGAGGCTACCTGGATTGTTTATTGGTAACGAATGTTTGAATCAGAGACTGTTAGAAAACCAAAAATGAAGATTTTAACAATACAAAAAGCAGAACCTAAAGAGGTTTAATCAGTAGGATTGGTACCAGTTCTTTGTATGTCTGATAGAATTTAGCTGTGAATCCATCTAGTCCAGGGCTTTTTGTTGTTGTCGTTGGTAGGTTTTTTATTATTCGTTTAATTTCAGAGCTTGATATTGGTCTAGTCAGGGTATCAGTCTCTTCCTGATTCAATCTTGGGAGATTGTATGTTCCCAGGAATTTATCCATTTCCTCTAGATTTTCTAATTTGTGTGCATAGAATTACTCACAGTATTTTCTGAGGATCTTTTGTATTTCTGCATGTATCAGTACGCCATACTGTTCAAGCACATGGACTTTGCAGTTGGACATTCCTGAGTACAAATTCTGCTTCTGGCAGAGCATTTAGGTGACTTAGTCTGCTGACAAAGCTGCAGTATCTTCATCTGCAAATGAAGATGAATTGTAATATCTTTGTCATTTCTGACAGTACTTATTTGGAAATTCTTTTTTCTTTGTTAATCTAGCTAGTGGTCTCTCAGTCTTGTTTATTTTTTTGAAAATCAACTTTTGGTTTCATTTATCTTTTGTATGGATTTTTGCATCTCAATTTCATTAAGTTCTTCTTTAATTTTAGTTATTTATTTTCTTCTGCTAGCTTTGGGGTTGGTTTGCTCTTTTTCTCTAGTTCTTCTAGGTGCAAAGTTAGACTGTTAATTTGAGATTGTTTTAACTTCTTGGTGAAGGCATTTAACGTTATAAACTTTCCTCTTAACACTGCTTTGGCTGTATCCCAGAGACTTTGTTAAGTTGTATCTCCATTTTCATTACTTTCAAAGATTTTTTTATTTCTGCCTTAATTTTGATTTTCACCTAGGAGTTAATCAGGAAAAAGTTGTTTAATATCCATGTATTTGTGTAGTTTTGAGAGATCTTCTTGATATTAGTTTCTATTTTTATCGCACTGTGGTCCAAGAGTGTGTTTGGTATAATTTCAATTTTTTAAAATTTATTGAGACTTGCTTTATGACTCAGCGTATGGTTGATCTGAGAATATGTTCTGTGTACAGATAGGAAGAATGTATATTCTGTGGTTGTTGGGTGGAGTGAATGTCTATGAGGCCCTTGTAGATAAAATAATAGCTGAAATTGGAAAAAGAGGTTTAACCAGCTTTACTCATTTAAAATGCAAATGCGCTATTAGATAAGGGCCACATCACTTGGCATCAGGCCATAAGACAAGATGTGTCTGGATTATCCTGGGATTAATACTCATTTCCAAACTTCTAGGACTATTGAGAGTTGGTTTTTTTTTCTAGAAATCTCTGACGGACTACATTTGTTCCATAGTTCAGCCTCATCATCTTATGAACTATTTAGATAAGGGATAGAAAGTATCTTTTGAATTCATGTCAGCACCAATAGATTGGTGGTGGCTGCTTTAAAAACTGGGCCTAGAAGGATTCTGAATTCTTAACTGGGCTTAGAGAGAAAGAATGCCATGTTCAAAGAAGAAAGTTATCAATGGCTGCAGGAGGGGTGAGGTGGCCCATGTGTCACATGACTTGCTATCTTTGCACTGGGCAACCCTAACCTCTGAGAGGGTCCTTGTTGAATAAGATAAGTAGGTCCAGCCCTCAAGTTGTTATCAGTATAGCAGAGATGGTGAGCCACGAAGTGCTGCCAGATCACTGTATTGTGTTCTGGTCATGGCAGGTGCATGTATCAGTATGCCATACTGTTCAAGCACATGGACTTTGCAGTTGGCCATTCCTGAGTACAAATTCTGCTTCTGACAGAGCATTTAGGTGACTTAGTCTGCTGACTAAGCTGCAGTATCTTCATCTGCAAATGAAGATAATACCCACCTCACAGGGTAACTGGGGTCATTAAATGATATCAGATTTCAAAGCATTAGATGCTCACCTTGTAGTAATCATTATTACTATAATTACTATTGGTGTGGAAACACAGACACGCCTCTAAACTGTCCTGGGTACAGAGAAGGCTCTACAGACAGGCCCTGTTTTAAATTGCAAGTGATACTCAGGCAGTCTTCAGTAGACAAAGGCAGAGGCCATTCAGTGCAGGGGAGGACATTCTGTCCCCTGGTTAGGAAACCTGAACTATGGAATAGAAAAAAACTTAGACTCAATATTCAGAACAACTTTCCTGAAATAAAGGAAGACTTGAATTTTCTGACCGAAGGGTAAATTGATTTAGAGAAGTCAATGCTGAGATGACAGATCCTAACAAAATGAATGTTTGCCTTCAAAGAAAAGAATCCTAGGAGTATCCAGTAGAAAACCATCTCTCCAAAAACCAATCAAGACAACAACAAAAATAAAAACAACTACCCCAAACAATCACATGAAAACTCAAACCAAGAGAAACACTTGCAGAATGTCAGAATAAGGACTTCTGAAAATCCTTCCTTAACAACAATGAGAGCACTGGCAAAAATGTCAAAATTAACATTTTCAGAGTCCTGGAAATTAACCAAAGGCTTTCAGCAATCCAAGTTAGATTTATTCAAGAAACACAGCTGAATCTCAGTAAGAATAGCAAATTTTGTGGTGTTTTAACTTGCCTTATTCGTAGTCTTCTTTTCCAAGCTCTATGATAGACTTGAACATAAATGTTCTCAGCTAGGCATGGTGGCTCACTCCTATAATCCTAGCACTTTGGGAGGCTGAAATGGGAGGATTGCTTAAGTCCATGAGTTTGAGACCAGTCTGGACAACACAGAGACAACCTCTGTCTTACACACACACACACACACACACACACACACACACACAATTAACATTCTCACAACCATGACAGCTGTGAAAACCAGCAGCCTGGTAGCCACTGGGGAGGACAGAATAGGTTTAGAGCTCTCCAAAAATCCCATCCTCAGAAAGTTGTTACTATTTGATCTGTCTGACAGCTCCCTGGAAAAGGCACATTCTCAGGGATTGTCTTTGCTTAACATGGTTTGGAGCTTAGTCTGTGTGAACAGCCCTATCCTGAGGGAATCTGTCAAAAACAATCAGCAAAAATTGTTTGACATTGCAACTGCCTGAGATGGCAGTACCAGTTGGGGCTAATAAGAGGCTGACCAAAACAGTTACAAGGAAAAACTGGGGAATGAGGTATTCATAGAGGCTTTGGAAAAGCTCTGACATATTCTTAAGAACCTAGAAGGCCATGTGCACGTGCAGGGTTGTACACATGTCCAAGACAGATCTAACTAGAGCTTAACTTTTGTTTGGCTTTGAGGCTCTGTGCAAGCAGGAAGTAAACTCTGAGGCAGAGTTGTCAGCTGCTTGCTGAAGCATCGAAGGCATGGCTCAACACAAACAAAGCTTCCCAGCAAAGGTAGGTAGATTTAGTTGTGCAAGGAATTTAAAGAAATCTCTGTCCAAAAATTAATGGACAACTAAACTGAGGAAAGACTTCGGTGGCTACACATGACAAAAAGTATACATTAAAACTTAGTCCAGGAAATTCACTAAACAGAGAAACAGCAGCATCGGCAACAACAACAAACAGAAGCAACAACAAATTGTGAAGAGGGGTGAGGTCTGATTTTTGGAGACACCACATTATTTTATTTAAAACATTCAGTTTTTAAGAAAAAAATATGAGAAATGCAAAGAAACAAAATGTGTGACCTATTCACAGGGAAAAAGCTGCCATTAGAAACTTTTTCTTGAGGAAGCCCAGACATTGGACTTACTATCAAAGATTTTAGAACAAGTCTTAAAAACATGTTTAAACAACTAAAGGAAAGCATGTTTAAAGAATTTTAAAAAGCATGAAAATGATGTCTTACCAAATACAGCATATCAATAAAGAGATAGAAAATTATATAAAAAAGGGAAAAAAATAAAATTCTGGGTTGAAAGTGCAACTGAAATAAAAAATTATTAACCAGAGGGGCTTAACAGCCAATTTGAGCAGGCAGAAAAAAGATTCAGTAAGTTGAATAAGGGTCAATTGAGATTATACAATCCAGGGAACAGAAAGTCAAAAGAATGAAGAAAAATGAACAGAGCCTCAGAGAGCATACCAATATGTATATAATGAGAATCCCAAAAGAAGAGGAGATAAAGGGGCAGAAAGAATATTTGAAGAAATAATTGCCATAAACTTCCCAAATTTGATGAAGAACATTAATTTACATGCTCAAGAAATTCAACGAACTACAAGTGGTATAAAAACAAAGAAATCCATACCTAGATACATCAGAGTCAAACTATCAAAAGCCAATGACAAAAAGAGAATCTCGAAAGCTACAAAAGAAAAATAACTCAGCATATACACTCTAGCTTCAAATTCCTCAATAAGATTAACAACTGACTTTTTATCAAAACCATTCAGGCAAGAAGGCAATGGGATAACATATTAAAAGTATTGTAAGAAAATGACTGTCAACCAAGAATTCTATATCTAGCAAAGGTATCTTTGAAAAAAAAGAAGAAATGCCCAGATAAATGAAAAATGAGAGAGTTCATCATGAGTAGATCTTCCCTACAAGAAATACTAAAAGGAGTCTCTCAGGCTGAAATGAAAGGACACTAGATGGTAACTTCATCCACACAAAGAAATAAAGAGCACTGCAGGGTAATTACATAATTAAAAAGACAGTATAATGTATTTTTAATTGTAATTCTTTTCTTATCCTATCTGATTTAAAAATAGCTACATAAATGAGTAATTATAAAACTGGGTTGTTGGGCTTATAATGTATAAAGATGTAATTTGTACGATAATATTAACACAAAGGAAGGGGGCAGGAAATGGACCTATATTGAAGCAATCTTTAAATATATTGTTGAAATTAAGTTGGATTGATATGGATTAGATTGTTTTATGATAAAATGTTATAATCCCCAGGGCAAGAATAAGAAAATAACTAAAAATATATGGTAAAACAAACAAAAGAATTAAAATGATATGCTAGAAAATATCAATTGAATTCAAAAGAAGACAGTAATGAGGGAAAAGAAAAACAAAAAAGATGTAGGACATATAAAAATAGCAAAATGGAAGGTGTAGAGCCTATCTTTTCAGTAAATCATATTAAATGTAAATAGAGTAAACATACCAATCAAAATGCAGAGGTTGTGATTTTAAAAAATGAATCAACTGTTATCTATAAGAGACATACTTTACATTCAAAGACACAAATAGGTTGAAAGTAATAGGATGGAAAAAGATAATCCATGAAAGTAGTAACCAAAGGGGAGCTGGAGTGGCTAGCTATACTAACAGTAGACCAAATAGACTCTTAAGACAAAAATTATTACAAGAGACAAAGAAAAACATTTTATAATTGTAAAAGTTTCAATCTATTAAGAAGACATGGCAATTAAGAATATATATGCACTTAATAGCAGAGATCCAAATACATGAAGCAAAAACTGAAGTGAGAAATAGAAAATTCAACAATTATAGTTGGAGACATCATTACTCCACTTTCAACAACGGATAGAACAACTAGGCAGAAGATCCACAAGGATATAGAAGATCTGAAAAAAACAGTAAACCCACTAGAGCTGGTAGTTACCCACAGAACACTCCACCACCATCAACAGAATAGACATTCTTTATATGTGTATATGGAATGTTCTCAAGAATAAATCTTGTCATGAGAAGAATAGTGGCCCCCAAAGATATCCATGCCCTAATCCCTGGAACCACGTTACATTACATGACAAAAGGGGCTTTGCAGATATGATTAAGGGTATAAACCTTGAGATGCGGAGATTACCCTGGATTGTTTGGGTGGGCCCAATCAAAATACATGAGTTCTTAAAAGTGGAGACACTTTCCTAACCATGGTAGGGAGATGAAATGGAAGGAGGAGGAGACAATTGAGGTGTGAGAAAGGTTTAAGTGACTACTAAACTGATGGACTTGATCCACCATTGCTGCCTTTGAGGATGGAGGAAGGGGACTATTAATAAGGGAATGTGGGTAGCTTCTAGAAGCTGGGAACAGTTCAGCTGACAGCCAGCAAGGAAGTGGGAATCTCAGTCCTACAACTTGCAGGAACTGAATTCTGCCAACAACTCGAATGAACAAGGGAACTCTCCGAGAATTTCCACAAAGGAATACAACCACACAGATTCCTATTTTTAGCCCAATAAGACATGTCAGACTTCTGATCTTCAGAACCACAAGATAATAAATTTGTGTTAGGTGCAAATTTGTGGTAATTTGTTATGGCAGCAATAGAAAACACATACATGTATATTCATCCATAAAACAAAATGCAGTAAATTTAAAATAATTGAAATCATATAGAATATGTTCTCTAACAATAGCAGAGTGAAATTCAAAACCAAAAACAGAAAGAAATTTCGGACATCCACAAATATGTAGAAATTAAATGACACACTCCAAAATAATCAATGGGTCAAAGAAGAAATCACAATGAAAATTAGAAAATTATTTGAAATGAATGAAAATAAAATCACAACATATCAAAGTGTATGGGGTGCAGTCAAAGCAATACTTAGGGAGACTTTTATAGCTGTAAATGCCTATATTAAAAAGAAGAAAGATCTCCATAACCCAGACTTCCACCTTAAGAAAGTAGAAAAGGAAGCGCAAACTAAGCCCAAAGCAAGCAGAAAGAAGAAAATAATAAAGATTGTAGTGGAAATAAATAAAACAGGGAATAGAAAAAACACTAAGGGAAAAAACAAGAGTAATTGCTTCACTGAAAAGAGCAATAAAATTGGTAAACCTTTAGCTTGACTGAGAAGAAAAAAGTTATGTGCCCTATTTCATTCCCTATACATTAAATTATTAAATTATTAATGTATAGGGAATTAAATTATTAAATTAATAATGTTTAGAGAATGAAATAGGGCACACCACTACCACCTCATAGAAATAAAAGGATTATAAAGGAATACTATAAACAATTGTAAGACAGCAAAATTTTAACTTAGGTGAAATGGAAAAATTCCTAGAAAGACAGGAACTACAAAAACTGAATCAAGAACAAATAGAAAATTTCAATAGACCTTAGTAAGTAAAGGGATTAAATTAGTAATTAAGAAACTCACCATGCACAAAAAAGCTCAGTACCAAATGGTTTCGCTGATTAGTTTTCCCAAACATTTAAAAAAGATTATTGTTAATTCTTCACAATCTTTTCCAAAAATAGAAGAAACAAACTTCAACTCATTCTATGATGTCATTATTCTCATGATACCAAAACAAAAGACATTCTAAGAGAACACAGCAATATCTTTCATGAATATTAATACAAAAATTATCAACAAAATACTAGCACACTAAACCTAGAAACATATAAAAATGATTATGTATCACAATCAAGTGAAATTTATTTCAGGAATGCAAAGTTGGTTTAACATAATAAAATAAATCTAATTAATACACCACATTAATAAAATGAAGGATAAAATCCACCTAATCTCAATAGATGCAGAAAAAACATTTGACAAAATCAATATCCTTTCATGATAAAACACTCATAAAACTAGAAATAGAGGAGAATTTATGAAATCTAATAAAGAACATCTATGAAAAACCACAACTGACATCATCCCAAAGGGTGAAAGAGTGGATACTTTCCTTCTAAGACCAGTAAGAAGGAAAGGAAGTCCATGCTCACCACTTCTATTCAACATTGTATTAGAGATCTGAGCTAGGGCAATTATGCAAATAAGTATGTAAATTTAAAAAATAGCATCCAAATTGAAAAGAAAGATGTAAACTATATTTACAGATGACATAATCTAAGGAATTCACAAAATAACTATTACGACTAATAAATGAGTTCAGCAAGATTGCAGATACAAGAACAATATGAAAAACAATTGTATTTCTACACACTAGCAATGAATAATCTGAATATAAGATTAAGAACAGAATTCCATTTACAATGGCATCAGACAAAATAAAAGGCTTATGAATAAATTCAACAAATAAGTCTAAGACTTGTACGTACTGAAAACAATAAAACACCACTGAAGGAAATTAAAGAAGACCTAAATAAATGAAAAAACATCCTATGTTCATGGATTTGGAAGACTTAATATTGTTAAGATGTCAATGTTTCCCAAATTGGTCTACAGATTCAATGCAATCTTGATTGAAAGATTATGTGCCTTTTTCTCAGAAGTTCACATGCAGATGCAAGAGACCCAGAATAGCCAACATGATCTTGAAAGAGAGAGGACTACACTTCCTGATTTAAAAACTTAATACAGGTTGGGTGCAGTGGCTCACACCTGTAATGCCAGCACTTTGGGAGGCTAAGTTGGGAGGATTGCTTGAGCCCAGAGTTTGAGATTAACCTGGGCAACATAATGAGACCCCATCTCTACAAAAAATAAAAAAAAGATTAGCTGGGTGTGGTGGTGTGTGCCTGTAGTCCCAGCAACTTGGGAGGCCGAGGTGGGAGGATCACTTGAGCCCAAGAGGTCTATGATGCAGTGACCTATGATCAAGGCACTGCACTCCAGCCTGGGCAACAGAACAAGACCCTATCTCAAAAACAAAATGAAACAAAACAACCCCCCCAAACCCCAAAGAAAACCAAACTTACTACCAACATCTAGTAATCAAGATAGCCCAATACTAGAAATGTAATAGAATTGAAAATCCAATATTAAACCTTCACATTTATGGTTAACTGATTTTTGACAAAGGTGTCAAGACAATTCAAGAGGATTAAAAAAAAGCCTTAACAAATGATGCTGGGACAACCGGATTTCCACATGTGAAGGAATGAAGCTGGACACTTACCTTACATCATGTACAAAACTTAACTCAAAATGGACCAAAGTTCTAAATGTAAGAGCTAAAACTATAAAACCATAGAGGCAAATGTTCATGACCTTGGATTGGTAAAAGGATTATTAGATATAATACCAAAAGCAGAAGTGACCAAACAAAAAAAAATAAGTGGGGCATTATCAAAATTGACAGCTTTTGTGCTTCAAAGGACACCATCAAGAAAGTCAAAAAGCAACCCACAGAATGGGAAGAAGTATTTGCAAATCATATATATATACATATATATATATATATATATATAAAATTTGATAAGCCACTTGTATCCAGAATATATGAAGAACTCTAACAATTCAGCAATAAAAGACAATAACCTAATTAAAACATGGGCAAATGATTTGAATAAATATTTGTCCAAAGAAGATATACTCATGATCAAAAAGCACCTGAAAAGATGCTTGACATTATTAGTCATTAGGAAAGTGCAAATAGAACCGCAATAAGATACAACTACACACCCATTAGGATGGCTTTCATAGAAAAAGACAGGCAATAAGAAGTGTTGGTGAAGATGCAGAGAAATTGAAAACCCCGTTCATTGCTGGTGTGAACATAAGATGGTGCTGTCACTTTGGAAAACAGTTTGGTAGTTCCTCAAAAAGTTGGGTGTAGTATTATCATATGACCAAGGAATTCCACTCCTAGATACATACCCAAGAGAACTGAAAACCTATATCCACACAATATCTTGTACAAGTGTTTTCAAAGCAGCATTATTCATAACACCCGAAAAGTAGAAACAATCCAAATGTCCGTCAACGAATGGGTAAACAACTGTGGTATTCCTTTCCAGTGGTAAGAGACAGAATTGATTAGGGAAATGAGGCAGATTCACTAAACTCCACTGAAGGATGGACCTGAGCCAACAGTTCACAGGAAAATGACACAAAAGGCCTTTAAATATATAAAAAGCATCATGTTTAAAGCTTCACTTGTCATCATGGGAAGTCAAACTAAAACACTGAATTACTATACTTTGTCCACCAGATGAGTGAGGATCAAATTTTGAAGATGTACTGTCTTAGTAAGAGGTTTAGGAAATTGGTATTTTCCTTCTGTACTGATGAGAATGGGGACTTCTTGACAAAATCTATCTTAAGTACAATTCCACATGCCCTTTGATCTAAACACAATATTTTAGGAGTCTATCCTATGATGATACAAAGTAATATAAGAATGTTTATTGCAATAACTTCCAATAACAAGCTACCGAAACCAGCCTAAACAACCAAAAACAGATTAAATGAGTAGAGATTGGTTAAATAAATTATGGTACATTCACAATGAAATCTTACACTGCTGTTAAAAAGTATTAATTTTTCCTAAAGATATATTAAATACATATAATTAAAAATAGAAAGAAGACTAGCATTAGACAAAAGCTAGAGAAGTAGGGAAAGTACATATATTTTTGCGTATTCCTAGAGAATTTCTAGAAGCATATACAGGAAACTTAACAATCGTGAGAGAGTTTGGAGAGGACTTTGGCTGGGGGTTCTGGAGTGGTGCAGAGATTTATTTTCACCACTTACTCTTTTGTACTACTTGATTTTCTAGAAGCATATGCAAGATGAATTTCTAGAAGCATATACAAGAAACTTAATAACTGTGAGAGAGTTTGGAGAGGACTTTGGCTGGGGTCTCTAGAGTGGTGCAGAGATTTATTTTCACCATTTACTCTTTTGTACTACTTGATTTTTATCAAGTGCGTGCATTACTTTTTTGCCTTTTAGGTTTTTATTTTATGTATGTTTAGACTTTTAAATTTTCAAATAATCATAGATTGACAAGAATTTGTGAAGGGGTCCCAATATCCTTCACCCAGTTTCTCCACTGTTTACGTTTTACATTCTACAAAACAATATCAAAACAAAGAAACTGACATTAGCACAATGTGTGTTCTTCTATTACATTGTATCACATGTGTAGATTCCTGTAACCACCAAGACACAAAACTATCCCATCATCCCAAGATCTCTCCTGCTACCTCTTTGTAGTCACACTTCCCCACCACCGCCTCTAACGCCTGCCAACCACTAATCTGTTTTCACTGTTTATAATTTTGCCCCTGGAAGAATGTTATACAAGTGAAATCGTACAGTATGTGACTTTTTGAGATTGGTTTTTTTCACTTAGCCTAATGCTCTTGAGATCCATCCATTTAGTTATTTGCATGAATAATGTTTCTTTTTATTGCTGAATATTGGCATAGATGTGTCACTTAGTTTAAGCATTCACTTAGTGAGGGACATTTTGGTTCTTTTCTAGTTTCTGGCTATGATAGGAAGACACAGGAGAAAATCATCTGGACCTAGGAGTTGAGGATGAGTTCATAGGCATGGCACCCAAGTACGATTCATTAAAGAAAGAATTGATAAATTGGACTTCATCAAAATTAAAAACTTTGCCTCTGCAAAATATTCTGTTAAGATGATGAAAGGACAAGCTATGGAGGGGAGAAAATATTTGCAAACTGCATATCTGACAAAGGACTCACATTTACAATGCATAAAGAGCTCTCAAAACTCAACAGTAAAAAAAAAAATCTGATAAGAAATTGGGCAATAGACATGAAGAGACATTTCATGGCCGAGTCAAATCAGCATGTGGAAATATATTTAACATCATTAGCCTTTGGGGAAATGCAAATTGAGATCATGAGAAATCACTGCACACTTATTTGAGCAGTTGAAATAAAAATATAATGATAAAACCAAATGCTAGCAAGGATGCAGAGAAACCAAATTTCTCATCCCTTGCTTGTGAGAATATAACATGATACACACAGCCACTCCCAAAAATAGATTGACAGTTTCTCAAAAAACATGCACTTACCATATTACTCAACAATCACATTCCTGGGCTTTTATCAGAGAAATTATAATTTAAGTTTGCACAAAAAGCTACACACAAATGCTCATAACTGCTCTATTCGTCATGTTTTTATTGGCAGGTAATTTACATACAAAGAAATTCAAAAATCTTAAATTTCACAATTCAATGTGTTTTGTCAAATGCCTGCACTCCTGTCCCTCCCCCACTGTAAGATTTACAACACTCTAGCACCCCCAAAAAGTTATTTCATGCCCCCTTCAGCTAACCTCTACCATGCCACTCCATCCATAAACCCCAAAGCAACTATTAAAAAAAAAAAAAAAAGGCAAAAACCGCAATTACTTTTGCACCAACCTAATACTAGTCTGATTTTTAAATCACAGATTCATTTTCATATAAATGGAATCATACAATGTTTATTCTTTCATACCTGACTTCTTTCATTCAGGAACACGATTCAGAGCTTCTGCTGTGCAGTAGGGGACATCAATAGTTCATTTTCTTTTTATTGTCTGCTAACATTCCATTGTATGGATTCAACCTAGTCTGTTTATTCATTCTTCTTACTGATGAAGTTTTTTTCTCACGGCTTAAGTCCAAGGTGTGTCTTTTTCGTCCAGCCAGGTGGCCCCGGCAGGTCGCTCCTCAGGGACCCACATGGGTCAGGGCGGTGCAGCAGTGACCCACAGGGGCCAGTGCAGTTGAAGTGGCTTTGAAACCTGATTGGAGAAACAGACTGCTCAGCTGTTAAGAACACACAGCGCTCCAGAAAACTGGTGTTCAACACAACGCGTCACTCCGGCTTCCACTGCTGCTGCGGAGAGTCAGGTTCTCCGGCAAGGCCCCGCGCGCCCGCCCCCGCGCGCCCGCTTCTCTGTCCAGGGAACGCCTTTCTGCGGGCGGAGGCGGCTACGAGGGGGCGCTGCGAAAGCGGATTTCCAGGCACGCCTGGCGCCACTAAGCGGCGCTGAGACGGCGCTGCCTCCTGACTGCCGGTTGGAGGCTACAGGGGCTCTGGGGCAAGGGCCGCTTTTAGGAGTTTGCTGGTCACGAGGGGGGACGCGACCTCGTCCAAGATCTGTCTGCAAGGGACCCTTCCCAGCCGATGTGAACACAGCCCGGGGAAAGGGGTCTTCCGGGGAGCAAAGGCAGCCCGGGAAGAGGAGTAGGGGCTGAAACCAAAGGCAGCCTGGGTACCCAGGTTTTCCCAGGGGACAAGTCCCCCAGTTAGCTGGGCACAGGGAGGCATGGAGAGCGGCAGCAACTGCGTTGGGATGGGGCGGCTGCCCCAGGTTGGGGCGGTGACCCATGTTCCACCAGGCCAGGCGCAGGGCTGAGGTGGCTGACTCCTGTTTCACAAGTGAAGACCTGGTCACCCCAGCAGCAAGGCATTCCGGAGTGGGAGAATTCCTGAGTCCTGGGGAGGAAGCCGTGGTTACAGGGCTGTGGCCCTGAGCAGGAGCTGGCTGGCCCAGCAGGGTGGGCCGAGCACTTCAGTCAAGGCTGAGCGCCAGGCACCAGGGACTCAGGTCTGAGAGACCTGATGTACATCCTGCTCCAGAGCAGATCACAGAGATGCGCCCGCATGAATCCCCAGGCTAAGCCCAGAATTCCGTGGAAGATGCCCATGGGCCAGGAACACGGGTAGTCACCGCGCTAGGGCATCACACAGGGCCCCCCTTGGCCAAATACCACGAGGGAACTTAGACACCTGCATGGGGCCATGGAAGTGCCTGCAACCTCACACTCAGGCCTAGGGCTTACCGAGGTATTGCAGATATTTGTGTTCTCAGAGTAGGAGCTTAGGAATCAGTATCTTCTCTTCGCTACAGGGACAGAGATGCAGTGGCCTAGGACACATCACAAATATTTAAAACGATGTCCTTGGTCAAGGACAGAGGTAGCCAAGGCCAGCCTTCTCCCAGGAAACTAACCCAGGACCCCAAAGCACAGAGCTGTTAGGTGGGAGGGAATTGGTCTGTATGTCTCCCTATAGTGTTGCAACACTTCGGCGCTGGGCTCCCTGTCCCAGACTCACCTTCTATACTCAAGCCAGAGGCCTACGAAAGCCGGGTTAAGATCTTCCCCTGCCTGTCCCTGTAAAGCTTCCCCACTGTCTCTGGAAATCATTTGAGCTTCTTAGCCCCACAGCATGAGCCCGCTCTGACTCAGGCCCTGACAAGCTCTTTCTCTTCTGTCTCTCCCTCCTCTGTTGATATGGACACACCATTCCTTTGGCATGTCTAGTACAGACCAGATCCCCTGCTGTTGTTAGCATTCCTCCCTCTCCCTGGAATGTTCTTCCTTATCTGTCTACCTGATAAGCACTGAGTCATCCTGCAAAACTCTGCACAGCTTTCACCTTCCCTGAGGAGCCTCCCCTGGCCAGCCCCACCCTGTTGCAGGCAGAATGCTTGGCGGTGGGTTGCTGACCACAAATCCATTCCCCCTTTATTCCTTGCCAAGGGAATGCTGATTTTGCTCAGGTTGTCAACCCTCAGGGAGGTGACCCTAAACATGCCAAGTCCAACACACTAGCTCTACCCCCTGAGAGCATGAGAACAACACGGATGGGCATGTGCCCGGATCTGGCTTTGCCCTCATGGACTGCAGGTCAGGGGTGGGAAGCTCTTATAGAGCAGCCCCAGGAGCCCTAGGGGCCATCCTGCTGGCCATGCCATGGCAGTGTCAGAACCCCAAACAGCACCTGGGGTGAAGGAGCTACTGAAAGAGTGGAGAGACTCCACTTTGTCCTGTTAGATCTGTCTCAGAAGTATTTTTATTAGGATTGACTGGGTAAGCTTTCTTCCACAGGGAGCCTAAGGGGGCCCAGAGATTCTTCTCAGAATTGGAGGCCATCAAGGATTGGCTCAGGCTCGCTGGCTACTAGGCTCTCCTGTTCCCAAAGTCCATACTCTTGTTTGTTGTTATTCAAAAATATTTGTTGAAAGCCTGCTATCTACTAGGCCCTGAATGTTTAAAAACAAATAAAGTTCCTGCCTTCAAGGGGCTCACAGCTTTTCTGAGAGGACACGTAAACAGATAAAATGTCATTAGGGTGTAGTTCTGTGTAATAGAGGGTGTTCTTAGGTGCTGACAAGAGCATCTACTCTGTAGTTTAAGCAGAAAACAAATGTATGAAAGGCTATTGGACGGCTCACAGAATTCTGTGCGGCACGAACACTGTGTCTCAAATCATGCTGCAGGACAAACTTGGGGCTCAGTATGCTGGACCATGTTGTGCCTTCTCTCCCAGCCAGTGCTGCAATGGAAGAAAAGGAATTCAGCTCCTAGGAAATGCAAAACATTGATCTGAGGATAGAGAAGGAGTATATGTAGATATCATCTCTTGGAGGGAATTAAAAAGCAACGATGATAGAGCTATGGCAAGGCTACAGGTAGGGAATACCTATGGCAAAGAAAAACCAGAGCTAGACGATAAAGTAGTAAAACCAGATTTTATTCAGGACTATTGCAATAAGCGAAAAGAGACCTCAATATACAGTCAGGCTGATTCTAAAAACAGCATGAGAAGTTGAGACTTGGAGCCATGGAGCAGGTAGGAGTTGAAAGATGGAAAATTACCAAGAGGAAATGCCAGGGGTGAGGGTGATGCTGGCTAAACTGACCTAACAGGAGACCTGCTGAAGAAAGGCCAGGGTGACCAGACATCACCTGGGAAGGTGGAGGATGAGGACCCTGATCGGATATTGGGAGTGGTCAGATAGGAACAAGGGGAGTTCTTGCTGAATTGACTTAGTGGGATTCTTGCTCAAATTGAATTTTACAAGAAAGTACACAGATGAGCCTAGAAGGTTCAGGAGCCTGACTCAAGTTTGCTCAAGCAAAGAAACTTTGTCACTATTCCCTTATTTTTCCCCTATGCTGAAATTAAACTGGGCAGACTCCAAATTATCTTTAAAAACATAGGTGTGTTTTTAACAAATTCCAAAGAGCAATTGCAAAAGCACCTGTGGAGCGTGTCTGCTTTACCAGAAGTGCCCAAAAGGTTACTCCAGCAAAAATGATTAGCAGGTGCTGTGGATGCTGCTGGTGTCCTGGCCAGGGCCCCTTTGCTTCCTTCCCCAGGTGCCATGGGGGTCACCTGGTGGGAGTCAGCACATGGGGCCGTGACCCCTTACACCCATGCTGCTCCAGCTCTGACCCCAGGCAGAGAGAGCTTCCCCTCTAATCTGAGGAGACCTCTTGCTTCCAGGCCTGTCCCACATTTCTCTGCTGGCAGGGAGGCAGTGGGGGTGATGTCCATTCTGCCCCATCAGGGGAGATGATCAACTTCATGACTCTGCTTAAGCAGATCCCCTTGCTGGGCATGTACTTGGACTTGACCAAATTTCCTTGGCTGCAGCTCTTCTCAAGGCTCCTGTTTGGCCACATGAGGCCTGTTTTGGGGTGGGCTGCAAAAGAACCCATCGAACCAGTGGTCAGGGGAGCTTGCAGGGCAGAGAGATCCTCTAAGTCCTTCCTTCCTTCCTTCCTTCCTTTCTTTCTTCTTTCTTTTTTCTTTTTTTTTTGACAGAGTCTCGCTCTGTCACCCAGGCTGGAGTGCAGTGGCACTATCTCTGCTCACTGCAATCTCTGCCTCCCGGGTTCACGCCATTCTCCTGCCTCAGCCTCCCGAGTAAGCTGGGACTACAGGGGCCCACCACCATGCCCAGCTAATTTTTTTGTATTTTTTAGTAGAGACAGGGTTTCACCGTGTTAGCCAGGATGGCCTCGATCTCCTGACCTCGTGATCTGCCCGCCTCGTTCTCCCAAAGTGCTGGGATTACAGACTGAGCCACCACGCCTGGCCCCTCTAAGTCCTTTCTAAAGAGCTTTGGCAGAAAGCAGCTAGGCAATGGCTCAGAACTGAAAGCAAGTCTGCACACAAAGCAGGACTTGAACTGAAAGAAAAGGAATAAGAATTCTCACCCAGGGCTGGGATCCAAGAGACGCACACTGATACAACTACTAAAAGGTTGTTAAACTCCCGAAGGGCCCCTGCCTTGCTGTGTTACAGTCTGATTGTGTATTGTTGAAGCCCTTACCCCCAGTTTGCTGGTGTTTGGAGATGAGCCTTTGGAAGCTAATTAGGATTAGATGAGGTTATGAGGGCGGGGCCCTCATGATGGTATAGTGATCTTATGAAAAGAGCAGGAGAGAGAGAGAGCTCTTCCCCCCGTGACCAGGTGTAAGCACAGAGGAAAGGTCATGGGAGGACGTGTCAAAAAGGCAGCCGTCCGCAAGCCAGGAAGAGGCCCTCCCCAGGAACTGAATTGATCTTAGACTTCCCAGCCTCCAGAACTGTGCAAAATAAGTGTCTGTTATTTAAGCCACCTATTTATGGTATTTTGTATGTCAGTCTGAAAAGACTAAGACATGTTGGTGAATAGCTGCTGCATCCCCAACACCCAGGAGCCTCCCCTGGGGCCCCACAGACACCCTGCCATCCAGCACTAAGGGTTGAGGCCTGGCCCTGCAGGGGCCGCTACTCGAGCTCTGCTCCACCCCTGCAGACAGCACCCATTCAGGTGAGTGGGTTGTGCTGCACCAGTTGTTAAATATTCTGAGCACCACTTGTGGTGGATTTAAAAACAGCCCCCAGATTCGTTGACACTCTTCTCATTGACAGATTGGGTCTGTGTCCCCTTTCCTTGAAGCTGGGGTGGCTTGTGGTGTCTTCAACTGATAGGGCACCGGGGAAGTGATGCCATGTGACTCCTGACGCTAACTCACAGAAGGCAATGTGGTGTCCTTCTTGTCCACTGGGAGACGGTGGAGCCCTACCACTTGCTACCCTGAGGCCACCTTGCTGGAGAAGCTACGTGTAGGAGCGCAGGGGACAGTCCCAGTTGAGCCTGGCCTTCCAGCCATCTCACCAGGGGCCCAACATGTGAGTGAAGAGGCATCCAGATGGTTGCACCCCTCTGCCCTAGAGTCACCCCAACCTTCAGGTCTTCCCAACTGAGACTGAGTCGTCTTACTTGTTGGGTCAGAGACAAGCACCTTGCTGTGCCCTCCAGAACTGCTGACCCACAGAATCTGTGAACATTATACATGAGGATTTTATGCTACTGGCTCTGGGGTGGTTCGAAAGGCAGCAGTTGTAACTGGGAGCCCACCCTGTATAGAAATGTGAGGAAACTGAGGCTCAGAGAGAGAGTAAGTGACTCAGTCACTGATATAGTTTGGATATCCCCTCCAAATTTCATGTTGAAATGTGATCCCCAGTGTTGGAGGTGGGGCCTGGTGGGAGGTGTTTAGGTCAGGGGGCAGATCCCTCATGGCCTGATGCTGTCCTCACCATCTTGAGCTCTGACAGGATCTGGCTGTTTAAAAGTGTG
The DNA here is from genome assembly GCF_000001405.40 of Homo sapiens. Lineage (NCBI taxonomy): Eukaryota > Metazoa > Chordata > Mammalia > Primates > Hominidae > Homo > Homo sapiens. The sequence continues at coordinate 46,392,879 of NC_000010.11, read as the reverse complement.
TGGCACCTCCCCCCACCTCTCTTGCTCCCACTCTCGCTACGTGATGTTGGCTCCCCCTTCACCTTCTGCCATGACTGTAAGGTCCCTCCAGAGGCCTCCCCAGAAGCTGAGCAGATGCCGGCACCATGCTTCCTATATAGCCTGCAGGACTGTGAGCCAATTAAACCCCCTTTTTAAATAAATTACCCAGACTCAGGTATTGCTTTATGGCAACACAAGAATAGCCTAACACAGTCAAAGTCATGGAGCTGGTGCAGGGCAGAGCCAGAATCTGCCTCCCGTCCAAGTGAATTCAGAGCCCACGCTATTCCCATCTCCCTGATCAGGCTGGTTCCTGGGCACACGCTTACCCCTCAGGGCCACTTGAGGGGAAGTTTGCAAACTGGAGCATGTTCAGGGGTGATGGCCCCAAACAGGCTCCAGGAGGGACCACTGAAGGGACTGGGGACACTGGGCTTTGACAGAGGTCATCGCAGAATTTGTGGGCCTTCTTCAGATATCCAAAATGTTGTTACTGGGAGGGAATAAGTGTTGTGGCCCTAGATGGCAGAGGTGTGGGCTTGATGCGGCTGATTTTGGTTCAGGTAAAACAAGAACTTTGCTGGTCACATCCATTGGAAAAAGATTGGGCTGTCAAAGGACGCAGTGAGTCCCATCTTTGGAGGCAGCCAAGTGCACCCGGAGTACTCAACTGCACCCTGAGTATCACCAGTACACCCTGAGTACCCAAGTGCACCCCAAGCACACCAAGGACCACCCCTGGGTGGATGCCAAGGGGGTAGTCAGGCCACAGGTCGGAACAGCACCAGCTGACTTTAAATCCCTCTCTAACCCTGAGATACAAGGATGTAGCCTACACATCAGGAGGTGAATAGAATCTACCCTCATTTGCAAGAGTTGTCCCCAGGGCAGCGGTGGCTGCAGCCCATCCAGTGTTCCCACTGGGAGATGCCCACGAGGTGCTCAGGTACAGCCCATCCAGTGTTCCCACTGGGAGATGCCCACGAGGCGCTCAGGCTTCGTGGCTCCCCAAAGCTCTGTTTCTGACAAATTAAATTGGTCCTACACTGGTCCCTGCTAAACATCCAAAGATACTTTGAGTTGAATACAAATCTTTATTATTTTGAAAACCACAGCAAAGGCACTTCAGAATCTCCAGGTACCCAGTCTCAGTTGCCGTTCAGTGGGGACAAGAGTGGTGCTGAGGGCATGGTCACACCCTTCTGTGCTGCATGCAGAGGGGTGCAAGGCCAGGGCAGCTGACCTGGTCAGCCACCAGGGGAGCCCACGCCTCTTATAACACAGTGTCCTTGGGTCAGGAATTTGTAGTTTATTTTGTTATTAAGATGGCGAGAGAATTTTTCGTCCATTTAGAGCCTAACATTTTTAGATGAATGTTAATGGCATCTCGGTTGGGATGGATTCGTGTTCATTTCTCAGCTGCTGAAGGATGTGTGTTCTAAAACAAAAGGGCTCCCAGCCAGCTCTCCGGCTGCATGATAGAGAAGTGTTTTGTAAGACGCTTGTTAAAAACCCATATTCCCTGGCCCCTCTTGTGGAGACCCTGTTTCAGTAGATGGGAATGGGGCTGGGGTCTGTATAACCTGTGCCCAGGAGACTCTGTGACCAGCTTGGGAAGCTCCTGCAGGGAGGAAGGAATGATCCACAAGTCCCCAAGCCCTTCATGCTGAGGCATCTGTCTGGCTGGAGAAACACTAAGGTTGGCATTGTGCTCACACTGGGAAATGACCTGGAGGAAGTTGGGAAGAGGAGTCCAGGCCGGTTCCACCCTCTGGGTCAGAAACCCGGCTGGAAAGCACTGGAAATAGGGAAATAGAAGACCGAAAGGCTGGGACCCCCCTCACACCCAACCTGCGTCCATGGCCGAGGTTGAGTGAGGAGTCCTGGAGACTCTGGCTTCATGGTCTTTGCTCTTGTTCTTCTGTGCCTCAGGGGTCGCTGCCCACCAGGCTCAGCAGGGCGTTCTTGTAGTCGCCGCTGGTGTCTTCCTGTGGGTAGGAGGCGCATAAGCGTGAGAAGGGGTTTGTTTGTGCCTGGCTCGGCAGTGGCGGCTGTGTTATTATGACTAAGAGGTGTGCCCCTGGCCTGCACCTGGCCCGGCCCTCCAGGGTTCCTAGCCGCAGGGGTTGTGCCATCACCCCTCTTTCCTGGTTTTTAATTTCAGGCTATTCCTTTACATTTCCTTTTGATTCTCTTACCAACTACATGCAGGATTGATGTGGAAAATGAATCAGAGACAGTTCCACTCCTAAACAAGGAAGGGGTCAGCTGTCCCAGGGTTCTTCTATTCGGGAGCCAGGGTGCCCAGCCATTCATTTACACAACACGATGCATCATTATTCAACACCTGCTGTGGCAGCTTGGGAATCAAGGCTGAGAGTGAGGCATCAGCACACACCTGGGAGCAGGGCCGGGGGTGGAGGGAGCCTGGACCATCGCACCCTGACGGTGTGGCCGAGGCAAGCCCCTTCACCTCTGTGGGACTCATCTATGAAATGAGATCAATGCTGTGCTGCTGTGCATCTTGCTGAGACGTGGTGAGGGTACAGCAGGAGGAAGGCGAGCTGGTCTGCCCTGCATCTGGCTCACATCGGGTCCACAGTGTTTGTCTCCTGATGAGACTGACCTTGTGGTCCGATGACTGAGGAGCCCTGTTTCTTAGATACTGGTAGGTCCTGATGGGACTGGCTAGTCCGGGGTCTGCATACAGAGCTGGGAAATGGGCCAGGTCAGATCACCCAGATTCTTCTTCATGCAGTTGAGGACAGCGGGGCCAAGAGAGGGGAGTGAATTCATTCACAACGGCATGGTGAGTAAGGGGTAGACTGGGGCTAGACCCACTTTCCACACTCTGGACCAGTTTAGGTCTCATGGTTATTGTCTACTTTTCACCATTTAGTAAAATTTGCCTGCTTTGAGCCTGAAATCTCATTACGGGTTTCAAACTACAATGAAATTTTTTTAACTTTTTCCTTTCTAGACACGGTCTCACTCTGTCACCCAGGCTGGAGTGCAGTGATGCAGTCCTAGCTCACGGCAGCCTTGGACTCCTGGGCTCAAGCGATCCTCCTGCGTTGGCCTCCCAAAGCACTGGGATTACAGGTGTGGGCCACTACGCCTGGTGATTTTTATTATTTTGAAGACAATTTTTCTAATAGTTTTTAGAAAGAAAAGCATTAATTTTGTTTACTTTTTCAAATACATGAGTTATACTTGAAGTGTTTATACATTTGCCTCTTAATTTCAATGCAGGAGTTTTTAACTCATATTAGTGTTGAAAACCATTTTTGCTTTAATGACATCTGTGGTCTACACTAAAAAGAAAATGTTTGGTCAATGTATTCATGATTCTAACTCAATTTTCTTAAGTAACAACATTAGATAAAATTTGAAGAGGGTGGCTTCATGTATCTGTAGAAATCTCTCTGATGCCGTAAGTTACCATGTGTGGTTAAAAGGGTTAATGACAATCAGCTCAGACTGTCTGCAGGTGACAGCACAGTCCAGGCTGGTGTGTGCCTTGCCCTCCTGTCTCCCGACAAGATTGGCTGGGGAGCCTCAAGTGAAACCAAGAATAATTCCAATCCTCTCTTGCCCCTGCCCACCTGTTTCAAGATGTTGCCATCTTGAAACATCTGGAAACAGAAATGTCTTTTCCACCTATTGTCAGCTATGTGTTTCTTGAAAAGTGCACTTAACAACGACATTTGCAGAAGAGCTAGAGACTTGACTTAGTAGCCAAAGAAAACTTGGGGATACATTTGTCCTAATGTGACTTCTGCTAATGAAATCATCAAGACCTCAATTTGCAGACACCCCCAGAAGAGCTGTTTCTCCCAATTATCGCAGCGTGATAATCAGTCTGTGTTTTGAAGGCTCCAGAACTTTTGCTAATTGGAATCTGGTTAGATAGTCTATTGGCGCTCATCTGACTTATCTCCTTAGAAGTTGGCCGCCAGGACTACTTAAATCTGGATTTGAGCGGTGGGCCCGATTCCTACCGGACTAGTTCATCTCATTGACTATTCAGAGGTGGCTTCTTCTGCAAGGATTTGGTGTCTTTTCCAAGGAGCAACCATAACTTAAATGTGAAACCAACTTTCTGAGTGGGACACAGGGGAGCCTCTGTGCCCTGGTCTCTGCATCTCCCCTCTGCCCCCCATTCCCCTTGGGATCCAGCCACACTGACCTCTGCTGTTCCCTGCACACACCACATGGTCATGAATGCAAGCACATGGTGCCCACTGGGAAGGGAGGGGCTCACGTAGTGTTGGCCACAGCCTCCAGGTTTCCCTGAATGTCTGGGTTTCAGGCTGGCCTCAGCATTGGGAATGCCTGCTTACCATGATCATGCTGCTGAGGGTCTTGCCGTACATCTTCTTGAAGTGACATTTGATAAGATTTAAGTCAATCTCGCTCCTTGAAACGATGTTTCTTATCAGGGTCCCATCACGCGTCCCTGCTCCCTGGGCAAGACAGCAGCCATCAACAATCCTGCCTCACCTTTCCTGTCCATCTCTGAGTGATGGACGGATCTGTGTGGTTGGGTTCTGGGGCTTTTAGAGGGAGGGAGATGTGGGAAGGAGCCTGTGCTTCAGCCAGGGAAGCATTAGGAGGGAAGCTTTGGTGGCTTAGGGTGTCCACTCCCTTAATTCCTTCTCACCCACTGCCCAGAACTCTTCCTTTATGATGCCAAGTGCTCCAAACTGCAGTATGTTTGGTTTGCCACATCAGATTCTAGACACAAAATACTCACTGCTCCAGGAACAAGACTTCCTACTAGAGCAATGGCAGCAATCAGCTCAGCCAGGAATTTCACAGGCAGGGCCTTCCTGCTCACCTTCATCCCTGACCAGTCTCATGTCAGCTGGGGCCACATGGCCAAGGGAATCGCATGCCCTCTCTCATTTCCTGGGCAGAAGTGGCCAGAGGGCTTGGGTTTCGGGTGTGGAACTAACTTCAGGGGATATCAGCAACCATCAATCAGAGAAAACGGGCAATGGTTTTAGTTTCAGGGAATTATTCACCTCTGGAGATGCAGCGTCCCTTTCCCAGACTCAATTTCACCTCCGAGAACTAAAACCTTTCTGATCCACGACAGGTTTGGGTAAGATAACTCCCCCGTGTGGAGGATCGTGGTGGCTTTGAGCTCCTTGGCTTTGCACTTGGTGCTATGTAGGGTGAGCGTCAGGAAGAAGAAGACAGGACAGTTACCTTCATGGCATAGTAGAGTCTCTCTGCAAAGTAGCTGTGGAGGTTTTGGGTGCATTTCACTGGCAAACAAGAAAGCTGTGTTAATGTCTGGAGCTGGTAGGTGGCACTGCCTACAACTTTATGTCTTGCCTTAGGTCTTAAGAGTCAGTGTTGTGCAAGGCTTGGCATATTTCTTTGTTCCGTGCCTTTCCCAATGTGAGAGGCTTTGTGTCAGGTGGCGTGGGACAGGGAAGGTAGCCCGGGGCACTGGGCACAGCTCCAAAGGCCCAAGCAGGCAGGCAAAAGGGTAAGATGTGAAATGCACCAGACTGTGGGGCTCGTCTGAAGACACCAGCTCAAGCCCATCCAAGGGCAGCTCAGACTCAGGACAGGCCCTGGGCTCTCAACCCAGAGACACCTCCACCAAAAATCCAGCCTCTCAGCTCCACAGAAGCACCATGGGATGGTGGCTGCTGGCCTCAGAGTGCCCTCTCTCTCACACTTATCAGCAGAAACCCTGCATTTTGAATTCCCATGTGACAAGTGGAGTTTGGCCCCACAGGACTAAGGCACCTGGGGGCGTCTGGTCCAGAGACTGGGCCCATGCTTGCTCCCATGGGTACTGCTCAGAGACTTGGCATCTGGGTGGGGAAGGTTGGCATTTTCACTTAGGGCTGCAGAAGGAGCATGGGCTTTGAGTGAGGTAGGCATGTGTTCACTTCCTGCCTTGATGGTGCAGTATGGCTTCATTACTCAACCTCCCTGACTCATCTGGGAAGTGAGACTGATGCGAGGCTTCAAGGTGAAGTGAATAGGAAGGCCCAGCATGACGGAGCACTGCATGGCTTCACTATTCCCTGCTGGCAGACTTCATTCTTGGTGGGTTCAGGCCAGATCCAGGGGTGGAAGCTGAGATTGGAGCAGGGGTGTGATTAGATGTCCTGACATAGACCGGATTGTATCACAGCATCCAAGGCCAGCTGGGGTGTCTCAGATGGCCCTGTCCACCCAGAGAGGCTAGGAAACAGCAGGGAGCCTGCTGGCTGCTGGCTTTGCACGGAGGCAGCCTGGTGTGGAGGTGAGAGCTGCAGGCCAGGAGTCCGGACCTGGGCTCTGTGTGTAAGTGGGAGAAGAGACGTCCCTCTGCCCTGGGCCTCAGCTCTTTACTCTGCAGTGACTCTTCCCATTGTGATCTCAGCCCTGGAACCCATGAGAGCTCTGGAGTGGGTCCTCCTGAGTGGCCCTGACTTCCTGCTGTGGGGAAGATCCCCAGTGTTTCTCAGCATCAGACCATCCGTCACTCAGTTTGGACTCAAGCCACACATCACTGTTTCTTCAACTGGCAATGAAGGCAGGGGCCAGGCCCCTGGTTCATGTCCAGAAAGATGACTTTGTGCTGGCCAGGGCTTCACAACCACAGCCAGAGTGCTCCCTGCATGGCTGCCATGAGTACACACAGGGTTGGGGCTGGCATAATCACTGGCGTATGCATTTGTGTGCGCACACACACACACTGTCTGTCTCACACACACACACTCACATTCCACCCACAGTCATGCACACACACCCTCAGGCACACACACTCTCACGCACACACACACTCATGCAGACACACCCACACAGCACTGGGCACCACGTGGGCAGCACAGAGAACAATCTTTGGCAGCACACACTGGGACTCTAGAGGTGGAGCAGTCCCTGGGTGAGGGAGACAGGCAGAGTGTGAGTCGGGGGGACATCCCGTGAAGGTGACACAGGGATTCTTTCTCTTGTGGTCGCATCCCTAGGCCCTTTGTTCTTTGGTGCTGCCCCACGGTGAGCCCTGTGGCCTGAAAAACGTGCAAGTCTGAGCTCTTACCCACAGTGAGCATGGCCTCCTCCAGTGAGCCATGGGTCTCACTCTTGATGCTGTCCTCAATGCTCTTGTTGGCAATTTTCTCATACTCTTCAAACACTGTGGAGAGGGCTCTGCTCAGGGGATGGTCAGACCTCCTCGTGATGCCCCTCAGTGTCTCGGATCAGAGATCGCACATCAATTTGCCGCCCTGACCTCCCACTGGTGGCTGGGGAAACAGTCCTGGGCTCCCTGGCTCTCTCCCTAACTCTAGACTTGACAAGGCAGAAGCACGAGGGAGAGGCTCATGGCCAGGACACCCCTGTGGCCCCGGCCCCAGCCCCTCCCTCCCTGGTACCTCTCAGCAGGTGAGTGGCACTGCGCGTGCACAGGATGGTGATGAATTTCATCTCATCAGTCCCACGAATCTTCTCGCCTGCCGCATACAGATCCTAGCATTGGGACACCCACAATAAGCCAGTGAGGGAGACCAGGGAGGTGAGGGACTGAGCCCCAGAGTCCCAGAGCTGTGGCCATGGCCTGGCCCTGTCCACTCTGCCAGGCCAGCATGCTCCCCTGCTTGGTCGTCTCTGACAGGGAGCTCCCCTTTCTCTAGCAGCTCTGGCTTAGAATATTTTCTCTATCCTGGGCCACAAGCTGCTCTAGGAACTGCCTGGTCCCCAGACTTCCCTCTGCCAGCAGGCAGACCTACAGAGACCCGGACACCTGTGTCCAGCACTGGGGCCTAGCGCCCCCGGGTTCATGGGCTGTTCCTGCCAGGACAGAGCTTTAGTGCTCCCCCACCCCCAAGTCACACTCCTTCCTCCCGAGTCTCCCAACACCCTCACTCTCCTCCCCAGACACCACAGGACAAAGGCCTATAGGGAGCTGAGCTGGGTGGGTCCCAGCCCAGTGTCAGAGAAAGCCCCCGTGGGCAGAGGAGCCGGAGTCCAGATGGCAGGGGGTGGGGCCACATGGCCGGCTGGGCGCAGCCTCACCTGTGCGTCTTGGAGGGCCAGTGCCGGGTCCACAAAGCTGCTCACATCATCCCTGCTGCCCTAGGAACAGAGGAGGTGGCTCTGTAAGGCAGGCCAGCTGACCAGAGCATTAAGGGCACAGGGGGGATCCTGGGCTTGGAGGGTAGGCATGGCTCTGCTGCTCTTTGGCTGTGGAAACTTCGACAAGCCAGTTATTCTCTTCAGCCCTTGGTTTCCTCATTTGTACAACGGGGGTGGTAAGGACTGCCTCATAAGGCTTGGCGGATTCAGTGAGCTAAGGTAAGCAAAGTGCCTGGCATGAGGTCTGCACGAAGGACCTGCTCTCCTCCCGCTTCCAGGATGCTCTCACATGGCTGAGTAAGGACAAGTGTGGGGGCTCTGCAGTTGGGACCCTCTAACCATGCTGAGACACACCCAATGAGCCCTGGCTGCTGGGCTATCCCATGCCCATACCCTGACTCTTGTGGCGCTATTCAAGGGCTGCTCCCTGGGGTGGAGCTGTTGGGACTCCCAAACCAAGGCACTCCCAAGAGCCTAGGCTGTGACACCTGCAGGAGGCACACCAGGATCCTCTCCAGGTAGCCACTTGTGTCTGCTTGGATGTCCTCCTCCAGGCTGGACCCATAGTCTGCAGGGAAACAGGACCATGAGGCACAAGCAGAGGCCCACAGCCTACCCGGGGCCTGCTTTCCTCCTTCCAGCCCTGTTCCCCATACTTCTCCTTATTAAAGCCTTCTAGGAAAGAAAGTCCTTGGCACAGGGCATGGATGCAATGCCCGGGTGTCCAAGTGGCTGTCGCCTGGGTGGTGCTTCACAACTAGAAGCGACATGCGTACCCAACCAAGCTCAAAGCACAAGATGGACCAGGTCAGAGAGCCAGGCTAGGGGCTGCCAACCAAGCTCCATTTCATCTCAAGGCTTGGCAAAGCCAAAGCCTCCAGGAAAACTCCCCACTAGGTACATGATGTGGAGGACTGACTGGCCTCTGCTAGCCTGGGGTCCACACCCCCTACTACCACAGTCCTCAAGGGCAGAGATTTTAGTTGGTCACAGGCCTCTCTCCCCTGTAAGAGGAGCTGGTGAGCTTACAGATCAAGTCTGAATCATGTTCAGTGTCACCATCAGGCACAGATCTTGGCATACGGTAGGTGCTCAGCACCTGTGGGTAAAAAAGTCCCCAAAGGGTCCTTTCTAGTGTGGCCCAGGTTAATTCTTGATCCTTGTTCCCTGCCAGGCTGCCAAAGCTTGTGGCCACTCCTGAGCCCCTCCATCTGTGCCACCCCTTACCTTCCTCATACGCCTTCATTATCTCCCGCAGCTGGTTCTTGGTCCGAGAGGCCAGGATCTCAATGATGACACCCTCCTTGGTTCCTAAGCCCTGTGGACAGAAACCTCTGCCTGCTGGAGTGCTCTGCCATGACCTTCTGCTCTGTCCACACCTTCTTTTCTCAAGATGCCTGAGCCTCAGGAAGGACCTCACTGCCCTGCCCCACTTGAAGTGGGAGGATGTGATGAGAAAATCACATGCTTGTCTTCAGTGATGAACATTGAGGGCAAGTGCTGTGACGGGGAAGCCCTGTCTCAGCTCTCCCTCCTTAGCTGGGTGGTCTCAGACAGGCTGCTCCATGTCCTGGAGCCTAAGCATCCCGATCCATAAACAGGAATAAGAAGCCTCCCCTGCGCCAAAGATAGATTAGGGAGCGTGGGTGTAAAATGCCTGGCAGTGCCCATGCAGCAAGTGTCTTTCCAAACAAAATGACTATAGTTACTGGGTCCCCATCCTTATTAATCTGCAAAAGCAAAGAGTAGTGAGAGGTAAAGGGAAACCCAAGGGGCTGTGCCTGGGACTGTAGAGGTGGGTTTCCAATACCACTGTACACCTGAGCTCGTGAGGTTCTGAGAAGTACTGATTTTGGCTTCATCACGGCCACTCAACGTGTCAATCAGGCACCAGTGACTCCAGGTGTTGGGTGCAGTCTGAGCAGCAGGCTGCCTGCTCACTGGGCCCAGTTATGGCCCATATGGCCATTCCAAACAGTGGCTCAAGGGGAGCTCTGGGCTGTAGGTTCCCGGTCCCCGCATTGCCCCTACCCAGTCATGTGAGCACCCCTGCCACTCCCCTGCCCTGTCTGCCTGGTTACCTTCATGGCGTCATGCAGCTCCTTGGCTTCGTATCTGTATGGCGGATACATAAGGGCCACAATGAGCCTCTCAAACTTGCCACTGAGCTCAGACTTCAAGGTCTCAGTGAGGTCCTAATGCGGGAACAGGGAAAGGTGATATTTGTCATAAGCCAGGCCCACCTGAGTGCAGGCAGCGGAGTGGTGGCTGGGTCCAGGGGCTTGGGCTGGATTCTGCATGGGCCTTGCCACGTGCTGGCTGGGTTTCTTGGGCCAGCTCCTTAGCTTCTCTTAGCATCAGTATCTTTACCGGTTACACGGAGAGAAACGTGCTCCTGCTTCATCCCGTTGCTTAGGGGGTTGTGTGTGACTCAATTCAGCATTCAGTGCAGTGCTGGGCACATCATAAGCTCTCAGTAAAATGAAATTGGTATTGCTAGCTAGACTGCAAGCTCTGAGTATGGCATCACCATAAAATACCTGTCACTTGGCACTCAATGAATGAATGCATGCCTGAATTAAAGACTTCGTCTCACATGTGCCTCCTTCTAAGGTCACATGTTGCTACGAGGAGCCACCAGGCTACATCAGCTGATCTACAGAGCAGCAGAGAGATCAAGGGCTTTGTCAGACCTGGATTTTAATCCCCACCTTGTTGATTACAGGCTCTGGGACCTTGGGCAACTTAAAACCTCTCTGAGTGCCAGTTTCCCCAAATGTTTGAATACAAAGAATGTATCACTGTGAGGACTAAGAGAGGGAAACTGTAAAAATGCATACTGGGTTCTCCAAGAGAATATTTGAGCTGATCTTCCTTCGTTACATCTCCAAACTAATGATATGAGTCACTAGAGGCTTGAGGCAACCATGGCTGTGCACATATTTAATCCTGTGTTTACTGTGTACCCCCAAATGTCAGGCTTTGTCCTAGGGGTGGAGTGCAGGTGGGAGGAGAAACAAAGGGCCTGGCATGCTTACTCCAGGCTCTTAGAATTCCCAGGTGGCAGAAGGGACGAGGTGTGGGTGCAAGCAGCTCGACTGAGGAAAGCATGCCCACGCCCCAGAACAGAGCAAAGCCAGGCCTGCATGCCTGGGGCATGGAAAAGAGAAGGTGGTCTGGGCTCAGAGGGCAGGGCGAGATAGCCTGGGGGCAGGGAGACAGACCTCCAGTGGGGCCTGTTGGGTGCATGAGAAGGAATGCTGTGAGAGAAGAGGCAGGAAAGGAAGCAAGGAAGGCCAGCCCCCGGCCCGGGCTCTGACACCTAAAAGTAGATCTGCCAGATAAAACACAGGGCAGCCAGTTACATTTGAATTTCAATAAAGAACAATTGTTTTCATGCAAACAGGTTCCATGTGCCCATGCTACCAGTGGGCTGGCTCTAGGGGAAAGTCGTCCAGAATGGAGCTGCCTCCCAGGCTGTACCCCCAACCCCAAGGCTCACCTATCCCCACCCCCACCAGCCTTCCCCTTGCCTTGCCGAACTGAGCCTTGAAGGACTTGGCGATCTGCTGCCGCTGCGTGTTGCTTCTCTTGGTGAGCACATCGATGATAGCCTGCTCGTTGGTCCCTGCAGGGTTACAGCACAAGTGACCCTGCTGCCCCCAGGGTGACACACTGGTGAGGGCGGAGGAGGGGAAGGCGAAGGCAGCTGCTTGGTGGCTGAGCAGTTGGGACCCGACACCTGGATAGTTCCAAACCCCCAGACCATTTTCGTGGTGTAAACAAGACCCTTAGGAAATCTGCCTCCCCATTTCCCACCCCACACCCCCACAATGTTGGGGCGTGCCCAAGGCCAGCCTCACAAGATGGAATCTGAGGTCTGGGTGGCTCTGGACATCAGCCCGGGCCTTTGGAGCTTGGCCGAGTGAGATCTCTGGCCCTGCCCTCCTTTGTGTTGGTCGCAGTAGGGGAAGGTCAAGACTAAGAGTCCAACCCCTGAATCCGAGGCCTGGCCCAGCAACTGCGTGGCATTGGGCAGCCAGCCTCATTTCCCTGGGCCTCCGTTTTCTCATTTGGGAAGTGGAGATAACTTTCTGCTTCACAGAAAGCAGAGGGCATGAGAACGTTTTCTGGGCTTGTCAGGAGCGGCAGTTCTCATTAAGGCCCCTGATCCTCAGGCAGAGCCGGCTAAGGGGTCAGTCCCACCTGGGGTGAGGTCAGGGTACATGCTCTGCTCTCAGGTCAGGAGGGCTTTCTGGGCAAGCTGTTTAAATCTGGCCTCAGGCCAGCCCTCGCCCACTCACGGTAGTGCTGAGGGCAGCACTGGGCAAGTGCAGGAGATGGGAAGGGAGCCGGCTCCATGGCCATCGACATGGGGCAAGGGGGCCTTGAATCAGCCCCACAAACTCCCAACACCTCACACCCCTGGCAGCTCTGTGCCTGGCATCATAAAGCACCACCCCCTTCACACTTCATGTGACACACAAGGCCAAGAATTCTTGGGGCCACTTTACAAGTGAGAAAGCTGAGACTGATGGGAAGTCACTCACAGAGACACACAGCTCACCTCCCCACCCCCATTACCCAGGGAAGAGCAGCACCCTCCTGTCCAGTCTTGCAGGGTGGGTGCTGACCTCACTGCAGAAACAGAGGGCTGTGTGATTCTCTGGGTAGTGGAATCAGTTTCAGAGTATCATGGGACACCCCAGCTCCCCAGATGTCCCCTGGCACCCGCTTTCCAGGGCTGTGAGCGGAGGGGTCTTGAGCAGAGGTGGCAAGGCTGCCAACACCCACTCACCGATCCCCTTCATGGCTTTGTAGAGGGTCTCTGCATCAGGGTCTGGGTTGAAGTGGGAGCTGCTCTTCACTGTGACACCCTCCTGTTCAATCTGCAAGAGAACCAGGCCTGCTCAAAGCAGGCAGGGACAGGGAGGGCAGAGCAGGCTCCCAGCCCATCTGGTAGCCCGCCCTGACAGGGTGAGCCCCTTCCCTGGGCACGGAGATCTGCTCAGCCCTTGCAGGCCAGTGCTCTGCCCTTCAGCCCCTTGGCCAACAGGGTGGAGTAGCCAGAGCCAGAGCTTGTGGGGAGAAGCCACAAAACCTTTCCTGTCCCTGTCTGTGCCATCTGACTGCAGACAGCAGCCCCAGCCACACCCAGCTCCTTCCAGCATCACCCACCAGCAGCAGGAAGGGACAAACTCACCCAAAGTTAGGAGGGGAAAGAACACTGAAGCAAAGGCTTCCTGGAGCTGCATGCACCACCTTCAGAGTGTGCAGATGAGGTTGGAAGGCTGAGCATGGTTCTGCCTTTCTGAGGAATGGTTTGAGCTCAGTCTGCCCTCTTCCTGGGGAGTTGGGACTTACAGCAACTTAGAGGGCAGGGGCCCAGCTGAGCATATTGATAGTTCAGGGTGTTTGCAAGTCCACAGGCCCATGGGGCTCAGAGCGTCAGGTTTAGAAAAACCCGCACGATGCTCTGCAGATTGTGAAATAAACCAGATAACCAAGTGCCTGAGCCCTTGATTTCCAAGCCTCCAGTTCAGGGCTTGCCTGAGGGCTCTTTAAACTTGTGCCCTGCAGAATTTCTCAGATGATTAACATGGACATAAGTGTGTTTTGGGTGGAGGAATGGTAGAGAATGGAGGGATATTGGAGATAGGTATTGAATTAGAGGGAGACTCAGAGATCCTCCAGGATGAAAAAGAGTTTAGTCCCATCCAGTCTTGTCTTCCATTTACCTGTTCACTTATTCCTTCCATCACCTCCATCATCTGCCCATCTACTTTCCCACCTACGCACTTACCCATTTGACTACCACATCCATCCATCCATCCACCCACCCATCCATCTATGCACCCGCCCATCCATCCATCCATCCATCCATCCATCCATCCATCGAAGCCCTGGGTTAGATTGTGAAAATACAGAGATTCCAATGGATGGTATATCTGTAAGTATCTTTCCTTTGAGTAAGAGGTAAGGCATCTTTCTGAACTCTTTGCTTTAATTTCAAATGTCTGGTGACAGATCTTCCTGAGTCATTTCTTAGCACCATGTTTCACAGCAGAAATTGTTAGAAATAATTCCTATGGAAATTCCATCCAGAGAGAGCCAGTGTGGTCCCAGATATTGCTCATCGGTGTCCACACACACGATATCCCTTGCTTGTGGAGTCACGCTCTGCTATTACTCCTGTTAGCACTTCAAGCCCCTTGTGTGTGCCAGACCTGGGCCAGGTGCTTTAGAAGCAATGCTTATGTCATGGCTTCCTCAACAGTTGTGCTAGGTAAGTACTGATGCCTCACTTTACAGAAAGGGAGCTGGACTCCCTTACACAGCTAGTAAGTGATGCTGTTGGGACTCCCCAGCCTGACTCAGAAGCTGAGCTCTATCTACCTCCCCTGCCCTACTGATGACTCCACCTTTCCCAGACAATGAGTGTTCCTGGAACGTTCCACTGAAGGAAGCTTCACCCACAGGAACGCAGGTCGTCTGGGAATGTGGGAGGCATCTCAGCTCTCAGTGCCTGCCGGCTTCCCTCTGCCCCAGCACTCGGGGGCTGTGGTGCACCAGCGAGTGGCCAGGCTGTGTAACCACATCCCTGAGGAGCATGCAGTCCCGCAGGGGTGCGGTAGGTCTCAGGTGCAGCATTTGTAAGCAGCTCCCTGGCTGGTTCTGATTTTGCTGCATTGAGAAGCCTCTGTCTCACTTCCCACTCTAAGGTTTTAGAAAATAAGTGTTCTGGGAATCGGAGCCCTGGCTATCAGTGTGGAGTCCTGGAGCTCCAGACCTCCTGCTGAGAAGGAAGGGTCAGCCTCAGGCTCCTGCAGGGTCTTGCCCAGGGCCGTGCTAGTCCAGACAGGCACATTTTCACTGAAAAGGTGACTCAGACCAGCCTGTGACTACATCTATTAATATAACTTGTTCTGTGACAGGCACAGGGGAGCTGCCATGCCTTGGCCTTCCCCTGCTACGTGGCTGCCCAGAGGCCTGGGAGATGGGTTTGTCTCTATGA
This sequence comes from Homo sapiens, assembly GCF_000001405.40. NCBI lineage: Eukaryota > Metazoa > Chordata > Mammalia > Primates > Hominidae > Homo > Homo sapiens. The sequence goes on along the minus strand of NC_000010.11, from coordinate 46,377,758 downwards.
GAGACACAGAGGAAAAGGCAACACCAAAAAGAGAGGTGCAGATGGGCCCTGCCTGCAGACAGATCTCTCTCCAGTGGCTCCCTCATCTCCTCCCATCCCGTTCCTGGCCCAGCTTTGTGCCTAGAGGACACTGGGTCTTCGCTAGCAGCTCAGCTGTTGCAGGTGGGGTCTACCTGTGAACTTGCTACCCCGAGCCAGCTCTCACATGGGGTATGGACGACCAGGGTATGGTTTTGGCCCTGGAGTCAGGCTGTTCAGATTCTCACCTAGACTCTCACACTTACTAGTGAGTTCGGGCACCTGCCTAGCCTACTTGTGCCTCAGTTTCCTCATCTGTGGATAAGGATACTGGTGTCTACTTCATAGACTCCTTGTGAGGTTCAAGGGAGATATTGAATGTGAGGTGCTTAGAGAAGGGTCCGGCCACAGAGTAGGGACTCAGTGAGTGTCACAGTGATCCTGTCAATTTGGCAGGTCCCTACATGGACAGCCCTTTGTCCTGCTGCACTGGGTGCAAGGCCCAGTGCCAGACTGCCTTGGCCAGCAACTGACTTTGGAAACCACCCAGCACTGGGCTCTCCCTGCCATGTCCACCTCCTCAAAGGCAGGTTCCCAGCAGTCTGGTTGAAGCTGCAGGCCTCCATGGCCCCTTGTCCTGGAAGAAGGCTGCTTCCCTGGGGGCCAGGACAGCTGCCCCACCTCAGCCTGGCTTCCTCTTTGTCCCACCTGTCCAGAACCTAGCATGTCTGACCCTGAGGACACTTGCTTGGGTTGCGACATCTATGATCCAGAGACTCCCTGAAGCTGTACAAGCCTGGGTATCCCACAAAAGCTCACAGAGAACCTGGGGCTGGGCAGAGAGACCCAACTGCTCTCTGACTGGAGCCTGCTGGCCATTGGACCCTAGCAAGTCACTCAGTGTCTCTGAGCCTTCATTTCATCATCTGCAAAACAGAAAGTGCAGCCCTGACATCCTGAGGCTGCCTGGGAGGAAAGGAAAAGGGTGTGCAGAGCCGGGAGCCGGGAGATGTCACCTCTGTCCCCTTCTGGATATTCAACTCCTTAGCACAGCGATGGCCTCAGGCTCAACCATAGACAGAAAGCTCCCGAGAACCCATCAGTTCTGCTGGGCATGGGCTGCCCTGAGCCCCGGGTTCCTCCAGGCTCTAGCAGGCTAGGTCCTCCTGCTTCCCCTCTTCCCTCTCCAGTCTTGACAAATGAACATCATTGATCCCTGAGGTGAAGGCATTGATGGGTCCCCAACAGCAGGTTCAGGTTACTCTCATGCTCAAAGCCCTTCAGTGCCTTCCCACTTCTCTTAAGGTAAAGCCTAACTCCTCAGCCTGCCAGGCAAGGCCTTTCAGGACCTGGCCCTGCCTGCTTCCCCAGGTCCATCTCCTCCGGTACCAGGACCCTTGAGCTGTGCTGAGCAGCTTCCCTCAAAGCCAAGCTCCCCGCCCTCTGACCCTCTGCACACAGTTCCCTCTGCCAGGAGCAGTATGCCTGATTCTCCCCAAATGCACACGTGTGTGCACCCCATACACATTTACACACAAGGCTCAACCATGATACCCCCTCCTTTGAGTGGCCCCACCCCTGCAAGGGTCCCTCCCCTGGACTCTTCTCAAACCTCAGCTTCCCCCTTGCATTTCTAGATTTCTTCATCAGCCTGTCTCCCGGCCCAGGTCCCATCCCTGCCGTGGGCACTCTAGGCCTGGGACTGTTTCTTCTCGGCCCCTTCCCACCCTCCATGCTTGGCCCAGGAGGCAGCCAAATGTAGACTGAGCCACTCCCAGCCAAGGGCGACTTTACATTTCTCAGGACTCCCTGGTGACCAGCACCCAACACCATGCAGGAACGCAAATCTCCTGCCAGCTCCCACTTACCCAGGCTTTCCACCAGGCCATCTCTTTCACTTCGGGGGCACCTTTCTCACGGAGATGAAGAGACACAGGTTGGCCTCTGCTGGGACTCCACACGTCTGGCTCCTGCAGCTGAGGAGTGAGCAGGCCGCTCACTTGGGTGTGGGGGTGCAAGCCCTCCCAGGGCAGCGCTACACCTGCCTGCCGCCCCCTCGCCCCCGGGCTCTGCCTGGCTTTGGGCGTCTCCTGTGGCTCCCAGGCCCCACCCAGACACTGCCCAGGCCTGCTCTGGGGAATTACACAACTCACTGGCAGATATTTGGGCTGTGGCTGTTACGCATACTGGAAATTCTTAGCTCCAGCCTGCGAAAGCCCCACTCAGTAAACACAGCTCCATGTTGATTAGGCTGGTCTCAAACTCCCGACCTCAGGTGATCTGCCCACCTTGGCCTACCAAAGTGCTGGGATTACAGGTGTGAGCCACCGCACCCAGCCCATTTTCATCATTCCTAATAGCCATGGAGTATGCCATTTAATCAACTGTATATGCAATATTATTTTTTTTTCCGGGGGCAAGGGGCTCATATTCATCACAGATGGGAGGCCAGTTGGTGAGAAGGTGGCAGGCGGCACAGCCACCTTATACAGCATGCCATACTGGTCCACTGTCAGACCGGTGATGGCCTCAGCTCCATCACCCCCCAGGCTGACTCTGGCTCCTGCCTGGCTCTGCCCAGCCACCACAGCCCCTCGGGACCATTCAGAGGCATCACTGGAGGATGTGTGGTTAGTGGAGCAGCTGGTCATGGGGAGGTCTCGTTTCTTTGGTGGAAGGCATTCCACCTTCTCTCATGAGAAGAAAGAGAGAGGGCCAGGCATCTTGCCCACTACTACCCACTATCAACACTTAGGCCTGACATCAGTCTCTAAATAAATATTCTGGGCCAGGTGCAGTGGCTCACGCCTGTAATCCCAGCACTTTGGGAGGCCAAGGCAGGTGGATCATGAGGTCAGGAGATCGAGACCATCTTGGCTAACATGGTGAAACCCCATCTCTACTAAAAATACAAAAAATTAGCCAGGAGTGGTGGCGGGCACCTGTAGTCCCAGCTACTGGGGAGGTTGAGGCAGGAGAATTGTTTGAACCCAGGAGGCAGAGGTTACAGTGAGCCAAGAACATGCCACTGCACTCCTGCCTGGGCAACAGAGTGAAACTCCGTCTTTAAAAAAAAAAAATCAACAGCAGCTTCTAGGATGATGAGCAGTGACTCAGTCTCTCCTTGACCAGATTCTGTAACTGTCCAGCAGAAATGCTTATCTGATCTCTGCGAGAACAGGAAGCAGCTCAGTGGGGGCCTTCCTTGCTAAATTCTTCATCAAGCTGGTCTGTTATCTGCCCTGAGTCCTGCAAGAACATCTCAAGAAAAATCCCAAAAACATGCAAGACAAATGAGGGTCCTCCCTTAGCATGTCTTGAAGCACTGAGGCACCTGAAAGCTGTATATAGTTTCTGGGGAAACAGTTTTTTAGGAAATGTAGCACAGACACTAACTATTCTTCCAGAAGAGCCCCTTCCTGACATGAAAGATCTTACTTAGCATGACAGAGAAGCATCTGTTTCATCATGAGGACCTATCCAACCAGCAGCAGGGGCCCCAGTGCCAGTGTCCACCTCAGCAGAGGAGACACGGGGGACATGCAAAGTGTTTCTGTTGAAAAATACTTCACCTAGGGTGACTATAGTTAGCAGCAATGTATTGTATATTTCAAAGTAGCTAGAAGGCTAGGTACAGTATCCCATGCCTATAATCCCAGCATTTTGGGAGGCCCAGGCAGGCAGATCACCTGAGGTCAGGAGTTTGAGACCAGCCTGGCTAACATGGTGAAACCCCATCTCTACTAAAAATAAAAACAATAAAAAATAATAATAATAAAAATTAGCCGGACATGGTGGCCTGCGCTTGTAGTCCAAGCTACTTGGGAGGCTGAGGCAGGAGAATTGCTTGAACCTGGGAGGCAGAGGTTGCAGTGAGCCGAGATCACACCATTGCCCTCCAGCCTGGGCGACAGAGCAAGACTCTGTCTCAAAACAAAAACAAAAACAAAAACAAAAAAACAAAGTAGCTAGAAGAAGGGACTTGAAATGTACCCAACACATAGTAATACCAAATATTCAAGGTGATAGACACCCCAAACACCCTGATTGATCACTATTCTGTGCATGTAATAAATACTTAAATGTACTCCATAAATATGTAAAATATGTTATGTCAACAAGAAAATACTTTGCCTAGTGTTTCCATCCAAATGGGAATAAATCCAGCGCTCAATGTACACGTCATGGCTTTTTATTGAGACTGGGGAAGGGCCGTGGTAGCAGGTGCACTCACTGTCCAAGTTTGTCCAGACTTTCTGCTGCATGGGTGATGGCATTTGTGACTGTGTTGGTCACTGTCTCGGTGATTTCCTTCATCTTTTTGTCCCCTGACTCCTGGGCTTTCTTTATGGCTTCAGCAATGGCTGTTGGAAAGAGGAAGAATGTCCTAGTGATCCACCTGCTGAACTTGTGTCCCCTTGAGTGGCCTGTGGGATGTGGCCATCTTAATGGATTAGTCTCTGGAGTGGCCCGATGGGACCAAGGGCAGCAGGATTACTGCAGAATGAATTTGAATTTGGTTTTAATTTCCCCAACAACTTGCATTTCTTCAACTGTGAGTGAGACTGAGCATCTACTCATGGGTACATTGCCTGCTTATCCTTTTTTCTGGAAAATGCCTGCTTATGTCTTTTGACCATTTTTATATTGGGTTGTTATACTGGATTATCATTTTTATGACAAATATTTTTCATCAGTGTATAATTTTTCTTTTGGCTTGGTTTATAGTGTTTTTTTTTTTTTTGGCTATAGAAAATTTCAGTTTTGGATTGTCAAATTTACTTAATATTTCCTTTATGGCGCTGATTTTTTTGTCATAGTTCTAAAGATTCTCCCCTCTCCAAGATTAGGCCAAAGTCTCTGAAGTTATTACTATGTCTAAATGTTTATGATGTCTTCCCCCTCAAAACTCATATGCTGAAATCCTCAGTCTTAATGTAATGATATTAAGGGGTGGGGCCTTTGGGAGGTTGAAATTAGCACCCACATAAAAGAGACCACGGAGAGCTAGCTCCTTCCACCATGTGAGGACAGAGCTGGGCCCATCCATGAACCAGAAAGACTCCCTCACCAGATGCCAAATGTGCCAGTGCCTTCCTTGATCTTGGACTTCCCATCCTCCAGGAGTGTGAGAAATAAATTTCTGTTGTTTCTAAGTCACCCAGTTTATGGTTTGTTTTTGTTTTTGAGACAGAGTCTTGCTCTGTCACCCAGGCTGGAGTGCAGTGGTGCAATCTCAGCTCACTGCAACCTCCACCTCCCAGGTTCAAGGGAGTCTCCTGCCTCAGACTCCTGAGTAGCTGGGATTACAGGCATGTGCCACCATGCCCAGCTGGTCTTTGTATTTTTAGTAGCAATGGGGTTTTACCATATTGGTCAGGCTGGTCTCGAACTCCTGACCTCAGGTGGCCCACCCGCCTTGGCTTCCCGAAGGGCTAGGATTACAGGCGTGAGCCACTGCACCTGGCCTATGGTATTTTATAATAGCAGCCTGAGCTAAGATGGTTATCTCCTAGTAAGTTAATAAATTCATTTATGTAAATGTAAGTCCTTCATCTACCTGGAATCTATTTTGTTGAAAAGGAATGAGATATACACATGCTTTGTACATAGTACTACTCATAGCTCACACACATCAATTTAACATTTAACATAGAATTTTACATGTTAAATTTTTTTTTTTTTTTTTTTTTTTTTTTGAGACAGAGTATCACACTGTCGCCCAGGCTGGAGTGCAGTGGCGCGATCTCGGCTCACTGCAAGCTCCACCTTCCAGGTTCACGCCATTCTCCTGCCTCAGCCTCCCGAGTAGCTAGGACTACAGGTGCCCGCCACCGTGCCCAGCTAATTTTTTGTATTTTTAGTAGAGATGGGGTTTCACCGTGGTCTGGATCTCCTGACCTCATGATCCGCCCACCTCAGCCTCCCAAAGTGCTGGGATTACAGGCGTGAGCCACCGCCCCCAGAAATTTTTTTTTTCTTTTTTTTTGAGACCGAGTCTCGCTCTGTAGCCCAGGCTGGAGTGCAGTGGCATGATCTAGGCTCACTGCAAGCTCTGCCTCCCAGGTACACACCATTCTCCTGCCTCAGCCTCCCAAGTAGCTGGGACTATAGGCACCCACCACCATGCCCGGCTAATTTTTATGTATTTTTAGTAGAGACGGGGTTTCACCGTGTTAGCCAGGATGGTCTCGATCTCCTGACCTCGTGATCCACCCTCCTCAGCCTCCCAAAGTGCTGGGATTACAGGCATGAGCCACCGCGCCCTGCCATGTTAAATGTTTTGTCCCAGTGTGCTGTCACATAGTCTTGTGTGACTTTGTCTTCTTATTCCACAGAGAGAACCATCTGGACAGTGTCCTAACGCAGTACAGTCTGTGGCCTCTGATGAGCATAGATAACTGCCCCAGCCAAGAGGCTCTGAAAGGCTGCAACATTAGGGGCAGAGTTTGACCTGGTTAGTCAAAGAACAGGTTGGCCCAGCACCTAGCTTCCCTTCCTCCCTCCCTCCTTCCCTGCCCGACCTCAGCCGGCTGTACCTTTCTCTCCAGTCTCCTTGGCATGTCCCACCACCTCCTTCACCACTTCCTCCACGGCATGAACTGAACAGAGGAGACAAGTCCAGGGTGAGGGCTCAGAGCAGGCCGGCTGCCCCCGAGTCCAGGGTGAGGGTTCAGAGCAGAGCCGCTGCCCTCCCAGTCCAGGGTGAGGGCTCAGAGCAGGCCCACTGCCCTCCCAGTCCAGGGTGAGGGCTCAGGGCTGGCTTATCCTCACAACAGACCTATACATCCCTGGGCATCCTAGATGGGGCTCTGGGGTGCCACCCCCAGCCAGGACAGACTGGCTCATGAGAAGGACCTTCCCCCACAGCTGGCTTCATTTGGAGATGCCAGGGCCTTGGCTGCTGGGAGACGAGCTCAATGAGCCCCATGAGGGCATGGGTCCCTGAAGCCCCTTGGCCCTGCCCGGCCTGGAATGGCAATGAGCAGGCAGTCTTGCCAGCTGAGACATGAAGCCCAGGCTGGGCCTGTGTGCCAGGTCACACCCCTCTCAGGATGTGCTAGCGCCTGCCTCAGGTTGGTTTCCAAAGCCTCATCCAGTAAGACCAGGTCTCTCAAAGCAATTCCTCCAACAAAACGGAATTCTCTGCCTACTTCAGAGTTTTTTAAAGTGTGGGTGGTAGTGTGCTAGAACTGAAGGATTTCAGAGTCAGAAGAAATGGTTCTTATTCTAACTCTACCTTCCACCTCTTGGTTCCCTCATCTTTAGAATGGGAATCTGTTGGGATGATGAGACCCAACACCAGGTCACGGGGGCGGCAAGTCCAGCGGAGTCAAAGGAATGAGAAAGAGACAGTTCGAGAGAGAAAATGGGAGCAGGGCGCTATCGCGAGTGTGGAGGCTGCGAAGGCCCCGAGTTCTGGGAGCCCACGCTATTTATTGGTGATCTAACAAAGAAACAGGTGGTGAGGATGTGGAGGTTGAAAGGCAACAGTGTATCAAATGAATGAGAAACATATGGCTACTTGAGAGAATGGCAGTGCTAGAAGCAAGGAGCCAGCAAGTCTAGCAAGCCCTGCCTCAGCTTTTCTCCCAACGCTGAGCTTTTCTCCCAACAGGAATCATAAAAAACTCAGAGGCTAGTGAAAGGTTAAAGCAGGTGGTCCACACCAGCTGCAGAGTCAAAAACAAAATACGCATCTGCTGCCATTTAGAAAGAGGACACAAACTCAGGCAAGACTTTTTCACACGATGACCCATGAGTGGGGCCTGGCTGGGCCTCCCCACACATACCTGCTGACCTCTGAATACAACATACACTTCGGGACCAGGTGCAGTGGTTCACGCCTGTAATCCCAGCACTTTGGGAGGCCAAGAGGAATGGATCACTTGAGGTCAGGAGTTTGAGACCAGCCTGGCCAAAATGGCGAAACCCCGTCTCTGCTAAAAATACAAAAATTAGTCGGGCGTGGTGGTGGGTGCCTGTAATCCCAGCTACTCAGGAGGCTGAGGCATGAGAATCACTTTGAACCCAGGAGGCAAAGGTTACAGTGAGCCGAGATCGCACCACTACACTCCAGCCTGGGTGCCAGAGCAAGACTCCATTTCAAATACAAATACAAATAAAAATAAACATGCTTTAGGGGACTTGGATGAAATTGAAAATGCCCTTTTTGACTTTGAACAGACTTGGTGACTTGTTAAGAAATCTTTGAAGCTTTAAAGTTATGGTAAAAATAAAAATCCATCTTCCTTTTCCTGCATAGGTTATTCAGAATAGGCTGTTTTGACAAGAAAGGCTCCCCAGATTTCCAGAGGGAAGGGTCCAAGCTGCCAGTGTTCACCCAGCACCAGGACTCATGCCCTGCCCCCAGGAGACCTCCCCAGGTCTGCACCCCTCAACTCCGTGCTGACTTGGTAGAGCAGGAGACCAGGGTTCCTGAGGGGCCAAGGCCTCTCCGCAGGTCCTCGCCTGCCTACGTAGATCCGCCTCCCACAGACTCAGTCTGCCCCAGATCCCCCCAGCCCAGGTAGAAAGGAGCCCCGGGTCCTCACTGGCTCCCTAGGTGGCCTTCTCGGTGCGGTGGGCCAGGCCCTCGGCAGCCAGCTTCCCCAGGCCTCCCAGCATCGTGTGGCAGCAGACAGTGGCAAACTAGGATGCTGAGGACTGGCCCAACATGCTTTTATAGCTGCCTCTGGTGCCTGTCTAGGCTCTGGGGCAATAAGCCCTCACCCCAGCCCAGTAGGAGGCTGGACAGGTGAGTCAGTGAGGGCGGCAGCAGGAAGGGGCTGGGCGGAGCCACCCTGGAACTAGGGTGGCAGCATCCCCTGACAGCATGAGGCTTCTGTAACCCTGTCCTAGGGACCCCGTGAAGGATAGGGGCAGGGAGCAGGGCTGGACAGTAGAGATCTGGACATGCTTCTTCCTTGAGGCAGAGGGCCTGAGTGCCAGCCCCCCTGAGACCAAAGCTTCCCAAGCCTGGGTACTGATATGTACCTGGAGACAAGGCCTAGGATTCCAAGCCTGCTGCTCAAGGTCCCCAGTGTGGCCTAGTAAGAGGTTTGGGGGTTCTATGGGCCTGGAGACCTGGGCAGTCCTTTGGGTCATGAACACAAGTGGAATGAGGGTGACTGCCCTCCCCATTCCTGGAGACCCTGGCTCTGCAGAGCAGTTTGCGGCCTCCATGGGACAGGGTGGGCCGTTCAGGGTGGTGCCTTGCCTGAGTCAGAGGGGGGCACAGCACTGGGCAGAAGCGTAGTCACCTGGTGTCACTCAGCTGATGCTCACTCACCCAAGAGGCTCTGTGAGGTCAGCGGTGCCCTCCTATCCCCTGGCAGTCCTGGAGGAGTAGACAGAGGCCTCCACCACCACTCAGGGAGATGCTTCTGGCCTTAGCTAGAATCCCCTAGAAAGCAGCTTCCCTGGCTCCTGGTGCATCGCATGAGGAGTGGCAGGGCTGCTCCCTAGTTACTCATGATGGACAGACATGCCTCAAGCCACCTGCCACATGCTGCTTCCCTTAGTCACCAGCCCAACCTGAGCCTCCGTTTCCTCATCTGTAAAATGGGCATAGCGTGCCTTCTTGGCTGTGTCCCTAATCATCCCTGAGACAAAGCATGCAAGCTCCTGGTAAACACCTGTTCCCTCCACTCATCATTGAGGTGCCCTTTGGCAGTGAGCTCTGACCAACCGGTAGGGTGTGCCAAGGAGTGACTGGGACGTGAGGCTGCCTTGGAGCCAGAGGGCTGGGGAATGTGACTTCTGCTGGCCAGGAGCCAAGGAGAGGTCTTCCCATGCTCCTACTTCTGGGGTGCAGGCCTGTGGCAGGGGTCCGAGGCTGTCTCCCCAATGCAGGCTCCTGGAGCTGCTCTCCTGGATGTGTCAGGGCCTGATTAGTTTACTGGACTGTGGGCCCTCCCAGCCTGGGACTCTGGAGCTGAGACCCTCTTGCATTCCTGCATGGTGTTTGCGGGCTCCAGGGCTACGGCCAGTAACCCTAGGGTGGACAGTGGGTATCGTGGGCAGCAGGACCTCTGGGTCTCAAGACTGTGGCCCCACACATGCCATTGCTGTCTCCTTTGGGCAGGGGTGAATCGGGGCTTCAACAATTTAGAGGGGCCTCTTTATGAAAAAGAATACAATAATATGATTCTTGCACATTTTTCATTTATATACGTATGAACTTCTGGACCCAGAAGGGGCTGTGAAAGTCGGGGGCCTGGAGCTCAGGCGGGTCCAGATGACCCTGTCCTCCTTTTGTAACAGCCAGAGTCCAGGATGCTTTGCCCAGGGCATTGGGCTGGCACTGCAGAGGCCTGGGGGATGGGGCGACACCTGGGACATGGCTGGTGGGAATTGTTCTAGGAAACCTCAGGGATTCTCCCTGGACCTGTCAAAGCCCCTTCCCTGTTTCTTCTGAGGCTGTGTCCCCCCCACTCGCACAAGGGTCCTTTCTATGCCTGCTCCCCTGATAAATGTCATCTGCCTGCTCTAGAATGGCTTCCAGACCCCACAGACCCCCTCCTCATGAGCTCCCACCCTAGGGTACTCTCCACCAGTCCGCGCTTTCAGGAGCTCACCAGACCCAGACAGCCTGTTGTCAGAGCTCATCCACACAGCAGGACCCTGGCCCACTGCCCAGCCCAGAGCCAGGCCCACCACGGCCTCTGGGGACAACTGCCCTTCCCCCCACCCCCTCCACATGGTCCCCTGCCCATGAGACCCTGCCCTGCTAATTTAATGCACTGCCTTGGTGTGAGCACTGTGATTCTAATGACAACACACCATGGCCTTCTGGGTGAGGCTGGGTCCAGACACAGATCCCAAATGCCTGCTGGGGAGAAGGCAAGAGGCCCGGGGAGGCTCAGGACAAGACATGGGTCCCAGGCCCTGGTGCCCTCCCTCTTGGCCTTCCAGCTGCTGCTGCTGTGACCAGATTCCCGTTCACCCAGCCCCGTCCATGGGCCCCAGCAAGCCATCTGTGCCCCACAGAGGGCAGACCCCTAAGAGTGGGACCCCTTTCTAGCCAAAGAACATGAGATAGCCCCAAATCCTCCTAAACATGATGGATCCTGGTCTGAGGGGCTGGGCTCAGGTGACTCCTGCAGGGAACTTCACCTGCCTGGATGAGGTCAAGTGTGAATCAGGTGGGGCCTGCCCTCCACCACCCCATCATGGAAGAGGTCCAGCCCACAGTGGGCCCAAGAGGGCCGCCCTTGGACCTAGGGACCCAAGTCAGCATATCCTGAGTCAGAAGGTCAAGTCCAGCCTCCCCTCAGGCAGGGAGAATCTGGCTTTGACAGGAGCAGATAAATTCTCAAGGTGGAATTTGCCCAACAAACTAGTTTGGCAAGGGACTAGCTGGCTGAATCATTGAGTCGAGGACAGCCAATGTTTCCAATAGCAATTTGCCAACTTAGCAATTACCAATTCTGAAAAACAATTTGTTTATTTGAAACACTTAAATACTTAGGCTGTCTCATGTCTGAAGCATGATGATGCCTTGCGTGATTTAAAGGACAGACGTCACGAATGCCAAGAGTTTTGTGGCGGTCCATCCTGCCAGTGTCTTCTCCCACTTTTGTTCTGTGGATTTGAGCTCACAGTTTATGCTGTGCCCACCGCCTGCCCACCCTAACGAGACTCCTGGAGACTTGGCTGGCCAGTCACCAGAGGAAGAGGGGCCCAGCAGCACGCCAGCATTCACCCACCTGTGGGTATCAGTCAGGCTCCTGGTGGAAGCCAGAGGACATATTCGAATGGGTACTTGAGGAAAGGGGCTGTTCACAGAAGTGTGGACCGAGTTAAGGGAACCAGTAAGAGATGAGGAATGTCCTGGACCAGCAAGAGTGGGAGCTGTTATCTCCCTGGGTCTAGAGGGACAGGAAAGGTGTCCACAGATCCCAAAGAGAGCTGTGGCTGTAGAGGAGGATCATCAGGAGCTGCAGCCATCAGTAGAAAGATGTGGCCACTGCCAAACCAGCAAGGAAGAATCTGAGTGAATAACCACCTCTCCTCTCTCTCTCTCTCTCCCACCTCCTATGACGTCCTCCACTGTGTGAATTCCACTAGGGCCAGACAGTGAGGCACCCTGCTGATGCAGTCCAAGGAGCGGGCAGAGAGGAGCCAGTGGGTATGAAGGGGAAACAGATAAACAGAGAATTCCAGCTCACTCTGCGGGATTTCTGGGTCTGATAGAAACACGGCATTATTATTATTATTATTATTATTATTATTATTATTATTATTATTATTATTTTGAGATGGAGTTTTGCTCTTGTTACCCAGGCTGAAGTGCAGTAGCATGATCTCGGCTCACTGCAACTTCTGCCTCCCGCGTTCAAGAGATCCTCCTGCCTCAGCCTCCCGAGTAGCTGGGATTACCGGCACATGCCACCATGGCTTGCTAATTTTTGTATTTTTGGTACAGATGAGGTTTCACCATGTTGAACAGGCTGGTCTTGAACTCCTGACCTCAGGTGATCCACCTGCCTCGGCCTCCCAAAGGGCTGGGATTACAGGCATGAGCCACTGCCCAGCCTGCAGCAGCTTAATTTTACAGTGTCCCTTTTCTCCTTCTGGAAAGTATATGGGGCAACAACAAGACTGAGGAGGAAGAGGAGGAGGAGGAGGAGGAGGAGGAGGAGGAAAAAGCCCATCATCAATACACACATCAAACTCAACTTCAGAGAAATTAGGAAGCTGGGAAGCCACGTAAACCCAAAAGCAGGAGACACCAGCAGAACCAACGCAGGAAGCCAGGGAAGTGCAGAAGAACAGGGCATGGGGGGCAACCCAGGGGGGAATCTTCACTGTTGCCAGCAACACACACTCCCAGCAGGAGAGGACCCTCAGAGTGAGAACGCAGAGCTGGAGAAGTGAAGAAGGAGCAGGTGGTGCCCGGGGAAGTCCAGGGGTGTGGGATCTGAGAGCACCCCTTCCCAAGAGAGGCGGGAACACTTGGGAAGGCAGGGCTGAGTCCCTGGAGGCTGTATCTGGGAAAGGAGGCTGGCAGTAGAATCTTCCTGAAGCCGAGTGGGTTCTGAGAGGCAGAGGGGCAGTGGTACAGAGGTGAGGCTGACGCTTCTGTGCAGGAAGGGCAGGCTCCTGAGGAAGGGAGCCCCGAATGCTCTCCACTAGATTCCCAGGGAGCCCCACTCCCTCCACAGGGACCTCGCGCTGACATCTGGGAAATGCCATTCATACTGCAACGTCCGACACACTGCCATGAATGTGAGGGTTTTGTGACTGATGGGGTAGGTTTCTCTCTTCCAACTTAATAGTATAATGTCCATTTATTCCTCCCCCAGCCTCCCTGAACATGCACCTCTTAGATAGCCACAGTACGGTGATCAGAACCAGGAAATCCACATTCTCATATTTAACTATATTAAAATTATTTCACAAAATAACCAATTTTATTAATTTAATTACATACATTTAACTAATGTTTAAATATATTTAAATAATTTAACTGATTTAAAATGAACATATTCGCTAAACAAAAGACCTTATTGGAGTTTCACCACTTTTTCCACTAATGTCCTTTTTCTGTTCCCAAATTCCACCCAGGATCACGCTGCATTTAGTTATTTCTTAGTCTCTCGCCGTTTTGTAGGACTGCAATAACAGTTCCTCAATCTTTCCTTATCTTTCATAACCGTGACATCTTGAACCAGTACTGATCAGTATTTGTGAAATGTTCCTCGATTTGGGATTGTCTGATGTATTTCCATGATTGGACTGAAGTTACGAACTTTTGGCAATTACAGCACAAAAATGATGCGGAATCCTTCCCAGTGCATTCCATCAGAGTTATGGCATTGATAGTTCTTCTTACTGATGATGTTGAACTTGTTCATTTGGTTCAGGTTTCTGCTGGGTTTCTCCATTGTAAAGTTACTATCTTTCCCCCTCATAGGGGGAAAGATCTTAGGAGAAATACTTGGAGACTATGAAAATTTTGTATTTTCTCAAACTTTAAAATTTTTTTTCAGGCCAGGCGCCGTGGCTCACGCCTGTAATCCTAGCACTTTGGGAAGCCGAGGTGGGTGGATCACCTGAGGTCAGGAGTTCAAAACCAGCTTGATCAACATGGAGAAACCCCATACCTACTAAAAATACAAAATTAGCCAGGCATGGTGGTGCATGCCTGTAATCCCAGCTACTCAGGAGGCTGAGGAAAGAGAATTGCTTGAACCCGGGAGGAGAGGCTGCCGTGAGCTGAGATCGTGCCATTGCACTCCAGCCTGGATAACAAGAGCAAAAGTCCATCACAAAAAAAAAAAAGGCCAGGCGCAATGGCTCACACCTGTAATCCCAGCACTTTGGGAGGCCAAGGTGGGTGGATCACCTGAGGTCAGGAGTTGGAGACCAGCCTGACCAACATGGAGAAACCCCATCTATACTAAAATAAAATACAAAATTAGCTGGGCATGGTGGTGCATGCCTGTAATCCCAGCTACTCGGGAGGCTGAGGCAGTAGAATTGCTTGAACACGGGAGGTGGAGGTTGCTGTGAGCCGAGATCCTGCCATTGCACTCCAGCCTGGCCAATAAAAGCAAACCTCCATCTCAAAAAAAAAAAAACAACAAAACACCTATTTTGACAGCCGGGCATGGTGGCTCACACCTGTAATTCCAGCACTTTGGGTGGCCAAGGCAGGCGGATCACCTGAAGTCAGGAGTTCAAGACCAGCCTGGCGAACATGGTGAAACCCCGTCTCTACTAAACATACAAAAATTAGTTGGGCATGGTGGCATGTGCCTGTAAGTTCCAGCTACTTGGGAGGCTGAGGCAGGAGAATCACTTGAACCCAGAAGGCAGAGGTTGCAGTGAGCCGAGACGGCGCCATTGCACTCCAGCCTGGGCAATAGAGTGAGGGATCTCAAAAAATTATAATAAAAAAATAATAATTCTATTTTGAATTGTGGTAAAATATACATAAAATTTACTACCTTAACCACTTCTAAGTGGCAGTTGGAACAGGGGTCAAGGAGAGCACTTGGGTTGGGTAATGTAGGGTATATTCACATTGCCATGCAACCAATCTCCAGAACTTTTTCATCTGACAAAACCAAAACTCTATATCCACTAAGCAACTTCCCATTTTCTCCCTTCCCCATGTCCCTGGCAAACCCCGTTCTACTTTCTGTTTCTATTAGTTTGCTTACTCAGTCTGGACGCTTCACATAAGTGAAGGAACACCGTATTTGTCTTTTTCTAACTGGCTTATTTCACTTAGCATAATGTCCTCGATGTTCATCCATGTTGTAGCATGTGTTAGAATTTCCTTCCTTTTTAAGGCTGAAGAATATTTTATTGTATGTATATACCACATTTTATCAATTCATCTGCCTATGGACAATTCGGCTGCATCCATCTTTTGACGAGTGTGAATACCACTGCTATAAATATCAGTGTACAAATATTTCTATGAGACCTTGCTTTCAATTATTTTGGCTATATACCCAGAAGTGATATTGCCGGATCATTTGGTAATTCTATTTTCAATTTTTTGAGAAACTGCCTGTCCTGTGCTGAGCAGGTCTATATAAACCTACCCGCAAAGGCCAAGGAACCTGAGATACCAAAGAAAGAGGCTGACAAATCCAGTTTCTCAGAAAGAAACATTTAATAGGCGTTTATGAACAGAAGGCAAGTCAGGGATGGCACCAAGATAAGATGGTGGATCCCTGTGCCATCACCCCCACCCCCCCGACCCAGGGCTTCTATAGCATAGGGGAAGGGTAATGCGGGCTTCAGCAGGGATGTGTATGGCCAGACACGGTGGCTCACGCCTGCAATCCCAGCTCTTTGGGAGGCCAAGGTGGGCGGATCACCTGAGGTCAGGAGTTCCAGACCAGCCTGGCCAACATGGTAACACCTCGTCTCTACTAAAAATACAAAAATTAGCCAGGCGTGGTGGCAGGCGCCTGTAATCCCAGTTACTCGGGAAGCTGAGGCAGGAGAATCGCTTGAACCCAGGAGGTGAAGTTTGCAGTGAGCTGAGATTGTGCCACTGAAGTCCAACCTGGGAGACAGAGTGAGACTCAGTCTCAAAAAATAAAAAATATATTTTTTAAAAAGATAAAATAGAAATCGTAGATGAATTGTTGGAACTGGGATTAATCAGAATATGGCAGATTAGCATCCAAGATGGAATTGCTTTATTCTCATTCAAGGTTTCCCTCATTCTTCACTCTCCCCATGCTGGTCACCTTGCTGTTTGTTCCTCAAACACATATGAAATGCGTTTCTGTCTTGGCAGTCATCCTGCTACCTGTAATGTCAACACTGCTTTCTGTTGTCCCTTCAGTCAGGTCACTGTTCAAATAGCTCTCTAGACAGGCTCTTCCTTATCATTCTACTTAAAATAGCCCCCAATCACTCTGTGTCCCTTTAGCCTGCTTCCTCTTCCTGCTATTTCATACTACCTGAAAAAATACTTGAACTTCCTAGAACATAAGCTCATAAAAGCAAGAACTGTGCTCCACCTCTCCTCTCCTCTACCCCAGCACTCAGAAGAGCAACAGAGTCAGCATCCAGTGAGTGTTCATGAATCAAGTCACTGCTTGGCAGAATTCAGCACTGGGACCACAGCCTCGCCTATCTTCAACTCTTTCTCCTTCTGCTTTTCCTCCTCCCACTCTAGTAGCCACTCTTCTGGGGGCTTGTCCCTTAAATGATTAGTCCTTACTGACCTATTTTCTGTCCACTTTATCTGTTTTTGAGAGAGGGTCTCACTCTGTTGCCCAGGCTGGAGTGCAGTGGCATGAATATGGGTCACTGCAGCCTCCACCTCCTGGGCTCAAGTGATCTTCCTGCCTCAGCCTGCCATGCCATGTAGCTGAGGCCACAGGCATGTGCCACCATGTCCAGCTAATTTCTTGATTTTTTTTTGGTAAAAATGGGTCTCACTTTATTGCCCAGTCTGGTCTTGAAGTCCTACACTCGAGCAGTCCTCTCAACTTGGCCTCCCAAAGTGCTGGGATTACAGGCATGAGATACTGCACCTGGTCTTATTTTTTCTTTTCTTAAGATACAGGGTCTCACCATCTGGCCCAGGCTGGACTCAAACTGCTGAGCTCAAGTAATTCCCCCACCTCAGCCTCCAAAGTAGCTAGGACTAAAGGCATGAAAACACCATGCTTGGCTTGTCCAATTTCATTCTACACACTTTCTTGGTGTTTAAACAGCTGCTGTTGCTCTTCATTCTGTAGCTCTACATCAGATTCATGCTCTAGTCCTGTATATCCAAATGATGACTAGAGGCTGCCGGCTCTGCTCTTTCAAAGGCACAATGAGCGTAGCCCATCTACAAAACTCTCCCTTTTCCAATCCAGCTTTCCCTCCTGCATCACCTATCTCTCTACATCTGGAACCATCGGCAGCTGCCTTCATAAGGCACCTCGGTCTGGCATTCGGAAAACCACCCTGTCTTGCCAGAGCCTCTTGGTCTTGGGTAGCAAAAGCTGTATGCAATCTAAATCAAGCTTTCAATCATGAGAAATCACATTCCTTCTTTTCCCTTTGTAATATACTCGTGTTTTTTTTTTTTTCCTTTCTCAATAAGCAAATTGTACCACCATCTTATTCTGAGATGCTCCTTTTTAAAAGCTGTAGATCACATTAATGGAAGTGGTTACTGCTGGGAATATTTTCCATGTGCAATGATCTGTAACCCTCTTTTTCTTTTTTTTGAGACCGAGTCTCGCTCTGTTGCCCAGGCCAGAGTGCAGTGGCACAATCTCTGCTCACTGCAAGCTTTGCCTCCTGAGTTCATGCCATTCTCCTGCCTCAGCCTCCCAAGTAGCTGGGACTACAGGTGCCCGCCACCACGCCCAGCTAATTTTTTTTTTTGAGATGGAGTCTCGCTTGGTCGCCCAGGCTGGAGTGCAGTGGTGCAATCTCAGCTCATTGCAAGCTCCACCTCCTGGGTTCACGCCATTCTCCTGCCTCAGCCTCCCAAGTAGCTGGGACTACAGGTGCCCGCCACCACACCTGGCTAATTTTTTTTTTTTTTTTTTTGTATTTTTAGCAGAGATGGGGTTTCACCATGTTAGCCAGGATGGTCTTGATCTCCTGACCTCATGATCCGCCTGCCTCGGCCTCCCAAAGTGCTGGGATTACAGGTGTGAGCCACCACGCCCGGCCATGCCCAGCTAATTTTTTGTTTTTTTTTAGTAGAGATGGGGTTTCATGATGTTAGCCAGGATGGTCTCAATCTCCTGACCTGGTGATCAGTCCGCCTAGGCCTCCCAAAGTGCTAGGATTACAGGTGTGAGCCACTGCGCCCAGCCGAACTGTAACCTTCTTATCTCAACTAGCTGACATTATTACTTCACATCCAGTTCAATTTATAAATTAAGAGAGGTGCCATGGGCCGGGTACGGTGGCTCACGCCCGTAATCCCAACACTTTGGGAGGCCGAGGCAGGTGGATCACGAGGTCAGGAGTTCGAGACCATCCTGGCTAACATGGTGAAACCACGTCTCTACTAAAAATACAAAAAATTAGCCAGGTGTGGTGGCAGGCACCTGTAGTCCCAGCTACCTGAGAGGCTGAGGCAGGAGAATGGTGTGAATCCGGGAGGCAGAGCTTGCAGTGAGCAGATATCATGCCACTGCACTCCAGCTGGGGCAACAGAGCAAAACATCGTCCAAAAAAAAAATAAAAATAAAAATGAAAAAGAGGTGCCATGTGTACAAAAATCAATGCATATTTATGAACTTTTTTTCAAATATATTTTCACACATTTTATCTAAATACATAATACAGAAGCCTGTGTGACTTGGGCAATGTGGCCAGGAGGGCCTGAGACTAACACATCCACCTTGGCAAAAGGACATAAAATATGTCTTATGGTCAGAAAAATCAACATTTTGTGTATTCACTTAGTTTACGAAAAGTACTGAAAATGCTATTACTAGCTGAATTTGTGATTTCCTTTTGAAATTCTGAGTTATCCTTATTTTTCCCATTTTGTTTTTGCACCAAGGAGACTGCAGTCAAATAAAACAGATACTACACGCACTCATCGGGGCAGCCGTACTGCAGAAGCACGTTGATGCACTCCTGGCTGGAGGCCTGCCGGGCGTAGGTCAGCGCTGTGTTCCCGTGGGCATCTCGGGCCATGACGTCCACCCTGTACCAGATCAGGAGCTGCGCCAGGACCACATTCCCCTTGCGGCAGGCCAGATGGAGCGCCGTGCAGCCGTCTCCCTCCCCACAGGTCTCGTTCACCTCCTCACGGGAGCCATGTGCCAGCAGCAGGATGGCTGTCTGCAGGTCCTCATCAGCGGTGGCCCGCAGCAGGTGCTGGCCCAGGGACAGCTCAGTGCAGGGTAGTGGGGCCAGAAAGAGCTTCTTCTCATATTTGGAACGGATCCACCGTTCCTTCTCTTCCCTCGTGGACTTTACTGAGGGTTTTGTCTGCCCCTGGCTGCTCCCTTCCCAGATGCTGTTGGCTAGGTCATTGCCAATAGATGACATAACCTTCCTGAGCTCAACTGGCCAGTCATCCAGCTCCAGAGATCGCACACGGGAAAGGCGGGTGCCAAGACTGCAGTGGATTCCTGAGCATTCAATACACATGAGGACTCCCAAGTTCAAACTGGCCCACTTAGGATTCTGGGTCTCACAGTCCACACAGTGGGCATTCCCACGCATGTTTTGGATCGACTGCAGGGCCATGGCCTCGCTCTGGCTGGTCAGCTGGGACTTGCTTTTACTGCTCTCGCATGACTGCAGGCTGGCCACGATCTGGCTCTGGATGGCTTGGACCCAGGCATCCCGCTCCTCATATGTCGTGGCTTCAAAGTGCCACGTTTGGCCAGTGGCAGACACAATCATAAAGTTGTTGGTGCTTTTCTTCTTTAGGTGTTTCTTTTTATTGGCATGAGGAGAAGGGGGCAGGTTGAGCTTGGGGCTGGTGGTGCTGGAGATACTGGGGCTGAAGCATATGGAGTCACCCAGCCCGGTGTCCATGTCCTTGGATAGGCCATTGCTTTTAGAGCTGGAGATGGGTGCAGAGGCCGATGTGGCTAGGGATGGCCACTTTCCTGGGACTTTGATGGTAGATGTCCGAAGGTCAATCTCTTTTTTATGAATATTCTTCATATAATCACCTAAGCTTGAATAATAGGTGAGCACGCCATTGGAACACAGGGTGACGTATTTCTTTTTCCATGTCTTCAGCCATTTCCCACTTCGCTTTAAGAGCATGCCCTGTTTAATGGGGATGGCTCTGCTGCTCCCGATGGTGTCAGCATGATTCTCCGGGGCTTTCCTCTCTTTGTCTGGGTGACTCCCTTTCTCAGATGTAAACAGGTTGGACCAGCACATGGACCGCTTGCAAACGGGGGTGGGTGTGTTGGCAGTGGGAGGAACACTGAACTGAGGGTCCTCCTGGCTGGTGCTGGGAGTCGATGGAATGGAGGAGGAATAGTTATTTAAACTCCCACCTCCATTTCTGTTCTTCGTAATGTGCACGGTGGAAACCTGTGTGGAACAGAAGGAGGAATGGCTTCAAAAATTGGGTAGTGGCTTGCAGGGTCCTATAGACAGCTCACAATTACCTTTTAAAAAGATACATTTTCTGGGCCAGGCATGGTGGCTCACACCTGTAATCACAGCACTTTGGGAGGCCAAGGTGGGTGGATCACGAGGTCAGGAGTTCAAGACCATCCTGGCCAACATGGTGAAACCCTGTCTTTACAAAAAAAAGAAAAAAGAAAAAAAAATTAGCTGGGCATGGTGGCACATGCCTGTAATTCCAGTTACTCGGGAGGCTGAGGCAGGAGAATTGCTTGAACAGGGACCTGGGAGGCAGAGCCTGCAGTGAGCCAAGATCGCGCGATTGCACTCCAGCCTGGGCTACAGAAAGAGAGTCCATCAAAAAAAAAAAAAAAAAAAAAAAAAAAAGATACATTTTCTGTTGTTTGGATAGTATATTTACTCATACTAGCTCACTAACTAAACAGAGCTGCAGATCAGTTCTTACTCCAGCACATTCTTTTTACAACACTTAAGATGACTAAATGCAACATGAAATGGGGAAGATTTAAAAAAAGATGGCTTTGACTTCAGCATGAAACAGATACAAGTGTACAATGAAAATACAACCTCAATAAAAGTGCCACTTACCGCAAATGAGTTAACTGTTCATCAGGTATGCTCAAAGATCTATCTGCATCTCTATAAAATAAGAAAGCGCGTTACTTCAAAAACTGTTAATATCTTAGTATAATATTTGTTGAGTAAAATACTTCCTCCTGTGTGCTTTGGTGTTTACTTTACCAAAGCAGTTTTTACGAATTCTTCTCCTGGATCCTGACTTGCAGAGGGTTTCCTGACTTCTTCTTTCTCAGTACATCATGGCCTGTACCGTGAAGCCTTTTATATGATAACCAGTCAGAAATGCCCATGAGTATTGACTCTCCCTAACAGGCCATGGCAATAAACCAAACATATTTTCACTCTTCTAACCACACATTGAAACACAAGAATGTTCTACAAAGCAGTAGTAGTAAACTTTAATAAATGTAAATGTGATTCAGATTTCCTAGCTTCCTTTCTCTTTAGTTCTCTGTAGTATACTCTCATGATGTTTTTATGTATTTTCTGTTGTCTGAATGACAAACTCACCTGCCTTTTTAAGAGGCCAGTCTTTGATGAACTTTAAACTTTGTAAAACTAATGCATTGTGCCTGTGTATAAACCAGTGGTTCTCCAAATGTGCTGTGTGGACCTCTCGGGATCCCGAAGACCCCTTCCAGAAGGCCTAAGAGGTCATAACTGTTCTTTTTTTTTTTTTTTTTTTTTTTTTTTTTTGAGACCAAGTTTTACTCTTGTTGCCCAGGCTGGAGTGCAATGGTGTGATTTCGGCTCATGGCAACCTTCGCCTCCCAGGTTCAAGTGATTCTCCTACCCCAGCCTCCCAAGTAGCAGGGATTACAGGCACCTGTCACCACTCCTGGCTAAGTTTTGTATTTTTAGTAGAGATGTGGTTTCACCATGTTGGCCAGGCTGGTCTTGAACTCCTAACCTCAGGCGATCCACTTGCCTCGGCCTCCCAAAGTGCTGGGATTACAGGCCTGAGCCACTGTGCCTGGCCAACACTGTTCTGAATCATACTAATTAAACCTGAGAAAGCTGATGAAAAATTTTAAAAATTTGTGAAAGTCATTGCCTGCTTTTTCGTTGACACTTGCCATGATTGTATAAAAGCAAAAGTAGGTACAATGGCTGGTTTCTCAGCATAAATCAAGGCAGTGGTACCAATTACATTAGTAGTCATTCTATTCTTCACTGTCCCCTACAGGTAAAAAACATAGCCTGAATTTCTTAAGAACGTCTTTGATGAAGCAATAAAAATTAATGTTGTTAAATCTTGACATGTCTCTAATATTCTGAATAAGTGGAAAGTTAATGAGAAGTGCTTTTTTGTTTGTTTTTAAAGAATCCGTGATTTAACTGTGAACTGAAAAATCACTTTTTTCACAGAACATCATTTTTATTTAAAAGTACAACTGGGCCAGCGCAGTGGCTCACGCCTGTAAAATCCCAGCACTTTGAGAGGCCAAAGCAGGCAGATGGCCTGAGCTCCTTCAGGAGTTCGGGACCAGCCTAGGCAACATAACGAAACCGTGTCTCTATCAAACATATAAGAAAATTAGCCTGGCGTGGTGCCACACATCTGTGGTCCCAGCTACACAGGAGCCTGAGGTGAGAGGATTGCTTGAGCTGAGATCATGCCAATGCACTCCAGCCAAGTGACAGAGTGAAACTCGGTCTAAAAAACCAGTTCAACTATCATTCTCAAAAATAAATGAAGTGAGAGGTTGTCACTTCAAGGGAAATACGTATTTGTTCCCAATGATAAAATTTAAGCTTTCCTCTGGACTTTGAAAAACTTGTTCCTTCTACTGTAGGCTTGGCAGCTTTTCAATACTTAAAGGCGTGTTAAAGTAAGATTGGTGGTTAAACTAAAAGTGATTTTTGACACAATAAAACATAAACCAATATATTCCAAGTAACTAATGCATGATATTATAAATGCAAGTATGGAGCAAAAGATCCATTTACTGTGCAAGAAAGATCAATGAGTACTGATGGAATAAATTTATTAATATGTAAAATGCCACCGTAACTAATTTAAGAAACCACCACTTGTGAAGTTTTGATTTAGTGTTTTAACAAATACCCACAACTGTCTGAAAACTTTAAAAATACATCTTCTACCAACTACATATTTGCATGAGGTTAGGTCATCTTATTGCTTCTTTTTCTCTTTTTTTGAGACGGAGTCTCTCTCTGTCACACAGGCTGGGGTGCAATGGCGAGAACTCGGCTCACTGCAACCTCCACCTCCCAGGCTCAAGCGATTCTCCTGCCTCAGCCTCCCAAGTAACTGGGACTACAGGCATGCACTACCATGCCCAGCCACTTTTTGTACTTTCAGTAGAGGCGGGTTTTACCATGTTGGTCGGGCTGGTCTCAAACTCCTGACCTCAAGTGATCCACCCACCTCGGCCTCCCAAAATGCTGGGATTACAGGTGTGAACCACTGCGCCCCACCAGCTTATTGCTTTTTTTGTTTGTTTGTTTAGACAGAGTCTTGCTCTGTCACCCAGGCTGCAGTGCAATGGCACCATCTCAGCTCTCTGCAACCTCCGCCTCCCAAGTTCAAGCGGTTCTCCTGCCTCAGCCTCCAGAATAGGTGGGACTACAGGTGCGTGCCACCATGCCCAGCTAAGTTTTTGTATTTTTAGTAGAGACGGGGTTTCGCCGTGTTAGCCAGGATGGTCTCGATCTCCTGACCTTGTGATCCGCCCACCTCAGCCTCCCAAAGTGCTGGGATTACAGGCGTGAGCCACTGTGCCCAGCCTCATATTGCTTCTTTGAAGCAAATTGCAAAGAAAGCTCTAGAGAATCCATTTGTCTCCTATTAAGCTCAACATGCGAGACTTTAAATAATATAAACAAATGACACACTTTTTACTCAACTTTTTGTTGTAGAAAAGTTTTTTTTCAATGAAAAACTTCTGTTAACAATACTGTTCTCAAGGAATATTTTCTGTTTTTATAACCTGGGTCATGGGTTACTACTGATATCTAGTTGGTAGAGGCCATGAATACTGCTAAACTCTCTGCAATGCACAAGACAGTCCTCACAACAAAGCATTATCTAGCCCATAATATCAACAGTGGTAAGGCTGTGAAATCTAAACTAAAAATAGATTTTGAAAAAATTTCAATTGTATAATTCTACCACACTAAATATCAATATAATCAATATAAACATATACTCTTTGAGATTCTCAATCATTTAAGAATTATGAGAGTCTTAAGGAACAAAGAAAATACAAATAATTTGCTTCGATATTTTAGTAGGCACAATACAGCTTATGATGTCTAGAGCTGTGACCTAACACTGTGCTTGATATCTTGCAAAGTAATTAGCTAGAATAACAAGACAGGTTTCTAAAAAGCTCACCTTTGTGTGATATGATGAGGTATCTCCAAGGTCACACTGTGGAAGGAAAAAAAATTCATAACAATAGATGTTATCATTTGTTAGGCCTGAAGACATTTTTTAAAAGGGGGGCAGAGGAAACTCTCCTAGCGGCCCTGAAATTCAAATCTTCTAGTTCAGAACAGTACCATAAGGGCACTTTGTTTTCATTTCTTTGTTTTTTACAAAAATATGAGAACCAAAATGCAAGGAAATATGCCGTTAGAAGACGCGTTTCTGTTGGTGATTACAATATATAAATAATAACAGATGTCCCTTTTATATGCTTTTCTACCGACGAAACCTTTCATCCCATGCGATTTATTTTATGTATTTATTTATTTTTTGACCCAGAGTCTGTCTCTCTTGCTCAGACTGGACTGCAGTGGTGCCATCTTGACTCCTCACAACCTCCACCACCCAGGTTCAAGCGATTCTCACGCCTCAGCCTCCCAAGAAGCTGGGACTACAAGTTTGCGCCACTATGCCCAGATAATTTTTTTTTGGGGGGGAGGGTGGGTGGAGTTTCGCTCTTGTTGCCCAGGCTGGAGTGCAATGGTGTGATCTCGGCTCACCACAACCTCTGCCTCCCGGGTTCAAGAGATTCTCCTGCCTCAGCCTCCCAAGTGGCTGGGATTACAGGCATGTACCACCACGCCCAGCTAATTTTGTAGAGTGAGGCTCAAAACAACTGAGGGAAGGTAAATCTCAATTCTACTAATAGGTCTACACAATATCAGCACTTTTTAAAAAGCCTGTAACATTAGCATGTGAGATGGATATGTCTATAGTGCTTCAAGTAGTTTTCATCTCTGAAATAATTTTAAAATCACAGAATTTAAAGTTACATGCTGGAAAGGACCAATGACCTTATGTGACATTTAATTCAACACTCGTTTTACAGATCAGGGAAACAAACCTTAAAACTGACTTGCCCAAGGTCCCACCAAATAGGAGCAGTTTCTCGTCCTAAACTCAAATTAAGCAGTGGCTCTCAAACTTTGCTGCACATTAAAATCGCCTGAGAAGCTTTAATATCTGCCTCATCTTCCACATGAGACATTTTAATTTAATTAGTATTGGGTATGGCTTTGGGCATCAAGGTTCTTGGTAAACGTTTCCCAGGTGATTTCAATCAGCAGCAAAGTTTGGAATGATTGAGCTGGGGTGAAAATCAGAATCTTCTGGGATGCTTTTCTTCACAGAAAGATGCCTCACATCCATCCCGATTTTCCTAAAAGGCTTCTCAGTGCCTAGAGATAGAGGGAAAGTGGAGATGGGAAGATACATGTATTTGCAGACTTGCATTTTGAAAAAAACCTTGCATAAGTGATCTCAGCGAGTTCCACCTATCCCACTGACAACAGTGCACTACTGATTCATGATAAAACATTTTTCAAAATATCTTCTTGAAGCCAATTTGCCCTATTAATTTGTTCAATAACTTTATTTCACCAATAGTGAATACACCAAATGATCATTTCTCAAACTTGCTGGTGGCAAATTAAAACTTACTATACTCTCAAAAGTAGACTTCTAAAAAGTAGAATAATGAGGAAAAAAGCACGAAATTAGTTTCAGCAAAATTAATCTTCAAAGCTGCTTTTGAATTATATGCTAACTTATCAAAATCTTTGGAACTCAGAAGAAGCCAGGGACTCTAGTCAAAGTAATTTTTGTGTATGTGTGCTCAGAGATTTAAGAGACTTGGCTGACTACAGACATTTAGTGATTACTCAATAGGTCCCAAAGCTCAGGACTTGAGACAGAGTTTGAGTTCAGTTTTTGTTTGAAACACAATTTCCTCTCAACTATTGTTAAAAGGGAGGGAGGAAAGTGACATTATTATGAGTGTAAACTTGCCACTTTTAATTGAAGTAAAAGTTATTGACAATTGAATTAGCTAAAAAGGCTAGTGCATTTGAAACAAAATTGTTTATAAGCTAGTTATGTTTACAGAATGAAAAGTTAAATTAAAGATAAAGACATTAATATTCTAAATTAGCACTTTCCAAACTGTGTTCTAAAAATCAAGACTAATAACCCAAGGAGATGAGAATAATGTACACTGGACGGCCCCTGTGGAGCTGGTGGTGGTGTTGGTTGTTGTTCCTTTTAAAATAAACTTCATCTCAGGGTGCTCTCAAAGCGCATCTTTGTGGCCCATGAGGTGCTCATGCACAATGGGAGAAATTCAAATGCAGATACACTGTGGTGCCAGAAGAAGAAAAGCTGTTCCTTCTTCCAAGGATAATGTCCAAAGTAGTGCACACTGATTTGGGCCTATGATGCATTGAAAAACTAAGTTTCCACAAAAAACATTCAAGAAAGGGAACCTATCCTTCTCACTGTGTTCAACATTGTCTAAAGGCATAAAGGCATCAAAAAGATACACTGTTTCTGGGTTTGCTTCTTTGCTAACTGATTTTTCCTTCCACCACGACGTCTAAGATTAAAAGAGAAACTGATACTTAATATTGAGAATCTGGATATCAATATATGGTTGACTCCAATTTCTTAAGCTGATTGCTGAAGAGGACAACCAAATGGCTGAAATAATTTCCGAATAAAGGAATCTGTCCCTCGGCAGCATAGTTGTACTCACGATATTATTGTCATTGTAAGATAATGCTGGCTGGCTGTGCTGTCATCAAGGAATATTGTCGAACACGAGCTGTATTGTTGACTGAAACGCTCAGTAGATACCTGAAGGGGAAGGGAAGTGTAAGTCAAACTTATCAAAGTGTATTTTTTTCTCAGTTAAAATGTCAAATGACAAAGCACTAAGATATGTCTTACACTCCATGAACTGCCTGAGTGTGGTATCATGTGCACTCTATAGAAAACCCATTGGAGGCTCTCAACTTCCAGAGATGATGTTTAAGATATGGGTTATAAAATGCTGCCCTTAATATGGTACCTGTCATCAAACCTAACAAGGATTTTATGAATTACCGTTAAAAATAATGGGAAAAGTCGGCTTCGCCGGGCGCGGTGGCTCACACCTGTAATCCTAGCACTTTGGGAGGTGGAGGCGGGCAGATCACGAGGTCAAGAGATCGAGACCATCCTGGCTAACATGGTGAAACCCCGTCTCTACTAAAAATACAAAAAATTAGCCGGGCGTGGTAGCAGGCCCCTGTAGTCCCAGCTACTCGAGAGGCTGAAACAGGAGAATGGGGTGAACCCAGGAGGCAGAGCTTACAGTGAGCCGAGTTCGCGCCACTGCACTCCAGGCCGGGAGACAAAGTGAGACTCCGTCTCAAAAAAAAAAAAAAAAAAAGAAAGAAAAGTTTAAAATGAGATTTCATATTTTTTTCTACAGCAATAAAAAGCAGCCAAGAATTTCTATTAATTTATTTATTTATTTATTTATTTATTTATTTATTTTTGAGACGGAGTCTCGCTCTGTAGCCCAGGCTGGAGTGCAGTGGCGCGATCTCGGCTCACTGCAAGCTCCGCCTCCCGGGTTCACGCCATTCTCCTGACTCAGCCTCCTGAGTAGCTGGGACTACAGGCGCCCGCCACCATGCCCGGCTAACTTTTTGTATTTTTAGTAGAGACGGGGTTTCACCGTGTTAGCCAGGATGGCCTCGATCTCCTCACCTCGCGATCTGCCTGCCTCAGCCTCCCAAAGTACTGGGATTACAGGCGTGAGCCACGGCGCCCAGCCCTTCTATTATTTATTTACTACGATAAAATGTAGTGTATTAAATAATCCTGCTACAAGAGCATTTTATTGCAGTGAATACAAGACTAATGCATTTACTAAATTACTAATCCTAAATGTATTATTTCAGGTGATATTGTTACAAAAGAAGTGCTTCAGATTCAGGGGCTCTGTGTGCCAGGGCTGCTAGGCCACCAACAAGTGAGGAAGCCATAGGTTTCTCTAGTCCTATTTTCTTATGTGGAGGATAAAAAGAGTATCACTTAAATATTCTCTCACACCCTAAAAACAAATGACAACTTAAAAAATCTAACTTTCACTTCATGTTTAAATAAGACTGCCAAGACATGACTCAAATGAGACTCTCGGAGAATACTTTGCATTCACTTCAAAACTTGATCAATTGCATTCTATAAATCATCTGACCTGCACCTAGCCATTTTCCTGCTCTACCCCTGCTCTCTGCCTAGAATACTGCTTTTCTCTTTCCTTGCTTCAGCAAGCTCGACTCCATCTACCCTCTTGGATCTCTTTGTCGGCAGCCACACCAAAAAATGTATTTTTATACACTAATTAGTTGAATTCACCACTGCTTACAAGATGCTAATTCCTGCAGAGTATTCCCCTCATGAGAAAGTATGCCTCTCCATAAGAGTAAGGGAGGGCCCTTACTCTTCCTACCTCCAGCTGCTGAGCATAGAATTTTGAGTAAATCCAAAACTTCGACAAGTGTTTGACAATTCAGTCATCATTTGGAAGGTAAGTCTTACTACATTTAATTACAGCAAAAACACTACTAACAGTTTACTCTTTATAGGTATTATTTAAGGTAGTCACAAAATAGAAACAAACAATCTAACGTCAGTCAGCATAAATGAGAGTATGAAATTTTACAATATTTAACAAGAAATGGAAGGGGTTACTTAGTAGTTTTAAGGTTTAATGACAAAAACTAGAAAATAATCGTACCTAGTAATTTAGTAAGTCAAAACCAAAGCCTTACCATCAAAGGTGCAGTACCCATTGGATGCGTATGCCCACGCACTGACTTCTGCTGTACCTGCTGCCTCTCATTTTAACCCATTAAAAATACTAAAGTTGTTTTCCTTGTAGACATCTTTCACCTCCTTGGTTAGGTCTATTCCGAAGTATTTTAGTTTATTTTAGTTTATTTTTGCAGCTATCAGAAAAGGGATTGAGTTCTTGGTTTGATTCTAAGCTTGGTCACTTCTGGGGTATAACAGAGCTACTGATTTGTGTACATTAATTTTGTCTCCTGAAACTTTGCTGAATTCATTTATCGGTTCTAGGAGCTTTTTGGAGGAGTCTTTAGGGTTTCCTAGGTATATGATCATATCATCATCAAACAGCAACAGTTTGACTTCCTCTTTACTGATCTGCATGCCTTTTATTGTTTTCTCTTGTGTGATTGCTCTGGCTAGGCCTTCCAGTAGTATGTTGAATACAAGTGGTGAGAGTGGGCATCCTTGTCTTGTTCCAGTTCTCGGGGGGAATGCTTTCAACTTTTCCCCCTTTCAGTATTATGTTGGTTGTGGGTTTGACATAGATGGCTTTTATTACATTGAGCTATGACCCTTGTATGCTGATTTTGCTGAGGGTTTTAATCATAAAAGGATGCTGCATTTTGTCAAATGCTTTTTCTGCATCTGTTAAGATGATCATGTGATTTTTTGTTTTTAATTCTGTTTATGTGGTGTATCACATTTATTGACTTGTGTATGTTAATCCATCCCCGCATCCCTGGTATGAAACCCATTTGATCATGGTGGATTATCTTTTTTTTATTTTTTGAGATGGAGTCTCGCTCTGTTGCCCAGGCTGGAATATGCAGTGCGGTGATCTTGGCTCACTGCAACCTCTGCCTCCGAGGTTCAAGCGATTCTCCTGCCTCAGCCACCCGAGTAGATGGGATTACAGGTGAGCGCCACCACGCCCGGATAACTTTTGTATTTTTAGTAGAGATGGGGTTTCACCATGTTGGCCAGGCTGGTCTCGAACTCCTGACCTCATGATCCGTCCGCCTCATCCTCCCAAAGTGCTGGGATTACAGGTGTGAGCCACCGTGCCTGGCCCGATTATCTTTTTGATATGCCGTTGGGAACTACAAAACATTGCTGAATGAAGTCATGGACACAGACAAATGGAAAGACACCCCATGCTCATGAATGGGTAGAATGAATATTGTGAAAATGACCATACTGCCAAAAGCAATCTACAAATTCAATGCAACTCCCATCAAAATACCACCATCCTTCTTCACAGAACTAGAAAAAACAATCCTGAAATTTATATGGACTAAACAAGAACCGGCACAGCCAAAACAAAACTAAGCAAAAACAACAAATCTGGAGGCATGACATTACCTGATTTCAAACTATACTATAAGGCCATAGTCACCAAAATAGCACAGTACTGATATAAAAATAGGCACATACACCAATGGAACAGAATAGAGAACCCAGAAATAAACTCAAATACCTATAGCCAACTGATTTTCAACAAAGCCACCTAAAACATAAAGTGAAGAAAGTAAACCCTATTCAACAAATGGTGCTGGGATAATTGGCAAGCCACATGCGGGAGAATGAAACTGGATCCTCAACTCTCAGCTTACACAAAAATCAACTCAAGATGGATCAAGGACATAAATCTATGACCTGAAACCATAAAAGTTCTAGAAGATAACATTGGAAAAACCCGTCTAGATACTGGCTTGGGCAAAGACTTCATGACCAAGAACACAAAAGCAAATGCAACAGAAACAAATAGGTGAGACTTAACTAAAGAGCTTCTGCACAGGAAAAGGAACAATCAGCAGAGTATACAGACAACCACAGAGTGGGAGGAAATCTTCACAGTCTATACATCTGACAAAGGGCTATTATCCAGAATCTATGAGGAACTCAAACAAATTACAATTACAAAAATATGGAACCAGCCCAAATGCCCATCAGTCAATGAGCGGATAAAGAAACTGTGATATACATACATATATATATATATATATATATATATATATATATATATATATATGAGGAATACCACCTCAGCCATAATAAGGAATAAATTCATGGCATTCCCAGCAACCTGGGTGGAAGTAAGACTATTATTCTAAGTGAAATAACTCAGCATGGAAAACCAAATATCATGTTCTCTTTCATACGTGGGAGCTGAGCTATGAGGATGCAAAGCCATAAGAATGATACAATGGACTTTGGGGACTTGGGGGAAAGGCTGGGAGGAGGGTGAGGGATAAAAGACTACAAATTGGCTTCAGCGGATACTGCTCAGGTGATGGGTGCACCTAAATCTCACAAATCATCACTAAAGAACTTAGTCATGTCACCAAATGCCACCTGTTCCCCCAGAAACCTATGGAAATAATAAATAAATAAATAAAGTACAGCATTTTTCTCAGCAAACATAAAAAAAAAACAAAGACTAAAGTTCATATTTTTCACTCTCCTTTTGGGCAGGACAAATTTTAGATAGGTTTTTAAAGAATTAGTAACTTTTTTCCTTTTTCCGAGACAGGGTCTCCCTTTGTTGCCCAGGCTGGAGTGCAGTGGTGCAATTATAGTTAACTGCAGCCTCAAACTCCTGAGCTCAGGTGATCCTCTGCCTCAGCCTCCTGAGTAGGTAATACGAAAGGCGCATGCCACCAGGCCTGGCTAATTTGTTATTTAACCTTTTTGTAGACATGAGGTCTTGCTATGTTGACCAGGCTAAAAATGAACAAATCTTAATTAACTTAAATATTTCTAACACCTTGGGCATTCAGGAAAACAGCTCCATTTATGTTGTGAAGTAATGGGAAGCATATGGCAGTGGATAAACTTTGAATGAAAATATTAAACAAGGCCTTAGGAGAAAAGTGTAATATGCTTATTATAGATACATTAATTTAAAAAATTCTCTGGCTTAATATCATTATACTCAAATTAGACTTTGATTTAAACATAGGTCCTAAATTTGGATTAAATATAATAGATTGACCACAAATTTATTTCGTCTCCCTCTGGAAGCCTCATTAGTCATAAAATAAAGGTTACACCCATGACCAGCACAGAAGGTTGACAGAGATAATTTTTAGTAAATGCTGAGACATAAAAAGTAGACAAAGGAGTGGTAAATAACACAGAAACACAACTTTGCTGACTACAGAAAGTGACTGGAACAGAAGCGAGCCAGTTTGTCTTGCAGAACTAAAGGCAGGTTGTGAACTTACAGGCAAATGGCACTTTGGAAAGTAGGGTAAAATGTAAAAAAAAAAAAAAGCCAGCAAGGTCAGTTGCAAATCTCTAACTAGAGCCCAAAGTCCACCTGTCCTTCCATCTGACAAGAAACTTAGATGTGTGTTCTCTGGATATATCAAACCTGAGAATTTCTGGCTCAGAGATACTATGGCTTAAACCTGAGATATAAAGAAAACTGTACACCAAAAATGGAACTCCAACTGTCTTTGCTAACTCTGCTTTTCCTTTCCAGGCCTGCTTTTACTTTCCAGGCAGAAAATTGGGAGATCCTTCTCAGAAGAAACTGAAATGTCTTCAATAAAGATCCCCAGATAATACACTGAGGTCTCCCAAATGAAAAGCTAGTCAGGCTTCTAAGGCCTCACACTGAGTGCTATCAGTTAACAGAAATCCTGCTTCCAAATAAAGCAGGCCAGGGACCACCACACATTGGAGGGAAGCCTCCAAGGAAAGAGATCAAAACAATAGAAAAAAGGAATTGATAGGACCAGTCAAAATCAGGAGCAAAACTTTAAAAAAAAATCTTAAAACACTCTCAAAAAATACAAAATTCAATAGAAATAGTAGAGGATAAAGTCACAGAATATCCCAGAACTAGAATAAAAAGACAAACTGAAAAAAATAGAAGGGGAAAAATTAAAAATCAATGCAGGTGTACTGGTCTAAGCAGCCTAGCATCTGAATAACAAGACTATCAGTAAAAAAGTAACAGAGAAAATAAAAAAAAAATTCTCAAGAAGAGATAGTCTGCAGGTTTAGTAGCCTCAATAAAATGAAAAGATCCCCAACAAGCTGTTATAAAATTTCAGAACCTTAGAGAGAGAGATTCTAAAAAGCTTCCGCAGATAACTAAAACCTGGTTGTAAATAACATATCACACACTGGCAATAGATTCAAGAACAACACTGTAATAAGAGCACAACTGCAAAATGTCTTCAGAACCATACAATTTAGATTCAACCTAGAGGTGTACTCTCTATCAAAGAGGAGGGATTTTAACATCTCCACCCAGGAAAATGTGTTCAAGTACAACTAGAGACGATAACAGGACAGAAGGAAACACAGAATCTAGGACTCAGGCGATCCCACACAAGACAGCAGTTACGTGAGATCCCAAAAGACTTTAAGGAGTTAGCCCAGAAAAGCAGACATCGAGCATATCTAGGGAAACCCACGCTATATTGAACTAGGATGACAAAAGGCCAAAGAAAGTTGCCCCCCACACACACATAAAAAGGAACAGATGTGTTTTTGCAGATGGAAAATGTCTTTGAAAGGCATGTGATAAATGCTACAATACTTGGGGGAAAAACAGCTGTTAGAAAATAGGCAAATGAATATAGTCAGAAAATTAGCTTCATGCTAAAAAATAATGGATGTGAAAGCAAACAGAGCACCCAGAGGCTACTTAACGATATTTGGATAGATAAACTAACGTAGGCTAGGAAAAAAGAAGATCCAGGAGAATTGCAGAAGTGCTCAGATTTCAGAACTGTTTCAGAGACAGGATGAAGGACATGGAATGCAGAGGCACAGTGAAAACACCATATGACTTAGCAGTGAATAATATTTGCAGAGTCATAATCATGTAAATATTACTGATTTAATTAAAAAGTGTGCTACAATTGGAAGAAACACAGGGAGAAACATAAGATCATGGTGTAGCGGGGAAGGTACGCTTTTACCTGCTGTGATAGAAAGTCAATAGACAGTGCTGGCAATTAACTTAACTATTCTATTTTTGTTCTTTCATTAAAAATAAGATTAAATATTTAAGGCACTTTTTTTTTTTTTTTTTTTTTTTGAGACAGAGTTTCGCTCTGTCGCCCAGGCTGGAGTGCAATGGCGCGATCTTGTCTCACTGCAACCTCCGCCTCCTGGGTTCAAGTGATTCTTCTGCCTCAGCCTCCTGACTAGCTGAGATTACAGGCATGCACCACCACACCCGGCTACTTTTGTATTTTTAGTAGATACAGAATTTCACCATGTTGGTCAGGGTTGTCTCAAACTCCTGACCTCAGATGATCAGCCTGCCTTGGCCTCCTAAAGTGCTGTGATTACAGACGTTAGCCACCATGCCCAGCCTTAAGGCGGATCTTTTGAACCAGACTATTGAAATTTAACTTAAATGTCAGAAATCTTTAAAAGGTGGACACGCTAAGCTAAACACTTTTCTGGATAAATTTAATACTCAGGAAAATAGAAGAGATTTAGAAAATCCACAAAAAGAGGTCCATGCTACCACCACCAGGTCCACATTGTAATTTAAAGAAATCAAGAGAGACATCCTTTTATGTCAAACTATCAATTTCTTAACTATTTGAGTGTTTACTTACATGGTTTGTACAGTTGCTTCTTCTTATTTCTACAACTAAGAATAAAAAAAAAAAAACTGGTCACTTCTGATACAAATACCATAAAATAAAAGTAGTTGTTAACATCTTACTGATTACTCCTATGTAAAATGAGACAAAATTCCATTTAAAAAAATAATTTTCAATAATTTATAATTTAAATTATCTGGCATGATTAATTTCATAAGTCAAATCTAAAAACTTAGTTTTTCATTTAGTTTACTTTTTGTTTCTATTACATACAAATGAAAGAATCCTCATGTACAAAAGAAAAGGGTAAAAAAATTAGGCCAGATGAAAAATTTAGCTAATAAAAAGTTTAACTGTTGCATATATGAGCCATGATCCATTAGTATTCTCTCATTCTGCATTTACACATAGCTTACTTTAATTATCAGACTCTAAGAGCTAACAGCTCTAAGAACTACTTCCTGACCAGACACCTATCTCTAGATGCAACAGAATCCCTGTAAGCATCTTGAACCACACTTAGTGGTTATCTACTAATATGTCACTAAAAACAAATCAAAATTAAAAAACGGTCTTTACACAACTGGAAAGTAACGTAGCTTAATTTTTTTTTTTTTGAGATGGAGTCTCACTCTGTCACCTAGGCTCGAGTGCAGTGGCGGGATCTCAGCTCACTGCAACCTCTGCCTCCCAGGTTCAACCAATTCTTCAGCCTTAGCCTCCTGACTAGCTGGGACTACAGGCACGTGCCACCATGCCTAGCTAATGGTTTTTTGTATTTTTAGTAGAGACAGAGTTACACTGTGTTAGCCAGGATGGTCTTGACCTCCTAACCTCGTGATCCACCCACCTCAGCCTCCCAAAGAGCTGGGATTACAGGTGTAAGCCACAGAGCCTGGCCTAAATTTTGATGTTAAAATGAGTATACAAACCTAATTGGACATGGTGTCTGCAGCTCAAAAAATCATTTTTTTTCCTCTAAAAAGAGGCCAGAATAATAAAAGCCCCAAGAGGGACTTGGGCCATGCTTTGTTTCCTACACTGCCTCTGCCTTTGATGCTGGAAGGGCCTTGTAGGCAAAAGTTCCTACCACCGAAGAGTGAGGGACATGGAATAGCTTTTCTTTTACTGCTTCCATGCTCTCTAGGTGTGAGAAGCCCATGGCTCTGGAAGGAACTGGGAAATACAATTCTGATATGTTTTGGATATGTTGCCCCTCCAAGTCTCATGTTAACATGTGACCCTTAATGTTGGAGACAGGGCCTAGTGGGAGGCGTTTGGGTAATGGCAGTGGATTCCTTATGAATGGCTTGGTCCCATCCCCATGATAATAAGCACATTCTCATTATGGTAATTTAAAAGACTGTGGTACTGGCCAGGTGCGGTGGCTGAAGCCTGTAATCCCAGCACTTTGGGAGGCTGAAGCGGGTAGATCACTTGAGGTCAGGAGTTTCAGACCAGCCTGGCTAACATGGTGAAACCCTGTCTCTACCAAAAATACAGAAATTAGCCAGGTGTTATGGTGCCCACCTATAGTCCCAACTACTCGGGAGGCTGAGGCAGGAGAATTGCTTGAACCTGGGAGATGGAGGTTGTAGTGAGCCAAGATTGTGCCATTGCACTCCAGTCTGGGCAACAGAGTGAGACTCCATTTCAAAAAAAAAAAAAAAAAAAAGAGTGTGGTACCTTCCCCCTTCCCCTCTCTCCTCCCTCTTTCACCGTGTGGAACCACCTGCTTCCCCTTTGCCTTTTATCATGATTGTAAGTTTGCTGAGGCCCTCACCAGAAGCAGATGTTAAAGCCATGTTTGTACAGCCTGAAAATCTTTGAGCCAATTAAACCTCTTTTTTGTTATAAATTACCCAGCCTTAGGTATCTCTTTATAGTAATGTAAAAAATGAAGACAAATTCTAACCAGAAATAACTGACTCAAGATGGGCAAAGTCTACTCAAACTATAAAAACAAAGGTTACAAACTCCCGTGTTTTACTGTGCTGCATTACTTCGCACATTATTATAGAACCCTCACTTGTGTTCTTGCTGTTTAAGTCAACTGGAAAACTTGGCTGTGTATGGCTTGTTGGCAAATAAATGAGGATTTAATATAACATTAAGGGAAATAAGCAGGAGTAAGGCATGTTTAAATTTACATTATATCAAATGAAAAAGTTAATAACCTAAAACTTTTGAGTAGCGTAAACTTGGATGTGGTAAATGAATGTGGTCAGAGGACTGTGTAAGAGGAGGCCCAAATCACAGATTCAATCCCTGATGATAAACGACTATGTTTTTTAATTTGTTTAAATGAAAACCAAGCTGAAGCCTAAGTTCTATCATTCATCTTTAAAGTGTACTTTTTGGAGCAAGGGAAAAGGGATTATAAATAAAGATAAATCCATTAATTATAAATAAAGATAAATCCAAGAATTATAAAGACAAATCCATGACTCCTCCAACACATGACAAATTAATTGTGTTGATAAAAAGATGGCAAAATGTATAAACAAAAAGGTTACACGTTTTCACTAACATCATAACAACTAAAGGAAAGTATATCACATATTAAAATAAGACAAGTGAACATGTGAAAAGGTGAAAAATTTAAACCAATATGAGTTTTTCTAAATACTTTCTATAACCTGATCAAACAAGAGCTTTTATTCTTTCTCTTGGCGGAAAAAACAATGTTGTCTCACCATCTGTTTGAGAGTTCCTCTGGAATATTGTGCTTGCCTCTGGATTGGCAGAAGGGTTAAACTCCAAAGCTATATGCATAGAGGAAGAAAAGAAAAAGAGATGCAATCATTGATAAAAATTTATCAACTCGTTTATTCGACTGCTGCATTTAGGCTATTTCACTATCTCTACTTTGATTCTTATCCATTGAAATGAATGTATAGACATAAGATAGAGCCAGGCAAGATGGCACATGCTTGTAGTTCCAGCTACTCAGGAGGCTGAGATGGGAAAATCACTTGAACCCAGGTCAGGAAGTTGAGGCCAGCATGAGTAACACAATGACACCCTCCTTTATTTAAAAAAAAAAAAAAAAAAAAAAAAAAAAGAAGAGGTAAATTTTGGCTTTGAGTTGTGTAAAATCAACTTTGCATAAAATAAATCAAGATGGCAGTAAGTTTTAAAAGACAGTCTATTTTATAGGCAAAATATAAGTTGTATTCTAGAGTTTTTAAAATTTTTAAAAAGTAAATTCATCATATCTGTCACTTCCATTTCATTCTGAGGACACAGAACCTTAGTTCTCTTGAGTAGCTGTCTTCCATAGTCATGTGATATCTCTAAGTTTTCATTTCTTCATTAGCAATACATAGGGAGAACATACACAGGCCTTATTTGTATTGGAAAGGGCCAAGTGAGACATACATAAACTGTGCTGTAATCCTAAAGAATGACAATAAAGAGCCATTTTTGGGCTCTCATCCAACACTACCCATCTACTAACTGGTGTGTAACATCCATCAGGCTTTCCGAACATCACCAAGCAGAGTATAAGTTTACACAAGTACTTACATGCTTTGTGTATAAAGGTACAATCAATTAATTCACATAATGCATTTGTTTATTCTAAAGCAATCCTTAAATACCTTGAAATGTGAAGATAGTACTTCCAAGTTACAAAGTCACACTCATAATGAGTCTTAATTATCCTACCTCTTTAAAAATTAAGAGCCCGACCAAAGTTTAAATAGAAGAGCTATAAGACATTTCCTCTACAGTAATGAAATCTCTGGCATTTAAATGAAACCAATAAGCCTACTGGATTTAATATGTTTATGATGCAATGTTTTCTATTTTGAAAATTTCAGTTTTTATTCAAGAACCATATTACTACCCAGAATTACTTTTACTTAGATTCATCTCTTTGCAAAATTTTAGAGGCAAACCAACTAATTGTTTTCTCTTTTCTACCGGCTCCCATCCCCTGCCTCTGCCGACAGTGTAGAGACTAAAAAACTCCAACTTTCTTTCCTTTTTTTTTTGTGAGACGGAGTCTTGCTCTGTCACCCAGACTGGAGTGCATTGGCGTGATCTCTGCTCACTGCAACCTCCACCTCCCAGGTCCAAGCAATTCTCCTGCCTCAGCCTTGTGAGTAGCTGGAACTACAGTCATGCGCCACTACGCCCAGCTAATTTTTGTATTTTCTTTTTTAGTAGAGACAGCGTTTCACCATCTTGGCCAGGCTGGTCTCGAACTCCTGACCTCAGGTAATCTGCCTGCCACGGCCTCCCAAAGTGCTGGGATTACAGGCGTGAGCCACCAAGCCCAGCCAAAACTGTAACTTTCTTATCTTTGAACAAGATGCTATTGTCAGGAGGGGAAGGGACAAAGGGGGAGCCACGGCAACAAACACTCTTACAGGGAAGGTCTGACATTTTAACCTGCAATCTTTATATTACACATTAAAAGTCTACATTGACGTTTCATGTCTTTTGAAAGTTTTGACCGTGAACCAATCCCCACCTCCCTTTTAGAACAAGGAGGTAAATAAAGTCTGTTAAGTCACCAGAATAAATCTGGAGACACATTTTCTGTTAAAGTAAGAATTTTAAAGTAATCAGAGCCTCATAGGTAAACTCCTTTGAGAAACCCCAAACACACACACACAACCATTTTTCTGCAGCCCCGGCTGTGACATTTTACACCTTTCACAATTATTTTAAGCACTCTCCTTTTTTCTTTTTCCTTCTGTGTTCAAATTACAGTTAGAAGAAACTAAGCAGCTTCTATCAAGGTGACTTAAAGCAGCCCATTAAGAATACCATATAGCCTCTCCCGTGGCAAACTCCATTCTGATTTTAAATAAGAAATCCCCAAATATTTGAATAGGAACTGTCCTGAGATTTGGCTACTTTAACAAAGGAAACAATTAGGCACTTACCTGGTTCCTTCACTTAGGTACCATCTGGATAGGTTCAAAGAAAAATTAAGATGGGTACTGAAAAGTTGGGATATTTGAGTTTTTATTGAGAAAAGGAAGAGAATAGCTCAAAGAGGCCTAAACAAAGTCCCACAGGATAATAAACAGAGCTACAGACACTGTTGTCTCACCATCTGTTTGAGAGTTCCTCTGTAATATTGTGCTTGCCTCTGGATTGGCAGAAA
This sequence comes from Homo sapiens, assembly GCF_000001405.40. Taxonomy (NCBI): domain Eukaryota; kingdom Metazoa; phylum Chordata; class Mammalia; order Primates; family Hominidae; genus Homo; species Homo sapiens. The sequence continues at coordinate 46,337,830 of NC_000010.11, read as the reverse complement.
GGTTAAACTCCAAAGCTATATGTATAGAGGGAGAAAAGAAAAAGGACGTAATCATTTATAAAAATTTATCAACTCATTTATTCAACTGCTGCTTATTCGACAAGAGCCATAAATAAATGGTCCCATGCCAGCCTGGGAGAATGAGGTGAGAGAGCAAGAACTGGGCGATTGGGAGGGGAGGCGAAAAGAAACTGACTGGACTCGGTGGGGAAAGACTAAGGGGTGGGAATTCAAGGCAGAGCCAGCTTTTGTTCCTGGCCAGCCCCCGGGAAAGCTGGCTACAAGCAGAAAGGAGCTCGAAGTGGGGGATGCCTCAAAGGGAACCTTGGGGACAGCAGCAGCCAGAGGCAAACCGAGGGTAGATGGCACCTATCACCTCCTTACCTTCAGGCATCTCCCGGTCACGAACGTGGTGCATGTGGAGGTCCTCACCAACTTCAACAGTCACCTCAGCAGGCTGTACAGCAGCAGCCATGGGCGCTCCTGCCATCCTGTCCTCAGCTCCTGCCTCATAGATCTCAGATTCAGAGGGACACACCGACCCCTGCTGCTGGTCAAACTCGAGGCTGACGCTAGGGTGCACACGACAGGTCAGTATGTTCCCCATGGGGCGCCTCTACTGTCTGCCACCACCTGTGCCTCTGCTCACAGCTTTGGCCACGCACTCCCGCTGTCCTAGGCCGAGGCTATGCTGCACTTGCAGAGATGGTCTTCCCGCTCCTCGCCTGCCCACCTCACAGTGCGGCCCCAGGCACCAGCCCTGGCCCCGGCCCCGGCCCCGGCCCCGGCTAGGGCTGCGGGCCAAGGCCCGCACCCTGCTGCCTCCCCTGAGTTGACTTGTCTGGGAGGGTGAAGACCAGCCGGCTTATTTATTAGGTTGTGAACCCAACAAGCGCTGAGAGACACAACAACTGCCTGAAGAGAGAACAGACGGAGCTCCTCCTCCTTCTGTAGTCACCTACAGACTGAAGCCCACTGGCCCCAGGTGGGAGCCCAGGCATGTGGCACACAATGCCCCACCCCACACTTCACAATGCCCTCCCCGACAGCTCACAGTGCCCCACCCTGCCTGCCACCCCTCCCCAACAGCTCAGAATGCCCCTGCCTTGGCTGCCCCACCCTGTGGCTTATGATGCTGCTGCTCTCCTGGCCCCTCGTGCAGTGCCAGTGGGACTAAGGTTTTCATTCATCACCAGCTTCCTGAGATTTTAGTCCTAAGAAAAGCACAGGGTAGTTCATTCCTCGAAGCCAGCTTCCTCTACGAGTTCTACACAAAGCCTCAGTAGAGTGGGTCCCATTAGCAACCAAGTTGAACAACTTTTATTTGCTGTCTGAATATAGATACACCTGAATTGTTGACTGCTTTTGTAACTAAACACTCCTCTCCTGTCTTCCAACGAGTGGTCATTTTTGTCCGCAACTTGACCACAGCAATCCCTGGGGCCCTAGCTCTACTCTCAATAAAGAGTTATGGCTGTGTGTTTTGAATGACACCTTAGGACCCATCCTGCCTCCACCTCCTTCTCCATAAAATAGAAACCTAACTTGCCCCTCCAAGCTCTGAAATGCTGAAACTTACCAACTCCCTTTTCTCCCCGCTGTTTCTTCCTTCTGTGGCAGGGACTTTCAGATTTTCTTTCTTTTACTAACAAGGCACTAAGCATGATTTTCTCATACAAAATCGAGAGCCATAAAGTGGCTTACCACAGTCCTAGTTCAATAAAGATGAATACTCGACATCTGGCAAGTAGTGTGTGCCTGACAGTGTCCCCACTGTGCTATGCTCATTTAACCCTCAGAAACAATCTCATGTTACAGATTTTACAGAAGTTGTTGAGACGGAGAAGGTAAGTAACCCCCCCCCCCAAGGTCACATGACTGCTAAGGGTGGGGCCATAGTTTGATCCCAGGTAGTCTGAATTCCCCAATTGCTTAAGCATGAGTATCAGAAAGTATAGCAGTCTGTTTTCACACTGATATAAAGAAATACCTGAGGTTGGGTAATTTTTAAAGGAAAGAGGTTTAATTGACTCAGTTTCACATGGCTGGGGAGGCCTCAGGAAACTTAACAATCATGGCAGAGGGGGAAGTCCTTCAGGAAAGTTACAATCATGGCAGAAGGGCAGGTCCGACTTACATGGTGGCCGCACAGAGAGTGGGAACATGTGAAGGAGCAACTGTCAAACATGTATAAAACCATCAGATCTCAGCTGGGCACGGTGGCTCACACTTGTAACCCTAGTACTTTGGGAGGCCAAGGCAGGTGGATCAACTGAGGTCAGGAGTTTGAGACCAGCCTAGCTAATGTAGTGAAATCCTGTCTCTACTAAAAATACAAAAATTAGCTGGGTGTGGTGGTGCATGCCTGTAATCCCAGCTACTCAGGAGGCTGAGGCAGGAGAATCACTGGAACTCAAGAGGCAGAGACTGCAGTGAGCCAAGATCGTGCCATGGCACTCCTGCCTGGACAACAGAGCAAGACTCCATCCCAAGAAACAAAACAAAACAAAACCCTATAAGATCTCATGAGGACTTACTGAATATCACAAGAACAGCATGAGGATAACTGCCCCTGTGATCCAATCACCTCCCCCTAGGCCCCTCCCTCGACACATCGGGATTATGGGGATTATAATTCATGATGAGATTTGGGTGGGGGCATGGCAAAACCATATCAGAAAGTAAAGGTAGAAGTCAGGCTTGGATGGGAAATGACATTGTAGATTATTATTATTTATTATTATTATTATTATTATTATTATTATTATTATTTTGAGATGAAGTTTTGCTCTTGTTGCCCAGTGAAATTGTTTCTCTAATTTCATTTTCAGATTGTGTCTTGTAGATGTATAGAAATACAATTGATAAATGATTCTGGCTATTAACCTTTTATGCTTCAACCTTGCTGAACACTATTTTTTTTTTTTTTTTTTTGAGACGGAGTTTCGTTCTTGTTGCCCAGGCTGGAGTGCAATGGCCTGATCTTGGCTCACTGCAACCTCCGCCTCCCGGGCTCAAGCGATTCTCCTGCCTCAGCCTCCCGAGTAGCTGGGATTGCAGGCATGCGTCACCATGCCCGGCTAATTTTGTATTTTTAGTAGAGACGGGGTTTCTCCATGTTGGTCAGGCCCGCCTCAGCCTCCCAAAGTGCTAGGACTACAGGAATGAGCCATCGTGCCCAGCCAGATTCGTATATTTTTAAAAGAATTTTTTTTACTTTTTATTTTTTTTTTGAGACAGAGTCTCACTCTGTTGCCCAGGTAGTGGCACAATCATTGCTCACTGCAACCTCCACCTCCTGGGTCCAAGTGATTCTCATTCAAGTGCCTAAGCCTCCCAAGTAGCTGGGATTACAGGATCCCGCCCCCATGCTCAGCTAATGTTTGTATTTTTAGTAGAGATGGGGTTTCACCATGTTGCTCAGGTTGATCTCGAACTCCTGACCTCAGGTGATCCACCTGCCTTGGCCTCCCAAAGTGCTGGGATTGCAGGCGTGAGCCACCACTCCCGAACAGAACAACATTTTTTTGATGTGGATTTTAAAATGCCTCCCCTTCTTTCAACATTGATTAAGTCCCTTCTACATGCCAGGCACTATATGTGTGAAATAGTCCCAACTCTCAATGAGTGTAGGCAGATACACAAACAAAGGCTTAAGGAGGTCAGTTTTCTGAGACCATACTGCTGGACAGTATATGAACCTGGGATACAAACCCACCTCTATTTGACCTCAAATTTGATGCTGGGGTGGTTTTAATTTTATTCTGGGAATTTCAGTCATTCAACCATAAAAAGGTGAAAAGTCTCTGTCAGATGTGCGTGTAGTGGTCTGTATAATAAAGACTGAAGGAAGCAACCCAACCAATTAAGAGACTTTCTCTAAAGGCAGAGTAATGCTAAGGGCAGTGGCAGTGACAAAAGTGGAGGAAAAAGTCTGTGATCATTTGGGAGACAGAATAGGAAGTGCTTGGTCATGAGATGTGAAAGAAGAGGGGAAGTAGAAGGAAAACAGAGCTGCTCAGGCTCTGCTGGGGAAGACTGGGTATGTAGCAGTGCCTTCCTCCTGGCCGAGAATGTAGGAAGAGAAATAGGTAAGGAGGAAAAGATAGTTTTTTACTCTCAGTGTCACATTAAAATGGAACTCTCTGGTCAAAAGTTGAATATAAATCTCTGTAGGCTAAGTCCATTTGTGACATCCCAACATATGTTTTCAAAAATAACATACACACTAAATCAAGCCATTAAGCGTAACTGGGGAAATTTCCTAAAATTTACATGCTAAAAAATCACCATTTTTCATTTATTACTTTCATGGAGCAACTTTGAATCTATGGTTACAGCAGGTGAGGCACCTTGTATAAAATAAAGCTAATACATGAAATAAAACCATTTAAAATTCTATTGTTCTCAGAGAATGGAGAAAGCAATTGAAGCCATGGGTGTGGAGGTGACTGCCTTGAGAAGCTGTGTATAGTAAGGAGAACTGGGAAGAAAGAAGACCTGGAGAATAGGGTGATTTGCACGGCATTAAGTGAAGCTTGCAAAAGTGAGCACTGGGAGTCAAGAGACATGTATGAATCAGAAATGGCTGCTCCTGTGAGTTGTTAGAAAGGAGATGATGCCTTCTTTTCATATCTATAACAGTAGCACCTAGCACAGTGCCTGTTCAATAGGTACTCGACATGTATTATCCCAATGCAGAGTCAAATTTTGCCAGGAAGGCAGGAAAGCTACAAATTAGCTATGGCAACTTAGTGATTGGGCTTGGGTGTGTGTGTGAGCGAGCTGGATGTCAGGCAGTGGGCAAAGTAGTGAACTGGAGGTGAGAAAACAATGACACAAACTCAGGGCTTCTCTTCCCAAGTATTTGGCTGAGAAGAGAGATGTAGTATTAAAGGGAGATATGTGGTAAAGGAAGCCTTTTATTTCAAGATTCAACAAAAGCGTGAGTATACTTCTATGTTAAAGGGAAAGAGCCAACAGAGAAAACACATTTTTGAGGTTAGAAGAGAAGGAAGAACTAATGCAGAAAGGCCCCAAAAGGCACAGGTGCGTGCAATCCGGATCAGGGACAGATTAGCTTTGGATTCCTACAAAAGCAAGAAGGGAGAAAGGACCATATGACACTAGAGCTATTTCTGCTATCACTGTCCAACACAGAAAGCCTGTGAGGGTCCCTGTGGGTGGCCAGGGCAGTGGAGTCCTCCTCTGTGATGACTTCTGAGCTCACCTTCTTAATATATGACTTCCTCCCTTGAGGGATGAGGAAGGATGACAGGCCCTAGCTTGAGTTCATATTGGCTAAACTCCAAAGGCTCTCAATCCCCCTTAACAAACAAGTATGTTGATTTCCCCAGGATCACATAAAGCTCTTCATGAAATTGCACATACATTTCTTCCTATGGGGTCTCAGAGTTGCAGGGACGGGAAGCAACATCTTCATGTTTCCACATGGGTAACACAGAAGAAATAAAGTCTCTGTACACTTTCAGGTTATTTCAACTCCCTTTCTGCCTAATGAAAGCTTTCCCACACTTTTCCTGGTGTCATGAATACAGTGAACATTTTCTCCCTTAGTCTTGAGAGATACACAGTCCCAGGCACCTTGTAAAGTTGCCTTGGCTGCCCTGGGCACATTTGTATGTGGCTGTAGGCATTAGGCAGCTGGGCCAGACAGTCTAGAGCCAGAGGGTGCACTGTCTGGCTGGCTATCCCTTCCACACCTGCGGGCATGCATCCTACCTCTCTGGACCCTGTCTCATTGCGCTGCACACAGGCCATGCACCTGCTCACCAGGCACCAGGTGCCCTTGTCATAAATATCTCCACCTGTCTAGCAATGAAGTGGGAACGCTCAGTTCTTTGTGCAAATCTCTGTATTTACAGGACCAGAGGTGTTTTGTTTTGTGAAACAAAAACTCTCTAAAAAACAAAGCAAGACAACAAATTGATGAAGCCAGGCCTCCCATTCCAGGAAGAACGTTGAGAAGTGAAGTGTGGAGGGGCAGCATGTTCTCGAGTACCCACAGTTGCTCAGGGAATGAGCCTCCAAATGGGGAAAAACCAAATGACTAGGTCCCGTCCACCCCCAGGGGCTCTAGCATCCTCTTCCATTTCCTCAACATTGACCTGGCTCATTTCTCTGGATGCCTTGTGCAAGGCATTGTGTGCCTGGAAGAGCCTCTCATAACCAGCTTGGGAGATAGATGTGCAGACACAGAGGGGAGAGGCTGGGGAAGGGTGGGAGAGGCAGGCTTCCCATCATGGCAGCTGGCAGGACCCAGATGCAGAGTCCAGGCTGCAGCAGGACAGGAGGGTGCAAGACGGAGAAGGGGGACAAGAAAAAGTAACTCCTCAGGATGATGGCACTGAAGGTTAAAGTCATGTGACCTAGAGAAAGCCCCCCAAAGCCCTACACACAGAGGCAAGACATTGCGTTGAAGCCTTAAAACAAAGAAACGAACAAACAAACATGGGAGGGGGGACAGTGTGGTTATCACTGTCAAATTAGTCAATACTGTTTAAAATCCAAATCTGGTATATTTTTAACTTGTACTTGTCTTTCAGAATTTCTGTGGAAAAGCATCAATATTGCATTCCAGTAGATGGGGGAGGTGGAGAGCCGTTTATTTACTCTCAAAGATGGATTAGGGATGACTGGACAACCTCAGCCATAGCTCCCCTCTCCTGACTTGCTCAGGAGCCCCATGTGGGGTGCCCATGGCCTGTGTGGGTGGCACCTTGGGCAGTCATGCAGCCACCATGTGCCACAGTGGGCGGTGGGACACTGCCTGTTGACACTCATCTCTGTTGGGGCTGTGGTTTCTTCTATGGGGACAAATGATTAAGGAGGGAAGTTTACCTTTTCTCGTGAAATGAGGAGGATTCCCTGAAATTTGCCTGGTCTTGGGGATGGTGTGGGGTATCTGGGAAGATAATTAGCATTTCCAGAAAGGGCCTCACTGCCTTCTGGGACACATTCAGAATTTGAGTAGCCAAAAAATGGAAACCAGGGACAAGAAGATGAGTACAGGAAGTGAGATATGCAAGTATTTTTCCTTTCAAAAAGCTAGGGAGGGGCCGGGTGCTGTGGCTCACGCCTGTAATCCCAACACTTTGGGAGGCCGAGGTGGGTGGATCACCTGAGGTCAGGAATTTGAGACCAGCCTGACCAACATGGTGAAACCCCATTTTTACTAAAAATACAAAAATTAGCCAGGCATGGTGGCAGGCTCCTGTAATCCCAACTACTCGGGAGGCTGAGGCAGGAGAATCACTTGAACCCAGGACGTGGAGTTTGCCGTGAGTTGAGATCACACCATTGCACCCAGCCTGGGCCTGGGCGACAGAGCGAGACTCTGTCTCAAACAATAACAACAACAACAATAACAACAACAAAAAGCTAGGCAGGGATACACAGTATTGAATTCATATTTCAAACACTTTTTGAGCTTTTTAAATGGAGAATTTGGCCTAAGACCTCATGTGTCCCAGCCCTTGATGACAGATGAATTCGGGGCTGTTGGGAGTGGAATGCATCCATGCCTGGCATCCCGACGGCACCAGGGCACTGTGTCGTGGCAGGTGCAGTATAAATCCAGCTCACTCAAAAGACAAGCTCCCTGGTGTCAAACACAATCAACTTTAGTTGATCAGCAAGAATTCAACTCCTTTGACCGCAAGAAAAGACTCAATGTATATGTCCAGTTCAGCAACAAAAGCCTGTTAATCTTGGGTGTTTGGTGCCTTAGAAGTTGGGCTCTGAGGGGGGGAGTGACAAAGGGGGTTCTGCCGTGTGCCTGAGCAGTGGGGACAGCAGCGGCAGCATCCTGGAGGGAGGCCTCAAGCACCTAGCTGGGGGGAGGCGGCACCTGGAGGAGCAGGTGAGGGGGAGGCACTCCCGGCTGGGTTGAAGGCAGCTCTTTGGGTTGCACAGAGTCTGTGCTTGGGAAAAGTACTCCGGGCTGTGTCTCAGGCAGATCCTTGGGCTGCAGGGAGCCTGTTTGCGGGCAAGGCACTCCCTGCTGTGTTGGCTGTGTCTCAGGCAGATGTTTGGGCTGCAGCGAGCCTGTTTGAGGGCGAGGCACTCCCGGCTGTGTCTCAGGCACATCCTTGGGCTGCAGGGAGCCTGTGGTAGGGAAAGGCACTCCTGGCTGTGTGGAAAGCAGATCCTTGGGCAGCAGGGAGCCTGTGCATATTGGGACTGTGCAAGGGCTAAGCTGAGGTACCTCCCCTGTAGGGAAGAGAAGAGAGAGAAGGTCACCGTGATGGCATTCGAACTGGGCTCAGAAGGCTGCGGTTGCCTGGCTCAAAGGGATGGGGCCAGGACCCATCGGGACCCACAGGGTGGGCCTTGCTGTGCTCCTCCTCTCTCCCCTTGGTGCTGCCTCCAGCCTGGACTCCTCCTTCCAGACTCAGCTCCAGCGTTCAAAGTCCCCTCTTCCTCTCCAGGCAGCCTTGGGTCTCTGACTCTGGACTCCCTCAGCCCTCCAGTCGAAATTGTTTGCTTCCCCCTGGTAGCTAGGAGGAGGCCCCAATTACCTCTGTGCCCCAGCATGGCACAGAAGGCTCTAGTGAGCATGTGGAAGGGATGAGTGCTCACCACAGCCCTCAAGGCTGGCTCCAGGGACCCTTGGGTGGGTGATGAGCTGAGAAGGCAGCAGCTCCACGGTTCCCTTGGTTTGGGAAGAGGATGATCCAGACCCGTAGGAAGAGCAAACTCTGTTTTGCAGAAGCAGCTGCTTTGCTTTCATCTTGGGCACACACTAGTGTAGCCAGGCACCACCCACACAGCTGCAAGCCACACAGAGATTGTCTTTGTGTTCATCTGTGATGCCTTTCTCTCTGCTGGCTTCTTATGCTCATGATCGGGGCAACCCTGTCTGAAGACTTGATCAGGGCCTTTCAAAAAGGCCCTCAGGGTCACTATAAGTAAGGTCAAAGGGACTGGGGTTCAATCTAGCCTCTGACCTCAGGCAAGTCACTCAACCTCTTGGGAATGGCTTTCCCATCTCTTAAATGGGCCCAGCAATACCAAACACAGATTGGTCACCCCAAGTCCATTCTTCCTGTCTTCCTTACTAACGAAGCCTGCTTTTGTTAAGAAAGGCAATGTGGTGCAACAAACCACCACGGCACATATTTACCGATGTAACAAACCTGCACATCCTGCACATGTATCCCGGAACTTAAAATTAAAAAAAAAAAGAGAGAGGCAATGTGCTCAGTTGTAAAATGACCTTTTCCCAGTCTCCCTTGCTGAGCAACATGGCCATGTGAATGCATTCTGGCAATGGAGTATAAATAGGAATTGTTGGACATTGCTTTAAAGAAGGCTGCTTTCCCTTTTTCCTTCTTCTTCCTGCCTGTAATATGAGTGTGATGGCTGGAGCTCCAGAAGCCATCTTATAAGCATGAAAGCAAATTGAAAGCCTGGCCTTTTCAAGGAGAATTGTTAGGTTTCCCCAAGGCTGTTCTCTTGGGGCTTAGCAGGCAGGCAATTAGATAACAATCTTTCTCAGAGCTGCTCAGCTCTCCCATTTCTCAATTTGTATAGGCTGTCCTCTGTTTCTGGAATGTTCTTCCTAACCTTGTCTGCCCAGTGAACTGCTGCTCACCTTTTCAGACTCAGCTCCAGAGTGGCCTCCTCCAGGAAGCCCCTTATCCTTGCTCCCAGCTAAAGTGACCACCCTGCTTGGTATTTCCAGTCATGTCCTGGCAGAAAGCTGAGCCCATTGTGGGAAGTGCCCTGTCCTTCTAGATGTGCCTGTCCCTGCTCTGCAAGCATGAGGACTGTAACTGCATCCCCTTCAGCACCTGTGGCTGGAGGGCTGCAGCAGGATCCCAGGATGCCAGTGGGCATATGCTACTTTGCCTCGACCTCCCCATCTGTGATGTGGCGCTGATGATGCCCACATACCAGGGCAGGAGCAGCAGCCCATCAATGCTTGTGGTTTCCCTGGCGTGGGGCCTGTTCTGCTCCTTCTGTACTCAAGGCCACCCTTCCCGGCTGCCTGGAATCCCAGGGGTCTCCTGCCAGGCCAGTCTCAGCCTGATGGTCCCAAGGAAACGCTCCATTCCTCACAGGTGTTCCACAGACCATGCAGACTTTGAGCTTGCTTGAACCTGTCATTCATGCATAAAGCCTCCCCTTGGACATGTGAGTGACAAATGCCTCAAATGCTGGATTCCCCTACAGAGATGGTCTCTCTCTTACTGAGAGGGGCCCTTCTCCCATCTAGGCCCCGTCCTGTGACCTGCCCTCTCCTGCCCCTGCCCTGCTAGTCCCCATCCAGGATGATGCTGACTTTCCCCTTGTGCCCCCTCAGACCCTGTCCTGAGCCACCTGTGTCTGCAGCTGCCTGTCCACCCTCCTTCATGCCCGATTGGGCTCCTGCCACCTGTTCAGGGATTCAGGCTTCCTTCTTAGTACAATCCAAGTGTGTTAGCCTGCTCTCCCTGACTCCACCCATCCCCAAATCTAGTCCTCCCAGGACCATCTTCCCTCCCAGCTCACACCCTCCAGAGAAGCTCTGCACTGCTGGCAGGATCCAGTCCCTCCACCCAGCCTGCACGCCAGACCGTCCCCTGCCAGGTTCCTGGGGTCTCCATACCCTGCCTTCAGGCAATCACAGCCCAGCTACTAGAAGAGCTGGCCATGCCCTGGCACCCTCCCTCGCTCCTCTTGAGGGCTCTGCTCCTCACCTCTCCATGTTGCACGCCCAAGCCCAGCCATCCTGAGCCTCAGCTCTGGTGCTGCCTCTGACAAGCTGCCTTCCTTGAAGGGGAGCATCCTGGTCCCAAAGCCCCAGAGCACTAGAGCTGAATCTCTTTCTCTTTCTCCAGACAGCCTGTCTCTCTCCTTGCAGCACAGAGTTGGGGTCCCTTCACATAACAGCACCCTCACCCTGCCTGCCCCAGGTCACACACAAAGCTCAAGGCCGTACCCAGAGCAAGAGCGACCAGAGAGTCTATGGGCTTGGCCCAGACCTCCACCTGGAGGAACACGGATGTTTTCTCCACGTTTCCTTGGGGCTCAAGAAGGTTCAGCACTGTATTCCACCCACCACTGCCCTCCTGACCACAAGCCGACTGGACCCAGAGTGCAGGTCACTCCATCAGGATGTGCTGGACCACAGTCCAGGCCTCACAGAGGTGGCTTTGTCATGGGGGCTTGAAGCCCCACCTCACTCCTCCTGGGCACCACCCAGACTATAAGGCCCAGGCAAGATCTTGGCTTCTGGTCAGTGCTCTCCTCTGTCCACTCAGGCCTCAGCCCCCAACCTTTTTTCCTCTGAGCAATCCCTAGGGGCAGCCAAGGCCATTGTGCTCAAACCCTCTTCTGGCATGGTTAGAAGGCATGGCGGGAACCAGAAAGGATAATGCCACTCCCAGAAGGAGTTGGCCCCTCCTCCTGGCACTGCCACCCAGCCTGAGGGATCTGTGGGGATGTTGTGAGGGGCTGCCTCCGTTCATTTTTGTGGGAGGAGGAAGTGCCAGCTGTGGGGCTCAGGGGCCTGCTGACTGCTGTCCACTCATTTCTCCCTGCCTTCCATCATCCCTAACACCAGTGCTGGGTGAGGGCAGGGGTGAGTCACCCTGCCCAGCCCCTGTTCCTTCCTTTTATCCATCTCTACTCACAGCTATTCCTCTTTTTATCCATCTCTACTCACATACTATGAGTCCACTAACATTTTTAATAAATAACCCTTTTAGCATGAAGATGAAAAAAAAAAAAAACCCAGATGCCTTACAAAGAAAGACCTTCTGATCAGCCAGGCCTTCCTGTGATAAATACCTTTACTCCATGGCCTAAAACTGAGCTTAGAGCCACTGTAAAGGACTTCCCTAACCCAAGGGTGAAGGCTCAAGGGTTTACTGAGGAATTTCGAATGGCTCCCTGACCTTAACCAATTTATTCACATAATATTGGGGCCTGGTGAAGCTAAGAAATGGATGGCAGCAGCAGAATGGGGTGGACCTGAGGAGGATATTAAAGACCCTCAAAAACCCCTGCATGAGAAGAGGTAAAAGGAGCTAGAGAAAATGCTGAACACATTTTACATTCAGTTCCTAAGATTGTTCCAGAAAAAATTGATTGGTGCATCATCCAACCCTGCAGACCAAAGCAGGAGGAACCAGTTTCAGATTACAGAACTTGCTTAGAAACACTGTTTCTGAAATATTTTGTGCTCAAAATATAGCAAGGAGTATTTCCTTCAGAGACTGGAATGGCATTAACTGCTGTATTTACAAATGAGCTCCGTCCTGAACTTGGCAGTTCAATTAAAACCCATAAGCCAGGATGGAAAGTTACAGACATGACTGAATTGGTGGCCTTAGCTGAACATTTTGAGAAGACTCTAGAGCAAGAAAAAACCCAAAAGGCTAACAATCTTATGCCTCTCCAATTACACCAGTTACAGGGGCCAAGACCAAAGGGACCTTCTCATTTTTATTTTAAATCACAAGCAAGAGGTGCAGAATAAGGAATTCCTTACCCCAAGGTAGATGCCTTCATTGCAAACACCCAGGACACTGGGAAAGGAGATTGTTGACTTTTGTCTCAGTCTACCACCAAGGCTCCTCCCTTTAGGCTGGACTGGTTCACCACTAGAGGGGACCCAAGAGATTTTAATGCTCAGAATAATAAAAATAGACAGGGCTCAGGGATTCTCTAGTAAACTCTCCCCAAAACACCCTTAAATAAACATAGAAAAACAAGATGTAAGCTGGGAATCCTGTGCAATGCTGGTGTATACCAGGGTCGCCTTATCCAGCATAAACCCTACTTTAAAAAGCCAACAAATCTCTTGGCGTGAAAGGATCATCTCTGTGGTGAGGGTTTCGAATCAAGTTCAAGAGGCTTCCATATCTGAACCCGCCTAATCAACTTGAGGATATTTGCAAGAAAATATACCTTTCTACTATGTAACAGTGATCCAGTAAACTTGCCAGGGTAGGACTTTCAGAGTTGAAAGGACACATACAATTCTCCTCAGAGGGAGAAGCAATCGTAGAGTTTCCTGACTCTCCTGAACCAGAATGGTTATGCTCTCTACAGACAAATCGATAAGATCAAAACTCAGGCCCATAATGAAACACCTTTCTAAAACACCTGAATATTTATGGGTCTCTTCCTCAAATGATAGAGAAATAATTAAAAGTGCGGCGTCTATAAAGGTCCAAACTGGTTATTCTAAGTCTTTCCTAAATTACTCCAATATACGCTAAAACCTAATGAAATTAAAGGGCTCTCAACAATTGTAGGAGATTTAACTAAACTAGGATTTAGAATTCCATGTACCAGTCCTTGTTAACACTTCCATCCTACCAGTTAAAAAGCCAAATGGATGAGGTTGAAGATTTGTTCAAGATCTACAGCTAATTAATAAGATTATAATACCAAGATTTCCCATAGTCCAAAATTCAAATACTTTATTACCTAACGTACCCACTGATTTAAAGTGGTTCATGGTAATAGACCTCTGCTCAGCCTTCTTTAGCATTCCGGTTCATAAAGAGAGTCAACATTTGTTTGCTTTTACTCAGAAAAATCAGCAGTACACCTGGCCTTTTCTATTTTTCCCAGGCATTGCCTCAGTACTTAATAACCCTACAGTCTTCTGGACATTCTACTGTTACTCAGTATGTAGATTACCTGTTATGCTCTCCCACTCAACAGTGCTCTGAAATTGGCTCAATTTACCTTCTATAGCAACTCACACATAAAGGTCACAAGGCCTTGATGGAAAAACTTCAATTTTCAAGAGAAATATTTCACTATTTGGGACATGACCTGACTGCTGAAGGGATTTCCCTTTCACCTGGGAGAATTCAAAACTATTCAACATTTTCCTTGGCCTGGAACCAAAAGACATTTAAGAGGTTTTCTTGGACTCACAGGATATTGAGGATCCTGGGTTGCAAATTTTCCCTTAATTGCCTCACCATTGTTTTAGCTCACTAGAAATGCAGTATGGGAATCTTTACCTCGGAAAGACAGTCCAGGCTTTTAACCATGAAACTGGCCTTATGACAGCCTCCAGCTTTAGGACTTCCAAACTACACTAAACCTTTTACCTTGGTTGTTCATGAACACAACAATCAGGTATTAGAAGTTCCTACTCAAGAACATGGGGGAAACATAGGCCCACTGCATATTCCAGTCTGCAATTAGACCCAGTAGTTAGGGAATATTCTAATCATTTAAAAGCAGATGTAGCAGCAGCCAAGTTGGAAGCTTCATCCGAGCTTGTTTTAGGGAATGAACTCAATTCACAAGTCCAACATGCTGTGAAAAGTCTATTAAGTTTCAACCAAACACAGCATTTTTCAGCAAGCCATCTAGCATCTTATGAAATTCTTCCCGATGTCTTCTAATCTCCATCTAAAATGCTGCAACCTACTTAACGCTGCTATTGTATTAACTCTTCCTGACTCTGGTGATGACCACAATTGTGTAAGTGCAGTATTGGAAATAGTGGCCTCTTGCGTTAATTTACGAGACAGTACATTGGCTAATCCTGAGTTATTATTTTTTTGTTCATAGGTCCTATGCCAAAAACTCAAAAGAAAATATCAGGCAGGATATGCCATTACCACCCAAAATGAGCTAATAGAGGAGGGAATTCTTCCTCAACTTAAGTCAGCTCAAACCACAGGCTTTTTGCTCTCACCCAAGTCTGTCCTATAGCTAAGGACAAGTCAGTAAATATTTACACAAATAGAAGACATACTTTTGGAGTAGTACACAATTTTGGCATTTATGGAAACAACAAAGGGTTTCTTACTTCTAGTGGGATCCTCATTAAATAAACGGACTCCAAATAGATAAACTCCTTTCTGCTACCTGGTTACCATCAGAGATGGCCATTATTAAGATTGAAGCTCATACCTGTAAAACTGAACCTGAATATAAAAGGAATGCTCTAGAAGGTATTTATGCCAAATCAGCTAGTGCTGAAACTATTAGGATATACGATTTAAATTAACTCCATAAGATTGATCCAAGTCAATTCTCTCATGATGACCTACTCAGTAAACACTGCAATGCACTTGATTTGGAAAAACAAATTTGGTATCTAAAGGATGTAAATTCAATGTTAAGCATAGACTCACAGAGGGCTCAGATGGCTGCCTGGCCCTTCCTGAGTCTTTGAAGCTTCTACTATTAAAAGCTCTGCATCCCACAACTTGTCCTGAAACAGAATCCATGTTATGAAGAAATACTGGTGGGATGACTGTTTCAAAGTTGCTAAAATGGTTTATAATCAATGTTTGGTTTATCAAACTCATAATCCTGGGAAAACAATAAAAACTTCAGGTAGTATATTTTCACCACTTGATGGGCAATTTCTTTTTTTTTTTTTTTTGAGATGGAGTCTCACTTTGTCACCCAGGCTGGAGTGCAGTGGTGCAATCTCGGCTCACTGCAACCTCTGCCTCCCAGGTTCAAGTGATTCTCCTGCCTCAGCCTCCCAAGTAGCTGGGACTACAGGCATACGCCACCACACCTGGCTAATTTTTTATATTTTTAATGGAGATGGGGTTTCACCATATGGCCAGGCTGGTCTCAAACTCCTGACCTTGTGATCCACCTTCCTTTTGGACACTTACAGATGGACTTCCTTCAGTTGCCAACCTCAACGGGGTATCAGTATGTCCCTGTAGCAGTTTGTATGTTTTCTGGTTGAGTAAAGGCTTTCCCATGTGGGAAAGCTGATTCAATGACAATAGCCAAGAAATTATCAGAAAATGTGTTTCCTTCTGGCGACTCGCTGGAGAAATCTCCAGCAATAAGGAAACTCATTTTACTGTGCAAGTTATAAAGCACTTAAGATATTATGGACATGATGGCACTATCATTGTCCTTAGCCCTCTGTCTTCTGGAAAAGTTGAAAGAACAAATGACATCTTAAAACTCAAATTGACAAAGTTAACTGAGTCAATTGGGTTGCCTTGGCCAAAGGTACTATCATTGGCTTTGATGATAATCAGATACGCTCCTACTGGAAAACATAAGTTGATACCTTACGAAATAGTCACTGGAAAGCATATGCCCCTAGTAACAGAACCGCATGCCTCTCCCACTCTCCTAAACTCTGATATGCTTAAACTTGGTAGGCTTTAATGCATTATGTCAAAGTGTATTCTCACCAGGTAAAGGAAGCTTTTTATGATGCACTGACTGAGGATAATCAAACCTTTCATGGTGTAGAATCTGTAGCTTGGGTCTTCTGGAAATTATGTCAGAGGAAAATTGCTTTGAACCTCATTGGAAGGGACCATACCGAGTCCTTGTCACCACCCACACTGCAGTGAGGCTTCAGGGCCTTGGACCTTGGGTCTGCATTTCACAACTCAGAAAGGCCCCTTCAGACTCTTGGGACTGTATATATATTGCAGACTTTCAGGTAAACCTGATGAGAGAAATTTCTCCCCAGAAGCAGACAACATCCTAGAAATGGACAACTTTTCAAAGATCATAAATTAAGATTTCTCTGACATCATGGAAAACTTAAGTTTTTGTCTTTTCCCCTCATCTCCTGCTGTCCTAATCCTTTCCTTTTCTCTACAGGAAAATTCATGGGACCATAATCAGTGGATGGCTTTAGCTCAAGCTTCTGCTCCAGCATAAAACCCGAGCAATTGGGTTTGTGGGCTAAAACCAAAAAAATGAAGAAACAATTCCATTAATGCCAGTGTCTACGTTCCCAAAGAGAATCACCTTGAAACTCCAAAGGATGAGTGGAAAGTTGTCCTTGATACACTAAACATAATTGCTACTTTCTTTCCTGCACTTGCTAGAAACAACACTCTAACATTTCCAATTAATAACCTGATTGTTACCAAATATACAAAACCTATTCAAGTGATACCTGCAAAAGGTATATTTGGCTTCCAGGCACTAGTCTCTCAAGACCTGGGAATTATCTACGTGGGTACAAGTAATTGCTTGTATAATGTCACCAGATTAAATTCAGTAGGGTACTTTTTAAAAACTAAATGTGGTTATATACCTTTACAACATATTATAAGGGAGGTACAAAAAAGCAAACTTCCTTTTATGCAGACTGATGGGCAAACAATTTTTTTTTTGAGACAAAGACTCCCTGTGTACCCCATGCTGGAGTGCAGTGGCATGATCTTGGTTCACTGCAACCTCTGCCTCCTGGGTTCAAGTAATTCTCATGCCTCAGTCTCCCAAGAAGCTGGAATTACAGGCATGTGCCACCACACCCAGATAATTTTTGTATTTTTAGTAGAGATGGGGTTTTGCCATGTTGGCCAGGCTGGTCTCAAACTCCTGGACTCAAGCAATATGCCCACCTAGGCCTCCCAAAGTGTTGGGATTACAGGAGTGAGTCACTGCACCCGGCCATGGGTGAACAATTGTAACAAACCCTTGCTCAAATACAACTAAATGGACACTTCTCCAACCCCTAAGGGCCTATATTGGGTCAGTAGAGAATGTGCTTATTCCATTATGCTGAACTCCTGGGAGGTCTGTCTGGCTACAAAATTTAAGAATTTTCCCAATTTAATGATTAGCTCTAAATTTCATACAGTGGGTTCCCCACTACCAGCAAGAGTGAGCCCCCAGGAAACCAACTGAAATCTTTACTCAGTAGAAACTAGCTTCTCTTTGTCTGTTTCAAAGTTGGTGCTAACTTCAGTTATTGACTGTTTTTGCTTCTGATCACAGGACCTATCATGGGAACTTTCATGGGAAGGTATTTGAAAGGCAGGAGTTAGCCATATCAAATAGCCAGATGTGAACCATGAGTAAAAGCCATACTCCAAAAGAGAGGTGATGACATATACATTCACATGGAACATCATGCAGCTTCACATCTCCTTTTTGCTACAGTTGAGGGCTTGTGTTTGGTATTGAACACAAGTGAATGTTACACCTATCTCTCCTCTGATTTTGTTACTACAGAAAGTTTAATTTAAAAGGTGGCTGGCTGGTATTACTGTTTTCTTAGACTCTGCCACCAAATACATTAAGAAAATCTCTCAAGAGAAAGGAACACATAATGTGTTTATGGGAGCAACTGACAGTTGGTTTGCAGGCATCCTAAATGGTGGATGACAAACTTGGGTTTTCTAATCTTTATATTTATTCTAGCGACTTTCCAGGCTATCATGCTTGTGTTACCAGGCTAACAACAAAGATGAATGCCTCTACAAATCAGGCCATTTTACAGTGAATTATGGCCTGTACACCCTGAACAAAGACTATGACTAATCAACTTAAACACTGTTGAGCTGCCTAGACTGCCTGAACCTTGACTTGATTGATTTGGGTCAGTTTGCTTCATAAGAAACATTGTTAAGGAGTTCACTTTGGTCTTTTGATATCATCCTCTTTGTAGTCATCCTAATAGTCCCCGTGGTCCACTGAACCCTCTAAAATCTTCGATGTGTTGTATGCAACCATCCATTGAGCATAAGTGGTCTCACTTCTACTAAGTCAGCAAGAGCATACAAAAGTATTGAAGTGGCATGATGTTGTGACTTGTGAATTCCATACTGAGATCAAGTAACTCATTTTTGATGGTGACAGAGAGTGGCATCAATGCCCAAAGTTTTGGTCAACCTCCCCAAATTGAGAGGCCACTCAAAAGAGTGAAATTGTTAAATAAAACTAAATTTTGGTCTGAGAAAGCCTCCATACTCACATACTTGAGTTCTCACATATGAACCACAGCCTAACTCAGTACATAAACAAACTGAAAACCCAACTGCGGAGTATACTTCTATAATGGGAGCTGAGCCTTGGCCATTCACAGCAGCCACACTTCAGCCACTCACAGCAGCCAACTGTTGAAATGAGGACACACAGAGCTGTTGCCAATTCAGCTGTTACTGTACCTCAGTTCCGTTTTCTCTATGTCGTTTTCCCTTTTCTGTTCCAAAATCTTATCTGACCCTGTGGTAGCCCTGGAAACTCTCTGAGTCTGTCCTGATTCTGAGGGCTGCCCTATTTGGAATCATGTTTTGTTTTTTCTGCTCAATTCAACTCCGTTACATTTAATTTGCCTGATGTTTTTCTTTTGACATATGTTAAACAATCCTTAAACATCCATAAGTGCACTTGAGCTCACCTGCATACACACTGTCAGTACCAGGGGCTATCACCACAATTATATACTCTATTTATTGTTTGCTCGATTTGGGGCCATTATTTTGTCAGCCTCTTGTTTTTCATTATTTTAATTTTTGGAGCTTAATGTTTAACATTGGATAAGGCAAGTCTTCTCTCACTGCTTTTCTGTATTAAAAATTTCTTAATGATTCTTAACTGTCTATTTTTTTCGAGTGAACTTGTCGTTTTGATCAAATTCCCTAAAAATGTTTCATTACAATTTTCACTAAAATAACATAGCAAGCTCATGAATTCCTCTGGGAAAAGTTGACATTGTGCTCTAGATTCTTATATTTTCAAATTTCTCTTGTACCAATAAGTAAAGTTTTATAGTTTCTTTTCATCATGGGTCAGCATATTTGTGTTACACTTATATATGGGTATTTTGTTTTTTATTGCTATTGTAAAGAGAAAGGAATCTTTCATGTTTATTTCCACCTCCTTTGTTTCTACTTATTTATTGCAAAACATTCCAGTAAAAACTTACCACAATCATTCCAGACCTAGTGTTTACCCACTGCTGAGGGATCCTCCGGAGCAGGACCCCGGGCACTAACACTGAGGCCACCTCCCCTCCTCTGCCCCAGTCTATCCCAGGAGATCCAGGGAGCTCTGAGGTATGGGTCTACACTTGCACTGATGAAGAGGAGCAGGGTTGGGGTGCCTCACAGTAGAGGAGACCTCCAGGTGGCTGCCCCCTGAATCTGTGGGGTAAGTGTAAGGTGGTGAGGAGGTTCCTGGAGTTTGAGAGGGTCTCCTTCCTCACTGCCTCTCTACTGATTGCAGATATCTAAGCCAGCAACTAATTACTTCTCACATCAGCTCAACCACTCTAAGGTAAAGGGACATTTCCTGAAGTGATTGGCAAACAATCAGAAACCTTAATTGCCAGTGCTTTGGAGTTTTGGCTCAATCTTTGTATTTCCCGATTATGTTACAGAAATGTGTGTGTGTGTGTGTGCATGTGTTTTGGGGTTGGAGGGGTGGTGCTGAGGAGTCGAAGGGAAGGCTCTCTGTAATTGCAATACCAAAGTTATGATCTGAAACTTTCCCAAAAAGCACTGGCTTCAAGAACAGCTGCAAGCTGGGATTCCTGGACAGTTGGAGGCCACAGCCAGCCTGGCTTTGCCACCCCTGTCCCTTGGTCTAGTGCCCTCCACGGGCATATGGCCAGGAGGAGAACTCAGGAGCTCCATGGTCATGAATGCATCCTAAGGCCCGTCTGCATTAAGCTCCAATTGTTACCCAGAACAACTATCCCAGCAAACATGAGTACGAATTTAGAAGGAGGTCTGCAAGTGACAGTGTGAAATCAAGATATTAATATTCACAAATGTATCATGTGTAAATTTCAGTAAATTCTCATTAGAAGCTGTTGATAGTTTCTTGGAAATCATGACTTCCAGTGAAACAGTGTACAAGAAAACAGACTGGATCATAGATTAATTGATATTAGTAAATTAAGGTCCTGTGGCATATATCTAGTCATGAAGGCATCATCAAACTTCTAAATAAAAACCAAAATGCTTCTAATATTAAACATTGAAATAAATGTGAGCTATACACACCTTTAAGAAAAGTTAATAAAAGCAAATAACATAATTATTTACTCAGTTATTCCAGCTTAGGGTCGCAGGAGGCTGGAGCCTATCCCAGCAGCTCAGGGTGCAAGGTGGGAACTAACCCTGGACAGGATGTCATGTCCTTGCAGTGTGCACTCACATGCCCACACACTCACACAGCACCCATAGAGACACGCCAATCCACCTGATGTGCACATCTCTGGGATGTAAGCAGAAACTGAAGTACCCAGAAAAATTCCCTGCAGCCATAGCAACAACATGCAAACTCCACACAGACATTGGCCTCAGCTGGGAATGGATTTTTTTCTGATCAGCATCATCATTTCTCACTCGGTGTTCAGATGACGTTGAATGAAACGTTATTTGAGGACCTGCCGTGTGACATTTTGCACTGTAGAGAGATGCACTTGCAGGTGTTCCATAGATCACTCTGACAGCAGGACATGGGGTGGAACCTGACTCAGACATGAGCCTCCCCTCAGGTCAGTTCATAACCCGGCTCTACCACTCAACAACCCTGCCATGTTGAGCCCATCACTAAACATCAGAGCTTCGGTGTCCACAGCTCTGAAATGCAGACAGTAGTGACTACCTTGCAGGACAGAGAGGTGGCCATGCACACAGTAAGGACCTGGAGCCAGGTTGTTGGATGCTGGTCCTATTGCTTCCTGGCTGTGTGACCCTGGGTGGGTTACCTAACTTTGTAGGGCCTCTAGCTTCCTCCCCACAATAGAGTTATGGCATATATTAGTTTGTGGAATGTAGTTGCAACAGTGTCTGGCCCACCTTAAGATCTATATGAATGGCAGCTATGAGCCTTCCTGGGTGTTGTGAGAATGAAATGAGATCCAGTTTCTAAAGGGCCTCCTGCTGTGGTGCGCACACGAATTAAACTCACTGGAAAGGCTGTTATATCATTGTGGGCACTATATTTGGTGACAGAGAGTAAGGTTTCACACTATTAGCCTGACTTTCCTGATGGATCGAGTGATATTGTTTCCCATTAACATAATGAGTATCCACAGGATAAGGTGAAGGAGAATCCTCAGCATGGATGGGAGGTAGAGTTTGGCTCAAGAGACTCGGAGTTGTGCTGCTTCATTTTGTATAAGTGTGTAGTGGGGATGGCCTGGAAGAGGACACTATCAAAAAATTTATTCAGGGAACTGAAGGTGATGGAGCAGGGAGACACACTCAATTTAAAACAAAAATTGAAATTAAACAAGACTGACTGCTTTTGCCACAAAAATGCTGAGGTTTTTGGTAAACTGAGCCTTGGAGAATTTCCTGCATTATTATGTGCCAAAATGCAAAAATGTTTGGATTTGCTGAAACAATAAACTAAACAAGGTTTTAAAAGGCAGCAGCTCCTCTAAATTCGACAGCACATTCCAGTCAAACAGGCTCATCAACTTCCCGAGCTTATCACACTCCCCAGGTCAGCCCACAATGCCAAGTCAGGAAGAAGAGTTTGGAAATAGCCTCCTCACAAGGCCGGGCATGGGTGGAGAAAGAGGCATGCACTGGTTCTGTCAGGATCCCCCAACCTGCTGAGGGCCTGAGTGAATCCCTGTCTGAGGGGAGATCCTGGAAGAGGGGTGTGCAGCACACAGGTGGCCTCTTCACTCTGCAGTGAAGAGACAGACAGCCTATGCCTGTCCTGGCAGGACGTCTCACTGATGCCTCCACAGCCGTGCGGTTGCAGTTGGGCTGCCTGGCTGGGGCCGAGCCACCCATCCAAGCCTGGTCTCCAGCGGGTTCTCACTGAGATGCACTCTCTCTCCTCCAGCCTCAGGGCTGCTTCTCACTCAGGGACCCCTGGCTCAGGCAGGAAGGTCACATTCCCAGTGTCTCTGAGCAGGAAGCTGCTGAGCTCACCAGCAGCCTGGCTGGTGTCTGGCTCTGTACACTCATGACTAGGCTTACAGTCTGACCCTGTGGCTCTGAAACGGGCTGAAGGTCTTAAGGGGATGCATCCTCTTTAGTGCATGATTCATGTTAGACCCTAGGGCCAGCACACCGAAGGCTTAAAGAGGAGAACGGGGAACTCCTGCCAGATTGTCTGAATTCTTGGGTATCCGACAGAAATCTTACAAGACACTCAGTCGGGTGTTCAGGACTATAGTTGGGAAGCACAAGGTCAAATTAGGTTGTCGCAGAAGAGCTAGAAAGGAGCCTAGGTCTACAAGCCACAGCTATGGGCCTCCCTGGGTTAGGGACAGATCTGGGGTTGATTTCTGATAGCCTGGAGGCAGCCACTTACTATCTGGGTGGCCTTAGGCAACTCTCTGGGCCACTCTGGGCCTCTATTTTGCCATTAGTAAAACAGGGATTGTCTCTCCTTTTCCAAGAATCGCAAGGTGGACTTCACATGATGACAGTGGCAAGGGCCTGGCAGAGCCCTGAGCAGTGGTAAGTGCCCTCTGTAATGCAATTACTCTGCCCCCCACCACCCCACCCCTAAACCTTAGCTTCAAAGAGCTGCCCTTGGGAATGAGACAATTTCAGCGACTTGCTCCATCCCCTGTCTCACCACACTGGACAGTAAGGCCATTTCTGGCCCTTTCCCACGCCAACCTTCCCACCTCTTGCCTTTCCTCTGCTTGAGGTGCCTGTTTTCACACTCGGCCGTCAAGCTCTATCCCTCCTAAGTGTCTCACCTGTTCAGTGCATAAGGCTGGACTAGTGCCATGTGACCGGAACTGGGCTGTAGCAACGTGGAGAGGCCTTATGGGACCTCGGATGGAAAGTGGGCTTCTGTGCAAGCATGGCTGGGATTGAGAGCCCTGTGCAGAGGCACAGAGCCAGGAGCCCAGCGGCTGGAGGAGCCCTGCATGCCTCTGACACCAGCAGTGCCCTGCCAGGTGTCAGCACGCCTCCCAGGGGCTCCCGGCCCATTTCTTATCAGCAGCATCCAGAGGCTTGCAGCCTGCAAGGCCTTGTCCATGCACAGCCACCTGGCCACTGAGAACCTATGCTGGCCTGATGCAGGAGGTCTGGCCAGTGCAGGTCCCTCTATAAACCCTGGTGATGAAATCATCTTCCAGGTGCAAAGGGCTGGACTGTGGGAGGCACAGGCAGATGAGTCCCAGGCCGAGCCAGAAGCAGGGCTCTCCAGGGCCCCAGGGCCTAAGCAGAGAAGCCCCTTGGTGCTGATCCAAAAGGAGAGCAGTGCAGAGTAAGGGCAGGAGTCAGCCCAGTTCACATCCAGCCCTATCACTCGTGGGCTTTAGGAGCAGGGACATGCTACTTAATATCTCAGCACTTTTGTCCCCTTCACCAAACTGGATAATAATAGCACCTACTGGTACAGTTACTGGGAGGATAAAAACAGTGAAAGCATGGCTTAGCCTAACAAATGGCCCATGGGAGGACTGCGTACATTACTGAGGCCTCATTAATAATTATATAATTATTAGTCTTCATTCATAATAAGTTACAAAGAGAAAATCTTAAAAATTTGGTCCTCCCTATGGTCCCAAGGCAATGAACCAAGGAAGGAATCCTTATTCCCTGTTAGAACCAGTCACTGTTGCCCAACAACTCTGTTAGCCATCCTAGCCAGCACTCCTGGCCCCAGGTGATGAACAAAGGAAGAGCTTTGATGCCATGTCCAGAAACTGGCTGGGATGCCCATGGGCACCGTTTCTGTGTGTCTTGTGCCGTCCTCTTTTGCAGATGCCTGACATGGCTCTCTGAGCCCCAATCCCAGAGGACAGTGGTCAGGGGAAAAGCAGTGGCCTTTTGTCCATCAACTGTGTCCCTGTGCCCTAGCTCACCTGGTCCCTGCTCTGACAACACATCCATGGCACCTGGTGGCAGCTTGCGTGAGAGAGGTCACAAAAGGTATCCAGATTGCCCTGAAAAGCAACGTGGCCATGAGGAAGACATGCAGCTTGGACACTGCCTCCAGAAGGCATCAGGACTCCCCAGCCCCCCACAGCTCTGTGCCCAGGAAAACACCCAGACAAAGCTCCCATCCCCCTCTGGGGGAGGGGCCTGGCAGCCTTGTGTGCTGGGGACATGGTCACTGTGGCCACAGAGAGTTTTGGAATCTAGAACAAAACAGTATTTTGCTGAAGGAAGAGAAAACGCCAGGGGCAGATTCAGATAAAAAGTCCAAAGACAGGAGGAGCCTGTGGTTCTGAGCAGAGGTCCTGAAGGGGAGCATGAGTTAGGCCTGGGGGCCCAGCATGGGGGCCTGGGCAGGGAGAAGGAGCCTTGCTGCTGGGGCACACAAGGGGAAGGCAGGTGAGAGGACCATGCCCTGCTCAGGGAGTAGGTACCTGACACCAGGGAAGAGAGAAGAGGAAGGCAGAGAAAAACAGGCCAGAAAGCAGCCCAGGACCCACGGCGGGCAGCCCCTTGGCCACTCGGCGCTGCAGTCAGGCCTTTCTGGGCTCCGGTGGGGATGGGATGAGGGCCGTGTGTTGCAAGGCAGTGCAGGCCGCTGGCAGGTGACTTCCTCCCCCTGGAGACATGTGCCCCACACTCTGAGGAGAGACAGGCCTGGCTTCCCCAGATGCCCACTGAGGCTGCAGAGGAGCCTGACCCTCCCAGGAGGAAGCAAGAGATCCGACCACAGACAGAGCCAGGACCAAGGGGGAGAGGGGCAGAGCCAGGTAGGAACTCTGGGGTCCCTCTCCCTCAACACCAGCCACCCAGGCGCCCTCTCTACCCCTGTGCAGGGTCCCCTGCTGCTGTCTGGCAGGGTTCCCCTCAGCAAGATGGGCCCTGGACCCGCCCGTGAAGGAGGTTTCCTCAGGGAGAGTGGCTGTTGTGTTGGCTCCGGGGCTCAAGCTCCTGCACAGGTGTCTTGTGAGGGCGCTTTCAGGCCTCCACCTCCTCCCCTCCCTGCAGCACCTGTCAGCCCATCTCAGCAGGCGACAAGCCCACTCAGTGACAGCTTTTCCTCACTGCCTGAAGATTCTGCTGCCCGGGCTGGCAGGTGCCCCTGGCATCCTTGCAGTGTTCGTGGTGGTGAGAACATGTGTCAGGACTGGTCATTTCTATTTTTTTTTCTGATCTGCATGACCTTTTGTGACTCAGGTTGCTTGACTCATGCGCCTGCAGGCAAGTGGTCTAAAGCCAGGGGCCACTGCCAGAGCTGAGGCACCCCTGTGGGAACCAGGGACTGGTCAGACATCAAAAGCTGCCACTGTACAGAAACATGGATCCTTCTAGAGAGGGAGTTCAATGTGTGGGGACAGACCCGGTGGTGCAGGGGACAGGAGCCCTCATATATGCCTGCCACTGGGGCACGAGGGTGAGGTGGGCATCTGGTTGCTCTTGACATCAAGTGTCCAAAGTCCAGCCCCTGTAGAGCCTGCCTTCCTCCAGGGCCCAGGTCTCCACAGTGGGACCCATCTGCCCCCTCCTCCCACAGTCCCATGCTGGGGTCACAGCCCCTCTCCACTGTGCCCTTCTCACCTCTATCCTTCTCATCCCGCCCACTCCTTGGCATCCACAGCAACAAATAATCACAGTGGGGCAGGTGTTTACAGGAGCTGGGGGCGGAGGCGGGAGTGGAGGTGGTGGAGGCGGAGGCGGTGGTGGTGGTGATGGTGGTTTTTCCTGCTCTGGCTCCTAAAAAAAGAAAAACAACTGTCTGCTCACAGTGCTGGCAGGGCACAGTGCTGGCCACTCCCAGATGTGTGTCTGGGGAATGAAAGGACCAGAAAGAAACCCACACCACAGTGGAGGGTCCTTCATGTGAAAAACACGCAAACTCCTCCTAGTTGGCAGACATGGCTCTTCTCGTAAATGCCAACGACTTTGTCTCTGTCCCCTTGGTTCTCCCGTGGCTGCCCTTGTTGAAAGAGGCCTGCCCTGGGGGTTATGCAATGGTCCCAGCATTTGCAGGTGACTGTCCGTATCCACCTGGTTGCAGATGCAGCCTCCCCTAGACCACTCTGCAGCACCGCAGAGGCCACCCTTGGCCAGGGTTGCCTGTTCCCACCCCATCCCAGGCCCAGGGCCTCCTGCCTCAGCTACTCACCACTGCCCATGGCCCCTGGGGTGGGTCCCCGACCCAGGTGAGCCACAACTTGTTCCCGGACTCCTGGCCCCTGTGCTCACTGGGCTGGTGTCCTTCCCAGCTCGGTGCCCACCAGGACTCCCCCATCCCTCAGCCCTGCAGTCCTGAGAGGCTAACCCCAGCCAGCCCCTCGTCCCTGCCAGGAGACATGGATCCAGAGAGGCCAAATGGAGCCACACCTGCCTCTAGAGCCTGGGGACAGGGCCAGGTCCCTGAAACACGGGGCTCCTTTTCCAGAGCGCCTCTGTCCTTAGCATCTTACAAAAGGTCCTTGACAGAGAGCCCCATTTATTCAGGACAGATCATCACAGTTGCTGAAACTGGCCACCCCAGGCTGCGAACTGGTGACAAGGCTTATGTTAAGGGGTGCAGGGAGCGGAAAGGGCATGCTGGGGACATCACTGTGAGTCCCCCATCTTCTCAGGCTCCATTCTGCCCCTCTGTCAACTTCTCTGCTCAAGCAGATGGAGATCATGGGGCGCAGGCTTCATGGCACTCTTGGTGAAGGTCAGTGGGCTCCTTGGGATGTGACAATATCGGGACCAGAACTGCAACTTACCTTTTCTGGCTTCTGCACAGGTGGTGGCTCCTTGACAGTCTAGAATGTTCAAAAGAGACAAACACAGGCTGGATGGGGGTGGGCGGGCTCTGCCTTGGCCCTGCACACAGCTGGGACCCTGGCCTGGAGCACCAGGACAGAGCACTGCCTTTGGGGTGTCACTCTGGCCACCCTGAGCCTGTGAACTTGTACCCGGCAGGCTCCTCCTCCTGGGCCTCAGCCTCCAACCTTACCAAAGGGGAACCCCTGTACCGCCGCTGTGGGGTTCCTAGGGGTCAGCCAGGCCAGGGACCAGGTCCCTAGTGAGGCCCAGCCCCTACAAGTGTCCTTCTCTGCCCACAGCCACATGGAGAAGACAGCGTTCGCCCCACTTCCCTTCCTTAGGGAGAGCCTGTCTGTCTACAGGAGCCCTCCCTGACCTCCCAGCCTCATGGCTGAGTCCCGGGCTTCCTCCCCTTGCAGCTCCCTATGCAGACATGAGCCCTGTGTGTTCCCTGGGCTGAGCTCTGCGCTCTCCTCCTTCTGCTCTGTTCTCTGTCTGCAGCTCTCTGAGCTGGGTCCGTCCACCCCAGCTCCCAGCACCCCTTCCATCTTCCCTGCCCCGGGCTCCATCTCTGCTTTTGGGTCCTGCTCCGCCTTACAGGGAGCCCTTCCCACTCCTGTGGGGTGGACATTTCACCCTCAGCCATGACAGGACAGAACTGTGAGCTGCCTGTGGGGAATGGTAGCCACCATTTCTGTCCCTGCCCAGCCCAGTATGGGGCCCAGGGGAAGCTGGAGCTCAGTAAAGACAGATGAAGGAATGGGGAAGGAACTAGACATGTGCCGAGATCCACACTGGTTCCTCAAGGTACAGACAGCTGGGGGTTACAGCGTCCTCCATTTGGGCCAGCAGGGCCTCATGGGGGCCCCTCTCTTCCTCCCTCCACACAGAGGCCACCTCCTGGCCCTTGTCCATCTGAGGCTTCCAGAAGTCTGGATTGTTGAGGCAGCCCTGGTTTCAGGGGTTCTGGGGTCACTTCTCTCTAGGAGCCAGGGCAGGCCTCAACCCCATGTCCAGGGCATTCCAGGCCAGCTCTCTGTGGCCAGCCCGGGGCAGGAGGCCCTGCAGAAGCCCAGGCTTGCTAGGCTCTGGGAACGTGTGGACAGGTCTGCGACTCCCTGGGCTCACGTGATGAGCTGGGAGCTGAGGGAAACTTCCCACAGGCGGGATCACGGGGGGCAGTCACATGTTAGAGTCCCTCAGAGGGTGGGCCTGTGCCTGGGCCCCAGAGCTGGGCGGGCAGGGAGCACTTGCCTGCTTGCGGCACAGCCGCCAGACACAACACAGCAGCAGTGGCACAAGCAGCAGGAGTGGCACAAAATAGAGCCAGTTGCGGAAAATGCCCTGGTGGAGAAAGAGAGCACCATAGGAGGGCCTCGGTGGCCTCTTCCCCGTGCCCACCACTTGGTGGCCCATCTGCCCACTCCTCACTCTCCCTAGCTGGCCCCGCATCCGGGTACTACAGTGGGGCCAGCGGCCAGGGCTGGGCCCCAGAGAGCTATAGACCCTTTCTCTGGCCCTGCTGAAAGTCTCTGCCCCAGAGCCCTGCCAAGAAAGTCCCGGAAGCTTCCATGGTCTGATGATCCCACCCTCACTGCACACCTCGCCTGCAGCACAGGGCTTCTGTGAGGACCACAAAATCTACCGGTACAAAGACAGGTGAGGGTGGAGGTGCAGGCACAGGAGCAGGGGCAGGAGACCCGGGTCCATCCCCCACAGCCTCTCTCCCCACTTCCAGGCTCTGCACCGTGGGCACATCCACGCACTGCTCTGAGCCTCAGCCTCCACACCTGTGCAAAGGGAATGAGCCGCCCTCCCTGGGGGCACTTGTGAGGTTTAGAGAGCTCCAAGTCCTGGCTCAGAACCAGGGCCACATGGGGTATAAGCAACGGGAACAGTTCTCTGGGTGTTCTTCGCAATAAAGGAATCTTGGGCGGCATCCGTGGGAAGGCAGGCTGCTCAGGCCTTCCTCATGTCCAGAGCTCTACTTAAGAGAAGGCTGGAGAGGGGAGGGGAGGGGAGTGGAGAGGAGGGGAGGGGAGGGGAGGGGAGGGAAGGGGCAGGGGCCTGTGCTGGGAACCCGGCTGGCTGAAGG
This sequence comes from Homo sapiens, assembly GCF_000001405.40. Taxonomy (NCBI): domain Eukaryota; kingdom Metazoa; phylum Chordata; class Mammalia; order Primates; family Hominidae; genus Homo; species Homo sapiens. The sequence goes on along the minus strand of NC_000010.11, from coordinate 46,308,361 downwards.
AGAGGAACCACTGAGGCTGAGCATGAAGGCCGCTGGCGAGGTGGGAGCCCCATGGCTGCTCCTGATGTGTCTGTCACAGTTGGGCCATCAGTGGGTAGATTCCTGATGGGGAATGCGTGCATTCAGCCTGCAGATCCATGCATGGATGTGCAGGGACAGGCAAGGATAGACCCAGAGGGAAGACTCTCAACACTGGTGTGTCCTCACAAGTGAGACTGGGTACAAGGCAGTGGAGTGGGCTCAGGCCTCCCGCCCGTCCCTCCAGCACATCCTCCTGCCTATGCGGCCCTGGGCCAAACTGCCCAAAGACATGGAGCTCTGAAGAGCAGGCACCTGGGGCACAGCATCTCCATTCCCAGGGGCCTCTTGGAGCTGAGCTCGGGTCCGAGTGCCTGAGAGCCTCCCCTTCAGCAGCAGGAGGGGACATACTACAGGGCTTGGCGAGGGAGCAGAGAGGGACATCTCAGGGGCCTGAGCAAGGAGGAGAGGCAGAAAGGGGGCTGAAGGCATCTGGGAAATGACAGCAAGTGACCACCAGGCAGGCTCAGGGGCCAGGGTCATCAGCAGGTTCAGGACCAGATCAGTAGCTGGGGCACCAGTTCAGCAGCACACACATACCCTGACGGCAGTGTGTGGAATCCTCCAGGGCTCCTGGGCCTGAGGTCCTGGCCTAGAGGTGCTGGACTCTGGCTCCTGGCAGACAGCCTCCCAGCCTCACCCACCTGCACCATCCAGAAGCCGGGTTGGAGCAGCCTCAGGTGCCTGCTGCACACGCTACTTTCTGGGACTGCCTGGGAACGGTCTGCCTTTTCTGTGCTCCTTCTAGTGCAGAGGCTCTGGACAGTCCTCATACATGTTTGCAGCCCCATGCTGGTACTCACACATGTGGTGCTGGTGATGCTGACATTGCTCTTGAAGAATGTTTTGCCTTTGTTCAAGCTGACTTCAATAGAGTACTCCCTAAAGCATAGAAAATGCAGATGGTGAGAGCCAGTCCAGAGAGATGCAGTTCTTGCCCTTGGACAGCATGGGTAATGAGAGGTCATTCCCCAAACACTTGCAGGTAAACTTAGCAATGATGACCAAAGGGTAAGTGGGTCAGACAGTGAGGGGCCCTGCATGGGGTCTCATGCCATTGTGACCGCGTCCTAAATGACCAGGGACTGCTGCTTGGTGTCACCATCCTGGCTCTTCTGTATTTACAGAGTGTGTTGGCTTAACTCTGAGAGGCAACCTGGAGCAAAGGTACCATTCCTTGGGCAATCATCTCCTGCATCCTGCCTTCCTCACAGACCCTAGGATGCTGCAGATCCCTGAATACCTTGGGGGTCACTAACAAGGGATGTGGGGAGGAGGGTGCTCTTTGCGCAGCCACAGATATGTGCTGTCCCAGCAGGGGGTGGGGGGCATCCACATTTTGTACACCTCAAGGTGCCCAACCCTGACTCCCTGGTCTCTTGCCCTCTAGCCTCCTGCCAGGGGCACTTACTCTCCAGGTTTTTCTAGTTTTGGCCCAGGGCAATTCATGGAATTATTGTCGATACTGGTTGGCTTTTCATCTAAAAGAAAATGACATGAGAAGAATGTCAGTGCACCTGTCTGTCCACTGTTCCTCCCCATGTCTGTCCTCAGCATGCAGGGCTGACCCTGTGGCCCAGGACCGGCATGTGGGCTCTGCCTTCCTATTGCACAGACCCCTGCAAGCACCCGCCACACCCAGGCCCTGTGCAGCACTCTGTTGTGTAACAGGAACAGGCAGGCAGAGTCCCTGCTCTCAAGGACTCACCTTTAGGGATTGCACGGGACACAGAAAACAAAATAAAAAACAGGACAAAACAGATGACAGAGAGTGCAATGTGCTGTGATGTCCATGACCAGAGGAGGTGAGGGAACCAGAGAGGAAGGGACAGCCGCTTCATTATGCATGACTTCTCCTATCTTGTAGAGCCACAATTTCTGGTCTAGAGGAACATGAAATAATGCAAGGCCAGGGATTTGCTTCAAAATACTCTGTGGTAAGGGTTCCAAGGAAAGCAGGTGGGGGCAGGTTGAGAATTATTGAAAGTAGGTGATGGCTTCTTTAAGTTCATTGCACAATTCTTGTTATTTTGTGTAGTGTTGCAAACTTCCATGAATGATAAATTATCTCTGAAGAGGTGACATTCCAGCTGAGATTAAAAAGATGAGGAGCCAGCCAGGCAAAGATCCCAGGTAAAGGTGCTTGGGGCTGAGAGAGTGGCATGTGCCAATGCTCTGGGCAGTGACTCGCTGACCTTGTCAAGGAGGGAAAGAGGTGACCCAGGACAGGGGGCAGGGCCTTGTGGGCCCTGGAAAGGGGTTGGGGTTTTATTTCTTGTGCAGTGAATCTGTCCAGGTTGGGCAGATCCAGGATGTATTTTGCACATGGAGGCAACAGGACTTGCTGGTGGGATGGATGTGAAGAGGAAGCTCAGAGGAGTCAAAGATGACATTTGAGTGTTTGACCAGAACAACTGGGTGGACAGCGACACCATTTACCAAGATGAGGAAGCCTGAGGAGGGGACTGGGTTTTTTTTTTCAAGTCTGTAATTTTGTTTTCCAATTTTTGTTTATTTATGTATCTATTTACTCATTTTTGTGGGAGTGTGGTGGGCTCAGGAGAGTTCGGTAATGTGTAGACATGGAACATTCTCACTCCTGAGCCCACACCCTTTTCACACCTCCTGAAGTGCGGGAGAGGGCGTGGGCCCTGCTGCATCTGCCTGCTGGCCTGGCTCCAGCTCTCTACCCACTGGGCTCGGCTGCCAGGACCCCGGCTTCCCAGGGCCCATTAACTGCATAGCCAACCTAGGACTGGCAGAACCCGTGGTATTGACTTTTTTGCCAAGGATGATTTCAAAACAATTATGGCATCCTCCTCATTTTCCTTTAAAAGGCTTTCTCTGCTTTTCTTTTCCACCTCCCTAAATATGCACATAGTTTACTCTGGCATGTATTTTCCATTGCAATGTCCTGTTCCTGAATAAATAGCATTTCTGTTTAGAGACACTCTCTCTGTTTGTTATTTCAGTTGTCAAAAATTGCATCCAGGCGCTTCCAGAAGCCAGAACCAGGCTCTGCCCCTGCTGCCCTACAGGGACTGATGCAGGACAGAGATCCCTGAACTGCACCTCCAGGCTGGCATCAGCCGCCAGGGAAGGCACACTGCCATCTAGTTGGGGGTGCAGGGGAGGCGTGTTCAGTGGTGGCCAACACTCCAGGGACATGTTCCGGGGATCTCTTCCTATTAGTGAAAATAGGTTTAAAGGTTGTTCTCAATTATTTTAAAAAATAAGTTTCTTTTTACTCTTGGGCCAGCCATCAACCAGGAGCAGAATGGCCATCTACGCAGGTGCTCACAGCTGTGGCATGGGCTCCCCACTGTGAGACGTCGGTGCTGGCCTGTGTATGGAGATGTAGATGGTAAGCTCCAGGGTGGGAAGCCAGTACACCCACAGGCCCACAGAGGAGGCAGCTGAATGCCACTCACGGAGGTAGGCTGGGTACCCCCTTTCCCAGGAGCTGCCACCACAGGGAGGCAGAAGGCAGATCGCCTGGGTCTGCTTTCCTGCCCTGCAACATGGACTGTATGGCCCTGGGCAGGCTCTTCCATCATGCTTCTCTCTAGCTCTCCATCCATATGAGAAAGTTGTCAGAATTAAAATGGAGTCATTTGTGTTAAAAAATAAAATAAAATCCATGACAAATAGGGCTAAGAAAGGCTACAAAGAGAGGGTTTTATGCCTATATGCCTGATAACAAAAATATCACAAAAGACTTTGCAAAAACCACAACCTTGCACAAAAGCCATTGCAGACTTAACACAAAAAAATACTTCTACAGGAACATGTGCCCAAGAACTGCCTGTCCAGCCTTGGACTAGTGTCACCCTTGTAACTGATCTTTTTAGGCAAGAGTAATGGTCTTAAAACAATTCCCTAATCTTCATTTCTCCTTTAAAAGCCTATGTCTTCTTTACCTCCCTGATTATGCACATTACTATGGCACACACATTCCCAGTGCCGGGCACCGTTCCTGAATAAATACTGTTTTCTTTTAGAGAGAAACTCTCTGTTGTTCTGATTGACACATACAAAGACTTTCTGTAAGGCTGCTTTGAGGATTCAAGGAGATAGTGTGCATAAGGCACTTGGCACGATATCTGATATAAGTGCTCAGTAAGCATTAGCTTTCCTTAGAAAGGGGCTGCTCAGTCCCTAAGACAGTTCCAAGAAAGTATAACCCAATGAAAACTGAATTCCCTGAGACCATCCACACAATGCTGATGAGTGGGAATGTGGGGATGACAGGCTCAGCCCCTTCCTATGTACTCATGGAAAGGAGGAAAAAGGTCAAGAAGCCTCTTGGGGGAAGAGAAGTCATCCTGGGATTACCATATGGCCCTGGAATTAGATTTCAGTGAACATACTAACATCAGATCAAATGAATGTATCAAGGGGCCACCTGGGAAGATCAAGGAGGATGCAAAAATCCAACTGCACCCCAGGCCCTCAGTGGGGAAGAGCACACCCCACCCCCAGCACCCAGGGCACAGTGTCTGCCTGGACTATGCGCTTCCTCAGGCCATTCCACCATCACAGAGGTTCCCTGATGCCTAACTATTGCCAAATAATAGGAGATTTAAAAAAAATACTATAGCCCTTCCATGAACCAACTGCTCTACGCATGTGATTTTGCTTACTTAGGTGTAACTGTGGCTGACCATCTATAACATGAAAATCCACACCCAAAATCCTTCAAAATCTGACATTTCTTGAGCACCAACATGATGTTCGAAAGAAATGCTCATTAGAGAATTTCAGATTTCAAATTTGCGGTTTGGGATGCTGAAACATCAGTATACTGCACACGTTCCAAAACCTGAAAAAATCTGAAAACTAAAATATCTGTGGTCCCAAGCATTTCAGTTAAAGGATACATAGCCAGCACCATATTGCCTCCATGTTAAATTGAGAAAATAGAGGCTCAGAGTAGAACACTCATCTGGTCAAGGTGACACAGGCAATGTGTGCCTGAGCCAGGATTCCAAGGCCCAGGCCTACAGGCTGGCATCCTCCCTCAGTGCAAGGTAAACATACCCCTCTGGGCAAGCTACTGGTGCACCTGGCCATTCAGGCTCAGATCTCCGGGGCTGCCACCATTTCCTAGAAGTAGCCTTGTGGGCTTTGGGTCCTGGGCTCTCAAGGGAAGGGGAAACTGAGGCTAAGGTGGGCAGATGCAGCTGTGATCGCAGACCCAGTCCTAAACCCAGCCTCACTGAGTGGGAAGCCCTGATGTAAGATGCTCTTGAGGCACAGATGGATTTGTTACTTCCCCACTTGGCAGATGAAGGGAGGGGTGACCGGCCTTCCCAGTGCCTCCTTCCACTTGTCCTCATGGCCTCTAACCCCACAGGGTCCACAGGGAATGGTTGGCAAGGGCTGGGAGGCTTGGCTGGCTGTGGGGAAAGGCAGCATTGTGTGGGAAATACGTGACTCAGAGGCACAGAGGAGACAACTTACCAATGATAGTGCTTTCATTGAAGATAAATCTGCAAATAACTTCATCCCGTTTCTTTAGATTCTGAAAGCCATTTCCATGAATAACCACATGGTAGGGTTCTGCAAGGACAACATTCAAAAGGCTGAGTGAGGAAGAGTAGGGGGCTGCCTCCCCTCTGACCTCCCTATTCCTGGAGATCCACCCCCAAAACCGAATTCACAGAGGCTCCTGTAAGGAAAGAGCTGTGTCTGAACCAACATCTATGTGTCCACTAGGTCAAATCTTCATCTGGTGTCACTGAGGGTCCAGGAGGAGGCAGCTGGGCCTTAAGCACACTCAAGGACCCTCTCCCTACCATTCCTGAACCAACACGCTCAGGAAAGGCCTTGGTCCTTGCACAGGGCAGGCTCAGAGTGGTATTCCTGCCCTGAAATCTGTGGTGCTCCCTCGGCCCCAGGTGTGCAGGCCGTGCACTCAGCCAGGCCCTCCCTGATGTCAGGTGTAAGCGGAGCCATAATGCTGCCTGAAGACACCATGTCTCATGCCTCAGCTGGGCACCCAGGCCTGGATGCCTCCTTCAGGGCTGCTGAACATTCGAGGTCTCTCCTCCCTGTCTTTCTGTGTGCCTGTGGCAGGCAGGACACCCACAGCATCAGGGCCAGGACTCAGGTGGGGCAGGCGAGCCACCTAGGACCCTGCTCAAGGGAATCCATCACAGAAGCCCTGTTTTAGCTGTGATTCCAGAGAACTACAGGTGATTTCTCATATTCTGCTCTTCCTGAACCAGCAAGGACCACAGGGCACCCATCCTGAGGCTCAAGGAGTGTGTCCTTCCACCACTGTAGCTCCTGCCCTGACCCAAAGACCACAGGGGACACATGCAGGTGACGGCTGGACCCAGGAGCCAGCCAGGGTTCCCGCAGGTCTGCAGCTGCCAAGGGCATTGGCCTCCACCCCTGCCTCCTGGCCCAGGCCCCACGCATTCCAATCCCTGCTGATGCTTGGGGCGCCCCCGGTCCATGCACCCAAGGAAAGCTTCCTGTGAACCCTGCTTCCTGCCTTTCTGCAGTGTCACACCTTCAAGGCGGGCTGTGGGTGAAGTTGGCCTACCGACATGCTTTCTGAGGCTTTCAAAATGGGAGCCTGCAGTTAAAAGCCTGAACATTAACCACAAATATCTAGATTTCCAGCTTTCTTGGAAAATGGGAAATGCAGGCCTTAGTGGGTTTGTGTTTCTCCATGTCAGCTCCTGGCTGGGACCTAGGGAACCATGCTCCTCAGATGAGGAGCTCCGAGGCCCACCTCACTCCAAGGCCCTCAACGCTGACTGCTGACATCAGCCAGCTGGGCCTGGCCTACTCTTCCTGCTCAAGGTGCCAGCCTGGCTCTCGTAGTCACCCACTTGATGGATACTATGCTGCCCTTGGAAGAGCCTGGGCCTGGTGGGGGCACTGAGGCTGTGAGAGACAGCAGGAAATGCCAACTTGGTGCCCTGTTCTGAGCAACTAGACATGGGCCCCTCAGGGCAAGCCTGGGGTCCTCTCCCACAGCTAAGGCTGACAGCAGCTGCTTCCAAATCTGATGCTGCCAGGCAACTTCTTCCCCACTCAGGCTTCCAAAAAGCCCTGGCCAGCCAGACACTAGGCTCAGTGTGTGCCCGGGAGGGAGCAACTGGGCCTGTGGCCTGCGCCCCTTGGTCAGCCCAACTTGGCCACTCTAAGCAGGGCTGAGTGCTGCCCCAAAGCTCCATGGACAGGATAATTGCAAATTACATTCTGGGCTGTGTTAGGACTATGTATTGCAAGCAAGCATTTTTTTTTTTTCAAGGTGGATGGATGAAGAGAGAGGGGGGGTGGGAGAGATAAAGGAACATGGCCAAACATTCATTGTAAAATCCCAGTGGTGGATAGAGATGTGTTTGTGTTCATTGTACAATCCTTTCCACTCACCTACAGGTTTGAAAATTTCAACAATAAAAGGGTGGAAGAAAACCAAAGAACTAAATAAGAAAATTATGCTTAGACATAGACAACCAGAAGTCATGATACACCCTGGGTGACAAGTGACTGATGAGAGGGACAGACCAAGCCCTTGGGCTGCAGGGAGTCAGAGGGGCTGGTCATCAGGGAAGGCTTCCAGGATGAGGTGCCCTTTGAACAGGGCTGTGAAGGACAGGTGGGCTCGGCCCTTCAAGGTGAGGCAAGGCTTGCAGAGTGCCTGTGCTCCACCTGGTCCCACCTCTGCACAGGGCGCCCAGAACAGGAAGTGGACCCTGGAGGGCCTGGGGGTTCTGCTAAGAGCCTCAGACTCCTGCCAGGCTGGAGAGGGAGATGCCTGTCAAAACCCTCCAGCCATGTGTGGGGGATGGGCTCAGGATGGGCCTTGAGCGGTGAGGCCACCAGAGGCCTCTCCCAGGCTGGATAGGAGGCCCAGGGCTAAACAGGGGGAGTCTGGGCTGCATGCCTCCCTCCCTGGCCTCCTTCCTGGGCTCCCTGGAGACCTCCTGGCTTCTCAGTGGCAGCCTGCTGAGAGGGCTCATTCTGTTGCATTTGGGTTTCAGGCTCCTGCCTTGCCCTTTCCCTCCTGTGACTGTCACCCTCCATGTGGGGCAGCTTTGCACAACTCAGCCGACAGCTGACAGATCAGGGCTGTGACTGCCGGGCCACGTGAGCAGAGGCAGAAGGCCGAGCTGGTGGGCAGAGGGCACCTGCCACCTCGACTCAGCTGCCTCCAGGGAGGAGTGAAGACTCACATCCTCACCTGGGGTTGACAGGGCTGCTCAGACGCCACAGGCTGTGCGTGTCCAGGGGACATCATCAGAGGAGCACAGCTGTCACACTGGCTGCACGGCTGAGCCGCTTTAAATCAGGAGGAACAGAAAGAGACCCCGAGGGGGAGGAGAGCCCTCTCTACTCCACCCCTGCCCTCAGCTCTGCATGGGGGAGAGGCGGGGTCGGGGACAGAGCCCAGGACCAATCATGGAAGTGTCAGCGTAGCTCCTGTTTCAGGGACCTGCCAGCTCCCAGCCCTGTGCCAGTCCCTGCACAGCCCAGTGCCTTTGGACTCACGAGAGGCCTGACAGCGTCTTTTCTGTTCATGGGAGGCACTTCTGGAGCTCACTGACATTGGACAATTTGCTCCTGGTCGTGTGCCCATGGAGAGCAGAGCTCAGACATATACGGTGTGTCTGTCCCCACAGCCTACCGCCAGGACACCCTGCAGTGAGGAACAGGGAGGCCAGAGCCCAGCTGCTGGATGCCTCGTGGTCTTGCTAAGGGCCTAGTAATGTCCTCTCGTGATGAAGGGAGGACACCCAGGGCTCCCTTCAACTCCAGCAGCCGCAGTTGTGCAACTGCCGGCCATGCAGACCCCCAGCCTACACAGAAAGAGCTCAGGACAGACAGAGGCATCACAGAGGCCCACACAGGACTGTCACAACCCATACTGGGACCCCAGCTGACAAGAGGGCATCCTCGCTACGTCTCAGACAGCATGGACAGGCACTGGGATTGATCCTGTGGGATTGAGGTGAGCTGAGGGTGTTTGTGTGGACGACTTTGTCGGGCTATGGAAGTTTCCTTCTGCTCATAGGGTGCTGTGGGATGTTGACACCCCTACTTCTTGTTCTTCATCCCCTGAGATAACCGCTTGGTTCCTGTTTCCTATTTTGTTGATGTGGTAAATTACACAGACATTTCAGCTCCTGCACCTGCCTGGCCTTCCTGGGAGGAGCCCTGGCTGCTCCTGCCCTGTGGTCTGGGTTAGCTGCTACTCCATGCCATTTGCTGGTGTTTCCCTGAGAGCTTCTCACACATGTCTTTTCTTGCTTTAGAGTTAAACTTACCGTTGTGAGGTTACAACACACTAATTGTACAAAGGTACTCACACCACCACCCCCGCATATTGCCCCCACACCAATAGACACATTCACATCCATGTGGGCCACATGTCCACTCCCACCGACCCATGCACACTGGACCACAAACACACTCAACCCACCCCATACCACACACATCACACCACACACCACACACCCGAAGTACACACACCCACACACCACACACACACATAAATAGCAAACACACATACACCAAAAATACCAAAGACACACCACACATCCCATACACACACCACACACATCAGCAACACACTCCCAACTCCCCATACGACACAAACACACACTGGACACCACATACCTGCACACCAGACACCCTTCCCACACACCAGCAGCCTTCCACACACCAGGCAACCTTCCCACACACTCCCACAAGACCCCCACTCATGCCAGACACACACAGTGCACATACACCACACACACACACGCATATATGCTCCCTACGTACACTCACACCCCCACATGCATATTACACAGCACCTCAGCTCCCACACAACATACACCCCACAATACAACACACACAGATGCATCACTCATGCACACCCCACACACACCACACTCACAGCACATATACACACCCCACACAATCTCACACACATTTCCACAGCACACAGACCACATATTACCCTCTCCCGCAGATTTCACACACATCAAGCCTCCCACAGCACAACTTCCCAGACATACTACACATACTGCACCCACACAAACTACATACACACATACCACACACACCAAACACATACACACCACATACACACACCACACTCACACACTCCCCACACACATCCTCCCCCACACATACCAAACAAATGCACACACTCCATACACGCATGCACTCATGCACACCACCCTTTGGCTACCCCAGGGCCTCCGCAGCTCTCACCTCCTACACACTCAGAGGAAGGCTCCACCGATGTCACATCAAGACAGACCTTTGACGTGAGCTGGAACACAGGAGGGGTGGGGCGGGACAGGGAGAGTGAGCTTCCTGCCAAAGGATCCAGGTCCCCAGCCCCTCACCTCTGCCCACTCACGGCATCAATGGTGCTTCTCAGGGCCTTGAAGCCATTCTCCACTGCAAACACGTGGCCAGGGCTGTCTGCAATTGCTGTTATCTACAGAGAGCAGAGCTGGGTTGGACTCCCCACCAGGAGGTGAGGATGCAGCAGACCCCCGGCCCAGGAGACAGTGTCTTGCCCTCATGCTTTGGGGGCAGCAGAATGTCAGGCTCTGAATGTCACAGACTTCTCCAGCCAGCAGCCCACTCTTAGGGAGCGGGGAGCTCTTCCACCCTCCCCTTTGGCATGGTGGGATTTATACAACATGCTGTCAATCACTTCTGCAGTGGCCATGAGTTGGCCCAACTCACTTGGGGCAGCTTAGACAACCGTCCTTGGGGTGGCCCGGGACGGTTGGCTCGAAAGTGACCACTAGGCTTGAAAGTGGCGCCTGGTTACCTGCTTGGAATTACCTGATCCAGATTATAATCAGCCACACCCAGGGTGTAAACGTTGGCCCCCAGTTTCCGAGCCTTTTGAGCCTAAGGGAAAGAAGGCATTGCATATTGGTCATCAAAATACATGGAGCAAAATGCTGGTAAGTATGAACTGGACTCACTTCTCTGAGAGTGTCCTGAAATGCATGTGCCACCAGTTCTCCATCAGTCATAGCAATAATCATGCTGGGAACCTTGTCTGTAGAAGAAGCAAAGAGTGGCCTGCTCAGCAAAGGCACCAGGAGTGACCTCCAGAAGCTCCGGAACCCCTGCAGATGGCTGGGCCCACAGCGCTGCCCACTCCAGGGCATGGCCACGTGCCCCCACCTCATCCTCCAGAGGAGAGGCTGCCAAGACCCAAGCACCTGCCACCCAGAGACCTCCTAGAGTCAGGGAGGTCTCAGCCCAGCACCCATTTTACAGAGAAGGGGCTGAGAGGGGCAGGGTCTTTCACACCAGGCTGCCTGAACCCTCACCCACTAGCGACCTGCACCACCTCTGCCTGAGGGCAGCTCCAGCCAGGACTCCACAACCACAGGCCTGTCCCACGGGCAGAGGGAGGAGCTGCTGGGCCCTCCTGTAACAGACAGGCTCAGGGAGGCTCCCAGGGGGCCAGGTCTTGCTGTAAGCAGAGCCTGCAGGCAGCCCTGCCGGCATCTCTGGGCCCAGGAGTTCAGGACTCCAGGCCAGTGGCACCTGGGCAGGGGACCCCACAGCCACCTCAACGCCTTTCCTCTCCAGCCCTGCCTTTTCCTGACAAGAGCTGCAGCAACACAGTGGGGAGGGAAGTTGGGGGCCCTGGACAGCCTTCTGTACCATATGAGACAGGGTCAGGGGATGCAAGTCACTCGGAGGGAAGACATGCAAGGGAGGAGGAAGGCTAAGGTGTGTGCAAGGGGCAAACCCCTTGGCTCTTCCCTTGTCCTTTTCACACAGCCCAGCTGGAGGGCAAGCACCTCAGGGTTATGAGCACCAGAACTGCACACGCAGGATCCCACACAGTTCTCAGAACTCCATGGGGTGAGGGCTTACTATGCTCATTGCACCAGGGAGGGACCTGGAGCTCAGAGCAGGTGAGCAACTTGCTCCAAGAGGCAGGGCAGGTGTGGCCTTGCAGATTCTGCACACAGAGCTCTCTGAGGCTCACACCCAGCTCTGTTCCCCCTACAGGACCACCAGGGGGACGGCAGGTGCTTACTTCCGGAGTTGAAACTTTCGATCTGTTGAATTGCCTGCAAGAAAATGAAGAAATATTGAGCCTGGACAGTGAGATGCTCCCACTGATGCTCTAAGATTTTGTAGGTTAGGGTTAGGGTTAGGGTTAGGGTTAGGAGATCAAGGGGTCTATACCTTTCTAAATCCTGCCTGCATGAATGTGTGACCGTCAGGCACAATTTTCTGAAGTTGGTCAAGACCGTTTTTTATTCTATTCCTGAAAAAAATTTAAAAAGGTGGTTGACCTGGAAAGACATTGACTGTTAAAAATCAGCTCCCAAGCTCTCCGGGAGCCACTGTTCTTTGCGCCAGTCCTCCTGGATGAAGGAGGGGCCCAGGCAAGGGCTTTGTCCTCCTCATTCCTCATTGTGATTTTGACCAGAGATTTCAAGCCCTTCTGAGCTCATCCGAGTTACAGAGAATGCAGGCCTGGGGAACTTCACCAGGGCCCTGCTTGGACCATCTCTGGTGACAGTAGGAGTTTCCCATGGATGAGCAACTGTGAGTCAGGAACTGCAATGGGGCTGACTTTCCTAAACCTAACCCTAACCCTAACCCTGAACCAGGGATGGGCAACTGAGAGTCAGCCACTGACAATGGGGTTGACATTCCTAACTCTAACTCTAACTCTAACTCTAACTCTAACTCTAACCCAAACCCTAACTTTAACCCTGAACCAGGGATGGGCAACTGAGAGTCAGCCACTGACAATGGGGTTGACATTCCTAACTCTAACTCTAACTCTAACTCTAACTCTAACTCTAACTCTAACCCAAACCCTAACCTTAACCCTGAACCAGGGATGGGCAACTGAGAGTCAGCCACTGTCAATGGGGTTGACATTCCTAACTCTAACTCTAACTCTAATCCAAATTCTAACCCTAACAAGGACGCTGTTGTGTTGGGCACTCCGTCCTTTAACAGGTAGGGCTGCATTTGGGAAAAGTCATCCTGCTAAGCCACCAGCCCTGCACCCAGCCCAATGACCCCAGACCCCTGACCCTGACTCAGTTTCCTGCTCTATCTTTACCCTGATACAGGAAGTAGCAAATCTGCTTAGAGTGTCTGGCCTCCTTGACTTTCTGTGCCCCTGAAACAAAAAGACCAAAGGCTGGAGAGGCAGCCCCGACAGCTGTGCATGCAGGGGCTGAACACTGATCTGCGGACTGGCCGGGGCATGAGGCCTGTCAGTTGCTGTTAAAGCAGACAGAATGGGCTGGGGCAGTCAGGACTGGCTCTGGTGGCAGGACTGGGACAGGCTGGGGACTTAGGGTCAGGCTAATTCAATGTGACAGGCTGAGCCTGCACAGCAAGGCTGAGCAGAGCATGGACCCTGAAGGATGGCTTCCCACTGTGGGCAGAGAGTCCCTGCCATGGCCGGAGCTCTGAGAGCCCTGCCTGCCCAGCCCAGGAGGGGAGGAGGCCAGACCCATCCATACCCAGAAGAGGCCATGCCCTGGCCTTCCTCTGGCCATGCCCAAACCCCGCTCCCCGTCTGGGTCACTCGCCACAGTCCTCCCCCATAGACTTGCTTTTTACCACCTCACACCCACCCAGTCTCTCTGACAAACCCACAGCGCAGGACACACAGACTCAAGCTCCCCTACTCTGTATTCCCTCGAAACTGCAAGTGGGGCCCAGTCCCCCATCCAGTCCTCAGTGTCCTCACCTCTCTTCTGTGCTTCATCTCCTCTGGGCCCAGTTCCGGGCATGTGCATTGGAAGTGCCCTCACCTCCGGCCAAACAGGAACTCTGCTGTGCTCCCTGCTGGGCCTGGGCTCCAGCCTCCTGAGCTTGTTCCTCCTGCCTCCCTCCACTTTCCCAGCCTGCCCTGGAGCTCAGAACCCCACCCAGGGGCTCCCCAGTCTGGGCCTGCCAGCATCCCTGCACTAAAGCCCCACTACTCCCACCACCAGCTTTGACCCTGTCTCCCTCCCACACTGGTCAGGGCAGGGGGAACAGGCACAGAGCAGCAGCCAGCACAGGTGTGTGTTCACAGGACACACACCCCCGCCCTGCCAGCCCCTGCACCCTGGGAATCCTCACAGCCACCTTTCAGGGAAGGAGGCAGAGCGGAGAGAGGGCAGGGGAGCGTGAAGTGGGGGAGGCTGAGAACTTCTGGAGCACAGGGGCCTGCAGGTAACCTTGCAGCCATGGGTAGGAGGATGCAGGGGAGCCGGGGCTAAGGTCAGGTGGGTACTGTGAGTTGCCCTGACCGGCCTGCCCTGTGTGCTGTCAGGCTCCCAACCAAGGTCTCCGGGAGCCCTTCAGCTCCCTGGAGCTCCCTCTGGCCAAGCTCATCAGGCCTCCCTTTGGGGCTCAAAGCAGCACTCACTTGTCTGAGGTGAGTGGCAAGACAGTCTGGCCGTCTGTGGAGTAGGTGATGAAGCACATCCGAATATTTGGGCTGTGAAGGAATCATGTGCTGGTGAGAAGCCAGTGGCACAGGCTCAGAAGCCAAGGTGGTGAGGCCAATTCCCCACCTCCCACCCCAACTCTTCCGCTTTGGAGCCCCTTGCTGGACACAAGGAGGTGAGATAAATGTAGTGAAGGACTCTGAGGCCTGTGGAGACAAGGGCTCCATAGAAGGGAGAGTCAGGATGGCAACTCACTGCATCCCCACACTCCCAACACCCCAAAGACACTTGCACACACACACGCGCACACACAGGCACACACTCACACACATATGCACACACATGCACACACAGAGGCACACACACACACAGGTGCACACACCACACAAACACCCACACACATGCATACACACACACTCACACATGCACCCATACACATGCACCCATACACGCACACACCCACACACAGGCACACACTCACACACACAGGCACACACTCACACACAGGCACACTCACATGCACACACATGCACGCACACACGCACACACTCACACACAGGCACACACGCACACACACACAGGCACACACGCACACACTCTCACACACGCACAGGTATACACACCCCCCCACACACATGCATACACACTCACACACACACACAGTCACACACATATGCACCCACACACATGCACCTGAACATGCACACACTCATATGAACACGCACACACGGCACCCACACTCAGGCACCTGCACACACACACACACAGACACACATACCTTATAATGAACAGGCAGGGAGATGCACATACAGCCCTCCCAGCTGGCCTCCCTTCTACTGGAAAATTCTTTGCCTCTTCACCCCATTCCCTCCTCCCTCTCCTCTCCGTCATCCCTCCTTCATCTCAGACAAGTGACTCTCCCTATTGGCAGCCATGCACACAGCCTCCCCTTCCTCTCCCTGACCCTCCTTCCTGCCGGCTGACCCTCAGTGGCCCTCAGCGACAGTGCTGCCATACGTCCCCAGCGGAGCTCCCCATGGCTCCTGCCCTTGTTGCCCATTCATTTTACCCACAGTCATCAGACTTTTCTTCCTTAAGTGCCATCTTGATCATGCCACTCCCCTGCTCAAGAGCCTTCTCTGGCTCTCTATGGCTCAGAGCAGGAAATCCCAGCTCCTTGGCCTGGCATAATGAGCCCCTGTGGCTTTGGCCTCAAGCTGACCTGCCCAGCCCTCTCCCAGCCCTCCCTGAGCTAATCTCATTCCCAGCCAAGTCAGACCACTCACGCCACCACAGGTCCCCTGTCTTTTCCATCCTGCAAGACCCAGTTCAAAGACCCACATCCTTGGAAGCCATCCTTGACTTTGTCCTTAGGAGTTCCTGTTTTTTCCTTTAACCTTCCACGGAGTTCTTTGCCCCCTACTTGAACCCTCAGCAACTCGGAGTTCCAGGACTGAGTCACTGGTTTCCCTGCCTATTGTCCCTTCCCAGCGTGTGATGTCCCCAAGGGCAAACTGCCTCCCCTGCAATATGTCTGGGCTCACAGGCAGGAGCCAGCCAAGGCCGCTGAGACCCCATGGAACCAGTGAGTGCTGGCCTCATTCCTGCTTCAGAATGCCACCTTGTGCTCTGTGTCCCCCACTGAAGGACTCCCACGCCCACCCCATCTGATGGGATGTGCCCTCTGCCTGCCTTCCAGAAGAAAAGCTCTCTGCAGCTCAGGGGAGGCTGCCATGCAGAGATCTGTACCTTTGGAACCTCGCCACTGTTTCCTCCACCCACATATAAAGGTCAATCCAGTTATTGTTCACGCTGCCAGACCTAAAACAAAAGGAGATGTGGGTCAGGGAGATGAGTGCATCTCTCCGATGGGCAAGTGTCTGCCCCGCCCCCAGCCTCCCAGCAGGCTCTTAACAAGCTCTCCTGACCCCAGCACAGCTGAGGCTGGGGTACACCCCCAGTGGCCACTGGATCATCCGAGGTCATGAGTTTCACCAGTTGAGTGGTCAGCATAAGGTGACCACCCAGCCCCATCTGCCTGGGACTGAGGAGCTTCCTGGGATGTGGGGCTTTTGTTGCCATCCAGGTGGCTGATCAGGTTAGGTGGGGCACTGTGTAGAGTGGAAATGGGAGAGAATGTACTGGTTGGAAAAGCCCCCAGTGAACAATCCAAATATAGAAAATCAACCAAAAAAGTTTCATTTATGATAGCATCAAACAGAACAAAATACTTAAGAATAAATTTAAACAAGGAAGCTAAAGAAATGTGTACTGAAAACTATAGAACATTGCTGAAAGAATTTAAAGACACAATAAATGGAAAGATATTGCATGCTTATGAATCAGAAGGCACAATAATAATATTGTTAAGATAACAATGTAATCTGTATCAAAATCTCTACAGCATTTTTTGCAGAAATAAAAAAATTTGCACTAGATTTCATATGGAATTTCAAGGGACATTAGTCATACAGCAAAAAAAAAAATCTGAAAAAGAAGAACAAGATTGAGGATACACATTTCCTGATTTCAGAATTTATTACAAAGCTACAGTAATCAAACTATTATGGCACTGATGTAAGGACTGACATGTAGAGCAATGAACAGAACAGAGAGCTCAGAAATAACCTGTCATGTCTGTGGTCAAACGATTTCCAACCAGTGTGCTAAGAACACTCAGTGTGGGAAAGAACAGTAGTTTCAAGAAATGGTGCAGGGAAAATTGGATGTCTATGTGCAAAAGAATGAAGTTGGACCCTTCTGTAAACCATTACAGAAATTCACTCAAAATGGGTCAAAGACCTAAATGTAAAGGCTAAAACTTTTAAGCTCTTAGTAGAAAACATAACTTTTATGACATTAGATTTGGGGATTTTTTTGGATATGGCACCAAAAACACAGGCAACAAAATTAAAAATAGAAAAGTTGAGACTGTATCCAGATTAAAAACTTTTGTGCATCAAAGGACACTACCAAAGGAGTGAAAAGACAACCTGCAGAATGGGAGGAAATATTTACAACTCATATACCTGATAAGGGATTAATATCCAGAATATACAAAGAACTCCTACAACAACAACGAAAAAGAAACAACAAAAAAATGCAACAAAAAAAATGGGCAAAGGATTTGAATAGACATTTCCTCAAAGAAGATATGCAAATGGCCAATAAGCACATGAAAAGATGCTCCACATCACTAGTCACTAGGGAAATGCCAATGAAAGCCTCAAGGAGATACAACTTCACACCCATTGGGGTGACTATTATCAAAAACCAGAAAATAGCAAATGTTGGGCTTTTGTTGGTGGGAATGCAAAATGGTGCAATCACTGTGGGAAACAGCTTGGCATTTCCTCAGAAAGCTAAACATAGGATCACCATAGGATCCATCAATTGCACTCCCTGGCATATACCAAAAAGAAGTGAGAGTAGGGACTCCAAGAGATACGTATACACCAGCGTTCATAGCAGCATTATTCACAATTGCCAAATGGCAGAAGCAACCCAAGTGTCCATCAACAGACGAAAAGATAAACAGGCCGGGCGAGGTGGCTCACGCTTGGAATCCCAGCGCTTTGGAAGGCCAAGGCCGGGGAATCACGAGGTCAGGAGTTCAAGACCAACCTGTCCAATATGGTGAAACCCTGTATGTACTAAAAAATACAAAAATTAGCCTGGCGTGGTGGCATGCCCCTGTAGTCCCAGCTACTCAGGAGGCTGATGCAGGGAGAATCGCTTGAAACTGGGAGGTGGAGGTTGCAATGAGCCGAGATCGCGCCGCTGAACTCCAGCCAGGCAGCAGAATACTCCAACTCAAAAAAAAAAAAAAAAAAGATAAAGAAAATGTGGTACATATACATACAGAGAAATATTATTCAGCCATAAAAGGGATGAAATTCTGATGGATGCGACAACATGGGATAAACTTGAAAACATTATGCTAAGTGAAAAAGGTCAGACAGAAAAGGCCAAATATTATATGTTTGCTTGATTACATTGTGTGACTCCCCTTACATGAAGTACCTACAATAGGCAAACTCATAGATAGAGAAAATACACTAAAGGTCACTAGGGCTTGGGGAAGGGAGGAATGGGGAGTTATTGTTTAATGGAAATAGAAGTTTTTTGGGTTTTGATGGGGATGGGGTTTGAGACAGGGTCTCACTCTGTCGCCCAGGATGGAGTGCAGTGGTGTAATCTTGACACACAGCAGTCTTGACCTCTCAGGCTCAAGCGATCCTCCTGCCTCAGCTCAGGCTGAGTAGCTGGGAGTGGAGGCACACATCACCATGCCTGGCTAATTTTTGTATGTTTTGTATGGACAGGATTTTGCATGTTTCCCAGGCTGATCTTGAACTCCTAGACTCAAGCGATCCTCTTGCCTTGGCTCCCAAATTGCTGGGATTACAGGAGGGAGCTACTGCTCCCGGCTGAGAATAGAGTTTCAATACGCAATGATGAAACATTTCTGGAGATGGATGGTGGTGATTGCACAACACTGTGAATGTACTTAATGCCGCTGAATTGTACACTTAAAAATGGTAAATTTTTGTTATGTATGTTTTCCCACAATTAAAAAATTACTCAAAAAATACAAGGGGTCATTCCCACTTAGAGCCCTCAAATGTCACCTGGCCAAGAATAGGAGCGCATGGGAGGCTGATTCATTTTCTTCCAGCTCAATCCAATCAATGAACAAGTGAATAATGAGTCTCATGAATAAGCTGGACGCTAATGACCAAAGAGCCTGCCTGCAGGCAGTAGATGTTGTTTCTGCCTGGAGGATTACCGCAAGTTTCTCAGGGTCCCGCCCAGCTGCGTGGTCTTTGGATGGGCTTTGGAGTCACAAAATCCAGAGTTTCAATTCAGCACCATGGTCTATCTGGAGGCTGTGGTGGGTCATTCCCTGGCCATGACCTGGCTCATTGCCTCCTCCTTAGAATGGGGCAATGCCCTTTACCCCCAGCCTTGTTAGGAAGACTCATTAAGGTTGCTTTTGTCTGCTCCCTTTACATCCACTCTAGGCACTCCCTCTGCATTCCCCCTCATCCAGTCTGTCTGGGATTACATCAGGGCCTCTGCAGTTCCTGTGAGTTTCTAGCCTGTGGCTCTGCCTTGCCTGGCAGGTCCCTTCATCCCCATCCTCTGTCATCGCCTCTGACCTGCAAATTCTCCCTTCATCCTCATCACACTTGGCAAGGTGAAAATGAAGATACCCTTTTTACAGATGGGGGACACGAAGGCACAGAATGATGAAGCAACTTGCCCAAGACTATGTGGCTAGTGAGTGGACTCTGCCTGTCTCCAGAACTGAGTTGCTCCTTCCCCAAGAGTAGCAGAACAGTCAGAAACCATGGGAATTGGTGGGCTGGGGTACACGTCCCCTAACCATTAGTATCCAGGAGGAATGAGAAAAATCAGAGGAATTTCAACCTGCGATGCTGGAAAGTGTGCAGCACAGGAAGCCGGAGTCTTGTCACACTAGCTGTCTCTGGATGCTTCCCCAACCTCCAGGAGCCACCCTTGTCCAGGAACCAGATAGAAAAATACCTGTACTACTCACAGCCCAGGATTGTGGTGAGGTGCCAGGAGTGCAGGGGAAGGGCTTTGGAGGCCAGAAAGTGCTGCAACATTCTCCTGAAGATTGCACCACTGCTGCTACTGAATAAGCACAGAGTATTACCACCCAGCAGGAGGAGCAGGAAAGGGAACCAAGGCAATCTCTCCAAAGCTGAACATTTGCCTCTTTTCTTTCCTGGTGAGCCAGAAGGTGCCTAATACGTAGCCCAGCTTCCCCAGGGCCAGCCTGAAACAGACCAAACTGTTCTGAAAGTGTAGGAACTATCGCGTGGCTCTCCAAGTTGCAGAAGAGGCACTTAGAAGCAGCCAACCAAAGGCCTTCTCTAAGCAGTGACATTAGAATGCCCAACACAGGCAACAAAGCAATCTCTGTGGGGCCCAGTAAAATAGAAGTCATTTGCGTGAAAAAACAAACAAGCAAAACAACACAGAAACCCCAAACATCCGCAGTGAGCATCTGAGAACTGCTGAGAGGCAGGTCCGAGCAATCATCTGTTGCAGCAGCGTGAGGATGAGGATGCTGACCCAGCTGATGGAGGGGTAGGGAATCGTCCAGAACCCCTTTGGTGGCTTTTTTCCTCATCCAGGAGATGAAGCACCAGGGAAAAGAAAGCCAGGGCATTCTTTCTGCCTCAGAAAAACAGGAGGCCTAGGTCTGGTCTGACCAAAGTTTGGCCCTGCTTCTGTGACGGAAGCTTGCATCTCCTTGAGTGGTGTCCTGTCCCTAGTGAAAAAGAGACAGTGGCTCCTGAGGGTGACCCAGGGCCAGAGCTAGAAGGGACACTCACTTGTCCAAGATGAAGTAGAGGTCAAATGAGCCCTGGCATCTGTGACCTGCTTGCCCCTGGCGCCAGTGCTGCCTCCATCCTGGGCCATGGTGGTGGTGGGCTCTCCTGGAGCCCAGGGCCAGGCGGTGAAATATTCTCCAGTCAGGTCCATGGTACCGAAGGCTTCCTGCTCTAAAAAGCGGTGGAGGAAGCAGCAGCAGCAGCAGGAAGACCAGGAAGTAGGGCCCCAGGGACTCATGGCTCCCCATTATCTGGCTGTCCCTGTGACCCCACCTCACTCTTGGGTGCCTGTGCCAGGGCCCAGAGAGGCTGAGCACAGGCCCCTTCTTTGCCGCCTCCCCTTATGCCCGGGGCCACACCCCTCCTCCTGCCCTTTCACCAGTGCACACTATGGCCCTCCACCAGGTACCTCCCCAGATCGCAGGGACTAGGGTCAGCAGCTGGCTCTGGGAGACTTGCTTCCAGCTACCTGCCTGGCCCTTCCCCCACCCTGGGGACAGAATTCTCTGTTATGGTTGACAGGAAGGTTGACATGGTGACTTTGTGACCTGCAGCTCTTCCCAATGTCCTGCATGTTGACAACATCAGGGGGAGGCACAGGACCTTTGGAGGGGCTACAAGAGGAAGCCTCCATTTCCCTTATAACAGCCCTCACAGTGTCCCTTAAAACCACTAGACCCTGCTGTTTGTTCATTGGAAGAGTTAGCCCAGGTGAGTTAGGTGAGGACATTGCTGTGGGTGAGGAGGTCAAGGACTGGGAGGCCAGAGTGTTGGCAATGGGAGGTTATTTGTGTGACACTGAAGTCCCCCAGGAGATGGCAGTTCGGGAAGGAGATGGAAACTGCAGTGTTGCCAGAGTCTTTGTGAATGAGGGACATTCCGGTTCTCTACTGCTGTGTAACAGACCACCTACATTTAGGGACACAGAACAGGCCCATTTTATTATGCTCACAGGTTCTGAGGATCAGGCACTCAGGGCGGAGTTAGGAGGGCTCCTCATGTCTGGGGCCCCATAACTTGAAGGATTGGGCACTGGAATTATCTGGAGGCTGCTCCACTCACAAGTGTGGCTCCTAGGCAGGAGGGCCCAAAACCTGGGCTCAGCTGGGACTGTGAATGGAGACCCTGCATGTAGCCTCCCCGTGTGACCTGGGCTTCCTCCCAGCATGGCAGCTTCAGGGTGCTTGGGCTTTTACAGGTGGCCCAGAGGTCCAAGAGTGAGTATTTTCAGTGAGCACGGCAGAAACTGTAGAGCTTTTTATGACATCACCTTGGAAGTCACACAGTGTCACTTCCACTGTGCTCTATTGGTCCAAGCAGTCACAGCTGCCAAGAGTCAATGGGCAGGAACACAGGCCCCCTCTCTAGGGAAAGAATGTGGACAGGTTCACATCCCAGTGTCAAAACTGCTGTATGACCAACGCTTTGAATAGCAGAGAGGTTACAGTGTGTGGAAAGACGTAGGCACCAATGAGTGAGACTCAAACAGGACTCAGAAAAGTCAGACTGTAACTGTTAGAAACACCTTAATCAATTTTATTTTATTTTGTATGCACAAGAGTGATATCCAATTAAAAATCGTTCTCTAATAAGTCTAAAATATATCTTTCAATATGTGTAATATACAAATTACAAGTGATAAAAGTATTGGGTTAGTTTTTTGTTCTTTGATTTCTTTTGTTTTGGAACTGTATTTAATATAATAGAGTATCTTAAATAAGGGGTATTTCAGAATGAATGAAGCCCAGTATATTTCCTTCAAAAGCATATTTGAGCTATCTTGCTTCATTCTTCTTGATACTTGGTATTAGCATACTTTAATATTTTTGCCTGGTGGTAAGTCATCTCCTTGTGGTTTACTTTTTTCTTATTTTATTTATTTATTTTTTTGTAGAGACAGGGTCTTGCTATGTTTCCCAGGCTAGACTCCACCTCCTGGCCTCAAGGGATCCTCTGGCCCTGGACTCCCAAGCGCTGAGATTAGAGGTGTGTGAGCCACCCTCACTGCCCTCTTTGTGGTCTTAATTTGCTATTTCCTAATTACTAATGGGAACTGGTCACCTACTCACTTGATTTTGGTCGTTCATGGTTCCTCTTTGAAGTGCCTATTTAATGCCGGCATCCATTCTTTGCTTCAGGTGTTTTTCTCTTTCACATTGACTCAATAACAGTCTTTATATATCCTGGATACTAATCCTTTATCACTTGCTGCAAGTATCTTCTTTTACTCTGTGGCTTGTTTTTTTCACTTCATTTATTGTTTTTTAAACAAAGCCTAAGTTCTTAATTTTAACGTACTTGAACTGACATTTTCTACCCTGGCCCCCTCCCACCCTTAGTTCCCAGACACCTCTTATGATCTGGGGTCGAGGAGCCCGCCTTCCTGGCGGTCTCAGCTGGGGCCTGGGGAGCGAAGGCGGCGGGCGCTCGCGGGAGGAGCTGCGCGATTCGGATGCTGGGGAGGTGAAGCTCGCGGGGCCGCCAGGCCGCCGGGGTAAGGAAGGCCGGGAGGCCGCGGGGGTCCACGGCGCGGAGGGAGCCGCAGGCACCGGGCACAGCCCTCGCCCATCGCCGAGACCCGGCAGGCCCAGGAGCCAGAGGGCGGCGGCGTGAGAGGGAACCGCCTCCAAAGGACGCCCTCGCCCTCCCGCAGGCATAGTCGCAGGCGCCAGTCCCGGTCCGAGCCAGCTGGGGGTGGCTCCGGGGAGCTGAGCCGGGGGAGGGCCGGGCCGCCCAACGGATCAATAGGGGGGTTTCTCCCAGGTTGCCGTTTCTCTGGCCCGCGACGCCCTACCCGCCGGAGCCGCCCAACCGCAAGCCCCGCCCCGAAGGCGGGTGCAGCCAGGAAGGCGGGGCCTGGTGGCCTCTGGGCGCTGGCGCCAAGTTCAGAGCCGCGCCCTGGGCTGGGCGGTGGCGGCCGCGTCTGCACTTCCCCCCCTGCGCGCCTCTGGAGAGCCCGGGAGAGACGCACCCTCAGGTCGGCCAAGACCGAGAACAAGCGGGCGCGGGCAGCGGAGCCCATCTCACTTGCACGAAAGGCAGCGTTCTTGAGTCCTGCCTTTGACGGCGGGGGGTTCTTCCCTTCCCTCTGTCAGCTTCCTCCAGCTCTCTCCCATGTCCTTTCCGAGTCCCATTGCTGTCCCTGTCTCTTGCCTCTCTGCTTCTTGTCTCCTTGTCCTCTCCTGTTTCTCTCATCTCTCCCTTTTTCTTGTGTCCGCCTTGTTGGCTATTTCTCTTTTATCCTTTTTCCTTCTCTCTCTTTCGGCCTCTCCCCTCACTCTCCCTATAGGCTTCCTTCTCTCTTGCAAGCAAGAATTCTTCTTATGTTTTTCCCCTAAGGTGACTTCTTGGCCATAATCGTTTGCATCCACCCCTCCCCGCCCCAGCCCTCTCTCTGTTCATCTTGTAGTGCCCCATTATTCTCATCCAGGGCTTGTGCTAGGTGCTGGCGTCTTCAGCCCAGATCCTTTCTCCAACAGAGTATATACAAAGATCTGCACATGTAACCCGTTCAGTGCCTTTCCTGGGAAAAAGTACATAGATGATCAAATTATAAATCTCTGAATTTTCAGGGTCACCTGAAAAAAATACCTGGTTTTAGATACAAGACAATTGAATCCTTTTCTTGACATTTTGCGTTTACTCATAGAGGCACAGACAGCACAGCAGGAAGCTAAGCCTTGCAGAAGCTTTTAGGGGACATTGCCACCCACACCTTCTGTGCAATGCCAGGTGCAGGGGAGGCAAGGGACAGGATACAGACCTGGGTTGTGGGAAGACAGTGGGAGGCCAGGGCTTTGCACTTGAAACATTTGGGTGAGACTGACTGGAAATAAGAAATTAACAGTAAATTTCTAAAATATGTAGTTGCTTTGCCTCCTCAGAAATAATGGAACCTGATGTTGTGGTATATTGTGATCTTTAATGATATTCCAGCTTTTGACCAGCTTCTGTGGAACATCTCTACCCTGCCCTGCAGACTACCCTGTGACTCCTGGAAGTCTAGGTCCTTTGTTGCATGGAGAGGATGCAAACCACGTGCTGCAGCTCCCGATGCCTTTTCCGAGCAGATTCCTCAGAGGGGGTGCCTGACATCAGAGATGAATTTCAGCCAATGCCTCCGAAGAGGCAGATGCAGAAACCTCACTCCTCTCAGTAACCCTGAGCAAAGCACTCAACCTCTCTGAGCCTCGGGTTTCCATCTGTAAAATGGGCTCAAGCTAAGTTGTCTCTCCAGACTGTCAGGCGGCGCGCAGGGAGGAGGTGCAGACGCGGCCGCCACCGCCAAGCGCCCAGCGCGCGGCTCTGAACTTGGCGCCAGAGCCCTGAGGACACCAGGCCCCGCCTTCCTGGCCGCACACGCCTTCGGGGCAGGGCTTGTGGGTGGGCGGCCCCCGCGCGGGAGGGTGCCGCGGGCCAGAGAACTCGCAATCCGGGAGAAAGCCTCTGATCAGCTGGGCAGCCCAGCCCTCCCCGGGCTCAGCTCGGCGGACAGCCCTCTGATGGCTCGGGCTGGGCCGGGCGCCGGCGCCTGCGGGAGGGCGAGGGCATCCCTTGAAGGCGGCTCCAGCTCTCGCTGCGGCCCTCTGGCTCTAGGCTCCCCGACCTCTCACTCCTGCGCCAGGGGGGCCGCGGCGATGCGCCCCGTGCCTGTGGCTCCCTCTTCGCGGAGGACCTCCGTGGCCTCCCGGCTCTCCCTCCCCGCGCGACCTGGCGGCCCCGCTAGCGGCACCTCCCCAGGGCCCAAGTAGCCCAGATCCTCCAGGAGCGCCCCGACACCTCCGCTCCCCTCGCCCCAGCTGTGACCGCGCAGCACTTTGCCAGGAAGGGGGGCTCCGCGACCCTTAGAACATAGAGGTGTCCAGGGACTTAACTGCCCCTGGAGGGTGGCAGGGGGCCAGGGCAGAAGGGCCGTGGTCTGGACGGAATGACTGTGGGGTGGGTGGAGACTGCGCTGGGACTCGGAGGACCTGGGCTTTCCCCTGCAGTGGTGGAGTGAGGGTAGATGGGATAGAGTCTCAGGTAATTGCAGTTCTTGGTGCTGTTGCAGGCAAGTGTGCATGGGTCACATTGCTTGAGCGTAGGGTGCAAAGTAGCTTCCTTTGGAGAAGGGAGAATTCTTCAAGTACTGAAAGGAAAACCACCCCGAGTCCCTGCTCCCTCATTGATTAATTCCGTCACTCAGTGGGTGTTCTGACGTGGTAGGGGTGAGTGGGTGCGCGGAGATACCGTGAGGAAGCGCTGAGTTTCTCTCCAAGGCTTTGGAGGGTCTGTTGCAAAGATGAGATCCTCAAGGACAAACATAAGTCTGATGAGGGGGAAGTTGGGTTCAGAACATATATCAAACCTTAGAGATGGTCCTGTTACAGGAAAGGGGTCCCCATCTAAACACCAAGAGAGGGTTCTTGAATCTTACGCAAGAAAGAATTCAGGGCGAGTCTGCAGTGCAAAGCAAAAGCAAGTTTATTAAGAAAGTCAAGTGGTCAAAGTGCAGCTACTCCATAGACAGAGTGGGACGTTCCCGAAAGTAAGAGGAGTAAAGCCCCCATCCTAGGTACAACGCTTGTGTAGATGGGGAGATGTGCTCTGCAAAAGGGTTTGTGATAAAGGATTCATTTTCTTAATTACTCTATTTTGCAAGCATCAATATTATCTTTAAAGCAAAATTAGGAATGCCGTTGTTCTCCAGATATCTTGATATCTGGATACTCCCAAGTCTGGGTCTGTTTAGTAAACATTATTAATTTGTTCCCTTAACTGTGAACATCTAGAGGCGAGGAATGCCTAGCTTTCTGAGAACGCAGCCCAGCAAGTCCCCGCCTCATTTTCCTAGCCCTCACTCAAAATGGAGTCGTTCTGGTTTGACTGCCTCTGACAGTCCTGAAGCAAAACTTTTCTTTTATGGAAGAGAGAACATTGAGGAATAGAGAGAGACATCAAATCCGAAATGCAGAACATCAGAGACAAAGAAAACAATTTGAAAGTCACCAAACTCAAAACACAGATTACCCAGGAAAGACTGGTGGTGAAACCAATGATAAAGTTGCCACAGCCACCAGTGATATGTCCTTGGGTGCCTCAAAAATAGAATTCTGTATCTATCTGGAATATAAATCAAGTGTGAGCACAAAATGAAGGTATTGTCAGATGTGCAAAGTGTGAGTTTACAACCTGTACAACCTTGATGAAAGGATAAGAATGTATTTCAGAAAGAAGGAAACAATTTGGAAGAGTGGAGTTCAAGAAATGACGGTGAGCAAAGAAGCTGGGAACACACTGATTAAGGTGAGTGGCTAGGTACGGAAAATAATGACCATCACCAATATGGGGAGTTTTCTGAAAATAAAAGGATAGAATAATTTCAGAGGGAGACCACTTCCAGGAAAGTTTATCCAAGCAGCTTGGGAGACCTTGAGCCATCTGAGGAGTCTGAGATTTCCTAGGCATGGGCCTGTTTTCATATCCCTGCTGGCCTCTGGCTAAAAGAAGCCTGTGAGGGATGTGGTCTTTCTGTGAATGTGGTGGCCCATTGTGGTGGTAGAGAGTGGATTCCCAAAACACTCCCTTCCCCTAGTCCTACTCCCCACAGTCAGAGATCTGATTGGTGCAGTTTCGTGCTCCCCACAATGTACTTAACTTGCCATTTAAAGTCAAAATTTGTCTGCTAAAAAAGAAAAGAAAAAGAAAAAAAAATCCAATCCAGCACCGTGGCTCATGCCTGTAATTCCATAGCTCTGGGAGGCAGATGTGGGAGGACTGCTTGAGGCCAGTCTGTGCAACATAGCAAGAACCTTTCTCTCAAACAAACAAACAAACAAACAAACAAAAAAAACCAAAAAAAGAAACCACAGAAAACAAAAATAGGTGGGTGTGGTGGCGCACACTATAGTCCTACTTACCGGACTGTGGGAGGCAGGAGGATCACTTGAGCCTAGAAGTTCCAGGTTATAGTGAGCTATGAGTGCACCACTGCACTCTGGCTTGGGCAACAGAGTGAGGCCCTGACTCTTAAACAAAAATTGGCTGGGCAGGGTGGGATCACACCTATAATCCCAGGACTTTGGGAGGCCAAGGTAGGCGGATCATTCGAGGTCAGGAGTTCGAGACCAGCCTGGCCAACATGGTGAATCCCCGTCACTACCAAAAAAAATACAAAAACTAATCGAATGTGTAGGTGTGCACCTGTAGTCTCAGGTACTCGGGAGGCTGAGGCACGAGAATGTCTTGAACCCAGGAGGCAGAGGTTGCAGTAAGCCAATATCGCACCACTGCACTCCAGCCTGGGCAACAGAGTGAGACCATGTCTCAAAACAACAACAACAACAACAGAAACCAGCTATATACTTTCAAAAAGAGACACATCTAATACATAAGGACATAAAAAAGTTTAACATAAAAGGATGGGAAAAGATACAGAGATGTGGCCGGGATGCTGGGGAAACCAAAAGGAAGCGGGAGTCTTCAGCACAGAGAAAGCGTGACCAGGGTTTAAGAGGATCAGTTCCCAATCAGCTGCATTTTCTAGACAGCCATAACAATTCTAAACTTGCATGCACCTAATAAAATAAAACAAAAAACATAAACTATAAGGAGAAATTGTGAAACCCACCATGTATTTGAGAAATTTCAACACGCATGTGTTGAGTAGACACAGTGTTACTAAAAACTTAGAAGATTTGAACAACACAATTAATAAACTTGGTTTTAATGGTCTTCTAAAGAATCCTCCCCCAAATCATGTATTGAAACAAATCTCAATAAAATTCAAAGAAACAGTATCATACAGACCATGTTCTCTGATTATAATGCGATTAGGTTGGAAATCAATGACAAAAAGAATTTTTTAAAACCACATAAAATTGGAAGTTGAAAATTGAATGTATCAAAGTAGAAATCAACACTGAAATTAAAATCAACTGATAATAAAATATTAAATATGAAAACTTATGAGATTCAGTGAAAGAGAAACTTAGAGGGAAATTTGCGGCCTATTAGGTTTATTTTGCAGCAAAGAGGGTTGAAAATAAAGAGCTAATAATCTAAATGAAAATATGAGAAAAAGAGTAGCAAAATGAACCCACAGAAAGTGAAAGGTAGAGGATATTAAATAAATAACTATAAATAGAAAACAAAAAATGCAATAGAGAGTAATAACAAATCTAAAGGTTATTTGAAAGGTTTGCTAACATAGACAATACGCTAGTGAAATTGATCAGAAAACAAGACAGTGCTTCCTATCCTTTTCTGTTTTTCATTCTAATCTCCCCATCCTGGGAAATGTTTTAGGCTTTATTTTTCTTAATAGTATCTCCTCGTTAACCCCCATGAAATTTTGATTCCACATATATACTAGATTGCCCTTTATGTACTGTATACATATCTGCGTTTTATATTTTAAAAGAGTAAGACCCACACAAGGCTAATTTTCACTCCTTTAGGGACAATATCCTCCCTGTTTAGAATGCCTAGAAAAAGAGAAGGCACAACTAAGCAATAATAGGAATTAAAAAGATGTAACTACAGATAGAGCAGAAATATAAGAATTAAAAACATTCTGAACAACTTTATAACAAGGCATGCTAATTAATGTTCAAATTCCTAGAAAAATATGTCATATGAATTGACAGAAACAGAAACACTAAGTAAGTATTAGGGCCAGGCATGGTGGCTCATGGCTGTAATCCCAGCACTTTGGGATCCAAGGCGGGCTGATCACTTGAGGTCAGGAGTTCAAGACCAGCCTGGGCAACACAGTGAAACCCTGTCTCTACTAAAAATACAAAAATTAACTGAGCCTGGTGGCGCGTCCCTGTAATCTCAGCTACTCTCGAGGCTGAGGCAGGAGAATCTCTTGAGCCTGGGAAGCAGAGGTTGCAGTGAGCCAACATCACGCCACTGCACTCCAACCTGGGCGACAAAGTGAGTCTCCATCTCAAAAATAATAATAAAAAATAAATAAATAAATGTTAGTCTGCTCTGGGTGTCATAAGAAAATACCACAGGCTGGGGGGCTTAAACAATAAAAATTTATTTGCAACCAGTCCTGGAGGCTGAAAGTCTATGATCAAGGTGCCACCAGGATTGGTCTCTGATGAGACTCCTCTTCTTGGCTTGCAGAGACCTTCTCATGGAGTTTTCACATGGCCTTTGCTCTGTGCATCCTTGAAGAGAAAACTCTGGCGTCTCTCTTCTTGTAAGGACATCAGTCCTAGTTGATTAAGGGCTTAATCTTATGGCCTCATTTAACCTTAATTACCTCCTTAAAGCCCCTATGTCCTAATAATTCAGTCACATCACCAGTGAGGGCTTCAACATACCCATTTTGGGGGAGACAGAATTCATAACATCCAGAAATTATTAAATTATATCATTTTAAAGTCTTCTCAAAAGAAAACGCAAGGATGATATCATACCAGATATTCAAAGAGCAGATTATATTTATCATGTTCAAAGTCCTTCCTAGGAGAAAGAGCAAACCTCCAGGTGCATTTTATGAGTCTCCTATGACCTAATACCAAAAACAGATAAGGACAGCACAGAAATCGGAAAGTATGGACCCATCTCTCTCATGATCATAGATAAACAACAAGTTCTAAATTATGACTAAACTCTAGCATGTTTTAAAATATCATGGCCAAGTTAGGTTTATTTATAGCATTTTAAAATTGGTTTTGCATGCATTAATGTATCTAAACATACTAAATTTAGATTACTGGACAGAAATACATGTTCATCACAAAATACCAGAAGAAGCATTTAGATAAAACACTTGTTTGTGACTTGTAGCAAACCAAGATTAGTAGAGAAACTTTCTAATCTGATAAAGAATTTCTACCAAAAGCCTTCAAAGAATATCATTGTTAATTGTGATGTTAGAAACATTCTCTGTAAAATCAAGAGTGCCTCCATCACTAGTCAACATTGGATTGGAGAACTAGTCAGCACAATTCTTATTCTTTTTTTAAAAAAAATTATATTTTACAAGAAATCAAAATGAATCTACAGATAAATTCATAGAAGAGAGTTTAGTGAGGTGGGTCAATATATAAACATGTAAGTACATTTCTGTATATGATACACAGTTTAAAAACTTTTAAATTATCATTTACAATAGTAGTAAAATGTAGTGTATTTTGGGAAGGCACTGGACCAATGAGGTCAAAATCTTCATAGGGGAATTTATCTGAAAGGCACTGGAAAAGACCTGTATAAACAGACATATGCCATGTGTCATATTCACTGATAGGACAACTCTCACTGCAGACCTGTTTCTTCCAAATGAATCCATACATTTAATGTTATTGTAATCAAACATTAAGAAGTTTTTGGGAGAGAGGAGACTCGATGAGCTGATTCTAAAATTTATGTCAAAGAGCAAATAGCCAACAATAACCAGAAGAAAAAAAAGTGGATGATTGACCGTATTGTGTGAAGACTTGCTGTAGAACTTTGTATATGTGTCAGATGAGTCTAGGTTATCTTCCAGATACCCCCTTCCCTCTCCCCATTTAATCATCTGAAAAGCACAAACTATATTTCTCATGTGTATATATCATTCTCCCACGTATCCATTCCAGGTTCCCAAGGGAACGCCACACATCCTAGTTGCTCAGGCACCAGGCTGTCGGGGCCACCTAAGTCATACCTAGACTCTTAAACATTTTCTGTCCAGAAGTGGCACACATTACTTCTGTTAACATTCCATTGGTCAATCAAAACCTGCCACAAACATGGCAGGGAGCGCAGCCCTTCCCTTAAATGGAAAGGGACAATGATGGACAGTAATACAGTCTTCCTCCATATAGTCATTAAGATAATGTGGTATGGATGCTATCAATATAAGCCAATAGATAGAGATTGGCAGCCTGGCCAACGTGGTGAAACCTAGTCTGTACTAAAAATACAAAAATTAGCCAGGCGCAGTGTGTATGTGAAGAACTTTGTGTATGTGTCAGATGAGTCTAGGTTATCTTCTGGTTACCCCCTTCCCTCTCCCAATTTAATCATCTGAAAAGCACAAACTATATTTCTCATGTGTATATATCATTCTCCCACGTATCCACCCCAGGTTCCCAAGGAACGCTGCACATCCTAGTGCCTGTAATCCCAGCCACTCGGGAGACTGAGGCATTATAATCGCTTGAACCTGGGAGGCAGAGGTTGCAGTGAGTTGAGATGGTGCCACTGCACTACACAGCCTGGGCAACAGAGAAAGACTCCATCTCAAAATAAATAAATAAATAAAAACAGATTCAAATCTATATGGAACTTGAAACACAAGTAGTGACGAGATCAATAGGCAAAAGATGGAATTTTCCACAAATGGAGCTGGGACAATTTGTTAGCTTCATGGCAAAAAATGAAATCAAATATCTGGCACAAATCACACTTATAAATTAATTCTAGGTAGAATCAAGACTTCAATGTGAAAGGCAAATCTTTAAAACTTGTAAAATAAAATGTATTTCACCTCTAACGGAAGAAATTCTTAAGATATAAAACAGAGCAAATCTTAAAGTTTAAGAAAATGACAACACTTTGGGAGGCTGAGGCGGGTTGATCACGAGGTCAGGAGTTCAAGACAAGCCTGGCCAAGATGGTGAAACCTCATCTCTACTAAAAATACAAAAATTAGCTGGGCGTGGTGGGGGTTGCCTGTAATTCCAGCTACTTGGGAGGCTGAGGCAGAGAATTGTTTGAACCCGGGAGGCAGAGGTTGCAGTGAGCCGAGATCACACCACTGCACTCCAGCCTGGGCAACAGAGAGAGACTCTGTCTCAAAACAAAACAAAGCAAACAAACAAACAAAAACCACCACTACCACCACCATCACCACCAACAACAAAAAAACAAAAGAAAAAGAAAAATGACAAACAACTGGATTAAAATGAACAACTTTTGCTTTACTAAGAGACAACAAATAGAGTGAAAAAACAAGCCACACCATGGAAGAAGATATTTGCAACAATTGATAAACGATTAGTATTCAGAATTTAAAGAATATGAATGAATCAATACGCAAAAGATAAACACCCAAATCAGAGAATGGACACACAGGCATGAGCAGGCACTTCACAAAGGAGGAAACAGGAATGACCCAAAATCATGAGAACAGATGAACAACTGTTTAGTAATTAGGAAACTGCAAATTAAGACAATACTTTTGTCTATTGATTAGATGTCAAAACATAATTAAAAATAAAATAAAATAAAATATGGCACTACCAAGGGTCACGAAGGATGTGAAGCAGGAAAACCTAATATGCTTTCAGAGGAATTACACCAACTCTACCCATTCTAAAATACCACTTATTTAAAATAATCCATTGTTTTAAACACCACTCCAAAGCAAGACAGAAACCCCCCAAAGTCCACTAACCCAGTGCTTTTTATCACTTGTAATTTTTTGTTTTTTTTTTTGGAGGAAGAGTCTCACTCAGGCTGGAATGCAATGGCACAATCTTGCAATCTACAACCTCCGCCTCACAGATTCAAGTGATTCTTCTGCCTCAGCCTCCCGAGTAGTTGGGATTACAGATGTGCACCACCACACCTGGCTAATTTTTGTATTTTTAGTAGAGATGGGGTTTCACCATGCTGGCCAGGCAGCTCTCAAAATCCTGACCTCAAGTCATCTGCTGGCCTCAGCTTCCCAAAGTGCAGAGATTACAGGCATGAGTTACCCTTCCTGGCTATCACTTGTAATTTTTGTGTCAAATACATTGAAAGATCTATTTTAGACTTATTGAAGAAGAATTTTTAATCATATATCACTTCTGCATACAAAAATGAAGAAAATAAAATTAAGGTATTTCTAACTATCACAGTCTAACTTTTCTGAGTCCAACTTGAATCCCATCATCAGTACCCACGTTTTTCCACACACTGTAACGTCTCTGCCATTCAAAGCATTTGTCATACAGTAGTTTTGACACTGGGATGTGAACTCATCCACACTTCTGCCCTAGAGAGAGGGCCTGTGTTCCCTCCCATTGACTCTTGGCAGCTGTGACTGCTTGGACCAATAGAGTACAGTGGAAGTGACACTGTGTGACTTCCAAGGTGATATCATAAAAGTCTACAATTTCTGCCTTGCTCACTGAAAATACTCACTCTTGGACCTCTGGGCCACCTGTAAAAGCCCAAGCATCCTGAAGCTGCCATGCTGGGAGGAAGCCCAGGTCACACAGGGAGGCTACATGCAGGGTCTCCATTCGCAGTCCCAGCTGAGCCCAGCTTTTGAGCCCTCCTGCCCAGGAGCCACACTTGTGAGTGGAGCAGCCTCCAGATAATTCCAGTGCCCAATCCTTCAAGTCATGTTGGGCTGCTCAAGCCTTCCCATCTGGGGCCCCAGACACGAGGAGCCCTTCCCACTCTGCCCCGAGTGCCTGATCCTCAGAACCTGTGAGCATAATAAAATGGGCCTGCTCTGTGTCCCTAAATGAAGGTGGTCTGGTGCACAGCAGTAGAGAACCGGAATGTCCCTCATTCACAAAGACTCTGGCAACACTGCAGTTTCCGTCTCCTTCCAGATCTGCTACCCCCTGGGGGACTTCAGTGTCACACAAATGACCTGTCACTGCCAACACTCTGGCCTCCCAGTCCTTGACCTCCTCACCCACAGCAATGTCCTCACCTAGGTCACCTGGGCTAACTCTTCCAGTAAACAAATGGCAGGGTCTGGGGGTTTTAAGGGACACTATGAGGGCTGTTGTAAGGGAAATGGAGGCTTCCTCTTGTGGCCCCTCCAAAGGTCCTGTGCCTCCCCCTGGTGTTGTCAACATGCAGGACACTGGGAAGAGCTGCAGGTCACAAAGTCACCATGTCAACCTTCCTGTTAATCACAACAGGGAATTCATAACAGAGTTGGGGTGGGAGGTGGGGAACTGGCATCACTCACCCTGGCTTCTGAGCCAGTGCCTCCGGCTTTTCACCAGTACTTGATTCCTTCTCAGCGCAAATATGCGGATGTCTTTTGTCACCTACTCCACAGATGGCGACACTGTCTTGCCACTCACCTCAGACAAGTGAGTGCTGCTTTGAGCCCCAAAGGGAGGCCTGATGAGCTGAGCCATAGGGAGCTCCAGGGAGCTGAAGGGCTCCCAGAGACCTTGGTTGGGAGCCTGACAGCACATGGAGAAGGCCGGTCAGGGCAACTCACAGTACCCACCCTGACCTTAGCCCCGGATCCCCTGCATCCTCCTACCCATGGCTGCAAGGTTACCTGCAGGCCCCTGTGCTCCAGAATTTCTCAGCCTCCCCGTTCACACTCCCCTGCCCTCCCTCTACCCTGCCTCCTTCCCTGGGAGGTGGCTGTGAAGATTCCTGGGGTGCAGGGGCTGGCAGGGTGGGAGTGTGTGTCCTGTGAACACACACCTGTGCTGGCTGCTGCTCTGTGCCTGTTCCTCCTGCCCTGGCCAGTGAAGGAGGGAGACAGGGTCAGAGCCAGTGGTGAGAGTCATGGGGCTTTAGTGCAGGGATGCTGGCAGGCCCAGACAGGGGAGTCCCTGTGTGGGGTTCTGAGCTCCAGGCCAGGCTGGGAAACTGGTGGGAGGGAGGTAGGAGGAGCAAGCTCAGGTGGCTTGAGGTGGCCTAGAGAGGTGCCCAGACCTAGCAGGGTGCACTGCAGAGTTCCTGTTTGGCGGGAGATGAGGGCACTTCCAATGCACATGCCCAGAACTGGGCCCAGAGGAGGTGAAGTGCAAGAGAGAGGTGAGGATACTGAGGACTGGATGGGGGCCTGGACCCTATTTGCAGCTTCGAGGGGATACAAGGTGGGCTGCCACATCTTGAGCTAGGGGGAGGCTTGGATCTGTGTGTCCTGCGCTGTGGGTTTGGCAGAGAGACTGGAGTGGGTGTGAGGTGGTAAAAAGCAAGTCTATTGGGGAGGACTGTGGCGGGTGACCCAGAAGGGGAGTGGGGTTTGGGCATGGCCAGAGGAAGGCCAGGCCATGGCCTCTTCTGGGTATGGATGGGTCTGGCCTTCTCCCCTCCTGAGCTGGGCAGGCAGGGCTCTTAGAGCTCCGGCCATGGCAGGGACTGTCTGCCCGCAGTGGGAAGCCATCCTTCAGGGTCCATGCTCTGCTCAGCCTTGCTGTGCAGGCTCAGCCTGTCACATTGGATTAGCCTGACCCTAAGTCCCCAGCCTGTCCCAGTCCTGCCACCAGAGCCAGTCCTGGCTGCCCCAGCCCATTCTGTCTGCTTTAACAGCAGCTGACAGGCCACATCCCCCAGCCAGTCTGCAGATCAGTGTTCAGCCCCTGCATGCACAGCCGTCAGGGCTGCCTCTCCAGCTTTTGGTCTTTTTGTTTCAAGGGCACAGGAAGTCAAGGAGTCCAGGCAGTCTAATTAAGCAGATTTGGTATTTCCTGTACCAGGGTAAAGAGAGAGGAAGAAACTGAGTCAGGGTCAGGGGTCTGGGGCTGTGAGGTCTGGGTGCAGGGCTGGGGGCTTAGCAGGATGACTTTTCCCAAATGCAGCCCTCCCTGTTAAAGGACGGAGTGCCCAACACAAGAGAGTCCTTCTTGGGTTAGAGTTTGGATTAGAGTTAGAGTTAGAGTGTTAGAGTTGAGTTAGAGTTTAGAGTTAGAGTTAGAGTTAGAGTTAGAGTTAGAGTTAGAGTTAGAGTTAGAGTTAGAGTTAGAGTTAGAGTTAGAGTTAGAGTTAGAGTTAGAGTTAGAGTTAGAGTTAGAGTTAGAGTTAGAGTTAGAGTTAGAGTTAGAGTTAGAGTTAGAGTTAGAGTTAGAGTTAGAGTTAGAGTTAGAGTTAGAGTTAGAGTTAGAGTTAGAGTTAGAGTTAGAGTTAGAGTTAGAGTTAGAGTTAGAGTTAGAGTTAGAGTTAGAGTTAGAGTTAGAGTTAGAGTTAGAGTTAGAGTTAGAGTTAGAGTTAGAGTTAGAGTTAGAGTTAGAGTTAGAGTTAGAGTTAGAGTTAGAGTTAGAGTTAGAGTTAGAGTTAGAGTTAGAGTTAGAGTTAGAGTTAGAGTTAGAGTTAGAGTTAGAGTTAGAGTTAGAGTTAGAGTTAGAGTTAGAGTTAGAGTTAGAGTTAGAGTTAGAGTTAGAGTTAGAGTTAGAGTTAGAGTTAGAGTTAGAGTTAGAGTTAGAGTTAGAGTTAGAGTTAGAGTTAGAGTTAGAGTTAGGAATGTCAACCCCATTGTCAGTGACTGACTCTCAGTTGCCCATCCCCGGTTCAGGGTTAGGGTTAGGGTTAGGAATATCGGCCCCATTGCAGTTCCTGACTCACAGTTGCTCATCCATGGGAAGCTCCCACTGTCACCAGAGATGGTCTAAGTGGGGCCCTGGTGAGATTCCCCAGGCCTACATTCTCTGGAACTAGGATGAGATCAGAAGGCCTGTCATCTATGGTCAACGTCACAGTAAGGAATGAGCAGGACAGAGCCCTTGCTTGGCCCCCTCCTCCATCCCCGAGGCCTTGCACAGTGAGCAGTGGCTCCCAGAGAGCTTGAGAGGTAATTTTTAGCAGTCCACGTCTTTCCACGTCAACCACTTTTTTGGAGTTTTTTCAGGAAGAAAATAAAAGAGGGTCTCGACAAACTTCAGAAAATGGTGCCTGAAGGACACATATTCATGCAGGCAGGGTTTAGAAATGTATACACCCCTTGAGCTCCAAGAATCGATTCTAGTTGACAAGGTCTTAGAGCATCAGTGGGAACATTTCACTGTCCAGGCTCAATATTTCTTCATTTTCTTGCAGGCAATTCGGCAGATGGAAAATTTCAACTCCAGGTTTAAGCACCTGCCGTCCCCATGGTGGTCCCATAGGTGGAACAGAGCTGGGCGTGAGCCTCAGAGAGCTCTGTGTGCAGACTCTGCAAGGCCACACCTGCCCTGCCTCTTGGAGCAAGTTGCTCACCTGTTCTGAGGTCCAGGTCCCTCCCTGGTGCAATGAGCATAGTAAGCCCTCGCCCCATGGAGTTCTGAGAACTGTGTGGGATCCTGCGTGTGCAGTTCTGGTGCTGATAACCCTGAGGTGCTTGCCCTCCAGCTGGGCTGTGTGAAAAGGAAAAGAGAAGAGCCAAGGGGTTTTCCCCCTTGCACACACCTTAGTCTTCCTCCTCCCTTCCTCATTTCCCCTCTGAGTGACTTGCATCCCTTGACTGTGTCTCAGATGATGCAGAAGGCTGTCCACAGCTGCCGACCCCCTCCCCACAGTGTGCCTGCAACTCTTGTCAGGAAAAGGCATGGTTGGTGGGGAAAGGCATTGAGGTGGATGTGGGGTCCCCTGCCCAGGTACCACTTACCTGGAATCCTGTACTCCTGGGCCCAGAGATGCTGGCAGGGCTGCCCGCAGGCTCTGCCCACAGGAGAGCCAAGCTGCTCCTCCCCCTACCCATGGGACAGGCCTGTGCTTGTGGAGTCCTGGCTGCAGCTGCCCTCAGGCAGAGGTGGTGCAGGCTGCTAGTGGGTGAGGGTTCAGGCAGCCTGGTGAGAAGGAGCCTGCCCCTCTCAGCTCCTCTTTTGTAAAATGGGTGCTGGGCTGAGACCTCCCTCACTCTAAGGGTCTCTGTGTAGCAGGTGCTTGGCTCTTGGCAGCCTCTCCCCTGGAGGATGAGATGGGGGCACCTGGACATGCCCTGGAGTGATCAGTGCTGTGGGCCCAGCAGCCCGCAGGGGTCCTGGAGTGTTGGGCTAATCAGACCCAACACCATATCGTGGGAGTGATGAAGTCTGGTGGAGTCAAAGGAATGAGAAAAAGACAGTTTGAGAGAGAAAGTGGGACCAGTGGGCCATCACAAGTGTGGAGGCTGCAAAGGCCCTGAGCTCTGGGAGCCCATGCTGTTTATTGGTGCTCAAACAAAAAACAGGTGGTGAGGATGTGGGGGTTGAAAGGAAACAGTGTATCAAGTGAATGAGAAACATACAGCTGCTTGAGATAACGGAAGTGCTAGAAGCAAGGAGCCAGCAAGTCTAGCAGACATGCAAGCCCTGCCTCAGCTTCTCTCCCAACACTCAGCTTTTCTCCCAATACAGGAACTTTTGGAGGTCACTTCTGGGGCCTTTGCTGAGCAGGCCACTCCTTGCTTCTCCTGCAGATGACAAGGTTTCCAGCATGATTATTGCTATGACTGATGGAACAATGATGAAACATCCATCTTTGGACACTCTCAAAGAAGTGAGTTCAGTTCGTATTTATCAGCATTTTGCTCCCTGTATTTTGGTAATTAATACTCAATGCCTTCTTTCCCTTAAGCTGAAAGGGCTCGGAGCCTGGGGGCCACCATTTATACCGTGGGTATGGCTGATTATAGGAAAGACCCAGTAATTCCAAACAGGTTAACCAGGCACCAATATAGAGCCTTGTGGTCAGGTTAGGGTTAGAGTATGGAAAGGTGTCCCAGACAGCTTTCCTAGGGCCACCCCAAGAAGGGTCATCTAATCTGCCTCAAGTGAGTTGGGCCACCCTATGACTACTGCAGAAATGACAGCATGTCATATAAATCCTACTAAACCAGAGGGGAGGGTGGAAGAGCTCCCCACTCCCTGAGAGTGGGCTGCTGGCTGGAGAAGGCTGTGGCCCTCAGAGCCTGGTATTCTGCTGCCTCCAAAGCATGGGGGCAGGACGCTCTCCCTTGGGCTGGGGATCTGCTGCATGCTCACCCCTGGGCTGGGAGTCCAAACCAGCTCTGCTCTCTGTAGATAACAGCAATGGCAGGCGGTCCGGACCATGTGTTTGCAGTGGAGGATGGCTTCAAGGCCCTGAGAAGCACTGTTGATGCTGTGAGTGAGTGGAGGTGAGGGGCTGGGGGTCTGGCTCCTGTGGCCAGAAGCTCACTCTCCCTGCCCTGCCCCACCCCTCCTGTGTTCCACCTCATGTCAAAGACCTGTCTTGAAGTGACGTCTGTGGAGCCTTCCTCTGAGTGTGTAGGAAGTGAGAACTGCGGAGGCCCTGCGGTTGCCAAAGGGTGGTGTGCACTAGTGCATGCGTGTATGGAGTGTGTGCATTTGTTTGGTATGTGTGGGGGAGGATGTGTGTGGGGAGTGTGTGAGTGTGGTGTGTGTATGTGGTGTGTATGTGTTTGGTGTGTGTGGTATGTGTGTATGTAATTTGTGTGGGTGCAGTATGTATAGTATGTGTGGGAAGTTGTGCTGTGGGAGGCTTGAAGTGTGTGAAGTCTGCGGGGAGGGTAATATGTGGTCTGTGTGTTGTGTAAACGTGTGTGTGATCTGTATGTGAGGTGTGTATATGTGCTGTGAGTGTGGTGTGTGTGGGGTGTGCATGAGTGATGCATCTGTGTGTGTTGTGTTGTGGGTGTATGTGGTGTGGGAGCTGAGGAGGGTATGTGTTGTATGTGTGTGGGGGTGTGAGTGTGTGTAGGGGGCATATATGCATGTGTGTGTGGTGTGTGTGGGGTATGCGCAGAGTGTGTGGCATAAGCTGGGGTGCTGTGGAAGTGTGTGGGAAGGGTACCTGGTGCGTGGTGTCTAGTGTGTGAGTTTGTTGTGTGGAGGAGTTGGGAGTGTACTACTTGTGTGTGTGGTGTGTGTGTATGGGATGTGTGGTGTGTGTTTGCTGTTTGTGGAGTATGTGTGTTTACTATTTATGTGTGTCTGTGGTGTGTGTGTGTACAGTGGGACTAGAGTGTTTGGGCGTGTTGTGTGTGTCATATGTGGGTGTCTACATGGGGATATCTTGTGCGTGTGGCATGTAGGGAAGGAAATGGTGTGATGGCATGTATGTATATTTTGTGTGTGCATTCAGTGGGTGGTGGGTGTGTGTGCCATGGCTGTGTG
This sequence comes from Homo sapiens, assembly GCF_000001405.40. Classification (NCBI taxonomy): domain Eukaryota; kingdom Metazoa; phylum Chordata; class Mammalia; order Primates; family Hominidae; genus Homo; species Homo sapiens. Next base: position 46,267,762 of record NC_000010.11, on the reverse strand, counting down.
TGTATGGTGTATGTATACGTGTTTGCTGTTTATGTTGTGTGTGTGGGGTGTGCTGGGTGTGTGTTGGGGGAGTGGAGAGTGTGTGGTGCGTGTGTGATGTGTGTGGTGTGTGTGTGGGATGTGTGGTGTGTCTTTGGTATTTTTGCTGTATGTGTGTTTGCGATTTATGTGTGTGTGTGGTGTGTGGGTGTGTGTGCTTCGGGCGTGTTGTGTGTGGTGTGATGTGTGTGGTATGGGGTGGGTTAAGTGTGTGGTGCAGTGTGCATGGGTGAGTGGGTGTGGATGTGTGGCCCACATGGGTGTGAATGTGAGTGTCTATTGCTGTGGGGGGAATATGCAGGGGTGATGGTGTGAGTACCTGTGTACAATTAGTGTGTTGTTAGCTCACAACAATAAGTTTAACTCTAAAGCAAGAAAAGACATGTGTGAGAAGTTCTCAGGGAAACACCAGCAAATGGCATGGAACAGCAGCTAACCCAGACCACAGGGCAGGAGCAGCCAGGGCTCCTCCCAGGAAGGCCAGGCAGGTGCAGAAGGTGAAATATCTGTATAATTTACCACATCAACAAAACGGGAAACAGGGACCAAGCGGTTATCTCAGGGGATGAAGAACAAGAAGTGGGGGCGTCAACATCCCACAGCACCCTGTGAGCAGAAGGAAACCTCCATAGCCCAACAAAGGCATCCGCACAAACACCCTCAGCTCACCTCAATCCCACAGGATCAGTCCCAGCATCTGTCCCTACTGTCTGGAATGTGGCAAGGGTGACTTCTTGCCATCTGGGGTCCCGGCATGGGTGGTGACATTGTGTGGTCCTCTGTGATGACCCGTCTGTCCTGACCTCCGCCTGCACACGCTGGGACTCCGCATGGCCGGCATTTACGCAACTACCGCTGCTGGAGAGGAAGAGAGCCTTGGGTGACTCTCTTCCATGGGGACAGCACGAGGCTGGGTGCCGCTGGCCCCAGAGCAGCAGCTGGGCTCTGGCTTCCCAGTTCCTCACTGCAGGGTGCCCTGTCAGTAGGCTGTGGGGACCGACACACGGTCCATGTCTGAGCTCTGCTCTCCATGGGCACACGACCAGAGCAAATAGTCCAATGTCAGCGAGCTCCAGAGGTGCCTCCCATGAACAGAAAGGACGCTGTCAGGCCTGTCGTGAGTCCCTAGGCACTGGGCTGTGCAGGGACTGGCACAGGGCTGGGAGCTGGTAGGACCCAGGAACAGGAGCTGTGCTGACACTTCTACGATTGGTCCTGGGCTCTGTCCCCGACACCGCCTCTCCCCGATGCAGAGCTGAGGGTGGGGATAGAGTAGAGAGCTCCCCTCCCCCTCAGGGTCTCTTTCTGCTGCTCCTGATTTAAAGCTGCTCAGCCATGCAGCCAGTGTGACAGCTGTGCTCTGATGATGTCCCCTGGAGATGCACAGGCTGTGGCGTCTGAGCAGCCCTGTCAACCTGTCAACCCCAGGTGGGGATGTGAGTTGTAACTCCTCCCTGGAGGCAGCTGAGTCGAGGTGACAGGTGCCCTCTGCCCACCAGCTCGGCCCTCTGCCTCTGCCCACCAGCTTGGCCCTCTGCCTCTGCCCATGTGGCCCGCAGTCACAGCCCTGACCTGTCAGCTGTTGGCTGAGTTGTGCAAAGCTGCCCCACATGGAGGGTGACAGTCACAGGAGGGAAAGGCCAAGGCAGGAGCCTGGAACTCAAATGCAACAGAATGAGCCCTCTCAGCAGGCTGTCACCAAGAAACCAGGAGGGCTCCAGGGAGCCCAGGAAGGAGGCCAGGGAGGGAGGCACACAGCCCAGACTCCCTCATTCAGGCCTGGGCCTCCTATCCAGCCTGGGAGAGGCCTCTGGTGGCCTCACTGCTCCAGGCCCATCCTGAGCCCATCCCCCACACATGGCTGGAGGGTTTTGACAGGCATCTCCCTCTCCAGCCTGGCAGGTGTCTGAGGCTCTTAGCAGAACCCCCAGGCCCTCCAGGGGCCGCTCCCTGTTCTGGGCACCTTGTGCAGAGGTGGGACCAGGTGGAGCACAGGCACTCTGCAAGCCTTGCCTCACCTCGAAGGGCCGAGCCCACCTGTCCTTCACAGCCCTGTTCATAGGGCACCTCATCCTGGAAGCCTTTCCTGATGACCAGCCCCTCTGACTCCCTGCAACCAAGGGCTTGGTCTGTCCCTCTCATCAGTCACTTGTCACCCAGGGTGTATCATGATTTCCGGTTGTCTATGTCCAAGTATAATTTTCTTCTTTAGTTCTTTGGTTTTCTTCCAACCTTTATTGTTGAAATTTTCAAACCTATAGGTGAGTGGAAAGGATTGTGCAATGAACACAAACACACCTCTATCCACCACTGGGATTTTACAATGAATGTTTGCCCATGCTCCTTTGTCTGTCCTTCTCCCTCTCTTTTCATCCATCCACCTTGCAAAAAAAAAAAACAATGTTTGCAATACATAGAATATGTAGTCCTAACACAGCTTAGAATGTAATTTGCAACCACCCTGATCGTGAAGCTTTGGGGCAGCCCTCAGTCCTGCTCAGGGTGGCCGAGTTGGGCTGACCAAGGGGCGCAGGCCACAGGCCCAGTTGCTCCCTCCCGGGCACACTGAGCTCAGGTCCGACTGGCCAGGGCCCTTTGGACACCTGAGCAAGGAAGATGTTGAGAATGCTGCCTGATAGCATCAGATTTGGAAGCAGCTGTTGTCTGCCTTAGCGGTAGGAGAGCACCCAATGCTTACCCTGAGTGGGGCCAGGTCTGGTTGCTCAGCACAGGGCACCAAGCTGGCCTTTCCTGCTCTCTCACAGCCTCAGTGCCCCCACCAGGCCCAGGGTTTTCTGAGGACAGCATAGTATCCATCAAGTGGGTGCCCACAAGGGCTGGGCTGGCACCTTGAGCAGGAGGAGCAGGCCAGGCCCAGCCGGCTGATGTCAGCAGTCAGTGTGTGGGGCCTTGAAGTGAGGCAGGCCTGGGAGCTCCTCATCTGAGGAGCATGGTTCCCTAGGTCCCAGCCAGGAGCTGACACGGAGAAACACAAACCCACTGAGGCCTGCATTTCCCATTTCCTAAGAAAGCTAGAAATCTGGATATTTAGGGGAAATGTTCAGGCTTTCAACTGTGAGCCCCCATTTTTGAAAATACTTGAAAGCCTCAGAAAGTATGTCAGCAGGCCAGCTTCACCGACAGCCTGCCTTGAAGGTGTGACGCTGCAGGAAAGCAGGAAGCAGGGTTCAGAGGAAGCTTTCCTCGGGTGCATGGACTGGGGGCACCCCAGGCATCAGCAGGGATTGGAATGCGTGGGGCCTGGGCCAGGAGGCAGGGGTGGAGGCCAATGCCCTTGGCAGCTGCAGACCTGCGGTCTGCTGACTCCTGAGGCCAGCCCCACCTGCCCTGTGTCCCCTGTGGTGTTTGTCTCAGGGCAGGAGCCACAGTGGTGGAAGGACACACTCCCTGAGCCTCAGGGTGGGTGCCCTGTGGTCCTTGCTGGATCAGGAAGAGCAGGAGATGAGGAGTTACCTGTAGGTCTCTGGAATCGCAGCTAAAACAGGACTTCTGTGATGGATTGCCCTGAGCAGGGTCGTAGGTGCCTCACCTGTCCTACCCGAGTCCTGGCCCTGCCCCTGCCCCTGTGGGTGTCCTGCCTGCCACAGGCACACAGAAAGACAGGGAGGAGAGACCCCGAGTGTTCAGCAGCCCTGAAGGAGGCATCAAGGCCTGGGTGCCCAGCTGAGGCATGAGACATGGTGTCTTCAGGCAGCCTTGTGGCTCCACTTACACCTTACATCAGGGAGGGCCTGGCTGAGTGCACCGCCTGTACCCCTGGGGCCTGAGGGAGCACCACAGATTTCAGGGCAGGAATAGTACTCTGAGCCTGCCCTGTGCAAGGACCAAGGCCTTTCCTGAGCGTGTTGGTTCAGGGATGGTAGGGAGAGGGTCCTTGAGTGTGCTCAAGGCCCAGCTGCCTCCCCCTGGACCCTCAGTGACACCAGATGAAGATTTGACCCAGTGGACACATAGATGTTGGTCAGACACTGCTCCTTCCTTACAGGAGTATCTGCAAGTTGAGTTTTGGGGGAGGATCTCCAGGAACAGGGAGGTCAGAGGAGAGGCAGCCCTCCACTCTTCCACATTCAACCTTTTGAATGCTGTCCTTGCAGAATCCTACCATGTGGTTATTCATGGAAATGGCTTTCAGAATCTAAAGAAACGGGATGAAGTTATTTGCAGATTTATCTTCAGTGAAAGCACTATCATTGGTAAGTTGTCTCCTCGGTGCCTCTGAGTCACGTATTTCCCACACAATGCTGCCTTTTCCCACAGCCAGCCAAGCCTCCCAGCCCTTGCCAACCATTCCCTGTGGACCCTGTGGGGTTAGAGGCCATGAAGACAAGTGGAAGGAGGCACTGGGAAGGCCGGCCACCCCTCCCTTCATCTGCCAAGTGGGGAAGTAAAAAATCCACCTGTGCCTCAAGAGCATCTTAGACGAGGGCTTCCCCCTCAGTGAGGCTGGGTTTAGGACTGGGTCTGTGATCACAGCTGCATCTGCCCACCTTAGCCTCAGTTTCCCCTTCCCTTGAGAGCCCAGGACCCAAAGCCCACAAGGCTGCTCCTGGGAAATGTTGGCAACCCCGGAGGTCTGAGTCTGGCTGGCCAGGTGCACCAGTAGCTTGCCCAGAGGGGTATGTTTACCTTGCACTGAGGGAGGATGCCAGCCTGTAGGCCTGGGCCCTGGAATCCTGGCTCAGGCACACATTGCCTGTGTCACCTTGACCAGATGAGTGTTCTACTCTGAGCCTCTATTTTCTCAATTTAACATGGAGCTAATATGGTGCTGGTTGTGTATTCTGTAACTGAAATGCTTGGGACCACAAATATTTTAGTTTTTAGATTTTTTTCAGGTTTTGGAATGTGTGCATTATGCTTATGTTTCAGCATCCCTAATCCTAAAATTTGAAATCTGAAATTCTCTAATGAGCATTTCTTTCAAACATCATGTTGGTGCTCAAGAAGTGTCAGATTTTGAAGCATTTTGGGTGTGGATTTTCATATTATAGATGGTCAGCCACAGTTGTACCTAACTAAGCAAAATCACATGTGTAGAGCAGTTGGTTCATGGAAAGGCTATAGCATTTGTTTGAAAGTCCCCTATTATTTGGCAATAATTAGGCATCAGGAGACCTCTGTGATGGTGGAATGGCCTGAGGAAGCGCATAGTCCAGGCAGACACTGTGCCCTGGGTGCTGGGGGTAGGGTGTGCTCTTCCCCACTGAGGGCCTGGGGTGCAGTTGGATTTTTGGATCCTCCTTGATCTTCCCAGGTGGCCCCTTGATACATTCATTTGATCTGATGATAGTATGTTCACTGAAATCTAATTCCAGGGCCATATGGTAATCCCAGGATGACTTCTCTTCCTCCAAGAGGCTTCTTGGCCATTTTCCTCCTTTCTGTGGGTACATAGGAAGGGGCTGAGCCTGTCATCCCCACATTCCCACTCATCAGCATTGTGTGGATGGTCTCAGGGAATTTGGTTTTCATTGGGTTATACCTTCTCGGGAGTGTCTTAGGGACTGAGCAGCCCCTTTCTAAGGAAAGCTAATGCTTATTGAGCACTTAAATCAGATTTTGTGCCAAGTGCCTTATGCACACTATCTCCCTGAATCCTCAAAGCCGACTTACAGAAATTCTTTTGTATGTGTCAACCTAAATAACAAACAGACAAGGGCTCTTTACAAGAAAATGATGTTCATCTGAGAATAGGGCATCACAGTGGGAATACGCATGCCATAGTAAACTACATGCATATTCAGGAAGGTTAGATTTTACAGGAGATGTGAGAAGGATTACATAATTGTTTGAGTTAGTTCTTCTTGGCTACTAAGATCAATAATAATAGAGGTGACCCCAATGTGAGGTTGCATGGGCAATTGCGGGTCAGATGTCCTTGCAGAAGTATTTTTGAGTAAGGTTGCAATGGTCTTTGCAAAGGTTGTAGTTTGGTAGAGATTTGTGATAGTTTTTGTTATCAGGTATACAAGCATGTGAATCTTCTCTTCATAAACTTCCCCAATTCAGCTTGCCAGGATTTTTTTGTTGTTTTTTTAACATGTTAACTCCATTTTGATTCTGAGAACTTTCACAATTTCTCCCTTTTGATCAAGATCTTTCTGCAAACACCTCACTAATCAATCATTCTGTAATTAGGTTTTGACTGTCCCTGGATAATGGGATGGGCCTGTCCTGGTTGCAGGTCTTGGTCCATTTTGGAGGGAGCAATTGGCAACTTGGAGTAAGTGTCAATCCCTTTTAGTCACAGTTGACCTTTAAAGGATGTTTGAAAGGAGTGACTCTCGGGCTAAGTCTATCTTGAGTCCATTATTAAGTTCAATTTTGTGAGTTCCATAGTCTTGCTGTTATCTCAAAGTGATGGGCTAGCATTATGGTTACAAGTTGTACTTCTGCAAAAATTTAACAAGTAACATATAAAAAGTTTAAAAATGGAAAATACAATTTGCATAATAGTTTTTATCCATGAACCTAGGCTTAAAGGCAACTGTATTAGTTTGTTCTCATGCTGCTAATAAAGACGTACTTGAGACTGGGTAAGTTACAAAGGAAGGAGGTTTAATTGACTCATAGTTCCGCTTGGCCGGGGAGGACTCACAATCATGCTGGAAGAGCAAGAGACATCTTACATGGTGGTAGGCAAGAGAGAATGAGAGCCAAGCCAAAGGAGAAACCCCATATAAAACCATCAGATCTCCTAAGACTTATTCACTACCACCAGAGCAGCATGGAGGAATCCGCCCCCATGATTCAATTATCCCCCACCGGATCTCTCCTATAACAAGTGGGAATTATGGGAGCTACAATTCAAGATGAGATTTGGGTAGGGACACAGCCAAACCACATCAGTAACCCACTGAATAAATCAAATGATCATAAGGAATTAGGTGAGATCTGTTTTAACCATGTGGCCTGTTTTCTTACTTTGTGTATATTGGTATTGACTTTCCAAGAGGAATTTATCCAGGGATGGCATGCAGTATTAGCAATAGTACAGACATTTTCTTATTTAGTCAATGTATACCAAAGGATCTCTTAGGTCAGATTCTGTCAACTTACAAGCAGAAGGTAGTAATTGTGAAATTTCAATTACTCCATTATCTTGCCAAGTTAGAAAGGTAACCTTAAGGAGTGTAGGAGTCTCATTATACTATGGAGTCTTTTCCAATGTCTTGAAAAAAGCTGTCTATAGTGTGCAAAGGTCAACTTCTCATCCTGATTTGCAGTTTGTCTCTGGTCATGGCATCAAATGGTTTGGTAAACTTTATTTTTTATTTTATTTTATTTTATTTTTTTGAGACAGAGTCTAGCTCTGTCGCCCAGGCTGGAGTGCAGTGGCACGACCAGGTTCACGCCATTCTCCTGCCTCAGCCTCCTGAGTAGCTGGGACTACAGGTGCGTGCCACCACACCTGGCTAATTTTTTTTGTATTTTTTAGTAGAGACAGGGTTTCACCATGTTAGCCAGGATGGTTTCGATCTCCTGACCTCGTGATTCACCCGCCTTGGCCTCCCAAAGTGCTGGGATTACAGGCGTGAGCCACTGTAAACTTTTTATGTGGCCCATACATCAGGCACAAGGCTGCTTTCTTAAAATTCATCTAGTTTCAGCTTATAGGGCTTTTGGAACAGAACAGTTTTCCATTTATAGTAATTCCATGGAAGAAGGCTGGATTGGTGGAACATAGAAGAATTCGGGATGTGGTCTACTCTATAGACAGATAACAAGAACTTGGACAACAACTGACTACAAATGCTTTTTGAGTAGAATCCAAAAAACTTAGAATAGCCATGGTTAAAAATCTGATAAAAGTTCACAATCGACAAGAAAATTTAGTTGTTTCCATTACCTGCAGGAATTTAAGATATTAACCATAATCATGACTGACAGCATCATATCACAAGTATCAGACTTATAAATTTCCTATAATCTTTAGAATACTCACATCAATAACACAGCCAAATAAATACAACTTTAAAGAAGTTTTAACATAACAACCAAAATTATGACTTATAATATATTAGATTTTGTCATATAATTTTTAGAACATTCCTATCAATAACCTACCCATAAATGTGACTAAAAGAAGATGTAGCCTCACTTCTCATTTGACAATGCTTGTCATATAATTTACCAAATAAGCCTAATCATTTAATACCTCTATAAATTAAAATATATCTTCTTGCATATTCTCCAAGGGCCCAACTGGAAAATCTCAAAATTAATTGTAGTTCAAAAGGACTTAATTTAGAATTTTGATCCAGGAGAAGCCCACCAAAAATATCAAGAGATTCAAAGCCATAGATCAAAATAGAATCACAGGTCACTGTTAAATAATAGCCATTCATTTAACTCGAGTGATTATCAGGAAACTTCAAAAGCAATACAGAAAGTTACAAATATTTTAAAACCTTAACCTGTTCAAAGCTCAGTTTTCTTAAGTAATCAAAAATTTGATAAAGACAACACAGAAAATTATCTTGGTAAAATATAAATATATAAATTGTTTGTCTTTTAGGTCAGTTACCAAAAGGTAAAAAAAATCTCCTGCAATGTAATTGCTTCTTCTCATGGGAAGCCTGTTCAGTCTTGGAATTGAACCTGATGAAAGGGTCCTTAAATTCAATTAGAGATAAAAGAACATATCCAAGTGTTATGAATGTACACTCATATTATAGGAGAGTATAAACAAGAAGACTAGTACCTTGAGCAGAGGAATGTAGAGCTCTTAGATAAAGTAAAACCACGTGAAGTTTCTTGGTAACATGGAACAATTCAGACATATCAAGAAAAGCCAAGAGTACATAATCTAGTTATATTGGCGGAAAACATTGCTTTTCTTGGCCTTCAAGATAAACATTATAGTGCCAGGCCATAAAAGCCAAGTTAGAACTGGAGGAAAAAAGTTGGAGCAGCTGATGAAAAAGTTGGAGAAGAGAGTTATCACCTCAGCCAACCAAAAAGCTGTAACTTTTCGGAGGAAGGGAGTAGGAGCGCTACAGGCTATGGTGTATGGCCTGCAGACCATGTGCAGTGGGATGCAGCAGAAATTGAACTTCTGAAATAAGAACCTGAGGAAAATAAATACCTTATTAAATAAATACCATTTATTTATTTACCTTATGATAAATAAAATTACTTTCTATTTAATAAATAAATAAATTTTATACCTTAATGAATAAAATTACCATTCTTCATGAAAAAGATTGCATTCCTTATCTGAAACTGGGGAAATTAAATGGATCTCAGGAAAAAATGTGCCAGGAATAGAAACTGCCTGCAGTTTAGAAGATGGCTGTTAAAGAAAACAGCAGTCAGAATTAAAAATCAAAACCTCTTGCAATTTTACTAATAGCAAATCAATATTTCAAGAAAACTTTGGTGTTCTAATATAGGAGACCAATTTTTTAGTTTAGTATTACTGTATTTTTAATATCAGAGCTCAATCTTTATGAAGACTTATAAATAATTTTATTCTGATTATTACCAAGTCAATTACATGCAAAATTTTTTTCATCAATTTACCCCCCCACAAATATTTTTGTTTTTGTTGCATTTGCTTTTGGGTTCTTGGTCATGAAGTGTCTGCCTAAGCCAGTGTCTAGAAGAGTTTTTCTGATGTTATCTTCTAGAATTTTTATAGTCTCAGGTCTTAGATTTAAGTCTTTGATTCATCTTGAATTGATTTTTGTATAAGTTGAGAGATGAGGAACCAGTTTTATTCTTCTACATGGTGGCTTGCCAATTATCCCAGCACCATTTGTTGAATAGGGTGTCCTTTCTCCACTTTATGCTTTCGTTTGCTTTGTCAAAGATCAGTTGGCTGTAAGTATTTGTGTTTATTTCTGGATTCTCTATTCTGTTCCATTGGTCTATGTGCCTGTTTTTATAACAGTACCATGCTATTTTGGTGACTATAGCCATGTGAATAGTTTGAAGTTGGGTAATGTGATGCCTCCAGATTTGTTCTTTTTGCTTAGTCTTGCTTTGGCTGTGTGGGCTTTTTTGGTTCCATATGACTTACAGACACATGGAACCAAACCAATGTCATTGTTCACAGATATTTTAACCCGGGTATACAGATCAAACAAATATTTAATTAGGCATGCAGAACTAAAAGTGAATTTGCCAGAAAAGACATGCCTCACAAACAAATGTAAATTATGTAGAAACTAGGGTGCTCAAATCAGAAAAACATTTGTCATTATACCAGAAAGAATTACTGGAAAAGACAAAAAATTGTTATCATTTCAGGAGGGATGTAAGCTCTTTGGCTTACGGTGGCCTTATCCAAATCAGATGCTGAATGAAGTCAAGAGCTTCCACCCAAAAGTAGGAGGCTCAGCCTGAGAGAAGACTCTCCAGGGCAGAGAAAGCAAGTCACAGAAACAGGGAGCTCCAAGGGCTCAAGTGAGGACTGCACACCAATTCCAAGAGTGGCTGATTTCTTCAAGTAGTGGTCCTACTCCAGGTCCTACTTCTGGACACCATTTATGTCAACCTGAACGACAGAGAGTTTCTCTCTAAAAGAAAACAGTATTTATTCAGGAACGGTGCCCGGCACTGGGAATATGTGTGCCATAGTAATGTGCATAATCAGGGAGGTAAAGAAGACAAAGGCTTTTAAAGGAGAAATGAAGATTAGGGAATTGTTTTGAGACCATTACTCTTGCCTAAAAAGATCAGTTACAAGGGTGACACTAGTCCAAGGCTGGACAGGCAGTTCTTGGGCACATGTTCCTGTAGAAGTATTTTTTTGTGTTAAGTCTGCAATGGCTTTTGTGCAAGGTTGTGGTTTTTGCAAAGTCTTTTGTGATATTTTTGTTATCAGGCATATAGGCATAAAACCCTCTCTTTGTAGCCTTTCTTAGCCCTAACTGTCATGGACTTTATTTTATTTTTTTAACACAAATGACTCCATTTTAGTTCTGACAACTTTCCCGTATGGATGGAGAACTAGAGAGAAGCATGATGGAAGAGCCTGCCCAGGGCCATACAGTTCATGTTGCAGGGCAGGAAAGCAGACCCAGGCAATCTTCCTGCCCTACCAGGGCCTTCTGCCTCCCTGTGGTGGCAGCTCCTGGGAAAGGGGGTACCCAGCCTACCTCCGTGAAGGGCATTCAGCTGCTTCCTCTGTGGGCCTGTGGGTGTACTGGCTTCCCACCCTGGAGGTTACCATCTACCTCTCCATACACAGGCCAGCACCGACGTCTCACAGTGGGGAGCCCATGCCACAGCTGTGAGCACCTGCGTAGATGGCCATTCTGCTCCTGGTTGATGGCTTATCCAGGAGTAAAAGGAAGCTTATTTTTTAAAATAATTGAGAACAACCTTTAAACCTATTTTCACTATTAGGAAGATATCCCCGGAACATGTCCCTGGAGTGTTGGCCACCACTGAACACGTCTCCCCTGCACCCCCCACTAGATGGCAGCGTGCCTTCCCTGGTGGCTGATGCCAGACCGGAGGTGCAGGTCAGGGAGAGACTTCCCTCTGTCCTGCATATGTCCCTATGGGGAAGCAGGGGCAGAGCCTAGTTCTGGCTTCTGGGAAGTGCCTGGATACGATTTTTATCAACCAAAATAACAAACAGAGACTGAAGTGCTATTTATTCAGGAATAAGGCATGGAAAACACATGCCAGAGTAAACTATGTGCATATTTAGGGAGGTGAAAAAAAAGCAGAGAAAGGTTTTCAAAGGAAAATGAGGAAGATGCCATAATTGTTTTGAAATCATCCTTGGCGAAAACGTCGATACCACGGGTTCTGGCAGTCCTAGGTTGGCCAGGCAGTTGCTGGCCCTGGGAAGCCGGGGTCCTGGCAGCCAAGCCCAGTGGGTAGAGAGCTGGAGCCAGGCCAGCAGGCAGATGCAGCAGGGCCCGTGCCCTCCCCAACACTTCAGGAGGCATGAAAAGGATGTGGGCTCAGGATGAGAAGGTTCTATGTCTACATGTTACAGAACTCTCCTGAGCCCACCACACTCCCACAAAAAATAAATAAATAAATATATAAAGAAATAAAAATTGGGAAACAAAATTACAGACTTAAAACAAACAAACCCAGTTACCTCCTCAGGCTTCCCCCTTTTGGTAAATGGTGTCACTGTCCACCCGGTTATTCTGGTCAAACACTCAAATGTCATCTTTGACTCCTCTGAGCTTCTTCCTCACATCCATCCCACCAGCAAGTCCTGTTGCCTCCATGTGCAAAATACATCCTGGATCTGCCCAACCTGGACAGATTCACTGCACAAGAAATAAAACCCCAACCCCTTTCCAGGGCCCACGAGGCCCTGCCCCCTGTTCTGGATCACCTCTTTCCCTCCTTGACAAGGTCAGCGAGTCACTGCCCAGGGCATTGGCACATGATCTTTGCCTGGCTGGCTCCTCATCTTTTTAATTTCAGCTGAAATGTCACCTTTTCAGAGAGAATTTATTATTCATGGAAGTTTTCAACAGTATACAAAATAACAAGAATTGTGCCATAAACCTACTTTCAATAATTCTCAACCTGCCCCCATCTGCTTTCCTTGGAACCCTTACCACAGAGTATTTTGAAGCAAATCCCTGGCCTTGCATTATTTCATGTTCCTCTAGACCAGAAATTGTGGCTCTACAAGATAGGAGAAGTCACACATAATGAAGTGGCTGTCCCTGCCCCTCTGGTCCCCTCACCTCCTCTGGTCATGGACATCACAGCACGTTGCACTCTCTGTCATCTGTTCTGTCCTGGTTTTTTTTTTGTTTGTTTTTTAATTTTGTTTTCTGTGTCCCATGCAATCTCTAAATGTGAGTCCCTTGAGAGCAGGGACTCTGCCTGCCTGTTCCTGTTACACAGCAGAGCATTGCACAGGGCCTGGGTATGGTGGGTGCTCACAGGGGTCTCTGTAAGAGGAAGGCAGAGCCCAGATGCTGGTCCTGGGCCTCAGGGTCAGCTCTGCATGCTGAGGACAGACATGGGGAGAGACACTGGTCAGACAAGTGCATCGACATTCTTCCCATGTCATTTCCTTTTAGATGAACATCCAATCAGTATGGACAAGACTTCCAAAACTTGCCCTGGACCAAAGATAGAAAAACCTGGCAGGAGGCCCTATAGGTTAGGAGGCCAGGGGGTCAGGGTTGGGCACTGTGAGCTGTACAGAATGTGGATGCCACCCCCACTGCTGGGGCGGCACGTGTCTGCCACTGGGTTAAGGGCACCCTCTCCACCTTCTATTGTTGGTGGCCGCCCCCAAGGTATTCAGGGATCTGCAGCATCCTAGGGTCTGTGAGGAGGACAGGATGCAGGAGATGATTGCCTGAGGAATGGTACCTTTGCTCCAGGTTGCTTCTCAGAGTTAAGCCAACAGACTCTGTAAATACAGAACAGCTGGGATGGTGACACCAAGCAGTGGTCCCTGGTCATTTAGGACACGGTCACAATGGCATGAGACCCCATGCAGGGCCCCTCGCTGCCTGACCCACTTACCCTTTGGTCATCATTGCTGAGTTTACCTGCAAGCGTTTGGGGAATGACCTCTCATTACCCACGCTGTCCACTGGCCAAGGTCAAGAACTGCATCTCTCTGGGCTGGCTCTCACCGTCTGTGTTTTCTGTGCTTTAGGGAGTACTTCATTGAAGTCAGCTTGAACAACGGCAAAACATTCAAGAGCAATGTCAGCATCACCAGCACCACATGTGTGAGTACCAGCATGGGGCTGCAAACACGTATGAGGACTGTCCAGAGTCCCTGCACTAGAAGGAGATACACCCTGGGGAGCACAGAAAGGGCAGACAGTTTCCAGGCAGTCCCAGAAAGTAGCGTGTGCAGCAGGCACCTGAGGCTGCTCCAACCCGGCTTCCAGCTGGCACAGGTGGTTGAAGCTGGGAGGCTGTCTGCCAGGAGCTTAGAGTCCAGTACCTCTTGGGTGTCCACCTTCTCCACGTGGACCTCCCAGGCCCAGGAGCTCTGGAGGATTCCACACACTGCCATCAGGGTGCGTGTGCCACTGAACTGGTGCCCCAGCTGCTGATCTGGTCCTGAACCTGCTCATGACCCTGGCCCCTGAGCCTGCCTGGTTGTAACCTGCTGTCATTGCCCAGATGCCTTGAACCTCCTTTCTGCCTCTCCTCCTTGCTCGGGCCCCTGAGATGTCCCTCCCTGCTCCCTCACCAGGTCCTGCATTTCGTCCCCTCCTGCTGCTGAAGGGGAGGCTCTGGGCACTGGGACCCGGGCTCAGCTCCGAGAGGCCCCTGAGAATGGAAGTGCTGTGCCCCCAGTGCCTGCTTTTCAGAGCTCCACATCTTTGGGCAGCGTGGCCCAGGGCCGCATAGGGAGGAGGATGTGCTGGAGGGACAGGCGGGAGGCCTGAGCCCACTCCACCACCTTGTGTCCAGTCTTATTTGTGAGGACGCACCAGTGTTGACAGTCCTCCCTCTGGGTCTACCCCTGCCTGTCCCTGCATATCCACGCATGGATTAGCAGGCTGAACGCACACATTCCCCATCAGGAATCCACCCACTAACGGCTCCACAGTGACAGGCACATCAGGAGCAGCCCTGGGGCTCCAGCCTCACCGGCGGCCTTCATGCTCAGCCTCGGTGGTTCCTCTCCTTCAGCCAGCCAGGTTCTCAGCACAGGCCCCCTCCCCTCCTCTCCCCTCCTTTCTTCTCCCCTCCCCTCCCCTCCCTTCCCTTCCCCTCTCCTGCCTTCCCTTCCCCTCCCCTCCCCTCCCTGCCCTCCCCTGCCTTCCCCATCTTTCTCTCTAAACAGAACTCTGGATTTGGGGAAGGCCTGGGCAGCCTGTATTCCCACGGATGCTGCCCACGTTCCCTTTACTGTGAAGAACACCCAGAGAAGAGTTCTGGTTGCTTACACCCCATGTGGCCCTGGTTCTGAGCCAGGTCTTTCTCTGAGCTCTCTAAACCTCACAAGTGCCCCCAGGGAGGGAGGCCCGTTCTCTTTGCAGAGGTGTGGAGGCTGAGGCTCAGAGCTCTGTGTGGATGTGCCCACGGTGCAGAGCCTGGAATTGGGGATAGAGGCTGTGGGGATGGACCCGGGTCTCCTGTCCTTGCTCCTGCGCCTGCACCTCTCTTGGCTGCAGCACCCCCACCCTTGCCCATCATTGTACCTGGAGATTTTGTGGTCCTCACAGAAGCCCTGTGCTGCAGGCGAGGTGTGCAGTGAGGGTGGGTTTGTCAGACAGTGGAAGCTTCCGGGACTTTCTTGGCAGGGCTCTTGGGCAGAGACTTTCAGCGGGGCCAGAGGAGGGGTTTGTAGTTCCCTTGGAAGCATCCCTTACCCCCGGCCCCACTGTTGTGCCTTGAGGTGGGACCACCTGTAGAGAAGGGAGAATGGGCAGATGGGCCTCCAAGTGGTGGGCACCAGGATGAGGCTACCCAGGCCCTCCCAGGCCTGGCATTCCTCTGTCCCTTAGGCGTGGTTCATATTGCTGTCTTTCTCAGCCAGGGCATTTTTTGCAACTGGCTCTATTTTGTGCCGCCCCTGCTGCTTGCGCCACTGCTGCTGTGTTGTGTTTGGTGGCTGTGCCGCAAGAAGGCAAGTGATTTTTGCCCACCCAGCTCTGGGGCCCAGGCACAGGCCCACCCTCTGAGGGACTCTAACATGTGACTGCCCCATGATCCCGCCTGTGGGAAGTTTCCCTCAGCTCCCAGCTCATCACATGAGCCCGGGGAGTCGCAGACCTGTCCACACATTCCCAGAGCCTAGCAAACCTGGGCTTCTGCAGGGCCTCCTGCCCCGGGCTGGCCACAGAGAGCTGGCCTGGGATGTCCTGGACATGGGGCTGAAGCCTGCCCTGGCTCCTAGAGAGAAGTGACCCCAGAACCCCTGAAACCAGGGCTGCCTCAACAATCCGGACTTCTGGAAGCCACAGATGGACAAGGGCCAGGAGGCAGCCTTTGTGTGGAGGGAGGAAGAGAGGGGCCCCCATGAGGTCCTGAGGGCCCAAATGGAGGACAGTGCTGTAACCCCCAGCTGTCTGTGCCTTGAGGAACCAGCATGGATCTCAGCACATGTCTGGTGCCTTCCCCATTCCTTCATCTGTCTTTACTGAGCTCCAGCTTCCCCTGGGCCCCATGCTGGGCTGGTGAGGGACAGAAATGAAGCTCCCCACAGGCAGCTCACAGTCCTGGCTTGTTGTGGCTGAGGCTGAAATGTCCACCCCACAGAAGTGGGAAGGGCCCCCTGTAAGGCAGAGCAGGAGCCAAAAGCAGAGATGGAGGCTGGGGCGGGGAGAGTGTCAGGGGTGCTGGAAGCTGGGGTGGAAGAAGCCAGCCCGGAGAGCTGCAGACAGAGGACAGAGCAGAGGGTGGAGAGGACAGAGCTTAGCCCCATCCCCAGGCTCCGGATGCAGGTGTGGCTCCATTTGGCCTCTCTGGATCCCTGTTTCCTGGCAGGGACAAGGGTCTGGCTGGGGTTAGCTTCTAGGGACTGCAGGGCTGAGGGGTGAAGGAGGCCTGGCGAGCACCCAGCTGGGAGGGACACCAGCCCAGTGAACACAGGGGCCAGGAGTCGGGGAGCAGGCTGTGGCTCACCTGGGCTGGGGACCCACACCAGGGGCCATAGGCAGTGGTGAGTAGCTGAGGTAGGAGGCCCTGAGCCTGGGATGGGGTGGGAACAGGCCTCCCTGGCCAAGGGTGGCCTCTGAGGTGCTGCAGAGTGGGCCCAGGGAGGCTGCATCTGCAACCAGGTGGATGCGGACAGTCACCTGCAAATGCTGGGACCATTGCACAGCTCCCAGGGCAGGCCTCCTCCAACAAGGCTGGCCTTGGGAGAACCAAGGCGACCGGGATGAAGTTGTTAGCATTTAGGGGAAGAGCCATGTCTGCAAACCAGGAGGAGTTTGCTTTTTTCTCACGTGAAGGATGGTCCCCTGTGGTGTGGGCTTCTTACTGGTCCTTTCATTCCCCAGACACACATCTGGGAGTGGCCGGCACTGTGCCCGGTGCTGGCTGAGGCAATGACACCATACCCTTGCTCTTAAGAGTTGTCTGAAAAGTCAGCAGACCATTGTTTTTTAGGAGCTAGAGCAGGAGATACCATCATCTCCACCACCACAAACTCTGCCTCCACTGCCTCTGCCCCCGGCTCCTGTAAACACCTGCCCCACTGTGATTGTTTGTTGCTGTAGGTGTCAAGGAGTGTTCTGGATGAGAAGGATAGAGGTGAGAAGCACAGTGGAGAGGGGCTGCGACCCCCAGCCTGGAACTGTGGGAGGAGGGGGCAGATGGGTCCCACTGTGGAGACCTGGGCCCTGGAGGAAGGCAGGCTCTACAGGGGCTGGACTTTAGACACGTGATGCCAAGAGCAACCAGATGGCCACCTCAGCCTCGTGCCCCAGTGGCAGGCATATATGAGGGCTCCTGTCCTCTGCACCACCAGGTCTGTCCCCACACATTGAACTCCCTCTCTAGAAGGATCCATGTTTCTGTACAGTGGCAGCTTCTGATGTCTGACCAGTCCCTGGTTTCCACAGGGGTGCCTCAGCTCTGGCAATGGCCCTGGGCTTTAGACCACCTGCCTGCAGGTGCATGGGTCAGGCAACCTGAGTCACAAAAGGTCATGCAGATCAGAAAGAAAAAAAAATAGAAATGACCAGTCCTGACACACGTTCTCACCACCACGAACACTGCAAGGATGCCAGGGGCACCTGCCAGCCCGGGCAGCAGGATCTTCAGGCAGTGAGGAAAAGCTGTCACTGAGTGGGCTTGTCGCCTGCTGTAATGGGCTGACAGGTGCTGCAGGGAGGGGAGGAGGTGGAGGCCTGAAAGCGCCCTCACAAGACACCTGTGCAGGAGCTTGAGCCCCGGAGCCAACACAACAGCCACTCTCCCTGAGGAAACCTCCTTCATGGGCGGGTCCAGGGCCCATCTTGCTGAGGGGAACCCAGCCAGGCAGCAGCAGGGGGCCCTGCACAGGGGTAGAGAGGGCGCCTGGGTGGCTGATGTTGAGGGAGAAGGACCCCAGAGTTCCTACCTGGCTCTGCCCCTCTCCCCCTTGGTCCTGGCTCTGTCTGTGGTCGGATCTCTTGCTTCCTCCTGGGAGGGTCAGGCTCCTCTGCAGCCTCAGTGGGCATCTGGGGAAGCCAGGCCTGTCTCTCCTCAGAGTGTGGGGCACATGTCTCCAGGGGGAGGAAGTCACCTGCCAGCGGCCTGCACTGCCTTGCAACACACGGCCCTCATCCCATCCCCACCGGAGCCCAGAAAGGCCTGACTGCAGCGCCGAGTGGCCAAGGGGCTGCCCGCCGTGGGTCCTGGGCTGCTTTCTGGCCTGTTTTTCTCTGCCTTCCTCTTCTCTCTTCCCTGGTGTCAGGTACCTACTCCCTGAGCAGGGCATGGTCCTCTCACCTGCCTTCCCCTTGTGTGCCCCAGCAGCAAGGCTCCTTCTCCCTGCCCAGGCCCCCATGCTGGGCCCCCAGGCCTAACTCATGCTCCCCTTCAGGACCTCTGCTTGGAACCACAGGCTCCTCCCGCCTTTGGACTTTTTGTATGAATCTGCCCCTGGCTTTTCTTCTTCCTACAACCAAAATACTTTTTTGTCCAGATTCCAAAACTCTCTGTGGCCACAGTGACCATGTCTCCAACATGCAACCCTGCCAGGCCCCTCCCCCAGGGGGAAATGGGAGCTTTGTCTGCGTGTGTTCCTTGGGATAGAGCCATGGCGGGCCGGGGGGTCCTGAGAAGGCATCCAGGCTGCATGGCTTCATCATGGCCACGTTGCTTTTCAGGGCAATCTGGATATCTTCCGTGACCTCTCTCACCCAAGCTGCTGCCAGGTGCCATGGATGTGGTGTCAGCACAGGGGCCAGGTGAGCTGGGGCACAGGGACACACTTGATGGACAGAAGGCCACTGCTTTTTCCCTGACTGCTGTCCTCTGGGATTGTGGCTCAGAGAGCCATGTCAGGCGTCTGCCAAAGAGGACGGCACAAGACACACAGAAACGGTGCCCATGGGCCTCCCAGCCCGTTTCTGGACTTGGGACTATGTGCTTCCTTTGCTGGTCCCCTGGGGTCAGAAGTGCTGGTTGGGATGGCTGACAGCGTTGTCGGGGCAACATTGGTTCTAACAGGGAATAAGGATTCCTTCCTGTATCATTGCCTTGGGACCATGGGGAGGACGAAATTGTTAAGATTTTCTCTTTGTAACTTATTATGAATGAGGACTAATAATTACTAACGAGGCCTCAGTAATATACAGAGTCCTCTGTGGGCCAGTTGCTAGCCTAGGCCATGCTTTCACTGTTTTCATCCTCCCAGTAACTGTACCTACGTGCTATTATTATCCAGTTTACTGAAGGGGCCTGAAGCGCTGAGATATTAAGTGGCATGTCCTTGCTCCTAAAGCCCGCGAGTGATAGGGCTGGATGTGCCCTGGGCCTGGCTCCTGCCCTTACTCTGCACTGCTCTCCTTTCGGATCAGCACCAAGGGGCTTCTCTGCTCAGGCCCTGGGTCCCTGGAGAGCCCTGCTACTGGCTGGGCCTGGGGCTCATCTCCCTGTGCCTCCCACAGTCCAGCCTTTTACACCTGGAAGATGATCTCATCCCCAGGGTTTATAGAGGGACCTGCACTGGCCAGACCTCCTGCATCAGGTCAGCATACGCTCTCAGTGGCCAGGTGGCTGCGCACTGAGAAGGCCTTGCAGGCTGCAAGCCTCTGGACGCTGCTGATAAGAAACGGGCCGGGAGGCCCTGGGAGGCGTGCTGACACCTGGCAGGGCATTGCTGGTGTCAGAGGCAGGCAGGGCTGCTCCAGCTGCTGGGTTCCTGGCTCTGTGCCTCTGCACAGGGCTCTCAATCCCAGCCACGCTTGCACAGAAGCCCACTTTCCATCTGAGGTCCCATAAGGCCTCTCCACGTTGCCACAGCCCAGTTCCAGTCCACAGCCTAGTCCAGATTTATGCACTGAACAGCGAGAGGCTCAGTCAGAAGGGACAGAGCTCGACTGTGGGGTGTGAAAACGGGCACCTCAAGCAGAGGGAAGGCAAGAGACGGGAGGGTGGGCATGGGAAAGGGCCAGAAATGGCCTTACTGCCCAGTGTGGTGAGATAGGGGATGGAGCAAGTCTCTGAAATTGTCCCATTCCCAAAAGCAGCTAAAGTTTGGGGGAGGGTGGCAGAGTAATTGTATTAAGGAGGGCAATTACACTGCCCAGGGCTCTGCCAGGCCCTTTCCGCTGTCACTGTGTGAAGTTCACCCTGAAATTCTCCAGCAGGAGAGACAATCTGTATTTTACTAATGGCAAAATAGAGGCCCAGAGTGGCCCAGAAAGTTGCCCAAGGCCACAAGTGGCTGTCTCCAGGGCTATCAGAAATCAACCCCAGATCTGTCCCTAACCCAGGGAGGCCCATAGCTGTGGCTTGTAGACCTGGGCTCCCTTCTAGCTCCTCTGCCACAATCTAATTTGACCTTGTCCTTCCCAACTGTAGTCGTGAACACCCGACTGAGTGTCTTGTAGGATTTCTGTCGGGTACCCAAGAATTCAGACAGGCTGACAGGAATTCCTGTTCTCCTCTTTAAGCCTTTGGTGTGCTGGCCCCAGGGTCTAACGTGAATCATACACTAAAGAGGACGCGTCCCCCTGAGACCTTCAGCCCATTTCAGAGCCACAGGGTCAGACTGTAAGCCTAGTCATGAGTGTACAGAGCCAGACACCAGCCAGGCTGCTGGTGAGCTCAGCAGCTTTCTGCTTGGAGACACTGGGAATGTGACCTTCCTGCCTGAGCCAGGGGTTCCCTGAGTGAGAAGGAGCCCTGAGGCTGGAGGAGAGAGAGTGCATCTCAGTGAGAACCCGCTGGAGACCAGGCTTGGATGGGTGGCTCGGCCCCAGCCAGGCAGCCCAACTGCAACTGCAGGGCTGTGGAGGCATCAGTGAGACGTCCTGCCAGGACAGGCATAGGCTGTCTGTCTCTTCACTGCAGAGTGAAGAGGCCACCTGTGTGCTGCACACCCCTCTTCCAGGATCTCCCCTCAGACAGGGATTCACTCAGGCCCTCAGCAGGTTGGGGGATCCTGACAGAACCAGTGCATGCCTCTTTCTCCATCCATGCCCGGCCTTGTGAGGAGGCTATTTCCAAACTCCTCTTCCTGACTTGGCATTGTGGGCTGACCTGGGGGTGTGATAAGCTCGGGAAGTTGAGCCTCTTCGACTGGAGTGTGCTGTCGAATTTAGAGGAGCTGCTGCCTTTTAAAACCTTGTTTAGTTTATTGTTTCAGCAAATCCAAACATTTTGCATTTCAGCACATAATAATGCAGGAAATTCTCCAAGGCTCAGTTTACCAAAAACCTCAGCATTTTTGTGGCAAAAGCAGTCAGTCTTGTTTAATTTCAATTTTTTTTTGTTTTAAATTGAGTGTGTCTCCCTGCTCCATCACCTTCAGTTCCCTGAATAAATTTTTTGATAGTGTCCTCTTCCAGGCCATCCCCACTACACACTCATACAAAATGAAGCAGCAAGATTCAGAGGCTCTTGAGCCAGACTCTACCTCCCATCCATGCTGAGGATTCTCCTTCACCTTATCCTGTGGATGCTCATTATGTTAATGGGAAACAATATTACTCGATCCATCAGGAAAGTCAGGCTAATAGTGTGAAACCTTACTCTCTGTCACCAAATATAGTGCCCACAATGATATAACAGCCTTTCCAGTGAGTTTAATTCGTGTGCGCACCACAGCAGGAGGCCCTTTAGAAACTGGATCTCATTTCATTCTCACAACACCCAGGAAGGCTCATAGCTGCCATTCATATAGATCTTAAGGTGGGCCAGACACTGTTGCAACTACATTCCACAAACTAATATATGCCATAACTCTATTGTGGGGAGGAAGCTAGAGGCCCTAGAAAGTTAGGTAACCTACCCAGGGTCACACAGCCAGGAAGCAATAGGACCAGCATCCAACAGCCTGGCTCCAGGTCCTTACTGTGTGCATGGCCACCTCTCTGTCCTGCAAGGTAGTCACTACTGTCTACATTTCGCAGCTGTGGACACCGAGGCTCTGATGTTTAGTGATAGGCTCAACGTGGCAGGGTTGTTGAGTGGTAGAGCCGGGCTATGAACTGACCTGAGGGGAGGCTCATGTCTGAGTCAGGTTCCGCCCCATATCCTGCTGTCAGAGTGATCTATGGAAACACCTGCAAGTGCATCTCTCTACAGTGCAAAATGTCACACAGCAGGTCCTTGAATAACGTCATTTCATTCAACGTCATCTGAACACTGAGTGAGAAATGACGATGCTGATCAGAAAAAAATCCATTCCCGGCTGAGGTCACTGTCTGTGTGGAGTTGGTGTGTGAAAAATGGCATTGGTATTTTTTTTAGTAATTGCATCGAATCTGCAGATGGCTTTGGGTAGTACAATCACTTTAGCAATATTAACTCAACCAGTTTGTGTAAATGGGATGTCTTTCCATTTGTTTGTGTCCTCTTCAATTTCTTTCATCAGTGTTTTATAGTTTTCCTTGTTGAGATCTTTCACCTCCTTGGATAAATTTATTTCTAGGTATTTCTTTTGTAGTTATTGTTAATGGGATTGCCTTTTTGATTTCTTTTCCAGCTGTTATTATTGGTGCTACTGAATTTTGTATGTTGATTTAACAATTTTTTTAAATTATAATAAAGATGAGCATCTCACTATGTTGTCCAGGCTGGTCTCGAAATCCTGGGCTCAAGCAATCCTTCCACCAAAATGCTGGGATTACATATGTGAGCCACTGCACCCAGACTCTATGTTGATTTTGTATCCTGCAACTTTACTGAATTTGTTTGTCAGATCTAGAAGTTTTTTGGTGGAGTCTTTAGGTTTTTCTAAGTATAAAATCATGTCATTTGCCAAGAGGGAAAATTTGACTTCCTCTCTTCCAGTTTGGATGCCTTTTATTTCTTTCACTTGCCTGATTGCTCTGGCTAAGATATCCAGTACTATTTTGAATAGGAGTGGTGAAAGTGGGCATCCCTGCCTTGTTCCACTTCTTAGAGGGAAAGCTTTCAGCTTTTCCCCATTTCATATGATGTTAGCTGTGAGTTTGTCATATGAGGCCGTTATTATGCCTAATTTGTCAAGAGTTTTTGTCAAAAAGCTTTTTTTTATTTTATCAAATACTTTTTCTGCATCTGTTGAGATGATCATATGGTTTTTGTCCTTCATTCTGTTGATGTGATATATCATGTTTATTGATTTGTGTACGTTAAATCATCCTTGCATCCCCAGAGTAAATCCCACTTGATCATGGCGGGATTATCTTTTTGATGTGCTGTTTCACTCAATTTGCTAGTATTTTGTTGAGGATATTTTGTGTCTATGTTCATCAGGGTTATTGGCTTGTAGTTTTCCTTTTTTGGTGCGTTCTTGTTTGGTTTTGGTATCAGAATAATGCTGGCCTCATAGAATGAGGCCTCTTCTATTTTTTAGAATAACTTGAGGAGAATTTACATTAGTTCTTCTTCATAAGTTTGGTAGAATTTGGCAGTGAAGCCATACAGTCCTGGGCTTTTCTTTGTTGGTAAATTTTCACAT
Source organism: Homo sapiens (assembly GCF_000001405.40). NCBI lineage: Eukaryota > Metazoa > Chordata > Mammalia > Primates > Hominidae > Homo > Homo sapiens. Next base: position 46,244,184 of record NC_000010.11, on the reverse strand, counting down.
TACTGATTCAATCTTGTACTCATTATTGGTCTGTTCGCGTTTTCTGATTCTTCTAGTTTCAATCTTGGTAGGTTGTAAGTGTCCAGGAATTTATCCATTTTCTATAGGTTTTCCAGTTTTTTGGTAAATAGTTGTTCACAATAGTTTTTGATGTGTTTTGTATTTCTGTAGTATTAGTTACTATGTCTCCTTTTTCATTTCTGATTTTGTTTATTTGGGTCTTATCTCTTTTTTTCTTGGGTAGCCTATCTAGCAGTTTATCCATTTTATCTTTCCAAAAAACCAACTTTGCTTTTCATTGATTCTTTGTATTTTTAGCCAATTTCATTTAGTTTTACTCTGATCTGATCTTCATTGTTTCTTTCCTTACACTAATTTTGGGTTTGGTTTGCTCTTGCTTTTCTAATTCCTTGAAGTACGTCATTAGATTGCTTACTTGAATTGTTTCTACTTCTTTGACGTAGGTCTTTATTGCTACAAACTTCTCTCTTAGGCATTGCTTTTGCTGTATACCATATGTTTGGGTATGTTGTGTTTCCATTTTCATTTGCTTCAACAAATGTTTTGATTTCCTTTTTAATTTCCTCATTGACACAATGGTTGTTCAGAATCACATTGATTAATTTCCATGTACTTGTACATTTTCCAAGTTCCTCTTGTTATTCATTTCTAGCTTTATTCCATGATGGTCTGAGAAGATATTTGGTATGATTTTGATATTTTAAAAATTTATTGAGATTTGTTTTGTGACCTGACATATGGTCTATCTTGGATAATGTTCTATTTGCTGATTAGAAGAACATGTATTCTGCAGTTGTTGGATGAAATATTCTGTAGATGTCTCCTAGGTCCATTTGTTCTAAGCTGTAGGTTAAATTTATTTTTTCCTTGTTGGTTTTCTTTGTGGATGACATGTCTAATGGTGAGAGTGAACTGTTGAAGTCCCCAAAAATTACTGTATTGAAGTCTATTAGATTTAATAATATTTGCATTATGTATATGGGGGCTCTGGTGTTGGGTGCATATATCTTTAGAATTGTTGTATTTTCTTGCTGAATTGATCCCTTTATCATTATATAATATGACCTTCTTTGTCACTTTTTAATGCTTTTGTCTTAAAGTCTGTTTTATCTGATATAAGTATAGCTACTTCTACTCACTTTTGGTTTCTATTTGTGTGATATATCTTTTTTCATTCCTTTCCTTTTAGTCTACATGTGTTTACATGTGAAGTGAGTTTCTTGTATGCAGCATATAGTTGGGGCATTTTCAAAATTCATTCAGCCAGATTTTATCTTTTAAGTGGAAAATTTAATCCATTTACATTCAAGGTTATTATTGATATATGAAGACTTATTTCTGTCATTTTGTTAAATGTTTTCTGATTGTTTTGTATATTTTTCCTTTCTTTCTCTCTTGTAGTTTATCATTATGGTGTGCTGGTTTTCTATAGTGGTAACATTTGAGTTCTTTTTCTTATTTCTGTGTTTACTCTACCAGCAAGTTTTAGACTTTTGTATGTTTTCATGACGGTAGCTATCATTCATTCACTTCCAGGCATAGGACTCCCTTAAGTATTTCTTCTAAGGCTGGTCTAGTGATGATGAATTCCCTCAGGTTTTGCTTGTGTGGAAAAAACTTTATTTCACATTTTTTAAAGATAAAGAATAATGTTGTTAGGTATAGTATTATTGGCTGACAGGTTTTTTGGCCCCCTTTTTAGGGGGGAAATATATTATCCCATTCTCTCCTGTATTATCCCATTCTCTCCTGGCCTATAAGGTTACTGCTGAGAAATTAACTGTTCTTCTGATCGGGCTTCCTATATATGTGACCAGAGCTTTTTCCTTTCTCTTACTCTTTTTAGAATTCTCTGTTTGACTTTTGACAGTTTACTATAATGTGCTGTGGAAAAGACCTTTTGAGTTTTTAATTACCTGTGAATTTCTAAACTTCTTGTATCTGAATGTTAAATCTCTTACTAAATTTGGGAAGTTTTCAGCTATTATTTTGTTAATCAGGTTTTCTATACCTTGGGTCTCTTCACCATTTGGAACACCCCAAATTTCTGTTTTTGGTTGCTTTATAGTGTCCCGTATGTTCTGTAAGTTTAGTTCATTGTTTTTTATTCTTTTGTGTGAGTAGGGCATGGGGACGGGGGCTCTGGCTGGGTTATTTCAAAAGGTCTGCCTTCAAGTTCTGAGATGCTTTCTTCTTTTTGCTCCACTCTACTGTGGAAGCTCTTGAATAAATTTTTATTTTGTTCATTGAATTCTTCACTTTCAGAATTTCTGTTTGATTCTTTTTTCTATTATATCTGTTTCTCTGGTGAATTTTTCATTCATATCCTCAGTTGATTTCTAACTTTTTGTATTGTTTATGTCCTCTTGTGTCTTACTGAGCTTTTATAATATCATTTTTAAAAATTATTTTTCCCACGTTTCATAAATTTTTTTTCCAGTGAAATCTGTTGCTAAAGAATTATTGTAATCTTTTGGAAGTGTCATATTTCCTTGTTTAGTCATGTTTCTTGCGTTTTACATTGATATCTGCACATCTTTTGTAACAGTTGCTTCTTCATACATTTTGGATTGGCTTTTTCCTGAAGATATTTCCATGGTTTTTATTGGGTAGGACACTTTAGCTTTGCTTCTAAGTGTATGAAGTAATGTAGTGTCTCTATGATTTCTTCACCTCTAAGCAGTATCAGTGGTGTGTGATTTCCCTAGTGGCTTAGGCTGTGGTTGTTAGTGGAGGCTATGATGATGTTTTGCTGCGGTTGGGGATGTTAGGTGGGTGTGCCCTCAAACCCTGATGGTGGCAGTGGCAGGGTAAATGTACCTCTCCTTGTGACCCCAGGCAGTGTACACAGGCACTAGTGTCAGCAGGTACAAATGGGCCAGTTCTTAGGCCTCCATGTGGCTGGCTTGGGTGCTGGCAGTCATAGTGGTAGGCCTGGCCAGCGGGCAGGTCCTTCCCTTGGCAGCATGTGTGGAGTGAGTGTTGACAATAGCAACAACACAGCAACTCTAAGGCTCTGAAGCAACACACATCAGTGTTAGTGATGGCTGGGTAGGCCAGTTCCCTAAACCCAAAGTGGTACATGCAAATGGATGCTGGCTGTGGTGGTAGTGGTAGACTGAGTGGGTCCATCATCAGGCCCCTAGGAGGAGTACATAGAGGCCAGCAATGGTGAACAGAGTGGGGGTAATCCCTAGGCCCCCAGGCAGTGTGCTTGGGCACTGAGGTAAGCAGTGTCAAGGTGGGTGGGTGTATCCTCAGGCCCCTCAATGGAACACTCAGGTGATGGCTGTGGTTGGCAAAATGGAGGGGTCCCCAGGCCCACTGGCAGAGTGCTCAAGTGGCTGTGGCAGTGGCAGCAGTGGGCCAGGGGAAACTGTCCTCAGGGTATGTGCAAATGGCTGGGCCATAGGCAGGTTGCTTACAGTGGCTCCAGCCATAGGCAGGAGTTCTCAGGATCTGGGAAGTGTGAGATTCAGCCCCTAGCTGTTGAGGGGTGGCAGCAGCAGTGGTAGCAGCAGCAACAGGGAAAACCAGTAGTAAAGGGGATGCAAGTATGCGTGGCTCTGCTGCCCAAAAAGGGCAAAGTCACTGTCAAGTGGCATGTGCTTTGGCCCCAGTGACAGCAACAACAGATGCAGTGAGCAGTAGCAGACCCTGCCCTCAAGGCATGTGCATGGCAGCCTTACTGCTGGGGTGGGAACAGGGTTGCTGTCCATGATAACTGCCCCAGGTAGACAGTTTTCAAGCTCTAAGAAACCCACACTTTGGCTCCTTTTTCTCTGAGGGCAGCCTCTCAGCACACTGGGGAGGCAGCCTCCCTATTGTGCTGCACTGTCCATTCCCCAAGATGCAGGACACTGTGTGTGCTAGAGTGCTAGGGAGGCTCTGCTGGGTCCAACTGGCATTGCACTACTGAAGCCCTACAGGTGAACACAGGGAGATGTCAGTGGGACTCTAGAGATGTGGAAATGCAGGGGCTGTTGGTTTCCAGTGCAGGATGCAGTCTGGTGGTGGCTGGGCTCTCCAAATGGCAGAGAGCTACAGCTGCCTAAGACCTGGGGACTGGGACCCACATGAGCTCCCTCTGAAGCAGTGCTGTTACATGGTCTCTAGGCACCTTCCTACGCTAGTCTCAGGGCCTATGAGGGTTGAGGGGTTTTCCTTTGGCTATGGTTATAAAATCCATGGTCAGAATGTCAACCGCTGTGGATCTCTCACTAACCTTTTTCTTGCACTAGGGAGCCACTCTGGGTTCCCAGCCAATCCCAGCCAAGCTTGCTGCCTCACTTTCTTCCATTTTCATGCCTCAGTTATTTCCCATCATTTATCTATTGAATTCCAGCGTTCACTCTTAGATGTTCTTCTTGAAGTGTGATTACTTGCTATTTTTATTTTTCTTTGTGGAGGAGGTGAGTTCTTGATGCCTCTAGTCAGCCATCTTGAAGCCTCTCCAGCCTTTTGCAGTTTTACTTATCTTCTGACACCAAATCTGTCAAAAGAAAAATTTAAACAAATTAAATGTAACAGAGTTTAACTGATCAAGAAAAAAATGTGTCTCAGACAACATCAGAATCAGAACAGATTCAGAGAGGGTCTGTGGCTACCATATGGTCAGATATGATGTATGGTCAGAAAAAGAAATGACATACAGAAAATGAAAGTGAAGTACAAACATCTGGATTAGTTACACCTTGGCATTTGCCTTATTTGAACATGGTTTGAACAATTGGCTCCTTATGAGTGGTTGAAGCATGGCTGCTGTGATTGGCTAAGACTCAGCTATTGTTACAGAAGCAGACTTCTCATTTAGGGTTTCAGTTTGTTAGGTTGCAGTTCATGTGTGAGAACTCAAGTATGCAATTACAGAGGTTTTCTTAGGTCAAATTTAGTTTGATTTAACACAAATGTTTTTGTAAACTTTGGCAAGCTATTGGGGAAAAGCTCAAATAAAAGCCTGATTTCATAATACACTAAAATATATACAAAATAATTTAAATATATATGAGATTATATATATACACATATATAATTACTAATAATAACTAGAATAAATACAAGTTTGATTTCATTATCCATGAATCCTTATTCTAGAGGTCTAGATAAGCATAAAAGCAGTGGAAATTTTTTTATTTTTTCTTTAATTTCAAGACCAGCTTTGTCACAAGGAAAAATGTTCAAAGGAAAATATTCACAGATTTATTCATATTCATTAATTCAGCAAAAATGTATTCCACATCAGGTGCTGGGATGACAAAATGAACCAGATGAAGAATGTCTCACTTTCATGGCAGGTTTACATTTTCTTAGGGAGAGTCATATGGTGACAGATACTGTCCAAAGGATTGAAAGTCATTAATGTGTCAACAAATGCCTGGTTGGCCAGAGAAGACTCTTTTGGGAGAAAAGGAGAGGAAGAGGGAGGGAGTGACAGTTAAACTGAGAAAAAATGATAAGAAGTCAGTGGAGTAAAAATCTGGGGGATTCCTTTCAAGCAGAAGATACAGCCAGTGTGAATATTTTGGGGCAGCTTGGAGTTGGTGAACCAAAGGTAGGAAATCAAATATTGTCCTTGTCAATCTGTTCATGATGATAGTCAGTGTCACACGGATGCAGGGTGTGGAAGACAGGCACGCACCAGCCCTGCAGGTCAGTGTTGACAGGAGTATGTTTTCCACAAGTAGTTGTTGTCTTGCATCTGGGTTCACAGATACAGGGCTCTCTGTTGAATGAATGAATGAGTATTTCTAGTGAGACACGGTCCTTTGAATATACTTTTGGTTGTTTTTCTGCTTCACAAGGAAACATTTCAGATATGACATGTATGAACAGGAATCTGTTTTGGGCCTAACTGTGGAGAAGTGAGAAACCCCTTTGGCATTTCCAAGGGTAATCATAGAAGAACATGGCTCAGAGTGGTTTAGCTTCTCCAACTTTCATCTTTCTTGTCTCAAAAATAAGGATAAAATGAAATGGAGACATAAAGAATGCTAGGCTATGCTATGGCAAGGCTAAGGGAATGGCAAGGTGAGCCTGTATAGCCAGATCCAATCCAGGCCTGTCTGCCAGTGGTCTGCACCTGGTGGCAGTTGCCCACTCCAGCATCAGGATGGATGTGGACAGTTCTGGCTCATCAGCTGTCCGGGACACTAGGAGAGCACCAGCACATCTAAGAACCTCCTGTGCAAATGCATGCCAGACTCCTCTTAGTGCTTGACAGGGAGAATACTGAGAGGGGAACCTACCCTTTATCTCTCATCCTGTTGTGGAGAGGAGGTGGCCCGCTGTGTCCCCACCTTGCCTCACCCTCTCTCCTCACACCTGGAAAGATGACCATCTTAGCCCCCAACCCAGGAAAAGCATTGATCACCCATTATTTGTGTCTCAGTGTTTCTGCAGGGCTTTACTCTGAGAAGTAAAGAAGAATAGGTGTGTAAAGCGCCTAGCTTAGAAAAAGAAAGAGGAGCTCTGGAAATAAAGAAAGACAAACATTAGGAGAAGGAAGGAAGACAGTACAGGGTCTGAAGTTGGAATGTCCCTGGGAGGACTTCAGCACTGGTGTCAAAATTGATATACGGCAGGGAGAAATGAGTGGTCGGCAGTCAGCAGGCCCCCGGCACCCTGGAACCCCATAGCTGGCACCTCCCCTCCCACAAAAACTAGCACAGGCAGCCCCTCACAATGTCAGCACAGATCCCCCAGGCTGGGTTGGCAGTGCCAGGAGGAGGGCCCATCTCCTTCTGGGAGTGGCATTATCCTTTCTGGTTCCCACTATGCCTCCTAACCATGCCAGAAGAAGGTTTGAACACAATGGCCTCACTGCACACAGGGATTGCTCAGAGGCAAGAGGGTTGAAGCTGAGGCCTGGGTGGACAGAAGAGAGCACTGAACAGCAGGTGAGATCTTGTCTGGGCCTTATAGTCTGGATGGTGCCAGGAAGAGTGAGGTGGGGCTTTGAGCCCCCCTGACGAGCCACCTCTGTGAGGCCGGGACTGTGGCCCAGACATCCTGATGAAGTGTCCTGTGTTCTGGGTCCAGTTGGCCTGTGGTCAGGGGGCAGTGGCAGATGGAATATGGTGCTGAGACTTCTTGGGCTCAAAGGAGAAGTGGAGAGAAATTGTCCCTGTGCCTCCAGGCTGAGGTCTGGGCCAAGCCCATGGACTCTCTGGTTGCTTTTGCTCTGTGCTCAGCCTTGAACTTGGTGTGTGACCTGGGGCAGGGAAGTTGAGGGTTTCATGATGGGAAGGAGTCCCCAACTCTGTGCTGCAAGGAGAGAGAGAGGCTGTCTGGAGAAAGAGAAAGAGGCTCAGCTCTAGTGCTCTGGGGCTTTGGGACCAGGGTGCTCCCCTTCAGGGAAGTCAGCTTGTCAGAGGCAGCATCAGAGCTGAGGCTGAGGCACATGATGGCTGGGCTTGGATGTGCAACATGGAGAGGTGAGGAGCAGAGCCCTTAAGGCAGAGGAACAGAGCCCTCAAGGCAGAGGAGCGAGGGAAGGTGCCAGGGCATGGCCAGTTCTTCTTGTAGCTGGGCTCTGATTGCCTGAAGGCAGGGTGTGGAGACCCCAGGAGCCTGGCAGGGACGGTCTGACATGCAGGCTGGGTGGAGGGACTGGATTCTGCCAGCAGTGTAGAGCTTCTCTGGAGGGTGTGAGCTGGGAGGGAAGATGGTCCTGGGAGGACTAAATGGGTGGAGCCAGGGAGAGCAGGCTGACACACTTGGGTTGTACTAAGAAGGAAGCCTGAATCCCTGAAAAGGTGGCAGGAGCCCAATCGGGCATGGAGGAGGGTGGACAGGCAGCTGTAGACACAGGTGGCTCAGGACAGGGTCTGAGGGGGCACAAGGGGAAAGTCAGCATCATCCTGGATGGGGACTAGCAGGGCAGGGGCAGGAGAGGGCAGATCCCAGGACGGGGCCTAGAGGGGAGAAGGGTCCCTCTCAGTAAGAGAGAGACCGTCTCCGTAAGGGAATCCAGCATTTGAGGCATTTGCCACTCACATGCCCAAGGGGAGGCTTTCTGCATGAATGACAGGTTCAAGCAAGCTCAAAGTCTGCATGCTCTGGGGAACACCTGTGAGGAATAGAGGGTTTCCTTGGGACCATCAGGCTGAGACTGGCCTGGCAGGAGACCCCTGGGATTCCAGGCAGCCTGGGAAGGGTGGCCTTGAGTACAGAAGGAGCTGAACAGGCCCCATGCCAGGGAAACCACAAGCATTGATGGGCTGCTGCCTCTGCTGTGGTCTGTGGGCATCATCAGCACCACATCACAGATGGGGAGGTCGAGGCAAAGTGGCATATGCCCACTGGCATTCTGGGAGCCTGCTGCAGCCCTCCAGCCACAGGTGCTGAAGGGGATGCAGTTACAGTCCTCATGCTTGCAGAGCAGGGACAGGCACATCTACAAGGACATGGCATTTCCCACAACAGGCTCAGCCTTCAGCCAGGAGATGACCAGAAAGACCAAGAAGGGTGGTACTTTAGCTGGGAGCAAGGATAAGGGGCTTCCTGGAGGAGGCCACTCTGGAGCTGAGTCTGAAAAGGTGAGCAGCAGTTCACTGGGCAGACAAGGTTAGGAAGAGCATTCCAGAAACAGAGGACAGCTTAGGCAAATTAAGAAATGGAAAGCTGAGGGGCTCTGAGAAAGATTGTTATCTAATTCGCTGCCTGCTAAGCCCCCAAGAGAACAGCCTTGGGGAAACCTAACAATTCTCTTTGAAAAGGCCAGGCTTTCAACTTGCTTTCATGCTTACAAGATGGCTTCTGGAGCTCCAGCCATCACACTCATACTCCAGGCAGAAAGAAGAAGGAAAAAGGGAAAGCAGCCTTCTTTAAAGCAATGCCCAACAATTCCTATTTATACTCCATTGCCAGAGTGCATTCACATGGCTATGCTGCTCAGCAAGGGAGACCAGGAAAAGGTCATTTTACAGCTGAGTACGTTTCCTCTCTTAACAAAAGCAGGCTTCGTTAGTAAGGAAGACAGGAAGAATGGACTTGGGGTGACCAATCCGTGTTTAGTATTGCTGGACCCATTTGAGAGATGGAAAAGCCATTCCCAAGAGGCTGATTGACTTGCCTGTGGTTAGAGGCAGGAATGAACCCCAGTCTCTTTGACCTTACTTAGAGTGACCCTGAGGGCCTTTTTGAAAGGCCCTATCAAGTCTCCAGACAGGGTTGCCCCGATCATGAGCATAAGAAGCCAGCAGAGAGGAAGGCATCGCAGACGAACACAAAGACAATCTCTGTGTGGCTTGCAGCTGTGTGGGTGGTGGATTGGCTACACCGGTGTGTGCCCAGGATGAAAGCAAAGCAACTGCTTTTGCAAGACAGAATTAGCTGTTCCTACGGGTCTGGATCATCCTCTTCCCAAACCAAGGGAACCGTGGAGCTGCTGCCTTCTCAGCTCGTCACCCGCCCAAGGGTCCCTGGAGCCAGCCTTGAGGGCTGTGGTGAGTGCTCATCCCTTCCATATGCTCACTAGAGCCTTCCAGGCCATGCTGGGTTACAGAGGTAACTGGGGGCTCCTCCTGGCTACCAGGGAGAAGAAGACAAGTTCAACCCCAAGTGAGGGAGTCCAGAGTCAGAGACCCAGGGCTGCCTGGAGAGGCAGGGGAGACATTCGACACTTGAGCTAGGTCTGGAAGGAGGAGTCTAGGCTGGAGGCAGCACCCAGGGGAGAGAGGAGGAGCACAGCAAGGCCCACACTGTGGGTCTCGATGGGTCCTGGCCCCACCCCTTGAGCCAGGCAACCGCAGCCTTCTGAGCCCAATTCCAATGCCATCACAGTGACCTTCTCTCTCTTCTCTTCCCTATGGAGAAGGTACCTCAGCTTAGCCCTTGCACAGTCCCAATGCACACAGGGTCCCTGCTGCCCAAGGATCTGCCTTCCACACAGCCAGGAGTGCCTTTCCCTACCACAGGCTCCCTGCAGCCCAAGGATGTGCCTGAGACACAGCCGGGAGTACTTTTCCCAAGCACAGATTCTGCAATGCAAAGAGCTGCCTTCAACCCAGCTGAGAGTGCCTCCCCATCACCTGCTCCCCCAGGTGCCACCTCCTCCCCACTAGGTGCCCGAGGCCTCCCTCCAGGATGTTGCCACTGCTCCCTGCTCTTCTCAGGCACACTGCAGAACCCCCTTTGTCACTGCCTCCCCTAGAGCCCAACTTCTAAGGCACCAAACACCCAAGATGAACAGGCCTTTGTTGCTGAACTGGACATATACATTGAGCCTTTGTTTATGGTCAAAGGAGTTGAATTCTTGCTGATCAACCAAAGAGTTTGTCACCAGGGAGCTTGTCCTCTGAATGAGCTGGATTTATATTGCACCTGCCAGAACACAGCACCCTGGTGCCATGGGGATGCCAGACATGGATTCATTCCACTCCTAACAGCCCCAACTTCATCTGTCACCAAAGGGTGGGACCATGAGGTCTTAGGCCAAATTCCTCTCTAAAAAAAAGCCCCCAAAGTCTTTGAAATATGAATTCAATGCTGTATCACCCTCCCTAGCTTTTTTTGCAATGAAAAATACTTGTGTATTTTATTTCCTATACTCCTCACACCCTTGTCCCTGCTTTCCATTTTTTTGGCTACTCAAATTCTGAATGTATCCCAGAAGGCAATGAGTGTCTTTCGGAAAATGTGAATTCTCTTTGTAGATACCCCACACTGTCCCCCCAAGCAAACTTCAGCAAATTTTCCTCATTTCATTACAGAAGATAAACTTCCCCTCTTAGTCATTTGTCCCCAAAGAAGGAAGCACAGCCCCAACAGAGATGAGTGTCAACAGGCAGGATCCTACCATCCAGTGTGTGCAGACAGTGGCTACAGGACAGCCCGAGGTGCCACCCACACAGGCCAAGGGCACCTCACATGGGGCCCCTGAGCGCATGAGGAGGGGACCACCTGGGGGGCTGTGGCTGAGGTTGTCCAGTCATACCTAATCTATCTTGAGAGTAAATCAACTGCTCTCCACCTCCCCCATCTACTAGAATGCAATATTTATGCTTTTCCGTAGAATTTTTGAAAGGTAAGTACAAGTTAAAAATATAACAGGTTTAGGTTTTAAACAGTATTGACTAATTTGGATGGCAATGTCCCCGCTCCATGTTTCGTTTTTTTTTTTAGGCTTCAACACAATGGCTTGCCTATATGTGTAGGGCTTTGGGGGCTTTCTCTAGGTTGCATGACTTTGACCTTCAATGCCGTCATCCCGAGGAGTTACTCTTTCTTGTCCCCCTTCTCCGTCTTGCACCCGCCTGTCCTGCCGCAGCCTGGACTCCGCATCTGGGTCCTGCCAGCTGCGATGTTGGGAAACAGGCCTCTCCCACCCTTCCCCAGCCTCTCCCCTCTGTGTCTGCACATCTATCTCCCAAGCTGGTTATGAGAGGCTTTTCCAGGCACACAACACCCTGCACAAGGCGTCCAGAGAAATAAGCCAGGTCAATGTTGAGGAAATGGAGGAGAGCACTGGAGCCCTGGGGGTGGATGGGACTCAGTCATTTGGTTTTTCTCCATTTTGAGGCTCATTCCCTGAGCAACCGTCGGTGCTAAAGAGAACATGCCACCCCTCCACACTTCACTTCTCAACATTCTTCCTGCAATGGGAGGCCTGGCTTCATCAATTTTTTGTCTTGCTTTGTTTTTTAGAGAGTTTTTGTTTCACAAAATACACACACTTCTGGTATTGTAAATACAGAGATTTTCACAAAGAATTGAGTGTTCCCACCTCATTGCTGGACAGGTGGAGATATTTATGACAAGGGTGCCTGGTGCCTGGCCAGCAGGTGCATGGCCTGTGTGCGGCCCCATAGGCAGGGTCCAGAGAGGTGGGTCACATGTCTGTGCAGGTGTGGAAATGGATGGACAGCCAGACAGTGCACCCTCTGGCTCTAGACTGCCTGGCCCAGCTGCCTAATGCCTACAGCCACATACAAATGTGCCAGAGCAGCCAACGCAACTTTACAAGGTGCCTGGAACTGTGTGTCTCTCAAGACTCAGGGACAAAATGTTCATTATACTTATGACACCAGGAAAAGTGTGGGGAAGCTTTCATTAGGCAGAAAGGGAAGTCAGGCATGGTGGCTTATGGGAGGCCTTTGGGAGGCCAAGGCAGGCAGATTGCTTGAGTCCAGGAGTTCAAGACCAACTTGGACAACATAGCAAAACCCCGTCTCTACCCAAAATATGAAAATTAGCCAGGCATGATGGCCTGCCTCTGGTCCCAGCTACTCAGGAGGCTGAGGTGGGAGGATTGATTGAGCCCAGTAGGTGGAGGTTGCAGCTAGCCTCTGCACGCCAGACTGGGCAACAGAGTGAGAACCTATCTCAAAATAAATAAATAAATAAATAAATAAATAAATAAAAAGATATATAGATAGATAGGAAAAAGAAAGGGAATTAAAATAACCTAAAAGTGTAGAGAGATTTTATCTCTTCCTCAGATTGGGTTGTCTCTAATTAATGACAACTATGTTTCTGCCCTGGGAGGTTCAAGCCCACTTCTCTGCAGCTGGCCTGTGCTCCTGTGTTAACCCATGTGTAAACATGAAGATGCTGCTTTCCATCTCTGTGGCTCTGAGACCCCATAAGGAGAAATGCATGTGCAATTTCATGAAGAGTTGTATGTGATCCTGGTGAAATCAACATACGTTTGTTAATGGGGATTGAGAGCCTTTGGAGTTTAGCCAATGTGAACTCAAGTTAGGGCCTGTCATCCTTCCTCATCCCTCAAGGGAGGAAGTCATAGATTAAGAAGGCGAGCTTAGAGGACATCAGAGGGGAGAACCCCTCCACCCTGGCCACCCACAGGGACCCTCCCAGGCTTTCTGTGTTGAACAGTGACAGTAGGAGCAGGCAGAGGGAACTTTGCCAGCCACCCTTCTGTGGGCCACTCCAGCCCTGCCTCCTCCACTCCAGCTGAGTTGATCTCCCTGGTTTGGCATCAGTCAGAAGCTCCTCACCCTAGTGAAGGGAGAAAAGGGGGCACAACCCTTGGTCATGCAGGTGGACTGAGTTGCAGGTGGGCTGCCTTTTTAAATTTTAGATTCAGGGGGCACATGTGCATGTTTGTTTCAAGGATATATTGTGTACTGGTGGAGATTGGGCTTCTAGCGTAGCCATCACCCAGATACTGAAAATTGTTTCCAATAGGCAGTCTTTCAGCCCTCATCCCCCTCCCACCCTCTTATTTCCCACCTTATTTCCATCCTTATGTCGATGTATACATATTGTTTAGTTCCCACTTATAAGCGAGAACATGCAGTATTTGATTTTTTGTTTCTGAGTTAGTTCGCTTCGGATAATGGCCTCCACCTCCACCATGTTGCTGCAAAGAACATAATTTCCTTTTTTATGGCTGCATAATATTCCATAGTGTATATATACCACATTTTATTTATCTGGCCAACCAATGATGGATACTTAGATTGGTTCCATGACTTTGCTATTGTGAATAGTGCTGAGTTAAATGTACGAGTACAGATGTCTTTTTTTATATAATGATTTCTTTTCCTTTGGATAGATACCCAGTAGTTGGATTACTGAGTAACATGGTAGTTCTATTTTTAGTTCTTTGAAAAATCTCCAAGCTGATTTCCATAGATATTTAATTAATTTACATTCCCACCATCAGTGTATGAATGTTTCATTTTCTCTACATCCACACCAACATCTGTTGTTTTTTAACTTTTTAAAAATAGCCATTCTGACTGGTATAAGATGATATTTCAGTGTGGTGTTAATTTGCCTTTTTCTAATAATTGGTGATGTTGAGAATTTTTTCATGTGTTTGCTGCTTATATTTCTTCTTTTGAGAAATGAGTGTTCATATCCTTTGCTCAGTTTTAAATGAAGTTCTTTGGTTTTTTCTGTTTAGTTGTTTGACTTCCTTATATATTCTGGATATTAGTCCTTTGTTGGAAGCATAATTTGCAAATATGTTCTCCCATTCTGTAAATTATAGGTGTATTCTGAGTTTCTTATATTTTGAAGTCTACCTCTCTAGAAAGATTAAGGAAATTTTCCTGAATTATTCCCCCAGATATGTTTTCCAGCTTTGCTTACTTTTTCTTATTTTCTCTCAGGAATGTCTATAAGTTATAGGTTTGGTGAAAATCCCATCTTTATTTGTTCTTTTTTAAAATTCATTTTTCTATATTTTTGTCTGACTATGTTAACAAAATACCAGTCTTCAAGATCTGAAAATTTTTTCTTCTGCTTGGATCATTAAAGCTTTTAACTGTATTTTGAAATTCTTTAAGTGTATTTTTTATTTCCGGAAGTTCTGTTGTTGTTTTAAAGGTATTTATCTCTTCCTTCATTTCCTGGTTTGCTTTCATGGTTTCTTTGTGTTAGTTTTCAACTTTCTCTTGGCTCTCATTTACCTTCCCTGCAATCCATACATTTAATTCTTTATCTGTAATTTTGGGGTTTTCATTTTCGTTGGGGCTCATTGCTGGAGAGCTAGTGTGATTATTTGATGTTGTCACAACATTCAGATCTTTCATGGTGCTAGAATTTTTACACTGGTTCCTTCTCATCTGGAGGAGCTGACACTTCTTATGTTCAAATTTATTTTCATTTATGTGGGATATTTTCTCTGTTATCTCTCCCTCCCCCCGCCTTGAGGGTGTCACTGTAGGGGTTATGGCCTTTCTCCTGCAGCCCTGTGCACTTCTGTTTTTTATTGGGCTGTGCAGTTCAACCTGCAGGCCAGTAGGGGGCACTTCTGTGTTAGGGAACCTCTTTTCGCTCCATGGGGGTCCCAGCTGTGCAGGCTTTACTCTCCTCTGCTGTCTGTGATTCCTGTCATGTCTCTGGTGAATTTCAGCATGCTCTCTTAAAGGATCTATTTGAAGTGTTAGTATTTACTCACTATTTTGATGCCTGAGAGATTCTCACTAACTACTGGCTGTGGCATAAGCGCATGGGTGTATATCTGACCTTTGCTCACTGAGGTGCTCTCTATTGTTTCAGCTGATGGACTGGACAGCAGAATGCCAGGTTCCCTGAGCTTCCTGCTAAGAGTAGGTTGGGAGGGTGGAAGAGAGGTTGCAGCTGGGCAGAGCTGGAACCCTGGCTTTCCCACAAATACCCCAAATGATAAGCGTAGGCACCAGCCATGATAGGGGTGGCTGGGGGAGCTCCTGATGACATGCACAGAGGTCTCTGTGGTGGGATGAGGGGGCTGCACTGGCTCCACGTCTAGATAGGCAGGAATGCAATCTGCTTCCCTATCACACCCCTGTTCTGGGGCTGGTGTCTCAGTTCAGATGCACACTGTGGTCTATCTGCAGGCCACAGTGTGGCTGAGAGACGTGGAAAATGCCTGTCCTGTGCCTCTCCGCAGGAGTGGCTTCAGGGTGGAAATTCTTCACTCAGCCCAATGCAGGCAGTTGTATGGCTCGCCTGTTCTCCAATGTGGTAATGCCGCCACCCCATGGAGAGAGGGAGAATGGCTCTGCCTGTCAGCCATGTGGGTGGGAGTCATGGCTAGTGTTGGCTGCTTGGGTGGGCCCAAACTCAGGTCCAGAGGGTAGTCAGGTGCCAGCGATGTTGGACTGGGCTAGGTAATTCCCCAACTCCCACACCTCTCAGTGACCCACTAGATGGCATGTAGGAGTCCTGATGTGGCTGGACCAGGATCTAGTCAGCCCAGAGTTCAGGTGCTGGCTGTGATAGGGAGGGGTGGGCTGATCCCCTGGAGCCTGAGAACAGATCACAGGACTGTGGGGGCTGGGCTTTCCGAAGGGCTCCAGGCCACAGCTGCAATGTTCAGGCATAGCAGGGTGGCTGTGCTGTGCACCGTTCACCCAGGAGGGCAGGAATCTTCAGCTGGGGCAATGAGCAATGATAGTTGTTGGGCTCATGGTCCACTTGCACTTCTCTCCCAAAGCTGGATTTTGCTGTTAGGAGCTCAGGAAGGTGCCTGACCTTCCTGCTCCCTTCCTGGCCTGGGGCAGCAGAGGCAAGCCTGTGGTGGAACGGGCTAATGGGCAGCCTCTGGGGGTTGGGTTCTCAGGGGAACAGTGAGCTGTGGCTGTCATGCTCAGTCAGGGGTGGGCGGTGGCACTGGCAGCCTGTCACCAAAGCAGGCAAGTCCCGTTTGGCAGAGAGGAGCAGCAGAGGGAAGCCTTGTCTACCCACTCCTCCTTACCACAGCTGCAGTATCTGTCTTTGGGGCACACGAAAGTGCCCAGTTCCCCTCCATGGCAGGCAGCAGCAGCTGCACCAGGCAGATCAGGGATGAAAAGCCTGTGGGATCCATGTAGGCTTGAGCAGTGCCTCTGCACAGTCTCCAGCAGGCTCCCTGTGTTCATCTGGAGGCCCGGGGGCAATGAGAGGGCTCCCTGTGACTAGGATTGTGAAGGTCCATGGTGGAGTTGTGAAATTTCAGGGTTCTCTCACTTGCTCACCTCTTCCCTGTGTTAGGGAGCCCCTTTCCGCTCCATGGGGGTCCCAGCTCGGCAGGCTTCCCTCTCCTCTGCTGTCTGATTCCCATCATGTCTCTGGTGAATTTCAGCGTGCTCTCCTAGAGGATCTGTTTGAAGTGTTAGTATTTACTCACTCTTTTGATGCCTGAGAGGTGCCAACTAACTACTTCTACTCCTTGGCTGCCACTGTTCCATTGCCCCCTCCTCGGGGGAGGGGCAGCATAATTTCAGAAAACAAGTCTCACATCAGAGCTGCCCAAAACCAAAGTGTACAAAAGGGAACACGGTGGGCAATTTTTATTCCTTATTTTAGACCAGAACTATAAGAACACACATTTCTGAGAGTCCAATGGATGTCACGTTAAGCACCCCTGTAGAGCTGGAATGAGCCAGAGCAGGTGAGGTAACGAGTAGCCCCACATGGAAGCTCACAAGAAGCCAGGGCACTGCTCACCCCTGGGATGGCACAGAGAGGGTCCAGGCCCCCAGGGGCACTGCAGGCCTCCGTTGGTCATTCAGGGACCTCAATATGCAGGGGAAGCTCTGCCAGGCAAGAGCATTCTTTTGAGATCAGCTTCTTATCAGCCAGACAGAAGGAGCAGGGCTAGGCTGGGTGACAGGCATGTGCACCTGCCACTGCCATGAGCTCAGACACAGCCCGCTGAGCTGCAGGGGAGGCTACAATTTAGTAGCTGTGCATCCAAGAAGGAGTTGGGGATAGATTTGTGGACAGTGCCCAGTCCCCGCTAGGGCACCAATCACTGAGGGCAAGGACCCTGGAGCTTTAGCTCTCCTACTGGTTTTCCTAACCTACCAGGGAAGGCTCCCTTCATGGCAAGACCCTGGTGGGACTTTTGGAGGCAGATGTGCACACCCAGTCTGCACACCTGTATTAGCTGAACTCCTCACAGGGGCTTAGAAACAGACTGGAGAGGAAAATGTACACGTAGGAGGTTTCTTTTGTTAGGGAGTCCTCTGGGGAACACCATGGTGAGGGAGAGAATAACGGCAGGAACCAGACCCACATAGGATGTGCTACCGCAACCATCTCCAATCAATGGGAAAATAAATGGCTATCCGTTTGCAGGAATGTGTTATTTAAGGCACTTTTCCTGGGGTCCTGAAACTTCAACTGTCAACCCACAAGCCCCAGCAAAAAGGCATGGAGGTGATTGGGACAGGGACTGCCTAGTGACAAGGTGAGCCCTTAGATCCCCCACCCCACACCCACCACCAGGGGCTCGAGCCTCCAAGAGAGGAGGCATCAGGTGGGTTGAAGTGTAGGAAAGTGTAGGAGGGCTGGGCTGGGCTTTAGCAGCTGAGTCTTCTGGCTCTAGTCCAGAGCCCTGTGCACTTCCCCAGGTTGCCCCCTTCCGCAGTTGGGAGCTGAACCACCAGGCCCTCCCAGATGGCTGCTTAATGGTGAAGCTGCCTTAGTGCAGCACTCTGATCATTTATCATTAAAGTGGGCAGAGCCAGAACTCCCAGAGCTCAATGGGGCCTTGATACATCCTAAGCTTCTACTCTGTGCTAGACCCTTGGTCCTAGGAGGTGGGGACGTCACATCAGAACACCGGGGAGTTTTATCAACTTTCTTTTATCCTCCTTGGGTATGTGCTGCTGATCACCGCGGGTGAATTGTTGTAGACTCACTAATATTTTGTGACCTTGGCTTGCTTTCTTCACATTTGATAGATTAGGAAAGTACAGGTCTGAGAATTTATAGCAACTTGCTTAACATCCCACAACTTTTAAGTGGAGGAAGCAGGAGTCAATGCAGAGCAGCTGTCTGCAGAAGTGTACTGGGCACTCGGTTCCTGTCCGCAAGTGCAGAATCTGCAACCAGGAGTGGGGATATGGGGGAAGTATCCACCTGCCTCTCACAGAGGCTAACAGCCTAGAGCATGTCCCCAGCTTCCTGCCAGGTCATCACTAGAGCCTGAAGGAACCCCTCCACCTGGCTGGCCAGTGGACCCAGCTCTGGGCTGGGGCGAGGCTCCCTCACCACTGACGGTTAGGTAAACTGTCCTCCTGGCCGGCCTGGGCTATTCCTGAGCTTGCTGCTCAGCCCCTCCCTCCAATCACTCAGCTCAAGTCTCCAAGCCTGGGCTAATGGCTTGGGCTCTTTGAAGCCAGGAGCCTCCCCCAGACTCCCACCAGGCATGACTGCAAAACTCCTCGCATGCACACATATACAACCACACATCTACATGCCTGTGTTGAAGCTTGTGTGTCTACACAAAGCTGTGGTCTTCATGCAGTTCCTCTGACCCCTTCTGTAAACACCAGAATTCCCTGAGTAGGCTCAGCATGTAGAGAGAGACAGGGGCAGAAGGGAACTCCATCTCTCACCAGGATTCCCTGAGTAGGCCCAGCATGTAGAGGGAGACAGAGGGGCAGAAGGGAACTCCATGTCTCAAGCACTGCCTAGTGCTTCTGCCTGTGCTGGGCTGGGTAATTTGCATACCTGGTCAGATATCTATTGAAACATTCATTCCGTTTTGTGTTCTCCCTCTCTGTTTCTTTTTTCTTTCCTTCTTTTTTTAATGGCATTGAGATTTTTATTTACCTACCTTCCTGCTTTCTTTTAACATTATAAACATTATAAGCCAAATTATTCTCTTTTTGACCCAAGGTTGTGATAGGAACCCTCTTGTTACAAAGTGGTGGCTGATCTGTGCCTGCTTTTATGCTTTTCTGGCCCCTCTCAACCTCTGGCTGTCACTTCTCTGTTCTTTCTCAGTTGTCCCTTAAGAGTGTATTCTAATCCCTGTGAAACAGGGACTGAAAGTACCAATCTCATTGTTACGAGGTTTAAGAGAAGGTCCAGCATTAAGCCAAGCTCTCAGGAAAATTGAAACAGTTCCTCCTTGCCCTTCAATACAGTTCCTTCTCATCTGTCACGGGCTGAGGAATGACTGAACCATAAACCAAGCACAGGGTATAAGTCCACAGGCCAGGTGAAGGCCTAGATGGTAAAGTACGTGGGCTTTGCGACTCCACTGCTGACATCCAGGTTAAGGAAGGACTGACTTAGTGAGCAGTTCCAAGACCATTGAGCTCACAGTTCCCTGTGGCTGTCTCCCTCATACTTCCACCATGACCAGGCTTGAGGAGGGGACTCTCAGTTCCCCTGACTCACTTGGAATAGTATGAGGGGTGCAGCAGAAGCCAAAAACTGAGTGAACGGCCCTGGGGAGTCCATGGGGGATGCTGACAAACCAATCACAAAGTTGGTGCCATTCGCTCTTAAGAAGGAGAGGCAGGGCCTGGGCAAGAACAGCAGCTGGAAGGTGAAATGCAGGCCTGGCTCTCAGTAGCGGTAGTGATCAGCCTTGAAGGGGCAATCAGGGGAGATGCCCCAGGTACTGGGCCTGTTTCTCAGTCAGCTTGGTCAATTTCATGATCAGCTTGCCCAGGTGGGCTTCAGCCACTGCCTCATCCAGCTTCTTGGGTAGGACATGAACCTCAATGGGGTACTTCTCTGGGTGGATTCACAGCTCATTCTGTGCAGTCACCTGGTTGATGAGTCACTCATCACAAAGCCAGGGTGGCCCATGGCACAACCCAGGCTGACCAGCCGACCCTCAGCCAGCAGGATGGTGTGGCGCCCATTCTTCATCCAGTACCCGGCCACCTGGGGCTTGATGGCCACCTTCTCCAAGGGTTCTCACTGAGCCACTTGACATTGATCTCCACCTCAAAGTGTCCAGTGTTACATACAATGGCATCATCCTTCATCTGTTCAAAGTGCCGGCCAAGGATGATGTTGACACAGGCTGTGGTGGTGATAAAGATGTTGCCCTCCTGACAGGCTTCATCCATGGTGGTCACCTCATAGCCCTCCATGGCAGCCTGCAGTGCATTGATGGGGTCGATCTTGGTGATGATGACGTGGGCCCCGAAACCCCACAGGGCCTGGGCACAGCCCTTGCCCACATTGCCATAGCCTGCTACCATCGCTACCTTGCCGGCAATCATCACCACTGTGGCCCACTTGATGCCATCTATGAGGGACTCCCAGCAGCCATAGAGCTTGTTGAACTCACTCTTGGTGAGGGAGTCATTGACATTGATGGCAGGCACCTTCAGGATCCCATTGACCATCATCCTGTGTGGGTTGTGGACCCGTCATGGTCTCCTTGGAGGTGCCTCAGATGCCCAGCAAGAGCTGTGAGTACTTGGTGTGGAAGAGGTTGGCAAGGTCACCCCCATCCTCCAGAATAATGTTGAGAGCCCATCCCTGAATTACAGTGACTGCTCGATGCACCATGGGTACTCTGCGTTCTTTTGCCCTTCCAGGTGTAAACTGGAATGCCAGCCTTGGCAATGGCAGCCAACACATGGTCCAGGGTGAGGAAGATGTTGCTGCTGGGGCACCCAGGGTGATGAGGGACCCAATGTGGATGGCCATCTCCATGGTCATGTGCAGGCAGCTGGCACTGTGGTTGCCCTCTAGTGGCTTGGAGGCCGAGTACAGCTCCCACATGTGCATCAGGCCTGGCATCTCATTCTCTACAATGTTCAGGGCCTTGCATCCCCAGGCGGCCAGGCCAATGTCAATAACTTTGCTGGGCAGTTTGTCAGACAGGCTGGTGACGCTTATGATGGAGACAGGTGAAGGGGACTGGGCCTTGGTCTAGGGACAGGCACTGGGTGGGTGGCTCTGGACAGGGTCTCTCTCTCTCTCTCTCTCTCCCTCTCTCTGTGTGGGGGGGTGTGTTTTCTATTTTACATTTCAAGCAGATGGCCAGGCCCTTGGTATTGCACAGGTGCTTGCAGTGTGTATTAGCCAGGGATAGCCAGAGAAATAGAACCAATAGGATATATACGGGTATATGTATATGTAAGAGGAGATTTATTATTAAGAATTGGCTCATGTGGTTATGGAGACCGAGAAGTCCCATGGTTTGCTATCTGCAAGCTAGAGAAAGAAGAATGTCAGTGGTGTGACTCAGTCTGAGTCCGAAGGCCCAAGAATTAGAGGGGCGGGGGTGAGGCAATGGTGTAAGTCCAAATGCTATGACCTGAAAGTTAGTGTCCCCTAAAGATTCATATGTTGAAATCCTAAACCCAAAGGGATGGTAGGAAGTGGGAGTATGGGGAGATGATTAGGTTACCAGGGTGGAGCCTCATGGATTGAATTAGTGTCTTTATAAAAGAGGCCCCAGAGGGCTGCCTCACCCCTTCCACTGTGGGAGAACACAGGAGACATTGTTGGCCAAAAGATGCTAACAATGAACCAGAGAGCTGACTCTCACCAGAAACTCAATCTGCCTTGATATGGACTTCCCAGACTCCAGAACTGTTTAAAATAAATTCCTGTTGTTTGAAAAGTATACAGTTTGTGGTAGTTTCTTTAGAGCAGCCCAAATGGACTAAGATACAGTGGGCAACAGTGGCCTGAAGTGAAACTCTCTTCCATCTTGCGTTAAGATGGAAACTCCTGAGAGGTGACGCTCAGTGTCTCTGAATGAGGGAGTGGGCAGGGAGGTAGAGAAGGCAGAGGTCAGGGGGTTAGAGATGTAGCTTGCACATCACTGGACCACCAAGGGGTGTCTAGATGGTGCCAGGCCCAGGGACCCAGCCTCACCATGGCCCCTGGGACTGAAGGGCCCATGCAGGCTGGACACTGGGTGATAGGGGAAGCCAAGAGGACTGCCGACCAGGGGGCTTCTGGACACAAGACTTTGACCCAACCCTGGAGAAAGAGGAGCCCTTCGGGGTATGTGAAAAATTTCCCTAACTATTAAGACTTCCATTTCGAAATTACGAATCTTTGAGATGAACCACAAACCTTGCAAAAATTTTACAGACCACTTGAGAAAACCCCCACACTTCTTCTATCAGCTGTTCATCTTCTATCAGTGTTCACTTCTTCTATCAGCTGGAGAATTTCCATGGGAAGTATAGGAAAGCCCGTCTTAGGGTCCATATGGGAGATCCCAGCCTGAGCCTGGCTACAGGCTGTGCAGAGGCAGGACCCAAGAGGAGACCAGAAGGACAGGGCTGTAGTGACTGTAGGTTGCCAGCTCATGATCACAAGGGCAGCCAGGCCTCAGCAGGACCAGACATTGGAAAGCCCACAGGACCCCTGCTTGGGGTCTCCTTCAGGTTTCCCTGCTCCCTGGGCCATGCGGCCTCAGCTCTGCCCCTTCTCTCCCTCTGCACCTGCTCCCCTCTCCCCACCTCTGCCTCTCTGTGTACTTGGCTGCTAGTAGCCCTGAAGTCTGCGGTTGCTCATCCTCTGTTCAGATGACCCCATGGCCACGTTGCTGGGGAGAGATTCTGATCCCATAGTCTGGGTCAAGCTGTCCATGCCTGATCTGACCACCAAGGTCATACCATACAATCAGGGCTGCTGCTGGATCCAGCATGGGGTATGGGGAAGTTTGAGGATGTGGCAACAGGTGGAGCAGGTGCCCCCAAAGTTGTCTCCAGCATGTGGAGGAGCCTGCCCATCTGTCTCCCCATGAGTGGCCCCTGTCACCTGCTTCTTTCACTCCTGCTCCTGATGCTTCCACGAAGCTGAGCCACATGAGCCAGTGAGCATCCCTCTGCCGCCCTCACTGCCTCAGCATCGCCCGTTCCATCAGGCCCCACTCCTGCCTGCTGCCTGCAGCCTACCCAGTGAACTCAGCTCGGAGACCAGGGCTGGGCCTGGGCAGAGGGGATGAGTGAGTCCCATGCCTTATGTGCAGGAAACGTGGGTCTGGGCTGTTAACAGCAAAGCCATTGTATTAGTCCACTAGGTGGCCAAAACAAAGTCCCACACACTGGGTGACAAAAAAACAGACATTTTTTTCTCAGAATTCTGCAGGCTGCAAGTCCAAGGTCAAGGTGTGGGGAGGGTCGTTTCCTCCGAGTCAGCCACCTTCCTCCTGTGTCCTCCCATGCTTTACCCTCTGTGCATGTCTGTTTCCTAAACTGTTCCTATAAGCACACCAGTCGTACTGGATTAGGGCCCACCCTAATGACTTTGTTTAATTTAACCTTTACAAATCCTCTCCAACCACAGTACAGCTGCATTCTGAGGAACCAGGGGTTGGGACTTTAATATATAAATTTGGGGAGGACACAATTCAGTGCATGCCTGTCTTTATCAGAAGCACTACCCTCTCTAAGTGGTAATTTCTAAAAGACAATGGGGCTCTGGGGAAAGACTCCAACATGTTATGAAGCCAAAAGGCCCCAGTTCCGGCTGGACTGCATCGTTATGGGTAGTTTGGGGGCCACAGCTGTCCAGAGTGAATGAGATTCCACACATCCTCCCTGCCCAGCACACCTGGGGGCTCCGCCATGGCTGCTCCTGCAGGATGAGCTCCAGGCATTTGATGCCATGCTGGGACAGGACCCTATGGCTCAGGCCAGCTTGCAATACCGGAGGGGACCTTGGAATCTCGTCATTTCCTCTGATGAGTGAGGAGCCAGGGTAGACCATGTGGGTGCCCTCATGGTTCTGGGGCAGTGACCCCCTGCTCATGATCCTTGTGGAGGTTCTGGGGCTCTAGGGACATCCAGGCCAGAATGCCCAGCAGTTCAGCTCATAAGTCCAAAGGTAACCTGGGAGTCTCAAACTCACGGATACAATTATTGCAACCAGAAATCCTGGTCCTTCCTTCCCTATATCCCTGCTTCTGTGGGTGGGTGGGGGCATCCCAGGAGGAAAACTCTTGCTCAGAGAACAGATGGCCCTGGAGGTGTTTGTTTGACAGCTGGGACTCCATGAAGGGGAGGGTGGCCCCAGCTCAGGCTGTCTCAGAAATGGGAAGGAACAAAGTCTGCAGAAGCTCTACCCTGGGGCCCAGGGGACAGCAGGCACAGGGGCTGAGAGGCATCTCCCATTTACCCTCTCCCCAGGGTCTTCCTGCCTTGGTGGCCTCAGACATCAGTGGCTCAGGGGCCTCCCTGAGGACTGGGATGAAGAAGAGAAGGGGGTGGTGACAGTCCATTTTTCCAGGAGACACAAGTGTTACTTTTGTTTACTAGGCAGATGTTACAAACTGACTTCAAAACAATGTTTGCAGACTCGTGGAACAAATACCACGGAGCAGCACCTAGCACAGAGGAAGGCCCCCTGCCCTGGGCATCTGTGGGAAACCAGGGCCCAAGTCTGCGGTGAGCTGGTGCAGAAACTCTGAGCTGAGGAGCTAACATTACACCCATCTGCAACTGAGAGAACCTGCCAGGCTCCAGCAAAACCAAACAGGACATTCTCCCCAGGAGACACCGTCCTCATCCAGGGGAACCAGGATTCTCATGGAAAATCATTTCCTACTGAAGACGAGGTCAGAGGAAAAACTCCCAGGTATCCCAAAGAGAGGCAGCAGATACAAGAAACAAGGAGATTCAAAGCCCAGAGAGTAAAGAGAATAGAGTGATCTAAAAGGAACATTGAAATAAGGGTGTATAAAATGTTCAAAAAAAGATAAAGGAATAAAACTATATGACAAGAACAGCTAATTATAACAAATGCAGAGTTTTAAAAGGACCGAAGTTCTAAAATGCATTAATGAAAAATGAAACACAACCAGAAAGTTCAAGACAAAAAGTGGAATAACTCCAAAGACAGATCTGAGCAGCATCTGCCCTGCAGCCCCACTGACCGAGATGGAAACCAGAAACAGGATGTTGTGTGCTGGGAGCAGATAAGGAGTGTCTAGCAGGGCAGCTCACTCCACCATCCTCAGCCCACTCCACCATGCTCAGCTCACCCCACCATCCTCAGCCCACTCCACCATCCTCAGCTCACCCCACCATCCTCAGCTCACTCCACCATCCTCAGCTCACCCCACCATCCTCAGCTCACCCCACCATCCTCAGCTCACCCCACCATCCTCAGCTCACTCCACCATCCTCAGCTCACCCCACCATCCTCAGCTCACCCCAGCATCCTCAGCTCATTCCAACAGCCTCAGCTCACTCCACCATCCTCAGCTCACTCCACCATCCTCAGCTCACCCCACCATCCTCAGCTCACTCCACCATCCTCAGCTCACCCCACCATCCTCAGCTCACCCCAGCATCCTCAGCTCATTCCAACAGCCTCAGCTCACTCCACCATCCTCAGCTCACCCCACCATCCTCAGCTCACCCCAGCATCCTCAGCTCACTCCAACAGCCTCAGCTCACTCCACCATCCTCAGCTCACTCCACCATCCTCAGCTCACTCCAGCATCCTCAGCTCACTCCAACAGCCTCAGCTCATTCCACCAGCCTCAGCTCACTCCACCATCCTTAGCTCACTCCAGCATCCTCAGCTCACTCCACCATCCTCAGCTCACCCCAGCATCCTCAGCTCACTCCAGCATCCTCAGCTCATTCCACCAGCCTCAGCTTACTCCACCATCCTCAGCTTACCCCACCATCCTCAGCTCACTCCAGCATCCTCAGCTCACTCCAGCATCCTCAGCTCACTCCAGCATCCTCAGCTCACTCCATCAGCCTCAGCTTACTCCACCAGCCTCAGCTCACTCTAGCATCTTCAGCTCACTCCACCATCTGCAGCAGCCAGAGGTTGAAGGAAAGACGGCAAAGCTGACACATGCACACTCACACACACACATGCACACATACAAACATATGCAATCACAAACACACACACATCAGCAAACACACACACACATACATAATACGCACACACATGCACATCGACACACAGGCAAACATACATCCCAAAGCACACGCACATAAACATATACACACAGGCAAACATATACGGTTTAAATTGGCTGACTTGCCCGGCCACAGAGTGAACACCTGTGGAGGAATCTGATAGCTGTCTGCTGTGGGGCACATTCAGGGGGCTAAGGCTCCAGGAGGGCTGGGGGACATTTCTGCCAGGCAGGCTGAGCAGGGTGGAGGCCTTCCCCTGTGGACAAGGCAGGACACATTCCTGGGCCTCTACAAGGGGAGTCAGAACAAGTTCATGTCAGAGACCAGGGAAGCCTTCACTTTACCTCCTCTAGAGCACTGGGTTGCTCAAAGCCTCTGACTGATACTCACGCTGGCGCTGGACAGCTTCTGTAGGTTAATTTCCCTTTTGCACCACAATGACTAATTCTAATCTCCCGGCCTCCACACTCACCACCTCCCCGACACCGGACCTAGAATCTCACCTCCAGCTAAACAGACACCTTCCCCACAACACTGGGAGGACTCCCACTCTTCTCCCACATGCCCTGGTTCCCTGACCTTTCCTCTGAGTACCCTGACAGAGAGGGCCTTCGCCTTTGTTTCACTTCCTAACGGAAGTTGGAGGTCGGAAGTCGGAAGTCGGAAGTCAGAAGTCGAGTCTCCAGTCAGGCCCTGGCTCCCACTCCCCTCCCTCATCTTTCCTGCCTGATCTCCTTTCCCTCTTTCTCCTGTGTCTTCACACTCTCCTCTCCAGGACTCCCAGAGTGCTCCCTCCTTGTCCTCTGGCCCTCACCCCTTCCAGTACAGCCACCACCCCAGCCCCTTGCCCCACCGCTGTTGCCCACAGGAGCTGTTTGCCTCCCTCCTACCCTCCAGGGCAACCCGTTGACGCCCAGCACCCTCCACATCCTGCAGTGGCCCAAAGTGGCCCCTGTCTGTGAATCTCACCAGCCACTGGTCAGACGTAGCCTGCGCTCTGCTGTGTCTTGCAAACCCCTGGCCCTGTCTTTCCCAGCGGAGTGCTCCCCTGGTTTTCTGAGTGTCTGCTCTTTGCCTTGGATGGCCTTGGCTTCTCTCTGGGCAGCTCTCAGGCACATCTGTGGCTTCACTATTACCCCTGGGATGATGCCTGAGGCCATGGCTCCACCCCCATCCTCCTCTTGAGTTCCAGAAGTTTCTCTCCAATTGCCTACTCAACAGCTCCCTGAGATGTCTGAGGTCCAGTGGTCCAGATGCAGAGATGAGGATGCCTGCAGCTGATCTCAGACCCTTTGGGCTCACTCACCAGAACACAGCCTGGCTAGGTACCCAGCACCCCACCCATACGCCTCTTCCGCCACCCTCCTTGTCCCCTGTGGAAACACGCTCACCAATGCATTATGCTTCTCCTGCTGTGAGCCTGTAGGTGCATCTCCTCTCTTTCTGGCTGACATTTATTCATTGAGGAATCAGCTGGTGCCCACTACTTAGGAGGAACAGGCTGGACACCATGCTCAGTCCCCAGGTACACACACCCCATGCACGTATGCCCTGGCCCTGCGTGCACATGCTTCATCCTTCTGCACATACTCCATCCTCATGTACACACACAGCATCCCTGTGCACACACTCCACCCTCATGCACACATGCTCCCTCCTGTGCACACATGCCTTGTCTCTTGCACCCACGCTCCATTCCAGTGCACACTCACCCTGTCCCATGCACTCACCCTGTCAGTGCAGAAGGGCCCTCAAGTTCTCCCTTACCTCACTTTCACTTCCCGCCATGTCCACCCCATGCCTCCACCCCCAACCTCCACCTGGCTAACTCCTATGATGCTTGTGATTCTCCAGGGCCCAGCGGAAGGTTCCTTCTTCACAGCAGCCTCCTCCAACACCCAGGTCCCAGAGTAGACGACACCACACCCTTTGTGCTCCAAACAGCATCCTCCTGTACTCTTCTCTCTGTGTTCACAGGACTGTGTTGATAGTCTGTGCTCCCCTCAAAGTCAGGGTCTCCATGGTCAGCATCTGACACTCAGCTCAGGGTCCAGAACAGGGAGTTCCTGTCACTTTGTGAGGCAGGAGTGGGACATGTGGCTGGGATCTTGGGAACCCACAGAAATGAACCCCGGCTAGGTGCCAAGCACCCAAGCACATGCCTCTTCCACCACTCACCTTGTGCGCTGTGTTCCCCCAGGGCCCTCAAGAGTGGGAGAAAGGGAAGGTTACAATGATTTCTCCATGGTGACCTAGCACTCAGTGCTCAGTCTCCCGGGCTGTCTCCAGCTCCAAAGCTGGTGCAGCTCAGTGGGGCTCAGGGGACTGTGTGGCTTCAATACCCTCTTTTGGTCTGTCTCAGTGGCACCATGGGGTCAAGCTTGACTGGGTAATCTGGAGGGGAGGATCCTTCTGGAAGGGACAGAAGCTCACAGCCAGGTCTGCCAGCTGCCTCAGTGCCCACTTGGAGTGAGGAAACACCACTCAGGAGGGGAAACAGGCTCAAGGCAGGACGTGGGCACAGGTTGGTGGATGAGGGGTGCCAGTGTGGGCGTGGGGACAACAGAACATGCCAGAGGCTCTTGGTGACAGGGGACGTGATGGATGATGATAAAATGGTTGGCTGATCCAAGGGGTGCCACAGGAGCAGGCGGGGGTGACTTGGGCCTCAGGGCTCTGGGCTGGAAGGATTTAAAATGCACCCAGCTGATCCCAAAGGCATCCGGGGTTCGGAACCACTGATGTGGAGTGGGAGGAAGGGCTGACCCAGGAGAGAGTCCTGGGGAACAGTTCCGGGAGGCAGAGGAGAGACCAGAAGGAATGGTGAGGGGCACTGGGGATCCCTGTAGCCAGGAGAGGAAGGAGAGTCAGACAGAATGTGGGTCATGGGCTGCAAGAGCTGGTGAGACAGGCCTGAGGAGGGGATGTGAGCACAGGCAGGGAAATGGCCACAGAGGGGCCACCCTCTCCCACAGCCTCACTGTGCCCCGTGGGCCTCAGCGGCTGTGTCTACTGCTCTTGGCAGCACTCCTTGGAGCGTGTCTCGGTCTCGGGGCTGGCATTTCTCTCTGGGCTCTGCCCGGGGCTCCCCACACTATGGCTCCTTTGAGGGAGCCCATCTCAGCTCACCTTCATAACTGGACTTTGGCCAGACCCTTCTGGAAGGGACCCACCCCCTCCCCCAAGACTCATTGTCCCCAGACACCCACACGTGGCTTGGTGTGGGCACGCCCCTATGTGCATGTGTGGGGAGTGGCTGAGCTTCTGAGAATGCCACCAGTGAGGGCACCTTTGTCCTGGCCCACAGGACAGGGCTCCCAGAAGGGTAGCGAGCCCGGGTGCCCAAAGGCCTGGAATGGGCCCTTCATCAGTCCCGGGGCACGGAGACAGCTTCCATCTTCCTCTCTGGAGGGCATCTCACAGCACCATGTGCAAGATGGCTCCCAGCTCTGGGGGCAGCTCTGGGCAGTGGCTATGTGCCCCGGGCATGGCTGCCTCCCCTGGCCCAGCTGGTCCAGCTAGTCCCTACAAACCCCAGCCCACACCTCCAGGAACAGCCTGGGGATGCTATGTGCTTAGAGCGAAGGGCACTGGACCAGAGGTCAGGACAATAAGTGCTTCGCATCACAGGACATTCTTGTCTGTTACCTCCAAGGTTGCACTGGATGAGAAAACAAATCACTCCCCACCCAAGATGTGATTCCCTCAGGGCTCCAGGAGCCATGGGGGTTCTGGGAGTCCCATGGCAGCCTTCCTGAGATGAAGGGGCTGGTCCTGGATGTAGGATGTGTTTGCTGAATGGTGGGAAGGACACAGCCAGTTAGGAGGCGGCATGGGGAGGGTGGTGCTGGGGGAACATTCCCGGCAGGGACCCCAGGGTGGGCAAATCCTGGAGTGGCAAAAGTTAACCTCTGCCCAGGAGGATTCCTCCTCCTCTTGGCAGCCAACATCTCCTGGGGGCCCACGGGAGAGCAGGAACCTGCAAGCCCAAGAGACCTGGGGGATCGCAACTGTACTTCCCACAAGAGGTGTGTTTTGGGCAAATTGTCTCAACCCTGGAGGCTCCGTTTCTTATTCTCATACACCGAACCCATCCCTACTTCTCGGGAGTGATTAAGAGGTGTCTAGACATGGCCATTCCACTGAAGGGAGGATGCTGTCACTCTGCGTCCTTTGCTGAGCTCCTCATTGTGTCAATTGTGTACAAGCTGCACAATAAATGGAAGAGACACAATCTTTTTGATGTGATCAAGGTCTAGTAAAAACAGTGGAGAAACCCTGTGTCCTCTAAAAATACAAAATTAGCTGGGCGTGATGGCTCATGCCTGTAATCCCAGCTACTCAGGAGGCTGAGGCAGGAGAGTCACTTGAACCTGGGAGGTGGATGTTGCAGTGAGCCGGGATCGTGACATTGCACTCCAGCCTGGGCAACAAGAGCAAAACTCCGTCTCAAAAAAAAAGGATGATGAAAATGTCTGGGCATGGTGGCTCACACCTCTAATCCCAACACTTTGGGAACCCAGATGGGAAGATTGCTTGAGTCCAGGAGTTCAAAACCAGCTTGGGCAACATAGTGAGACCTGTCTCTCCATATATATATATATATAATTAAATATATATATATATTTAATTATTTATTTATTTATTTTTGAGACAGGGTCTTGCTCTGTCACCCAGGCTAGAGTGCAGTGGCATGATCTCGACTCACTGCACCCTCCACCTCCTGGGCTCAAGCGATTCTCCTGCCTCAGCCTCTCAAGTAACTGGGATTACAGGCACCTGCCACCACGCCCAGCTAATTTTTGTATTTTTAGTAGAGACGGTGTTTCACCATGTTGGCCAGGATGGTCTCAAACTCCTGACCCCAAGTGATCTGCCCGCCTTGGCCTTCCAAAGTGCTGAGATTATGGGCGTGAGCCACCATGCCAGGCCAAAAAAAAATTTTTTTTAAACTTAGCTGGGCTACTCAGGAGGCCGAGAGAGGAGGATCCCTTGAACCCAGGAGTTTCAGGCTGCAGTGACCTGTGATTAGGCCACTGCACTCCAGCCTGGGCAACAGAGCAAGACACTGTCTCACGAAAAAATATTTTAAAAAAGAATGATGAAAATGTAATATGTCATTTGGGAACATGTCCTAATAATGTAATAACATGTATATGTAGAATAAGTTCATTTTTATAAAGCAAGCATATAATTGTATAAAAGTACAAAAAAATGGCCAGGCATGGTGGCTCATGCTCGTAATCCCAGCATTTTGGGAGGCCGAGGTGGGTGGATCACCAGAGGTCAGGAGTTCAAGACCAACTTGGTCTACTTAGTGAAACCTCGTCTCTACTAAAAATATAAAAAAATTAGCTGGGTGGGCATGGTGGCAGGTGCCTGTAATTCCGGCCACTTGGGAGGCTGAGGTGGGAGAGTTGCTTGAACCTAGGAGGCAGAGGATGCAGTGAGCTGAGATCGTAGCACTGGACTTTAGCCTGGGCGACAGAGTGAGACTCTGTCTCAAAAAAAAAAAAAGAGTAGAATAAACCTGGTATCATATATGTAGCACGCATATTACCAGTGATCATCTTTGTGATTCTGTGGGAATATGGGAAATCCTCATTTTCTACATTACATATTTACATGATTCTTGAACTGAAGAGAAAACCAATACCGATATATTTTTAATTGTGGTTGTGGAGGGCAGTACTAGCTTATTCAAGATTATTCCTAGTAAAGGGCCACTCAAAATTTACTGATTTGAGACCTTTGTTATCATATGATAATTGAGAGCATTTGGGAACTTTTACAGCAAGTTGACATTGCCCAGACTTCCAGAAGTGTCATTAGTAGATGGTTCTTGTTGAACAGGGTATAGACCGCCTTGGGTTACTGAACTTGCATGGCTAGTTGCATGTAAACTAGTCACATGCAGTAAAACCATGTACTACACCAGGGGCAGTGGCTCAGACCTGTAATCCCAGCACTTTAGGAGGTCGAGGCGGGCAGATCATCTGAGGTCAGGAGTTCAAGACCACCCTGGCCAACATGGTGAAAACCCGTTTCTACTAAAAATACAAAAATTAGCCAGGTGTGGTGGCATATGCCTGTAATTCCAGCTACTTGGGAGGCTGAGGTGGGAGAATCGCTTGAACCTGGGAGGCAGAGGTTTCAGTGAGCCGAGATTGTGTCACTGCACTCCAGGCTGGGTGACAGAGAGAGCCTCCGTCTCAAACAAAACAAAACAAAACAAAAGAGGGATGCCAAATCAAACATAAAGTTACAGATATCTATCATAGGATAGCCGGGCACGGTGGCTCATGCCTGTAATCCCAGCACTTTGGGAGGCCGAGGCAGGCGGATCTTGGGGTCAGGAGATCAAGACCATCCTGCCCAACATGGTGAAACCCCGTCTCTACTAAAAATACAAAAATTAGCCAGGTGTGGTGGTGGGCACCTGTAGTCCCAGCTACTCAGGAGACTAAGGCAGAAGAATCACTTGAACCCGGGAGGTGGAGGTTGCAGTGAGCCGAAACTGCGCCACTGCACTCCAGCCTGGGCAACAAGAGCGAAAACTCTGTCTCAGAAAAAAAAAAAAAAAAAAGAAATCTGTCATAGGATTATATGAAGAGACCAATTTTATTTATGTAGGAAATACCTGTCTTTTGACTAGATCTCTGAGCTCTGGGCAGAGCCCACACTGAATCCTGAATCTCCCAAAAGGGAGAATTATTATGAGGCTAGACCATGTGATGCTTTTACAGTGCACTTAAAATTTTTTTTTAAACGAAGACACTTCTAATGTGTAAACTACACTCTTCCTTAAAAACCAGAGGAGGCTTTGGTGCAACAACTCTTTTAGTCAATAAGTCAGGTAACACAATACAAAAGCAGGCAATTTAAGAGCTGAGATGAACTTATCTGCTTACACTCTTGGGGTTTCATAAGGAAAAACAGGTTTCTCCCCAAAAAGGAGTCTGGTGCCTTCTCTGCTTTCTTGAAGGAAAGCCAGGCTATTATAAACTATAATAGTTTAGGTCCCTCAAGCAGCAGAGGGTGCAAGAGAAAGGAGAGGCAGCAGAAGTAAATAAAACAAAACAAAACAAAACAAAAAACAGAACTCAGTCAACTGAGAAAAAAAAATCTTTAACTAAAAAAAAAAAAAAGAGAGACAAGGTCCTAGGAGAAAAAAAAAAATATGTGAAGGCCTTTTCAATACAAACACACACACATACACACACACACACACACACACATGCACAAACACATACACACACACATCTTGGATGTTAGCTTTTAGTTAAGCTGACTTTTAATCATTGAGCTCCTTTAAAAAAATCTTTTAAAATCTCATTACCATAATTCAGCTAGAACAA
Source organism: Homo sapiens (assembly GCF_000001405.40). Lineage (NCBI taxonomy): Eukaryota > Metazoa > Chordata > Mammalia > Primates > Hominidae > Homo > Homo sapiens. Next base: position 46,210,760 of record NC_000010.11, on the reverse strand, counting down.
ATTGCTGCTATTTCAGAAGTACCAAGTATCAAACCGAAAATGGCTTGATTTAGGAACCACACCCAAGCTGTCGTGGTGGAAAAAAAGAAGCCAGAGCCCTTAGCTATGGAACTGCAGTATGGAGTGACAGCCATTGCTCTTTCAGTTTGGCCTGGCTAGCAAAAAGGTGGCCTTGTTATGTAAATAAAGCCCCTTAAGTAGTCAAAGTAAAAAATCTTCCCTGTTTTTTTTTTTCCCCTTTTTTGGCTGTTTTTCTCCCCCACCACAGTGTGGAAATTTAGCCACTTCAGAGGTCTTGTTCCCCATAATTTGGAAGTTTCCTTTGGATTTGATCAAGTCGGATAGAGTTGATCAATCCCAATGGCAAAAAGACTGAAACAACAACAAAAACAGAAACAAACAAACAACAACAACAAAAACAATTAAGCAAAACAAAGATGGCACAACTTATCCAACTACTGAGTGCTCTAATGGTAAAGAGAAATTACAACCAGCTGGTTGTTAATCTTAACTTTAGCCAAGACAACCCCCAGTTTAGTTACCCATCCTTAGGTAAGGGATGGGTCTCAGGCTGAAGACTGCTCTTTACCATCCTAGTGTAGCAGGACGAGCTGCAGACAAAACTCCTCAGACACCGAATTAAAGAAGGAAGGGGTTTATTTGGCCGGGGGCATCGGCAAGACTCCTGTCTCAAGAGCCGAGCTCCCCAAGTGAGCAATTCTTGTCCCTTTTAAGGGCTCACAACTCTAAGAGGTGCGTGTGAGAGGGTCATGATTGATTGAGCAAGCAGGGGGTATGTGACTGGGGGCTGCATGCACCAGTAATTAGATTGGAACAAAACACGATAGGGATTTTCACAGTGCATTTCTATACAATGCCTGTAATCTATAGATAACATAACCGATTAGGTCAGGGGTCGATCTTTAACTACCAAGCCCAGGGTGCGGCGCCAGGCTGTCTGCCTGTGGATTTCATTTCTGCCTTTTAGTTTTTACTTCTTTCTTTGGAGGCAAAAATTGGGCATAAGACGATATGAGGGGTGGTCTCCTCCCTTACTAGAAGAAGGAAGAAACTCACATTTGTCTTCCCCGTTGGAAGCAAGCTCAAACTCCATAAAGGAGTTACCTGCATTTCATCGTCATCAAAGCAGGAAAAACTTGCCTTTCTTGCGTTGGAAGATAGTAAAACTCCAAAAAAAAGGAGTTGTACTGCAAAATAAACTTTAGATCTTGACCAAGTTTTGAAAGATCAGTGATTCTCTGGAGGGGGTGCTTCCAGGCCTGTCTCGGCAAATTGTTCTATTGGTTTGAGCCATAAAGATAGTTCAAGCTGGTACCGAGCACTGATAGGAGATTTGTCAAAGGTCAGGGGAGCCTCCACCCAGAATCCCTTCATGGTTGCCAAAATGTGAGCCTTGAATATCTGAGAAGGGTCTCAGTTAATTTAGGAAGTTTATTTTGCCAAGGTTGAGGAGGCACACCTGTGACACAGCCTCAGGAGGTCCTGATGACACGTGCCCAAGGTAGTCAGGGCACAGCTTGGTTTTATACATTTTAGGGAGACATGAGACATCAATCAATATATGGAAGATATACATTGGTTCTGCCAAGAAAGGTGGGACAGCACAAGCAGTGAGAAGGCTGCCAGGTCACAGGTAGGTGAGTGACAAGTGGCATTCTTCTGAGTTTCTGATTAGCCTTTCCAAAGGAGGCAATCCGATATGCATTTATCTCAGTGAATGGAGGGATGACTTTGAATAGAATTGGAGGCAGGTTTGCCCTAACCCTTTTCCAGCTTGACTTTTCCCTTTAGCTTAGTGATTTTGGGGCCCCAAGATTTATTTTCCATTCAGTGTGTGTGTGTGTGTGTGTGTGTATGTGTGTACATATATACACACACACAAATAAATAAAATGAAAAATCTCATTAAGAACAGCAAGCAGTATGGTATTTTTAACTTGCCCTATTCTATTCTCATCCTCTCCTCGCTGGCTCCACTGCAGCCTTGAAAATTAACAGCCCATAATTACAGTGAAGACCAATAGCCTGGCAGCCACTGGAAAGACAGAATGGGGCTGGATTTCCTTCAAAGCCTCATTCCCAGAGAACTGTCATTTGACTTGGCTGGTGGTTTTCAGAAACATCCCACTGCCAGGATGTCTTTTTCTGTCCTAAGAGCTCACTTAACGAAAAAGCCTTTTCCTTAATGGCATTTGTCAAAAACATTTAAAGGCCGTTATTCAAGTTGGTGCCTGTATGAGGTTGTAGATAACATTTTGGGCAGACAATAGGCTAACTAAAAAGCTTTAAAAGTAAAACAGGAGAATGAGATGTCCATAAGGGCTTTGAAAATTCCAACAGAATGATTCCTAGAAATCTATGAGGCTACTCCCAAGTGTAGGCCTGCGTACATGTTCAGTAAAGACCTGGGAAGGCTCAAAGCTCTCACCTCTGACTGGCCTTGAGGCTCTGGGCAAGCAGGAAGTGAAGGCTAAGGCAGAGATGTAAACTGCCTGGCTGAGTGTTGAAGAGTAGTCCCAGACTACAAAATTATTTCAGAAAGCTCATTAGACACTGAACAACAATAACAGCAGCAACAACAGCAACAACAAATAGGGGGTATAGAATCTGATTTCCAGAGTTGTCACATTAGATCGGGGTCCCCAACCCTGTGGGCCATGGACTAGGTCCATGGCCTGGTGAGGAACTGGGCCACACAGCAGTAGGAGCAGTGAGTAAGCAAGCGAAGCTTGATCTGAATTTACAGCTATTCCCCATCACTTGCATTACTGCCTGAGCTTTGCCTGCTGTCAGATCAATGGTGGTATTAGATTCTCATAGGAGCACCAATCTTAATGTGAACTGAACATGTGAAGGGTCTAGGCTGCACGCTCCTTATGAGAATCTGATGTCTGATGATCTAATGCAATCCCCCTGCAGTGTGTGCATCTGTCACTGTCTCCCATCATTCCCAGATGGGACCTCTAGTTGCAGAAAAACAAGCTCAGGGTTCCCACTGATTCTACATTATGGTGAGGTGTATAATTATTATATATTACAATGTAATAATAATAGAAATAAAGTGCACAATAAATGTAATGTGCCTGTGCCGGGCATGGTTGCTCACACTTGTAATCCCAGCACTTTGGAAGACCAAGGCAGGTGGATCACCTGAGGTCAGGAGTTTGAGACCAGCCTAGCCAACGTGGTGAAACCCCATCTCTACTGAAAATACAAAACTTAGCCAGGTGTGGTGGCAGGTGCCTGTAATCCCAGTTACTTGGGAGGCTGAGGCAGGAGAATTGCTTGAACCTGGGAGGCGGAGATTGCAGTGAGCCTAGATTGCGCCACTGCACTCCAGCCTGGGTGACAAGAGTGAGATTTCATCTCAAAAATAATAATAATATAAATAAATAAATAAATGTAGTGTGCTTGAATCATCCCAAAACCATCTTCCCTACACCACGGTCCATGAAAAAACTGTCTTCCATGAAACTGGTCCCTAGTGCCAACAAGGTTATGATGAACTAATTTACACTCCTACCAACATAGACCAGGTGTTCCAATATTGGAGGATAAGAGAAGATGGATGTCCCAGCTCAAGAAGACAGATTAAATTCACCCTTCCTCTGCCTTTTTGTTTTATTTGGGCTCTGAAGAGATTGAAGGATGCCCATAGATATTGGTGAGGATGATCCTCTTCACTCAGCCTACCTATTCAAATGCTAATTTCTCTGGAAACACAGACATACTCAGAAATAATGTTTTATCAGCCATGTGGGCAACCCTTAGCCCAGTAAAACTGACACATGAAATTAATCATCACAGGGAGGTCTGGGACAATTCACGTCTTTGTTAATTTAAATAGACACATGAAGAAATTATTTTTCCTCTATCTTTTTTCCTTCTTCTTTCTCTTTCTTTCTTTCTCTCTTTCTCTTTCTTTTTGTTTTTAACTAAAGGACATTTTGTAAGCACATGAAACCAGAGAATTGCAGTAGCCATATGGCTACTATGAGGTGAGAAAAAAGAAAGTTTTTGCATCCTGCAGATCTGCCCCATCTATGGTCTTTGTGTTAACTGAGACGACAAATACGTTACTACCTAAGCTTCCTTTAGTAACGTCTTCCACTACCTTTAGGTTAAAACATTTTAAAAGATAAAATTAAAACTATAAAATGTTGTACTTTTAGAGTGGAATAAAGTTGGCTTCCATAAGCTCAGATGTGAATTTTACACTGATTCTGGCCAAATTTTTCAGATAATTTTAGAAAACTGTCTAAAAATACTCTGTAAATCTAGTGTTAATTATTTGACATTACTTTTTCAAATGTTATTAATATTATAGTGTTAGATGAAGAAAGTGTATAATCACTAGGGATGAGTTTAATTTTCTTAAGAAAGACAGATATTGGGATCCTCTAATAATACATTAAATGCCCACTAAAGTCAGAGGTATGTATTTGATAATGTACCTTACTATATTCTTGTGGACAAGAAGGAGCAATATGGATTACGTAATGGAATAATTTGGTAAATTATTTAATGGTTAATAGTTACATATTACTAACAAGTAAAATGGTTTTAACCGGAAAAATTCATTTTTGTTTATATTCTGGTAACATTTTCATCAGTGTTTTAGACATGTTCATCTGTCAAACACATGAAAATTGAAACAACTCTAAGGATTAGCTAATAGGTTGAATGATAAAATAAAAACCTATATAGATGTCTGTGTATTATAATTATGAAACAGCTTTTAGTCAATAAAACTAAATAGGAAAGATCCTTAAATATTACATATTCAACAATAAACCACACACATGTAATGACAATGCTAGGATGAGAGACATATGTTTTAAAAAGCAAGATTTTACTACAACAAGCAGTGTTTAGCTAGCCAGGCTGTAAACCAAGGGTTGGCAAAGTATGGCCTGCAAGCCATATCCAGCCAATAGACTGGTTTTGTAAATAAAGTTTTATTGCAGCATGGACACACTCATTCATTTGTGTATCGTCTATAAATGCTTTCTCACTGCAACAGCAGAGTTGAACAGTTGTATAGAGATTATATGGCCCACAAAACCTAAGATCTTAGCCTCTTTCCCTTTACAGTAAAGGTTTATTAATCCTGCCTAAAAACAATTTAGCGGAATAATTTGGCTACAAGGAAAATAATGATTTTCTCTTATAAGTTTAATGTCTGGACAAGGTTAATGAGAGCTATGTTTTTCTCCAGGTAGAGTATCCTGGACGTGCAGTTTTTTTTGAAAAAAAATGCATCACATTTTTGAGAGTCTGTCACTTGAAGGCATGGTTTAGTCTAATCTTGGTTTATCTCAAATGTAAGTTCAGAAATTGTGGATGTTACAGCAAGACATAATTTGACTCTGAATCAGCAAGTACTTTCAAATATTCAGAACTATCTGGAAGTGAAAACAGCTTCCTCTGTAGACAGACAGCAAGTTTCTTATCCCAGAACCCTGTAGATAGACCATCTGTGAAAGTTATAATCAGGAGATTCACAAATGTGATAATGATGACACAGTCACATTGACAATGAGGCTTTTAGTCATACAGATTAAATATGTACTCTATTGTGCAAACCTCCTAGTAATTGAGAATAAACTTAATCTTGGGCTACAAGTAGGTACAAAGTATTCCCAGTTAGATTTTACATGTATACATTTTGAAACTATTACTTTTTTAAAAATAAAGCAATGACTTTTTTAAATTATTTATTTGTTTATTTATTATTTATTTATTTATTTTTAAGGAGTCTCACTCTGTCACCCAGGTTGGAGTGCAGTGGCGTGATCTCGGCTCACTGCAACCTCTGCCTCCGCGGTTCAAGCAATTCTCCTGCCTCAGCCTCCGGGGTAGCTGGGACCACAGGCATGTGCCATCATGGCGTCCTTGGTGTTACCTAAAAATAAAGCCAAGGGTGATCAGAAGGTAATCACCTCCTGGTCATGCTCCCACTGGTCACCAGTGTCCGCGGGGCGACCCCACATTGTGATCAGAGCAGGCCTGTGGCTGCGCTCAAGGCGGGAGCGTTCATAGCTTTCCTAGCGGGGGCCCTGCGGGACGCCCAGGCCGCGCTTCTTTCCCTTGCTCACCTGGACCTGAAGTGATGGGGGAGGTGTAACAATGCAGTGGGAATGCCGAAGTGTGTCTCAGCCGTGCCTTTCACATTCCAAACAATGCAAAAGCTTGAAGAAAACCTCAGCAGTTGAAACCGTGATGCAGTTCAGCAAAGAAGTAGCTCCTGTCCTGGTAAAACAGTGAAGTTCTCACGGACGACCTCATTGAGTAAGTTGTGAAGCTTGTTGACTTGATCAGAATGATCAGCCAGCATACATGTTCTAATACGCTGATTTGTCACTGATAGGAGCAGCTGCAAAGTGGAAGAACAGGCCTTTAGTCATAGTTTGTTCACTTGGTAGCACAAGTTGGTTGTGGATGCAAGAGTGTGGCCAAAGTCAAGAAAAGCTTCCATGAGAATCGCTTACTTATGTGGAATTTACAAATAAAAAGTAGTGGTATATTATTTGTAAATTGTAGGCTACACATGTATCTAAAATTTACTGCACACACGTGTGTTATCTTGGGTGGTTGGGTTAGTGTGTTCTTGAGAATGTCAGGAAGATTTATTTTGGATTTTGGAGGGTGTGAGATTTGTGGGGGTGGTTTTGTGTATGTGAAAATGTGTTTATATGAATTCTTAGTTTGGAATTTGATATGTATTTAATTGGTGAGAATCTAATATGTATTCACGTGTGTGGGTTGGTTGTGTCTGTGTGGAGATTGCAGATTAAAGAAGGTCATAACTGGGCTGGGCAGTATTGTGGAACTGTATGTGTATTTGGGGATATGAGGTGGCATGTTTGCATATTTGTGGCGTGTTAGTTAATCACGGGTATATTTAGGGCATGTAGACAACTACATGAGTATTGAGTTTGTGTGTGCATTTAAGGGCGTGGCAGTTTAGATGAAGGTTTTGTGGAGCTATGTGCTTCTGTTTTGCAGTAAGTGGTTATTAGGGTTATATATTCTGGGAATTTAGTATGTGTGTGTCTGATAGAGAGATGGGGTTCTCTTTTTATACAGGAGAGTGGGAGAGTTGAATTTATATGTATTAGAGGTATGTGATATGGTTATTGGTTAGTACTTGGCAATGTGGGAGCTGGTTCATACTAGATTGGGATAATTTGGGATTGGGAAGTGTTTTTATGGGTATTTATAAATGATATGCTGGAGATATTTCCATGCATCTTGGGTGTATATGCTGGTTTGTGTGTATATTTATCAGCAGATAGACGAATTATCTAAGTCTATTTATAGAATACGGGATTGTTAGTATTTAAAGTGTATTTCTTTGGAGAATGCTAGGATGTTCGTACATGTGTTTGGGCATGTTTAGGGGATGAGGTGAGGAGGTTGTATTCTGGAGATGCAGCATATTGATTGGATAGTGTTTCGGGGGATTTATACACTCAGGGATTGGGGATATTTTTGTGAGTTTTTATGTGCCCATGGGTATATGAAAGTTGTGTGCGTATATTAGAGTATTATTGGTGTTTTTGTGGGGTTTTTTTTGCATTGTATGGGTTTTATCTGGGAGGGTGGGGTGTGTATTCATGGGTAGTTTGCGAGTGTGTATATGAGGGGTTTTGGGTATATTAAGACTTAGTGGTCCTCTGTGTCTGTTGTGAAGTGAAATACTCGCAGAATTTGGTGTTGCCACTCATATGTGTGTTCTCAGAGTTCGTGAGGTGGACTTATATGTATTTGATAAAAATAGTTTGTGGTTCTTTGTGTATTTGAGTTTATGTGGCTTCTGTATTTTGTATTCTGGGAGATGTGGGAGGTTCAGTGCATGTCTTTGGAAACAGAGAGGCTGTGTAGGTTGTGTTTGCATTCAAGAATCATGGATTCCTGTATTTCAGAGCTGTGGGATTGTATGTGATTCTTTTTCTGGGTGATGCATGACACAAGTGTTGTATACCTTGTGATTTTTTGGGGGGCCTATGCCTATAGGATTTTCATTATGTACTGTTAACAAATCTACTGAAAAGGATTTTCTTAAAAAAACAACTCAAAAACAGGAAAGATAAAATCCATCATTTTGTTTTACTACCCAGATCCCTTCCGTAGCTGTCATACAGAGTGTGATTTATGACTTGTAAGTTGTGCTATGGAGCTTGACAAGTAAGTTTGATTTCATTTAATATTTTCTTTAAACCATCTTAGATCTTCTCTTTGACAAGTATTTCATCTATTACTGTTCTCAAAATGTAAAATGGGTAAGTTAATGAGAACAAAAATTGTGCCCTAAGATATATTTGCATTATTTACATATTTGCAATTAAATCTTAACAGATTTAATTGTAATAGAATCTAACAGTTTTCCTCTTGAAATTTTTTAGACACCAGAAATTTTTATTCCTAATAAATAATGTTTATCTTCCTAGTCACAAACCAAACAGAAAGCAAATTTCATCAGAGTTTAGAATGGTTAAAACCAACATAGCTGCAATATTTTTATTTTTGTTTTAAAATTTTGTTTAATCAGTAAATCAATCAGAGTTGACCATTATGTAATCCACAGACCTTGAAATAACAGATATATTTCTCTGCAGATCAATATCTATATACATTTTTAAGATGAGTAGAAATTCTCCTGAAGGTCATAAAGAAAAAGTATGTCACATAATACAGTAAATAAAAATAATAATTGTTATTAATTTTTTCTGCTTATTATGTTCCAGAATCTGTACTAAGCATTTTAGAGGATTATTTTATTTAATTCCCACAATAATCCCTTGAGAAATATACTACAGTTATTATCTTTAATTCACAGTTACTGAAAATGAGACACAAAGAGGTTAAGAATTTTGTCCAAGGTCAGGCAGCTAGCGTGACTTAGCAAGGGTGTAATTAAGAAAAAATATGTTTTTCTTATCTTATGGGAAATTTGGAAAAGCAAATATCTACATTCTCTTTTTAATTAAAAAATATAAAATATAAAATGTGAGTCTCTCTTAAAGCAGCGAATCAACTTTAATTAAATTGAAACAATACACAATCCTTTGTTGTTCAGGCTCTATATTATTATTATCTCTGCTGACAGCAAAAGCTAAGAATAGAAAATATTTCTGATCCAAGTTGGTAAATTATGAATCAACCTGCTAAAGAATCAGAATAGACTAACAAATGGAATTAAATGTGATTATTGTATATTACATATATAATATAAAAATTTCTTATTGTTATAGTTTTACTAAGATTCTACCAGTTTCAACTCAAATATAACATTTAAAATCCAAGCTTAATAAAAGAACTTGGCATGAGATGTTTTCATAGGAAATAGTGACAATTCATATTATTTTTAATTAAGTGTAAATGAGATGTATTATTTCTGTATTTCATTTTCCTTCTAAAAGTTATCTTTAAAGTTTTTTTTCTTTCTTTTTTTCTTTTTCTTTTTCTTTTCTTTTTCTTTTTTTTTTTTTGAGACGGAGTCTCGCTCTTTCGCCCAGGCCGGACTGCAGTGGCGCGATCTCAGCTCACTGCAAGCTCCGCCTCCCGGGTTCACGCCATTCTGCTGCCTCAGCCTCCCGAGTAGCTGGGACTACAGGCGCCCGCCACCACGCCAGGCTAATTTTTTGTAGAGACAGGGTTATTTTTTGTATTTTTAGTAGAGATGGGGTTTCACCATGTTAGCCAGGATGGTCTCGATCACCTGACCTCGTGATCCGCCTGCCTCAGCCTCCCAAAGTGCTGGGATTACAGGCGTGAGCCACCCCGCCCGGCCTAAAGTTTCACTTTTTCTGAAGTTGATAGCTATTACTAACTGTTTTGAGCAAAGTTTTTTGAGATAGATTAATTTATAAAATTAGGAAGAAACTAAAGTAGTTGCGAAAGTTTCTAAAAAGATAATAAAGTAGTTGTCTCTATGTTATAATAGAAAATGAGAATGTGAATGCAGATCATTTTGATTCTCAGAGTTTGTGTTTTCAGCAAATATTACCTGAATATTGATATATAAATTAGAATTCCCCAAAGGAAAACATTTAAAAATGTTAAAATTAATAAAATCATTAACTTACATACTTGTCCTTAGTATCAGGACAATCTCCAGTGGATTCAACAGAGCATCTGCAGTTTTGTTGAACAAAGTCTATATTCTGCAATATAGACTCATGGTGTGAGCTTACTGGTCACATTCTTTGTTCCTTCTTGGAGCTTTGGGAGGCATTTATAAAAGAGCTGCTGCAGTAGAAGGACTGAGTTGTATCACCCTGAGGATTTAAGTTTCTATGGAGAGAATCAAATTCACTTTAGTATAGGGATTTAGTAGGTTTCCCTAGCCTTATTAATAAAATACTAGTACGACATGAAAAATGCATACTTTGTCTTAAAATAATCCAATTAAGACACTATTTTTGCATAGCAAAATTCTTTACCAAACACCAGTTGCAAATCAAGTGAAACTGCTTTGGCAAGAGGTGATCATAACGCTCTCCTACTCCTGCCCTTTCCTCCTACTCCAGCTGAAAATACTTGCTGCAAATGTCCTTTTATAGGAGACTTTGACTCCAAGGTGTAGAAAAGGAAAGGAAAAGGTCAGATATATATGTCTTGTCTATAACTGAAACCTAATACCAGCACAAAAGCCTAAAAGAACCGATGTTTAGAGGGCGTTGGCAGGAAACTCTTTGCTCTGCTATCATCTGTTTTAAGCTACTTTGATACATGATTTATTTTTTCAGCTTCTACTCTGCTACTATTCAACTGCAAATGCAATTTGTTATATTGTACACTTCAACACCTTGAACAATATCTTAATTATTTTTGAAATGTATTACAAGTTCATAAAGAAAACAGCATTTTGTTTCTTCAGTCATCTACTTTGGATGAACGTGTTATTTAGAAAAGAATAAATGGGAAAAATGATATATTAAAAATAAAAATTGCATATTAACTTTTTAGATCAAATAAACCAATTTTAAGCATTTTCATGGACATTTATAACGAAAATAGATAAACATTTAAATACAGATGATTTAATTCAGTATTTTGTTTCTTGAAAATATTGGAATATGTGTTTTAGATAATGCATATATTTCTGTTATTGAAAAATAAGCTTTCAATAGTCAGCTGACTTCATATGTAAATAATAATACCATTTTAAACTTATTCAAGGATTTAGGTGTCCTTAAATATGATTTTATAACTTATTTTACTCCCTTAAAGTAAATATTTATGGCATCTGTAAGTCATTGTAAAATTGTAAAACTGGCATAGCATAGTATACAGATTGTCCTTTGTAATATTTTATAGTATTCACATTTGTATTTAATCACAAATTTGATACAATTTAGCCAAACCTTCAATACATTTATGAAGAGGGCACTAGTGAGACTTTATACAATGGAATAAAATAACAAAATGTGCTGACAGCATTTTTCCACTCAAAGAGGTATATATATTTTTTATACTATCTAATTCTTTAACTAACTTTATTTTTTTAGCATCCAGTGGTGGAGAACATTACTGGAAGTGTGATTAAGGCTATTATAAGATACATAAACTGTATGGCATAAGCATTTTCAACTCAACTTCACACTCTACATTGTTTATGAACTTAGTATGCCAGCTTTTTAAGTGTGGTGGGATCTGGTATTCCACACTTATATGTCTCTGAATCCCACCCTTGTACTGATGCCAAGATGAACTGAAGCAAGGATGAATTTTTCTCTTACATAGAAACATGAATATATTCCGAACTGGAGTGAGCTCTCACTAGCGGTTTGCCTATGGTGATTACTTTGTGCCTTGTAATGGGTCATGTAGTATCCTCATAAGGGAGTGTCTGTGTCCTAGACCCTCTCCCATTCCAGTACCTGTAAATGTCACCTTATTTTGAAATAGGAGCTTTACAGATATAATAAAGTTAAAGAACTCAGGGTGAGATCATCTGAATTTAGAGTGAGTCATGGGTAGTTGGGACACAGAAACACAAGCAAGGTCATGTGAAGATAGAGACAAAGGTTAGAGTTATGCTGTCACAAGCCAAGGAGTGCCAGGAGCCACCAGAAGCTAGAAGAGGCAAGAAAGGATTCTTCCCTAGAGGCATCAGAGGAAGTATGCCTCTGCCTCCACCTTGATTTTGGTCTTCTGGCCTCCTATAATTGAGAGAGAATTTTTTGTTTGTTTGTTTGTTTGTTTTACTATTTTAAGCCACAAATTTTGTAGCAATTTCTTTTGGCAGCACTGGGAAACTAGTTAATGCCTCTATTATTTGGTTAAACAAAAAACATTATTAAGTATTTTTAAAACAATGTATAACAGTGTTGATTATGGTAAGCATACAATTTATAATTAGATAGGTTTCTGTGTAAAATTTCATGTTACTGTATTGATTTGTTTTAACCACACAAGACTTGCTTGGATGTGGTACTATTGAATACCATCCCCATTCCCTCCTGTCCCACAGCTTTTTGAAATTTATGGGGCTTTGTTCTAGACTGAATATTCCTTTTCCTTCAAATTTCATATGTTAAAGCCCTGCCCCACAATGTGACAGTATTGGGAAGTGAGGCCTTTGAGAATTAATTAGGTTTAGACAAAGTCATGAGTGTAGGGCCCTCTTCAATGGAATTAGTGTCCTTATAAGAACAGGAAGAGAGTCTATAGAGTGCTCTCTCTCTCTCTTTCTCTATCTGCTGTTTGAGGATACAGCAAACCGGGAAGAAGACCCTTACCAGGAAACAAATTTGCTAGTACCTTAATCTTGCACTTTCCAGCTTCTACAATTGTAAGAAATGTCTGTTGTGTAAGCCATTCAGTCCATAATATTTTGTTATAGAAGCCTGGACTGACTGATATAGGCTGGAACATGCTGGAGAGATGGTACAAAAACTAATTTTAGAAAAATATTTTAAGTTGTAAGATCTGACGCAAAAATCACTTAAATATTTCCATTTACATCACCAAATTACTCCATTTACAGTATCAAATTAAGGAAATTTATGTTTTATTCAAGCCTTTTAAAATCAGCACACCCACCTTGCGGAAGTAATTAATAACCCATGATTATTAATTATGTTTGCCAAGTTAATTTTCATCCAGTATTACTTGCAAGGAAAGTTTGAAATTGATGAATCATCTTCCTCTTGAGATGTCACTTGTGGAACTAAAGGCTACCTATAATTTCTGTAATCGTTACTCTTTAATGGAACTTTAAACTTCTAAGAAAAATATTTCAATATATTGTTAAATTGACTTAAATGACTAAGATTGTGGTGGAGAGGATATTTCCCCAAACTAACTCTTTCTATGATACTTAGGGGTTCATTGTAATAGTAACACCTTGCTAGCAATCATCTGCTAGTGATTTGCTCATGGAAGAAGGCTAAGGAAATTTAGGTTTGATGACCTTTTTCAGGGTTTCTGGGAAAGCAAAACCTGCCTCTCTCTACCACCCACTGCAAACAAGCATGTTGTCCAAGCTACTGCTGCCAACCAGGTCACATCCATTAGTGAAGTCAATGCTGTGAAGAGAGACATTCAAACCTGGGTCACTGATAATATCATTTTCAATTTCTGACCCAATCAATTCTGGGTCTCCCAATTCCTCTCTCCGTGGTCTTATTGTAGTAATACGTTTTTTAAACTGTTGAAGTCACATTGAGCGGAAATTTCCCTTAATTACAACTCTTAATATTTTAACTATTTATGCTAAGTTTATTTGTTCCAGAAAAAGTACTTTAATTCACTTTCATTTTTGTAGGACTTGAATTTTTTAGGGCAGTTTCAGTTTCACAGAAAAATTAAGAGGAAGATAGAGATTTACCATATATATATATATATAGTTATATATATTATATATGATAATATACCATATATTACTATATATGTCTTACATGTATGTGGAGGCAGGGTGTATGTTTTTTTATATATATAAAATATATATATACACACACCCTGACATAATGTGTATATATAATATATATATAATTATATATATTATAAATATATATTATATATGTAATATATCCTGCCTCCACATGCATGGCCTCCTTCATTATCATATCCTCCTCCAGAGTGGTACAACTGTTAAAATTGCCTCACCTACATTAATACAATTTTATTACCCAGTGGTAAATATACATAACATAAAAGGTACCATTTAATCATTTTCAATTCTAAAACTCAGTGATATTGAATACATTCACAATGTTGTATAATTAACACTGTTTTCATAACTTTTGTATCACATCAAACAGAAGTTCTGTACCATTAAGCACTAATTCTTCATTCCCCTTGCCCCAGCCTCCATGCTCTGGAAACATGCAATCTGCATTCCCTCTACATGAATTTGACTATTCATGATCTTTCATATAAGTAGAATCATATACTGTTTGTCCTTTTGTGTCTGGCTTATTTTATTTAGCATAATGTTTTCAAGGTTTATCCATGTTGTAAACATGTATCAGAACATCATTCCCTTTTTATGGCTAAATAATATTCCCTTGTATGTACATGCCACATTTTGTTTATCCACACATACAGGTTTGTTTTCACTTTTTGACTCTTGTGAATAAGAATGAGTGATGTTATCTGGCGTGTGCATGCAGCCACTTTCTTACTAAAGACCAATAGCATCAAGCACTCTACTAATGGTTGTTATTTATCTGATTAGGATCCAGAGTTCCAAAAAGGTTAATTCTTATTTTTTGCAGTTTAATGGCAGTTTTTGTGGAGGGACTGACTTCTAAAACTTCCAATCTTCTAAAATCCACTTTAAAAGAATGGTTTAAATTATGTGCTTGTAGGATGAAATTGATAAAAAATTATTTTACCAACTTTCAAAATTGCATCACAGAGATAATGTCCTTTGACTATTGGGTGTTCACATATTTGGCATGTTATAAACAACTTTCTGGAAGATAAAGGCCTTTTGTCTCATACTTAATATTAAGACAGGAACCAGTGTGCTAGCAATGGCTTTTGGGTTTGATGTGATATATTTGTATGTAATGATTTTTTTAAAAGTTAGAGTGAAAAATCCTCTCATACAAAACAAAATAGTTTTTACTGTTATGAGAAAGCAGTCATTAATCACTTACAAAACATGCAAGTATCTTTATGATATTTGGTGATTTATTTTTCTCCAGTCATCTTGTGGAAAAAGTTTAGGTCTCTGAAGATTTCTCAGTGCGTCATAACTGACAGCAGCAGGAATGTGGTTTTGCTAAAGGCAACAGAAAAGCAAAACTGTCTCAAGGTTTTAATATTAATCCAAAGGTTAAACTTTCTTACCTTAATGTTGCTGCTTTCTGTATGCACATCCCAAAGGAGGTAGGAAGGTGGAAAGGACGGAGGAAGGTAGAAAATGTAGAAAATTAGAAAATTAGGTAAACTTAAAAGGTAATAAGACTAACATTCATTCATTCACATTAAGCTCCTACCTTGTACCACATTCTGTTGTAGGCCCTGTGGATATAACACAGGGCCTTTCCTTTTTTCCTGTGAAAAAAAGGAAAGAAAAAAATATATGCCTTTTTGGAGCTTACATTCTCTTGGAAGGAGATATATAATAACATAAAAAATTAAACTATATAATATGTTAAGTGTTGCTAAGTGCTATGGAGGAAAGTAAAGCAGACAAAGCAAATAAAGAACACGAGAAGGAGATACAATTTTAAGTAGGGAAATAAGGAAGGCATGACAGAGACAGTAGCATTTGAGTGAAAGACTTGAAGAAGGTGATGTGGTTTGACTGGGTCCCCCACTAAATCTAAAGCTTGAATTGTAGTTCCCGTAATCCCTTAATGTGTCATGGGAGGGACCTGGTGGGAGACAATTGAATCATGGGGGCAGTTACCCCCATGCTGCTGTTCTTGTGATATGAGTGAGTTCTCATGTTCTCTGAGGGTTTTATCAGGGTTTTTTCCCCCATTTTGCTTGGCACTTCTCCTTGCTGCCACCATGTGAAGAAGGATGTATTGCTTCCCCTTCCACCATGATTGTAAGTTTCCTGAGGTCTCACCAGCTGTGCAGAACTGTGACTCAATTAAACTTCTTTCCTTTATAAATTACCCAGTCTAGGATATGTTTTTATTAGCGGCATGAGAAGGAACTAATCCAGGAGGTAAGGAAACAATCCAGGGGGGAATTTGAAGACAGGTGTTTTCAGTCAGAGAAACCATGTACAAAGCATCTAACGTGACAGTGCTATGGTCTGAATGTTGACAACCCCCCCAAATTCATACGTTGAAGTCTAATTCCAGTATGATACTATTAAAAGTTAAGGTCTTTGGAAGGTGATTATGTCATGAATACAGAGCCTTCATGAAGGAGATTGGTGCCTTTATAAAGGATGCCTGAGGGGATTGGTTTGTCCCTTCCACCATATGATGACTCCACCATATGAAGAATAAGATGGGTCTATGAACTAGGAAATAGGGCCTCATCATATACGGAATATGTCAGCACTTTGATCTGGGACTTAGCTTCCAGAATTGTGAAAAATAAATTTCTGTCATTTATAAGCTACTTAGTCTATGGTATTTTGTTATAGCTGCTCGAATGGACTAACACAGAGACAATTCCCAGGCTGCCCAAAGAGCACCAGGAAGTGTTGGGTGCAGTAAAGATGGAACAGAGGCACAAGGGGAAGAGCAACAGGGCTGTGATCAAAGAGGTGTGCCTGGTGGGGAGCATGAGTAGAGCTGTATAATCTGTACAATAATGACTGAGAGTGGAATTAGAAGTCCTTAAAAGTGAGTGAGCAGAGTGGCATGATCTCTATGATATTATGTTATATTCTTGCTTGGGTATTGAGAATAGACTGAAGGTGAGGGCTAATGCAGAAGCAGGAAGGGGGATAAAAATTCAGATGAGACATGATGTTGGCTAGGCCTGGGTGGATAACAGCAGTAGTAAAAATTATTTAAATGTTTTGAAGGTAGGTTTGCTGAGAAGTAAAGGATGTGTGGAGATTATTGGATTGAGAATTGTATAAGGACTGTATTGTATATTGTATGAGATTGTAGATCCAGGATGAGTCACAGTATTTTTGAAGTTGTAGTAAATGGAATGAACTAGAAAGATAGAAGTTAATGTTCAGAAGGCAGGAAACTTAAAAGTTAGATTGTAAAAATTTGCAATTAGGAGTAATAACATGGTTTGAGCTGAGATCATGAGATTGAATAGCTAGATACTGAAGATAGCAAGTACGTTGGAAATGACGAGGTCAAATGTCAAAGAAGATAAGTAATTTAAATGAGATATCAAAATAATGGCAGTAAGTCAGGTTGTAAAGACTTCAAAGAATGAGGGAAAGTGACTAAACATTGGGAGAGTGATCAATATAATCAAATGGTATGAGATTCCAAGCTGGAGGGGTTTGAGGAGAAGGAAGTAGAAGTATTCTGCAAGAGGACACTTATTCTACTTCTAGAGGCAGTGGTTAGAGCGCTGAGGGTGAGAACTAGTCTGCACTTGGGGGGCTACATGAGAAGCAGCAGCATCAGTGAGAGACAGATGACAGTAAGAATGAAAATGTAAAGGGAAAATTGAGAAATTATAAAAATGGAGATTCTTCTGTGTACTGTGTACATTTCTTACAGAAGCTTTCAACACATTTAATTTCATTTGAATCTTGCAATACTCTTGAGAGATATTATCATTCCCCTTTTACCAAAAAAAGGCTGACTGGCCAAGATCACATAAAATCACATAAATAATAGAAGTCAAAAGTATGACTTTAACCCATCTAGTGTTACAAGAACCACATAATCTTCAATAAATTGAGAGTATCTTAACTAATTAATTAAATTTTAAAAATTAATAATTTTTTAAAAAGATGTATTCAAGTTATAAATTCAAAGAGAAATGAACATATTACTTAGAAACAGCCCCGGATTAGAGTCCCAATTATATCACTTAATAACTGTGTGGTTTAGGTAAGCCATGTAAAGTTGCTGTACTACTTAAATTTAAAATAAAGACAATTTTACCTAAGCATAAAATTGTTGTTATGTTATTGTGCAGTTATAAATCACTTATTAAATTATAAATTTATGATAATTATTAAAGAGAATACTTAATTTTAAGCCATAAGGTCTTCTATTAGAAAAATATTCAAATATAATGTGATATATCACTCATTTTTATAAATAAAAATATAAAATTAATTATAGCCTTAATAAAAAATTTTGGAAGTGCATTACCAAGACTAAATTTATATTTCATAAAATGAATAAATTTAAGATGTATACCTTAACTTTATGTATTTCTGCACTCATATTCACACCAGCCATGTTAAGGTAAGGAACAGTTTCACTACCACAGAAAATGTTCTGGTGCTTTATTCCAGTCAGTAACAACCACTGGTCAAATTTGTCTGGAATCATACAGATTTTACACTTTTGTATCTGACCTATTTTACTCAACATGATGTTTTGGAGATTTATCTATGCTGTTTTATGTGTCAATATTTTATTTTCTATTGCTATGTATTATTACTCTGTAAGTCAATATTATAATTTGTTTATCTCTTCTCCACTTTATAGATGTTCCATCCAGTTTTTGCCTACAAAAAAAACCTGCCATGAATAATTTTATATCTGTCTCTATTGTGTGAATACACACCCTCATTTATTTTTGGTATATACCTATAAATTGAATCACGATGTCATTGGGTATTTGTGCAGTTTAACTTTATAAGAAATTGCCAAACTTCTTTAAAATATAGCTGTAAATTTACTCTCCCACCACGAATGTATGAGATTTTCTTTGTTTCATAGCCTTTTCAACACTTGCTATATTCAGTCCCCAATTTTTTTTCTTAAGAGATGGGGTCTTGCTCCATCACACAGGCTGGAGTGGAGTGGCACAATCATAGCTCACTGCAGCCTTGAACTCCTGGGCTCAAGCTATCCTCCCATATCGGTCTCCAGGTATTTAGCCATTTTAATTTTACCAGTTCTCTTGGATATGTAATGACATCTCATTGAGGTTTTTATTTTCATTTTTTCTGATGACCAACTATGTTCAGCACATTTTCTTTTCCTGATTCCCCATTTGGCTGTCTTCTTTTATGAACTGACCGTTCAAGTCTTTTGCCCACTTCTAATTGAGTGATGTATCTTCTGCATAACAATTTGTAGGATTTATTTACTTTCCATAGAAATATTTTGTCAGGTCTGTGTATTTCAAATGTGTTATCTCACTGTGACATTTCTATTCATTTTTCATTGAGGTAAAAACATAACTTGTGATCTATCCTCTTAGTAAGGTTTTAAATGTACACTATAGCACCGTTAAGTATAGGCGTGATGTTGCACAGAAAATCTTTAGAACTTACGCAACTTACACAACTGAAACTTTATACCTGTTGAACAGCAACCCTTCTTCCTCCTTCCCCTAACCATTCTATTCTCTATTTCTATGAGTTTGACTATTTTAGAAAGCTCATATGTGTGAAATCATGCAGAATTTATCCTTCTGTGACTGGCTTATCACGCTTAGCATGATATCCTCCAGGTTCATTCATGTTCTTGCAGATGGCAGAATGTCCTTGCTTCTTAAAGCTGAAAATATTCCATTGTATTTATACGCCACATTTTCTTTATTCATTTATGTGCTGATGGACATTTAAGTTTTCAGATTTTGTTGTTTTGTGAGTAATGCTGCAAAGAACATGGGTATGCAGGTAACTCTACCACATCCTGATTTCCATTCTTTTGGAATGGAAATTCCAAATTACCCCTCCTAATAAGTGGTAAGTGATATCATATTTTGGTTTTTATTTGTATCTCTTTGATCATTAGTGACGTTGAACATCTTTTCATATACCTTTTGGCTATTTGTATGTCTTTGAAGAAAATTTATTCAATCATTTTGCCTCCCTTTTTAAGTTATTTTTTTCTGTTGTTAGGAGTTCCTTATATATGTAATGAGGTTTTTTTGAATAAATGAATATAAGTTTAATATAGTAAAAACATTAACAATTTTTATTTTTATGTTTAATACATTTTGTGCTCTCGAAAAAAAATCATTATTTATCTCACTCAAGATCATTATGATGTTCCTCAAAGTATTCTTCTAGAAGCTTTAGCATTTATATTTGGGTCTGTGATCCATCTTACATTGAATTTTGTGCATGATATGAGTGAGATATTAAGATTAATGAAAATGCTAATTATAATAGATTCTCAGGTCCTAGCCAAAGCTTTTGTATATTGGGATCTCTTGAGATCTAGGTTATTTAAAGGTAATAGACGATCAGTATTAATGAATTTGTTTTCTTTTTCCATCTGGTGGTTCTCAACCTTTGTTCCATATTATCATCAAGTGGTTTGCTTGCTTGCTTCTTTTTGTCATTGCTTTTAGTAGCACTGCCTCAATCCTACCTTCAAAAATTCTAATTTGATAACCTGGACATCAGGATTTTTGGGGAGAAGGGGACAGGGTCTCACTTTGTCACCTGGGCTAGTGTACAGTGGCATGATCATAGCTCACTGCAGCCGCAAACTCCTGGGCTTGAGGGATGCTTCTGCCTCAGCCTCTCGTGTAGCTTGAATTACAGGCTTGAGCCACCATGCCTGGTGACATTGGGATTGTAATGGGTCTCCAGGTGAATCTAATATAAAGCCAAGTTTAGGAATCATTGACAAGCTCCAAAAGCCTGGAAAAAATGTATACATGAAGATAGAGGTTAGTGTTACTCTCTCCTTGGATGAAAACACCTGACAAGTTTTATTGATTTATTGGGAAACAACGCTGGAAGCAGTTTCTCCTCTGCCTCTTTAATCCCTTGGCCAGTGCAATCTTGAGTTAAGCATAGACTCACTATTAAGTCTTGTAGGGTGAATACATCTTTACTTCAACTTTTCATCCACTTTATCTTCATCTCGGAGAATTATTGTGAAAAAAAAAGTTCTCAGTGTATAACTCATATTAAGTAAAAGACATATAATATATTGTAATAATTCAGCAAATATTGCTTGTGGTGTTTTACCTACTTTACACTTGTGGAAAGTTTAAGGAAAAATTTTAAATAGTCCTACATTATTTTCATAGAAGAATCACAGTAAAATAAGAACTTTGCAAGTCCACCATTTTACTACGTTGCATTATTTGAAAAGAAAACTAATTTTGAAGTGTCTGATGATTTCAAAACACAGTTCACTATTATTTAATTAGTGAAAGGAGATGCATGCGAGGATTTGAAATAGAATTTTTAACATTGACTTAGATACTTTCCCTAAATGTATTAGACATAAAAGTAAATGGTATTTATATATTTGTTTGTAAGATGCTATAATTTTAAATTTAAATGTCTATGTAGCTTTTTCTGAAAGAAGCTGTTCTACTATCATAGAAGCAATTTTGGGGCATTTCTCTTACTTGATTGACTCTTTTCTTATCCAGATGCTACCCATTTTCAAGATTGCACAGACTCCACTTCTATAAGGGAACTCAGCCCACAAGGCTCTCATGTACGTCAGTAACATCTATATCTTTATTATACCACATATGCCTTGCCCTATCAAATGAAATTGTATACCACGAAGTCAGGACCATATCTCACCTCCTCTGTAAACTCCACAATGCACAGCATAGTGTTACTCATGGGAAAAATGAAATACTTTTGATTGAAATGGGTTAACATTCTTCTCATGTTAAGGAACATACTTCTTTAATTGTACCTGTTGTTATGCCGGTTGTAAGACTTACTCTTTTCTCCAGAGTTGATATCAATAATTTCAAAACATATAAGAATTGAAGATAAATGGGGAAACAAACAATTTATGAAGGTCAAAACTATGAAGTAAATTTCAGTTCATGGTTATTTGGTAGAAAAACTAGGTTGGAGAGTATGGTTCACATTTGAGACCAAATTAAATATTATTTAATAGATTTCTTTCACACTTAGTTGAAGGAAAGCATGCAGTAAAAATTTAGCTTGACCAAAAACCTGACTTGCTCTTGGCAAAAATTGTGGTGGAGAGAGAGAGAGAGAGAGAGAGAATGAATAACCTCTACCCTGTGGGAGGGTCTTTCCATTCCAAATGGCACAAGTAGAGAATCTGATGAATCCGAGCCTAGGAAAGTCAAAAAGGAAGCAGACTGGCATCCAGTCATTGAAGACAATAAACCTGAACACTAAGAAGACATGATTAAATAAATGTCAGGTTCTGAACAATTAAACTGGTTACTTCTGTTACATTGAAGTAAAGAGAGAATACCTTGGAGTCTAACATAGTTTTCCAAATAAAAAGATAATGAGGCAGAAGATGACACTTTGTTTACTAAATTTTCTAGTTCATACTGAATAGTTTAAGTAGAACTTGAAAGCCAAGGTCTCAGGGAACCATTTTTAAAGTGCTTTTCAAAGAGCTCATATTAAAATAATTATTTTATATGTAAATAACAAATAATTAGATATGAGGCTCACAAATGAAATATTTATGTTCATATAATATGGCTAATGTATGGTAACAATAGTATTAAATCTATAGATCTATGATGGGAGAATTACTAGAAAAGCAATAGTAGGTCTCCCAATCCATGAGCATGGAATGATTTTCCATTTGCTTAGATTATTAGTTTTCAGCATACAGTCCTTACACACATTTTGCTAAATTTATTTCCAAGGGTTTATTTGTATAGTATTGTGAATATAATTATTTTCTTAATTTTTTTAAGAGATAAAGTGTCTTTCTCTATCTACCAGGCTGGAGTGCAGTAACTTGCAATGATAGCTCACTGCAACCTCGAACTCCTGGGCTCAAACAATCCTCTTGCCTCAACGTCCTGAGTACCTAAGACGGAGAGGTGAATGCCACCATGCTTGGCTAATTTAAAAAAATGAATAAATTCATAGAGAAGAGGATTTGTCTTTGTTGCCCAGGCTGGATCTGAACTCCTAGCCTCAAGTAAGCCTCCTGACTTGGCCTCCGAAGGCACTGGGATTACAGGCCTGAGCTATTGAGCCCAGCCACTTCCATTTCCTGAGGGCTTTATCAATGTATTCTTCATTGTATTGGCTATAACTTCCAGTGCAATATTGGATAGAATTAGTGAGTAAACATTATAGACATCTTTGGCACGTCGCCAATTTTGAGGGGCAAATATCCAATCTTTCATCATTAGATATTGCTGTAAAATGTAGTGTTTTTGGTTGTTGTTGTTGTTGATGTCCTCTATCAGGTTGAAGAATTTCCATTCTATTTTTTTTTATTAATTCATGTTAGATTCTGTCAAATCCTTTTCCTGCATCATTGAGATAATCATTTCATTTTAGTTCTTTATTTTATAACACAGTATATTACATTACATTTTATATTTAAAATACAAAAACAATCTTGCATTTCTGGGATTAATTTCACTTAGTCATGGAGTACAATCATTTTTATATATGGTTGAATTTAGTTTGATAATATTTTATTGGAGATTTTTGTGTCTATATCTGTGAGGTATATTGATCTGTAATTTAATTTTAATTTTTATTTTTTAAATTTCTTTTTCTTTCTTTTTTTATTTTTGCCTTTGAATATAGGCCTTATAACATGAATTGGGAAGTTTCTCTCTTTTTCTATTTTCTGAGTATGTGTATCATTTCTTCATTGAATATGTGAAATAACTTACCAGTGAAGTCCTGTATATTTCCTTATGAAAGACTTTTAATTGCTAATTCGATATATTTATTCAGATTTTCTATTCATTTTTGTTTCAGCTGTGGTAATTTATATGTTTTTAAGACTTTCTACCTTAAATATAAGTTGTATAATTTGTGATCAAAAGTGTTTCATAGTATTTCCCTTATAATTAATATATTTGGATGGGATGGGGGAGGATTGGTAGTAGTAACCTTTGTTCCTGATTTTGGTAGTCAGCACATTATCTCTTTTTTCTTTCTTTTTTTTTCTTTTTTGAGACAGAGTTTCGCTGCTGTCATCCAGGCTGGAGTGCAATGGCAGGATCTGGGTTCACTGTAACCTCCACCTCCTGGGTTCAAGTAATTCTGCCTCAGCCTCCCAAGTAGCTGGGATTACAAGCACTCGCCACCATGCCTGGCTAATTTTTGTATTTTTAGTAGAGATGGGGTTTCCGCATGTTGGCCAGGCTAGTCACAAACTCCTGGCCTCAAGTGATCCACCCACCTCAGCCTCCCAAAGTGTTGGGATTACAGGCGTAAGCCACTGTGCCCGGCATTTTTTATTATTCATCATCTAAATATTTCTCAATTTTGTTTATCTTTGCAAAGATTCAAACTTTGGATCTTTAAATTTCTTTATTGTTTTTTGTTTTATTTTCTATTTCATTGATTTCTGCTCTAATCTGTATTATTTCTTCGTTTTTCTTGCTTTGTGCTCAGTTTAGTCTTCCTTTTCTAATTTCTAAGGTTGGGAGAATGAATTATTAATTTAAGAACTCTCTTTTTAAAATAACTTTTAAATTTTGATATAATTGTAGATTTACTTACAGTTATAAGAAATAATATAGAGAGATCTCTTGTAACCTTATCTCAGTTCTCCCAGTGGTAACATCTGGCAAAAGTATAGTACAATATCATAAGCAATATGTGGAGATTGATATAGTCAACATACAGAATATTTCCATTACCATGGAATCCCTCATGTTGTTCTTTCCTAGCCACATCTATTTTCCTCTTTCACCTCATCTTTAACCCTTGATAACCACTAATCTTTCCTCCATTCTCATAATTTTATCACTTCAGTAATGTTCTACAAGGGAAATTCTATATCATATAATCTTTTGTGGTTAGATTTATTTACTCAGCATAATTCTCTGAAGATTTATGGAGGTTGTTGTCTATATCAATAACTTGTTTCTTTTTGTTGCTAAGTAGTGCTTCATTGCATGAATGTAATACATTTTGTTTAAACTTATTCACTCCTTCAAAAATGTCTGGGTTGTTTCCAGTTTGGGGTTATTAAAAATAAAGCTGTTCTGAATATTTGTATAAAGTTTTTGAATTAACGTGGTTTTTAAAAATTACCCTGCTGTAAATGCCCAGGAGTGAAATTACTGCATCATAATGTCATTGCCTGTTAAACTCTTTGTTTGCTTTTTAAAGAAAGTATCAAATTGTTATAGAGAATGGCTTTGTTATTTTACATTCCCATCAACCATGCAGCAGTTATGTAGTTTCTTTGCAGCCTTGCTAGCACTCAGTATTATCATTATTTTTTATTGTAACTATTCCATTGGGTATATATTGAAATCCCATTGGGGTTTTAATTTTTCATTCCCTAATGGCTAATGATGTTGACATCTTTTCATGCTCTGATTTTCCAAACATATATTCTTTTCAGTGAAATGTATATTCATGTCTTTTGCCCACTTTCTAATTTGACTTTGTTCACTCCTAAGTTTTGAAAGTTCTTTATATATTCTTGCTACTAGTCTTTTTCAGACACATGGCAAGCAAAAGGGGAAGGAAGCAGCTCTTTTTTACTGTCAAGTTGAGGTGAAGGTCAAGGTTCCCCATTAGGCCTTCTTTGCCACACAAAAAGTAAATACTCTTGTGTTTTTAAGGTAAAGTAATGAATGCCAAGAAAGACTCAAATTTTATTTATGTACTGATCATAAAAATGAACTATGATTTATAATTCTTCTCTTCCATTTTCATTATACATAAATTAAGAAAACAAAATACATCATGCTCAATAATAAGGATTCTGAGTAGAAACTCACCAGTTCACCTTAGCTATATTTTCCCTTTTGGGTTTCTTTTCTTTTACTTTTTTCTCTCTCTCTCCTTTTTCTTTAAAAATTTTGGAGTGTAAACATATACATCATCTTAATTTGAGTCCTTATGTGTTGACGGTGTGCAGGGAAGAATGGGAAAGTAACTGTTAAGTGGAGCTCAGAAAGAGCTAACAAATTCTTGAAAAAGTGAGATTATTGCTGGTCTTTCAATTTTTTTTTTTAACTTTCTGTTTCCTCACACTCTTCCGTACTAAATGAATTTTATATATATATATTTTTTTGGTTGTTGTTGTTGTTGTTGTTGTTGTTGTTGTTTTGTGATACACAGTTTTGCTATTGTTGCCCAGGCTGGCATGATCTTGGCTCACCGCAGCCTCCACCTCCTGAGTTCAAGTGATTCTCCTACCTCAGCCTCCCAAGTAGCTGGGATTACAGGCATGCACCACCGCGCCCGGCTCATTTTTTGTATTTTTAGTAGAGACGGGGTTTCTCCATGGTGGTCAGGCTGTTCGCAAACTCCCGAACTCAGGTGATATGCCCGCCTTGGCCTCCCAAAGTGCTGGGATTACAGGCGTGAGCCACCGTGCCCGGCCGACAGGTGTTTACGAGTTACAGACTATGTGCTTTGAGAATGAGGCAACCGATTTAAGGATGTAAGCATAATTTAAGGATATTGAAAATGATATAGGAATAAACTTGGTTTAGTCATTCATGGATTTATTCATTCTTCAGATGACTATGTGTGTGAATATTTAAGAATTCTAAAACCACATGGGGTTACTTATAACTATATAGGAGCCTAACACAATAATGGAATCAGAATATACTTTGCTGAAGGGAGGAGGCTTTTAAATGAAAATCTTCTCTCTACGTTTTTATGTTTCTAGCAAGAATCCACTGAAGACCCACATTTCCCCGAAGGTTAACAGCCCCCTTCTCAGTTTTTCTGGTAAAGTGTTTTTATATTGGTGGAACACCTGTCACACTCTGTATTTTTCTTATCTCAAGTAGAAAAAATTTTGCCCTTTTACTTGGGACTGTTAACAGCCCTGGTAGTGGAAAAGTAGAAGGAAATGATTCTGTGAATTTTCTGTTATATAAATTTTAGCCAATTTAGGGCTTTTGAATGAGGGGCCATACAGCCAAGGATTTAGGATTTCAGCTCAGGAAAGAAAACTACATAGGTGTTTAATTGTGTCCTAGCCATTTATTAGCTGGGTAACTTTGAGCAAGTTTTATATATATCCTTCCCATGAGTTTTTCATTTCTAATACTGGCTTAGTAATACAGTATGTTTCATAGACTTGCTGTAATAATTGATGGAGTGTATCTAATAGTGTTTATTTTACTGTAACTGGGCCACAGTTTGGAAGTACTCAATTAAAATTAGCTGTCATTATTCCTAGTATTAATATGGTGATGAACAGCTAAAGAGCATTTAAATAATTATCATTAATATGGATAAATTTTGAGTATACCTGAATAAATATTTATAATATAACTGTTGAGAATATACAAGTTTAATATTTTAGGGAAATACAATGTCAAATTCTATGAAGCTCTATTCTCACACTAAAACAATAACAGTTTGCTTTCAGATATTTTGAATATTATTGTGACATTTCCCCCTTCTACCTTTCTGGGACCTCGGATATAGGAACCATGTAAGGGTAAATATTCTAGGTCTTCGTTTTGGGACAGGGGTGATATACTACAGTTCCACAGGGGCTGAGCCAGGTTTCAAGGTTGAGAGAGCTGATGGTAAAAATAACAATGAGAGCAAAGGCCAAAATGTATGGAATATTTATTATGTGTCAGACATTTTTCACTAAGCATTCTAGTACAATATTTCTTCAGATCTATGAGGATCTTAATCTTAAGTAGTAAATGGTTTTATTATAACCACTATACAAAATAGAAACACTAACATAAAAAGGTTAAATAATCTGTTTAAATTATCTTGGATTAGGAACCCAATTAGCTGTGTCCTTAGAACAGAAGCTGGTAGCACTACACTGAACTATACCACACTTGCAAGCCTTCAGAGGAAAATTCCCTAAGAGAAAATGGTATCTATGACTCAATATTTCTTCCCATACCCTCAGTGACTTACGGTATTTATTTACTAAATGCCAAAGCAGATAGTCCAATAGGAAATATGTAGCTAAATGGCCTGGGAAGAGAAGGGAATGTCAAATAACAGGCAAAATAGAATCTGACACCCTAGGTCTCAGCAAGTGTTTTGAATGGACAATAAAGAAAGTGACTAGAATATAACCTCTGAAAAAATGTTGTGAAGCACCAATGGACTTGAAAAAATCTAGGGAGCTGATGTAAAGGACATCCACTTCATACTGACAATTGTTGAACAAATTACTTGTTGGAGATGGAGTTGCAGACAAAACAGATATTTACCACTGCTTTAAAATATGTTTATTTACTCAGGAGAAGAGTCTGGAACTGTGGTTTCAGAACGAGCTTATCCAACAGTAAGAAGAGGACTGGGGCATACCTTTTAAAATAATAATGATATATTTATATCCTAGTGTGATTTATTTACCTTTTAGTAAATCAAGTTCTCAGAAAAATAAAGTAAAAAAATCTTAACATTACATATGCAGGACTTAATCTGAATAATCATAAATTTTCATAAACATAATTTACATACCACACCATAGTAGCTGTGATATAGTAAATTCATAAGTTTTCTGACTATGGTTTAGCTCTTTCATTCTAAGAATAAAAAAGATTCTATTATGTCACAAGACATGTATCTGGATGGTTAAAAAAATCCAATCATACATAACTGAAGAAAATATAGGTATTTTAGTGGAATAAGAATGTGATATACAAAAACAGAAAAATAAATAACTTCAATGTTACTTAAAGAAATAGAACTAACAAAGATGCATCATGGAAGAGAGGATAGTTCTCTAAAAACACATAAAATAACTTTCTAAGATGAAAATTTTACATATATAAAAGCATTTGTCAATGAAAGTAATAATAATTCCATTCATGCATTTGTTCATGTATAACCAATAACTTTCTTGTGATGTCATAGAAAAAATTCAAGCATCAAATCAAAAAGCAAATTTTATTACGTAAGAAACAGTGGCCTTTAAACTGACAATATATTTGTTTGAATAAAAAATATTATTACTTTAAAATAATCAAATTAGCAAAATACATGAACATCTTAATTTTTGGTATGTGTTTAAATATCAGGACATTTACTCATATTCTTCATAAACAGAGTCATAAGTCTTAGTAGATGCTGCCATGTGTAGGCAGGTTGTCTTCTCTAATTATCCTCAGTCCCCACCATTCCATAGTGTCCCCAGTAGAGATACTACTGACATTTTTCATTTGTTGCCATAATTCAGCTGTTGTTTTTCATAGTCAGCTTGCCTTCTTTATTTTAATATTTATATACCATGTAGGCATCTCAGTGTTTCACTCTTGCTGTGAGACAGCCATAGATCCCTTTTGACCTAGAGTTTTTTATTCTTTCTTTTTCAAAATTATTTTCCCTAAAAGAATGGAACCTATAAGCCTCCAAATAGTGCATTTAAACTCAATCACATCTAGAAAACAATGCTAAACTATTCAGAAAGAATGAAGAGAATAAGTGAATTCTCCAAACCCAGAGCTAATGAGTGCCAGCTCTGAAAATGAAGTCCTTGATTCTTGACATCTGGCCTAGTGTGCCTAGGAAGTATAATCGGTTACTCTGACTCAGTCATTTTAATAATTGAAGTAAACTACTTAACAGTTAAACATTATATACTTAAAATACTTAAATTAGCTTAGATATAATCAAAGAATTTCGCTTTTTAATTCCAAATAATGAAGTGTTTGGTTGTAGGGTATTAGATCTTTCATGGAAGAAAGTAGTCCCACAAGTCTAAGTACAAATTTCAAATGTAAAATAAAACTGATCAAGCCAGAGACCAGGTTTGGCAAAAAGTATCACATGATATGACTTGTAAAATGTCAATTATTGTGAACAGTTTTAAAAAGACCTCATCAGACCGTATTGCATGTACTCGTAAAGGGGAAAAGAAGTAAATATCAGCATGTATTGAATACTTTATACCCATTATACATCGGGCTTTTTAGATTCATTCTACCATTTAATTTTCATGGACATGCTGGGGATAGGGTATTGTTATCATCCCTATTCTTTAGTGAGAACTAAGATTTACCAAAAAAAAAGTAAATTTTCCAAAATTAATTACTAATAATGTGTACACAGACCATTTCCAAATTCATGAGATAATTGCAGTTTTAGTTACTTTAGGCTGTTAAAACAAATTACCGTAGACTGGGTGACTTAATCAGAAAACGCTTGTTCTCACAGTTCCAGAGGCTGGAAAATTTAAGATAAAGGTGCTTGCACATCCAGTGACTGATGAGGGCCTATTTCTTTGTTTGCACGTGGCCATTTTCTCATTATATACTGACATGGCAGAGACTGAGAAAGAGAAAGAGATTATCTCTTTGGTGTCTCTTCCTATAAGAGTATTAATCTCATTCACCAACTAATTACCCCCCAAGGGCCCACCACTGAATACTATCACACTGGGAACTAGGGTTTCACCATATGAATTTTGAAGGTACATAGACATTCAGTTTTAGCAATTGCTAACAATATTACTCTTACACAACCATTTTTCTCACCTAAATATTTTCAATCAATTATTTAATAAATGGAAGCAGTGGGATTACCTTGTCATGACCATAAGAATTTATCTGGGAGATGTGTATGTATGTGTGTATGTTTATCATGGGGAGAAGTTTGTGAGTAGAAGCAATGGATTGAGAATCTGGATAATAAGAAAATATTCTATTGATCCTGGTGATTTGAATGTAAGATAGGAGCTGGTCGTCAACTGATTTAATCAGTGGGTATTTCAGTATGAGGCATACTTGGTGACTAAGCTTTCATGTGGTAATCTGAGGTGAATATTGACATAGAATTAGAATTATAACTCACATAAATTCACACAAAAACATTTTTACATTGCCTACTGATTTTTATACATATAACCAAGAAATAAAGTATATGGTGGCTACCTTTCTCTAGGGATTTATAGGGTAATTAGACAAACTCTTCCAATAATTATAAAAATAAGAACTGAAATAACAAGTGCATATTCTGAATTACAAAAATCATTCAAAGTAACAAAAAGCTTATATCTTTGATCCCAATAACCTATTTTAATTTTCTTTTTAAAATAAAAATGTTAGAGGCAAAACAAAAGTGCCATAACTAAACCAAGTACAGACAAAGGAAATAGGAATGAGAAACAGTGTATGTGTGTTTGTATGTGTGGGCATGCCTATAGGTATAGTTGTGTGTGAATTAAAGTGAACACACTTGTTAATTGAATAAAATACAGTAAGTGTTTGTATATGTATCTGCATGTTTGTGTTGTATTTTGGAGTTGTTATTCAGCTTTTACAGAATGTTCAAATAGAAAACCAAATAGGATTGTCACCTATATTGCATAAATAACCAGAGAAAAGTCACTTAAGTGGCCATAAAAGAAATGTTGAAAATAAATGCAGAGAATTATATTTAGAGTAAGAATACCCACATGTATTACAGTCCCCAAAAAGCAATTAAGCAGAAGAAATTGCTTTTAGAGCTTGGAAAGATTTAAAGTGTTACCATTAAAGTTTGAGTTGGGTGTTACTCCATGAAGAGAATATATCCTTAAACACTGCTGCCCTGTGCAGAACATACTCACTTTGTGGACAAAGACATAAAGGCCCTGATACTGGACCTGTTGCTGGTTAGAAATGTCTTCCCATGACAAATGGGATCTAATTAAACTAAAAGGCTTCTGCACAGCAAAAGAAACTACCATCAGAGTGAACAGGCAACCTACAGAATGGGAGAAAAATTTTGCGATCTATCCATCTGACAAAGGACTAATATCCAGAGTTTACAAAGAATTTAAACAAATTCACAAGAGAAAAACAACCCCATCAAAAAGTGGGCGAAGGAAATGAATAGACACTTTTCAAAAGAAGGCATTTATGTGGCCAAAAACATATGAAAAAAGCTCATCATTACAGAAATGGTCATTACAGAAATGCAAATCAAAACCACAATGAGATACCATCTCGGGCCAGTTAGAATGGTGATCATTAAAAAGTCAGGAAACAACAGATGCTGGAGAGGATGTGGAGAAATAGGAACACTTTTACACTGTTGGTGGGAGTGTAAATTAGTTCAGCCATTGTGGAAGACAGTGTGGTGATTCCTCAAGGATCTAGAACTAGAAATACCATTTGCCCCAGTAATCCAATTACTGGGTATATACCCAAAGGATTATAAATCATCTACTATAAAGACATATGCACACATATGTTTATTGCAGCACTATTCACAACAGCAAAGACTTGGGACCAACCCAAATGTCCATCAATGATAGACTGGGTAAAGAAAATGTGGCACATATACACCATGGAATGCTATGCAGCCATATAAAAGAATGAGTTCGTTATTTGCAGGGACATGGATGAAGCTGGAAACCATCATTCTCAGCAAACTAACACAGGAACAGAAAACCAAACACCACATGTTCTCACTCAGAAGTGGGAGTTGAACAATGACAACATATGGGCACATGGAGGGAAACATCACACACTGGGGCCTGTCGGGGGGTGGGGGGCAAGGGTAGGGATAGCATTAAGAGAAATACCTAATGTAGATGACAGGTTGATGGGCAGCAAACCACCATGGTACACATATACCTATACAATAAGCCTGCACCTTCTACACATGTATAACTTAAGTATCATAGAAAGAAATGTCTTCGTTAATAATATTTCTCACCTTTTCTAGATATAAATTTAATTCACAATTGGGCAGGGCATGGTGCCTCACACCTATAATCCAAGCACTTTGGGAGGCTGAGGCAGGCGGATCACCTGAGGTTAGGAGTTCAAGACCAGCCTGGGCAACATTGTGAAACCCCATCTCTACTAAAAATACAAAAATTACTACTTGGGAGGCTGAGATAGGAGAGTCGCTTGAACCCAGGAGGCAGAGGTTTCAGTGAGCCAAGATCGCGCCACCACACTCCAGCCTGGGCAATAGAGCGATGCTCCATCTTAAAAAAAAAAAAAAATCAAAATAAAATAAAATAAAAAATAAAAATAAAATTTAATTCACAGTTGTAACCAGCCTAAATTAAAAATATTTCTTAAGCAAAAGATTGAGACTTTATGTTTTAGATAATTGTGTTTTTATGACAGAATACCTACACACACAAACAAACAAACTAAAGAACTTTTTCTGTTATATACCAAATCATACTTTTATTAGTGTGGTTAATTTTATCTTTCTCTCTGTGTGTTTCTCTCTCTCATCAATTTATTTATTATCTATCTCTTAATCAATCCATCCATTCATCCTTCCATTCAATCTTCTATTACTTTTAATATTTTTAAATAAACTGCCTTGTTGTTGTGATTTGTATTAATGTAGACTGGCAGAGCATGATATGACAGACTTTTATTTGCATGGAATCTCCTGAAATCAGCTAATAATTCACTATGGACTCTATTTACTCAGATTAATAACTGTGCAGAAATGTCATTATCTGAAGAGCACAAATCTGGGGACAGACAGAATTTTAGTCATGGGCTCTGTCATTGACTGACTGTGTGATTTTGGTTGCTTAAATAATCTAGACTCTAGTCTCCTCAATTATAAGACAGGAATAATAATGGACTTAACTTTATTATATGTTAAGCAACATAAATTGCTTCGGGTATTCAAAAAAGATAATTAATGCTGTGGATTAGGAATCTGAAATAGAAGCTTGAATTCCCAGGAGCGAAACAAATTTAGCAATACTTGCACGACTATTGGAGAACCAGGCCACTTAACAGGTATACATATGCCCCTCTGGCTACCTCCTAGATATTTTCTGCCACATCAGCAGTAGGCAGAGGACCAGTTGGCTTAGTGTCTATATTGTTTACATGTGGCAGCTCAAACAATGTGATATGAATATGAACTAAGGAGGGAGACACTTCACACTTAACATCTGTTCTTCAGTTTCCCCAACAGGATTCCTCCAAATGTGAAAGGAAACTCATCAATAACAAGCTGAGAAATGAGTCTAAACAACTGACATTTTGGAATAACATATTTGACATTTGTGAGGTCCACCGGTTGTGGCTTAATCAAGAAAGCCATCAGATATCCACAGTATCCATCTTTTAGGCATACACATCTAAAAAACACATCCATTTGTCTTAATTTAAATCCATATTTTAACTTTCAAAATATTATTTCATGGATATTTTGCCACACAATTATGCTAGTTTTTACTATTTTCTCCCCTAATGTGTAAAAGAACAAGAGAATACAAATTCCTTGGCATGTCAGTTATTTAGTCATTTCAGATTTTGATATTTCCAGAAGTCATAAGAGGATTCTTCTCTCACAGATGTAATTATAAAACACATTTGATTTACCAACTTTTAGTCTTCTGTTTTCTACAAATTAGCTGTCTTGTGCAAATGGAGAAATAGCATATGTATTTGGTACTAAGTTTCTCTCGTAGTTGTCAGAACCTCACCAGGTCTGATTTTATTGTTTTGTAAGAACTGGGCTTTAAAAAAAGTCAGACCATATGATAATTTTGATATTAAAACTCTTCTGAAAGACTAAGTGAATGAACTAGTCATCTATATTCACTGATTAAAAACAAAATAAGACAAACTTACTCCATAGTATAGTACTTTGGGTTTGTCTAATTAAAAAAAATTCATTTACAAATACCATTTCTGAGGAACAATAGCATTTCTCTAGGATACATCTACATACATGCAAGTGAAGAAAATAGCTTTTGTGTTTACTTTATGTCTTGTAGGAGTTGTATAGCTACATAAGAGTATTGTAATGCAAGAGGTACATCATAAAAACTGCTTTGTTATATGTTGTGTGCATGTATATTTGTGCATTTACATATCAACAGCATACTCACTGTTGTTCAGTAGCATATTTTGTGATGAATGATGAAACCAGTACAAATTAAATGTGAATTTGACTTATGAACTCTTCACATCCACTACCTCATAAACATTACAAGCTAGAGAATGTAGGGATTTGAATCCACAAACCACAGATGTCAAGATTAATACATTACGTTTTGATTACTTGAAACTGCCTGTACAATTGAATTTACAGTTGTTTTTTAAAAAAGAAAATAGAACTGAGAAGAAGTGCTACAACAATCATACTTTGTGATTTAAAAGAAAATAAATACTACTAGTTCATGCCCAGAAAAACAAAAACAAAAACAAAACAAAAAACTATGGGAATTTTATTACCCTTATCTATACTCTCCCACCTGCAAGAAAAAATTCCTCTCCTCACAATGAATAACACTAGGTAGAGGAAATATCTCTGCTTAGGTTTAGAAGGAAGAGAAAAAAAAACATTGTGAAACATTAGTATGTAAATAAGAATCTGAAGGCAAAGGCAATGTGGAGAATAGGGCATGATTTCACCTCTGGGAGGGAGATGTAGCCTGGCAGGCTCACAGCGACTTTTTCACAGTCAGAGCCACCTACCCAAAGGTAGAAACCAAAGCAAGTGTAAATCAGAAAAATAATCCTCAGTATATTACATTTAATGTCAAAACATACTTTGTAGAATATATGAACTGCAGTCTTATTTTGAGAGCTAATCTAGAATTATGATTATATTTGGAAGCCTGATTCTGTTTGCCTCATTTGGTCCATTTGGTTGTACATTAAGGCTTGAACAGAAGGTTTGTGCTATAAAGCTGTCTTTAAATAGGCTCCATGACATTTAAAGTTATCTGCTCGGAAATAATCAACTTTTTCAAATTCATAATAGCCTTGCTTTGGGGAAATTAGTTTCAATTTGATGAGCAAATGGATCACTAAGGATCACTGAGGTGGGGAGTAGTGATGGGAAGCAGTCATAGAAACCACTAGTTAACATATGTCACGGCTAATAATATCAGGTATTTTGATGCTAGTGTCAATGAGATCGAGCATGCCAGTTAATTTCAAAGAAAATAAACAACAACAAACACTTTGATTGTGTTATACAACCTGCAGTCATTATTTTCTATTAGCTGTTATCTACCTGTCTGTTTATCCATTGATTGATTCATCAGTGTGTGTATGTGTGTGTGTGCATTTCAGAATAGAATGAGTGATGAAAATTATATTCTTTCATGCACAGATATTTGTAGAGGTCCTGCTGTGTGCCAGATATTAAGCAATTGCAATTGAGTAAAATAGTATTTAAAAACTACTCACTGCCTTCAAGGAGCACAGGGTCTAACTAGGGAACTCAGACAAGTAAATAGGCAATTACAATGTAGGATAGTTCTGGGGATCAGAAAACAAAACCCCCAAATGAAAGGCTCAGCAGCAGCCTCAGAAACAAACATTTTTCTCTGACCTTCTCCTGTCCTCTTGTCTCTCAGTTTTATTCTCCCATAAGGCTGGCCATGGAAACTAGAATCTCTCTTCCACAACAGTGGGTCATAGTAAACAGAACCCCTAGAACCCCTTTTCTTTAAAGCTAGCCATAAAACCTAAATATATTACTCTGATTTTTCCTCCACTTTATCTGTGTGAAAACTGGCCATAAAGAAATTATCTGACTTACCTCGTTTGACTGAACATCTTAAGACCCCCACTCCAAAGATGTTGCTGCCCCATAACCAGAAGAAGAAAAAAACACATGCTTAGAAATGTCAAGAAAAATCTAGACTGACAGGCCTTGCTGGGTTTCCCTACCCAGTCTATTAGCATTATTAGGTCATATACCTTTCTTCCAATAGTATTTCTACACAGCTGTCCATACTTTGTTAATTTCCCCTGTATCTTAGGGTCTGCATTTGGAAGGCTGCCGTGTATACTCATTAAATGAATTTCTAAGTCTTTTTTTCCTCCTAATCTGCCTTTTGCAACTAGATTTTTAGTAAAACCACAGTGGGACAAGGGCCTTGGCATCCACAGCATCCACAATAGCAAGTCTTATAATACAAGGTTAAGTACAGAATGAACCCACAATGAGGAACATAAAATTTGAGGAGCTTAATATAAAATATGGAATTTGCCAATTCTTTCCCAGTGAAAACAATAACATACAGCACATATTTTTCTGAAGCAGAGACAATACCTTCTTACACATTAATTTTATCACTGATAAAATGATTAATTGTATCACTGATAAAATGATTAATTTTATCATTAATTTTAAAGTGAAACACAATGGTCATTACTTGCCCAAGCTTAAGAAGCTAATTATTAGGCAAGGCACTGTGGCTCACACCTGTAATCCCAGCACTTTGGGAGACCCAGGCGGGCAAATCATGAGGTCAGGAGATCGAGACCATCCTGGCCAACATGGTGAAACTCCATCTCTACTAAAATCCAAAAAAAAAAAAAAAAAAAATTAGCCAGGCATGGTGGCACGCACCTGTAGTCCCAGCTACTCAGGAGGCTGAGGCAGGAGAATCACTTGAACCTGGGAGGCAGAGTTGCAGTGAGGAGAGATTGTGCCGCTGTACTCCAGCCTGGCAACAGAGTGAGACTCCGTCTCAAAAAAAAAAAAAAAAAAGAAGCAGCAGCTAATTATTATCAGAGTTGTGAGTAGAATCCAGGACTCCAAATATGAATCCAATGCTTTTTGCCTAAGTTATGCTGCTTCAATTTACATTTCTTTTTTTAAATAGTAGAAATTAGTGGAAATGAAACATTTGTAAAGTTAAATCTTCTTGCTTGTTTTTCCTTTATTTTTTCTCCAGTTTGCAATGAAATCAGTATAACAAGTAAAAATGCAAATGGATAACTAATCAAATTAATGGCTTACAATTGAAGAATAACATCATATAAATGCTACTACTGATCTTAGAAGTCCCATCCATTTCAATGAAAGCTATATTTGGGAATTCCACAACTCAGTCTGCTCTCAGTAGGGATGAAGGAAATTGTTTCTGTATCTGGCCAAACTATTATGGAGTTTGGGATACATTCTGTTAAATTCTGTACTTTGATGTGATGTAATATAATCCAGAATAATACATTTATGCTACATACAATGTTTCATTAGAGATTTAATGAACAAACACTCTGATCCCCCTCTGTGATACTATTTTAAAAAGAAGCTCATTATGATAATTAAATATAAATGCAGGTGTAGGCTGCCTAGGTTAATAAAGACCAGAAAAATGAGCTGGCCATTCTAGAACTTTGTTCTCAGCTGGAGGAGAATCGATAACATCGATAACATTGTAGGCTCACTCTTGGCTCTAATTGACACTCAGAACAATAGGATTGAATACTAAAGCTCATCTCAACCAAATTGAATTGGCAATAATGCCTTTACATCCACAACTGATTTACAGGTTAACTGTAAGACCAGTGCCTTTGTTATGGAGGCAGATCAATTTTATCCAAAATATATGTTTAAACTTATTAGCATTTTGGCTCTGGAATCAGTAAAGCCTGTGAATCTGTTCACAGTAAAACATTCACTAGCTTGCTGAGACTGAACATTTCTGAGATGCTCTGAGTTCTAGTTATTTTTTTAACTCTAAAGTAGATGTAAAATTTCAGGAAAGAGATCAAGAATTTTTGGTATATACCAAGTACTAAGTAATAAATGTAGACTCATTAAATGTGAAGGCGGACTATAAAAACAAAGTGGCTATAAAGGAAGTTATCTATTTGAAATTTGTGAAATCTGAACTTTACCAGTCTAGAGCAGAGGTCAGAAAATGTTTTTTTTTTCAATTGGCCAGATAATAAGTGCTTTAGTTTTTTGTAGGGTATATAATCTTGGTTGAACTCAACTCATTGTAGCAAAACAGCAGCCACGAGTATATGCAATAAATTTAAATTGTTGTATTGTCACACGCACACAAAAAAGTTTACTAAAACAGATAGGAGGGAGTGACATAAGCAAGATGTCGCATTTGGCAACTCCAAGCTTCTGTCCCTCCATAGAAATATTGAAAAATGAGTAGAAGCCATCAGAATCAACATTGTCAGAACACTGGAAAACAGACAGGTTTATAGCAACACAGTGAACACTAAAGCAATAAAATGTCAATGTAAAAATAATAAAAAATCATTGTGGCAGTTTTACTTTCCCTTTCTATAACCACTCCCCAGTTGAAGAGCAGTCTTGCAGACAGCAGCCCACGTTCCCAGTGTGAGAGAATAGTCCCTGTTTCCAGAGGTAGAAGAGACAACTTCATTTGCAAATTATTTTGGCCCGTTTTAA
Organism: Homo sapiens; assembly: GCF_000001405.40. Lineage (NCBI taxonomy): Eukaryota > Metazoa > Chordata > Mammalia > Primates > Hominidae > Homo > Homo sapiens. The sequence goes on along the minus strand of NC_000010.11, from coordinate 46,171,700 downwards.
CCTCTATGGGGGCTACCTGGAGGAATGATGTAAGGTGCTTTCATCTGTTTTGTCTATTGCACAGCATATCCAAGCGGTAAAAGTGGTGGGAGTTGCTTAAATATATTGTTGGACTCCTAAGAAACCTAAGCTTGAGGCAAAAGACATTTAAGATATATAAACAAATATCCAAGGCCTGGAAACACAATAAGAACAGAGATATTCCTTGGAAAATTAGGGTAATAAAAAACACCCATGAGTTAGGAGAGATTTGAAAAGCCTCATACATGCCAATTATACAGTGCATGTTCAAAAAATACCTAAGAAGTCCTTAAGTTTTATAGTGTTTTGGATCTTTGTTTTGTCTGATACTGATCCCTAAACTTTTATTTTTTCAACCTTTATTTTAAGTTCTGGGGTACATGTGCAGATGTGCAGGTTTGTTACATAGGTAAATGTGTGCTATGGTAGTTTGCTGCACAGATCAACTCATCATCTAGTTATTAAGCCCAGCATCCGTTAGCTATTCTTCCTGATGTTTTCACTCCTGCCAGCCCCTACCACCCTTAACAGGCCTCAGTGTGTGTTGTTTCCCCCCATGTGTTCATGTGTTCTCACGGTTCAGCTCCCACTTAGAAGTGAGACCATGCAGTGTTTGGTTTTCTGTTTCTGCATTAGTTTGCTGAGAATAATGGCTTCCAACTCCATCCATGTCCCTGCAAATGACATAATCTTGTTCCTTTTTATGGCTACATAATATTCCATGGTATATATGTACCACATATTCTTTATTTAGTCTACATATCCCTAACCTTAATGCAAGTCTGGCTAAGTGTTTAAAGAGGTACTCAGACAGAGCCAAACAGTAAAGACAGAGAGAGGTTGTTTGGTTGGTTGTTGTTTTTTTTAGTTCCTGGTGTTCAAGAAAACTCTGTCAAACATTAGCTGAACAAAAAAAGCCAAAGAACAAAAACTTTATTCACAATATATGCAACAAATATATTTGCTGAAAAACAGTAGAGAAATGTCATTATACCAAGAGTTTACTACAGCCTTCAATAATTACAAAAGAGCAAACCCTGAGAAGTAGGAACATTTGATTTCCAGAATCACATTGTAATATTCAAGTGTCCATTTTTTTAACAAAAAAATCACAAGGCATACAAAGAAATAGGAAATAAGACTTATTTAATAGAACAAAATAAATTAACAACTACCATCCCTAAAAATGTCTAGATGTTGTAATTGCCGGCAAAAAGATTATTTTTAAAAATTATCTTAAACATGCTCAAATAATTGAAGGAAAACCTGAACAACCAAATAAGAAAAATCAGAAATATAATAAATGAACAAAATAAAAATATCAATAAAGAAAAACTATAAAAGGAGCCAAAAATTCTGGAGCTTTAAAGTATAAAAACTGGAATAAAAAAATTAAATAGAGAAATTCAACACAAATTTTACCAGCCAAAAGGCAAAATCAGGAAATTCACAATAGGGTGATAGAAATTATCTATTCTATCTATCAAGTCTGAGAAGTAGAAAAAAAAATAATAAAGAAAAGTAAATGGCACCTAAGGGGCTTGTGAAATGCCATCAAGGGGACCAACATATGAAGGAGAATCCCAGAAAAAGATGACAGAGAGAAAAGGCAGGACAAATATTTGAAGAAATAATGGCTGAAAACTTTCCATATTTGATGAAAGACATAAATATACAAATTCAAGAAACATGAATAAACATCAAGTAAGATAAAGAGATCCACACTGAGACATACAGTTGTCAAATTATTGAAAGCTAAAGACAGACAATTTTGCAAGTAGCTAGGGAAAATCAATTTATTATTTACAAGGGATTTTCAATAAGATTAATAGCTGATTTCTCATTATAAATGATGGAGGTGAGAAGATAGTGGAATAACATGTTTTAGTCCTGAAAGAAAGACCAAAAACAATAACAACTACTTACTGAGAATTCTTTATCTAGCAAAACATTCTGTGATAAATGAGTAAAAAATTAATACATTTAAAGAGAAACAAAAGATGAAGGAGTTTATAACTTGCAGACCTGTCCAGTGAAAAATGCTAAACAGATTCCTTCAGGTTGAAATGAAAAGACACTAGACAATAACTTAAAGATGAATGAAGAAATAAAGGTTTCCTGGAAAAAGTAAGTCCATGGGCAATTATAAAACTTAGCATTATTTTATTTTTAGTTTATAACTCCATTTTTATTTTCTATATGTGTTGAAAAAAATTTATAAAAATAATTATAAATTTATGTTATTCAGCACAGAATGTATATGAATGTAATTTGTGAAACAACATGAAATGGGTAAGGGGACTACATAGATATGGAGTGTTTCATGCTATTGAAATTATGTTCGCATTAATTAAAACATAGATGATTATAAATTTATTAAATAGAATCCTTATGGCAGTTAGAGACAATTTTTTTAAAATGCACACATAAGAAAATGACAAAGCTTTTTAAAACATTTCACTATAAAAATCAACTAATCACAAAAAAAGTATTAAGGGAAGAAATGAACAAAAAATTATAGAAAACAAAAAGCAAAATGGCAGTAGTAATTCTCATCAATAATTTCTATAAAAGTAAATGAAGTAAACTTTCCAATTGAGAGGCAAAAATCAGTGTAATGGATTTTTAAAATCATACAACTACATATTTTCTATAAGAGACTCAATTTAGATGCAAGCCACAAATAAATTGAAAGTGAAAAACAGAAAAATATATTCCATACAAATGGTAACCAAAAGAGAGGTGGTGTGGCTCTACTAATATGACATGAATTGACTTTAACCACTGTTACAATTGGAACAAGGGCATTAAACACTAATAAAAGGATCAATTTATCAAGAAGATATAACAGTTATAAATATGCACACACTAAACAACAGAGCCCCCAAAATATACAAAGCAAACATTGGCAAAATTTAGGGAAAGAATGTGTAGTTCTGCAATAATAGTTGGAGACATCAATAGGCCACTTCAAATTCTTGATAGAAAATCTGCAACAAGGAAATAGGGGAATTAAAGTATAGTGTTTATATAAATCAACTATACCTAATAGACATACACAGGACATTCCACCCAACAACAGCAGAATACATGTTCTCTCTGATAGCCCATGTGTTAGGCAACAAAGAATTCTTCAGTATATTTTAAAAACATTAAACTTATACACAGCATCTTCTCAGAACACAATGGAATGGAACTTTAAATCAACAGCAGGAGAAAAACTGAAAAATGTACAATATATGGCAATTAAACCATGAGTGCCTTTTCAAGCAATGGATCGAAGAAGAGAAATTACAAATATCTGAAGATATGTAATAACACAACATACTAAACTTATGAGATGAAGCAAAAGCAGTGCTCAGATGAAAATTTATAGTTGTAAGAGCCTACATTTAAAAATGTACAAAAGATCTCAAATCAATAATATAACTTCGAACTTTTATGAACCAGAAAAGAAGAGCAAATTAAACACAAGTAGAAGGGAGGAAATAATGATAATTAAAATGGAAATACATACAATACAGGGCAGGAATTATAGAGAAAGAAATAATAAAACCAAAAGCTGATTCTATGAAAAAATCGACAAAATTGACAAATCTATACTGATAAAGAAGAAAAGAGATAATAAATAACTGAAATCAGAAATAAAACTGGGGCTATTACTACTGACCTTATAGAAATAAAAATGATTGTGAGAATAATATGACCAAATTAGGCCATAAACTAGATAACCTAGATGAAATTGTTGAATTTTCTAGAAACACACTAATTACCTAAGCTCACTCAAGAAGAAATAATAAATATATGTCAACAGACCAATAACAGGTAAAGAAATAGAAGTTGTAGTAAAAAACCCACCCAATCAAGAAAATTATGATACCTACCAGATGGTTTTGTTTTTTGTTTTTTTGTTTTTGAGACGGAGTCTTGCTCTGTCACCCAGGCTGGAGTGCAGTGGCGTGATCTCGGCTCACTGCAAGCTCCGCCTCCTGGGTTCACGCCATTCTCCTGCCTCAGCCTCCCAAGTAGCTGGGACTACAGGCGCCCGCCATCTCGCCCGGCTAATTTTTTGTATTTTCAGTAGAGACGGGGTTTCACCGTGTTAGCCAGGATGGTCTCGATCTCCTGACCTCGTGATCCGCCTGCCTTGGCCTCCCAAAGTGCTGGGATTACAGGCATGAGCTACCGCGAATACCAGATGGTTTTAATAGTAACTTCTAGGATACATTTAGAGATGAACTGGCAGAAATTGCTTGGCAAACTTTTCCAAAAACAGAAATGGAGATATTACTTATTAATTCATTCTATGAGACAAGCATTTCCCCTAGTGTAAGTTCAGATGAAGAGATCACAAGTAAAGAAAATTACAGGAGAATATTTTTTACACATATAAATGCAAAAATCTTTACCAAATACTAGGAAACCAAATTCCTAAACAGGATTGTGCCCTATGACCAAGAAGAATTTATCTTATAAATGCAAAAGTAGTTCAACATAAGAAAACCAATCAATGTAAAGAAGCACACTGAAATTACCGATGTAATAGAGCAAAGAAGAAGAAGAAAAAGATCAATTCATTGACACAGAAATAGCGTTTGACAAAATTCAACACACCTTCATGATAAAAGTCACTGAGCATATAGAAGGGAATTTCCTTAACCTAATAAAGGACATTTTAAAAATACCCCCAGCTAACAACCTATTCAGTGGTGAAAGACTGAACACTTTTCTTTAAAATCAGGAACAAGACAAGGATGTCTGCTTTAATCACTAGTGAACATTGCAACTTCTAGCAGAGCAATCAGCAAGAAAGACAAATAAGAGGTATCCAAACTGGAAAGGAATAAATTATTTCTCCTTTCAGATTACATAATTCTATATATAAAAAAAATCTGAAGAAAATCCATCAGAAAGCTACTAGAGCTAATAAAAAATTCAGCAAAAGTGCATATTACAAGGTCAACACACAAGATTCATTCATGTCTCTATATGCTAGAAATAAATAATCCAAAAACAAAATTAGGAAACAAATTCCATTTATGATAGTATCTAAAAGAACAAAACACCTAAGAATAAATTTAATGAAAAATGTGAACACTTGTACACTGAAAAGAGCAAAGCATCACTGAAAGAAATTAAAGAAGTTCTAAACAAATTGAAAGCAACCCTGTGTTGATGGATTTGAAGACAAATTAATAGTGCTAAAATAGCAGAACTACCAAAGCTGTCTAAAGATTCAATACAATATTTAGTAAAATTCCAACAGTCATTTTACTGAAACAGTACTGAATTGGTACTGAAATACCAATTCTCAAATTCCTAGAATTGTACATGGAAATCCTAAAAAACAAAGACAAAGTTGGAGGACTCAAACTCTACCATTTCAAAACTTATCAAAAACCTACAGTAATTAAAACAGCATGGAATTGGCATAGGATAGGTATATAGATACATGGAATAGAATTGAATCCAGACATAAACCATATATTTATGGAAATATTTATATTTCCATAATATAAATATGAAATATTTATTTTCAACAAGCCTGCCAAGTCTATTCAATGGGCAAAGAAAAATCTTCAACAAATGATGTTAGGACAACTGAATTTCCAAAGGCAAATTAAGGTTAGGCTTCATCCCATATACAAAAATTAACTCACACCATGTGTAAAAAATTTACTCATACTATATACAAAAATTTATTCAAAATGAATCGATGACTCAAATATGAGAGCCAAAACCATGATACTCTTAGGGATAAATATGAACTGGGGTTTGGCAATGGATTTTTAAATATGACACCAAAAATACCACAGCAACAAAAAACTAGATAAGTTGAACTTTATCAAAGTTGAAAACATCGGTTCATCAAAGGACATTATTATGAAGAAAGTGAGAGATAGCTTACAGAATGGAAAAAATATTTGCAAATCATATATCTCATAAAGATTTAATATCCAAAATATATAAAGAATCTTTAAAACTCAATAACAGAAGACAAAGAACCTATTTTTTTAATTTCCATAGTTTTTTGGGGAACAGGTGGTGTTTGGTTACATGAGTAAGTTCTTTAGTGGTGATTTATGAGATTCTGGTGTACCCATCCTTGATCATTAGTGATGTTGAGCATTTTTTCATATGTTTGTCAGCCATTTGTGTATCTTCTTTTGAGAATTGTCTATTCATGTCCTTAGTCCACTTTTTGATGGGATTGTTTGTTTTTTCTTGTTGATTTGTTTGAGTTCATTGTAGATTCTGGATATTAGTCCTTTCTCAGATGTACAGAGTGTGAATATTTTTTCCCGTTCTTCGGGTTGTCTATTTACTCTGCTGACTGTTCCTTTTGCAGTGCAAAAGCTCTGGTATAAAAATAGGAGCATAAACCAATGGAACAGAATAGAGAACCCAGAAATAAATCCAAATACTTACAGCCAACCGATCTTCAACAAAGTAAACAAAAACAAAGTGAGGAAAGGACACCTGTTTCAACAAGCAATTGTCCTGCCTCAGCCCCCCGAGCAGCTGGGACTACAGTCTTATGCCACAACGCCCGGCTAATTTTGTTGTTGTTGTTGTTGTTGTTGTTGTTGTTGTTGTTTTTCAGATTTTTAGTAGAGACAGGGTTTCATTGTGTTGGCCAGGCTGGTCTCGAACTTCTGACCTCAGGTGATCAGCCTGCCTCAGCCTTCCAAAGTACTGGTATTACAGGTATGAGCCAGCACACCTGGCCTTCTTCACAACTATTATGATGACAGTAATAAAAATAAATAAATACATAAATAGAGAGAGAGAATAGGGGGAGGAAAAAGGGTTAGCCAAGATGTGGATAAAGTTAAAGACACTTACATTGGTGGTGGGAATATCAAATTGTGCGCTTACTGTGGAAATCAATTTGGAGGTTAATCAAAAAGCTAAACATAGAATAATTCCACTTCTAGGTATATACCCAAAATAATTCAAGCGTGACTCAAACAGATACTTGTACACCAGTGTTTTTTTTTGCAGCATTTTTTACAATAGTCAAAAGGTAGAAAAACCCTAACAGATGAATCTTTAAGCAATGAATAGATGAACAAAAATGTTGTACATAAATACAAAGGATTATTATTCAGCCATAAAAAAGAATGATGTTTTGATACACACTACAGCATAATGAACCTTAAAAACATTTTCTAAGTGAAATAAGCCAGACTCAAAAGGACAAATATTGTATGATCCCAAACATATGAAATATCTAGAATGGGAAAAGTCATAGAGATAGAAAATATGTTAGTGATTACTAGGATGTGAGGGGAGAGTTAAAAGGTGTTACTGTTTTATGAGTATAGTTTTTGTTTGGAGTGATGAGCTAATTTTAGAAATAGATAGTTCTGATGTTTATACATTTTGCATGTAATTACTACCATAGAATTATACACTTAAAAATTTTTAAATGATGTATGTATATCATATTGAAATTTTAAAAAGCAAACAAATAGGAGGTGCCTAAGCTTGACTCATGTTCATTAATTTGCTGACCCCTTTGTTATGGCAGTGGTTAATATATTTTAGAATTTAAAATTCACTTAAAAGATGTGTTAAAAGACAGATTGCTGTTTCCTTAGTTTCTGATTCATTCATGCTGGAATGGTACCCAGGAATTTGCATTTCTAATACATTTGTGTATGATGTGGATGCTGTTGGTCTGTTGATCACACTCAAAAAACTTCTAGACTACATTATGCCTAAAACAGTTCCTCTGTCTCATCAGTGCAGTTGTTTAATTGATTTGTTTTTTTTTTCTCCAAGTAAAGAGATTAAGTTATTCTAATCTAATAACATGCTAATATAGTTTGGCTCAGTCAGGCAAAATCAATCATACATATGAAATCATTAACAGCTGAAAAGAAATAGAGAGAGACAAAGTTGGGAAGAGATTAAAAGTGAGAGCTGATGTAGGATTGCCTGGATGCAACTAACATCCCAGTTCCATCACCTTTCTCCTCTGTAACACTGGAACAGGTAATGAACTTCCCTGAGATTTAGATTCCCTTGCCTGTAAAGGAGAATAAATAACAAAAATTCCTCATAGAGTATTTTGAGGATTACATGGGATACTGCTTATAAAGTTGCTAGCAAAATGTCTGGTACATAACAAGTCCTAATAAACAGTTACAGATGAAAAAAAGATGGACAGGGAATAACATTCATGACAAATCAATCTGAAAAATGTTGATGTAAAAAATTCTAGAACTCAGGATATCTTCACAAAGTCGGTGTATTAAAATAAATATGGCATAAACCCTCCAATGTGAGCCTTATAAAAAGAGGAGATTTGCTTATTATGAAAAAGAGAAAGAGTGGAGGGTCTATGAGGTAATTATTAATATTAGTTTTATTAAATATTAGCACATTTCCTTAAGTGTGTACAGCAACCTCAAGCTGGTGTTATTAACTGAACTTGGGAGAACATTTGAGCTCATGAACTATTCACATTGTTCTAAATCTAAGTAAAAAAGTGATAAAAGAGAGAGTGAAGAAGCTAGTTAAAATGTGTTTTCCATATATATAAATATACATAATATATAAATAAATATATATTATATATAAATAAATATAAATAAATTTAATATTTATAAATTTAACATTTATAAATATATTATATATTATATATAAATAAATATTTATAAATTTAAAGTTATAAATATATTATATATATTATATATAAATATTTATAAATTTAAAATTATATATAAAAAGATATAAATATATATGTAAATATATAATGTATAATATATCTAAATATAAATATATTTAATAATATATAATATATCTAAATATAAATATATTTAATAATATATAATATATATAAATATAAATATATTTAATATATAATATATCTAAATATAAATATATTTAATATATAATATATCTAAATATAAATATATTTAATATATAATATATCTAAATATAAATATATTTAATATATAATATATCTAAATATAAATATATTTAATATATAATATATATAAAAATAAATATATTTAATAATATATAATATATAAAAATGTAAATATATTTAATAATATATAAATAGATTATATATATATAAATGTAGCTAACAGTTCCAACAATGTTCAAATAAGGCAAAGGCCCAGCTGCAACCAATCCAGTTGTTTCTGTACCTCACTTTCCTTTTGCTGTCCATAAATCTTCTTCCACCACGTGGCTGCGCTACAGTCTCTCTAAATCTGCTGTAATTCTGGGAGCTGCCTGATTCTCCCATCGTTCATTGCTCAAACTACTTTAAATTTTATATATATATATATTTTACACAAAGAATAGGCTGAGTTAAATATACATCTTGCTGTTTGCAGTGACCATTCTGGCTTATCATTACAGATGTCTTGTTTTCTCCTATAGAAGTAACACACTTTACTACTTTTCAAGACAGATTGTTACACTGATTCTATGATTGTCGTTAAGAGAAAAATTTCAACCAAATTAAATGTAAAGTAGTATGAGCAATGAATGATGGGAGAATCAGGCAGCACCCAGAATTACAGCACATTTAGAGAGACTGTAGCGCAGCCACGTGGTGGAAGAAGATTTATGGACAGCAAAAGGAAAGTGAGGTACAGAAGCAACTGGATTGGTTGCAGCTGGGTCTTTGCCTTATTTGAACATGGTTGGAACTGTTAGCTACATTTGGCCAAAACTCAGTGATTGGTACAGATGTGGGCTACAGTTGGTTTACAACTTCACTTGTTATAGTTCACGATGTATAGAAAAACCTTTAGGTTGAACTTTAATATGTAAGGAGGCAGCTTTAGGCTAAACTTGATTTAACAATTTCCCTCTTTGGGTCATTTTCTCAATCTTGAGATATTGACCAAAACTTTAGTTATTGATGTTACTATTACCATGGCTCTTGAAACTTACTGGGAAAGAGCAGAACAGTGAGTTTGGCAAAGATGGGAACAAGGACCGAGTAGAGGGTATGTCCATATGTTGGAACATTCTGTTTACAGAAGAAAAACAAAACCTGGTCTGTTCTAGAATCTGTTTGCTATGTTTTCCATGATCAAACGTAGTTTGATTATGTTACATTCAGCACAAGCAACCCCAGTTTTGTCTGGTTTGGTCTGTTGGGGCCTAGTGCATGAGCTCAGTCCAAAACAATGGCCTCCCATAATTTCATTTAAAAGAATCCCCTTTTTTTTAGGTCATGTTCTCACTTAGGTGAGAGTGTGACCAAACTTAGGGCCTTAGCACCACTCTCAGTTACCATCATTGTGGATTTCTGGTCTCAGCATGTCATTCATAAGTTACGGTGTCCTCATGGCTGCACATTTCTTTCAGCTCTTGTCATTCCAGTTAAAGAGAGACCATTTGACATGCTAGAGATGTCTGCATGCAAACATTTAACACTTTTAAAGAGAATATAGCACACCAGAAAGACTATTATTATGACTATCAGTAGGATAATACCAAGAGTTTGGAGTGTGCTCCTTACCCGGGGTCCCCATAAACCAAACCACCCAAAATTAAATAGATCAAAGGATGAGCTACATGAAGAGTCTACTCACTTAACTAAAGAGTCTCGGCCGGGCGCGGTGGCTCACGCCTGTAATCCCAGCACTTTGGGAGGCCGAGGCGGGCGGATCACGAGGTCAGGAGATCGAGACCATCCCGGCTAAAACGGTGAAACCCCGTCTCTACTAAAAATACAAAAAATTAGCCGGGCGTAGTGGCGGGCGCCTGTAGTCCCAGCTACTTGGGAGGCTGAGGCAGGAGAATGGCGTGAACCCGGGAGGCGGAGCTTGCAGTGAGGCTAGATCCCGCCACTGCACTCCAGCCTGGGCGACAGAGCGAGACTCCGTCTCAAAAAAAAAAAAAAAAAAAAAAGAGTCTCTTCATTAATCCCCTACAACTAAATCTATAATATGTGATGTTTTCCCCATAGGCCATAAGTGCCAGCAGCTGTACAGATACTTCTGTTTAGCTAGTAACTTATCCAGATCAATTCTATTATTTAGCATAACTTTCACAAGAGAATTTAAAGTTTATTGTGTAACCATAGCCTTTACAGTAGAATCTGCTTCAGAGCCTATCATGAGGAATACATTTTTAATCTTTGCCGCTTTTATTCCAAACTATGGAAAAAGGACCTAACAAATGATGCCCTTTTAGAAGAGTGAAAGCCTCCCAGCGATGTTCTCCTTAACCCATGATGTGGGTTAAGAGGAGTAAATCAATGTTCTGTTTCTGACTGATTATGAGGCAATGTACGTACCATTAAAGTTTCTCATCTACATTGGGCCTTCATTTTTGTCTATTAAGGTATAAGGTTATCCATGTATAAGGCTGGCTGCAAAATCCTTCACAAATAAAAGTATACCCCATAAATGCACACAAGAGAACCCTTTCACTTCTATTATTCATAGAAGCATAAGCAAGGGACAAATAATCAAAGATAAGAGTCTCATGATAGTAGAGAATTCTTGATCCATGATCTTGGGAAAACCTGTTCACAGTCAAGGATGCCATCTTCTGGGGAGAAACCCCCCTGGTTAGCTTTTCTTTAAGGCTTCTAATGGGTGTACAGTTCCAAGAGTGTAAAGGGAGCCTTCTCAGTTGTGAGATTATGAACCCAAGGTTCAAGGTCCTGAAGTTTTACTGTAGTGTGCATGCCAATGACAGTCTTTCTTTGATGTTCTCAGAAGATCAGTCTTCAGGTTCTAGTTTATGAAGGCATTGATTGTCCTCAGTGAACCATAAAAACCTTACTTTACCTGGTAAAAATACACTGTAGTATAATTATCTACTGCTACAAAGATGGCAGTGGCACCCCATCTGGAGCAGCCACTGCCGTCACATCAGCTACAGCGGTGAAACATGGTAAAGAGCTGGATACAAGTGGGAAACATGCCCCTTCTGAGTTGGTGGAGTTAGAGCTTCCTGGGAACAGTTGCAGCAGCCCAAGTAGTGGCTGCAGATCTGGGCCTCCCATTCCATGGAGCACACAGGACACCTGTCCTTCAAGATGCAACTACAGATGCCCAAGCCACGGCTGCAGAGTCAGGCATCTCTACACTCTTGGGGGCACAGGAAAAAACCCCAGGCCCTTGCAGACTTGGAGGTATCTTCTGCTCCCATTGCCTGGCTCCTCCCCACTCTTGACATCTGCTCTGATCTTGGAGCAAGGTTGTGGGTAGGCTCAGGTGCTGTTGCAGCCTGGTGGGTGTGCACATGCTTGAGGCAGTGCTGATACACCAGTACCATACTGTCTCTGGCCCCTGCCCAGGCTTTGGGCACTGACAAGCATGGGAGGGAAGCTGAGGAGATGCTGAGGGCAGCTTGGCACTGGCCTGCAGGCATCCTTTGGCACAAATAGCCTGGGTGCCATGAATGGCAGCAGGAGGCAGACAGGCTCCTGCACAGAAGGGGGTGGGTCCTTGGTGAGGCCTTTCCTTCAGGCCAGGATGGGTGTGAAGGCTGGGGTCTGGGCTGCCAGTCCCGTGAACCAGAGTGTAAACTTGTGATGCCTTTTCTGGGGCCATCCATGGCCTCTCATGGACTGATCAGTGTGCATTTCTTCCTTTCTGAGACCTATAAAAGCCCCAGGCTCAGCCAGAACTGAGCAGACATTGGGACAACCAGCTACAGAGAGCAGCTACCCACTCCAGGGCCTCATCTCTTCTGAGAGATGCAGATATTGGGATGCCCAGCTGCAGAATGGAGGTGCCCACTCCAGGACATCCTCTGAGTTATTCTGTCACTCAATATAGCTCCTCTTTGCTCACTCTCCACTTGTCTATATACCTCATTCTTCCTGGAGGTAGCACAAGAACTTGGGACTTGCCAAATGACAGGACTAAAAATGCTGTAACACAAACAAGGTTGAAACATGCCCCTTGCTCACCATGTTGTGGATGACAAGAAGAGAGAAGAAAAAAAGAGCTGTGGCTCTATGGGAACCCAGACCTGGGAGCTCCCCAGGCCAGAGCTGTGACTCCCGCTATGGGACCCTGTGGTTCCTGGAGTCTGCAAGCTTCCAGGTACAACTGTGTTCCCTTGTAACAGCCATGGAAGCTGCTTGTGGTGTGTCTGGTCCAGCCAAAGCCTTATAGTGAGCTAGCACTCATGCTGGCACCTGGAGCTGCCTGTCCCAGCTGCAGCAGCTGGTGTGCCTAACTGTGTTAAAATATATTGAACAATATGAACTTCCACTCACCAAGCCTGACTTGATTGCTCAGTCTACCAGTAGCAGAGGACAATATTGAGCCCCTGATATGGTGACATTCCCTGGAGTAATCGGCTGGCTGCCTGGGGGCAGGCTGATTACATGGTATGAATTTCATCATGGAAGTAGCAGCATTTTGTTCTTATAGGAATAGACACTTACTTTGAATACGGATTGCCTTCCCTGCATGCAGTGCCTCTTCCCAAACTACCATAAGAGACTTACGAATGCCTTATACACTATCACAGTGTATCACACACCATTGCGTGTGATCAAATAAGTCACTTCCTAGCAATAGATGTCAGCAATGGGCCCACGCTTATGATCCAATGGTCTTACCATGTTCCGCATGACTCTGAAGCAATTGGATTGATAGAATGGTGGAATAGCCTGTTAAAAACTCTGCTGCAGCACCAGCTAGGTGGCAATGTCTTGCAGAATTGGGACAAATTCTCCAGAAGGCTGTATATGCTCTGAATCAGCATTCAATATATGGTGCTGTTTTTACCATAGCAGAATTCATGGCTCCAGGAATGAAGGAGTGTAAATGAGAGTGACAGAGTTCACTATTACTTACCTGTAGTGACTCAGTAGCAAGATGGTTGCTTCCTGTTTTCATGACTTTATCATATAATATGAGATGTACTGAATTTGTTTCATAGTATTTAAGTAATCCTAATTTTACATCATAGTATTTAAGTTAGGGGATATCAAGAAGAGTAAACATTACTCAATGACTTTGCTTCCTCTTTCTGGGAAGGGATTAGTGCAATTTTTGGTGTATACAGGATAGTTGTATCCTGTCAGGCAGAATTATGACCTTGCTATTGTGTTTATTTGAAAATTAAATATGGTTTTAAAAGATACATATAGGTGCCACATTGACACAGAATAAACTTATAATAGCTAGTTTTATGTGTTGGCTTGACTAGGCCATGGAGTGCTCAGATATGGAAACAAATACTATTGAGTGTATCTGCAAGGATGTTCTAGATGAGATTGATATTTAAGTTCATAGAGTGAGTAAAGCAGATTGTTCTCTCTAAAGTAGGTAGGCCTTATCCAGTCAATTGAAGACCTGAATAGCACAAAACAGTTGATTAAGGGAGGACTCCTCTTGCCTGGCTTCCTGAGCTGGGCCATTGGTCTTTTCTTGCTTTTATATTCAAATGGAAACATGGATTTTCTCGGGTATTGAGCTTGCCAGCCTTTGGACTGAAGCTTACACTATCAGGTCTGGTTCTCATGCCTTTGGACTCAAACTAGAACTAAATTTCAGCTTTTCTGTGTCTCCAGCTTGCCAATTGCAGATATTGAAACTTATCAGCCTCCATAAGATGTGAGCCAATTTCTTGTAATCTCTCTTTCTCTCTCTCTCCCTCTCTCTCTCTCTCTCTCAATATTGAGAGCAGTATACACAGCTAAGATAGTCATGGAATGGACATGATGACTCTATTACTCAATGTTATCTAGAGAAACATATGATGAGCAAGAAAGGATAAGAAATTGGCTCACACCATCCTTATAGAGGCTGAGAAGTCTCAATATCTGTAGTTGGCAAGCTGGAGACACAGGAGAGATTAAATGTAGTTCCAGTTTGAGTCCAAAGGCATGACAACCAGGAGAGCTGGTAGAGTAAGATTCAGTCCAAAAGCTGGCAGGCTCAATACCCAAAAAAGACAATGTTTCTATTTGAAACATTGAAAAGGAATCCTCTCTTAATCAACTTTATTTGTGCTATTCACCTCTTCAATTGATTGGATAAGGGCTACCTACACTAGAGAGAACAATCTGCTTTCCTCACTCCATGAATTTAAATATTAATCTTATCTAGAACATCCTTGCAGATACACTTAATATCATTTGTCAGCATATCTGGGTACCCATAGCCTAGTCAAATCAACACGTAAAATTAGCTATTATAAGTTCATCCCCTGTCAACCTGGCAGCCATGTGTCTCCTAAAACCATACTTAATTGTCAATTAAAGAAAATAGCAAGGTCATAATTCTGCCTGATGTGATACAACTATCCTGTGGCAACCAAAAATGCACTAACCCCTTCCCTAGAAGAGGAAGCAAAGTCCTTGAGTGGATGAGGGCTGCCTACTTTGAATATACATGGATGTGTATAAATACACATTTTTTTCTGTTCCTCTAGATAACCTTGACTAATACAATCATCATGTTCATTCCCTGACTATCTTAGCTGAAACAGAGACTACCAGTCAGTACTCTTATTGCCCCCGATTTGTTTATTGAATGTACTTGCTAAAATCCAAAAAATACAAATTTACTTATTGTCTACATCAAATATAATGCAATCACTATGGGAGTAAGTACTTTGTATCTCTTTTTACATCACAGAATAGATTGCATAACATAAAAGTGATGCTCAACAATTACCTGTTAACCTAGTTTTGATTAAAACATTCTGTAGAGTTCAAAAGGTTCTATTTTTGCATATATGTTCCCTTTGTTTTTATAAATAAATAAATTATATTAACTTAAAAATAATGGATATAATGGCTTTGAAAATTCTGAGATTCACCAGATGGCAAATGATGCTGAAATGAATAAATAGCTTTCAAGCAAAGATAGAATCCAGGGCACTGCCAGGAAAGTATGGTCCAAAATTGTAGCCAAAAAGATAACTGTAAAATTTTCCATATGTTGCAGGAAGATCAAAGGTTGTGCTTTGGAATGCCATTTAGTTAGACATACGGTCCTCTAAAATATAAAGTATATGATACACAGATAACTCAATCGAACAATGGAACCTGCAGGAAGCTCACAGCATTGCTCTGCAGCCTCCTCAACAAAAGTTCAAGAAAGAGAAGGGCATGTTTCTGAAAATATTACTGAGTTACCCTTTGTGTATGAGTGAATCTCAGTAAGATTCACAGTAAACCTACAAAAATTTGAAGGTAAATTACATATGTAAAAATATTGATAATTTAAACTGAATAAGCCAGATTCATTTTAAAGTGGGCCACCCAAGTTTCTTTAAGCAGATAGCAGGCTGAGTAAACTACTCAGAGTTAAATATGTTCTAACTTTTATGAAAAAGTAGGGCTATTTCAAAGGATAGGACTGAGACCAGACAGTGGAATCAAGAAATAGCCATTGATTGGTAGGAATAGGATTAAATTCCCCTCAAAAAAAAAGAAAAAATTAACATTTTCCCAGCTAGATTTCAGAACTCTCATTGACTGCTGACTTCTGTATGTCTCCCTTTTTCCTCTATTAAGTCCGAGTGCCTATGATGATTATTCTATGCCTGTCTCATCATTTTATGATAGATGTGTGAAAGATAGGTAAGTTGTTTCTTTAGTTTCAAAGGTCTTCAAATCAAGACAAACTGTACTCAAGGAGTTGTATTTGCAGCTAGACCTGATTTAAATGACAAGATTCTAGACTTCAAACTAATGCTGTGATGAGATGAAGCTTTGGTAGACTTAGGATACAATTAGTGAGGTGTGTGCATTACTTGGAGCCAGAGAGCAGTCTACAGTAACCGGCCTCTAAGAAGGACCCCAATGGACATTACCTCCTGGTATTCATGCACTGGTATAGTTGCCTCCCGCAGTGTACCAGGGTTCATCTATATGACCAGTAGAATATGCCAGTAGTGATGGTATGTCATTTCTAAGATGATACTATTTGGCACTCAAGGGTTAGCCTTCTGGGAAACATAGAGTTTGGGATTTGAAATTTAGAAACTGAAGCAACTTTTATTCTGGTAGTTACATGCTCTCATTACTGCTTCTCTCTATATATTTCTAATAATAATTAATTTAATTAAATATCTTCTTCTTCTCACCATACAATTTTTTCATATTTTACTATTGGTAATGATTTTAACTACTACAGAAGTGGTCTGTATCTATCTGCCTATTTATCTGTGTCTCTACAAGTGCATAAATGTGTGTGTGGTGTGTGGAGGGGAGTCTATGTATATGTGTGCTTATAAGTTCATGGATGAATTACAAAGCTTTCATATGTGCATTTCAGTTTACTCAGAAGTTAGCAAATTTATTTTTGGACATTTTAACCTCTGTATTACTATGAAAAGATCCACATTTCCATTTTCATGTAATCTCTTTCTTTCTCCCTCTGTCACACACGCACACACACATACACACACACACACACACACACACACACCCCACACTCCAAACAATTCTTCATTTGTGTAGATTTGT
Source organism: Homo sapiens (assembly GCF_000001405.40). Taxonomy (NCBI): domain Eukaryota; kingdom Metazoa; phylum Chordata; class Mammalia; order Primates; family Hominidae; genus Homo; species Homo sapiens. Next base: position 46,154,251 of record NC_000010.11, on the reverse strand, counting down.
GTATTACCCTCTTCTTGGTTTTGTGTCTCTAAATTATTTACTTAAATATTAAGTTAGTTAATTTAATTGTGTTCCCCCTCTATAATTTCCATATACGGTTTACCTTTGAACCATATGGGTTTGAACTGCATGGGTTCACAGATACATGGATTTTCTTCTGCCTCTGCCATCCCTGAGACAGCAAGATCAATCCCTCCTCTTCTTGTGCCTCAGCCTACTCAACATGAAGATGATGAGGATGAAGACCTTTATGATGATCCGTTTCCACTCAGTGAATAGTGAAGATCTTGTAATTCTCTTAATAACATTTTCTCTCACTTTCTTTATTGTGAGAATGCAGTGTATAATACATATAACATGCATGACATATGTTAATTGTTTATGTTATTGGAAAGGCTTCTGATCAACAGTAGGCTATTATTATATTACCAGCAGTTAAAGTCAAAAGTGATACAGTGATTTTTGACTTCATAGAGGTCAGCACCCTAACCACTGTGTTGTTCAAGGGTTAACTGAAAACGCACTGGATTGCATGAGCATAAGATAATAATGAGACCTTAACTACTTTCCAGCTGAGGTAGGGGAATTTAAATTCTGCATAATATCTGCTGTCAATAGATTTGCCCAGTAAAGTTTTGTATCAAATAAGTTCTAAGTCTTATTTCACATTTTTATCTCAGTTTCTAAATCTGCCATTATTACATTGGATTTAGGAGGAAAATCCATTATAAAAAACCTGTTCTAACAAGAAGACTGTTTTTTGGTAGTCTCTTAAACTTCATATTGGGTGAAGATTATGCTCCTTGAGGATAAGATTCATACTGTAACAATTTTCTATATCCTCCACAATGTTTTGCAGATTCAATAACTATTTAATGAATTAAGTTAAATTTACCTATACTCTTACAAGTCTTACTCTCATAAATAACCTTCTAATCCACAATTCCTCTAAAACATACAAAAAATTGCCAATATAAAAAAGCAAGAAAGAAGGTGTTAACCATTTTGTCATTCAAAATATGACTCATTCTTTCTTATACAACTACCTTTGTCAGCATTCTTGCCATTGGACTGTCTAGCCTTTGACACTGTTATATCATGGCTTGTCGTTAGAGAAGGTAAAGTTTGGAAAAAAGAAGCAGTTACGTAAAGCAATGTTAGAAAATCCTTGAGTTTCCCTTAGAATTTTGTGTCTTCTACGTGTTTTCTATTTCACATAGATTAAGTTTGCAGAGTTGTGTCATAATTTCATGAGTGTATCTGTCAAAGAGCCCTTTGAAGGCCTATTTAATCCAACTAAGACCATTTTTTCTTGTTTTAATACCATTAAACTTGTTCTCTCTTTGATAACTGAGGGAAAAGAGAAAGACATTCCATATAATACATCAGATGCCTAAGTGCTTTGGATAGTCATAAGCCTTTTCTCCTACAGCTTCCTAATTAGAAATGCCTGCTCTGCGGAGTTTTCTTAAGTTTTCCAACTTGCTCCTTCCATTTTATAATAGTCTATTGAGGAAGACTATTATCAAATAAAAATCAGAATGATCACTGGACACCTATTTTAGCCTTGGGATTTATATCACAATTCCCTAAGACTTCATATTTCCAGAAAAGAAATTCAAACTAAAGCTCACAATTACTATTATTATGGTAATCCTGATAAGATGTACATTTTAACTAAAAGAAGTTCCCACTATTTTTTTTCTTTCTACTTTTCAATAATTCTTGGGACCTTAGTAGGAGTGTGCAATAGTCTTGTGGTGTATTTTTAGTTTAAAAGTCTATCTGATTACCACTTGGTAGATATTGTCCAAACTCACTTTTGAATCCAAGTGTTTTTACCCTTATATAATTTTTTTAAAAGAGTATTTGCTTGTTTCTATTATACTATAACTATTGGAGCTACTAGGAGGCCTTTTAAATTTCAACAACAAATAGGCAGAATGGAGACTAACTGAAGGGTTGATGGGCTTAAAGAAAATAAATAACCTAACAAAGGCTAATGGCAAAACCAACATTAGAAACCAAGTCACTTTACTTGGGATTAGTGGATACCAAAATGTGCTTTCTCGGAAGCAGCACTTTACAAGGAAACATGAAAATCCACCTTTGTTGTCCTTCAGCTAAAGGGAATAAAATCGTGTACTTTCTGTAATTTTAACCTTGTTATAACAGATGCTACAGAAACTCAAGTGGAACTCTGACTGCCTTGAGAGCTGAATAAAATGCATCCCACCATCCATTGCTGCTGCATCAAGGTATTAAAAAGAGAGACAGAAGGAAGAGGCGAGAGAGGCACAAGTTCAACAGTGTGAGGGACTTGGACACAATGGGAGGGAGAAAGAAATAAATGTCTAAATGTCATGGAAAGAACAGACAATGAAGGCATATGTAAGAGGCCTGCTAAAGCTATGGGACCTCAGAAGCCTATTTGTAAGAACTACAATTTAGAATAAGGAACTTGCAATACAATGCCTGACCTTCATTTCCTTACGTGCCTCAATCTTGTCAAAACCTTTGATTGATTTTTGTATGAACATGAATTACTGCTACAATACTCAGTTGAACTACATGAATTTCTCAAAGCAGTAATACAGTGCTATAGCGTAGCTTAACATTGTTTAAGTAATATGGTTTGCTTATATTTAAGTCATTTCTAAGGGACCCATGCAAACACAGTCAGGAGATCTATTTCTGATGTATTTCCAAGGCTAAAAACAAAAAATGCTGTTAATGCATAAACAGTCAAAAAGCTACGCATTGTGGTTTTACAGGGACTTCTATTTCTAAAGATGATGGTTGCATGAGGGCCTCTGCCTTTATAAGGGAAATGTGTAGATTTTAACTAGCTCTGTATTATAATGTTTGTGTTTTGAAAAAGAAAAGCATGTTTCTGCACTAAAAAATAAATTCCTAATCAAACCTTTAAAGTTAACATTTAGAACAGGGACAGAAATTTCTATTGTTTCCTAAGTGTTTTGTTGCTGTTGCTGTTTAGATTTAAATCATTTTTTAGAAGTTTTACTGAGGCATAATTGATATAAAAAATTATACACCTTTAATATATTCACTTGGATGAGTTTGGACATGTGTGCATACACCAATACCATCATCACAACCAAGGTACTGAACATACTTATTCACCTCCAAAAATTTTCTTTTGTTCTTTTTTAATGGTGGTAGTATATTTTTAAGAATTCAGCCTTTGAGCAGGGTACGAAGGACCTTCAACAACAAATGCAAAAGTAAATGAGCTAAGTTCATATAAAGGGTTAGCTCTCAGTGAGATATTCAAGTTATGATCATATCCTCAAGAGGCTTGTAAGCTGACTGTGGGTTTCCAGTTTGGTTATTCACAGATAGGCCTTCATTTGCTCATTTACCTATTCATTCATATAGCCACTCATTCATTCTCAAGAAGAGGTATTTGTCCATATCTCACCATGTGGATGAGCAGATGGTCAGTTCTCACTTCTTTTGCCATTAAGTGTGCTCACCGTTGAGCTCCAGGATGGTATTTTCTCTCACTTTGCATCATTACCGAAGTGGCTATCAAGATTCCCTCCCCTACCTTCTTTTTCTTTTTTCAATGTTTAAGAGCTGGAGTTAATTTCTTGACTCCTTTGGTAACACATGCACATATATACCACTCAAGGCCTGTTGGATTAAACTGTTAAATTTGTCATCTAGCTAATGTTTTCTCAGAACCAGACAAATTAAACAGAGTCAATTGTTGAAATTATTTCAAAAGATAAACAATCATAGAATGGAAATAAACTACAGAAAGTAGGGAGCAGGAGTAACTAAGTCTCCTAGAAAACATTTGCAGCAGATGTTAAGTATCCAGTCTCGTTGTTATAAATGAATTTCAAAGAATCTCAGAGCAGCTTTACAAAATTTTACTGCACTAACAAATGGCAGCCAACCTCTGTAGTAAACACAAAATACTGTACCATCCTTTGTATCTCCTTAAATTAAGCCAATTTCTGCTTACACAGAAAATCTGTCTGTGGAAAACACTGCTTAGAATTTGAAAGCACATTAATCTGGAAGCCACAACAGAAGTGTGCTTCAGAAAACTTCTTAATGTTTTTCTTGTGAGTTATTCTCTTTACGCTTTTCACATTACAATATTACCAAGTTATCATAATGTATTTTCTGCACTCCCAGAGCAAGATAAGACTCTAGTTGTTGCTGGGAACTATACATTGTCTAAATATGGGTTCACATTCTCTCACAGTGATTCTGGAATCATACACACAAATGAGATCACTGCTGTCACATCACTGGAATTAAGACAACCTCTCTACTCACTGGCCATGTAAATATAGATACAGTACTCAAATCCTCTGAGGCTTAGCTAATTATTGGTTGATTTGGTCTACACTTACCACATTAACTATTTGAAAAGATTCATTGATATAACATGTACTAAGAACAGTTCCTGACTCATAATCATTATTAAGGCAATATTTACCAATATGTGACATTAAAATAGATACTACTATTAGATAATAATTCATACTATACATTCAATATTTAAGCAACAGAATTATAATTTTGTGAAGTAAATTTTGTACTCAAATAGAAAATCTAATTCTATAATTATTTTCTGCAATATTGGGTCATAGAACCAACAAAGAATATATGACTGGCTTAGACGTATGTATTTACTTATGCGATTAGTAATAAAATTCTTCACTCATTCCTAGATTTGAATCCCAGATGCTCTGCGTAGCAGCTGTATAGTCTTAGACGAGTTGCTTAATCTGTCTGTACCTCGATTTCCTCATTTGTACTCCAATTTTCTTATGTGGTAAATATAAAATTACTTAACTCAGAGCTATGAGGTCAGTTTTATTTGAGAGAATCCAGAAAAAAAAAAAACTTAACACACATTTCCTACCATTCGGCATGCATAATACGTACTCAAGGAAATTTTAGATCTCTGTACATGATTAATATATTAAATCCTCAAACCGACTATAAGGTCTGAAAATGCATGTCTTTATGTCACTGTACCTCTCATTGCACTTGGCACAGTGTTGTGAATATATTTGTCAATTGTATGTTCTTTCTACCATACAATTCTGCCACTCCAATTAGCATATTGTGTTGGAAAACAATTGAGTGCTTGCCTTATGTTTTACTAAATTTATATGGAACTACGTTGACACTTCCTTGCCCTTAAGATGCTGGGACTCACTGGTTGCTTTCTAGTTCTCAGGAGTCTCTATGTGACTCTGTCCTTTACACTTGCCCTGCAACATCACCCTCAGCCCTAGACAAAGCCAACATCATTTTTAAAGACCTGCAAATATGTCTGCAATTCACTGTATGAATATTCTCATTCTATCAAAACCCTGACCTCACTAACTCAATGGAGCAATACAGGATGATAAAGTAGTTTATATGAAAGTCATAGAAAGTTTGCTTTGTTTATTCACCCAAAGGTATGTTTTTAAAGGATGAGGCTTTTATCTGAAATAAATAAAATTATAATTTGAAATTTCAAATAATGTGACTAATAGATTATGAATTCATTTCCAAATATAGAAATAATTAAAATACTTGGGGGTATAGAAAAAGTGAGTGCTGTATCTATTCTTTTATTATATTAATTTTACCCTAGCTGCCAGAATTTAGTACTTTTAACATCAACTGAGAGATTTAAGGCTATTGTAATTTTCCTATTTTGATTTTCCTCTTCTATTTATAACTCAAAGTAATTTGATAATATACACTGTGATGTGTCCCCATGTATCAAACATTTAAAAAATATATTTGGAACCAAAGCAAAGATACATATTTTTTTTTAATTTAAATTTTTTTTTTTGAGATGTCACCCAGGCTGGAGCGCAGTGGTGCAATCTCTGCTCACTGCAAGCTCCCCCTCCTGGGCTCACGCCATTCTCCTGCCTCAGCCTCCCAAGTAGCTGGGACTACAGGCGCACGCCGCCATGCCCGGCTAATTTTTTGTATTTTTGGTAGAGACGGGGTTTCACCGTGTTAGCCAGGATGGTTTCAATCTCCTGACCTTGTGATCCGCCCGCCTCGGCCTCCCAAAGTGCTGGGATTACAGGCGTGAGCCACCGCGCCTGGCGCAAAGATATGTTTTACTAATACCACAGAGGTATAATCTGCTGCTATTTCTTGATCAGAAGTAAACAAGTGTCTTCACAGCAGTTGATCTAATTTTCTTCCCCATTCATTCAATGGTATTTTTTGATTATTACAGAATATATTGAATTAGATAATGATAAGTCCTTTTTCTTTTTTTTTCAGAAATGGCTTCTCTCTGTTACTGAGGCTGGATTGCAGTGGCGCTGTCTTGACTCACTGCAGCCTCTGCCTGCTGGGCTCAAGAAATCCTTCTACCTCAGCCTCCTGAGTAGCTGGGACTACAGGTGAGCACCACCATGTCCACCTATATAATTTTTGTATTTTTTTTTTTTTGTAGAGATAGGGTTTCACTGTGTGGCCTAGGTTGGTCTCAAACTCCTGGGCTCACACCATCCTCCCCCCTCATCATCCCAAAATTCTGGGATTACAGGTGTAAGCCACTGCACCTGGCTGAGAAGGCTTTTTATTATAGGTTGTTCTTATTGTTCTATTTATTTGGTTTGCTTGTTGGTTTTCAAGGTAAGTTTGACATATAAAGTGGTATAATGTTTAAAGGTCAAGTTACAGAGATAGCTAGATTGAAGTTCAAATCCAGAGCCAAGTTACTTAGACTCTCTAAGGACCTGTTTTTTCCCTTATAAAATTAAAATAAAGTGGATAGCCACTTCACAGGTTTGTAATAAGAATTAATATGATCATGATGTCACAGAGTTGCAAAGAGATACTGAAACTTGGCTCTGCCAAAAAATATTAGCTATTGCCATTATGATTGTTCTCCTTAATACCTAAGGCATTTGCTGACAATCAGGTTACTCATCATGTCCTTCCAGGAAAAAAACTTTAAGAATGTTGAAAACTTAGGAACTACTTTTAAAATTTAATTTTCAGACCTGACATAACACAGCTGAGGAAGAGAGGTGGTAGCTGATTGGGGATAGATGTAGAGATCATTAATGGTATAAGAGTGTGAGAATGTGAAGCAGGATAGGATATGATATTACTCATACAGATCACAAATACATGTCAAAATTATATTTATCATTCATTTAAGTAAAATTCAACATTGTTTTCTTCAAAGAAGAAATTGCGCATTTCACTCTACCTATTTAACTCTGGAAAATTTTACAAACTGAGCATGCCATTTTTTAGTATGAATTCCTTTATTTCAGCTGCCCTGCTAACTTTGCATGATGAGCAGAAAAAAATGAAACAGAATGGTTAGTTCTGGAATATGAAAAAGTGTCCAAGAAGAGGAGTAGTCTTGAGAAGTAGGGAACAGGATGAAGTCACTAGGGGACAGAAGGATAGGAGGGAGTGGGACCAGACAAACACTGAGCTCTGCATGCACACGTAACAGTCTAAAATAGTCATCCAGCACGCAGACTCTAGGTCAAGATAACCAAGATGAATTGCAACTTCTCCACAAGCAACATGACTTTGGGTAAGGTATTTAACTTTTCTGAGTCTTAGTTTCTTCAACTGATAAATAAAAATGACGGTCATATCTACTTCATAAAATTGTGATAACTGATTAATACATGTAATGAATAGTGTTTGGCATTTAGCTTAATAATAAGACATTTCATTAAAATATTAGCTACTTTTGTTAGCTAGCAACTCTCAATTTTGCCTAAAGCTGACCCCATATCTAGGGTTAGGTTTTGAAAGAAGTTTATCACCATCAGAACTAGGTCTGGAAATTATAAAGGAAAGCTTAAAAAAACCCAGAAATATGTGCAACACCTATTTACAAAGAATCCACTGGGAAACCCCCATTGAGCCCAGGTAGATGGCACATGTCCCCTTTGGGCATGTAACTCAGTTCCCTGAGGGTCAGTATATTGTCTTTGTTTCAAAGGTCCCAAGGCAAACTTTTTAATAATTGTGGTCCCACTCAATAGTCATGTTCACTTACTTTATGGGTACATTTGTGGCATATTTTAAAATGCGAAGTTGAGTGCATTTCACTTAAAAACCAAAGGCATGTAATGACAACATGCTATAGAGGAAAAATTATTGATTTGTGTAAATAGGCAGATCTTGTTTGTATTCTAGCTCCATCACTTACTAATTTTGTGATATGGGCAATTTATATCCTATCTGAGCCTGTGTTTCCTCTACAATATGAGATAATTTCTACTTTGAAGTACTGTTATGAGGGTTAAATATAAATTACTTTCTGGTTTATGATGTTGGTATATACTATTTCCATGCATGATAGTTATTTTTATGAATAAGATTTTAACAGTAAGCCATAGAAAAATACAATGTAAGACTGATTCTTAGTATCTATCAAAACAGATTGTAAAAATGACTTAAACATCTAGCATGGCAGTGACTAACATTTTGAAAAGCTTAATTTTTCCATTGAGAACTGTAGCCCAACACAGTGTCTGTGCCTCAGTGTTCCTCTTATCAGGAAGGATAATATCTGTGATGCATGGACTAACTCTAATGAAAATTTTTATTCTTAAGACACAAGATATTTCCCAGCACAGTACATAAGGTCTTTGTGCTCATGTCAGCATTGGAGATAAATTTCTGGGAAAGAAGTAGAGAAACCGCTCATTTCTATAGACATCAAAACACCAAAGTAAAAGTGAAAATAAAGGTACGCTGCAGACTTTTTTTTAAATGCCTAAACTAAAAAGTATACCTATCAGGAAACATCCAACTCACAAATTACTTTAAATATGTTTTTAAAACAGTGTGCTTGTTTTATAACCACAGATTCATGCTATTTACCTGATATTCCCAGGTGGTTGCTTTGTGGGGCTCAGTGCCATCCTTGGAGCAATAAAAAGCATTTCTTCTACACCAGTAAAAAACTGGCTACTTCTCACATAAACCTTGGAGGGCTTCCCTCAGTGGGCTTAGTGATCAGCAAATCATGTCAAATAACCCTTTTGGTTATTTTTGACATAATAGTGTTCCTAGCAGGCAGTACTCAAGAATTCCCAGATTCTTAGCTTTAAATTCAATATACTCTCTTGTATTAAAAGTCAAGCTATTTATCCACAGTAGTTCTTAGGTCCACGTTTCATTTTACACATATATGTGGATGTAACAGCTTTTTCCTTAGAACTTTTTAAAAAAATGGAATTCAGTAAAAGTCCTATATTTGTATTTTCTATGTGCCAAGAACAGATAACCATCATTAATGTGAGCCAAATTTGAATTGAGGAGCTGAAATTAGGAGGAATTGAAAAACACCTGAAATAAATCTTCAAGTAATGAAGGGGAAAGTTTACTTTAGAATTAGTGTATCAAAAATGAGAAAATTGGCTGGGTGCAGTGGCTCATGCCTGTAATCCCAGCTCTTTGGGAGGCTGAGGCATGTAGATCACCTGAGGTCAGGAGTTTGAGACTTGCCTGGCCAACATGGTGAAACCCTGTCTCTACTAAAAATACAAAAATTAGCCGGGCATGATGGCACATGCCTGTGGTCCCAGCTACCCGGGAGGCTGAGGCAGGAGAATTGCTTGAACCACGGAGGCAGAGGTTGCAGTGAGCCGAGATCACGCCACTGCACTCCAACCTGGGTGACAGAGTGAGACTCCTTAAAAATAAATAAATAAATAATAAATAAACAAATAAATAATTTAAAAAAGTCATTGCTTTATTTTTAAAAAAGTAATAGTTTCAAAATGTATACATATAAAATCTAACTGGGAATACTTTGTACCTACTTGTAGCCCAAGATTAAGTTTATTCTCAATTACTAGGAGGTTTGCACAATAGAGTACATATTTAATCTGTATGACTAAAAGCCTCATTGTCAATGTGACTGTGTCATCATTATCACATTTGTGAATCTCCTGATTATAACTTTCACAGATGGTCTATCTACAGGGTTCTGGGATAAGAAACTTGCTGTCTGTCTACAGAGGAAGCTGTTTTCACTTCCAGATAGTTCTGAATATTTGAAAGTACTTGCTGATTCAGAGTCAAATTATGTCTTGCTGTAACATCCACAATTTCTGAACTTACATTTGAGATAAACCAAGATTAGACTAAACCATGCCTTCAAGTGACAGACTCTCAAAAATGTGATGTATTTTTTTTCAAAAAAAACTGCACGTCCAGGATACTCTACCTGGAGAAAAACGTAGCTCTCATTAACCTTGTCCAGACATTAAACTTATAAGAGAAAATCATTATTTTCCTTGTAGCCAAATTATTCCGCTAAATTGTTTTTAGGCAGGATTAATAAACCTTTACTGTAAAGGGAAAGAGGCTAAGATCTTAGGTTTTGTGGGCCATATAATCTCTATACAACTATTCAACTCTGCTGTTGCAGTGAGAAAGCATTTACAGACGATACACAAATGAATGAGTGTGTCCATGCTGCAATAAAACTTTATTTACAAAACCAGTCTATTGGCTGGATATGGCTTGCAGGCCATACTTTGCCAACCCTTGGTTTACAGCCTGGCTAGCTAAACACTGCTTGTTGTAGTAAAATCTTGCTTTTTAAAACATATGTCTCTCATCCTAGCATTGTCATTACATGTGTGTGGTTTATTGTTGAATATGTAATATTTAAGGATCTTTCCTATTTAGTTTTATTGACTAAAAGCTGTTTCATAATTATAATACACAGACATCTATATAGGTTTTTATTTTATCATTCAACCTATTAGCTAATCCTTAGAGTTGTTTCAATTTTCATGTGTTTGACAGATGAACATGTCTAAAACACTGATGAAAATGTTACCAGAATATAAACAAAAATGAATTTTTCCGGTTAAAACCATTTTACTTGTTAGTAATATGTAACTATTAACCATTAAATAATTTACCAAATTATTCCATTACGTAATCCATATTGCTCCTTCTTGTCCACAAGAATATAGTAAGGTACATTATCAAATACATACCTCTGACTTTAGTGGGCATTTAATGTATTATTAGAGGATCCCAATATCTGTCTTTCTTAAGAAAATTAAACTCATCCCTAGTGATTATACACTTTCTTCATCTAACACTATAATATTAATAACATTTGAAAAAGTAATGTCAAATAATTAACACTAGATTTACAGAGTATTTTTAGACAGTTTTCTAAAATTATCTGAAAAATTTGGCCAGAATCAGTGTAAAATTCACATCTGAGCTTATGGAAGCCAACTTTATTCCACTCTAAAAGTACAACATTTTATAGTTTTAATTTTATCTTTTAAAATGTTTTAACCTAAAGGTAGTGGAAGACGTTACTAAAGGAAGCTTAGGTAGTAACGTATTTGTCGTCTCAGTTAACACAAAGACCATAGATGGGGCAGATCTGCAGGATGCAAAAACTTTCTTTTTTCTCACCTCATAGTAGCCATATGGCTACTGCAATTCTCTGGTTTCATGTGCTTACAAAATGTCCTTTAGTTAAAAACAAAAAGAAAGAGAAAGAGAGAAAGAAAGAAAGAGAAAGAAGAAGGAAAAAAGATAGAGGAAAAATAATTTCTTCATGTGTCTATTTAAATTAACAAAGACGTGAATTGTCCCAGACCTCCCTGTGATGATTAATTTCATGTGTCAGTTTTACTGGGCTAAGGGTTGCCCACATGGCTGATAAAACATTATTTCTGAGTATGTCTGTGTTTCCAGAGAAATTAGCATTTGAATAGGTAGGCTGAGTGAAGAGGATCATCCTCACCAATATCTATGGGCATCCTTCAATCTCTTCAGAGCCCAAATAAAACAAAAAGGCAGAGGAAGGGTGAATTTAATCTGTCTTCTTGAGCTGGGACATCCATCTTCTCTTATCCTCCAATATTGGAACACCTGGTCTATGTTGGTAGGAGTGTAAATTAGTTCATCATAACCTTGTTGGCACTAGGGACCAGTTTCATGGAAGACAGTTTTTTCATGGACCGTGGTGTAGGGAAGATGGTTTTGGGATGATTCAAGCACACTACATTTATTTATTTATTTATATTATTATTATTTTTGAGATGAAATCTCACTCTTGTCACCCAGGCTGGAGTGCAGTGGCGCAATCTAGGCTCACTGCAATCTCCGCCTCCCAGGTTCAAGCAATTCTCCTGCCTCAGCCTCCCAAGTAACTGGGATTACAGGCACCTGCCACCACACCTGGCTAAGTTTTGTATTTTCAGTAGAGATGGGGTTTCACCACGTTGGCTAGGCTGGTCTCAAACTCCTGACCTCAGGTGATCCACCTGCCTTGGTCTTCCAAAGTGCTGGGATTACAAGTGTGAGCAACCATGCCCGGCACAGGCACATTACATTTATTGTGCACTTTATTTCTATTATTATTACATTGTAATATATAATAATTATACACCTCACCATAATGTAGAATCAGTGGGAACCCTGAGCTTGTTTTTCTGCAACTAGAGGTCCCATCTGGGAATGATGGGAGACAGTGACAGATGCACACACTGCAGGGGGATTGCATTAGATCATCAGACATCAGATTCTCATAAGGAGCGTGCAGCCTAGACCCTTCACATGTTCAGTTCACATTAAGATTGGTGCTCCTATGAGAATCTAATACCACCATTGATCTGACAGCAGGCAAAGCTCAGGCAGTAATGCAAGTGATGGGGAATAGCTGTAAATTCAGATCAAGCTTCGCTTGCTTACTCACTGCTCCTACTGCTGTGTGGCCCAGTTCCTCACCAGGCCATGGACCTAGTCCATGGCCCACAGGGTTGGGGACCCCGATCTAATGTGACAACTCTGGAAATCAGATTCTATACCCCCTATTTGTTGTTGCTGTTGTTGCTGCTGTTATTGTTGTTCAGTGTCTAATGAGCTTTCTGAAATAATTTTGTAGTCTGGGACTACTCTTCAACACTCAGCCAGGCAGTTTACATCTCTGCCTTAGCCTTCACTTCCTGCTTGCCCAGAGCCTCAAGGCCAGTCAGAGGTGAGAGCTTTGAGCCTTCCCAGGTCTTTACTGAACATGTACGCAGGCCTACACTTGGGAGTAGCCTCATAGATTTCTAGGAATCATTCTGTTGGAATTTTCAAAGCCCTTATGGACATCTCATTCTCCTGTTTTACTTTTAAAGCTTTTTAGTTAGCCTATTGTCTGCCCAAAATGTTATCTACAACCTCATACAGGCACCAACTTGAATAACGGCCTTTAAATGTTTTTGACAAATGCCATTAAGGAAAAGGCTTTTTCGTTAAGTGAGCTCTTAGGACAGAAAAAGACATCCTGGCAGTGGGATGTTTCTGAAAACCACCAGCCAAGTCAAATGACAGTTCTCTGGGAATGAGGCTTTGAAGGAAATCCAGCCCCATTCTGTCTTTCCAGTGGCTGCCAGGCTATTGGTCTTCACTGTAATTATGGGCTGTTAATTTTCAAGGCTGCAGTGGAGCCAGCGAGGAGAGGATGAGACTAGAATAGGGCAAGTTAAAAATACCATACTGCTTGCTGTTCTTAATGAGATTTTTCATTTTATTTATTTGTGTGTGTGTATATATGTACACACATATATATACATACACACACACACACACACACACACACAGTGAATGGAAAATAAATCTTGGGGCCCCAAAATCACTAAGCTAAAGGGAAAAGTCAAGCTGGAAAAGGGTTAGGGCAAACCTGCCTCCAATTCTATTCAAAGTCATCCCTCCATTCACTGAGATAAATGCATATCGGATTGCCTCCTTTGGAAAGGCTAATCAGAAACTCAGAAGAATGCCACTTGTCTTTCACCTACCTGTGACCTGGCAGCCTTCTCACTGCTTGTGCTGTCCCACCTTTCTTGGCAGAACCAATGTATATCTTCCATATATTGATTGATGTCTCATGTCTCCCTAAAATGTATAAAACCAAGCTGTGCCCTGACTACCTTGGGCACGTGTCATCAGGACCTCCTGAGGCTGTGTCACAGGTGTGCCTCCTCAACCTTGGCAAAATAAACTTCCTAAATTAACTGAGACCCTTCTCAGATATTCAAGGCTCACATTTTGGCAACCATGAAGGGATTCTGGGTGGAGGCTCCCCTGACCTTTGACAAATCTCCTATCAGTGCTCGGTACCAGCTTGAACTATCTTTATGGCTCAAACCAATAGAACAATTTGCCGAGACAGGCCTGGAAGCACCCCCTCCAGAGAATCACTGATCTTTCAAAATTTGGTCAAGATCTAAAGTTTATTTTGCAGTACAACTCCTTTTTTTTTTGGAGTTTTACTATCTTCCAACGCAAGAAAGGCAAGTTTTTCCTGCTTTGATGACGATGAAATGCAGGTAACTCCTTTATGGAGTTTGAGCTTGCTTCCAACGGGGAAGACAAATGTGAGTTTCTTCCTTCTTCTAGTAAGGGAGGAGACCACCCCTCATATCGTCTTATGCCCAATTTTTGCCTCCAAAGAAAGAAGTAAAAACTAAAAGGCAGAAATGAAATCCACAGGCAGACAGCCTGGCGCCGCACCCTGGGCTTGGTAGTTAAAGATCGACCCCTGACCTAATCGGTTATGTTATCTATAGATTACAGGCATTGTATAGAAATGCACTGTGAAAATCCCTATCGTGTTTTGTTCCAATCTAATTACTGGTGCATGCAGCCCCCAGTCACATACCCCCTGCTTGCTCAATCAATCATGACCCTCTCACACGCACCTCTTAGAGTTGTGAGCCCTTAAAAGGGACAAGAATTGCTCACTTGGGGAGCTCGGCTCTTGAGACAGGAGTCTTGCCGATGCCCCCGGCCAAATAAACCCCTTCCTTCTTTAATTCGGTGTCTGAGGAGTTTTGTCTGCAGCTCGTCCTGCTACACTAGGATGGTAAAGAGCAGTCTTCAGCCTGAGACCCATCCCTTACCTAAGGATGGGTAACTAAACTGGGGGTTGTCTTGGCTAAAGTTAAGATTAACAACCAGCTGGTTGTAATTTCTCTTTACCATTAGAGCACTCAGTAGTTGGATAAGTTGTGCCATCTTTGTTTTGCTTAATTGTTTTTGTTGTTGTTGTTTGTTTGTTTCTGTTTTTGTTGTTGTTTCAGTTTTTTTGCCATTGGGATTGATCAACTCTATCCGACTTGATCAAATCCAAAGGAAACTTCCAAATTATGGGGAACAAGACCTCTGAAGTGGCTAAATTTCCACACTGTGGTGGGGGAGAAAAACAGCCAAAAAAGGGGGAAAAAAAAAAACAGGGAAGATTTTTTACTTTGACTACTTAAGGGGCTTTATTTACATAACAAGGCCACCTTTTTGCTAGCCAGGCCAAACTGAAAGAGCAATGGCTGTCACTCCATACTGCAGTTCCATAGCTAAGGGCTCTGGCTTCTTTTTTTCCACCACGACAGCTTGGGTGTGGTTCCTAAATCAAGCCATTTTCGGTTTGATACTTGGTACTTCTGAAATAGCAGCAATTTGTTCTAGCTGAATTATGGTAATGAGATTTTAAAAGATTTTTTTAAAGGAGCTCAATGATTAAAAGTCAGCTTAACTAAAAGCTAACATCCAAGATGTGTGTGTGTATGTGTTTGTGCATGTGTGTGTGTGTGTGTGTATGTGTGTGTGTTTGTATTGAAAAGGCCTTCACATATTTTTTTTTTTCTCCTAGGACCTTGTCTCTCTCTTTTTCTTTTTTAGTTAAAGATTTTTTTTTCTCAGTTGACTGAGTTCTGTTTTTTGTTTTGTTTTGTTTTGTTTTATTTACTTCTGCTGCCTCTCCTTTCTCTTGCACCCTCTGCTGCTTGAGGGACCTAAACTATTATAGTTTATAATAGCCTGGCTTTCCTTCAAGAAAGCAGAGAAGGCACCAGACTCCTTTTTGGGGAGAAACCTGTTTTTCCTTATGAAACCCCAAGAGTGTAAGCAGATAAGTTCATCTCAGCTCTTAAATTGCCTGCTTTTGTATTGTGTTACCTGACTTATTGACTAAAAGGGTTGTTGCACCAAAGCCTACTCTGGTTTTTAAGGAAGAGTGTAGTTTACACATTAGAAGTGTCTTCGTTTAAAAAAAAATTTTAAGTGCACTGAAAAAGCATCACATGGTCTAGCCTCATAATAATTCTCCCTTTTGGGAGATTCAGGATTCAGTGTGGGCTCTGCCCAGAGCTCAGAGATCTAGTCAAAAGACAGGTATTTCCTACATAAATAAAATTGGTCTCTTCATATAATCCTATGACAGATTTCTTTTTTTTTTTTTTTTTCTGAGACAGAGTTTTCGCTCTTGTTGCCCAGGCTGGAGTGCAGTGGCGCAGTTTCGGCTCACTGCAACCTCCACCTCCCGGGTTCAAGTGATTCTTCTGCCTTAGTCTCCTGAGTAGCTGGGACTACAGGCGCCCACCACCACACCTGGCTAATTTTTGTATTTTTAGTAGAGACGGGGTTTCACCATGTTGGGCAGGATGGTCTTGATCTCCTGACCCCATGATCCGCCTGCCTCGGCCTCCCAAAGTGCTGGGATTACAGGCATGAGCCACCGTGCCCGGCTATCCTATGATAGATATCTGTAACTTTATGTTTGATTTGGCATCCCTCTTTTGTTTTGTTTTGTTTGAGACGGAGGCTCTCTCTGTCACCCAGCCTGGAGTGCAGTGACACAATTTCGGCTCACTGAAACCTCTGCCTCCCAGGTTCAAGCGATTCTCCCACCTCAGCCTCCCAAGTAGCTGGAATTACAGGCATATGCCACCACACCTGGCTAATTTTTGTATTTTTAGTAGAAACGGGTTTTCACCATGTTGGCCAGGGTGGTCTCGAACTCCTGACCTCAGATGATCTGCCCGCCTCGACCTCCTAAAGTGCTGGGATTACAAGTCTGAGCCACTGCCCCTGGTGTAGTACGTGGTTTTACTGCATGTGACTAGTTTACATGCAACTAGCCATGCAAGTTCAGTAACCCAAGGCGGTCTATACCCTGTTCAACAAGAACCATCTACTAATGACACTTCTGGAAGTCTGGGCAATGTCAACTTGCTGTAAAAGTTCCCAAATGCTCTCAATTATCATATGATAACAAAGGTCTCAAATCAGTAAATTTTGAGTGGCCCTTTACTAGGAATAATCTTGAATAAGCTAGTACTGCCCTCCACAACCACAATTAAAAATATATCGGTATTGGTTTTCTCTTCAGTTCAAGAATCATGTAAATATGTAATGTAGAAAATGAGGATTTCCCATATTCCCACAGAATCACAAAGATGATCACTGGTAATATGCGTGCTACATATATGATACCAGGTTTATTCTACTCTTTTTTTTTTTTTTTTTTTTGAGACAGAGTCTCACTCTGTCGCCCAGGCTAAAGTCCAGTGCTACGATCTCAGCTCACTGCATCCTCTGCCTCCTAGGTTCAAGCAACTCTCCCACCTCAGCCTCCCAAGTGGCCGGAATTACAGGCACCTGCCACCATGCCCACCCAGCTAATTTTTTTATATTTTTAGTAGAGACGAGGTTTCACTAAGTAGACCAAGTTGGTCTTGAACTCCTGACCTCTGGTGATCCACCCACCTCGGCCTCCCAAAATGCTGGGATTACGAGCATGAGCCACCATGCCTGGCCATTTTTTTGTACTTTTATACAATTATATGCTTGCTTTATAAAAATGAACTTATTCTACATATACATGTTATTACATTATTAGGACATGTTCCCAAATGACATATTACATTTTCATCATTCTTTTTTAAAATATTTTTTCGTGAGACAGTGTCTTGCTCTGTTGCCCAGGCTGGAGTGCAGTGGCCTAATCACAGGTCACTGCAGCCTGAAACTCCTGGGTTCAAGGGATCCTCCTCTCTCGGCCTCCTGAGTAGCCCAGCTAAGTTTAAAAAAAATTTTTTTTTGGCCTGGCATGGTGGCTCACGCCCATAATCTCAGCACTTTGGAAGGCCAAGGCGGGCAGATCACTTGGGGTCAGGAGTTTGAGACCATCCTGGCCAACATGGTGAAACACCGTCTCTACTAAAACTACAAAAATTAGCTGGGCGTGGTGGCAGGTGCCTGTAATCCCAGTTACTTGAGAGGCTGAGGCAGGAGAATCGCTTGAGCCCAGGAGGCGGAGGGGGCAGTGAGTCGAGATCATGCCACTGCACTCTAGCCTGGGTGACAGAGCAAGACCCTGTCTCAAAAATAAATAAATAAATAATTAAATATATATATATTTAATTATATATATATAAAATTAAATATATATATTTAATTTTATATATATATAATTAAATATTTAATTATATATATATAAAATTAAATATATATAATTAATTATATATATATTTAATTATATATATATATTTGGAGAGACAGGTCTCACTATGTTGCCCAAGCTGGTTCTGAACTCCTGGACTCAAGCAATCTTCCCATCTGGGTTCCCAAAGTGTTGGGATTACAGGTGTGAGCCACCATGCCCAGACATTTTCATCATCCTTTTTTTTTGAGACGGAGTTTTGCTCTTGTTGCCCAGGCTGGAGTGCAATGTCACGATCCCGGCTCACTGCAACATCCACCTCCCAGGTTCAAGTGACTCTCCTGCCTCAGCCTCCTGAGTAGCTGGGATTACAGGCATGAGCCATCACGCCCAGCTAATTTTGTATTTTTAGAGGACACAGGGTTTCTCCACTGTTTTTACTAGACCTTGATCACATCAAAAAGATTGTGTCTCTTCCATTTATTGTGCAGCTTGTACACAATTGACACAATGAGGAGCTCAGCAAAGGACGCAGAGTGACAGCATCCTCCCTTCAGTGGAATGGCCATGTCTAGACACCTCTTAATCACTCCCGAGAAGTAGGGATGGGTTCGGTGTATGAGAATAAGAAACGGAGCCTCCAGGGTTGAGACAATTTGCCCAAAACACACCTCTTGTGGGAAGTACAGTTGCGATCCCCCAGGTCTCTTGGGCTTGCAGGTTCCTGCTCTCCCGTGGGCCCCCAGGAGATGTTGGCTGCCAAGAGGAGGAGGAATCCTCCTGGGCAGAGGTTAACTTTTGCCACTCCAGGATTTGCCCACCCTGGGGTCCCTGCCGGGAATGTTCCCCCAGCACCACCCTCCCCATGCCGCCTCCTAACTGGCTGTGTCCTTCCCACCATTCAGCAAACACATCCTACGTCCAGGACCAGCCCCTTCATCTCAGGAAGGCTGCCATGGGACTCCCAGAACCCCCATGGCTCCTGGAGCCCTGAGGGAATCACATCTTGGGTGGGGAGTGATTTGTTTTCTCATCCAGTGCAACCTTGGAGGTAACAGACAAGAATGTCCTGTGATGCGAAGCACTTATTGTCCTGACCTCTGGTCCAGTGCCCTTCGCTCTAAGCACATAGAATCCCCAGGCTGTTCCTGGAGGTGTGGGCTGGGGTTTGTAGGGACTAGCTGGACCAGCTGGGCCAGGGGAGGCAGCCATGCCCGGGGCACATAGCCACTGCCCAGAGCTGCCCCCAGAGCTGGGAGCCATCTTGCACATGGTGCTGTGAGATGCCCTCCAGAGAGGAAGATGGAAGCTGTCTCCGTGCCCCGGGACTGATGAAGGGCCCATTCCAGGCCTTTGGGCACCCGGGCTCGCTACCCTTCTGGGAGCCCTGTCCTGTGGGCCAGGACAAAGGTGCCCTCACTGGTGGCATTCTCAGAAGCTCAGCCGCTCCCCACACATGCACATAGGGGCGTGCCCACACCAAGCCACGTGTAGGTGTCTGGGGACAATGAGTCTTGGGGGAGGGGGTGGGTCCCTTCCAGAAGGGTCTGGCCAAAGTCCAGTTATGAAGGTGAGCTGAGATGGGCTCCCTCAAAGGAGCCATAGTGTGGGGAGCCCCGGGCAGAGCCCAGAGAGAAATGCCAGCCCCGAGACCGAGACACGCTCCAAGGAGTGCTGCCAAGAGCAGTAGACACAGCCGCTGAGGCCCACGGGGCACAGTGAGGCTGTGGGAGAGGGTGGCCCCTCTGTGGCCATTTCCCTGCCTGTGCTCACATCCCCTCCTCAGGCCTGTCTCACCAGCTCTGGCAGCCCATGACCCACATTCTGTCTGACTCTCCTTCCTCTCCTGGCTACAGGGATCCCCAGTGCCCCTCACCATTCCTTCTGGTCTCTCCTCTGCCTCCCGGAACTGTTCCCCAGGACTCTCTCCTGGGCCAGCCCTTCCTGCCCCTCCACATCAGTCGTTCCGAACCCCGGATGCCTTTGGGATCAGCTGGGTGCACTTTAAATCCTTCCAGCCCAGAGCCCTGAGGCCCAAGTCACCCCCGCCTGCTCCTGTGGGACCCCTTGGATCAGCCAACCATTTTATCATCATCCATCATGTCCCCTGTCACCAAGGGCCTCTGGCATGTTGTGTTGTCCCCATGCCCACCCTGGCACCCCTCACCCACCAACCTGTGCCCACGTCCTGCCTTGAGCCTGTTTCCCCTCCTGAGTGGTATTTCCTCACTCCAGGTGGGCACTGGGGCAGCTGGCAGACTTGGCTGTGAGCTTCTGTCCCATCCAGAGGGACCCTCCCTTCCAGATTACCCAGTCAAGCTTGACCCCATGGTGTCACCGAGACGGACCAAAAGAGGGTATTGAAGCCACGCAGTCCCCCGAGCCCCACTGAGCTGCACCAGCTTTGGAGCCGGAGAGAGCCTGGGAGACTGAGCACTGAGTGCTAGGTCCCTTCTTCCCACTCTTGAGGGAGAAATCATTGTAACCTTCCCTTCCTCCCACTCTTGAGGGCCCTGGGGGGACACAGGGCACAAGGAGGGTGGCAGAAGAGGTGTGTGCCTAGGTGCTTGGCACCTAGCCGGGGTTCATTTCTGTCCTCTCAACTTGGCCTCCCAAAGTGCTGGGATTACAGGCATGAGATACTGTACCTGGTCTTATTTTTTCTTTTCTTAAGATACAGGGTCTCACCATCTGGCCCAGGCTGGACTCAAACTGCTGAGCTCAAGTAATTCCCCCACCTCAGCCTCCAAAGTAGCTAGGACTAAAGGCATGAAACCACCATGCTTGGCTCGTCCAATTTCATTCTACACACTTTCTCGGTATTTAAACAGCTGCTGTTGCTCTTCATTCTGTAGCTCTACATCAGATTCATGCTCTAGTCCTGTATATCCAAATGATGACTAGAGGCTGCCGGCTCTGCTCTTTCAAAGGCACAATGAGCGTAGCCCGTCTACAAAACTCTCCCTTTTCCAATCCAGCTTTCCCTCCTGCATCACCTATCTCTCTACATCTGGAACCATCGGCAGCTGCCTTCATAAGGCACCTCAGTCTGGCATTCGGAAAACCACCCTGTCTTGCCAGAGCCTCTTGCTCTTGGGTAGCAAAACCTGTATGCAATCTAAATCAAGCTTTCAATCATGAGAAATCACATTCCTTCTTTTCCCTTTGTAATATACTCATGTGTTTTTTTTTTCCTTTCTCAATAAGCAAATTGTACCACCATCTTATTCTGAGATGCTCCTTTTTAAAAGCTGTAGATCACATTAATGGAAGTGTTTACTGCTGGGAATATTTTCCACGTGCAATGATCTGTAACCCTCTTTTTCTTTTTTTTTGAGACCGAGTCTCGCTCTGTTGCCCAGGCGGGAGTGCAGTGGCACAATCTCTGCTCACTGCAAGCTTTGCCTCCTGAGTTCATGCCATTCTCCTGCCTCAGCCTCCCAAGTAGCTGGGACTACAGGTGCCCGCCACCACGCCCAGCTAATTTTTTTTTTTGAGATGGAGTCTCGCTTGGTCGCCCAGGCTGTAGTGCAGTGGTGCAATCTCAGTTCATTGCAAGCTCCGCCTCCTGGGTTCACGCCATTCTCCTGCCTCAGCCTCCCGAGTAGCTGGGACTACAGGTGCCTGCCACCACACCTGGCTAATTTTTTTTTTTTTTTTTTGTATTTTTAGCAGAGATGGGGTTTCACCATGTTAGCCAGGATGGTCTTGATCTCCTGACCTCGTGATCCGCCTGCATCAGCCTCCCAAAGTGCTGGGATTACAGGTGTGAGCCACCACGCCCGGCCATGCCCAGCTAATTTTTTGTATTTTTTAGTAGAGATGGGGTTTCATGATGTTAGTCAGGATGGTCTCCATCTCCTGACCTGGTGATCAGTCCGCCTAGGCCTCCCAAAGTGCTAGGATTACAGGTGTGAGCCACTGCGCCCAGCCGAACTGTAACTCTCTTATCTCAACTAGCTGACATTATTACTTCACATCCTGTTCAATTTATAAATTAAGAGAGGTGCCATGGGCTGGGCACGGTGGCTCACGCCTGTAATCCCAACACTTTGGGAGGCCGAGGCAGGTGGATCACGAGGTCAGGAGTTCGAGACCATCCTGGCTAACATGGTGAAACCACGTCTCTACTGAAAATACAAAAAATTAGCCAGGTGTGGTGGCAGGCACCTGTAGTCCCAGCTACCTGAGAGGCTGAGGCAGGAGAATGGTGTGAATCCGGGAGGCAGAGCTTGCAGTGAGCAGATATCACGCCACTGCACTCCAGCTGGGGCGACAGAGCAAAACATCGTCCAAAAAAAAATAAAAATAAAAATGAAAAAGAGGTGCCATGTGTAAAAAATCAATGCATATTTATGAACTTTATTTCAAATATATTTTCACACATTTTATCTAAATACATAATACAGAAGCCTGTGTGACTTGGGCAATGTGGCCAGGAGGGCCTGAGACTAACAAATCCACCTTGGCAAAAGGACATAAAATACGTCTTATGGTCAGAAAAATCAACATTTTGTGTATTTACTTAGTTTACGAAAAGTACTGAAAATGCTATTATTAGCTGAATTTGTGATTTCCTTTTGAAATTCTGAGTTATCCTTATTTTTCCCATTTTGTTTTTGCACCAAGGAGACTGCAGTCAAATAAAACAGATACTACACACACTCGTCGGGGCAGCCGTACTGCAGAAGCACGTTGATGCACTCCTGGCTGGAGGCCTGCCGGGCGTAGGTCAGCGCTGTGTTCCCGTGGGCATCTCGGGCCATGACGTCCACCCCGTACCAGATCAGGAGCTGCGCCAGGACCACATTCCCCTTGCGGCAGGCCAGATGGAGCGCCGTGCAGCCGTCTCCCTCCCCACAGGTCTCGTTCACCTCCTCACGGGAGCCATGTGCCAGCAGCAGGATGGCTGTCTGCAGGTCCTCATCAGCGGTGGCCCGCAGCAGCTGCTGGCCCAGGGACAGCTCAGTGCAGGGTAGTGGGGCCAGAAAGAGCTTCTCCTCATATTTGGAACGGATCCACCGTTCCTTCTCTTCCCTCGTGGACTTTTCTGTGGGTTTTGTCCGCCCCTGGCTGCTCCCTTCCCAGATGCTGTTGGCTAGGTCATTGCCAATAGATGACATAACCTTCCTGAGCTCAACTGGCCAGTCATCCAGCTCCAGAGATCGCACACGGGAAAGGCGGGTGCCAAGACTGCGGTGGATACCTGAGCATTCAATACACATGAGGACTCCCAAGTTCAAACTGGCCCACTTAGGATTCTGGGTCTCACAGTCCACACAGTGGGCGTTCCCACGCATGTTTTGGATCGACTGCAGGGCCATGGCCTCGCTCTGGCTGGTCAGCTGGGACTTGCTTTTACTGCTCTCGCATGACTGCAGGCTGGCCAGGATCTGGCTCTGGATGGCTTGGACCCATGCATCCCGCTCCTCATATGTCGTGGCTTCAAAGTGCCACGTTTGGCCAGTGGCAGACACAATCATAAAGTTGTTGGTGCTTTTCTTCTTTAGGTGTTTCTTTTTATTGGCATGAGGAGAGGGGGGCGGGTTGAGCTTGGGGATGGTGGTGCTGGAGATACTGGGGCTGAAGCATATGGAGTCACCCAGCCCGGTGTCCATGTCCTTGGATAGGCCATCGCTTTTAGAGCTGGAGATGGGTGTGCAGGCCAATGTGGCTAGGGATGGCCACTTTCCTGGGACTTTGATGGTAGATGTCTGAAGGTCAATCTCTTTTTTATGAATATACTTCATATAATCACCTAAGCTTGAATAATAGGTGAGCACACCATTGGAACACAGGGTGACGTATTTCTTTTTCCATGTCTTCAGCCATTTCCCACTTCGCTTTAAGAGCATGCCCTGTTTAATGGGGATGGCTCTGCCGCTCCCGATGGTGTCAGCATGATTCTCCGGGGCTTTCCTCTCTTTGTCTGGGTCACTCCCTTTCTCAGATGTAAACAGGTTGGACCAGCGCATGGACCGCTTGCAAACGGGGGTGGGTGTGTTGGCAGTGGGAGGAACACTGAACTGAGGGTCCTCCTGGCTGGTGCTGGGAGTCGATGGAATGGAGGAGGAATAGTTATTTAAACTCCCACCTCCATTTCTGTTCTTCGTAATGTGCACGGTGGAAACCTGTGTGGAACAGAAGGAGGAATGGCTTCAAAAATTGGGTAGTGGCTTGCAGGGTCCTATAGACAGCTCACAATTACCTTTTAAAAAGATACATTTTCTGGGCCAGGCATGGTGGCTCACACCTGTAATCACAGCACTTTGGGAGGCCAAGGTGGGTGGATCACGAGGTCAGGAGTTCAAGACCATCCTGGCCAACATGGTGAAACCCTGTCTTTACAAAAAAAAAAGAAAAAAGAAAAAAAAGTTAGCTGGGCATGGTGGCACATGCCTGTAATTCCAGTTACTCGGGAGGCTGAGGCAGGAGAATTGCTTGAACAGGGACCTGGGAGGCAGAGCCTGCAGTGAGCCAAGATCGCGCAATTGCACTCCAGCCTGGGCTACAGAAAGAGAGTCCATCAAAAAAAGAAAAAAAAAGATACATTTTCTGTTGTTTGGATAGTATATTTACTCATACTAGCTCACTAACTAAACAGAGCTGCAGATCAGTTCTTACTCCAGCACATTCTTTTTACAACACTTAAGATGACTAAATGCAACATGAAATGGGGAAGATTTAAAAAAAGATGGCTTTGACTTCAGCATGAAACAGATACAAGTGTACGATGAAAATACAACCTCAATAAAAGTGCCACTTACCGCAAATGAGTGTAACTGTTCATCAGGTATGCTCAAAGATCTATCTGCATCTCTATAAAATAAGAAAGCGCATTACTTCAAAAACTGTTAATATCTTAGTATAATATTTGTTTAGTAAAATACTGCCTCCTGTGTGCTTTGGTGTTTACTTTACCAAAGCAGTTTTTACGAATTCTTCTCCTGGATCCTGACTTGCAGAGGGTTTCCTGACTTCTTCTTTCTCAGCACATCATGGCCTGTACCGTGAAGTCTTTTGTATGATAACCAGTCAGAAATGCCCGTGAGTATTGACTCTCCCTAACAGGCCATGGCAATAAACCAAACATATTTTCACTCTTCTAACCACACATTGAAACACAAGAATGTTCTACAAAGCAGTAGTAGTAAACTTTAATAAACGTAAATGTGATTCAGATTTCCTAGCTTCCTTTCTCTTTAGTTCTCTGTAGTATACTCTCATGATGTATTTATGTACTTTCTGTTGTTTGAATGACAAACTCATCTGCCTTTTTAAGAGGCCAGTCTTTGATGAACTTTAAACTTTGTAAAACTAATGCATTGTGCCTGTGTATAAACCAGTGGTTCTCCAAATGTGCTGTGTGGACCTCTCGGGATCCCGAAGACCCCTTCCAGAAGGCCTAAGAGGTCATAACTGTTCTTTTTTTTTTTTTTTTTTTGAGACCAAGTTTTACTCTTGTTGCCCAGGCTGGAGTGCAATGGTGTGATCTCGGCTCATGGCAACCTTCGCCTCCCAGGTTCAAGTGATTCTCCTACCCCAGCCTCCCAAGTAGCAGGGATTACAGGCACCTGCCACCACTCCTGGCTAAGTTTTGTATTTTTAGTAGAGATGTGGTTTCACCATGTTGGCCAGGCTGGTCTTGAACTCCTAACCTCAGGTGATCCGCTTGCCTCGGCCTCCCAAAGTGCTGGGATTACAGGCCTGAGCCACTGTGCCTGGCCAACACTGTTCTGAATCATACTAATTAAACCTGAGAAAGCTGATGAAAAATTTTAAAAATTTGTGAAAGTAATACAAAGTCATTGCCTGCTTTTTCATTGACACTTGCCATGATTATATAAAAGCAAAAGTGGGTACAATGGCTGGTTTCTCAGCATAAATCAAGGCAGTAGTACCAATTACATTAGTAGTCATTCTATTCTTCACTGTCCCGTACAGGTAAAAAACATAGCCTGAATTTCTTAAGAATGTCTTTGATGAAGCAGTAAAAATTAATGTTGTTAAATCTTGACATGTCTCTAATATTCTGAATAAGTGGAAAGTTAACCAGAAGCGCTTTTTTTTTGTTTTTAAAGAATCCGTGATTTAACTGTGAACTGAAAAATCACTTTTTTCACAGAACATCATTTTTATTTAAAAGTACAACTAGGCCAGCGCAGTGGCTCACGCCTGTAAAATCCCAGCACTTTGAGAGGCCAAAGCAGGCAGATGGCTTGAGCTCCTTCAGGAGTTCGAGACCAGCCTAGGCAACATAACGAAACCCTGTCACTGTCAAACATATAAGAAAATTAGCCTGGCGTGGTGCCACACATCTGTGGTCCCAGCTACAAAGGAGCCTGAGGTGAGAGGATTGCTTGAGCTGAGATCATGCCAATGCACTCCAGCCAAGTGACAGTGAAACTCGGTCTAAAAAACCAGTTCAACTATCATTCTCAAAAATAAATGAAGTGAGAGGTTGTCACTTCAAGGGAAATACGTATTTTTTCCCAATGATAAAATTTAAGCTTTCCTGTGGACTTTGAAAAACTTGTTCCTTCTACTGTAGGCTTGGCAGCTTTTCAATACTTAAAGGTGTGTTAAAGTAAGATTGGTGGTTAAACTAAAAGTGATTTTTGACACAATAAAACATAAACCAATATATTCCAAGTAACTAATGCATGATATTATAAATGCAAGTATGGAGCAAAAGATCCATTTACTGTGCAAGAAAGATCAACGAGTACTGATGGAATAAATTTATTAATATGTAAAATGACACCGTAACTAATTTAAGAAACCACCACTTGTGAAGTTTTGATTTAGTGTTAACAAATACCCACAACTATCTGAAAACTTTAAAAATACACCTTCTACCAACTACATATTTGCATGAGGTTAGGTCATCTTATTGCTTCTTTTTTTCTTTTTTTGAGACAGAGTCTCTCTCTGTCACCCAGGCTGGGGTGCAATGGCGAGATCTCGGCTCACTGCAACCTCCACCTCCCAGGCTCAAGCGATTCTCCTGCCTCAGCCTCCCAAGTAACTGGGACTACAGGCATGCACCACCATGCCCAGCCATTTTTTGTATTTTCAGTAGAGGCGGGTTTTACCATGTTGGTCGGGCTGGTCTCAAACTCCTGACCTCAAGTGATCCACCCACCTCGACCTCCCAAAATGCTGGGATTACAGGTGTGAACCACTGCGCCCCACCAGCTTATTGCTTTTTTTGTTTGTTTGTTTAGGCAGAGTCTTGCTCTGTCACCCAGGCTGCAGTGCAATGGCACCATCTCAGCTCTCTGCAACCTCCGCCTCCCAAGTTCAAGCGGTTCTCCTGCCTCAGCCTCCAGAATAGGTGGGACTACAGGTGCGTGCCATCATGCCCAGCCAAGTTTTTGTATTTTTAGTAGAGACGGGGTTTCGCCGTGTTAGCCAGGATGGTCTCGATCTCCTGACCTTGTGATCCGCCCGCCTCAGCCTCCCAAAGTGCTGGGATTACAGGCGTGAGCCACCGTGCCCAACCTCTTATTGCTGCTTTAAAGCAAATTGCAAAGAAAGCTCTAGAGAATCCATTTGTCTCCTATTAAGCTCAACATGAGAGACTTTAAATAATATAAATACATGACGCACTTTTTACTCAACTTTTTGTTGTAGAGAAGTTATTTTTCAATGAAAAAATTCTGTTAACAATACTGTTCTCAAGGAATATTTTCTGTTGTTATAACCTGGGTCATGGGTTACTACTGACATCTAGTTGGTAGAGGCCATGAATACTGCTAAACTCTCTGCAATGCACAAGACAGTCCTCACAACAAAGCATTATCTAGCCCATAATATCAACAGTGGTAAGGCTGTGAAATCTAAACTAAAAATAGATTTTGAAAAAATTTCAATTGTATAATTCTACCACACTAAATATCAATATAATCAATATAAACACATACTCTTTGAGATTCTCAATCATTTAAGAATTATGAGAGTCTTAAGGAACAAAGAAAATACAAATAATTTGCTTCAATATTTTAGTAGGCACAATACAGCTTATGATGTCTAGAGCTGTGACCTAACACTGAGCTTGATATCTTGCAAAGTACTTAGCTAGAATAACAAGACAGGTTTCTAAAAAGCTCACCTTTGTGTGATATGATGAGGTATCTCCAAGGTCACACTGTGGAAGGAAAAAAAATTCATAACAATAGATGTTAACATTTGTTAGGCCTGAAGACATTTTTTAAAAGGGGGGCAGAGGAAACTCTCCTAGCGGCCCTGAAATTCAAATCTTCTAGTTCAGAACAGTACCATAAGGGCACTTTGTTTTCATTTCTTTGTTTTTTACAAAAATATGAGAACCAAAATGCAAGGAAATATGCCGTTAGAAGACGCGTTTCTGTTGGTGATTACAATATATAAATAATAACAGATTTCCTTGTTATATGCTTTTCTACCCACGAAACCTTTCGTCCCATGCGATTTATTTTATGTATTTATTTATTTTTTGACCCAGAGTCTGTCTCTCTTGCTCAGACTGGATTGCAGTGGTGCCATCTTGACTCCTCACAACCTCCACCACCCAGGTTCAAGCGATTCTCATGCCTCAGCCTCCCAAGAAGCTGGGACTACAAGTTTGTGCCACTATGCCCAGATAATTTTTTTTTTTGGGGGGGGGGGGCGGTGGATGGAGTTTCGCTCTTGTTGCCCAGGCTGGAGTGCAATGGTGTGATCTCGGCTCACCACAACCTCTGCCTCCCGGGTTCAAGAGATTCTCCTGCCTCAGCCTCCCAAGTGGCTGGGATTACAGGCATGTGCCACCACACCCAGCTAATTTTGTAGAGTGAGGCTCAAAACAACTGAGGGAAGGCAAATCTCAATTCTACTAATAGGTCTACACAATATTAGCACTTTTTAAAAAGCCTGTAACATTAGCAGGTAAGATGGATATGTCTATAGTGCTTCAAGTAGTTTTCATCTCTGAAATAATTTTAAAATCACAGAATTTAAAGTTACATGCTGGAAAGGACCAATGACCTTATGTGACATTTAATTCAACACTCGTTTTACAGATCAGGGAAACAGACCTTAAAACTGACTTGCCCAAGGTCCCACCAAATAGGAGCAGTTTCTCATCCTAAACTCAAATTAAGCAGTGGCTCTCAAACTTTGCTGCACATTAAAATCGCCTGAGAAGCTTTAATATCTGCCTCATCTTCCACATGAGACATTTTAATTTAATTAGTATTGGGTATGGCTTTGGGCATCAAGGTTCTTGGTAAACGTTTCCCAGGTGATTTCAATCAGCAGCAAAGTTTGGAATGATTGAGTTGGGGTGAAAATCAGAATCTTCTGGGATGCTTTTCTTCACAGAAAGATGCCTCACATCCATCCCGATTTTCCTAAAAGGCTTCTCAGTGCCTAGAGATAGAGGGAAAGTGGAGATGGGAAGATACATGTGTTTGCAGACTTGTATTTTGAAAAAAACCTTGCATAAGTGATCTCAGCGAGTTCCACCTATCCCACTGACAACAGTGCACTACTGATTCATGATAAAACATTTTTCAAAATATCTTCTTGAAGCCAATTTGCCCTATTAATTTGTTCAATAACTTTATTTCACCAATAGTGAATACACCAAATGATCATTTCTCAAACTTGCTGGTGGCAAATTAAAACTTACTATACTCTCAAAAGTAGACTTCTAAAAAGTAGAATAATGAGGAGAAAAGCACGAAATTTGTTTCAGCAAAATTAATCTTCAAAGCTGCTTTTGAATTATATGCTAACATATCAAAATCTTTGGAACTCAGAAGAAGCCAGGGACTCTAGTCAAAGTAATTTTTGTGTATGTGTGCTCAGAGATTTAAGAGACTTAGCTGACTACAGACATTTAGTGATTACTCAATAGGTCCCAAAGCTCAGGACTTGAGACAGAGTTTGAGTCCAGTTTTTGTTCGAAACACAATTTCCTCTCAACTATTGTTAAAAGGGAGGGAGGAAAGTGACATTATTATGAGTGTAAACTTTCCACTTTTAATTGAAGTAAAAGTTATTGACAATTGAATTAGTTAAAAAGGCTAGTGCATTTGAAACAAAATTGTTTATAAGCTAGTTATGTGTACAGAATGAAAAGTTAAATTAAAGATAAAGACATTAATATTCTAAATTAGCACTTTCCAAACTGTGTTCTAAAAATCAAGACTAATAACCCAAGAAGATGAGAATAATGTACACTGGACAGCCCCTGTGGAGCTGGTGGTGGTGTTGGTTGTTGTTCCTTTTAAAATAAACTTCATCTCAGGGTGCTCTCAAAGCGCATCTTTGTGGCCCATGAGGTGCTCATGCACAATGGGAGAAATTCAAATGCAGATACACTGTGGTGCCAGAAGAAGAAAAGCTGTTCCTTCTTCCAAGGATAATGTCCAAAGTAGTGCACACTGATTTAGGCCTATGATGCATTGAAAAACTAAGTTTCCACAAAAAACATTCAGTAAAGGGAACCTATCCTTCTCACTGTGTTCAACATTGTCTAAAGGCATAAAGGCATCAAAAAGATACACTGTTTCTGGGATTGCTTCTTTGCTAACTGATTTTTCCTTCCACCACGACGTCTAAGATTAAAAGAGAAACTGATACTTAATATTCAGAATCTGGATATCAATATATGGTTGACTCCAATTTCTTAAACTGATTGCTGAAAAGGACAACCAAATGACTGAAATAATTTTAGAATAAAGGAATCTGTCCCTCGGCAGCATAGTTGTACTCATGATATTATTGTCATTGTAAGATAATGCTGGATGGCTGTGCTGTCATCAAGGAATATTGTCGAACACAAGCTGTATTGTTGACTGAAATGCACAGTAGATACCTGAAGGGGAAGGGAAGTGTAAGTCAAACTTATCAAAGTGTATTATTTTCTCAGTTAAAATGTCAAATGACAAAGCACTAAGATATGTCTTACACTCCATGAACTGCCTGAGTGTGGTATCATGTGCACTCTATAGAAAACCCATTGGAGGCTCTCAACTTCCAGAGATGATGTTTAAGATATGGGTTATAAAATGCTGCCCTTAATATGGTACCTGTCATCAAACCTAACAAGGATTTTATGAATTACCGTTAAAAATAATGGGAAAAGTCGGCTTCGCGGGGCGCGGTGGCTCACACCTGTAATCCTAGCACTTTGGGAGGTGGAGGCGGGCGGATCACGAGGTCAAGAGATCGAGACCATCCTGGCTAACATGGTGAAACCCCGTCTCTACTAAAAATACAAAAAATTAGCCGGGCGTGGTAGCAGGCCCCTGTAGTCCCAGCTACTTGAGAGGCTGAAACAGGAGAATGGGGTGAACCCAGGAGGAGGAGCTTGCAGTGAGCCGAGTTCGCACCACTGCACTCCAGGCCGGCAGACAAAGTGAGACTCCATCTCAAAAAAAAAGAAAAGTTTAAAATAAGATTTCATTTTTTTTCTGCAGCAATAAAAAGCAGCTGAGAATTTCTATTAATTAATTAATTTATTTATTTATTTTTGAGACGGAGTCTCGCTCTGTCGCCCAGGCTGGAGTGCAGTGGCGCGATCTCGGCTCACTGCAAGCTCCGCCTCCCGGGTTCACGCCATTCTCCTGACTCAGCCTCCTGAGTAGCTGGGACTACAGGCGCCCACCACCATGCCCGGCTAACTTTTTGTATTTTTAGTAGAGACGGGGTTTCACCGTGTTAGCCAGGATGGTCTCGATCTCCTCACCTCGCGATCTGCCTGCCTCAGCCTCCCAAAGTACTGGGATTACAGGCCTGAGCCACGGCGCCCAGCCCTTCTATTATTTATTTACTACGATAAAATGTAATGTATTAAATAATCCTGCTACAAGAGCATTTTATTGCAGTGAATACAAGACTAATGCATTTACTAAATTACTAATCCTAAATGTATTATTTCAGGTGATATTGTTACAAAAGAAGTGTTTCAGATTCAGAGGCTCTGTGTGCCAGGGCTGCTAGGCCACCAACAAGTGAGGAAGCCATAGGTTTCTCTAGTCCTATTTTCTTATGTGGAGGATAAAAAGAGTATCACTTAAATATTCTCTCACACCCTGAAAACAAATGACAACTTAAAAAATCTAACTTTCACTTCATGTTTAAATAAGACTGCCAAGACATGACTCAAATGAGACTCTCGGAGAATACTTTGCATTCACTTCAAAACTTGATCAATTGCATTCTATAAATCATCTGACCTGCACCTAGCCATTTTCCTGCTCTACCCCTGCTCTCTGCCTAGAATACTGCTTTTCTCTTTCCTTGCTTCAGCAAGCTCGACTCCATCTACCCTCTTGGATCTCTTTGTCGGCAGCCACACCAAAAAATGTATTTTTATACACTAATTAGTTGAATTCACCACTGCTTACAAGATGCTAATTCCTGCAGAGTATTCCCCTTGTGAGAAAGTATGCCTCTCCATAAGAGTAAGGGAGGGCCCTTACTCTTCCTACCTCCAGCTGCTGAGCATAGAATTTTGAGTAAATCCAAAACTTCGACAAGTGTTTGACAATTCAGTTATCATTTGGAAGGTAAGTCTTACTACATTTAATTACAGCAAAAACACTACTAACAGTTTACTCTTTATAGGTATTATTTAAGGTAGTCACAAAATAGAAACAAATACTCTAACGTCAGGCAGCATAAATGAGAGTATGAAATTTTACAGTATTTAACAAGAAATGGAAGGGGTTACTTAGTAGTTTTAAGGTTTAATGACAAAAACTAGAAAATAATCGTACCTAGTAATTTAGTAAGTCAAAACCAAAGCTTTACCATCAAAGGTGCAGTACCCATTGGATGCAGATGCCCACGCACTGACTTCTTCTGCTGTACCTGCTGCCTCTCATTTTAACCCATTAAAAATACTAAAGTTGTTTTCCTTGTAGACATCTTTCACCTCC
Organism: Homo sapiens; assembly: GCF_000001405.40. Classification (NCBI taxonomy): domain Eukaryota; kingdom Metazoa; phylum Chordata; class Mammalia; order Primates; family Hominidae; genus Homo; species Homo sapiens. Next base: position 46,121,101 of record NC_000010.11, on the reverse strand, counting down.
TTGGTTAGGTCTATTCCGAAGTATTTTATTTTAGTTTAGTTTAGTTTTGCAGCTATCAGAAAAGGGGTTGAGTTCTTGGTTTGATTCTAAGCTTGGTCGCTTCTGGGGTATAACAGAGCTACTGATTTGTGTACATTAATTTTGTCTCCTGAAACTTTGCTGAATTCATTTATCAGTTCTAGGAGCTTTTTGGAGGAGTCTTTAGGGTTTCCTAGGTATATGATCATATCATCATCAAACAGCAACAGTTTGACTTCCTCTTTACCGATCTGCATGCCTTTTATTGTTTTCTCTTGTGTGATTGTTCTGGCTAGGCCTTCCAGTAGTATGTTGAATACAAGTGGTGAGAGTGGGCATCCTTGTCTTGTTCCAGTTCTCGGGGGGAATGCTTTCAACTTTTCCCCCTTTCAGTATTATGTTGGTTGTGGGTTTGTCATAGATGGCTTTTATTATATTGAGCTGTGACCCTTGTATGCTGATTTTGCTGAGGGTTTTAATCATAAAAGGATGCTGCATTTTGTCAAATGCTTTTTCTGCATCTGTTTAGATGATCATGTGATTTTTTGTTTTTAATTCTGTTTATGTGGTGTATCACATTTATTGACTTGTGTATGTTAATCCATCTCTGCATCCCTGGTATGAAACCCATTTGATCATGGTGGATTATCTTTTTTTTTTTTTGAGATGGAGTCTCGCTCTGTTGCCCAGGCTGGAATATGCAGTGCGGTGATCTTGGCTCACTGCAACCTCTGCCTCCGAGGTTCAAGCGATTCTCCTGCCTCAGCCACCTGAGTAGATGGGATTACAGGTGAGCACCACCACACCCGGCTAACTTTTGTATTTTTAGTAGAGATGGGATTTCACCATGTTGGCCAGGCTGGTCTCGAACTCCTGACCTCATGATCCGTCCGCCTCAGCCTCCCAAAGTGCTGGGATTACAGGTGTGAGCCACCGTGCCTGGCCCGATTATTTTTTGATATGCCGTTGGGAACTACAAAACGTTGCTGAATGAAGTCATGGACACAAACAAATGGAAAGACACCCCATGCTCATGAATGGGTAGAATGAATATTGTGAAAATGACCATACTGCCAAAAGCAATCTACAAATTCAATGCAACTCCCATTAAAATAGCACCATCCTTCTTCACCGAACTAGAAAAAACAATCCTGAAATTTATATGGACCAAACAAGAACCGGCACAGCCAAAACAAAACTAAGCAAAAACAACAAATCTGGAGGCATGACATTACCTGATTTCAAACTATACTATAAGGCCATAGTCGCCAAAATAGCATGGTACTGATATAAAAATAGGCACATACACCAATGGAACAGAATAGAGAACCCAGAAATAAACTCAAATACCTATAGCCAACTGATTTTCAACAAAGCCACCTAAAACATAAAGTGAAGAAAGTAAACCCTATTCAACAAATGGTGCTGGGATAATTGGCAAGCCACATGCGGGAGAATGAAACTGGATCCTCAACTCTCACCTTACACAAAAATCAACTCAAGATGGATCAAGGACATAAATCTATGACCTGAAATCATAAAAGTTCTAGAAGATAACATTGGAAAAACCCGTCTAGACGCTGGCTTAGGCAAAGACTTCATGACCAAGAACACAAAAGCAAATGCAACAGAAACAAATAGGTGAGACTTAACTAAAGAGCTTCTGCACAGGAAAAGGAACAATCAGCAGAGTATACAGACAACCACAGAGTGGGAGGAAATCTTCACAGTCTATACATCTGACAAAGGGCTATTATCCAGAATCTATGAGGAACTCAAACAAATTACAATTACAAAAATATGGAACCAGCCCAAATGCCCGTCAATCAATGAGTGGATAAAGAAACCGTGATATACATACATATATATATATATGAGGAATACCACCTCAGCCATAATAAGGAATAAATTCATGGCATTTCCAGCAACCTGGATGGAAGTAAGACTATTATTCTAAGTGAAATAACTCAGCATGGAAAACCAAATATCATGTTCTCTTTCATACGTGGGAGCTGAGCTATGAGGATGCAAAGCCATAAGAATGATACAATGGACTTTGGGGACTTGGGGGAAAGGCTGGGAGGAGGGTGAGGGATAAAAGACTACAAACTGGGTTCAGCGGATACTGCTCAGGTGATGGGTGCACCTAAATCTCACAAATCATCACTAAAGAACTTAGTCATGTCACCAAATGCCACCTGTTCCCCCAGAAACCTATGGAAATAATAAATAAATAAATAAAGTACAGCATTTTTCTCAGCAAACATAAAATAAAACAAAGACTAAAGTTCATATTTTTCACTCTCCTTTTGGGCAGGACAAATTTTAGATAGGTTTTTAAAGAATTAGTAACTTTAGGCCGGGCGCGGTGGCTCACGCCTGTAATCCCAGCACTTTGGGAGGCCGAGGCGGGCGGATCACGAGGTCAGGAGATCGAGACCATCCCGGCTAAAACGGTGAAACCCCGTCTCTACTAAAAATACAAAAAATTAGCCGGGCGTAGTGGCGGGCGCCTGTAGTCCCAGCTACTTGGGAGGCTGAGGCAGGAGAATGGCGTGAACCCGGGAGGCGGAGCTTGCAGTGAGCCGAGATCCCGCCACTGCACTCCAGCCTGGGCGACAGAGCGAGACTCTGTCTCAAAAAAAAAAAAAAAAAAAAAAAAAAAAAGAATTAGTAACTTTTTTCCTTTTTCCGAGACAGGGTCTCCCTTTGTTGCCCAGGCTGGAGTGCAGCGGTGCAATTATAGTTAACTGCAGCCTCAAACTCCTGAGCTCAAGCGATCCTCTGCCTCAGCCTCCTGAGTAGGTAATACGAAAGGCGCATGCCACCAGGCCTGGCTAATTTGTTATTTAACCTTTTTGTAGACATGAGGTCTTGCTATGTTGACCAGGCTAAAAATAAACAAATCTTAATTAACTTAAATATTTCTAACACTTTGGGCATTCAGGAAAACAGCTCCATCTATGTTGTGAAGTAATGGGAAGTATATGGCAGTGGATAAACTTTGAATGAAAATATTAAACAAGGCCTTAGGAGAAAAGTGTAATATGCTTATTATAGATACATTAATTTAAAAAATTCTCTGGCTTAATATCATTAATTATACTCAAATTAGACTTTGATTTAAACACAGGTCCTAAATTTGGATTAAATATAATAGATTGACCACAAATTTATTTCGTCTCCCTCCGGAAGCCTCATCAGTCATAAAATAAAGGTTACACCCATGACCAGCACAGAAGGTTGACAGAGATAATTTTTAATAAATGCTGAGACATAAAAAGTAGATAAAGGAGTGGTAAATAACACAGAAACACAACTTTGGTGCCTACAGAAAGTGACTGGAACAGAAGCGAGCCAGTTTGTCTTGCAGAACTAAAGGCAGGTTGTGAAATTACAGGCAAATGGCACTTTGGAAAGTAGGGTAAAATGTGAAAAAAAAAAAAAAAGCCAGCAAGGTCAGTTGCAAATCTCTAACTAGAGCCCCAAGTCCACCTGTCCTTCCATCTGACAAGAAACTTAGATGTGTGTTCTCCGGATATATCAAACCTGAGAATTTCTGGCTCAGAGATACCATGGCTTAAACCTGAGATATAAAGAAAACTGTACACCAAAAATGGAACTCCAACTTTCTTCGCTAACTCTGCTTTTCCTTTCCAGGCCTGCTTTTCCTTTCCAGGCAGAAAATTGGGAGATCCTTCTCAGAAGAAACTGAAATGTCTTCAATAAAGATCCCCAGATAATACACTGAGGTCTCCCAAATGAAAAGCTAGTCAGGCTTCTAAGGCCTCACACTGAGTGCTATCAGTTAACAGAAATCCTGCTTCCAAATAAAGCAGGCCAGGGACCACCACACATTGGAGGGAAGCCTCCAAGAAAAGAGATCAAAACAATAGAAAAAAGGAATTGATAGGACCAGTCAAAATCAGGAGCAAAACTTTAAAAAAAAATCTTAAAACACTCTCAAAAAATATAAAATTCAATAGAAATAGTAGAGGATAAAGTCACAGAATATCCCAGAACTAGAATAAAAAGACAAACTGAAAAAAATACAAGGGGAAAAATTAAAAATCAATGCAGGCGTATTGGTCTAAGCAGCCTAGCATCTGAATAACAAGACTATCAGTAAAAAAGTAACAGAGAAAATAAAAAAAAATTCTCAAGAAGAGATAGTCTGCAGGTTTAGTAGCCTCAATAAAATGAAAAGATCCCCAACAAGCTGTTATAAAATTTCAGAACCTTAGAGAGAGAGATTCTAAAAAGCTTCCGCAGATAACTAAAACCTGGTTGTAAATAACGTATCACACACTGGCAATAGATTCAAGAACAACACTGTAATAAGAGCACAACTGCAAAATGTCTTCAGAACCATACAATTTAGATTCAACCTAGAGGTGTACTCTCTATCAAAGAGGAGGGATTTTAACATCTCCACACAGGAAAATGTGTTCAAGTACAACTAGAGACGATAACAGGACAGAAGGAAACACAGAATCTAGGACTCAGGCGATCCCACACAAGACAGCAGTTACGTGAGATACCAAAAGACTTTAAAGAGTTAGCCCAGAAAAGCAGACATTGAGCATATCTAGGGAAACCCACGCTATATTGAACTAGGATGACAAAAGGCCAAAGAAAGTTGCCCCCCACACAAACATAAAAAGGAACAGATGTGTTTTCGCAGATGGAAAATATCTTTGAAAGGCATGTGATAAATGCTACAATACTTGGGGGAAAACAGCTGTTAGAAAACAGGCAAATGAATATAGTCAGAAAATTAGCTTCATGCTAAAAAATAATGGATGTGAAAGCAAACAGAGCACCCAGAGGCTACTTAACGATATTTGGATAGATAAACTAACATAGGCTAGGAAAAAAGAAGATCCAGGAGAATTGCAGAAGTCCTCAGATTTCAGAACTGTTTCAGAGACAGGATGAAGGACATGGAATGCAGAGGCACAGTGAAAACACCATATGACTTAGCAGTGAATAATATTTGCAGAGTCATAATCATGTAAATATTACTGATTTAATTAAAAAGTGTGCTACAATTGGAAGAAACACAGGGAGAAACATAAGATCATGGTGTAGCGGGGAAGGTATGCTTTTACCTGCTGTGACAGAAAGTCAATAGACAGTGCTGGCAATTAACTTAGCTATTCTATTTTTGTTCTTTCATTAAAAATAAGATTAAATATTTAAGGCAATTTTTTTTTTTTTTTGAGACAGAGTTTCGCTCTGTCGCCCAGGCTGGAGTGCAATGGCGCGATCTTGGCTCACTGCAACCTCCGCCTCCTGGGTTCAAGTGATTCTCCTGCCTCAGCCTCCTGAGTAGCTGAGATTACAGGCATGCACCACCACGCCCAGCTACTTTTGTATTTTTAGTAGATACAGAATTTCACCATGTTGGTCAGGGTTGTCTCAAACTCCTGACCTCAGATGATCAGCCTGCCTCGGCCTCCTAAAGTGTTGTGATTACAGACGTTAGCCACCATGCCCAGCCTTAAGGCAGATCTTTTGAACCGGACTATTGAAATTTAACTTAAATGTCAGAAATCTTTAAAAGGTGGACACGCTAAACTAAGCACTTTTCTGGATAAATTTAACACTCAGGAAAATAGAAGAGATTTAGAAAATCCACAAAAAGAGGTCCATGCTACCACCACCAGGTCCACATTGTAATTTAAAGAAATCAAGAGAGACATCCTTTTATGTCAAACTGTCAATTTCTTAACTATTTGAGTGTTTACTTACATGGTTTGTACAGTTGCTTCTTCTTATTTCTACAACTAAGAATAAAAAAAAAAAAACTGGTCACTTCTGATACAAATACCATAAAATAAAAGTAGTTGTTAACATCTTACTGATTACTCCTATGAAAAATGAGACAAAATTCCATTAAAAAAAAAATTTTTCAATAACATATAATTTAAATTATCTGGCATGATTAATTTCATAAGTCAAATCTAAAAACTTAGATTTTCATTTAGTTTACTTTTTGTTTCTATTACATACAAATGAAAGAATCCTCATGTACAAAAGAAAAGGGCAAAAAAATTAGGCCAGATGAAAAATTTAGCTAATAAAAAGTTTAACTGTTGCATATATGAGCCATGATCCATTAGTATTCTCTCATTCTGCATTTACACATAGCTTACTTTAATTATCAGACTCTAAGAGCTAACAGTTCTAAAAACTACTTCCTGACCAGACACCTATCTCTAGATGCAACAGAATCCCTGTAAGCATCTTGAACCACACTTAGTGGTTATCTACTAATATGTCACTAAAAACAAAACAAAATTAAAAAATGGTCTTTACACAACTGGAAAGTAACCTATCTTAAATTTGTTTTCTTTTTTGAGATGGAGTCTCACTCTGTCACCTAGGCTCGAGTGCAGTGGCGGGATCTCAGCGCACTGCAACCTCTGCCTCCCAGGTTCAAGAAATTCTTCAGCCTTAGCCTCTGGACTAGCTGGGACCACAGGCACGTGCCACCATGCCTAGCTAATTGTTTTTTGTATTTTTAGTAGAGACAGAGTTACACTGTGTTAGCCAGGATGGTCTTGATCTCCTAACCTCGTGATCCACCCACCTCAACCTCCCAAAGAGTTGGGATTACAGGTGTAAGCCACAGAGCCTGGCCTAAATTTTGATGTTAAAATAAGTATACAAACCTAATTGGACATGGTGTCTGCAGCACAAAAAATCATTTTTTTTTTCCCTAAAAAGAGGCCAGAATAATAAAAGCCCCAAGAGGGACTTGGGCCATGCTTTGTTTCCTACACTGCCTCTGCCTTTGATGCTGGGAGGGCCTTGTAGGCAAAAGTTACTACCACCGAAGAGTGAGGGACATGGAATAGCTTTTCTTTTACTGCTTCCATGCTCTCTAGGTGTGAGAAGCCCATGCCTCTGGAAGGAACTGGGAAATACAATTCTGATATGTTTTGGATATGTTGCCCCTCCAAGTCTCATGTTAACATGTGACCCTTAATGTTGGAGATAGGGCCTAGTGGGAGGCGTTTGGGTAATGGCAGTGATTCCTTATGAATGGCTTGGTCCCATCCCCATGGTAATAAGCAAATTCTCATTACGGTAATTTAAAAGACTGTGGTACTGGCCAGGTGCGGTGGCTGAAGCCTGTAATCCCAGCACTTTGGGAGGCTGAAGCGGGCAGATCACTTGAGGTCAGGAGTTTCAGACCAGCCTGGCTAACATGGTGAAACCCTGTCTCTGCCAAAAATACAGAAATTAGCCAGGTGTTATGGTGCCCACCTATAGTCCCAACTACTCAGGAGGCTGAGGCAGGAGAATTGCTTGAACCTGGGAGATGGAGGTTGTAGTGAGCCAAGATCGTGCCATTGCACTCCAGCCTGGGCAACAGAGTGAGACTCCATTTCAAAAAAAAAAAAAAAAAGAGTGTGGTACCTTCCCCCTTCCCCTCTCTCCTCCCTCTTTCACGGTGTGGAACCACCTGCTTCCCCTTTGCCTTTTATCATGATTGTAAGTTTGCTGAGGCCCTCACCAGAAGCAGATGTTAAAGCCATGTTTGTACAGCCTGAAAATCTTTGAGCCAATTAAACCTCTTTTTGTTATAAATCACCCAGCCTTAGGTATCTCTTTATAGTAATGTAAAAAATGAAGACAAATTCTAACCAGAAATAACTGACTCAAGATGGCAAAGTCTACTCAAACTATAAAAACAAAGGTTGCAAACTCCCGTGTTTTACTGTGCTGCATTACTTCGCACACTATTATAGAACCCTCACTTGTGTTCTTGCTGTTTAAGTCAACTGGAAAACTTGGCTGTGTATGGCTTGTTGGCAAATAAATGAGGATTTAACATAACATTAAGGGAAATAAGCAGGAGTAAGGCATGTTTAAATTTACATTATATCAAATGAAAAAGTTAATAACCTAAAACTTTTGAGTAGCGTAAACTTGGATGTGGTAAATGAATGTGGTCAGAGGACTGTGTAAGAGGAGGCCCAAATCACAGATTCAATCCCTGATGATAAACAACTATGTTTTTTAATTTGTTTAAATGAAAACCAAGCTGAAGCCTAAGTTCTATCATTCATCTTTAAAATGTACTTTTTGGAGCAAGGGAAAAGGGATTATAAATAAAGATAAATCCATTAATTATAAATAAAGATAAATCCAAGAATTATAAAGAGAAATCCATGACTCCTCCATCACATCACAAATTAATTGTGTTGATAAAAAGATGCCAAAATGTATAAACAAAAAGGTTACACATTTTCACTAACATCATAACAACTAAAGGAAAGTATATCACATATTAAAATAAGAAAATGAACATGTGAAAAGGTGAAAAATTTAAACCAATATGAGTTTTTCTAAATACTTTCTATAACCTGATCAAACAAGAGCTTTTATTCTTTCTCTTGGCGGAAAAAACAATGTCGTCTCACCATCTGTTTGAGAGTTCCTCTGGAATATTGTGCTTGCCTCTGGATTGGCAGAAGGGTTAAACTCCAAAGCTATATGCATAGAGGAAGAAAAGAAAAAAAGATGTAATCATTGATAAAAATTTATCAACTCGTTTATTCGGCTGCTGCATTTAGGCTATTTCACTATCTCTACTTTGATTCTTATCCATTGAAATGAATGTATAGACATAAGATAGAGCCAGGCAAGATGGCACATGCTTGTAGTCCCAGCTACTCAGGAGGCTGAGATGGGAAAATCACTTGAACCCAGGTCAGGAAGTTGAGGCCAGCATGAGTAACACAATGACACCCTCCTTTATTAAAAAAAAAAAAAAAAGAAGAAGAAGAGGTAAATTTTGGCTTTGAGTTGTGTAAAATCAACTATGCATAAAATAAATCAAGATGGCAGTAAGTTTTAAAAGACAGGTCTATTTTATAGGCAAAATATAAGATGTATTCTAGAGTTTTTAAAATTTTTAAAAAGTAAATTCATCATATCTGTCACTTCCATTTCATTCTGAGGACACAGAACCTTAGTTCTCTTGAGTAGCTGTCTTCCATAGTCATGTGATATCTCTAAGTTTTCATTTCTTCATTAGCAATACATAGGGAGAACATACACAGGCCTTATTTGTATTGGAAAGGGCCAAGTGAGACATACATAAACTGTGTTGTAATCCTAAAGAATGACAATAAAGAGCCATTTTTGGGCTCTCATCCAACACTACCCATCTACTAACTGGTGTGTAACATCCATCAGGCTTTCCGAACATCACCAAGCAGAGTATAAGTTTACACAAGTACTTACATGCTTTGTGTATAAAGGTACAATCAATTAATTCACATAATGCATTTGTTTATTCTAAAGCAATCCTTAAATATCTTGAAATGTGAAGATAGTACTTTCAAGTTACAAAGTCACACTCATAATGAGTCTTAATTATCCTACCTCTTTAAAAATTAAGAGCCCGACCAAAGTTTAAATAGAAGAGCTATAAGACATTTCCTCTACAGTAATGAAATCTCTGGCATTTAAATGAAACCAATAAGCCTACTGGATTTAATATGTTTATGATGCAATGTTTTCTATTTTGAAAATTTCAGTTTTTATTCAAGAACCATATTATTACCCAGAATTACTTTTACTTAGATTCATCTCTTTGCAAAATTTTAGAGGCAAACCAACTAATTGTTTTCTCTTTTCTACCGGCTCCCATCCCCTGCCTCTGCCAGCAGTGTAGAGACTAAAAAACTCCAACTTTCTTTCCTTTTTTTTTTGTGAGACGGAGTCTCGCTCTGTCACCCAGGCTGGAGTGCATTGGCGTGATCTCTGCTCACTGCAACCTCCACCTCCCAGGTCCAAGCAATTCTCCTGCCTCAGCCTTGTGAGTAGCTGGAACTACAGTCATGCGCCACTACGCCCAGCTAATTTTTGTATTTTTTTTTTTTAGTAGAGACAGCGTTTCACCATGTTGGCCAGGCTGGTCTCGAACTCCTGACCTCAGGTGATCCGCCTGCCACGGCCTCCCAAAGTGCTGGGATTACAGGCGTGAGCCACCAAGCCCAGCCAAAACTGTAACTTTCTTATCTTTGAACAAGATGCTATTGTCAGGAGGGGAAGGGACAAAGGGGGAGCCACGGCAACAAACACTCTTACAGGGAAGGTCTGACATTTTAACCTGCAATCTTTATATTACACATTAAAAGTCTACATTGACATTTCATGTCTTTTGAAAGTTTTGACCATGAACCAATCCCCACCTCTCTTTTAGAACAAGGAGGTAAATAAAGTCTGTTAAGTCACCAGAATAAATCTGGAGACACATTTTCTGTTAAAGTAAGAACTTTAACAGAAAAGAGCTTCATAGGTAAACTCCTTTGAGAAACCCCAAACACACACACACAACCATTTTTCTGCAGCCCCGGCTGTGACATTTTACACCTTTCACAATTATTTTAAGCACTCTCCTTTTTTCTTTTTCCTTCTGTGTTCAAATTACAGTTAGAAGAAACTAAGCAGCTTCTATCAAGGTGACTTAAAGCAGCCCATTAAGAATACCATATAGCCTCTCCCGTGGCAAACTCCATTCTGATTTTAAATAAGAAATCCCCAAATATTTGAATAGGAACTGTCTTGAGATTTGGCTACTTTAACAAAGGAAACAATTAGGCACTTACCTGGTTCCTTCACTTAGGTACCATCTGGATAGGTACAAAGAAAAAATAAGATGGGTACTGAAAAGTTGGGATATTTGAGTTTTTATTGAGAAAAGGAAGAGAATAGCTCAAAGAAGCCTAAACAAAGTCCCACAGGATAATAAACAGAGCTACAGACACTGTTGTCTCACCATCTGTTTGAGAGTTCCTCTGTAATATTGTGCTTGCCCTCTGGATTGGCAGAAAGGTTAAACTCCAAAGCTATGTGTATAGAGGGAGAAAAGAAAAAAGATGTAATCATTTATAAAAATTTATCAACTCATTTATTCAACTGCTGCTTATTCGACAAGAGCCATAAATAAATGGTCCCATGCCAGCCTGGGAGAATGAGATGAGAGAGCAAGAACTGGGCGATTGGGAGGGGAGGCGAAAAGAAACTGACTGGACTCGGTGGGGAAAGACTAAGGGGTGGGAATTCAAGGCAGAGCCAGCTTTTGTTCCTGGCCAGCCCCCGGGAAAGCTGGCTACAAGCAGAAAGGAGCTCGAAGTGGGGGATGCCTCAAAGGGAACCTTGGGGACAGTAGCAGCCAGAGGCAAACCGAGGGTAGATGGCACCTATCACCTCCTCACCTTCAGGCATCTCCCGGTCACGAACGTGGTGCATGTGGAGGTCCTCACCAACTTCAACAGTCACCTCAGCAGGCTGTACAGCAGCAGCCATGGGCGCTCCTGCCATCCTGTCCTCAGCTCCTGCCTCATAGATCTCAGATTCAGAGGGACACACCGACCCCTGCTGCTGGTCAAACTCGAGGCTGACGCTAGGGTGCACACGACAGGTCAGTATGTTCCCCATGGGGCGCCTCTACTGTCTGCCACCACCTGTGCCTCTGCTCACAGCTTTGGCCACGCACTCCCGCTGTCCTAGGCCGAGGCTATGCTGCACTTGCAGAGATGGTCTTCCCGCTCCTCGCCTGCCTACCTCACAGCGAGGCCCCGGGCACCAGCCCTGGCCCCGGCCCCGGCTAGGGCTGCGGGCCAAGGCCCGCACCCTGCTGCCTCCCCTGAGTTGACTTGTCTGGGAGGGTGAAGACCAGCCGGCTTATTTAATAGGTTGTGAACCCAACAAGCGCTGAGAGACACAACAACTGCCTGAAGAGAGAACAGACGGAGCTCCTCCTCCTTCTGTAGTCACCTACAGACTGAAGCCCACTGGCCCCAGGTGGGAGCCCAGGCATGTGGCACACAATGCTCCACCCCACACTTCACAATGCCCTCCCCGACACCTCACAGTGCCCCACCCTGCCTGCCACCCCTCCCCAACAGCTCAGAATGCCCCTGCCTTGGCTGCCCCACCCTGTGGCTTATGATGCTGCTGCTCTCCTGGCCCCTCGTGCAGTGCCAGTGGGACTAAGGTTTTCATTCATCACCAGCTTCCTGAGATTTTAGTCCTAAGAAAAGCAAAGGGTAGTTCATTCCTCGAAGCCAGCTTCCTCTATGAGTTCTATACAAAGCCTCAGTAGAGTGGGTCCCATTAGCAACCAAGTTGAACAACTTTTATTTGCTGACTGAATATAGATACACCTGAATTGTTGACTGCTTTTGTAACTAAACACTCCTCTCCTGTCTTCCAACGAGTGGTCATTTTTGTCCGCAACTTGACCACAGCAATCCCTGGGGCCCTAGCTCTACTCTCAATAAAGAGTTATGGCTGTGTGTTTTGAATGACACCTTAGGACCCATCCTGCCTCCACCTCCTTCTCCATAAAATAGAAACCTAACTTGCCCCTCCAAGCTCTGAAATGCTGAAACTTACCAACTCCCTTTTCTCCCCGCTATTTCTTCCTTCCGTGGCAGGGACTTTCAGGTTTTCTTTCTTTTACTAACAAGGCACTAAGCATGATTTTCTCATACAAAATCGAGAGCCATAAAGTGGCTTACCACAGTCCTATTTCAATAAAGATGAATACTCGACATCTGGCAAGTAGTGTGTGCCTGACAGTGTCCCCACTGTGCTATGCTCATTTAACCCTCAGAAACAATCTCATGTTACAGATTTTGCAGAAGTTGTTGAGACGGAGAAGGTAAGTAACCTCCCCAAGGTCACATGACTGCTAAGGGTGGGGCCATAGTTTGATCCCAGGTAGTCTGAATTCCCCAATTGCTTAAGCATGATTATCAGAAAGTATAGCAATATGGCGTTGTTTGCCAACGGGCAATGAGTACTGCTGTTGCTCCCTGTTCTATGTCCTGGCCATCTTCAGCCATGTCCATGGCCGACTCTAAATCCGCATAGCAGGGCCCCTTGAAGCACTGCTGGATCTGCCCTCTGCTTTCACTGGCCCTGCTTCTGCACAGTCTCAGGCATCTGAGTGGGTGATGGGATTGCATCCATCCCTATGAGGGTCCAGCTCGCTCTGTAGCCCAAGCTGGAGTGCAATGGCGCGATCTCCGCTCACTGCAAGCTCCGCCTCCTGGGTTCACGCCATTCTCCTCCTTCAGCTTCCTGAGTAGCTGGGACTACAGGCGCCCGCCACCATGCCCAGCTAATTTTTTTGTGTGTTTTTAGTAGAGACGGGGTTTCACAGTGTTAGCGAGGATGGTATCTATCTCCTGACCTCGTGATCCGCCCGCCTCGGCCTCCCAAAGCCGAGGATTACAAGCGTGAGCCACCGCGCCTGGCCTAGAATTATTGTTATAAAATGTCTCATGTCACTCTCAGGAGTAATTAGGCAACTTCATTTCCGTACATCAGTGGCATGGGCAACTACATATTTTAGAAATTTACTGTTATTTTCTTATTTCCAGGCTTCCTCAAATGTTTCAGGTTCAAAGCCCTGGCCTCCCACTGTCTTCCCACAACCCAGCTCTGTATCCTGCCCCCTCCCTCCCCTGCACCTGGCATTGCACAGAAGGTGTGAGTGTCCCTTAAATGCTTCTGCGAGGCTTAGCTTACTCCTGCAATGTCTGTGCCTATTAGTAAAAGGCAAAAGGTCAAGGAAAGAATGCAATCAAGCTGTGATTCTAAAACCAGATGTTTTCTTTCAGGTAACTCTGAAAAGTCAGAGATTCATAATTTGATCATCTATGTATTTTCCCCCAGAAAAGGCACTGAACAGGTTACATGTCCAGATCTTTGGATATAATCTATTGGAGAAAGGATCTGGGTCTGATGCATGGTTCTTACCCTAGCAGCCAGCCCAAGAAGATAATGGAGCAATATGTCATGAACGGAGGGATGGGTGGATGAAGAGAACCGCGGCCCAACATGTCTCTCTAGGAGAAAAATAAATCAAAGGGAGAATTCTTGCTTGCAAAAAATGAGCGGAGGATAGGGAGAGAGAAAAAGACAGTGAGAGAGGGAAAAGAGACAAGACAGAGAAATAGCCAATAAAGCAGACACACACAAAAAAGGGAGAGATGAGAGGAGAAAGAAACGGGACGGGACAAGGAGACAAGAGGCAGAAAGGCAGGGGACAGGAACAGGAATGGGACTCAGAGAGGACCTGGGAGAATGCGGGAGGAAGCTGGCGACAGAGGGAAGGGAAGGACCCAACAGCCAAAGTCAGGACTCAAGAGCGCTACTGTGGGGAAAGGCAGTGGAAATGAGATGGGCCCCGCTGCCCGCGCCCGCTTGCTCTCGGTCTTGGTCTTGGCCGACCTGAGGGCGCTTCTCTCCCAGGCTGTCAGGCGGCGCGCAGGGAGGAGGTGCAGACGCGGCCGCCACCGCCAAGCGCCCAGCGCGCGGCTCTGAACTTGGCGCCAGAGCCCTGAGGACACCAGGCCCCGCCTTCCTGGCCGCACACGCCTTCCGGGCAGGGCTTGTGGGTGGGCGGCCCCGGCGCGGGAGGGTGCCGGGGCCGGAGAACCCGCAACCCGGTAGAAAGCCTGTGATCAGCTGGGCAGCCCAGTCCTCCCCGGGCTCAGCTCGGCAGACAGCCCTCTGATGGCTCGGACTGGGCCGGGCGCCGGCGCCTGCGGGAGGGCGAGGGCGTCCTTTGAAGGCGGCTCCAGCTCTCGCCGCCGCCCTCTGGCTCTAGGCTCCCCTACCTCTCGCTCCTGGGCCCTGGGGGCCGCGGCGATGCGCCCCGTGCCTGTGGCTCCCTCTTCGCGGACGACCCCCGTGGCCTCCCAGCCCTCCCTCCCCGCGCGACCTGGCGGCCCCGCTAGCGGCACCTCCCCAGCGCCCAAGTAGCCCAGATCCTCCAGGAGCGCCCCGCCGCCTCCGCTCTCCTGGCCCCCGCTCCCCTGGCCCCAGCTGTGACCGCGCAGCACTTTGCCAGGAAGGGGGGCTCCGCGACCCTTACAACACAGAGGTGTCTGGGGGCTTAACTGCCCCTGGAGGGTGGGAGGGGGCCAGGGCAGAAGGGCCGTGGTCTGGACGGAATGACTGTGGGGTGGGTGGAGACTGCGCTGGGACTCGGAGGACCTGGGGTTTCCCCTGCAGTGGGGGAGTGAGGGTAGATGGGATAGAGTCTCAGGTAATCGCAGTTCTTGGTGCTGTTGCAGGCAAGTGTGCATGGGTCACATTGCTTGAGCGTAGGGTGCAAAGCAGCTTCGTTTGGAGAAGGGAGAATTCTTCAAGTACTGAAAGGAAAACCACCCTGAGTCCCTGCTCCCTCATTGATTAATTCCGTCACTCAGTGGGTGTTCTGACGTGGTAGGGGTGAGTGGGTGCGCGGAGATACCGTGAGGAAGCGCTGAGTTTCTCTCCAAGGCTTTGGAGGGTCTGTTGCAAAGATGAGATCCTCAAGGACAAACATAAGTCTGAGGAGGGGAAGCTGGGTTCAGAACATACA
The DNA here is from genome assembly GCF_000001405.40 of Homo sapiens. Lineage (NCBI taxonomy): Eukaryota > Metazoa > Chordata > Mammalia > Primates > Hominidae > Homo > Homo sapiens. Next base: position 46,105,677 of record NC_000010.11, on the reverse strand, counting down.
TCAAACCTTAGAGATGGTCCTGTTACAGGAAAGAGGTCCCCATCTAAACCCCAAGAGAGGGTTCTTGGATCTCACGCAAGAAATAATTCAGGGCGAGTCTGCAGTGCAAAGCAAAAGCAAGTTTATTAAGAAAGTCAAGTGGTCAGAGTGCAGCTACTCCATAGACAGAGTGGGACGTTCCCGAAAGTAAGAGGAGTAAAGCCCCCATCCTAGGTACAACGCTTGTGTAGATGGGGAGATGTGCTCTGCAAAAGAGTTTGTGATAAAGGATTCATTTTCTTAATTACTGTATTTTGCAAGCATCAATATTATCTTTAAAGCAAAATTAGGAATGCCTTTGTTCTCCAGATATCTTGATATCTGGACACTCCCAAGTCTGGGTCTGTTTAGTAAACATTATTAATTTGTTCCCTTAACTGTGAACATCTAGAGGCGAGGAATGCCTAGCTTTCTGAGAACGCAGCCCAGCAAGTCCCCTCCTCATTTTCCTAGCCCTCACTCAAAATGGAGTCGCTCTGGTTTGACTGCCTCTCACAGTCCTGAAGCAAAACTTTTCTTTTATGGAAGAGAGAACATTGAGGAATAGAGAGAGACATCAAATCCGAAATGCAGAACATCAGAGACAAAGAAAACAATTTGAAAGTCACCAAACTCAAAACACAGATTACCCAGGAAAGACTGGTGGTGAAACCAATGATAAAGTTGCCACAGCCACCAGTGATATGTCCTTGGGTGCCTCAAAAATAGAATTCTGTATCTATCTGGAATATAAATCAAGTGTGAGCACAAAATGAAGGTATTGTCAGATGTGCAAAGTGTGAGTTTACAACCTGTACAACCTTGATGAAAGGATAAGAATGTATTTCAGAAAGAAGGAAACAACTCATAAGAGTGGAGTTCAACAAACAATGGTGAGCAAAGAAGCTGGGAACACGCTGATTAAGGTGAGTGGCTAGATACAGAAAATAATGACCATCACCAATATGGGGAGTTTTCTGAAAATGAAAGAATAATTTCAGAGGGGAGACCAGTTCCAGGAAAGTTTATCCAAGCAGATGGGGAGACCTTGAGCCATCTGAGGAGTCTGAGATTTCCTAGGCATGGGCCTGTCTTCATATCCCTGCTGGCCTCTGGCTAGAAGAAGCCTGTGAGGGGTGTGGTCTTTCCGTGAATGTGGTGGCCCATTGTGGTGGTAGAGAATGGATTCCCAAAACACTCCCTTCTCCCAGTCATACTCCCCACAGTCACAGATCTGATTGGTGCAGTTTCGTGCTCCCCACAATGTACTTAACTTGCCATTTAAAGTCAGAATTTGTCTGCTAAAAAAAAAGAAAAAGAAAAAAAAATGCAATCCAGCACCGTGGCTCATGCCTGTAATTCCATAGCTCTGGGAGGCAGATGCGGGAGGATTGCTTGAGGCCAGTCTGTGCAACATAGCAAGAACCTTTCTCTCAAAAAAAAAAAACACAAAAAACAAAATTAGCTGGGTGTGGTGGTGCACACCTATAGTCCTAGTTACTGGACTGTGGGAGGCAGGAGCCTAGAAGTTCCAGGTTATAGTGAGCTATCAGTGCACCACTGCACTCTAGCTTGGGCAACAGAGTGAGACCCTGACTCTTAAAAAAAAAAAATTGGCTGGGCACGGTGGGATCACGCCTGTAATCCCAGGACTTTGGGAAGCCAAGGTAGGCGGATCATTCAAGGTCAGGAGTTCGAGACCAGCCTGGCCAACATGGTGAATCCCCATCTCTACCAAAAAAATACAAAAACTAACCGGATGTGGTGGTGCGCACCTGTAGTCTCAGGTAGTGTTGGTGTGCACCTGTAGTCTCAGGTACTCGGGAGGCTGAGGCACGAGAATGTCTTGAACCCAGGAAGCAGAGGTTGCAGTAAGCCAAGATCGCACCACTGCCCTCCAGCCTGGGCAACAGAGTGAGACCATGTCTCAAAAAAAAAAAAAAAAAAAAAAAGCAGCAATAAAAACTGGCTATATACTTTCAAAAAGAGACATATCTAATACATAAGGACATAAAAAAGTTTAACATAAAAGGATGGGAAAAGATAACGGAGATATGGCCGGGATGCTGGGGAAACCAAAAGGAAGTGGGAGTCTTCAGCACAGAGAAAGTGTGACCAGGGGTTAAGAGGATCAGTTCCTAATCAGCTGCATTTTCCAGGAAGCCATAACAATTCTAAACTTGCATGCACCTAATAAAATAAAACAAAAAAACATAAACTATAAACTGAACAACTTTATAACAAGGCATGCTAATAAATGTTCAAATTCCTAGAAAAATATGTCATATGAATTGACAGAAATAGAAACACTAAATAAGTGTTAGGGCCGGGCATGGTGGCTCATGGCTGTAATCCCAGCACTTTGGGATCCAAGGCAGGCTGATCACTTGAGATCAGGAGTTCAAGACCAGCCTGGGCAACATGGTGAAACCCTGTCTCTACTAAAAATACAAAAATTAACCAGGCCTGGTGGCACGCCCCTGTAATCTCAGCTACTCTGGAGGCTGAGGCAGGAGAATCGCTTGAGCCTGGGAAGCAGAGGTTGCAGTAAGCCAAGACCATGCCACTGCACTCCAGCCTGGGCGACAAAGTGAGTCTCCATCTCAAAAATAATAATAATAATAATAATCATCATCATCATCATCAATAAATAAGTGTTAGTCTGCTCTGGGTGTCATAAGAAAATACCACAGGCTGGGGGACTTAAACAATAAAAATTTATTTGCTACCAATCCTGGAGGCTGAAAGTCTATGATCAAGGTGCCACCAGGATTGGTCTCTGATGAGACTCCTCTTCTTGGCTTGCAAACAGAGACCTTCTCATGGAGTTGTCACATGGCCTTTGCTCTGTGCATGCTTGAAGAGAAAACTCTGGCGTCTCTTTCTCTTCTTGTAAGGACATCAGTCCTATTTGATGAAGGCCTTACTCTTATGACCTCATTTAACCTTAATTACCTCCTTAACGCCCCATGTCCTAATACAGTCACATCACCAGTTAGGGCTTCAACATACCCATTTTGGGGGAGACAGAATTAGTAACATCCAGGAACTATTAAATTATATCATTTTAAAGTCTTCCCAAAAGAAAACACAAGGATGATATCATACCAGATATTCAAAGAGCAGATTATATTTATCATGTTCAAAGTCTTTCCTAGGAGAAAGAGCAAACCTCCAGGTGCATTTTATGAGTCTCTTATGACCTAATACCAAAAACAAATAAGGACAGCACAGAAATTGGAAAGCATGGACCCATCTCTCTCATGATCATAGATAAACAAAAAGTTCTAAATTATGACTAAACTCTAGCATGTTTTAAAATATGGTGGCCAAGTTAGGTTTATTTATAGCATTTTAAAATTGGTTTTGCATGCATTAATGTATCTAAACATACTAAATTTAGGTTACTGGACAGAAATACATGTTCATCACAAAATACCAGAAAAAGCATTTAGATAGAATTCAACACTCATTTGTGACTTGTAGCAAACCAAGATTAGTAGAGAAACTTTCTAATCTGATAAAGAATTTCTACCAAAAGCCTTCAATGAATATTATTAATTGTGATGTTAGAAACATTCTCTTTAAAATCAAGAGTGCCTCCTTCACTAGTCAACATTGGATTGGAGAACTAGTCAGCACAATTCTTATTCTTTTAAAAAATATATATATATAAAATTATAAATTAAAAATTATAATTAAATTTTTTTAAAAAAATTAAATGTTATTGTAATCAAATATTAAGAAGTTTTTGAGGGAGAGGACACTTGATGAGCTGATTCTAAAATTTATGTCAAAGAGCAAATAGCCAACAATTACCAGAAAAAAAAAAAGGTGAATGATTAACCGTATTGTGTGAAGACTTGCTGTAGAACTTTGTGTATGTGTCAGATGAGTCTAGGTTATCTTCTGGTTACCCCCTTCCCTCTCCCCATTTAATCATCTGAAAAGCACAAACTATATTTCTCATGTGTATATATCATTCTCCCACGTATCCATCCCAGGTTCCCAAGGGAACGCCATACATCCTAGTTGCTCAGGCACCAGGCTGTTGGGGCCACCTGAGTCATACCTAGACTCTTAAACATTTTCTGTCCAGAAGTGGCACACATTACTTCTGTTAACATTCCATTGGTCAATCAAAACCTGCCACAAACATGGCAGGAAGCACAGTCCTTCCCTTAAATGGAAACGGACAGTTATGGACAGTAATACAGTCTTGCCCCATATAGTCATTAAGATAATGTGGTATGGATGCTATCAATATAAGCCAATAGATAAAGAGATTGGCAGCCTGGCCAACATGGCGAAACCTAGTCTGTGCTAAAAATACAAAAATTAGCCAGGTGCAGTGTGGTGAGTGCCTATAATCCCAGCTACTCAAGCATTATAATCGCTTGAACCTGGGAGGCAGAGGTTGCAGTGAGCTGAGATGGTGGCACTGTACTACACAGCCTGGGCAACAGAGAGAGACTCCATCTCAAAATAAATAAATAAATAAAAACAGATTCAAATCTATATGGAACTTGAAACACAAGTAGTGACAAGATCAATGGGGAAAAGATGGAATTTTCCACAAATGAAGCTGGGACAATTTGTTATCTACATGGCAAAAAATGAAATCAAACATCTGGCACAAATCACACTTATAAATTAATTCTAGGTAGAATCAAGACTTCAATGTGAAAGGCAAATCTTTAAAACTTGTAAAACAAAATGTATTTCACCTGTAACAGGGAAGAAATTCTTAAGATACAAAACAGCAAATCTTAAAGTTTAAGAAAACTTAAAGCACTTTGGGAGGCCGAGGCGGGTTGATCACGAGGTCAGGAGTTCAAGACCAGCCTGGCCAAGATGGTGAAACCCCATCTCTACTAAAAATACAAAAATTAGCTGGGCGTGGTGGCGGGCACCTGTAATTCCAGCTACTTGGGAGGCTGAGGCAGAGAATTGCTTGAACCCAGGAGGCAGAGGTTGCAGTGAGCCGAGATCACACCACTGCACTCCAGCCTGGGCAACAGAGTGGGACTCTAGGCAACAGAGTGAGATTCTGTCTCAAAACAAAACAAAACAAAACAAAACAATAAAACAAACAAAAAATACCAACAACAAAAGAAAAAAGAAAAAGAAAATGACAAACAACTGGATTAAAATGAACACCTTTTGCTTTACTAAGAGACAACAAATAGAGTGAAAGAACAAGCCACACCATGCAAGAAGATATTTGCAACAATTGATAAAGGATTAGTATTCAGAATTTAAAGAATGTGAATGAATCAATGTGCAAAAGACAAACACCCAAATCAAGAATGGACACAGAGGCATGAATAGGCACTTCACAAAGGAGGGAACATGAATGACCCAAAATCCTGTGAACAGATGAACAACCCTTTAGTAATTAGGAAACTGCAAATTAAGTCAATACTTTTGTCTATTGATTAGACATCAAAACATAATTAGAAATCAAAAAATATAAAATATGGCACTACCAAGAGTCATGAAGGATGTGAAGAAAGAAAACCTAATATGCTTTCGGAGGAATTACACCAACTTTACCCATTCTAAAATACCACTTGTTTAAAATGATCCATTATTTTAAACACCACTCCAAAGCAAGACAAAAAACCCCCAAAGTCCACTAACCCAGTGCTTTTTACTACTTGTAATTTTTTTTTTTTTTTTGAGAAAGAGTCTTAGGCTGGAATGCAGTGGCGCAATCTTGCAATCTGCAACCTCTGCCTCCCAGATTCAAGTGATTTTTCTGCCTCAGCCTCCCAAGTAGTTGGGATTACAGATGTGCACCACCACGCCTGGCTAATTTTTGTATTTTTAGTAGAGATGGGGCTTCACCATGCTGGCCAGGCAGCTCTCAAAATCCTGACCTTAAGTCATCTGCCAGCCTCAGCCTCCCAAAGTGCTGAGATTACAGGCATGAGCCACCCTGCCTGGCTATCACTTGTAATTTTTCTGTTAAATATGTTGAAAGATCTATTTTAGACTTATTGAAGAAAGATTTTTAATCATATATCACTTCTGCATACAAAAATGAAGAAAATAAAATTAAGGTATTTCTAACTATCACAGTCTAACTTTCCTGAGTCCAACTTGAATCCCATCATCAGTGCCCACATTTTTCCACACATCTCTGCCATTCAAAGCGTTGGTCATACAGCAGTTTTGACACTGGGATATGAACTCATCCACACTCCTGCCCTAGAGAGGGGGCCTGTGTTCTCTCCCATTGACTTTTGGCAGCTGTGACTGCTTGGACCAATAGAGTACAGTGGAAGTGACACTATGTGACTTCCAAGGTGATATCATAAAAGGCTCTACAATTTCTACCTTGCTCACTGGAAATACTCACTCTTGGAGCTCTGGGCCACCTGTAAAAACCCAAGAACCCTGAAGCTGCCATGCTGGGAGGAAGCCCAGGTCATACGAGGAGGCTACATGCAGGGTCTCCATTCACAGTCCCAGCTGAGCCCAGCTTTTGGGCCCTCCTGCCCAGGAGCCACACTTGTGAGTGGAGCAGCCTCCAGATAATTCCAGTGCCCAATCCTTCAAGTCATGGGGCCCCAGACATGAGGAGCCCTCCTAACTCGCCCTGAGTGCCTCATCCTCAGAACCTGTGAGCGTAATAAAATGGGCCTGTTCTGTGTCTCTAAATGTAGGTGGTCTGTTACACAGCAGTAGAGAACCGGAATGTCCCTCATTCACAAAGACTCTGGCAACACCACAGTTTCCATCTCCTTTCAGATCTGCCATCTCCTGGGGGACTTCAGTGTCACACAAATAACCTCCCATTGCCAACACTCTGGCCTCCCAGTCCTTGACCTCCTCATCCACAGCAATGTCCTCACCTAAGTCACCTGGGCTAACTCTTCCAGTGAACAAATGGCAGGGTCTAGTGGTTTTAAGGGACCCTGTGAGGGCTGTTATAAGGGAAATGGAGGCTTCCTCTTGTAGCCCCTCCACAGGTCCTGTGCCTCCCCCTGGTGTTGTCAACATGCAGGACATTGGGAAGAGCTGCAGTTCGCAAAGTCACCATGTCAGCCTTCCTGTCAATCACAATAGGGAATTCATAACAGAGTTGGGGTGGGAGGTGGGGAATTGGCATCACTCACCCTGGCTTCTGAGCTGGTGCCTCCGGCTTTTCACCAGTACTTGATTCTGTCTCAGCCCAAATAAGCGGATGTCCTTCGTCACCTACTCCACGGACAGCAACACCGTCTTGCCGGCTCACCTCAGACAAGTGAGTGCTGCTTTGAGCCCTAAAGGGAGGCCTGATGAACTGAGCCAGAGGGACCTCCAGGGAGCTGAGGGGCTCCCAGAGACCTTGGCTGGGAGCCTGACAGCACACAGGGCAGGCCGGTCAGGGCAACTCACAGTACCCACCCTGACCTTAGCCCCGGCTCCCCTGCATCCTCCTACCCATGGCTGCAAGGTTACCTGCAGGCCCCTGTGCTCCAGAAGTTCTCAGCCTCCCTACTTCACACTCCCCTGCCCTCTCTCTGCCCTGCCTCCTTCCCTGGGAGGTGGCTGTGAGGATTCCCGGGGTGCAGGGGCTGGCAGGGCGGGGGTGTGTGTCCTTTGAACACACACCTTTGCTGGCTGCTGCTCTGTGCCTGTTCCCCCTGCCCTGACCAGTGCAGGAGGGAGACAGTGTCAGAGCCGGTGGTGAGAGTCGTGCGACTTTAGCGCAGGGATGCTGGCAGGCCCAGACGGGAGTCCCTGGATGGGGTTCTGAGCTCCAGGCCAGGCTGGGAAACTGGAGGGAGGTAGGAGGAGCAAGCTCAGGTGGCTTGAGGTGGCCTAGAGAGGTGCCCAGGCCCAGCAGGGTACATTGCAGAGTTCCTGTTTGGCGGGAGGTGAGAGCGCTTCCAATGCACATGCCCAGAACTGGGCCCACAGAAGTTGAAGCGCAGGAGAGAGGTGAGGACACTGAGTACTGGATGGGGGCCTGGACCCCACTTGCAGCTTCAAGGGGATACAGGGTGGGCTGCCGCATCTTGAGCTAGGGGGAGGCTTGGATCTGTGTGTCCTGCGCTGTGGGTTTGGCAGAGAGACTGGAGTGGGTGTGAGGTGGTAAAAAGCAAGTCTATGGGGGAGGACTGTGGCGGGTGACCCAGACGGGGAGCCGGGTTTGGGCATGGCCTCTTCTGGGTATGGATGGACCTGGCCTCCTCCCCTCCTGAGCTGGGCAGGCAGGGCTCTCAGAGCTCCGGCCATGGCAGGGACTCTCTGCCCGCAGTGGGAAGCCAGCCTTCAGGGTCCATGCTCTGCCCAGCCTTGCTGTGCAGGCTCAGCCTGTCACATTGGATTAGCCTGACCCTAAGTCCCCAGCCTGTCCCAGTCCTGCCACCAGAGCCAGTTCTGGCTGCCCCAGCCCATTTTGTCTGTTTTAACAGCAGCTGACAGGCTATATCCCCCAGCCAGTCTGCAGATCAGTGTTCAGACCGTGCATGCACAGCCATCAGGGCTGCCTCTCCAGCCTTTGGTCTTTTTGTTTCAAGGGCACAGGAAGTCAAAGAGGCCAGGCAGTCTAATTAAGCAGATTTGGTATTTCCTGTAGCAGGGTAAAGAGAGAGGAGGAAACTGAATCAGGTTCAGGAGTCTAGGGCCATGGGGGCTGGGTGTAGGGTTGGGGGCTTAGCAGGATGACTTTTCCCAAATGCAGCCCTACCTGTTAAAGGATCGAGTGTCCAACACAAGAGAACCCTTGTTAGGGTTACGGTTTGGGTTAGAGTTAGAGTTAGAGTTAGAGTTAGGAATGTCAACCCCATTGTCAGTGGCAGACTCTCAGTTGCCCATCCCCGGTTCAGGGTTAGGGTTAGCATGAAGATTAGAGTTAGAGTTAGAGTTAGGAATGTCAACCCCATTGTCAGTCGCTGACTCTCAGTTGCCCATTCCTGGTTCTGGCTTAGGGTTAGGGTTAGGAATGTCGGCCCCATTGCAGTTGCTGACTCACAGTTGCTCATCCATCGGAAGCTCCCACTGTCACCAGAGATGGTCTAAGTGGGGCCCTGGTGAGATTCCCCAGGCCTGCATTCCCTGGAACTGGGATGAGATCACAAGGCCTGAAGTCTATGGTCAATGTCACAGTGAGGAATGAGCAGGGCAGAGCCCTTGCTTGGCCTCCTCCTCCATCCAGGAGGCCTTGCACAGTTAACAGTGGCACCCAGAGAGCTTGGGAGCTAATTTTTAACAGTCCATGTCTTTCCACGTCAACCACCTTTTTGGAGTTTTTTAAGGAAGAAAATAAAAGAGGGTCTCGACAAGCTTCAGAAAATGGTGCCTGAAGGACACACGTCCATGCAGGCAGGATTTAGAAATGTATACCACCCTTGAGCTCCAAGAATCGATTCTAGTTGACAAGGTCTTAGAGCATCAGTGGGAACATTTCACTGTCCAGGCTAGATATTTCTTCATTTTCTTGCAGGCAATTCGGCAGTTAGAAAATTTCAACTCCAGGTTTAAGCACCTGCTGTCCCCATGGTGGTCCTGTAGGGGGAACAGAGCTGGGCGTGAGCCTCAGAGAGCTCTGTGTGCAGACTCTGCAAGGCCACACCTGCCCTGCCTCTTGGAGCAAGTTGCTCACCTGCTCTGAGCTCCAGGTCCCTCCCTGGTGCAATGAGCATAGTAAGCCCTCGCCCCATGGAGTTCTGAGAACTGTGTGGGATCCTGCGTGTGCAGTTCTGGTGCTCATAACCCTGAGGTGCTTGCCCTCCAGCTGGGCTGTGTGAAAAGGACAAGAGAAGAGCCAAGGAGTTTGCCCCCTTGCACACACCTTAGTCTTCCTCCTCCCTTCCTCGTTTCCCCTCTGAGTGACTTGCATCCCTTGAGTGTGTCTCAGATGATGCAGAAGGCTGTCCACAGCCGCTGACTCCCCTCCCCACTGTGTGCCTGCAGCTCTTGTCAGGAAAAGGCAGGGTTGGTGGGGAAAGGCGTTGAGGTGGCCGTGGGGTCTCCCGCCCCGGTGCCACTGACCCGGAGTCCTGTATTCCTGGTCCCAGAGATGCCGGTAGGGCTGCCCACAGGCTCTGCCCACAGGAGAGCCCAGTTGCTCCTCCCCCTGCCTGTGCGACAGGCCTGTGCTTGTGGAGTCCTGGCTGGAGCTGCCCTCAGGCAGAGGTAGTGCAGGCTGCTAGCGGGTGAGGGTTCAGACAGCCTGATGAGAAGGGGCCTCCCCCTCTCAGCTCCTCCTTTGTAAAATGGGTGCTGGGCTGAGACCTCCCTCACTCTAGGGGTCTCTGGGTAGCAGGTGCTTGGCTCTTGGCAGCCTCTCCCCTGGAGGATGAGGTGGAGGCACCTGGACATGCCCTGGAGTGATCAGTGCTACAGGCCCAGCATCCCACAGGGGTCCCGGAGTGTTGGGGTGATCAGACCCAACACCAGATCGTGGGAGCGACAAAGTCTGGCGGAGTCAAAGGAATGAGAAAAAGACAGTTTGAGAGAGACAGTGGGACCAGGGGGCCACCGCAAGTGTGGAGGCTGCAAAGGCCCTGAGCTTTGCGAGCCCATGCTGTTTATTGGTGCTCAAACAAAGAACCCGTGAGGATGTGGGGGTTGAAAGGAAACAGTGTATCAAGTGAATGAGAAACATACAGCTGCTTGAGATAATGGGAGTGCTAAAAGCAAGGAGCCAGCAAGTCTAGCAAACATGCAAGCCCTGCCCCAGCTTTTCTCCCAACACTCAGCTCTTCTCCCAACACAAGAGCTTTTGGAGGTCACTTCTGGGGCCTTTGCTAAGCAGGCCACTCCTTGCTTCTCCTGCAGACAACAAGGTTTCCAGCATGATTATTGCAATGACCAATGGAACAATGATGAAACATCCATTTTTGGACACTCTCAAAGAAGTGAGTTCAGTTCATATTTATCAGCATTTTGCTTCATGTATTTTGGTAATTAATACTCAATGCCTTCTTTCCCTTATGCTGAAAGGGCTTAGAGCCTGGGGGCCACCATTTACACCCTGGGTGTGGCTGATTATAGGAAAGACCCAGTAATTCCAAACAGGTTAACCAGGCACCAATATGGAGCCTTGTGATCAGGTTAGGGTTAGAGTAGGGAAAGGCATCCCAGGTGGCTTTTCCAGGGCCACCCTGGGAAGGGTCATCTAATCTGCCCCAAGTGAGTTGGGCCACCCCATGACTATTGCAGAAATGACACGTGTCGTATAAATCCCACCACACCAGAGGGGAGGGCGGAAGACACTCCCTGAGAGTGGGCTGCTGGCTGGAGAAAGCTGTGGCCCTCAGAGCCTGGCATTCTGCTGCCCCCAAAGCATGGGAGCAGGACGCTGTCCTCTGGGCTGGGGGTCTGCTGCATCCTCACCCCTGGGCTGGGGGTCCAAGCTAGCTCTGCTCTCTGTAGATAACAGCAATGGCAGGCATTCCGGACCATGTGTTTGCAGTGGAGAATGGCTTCAAGGCCCTGAGAAGCACCATTGATGCCGTGAGTGGGTGGAGATGAGGGGCTGGGGGCCTGGCTCACTCTCCCTGCCCCGCCCCACCCCTCCTGTGTTCCAGCTCACGTCAAAGACCTGTCTTGATGTGACATCGGTGGAGCCTTCCTCTGCGTGTGTAGGAGGTGAGAGCTGCGGAGGCCCTGGGGTAGCCAAAGGGTGGTGTGCACTAGTGCATGTGTGTATGGAGTGTGTGCATTTGTTTGGTATGTGTGGGGGAGGATGTGTGTGGGGAGTGTGTGAGTGTGGTGTGTGTATGTGGTGTGTATGTGTTTGGTGTGTGTGGTATGTGTGTATGTAGTTTGTGTGGGTGCAGTATGTGTAGTATGTGTGGGAAGTTGTGCTGTGGGAAGCTTGATGTGTGTGAAGTCTGTGGGGGAGGGTAATATGTGGTCTGTGTGTTGTGTAAATGTGTATGTGATCTGTGTGTGGGGTGTGTATATGTGCTGTGAGTGTGGTGTGTGTGGGGTGTGCATGAGTGATGCATCTGTGTGTGTTGTATTGTGGGTGTATGTGGTGTGGGAGCCGAGGAGGTATGTGCTGTATATGTGTGGGGGTGTGAGTGTGTGTAGGGGGCATATATGCATGCGTGTGTGGGTTATGTGCAGAGTATGTGGCATAAGCTGGGGTGCTGTGGAAGTGTGTGGGAAGGGTACCTGGTGTGTGGTGTCTAGTGTGTGTTTGTTGTGTGGAGGAGTCGGGAGTGGACTGCTTGTGTGTGGTGTGTGTGTATGGGATGTGTGGTGTGTGTTTGCTGTTTGTGGTGTATATGTGTTTACTATTTATGTGTGTCTGTGGTGTGTGTGTGTACAGTGGGACTAGAGTGTTTGGGCGTGTTGTGTGTGTCATTTGTGGGTGTCTACATGGGGATATCTTGTGCGTGTGGCATGTAGGGAAGGAAATGGTGTAATGGCATGTATGTATAGTTTGTGTGTGCATTCAGTGGGAGGTGGGTGTGTGTGCCATGGCTGTGTGTGTATGGTGTCTGTATATGTGTTTGCTGTTTATGTTGTGTGTGTGGGGTGTGCTGGGTGTGTGTTGGGGGAGTGGGGAGTGTGTGGTGCATGTGTGATGTGTGTGGTGTGTGTATGGGATGTTTGGTGTGTCTTTGGTATTTTTGGTGTATGTGTGTTTGCTATTTATGTATGTGTGTGGTGTGTGGGTGTGTGTGCTTCGGGTGTGTGGTGTGTGGTGTGATGTGTGTGGTATAGGGTGGGTTGAGTGTGTTTGTGGTCCAGTGTGCATGGGTGGGTGGGTGTGGATGTGTGGCCCACATGAGTGTGAATGTGAGTGTCTATTGGTGTGGGGGGAGTATGCAGAGGTGGCAGTGTGAGTACTTGTGTACAATTAGTGTGTTGTTACCTCACAACAATAAGTTTAACCCTAAAGCAAGAAAAGACATGTGTGAGAAGCTCACAGGAAAACACTAGCAAATGGCATGGAGCAGCAGCTAACCCAGACCACAGGGCAGGAGCAGCCAGGGCTCCTCCCAGGAAGGCCAGGCAGGTGCAGAAGGTGAAATAGCTGTGAAATTTACCACATCAACAAAACGGGAAACAGGAACCAAGCGGTTATCTCAGAGGATGAAGAACAAGAAGTGGGGGCGTCAACATGCCACAGCACCCTGGGAGCAGAAGGAAACCTCCATAGCCCGACAAAGGTGTCCACACAAACACCCTCGGCTCACCTCAGTCCCACAAGATCAATCCCAGCATCTGTCCCTACTGTCTGGAATTAAGGGTGACCTCATGCCATCTGGGTACCCAGCATGGGTGGTGACAGCCTTGTGTGGTCCTCTGTGATGACCCCTGTCTGTCCTGATCTCCACCTGTGCGCACTGGGACTCCGCATGGCCGGCATTTATGCAAATGCGGCTGCTGGAGAGGAAGAGAGCCCTGGGTGTCCTCCCTCCATGGGGACAGCACGAGACTGGGTGCTGCTGGCCCAGAGCAGCAGCTGGGTTCTGGCCTCCCAGTTCCTCACTGCAGGGTGCCCTGGCAGTAGGCTGTGAGGACAGACACACCGTCCATGTCAGCTCTGCTCTCCATGGGCACACGACCAGGAGCAAATTGTCCAATGTCAGCGAGCTCCAGAGGTGCCTCCCATGAACAGAAAGGATGCTGTCAGGCCTGTCGTGAGTCCCAGGGCACTGAGCTGTGCAGGGACTGGCACAGGGCTGGGAGCTGGTAGGTCCCAGAAACAGGAGCTGTGCTGACACTTCCATGATTGGTCCTGGGCTCTGACCCCACTCACCTCTCCCCGATGCAGAGCTGAGGATGGGGGTGGAGTAGAGAGAGCTCCCCTCCCACTTGGGGTCTCTTTCTGCTGCTCCTGGTTTAAAGCTGCTCAGTCGTGCAGCCAGTGTGCTAGCTGTGCTCCTCTGACGATGTCCCCTGGACATGCACAGGCTGTGGCGTCTGAGCAGTCCTGTCAACCCCAGGTGAGGATGTGAGTCGTCACTCTTCCCTGGTGGCAGCTGAGTTGAGGTGACAGGTGCCCTCTGCCCACCAGCTCAGCCCTCTGCCTCTGCTCACGTGGCCCGGCAGTCACAGCCCTGACCTGTCAGCTGTTGGCTGACTTGGGCAAAGCTGCCCCACATGGAGGGTGACAGTCACAGCAGGGAAAGGCCAAGGCAGGAACCTGGAACCTAAATGCAACAGAATAAGCCCTCTCAGCAGGCTGCCACCAAGAAACCAGGAGGGCTCCAGGGAGCCCAGGAAGGAGGCCAGGGAGGGAGGCACGCAGCCCAGACTCCCCCATTCAGTCCTAGGCCTCATATGCAGCCTGGCAGAGGCCTCTGCTGGGCTCACTGCTCCAGGCCAGTCCTGAGCCCATCCCCCACACATGGCTGGAGGGTTTTGGCAGGAGCCTCCCTTCTAAGCCTGGCAGGTGTCTGAGGCTCTTAGCAGAACCCCCAGGCCCTCCAGGAGCCACTTCCTGTTCTGGGCGCCCTGTGCAGAGGTGGGACCAGGTGGGGCGTAGGCACCCTGCAAGCCCTGCCTCACCTTGAAGGGCCGAGCCCACCTGTCCTTCACAGCCCTGTTCATAGGGCACCTCATCCTGGAAGCCTTCCCTGATGACCAGCCCCTCTGACTCCCTGCAGCCCAAGGGCTTGGTCTGTCCCTCTCATCAGTCACTTGTCACCCAGGATGTATCATGACTTCTGATTGTCTATGTCTAAGCATAATTTTCTTCTTTAGTTATTTGGTTTTCTTCCATCCTTTATTGTTGAAATTTTCAAACCTATAGGTGAGTGGAAAGGATTGTGCAATGAACACAAACACACCTATATCCACCACTGGGATTTTACAGTGAATGTTTGCCCATGCTCCTTTATCTCTCTCTCTCTCTCTCTTTTCATCCATCCACCTTGCAAAAAAGGGAAAAAAAAATGTTTGCAATACGTAGTCCTAACACAGCCTAGAATGTAATTTGCAACCACCCCGATTATGAAGCTTTGGGGCAGCCCTCAGTCCTGCTCAGGGTGGCCGAGTTGGGCTGACCAAGGGGTGCAGGCCACAGGCCCAGTTGCTCCCTCCCGGGCACACTGAGCCCAGTGTCCGGCTGGCCAGGGCCCTTTGGACACCTGAGCGAGGAAGATGTTGAGAGTGTTGCCTGATAGCATCAGACTTGGAAGCAGCTGCTGTTGGCCTTAGTGGTGGGAGAGCACCCGATGCTTGCCCTGAGTGGGGCCAGGTCTGGTTGCTCAGCACAGGATACCAAGCTGGCCTTTCCTGCTACCGCTTTTTTTTTTTGAAACAGAGTCTCATTCTGTCACCCTGTCTAAAGTCCAGTGGCATGATCTCGGCTCACTGCATCCTCTGCCTCCCAGGTTCAAGCAATTCTCCCACCTCAGCCTCCCAGGTAGCTGAAATTATAGGTGCCTGCCACCATGCCCACCCAGCTAATTTTTTTGTATTTTCAGTAGAGACGAGGTTTCACTAAGTTGACAAAGCTGGTCTCGAACTCCTAACCTCTGGTGATCTGTCCACTTCAGCCTCCTAAAATGCTGGGATTACAAGCATGAGCCACCAAGCCTGGCCATTCTTTTGTACTCTTATGGAATTATATGCTTGCTTTATAAAAATGAACTTATTCTACATATATGTTATTACATTATTAAGACATGTTCCCAAATGACATATTACATTTTCATCATTCTTTTTTAAAATATTTTTTCGTGAGACAGTGTCTCGCTATGTTGCCCGGGCTGGAGTGCAGTGGCTTAATCACACATATATATAATAGAGGCAGGACTTGAATCCAGATCGTCTAGCTCTGGAGTGCTGGGTCTTAACCACTAAACTACAGTGAGTTCTTAAGCTGTTTAACTGAGTTATTGCATGTAACAAAGTGGTAGTAGCTGTTCTTACCTGGAAAGGTTTTTTTTTTTTTTTTTTTGAGATGGAGTCTCGCTTTGTTGCCCAGGCTGGAGTGCAGTGGCGCGATCTCTGCTCACCGCAAGCTCCGCCTCCCGGGTTCATGCCATTCTCCTCCCTCAGCCTCCCGAGTAGCTGGGACTACAGGCGCCCACCACCACGCCCGGCTAATTTTTGTATTTTTTAGTAGAGATGGGGTTTCATCGTGTTAGCCAGGATGGTCTTGATCTCCTGACCTCGTGATTGGCCTTCCTTGGCCTCCCAAAGTGCTGGGATTACAGGTGTGAGCCACCACGCCCGGCCTCTGGAAAGGTTTTTAATGATTTTTACAAATATTAAAAATTACATTAATATGTCAGATTAAAAAAATATATATAGGCCAGCTGCAGTGGCTCACGCCTGTAATCACAGCACTTTGGGAGGCGGAGGCAGGCGGATCACGAGGTCAAGAGATTGAGACCATCCTGGCCAACATGATGAAAACCTGTCTCTACTAAAAATATAAAAATTAGCTGGGCACAGTGGTGCGTGCCTGTAGTCCCAGCTACTCAGGAGGCTGAGGCAGGAGAATCATTTGAACCCGGGAGGCGTGGAGGTTGCAGTGAGCCAACATTGCACCACTGCACTCCAGCCTGGGCGACAGAGCAAGACTCTGTCTCAAAAAAAAAAAAAAAAACCAACAACAAAAACTGTTTGGGTTTTTTTGAGACAGTATCTTGCTCTTTCAGGGTTCAAGCGATTCTCTTGCCTCAACCTTCTGAGTAGCTGGGATTACAGGCATCTGCCACCACATTTGGCTAATTGTTATATTTTTAGTAGAGACGGGGTTTCACCATGTTGACCACGCTGGTCTCAAACTCGACCTCAAGTGATCCACCTGCCTCAGCCTCCCAAAGTGCTGGGAATACAGGCATGAGCCACAGTGCCCAGCCTATATATTAGATTTTTAAGCGGAAAGGTGTTTGTTAAGAATCTTAGATCACTTGAGCCCAGGAAATTGAGGTTGCATGCCACTGCACGCCAGCCTGGGTGACACAGAGACACTCTGTCTCAAAAAATAAAAGAAAAATCCAAACAGTTGTGTTCTAAGTAGGATATGTAGTAATCATGACCTTTAGCATTGTACTGCAGCAGTCTATCATCTAATAAGTGATTGTGTGATCTAAATTCACAACATGGGGTGATAATGCTACAAAGTTGGTTTGTTTAAAATTAAAGTTTAATTAACTAAATAAATCATTATTTTAATAAAACCAACATGCCATATGTAAAAATAAAATCCACACACAGACATCATCTCATTTATAGGGAGAACATACCTCTCTGTGCAATAGTTTTCTCATCTGAAAAAAAGAGGTATAATAGAGCCTATTTCAGAGTTATGTGCAATTAAGGAAATAATATATACAGAGCATTTAGAAATGCTTGGCACATGGAAAGCACTCAAGAAGTGTACGTGTCCTCAGTATAATAAAGACCATGTAGGAAAAATCCACAGAGAATTTTATTCTCAATGGAGAAAAATGGGAAGCTTCTCCCCTAAGATCAGGAACAAGACAAGGGTGCCCACTTTCACCATTTCTATTCAATATAGTATTAGAAGTTTTAACCAGACTAATTAGGCAAGAAAAATAAATAAAAGGCATTCAGACTATAAAGGAAGAAGTAAATTATCTCTGTTTGCAGGTGACATGATCTTACATGTAGAAAACCCTAAATTATACAAAATACCTGTCAGAGCTAATAATTGAATTAAGCAGTTATAGGATGCAAAATCAACACACAAAAATCAGTTGAGTTTCTATACACTCATGATGACCAATCTAAAAAGGAAATTAAGAAAATTATATTTACAATAGTACCAAAAATAATAAAATACTTAGGAGTGAACATAACTTCCTTGGTTTACTTTAGTGTGAAGACTTGAACACTAAAAACTACAAAACACTTATGAAAGAAATTAAATACACAAATAAATGAAAAGACACCCATGGTTATGAATTGGAAGACTTAACATTGCTAAGATCCAGTGCCATTCCTATAAAAAATTCAGTAACTTTTTTTGCAGAAATACAAACAAACCTAAAATTTATATGGAATCTCAAGGGACCTCAAATAGCGAAAACAATCTTAAAATAAGAACAAAGTTGGAAGACTCACACTTCCTTATTTCAAAACTTTTGGCCGGGCGCAGTGGCTCATGCCTGTAATCCCAACACTTTTGGGAGGCCGAGGCAGGCATTTCACGAGGTCAGGAGCTCGAGACCAGCCTGATCAACATGGTGAAACCCCGTCTCTACTAAAAATAGAAAAATTAGCCAGGCATGGTGGTGCGCGCCTGTAATCCCAGCTACTCAGGAGGCTGAGGCAGGAGAATCACTTGAACCTAGGAGGCGGGGATTGTAGTGAGCCGAGATTGCACCACTGCACTCCAGCCTGGGTGACAGAGCGAGACTCTGTCTCAAAAAAAAAAGAAACTTTTTACAAAGCTACAGTAATCAAAATCATGTGGTGCTAGCCATATAGACCAATGGAATAGAAGAGAAGGCCTAGAAACGAACCCTTCGATATATAGTCAAATGACAAGGGTGTTAAAATCGTTCAATGGGAAAAGAACAGTCTTTTCAACAAATGATGCTGTGGAAACTAAATATCCATATGCAGAAGAATGAAGTTGGACCCTCACTTTACACCAGATACAGAAATTAACTCAGAATGAATCAAATACCTAAATTAAGTCCTAACACTGTAATGCTCTTAGAGGAAAACATAGGGGAAAAGGTTCATGACATTGGATTTGGCAATTATTTCTTCAATATGACACCGAAAGGATAGGCAACAAAAGAGAAAACAGTTACATTGGGCTTCCTCAAAACTGAAAAATTTTGTGCCTCAAAGGACACTATCAACAGAGTGAAAAGGCATCCCACAGAATGAGAGAGAATATTTACAAATCGTGTATTTGATAAGGCATTAATAACCAAAATATATAAAGAACTCCTACAACTAAATTATATAAAAGAAACAACCCAATTAAAAAATGGACAGAGGCCGGGCACAGTGGTTCACGCCTGTAATCCCAGCACTTTTGGAGGCCAAGGCAGGCCATTCACGAGGTCAGGAGATCAAGACCATCTGGCTAACAAGGTGAAACCCCATCTCTACTAAAAATACAAAAATTAGCCGGGCATGGTGGTGGGCGCCTGTAGTCCCAGCTACTCGGGAGGCTGAGGCAGGAGAATGGCATGAACCCGGGAGGCAGAGCTTGCAGTGAGCCGAGATTGCACCACTGCACTCCAGCCTGGGCAACAGAGCGAGACTCCATGTCAAAAAAAAAAAAAAAAAAAGGGCAGAAGGCTGGGTGTGGTGGCTCATACCTGTAACCCCAGCACTTTGGGAGGCCGAGGTGGGCAGATCTCTTGAGGTCGGGAGATTAAGACCAGCCTGACCAACATGGTGAAACTCCGTTTCTACAAAAAATACAAAAAATAGCTGAGTGTGGTGGTGCATTCCTGAAATCCCAGCTACTTGGGAGGCTGAGGCAAGAAAACTACTTGAATCTGGGAGGTGGAGGTTGCAGTGATCCAAGATAATGCCACTGCACTCCAGCCTGGGCAACATAGCAAGACTCCATCTCAAAAAAAAAAAAAAAAAGGCAGAAGACTGGAATAGACATTTCTCCAAAGAAGATACACAGATGGACAATATGCACATGAAAAGATGCTCCATATCACTAATCATTAAGGAAATGCAAATCAAAACCATGTTGAGATACCACTTCACACCCATTAGGATGACTATTATCAAAAATCAAAAATAACTAAACAGAAAGTAACTAGTGTTGATAAGGATGTAGAGAAATT
The DNA here is from genome assembly GCF_000001405.40 of Homo sapiens. NCBI lineage: Eukaryota > Metazoa > Chordata > Mammalia > Primates > Hominidae > Homo > Homo sapiens. Next base: position 46,085,953 of record NC_000010.11, on the reverse strand, counting down.
AGAACCCTTGTGCACTATTGGTGAAATGTTAAATGGCACACCGATGTGGAAGACAGTATGGTAGCTCCTCGAAACATTAAACATAGAATTACCATATGATCCCACAATTCTGCTTCTAGGTATCTACCAAAAATAATTGAAAGAAGGGGTCCAGGTGTGGTGGCTCATGCCTGTAATCCCAGCACTTTGGGAGGCCAAGGCGGGTGGATCACCTGAGGTCAAGGAGTTCGAGACCAGCCTGGACAATGTGGTGAAACCCTATCTCTACTAAAAATACAAAATTTTTAGTATGGCATGGTGGTGGGCGCCTGTAATCCCAGCTACTTGGGAGGCTGAGACAGGAGAATTGCTCGAACCTGGAGGGCAGAGGTTGCAGTGAGCCAGATAACGCCACTGCACTCCAGCCTGGACAACAGAGAGAGATTCCATTTCAAAAAAAAAAAAAGCCATAGGAGCTTAGGAGTTTGAGACCAGCTTGGGCAACATAGCAAGACCCCATTTCAACTTTTTAAAACAAAAAAATAAAATTTTAAAAAAATTCTATATCTCCTTCAACTCTTATGACCATTTTGGTTAGGCTGGTCTCGAACTGCTGACCTCAGGTGATCCACCCACCTCGGCTTCCCAAAGTGCTGGGATTACAGGCATGAGCCACCGCCCCTGGCCTAAAATGATAAATTTTATGTTATATATATTTGACCAAAATAAAACATTAAAAAAGAAATGTGTGTATGTGTTTTAAACTTTTTCAGCTATTTTAGCAAGGTAGGTTTACATGAAGAGTATGCTATTTGGAAATATTTATTCGTCCATTCATTACTCATTTCACAGTAGGGGAAACATTCCTGTTTCTCCCCCGTGGTGGTGATAAGTGGAAATAGCTTCTTTGAACGTGTGCAGGGTTTCACTGACCTTGGCCCACCCCTGTGACGTGGGGCCTCAGTCAGCGAAGTACCAACTCTCCGGGAGTCTATGGACTCAGCCTGCAGAGCCTGGAGGAGCCACTTCTGGTGGACATGGGGTGCAGAAGGAAACATCAGACTCATCCACCCTGCCCGTCACCTGCAGGTTTTCTAAAGTGTGGAGGAGTGTGAAGCTACAGCAAGGCTGGCCCTTGTAGAGCAGTTTTCATTGTGTGCTCTCTGCATCCCAAAGCCAGACTGGTGCAAGATGCGCGTTATTTATACATGTACTCCCTGGAATTACTCTGAGTCATCACAGGAAAACTCCAAATCCTCACAAAATCCCTTTCAGTTAACTGTACTTCCATGACCTGCTTTTGCCTTTTGCATTAAGGTTTTCATCCATGTGTGCTGGATAGTCTTGGACTGTTTTTTTAGATCCATTCTACTCCTCCCCACCCTGCTCTGTGCCCTGGGAGGACGACTTCTACAGACCACATCACTTAGGTCACCTCTCCCCCTGGCCTCGAGCTGGGTTAGGCTGATGGAGGTAGCAGCAGCTGTTGATGTAGGAGGAGAGAGAGCCTGCGGCCTGGATTTCCCTGGCTCCTTCCCCAACAGGCCATGGTTTTAGCAATAATGGTATGCCTTTACCAAAGCTTTTGTCAGGGGCCCTCCCTCTCCCCTGGCCACAGTTCTCTCCCCAGATTCTGATGATGGGTCCCATCCCTACTGCTCAGGTGAGAATGGCTCCCTGTTACTGCAAGCCTCTGGGAACATCGCCATCCCATAAACATCTACAACTTTGAAAACGGTCCTGGTTCTACATGTTACAGCTCTGCAATCTTTTTTCTAGCAGGACTCTGACTGATACACGAAGAGAAAAAAAAAAAGAGGGCATACCAGTATGGGAAAAGGAAATCACATCTCTTAAATGCCAGATTAGAGTTTTACGTATGTTATTGCATGTAATCCTTGTGACAACCTTGTGATGAAGATTTTATCATCTCTGCTCCCCTGAGAGGGAAACTGAACTTCAAAGAGAGTAAACAATTTCTCCAGATCCTTCAAATAGTGACTAGTGAAGTTGGGATTTAAACCCAGGTCTTCCTGAAAACAAAACCCATGTTCTTTCCCCTATAAGAGCTGAAGGAGATATATATTTTTTTAAAAAATTTATTCTTTTATTTTAAAAAGTTGACATGAGGTCTTGCTATGGTTGCCCAGGCTGGTCTAAAACTCCTAGGCTCAAGCAATCCTCCCGTCTTGGCTTCCCAAATTGCTAAGATTAAGGTGTGAGCCACCATGCCCAGCCAAGCTATGGAAAATTTACTTCTGTCTAGCTGGAAAATTGTTACGCATTACATCAATCAGTATCACGCATTATCAATCAGTATCTGAAAAGTAAAGTTCCACATGCGAAATTTACCTTCGAAATTTTAGATTTTATTTATTTATTTATTTTGAGACGGAGTTTCGCTCTTGTCACCCAGGCTGGAGTGCAATGGCGTGATCTCGGCTCACTGTATCCTCTGCCTCCCAGTTTCAAGCGATTCTTGTGCCTCAGTCTCCCAAATAGCTGGGATTATAGGTGCCCACCACCATGCCCATCTAATTTTTGTATTTTTTTTTTTAGTGTAGACAGGGTCTCACCATCTTGGCCAAGCTGGTCTCGAACTCCTGATCTCAGGTGATCCACCAGCCTTGGCATCCCAAAGTGCTGGATTATAGGAGTAAGCCACTGCACCTGGCCAGATTTTATTTTTTAATTAGGCATTTAAAAATTTAAAAACCACTTCCATAGTATTGGAAGTTCCGGCCAAGGCAATCAGGCAAGAGAAAGAAATAAAGGGTATTCAAATAGGAAGAGAGGAAGTCAAATTGTCTCTGTTTGCAGATGACATGATCCTATATTTAGAAAACCCCATCGTCTCAGCCCAAAAACTCCTTAAGCTGATAAGCAACTTCAGCAAAGTCTCAGGATACAAAATCAATGTGCAAAAATCATAAGCATTCCTATATACCAACAATAAACAAGCAGACAGCCAAATCATGAATGAACTCCCATTCACAATTGCTACAAAGAGAATGAAATGTCTAGAAATATAGCTAACAAGGGACGTGAAGGACCTCTTCAAGGAGAACTACAAACCAATGCTCAAGGAAATAAAAGAGGACACAAACAAATGGAAAAACCTTCCATCCTCATGGATAGGAAGAATCAGTATTGTGAAAATGGCCATACTGCCCAAAGTAATTAATAGATTCAATGCTATTCCCATCAAACTACCATCGACATTCTTCACAGAATTAGAAAAAACTACTTTAAAATTCATATGGAACCAAAAAAGAGCCCACATTGCCAAGACAATCCTATGCAAAAAGAACAAAGCTGGAGGCATCACACTATCTGACTTCAAACTATATTACAAGCCTACACTAACCAAAACAGCATGGTACTGGTACCAAAACGGACATATAGACCGATGGAACAGAATAGAGACCTTGGAAATAACACCATACATCTACAACCATCTGATCTTCAACAAACCTGACAAAAATGAGCAATGGGAAAGAATTCCCTACTTAATAAATGGTGCTGGGAAAACTGGCTAGCCATATGCAGAAAACTGAAACTGGACCCCTTCCTTATACCTTATACAAAAATTAACTCAAGATGGATTAAAGACTTAAATGTAAAACCCAAAAACATAAAAACCCTAGAAGAAAACCTAGGCAATACCATTCAAGACAGGCATAGGCAAAGATTTTATGATAAAATTGCCAAAGGCAATTGCAACAAAAGCCAAAATTGACAAATGGGATCTAATTAAACTGAAGAGTTTCTGCACAGCAAAAGAAATTATTATCAGAGAGAACAGGCAACCTACAGAATGGGAGAAAATTTTTGCAATCTACCCATCTGACAGAAGTCTAATATCCAGAACTTACAAGGAACTTAAACAAATTTACAAGAAAAATAAACCTATCAAAAAGTGGGCAAAGGATATGAACAGACACTTCTCCAGAGAAGACATTTTTGCAGCCAATAAGCACATGAAGAAAAGCTCAACATTCCTGATCATTAGGGAAATGCAAATCAAAACCACAGTGAGATACCATCTCATGCCAGTCAGAATGGCAATTATTAAAAAAGAAACAACAGATACTGGCAAGGCTGTGGAGAAATAGGAATGCTTTTACATTGTTGGTGGGAATGTAAATTAGTTCAACCATTGTGAAAGACAGTGTGGCGATTCCTCAAGGATCTGGAACCAGAAATACCTTTCACCCAGCAATCCCATTACTGGGTATATACCCAAAGGAATATAAATCATTCTATTATAAAGGTTCATGCACATGCATGTTTATTGCAGCACTATTCACAATAGCAAAGACATGGAACCAACCCAAATGCCATCAATGATAGACTGGATAAAGAAAATGTGGTACATATACACCATGGAATATTATGCAGCCACAAAAATAAATGAGATCATGTCCTTTGCAGGGACATGGATATAGCTGGAAGCCATCATCCCCAGCAAACTAACACAGGAACAGAAAACCAAACACTGCATATTCTCATTCATAAGTGAGAGCTGAACAATGAGAACACATGGACACAAGGAGAGGAACGACACACACAGGGGCCTGTCGAAGCAGGGGCGAGGAGAGGGAGAGCATCAGGGAAAATGGCTAACGCATGCGAGGCTTAAAACTTAGGTGACAGGTTGATAGATGCACCAAGCCACCATGGCACACGTATACCTCTGTAATGAACCTGCACGTTCTGCACATGTATCTCAGAACTTAAAATAAAAAAATAAAAAACAAATTTGTTATGTTTAAATTTTAGAAATTTGGGAGGGAAAATGCATCTCTGCTAAGAATCTGGAATGCTTTCCTCTTTCTGATGAGAACTGCGTAACTTGGTGGTTTTATGTGGGTTTGTTTTTGTTGCTGTTGCTGTTTGTTTTGTTTTTACTGCTCTGGAAACTAGGAACCTCATGCCCACATTCTGATGCAGTTACAACAGCCCTTTTGCTCCCATGAATTCTTGGGTTTTCTTTCCTTATCTTGATTTGCCACTTCTATTTGATTAGCTTCATTGTATAACCTTTGTTTAAAATATTTTTGGGAAATTAATATAGGAATATATAAAATTAATATATGAAATTAATCATATATGTCTCTTAGCTTTGCCTAATTTGTAGTTGAAGGTGCTGGCCTAACATCTGAAGGATGGCACTAAGAGGATCAGGGTTGGGTGTAGACAACTGCCCAGCCTACACCAGTTCCAGGATAGCCTGTCCTACAGCAGGAAATCAGCAGGGTTGTCTTTCTTTATAAAGGAAACATTCCATTATTAATGTGAACTTCAACATAAGCCAATGATTAAGGAAAGAACCAATATGTACCTGCTGCAATTTAGATCTAAAATATAAACATCCAATGTGTAGGAATAATTTCCTCCTCCTTTCATCGAATCCTGTTTGCCTAATGTATTTCATGGGTAACTTGCCACTCAGATATCCCAGGAAGCCCAAAGGCTAACACTGTGGGCTGACAAGTTGGGATGATACCAGCAGTGGTTACATTCTCACCATCCAGTCGTGTTATAGCTACAGGATCATGAAAGTTTGCTCATGGGAAATGCAAGTTCAAATTATTGTTTCTACTGAGCTGGAATTTATTTTAGAAGTGCCTAGGGTCAGTTCATTCCTTGAATTCCAAGCACTGTTTGTCAATTCCTGGTTCCAAAATTTCTTAAAGTCTGAGATCTGAAAAGGCAACATTTTTGTTCTCTTCTAAGAGGTATATGCCTGTTTGTGTTTTAAACAGGTTTGTCTGTAACTGAAAGTTAACTGACCCCAGTGGCAAAAAGGAGAAGCTGTTAGCTTGCACAAAAACTGTCAACCACAGCTGCAGATAAAACAGGGAGGGCTGAAGGGATATGGGACCGATGCCATTAGTATCTAATGCAATATTTAGTAAAAGATGTTGCCTAAGAGGATGATGCTATGGGGAGCTTGGAAGAACCTAGGTAGAAGACTGTGGAAGACATGGAGTTGCCCGACTCACCCCTTCCTCCATCTTCCCCACCAAGGAGGATGTGAAGCCTAGCTGCAGGGCTTGCAGTCAATGGGTGGCCTCTAGCTTTTGGCTCTTTGGGGGTCCTTGGTCTGTGGGGTGATCTTGGGTCACCCAAGGTTGCTGCCGTCTTGGGGCAGCCTCATCCAGTGACTGGGTGAAGCAGGATACACAGGCCCCAATATTCCAGTCTGAACAGGACACTCTTTTTTTTTGAGACAGAGTCTCGCTCTGCCCCCCAGGCTGGAGTGCAGTGGCGCGATCTTGGCTCACTGCAAGCTCCGCCTCCCGGGTTCACGCCATTCTCCCGCCTCAGCCTCCAGAGCAGCTGGGACTACAGGCGCCCGCCACCACACCTGGCTAATTTTTTGTATTTTTAGTAGAGATGGTGTTTCACCGTGTCAGCCGGGATGGTCTCGATCTCCTGACCTCGTGATCTGCCCGCCTTGGCCTCCCAAAGTGCTGAGATTACAGGCCTGAGCCACCGTGCCCGGCCTGAAGTGGACACTCTTGATGAACACCGTTGCTCCAGGGTGCCCTCCAGGTAGACTGAGGCTGTGCTGGGCCCACAACACAGTTCAGTTTTTTCCTCTGCCCCATCAGTTTTTCCTCCTTCCCTTCCTAGGTGTGGATCTCTAATAAGTATCATGCGCCTCAAACTCCATCTCACTGGTTGCTTTTGGAGAACTCATCCCTTGACAAGTCCACCAGCTAAGGCTCCCTGTCTTTATAGAGAGCACAAGGAGGGGCACCTTTTCCCCATAAAGACCTGCCTGCTGATGGGCTCTTGTTTTCTCTAGGACCCGGCACTTGGCCAAATCATATTCAAAGTTAGCAGGGAACTCCGGTCTTTTAATTATTTCAATCATAGATGATCTTCCTCTGTAGTCATGGGCCAGGCCCCTCAGGGTGTTATCTGCACAAACGTTGAAAAGTTATGCTTCCGGCGGGGTGCAGTGGCTCACGCCTGTAATCCTAGCACTTTGGGAAGCCGAGGCGGGCGGATCACAAGATCAGGAGATTGAGACCATCCTGGCTAACACGGTGAAACCCTGTCTGTACTAAAAATACAAAAAAAAAAAAAAAAAAAAATTAGCCAGGCATGGTGGCACGCGCCTGTAGTCCCAGCTACTTGGAAGGCTGAGGGATGAGAATCGCTTGAACCCGGGAGGTGGAGGTTGCAGTGAGCCGAGATCGCGCCACTGCACTCCAGCCTGGACGACAGAGTGAGACTCTGTCTCAAAAAAAAAAAAAAAAAAGTTATTCTTCCTAGAAATACTCCCAGAAGACTTTGTCTCCAGGAAATTCAGTGCTCTCCAGGAGAGAGCATCCCTGGCACCTCTGTTAGAACTGGACTGTTCTCTGGCTATTAGTGGAAACAGCTTCAACTCCAGAATGTTCCTGGTATTTGCTGGAGGATAAGGCATGGAACACAGATACAGTTATGCTTGCTGATCCTGTTCAGTCTGAACTCACAGCACAAAAAAGGAGTGAGTTTCCAGAATGTTCAGCAGGCACCTCTTCTCATTTCTACAACTAGATGCTTGGTGTAATCGAGATATTTTCTCATTGAATGAATATGTGCAGCAGTGCCAGTCATACTTCTCCATTCTGGGCAGCAGAACTCAATGGGTGTCTTAGCCCATTTTGCATTGCTATAAAGGAATACCTGAGGCTGGGTAACTTACAAAGAAAAGAGGTTTATTTGGCTTACGGTTCTGCAGGCTGTGCGGGAAGCCTTAGTGCCAACATTTGCTTCTGGGGAGGGCTCCAGGGAGTTTCCAGTAGTGGCTGAAGGGAAGGGAAGCCACCTGTGACATGGCCACAGAAGGAGCAAGAGAGTAGGAGGAGGGAGGCCCCAGACTAGCAACCAGATCTCTGTGAACTAGTAGAGAGAGCACTCACTCATTACTGCAGGGAAGGCACTAAGCTATTCATGAGGGATCCACCCCCATGACCCAAACACCTCTTTTAGGTCCCACCTCCAACACTGGGGGTCACATTTCAACATGCGATCTGGAGGGACAGATATCCACACTGCATGAGTGGTAAAGACCCCACTCTGCCTGCACTAGTTATATGCGTGAGCCAGTTCCTTAATCTCACTGAGAGTGTGTTTCTCCATCTGTATCATGGGGATAGTGATGCTTGGCTTACAGTTCTGTGCTGAGGATGACAAGACTTAATGTATTTCAATGCCTGAAACAGATCCTGACACTAAGCACTCCACTAAGGGTAGCTATTATAGCCCTGATAGTGACTGCTACCAGAACGCCCTCTTAGCAATCATTGCTTCATTAGTGTCTTCAGTAAATAAGAAATGAAAAAGAATATTGGGTCCATAAACTCTTAGGAAATTTCACTGGCTTCATGATGCCCACCAGCTTCATGGTGAAGCAGGAAGAGCTCATAGGAAATCACAAAGGTTCACATAAGAATATGCCTGTTCATGTTTTAGCATCTTTCCCAATCTTCTCAGCTCCTTTCATTATCTTGACAAACCACATCTCATAAATAAGCAGTTGAGACTATTACGAAAGAGGCAGGAAAGCAGGGTAGCTGATGTTTTCTTCTCAGCTCTTCCCTTCACCATGTGGGTAATTGTCATTTTGTGATTTCCGGCACTGTCAGCTCTCAGTTTCCCAGTGGCTCCAGGTGTTTGAGATGTTAAGCGAGCTTTTTAAAATGCTGCTTAAATCCACATGCCTTTTCCCTGACATAAGTACAGCTAAGACAAATACTCACTTTATACACATCCTGCGTAGGCAAGGTGAAGAACCACAGCTATAGGTTTTGTTTGTTTATTTGTTTGTTTTGAGACGGAATCTCGCTTTGTCCCCCAGGCTAGAGTACAGTGGCGCGATCTCAGCTCACTGCAAGCTCTGCCTCCCGGGTTCATGCCATTCTCCTGCCTCAGCCTCCCGAGTAGCTGGGACTACAGGCGCCCACTACCATGCCTGGCTAATTTTTTTGTATTTTCAGTAGAGACGGGGTTTCACTGTGTTAGCCAGGATGGTCTTGATCTCCTGATCTCGTGATCCTCCCGCCTCGGCCTCCCAAAGTGCCGGGATTACAGGTGTGAGCCACCACGCCCAGCAGGTTTGTTTTTTGAGACAAGGTCTCACTCCATCACCCAGGCAGGAGTGCAGTGATACCATCATGGCTCACTGCAGCCTCAACCTCCTGGGCTCAAGAGATCCTCCTGCCTCAGCCTCCCAAGTAGCTGGGACTACAGGCATGCACCACCACACCCGGTTAATTTTGACATTTTCTGTAGAGATAGGGTCTCACTATGTTGCCTAGGCAGGTCTTGAACTCCTGGGCTCAAGTGATCCTCCCACCTCAGCCTCCCAAAGTGCTGGGATTACAGGTGTGAGCCACCCCTTCCCCCACCTTGCTGTAATTATTTACTTAGACTCTAAACCAAAGAACAGGCTTCAGGCCAGGTGCAGTGGCTCGTGTCTGTAATCCCATCACTTTCGGAGGCCGAGGCAGATGGATCACCTGAGGTCAGGAGTTCAAGACCAGCCTGGCCAACATGGTAAGACCCTGTCTCTAATAAAAATACAAAAATTAGCTGGGAGTGGTGGCGGGTGCCTGTAATCCCAGCTACTCAGGAGGCTGAGGCAGGAGAATCACTTGAACCCGGGAGGTGGAGGTTGTGGTGAGCCGAGATCCCGCCATTGCATTCTAGCCTGGGCAATAAGAGCAAAACTCCATCTCAAAAAACAAAACAGAACAGGCTTCAGTGCCCCAAGGCACAAGGGAATGGAGGCAAGGACAGGAGGATGTTGCCCACAGGTGACATTATAAAGGAATTTTATGAGAACAAGCTTAGGGAGAACAAACAGACCGAGGGTCAATGCTCCCCGCCCTTAGAGAACTGGAGAACAAGGACAAATACAAGGCCCCAGCAGGTAACTGCAGACTTCTGACCCTTAGGTCCCGTATTTCCCTGTTGGTTCCATTTTAGCATCTACCTTTTAAAGCATGTTCACCAGTGATCATGTACCTAATTCTTCCTGTCTGTTTTTGGTAAGTGTCCCCTGCAGTCTGACAGAGAAACAGAAATCCAGCTGACCAAATGTATGCTAGTATTCTTTTCTCTCAAGTTTGTTGTTGTTGCTGTTGTTTGAGACAGGGTCTCGCTTTGTCACCCGGGCTGGGGTGCAATGGTGTGATCATAGCTCACTGTAGCCTCAAACTGCTGGGCTTAAGAAAGCCTTCTGTCTTAGCCTTCCAAGTACCTGGGCCCACCAAAGCACTGGGATTACAGGTATAAGCCATCACACCCAGGCCTTCTCTCAGGTTTGTTTTTTTTTTTTTTTGATTTTGAAACATGCTGGCTGGGTGCGGTGGCTCACGCCTGTAATCCCAGCACTTTGGGAGGCCAAGACGGACAGATCACCTGAGGTCAGGAGTTCGAGACCAGCCTGGCCAATATGGTGAAACCTTGTCTACTAAAAATACAAAAATTAGCCAGGTGCGGTGGCACGTGCCTGTAATCCCAGCTACTCAGGAGGCTGAGGCAGGAGAATTGCTTGAACCCAGGAGGCAGAGAGGTTGCAGTGAGCTGAGATTGTACCATTGCCCTCCAGCCTGGGCGACAAGAGTGAAACCTCGTAAAAAAAAAAAAAAAAAAAAAAAAAGAAAAAAGAAAAAAATACCAAACATATATTATCTAGAATAAACCACTGTTAACATTTTGCCACATTTACTTTTTGTCAGTTTAAATTTTTTTCAGAAGCAATTTGATACGGACATCATGTCACTTCATCTCAGACTACTTCAGTTTCTATCTACCAAGAACAAAAATATTCTCTTACATAACCATAATATAATTACTTATAATTACCACATTCAGAAAATTTAATATGCACACAACACTATTTCTTAACATAGGTATTCAAAATTCCCCAATTGTTCCAGTGACATTCTTTATAGTGATTTTTCTGCAGTCCCAGATTCAATCAAGGATGCTGCATTGAATTTATGTGCCCATGCCTGATAATGACATGCTTGGCTTCCAGTCTGAGAACTGACCCATATAAATTGCCTAATGGCAACTGCATTTCACATCCAGTACAATTCCCTTTTTCCACATGGGTCTCTGTGATCAACTCTGATCCTGCATGGTTAAGCCAAAACCAGTGTCTTTCACTGTACTTTGCCCAGCCCCTACCACCACATTACCAATCAAAGAAAGCCCCAGATAGCCCAGGGTGTGCCACAGCTGTTACTTGGGGCTTTCCTCATGTTATGTCCAAGCCAGCTTCAGCTCCCCTTCAATTGCATCCCCTAACAATCCTGAATTGCATTTCTGAATCTAGGACTAGTTTTTAAGGCCCTCCAACGTGGATACATGGTTTCTTTGCCATTGACCATTGACAAAAAGCTTTGAATTCAACTCTATTTTTCCCTCATTTGGTCACCTCAAGTAGTAAATTGAATCACTTTAAACTACTGGTTTTGTAGGTCAAAAACAAATATTTCATAACTTTCAGTGTAAAAAAAAATTACTCTTGAGCGACTCCAACACCTAGCAACCCCATAGCTGGCGCTAGCCCACTTGGCCAGCACTGTGGTTCGGCTGGCTCCCAGTTTTGTACAACCCCACTTCCATTTTGCTTTCCCAACTAATTATTTTATTATACTCTCTTTTGATGCCTGATAAACCCCTTCTTGTTCTTTTTCAGAATTATTCAGTCCACTATTGCTTATTTTTCAATGTTGGATTCAGCTTGTCTAGTACCAAAAGTACCTTGTTGGTCTTTTCCAGAAAGATTTATGGATCAACTTAAGAACAATTGACATCTTTATGATTTTGGATATTCCTATTCAAGAACAGAATATGCCTTTTGATTTAATCAAGTTATCTTTGTGTTCTTTATTAATTTTAATAAAATATTTATTGAAATATAATTCAAATACCATAAAATATGTCATTTATTTTGTTTCTTTATTTTATTTTTTTAGAGACAGTCTCACTCTGTTGTCCAGGCTGGAGAGCAGTGGCTCCATCATGGCTCACTGTAATATGGAACTCCTGGGCTCAAGTGACCCTCCTGCCTCAGCCTCCCCAGTAGCTGGGACTACACCACACCCAACTAATTTTGTAGTTTTCTGTAGAGATGGGATCTCGCTATATTGTCCCAGCACACACCACCACACCCAACTAATTTTGTAGTTTTCTGTAGGGATGGGATCTTGCTATATTGTCCTGGCTGGTCTTGAATTCCTGGTTTCAAGTGATCCTCCTGCCTTGGCCTCCCAAAATGCTGGGATTACAAGTATGAGCCACCATGCCTGGCCAAAAAATACCATTTTAAACTGTATATATCACTGCTTTATAGCATATTCACAGAGTTGTCTAACCATCATCACAACCAATGTTTGAACTGTTCATCATTTCAAAAAGTCACTCCATAACCTTTAGCTATCACCCCAGTCCCCTATTCCCCCATCTCCAAGCAACCACTAATCTACTTTGTGTCTCTATGAATTTATCTATTCTGGATAGCTTATCTAAAGGGAATTATATAATACATGGCCTTTTATGACTGGCTTCTTTCACTTAGCACAGTGTTTTCAAGGTTCAGCCATAGTGTAACAGATATCAATATTTCCTTCCTTTTTATAAAAAAGTTGTGGTAGGCCAGGCGCAGTGGTCATGTCTGTAATCCCAGCACTTTGGGAGGCCGATGTGGGCTGATCACCTGACGTCAGGAGTTTGAGACCAGCCTGGCCAACATGGTGAAACCCCATCTCTACTAAAAATACAAAAACATTAGCTGGGTGTGATGGTGCATGCCTGTAATCCCAGCTACTTGGGAGGCTGAGGTAGGAGAACCACTTGAACCCAGGTGGCGGAGGTTGCAGTGAGCCAAGATCGGGCCACTGCACTCCAGCCTAGGTGACAAGAGCAAGACTCCGTCTCAAAAAAAAAAAAAAAAAAAAAAGGAAAAAGCTGTGGTAAAATCACATACAAAATTTATCATCTTAACTATTTTTAAGTGTTTGTTTCAATAGTGGTAACTTTATTCACATTGATATGCAACAGATCTCTAGAACTTTTCCATCTTGCAAAAGTGAAACTCTGTGCTCACTGGACAGCTGTCCATTTCCTTCTCATTCCAGCCCCTGGCAACCACCCTTCTACTTTCCGTCTATGGATTTGACTACTTTAGATACCAAATAAGTGAAATCATACAGTGTTTGTCTTTCTGTGACTGACTTATTTCATTTAGTGCAATGCCTTTAAGGTTCATCAATGTCGTAGCATGTGACAGTATTTTCTTATTTTTTAAGGCTGAATAATGTTACAATTTTAATAATTATATATCATTATAATAACTGAATAATATTTACAACAATACAATTGCATTTTATGTATAAGTACATTTTAAAATCCATTAATGACATTTGGGTTGCTTTCACCTCTTGGCTATTGTGAATAATGCTGCAGCAAGCATGAGTGTGCAAATATTTCTTTGGGATCCTGCTTTCAATACTTTTGGGTATATACCCAAAAGGGGGATTGCTGGAATATATGGTAATTCTATTTTTATTTTTTTTAGGAACCTCCCTACCATTTTTCATAGCATCTGCGCCATTTTACATTCCCATTAACAAAGCACAAGGGTTCCAGTTTCTCTACATCCTTGCTAGCATTTGTTATTCTGTTTTTTTGATCCTAGACATCCTAACAGGTGTGAAGTGATGTCTCATTGTAGTTTTGATTTGCATTTCTTGAATGATTAGTGATGTTGAACATCTGTTCATAGGCCTGTTAGCTATTTGTATATCTTCACTGGAGAAATGTTTATTCAATCAATTGCCCATTTTTAAATTGGGTTATTTGTTTTTGTTGTAGTTGAGTTGTAAGAGTTCCTTATGTATTCTGGACATTAACCCTTCCTCAGATATGTGATTCACAAGTTTTTTTTTTTCCATTCCATAGGTTGCCTTTTCACTCTGCTCATTGTTTCCTTTGACAGAGAGACGTTTTTAAGTTTGATGTAGTCCCATTTATCTATTTTTGATTTTGTTGCCTGTACTTTTAGTATCACATTCAATAAATCATTGTCAAATCTCATCTTATGAAGTTTCCCCCTAGGTTTTCCTCTAAGAGTTTTATAGTTTTACATCTTAGCATTTAGCCTTTAATCCATTTCGAGTTATTTTTTTTTTTTTTTTTTTTGAGACGGAGTCTCGCTCTGTCGCCCAGGCCGGACTGCGGACTGCAGTGGCGCAATCTCGGCTCACTGCAAGCTCCGCTTTCCGGGTTCACGCCGTTCTCCTGCCTCAGCCTCCCGAGTAGCTGGGACTACAGGCGCCCGCCACCACGCCCGGCTAATTTTTTGTATTTTTAGTAGAGACGGGGTTTCACCTTGTTAGCCAGGATGGTCTCGATCTCCTGACCTCATGATCCACCCGCCTCGGCCTCCCAAAGTGTCGAGTTAATTTTTGTATATGAGGTTACAGGCATGAACCACCATTCCCCGCTATCAACTTTATTCTTTTTGCATGTGGATATAGTTTTCCCAACACCATTTGCTGAAGAGACTGTCCTTCTCCCATTGTGAGATGTTGGTGCCCTTGCTAAAGATCATTTGACCATATGTACAAGGGTTTATTTCTGGGCTCTCTATTCTGTTACATTGGTCTATATGTCTATCTTTATATCAGTACCACATTGTGGGTTTTTGGGGGTTTTTTTGAGACGGAGTCTCACTCTGTAAGCCCAGGCTGGAGGGCAACGGCACTATCTCAGCTCACTGCAACCTCCATCTCCAGCTTCAAGTGGTTCTAATGTCTTAGCCTCCCAAGTAGTTGTGACTGTAGCCACGAGCCATTATGCCTAGCTAATTTTTTTATTTTTTGTAGAAATGACCTTTTGCCATGTTGTCCAGGCTGGCCTTGAACTCCTGGGCTCAAGCAATCCTCCCACCTTGGCATACCAAAGTACTGGGATTACAAGTGTGAGTCAGCACATCCAGCTGCTATGTCGTCTTCTGTCTCCTCGTGTTTCTGGAGAGATATTCGTTGTCTCTGCCCATATAGTCCCTTTTGTATCCAGTGACTCTTTGCTGCTTCCTCGAGATCCCGGGACATAGGATTCCTTTAGAAAAGTGAGAGCCCTGGGGCTTTTGGTCTCATCTCCTGGATGCATCCCTCACTCATTCCTCTCTGGGATCCTTCCATGTCCAAAGGGGCCTCTGGAAAGAGAGGCTAAGATCCCCCTTTGCTGAGAATTCCAGCTTTCCCTCTGCTCTCCTTGGGATTCACAATCCTGCTTCCTTTCAGCACCACTGATCCTTCCCTGGAGCACTCTTCTCCCTTTGACTTTTTCTGAAAACTTTCTCATTCTCCTTAAAAATGAAAGCCAAGGAGCATTACTAGCTAGCTAGGCTTTCTGCCTTGCTTCCTGTCTCCCCAATGCACTAGAGCATCTGACTCCATGGCTGAATGAGAGGAAAGGAAAGAAAAAATTTGTGATAACTGAAAATGTTGCTGCCCATATACCTCTACCTTGCAGACCTCCAGAACAAACTCTTCCTATGGAATGATAAATGATGTGATGTGATGTGATAATGATGTGATAAACCTGAATACTGTGAGCCCAACAGGTCTTCCCTCCGGGTCCACATGCCGACTTCCCTCACCATTCTTCATAAAGCATGGTTTCTGTCATGTGGTGGCATCTGGAAGATCAGTGTTTAAATTCCACTACAGAGTAGCTGTGCGACTCATTTCTCTGAACTTCAGTTTCCTCGTTTGTGAAATGGGGCAGTTATTTCTTCTTTCCTGGATTGTTGTGATGATTAGAATGAGGCTGTACGTGCAAAGCAACTAGCACAATGTCTGGGTGCAAGAGTTTTAAAAAGTGAAGCTATTGTTATTCTAACCTGGGCCTCTAGCTCACTTATATTGGAAAGCCCAAACAGAAAACACTCATTTTGACCAGTAGGAGAAACCCTCCCCTGCTTTTGGCCTGGCTGCACTCACAGAAGTCTACGAAGACTGAAGACTGTGCAGCAGAGCCCAATATTACCCAGACCATAGCTCACACATGCTCTTCTGCACCCAGCAGAACACTTCTTTATTCCTCTATGGTGGATTTAATCTTATGAGCCTCCATCCAGAGGGGGAGCAGGGCAAGTATAAGGTGAAAGTGGACTTCACTCTTTTTTTTTTTTTTTGAGATGGAGTCTCGCTCTGTCGCTCAAACTGGACTACAGTGGCCCAATCTCAGCTCACTGCAAGCTCTGCCTCCCGGGTTCACGCCATTCTCCTGCCTCAGCCTCCCAAGTAGCTGGGACTACAGGTGCCCGCCACCACGCCCAGCTAATTTTTTGTATTTTTAGCAGAGATGGGGTTTCATTGTGTTAGCCAGGATGGTCTCGATCTCCTGACCTCGTGATCCGCCTGCCTTGGCCTCCCAAAGTGTTGGGATTACAGGTGTGAGCCACTGCGCCCGGCCAAAAGTGGACTTTACACTTGCCAATCTCATTTTTTTCCAATTTAAACAGCCTCTTCAGGAGGACTCAATCTCTTCCAGAGAAATCCACAATTGTTCCTCTGTCTTTGCCTCTTCCTTCCTTTGTCCAATTCCAATAGTACAAGCCAGGGATCCCTAGTGCCTTTGATGGTCTTACAGAGAGCCAAGTTTGCTGGGGTTCCTGGGCCCCTTATCTTGGTGTATTTGGTGTGAATTAGTGGTCTGGTCTTGACTCATTCAGGCTGGTAGTCTTCCCTGTGAATTGGCCCCACTGTGGTCTTGTGATGCTGCTGCCTAGAGTTCTGGTTGTTATTCCTGTTCAGCGAGGTCCACTTCACCCCTCCAGGAAGGCCTGCTTTGCCAAGTGCTCCAGCCAGAGTTAGCTACATTCTGTGCTCCCTGCCTCTCAGGGGACTTGGAACCTCAACATCACCAGCACATCACACATGGGCTCTGGTGTCGGCCACTGCTCTCTGCCATTGCTGTGCTTTCATCTCCAGCTTGCTGCAGGCCCCCAGCAGAAAACCCTGCCAGGACTTCAGATGGACAGAGCCCCTTTGTTGTTGGCTTTCCTTTAATCTAACATGTTGTTTTGACTAGGAATGTTTTTGGCTGCAAGTAACAGAAACTCTAACTAACAGTGACATAAACCATAAGGGTTTTCATAAGGTCCTGGAGCAGGTGGTATCAATGGTTTGGCAACTCCGTGAGGTCATTAAGAGCCTCTCTGTGTTGTCCCTCTGTTATACTTGGCCTATTTTTCTTATCCTTTTCAGCTAATCATCATAAAATGGCTGCCTCAGCTCCACCCATCACGTTTGTGTTTAAGGAATGTATAGGTGAGACCAACGAGCGCAGGCAGCGTTTCTTTTGTGCTGGTCCCTTTCATTTGAAACAAAATGTCTTCCCCAGAAGCTCTAGAGGAAATTTACGTCTAATCAGTCAAAACTAAGTCACATTCTATTCTCAAGGAAGGCTGAGAAAGAGAGTATTTGGTTTTCCAGCCTCTTCAGGAGGAGGTTACTGGGGAGAAGGAAATTGGGGGCACCTTGTGAGTAATCACCTCATGTCCTCCACCCACTTCCCCCTTTGGGACTTTGGAATAGAAAGGGGAGATTAGGAACCACTGTTTGACCACTGCTTCCCCGAGGAGCATGGACAATGGGAAAGGATGCAAGGTCTGAATCCCTCATAGGGATACTGTAAGGATCAAAGGAGATTATTTATGTAAGCAGTTAGCACTATGCTGGCACAGAGTAAGCACCCAATAGAAGTTTGCTATTGTTATTCTTTTTATTGATACTTTGTTATTGTTAATGCTGCTGTTTTCTCCTTTCTTGACTCCTCCAGGCCAAAAGAGCCAGGCTTTCCACTTCTTCTCTGAAAGAAAATTCCCCTCCTTCATATCCTTTTTCTATTGCAAGAGCAAAACTCCATTATCAAATCAGGCTTGCTTTTGAGTCCTATATAAAACTTAAGTAGAGTGATCATACAATTTATTATACAAACTGGAACGCTTTGGAGAACAAACAAGAACACTTTTTGGTGGAATTATGGGAGTTCAAGAGGAAAAAAATTTTAAAAACAACACTTTTTGAGTAATAGCTTTGTTGAGATAGAATTCACATACCATACAATTAACCTTGCACCTCGGTGATTTTTAATATATTCACAATTGTTCAACTATTGCCACAATCAATTTTAGAATATTTAATCTCTCCCAAAAGGACACTCTATATCCTTTAAATATAACCCTGCTATTCTCCATCCTCCCCAGCCCTAGGCAACCACTAATCTACTTTCTGTCTTTATATTTTGGCCTATTCTGGACATTTCATATAAATGGAATCCTATGATGTGTGGTCTTTTGTGCTTCCTTCTTTCACTTAGCATCATGTTTTCAAAGTTTCAAAGTTTCAAAGTTTACCCATGTGATAGCATGTATCAGTACTTCTTTGCTTTTTATTACTGAATAATATTCTATTGTATAGTTAGATCACATTTTCCTGTTCATTCACGGACATGTGGATGGTTTCCACCTTTTGGCTATTGTGAATAATGCTGCGATGAATAATTGTGTACAAGTATGTGTTTTTGTATCTGTTTTTAATTCTCTTGGGTGTATGCCTAGGAATAGAATTACTGGGTTAAATGTAACTGCACATTTAACCTTTTTTTTTTTTGAGACGGAGTCTTGCTCTGTCGCCCAGGCTGTAGTGCAGTGGCGTGATCTCAGCTCACTGCAAGCTCCGCCTTCCGGGTTCACGCCATTCTTCTGCCTCAGCCTCTCAAGTAGCTGGGACTACAGGCGCCTGCCACCAAGCCTGGCTAATTTTTTGTATTTTTAGTAGAGACGGGGTTTCACCATGGTCTCGATCTCCTGACCCCGTGATCCGCCAGCCTAGGCCTCCCAAAGTGCTGGGATTACAGGCGTGAGCCACCGCGCCAGGCCACGTTTAACCTTTTAAAGAACTGCCATACAGTTCTAATATCTACACCTTCACATCAACATAGGCTATCTTTTTTTTTTTTTTTTTGAGACAGAGTCTTGCTTCATTGGCCAGGCTGGAGTACGGAGGCACGATCTTGGCTCACTGCAACCTCCACTTCCTGGGCTCAAGTAATTCTCCTGCCTCAGCCTCCCAAGTATCTGGGATTATAGGTGTGTGCCACCACGCCAGGCTAAGTTTTGTATTTTTAGTAGAGGCGGGGTTTCATCATGTTGGCCAGGCTGGTCTCGAACTCCTGACCTCAGGTAATCTGCCCGCCTCAGCCTCCCAACGTGCTGGGATTACAGACAAGAGCCACCGCAGCCGGCTGGCTATTATCTTTTTGACTGTAGTCTTCTCAGTGAGTGTGAAGTGGTAGCTCATTGTGATTTTGATTTGCACTTCCCTACTTTCCTGAATGCCTGATGATATTGAACATCTTTTTTTTTTTTTTTTTTTTTTTTTTTGAGACAGAGTTTCACTCTTGCTGCCCAGGCTGGAGTGCAGAGGTGCAATCTCAGTTCACTGCAACCTCTGCCTCTCAGGTTCAAACAATTATCTTGCCTCAGCCTCCCGAGTAGCTGGGATTACAGGTGCCTGCCACTATGCCCAGCTAATTTTTGTATTTTTTAGTAGAGACAGGGTTTCATCATGTTAACCAGGCTGGTCTCGAACTCGTGACCTCAAGACATCCGCCCGCCTCAGCCTCCCAAAGTCCTGGGATTACAGGTGTGAGCCACTGCATCTGGCCATTGAACATCTTTTTATGTGCTTCTTGGCCAGTAGAGGACCCTTAAAAAACTTTTAATTTTGACCTAGTTTCACATGTACAGAAAAGTTACAGAATAGTTAAAACAAAAAACTATATACCCTTCACCCAGATTTTCCAGCGTTAACACTTTGCTCCATTTCAGCTATTATTTCCTCTCTCTCTCACTCTCTTTCTCTCTCTTTTTTTTTTTTTTTTGAGACGGAGTCTTGCTCTGTCGCCCAGGCTGGAGTGCAGTGGCGTGATCTTGGCTCCCGAGTTCACACCATTCTCCTGAGTAGCTGGGACTACAGGAGCCCGCCACCACGCCCGGCAAATTTTTTGTATTTCTTTTAGTAGAGATGGGGTTTCACCGTGTTAGCCAGGATGGTCTTGATCTCCTGACCTTGTGATCCGCCCACTTCGGCCTTCCAAAGTGCTGGGATTACAGGCCTGAGCCACCATGTCTGACCTCTCTCTCTCTTTTTTTTTTCTTTCTAAGGCTGAAGTGCAGTGGTGCAACCTCTGCTCACTGCAGCCTTGATATCCTGGGCTCAAGAGATCCTCCCACCTCAGCCCCGCAAGTAGTTGGGACTATAGGTATGCGCCACCATACCTGGCTAATTTTTGTATTTTTTGTAGAGATGGGGTTTTGCCCTGTTGCCCAGGCTGGTCTTGAATTCCTGAGCTTAGGCAATCTGCCTGCCTGGCCTCCCAAAGTGCTGAAATTACAGGCTTGAGCCACTGTGCCCAGCATCTGTCTCTCTCTCTCCCCTCACCCCCACGCATATACACTTATACACTTTTTTTTAAAACAATTTGAAAGTAATTTGCATTCATCATGTCCCTTTATCTATGAACACTTCAATGTGGAGTTCCTGAGAACAAGGACTTTTTTTAATGTGATCTCAGAACATTTATCAAAAATCAGAAAACTCAATGTTGATAAAATAATATTATGTAATCCATAGTCCATATTCAAACTTCACCAGTTGTCCCAATATTCTATGTTCAAGTCCAGGATCACAGATTACATTTACTCATCAGATTTCTTTAATTACCTTTCATGTGAAACAGCTCCTCAACCTTTCTCTCTCTTCAGTGGCCTTGATATTTTTGAAGAGTTTAGGCCAGTTACTTTGTAAAATAGGTTTGTCTGCAGTTTCCTTGTGATTAGATTAAATTCTGCATTTAAAAATATTTTATTTTACTTATTTTTGAGACAGGGTTTCACTCTATTGCCCAGGCCAGAGTGCAGTGATGCAGTCATGGCTCCATTGGAGCCTCAACCTCCCAGGCTCAAGTGATGTTCCCACCTCAGCCTCCTGAGTATCTGGGACTAAAGGTATGTGCCACCACCCCCGGCTAATTTTTGTATTTTTTATAGAGATAGGGTTTCGCCATATTGCCCAGGCTGGTCTCCAACTCCTGAGTTCAAGCAATCCTCCTGCCTCGGCCTCCCAAAGTGGTAGGATTACAGGCATGAGTCACAGTGCCCAGCCTAGGGCATTCCTTTGGGAATCTCTTCAGAAAACACTCTCCCTGAGCCCAGGGGCACCAAGTGGGAGAGTAGGGTGGAAGGACAGGGCAAACCTTGTTGACTAATCCTGTGGACACCAGCCCATTATTGTGCAGTTAGTCTGGGGGAAATAAACACAGGATTTCATGTTTATCTGCCTGAAATATTATCCTTATTTATCTACCTTAATCACTCCTCCTTTTAATGTTGAACAAATTAAATATTTATCTGCCTTAATTCCTCTTCCTTTTGACTGTAGGACAAACTAAATATTGATCCTGCCTTAGTCCCTCCTCCTTTTGACTTTAAGACAAGCCAGATAAAGAAATGTCTTTATTGACATTTTACTTTATTTTATTTTTCTGGTAGTGTGGCAGGTGGGAAGGTAAAGATGACTGGAGAAGGCAAAAGAGGGCTAGATCCTATGATGGGCTGTGTGCTCAGGCAAGGAAGGAATGGAACTTTGCGAGCATTGAAGAAAAGGGTGGCTGTGCTGAGGGAACTGTGTGGGATTAACCCCGGAGAAACAGAGGCTGCGTCTTCACCCAAGGCATGTTTATGGCACAACAAATACAACAAGCAGGAGCTTTTTCTGGCAGAGAAAGTTTCCTTTTTTTTTTTTTTTTGAGTCGGAGTCTCGCTCTATCACCCAGGCTGGAGTGCAGTGGTACAATCTTGGCTCAATGCAACGTCTGCCTCCTAGTTTCAAGCGATTCTCTTGCCTCAGCCTCCCAAGTAGCTGGGATTACTGGTGCCCACCACCACACCTGGCTAATTTTTTGTATTTAGTAGAGACGGGGTTTCACTATGTTGGTCAGGCTGGTCTTGAACTCCTGACCTCAGGTGATCCACCCACCTCAGCCTCCCAAAGTGCTGGGATTACAGGTATGAGCCACCGCACCTGGCCGAGAAAGTTTCCTTTTTTTTTTTTAATGGTGAAAAGATATACACATATTTAGAATTAGCCAGCTGGGCTCAGTTTAGATTATTCCAATTTTGTTGGCAACATCCAGAGCATCGTAATCAGGAGCCAGTGAAACATATTCCTTCTTCTCTCCATCAGGCCAAATCACGGTGTTGACCTTGGCCACATCAATGTCTTAGAACTTCTTCACAGCCTGTTTGATCTGGTGCTTGTTGGCTTTAACATCCACAATGAACACAAGTGTGTTGTTGTCTTCTATCTTCTTCGTGGTGACTCAGTGGTCAGCGGAAACTTGATGATAGCGTAGTGGTCAAGCTTGTATCTCCTGGGAGCGCTCTTCCAAAGATATTTGGGCTGCCTCGGGAGTTGCAGCGTCTTGGGCCGCCGGAAGGTGGGTGACGTACGGATCTTCTTTTTTTGTGTGGCTGTGGACACCTTTCAACACTGTCTTCTTGGCCTTTAAATCCTTCGCTTTGGTTTCGGCTTTAGGAGGGGCAGGAGCTTCCTTCTTCACTTTCGGCGCCATCTTGTGAAAAGGGAAAGTTTCCTTTCTAATACCATTTTCACTTCTCCCGAATTTTGTGGATCGTTTCTTGGTATCTACCCCAGATTTCAGGAGTGTTGGCTGGATCTTAGGGATTGTGAAGTCTTCATTTCCCTGTGGTGAGATCTGAGGCATGATTTTAAACAGTGTGAGGGAAGGAGATCTCCAGGCACTTTAATAGAATGGAGAAGCAGGATGGGATTTGAGAGGAAATCTGATTTTGAAAAAAGGAGAACTAGAGTTGAGTTCGTAATTAACTAGCACCTTAAAGGTCATTCAGCATGCCCATCTGCACAGTGGGTGTAATCACCCTACAGAACAAAAACAAAAAGGCAATGGAGAGGAAGCTGTAAAGCACTGTACATGTTTAACTCATTGTTATGTAAGCTAGCCGAAGGCTTCACAGACTTGAATTCATCTCCCAAGTTCTCTTCCTGTACTGGAAACTCTGCCTTAGGTTGCTTAAAACTTGAGAAACAGAATATTGCTTCCCCTGCCTGCCTTCTTGAGTACACTTGCCTACACAAAGATGCACATCCTTGTTTGTGTGTGTGTGTCCATTTGCTGTGACATTCTTGTGAAAGTCAAAGTTTCCCAGCTGTTGACATACACAAGTTTGTTTGGTGCAACCTGTCAGATGCATCCCTTAGACAGGCCCTTTGATACTCTGGGAAAGACATTGGACTTACAGTCGGAACGAAAAGAAAGAAATGTGATATGTATAGCGTGCAGTGAGTTGGAGTTTTACCTGTATTGTTTTAATTTCAACAAGCCTGAGGACTAGCCACAAATGTACCCAGTTTACAAATGAGGAAACAGGTGCAAAAAGGTTGTTACCTGTCAAAGGTCGTATGTGGCAGAGCCAAGATTTGAGCCCAGTTATGTCTGATGAACTTAGCCTATGCTCTTTAAACTTCTGAATGCTGACCATTGAGGATATCTAAACTTAGATCAATTGCATTTTCCCTCCAAGACTATTTACTTATCAATACAATAATACCACCTTTACCAATCTATTGTTTTGATACGAGACTCAAATATGCCAGATATATGTAAAAGCAACCTACAAGCTCTCTAATCATGCTCACCTAAAAGATTCCCGGGATCTAATAGGCTCAAAGAAACTTCTTCTAGAAATATAAAAGAGAAAATTGGATTATGCAAAAATTCATTATTAATTTTTTTCATCCATCCTTTAATTCAGCAAACATTTATCTGTTGTTGACTTTATGCAGTATGGCCTTTTAAGGATTGGGGGACAGGTGAAGAACGGGGTGCCAGAATGCATCCTCCTACTAATGAGGTCAGTACACATTTGCATTTTAAAATGCCCTGTCCAGCTGGGCATGGTGGATCATGCCTGTAATCTCAACATTGGAAGGCCAAGGCAGGAGGATTGCTTCAGCCCAGGAGTTCAAGACCAGCCTGGGCAACATAGAAAGACCCCATCTCTCAATCAATCAATCAATGCCCTGTCTTTGAAAATAAAACTCTTTAAGAAAGGTTTAATGGGCAGGGTGTGGTAGCTCATGCCTATAATACAGCACTTTGGGAGGCTGAGGCAGGAGGATCACTTTAGCCCAGAAGTTCAAGACCAGCCTGGGCAACAAGTGACACCTCATCTCAATTTTTTAATAAAATGAATACATACATAAGGAAAGATAAAAAGAAAAGTTTAATGAAAGAATACAGTATAAAACAAATCTCTTGGACCTAAAAGTATTTTTGTTCAAGCCAAATATTGTGAATCACCTCTCTGTGTTGAGGATACAGAATATCTAAGCCCAGGAAACTGAGCAGAAAGTTCATGTACTAACTAATCAACCCGAGGCAAGGCAAAAATGAGACTAACTAATCAATCCGAGGCAAGGGGCAAATTAGACGGAACCTGACTCTGGTCTATTAAGCGACAACTTTCCCTCTGTTGTATTTTTCTTTTATTCAATGTAAAAGGATAAAAACTCTCTAAAACTAAAAACAATGTTTGTCAGGAGTTACAAACCATGACCAACTAATTATGGGGAATCATAAAATATGACTGTATGAGATCTTGATGGTTTACAAAGTGTACCCACTGTTAATCACTTTAAACATTAATGAACTTAAAAATGAATTTACGGAGATTGGAATGTTTCTTTCCTGTTGTATTAGTTGGCTCAGGCTGCCATAACAAAATACCACAGACTGGGAGGCTTAAGTAACAGAAATTCATTTCTCACAGTTCTGGGGGCTGGAAGTCCACGATCAAGGTGCAGGAAAGGCAGGCTTCATTCTGAGGCCCCTCTCTTGGCTCACATGTGGCCACCCTCCCACTGCGTGCTCACATGACCTCTTTGTGCTCCTGGAAAGAGGGTGTGGGGGACAGAGGGAAAGAGAAGGAGAGGGAACTCTCTGGTGTCTCGTCTTTCAAGGACCCTAACCTGGGCCACTTTGGCCCAGGCACTGTGGGGTGGGGGGTTGTGGCTGCTCTGCTCTGAGTGGCCAAGATAAAGCAACAGAAAAATGTCCAAAGCTGTGCAGCAAAGACAAGCCACCGAACAGGGATCTGCTCATCAGTGTGGGGACCTCCAAGTCGGCCACCCTGGAGGCAAGCCCCCACAGAGCCCATGCAAGGTGGCAGCAGCAGAAGAAGGGAATTGTCCCTGTCCTTGGCACATTCCTCACCGACCTGGTGATGCTGGACACTGCGATGAATGGTAATGTGGATGAGAATATGATGGACTCCCAGAAAAGGAGACCCAGCTGCTCAGGTGGCTGCAAATCATTACAGCCTTCATCCTGGGGAGGAACTGGGGGCCTGGTTCTGGGTCAGAGAGCAGCCCAGTGAGGGTGAGAGCTACAGCCTGTCCTGCCAGCTGGATCCCCAGTCCCGGTCAACCAGTAATCAAGGCTGAGCAGATCAGGCTTCCCGGAGCTGGTCTTGGGAAGCCAGCCCTGGGGTGAGTTGGCTCCTGCTGTGGTACTGAGACAATATTGTCATAAATTCAATGCGCCCTTGTATCCCTTTTTCTTTTTTATCTGTCTACATCTATAATCACTATGCATACTAGTCTTTGTTAGTGTTTCTATTCAACTTAATAGAGATATGTTATACTTAAAAAAAAAAAAAAAATGGGCCGGGCGCAGTGGCTCATGCCTGTAATCCCAGCACTTTGGGAGGCCGAGGTGGGTGGATCATGAGGTCAGGAGATCGAGACCATCCTGATTAACGTGGTGAAACCCCGTCTCTACTAAAAATACAAAAAAAATTAGCCGGGCGTGGTGGCAGGCGCCTGTAGTCCCAGCTACTCAGGAGGCTGAGGCAGGAGAATGGCGTGAACCCGGGAGGCAGAGCTTGCAGTGAGCCGAGATGGCGCCACTGCACTCCAGCCTGGGTCCAGCCTGGGCAACAAGAGTAAAACCCTGTCTCAAAAAAAAAAAAAAAAAGATAAATAATAAAAAATAAAATATAAATAAAAAAGCAAACTGCAGACTCTCAGCACAAATGATTTCATCCACCTCTGGCACTAAGAGACTTCAACAAACACTGTTGTTTCTAACAGTTCATGGCCACATCCTTAGGATGATGACTTCAGCCCCCTTAAGTTTCTGCCTAATAAAATTCAATGCTGCCCAAAGAATTTATGATTTGTTCCAGGCAAAACCTGAATATAGGCCCCCGAACCCCCTTTTCCTAAAGGATTTACTTTAGAAAACTGGCAGTTAGAAATCCTTTCTCTGTCTCTTGGAAATGTATCTTCTATAACACAGGAATGTCTTTCCCAAGGACCTGGGAGCCATCCTTTCGAAATGTAATCATTAGGTAGGACAGAGCCTCTGTCTCCCAATCTTGGTGGTAGGGTAGGACCCTGATATTGATAAGCACCAGTTCACAATTTGATAAGCACAAGTTCACAATCTGGTCAGTGTACTCATTGACCAAACCTCCCTCCCCTCAACTAGCATCCTTCAGTACTTTTCCCTTAACACATCCTAGCATTTAAAAAGCCTCTTGCCTTCTGGTTTGGTAGAATTGAGCTCAGTTAATGCTGAAGTGTCTCTTCCCTGCCACAGTAGTCTGAATAAAATCTGTCTTGACATTTTTGACAAGTGTCTGGTGCAAAATTTTTCTTTAACAATAGCAAGTGTTGAAATTGGATAGTGTAAGTTTTTTTTTTAGCTTTGTTCTTTTTCAGAATATTTAGGCTATCCTAGGTCATTCGCTTTTCTATATAAATTTTAGCAAAAGCTTATCAATTTCCACAAAAACCTGCTGGACTATTTTTTTTGTTTTTGTTTTTGAGACCAAGTCTCACTCTGTCATCCAGGCTGGAGTGTGGTGGCACAATCTTGGCTCACTGCAACCTCCGCCTCCCAAGTTCAAGCGATTCTCCTGCCTCAGCCTCCCTAGTAGCTGGGATTACAGGCAGATGCCACCATGCCCAGATAATTTTTGTATTTTTAGTAGAGTCACTGTTTCACCATGTTGGCCAGGCTGGTCTTGAACACCTGAACTCAGGTGATCCACCTGCCTCGGCCTCCCAAGTGCTGGGATTACAGGCGTGAGCCACTGCACCCAGCCAGGACTGACTTTTTAATTTTTTCCCTTGATTTCGCAGTATTTGGAATGGACTCACTTTCTTAGGAACGACATTAATTTTTTTTAAATTGGCAGAAATTTATCAATAAATTGGGGGAGGACTGTCATCTTAACAATAGAGTCTTTTAATCTATGAACATGGGATTATTTAAATCAGGGATTAGCAAATTTTCTGCAAAGAACCAGATAGTAAAAATATTTGTGGTATTGTGGGCTATATTCAACTTTGCTTTGTAGTGTAAAAGCAGTGTTGGCCCGGCGCGGTGGCTCATGCTTGTAATCCCAGCACTTTGGGAGGCTGAGGCGGGTGGACTACCTAAGGTCAGGAGTTCAAGACCAGCTGGCTAACATGGAGAAACCCCGTTACTACTAAAAATACAAAAAAAATAGCCAGGCATAGTGGCGCACGCCTGTAATTCCAACTATTCGGGAGGCTGAGACAGGAGAATCGCTTGAACCTGGGAGGTGGATGTTGCAGTGAGCTGAGATCACACCATTGCACTCCAGCTTGGGCAACAAGAGCAAAACTCCATCTCAAAAAAAAAAAAATTGTGTTTCAATAAAACTTTATTTACAAAACAAACAGGGGGCCAGTTCAGGGCCATGGACTGTAGTTTGCTGCCTCTAATTTAGAACTTCTTCAATTTCTCTGAGCAAAGTTTTATAGTTTTTATTGTAAGTCTTGCATTTCTTTCATTAAACTCATTTCTAAGTATTTTATTCTTTTAGGTGTTACTGTGAATGAAATTTTGTTTCCTTAATTTCATTTTCACATTGTTTATTACTAGTATGTAGAAATACAATTGATTTTTACATATCGGCCTTATATACTTGAACCTTGTTTGCTAAACTCATTTATTAATTCCAGTAAAATTTTTTGATAGATTACTTGGGATTTTCTGCATACAGATCATGTGGTCTACAAATAAACACAGTTTTACTTTTTTCTTTTCATTCTAGATGTCTTTAATTTACCTTTCTCTCTCTTTCTCCCTCTACCCCCTTTTTAAGTTGCCCTGGCTATGACCAGTAGTACAATGTTGAATGGAAGTGGTAAGAGTAGACATTCTTGCCTGTTTCCTAATCTTGAGTGGGAAACATTCTGTCTTTCATCATTAAGTACATTAACTGTAGGTTGTCTGTAGTTGCCCTCTATCAGATTGAAGAAGTTTACTTTTATTCCTAGTTTGTTGAGAGTTTTTACCACGAATGTATGTTGGCTATTGTCAAATGCTTCTGTATCTATTGAAATGACAATGTGATGTATTTTAGTCTATTAATCTAGTACATTACATTCACTGATTTTGAGGTTTTGTTGTTTTTAATTAATTAATTTTAAAAACCTCACCATATACTAGAGAAAGCATTACTTGATTTTTGGATGTCACACCAACCTTGCATTTCTGGGATAAATCATACTTGGTCATGGTGTATAATCTTTTGTACATGTTGATGGATTTTTGTTTGCTAATATCTTATTGAGTATGTTTGCATCTCTATTCATGAGAGATATTGTTCTATAATTTTTGTTTATTTTGGTGTGTTTGTTTAGCTTTGATATTGGGGTAACACTGGCCTCATTAAAGGAGTTGGAACATGATCTATCCTTTTTTATTTTCTGAAAGATTTTTGTGAAAGACATAATATTTCTTCTCGTCTTATTGTGTCGTGTCGTGTCCTGTCCTGTCTTTTTGAGGTGGAGTTTTGCTCTTGTTGCCCAGGCGGGAGTGCAATGGCATGATCTCGGCCCATTGCAACCTCCACCTCCCAGGTTCAGGTGATGCTCCTGCCTCCCAAGTAGCTGGGATTACAGGTATGCACCACCAGACCTGGCTAATTTTTTTTTTTTTTTTTTTTTTGAGACAAAGTCTTGCTCTGTCACCCAGGCGGGAGTGCAGTAACGTGATCTTGGCTCACTGCAAGCTCCGCCTCCCGGGTTCACGCCATTCTCCTACTTCAGCCTCCTGAATAGCTGGGACTACAGGCACCCGCGACCACACCTAACTTTTTTTGTATTTTTAGTAGAGACGGGGTTTCACCACGTTAGCCAGGATGATCTCGATCTCCTGACCTCATGATCCACCCGTCTCGGCCTCCCAACGTGCTGGGATTACAGTTATGAGCCACCATGCCCTGCCTAATTTTGTATTTTTAGTAGTGATGGGGTTTCACCATGTTGATCAGGCTGGTTTTGAACTCCTGACCTCAGGCCATCCACCCGCCTTTGCCTCCAATTTGGCTAATTTTTTTATTTTGTAGAGATGGAGTTCTCACTGTGTTGTCCAGGCTGCTCTTGAATTTCTGGCCTCAAGCAATCCTCCTACCTGGGCCTCCCAAAGTTCTGGGATTATAGGTATAAGCCACTACTCCTGGCCTAAAAATGTATTTTTTATACATATGTCTCTGTCAAAATTGGGATAAAGAGAAACAGACTGGCAGTGGTATGCATTTCAAGGAAAATAGGAGAAAGCCTATTTACTTAGGAAAGTGAGGCTCATAAGTACTTCATATACAAACATCATACCTGCTTCACTGGGTTGTGTTACCTGACTTGCCCCGAGCATTTGAACTTGCTACCCCCAATAGAGAATTGACTCCCTCATTAGCCAAAGAGGAATCTGAGACCTGGTGAGGGTGAGCACCTGGCCAGTCATCAGTAAGCTCCTTTTCATCCCACCCACCGGCGGTGATTAGTAACCATGTCTGACAGGCATTTACTTTCCTCCTGGTGAGTAGCTGGAAAAGAGAGTAGTTTGGAAATATTTGGAAATAGCACCGTTTGTCTCTCACATATGTGATCTGGAAGCCCCCTGCCTGCTTCACATTGTCCTGCCTTTCCAGACTGAACCAGTGTTCATTTTACATATGTTGAGTGATGGCTCATGTCTCCCTAAAAGGTATAAAACCAAGCTGTGCTCTGACTACCTTGGGCACATGTTGTCAGAACCTCCTGAGGGTGTGTCACGGTAGCATATCCTCAACCTTGGCGACTTGGTGCTAACGCTGTACTAAATTACCAGGCTGGTTAACATCTATTGGAATTTCTTGGTGCCAAAGGCTGTGGGAGACCTGAACACATTGTCAAGGGAGGAGGAAGGGGAAGGAGAAGGGCTGTGGGATCTCCCGCATGAAAGGCCCCATGCTGGTGGTAGCCCCCACCTGCTGCTCTGGGGCTCAAAGGTGCTTAGATCTCTTCACTTGAGTGCAGATGCTGCCAGCCCTTTGGGCAGGTGTGTGAGGGAGGCAGCCCTGGCTGTAAAGAGAGCAGGGGCTTGGCTGGGCGTGGTGGCTCACGCCTGTAATCCCAGCACTTTGGGAGGCCGAGGTGGCAGATCATTTGAGGTCAGGAGTTTGTGACCAGCCTGGCCAACATGGTGAAACCCCATCTCTACTAAAAAAAAAATACAGAAATTAGCTGGGCATGGTGGCATGTACCTGTAATCCCAGCTACGCAGGAGGCTGAGGCAGGAGAATCACTTGAACCCAGGAGGCGGAGGTTGCAGTGAGCTGAGATAGCGCCACTGCACTCCAGCCCGGGCGACAGCGCGAGACTCCATCTCAAAAAAAAAAAAAAAAAAAAAAAAAAGAGAGTACTGGCTTTTGGGTCATTAGGACTATTATATAACTGAATTGTGTCAGGCCTCTGAGCTGAAGCTCAGCTATTATAACCCCTGTGACCTGCACATATATGTCCAGATGGCCTGCAGGAACCAAGAAGTCTGGAGCAGCCAAAAAACCCACAAAGTAAAACAGCCAGTTCCTGCCTTAACTGAGTAACCAAAATTACAACATTTTACCATTGTGACTTGTCCCTGCCCTACCTTAGCTGATCAACCAACTTTGTGACATTCTTCTTCTGGACAATGAGTCTTATGATCTCCCCACTATGTACCTTGTGACCCCCTCCTCTGCTAACAATAGATAACCACGTTTTACTGTAACTTTCCATTACCTACCCAACTCCTATAAAGCAATCCCTTCCCCATCTCCCTTTGCTGACTCTTTTCGGACTCAGCCCACCTGCACCCAAGTGAATTAAAAGTTTTATTCCTCATACAAAGCCTGTTTGGTGGTTTCTTCACATGGACGTGCTTGACAAATTGGGGTCGGCTTGCCCAGTGCAGTTAAGTCCAGATATCCACACTGAAGTTGCAGCACTAGAAAGGAAGGTGTTTATTCACAGAGCCCTGAGCAAGGGGGACCAGGCAGCGCATGCTCAAAACCTGAACTCTCTGATGGCTGGCAGATGTGAACCCTGAAAATCTGAGACAAGTGTCAATTTAGAAAGTTTATTTTGCCAAGGTTGAGGACATGCCCCCGTGACACACCCTCAGGAGGTTCTGACGACATGTGCCCAAGGTGGTCAGAGCACAGCTTGGTTTTATACCTTTTAGGGAGACATGAGCCATCAATCAACATATGTAAAATGAACATTGGTTTGGTCTGGAAAGGCAGGACAACTTGAAGCAGGCAGTGGGCTTCCAGATCACAGATAGGTGAGAGACAAACGGTTGCATTCTTTTGAGTTTCTGATTAGCCTTTCCAAAGGAGGCAATCAGATATGCATTTATCTCAGTGAGCAGAGGGATGACTTTGAATAGAATGCGAGGCAGATTTGCCCTAAGCAGTTCCCAGCTTGAATTTTCTCTTTAACTTAGTGATTTGGGAGGGCCAACATAGTTTCCTTTCACACAGGTAAGGGTTTTTAAAGGCGGGGTAAATTTTCAGGAAAGCAGCAGAAGTTAGATAAAATTGTAAATCAGTACATGAAGGGTACACATTGGTTTGGCCTAAAAAAGGTGAGATATCTTGAAGCAGGGGCTTACAGGTCATAGGTGGATTCAGAGATTCTTTGATTTGTAGTTGGTTCAGGAGGCGATGCCTTGCCTGAAAATTCAGGGTTAACAGAAAAGAATATTAGCTTTAGCTCATGGGTGTGGCTTTCAGGAGCCTCCGGAAGAAATTTAGAATGAAAGAAGGTGGTCAGAGTGCAGTCCTCAGCTCCCTCTATCTGAGGTCTGCAGGCCAGCAGATCCGTTTGGTGGGGGTCCACATGGAGGTCCAGGTTTCTGAATGACAAACTCAAGGACGTGTGTTAAGATGTTATCTTTAGTTCCTAAAACTAAACATCTCCGGACTCTAACTTCCTTGGCTATTGTTTTGGGCTACTATTACCTTCCTGCCTAACAAGTTACTTACTTACTTCTCAGGGCTAGCTGGATGCCTGAAATTTCCCTTGAAGGCACTCAAGATTTTCCTTTATTTCCATGCTTGATGGTGGCGTTCGGGGTGGTGGCACAGGTCCCTGCTTCATCTCAGGCCTGGGTTTAAATTCTCACTCTTTCTCACCATCTGAAAACCCTGAATAGTTGTTTCCATCCTGAAACCTCAATGCCCCACTGGTAAAGTGGGCGAGAGAAGGCCTGTTTTGTTGTGTTGCTGGGAAATCCCTGAGGTAATGCATGTGTGGACATGAGAGGCTCCAGCTCCCTTCCCACCTCTCAGCCCTCCACCCTGGGGTGGTTCTGGAAGGCACTGCTCATGGTAAGGACAGAAGGTTGCTGGCTGGCGTTCTTCTGTCTGATTCAGTGGCTGCATTTACTTAGCATGTGCTCTATGAGGAGAATAAGGGCCTGTGATGCTGGTATAGATCAGTTCAGATATACTGGTGGGTACGTGGCTGCTGCCCAACACTCCTGAGTGCCCCCACTCAGCATGTTGGATCCTGGCCCCTCCAGACCTCAACATCATCCAGAAACAGAAGGAATAGAGCCTCGCACAGTAGGGTCCCCCAGACTGACTTCTGGCAGCTGAACTGAAGGGTCAGTGGTTGAGCCATACTGGTTGTTCAACACTTTGAATACCACATCCAGAAAGAAAATACAAGCTCCCTGTCACGGTAGCCTCCTTGTGACTGTGTTACATTCAACACAAGACAAACATCAGCTTCACAAAAGGGAGCAGTCTCTGGGACAATCCATTGAAAGCGTGAGAGGCAGGTAGTTCCTGGGTTCTGTGCATAGTTGCTTTAAGCTGTAAACACACAATCCTTGACCAAATACCCTTTAATCCACTTGACAAACAAGAAGCTTCCGGGCCTCCAAGGGGATGCCCAAGTCTCCCTTTTCTCTGGGACAAAACCTGGTTTTGTTTCTTAGGTTTCTCAGCGGCTAATCTGGAACATGTTTGCTTTTGCCCCGTTTCTTTGTCCCAGTGTTTTTTCTGCTGTTTTCACACCTCTCTGGATAAGCTTTCCAAGTTCCTTACAGAAAACCAGAAAGATTATTCACCAGCAGTCTTCCTGGTCCCTGGCTTGTCAGCCTCAATGCATTCCAGTGCACTCTTGTGACACTGTATCCAGAGTAGCTGTGGCTCACAGCATTTACAGTGTTCTTTCTCGCTATTCTATTAGTGGCTTCCTTTTCCAACCCAGTTCTTTGCCTGGATATCCAGGATCTCTATCCCACCGTCACCCTCACTCCATATAGGGGGTTCATCCTACAGCATTTCTGTTGCTGTAAAAAGACCCTCTACTGCATCCTTTGGCATGGAGAATTTGTCTTATTGTATTTTTGAAGCAAGAGATTATGCAGAAATGAATCCATGGGTGGGGGCAGAGTCTGTCTTTCTGGTTTCTGCAGAGTGAAAACTCTCATAATGTCTGTCCTAGACTAAGCCCCGCAGTCCAGAAGCTGGTCCACCTCTGGACTTAACACTTGAGCTGAAAACGTCTCTTTTTGCCCATGCTCATTTTAGTTCGGTTTCCAACAGAACAGAATCCTGACGAATACCAAAACGGGTCCTGCCACAGGGTATCACAAAGATTGGGCTCTACAAAGTAAAATTGCCAGGGTATAAGTGGACCCTCAGGGAGGCTGGCTTATGCCAGGCTGGGAATTGGGCAGTCCTCGAACACTGAACACTTTTCCATCTGTCCCTTCATGCCTGCTTGTCTTGGGGAGGCTGGCTTTTATGGAGGGGTCCCTGGGAAGGAATGGGGGCCGATGGGGAGGGGAATGGGATCCGTATTGCGTATTTGGGGTGAGGAAGGGACCCAGAGGGAAAGTGGAAAGAACAGGAGCCGGTGGAGGGCAATGTGCAGGGTAGGGGTGGGGGTGCAGTTTTCACCTCTGGTCTCTGTGAGATACGAAATAAGATTGTGTTCTGCGTATGAAGTAGGCAGTTGGGTGAGAGGTTTAAGAGAAGAGATCATGGTTTGGAAAGGCTCTAGAGCACGATGGGAGAGGAAGTGGATGAGAGATAAGTCATCAGCTTGAAGACTGGTAAGGGGAGACCCCACCGATCCTGGTGTTAAATCAAGTTTAGCCTAAAGCCTTCTCCTTACATATTTTAAATTCACCCTAATGGTTTCTCTGTACATAGTGAACTGTAAGCTAACTGCACGTGTAAACAGGCTGTCACCTACTCTCGTACCAAGTAGCCGAGTCTCAGTTAATCACAGCAGCCAGACTTCAACCACTCACAGGCGGCCAGCTGTTGAAACTGGACTCAAATAAGCCAAGCACCATGCCATCACCAATCCGTCTGTTTCTGTACCTCACTTCCAGTTTCTGTACATCACTTTCCTTTTTCTGTCCATAAATCTTTGACTATGAGGCAGTGCAGGAGTCTCTCTGAACTTATTTTTGCCTGGGGGCTGCCTGATTCACACAAATGGTTCTTTGCTCAATCAAACTCTGTTAAATTTAATTTGTCTAACGTTCTTTTAACACTGGGAATGATGGCAGGGCACGGTGGCCCATGCTTGTAATCCCAGCACTTTGGGAGACCAAGGCAGGCAGATCACTTGAGGTCAGGCGTTCAAGACCAACCTGGGCAATGGTGAAACCCTGTCTCTACTAAAAATACAAAAATTAGCCAGGCATGGTGGTGCATGCCTATAGCCCCAGCTACTGGGAAGGCTGAAGCACAAGAATCGCTTGTGCCCGGGAGGTGGAGGTTGCAGTGAGCTGAGATTGCAGCACTGCACTCCATCCTGGGCGACAGAGCAAGACTCTGTCTCAGAAAAAAACAAAAAACAAAACAAAACAAAAAACCCTGGAAATGAATGGCAGCTCCTGCCACAGCATCAGCCCAAGGGCTGTGTGACTCCATGGATCTTGAGGTGTTCTTTGGGGCTTGTAGTGCTGACCCACAGGTGGGGATAGTGTGGCTGTAGTCAGTTAAAGTTTAAAATCTCTACATGTCAAAACATATCATTTGAGAGGTAAAAATATAAATGAGGAAAATTTCTCATTCCTTAGTTCTAACTCCAGAATGGGTGTGCTGACCATGAAAAAAATCAGGGAAATATTTTAACATGTGTGACACTTGAAGATTAATATCTTTAATATTAGAAGCCTTAACTAATCCAGAAGAAAAATATAAATAACCCAAACAGAAAAATAGCTAAAGGACATGAGTGAACAGGGTACTCACAAAAGAAGAAAAACAATTGGTCAATACATATACAAAAAAAGGTCTAGGCTGTGCACGGTGGCTCACGCCTGTAATCCCAGCACTTTGGAAGCCCGAGGGGGGCAGATCACGAGGTCAGGAGATCAAGACCATCCTGACTAACATGGTGAAACCCCGTCTCTATTAAAAATACAAAAAATTAGCCGGGTGTGATGGAGGGTGCCTGTAGTTCCAGCTACTCGGGAGGCTGAGGCAGGAGAAGGGCGTGAACCTGGAAGGTGGAGCTTGTACTGAGCTGAAATTGCACCATTGCACTGCAGCCTGGGAGACAGAGCGAGACTCCGTCTCAAAAAAAAAAAAAAAAAAAAAAAAAAAGGTCTAATCTTGCCAATTAGCAAAGAAAAATAAATTAAGACAAAGCATTTCCCACATATCATAGTAACAGGTGATAATCTAAGAGAATTATAATTTTCTTTTACCCAGAAATTCTACCTTTGTGATTTTTTTTTTTTTTGAGATGGAGTTTCGCTCTTGTTGCCCAGGTTGGAGTGCAATGGCGTGATCTCAGCTCACAGCAACCTTCGTCTCCCGGTTTCAAGTGATTCTCCTGCCTCACCCTCCGGAGTAGCTGGGATTACAGGCATGCTCCACCACGCCCGGCTAATTTTGTATTTTTAGTAGAGACGGGGTTTCTCCATGTTGGTCAGGCTGGTCTCGAACTCGTGACCTCACGTGATCCACCCACCTCGTCCTTCCAAAGTGCTGGGATTACAGGTGCGAGCCACCTCACCCGGCCTCTATGAATTTATCTTAAAGAAATTAGTATAAGTGTGGGAAATTTTTATCTGAAGGACCTGGATTTCAACAGCGTTTCTTTTTTTTTTTTTTGAGACAGAGTCTCGCTCTCTCGCCCAGGCTGGAGTGCAGTGGCGCGATCTCCGCTCACTGCAAGCTCCGCCTTCCGGGTTCACGCCATTCTCCTGCGTCAGCCTTCCGAGTAGCTGGGACTACAGGCGCCCGCCATGACGCCCGGCTAATTTTTTTGTATTTTTAGTAGAGACGGGGTTTCACCATGTTAGCCAGGATGGTCTCGATCTCCTGACCTCGTGATCCGCCCGTCTCGGCCTCCCAAAGTGCTGGGATTACAGGTGTGAGCCACCATGCCCAGCCCAGTGTTTCTAATTATAGAAAAAAAAGTCAGAAACAACCTGAGTGTTCAACAAGAGGTACCTGACCAAATAAATGATGGTCCATATCATTCCATGGAATAAAATGTAGCCATTAAAATGATAATCAGCCTGGGCATGGTGGCTTATGCCTGTAATCCCAACACTTTGGGAGGAGGAGGCAGGAGCATCACTTGAGCCCAGGAGTTCAAGACCAGGCTGGGCAGCATAGCAAGACCCTGTCTCTACAAAAAAAATCTAAAAATTAGCTGGGTGTGGTGGCACGCTCCTGTAGTCCCACCTACTTGGGAGGCTTAGGTGGGAGGATCAATTGAATCTAGGAATTGGAGGTAACAGTGAGCTATAATGGTGCCACTGCACTCCAGCCTGAGCAGCAGAGCAAGACTATGTCTTTAAAAAAAATTAAAATAAATAAAAAGAAAAATAAATAATTAAAAGAAATTAAGTTGGTTCCATCTATAAGGATGACAGTTGAGGTAGGATCAACACTGAAAACTGATCAGGCAGGTTTGGACAGAGCTGGCTGTCACACACCCGGAGAGCACTGCTCATTTCATTTGCCTTCCTCCCTGTGGGCAGCTGGCCACACCTGCTCTGAGCATCCCTTTCTCAACCCCTGGGGAGCAGTAGATGAGCTCATTTCAGCAGTGATATGGGTTGGTCTTGCCAGGATACTTTCTACTTGGGAATACCTGAGATAACCCAGGTGAAATCCTGTTCTGGGCAGCTGCTTTGCACCAGGCACCCTGCTGGTCACTGGAAGGCACACAGACAGGAATAGGTCACAGTCACTGTCTGGGTCACAAAGTTCTTAACTGCAAACAATAGAATTTACTCTAGGTCATTTGAGGTGGAAAGAGATTTGTTAGAGAATTCAAGCCTCTACTAACGGCCAGAGACACAGGCTTTCTTGGCACAAGTTCAGGTAGAGCACTGAAACCACACTGCTGCTTGGCTCCAGCAAGACCACCTTGCTACCAGTCACAGTCACAGCCCCCATGCACTGACACTGCACACTGGACTCCAAGAAACCCTTGCCCTAAGAGCCAGAACCCTCCACACCATCATTCCTAGGGAGATTCTGCATGATGCCAGTGTCCTTGGACCCTCTCTGAAGAGGACTTTTTGAGAGGAGAGTGTTTGTGGAGCCGAGGTTTGTGCCTGTACCCTGGAGGTAAGCAGGTGAGGGCAGCAAATCCTAGTTCCTCTCAATGTAAGGCAGAACTTCCCACTTCACACTGTGGGAAGTTCTTCAAACTTGGAGTTTTAAAAGAATCCAAGGGGCTACAGTGCATGATGAATGTGCCCCGATTTCCTGGAACTTAGAGTCGATGAACACTTAACTTATGCAGGTAAAGGCAGAAGTGTGTGGCACCGTTGGTGAGTGAGGAGGCAGCCAGACAGCACTACAGCTCTTCTAAGGAGCAGGAGAGTGACCTCAAGCTGTGTTAGGGGTGGTGAGGCTGATTTTAGGGAGGGTAGAGGATGGTGCTGGAAAGGGCCACTGTGGCCAGCTCAGATGAGCTTCAAGGATCCCCTGGTTAGGAGCATGAACTCTCATCTGTGGGCAGAGGGATCTCAGGTTAAATTTTAGGAACTGTAGCAAGCTGTGGCGAGGAGTGAGGGGACTTTTTGGGATAAAATTGTCTTATGAGCTCAATTGCATCCCCTAAAAATTCATTGGTTTAAGCCCTAACCCCCAATATCCCAGAATGTGACTGTAATGGAGACACGGCCTTTAAAGAGGTGGCTTAGGTAAAATGAGATAGTTAGAGTGGACCCTAATCCAATACAGCTAGTGTCCTTATCAGAAGAGGAAATTTGGACACAGAGAGAGATGCCAGGGATGCATGCCATGTAAGAGGCAGCAAGAGCATGGCCATCTGCAAACCAAAGAGAGAGGGCTCAGAGGAAAACAAGCCTTCCCCAATGGCTTGACCTCACATTTCTAGTCTCCAGAACTGTGAGCAAATAAATTTCTTTAGTCAAAGCCACCCAGTTGCAGTGTTTTGTTGTGGTGGCAGAGCAAACAGATAAAGTAGTAAGTCCCTCCAGCACCCTAGGAGGTTCTGCTTGTTGCCATTCCCCAAAGGCCATCCTAGCCATGATGAGGGCAGGTGCGGTTGTTTGGGAGGAGACCACTGTGGAACAAAGAGAAACAAGGCTTGCTTGATGCAGCAGGGAGTAGACTACAGATTCAAGAAGGGCTCTAGAAAGGTCCAGCAATTCAGCTTGTCAGGGAACCCCGAGCTGTATGTAGTTCTTGCTCTCCTGTGCCCTGCAGGATGGCTTGACCCATTTCTGTTCTCATGTCAGACCCTAAGGGCAGGGTCATCTGGGCCACAGACCCAGGCCCGGTGGGCCTGGTGGGCTGACCTGTGGGCTATTCTTATGCCTTCAGGAAACCCACCTTTACCACCTGGCTGTTGTGACTGGCATCGCTGAGGCTGTTTCTTTGTGTATAAAATCGAATAAGGACACATCACGTGCTAGCAATCCACCAGCATAGGGCGAAGGCTCAGCAAAGAGAAGTTCTCTCCTCCTCTGCTCTTTTAGGTCAGCAGCAAATGCAGATCGGGGTGGGGACAAGGTAAACACATAACTTGGGTGGAGATGTGATTGATTAATAACTCATAAATCATCTGAAACCATACTTTCCTTTTGATAGTCAACCCTCTGTAAACACTCAATGTGTTCTCACCTTGTTATCATTCCCAATGATGTCGAATGCGTGGTTGCCCTCTCCAGTATAAAAGTTTGATGCAGCTTTGCCTGGATGTACCTGTCTATAAGGAGTCCTGCTTATCACAATGGTAGGTAACTGGTTTTATATATAAAGGCTAGAAAAGCAAAAGAGAATATGTATTCCTATTTTAATATGCGTGTGCTTCTACCACATAGCATTGAATGGTAAATGTGACCTAGTTAGGAACCTTATGTTATTACCTGCAATTCAATGTGCAGAGTATGAGAGTCTGAGAGCTTGCGAAAATTGTAATGAGTTTAGCACTAGTTCTGTTCTCTAAGATCTAAGTTGTTTTTCCTTCCAGTAATTCTGGGGTTCAATTAGATTTCATAAGTGTCTCTAATTCTTGGGTCCTATGTGAGTAATTTGAAATTAAAAATAATTTCAGAGCTACATGACTGCATCGTTTTTGAGATGAGGGAACTGAGCCTGGGGAGGGGAAGAAGCTGCCACTGGGGTCTCACCGCAAGCCTGTGAATGAGCTGAGATAGGAACCCAGGCATTCCTCTCTCCCTGCCAGGGGCTCCCAAACTTGGCTGTGCAGTGGAAACTCCGGGGGAATTTTGAAGAACACTGACACC
The DNA here is from genome assembly GCF_000001405.40 of Homo sapiens. Lineage (NCBI taxonomy): Eukaryota > Metazoa > Chordata > Mammalia > Primates > Hominidae > Homo > Homo sapiens. Next base: position 46,045,720 of record NC_000010.11, on the reverse strand, counting down.
CATCTTCCACCCCGACACTCTGATTTAATTGGGCTGCAGTGAGAACAGAGCATCAATTTAAAAAGCTGCCCAGGTCATTTTAATACTCAAGTTTGGGAACCATTTCCCTAGGCCCTTTTCACTGTATCATGTGTTAAGGAAAAATCTTGGGTTTGGGGCTGTGTTTGTTGGTTTATTTGTTTGTTTTTGAGACAGGATCTCACTCTGTTGCCCAGGCTGGAGTGCAGTGGTGCAGTCATGATTCACTGCAGCCTGGACCTTCCTGGGCTCAGGTGATCCTCCCATCTCAGCTTCCCAAGTAGCTGGGACCACAGGCGAGTGCCACCATGCCCGACTAATTTTTGTATTTGTTTTAGAGATAGGATTTTGCTATGCTGCCCAGGCTGGTCTTGAACTCCTGGGCTCATGCAATCTGCCCACCTCAGCCTCCCAAAGTGGTGGGATTACTGGTGTGAACCACTGTGCCTGGCCAAGAAAGAATTTTGCTTCAAAATTTATAAAAACCCATGCAGGCTTTTCTTGTGTCTTAAACTTGATCTTTCTTAAAACATTCTTTACTAACGCTGGGGACTGAACTGGGCTGCTCTGGGGGCTGCAAGGGAGATGAGGCAAGAAACAGCCAGCCAAGTGGGAGGAGCCAAGGGAGGTGGGAGAGGGTCCTCAGGAGGGGACCCCGGGCCTCCTCTGGGCCACTCGGCAAGACAAACTTGCTCTCAGAAACTGTCCGGAGGCAGAACTGGGGATGGTAAAACAACAGTGGGGTGGGAGGTCCTCCCCATCTCCACTAGACAGGCTCCTCCAGCCTATACTCTATGCAGCCTCACAGTGAACTTAGCAAGCTGCAGAGCTGGCAATACCTCTGCCTGCCTAAGATCCTGAGGACCCCCAACTCTTTATTTATTTATTTATTTATTTTATTATTGTTATTTGTAGTAGAGATGAGTTTTTACTATGTTGCCCAGGCTGGTCTCTAACTCTTGGGCCCAAGTGATCCTCCCACCTTGGCTTCCCAAAGTGCTGGGATTACAGGTGTGAGAAATTATGCCTGGCCAGACCCCCAACTCTTGATCATGGGATAACCCTTCCAGGAGCAGTAATTTACCTAAAGAGATACAACTTTTTTTTTTTTTTTTTTTTTTTTTTTTCTGAGACGGAGTCTCTCTGTCGCCCAGGCTGGAGTGCAGTGGCGCAATCTCGGCTCACTGCAAGCTCCACCTCCCGGGTTCACGCCATTCTCCTGCCTCAGCCTCCTGAGTAGCTGGGACTACAGGCGCCCGCCACCACGCCCAGCTAATTTTTTGTATTTTTAGTAGAGACGGGGTTTCACCATGTTAGCCAGGATGGTCTCGATCTCCTGACCTCATGATCCACCCGCCTCGGCCTCCCAAAGTGCTGGGATTACAGGCGTGAGCCACCGCGCCCAGCCAAGAGACACAACTTCTAAGGATACTGCCAGCCTGCTTCACCTCAAGGCTCGCTGTACCATCTAGAAAATCCTAGCCCATTCTGGCGTCGTGGTGTAATCTCCTGCACACATCAGGAGCTCAGGGTTACTAAATGCAGGAAAGGAAGACACAAAGGGAAGGAAGGCTGGTGGCAGAATAGAAGACAGGAATGAAAAAAGCTTTAGAGCCTCTCTACTCAGGGGTGGACCTCAGACCAGCAGCGTGGGCATCACCTGGGAGCTTCCGTGTAAGTCTAAAGACCTACTGAAGCAGAATCTGCAGGTTAATTAACAGGCTGTCTGGTTGGGCGCGGTGGCTCACGCCCATAATCCCAGCACTTTGGGAGGCCGAGGCGGGCGGATCATTTGAGGTCAGGTATTTGAGACCAGCCTGGCCAACATGATGAAACTACGTCTCTACTACAAATACAAAAATTAGCCAGGTGTGGTGGTGCACTCCTGTAATCCCAGCTACTCAGGAGGCTGAGGCAGGAGAATCACTTGAACCCGGGAGGCGGAGGTTGCAGTGAGCCAAGATTGCATCACTGAACTCTACTCTAGGCGATAGAACGAGATTCCGTCCCAAAAAGAAACAAACAAACAGACAAACAAAACAAAACAAAAAAAACTCCCAGGAATTTATATGCACATTAAAGCAGCACTGGGTTGGTCATTGTTCCTGGGTTCTCACCTGGGAGACTAGGTAAAGACACTGAGGCACTGGCTCCTAGATTGTGTTTCCTATGAGCTCCCTGGATAACTCTAATGGTCACCCAAATGGGAGAACCCCTCTTTTTACAGGGAAGGAAAACTGAGTTTCAGAGAGAGAGAGAGAGAGAGACAGAAAGGGAGGGAGGGAGGGAGGGAGAGAGAGAGAGAGACAGCATTAGGCTATTTCTGAGATACTGTCAAGTGGATAATCTCAAAATTAAATAATTTGCTCTCTGCTGTCACCATGTTTGGGCTCTCCCCCAGTGGTTCAATCTCCTGCCTCTGCTCTAGAGCTGCAGGAGACTTGGGGATTTTGCACATGTCACTTGTCCTGGGATGCAGCCCTGCTTGTCCCTGTTGACTCTCCTGCTTTGTGACTCAGTGAAACCAGATCCCCAAGATTCCAGTGATCCCCAGTACCCCAGGAGCCCTCTTTCTGCATGAAGGGAGTAAAAATGCTGTCAACAAGGCTGGCTTTTTGGGGGGAAAAGTTTAGGTTTCCACAATGATTTCGAGCTGAAGGCTACTCAGAAGAATGAAACAGAACAAGTGCCACTCCAAGTCCTGGCTTGAGCTGAATGTATCAAGGCGTTGTGTCATTTTTAAAGAATCTTTCTTTCTTTGTGGCTATAAAACTCATATATTTTATTGTAGAAAATTTAGAAAATAAGAGGAAAAGTCCAAAGAAGAAAATTGTCATAATCTCCCCATCCAAAGATGACTTGTTATTTGGTACAAAACCCTCAGTGTGTTCTGAGCATCTCTCTCCGCATCATGTATTTCATAGCCTGCTTCATTTCATGTCGTGACATGTGGTGATCAATTGCTCATGTGACTTCACCTTCTACCTTGCTGGCTCACCAGGTGTTTTTCTGAGTCACTGTTCTCCACTGGCTCTGTTCTTGGGCATTTTGTTTCTTTCCATTTTTCCACTGCAGTGAGCATCGTTGTGGAGGAGTCTGTCTCTGTCTCTGTCTCTGTGCCATTTTTAGGATCACATCTTGGAGATGAAAAGGTGAAATCAAATGTTGTAAACGGTTTTAAGAATGTGGATATATAGTAGCAAATTGTTCTCCTTAACGATTGTTCAAAGTAAGTCATTCTTGTGCATATCACCTCCCATAGATACCTCTATTTCCCTCTGGGTATTATAAATTAAATGATTATTCTCACCATCCCATTATGCTTCTATTTCATGCTACATATTTACATTTCTTTTGTTATCAGTAAGTTGAACTTTTTCATGTGTTTATTCATCATTTCTGTGTGTGTGTGTCTGTGTGTGAAATGCCACTTTATTTCTCTTGCCCTTTTTCTGTTTAAGATGTTTTTCTTCTCCCATTGGTATGTAATGATATTGTTCTGAAAATTTGATATCTTTCTAATTTCAGTTATGTTCTTATGACGTTTATATTCTCAAATCTATTTTTCTTTTATGCTTAGAATAAGTATTTATGTATATATGCTGTGATTATTTTATGATCTTATTGTAAAAACTTAAACCTTGAATCCTTTTAGAATTTATTTCACTAATGGGGACTCAAATAGGAAATTAACTTTTTTTCTTCCCCAAATAGTTCACCACTTGTTCTAATAGCATTTATTGAATAATCGCTCTCCACAGATCTCAAAGAACATGTTTATTTTATAATAAACTTCTACATATATTTATACTTTCTGGGTTTTGTTTTTTTCTTTTTTACCCTATCCAACTACCTTTGGAATTTTCTGGGTTTTCTATTTTGATCTCTGTGTTTGCCTTTTTTTTTTTAAAGACAGGGTTTCACTCTGTTGCCCAGGCTGGAGTGCAGTGGTGCTATCATGGCTCACTGCAGCCTCAACCTTCCTGGGCTCAAGTGATTCTCCACCTCAGCCTCCCAAGTAGCAGAGACTACAGGGACACACCACCATACCCACCTAACTTTTGTACTTTTTGTAGAGATGGGTTTTCACCATGTTGCCTAGGCTGGTCTTGAACTCCTGAGCTCAAGCGATGTGCCTGCCTCAGCTTCCCAAATTGCTGAGATTACAGAATTGAGACACTGTGCCCTCCCTATCTTTCTATTCATATATGAGTAACATACTACTTCAAGTAGCGTCACTTCATAATTAATTTTAGCAATCTTACAGAATAAATGCCTTCATTCCCATTGTCAAAAGACAAAATTACAACAAATTTAGTTTAAAGATCTTAATTGATTTTTTTTTTTTTTTTTTTTTTGAGACGGAGTCTCACTCTCTTGCCCAGGCTAGAGTGCGGTGGCACAATCTTGGCTCACTGCAACCTCCGCCTCCCAGGCTCAAGTGATTCTCCCACCTCAGCCTCCCGAGTACCTGGGATTACTGGCGTGTGCCGCCACGCCCAGCTAATTTTTTGGTATTTTAGTAGAGAATGGGTTTCATCATGTTGCCCAGGGTGGTTTCAATTGCCTGAGTTCAGGCAATCCACCCACCTCCGCCTCCCAAAGTGCTAGGATTACAGGCATGAGCCACCACGCCTGGCCCTCAATTAACTTTTACTTGTGAGTCTATAATCAGGGAACACTTCATTCCATAAAATAGATCGAGTGTTCTGCAGAGCTGACCAGAGAAGTTTGGCTTTTTTTTTTTTTGAGACGGAGTCTCGCTCTGTCACCCAGGCTGGAGTGCAGTGGCCAGATCTCGGCTCACTGCAAGGTCCGCCTCCTGGGTTCGTGCCATTCTCCTGCCTCAGACTCCCGAGTAGCTGGGACTACAGGCACCCACCACCACACCCGGCTAATTTTTTGTATTTTTAGTAGAGACGGGGTTTCACCGTGTTAGCCAGGATGGTCTCGATCTCCTGACCTCATGATCCACCCGCCTTGGCCTCCCAGAGTGCTGGGATCACAGGCGTGAGCCACCGTGCCTGGCAGAGAAGTTTGGCTTTATAGACAGAAAAGAGCCAGAAAAAGCAGAAACAGAGAACAAAAAGCAAATTGGTCTTTTCGAAGTGACTTTGCTTATAAGTTAAAGCAGAGGGGACTTTCTCATCATGTCAGCTAAAACTGGCCTGTTGGGCATTTGGCTATTACCTCTCACTCTCTTCTAATTTCTTAGAAGGTTGGTTAAGCAACTTAGTTTTGGCTTAGTGGCAGAGAACTTCAGCATGGGCGACTGCATTTTGGTTTGGTCTGTTGGGCCCAGTGCAGCTCAGTCCAAACAAATGGCCTCCTCAACATTTTTTTTAACACCATCTTCCCTTTCAAAAGTTCCCAGAAATTACCATGTTAAGGTTTGTTTGTTTATTTAGCTCATCTCAAAAAGATGACAAAGTCAACTAGATACTTTTCCTTGTTCTACAATTTCAGCCTAGATTAACTGGTTTGTTCAGTTATGAGCTCCACATCATAACCTCTCAGCAGAGCCCAGCCGAGATCCTGGTACACAGCACTCAGTCAAGGATTATCCTTTGAATTAATTCATTCTCCACCCTGACCTTTCTTCACATTACAGAATGTTCTCCTGGGCAGCGTTGTGATCTTTGCCACCTTCGTGACTTTATGCAATGCATCATGCTATTTCATACCTAATGAGGGAGTTCCAGGAGATTCAACCAGGAGTAAGTCTTGGCTTTTCAATGTTTATTATGTTATTGCAGCCTGGTAGATGGACCTGTCTGCAGATGAAAGCCTTTGTGTTTCTGTTTGTTTGTTTCTTTGTTTTTTGAGATAGTCATGCTCTGTCTCCCAGGCTGGAGTGCAGTGGCACCATTTCAGCTCACTGCAAACTCCTCCTCCCGGGTTCCAGTGATTCTACCTCCTCAGCCTCCCAAGTAGCTGGGACTACAGGTGTGTGCCATCATGCCTGGCTAATTTTTGTATTTTTGGTAAAGATGGGGCTTTGCCACGTTGGCCAGGCTGGTCTCGAACTCCTGACCTCAGGTCATCTGCCCGCCACAGCCTCCCAAAGTGTTGGGATTACAGGTGTGAGCCACTGTGCCTGGCCTCACTTGGGCAGCCTTCTAAGAACACAGTAGCCTGGGCCCTGTACCCAGAGATACTGATTTCATTGTTCTAGGGTAAGGCTGAGACATGGGTGGCTTTCAAGTACCCAAGATGTTTCACATGTGCACCCAGGGTTGAAAACCACCGATGCAAAGCAAAGGGAAGTGTAGAAGTGAGATTCTCATCCAGAGATAATCCAGTAGGAAAAAATGTGGTCCCAAGTACCCACAGGCTCACATGGCTATCTAATTCAATAAAAGGGCCTTATTTTTTCTTGAAATATCTGTTCTGAAATAAAACTTAGAAGGATATAAGCTTTCTGTAAGAAAACATTATCAGTAGCATGAACTGAACAGTACTGGAATTAGCCGTGGGTGAATACAGGAGCACCATTCTTAGATACCTTTAAAATAATTGAGCTCCTCTCTCTCTGGGAGGGGTGTAGATAGTAGGGGCAGGACTCAATGTCCTGATAGGCCTTGTTCTCATTGCATGACTTGCACTGATGATGTTGTGTGTATTATTTTAGAATGCATGGATCTCAAAGGAAACAAACACCCAATAAACTCGGAGTGGCAGACTGACAACTGTGAGACATGCACTTGCTACGAAACAGAAATTTCATGTTGCACCCTGTAAGTCTCAAGCCAGTGCTGGCCAAGAGGGGGACATAGCTGTTCTCTGAGGAACAGCTACTCCGTCTTGCAAAATTCCAATCTTCAGGGGTTTAGTTTTTGTTTTAGTTTTTTATAGACTTTATATAGAGTAGTTTTAGATTCACAGCAAAACTGAGCAGAGGTACAGAAATTTCCCATGTGCCTCCTGCCCTCACACATGCACGACCTCCCCGTTATCAACATCGTCCACCACAGTGGTGTATTTGTTATGACTGATGAACCTACCTTGCACATCATTATCACCTGAGTCCATAGTTTATGTTAGGGCTTCCTCTTGGTGTTGTGGTATTGGGGGGTTAGTTTTCAGTCCTATTTCTTTCTTTTTAAAAAATTGTGGGCCAGTCACAATGGCTCACGCCTGTAATCCCAGCATTTTGGGGGGCCGAAGCGGGCGGATCACGAGGTCAGGAGATCGAGACCCTCCTAGCTAACACGTGAAACCCCGTCTCTACTAAAAATACCAAAAAAATTAGCCGGGCTTGGTGGCGGGTGCCTGTAGTCCCAGCTACTTGGGAGGCTGAGGCAGGAGAATGGCGTGAACCCGGGAGGCAGAGCTTGCAGTGAGCCGAGATCGCACCACTGCACTCCAGCCTGGGCGACAGAGCGAGACTGTGTCTAAAAAAAAAAAAAATTGCGGTAAAATATACGTAACGTAAAATGTACCATGTTAACAATTTTAAATGTATACTTTAGTGGCATTAGGTCCATTCACATTGTTGTGGCATCACTACCATCCACCTCCAGAACTTGTTCATCCTGCAAAACTGAAGCTCTATACCCATTAAGCAGTCACTCTCCATCCCCTTCTCCCCAGCCCCTGGCAACCACCATTTCACTTCTGTCTCTATGATTTTGACTACTCTAGGTCCCTCATATAAGTGGAATCATACAGTAATTGCTTTTTTGAGACTGGCTCATTTCACTTAGCATAATATCCTCATGGTTCATCTGTGTTGACGCTTGCATCAACATTGCCTTCTTGTTCGAGGCTGAATCATGTTCTGTAATATGGAGAGACCACATTTTGCATCTCCATTCATCTGTTGATGAACACTTGGGTTGTTTTCCACCTCAATCTCATTTCTTTTCTGTTGTTTTTGAAACTTGATAAGTAGCTTTATTCCAGATGGGCTCCTGAAGACAGGAAAGAGTATCTAATTGTCTGACACTATTCCAGAGATTGGCCCGGTCATCACCTCAGTCTGGGCCTTGTAGATTTGTAGAAATAGCAGTGGCTCTGAGCATAGGCAGAGGGATCAGATGTGAGGGGTAAGGGAGGATCTGTAGTGTGCCTTGCACCATAAAACTTATGCTGCTTCACTGCTCAAGTTTAACTCACGTCAGCCCAAAGGCTATGCAGATGTTTTCTGCTGGGTTGCTATGGACACCAGAAGTCTAGAACTTGAGCAGGCGGAACACAGAGTACCCGCAGTGCCGTCCTAATTTACCTGTTTCCTCAGCAGCTATGTCCATAACAGCTACCTAACTCCCAACCCCCCAAATCCATCTAACCTCTTCATGTAGCCTTGGCTTGTAGTGTTCTGCAGGAACAGGAATGGATCTGATGGCAGAGCATTGGTGTCAAGGGGCATTTCGCAAACTTGTCTGATCACAGACTCACCTGGGAAGCTTGATGAAATACAGATTCCTGGGCTCCATCCCAGAACTGATTGATCAGAATCTGTAGGGGAGGGGCCAAGGAATCTGAATTTTAACAGGTGCCTCGAGAGTCTTATGAGGACACTGCGAGTAAAGAAGCAAGCACTTGACTTAGAGCAGAACACCTGAGTCCTACTGAACTTGAAGTGCCTGGAGAGTTCCAGCCACATTTATCGAGCAGGCCTCATGCTAGGTGCCTAATGGAACAGAGGAATATTGGACTGGGAGATGGCTGGCTGCTCAGAGCAGGCTCCTGGGCATCGCATTGGCCAGATCACTGGGTATTACAGCTGAACCTTGATTTTGTGGCTCCAGAAATTTGACATTGTCTTTATATCAAGTGTTGATGTCACTCTGGTGGAGTGTGATTGTATCCCAGCCAGGTGAAGGACTGGTGACTGGTCCCTCCCTCACATAGGAGCGTGGCTCCCTGGTGGCTAAAATGTCCATGTCACCCAGATTTGGCATCCCTGCCCTCTTCTAAGATTCTCCACTGTAGGCTGGGATTCTCGTGGTCCTGGTGTGGAAACGAGCCAGGCTGCTCCTTGCAGTGAAGAGGGAAGAACCTCACTGTTGGAGTCAGAGTAACTTGAGTCTGAATCTCCATTCCCTTGTATACTAGCTGTGTGACCCTGAGTCAGTTTCTGAATGTCTCTGAGCCTCTGTTTCCTCACATTATAATTATGTGGCTATGATAATTAAATGAGATTCTGTGTATATATTCTTTAACCCAACAAACACTTAATGCCTTCTCTGTGCCAATTCTGTGTCCTGTGATCCTGGGACAGTAACTGACACCTGGTCAGGTTTCAAGGTTTCAAGGTTTCTACTGCCATGTTGCCTGTTCCATTTGGCACACTGCTCCATGCAGGGGAAATGAATCAACACCTTCTTCCCTGGAATTGCCTCACCTCCTTTGTTTTTCTCATGAACTTTTTTCTCCTCCATGGAAAAATACAGACTTTGATTAAGCTTTTTCTGGAAGAAGTTTTTGGACCCACTGCACCCTCTATGGGACGCTGCCCAGATCTCAAGGTGCTCGGTGGCAGTGGAGCCTGAGGCTGGGGGCCCAGGCAGAGGCTCCCAGGTAGGGCATGGGAGATGTCCTGGGCTCCACGCTGCCCGGGCCCAGGGCTGGCTCCCTGACTTGGGTGAGGAAAAGGGAGTGGGAGACAAAAGGCCAAGGTCATCCAGCCACTGACTCTGGTTAGCTGAATACCCGATGTTGACAGTTTCTCCCTCCCTCTCTCTCTCTGCTGTTTCCTCTATAGAGCTAAGTCTGGTTTGCATTGAAATAAGCATGCAGTAATATGCCTTTTGCCTTACCAACTTGTATTTGCACACAGGCAGCACAGATTCACCATTTCACTTCCTACCATGAACTAAAAGAATTGTATCTCTTCAACAAACACCACTTTATTTTTAACCTTTTTTTTTTATTGTGGTAAAATGTATACTACATAAAATGTGCCAGTGTAACCATTTTAAAACATACAATTCAGCGGCATTAAGTACATTCACAGTACTATGCAACCATAAACACTATTTCCAAATCTTTTTAATGACTCCAATCTGAAACTCTATATCCATTAAACAATAACTCAGATTCCCTGTCCCCCAAACCTGTGGTAATCTCAAGTCTACTTTCTGTCTCTATGAATTTGCCTACTCTAGATATTTCACATAAATACAATCACACTGTGTTTGTCTTTTCGTGTCTGGCTTATTTCACTCAGCATGTTGTCAAGGTTCATTCATGTTGTAGCATGTATCAGTACTTCATTCTTGTTTCTGCCAGAATAATATTCCATGGCATGGTCATACCACATTTTGCTTATCCATTTATTTGTTGAACACTTGAGTTGCTTCTGCCTGTTGGATAAAGTAAGTAATGTTGTTCTGAACATTGGCATACAGTGTTTGTCAATATACAAACATTGGCATATAATGTTTGAGTCCCTGCTTTCAATTCTTTTGGGATATATACCCAGGAGTAGCTTTCTGGGTCATATGGTAATTTTTTGTTTAACTTATTGAGGAGCTGCCAAGCTGTTTTCCACAGCAGCTGCACCATTTTACATTCCTACCAGCCAGCAATCACCTTTAAACATGAAAAACATGAAAGGTTTTAAATGATATTTCCCAATTTTCTAAGTAAACATATGAATTATAGAATCATTGGGAAGCATAAGAGAAAAAAGAAGAAATACCTACTCATAATCCCAACTGTGTAAAGGTAATAACTATTAACATTCTATTTTTATTTATTTATTTATTTGTATTAAAAAAATTAAGACAGGGTCTCACTATGTTGCCCAAGCTGGTCTCAAACTCCTGGGATCAAGCTGTTGTCTCACCTCAGCCCCAAGTAGCTGGGATTACAGGCATGTGCCACCATGCCTGGGCTTCTATCATCATTTATTTTCTTTTTTTTTTTTTTGAGATGGAATCTTGCTCTGTCGCCCAGGATGGAGTGCAGTGGTGTGATCTCTGCTCACTGCAAGCTCCGCCTCCTGGGTTCACGCCATTCTCCTGTCTCAGCCTCCTGAGTAGCTGGGACTACAGGCGCCTGCAACCACGCCCGGCTAATTTTTTGTATTTTTAGTGGAGACGGGGTTTCACCGGTTTAGCCAGGATGGTCTCGATCTCCTGACCTCGTGATCCGCCCGCCTCGGCCTCCCAAGGTGCTGGGATTACAGGCGTGAGACACAGCGCCCGGCCCTATCATCATTTCTTTATGTCTCTTTTCTATATGTTTTTTCTTTTACATAGTGGATATCAAATTTTATATCACAGTTTTGTGGGCTGATTTTTCCACTTAATATTCTAGCACTGGGCTGGGCATGGTGTCTCACGCCTGTAATCCCAGCACTTTGGGAGGACAAGGTGGGTGGATCATTTGAGGTCAGGAGTTCGAGACCTGCCTGGCCAACATGGTGAGACCTCCCCCGCGCCGACCCGCCATCTCTACTAAAAATATAAAAATTAGCTGGGTGTAGTGGTGTGCTCCTGTAATCCCAGCTACTCAAGAGGCTGAGGCAGGAGAATCGCTTAAACCTGGGAGACGGAGGCTGAAGTGAGCTGAGATCGTGCCACTGCACTCCATCCTGGGTGACAGAGTGAAATTCATCTCAAAAAATTAAAGTAATAATAGTAATAATACATAAATATTCTAGCATTAGTATCATCTCATCTCATCAGAACTCTTCAAAATATTTGTATGTACTGCAGCTCAATTAGAGGTGGTCTCTGACTTTCATCAGCTTCTCCCTGGGCTCCATGACACTGGCCTGGAGTGACTCATTGCTCTGGTTGGTTGAGAGAGCTCCTTTGCCAACAGGCCTCCAAGTCAGGGCTGGGATTTGTTTCCTTTCCACATTCTAGCAACAATATGCTGGCCACTTCCTGAACAGGGAGGGTGGGAGGAGCCAGCATGGAACAAGCTGCCACTTTCTAGAGTAGCCAGACTTGCCCCTGGGCCTGTCAGCACCTACTGATGACCTTCTGTGCCTGCAGGATGGAATGTAGGGGTGAGCTGTGTGACTCTATGGTACAGACTGGTCCAGGTTCCTGGAGGTCACACTCTGGGGCTGCCAGCCAAAGGGTGCCCTTAAGTTGGAGTGTGGGTGACTTCCTGAACAGAGCTGGCACTGGGGAGGGGGTGCTCGGGGTCCTTTCTCTTCTAACAGGCCCCAGTTTTGTCTCAATGACAGTGTTTCTACACCTGTGGGTTATGACAAAGACAACTGCCAAAGAATCTTCAAGAAGGAGGACTGCAAGTATATCGTGGTGGAGAAGAAGGACCCAAAAAAGACCTGTTCTGTCAGTGAATGGATAATCTAATGTGCTTCTAGTAGGCACAGGGCTCCCAGGCCAGGCCTCATTCTCCTCTGGCCTCTAATAGTCAATGATTGTGTAGCCATGCCTATCAGTAAAAAGATTTTTGAGCAAACACTTGAATATGTGTGTCCTTTTAATTTATAATTTATGTATGCATTGATTTAATACACATTATAAAGAATACAAAACATTTAAAAAGGGAGACAAAACTACATATGAATGGCCGGGCACAGTGGCTCATGCCTATAATCCCAGCACTTTGGGAGGCCAAGGCAGGCGGATCATTTGAGGTCAGGGGATCGAGAACAGCCTGGCCAACATAGTGAAACCCCGTCTCCACTGAAATACAAAATTAGCGTGGTGGCAGGCACCTGTAGTCCCAGCTACTCGGGAGGCTGAGGCAGGAGAATCACTTGAACCCGGGAGGCGGAGGTTGCAGTGAGCCAAGATCACATCAGTGCACTCCAGCCTGGGTGACAGAGTGAGACTCCGTCTCAAAAAACAAGCAAACAAACAAACAAACCCAAACCCAAACAAAACAAAACAAAACAAAATACATATGAATAAAAGTTCTATTTTTCCTAAACTCTATAATAGGTCATTGTGCATCCCTTACTCAGGGGACCACTGCCACTCTTACTGTTTCTGATGTCTGCACTCTGCTGCCCGTGTCCTGCTGTCTGGTGAACGATGAAAAAAATGTGTGTCTTCAAGCTGGAATTAGATCCCTTCTTTTCTTTACGGTGTTCCTGTTTATCCCTCCTTCCTCTTCATCAGGAAGTGTCTTCTATGATGTGTCCCCCACATTCCTCTGTGTTTGCTTGAGGTCAAAGCAGCTTAGAACAAGAAACAGCTTAGAACAAGCCTGTAAAACAGCTTAGAACAAGCCTGAAGAAAGTGCCCCCAAGACCACATGCAGCCCGAGGGGAATTAAAGGCCAGGGGCTCTGCCTTGCAGATGGAGAGTGGCCTGGGTGCAAGGCCCCAGCATCAGCTACCTCTTGCTACACACAGACCACCGAAAACTTAGTGGCTTAAGACAACGACAACATTGATTCTCTTTTAACTGTTTCTGTGTTAAAGAACATCTGTTCACTCAACAGGTCTGTACTGAGCACCTGGGCCAGGCAGTGCTCTAGACCTGGGGATACAGCAGTGAACCAGAGAGATTTCAGGAGAGAACCCTGTTCTCCTGGGGCTTGGACTCAGCTGTGTGTACGTGACAGATCAGAAATGAGCAAACAGTCATCTGTTGAACAATCAGTGGGCAACTGATAAAGAGCTTTATTTTCCCCTGTCCCCTATCTGTTTAAACATGCTATGTGGGCCAGTTGAGCAATCTAGACAGGTCCCTTAGCTTTCTTGTTCACCTTCAGATAATTTAAAAAAGTGGTCTGAGTTACATTTTGAGTTACACAAAGTCTCATTCCAGGGGCTGCATCTGAATTGAGAGGGAATGGGGGACAGGAGAGTTAAGGGCTCCTTCTGCCTGAGGTCATGTTCTAGGCTGACTTCCTCATGGGACTTTTGTGGGCTTCTCTCTCCACAGCTCCCCTTCCACTCACAGCCTATGACTGTTATCTTAGCTTCTGCATCGTAATCTATGTCTCCTATTGTTTTCTAATGAGGTTGCCTTGCCCCTTGTAGCAGAGTCACTCTTGGATGAGATCCATAAAACCCTGCTATGATCACCTCCTTTGCTGCGGAATGTGGGGAAGCAGTTGGCAACTGAGTATGGAGGACCTCTGTCAAAACTGAGACAGAAAGAAGTGCTATTTAACATCTAGTCACAAGTAAATAATGTGGGTTATAATCTGGGCTGTAGGCTGGACGTGGTGGCTCATGCTTGTAATCCTAGATCAGGTGGGAGGATCGCTTGTGCCCAGGACTTTGAGACCAGTCTGGGTAACACAGCAAGACCCTGTCTCTACAAAAAAATTTAAAAACCGGGCATCATGGCGCATGTCTGTAATCCCAGCTACTCAGCAGGTTGAGGCAGGAGAATCGCTTGAACACAGGAGGCAGAGGTTACAGCAAGCCGAGATTGCGCCACTGCGCCTGAGCGACAGAGTCAGACCCTGTCTCAAAGAAAAAAGAAAAGAAAAAAAGAATCTGGGTTCTGCCATTTATTTATTTACTCAATTTTTTTTTTTTTTTTTTTTGAGACGGAGTCTTGCTCTGTCGCCCGGGCTGGAGTGCAGTGGAGCGATCTCGGCTCACTGCAACCTCTGCCTCCCAGGTTCAGGCAGTTCTGCCTCAGCCTCCCGAATAGCTGAGGCTATACGCGCGAGCCACCACGCCTGGCTAATTTTTTTGTATTTTTAGTAGAGAAGGAGTTTCACCGTGTTAGCCAGGATGCTCTCCATCTTCCGACCTCGTGATTCGCCCGCCTCGGCCCCCAACGTGCTGGGATTACAGGCGTGAGCCACTGCTCCCGGCCTATTAACTCAATCCTTAGAAAAACAAATGTGGCAAAGGTGGAATCATACAACATATGGCCTTTTGTGTCTTACGATATTCATTTTTGCATCTGAATGTTCAAACTAAATAATATCTACCTTGTGAGGCCATCTGAATCACTTAGGATGGTCCTTGGCACCAAATTTGCCTTCAAAAAAGCATTTGCTTCATTTAATTTCGATTTATTCACGAAGGACTAAAGGACACTGCAAGGGCGGGGAGGGAGTGTGCGCCTGCGCTCTGCGCCTCCTAGAGGGCAGTCAAGGGCTTCTGGCTGACCCGAGCGGAGATCTCGCGAGACTGTCAGACGTATGGCGAGAGGTGTGGGAGGAAGATTGTGTTGTCGCGAGAACTCTGCCTTTGGGCCGTAGGTTAGTGTGGGGCCGTGTCTCAGTCCACCCAAGGTCTCCTCGGATCGCCTGGAGAGGCACTCGGACCTGGTAAGAACGCTGTGGGCCGGGTGGAGGCTCGATGACCGCTGGCCCGCTGGGCCCGGGCTTGTCCGCCCCTTCCCGACCCGACCGACACCGGGACCGGTCTGCCTTCTCCTTCCCTTCCCTCCCCTCCACACGCCAGGCCCGGGCACCTCTTCCTGCCTGCCCGCCGGGCCCGGGCCTGTCTTCTCCCCTTCCGGCCACACGCCGGGCCCGGGCCTACGTTCTCGCCTTCCCGCCACACGCCGGGCCCGGGCTTGTCTTTTCCTCCCCGACCCTCCTCGTGCCCGGCCGTGGGCCTGTCCTTTCCTCCCCGACCCTCCTCACACCCGGCTCGGACACCTCCTGCTCCCCGCCGGCCTTCCCCTCTCTTTAGGTGTGACAGCTCCAAGTTTCCTGTTTCTCTCGCCTCTTGCTTGGATGTGGGGCGAGGCGAGGTCTGTTTTGCCGGACGGGCACAGAACATAATCCATTTCTAGCTTGTCAGGTGGAAATGCAAAGAAGATATTGGGTTTTTTTGGCCCTCTGTGTGCCAAACACATACTGTCACATTTAATTCTCCCAATAATCCCGAAAAGTAGCTTGATTATCTCTGTTTTACAGCTGAGAAGAGTAAGGCTTGCTCATTCATTGGTTCATTCCACCAGCAATCATTTATTTGGTGCCTGTATGTTCAGGATGTTGAGGATAGCAATGAAAAAAATGGACACCTAATTCTCATGGAACTAAATTCTTGTTGTGGGGAAAACAATAATCATAATCTTACGTGGCACGGGATTTAACATGGAATGATGCCATCAAGAATGGCAGAAGTAGAATGACAGAAGTCAGAGTGCTGAATTTATCTGACCCCAAAGGCAGAGCTTTTTTACTTTTAACTGTGCCTTTTTGTGTCACTTTCTAATCAGGGTCGGGTTCACCACAGTAATTGCCTTTTGGATGGACTTAGCTTTCCACCACGCACTTGGTAATTTGGAACTAAGTTTATAGAGACTCTTGAGTTACTTATTGGAATGAGGATGGCACAGGAAGTCATAGTTGGCCCATTTTTATACCGAGATCCTAGTGTGACATTTCCAAACTTTAAAGTACTTGAGACCGTTTGAGAAAGACTTACCCTAAGGATGCAGTGGCTTAGGCAATTTACTTGGTTTTCTCATTTGAAGATTTGCTAGCTTGCAGATTTGTTCAGATAAGTAAATGAGATTATGTATGTAAAGTCCAGCACAATAACGTTCCTTTCATTTTCTCCTTTCCTGCCTTCCAGGGAGCCTTTGTCCTTGGGTCTCTAAGGAAAATCCTACTCTTTGAAAGTTTTGTGGTAGTTTTTATCTAAATAAATCTCTACAATTACATTATTACCTTTGTGCAAACAGGCATTTCGGAAATGGAAAAACATGTTGAGCTATGGAAGGGGAGGAAGATGTCCTTCTCAAAGGGAGAGAAGATATTTTAGAACTACATAGTACCCCTCACCCCCCCCTTTTTTTTTTTTTTATTAAATCAGTATAGCTGTGCCAGAATCTCAGGATCCGGTGTAGGGGTTTCATAAAACTCCATAGGATATCCTGACACATATCCCTCCCCCGGTTGAGAGTCCCTAAGTTAGTGTTTTATAATACTTTCCCTCACATAGTGTTAGCATTCAGAGCCAGTCATTGCTGCTGCTGATGGACTTTGAACTCAGTCTCTTATTTCAAAGAATTAGTATTTTCTGCTTGGTTGGTGAATCTATGACACGAGTTCTCCTCTAGGTGGCAAGCTCACCATTGTGTTCTCAGGGACTATCACAGTAGTGTCAGTTTAGGTACTCAATAAATAGTTGTTGGATGAATACATAATACCTTAATACTTAATGATTCCTTCAACATACCAGGTGTGGTTAGGGACTTTGGACTCAGATCTGGGATTAAATCTTGGCTCTTCTACTTGGGAGTTTGTGACTGTAGGTAATATATTTAACCTTGTCAAGTCTGCTTTTTTTTTTTTTTTAATTAATGGTGATGATAATAGCCACTTTAATGAGGGCTAATTGAGATAGTGAGTTTTTTAAAAAAAGGCTCGGCACATAGTAGACTAGATGTAAATACTTACTGAATTCATTTACTCAGTAATTAATTGTTGAACACCTACTATACAACAGTGAACAAAAAGACAAAGTCCCCGCCATGTGGAACTTACCTTCTAGTATGTTTTCTGAAGGGAGATCAGAAAATAAATGGTTGCTACGTGCCAGACTGTGGTTAGTACTATGGAGAGTAATAAAGCATATTAAGGGGGATTGGAGGCAAGACTTTTAAAAATAAAAGATGGTGAGGAATGGCCTCAATGAGAAGATGACCTCTGAGCAGACACCTGAAGGAAGTGAAGGCCTGGGCTCGAGGATACCTGGAGGAAAGCGCAAGGGCCCTGAGGCAGAAGCATCCTTGTTAAGCTAAAGGAGCAGCAGGAGGAGAAGAGTAAGGGTAGAGGGGAAGAGTAGGTAGCAGTCATGAGGTTTCTGCAAGAGTCCTGGAGAGAGATGATGGTAATGAAATTGATGAACTTTATGTCTTTCTTTGTTATATCCTGTTCTTTGACTAAAAGTAATAAAAATAGGTAATACTTCTATAGCTCTTAATGTGCATCAGGCACTATTTTAAGTGCTTTACATATATTAGTCATCAGATCTTTCCAAGAAAGTATACCTAGCCTCAGAAAATGAAGATTTGTCACTCTTTAGGATATACAGTGGAATGTGCTGCTGGTTCAGAGAGCACTTTCTCAAGCAGTACTGAAATCAGCAGTGAATTCACTGCCTCTGTTCACATACTGGTTAGGTTGCAAAGGCAAGCCTAAAGTGTCGATAACAGACCACCCAACCAGTATGTATGCATTGGGTTAAGTTCAGTTTCATGGAAGAACTGTAGAAGGCCATGGCATTTTTTATTACTCTTCTTGCTACTTTTTAGTCCTTTTAAAATTTTCATCCAAGGTTTTCATCTTGACTTTGTTTTCATACAGTTATGTCTGGACACATTGCTTCAACATAGAACGCACATGAACAATGTGGAGGTCTAGGCTGGAATGGGGGCCCAGTTGACCACTTTTGCTCTAGCTGGTAGGCATTAATACTATCTCCATGCATGTCAGTTAGAGGAGCTGCCATATTGTCCTTAGCTTATCTTCTTTGATTGTTAAATCATAACATTGCAATGCTTAACTTCTGATATGAATGACTACAGTCTTAAGTCTTAATCATTCTTTTTTTTTTTTTTTTTTTTGAGACGGAGTCTTGCTCTGTCAGGAGGCTGGAGTGCAGTGGGCGATCTCCGCTCATTGCAAGCTCCGCCTTCCGGGTTCACGCCATTCTTCTGCCTCAGCCTCCCGAGTAGCTGGGACTACAGGCACCCGCCACAACGCCCAGCTAATTTTTTGTGTTTTTTAGTAGAGATGGGGTTTCACCGTGTTAGCCAGGATGGTCTTGATCTCCTGACCTGACCTCGTGATCCGCCCGCCTCGGCCTTCCAAAGTTTTGGGATTACAGGCGTGAGCCACCGCGCCCGGACCACTCTTAGTCATTCTTATCCCAAGTTGTCATCCCTAATTTTGCTTGGCTTGATTAATCAAGATGTTCCTCTTTGGGGTTAGCAGTGTGTTTGGGGGCACCTTTGGGGCTTAATATTCCTCTTATGCAGCATTACCTAAGTGCTCTACAAATATGGCAGTTTGGTTCAGTGAAGTAGTGAGTAGCTCACAAAATAGGTTAAAAGGTTTTGTTGTCAGTTTGGTCATGGGTGAGAAGTTAAGTCTTTTAATACTGAGACAATTTCAGCTTTCAAAAGAAGATAATCTCAGGTGTGTTTTGAGCTTTATTTTGGCATTATTGTTAGTCCTCTAGGCTTTAAAGGAGGGAAAATATTAATATTTTATCACTTGTTGGCTTCTATGGGGAGAACCACAAAGTGTTTGCCATATAAAATCAGGATAAAATGGCATTATTACTGTGATAGTAGGTAAGTTAACATATTTTCCTATCCTTGACTCTATTATGGCAAGAAGTTTCAAGTTGAATATAGTCCCCCCAATATTCAACTTGAAATTCAGTTAGAATTTCTGTGGTACTGCCAACTCTGAAGAAAAAATCCAGAGTTGGCTGTAAAATACAGTAAATGTGTCCCCTTTAACCCACAATCTTGCTGCTATTTGTGTGAATCCATGAAGCTGAGCTTTGTGGTTCTGGCAGCAGGAAAGACACTATCTCAGCACTTATTCTGGGATCATACTTTCAGTGGCAACACCCTTGCCAGCTTTGTCTTGTTTGAAAAAAGCCAAAAGTAATAGTTGTGCTAGAAACATTTTCTTTCTCTGAAAAAACCTTCCTGCATTAATACAGGCCTTAGTGGGACATCAAGTTGATTATCTATGTTTAAAGCAGAACTATACCATACTTACTGTGGCTAGTCTGAACCTAAACATTAATTTATCATATATTCATCCGTTTGTCCAAAATGTCTTAGGCCTCTGTTGAATTTAGGGTGAAGCATTGTACAATTGCCAGGGACATTTTCTCTTTATGTCGATTCAGTGGCACACATAGAATGTGAACGGTTGGTAATGACAAGGTACTGATACCAGGTTGTCTGCTTAGTATTAGGATGTACAAAGCTATTAATTCATAAATAAGACATGGTTTCTTCTCTCATGGAGCCCTCAGGCTAAGGAGGCAGGCATGTAACAATAGGGTAACATATGTTACAGGCGTCCTGCCGGAAACCCATACAGATTACAGTGGTAATGCAGGAGGGAGCAGCCAACTCTATTGGCCAAAAGTATTGAGGAGTGAGGTGCTCAGTCAGGAAAGGCTTTGTAGTTAGTGATGGTGACTTGAAAAGCAGATAGGTAGGGAGAAGAGGAGAGACTGGCATTGCTGACAGAACTGGCATAGCCAAGCTGCACAAGATAAACCAAACTATCCTATGCATAGAAAAGCTGTCCAGTAGATTAGGGTGTGGGAGCTGTTCTGGGAGACAGCAGGAGAGTCAGAGTGAGGCCAGGAAATAGACAGCTGTGATGGTTAATTTTAGGTGTCAACTTGACTGGATTAAGGACATCTAGAAACCTGGTAAAATGTTATTTTGGGGTGTGTCTGTTTCCAGAGGATATTGGGGTGTGAATCCAAGTGGATTAGGTGGGGAAAATCCACCCTCAGTGTGTGTGGGCACCATCCAATCTGCTGGGGCCCAGAGAGAACAAAAACATTGAAAAGGCAGATCTATTTGCTGGAGCTGGGATACATTCTTCCTCTCCTGTCTTTGGACAACAGAACTCCAGGCTCCCCAGGCTTTGGGCTTCAGGACTTGTATCATTGGCCCCCTGGGTTCTCAGGCCTTTGGCTTCAGACTGAGAGTTACACCATCTGCTTTCCTGGTTCTGAGGCCTTTGCACTTGGACTGAGCCATGGTACTGGCATCCCAGGGTCTCCAGCTTGCAGACAGCCTGTCATGGGATGTCTCAGCCTGCTAATCACATGAGCCAGTTCCCCTAATAAATCCCCTCTCATATCTATATCTGTATATATCTTTATGTCTATATCTATGTCTGTCTATATAATGTTCCATCTCTCTGGAGAACCCTAACTCAGGAGCCTTATTGCCTTTAAAAGAAATTTGGACTTTATCCTGTAGGCAAATGGGGAGCCATAGGAGAGCTACGCTGCTTTAGATGAGATGATCTACTTGGGATGGTTGGTTGTTGTTTTGAGACAGCATAGAAATTCTTGAAGCAGAAGAGAGGTAAAATACCTTATGCATTTTTCCCCTTTAGAACCTAAACATTTTATAAAGACACAAGGGCAAATACTGAAGCATAAGGGAGTAAAAAGCTACATGTAAAGTGGTCTGAGTGCAGAATTTTAGATTTTTGTGATTTTCTTTCTCCTTAGTCTTTTTATGTTTATGTAATATTTAATAAATCACATCATTATAGTAACAGCTACAGCTGGCTTGAGGAGAGAAACACAAATGAATATAACTGTGAAACTCAGTGAACATATACATAGGGGAGTAGCTGAAGACTTTACTGTGCTGGGGCGTTGGTCAGGATCTTTTAGAGAGAGAACAGAGACCGTTGGTTAAGTAGGTGACGGCCAACAAAGTTTCTTTGTATTTACATTGTGATCAGCCATTTTTCAGAGGCACATAAAATAGATGAAAGTTCCTGACATGAGTTATATTTTAATAGAATTCCTTCTTTGTTGCCATTGATGTAAATTAGTACAAAGGACCATAAAATTGTAACTTTAGTCATTCAGAAGTATGTCTGTTTTTTTTGTGTCTTTACGAAATGTATTATCCAAGGAGGGCTTTTGGAATTAGGGAGAAATTTTCTTATTTTTGATAATGAATGCCTGGATTGGGGTCCCAGAAATTGTATGCATCACAGACAAAGCAGGCACTTCCACTCTGTTCATCTGAAATCTAAGGGATACTTAATTTAGGGTAATGGCTCCTTAGTGTTCCCCTTTGGTGTTTCTCATGTGATTTTGCTTTACTCTTAATATTAACAAAAACAGCTTTATATGCATAGACAACAGCAAGTATTTTACATTCAAAAAATCGACTGAAAGGTAATAGAATTACAACATTGTCTAGATTTCATCTTTTGGCCTGATTGCATATGCAGGCTATGAGGATTATCTTGGAGAAAAGGGAAAGCTAGAAGTACCATAAGCATGATAGTCACAGGTAGGTAGGGCTATATTGCCAGGCACTGTCCTAAACATTTTAATTCATGTAATTCATTATAGTTCATATATAATTCTCATTGAGTTGGGCCCATTATCGGGTGGAGCAAGTGGGGAGAGGAGAGGCTGGAGAGGAGCCCCAGGTGCCATCCGAGGTCCTTCTAGCTGGCCTTACCCTGGGGGCCGGGCGGGGGCAGCAGGCGTCTAGCAGGGAGGCCCAGCGGGGAGGGAGCTGCAGGGGGGCCGCGAGCGCCAGCGGGGACTGGCTGGGAGCAGGGCAACAATGGGCGGAGTTTTCCGCTCCTCCCCGCCCTTGGCTTGAGCGCTCCAGCTCGCTAGTGGCCCGGGCGAACTGGAGTTGCCGTGTGACGCGTGGGCGGGACGAGGCCCGGGCTCGGGGACCTTTCGCACTCGGGTCAGGGGTAAAGCAGCCTGTCGCTTGCCGGGCAGCTGGTGAGTCGGTGACCTGGCCTGTGAGGTACGTCTGGCAGCCCAGGGGCCGTAGCGGGAGCCCTTGAGGCCGGTAGCCTTGCAGGGCTGGCGCCGGGCAGGAGCCGGGTCGCAGCGGCTGACTGCACAACTGCGTGCGAATCGGCGACCGGGGCGAGGGCAAGGGCTCCTGAGGCCGCTTGGAAAGGGCTTTTGGGAAGTCTAGAAAGCCGCATGAGTCACTGTTGCTTTCGTATTAGAAATGCCTTGTTTTCGAATTAGAAATGCCTTGCGGTCGGTTTTCAGTTACTACTTTAGAAAATTGATGTGCTGGGATTTATTGCCCTCAGTTGCTTGTATAAAGGTGGACAAATCTGAGCCTAGTAAACTCTGAAGTGTTAAATCTTAAAATGTTCAATAGTGAATTTATTATTATCTTATTTTAAATCTGTTGCGATATTAACGTTTGTTTGTGTGGTTTTAAAAAGATTACAGAGAACCAGATTCTGGATTTCAGAAACTGCTTGTCTTGATAAGGAATTTAAAATGGGCTGGGGCTAAGGTAAGATGTATATAATCCTTGAGTTAATGAGTTGTATAAAAAACAACCTTTAGGCCGGGCGCGGTGGCTCACGCTTGTAATCCCAGCACTTTGGGAGGCCGAGGCGGGCGGATCACGAGGTCAGGAGATCGAGACCATCCTGGCTAACACGGTGAAACCCCGTCTCTACTAAAAATACAAAAAAATTAGCCGGGCGTGGCGGCGGGCGCCTGTAGTCAGTCCCAGCTACCTGGGAGGCTGAGACAGGAGAATGGTATGAAGCCGGGAGGTGGAGCTTGCAGTGAGATCGCGCCACTGCACTCCAGCCTGGGCGGCAGAGCTAGACTCCGTCTCAAAACAAAAAAAAAACCCAAAACCAACCTTTAAAAAAAAGACGGAAGAAAGAACGTGTGAAGTGAAAAAAGTCTCAAGGTAAAATTGCAAAATATTTTTTAACATAATTTTTTTAAACTAAAAGCTTTACAGACGGTCTAATGCAGGTTGTCTCATCAAAGATAACCAAATTGTTCAGTTAGTATTTCGAGTGTAGTACTCATAGAACACATAGGTATCCTGTGGATAGATGCTGCGCTTGGCCTTTTAGCAATGACTAGGATGCCAGGCAAATAAGTAAAAAGTAGAGGTCTTTGGAGGGGCAGGGGCAGGTGGCAAGGGGGGCAGAGAATGTGAGAGTTGGAAGGTGAGGTTACAGATGATCTAGTCTGAGCTTTCATTCTTACAGACGAATGAAGCCTGGAGTGGCTGTGATACAGACGTTGAATCAAAACTATTTGCATTGGTATTTGGCAGTGTTTTGGTTTTTCTGAGCCTATCATGACATACAAGGGTACTGTTTATTTATTTATTTATTTATTTTGAGATGGAATTTCGCTCCTGTTGCCCAGGCTGGAGTGCAATGGCTGCGACCTTGGCCCACTGCAACCTCCGCCTCCCAGGTTCAAGCGATTCTCCTGCCTCAGCCTCCCGATTAGCTGGAATTACAGGCATGCGCCACCACGCCCGGCTAATTTTGTATTTTTATTAGAGACAGGGTTTCTCCATGTTGGTCAGGCTGGTCTCGAACTCCTGACCTCAGGTGATCCGCCCACCTTGGCCTCCCAAAGTGCTGGGATTACAGGCGTGAGTCACCGCGCCCGGCCAGTACTATTTTTGTTAGTGTTATCCAAGGCAGAAGATTCTGAACAATTGTGGTTATAATTTACTGAGGACTATGAAAATTGACTGAAAATCTTAACGGAAGTTATTTCAATAGTAATCCATTGGAATGTTAATTTTAATCACTAGTGTTGGCAAGTAAAAATACTTTACAGGTGATAATACACTAAAGGAAGAACAAGCTCATCTGGGAGAGAGAACCCAGGACTAGACCTTGGAAACTGTAGTTCTAAACCCAAATCTTACCCCTTCTGGCTGTGGCCCTTCAGATGGGTCACTTAAACTATCTGGGCTTTTGTGGCTTCATATGTAGAATGAGAGTGTTATATTAAAGAGATGACCAAGATTTTTTCCAGCTTTATTTTTTATTTTTTTAAAGAGGCTTGTGAGGAGCTATTTTTCAGCTTTAAATTGTAGTTTGTGTGGGTCACAAGAGTTAAAGCTCTTTGGAAATTTTATGGTTAAGCCATACAGTAATGACTTAGCTTCATTACATAACCACTTCATTTGTGGTTAGTTGCTCAATTCTGGTGCCATGATCTTCAGACTTCACAAATAGATTTGTGCAAAGCATTGTGTAAGCATGGCATATATAGTTTAAAGAATTCCTTGTTGCGGAAACTCCAGGTTTTGTTATTCGTTTGAAGGGTATGTGTGTTTCCTCCTCCTTTACTTCCTCCACCCCCAAATTTAGGACAGGGATACTAGAGGCAGGGAAGTTTTAGAAAGCACTTAAACTTTTAATGTTGTCTCAAAACATAAACATTTAAGGCAGTCCTCTTTTGAAGATGGCAAGGCAATATTTTGGATTATAATGGTGAAGATAAAAAGACATTTTTAGTAATCTTTTATTGATTTGAATATTAGGATCAGAGCTGATTTGGTCCAATCTTTCTACACGTAAGAAAACAGTCAAAAATATCCATACTTGGTATATATTAGAGGATTTAGACTATTGAGTTTTTGGAGTAAATAAAAGATTGCCTTTTGCTGTGCTGTATAGTGAAAGACTAGATGGAAATCTAATATTTATTAAATAAGCACGACCTCCTTACCCCTAAGTCTGTGAGTCTATATTCCTCACATATGAATTAGGAAGTTAGGTTCCACAAGGGCAAATGGTGCAAGGTCATAGCCCTGATAAATGGCTAAAGGATTCTGTCAGGTCCTGTTCACAGCCTGTCAGCTAAACCTGATAACAATAACCACTGCAATGTGGAGGGCTTACGGTGTGCAGGTGCTAGGCTAAGTGCCGGTAGACATATAATATCTCACTTTAACCTTACTGCAGCCCCTCTGTAGCAACCATCCTTGTCTCCCTTTTTCCTGAGGAAGTTGAGGCCCAGAGAGATTATGTTACTAGCTCAGGGGTCTCAAGCTTGGAGACACAGCCATAACTCAGGTTTGTCAGACTCCAGAGTGACCTCTTAACGGTCATGCTTGCTACTCTGGCTCTTGAACCTGAAACAAATGGTGAATAACTGTTGAAAATGGCCATGTGAACTAGTTACCTCATACAAGTCTCTTTGGATGTAACATTTCGTACAGCTGGCTTAGGCTCATTGTGATTTGAATTCACCCATGGTTGGGGCTCTTCATTTCCGCTCTGAAGGCTTCCTCTTCATCACAGTGCAAGAGGGCAAGCCTTTGCATAGCTCCTTTCTTGGCATCTGGGCTCTGAAAGCTGACAGTGCTCTAACTGCGCCACAGGGAGGAGGAGGGACAGAGAGAGCCAAAGGCAGCAAAGGGGCAAGCATCCTGGGACTTACCATAAAGAAATGAAACAGATTTTCTTCGTGGCTGACAGATGAGTTCTCAAGATGACTTTTGAAGGATAACACTCCTTTTAATTTGAAAAAAATGTGATAACTGTGTGTGGAAAAATCAGTTTTGTAACTTTTAAATCTCATCCTACATTCTGTCTATAGCTGATAAGGGCAAAGTCCAATGTGTGAACTCTTGCTGTAGTCTACTCTTATTGTGTAATATTAATACTTGTGATTGAATTGAGAGGACTTGCTTTAGGAATCTAGTAATACAGTCAGCACTGTATGTATTTGAGTTTGTCTCCCGTATGTTCCGGAATTCTGGAGTTTTGACATTGTGAAGCAACAATTTAATTTTATTGATTCAATTTTACACTGTGCCAGGCATTGTGGCATTCCACACAAATGGTGAGAAGCTAAAAGTGAGAAATTTGGCACAGGTGAAGAAGGCTGGGTAACACATTTGAAAGACTGCTAAACAGGTCTTGCATGACTGGCCTAAGTGCAAAGTGAAGCAGCCCATCACGCTCCAGCTCTCCAAATCGGAGCCGGCATTTCACCCATGTGATACAGGTATTTTTCATAGTCCCTGCAGTGAGTTCCAAGTGCACACTAATGCTTCTGCCTAACACAGGCAGCTTATGGCATGCAAAAGGAGGCTGCAAAGTAACCACTGTTGGTGTGTCCAGGGTTAGAAAAATTTCCACAGGGATTTCTGTGAAATCCAATTAAGGCAGCCCTTTCTTTTTAATAGATGATTATGGAGAAAAGAGACTGACGAAACAAAATCAGCAAGGGGAAGTTAAAAAATTTCCTGAATTGTTCAGTTTCTTGTGGAAACTCTAGTTCCTGAATCTGAGTCTTTTGCTGAGATAGTGTACAGAAAGTTTGTTTTGCTGCTCTTCCCACTTCCCTCAGAATACATTATTTCTGAGGGAAGAACTCACCACTTTTGTCTCTAGCCAGCTTTCAGTTAGGCACCTGGCCCTAAACTTAGTCTTAAAGATGCAGTCAAGGCCTGGCAAAGTTCCTTTGTCTGAAATGGGCAGTCAAGCCACTTGGAGGACTCTACACTGGGTAGGCCACTTTTCACCCCAAAGCTGGCTTCTCCAAGAAAGTCATTGCTTTCAGGACTGTTAGGAAGTTATTTGATATATTGCCTAACATGCCTCCTATTAATGTTTTTTACCCCCTTGTGTCTGTTCCAAACAAATTTAGTTCTTCTAGTTGACAGGTCTCCACATACTTGAGAATGGTAATCATGTCCTCCTGGAGACGTCTCTTATCTAGGCTAAACAGCCTTCCTTCCTGGAGAAGTGTTTCATGGTTTTGAGGCCTCTCTCCCTTTTCTAAGTGTCCTCTTCTAAAGTGTGTTACTCAGAAATAAGTTTTGAATTTAGTCTAATAAACATGGAACAGGCTAATCCTGTGACAAACACTATACTTTTGGTAAATGTAGTCAAATAGTGTGTAAGTTATTTTTTCCCACAGACCCAGCACACTGCGAATTCATAGAGAATTTACTTTCGGTTAAAAATTTCCACCCTTTAAAAAGGAATTATTCTCTTCCTTGCCCTCCCTAATTAAAGTGAAAAAACTTACATTTTGTTTTGTAAAATTGAACAGCTATGTAGAGATTGTTTTGGGATCTGTTTCTGTCACAGCCCCATGTTACCTCCAGCTTTAATGTTTGTCTTGTGTGTTTTCATACAGGTAATTAGGAAAAACAGGGATGTGCCTCTCAAAACTTTACAAACTGGCCTTAGTCTGTCATCCTTTGAGTATTTTGTAAAAAATAATCTTATTATTCAGTTTAATTGTGCTTCTCTTTAGCTAATATTCACTTTTTCCACAGTGATAACATATAGTCTTGCCACAAGTCTTCTGTCATCCCTTTGTGTCTACAGCATTACCTTGACTTGCCAGTTTAGTAAAACAATCCAAAAGGAAATAACTGGTATCACAAGGCTTAGTGAACCTATTCTGAGCTCTAGTAATCACTGCTGTCATTTTCTCAGTGTTTAAAAATCATGTCATTGTTCTTGCAGTAGCTTTTGTCAAGTTTTACGTTATGGCTTTACTGACACTCATGTGTTACAGTCTCATTTTATCATTATATGCTGTTCTTCCCATTTGTGTTTCCTTTCGCTCCTAAACCCAAGCTTCTTAGAGAACTCTGTATTTACCCACACCAATTTCTGTGTCTCCTTTATATGAGAATCATGAAATCATTTTGTCACATATAATCTGTTACATATAATGCACATTCTTTTATATATTATATATTACATATATTCTCTCTATATAAAACATGTATCTCTATATCTGTTATATTCTTTTTTGTTGTTGTTTTGAGACAGAGTTTCACCCTCTTACCCAGGGTGGAGTGCAGGTGCAATCACGGCTCACTGCAGCTGCGAACTCCTGGGCTCAGGTGATCTTCCCATCTCAGCCTGCCAAGTAGCTGGGACTACAGATGCACACCACCACATGTGGCTAATTTTTATATTTTGTAGAGACGGGGTCTGGCTATTTTGCCCAGGCTGGTCCCGAACTCCTGGAATCAAGTGATCCACCCACCTTGGCCTCCCAAAGTACTAGAATTACAGGTGTGAGCCACCGTGCCCGGCCCTATGTTATATTTTTGAGAACTTCCTAGCTGTGAAGTCATTCTTAAGTTCTTCCTAAATAAAAAAAAAAGTTCTACCTAAAAGGGGGAAATTAAAAATTCCGTCTTCTAAACAAAGTGTTCTAAACTTGATTGTTTGCAGCTTATTTTGAAAGTAATCAAAGATCCTTCTGTACCTTTTAGTCTTCATCTCTAAATCTACAAAGAGGAACACATGCCTCATATGACTATATGTGTGTTATAAATAGAAAATGATATTCTAATGTTCTTTTAACTTTTCAGGACACTGTATGCTCTTTGATTCAGGACAATTAGTGTATTTTTCCAGAAATAGCTATTCACATGTAAAGTGTCACTAAAGTAGATTATAGAGTTTTATGGCAGGAACAGTGGTAGAGGGAAGGGAGGAGACAATATTTATTAAGAGTATCTTATGTGCTAGGTTTGGTGTTGGAAAGTAATCTAAGTAGTTAGTAATGGGAGTTGGCTGGAATGATCATTTGAGGGATGATTCAAAGGTGGTTTTTGGTTGTAATTATGGTGCTATTTATATATATTTTTTTCTTTTAAAGGAGCAGTGAGGAGAATGAATACCTTCCAAGACCAGAGTGGCAGCTCCAGTAATAGAGAACCCCTTTTGAGGTGTAGTGATGCACGGAGGGACTTGGAGCTTGCTATTGGTGGAGTTCTCCGGGCTGAACAGCAAATTAAAGATAACTTGCGAGAGGTGTGACATGTGCTTTTCTCTTCTGTTGTCTGGACTCTTGACACAGGGCTGATTTGAGCATGGCCAAGGACTTGGTCTCTCCGTGCCAGCAAAAAATTTCACCCCATGCCTTGCGTGGTCTACTTGGTCCCCGTCAGTTGCCTGATATACTGGTGCCTTTCATCCCAAGGGGAAATAAGGCAGATGCTAGAAGAGTCTGGAAAACCCTGTGCCATTCTAGAAAATTCTATTCAGCTTACTTAGATTACTAACTACTTAGATTTTTGATTACTCCTCTGTGTGATTCCTCAGGCACTGTGACCAGTAAAAATATGAAATGAGTGAGCAGTATCCTCTCAGCTGCATCCTCTTGATTGCATGAAGGATGCACTTGAGCATCCTCCCCATCATCTTTTAGCTGGTTAATGGCATTGTTCTGTAAATGACTATCTGTTAGGGCAAGCCAGAGTGAAATCTGTTGTTGGTTCCAGTAGTATTTTGTTGTTGTGTGTGTTAGACCAAGTATTACATGACTTTGAAACACAACTTTATTAAACAGAAAAAAATGTGTTTTAAAATACAGTTTCTTATGTATATTGTCACGGATAATTTATGGCCTGTTTTGACTTTTTCCCTTGGGATTTTTATATTTAGCCCTGTTTGAATCACTGTTTATGCTTCCAGAAATATTAGTTTATAATTTTACTTAAATTGTCTACCCTAATGGTCTTTTAGCTGTTGACATGTGGTGGCACATCTCTTTACTAAATTGGCCTCCTGTAAATGGACCGCTCATTCTGTGGGGTGAGAAAAGAGATAAGGGGCTAGCTATTAAGTTAATACTCTGTCTTTATTCTGCTGATAAACTTGTAAAACCGTAGGTTTTTAAATTATGTGGAAAACTGAGGGGGTCAGTATTTCCTGGTACATTCTTGTATTTTCTCTTGATTAGGACACCCAAATTAAACCTAATCCTCTTAGAAGGCTGGGTATTGAAGAAGGATTTTAGAGTTTAGGTATGCCTTTATGGCTAGGATTCTTAAATTGGGGTCCATAGGGCTTTAGTGGGTCCTTGGGTGGGCTTTGGAACACTAAACCCTGAAATTATAGGTAAAATCTTGAAAATATACATTTTTTCTGGGGAGATACTTCATAGATGTCATTGGATAATTAAAAGGATTTGTGGTCCCCCCAACCCCACCCCCCCAAAAAAAGTTTTAGAAACTCACTATTCTTTGGGAAACATCATTCTTTGGGATTAACACTAGGAAGCTAACATGTATGTGTTTCCTAGGTCAAAGCTCAGATTCACAGTTGCATAAGCCGTCACCTGGAATGTCTTAGAAGCCGTGAGGTATGGCTGTATGAACAGGTGGACCTTATTTATCAGCTTAAAGAGGAGACACTTCAACAGCAGGCTCAGCAGCTCTACTCGGTAAGGTGACTGCATGGCTAGAATTGGTTTGAGCATGGCTTCTGGTTGCCAGAGAGTATCTTCCTTGTAATGCAGTGTTAATATAGATCAGATAGAAGTTTAATCTCAAGTGCTGTTTGGTAACTTGAGTATATCTGGTGCTTTTGGTGTCATTGTGGCTAGTTGGTTTCATTTTTCTTTTAGTTATTGGGCCAGTTCAATTGTCTTACTCATCAACTGGAGTGTACCCAAAACAAAGATCTAGCCAATCAAGTCTCTGTGTGCCTGGAGAGGTAATGACCCTTTTTGCGTATTTTAACTTTTGACTCTTGAACTTTGGTATACTAAAAGAAAGTCGATTTTGTAACTCATTGCTTGTGTTATATTTAACTTCTGTGTTGCTAGGATAAGATCATTCTGCTTCATGTATTTAATATTATACTTGCTGATACATGAATAAGCCATCTATCTTTGGTTGAGTTTCTTAGAGAAGTGTAATCATTTAAAATTACTCACAATTTGGCTTTTGTTTTAGATGAAGTTGATGAAACAGATATTCCTTAAAAATAGCCAATTTTGTTTTTTTTTCCCCAGACTGGGCAGTTTGACCCTTAAGCCTGAAGATTCAACTGTCCTGCTCTTTGAAGCTGACACAATTACTCTGCGCCAGACCATCACCACATTTGGGTCTCTCAAAACCATTGTGAGTAATCTCATATGCTTCACTGGGCACTTCTCATATCTGTGGCCTCACAGCTGGTCTTAAAAAAAATTGCTATGAATAGTGACTTTCTTGAGAATTTGATTAGCTTCAAAAATTTCATGTTCTCAGCTGGGCGTGGTGGCTCACGCCTGTAATCCTAGCACTTTGGGAGGCCGAGGAGGGCGGATCACTTGAGGTCAGAAGTTCAAGACCAGCCTGGCCAACATGGTGAAAACCCATCTCTATTAAAAATACAAAAAAATTAGCTGGGCGCCTATAATCCCAGCTACTTGGAAGGCTGAGGCAGGAGGATCGCTTCAAGCTGGGAGGCGGAGGTTGCAGTGACCTGAGATCGTGCCACTGCATTCCAACCTGGGCGACAAACAGTGAGACTCCGCCTAAAAAAAAAAAAATTCATATTCTGATTAAGTTGCCTAGGTTGGTAGTTCTTGGAATGTAGTACAGACTCAGTGATACTCTTTGGAATGCCTCATGTATCTCTCTAAATACTTTTGAAATATTTTTTGTAAAATTTATGGCTTGAATAGTTTTTAATAAAGAACGAAACGTTTGGGTCTTGTTAAAAGTGGTAATACAACCAATTCTGGTAAAGATTTTTTATATAATAGTTATGTGGTAGAGTATTCTCAAATTTGATAACTACTTTGTAAGTCATGGAATTTAGTGTGAACAGTATTTCTAATGAAATGGTAATGCTTTAACATTTTTGAAATTTGGAATTATAATTTCACTTTTTTGGCAGCATAGCATAAATAACATGATTAAATTATCTCTATTTTGTAGCAAATTCCTGAGCACTTGATGGCTCATGCTAGTTCAGCAAATATTGGGCCCTTCCTGGAGAAGAGAGGCTGTATCTCCATGCCAGAGCAGGTAAAATATCATTTTGTTTTTGGTAATTGAGTCATTACTTGGCTTATACTTCCTTTGGGTTTTATATAGCATTAAAAAAATGCTACTATTTGTAAAAAGGCACCAGTGGCAATGAGTTAGTTTATGAAATTGAATGCTTCCCTTGAGACCTAATGCCAAATAGAAATTTAGATGTCTTGTCGGGGCTGATTAACAGAAAAAGTAATTATCAATCAGTTCACAGGAAATTATCATTAGCTGTCTTACTGATACTGGTTCTCTGTGAGCGATCCTCTTTATAATTTGTAGAGATGATTTATTTCTAAAGGAATGGCAATGTGAATAAAGGTTTCTATATGTTTTAGTTGAGAAGAGCCCTAGAGATCAGCTGTGTGTCTCTTGTTTTATAATTGTGAAAATTGAGGCTCTTGGAAGGCACATGATTTGCCCAGGGTCAGTGGCAAGCCAAGATTAGAGAGTGGCTCTTCTCTTTTTCTGGTGAACTTTCTACTGCATTTGACATTCCTTGTTTTGTGATTAACAGAAGTCAGCATCCGGTATTGTAGCTGTCCCTTTCAGCGAATGGCTCCTTGGAAGCAAACCTGCCAGTGGTTATCAAGCTCCTTACATACCCAGCACCGACCCCCAGGACTGGCTTACCCAAAAGCAGACCTTGGAGAACAGTCAGGTCTGTTGCTGCTTTTATTGTTTCTACAGTAGACACAGCAGTAGGTGGAGTTAGTTACTAATCAGTAGTACTATGTGTCATTGTTAACTTTTTGGTTGCAGTCTGGAAACATATTTATTAATAGTCTCTTCATCATAGAAAGTTTAGAAAATAAGGAACTCTTTATCATAGAAAATTTTAAAAATAAAGAATTTTATATTAAAAAAGCCCACAAACCCATAATCTCAACACAAAGAGAAAAACACTGTAACAATAAAAGTGAAGTATTTATATACTTCAGTTTTCTATACATACATATTTTAAAAGAACCATTCTGTAAGTCCTGTTTCGGTAGGTAGATTTTTTTTTTCACCAGGATAACATTAACATATTTCTCTGTCATTTAATTTCTTCTGTAAAGTATTTAGTAGTATATAATTGATTGGCTGTAATTTAAATTCAAGTTTTTCTGGATATAAAAAAGGATTCCCTAAACATCCAGGAGCCAATTATTTGTGTGCATTCTTGATTAGTTCCTTAGGAGTACATTTATAGAAATTGCATTCCTAGATTATAATTCTGCTTACGCTTTAAGACTTTGGATACATATTGCCAATTTGGCTTCCCAGGAAGTTGCCAACAGTTTATAGTCTCACCAGCAGAATATTCAGGGTACCTGCTTCCCTGAAACCTAAGAGTAATAGTCATTTAGGTTTTTTGCTCTGAATTTGACACAAAATAGCAATTTTGCTTTTGTTTTTTCTTCCATTAGTAAGGAGGTTGAGTATTTTCTTTTTTCGTTTTTTTTTTTTTTTTTTTTTTTTTTTTTTTTTCTTTCTTTTTGAGACCGAGTCTTGCTCTGTCTCCCAGGCTGGAGTGTAGTAGTGGGATCTCGGCTCACTGCAAGCTCCGTCCTGCGGGTTCATGCCATTCTCCTGCCTCAGCCTCCTGAGTAGCTGGGATTACAGGCGCTTGCCACCACACCCTGCTAATTTTTTGCATATTTTTTATTTTTTAGTAGATACGGGGTTTCACCCGTGTTAGCCAGGATGGTCTCTATCTGACCTTGTGATCTGCCTGCCTCGGCCTCCCAAAGTGCTGGGATTACAGGCGTGAACCACCGTACCCGGCCAAGTATTTTCATGTTTATTAGGCTTCTTTGATGACTTGCCTGATCATATCCTTTGCTTATTTTTTGTGCTTTATTTGTAAAGGCATATTACACCCTTTTCTATCAGATAAGAGTATCTAAATAGAGAAATCCCTTGCCTTTTGGCTTTGTGTACTTAAATTTCAAAACACTGGGCAAGACAGTAAATATGCAGACAGGGCCGGGCGTGGTGGCTCACGCCTGTAATCCCAGTACTTTGGGAGGCTGAGGTGGGCGGATCACGAGGTCAGGAGATCGAGACCATCCTGGCTAACACGGTGAAACCCCGTCTCTACTAAAAATACAAAAAAAAAAAAAATTAGCTGGGCGTGGTGGTGGGCGCCTATAGTCCCAGCTACTCGGAAGGCTGAGGCAGGAGAATGGCGTGAAGCTGGGAGGCAGAGCTTGCAGTGAGCTGAGATTGTGCCACCGCACTCCAGCCTGGGCGACAGAGTGAGACTGTCTCAAAAAAAGAAAAAGTGCAGACAGAATCTCCAAAGCAGTCATAATTGTTCTGGCAAACTAATACTGTGTACTTTTTGTGTAGACTTCTTCCAGAGCCTGCAATTTCTTCAATAATGTCGGGGGAAACCTAAAGGGCTTAGAAAACTGGCTCCTCAAGAGTGAAAAATCAAGTTATCAAAAGTGTAACAGCCATTCCACTACTAGTTCTTTCTCCATTGAAATGGAAAAGGTTGGAGATCAAGAGCTTCCTGATCAAGATGAGATGGACCTATCAGATTGGCTAGTGACTCCCCAGGAATCCCATAAGCTGCGGAAGCCTGAGAATGGCAGTCGTGAAACCAGTGAGAAGTTTAAGCTCTTATTCCAGTCCTATAATGTGAATGATTGGCTTGTCAAGACTGACTCCTGTACCAACTGTCAGGGAAACCAGCCCAAAGGTGTGGAGATTGAAAACCTGGGCAATCTGAAGTGCCTGAATGACCACTTGGAGGCCAAGAAACCATTGTCCACCCCCAGCATGGTTACAGAGGATTGGCTTGTCCAGAACCATCAGGACCCATGTAAGGTAGAGGAGGTGTGCAGAGCCAATGAGCCCTGCACAAGCTTTGCAGAGTGTGTGTGTGATGAGAATTGTGAGAAGGAGGCTCTGTATAAGTGGCTTCTGAAGAAAGAAGGAAAGGATAAAAATGGGATGCCTGTGGAACCCAAACCTGAGCCTGAGAAGCATAAAGATTCCCTGAATATGTGGCTCTGTCCTAGAAAAGAAGTAATAGAACAAACTAAAGCACCAAAGGCAATGACTCCTTCTAGAATTGCTGATTCCTTCCAAGTCATAAAGAACAGCCCCTTGTCGGAGTGGCTTATCAGGCCCCCATACAAAGAAGGAAGTCCCAAGGAAGTGCCTGGTACTGAAGACAGAGCTGGCAAACAGAAGTTTAAAAGCCCCATGAATACTTCCTGGTGTTCCTTTAACACAGCTGACTGGGTCCTGCCAGGAAAGAAGATGGGCAACCTCAGCCAGTTATCTTCTGGAGAAGACAAGTGGCTGCTTCGAAAGAAGGCCCAGGTGAGCATAAACATCAAAATAGCACTGGTTTGAGTTTTATTTATTTATTCATTTATTTTGAGATGGGGTCTCTGTCACTCAGGCTGGAGTGCAGTGGTGCGATCTCAGCTCATTGCAACCTCCCCTTCCGAGGCTCCAGCCATCCCCCTGCCCGCACTACAGCCTCCTGAGTAGCTGGGACCATAGGTGTGCACCACCATGCCTGGCTAATTTTTTGTATTTTTGGTAGAGATGGGGTTTTGGCCTGGGCTGGTCTCTGAACTCCTGAGCTTAAGCGATCTGCCCGTCTTGGTCTCCTAAACTGCTGGGATTACAGGCGTGATCCACCACACCCAGCCTAGAGTTTCATATTTCATAATCCCAAACCTTGCAAACCGGCCAGCCAGATCCTTAAATATGTTAAATACTAAATTTGGAATGGAGGATTTATGATTTTTTTGTGCATTTTCCAGGCCTAAGCCCCATCCTTCAGGAAAGAAAAGAATCTAGCCTGTTTTATTGCTATTTATGGAAAATATTTGGGGTAGAAATAACAATTGTCACCTTTGTTTTTGGTTGTTACAGAGAATGGCCAACATTTAAATTATTCTCTGTAGACCCTATTTGGAAGATAAGTTGGTCTCATGCCTCCTTGTTTTCATGAAGCAACCTACTCTTTTCTTTTATTGCAGGAAGTATTACTTAATTCACCTCTACAGGAGGAACATAACTTCCCCCCAGACCATTATGGCCTCCCTGCAGTTTGTGATCTCTTTGCCTGTATGCAGCTTAAAGTTGATAAAGAGAAGTGGTTATATCGAACTCCTCTACAGGTGGGTACATGCCACCAGCATGAAAATTAGATTATAGCTATTTATAAAATAAATGTTTTGTCTTACATATGAAGTCATACTTGGCTCACTGAACCATATCCCTTTTAATAGTATGTATATTAGGCAAGTGAGGGTGGGACGGGGGAGCTCATAAAAAGTTGATGTATTTTAATTGAATTTGCTTTATTAACTAACTAGGCATACTTCAAAATGAACTTTCAAGATGTAACCGTTGGGAATTTTCAGATCCCATGTGGATTCTAGTAGTTTATATACCTACCTCGAAGGTGGGTTTGGTTCCAGGCCACTGCAATAAAGCAAATATCCCAATAAAGAGAGCTACACAAATACTTTGGTTTCCCATTGCATATAAAAGTTGTATATAATACACTATAGTTAAGTCTGCAATAACATTATGTCTTAAGAAGAAACCAATGTACATACCTCAATTAAAAAGTATTTTATTACTACAAAATGCTGATGGTCATCTGAGCCATTAACACATAATCGTTTTGCTGTTGGAGGTTCTTGCCTTGATGTTGATTACTGCTGACTGATTAGGATGGTAGCTGCTTGAAGGTTGGGATGGCTCTGTCAGTTTCTTTAAATAAGATAATGAAGTTTGCTGCATCGATTGACTTTTCCTTTCACGAAATATTTCTAACATGTGATGCTGTGTGATAGCATTTTATCCACAGTAGAACTTTCAAAATTGGAGTCAAACCATGTTGCTGCTTTATCCACTAAGTTTATTTAATATTCTAAATCCTTTGTTGTCACTTCAACAATACACAGCATCTTCTCCAGGAGTAGATTCTATCTCAAGAAATCACTTTCTTTGCTCATCCGTAAGAAGCAACTGCTCATCCGTTTAAGTTTGATCATGAGATTGCAGCAATTCAGTCACATATTCAGGCTCCACTTCTAATTCTACTTCTCTTGCTGTTTCCACCACATCTGCAGTTACTTCCTCCACTGAAGTCCTGAGTTCCTCCAAGCCATCCATGAGGGTGGGAATCCGTTTCTTCCAAACTCCTGTTAATGTTGATATTTTGACTTCCTCTCATGAATCATGAATGATCTTAGTGGCACCCAGAATGGTGAATCCTTTCCAGGTTTTCAGTTTACTTTGCCCAGATCTATCAGAGGAACCTAGGTAGCTAGGGCCTTAAAAAATGTATTTCTTAAATAATACTTGAAAGTTGAAATTACTCTTTGATCCATAGGCTGCAGAATGGATGTTTTATTAGCAAACATGAAAACATTAATCTCCTTCTGCATCTCCATCAGAGCTTTTGGGTGACCAAGTGCACTGTCAATGGGTGTAGTATTTTGAAAGGAATGTTTTTTTCTGAGCAGTAGTTCTCAACAGAGGGCTTAAAATATTCAGTAAACCATGCTGTGAACAGGTGCGCTGTCATCCAAGCTTTGTTGTTCCATTTCTAGAGCACAGGCAGAGTAGATTTAGCATAATTCTCAAGGGCTCTAGGATTGAAGCACTGGCTTCAACTTAGCCACCAGTGGCCAGGTGCAGTGGCTCAGGCCTGCAATTCCAGCACTTTGGGAGGCAGAGGTAGGAAGATTGCTTGAGCCAAGGAGTTTAACACCAGCCTGGGCAACATACAGAGACCCTGTCTGTACAAAAATTAACAAATTAGCTGGGTATGGTGGAGCGTGCTATAGTCCCAGCTACTCAGGAGGCTGAGGTGGGAGAATCTTGTGTCTGGGAGGTCAAGGCTGCAGTGTGCTATAATAGCTCTGCTGCGGTCTTGCCTGGTTGACAGAGGGAGACCCTGTCTCAAAAAAAAAAAAAAAAAAAAAAAAAAAAAGAGTCACTGGCTGTGTTAGTCCCTAACAAGAGAGTCCATCTGTCCTTTGAAGCCAGGCATTCACTTATCTCTCTAGCTATCAGTTCTAGATGACTACTTCTTCCAATAGGAAGTTGTTTTGTCTGCACTGAAAATGTTGAGTGTAGCCAACTTCATTTACGATCTTGGCTAGATATTCTGGATAACTTGCTACTTCACCTTGCATTTTTGCTATGGAGATGGCTTCTTTCCTTAAACCTCATGAACCAACCACTGCTAGCTTCAAACATGACTTCTGGTTCCTGACCTCTCTCAGCCTTCATAAAATTGAAGAGAATTAGGGCCTTACTCTGGGGTTACGCTTTGGCCTAAGGGAATGTTGTGGCTAGTTTGATCTCCTATAGAGACCACTAAAACTTTCTCCATATCAGAAATAAGGCTGTTTGCTTTTTAAATTATTCATCTGTTCACTGGAGTAGCACCTCTAGTTTTTTTCAAGAACTTTTCAGCCAGAGAATGAGAAGCTGAAAAACAACAAAAAACTTTGCTTTTGTGCTCACAGCTTGGCTGGTCCAAAAGGCCTGCCCAGCTTTCAGCCTCTCGTGGCCTTCAACATGACTTTCTCGCTAAGTTTAATCATTTCTGGCTTTTGATTTAAAGAAGAGTGAGAGATGGGGACTATTCCTTTTAGTTGAACACTTAGATGCAATTGTAGGGTTAATAATTGGCCTAATTTCAATCTTGTTTTGTCTCAGGGAACAGGGAGGCCTGAGGAGAGAGAAGAGAAATAGGGAAAGGCTGTTTGGTGGGCATTCAGGACATTTATTGATGAAAAGTTTACCATCTTTAATGGGCATAGTTCATGACACAAATGCTTAATTTGTAAAAAATACAATGTAACAAGGGTATACCTGTATTGGGAAATGAGTCGGAGCTTTAAGGCAGGGAAAATTTGCTTTTATTCTTCATTGAAGTAACTTATCATCTGTGGGTGTCTCTTTACAGATGTGAAGGAATGGACAAGAGTTGAGCAGCCTTTCTGCTGATTATCACACATCATGAGCTGAGTGACTGCAGCTTGCCAAATCTTTGTGTTTCTGGGTCTGACCAATTAGCTTAGTTCTTCTCCTGCCTAATTTTGAACTAGTAAAGCAAAGTGAGTCATCAGATTATGAGTTACTGTTTAAAAGAAAAATGCTGTTTATTCATGCTGAGGTGATTCAGTTCCCTCCTTCTTACAGAAGTATTTTAATT
This sequence comes from Homo sapiens, assembly GCF_000001405.40. Taxonomy (NCBI): domain Eukaryota; kingdom Metazoa; phylum Chordata; class Mammalia; order Primates; family Hominidae; genus Homo; species Homo sapiens. Next base: position 46,006,348 of record NC_000010.11, on the reverse strand, counting down.
CACCCCACACTAGAAATGCAGCATCTTTGTGGACGTCTTTTTCACAAGCCTCCAAGGCTCCTTAGATTGGGTCGTTACTAAAAGTACATTAAAACACTCTTGTTTATCGAAGTATATTGATGTATTCTAAAGCTAGTAAACTTCCCTAACGTTTAATTGCCCTACAGATGCTTCTCTTGCTGTGGGTTTTCTTTTGTTAGTGGTCTGAAATAATTATTTTCCTGTTCTATTAATACATAGTGTATTTTGCACAAAAAAATTAACCTGGTCAATAGTGATTACCAAAATATATATTAATAATCTTGGCAATTTTTGACATTAATTATGAAACATTTTAGCCCACGTTAGTTCTACATTATTCTTCACTTAAACTCAGCTACTGCAAATTTTGTCTTTCTGTAAATGTTATTAAAATATCCAGTGAGCTCTTTAGAAGGACTCAGTATTATTTCAAGACTATTTTTGAGGTAATTCTAGCCTTTTAAAATATTCTACAGACCTACGGGGCTTAAAAGAACCCCAGTACCGACTAAGCAAATAGGCAAAAGACATGTTGGAAATGTAGTATAGTACTTGAAACAGTCACTATCATAGGGATAATTGGTGCATCCTGTGTAAATGGAAGCTGAGCTTGACACCTGGTGCTTTTAAGTAGGGATAAAGTCATCCTCTCACTGCAAGCACAGCATACCTGTACCTCCAAAAGTGACGTTTTAGTGAACAGGCCGTTTTCAACACTTGTGCCTTGGGGTGTTCATTGAAGCTTTGTGAAAACTACTGATGTTTTCTCAGTCTCCTTAAAGTTACGTCCATGCTTTAAAATGTCTGTGTAGGAGAGAAGTGGGGTTTATAATGTTTTCTCTAAGATATCTTTGCTGCTTTCCAGACTTTGAAACTATTAAGCTTCTTAACTGCCTCTTACCGGAAATACTTCTGGGGAAACTTCATGGTCCCAAAATGTCATTGCCATACAGCTTCACTAGAGTTCTTTGAACCACAGCTGAAAAGAGCTTTGTATTATTTTTTAATTCCCTCCCCAGATATCATTTAGGAGTATTATATAAAGGTGGTGGGCAAAAACAATGTAAGGAGCCTTTCCAGTTATCTTGAGTTGCAGCTCTGTAGTTTCTTGAGGCCAAACACACTGTATTTTACAAGTCAAAATATAATTTACATTAATCACTATGTTAATGAGTATGTAAAACATTCTTTTGCATTGATGAATTTTGTATCTGCTTCCATTAAAAGCATAACAGCCATAGTTGTTGCGTGTTATTTTTAAAACTATTTGTCACAAAGTGTGGTGTGGTACCACATAACGTGGTAACTTTTGGTTAGTAATCCAGCTGAGAAACAGCTTGAACATAAAAATAACATCAGTGTATTTTATGAAAAATTAGCAAACAATAGGTATATTAACCTCCATTTTCAGTCTTTTATAAAAACTATTCACATCTATTAAAAAAAAACCTATGGGACTTCAGCCAAGATTCAGTGCCTTTCTACTGGATTCCTCTTACTAGATGCATCCGAAGAGGCCCTAGTTTACTTTCTCCAATCATATAGCCACCAGGTATTTAATACAGTAATATTTATGTGTATAACCTGTAGTGCAATTATACATGATTAACTTCATATGGTGGATGAGAAAACAAACTCAGAAATTAAACAATTTGGCCTCATGTCCTTTAGTTTTCCCAAGGCTTCCTTGAAAAACATCTAGCTCTTGGCCAGGCACGGTCGCTCACGCCTGTAATCCCAGCACTCTGGGAGGCTAAGGCAGGTGGATCACCTGAGGTCAGGAGTTCGAGACCACCCTGACCAACATAGTAAACCCCGCCTCTACTAAAAATACAAAAATTAGCTGGGCATGGTGGCAAGTGCCTGTAATCCCAGCTACTTGGGAGACTGAGGCAGAATTACTTGAACCCGGGAGGTGTTCAAGTAATCTCAGCAGTGCGCTGAGATTGTACCACCGCACTCCAGCCTGGGGAACAGAGACCCTGTCTCAAAAAAAAAAAAAAAAAAAACCTAGCTCTTAATTATTCCTAGTAAGGTGTGAGTTAATATGTATGGAATGAAGCAGGATTGTTGGAAAGATTGTTCTAGCATACTAGTCTAACGGCTGACCTGAAATACCTTGAGGTGGTTTAGTACCAGCTCTATTGGTGAATGCCACCAGTAGCTCATTTCTTTTTTTGAAATGGAGTCTCACTCTGTCACCTGGGCTGGAGTGCAGTGGCATGATCTGGGCTCACTGCAACCTCCGCCTCCTGGGTTCAAGCGATTCTCCAGCCTCAACCTCCTGAGTAGCTGGGGTTACAGGTGCACACCCACCACACCCAGCTGATTTTTGTATTTTTAGTAGAGACAAGGTTTCACCATATTGGCCAGGCTGATTTTCAAACTCCTGACCTCAGGTGATCCACCTGCCTTGGCCTCCCAAAGTACAGGGATTACAGGCGTGAGCCACCACACCCGGCCACCAAGTAGCTCATTTTAACACAAACACGAAGATGTTGTTTTGCCCACTGGGACAAAAAATGCCAAGGGTACCTTTCACTTTATACCCAGGTAGATACTTTTAAATTGAGACAACCACTATGTTTGTGTGTTGGAGTTATAACTTTGGTTCTGTTTTTACCCTTTATTTGGAATACAGTGCAACATTACAGTTTTGGATCATTAAATGAATGGACTTGGTGATATAGTACTAACAAGCACGACCTGAATTCTGGGAGTAAGTGGTTTTCTAGTTCATGGGGGAGGAAAACAGATACGTGCAAGATCTCCAGAGGAGAACAGAACCATGGTACTCAGTGAGTCACCAAAGGGCTTTGGCTTCAACTCACTAATGGCTGGAACAAGTGCCAGTCTTGGTCAGCCATCCAGGATTTTCATCACAGCAAATCAAAATCTCCAATTTTTCAAACTAATTGTAGGTAGAAGAGAGAGAATAACTCCAAACTGTCTTATAAAAGGATCTAGATGACTACTGAAGTGTCCTCCATTCATGAGTTGGCAAAATCTTCAGAGTGACTGTTGGAGCAAGGAGCCTTTCATGTGCTCCCAGTTATTATATAGTGCATAGAGGCTGGTAAGTGTTAGTCCTGTCAGACCACCTCGTGCTATCCCTCGAAGACCACCTGGGAAACAGAGACAAAAGGAAAATGAAATAGCTGTATATTGCATAGTGCCCTAGCACGATAGGGTTAAATAAAAAGTACTGTGAAATGGGCTGGGCACGGTGGCTCAGGTAATCCCAGCACTTCGGGAGGCCGAGGTGGGTGGATCGCTTGAGGATAGGAGTTCAACCAGCCTGGCCAACATAGTGAAACCCTATTAAAAATTCAAAAAAATTGGCTGGGTGTGGTGATGTGTGCTTATAGTCCCAGCTACTTGGAGGCTGAGGCAGGATAATCACTTGAACCCAGGAGGCTGAGGTTGCAGTGAGCTGAGATCATACCACTGCATTCCAGCCTGGGCGACAGGATGAGACAAGTGAGACTCCGTCAAAAAAAAAAAAAAAAAAAAAAAATACTATGAAATGGAGAGACCATTTTAAAAATAAATCAATATTCCATCTCAAAAAGGAGACAACGTTTTTAAAGTAATACCACTTGTGTAATACATATGACTTAACATTTTCATATTCATAATTTTTTTCCCCCTACTTTCCAATTTGTTCCTATGGCAGTTTATTACGGAGTTCCAACTAGAACAGTCGTTTCCTGCTAGTAATATGATTTAGAACTCCACTAGCACTGTCAATGGATTTAAGTCTGTAATGTAAACAAGGTGACACCCTATTTGGAAAGAGTATTAACAACCTTTGGACTCTGGATGGGTCCTCCAAATATTAACCTTGAAGATTAGTGACGGCCAGGCATGGTGGCTCACACATGTAATCCCAGCACTTTGGGAGGCTGAGGCAGGCTTGAGCTCAGGAGTTTGAGAACAACCTAGGCAACACGGCAAAACCCTGTCTCTGCAAAAAATAGAAAAATTAGCTTAGTGGGGTGGCATGCGCCTGTGGTCCCAGCTATTTGGGAGGCTGAGGTAGGAGGATCGCTTGAGCCCAGGAGGTCGAGGCTGCAGTGAGCTGAGATTACACCACTGCACTCCAGCCTGGGTGACAGAGTGAGAAAGAAAAAAAAAATGTGGTAAGATAGCTATAATCACACTTTGAGTTAGATGCTGGTGACCACCCCCCACTTCATGCACTGACGCATCAATCTCCCACAATTAAAAAACAGTGAGTGACACCTAGCATCATGCTAGTTGAAAAGAACTCAAGAATTACAGATATTGAACTACCTGCTTGATAACAAGTGAACAATTTTACATGTGGCAAAAGATTAGCAACAAGGATTTCACTTGCAATGGAGAAACAAAAATATTTCAATCGGTTACTTAAAAATAGTCCCCAAGTGTAAATAAAAGGAAGCTACAGATAAATTTCTCAAAATAAAAAGGCCTAACTGCTTATGGTTATAAAATGTTAGTCTTACAAACGTAATGTGGCAAAGAGAAACCAAGCTACAAAACTCCTCAGGAATGGGGGTGCCCAAAGCAGCTTTTTAAAAAATGTGAAGTCCTCAAGCAGCTCCATGAGTAGGGATCATAAACTTCAGGTAGCCATCTTTGTACCTAGAGTGTATTTGTTCCAAGTCATGTGTTAGGGAGACAGAGGTAGAGCGGAGTTGTGGGGGTGGCTAGAGGCCCTTTTAGCTCCGTGCCTGTCAATTCTGTGACATTCAGTGATGTTGCTGAGTTACAACATTTCAGAACTAACCATTTCTGCAACGAGCGTCCTACCAGATGGCTTCAGCTGATGGATTAAAGGGCCACTCCCCCTCCAGGAATCTCTCCAGTCTGAAGACTTCTGATAGCTGACCTGCTTACGTTCTTCTTAGTTTTCCAATGCTAAGTGTCATAATTATCTCTCTCAAACAGAAACTGCAGACATTATCTATAAACAGCTGTCATGTAGGGGGACCAAAAACATTTTTAAGAAACCCAAAAAAACCCCACTAAAAGTATAACATGAGGTATCTCCTTGAAGTTCACATCATCTCTTTGTGAACTTGCCATATTCAGACTGTAGGCACAGCAATTAAACTTCCAACTGTATTCAATGTGGTTGAAAAATTGTACTAATTGGAAAATAGTGTATACTCAAAATAATCTGTTCAGTTTAATAAGGATCGACCTCATGTCTCTGCCTAGTAAATCAGTAAAAAGCTGCAGAGCTGAAAGTGAACTAGACCAAATTCCTAATGTGGAAAAAATAAGCCATGAGGCACAGGAGAATAAATGCTAAAGGTATCTGCAACAGCATTGCTATCGCTCAGTTATTAGATCTAATTTTGAGTGTAATAAGGATTCTTCCAAGCAGGTAGCCAAAATGTAGTAACTCAAAACCCCATTCTGAATGTAAGACCAAGCAATAGCCAAGGTGCCCTCACTGCTGTTTGTCAGTGGAAAAATGCTGGTGGGCCGGTAATTGAAAACACAATACTTTTGCAGACACTATTTCCTATAACCACACATTCAACTTCAGATTAACTCCCCTGAACCTATAAGTCAATAATCCACAGGACTGTGAAGTCAGTCCATGGGCTTTGGAAAGAGCTGCAAAACCACTGCTTCTAGCTGGTTCTTTGCTTTGTGCATTCTAAGAACATGGTATCTACTTGGCCCTTGTGGAAGGATTCTCACATTAGTTCTCAGCCATCAAATAACAAGCTTCCCTGGGAATCCTCTTTGGCATATGCACTAGGGGTAACATAGTGACAGTGGAATCTATAAGGCTTTAAGATACTTGGGGGCTGGACGTGGTGGCTCACACTTGTAATCCCAGCACTTTGGAAGGCCAAGGTGGGCGGACTGCTTGAGCCCAGGAGTTCAAGACCAGCGTGGGCAACATGGTGAGACCCCATCTGTTGCGGGAAGTCAGGGACCCCAAACGGAGGGACCGGCTGAAGCCATGGCAGAAGAACATGGATTGTGAAGATTTCATGGACATTTATTAGTTCCCCAAATACTTTTATAATTTCTTATGCCTGTCTTTACTGCAATCTCTAAACATAAATTGTGAAGATTTCATGGACACTTATCACTTCCCCAATCAATACCCTTGTGATTTCCTATGCCGCTGTCTTTACCTTAATCTCTTAATCCTGTCAGCTGAGGAAGATGTATGTCGTCTCAGGACCATGTGATAATTGCGTTAACCGCACAAATTGTAGAGCATGTGTGTTTGAACAAATATGAAATCTGGGCACCTTGAAAAAAGAACAGGGTACCAGCAATGTTCAGGGAATAAGAGAGATAACCTTAAACTTTGACCGCCAGTGAGCCAGGTGGAACAGAGCCATACTGTTCTTCCTTCAAAAGCAAATGGGAGAAATATCGCTGAATTCTTTTTCTCAGCAAGGAACATCCCTGGGAAAGAGAATACGCGCCTGGGGGTATAGGTCTATAGATGGCCCCCCTGGGTGTGGCCATCTTTTATGGTCTGTAGACTGTAGGGGTGAAATACACCCCAGTCTCCCATAGCGCTCCCAGGCTTATTAGGAAGAGGAAATTCCTGCCTAATAAATTTTGGTCAGACCGGTTGCTCTCAAAACCTTGTCTCCTGATAAGATGTTATCAATGACAATGGTGCCCGAAACTTCATTAGCAATTTTAATTTCGCCCTGGTCCTGTAGTCCTATGATCTCGCCCTGCCTCCATTTGCCTTGTGATATTCTATTACCTTGTGAAGTACTTGATGTCTCTGACCCACACCTATTCGCACACTCCCTCCTCTTTTGAAAATCCCTAATAAAAACTTGCTGGTTTTTGCGGCTTGTGGGGCATCATGGAACCTACCGACATGTGATGTCTCCCCCGGATGCCCAGCTTTAAAATTTCTCTCTTTTGTACCCTGTCCCTTTATTTCTCAAGCTGGCTGACGCTTAAGGAAAATAGAAAAGAATGTACGCGACTATCGGGGCAGGTTCCCCGATACCCATCTGTACAAAAAAATGTAAAGAATTAGCTAGGCATGGTGGCATGCATCTGTAGTCCCAGATATTTGGGAGGATGAGGTGAGAGGATTGCTTGAGCCTAGGAGGTGGAGGTTGCAGTGAGCCAAGATCGTGCCACTGTACTTCAGCCTGGGCAACAAAGCCAGACCTGGTCTCAAAAAATAAAAAAAAATTTTAAAAAGGCCTGGCATGGTGGCTCACGGCCTGTAATCCCAGCACTTTGGAAGGCCAAGGTGGGCAAATCACTTGAGGTCAGGAGTTCAAGACCAGCCTGGCCAACATGGTGAAACCCCATCTCTATTAAATATACACAAATTAGCCAGGTGTGGTGGCAGGCACCTGTAATCCCAGCTATGTGGGAGGCTGAAGCAAAAGAATTGCTTGAACCTGGTGGGTGGAGGTTGCAGTGAGCAAAGATTGCATCACTGCACTCTAGCCTCGGCGATACAGCAAGACTCTGTCTCAAAAAAAAAAAAAAAAAAAGATATTTGGGACACCAGTAACATATTAAATAATTTACTCCCCCAAAAGCTTTCTATTTTCTTGCCAAATGAATCAAAAACTTAGTTCAAATCGATGAAGTTACTTCTTAAAAGCCAGAGAGAAAAAAAATCAACTCCAACAAGACACTAAACATTGGTGTTTGTACTTATCACATAGCATCTTTACTCAAGGGTGGCCTTTTACCACATACCAGCCATGTTCTAATTGTAACTGTTTCCGTTAATTCCAGGGTTTCCCAATTGGTTGATGTGTTTGCAAGTTTAAGGGTCTCTAGGGTTTCTTTACTCAAACAACTCTACACAACTAAGCACAGGAAGTTGATAAGCAAAGGTACTTGCTTTGAACAGAGTAACCAAATAAGGCCAATGGTCAATCTCTATAAAGCAAAGCAAATATGACTTGTGTTTCAGTTTTACCTCCTGTATTTTGGGATCCTTATGTAGTTCTTCCAAAGCGATAGGCAAGCACCACCTCTTCTATACATGAGAAAATGAGGCCCAGAATATTTAAGTGCCTTGTTTGTGGGATATAGGGTTGATTAGTGGCAGAACTAATGCATTCAAATGACAATGACTTTAAAGCACAGATTAACATGTATCTTTTTTAAAAGGGCCAGATAGTAAACATTTTGGGCTTTGAGGGTCAAAGGCTATTGTTATGTAGGTACTTATATAACCATTTAAAACGTAACTAAAAAACGTAAAACACATTCTTAGCCTTCTCACAGCAAATAAACAGGCAGCTGGCCAGCAGGAGTTGGTGGCTCCTGTTCTATAGGAACAGCCTTACCTACATACTAACATGACTACTAAATGCCATTGTTGAGGACTGTCAGCAGCTGTCTTAAAATTTTAAAAAAACTTTATTCTTTTAAGAATTATGGTACAATACATGTAACATAAATTTTACCACCTTAACCATTTTTAAGTGTACATTTCAGAGGCATTAAGTACATTCACACGGCTGTGCTATTACCAACATCTACTTTTCCTTTATTTTTTCTTCTGAGACAGGGTCTTGCTCTGTCGCCCAGGCTGGAGTGCAGTGGTTTGGTAAAGGCTCACTGCAGCCTCGACCTTCTGAGCTCAAGTGATCCTCCCACAACAACCTCCTAAGTAGGTAGGACTACAATCATGCACCACCATACCGGGCTAAATTTTTTGTAGAGATGAGGTCTCCCTATATTACCTAGAGTGGTCTTGAACTCCTGGGCTCAAACAATCCTCCTGCCTCAGCCTCCCAAAGTGTTGAGACTACAGGCGTGAGCCACGGTGCTCTGTGTACCAACATCTATCTTCAGAGGACTCTTTTCATCTTGCAAAACTGAAACTCTCTGCCCATTTAGCAATAACTACACCCCATCCCAGCCGTCTTCCATTCTACTTTTTTTCTGTATGAATCTGACTATTCTAAGTACCTCACATGAATCTGACTATTCTAAGTACCTCACATTAGTAGAATCACACCATTTTTTTTTATAGATGGCCTATTTAGCATAATGTACTCAGAGTTCATCCATGTCTTACCATCTGTCAGAATTTCCTTTTTAAAGGCAGAATAATATTCTATTCTATGTATATACCACATTTTTCTTTTTTGGAGACAGGGTCACCTAGGCTGGAGTGCAGTGGCATGATCACGGCTCACTGCAGCCTTGACCTCCCCAAGCTCAAGTGATCTTCCCACCTCAGCCTCGGGAGTAGCATGTACCACCATGCTTAGCTCATTTTTTGTATTTTTAGTAGCTATGTTGTCCAGGCTAGTCTCCAATTCCTGGGCTCAAGCAATCTGCCCATTTGCCTGCCTTGGCCTCTTAGAATCTATCTTTTTTTTTTTTTTTTTGTTTGACACAGGGTCTCACTCTGTCGTCCAGGCTAAAGTGCAGTGGCACAATGAAGGCACACTGCAGCTTTGACCTCCTGGGCTCAGGTGATTCTCCCATCTCAGCCTTCCCAGTAATTGGGACTACAGGTGCCCACCACCAAGCCCGGCTAATTTTTTGTATAGACAGGGTTTCACCATATTGCCCTTACACTCCTGGACTCAATCTGCCCACATTGGCTTCCCAAAGTGCTGGGATTATAGACATGAGCTACCACACCCAGCCTGTATGGCTGTTGTGAATAATATGCTGTTATGAACATGGGCACACTAAACACCATTCAACTTAAAAAAATAATCAAAGCCTTAAGAACTGAACCAAAATGGCTTAGGTGAAAATAAAATACCAAACTCTGCTCTAAGAAAAGGAAAGAACATTCACTGAATTATACCTTCAGCAATAAGCACTTAATGGAACTTGTTTCATTTAAAATGCACCACAATCCTGTAAATTGATAATCATCATACCCCAATTTTATAGATGAGCATGGTATTAGGCGGACCTTTTTCAAAAGGTCATACAGCTAGTGACGAATATTTCCAAATTTTTCATAACATTTCTTTTTTTGAGACGGAGTCTTGCTCTGTGGCCCAGGCTGGAGTGCAGTGGTGTAATCTCGGCTCACTGCAAGCCTTGCCTCCCAGGTTCACGCCATTCTCCTGTCTCAGCCTCCCTAGTAGCTGGGACTACAGGCACCCACCACCATGCCCGGATAATGTTTTTGTATTTTCAGTAGAGACGGGGTTTCACTGTGTTAGCCAGGATGGTCTCAATCTCCTGACATTGTGATCCTCCCGCCTTGGCCTCCCAAAGTGCTGGGATTACAGACGTGAGCCACTGTGCCAGGCCTAACATTTCTGTTTTAAATAGCTTAATTAACTACACATGTTCTATATTCTTGCCTCCGAAAGGCAGCATTTTTTGTTAGGTTGGTTTATTATGCATCAGACACTTGATTCGCTGAGGAATTCTGTTTTTCAGTAATTCATCCACCACAAATATCACGTAGCATTTTGACTCCACAGACCTAAGAGTCTTAAGTCTTAAAAGGATTGTAAAATCTAAGTTTTTCTGAGATATCTGAGAGTAAGAGGCTTTTTTCTATTGAAAATAGGTTGCATTTCAAACTTTATCCGTAAGAGCTCACAACACTTTCTCCAACATGCATGCCCATGTGCTCACTTAAACAGAACTCTGAGTGAGACAGTAAATACCTCATATGCCCTTGAAAATTTTACCTTGGCATAGAAAAACCTTGTTAAGAACCTAAAAATAATTTCACTTTGAAAGTCTTTAGGGTTAGACAAATGTTAAACTTCAATTGGCAGTACAAGGGCAGCACTCAAGCCAGCAAGAGTTTTGTTGGGCCAAATTATGTTGAAAAAGATCAAATATTTTAAAAACAGGAGATTTCACATAAAAATCTGGGATTCCAGCTTCTTCTGAATAAATGAGGTACACTAATTATGCAGAGTGGCAAATGGCTGGAGTTGAGTGGGAGGTGTTTCTAGCCCATCAGATAGGCATGGAAGCTCCAGCTCAGCCCCCTCCACTCCATTTTCTAACACAAGGGAAGCCACTATAGTATGGCATCTAATTTAAGGCATATTATATGTATTCTTAAGACAGAGGAAAAGGCTGAATATTTGATATTATCAAAAGAAATTAGAGTCTAACTTTCTGTGGCAAGGACCTTCTTGCAGTAGTAACATAACATAGTCTGGAACACCTCCAACATAAATTATGAAAAGAAAGCTCTTGGCTCAGAAGAGAAAAAGCAAAAAAGAATACTCATTAATTCTATGTCACAGGACAAATAGATTTCAATTTCCATTGCAATTGTAGAAGAGGTAAATAATCTGCTGACCCAGAATTCCAACATGGACTCACACTTCCTGTCTTAATAACTCGAAACACTGAAATCACTCTAACAAAGGCAAATCAATGTCTTATTAATTTCTGGTTAAAAACAGACCCAGGAAGACAGGGCACAGACATAAATTTTGTGTGGTGGGAATACAAATATAACTTCAACTTCCAGATTCATAGATTTGGAAATGACCTTAGGCACTCTAAGTATAGCACCACTGAAGAAGTTTACATTTAGGGAATGGCTAATCCCTGCTGATCTAAACTATTTCCAATCCCCAATGTACTCTTTAAATACAGAAATTTAAAAAAAGAGGGGGCCGGGCGCGGTGGTTCACACCTGTAATCCCAATACTTGGGAGGCCAAGGCAGGGTGGATCGCTTGAGCTCAGGAGTTTGAGACTAGCCTGGGCACCATGGTGAAACCCCGTCTCTACAAAAAACACAAAAAAATTAGCCAGGCATGGTGGCGTGTGCCTGTAGTCCTAGCATCTTGGGAGGCTGAGATGGGAGCATCACTTGAACCTAGGAAGCAGAGGTGGCAGTGAGCCATGATCACACCACTGTACTCTAGTCTGAGACCCTGTCAAAAAAAAAGGAAGGGCTCAACATAGTAGGTACAGAGCTATTTTAATAGAAAGATCATGAGGGAAAAACTAGCAGCTGTCAGATAGAGAGTAATTTATTTTATTCATTTATTTATTTTTATTTTTATTTTTTTGAGACAGAGTTTCGCTCAGCTGCCCAGGCTGGAGTGCAGTGGCGCAATCTTGCCTCATGGCAACCACCATCTCCTGGGTTCAAGTGATTCTCCTCTCTCAGCCTCCCAAGTAGCTGGGATTACAGGCACCCGCTATCATGCCCGGCTGGTTTTTGTATTTTAGTAGAGATGGGGTTTCGTCATGTTGGCCAGGCTGGTCTTGAACTCCTGACCTCAGGTGATCCACCTGCCTCGGCCTCCCAAAGTGCTAGGATTACAGGTGAGCCACCACACCCAGCATTTCGTATTTCCTTTCATTTCATATTTAATTTTGTTTCATTACTTCATCATTTCATTTCAAGATGGAGTCTCACTCTATCACCCAAGCTGGAGTGCACCACCACACCCGGAATTTTATTATTCATTTCAATATTTCATTTATTTCTTCATTTCATTTCATTTCACCCGGTGTTTCATTGTTCATTTCATTATTTCATTTCATTTCATCCCATTTCATCTCATGTCATCTCATTTCATTTCGAGATGGAGACTTGCTCTATTGCCCAGGCTGGAGTGCACCACTGCACCCGGCATTTCATTATTCATTTCATCATTTCATTTCATTTCACCTGGCATTTCATTATTCATTTTATTATTTCATTTCATTTATTTCATTTATTCTCTTCATTTCATTCCATTTCATTTCGAGACAGAGACTTGCTCTATCGCCCAGGCTGGAGTGTGCCACCACACCCGGCATTTCATTATTCATTTCATCATGTCATGTCATGTCACATCATTTCATTCTGAGACAGACTCGCTCTATCGCCCAGGCTGGAATTCAGTGGCGCGATCTCTGCTCACTGCAACCTGAGGTCGGGAGTTCGAGATCAGCCTGACCAACATGGAGAAACCCCGTCTCTACTAAAAATACACAAAATTAGCCAGGCATCGTGGTGCATGCGTGTAATTCCAGCTACTCGGGAGGATGAGGCAGGAGAATCGCTCGAACTCAGGAGGCAGGAGGCAGAGGGTGCTGTGAGCCGAGATCATGCCATTGCACTCCAGTCTGGCCAACGAGAGTGAAACTCAGTCTCCAAAAAAAAAAAAAAAAAGTGATGGTAGATGCTCACACTGGCAAACGTTAGCAAGTACTAGAAGGGTCATTTGGCAGTAGTCATTCACGTTTTAAGCATGCAGATAATTTGCTCAAGTAACTTAATTTTTAGCAATTTATCCTACAACTAAAATGTATGTGCAAAACTGTATGTACTACAGTGTTTAAGGCCTCAAAGAAAAGGTGGTATCTGAACAAAGATGGACAGATGATGCAGCATTTGAGGTAGGTATCTGGAAGGATTGTTCTAGGAAATGGTAACGGCAAGAACAAAGGCCCTGAAGTGGGAGTTAAAAGACAATGGGAATAGGAGTAGAATCTGGAGTCATCAAAGTGGCAAGGGAGCAAATTACAGAGAAGATAGAGCCACTTTAAAGAATCTGGCTTGGCCCGGCGTGGTGGTTCATGCCTGTAATCCCAGCACTTTGGGAGGCTGAGGTGGGCGGATCATGAGGTCAGGGGATCGAGAACATCCTGGCCAACATGGTGAAACCCTGACTCTACTAAAAATACAAAAATTAGCTGGGCGTGGTGGCGGGCATCTGTAATCCCAGCTACTTGGGAAGCTGAGGCAGGAGAATCGCTTGAACCCGGGAGGTGGAGGTTGTAATGAGCCAAGATTGTGCCACTGCACTGCAGCCTGGCGACAGAGCAAAACTCCGTTTAAAAAAAAAAAAAAAGGAAAAAAAAGCTTAATTGGATTTTGATTGCTACCTTCTAATCATTTACTCATAAGCCTCCAAGTGTTTATAAAACTTCTAAAGAGTTAAGTTTCACAATTCTCCTAAGGAGAGTCTACGCATATTGAGATGTTAATGCAGGGTTTAGAAACTGTCAAAAACTTTCATAAGACCCTCAAAGAGATCTAGGACAATTCCTCCCACCCACAGAAAAGCAATCACCCAAACAACTGAGAATCAGTGGCAAAAAAACTCTCCTAAAAGGACACAGTACTATGGGGAGTCAAAAACAATTCAGGCAGCTGGGCACAGTGGCTCACGCCTGTAATCCAGCAACTCAGGAGGCTGAGGTGGGAGGATTGCTTGAGGCCAGCCTGGGTAACATAGCAAGACCCCATTGCTAAACAAAAAAAGAAACAATGAAAAAAATTAGCTGGGTGTGGTGGCATGCACCTGTAGTCTGAACCACTGGGCAGGCTGAGGTGAGAGGATCCCTTGAGCCCAGGAGTTCAAGGCTGTAGTGAGCCATGATGGCACCATTGCACTTTAGCCTGGGTGACAGAGCAAGACCCCAACTCAAAAAAAAAAAACAAAGGAAACATTTTAGTGAGTTTAGTCTTGCCTGGAAGAGACAAGTAAGGGACAGATGGGGGCAGTGGTGAGGGAGCCCAGGACAGCTAGCTGCTATGCTATTCAAAGTCACATATATTGCTTCCACAATATAACAAAACAGAAAGAAACCACCAAACAGCAAACAGTCTTCTAGTAATCCAATCATCATTTTTTTCTTTTTTCTTTTCTTTTTTTTTTTGAGACAGAGTTTCACTCTTATTGCCCAGGCTAGAGTGCAGTGGCGTGATCTCGCCTCACCGCAACCTCCACCTCCCAGGTTCAAGCAATTCTCCTGCCTCAGCCTCCCGAGTAGCTGGGATTTCAGGCATGCGCCACCACACCTGGCTAATTTTGTATTTTTAGTGGAAACCGGATTTCTCTATGTTGGTCAGGCTGGTCTTGAACTCCTGACCTCAGGGGATCCACCCGCCTCAGCCTCCCAAAGTGCTGGGATTACAGGCATGAGCCACCGTGCCCAGCTGACCCAATCATCTTTCATTTCAACCTTTTCCTCACCATCTCTTCAACTAATACTTTTCCTGGACCATTTTGACTTCAGGCTTCTACCTCCAATCTATTTTATCTACCCACCACTTCTAGCTTAATCTTCCTCAGAGATAATTCTAATCCTCTGTCCAAAAAACCTTTGATGACATGCTGCCTTTCTATGTAATTTTAAGCTTCTTACTTTAGCTTTCCATGCCATAAGCCTAAACTATCTTCCCAGACTTTTCTCCCACACCTTCCTTATATGTATCGTATAATCAAACAGATACATCAGAAAATTCAGTCCATTCTTAAGGTCTGGCTCAACTGTTATTTATTACTTCTTTCCCTTTTCTAGAAATTTTCCTGATTTCTCTATCCTGGAGGTAATTTGGTTTGGTGAGAAAGACAACGGGCTTTGGACTCAGACTAGAGTTTGATGCACTAGACCGTGACAGAGCTGTGTGAGCATGTGGAGGTAATTTAACTTGTCTGAATTTTAGTTTGTCTATAAAACAAGGGAGTACCAGTCTACTACCTTCAGAGAATGGTAAATGAGCTGACCTATATAAAGGATGTGACCTCCTTTCTACTTTAAGCGTATTTTGTACAATTCTTAGCGGAGTTAACACAGCTTTCCTCTTGGAAGTCAACAGACAATATGTAAGACTGAAAAGTCAAGAAAAATCAAGATAATAATATTATTTAAAAACATGAAAATAAAAAATAATGAATTAAAGCAGCCTAGGCATGGTAGCTCACATCTGCAATCCTAGCACTTTGGGAGGCTGAGGCAGGATGACTGCTTGAGCCCAGGAGTTCAAGACCAGCTTGGGCAACACAGTGAGACCCCATCTCCGATAAAGAAAAAAAAAAATAATTAGCTGGGTGTGGAGGCGTGTGCCTGTAGTCCCAGCTACTCAGGAGGCTGAGATGGATCACCTGAGCCCAGGAGGTCAAGGCTACAGTGAGCCTTGATTGTGCCACTGCACTCCAGCCTGGATGACAGAGTGAGACTCTGTCTTAAAAAAAAAATTAAAATAAGCTGGGAGTGGTGGCTCACGCCTGTAATCCTAGCACTTGGGAGGCTGAGGAGGGTGGAACACCTGAGGTCAGGAGTTTGAGACCAGCCTGACCAATATGGTGAAACCCTGTCTCTACTAAAAATACAAGAATTAGCCAGATGTGATGGTATGTGCCTCCAGTCCCAGCTACTCAGGAAGCTGAGATGGGAGAACTGCTTGATCCCAGGAGGTGGAGGTTGCAGTGAGCTGAGATCATGCCACTGCACTCCAGCCTGGGTGACACCTAGACTCCGTCTCAAAAAAGAAAAAAAAAAAAAAAAAAATTAAAAGTTGCCTTTGGGAAAAGGGAATTAAGGTGAGACGTATAGAACACTGTTGCACATCACTAAAATCTTTTAGATGTTAAAAAGATAAAAACCTTGACTTAAAAAATCATGTATGTGGATTAAACATCATTAAAATCTTTTAGATGTTAAGATAAAAACCTTGACTTAAAAAATCACGTATGTGGATTATTTTGATAAAAATAAAAATTAAGTAGCCAAAGATGTATCAACACAATAAAAAAGCTAAATTAGGCATTACTTGAATGTATGCTTCTAAACTAGTAAAACTTATCACAGAAGAGAATTATCTGACCCTTGACAGCAACACGTTGATCTCCCAGTAGAGTAAGATGATCATAGGAATAAGATGCTCTAAATTGACTTACAGGGAAGCCATTCCTGGGCTTTGACCTTGTGTGTGTCTTGTGATAGTTTAATATGCTGATGTCACAGGTCAAACTATTGTTTAAAACAAAACCAACAATTCTGAATATTCTATTGCTTAGTCTGTCCAAGATTAAAAAAACTAAACTAAAATGAATGAAAAATACAGAAAAGAATCTTATATTCTTAATGTCAAAAAACCACCATAAACCATATGATCCAAGAATTCCACTTCTGCACATATATCCAAAAAAAGAAAGAAGGACCTTGAAGAGATATTTGTACATCCATATTCGTAGCAGCATTATTCACAATAGCCAAAAGGTAGAAGCAACCCAAATATTCCTTGATAAAAGAACGCACATGCAAAATGTGGTATACATACACAGAATGAATATTATTTAGCTTTAAAAAGGAAGGGAATTCTGGCACATGCAACAACATGGATGAACCTTGAGGATATTATGCTACGTAAAATAAGCCAATCAAAAAAGGACAAATATTGTATGATTCTACTTATATGAGGTGCCTAAAGCAGCCAATTCAGAGACAGAAAGTGTAACATTATCAAGAGCTAAGGAAGTGGTAAATTGGGAGGCTTAATAGGTACAGAGTATCAGTTTTGCAAGATGAAAAAGTTCCAGAGATTGGTTATATAATCATGTGACTATAATACTAATGTACTGTATACTTAAAAATGGTTAAGATGGGTAAATCTTATGTTTATTTTACCACAATTAAAAACCAAACCAAACCAAAATAACCATAAAGTTAGAACACTAGATTATACTGCAACAGAGTGTAATTTCCTTGAAAACCATGAATTTTAAAAAGCGCACTTCAAGTGTATTAAGAGATGGCTCCCCATTCAACAGTACTCACCTGTACATTTATACAACATGCCTGTCATGGTTCCAGCTGCTACTGTGTTAAGGTCATCTTCTGCACCTCGTGTTTTCTCAATGATGACACCAAATGCACTATAGAGCAAAGCTAAAGAGGAAATGGAAGTGCTCAGTGACAAAACAGTGATAAAGTGTGATATTATGATATACATATATTGGTTTTCATCCATGGTTCCTAGCTCATAACTCCCATAGCCCTTCCTAAGTGACTAAAACAATCACTTGTTAAGGTATTTGTCCTTGGTTCTGGAATCAGCTTTGGAACAGCTTCAGAGGGACAAAGGTGAAGGTCTTTTGTTGTATTACTGGGGCACTTCAGGCCTCAGAAGCAGCCTCAGAAACAGAATCTCTCTCTCTGACCTTCTCCTGCCCTCCTTTCACCTACTCCCTTTTCTCCCCACAGCAGGACTCTAATCTTTCCCCACACCTTTCTGTCTTGGAACTGGCCATAAAGAAATTCTATGACCTACCTTGTCTGATTGCAGGCTGTAAGACCCCCATTTCAGAAAAGATCGTACCCCATACCCAGGAAGAAGAAATGCTGCACAGAAAGGCCAAGGGAGAATCTGGGCAGGCAGGCCTTGCTGGGTTTCTGTGCCCAGTCTATTAGTAGTAGAGCATGCCCTTTTTGTCCAATCACAGTTCTATAAGGTTGTCCATGCTTCAGTCATGCCTATCCAATCAATTTTCCACATGAGGCCCAAGTGGATGGGGTCGGAGGACTTTCTGGACAGCTGAACTCATGGGACTTGCAGGAAAGTGAGAAAGAACTCACCCACGTGTCAGGAGGCTAGTGCACCCCAACTCCAGTGAAATGAAAGCTCCTGCACTCAGGGCCCATCCAGGCCTCACCTTATGTATTCCTTGACTGGGCTATTTGTATCCTTTAAAAATATCCAGCCAGGTGTGGTGGCTCACAAAGTTTCTGTAATCCCAGCACTTTGGGAGGCCGAGGTGGGAAGATCACATGAGCCCAGGAGTCAGAGACCAGTTTGGGCAACAACATAGGGATACCCCCTTCTCTAAAAAAATTTAAAAAAAAATTAGTTGGTATGGTGGTGCATGTTGCCTGTAGTCCCAGCTCCTTGAAAGGCTGAGGTGGGAGGCTTGCTTAAGCCCAGAAGTCTAGGTTGCAGTGAGCTCCACTGCACTCTAGCATGGGTGACAGAGCAAGACCCTGTCTCAAAAAAAAAAAAAAAAAAAAAAAAATCTTTATAATAAATACGCAAATGTTAAGTATGTGTTCCCTCGAGTTCTGTGAGCCAATCCAATAAATTAATCAAACCCAAAGAGTGGGTTGTGGGAAACCCTGACAAAGCTGGTTGGTCAGAAGCACAGGTAAAATAACCTGGAGCTTGCTATCAGCATCAGAAGTATCCAAAGTGGGGCTCAGTTTTGTGGGACAGAGTGCTCAACCTGCTGATCTAATGCTATCTCCAGGCAGAAGTGAAACAGGTGGACACCCAACTGGTGTCCACTGCAAGAGAGATTACTTGGTATGTGGGGAAATATTCCCACATAACTGGTCACAGAACTATCCTATGTTGACTGTTGTAGTGTGAGAGCAGAGGAAAAACTGTTTTTTTTTTTTCAACACAAAAGTCAGTATGGCAATTATATTTAGAAAAATTTATCCAAAGATATACATGGAATGATCACTAGAACAGTTTCTAATAGCAAACACCTGGCAACAAATAAAATGCCCATCAAGAGCATTTGTACCATCTGAATTGATCCAGAGAGGGACTTTTCATATAATGGAATACTATACAGTCACTTAAAAACCAGAAGAATCATTTTCACTAATAAGTAAATCAGGGACATGTGCACATGGTACACGACTGACTGGCTATGCAGAGAAACGCCTGGAAGAATTCAGAAGAAACATCAATAGTAGCTATTTCTAGAAAGTACCGCTAGGAAGTCTCAGGAAGAATATTTAAAATTTTCATTTATATGCTACCCATAATTGCTATACTTCAGATTAAAGACACACACATACACACACACACACACACACGTATTTCTAGTATAAGAAAAAATAGATTAAAAAAAAAGTGAGGTTTGATTCTCACGTATTATAACACTAGCACCATTTCATTTTAAAGTATCTTCCCCCAAGCCATCCTTCTATGCTCTTGCAGATTCCTATCTGGAACGAATGTTAAACTTTTAAACTCTTTCTCAAAATTATAGCTACACTTGCCCCTTGCAACAATACACCGCGCTCAGCCTTACAACTCCTCTACTGCAGTATTTTTATACTTCTATGAAAGCTCATCTTCCTCTTCAACTTATTTAACTGAAACTGATCACGAGCAGAACACCCTTCTTGATCATACCACAATGGGTACACAGAGGGTGACCAGCCATTCTAGTTTGTCCAGGACTGTGGGGCGGGGTGGGCGGGGGGTGATTATTGGAACATAGTTTCTTGGACTTTTCTCTGACAGTCCTACGCAGACAAGGACAGCTGACTACTCTAGGTATACAAGCAATTAAAAGAAACAGAGCGGGGTGACTCTGTAGGAGGGTGGGAGGAATGCAGACATCAGCAACATATGAAAGCAGCCATCTCTTAGGATCCAAAGTGTGAAAACTAGCTTTACAGTGTGAAGATGTACTGCTTCCAAATTCTGTGACAAGGCAGGACCTTACCCTGCCATAACAAACGCTTTTTCTATGTTTTCAATGAGTTTTCTATGTCTTCCCCTCCTTAATCTGCCACAATTTAAATTGAGATTTTCAACTAAGTTCATACAGTAGGAAAATTTTGGATGTCAGGACATAAGCCATAAGAGATCTATTGTAAGTGATCAATCATTCATAAACAATATGGTATGAAAGCATAAGGCTCTGACTAAGCACTACTAAGTTACCTTTTGCCTAGAACTGCAAACGTTTTCATTATCTACAAGGAACCTATTCCAATTGTGGCAATTAGGTGCCTGAAATCTACTCAGGTAAACAGACTAATGAACCGGCTATTAAGAAAACATAGCAAGAGGGCTGGATTAATTTATCATGTATCACTACAGGACCTTGAACCTTGCCTAACATACAAAGCTCTTTACTTTGGACCTAAATTACCTGGATTTCATTTAAACATGATTTTATTGGGTGTTGTGCTTGGAAAGGAGAGTGTGCAGTGTCCAAAAGATTTTAAAAATTCAGCAATGGTATTCAGAACGGTATTAGCACCTGAGATTATTTCATAAGTTAGTTCATGGTCTTTCCCTAAGTAGTATCTACATTATGCATTGGAATGGGTTTAAACATAATTGTCTCATATCCTAGGACCAGAATATGGGTTGATCAAATTGTTCATGATATTTGTGCATTCTTTCTTTAACAATTTATTATCAAATGAGATCTCTACTTACCCAGAGAACCTAGAGTATTAGCCCAAAGTGCCCCTTGCCTAGTCACCATATTCAAAATCCTATCAGGGCAGAAAGAGAAAGAATCTGTATTTAGAATCATTATTTCTCTAGTAACCTTTAAAAACAATAATGGCTATTTAACATGTCTAGACCCAGGGCGCAAAGTTTTTTAAATTCTAAAATACATCTTAATATCTCCGATTTCAATAAGGATGGTTTTTACTCTACATAAGTGAAAATTAGGTTAAAACTTTCAAAACTTTAGGCAAAAGTCTTAAGGACTTTTATATAAGTCCTTAATAATAATAATAAGGAAAACTCTTATTATTAAATGTATAATATAATGAATACACATTAAATATATATAAGGCTTTGAATGACAGCCTGGAATGTATCTTACAGAGGTTTACAGAAACTAATCTATGTAAAAAATGCCACTGTTAACTATGGCGAGCTAGCTTCTAAAAGGTTCTTTTTGGGAGGGGAACATATGCTTAGAATGTTAAAGATAATCAAAGTAAAGAATATCAAAGTACAGAATATAAAGTAAAGAATATCAAAGTACAGAATATAAAGTAGAATTAAAGAGAAGGAATCAGCCATCTAACTAGAATACATGGGGAAAGCACCCTGTGTCTGCTCCTAGACTAGAACCAAGCAGCCAAGGTGAATGCTCAGCACACTCTCAAGGAAGCACAGTTCTGCCTTGCACCAGTGCCAGACACCACCAGAACAGTGATGGACGCAACTGGATGAAGAGAAGACATTCTTCTCCCAGCAGTGTAACATGATCCCAGGAATGGTTCTGTCCAGACAGCTGACTACTGCTGGAAATTATGGAAATACAGTAACAAAGAGTGAAGGAACTCATTCAGTTTAATTATTAAACGACTCAATTAATGTTCTACAGAAACAAAAATTTGTATTTTCTAAAAGATTGTTTTAAAAAATCAGTAATGTTTACAAACAGAAGTATATTGTTTCTAATTATGTTACATATTTACTAACATATTTTAAGTTCAGCCATCATTTTTTCATTTTTAACAAGCATTTTAATAACTTGTTTTAAGAAAGGAAGCAAGTTGTCTTTTCTAGGAGATCTACTTCCAAATTTGTATTTAATATGATATTGGGGTTTTTGTCTCAAAATAAGATGGGAGAGGAGAAGGAAATGGGATAGAACTGGCCATGGTTGATGGTTGTTGAGGATGCGTTATGGTTCATGTGTTCACTATGCTATGTATTTTGTCTACTTTTATATATTCAAAATTCCCCATAATACAAAAACTTAAAAATATTATTGAAGCGAGGGACAAGTAATAAAAATATTGAAGGATCTAGGCTGGTAAAGCATGGACAGAGATCCACACAGTAACAGGAATATAAAAAACTTAACAGGGCTAGGCGCAGTGGCTCACATCTGTAATCCCAGCAGTTTGGAAGGCTGAGGCAAGAGGATCACCTGAGCTCAGGAGTTTGAGAACAGCCTGAGCAATACAGTGAGACCCCGTCTCTACAAAAAATTAAAAAATTAACTGGGCATGGTGGCATGTGCCTGTAGTCCCAGCTACTCGGGAGGCTGAGGTGGGAGGATCACTTGAGCCCAGGAGGTCAAGGCTACAGTGAGCTGTGATGGCGCCATTGCACTCCAGCTCAGGCAACACAGCAAGGCCCTGTCTCTCAAAAAACCACACAATTTAACAGGCCTTCCAGTTTCCCATGGTCTAATTCTAGCACATCTGGTGCCATCTGCTGGCTGAACAATATGAAAGGAAGATGGAGTTTAAAGTGTCCTAAAACAAAACAGTAGCCATCGAAGAATACATACTCATGATTCCACTTACATGAAGCATAAAAATGGGCAAAACTAAACATATTGTTTAAGGAATATCAAGAGGGACTGGCCATGTTTACTTCTTAAGTTGGGTGAAAACATACTTTCCGATCCTTTTAACTGTACTTTCCCTTCTCTGTAACTTCAAGTTCTAACAGAAAACTGTGTCTTATCCTTTTGGAATTAACTCTAATTCTAAAAATTTTATTTAAAATGTATCTGGCTCATCATTTCGGAAACATAAAGTCAAGACAGTAAGAACTTCAAGTTAAATGATGGCAGCTTGAGCCATCACTCTCATGAGCTGCTTATTCTTCATTACCATTTCCTATGGATCTGCATGCCCCCAAACAATCCAAAATTCCCATTAGCAACTCAACAATTTGAAAAGCAAGTCACATAGGGTTGGAGAATGTAACAGGTGCAGCTGAGAAGTCAGGCTGGCATAGCACTAGCTGACTGAGGGACACTGATTAAAAAAATCACTCCTTTTTAAAAGCTTAGAGTCAGTAATCTGATTCCTTAGTTGCTTTTATTTTGATTAAGATTAAAAAACAAAGACAAAAAAGCACATAACTATGCTAACCATCTGTAATCTCAAGGTTGTACTCATCAAACCAATACAACAGAGCTTAATATTCAAGTATCACTACATCAGATGGTTACAAGAGACTTACTGTACATTTCTTGGTTTGGACCAGGCCATGTTCTGGGTTTCCTTCAATCCTAGCCGAAGACCATTCATTGCACCAAACGCAGCCCCTGGTAAATCATAACAATTCACCCAGATAAAGACAGCTTTATATTAAAAAAACAAACTCAAATCTGCATAACTACACTTCTGATTCTTTTTCATTTTTATTTAATAGAAAAAGACAAATGTAAATATTAAAAAAAAAACCCTGAAACCAACATTCTAATTGCTTTTGATTTTACGCACCCTCAACTACTTGAACTGAGCACTCTTGAGAAAAAAGTATGTAACACTCACCTGTCATGCAACATCCTCCAATCGTAAAGAAGGCCAGCTCAAATCTGCCCCGGGTTTTATTAGCTCCGGTAGGTAAAATAAACTCATCTGTATCCTAAAAGGATAATAATGAAAACCAAGCTGAGTGTCCCTCAAGACACAAATCTTGTAAAGTTGCCTTTTTAACATTTCAAAGTAGTTTTTCACAGAAAATAAACCTTAAATTAACTCAAACCTATACTTAAACAAAAATAAAACTTTCTGCAGCAGTAACACCTAAATCAAAGTGAAATGAAATACGAAACATAGTTCTTAGAAGGGAGTCTCATTAAAGACTTTGTTTCCTTCAAAACGTAAATCTGATAGATTTGTGCAAAAGTGTTTAGAAAGGACAGCTCTAGAGAAAGGAACACTGAAAGCTATGAGAAGAACAGAACAGACAATCAGTCTGGAAGAAACAAATAACTTTCATTCTGTAGCAGCTATTTATTGTGCATTTTTCTATGTATAAAGCCAAATGTTCACAAACATGAGCAAAAACTAATAAAGTACAACAGTTTGGATCAATTATGCAAGGGCAAATGACCCCCTTTAATAATTCTTATCTGTTTAAGGAGTATATATTCCTTTGATACTCTCAGAAAGCTATAGACCCTATTTCTAGTAATTGCATACACAAAATGTGGCATGAACCCCTGGAAGGTCATCCAAAATACTAAGACTGAGAAATGACACTCTTAAGAGCAAAATATGGTTACCAATTTTGAAGAGTCAATGCACCTTTATGAAAAACACACTCAAAAAAACAAACAAAATTTTATCACCATGTTGGATTAAAAAAATAAAATCACACTCATTTTTGGCAAGCTTTCCAACCAAAGATGGTTAAAATAAGCCTCTAATGGCTAGGTCACACCCTTGGCAAAAAGACACATAGTGTGTTACATTTAACATAGTAAAGACCACTGACAATTAACATTCTCCTACATCCTTGTGGCAAATACTGAACGTTGATTCAGAAAATTGTATTCCTAATCAGAAAACTGTGGTTCTGCCTTGGTTTTTTCTTTCTGGCATGTGCACACATCCTCACCAAAAATTGCAAAAGTAAACAAACACATCCACTCTCATCACATAAGAATGGTCTGTTGGGCAATAATAAAATCTGAATAGATCCCATGTCATAATATAATTGTATAGAGTTTTATAAATTTTGGGTACTTCAACTTTTAAATAATGACTTAGTATTAAACTGCTTTTTGTTTGAGTTTTTAGAAATGCTAGATTCAATGTGGTAAGGTAAATAATTATTCTTCAGTCTCAGGCCATGGTTGCTGAGAAGAAAAAAAAAATTATCCTTCAATACAGAAACAGATTACTAATTAAGAATAGAAAACTTGGCCAGGCACGGTGCCTCCCGCCTGTAATCTCAGCGCTTTGGGAAGCCGAGTCGGGTGGACTGCCAGAGCTCAGGAGTTCGAGGCCACCCTGGGCAACATGGTGAAACCCCGTCTCTACTAAAATACAAAAAATTAGCTGGGCGTGGCAGTGTGCGCCTGTAGTCCCAGCTACTTGGGAGGCTGAGGCAGGAGAATTGCTTGAACCCGGGGGTGGAGGTTGCAGTGAGCTGAGATCACGCCACTGCACTCCAGCCTGGGTGACAGAGCGAGACTCCATCTCCAAAAAAAAAAAAGAAAAGAAAACTTAAAAAAAAAAAAAAGGCTGTGATGAACATTATCAAGCAAGCAAAAGTGCACGTTAGCACCAACTCATTCTCCTGCTAGTATCAACTGAAAAATATAACAAGGGTTGCAAGCAAACGTCCATCAATTCACACACAAACAAGGTTGTTATCAAAGTATGTTAATATATTGAATGTATAGAAGATTTACTAAAAACCTCTTGTTAAACCTGTTCTGCTGACACTCCAGGACACTAGTATTACTAAAATCCCAAGTACCAGAGCTTGCTGACATGGAAGATAAATCCAAGAATGGGTATCAATGTACTTGCTGGGGGAAAAGAAAAAACTTTTTTAATTTATAATTTTGCGTGTTTAACACTATGGATGTTAAAAATATTTAAATTTTCCTTATTTTTGTACCAGATGTTCACCTGGGCTAACAAAAAAATTTATTACTTGACACAATTTAAAAAAAAAAATCAATAAGGATACAAGAGTAGTGACAATACAAAAGCATTAGTAAGAGAAACTACAATACTGTATCAGATAAAAGTTGGCTAGGCACAGTAGCTCACGCTTGTAATCCCAGCACTTTGGGAGGCCAAGGTGGGAGGACTGCTTGAACCCAGGAGTTCCAGACCAGCCTGGACAACACAGTGAGACCCTGTGTCTACTATTAAACAAGAAAAAAAAAAAGTTGTTGCCAAAGTCACGACATGGTGAGTTGACAGGTACTATTTTCTTTAAGATGTCTCTAACCTTCAAAAGTATAAATAAAAGTTTTACAAAATGTAATTTCTATTATCTTTAAATTTAAGGTCTCCAGAATTATTTCCAATAACAGATGAGGTTTATAAAACACTTTTTAAAGTCTGAAGTCCCTCTAGAATTCCAATGGAAGATTAAATGTTCATGATGAAGAATGAATTCACAAGTTTTTGGGGGGATATGAAATATTTTATGTCTAACCTTAATAAGCCCCACCTAGCAATGCAGGGCCACAATGATATTGAATTTTAACTAGATCTAGAGTACAACCTCTAAGTGTAGATTCAACATTAAAGCAAAATACATGCAGCTAGTTTTGAAATTTTGAGTAAACTGACAAAGGAGTACTTTTAAAGTAAAAAAATCAATGAACACCCAATGTTAAAATATAACATTTGAAAAACATTTCAAAAATAATGAAGCTTTAAATTGGCAAGGTCCGAACCATCAACTTGCTTCAATTTGAACACTTAACGCAAACAAGAAATGCAGCAGCTGTCAGATGCCGTTAGTGATTCAACTGTGAAATAAAAGGTTCCAACCATAATGCTTAAAAAAAAAAAAAAAAAAAAAAAAAAAGGCCAGGCATGGTGGCTCATGCCTGTAATTCCAGCACTTTGGGAGGCCAAGGCAGAAGGACCACTTGAGGCCAGGAGTTAAGAGACCAGCCTGGGCAACCAAGTCAGATCACATCTCTACAAAGAATGTAAAAAAAAAAAGAATTAGCCAGGCATGGTGGTGTTCATCTGCAGCCCTAGCTATCTGGGAGGATGAGGCAGAAGGACCGCTTGAGCCTAGGAGTTTGAGGTTACAGTGAGCTATGATGCTGCTACTGCAACTCCAGTCTGGGAGACTTTGTCTCTTAGAAAAAAAAGAGAGAGAGAAAATGGAGTTACTGATCTGTATCTCATGTATCACACAATCCACTTACTTAGAGCGTACAATTCAGTGGTTTTTAGTATATTCAGAGTCGTGCAACCAAGACTACAATAAATTTTAAAGCATCTTCATCACCCCCCAAAAAAATCACATACCCATTAGCAGTCACTGCCCATTTACTCCTAACCCTTGGCAGCTACTAATCTACTTTCTTGTCCATATATTTGCCTATTCTGGACATTCCATATAAATGGAACCACACAATATGTGGTCTCTTGTGACTGGTTTCTTTCATTTAGGAAGTTTTAAAGGTTCATTTATATTGTAGCACAATTTAATAATTCTTTTTTTATTACCAAATAATATTCCATTGTATGGATATGCCACACTTTTTTATCCATTCATCAGTGGATAAACATTTGGTTTGTTTCCATTTTTTGGTTATTATGAATAATGCTACTAGCAACATTCATTTACAACTTATGTGCACAGAGGTTTTCAATTCTCTTGAGTATGGAGTATACGCAAGTGAAATTGCCAGTCATAAGGTAACTCTATTTTTAACACTTTGAGAAACTGCCAGACTGTTTCTAAAAGCAGCTGTATCATTTTACATTCCCACCAGCAATGTACAGAGGTCCAATTTCTCTACATCCTCAACAATACTCATTATTTTCTTTTTGATTATAGTGATCCCCGTGGGTGTAAAGAGGTATCTCATTGTGGTTTTATTTCTCTAATTAATGTTACTGACCAGCTTTCATGTCATTATTAGACATCTGTATATCTTCATAGAGAAATGTCTACTCAAATCCTTTGCCCATTTTGTAATTATTTTTTATTAATGTTTCAAGAGTTAAAAAAATTAAATATTCTAGATATAAATTCCTTATCAGATACATAATATGCAAATATTTTCTCTCAGTCTGTGGATTGTCTTTTCCCAATTTTTTTCCTTTTGAGACAAAGTCTCTCTCTGTCACCCAGGCTGGAGTTAAGTGGTTTGATTATGCTGAGACTTGACCTGCTGGACTCAAGTGATCCTCCCACCTCAGCCTCCCTAGTAGCTGGGACTACAGGTGCACACCACCACACCCGGCTAATTTTTGTATTTTTTTGGAGAGATGGGATCTTCTTATGTTGGCCAGGCAGGTCTCAAACTCCTGGGCTCAAGTGATCCTCCCGCCTCAGCCTCTTAAAAGTGTTGGGAGTATAGGCACGAGCCACTGCGCCAGGACTTTTTCCATTCTTTATTTATTTTTTTATTTTTTTTTTGAGACCGAGTCTTACTCTGTTGCCCAGGCTGAAGTGCGGGTGGCGCGATCTTGGCTCACCGCAACCTCTGCCTCCCAGGTTCAAGTGATTCTCCTGCCTCAGCCTCCCAAGTAGCTGGGATTACAGGCGCCCAGCACCACGCCTGGCTAATTTTTGTTTTTTAGTAGAGATGGGGTTTCACCATGTTGGCCAGGCTGGTCTCGAACTCCTGACCTCAGGTGATCTACCCACCTCAGCCTCCCAAAGTGCTGGGATTACAGGTATGAGCCACTGCACCTGGCCTCCATTCTTGTTGGTATTGTCTAAACCACAAAATTTTTAAATTCTGATTAAATACAATTTATCAACTTTCTTTTTACCACTTGTGCTTTTGGTGTCACATCCAAGAAATCACAGTCTAATCCAAAGTCACAACTACTTGTGCCCATGATTTCTTCTAAGAGTTTGACTGCTTTAGTTTACATTTAAGTCTTTAATCCATTTGGTGGTAACATTTTGCATATGGTGCAGGGTTAGGGTTCAACTTCATTCTTATGCATATGGATTCCAGTTGTCCTAACGTCTCCCCTGACTTAACTATCTTGGCATCCTTGCTGAAAAGCAAGTGACTGCATATATTGTAAGGTCTTTCTTCTGGACTCTGTATTTCATTAACTATGGATTTATTCTTATGTTACTATCATGATGTGGCTCTGTAGAAAGTTTTGAAATTGGCAAGTTCAAGTCCTCCAATCTATTTTCTCAAGGTCATTGGCCATTCTATGTCCCCTGAATTTCCATATGAATTTTAGGATAAAAGCTTGTCAATTTCTGCAAAAAAGCCAGCTGGGATTTTGACAGGCACTGCACTAAATCTGTTGGTTAATTTGGTGAGCACTGCCATTTTAATATTAAAATTTTCAGGATCATAGCATGTGTCTTTCCACTTAATTTCAATAATGTTTTATAGTTTTCAGAATATGTTTTGCACCTGGTCCATTTATTTCTAAGTATTTGCTTTTTGATGTTATTGGTAATCAACTGTTTTTTGTAATTTCATTTTTGTAGTGTTCATTGCAACTGTCTAGAAATATATTTGATTTATGTATATTGAACTTGTATTCTGCAACTTGCTGAACTCGATCATTAGTTTTAACAGATTTTTGTGATTTCCCTTGTGATTTTCTATAGATAAGATCATGTCATTTGTAAACAGATAGTTTAACTTCTTTCTCAACTTGAATGCCATTTAACGTACTTGACTAATTGCCCTGGCCAGACAATGCTGAATATAAATGAGAGTAAATATACTTATTTTGTTCCTGATCTTAGGGAGAAGGCATTCAGTCTTTCACCATTAAATTATGTTAGCTTTGGATATTCTGTAGATGGCATTTAACAGGCTGAAGTCCCTTTTATGTCTAGTTTTATTTATTTATTTAGAGATAGGGTCTTACTCTGTTGCCCAGGCTGGAGTGTAGTGGGGTGTTCTCAGCTCACTGCAACCTTTGTCTCCAGGGTTCAAGCGATTCTCGTGCCTCAGCCTCTCAAGCAGCTGGGATTACAGGTAGGCACCACCACGCCTGGCTAATTTTTGTATTTTTAGTAGAAACAGCGTTTTGCTATGTTGGCCAGGCTGGTCTCAAACTCCTGGCCTCAAGTGATCTGCCCACCTCAGCTTCCCAGAGTGCTGGGATTACAGGTGTGAATCACTGCGCCCAGCCTAGTTTGTTTTTATAATCATTAAAGGGGGTGTTGGATGTTGTCAAATGATTTTTGTGAATCTATTGAGATAAGCATGTGGTCTTTGTACTATATTCTTTCCTTGATTGCTTTATTATAAATTGATATGGCACAATACATTAATTTTCAGATGTTAAATCAACCTTGCTTTTCTAATATACCCAAGATATATTTCCTAATATATCTTGGATTCAAAAAGATACTCTTTGAAACTTTTGATGCTTAGTCAAAAAAACCCTGATATTGTAAACTGAGCTTTAAAACACACTTTGCCTGTAATCCCAGCACTTTGGGAGCCTGGCCAACATGGTGAAACCCCGTCTCTATTGAAAACACAAGAATTAGCCAGGCGTGGTGGTGGGCGCCTGTAGTCCCAGCTACTTGGGAGGCTGAGGCAGGAGGATGGCCTGAATTTGGGAGGCTGAGGTTGCAGTGAGCAGAGATCGCGCTACTGCACTCCAGCCTGGAGGACAAAAGCAAAACTCTGGCTCAAAAACAAACAAACAAACAAACAAAAAACCCCACACACTTTGTAACTAGGCATCCCAATACTTTTATTGGGGTGCTTTCAAAAATTAATTCTGCTCTGGTTTTAAAAAATAAGCTTTTGAAGGGAGTTAACTGGTTTCAGAGAGATGCAGGCCAAGCTCCTGGTGTTTGTGAGGAAAAAAGGGTGAATGGAGACCAGAGACTTACTGCCTCCAAAAGTGTATGTCATAGTTCAAGTCAGCATAGCACTTGGCGTTTTTTTTAAAATGGTAAAATAATGCACCAAACTAGTAAAATCTTAATCTTACCTGCACGAGGTATCGTGGATCCACATTTAAATAAGGAGACAGAGGGTTCATACCAGTTACTAGAGAGAAAACAAAATGTCACATTGCAACAAAATTCTTTAAGTTAATCCAGTTAGAGTTAATCCAGCTCCTGACTGTTACATGTGTTTGCAATTTTTATAGGCTCACTGAAGGCGGAAAATTTTTTCCCATTTTATCCTCCCTATCTGTCAGTTTGGGGGCTGACTCATCCTGAGACCCTCAATCCCAAACCAGGTCTTCCACTGGTGGCTCAGGCTTTTACACCAATAAGATAATTGCAGTGTCATAGATCTGATTTTTGAACTTACAGGAAGTGTAGTCCAGGCCATTTACAAAGCTAATTTCTTTCACTTTACTCCAAGAATGCTTGGTGACTATGTAAATTACAAAATAAGACTGAAAAAAGACTAATCAATTCCATGGGAAAAACAGTGGTTGGGTTGGGTTTTCTGACTGTGTACATGTTGTATCTAACTATTTCAAGGCAGTTCCTTCACATATTACTATTAACGATTGATTTACTGTGGCAAGGTTGAGAATCCTTGGGTCATTACCACAGGTATGTGGGTCTGTGCAAAAGAAAACACAAACTTTGAGAGGGCCAGACCTGAATTCACTAACATTGAAAACAGTAAAACCTATCATCTTTGGATCCTTCTGTATCTCAGCAGTTATTTACAAACCTATGCATCACCCATGCCTCTATCTTTTCATCAATTAGGAGTCCTGCTTGTTCTATTTTTAATATCTATTTTGAATTGTGTTACTTATCTTCTCTATTGCTACCATCCTAGTCCAACCATCATATCTCACAGCAACAATTTCCTAACTCCTTGCTTTCTCTTACCCCTTCAATTCACTGTCTACATAGCAACTACAGTGATTTGTCTTAAGAAAATCGAAACTCCTTACCATAACTTACAAAATCCTACATTAGCTGTCATTCCCTACCTCTCTGATTTCACAAACTTCAATGGATCCAACTCCCTTGTAACTACGAAGACAGACTGGCCTAAGAGCTGTTCCTTAAACCTGCCAAATTTGTTTTGTTTCAGGACATTTGCACTAGCTATTTTCCTGGATACTTGCCTCCCAAGCATTTGTACTGTATTTGGGTCACAGCTCAAATGTCAACTCCCTTGAGATGTTTTCCCTAACCGGCTCTAAAATGGCATCCTGCTTCCATCACAATCTCAAGACTCTGCTTTATTCCCTTTACAGCACTTATCACTAACGGCAATGTTTTAATTTATGTTTGTTGGTTTACCTCAGTATTATGTAAGCTCTGTGAGCGCAAGAGTCCTCTTTTCAAAAAAAAACAAAAAAAACCCCCACAAAAACCACTATAGTCCTGCCCCCAGAAAAGTAGCTAGCACACTGTAAAAGCTCAGTAAATGGTGTTCATTCCCTGGTCCCCCAATTTACCTTCAAATCTTAATCAAATTAATTTAACAATATTGTCACATTAAGGAAGTGTATATGCCCTTTGTGCTCTGAAACTCAGAGATACTAAGATTAATATGAAACTGTGTTCTAAACAGGTAAAGTAGTAGCTCAGGCCTAGGAATCCCAGCATTTTGGGAGGCCGAGACAGGAGGATGGCCTGAGTTCGAGAGTTTGAGACCAGCTTGGACAACACAGGGAGACCCCATCTCCACAATAAGTCAAAAAAAAAAAAAAATTAGCCAGGCGTGGTGGTACGTACCTAGAGTCCCAGCTACTTAGGAGGCTTAGAGGGGAGGATTGTTTGAGCTCAGGAGTGCGAGGCTTCAGTGAACTATAATCATGCCACCGCACCCCAATATGGGTGACAGAACGAGGTCCTGACTCTAAAAACAAACAAACAAAAAAACGAAACAAAACACCATGTGTTGTAGATTCAGTTTTTTGACAAAGGTGACACCAGGGAAATGAAAGGTCTTTTATATTTTTTTGCACTACAGTCTGAACATATTTCGTTGTTGTTGTTCCTTAGTATAAAATACCTAGAGAAATATTACAAGGATTCTCTAAAAAGAAAGTACTTTCGTAAAGGCTTTATCCACGACCAACTGCCTATCTTTAGGTCCAAGTTGTATTTATCTAGTTGAACAACCACAGTTACAAAGTACCAAAGTTCTGGAAAACATTTTCACAAGACCGAGGAGAGGCAAAGGCAAGATATTTATGCCTCTGTATACCTTGATGTTGCCTATTTCCGTTTCTATAATTCTTACCTGGCTTCTTTCTTCATGTCTATATATCACCTTTAAAGTTCAGCTTACTTCCTAGCTCCTAAAGAAGGTTTCCTAGCCTGTCCCAAGTCATTTATTTCTCACTTACAAACAATATTACTGAATATTCTGCCCTGACGGCTACTTGGAGGCTCAGAATATGTCGCTGTGTACTAAAAAGTTAACTACGGGCTTGCTATTTGGAATACATTTACTCCCAAAGCTCGGCTCTACTCTTAATCAAGGGTCAATCACACGGCCCACCACACACAAAACGTAGGAGGCTTGGATATAAACCTAAGAAAACATGCATCATCTCGCGAGTCCAGGTCAATCACGGACAGCTTCCCCAGGAGATCCGTGGCCCTTTTTTAGGCCTTTCTATCTTGAAAGAGCAGCCATGCAGATACACTAACCCCACCACTGGTACTTAAGCTTGTAAATGCCAGCAAGGAAAAAAAAAACAACAACATAAAACATGGGACGCGCAACTTAGTGTAGACGCAAAAACCAGTCAGAAATAATCGCAAGCTAGGCCCCATACTTACGCGGGACGCCAGCCAAATCCGCGTGCGAGTAACCTGCTCCGCCGGCTCCGAAAAAGCCGGCCAATCCCCCTGTGGTTTTGTTGCCGCTTCCCCCGCCTCCTTCCATGGTATCGCAGCAAACCGAGTGGTTCCCGCCGCTGCCTCAAGCCTGGGTGGTCCGCTGGGCCGTTACTCCTCAATAACAGCGGGTAACCCCGCGTTGCCAGCGCCTACTTCACACGCTGACCTTCCGGGCGCCGGTTCCCGTTAAGCGCCACACTTCCGCTTTGCGGCAATGTGCGCCCCGGAAGCTGGAAGCGCCTGACGGCAGCTTTCCGGTGGTGGGAAAGTGAACGAATCCCGAATCAAAGCGGCGCATTGAGGCAGGTGGGGTGCCAGTGGAAGAGAGAAAGCAGGCGAGTGTTTACGGCCTGACTTGGGAGGCCGGCGGATCAGCAATTGCAGAAGCAGGCAGCGGCAGAGAGGGAATGGTGCAGGCAGGCGCTGAGAAGGACGCGCAGTCCATCTCTCTCAGGTTAGTGAAATGAGGCTCTCCGCCCGGGGCCGGCCCGGGGACAGTGCGCTGCTGGTCCCAGCATGAATGCGGGCCCCGGCTGTGAACCCTGCACCAAGCGACCCCGCTGGGGCGCCGCTACAACTTCGCCGGCTGCTTCGGACGCCCGGAGCTTTCCGAGCAGGCAGAGGCGCGTCCTCGACCCCAAGGACGCTCACGTGCAGTTCAGGGTCCCACCGTCCTCGCCAGCCTGCGTCCCAGGGCAGGCGGGACAGCACAGAGGCAGCGCCACCTCGCTTGGTACGTGGGAAAATAAAAATCTTTGTCCTTCGCCTCGGCCCGAACCTTCTGGTCTCAGGGACTCCAGTCACTCCTTTCTGGTCTTGTGTGCATCATCACTCTGAGGTCCACTTGCTGAGCTACCAAAGCCACTAGTGGGTGAATGGGGCCGCATTTTTCCCAGTGCGATTGATGTGAGAAACTCTGATGAGCAGTCACTCACAGGGCGGAAAATGGCAGGAGACTCCACCACCTGTTTGCTTCTTCAGGTTTGATTGAGAAATTGCCTTAGTCGTCAAGGAGATCTAATTGTGTATGTAAAACAGTAGGGCGCTTCAGCCTCTAGATAGGAAGAAAACAACTTCACTTGTGCAGATTCTGGGTCCCAGGGTGCAGAGCTATTAGTCTAAGCTGGCATTGTACCCGTCCCTGGTATACAGTGTTGAATGAGAGAAACTTGGCCTCTGCCTTCATACCTTAAAATCTATCTGGAGAGATAGACGATAGCAAAAGTTAATATAATAAAAGGTAATGGATGTTCTGATAGATGAAAGACAGATTGTTTTACCTAACTGAATTTATGGAATCGAAAATAGTCCTCCAGAAGATGAGATGCTTATTCTGAGGACTGTAGAATGAGTAGGAGTTAGATGAAGAGGAAGTAAGAAGTGTTTCAGGAGTGCAATGGAGGCCGGGCGCGGTGGTTTTGCCTGTAATCCCTGCGCTTTGGAAGGCCGGGGCGGGTGGATCACCTGAGGTCAGGAGCTCAAGACCAGCCTTACCAATATGGTGAAACCCCGTCTCTGCTAAAAACACAAAAAATTAGCCTAGCGTGGTGGCGGGCAACTGTAATCCCAGCTACTCCGGAGGCTGAGGCAGGTGAGGCAGGAGAATCACTGGCATCCGGGAGGCGGAGGTTGCAGTGAGCCGAGAGGGCACCATTGCACTCCAGCCTGGGCAACAAGAGCGAAACTCCGCCTCAAACAAAACAAAACAAAACAAAACAAAAACAGGAGTGCAATTGATATATAGAGTGAACGCAAGAGAGTGTGAGAGATGAGGCTGCAGGGTGGTACAGAAAAGTCAGATCAAATTGGATATGTAGACATTGCTAAGGATTTTGAACTCTAAGGGCATTGATAAGCTACTCAAGGGTTTTTAGTAGGGGAGTGACTTGATTAGACTTATTTATTTGTTGAAAAGTCTGTGTGGCTGGTGTGTGGAAAATAAAGAATGGATTGAAAAGGAACTCAAGTGGAGCATCAAGACTCAGTTAAGGAGTTAATCTAGGTTGGAAATAATTGTAGCTTAGGCCTGGATGCTGGCAATAGGGAAGGGGATGGATTCATGAAAGAATGGGATACTTGAGAAGAAATATTTCTGTGCTGGAGAAGTAGATTGGGGAGTTCATGGCATAAACATTATAATGGATGCTATGGGCATAGATAACATAAACATGTAGAGAAAGTAAAGGTGACCTAGGGCAGAAGCCTTAGGAACACCAAAGTTTAAGAGTAGACTGAAGAGAAGCGGCTGTAGAGGTGGGAGGAAAGCCTGGCTCGTGTTGTGTCAGACAAAGGAGAGCATTTCAAAAAGGATGCATTCATTAACAGTGTAAGAGGCTGGGCAGAGCTCGGGCAGTTCTCTGGTGAAGAGTGTACACTTAGATGTCTTCGAACTTAGGGACAGTACCAAGTAGACTTGCACTAGGCCTTGAAGGATGAGGAAGATTTGCTGTATAAATCAAGAGGAGAAAGAATTATACACGCAGAGGGAATAAGACATGCAAAAGTTGGTAAGACTGGAGCATAAGATGACAGAGGAGTGTCTGATGAGGCTGGGTGGCAGACAGGAGCTTATGAAGAAACTCAAATTCCATTTTAAGGAATTTCAACCTTATTCTGTGGTTAATGGAGAAACCACTAAAAAGCTTTTAAGCGTGGGAATACCATTTGGTTAATATTTTAGAAAAGTGGCTTTTGGACTTTCCTAACTGCAACCCACAGCATAAATTTTATCCAGTACACAGAGTAAGAAATATATGTAACCTGGCAAATAAGCCATATTTATAACTGAAATAAATGTTTCATGAAATAATACTTAATCTTTCTATGTGTGATGCATTCTTATATTGTCTGTGTTATTTCATTGAAAAATGACTGGTCATTTGTAGTTTGTAGAACACTGGATAGTCAAGGCTGTAGACAGGGAGACTAGTTGCAAGAAACAAATGGCAGTTGTCTAGTAAGCGATGTGTTTAAAGAGTATGAGGAAGGGATGGATTTAAAATTTAGGATGTAGATTTCAGAGAACTTGGTATAGGGGAGAGGGAACTGAAGGTGAACTTCAGGTATATGTTCAGGTGTACTTCAGCTTCTGTGACTGGATAGTTTGTGGTTTCATTAACCTTATTTGCATGTAAAGGAGGAGGAGTTAGTTGCAAA
Source organism: Homo sapiens (assembly GCF_000001405.40). Lineage (NCBI taxonomy): Eukaryota > Metazoa > Chordata > Mammalia > Primates > Hominidae > Homo > Homo sapiens. The sequence continues at coordinate 45,969,514 of NC_000010.11, read as the reverse complement.
TAGGGGTGAGGGCAGTCAGTCCTCACTGGTTGGATCTTAATTAAGATTTCTGCAGAAGAGGTACCAAATGAATACTTGGGGCTGTATTTCGCATGTTTAAATGTTTTCTGTATACCTGGCACAGGACACCAATTAACAGAATGTTCAAAGACTATATTTGTATCAAAAGCCCATTGTTTGAATTTTTGGGATTCCTTTAGGAACTTGGTATTTAAATTTTTATATATAATTATCTTAGGACAAGTAGGCGGGGTAGCGAAATGGATATTTATTCAGTATCTTTAAATTTTATATTCTTTATCTTCCTGGACATATTTCTTGTATTGACTGAAATCGCTAATTTTGCTGGGCATGCACCTGTAGTCCCAGCTACTTGGGAGGCTAAGGCAAGAGGATCACTTGAGCCCGGGAGTTCCCGTCCAGCCTGAGCAACATAGCGAGACCCCACTTCTGAAAAAAGAAAAAAAAAATCTGCAAACCTGCATATTGGCAGAACTCAGCATGTTATTCACATTGTGATGACGCAGGTTTATCCAGATGTGTTGCTATAGACTTTTTGTGAAAGTGGAATGTTCCTTTGACATGCAGGTGAATTTTATTGCATTTTGTGCCTTTTGGCTGTATCTATAGCTATTAATTGAATGACTTGCTGATTAAAATATACTGGGTACTGAATAATGTTGCTGATGAGAGTAAATGTAAATGGTGTGAAGTCAAAGTTGGAGAATTATTGATCTCAGTGGAAAAAAAAAAGACTGGGTGGAAATGTCGAGAGATAACATATTGAGTGCTTTGTGAGGCTGAACACAATATTTTCTCTAATTTTTGCTTTGTAATTGATCCACATAACCCTTAGAAGTAGGTGTTGTTAGCTTCATTTTCTGGGTGAGGAAATAAAGGCTTAACGAAGTGATATTGCAAAGAGCAGTAAGCAGTCCTTTCTCTGAGGCCCTAAGAAGGACTGATCAATGTTTTATTAGCAGAAGATACTGGTTCCTTACCTCTTGCTTTTCCTCCTTCATCCCTTCCCCAGGCTTCAGGAAGCCTGAAACTGGAGAGAGAACACATTCTCAGGGTCAGGGCTACGGGAGAGAGCTCTCTTCTTCTTTGCCATCACTGGAACACTCCTGGTTTTTCATGAAATGATGTGTGCGGTCTTTAGGTTCTTTAGACTTATCACGGGAGTACATGCTTCGTGTGTGTTATAGGAACCTAGTCATTGCATCTTAACATTAATCCTTACATTTATGGAAAAAAGATGTTTTAACTTCTAAACCAACTCAAAAAATGAATGTTTTGGCATATTACTGGTTTGTAATTTGAGGATTTTTTTTTTAGTTTTTGAGACGGAGTCTCACACTGTCGCCCAGGCTGGAGTGCAGTGGCGCGATCTCCGCTCACTGCAAGCTCCACCTCCCGGGTTCACGCCATTCTCCTGCCTCAGCCTCCCGAGTAGCTGGGACTACAGGCGCCCGCCACCACGTCTGGCTAATTTTTTGTATCTTTAGTAGAGACGGGGTTTCACCGTGTTAGCCAATCTCCTGACCTTGTGATCTGCCTGCCTCGGCCTCCCAAAGTGTTGGGATTACAGGCGTAAGCCACTGTGCCCGGCCCAATTTGAGGATTTTCTAAACTATACTTGCTGTATTTGATATAAAGAAAATAAATAGAGAATACAGAACTGTAGAAAAAATTTCAGAATCAAATGGTTTATCCTCTTACTCCCTCTGACTGAAGCTCATTTTTTCTCTGAAGCCTGATCTGCTGCAGAAATGCTAAATAAAATCGTGGAAGTAATGGTGTTTAACAATAAGAAATCACTATGCGTGATTACTTTTTTGTGATAGAAACTATTTTTGAAACATTAATCAAAGATTTTTACTAGCTGGATTATAAGTATTTTGTGGAAGGTAAAGATTATATAGCAATTGAATATTTTTCTGGTATAAAATTCTCCCCATCTGAAATGTATTTCGATTATGCCATTATTTCAATGAAAAATAAACCATTGATTTTCGTATATTTGGCCTGCATCTGTTTTGCTCCATATGGTGTTTGAGGAGAGGTAGGTAAATAAGAAAGATCCTGTGACTTAGGATGCTAAGATTCTTACATTGCAATTTAGTGAGTATCTCAAATCTTAAACATTTGCGAATGTTTAAGATTTTATTTCTGATACTAAAATATGATGTACATTTAATCCCTATTCAGTATGTTAAATTTTGACAGCATACTTATTTCTAATGATTATATAAAATGTGGCTTGTATTTATTTATATTTAATCTCCCTCTCCTGAGCTATCAATTCTACTTTTGCTACTGTCTGCTGGTGTGTTGGGAAGGAAACCTTAGGAAGCCAGAAGTAGTGATATGGTTTTCTATCTAGTTACTTCTTTGGCATCTCAAATTTAGTATAGGCAGAATTGACCTAATCGTATTTCTTCCCTAAACACAATTCTCTTGTATTCCATATTTCTACTTAAGGCTGTCATCACTTTTCAAGTCTCTCAAGCTCAAAGCTTAAAGTCACTTTTAACTTCCCCTATTATTGTGAAGTCTGTAATGACTCTCCTCACTTTTACTACTCTCACAAGGACTAGTTTATGTTCTTGGCAAGTAACTGTTCAATCTAGTGGATCATCAGAATCACTTTTGGAAAAAAAAAAAATAGATTCCAGCTCCCCTCATGCCTTCATCCTACTCACATATAGATTCTGATTCAGAAGGACTGGGGTGTGGCTGGCTTCCTGATGATCCAGATAGTTTGGGAACCACTGACCTGGACTAGTAGCTTCCTCCCTAGTTTCTGGCAATACGCTCTTCCCTCTTGCCCCTCAAATTTATCCTCCAGGCTGTCATGCATGACTGTGAGCCTCCTAGATGAGAGGAATCATGTCTTTCAACACGTTTTTTGTGCTTCTCTTTGTGGGTCATTCAAGATCCTATTGTATGGTATGATCCTGGCTGACTTTTCAACCCTATTTTCTTTTGCTTTCTTTTTAAGTTCTTTATATTTCCCTGATATTGGTGCCTTTGCTTATAATTTTCTCTTTATGTGACTGCATGTTTACTTTTCAAGGCATAAGTCAAGCCTTACCTTTTCCGAAGAAATCTTACCGATTATGCCCATGTTCTCCTGTTCACTGAAGTAGTGTCTTCCTCAGAAATAACCTTAATTCCTTTATCAGGACCTCTTTTAATAATCATGATAATTAAGAATCAACATTTACTAAGCGTAAACCAGATAATGCCCTAAATGCGTTACATGAACTATTTTTACTTAATTAAGCCTTATCTCATGAGAGATAGTTATTTTGCATGTTTACAAATGAGGGATCTGAGATACAGAGAAATGACCCCTCACAGAGTAACATAGGAAGCTAATGGGAGAATCAGGATTTGAATGCAGATGTTCTGATTCCATAGCCTATGCTCTTATCCATTAGGCCATACCAACTCTTTTAGGCACCAGTCATTTTCTACCCTGTGTCATATGTATTAACATTTATGTTCCTGTCTTACCCATATACTTGAGGGCAAATACTTGAGTTATTAATCTTTTGTTTAACCCGTAGAACCTAGCATAGTTCCTTGCATGTACAATATGCTGTATATGTTTTCTATTGGAAGGAATGTATGAATATACATTTTTTTTATAGTTTTCAAACAAAAAACTATTACCAGTTGGATGGACACTGAAGGAATCAAGACAGCGGAATCAGACAGGTATAGAAACATTCCTATGTAGAGAAATGAATAATAATACATGGATGTTTTATCTTGTTGCTTTAATATTTTCTCTCTTTGTTCATGCTTTTCTGTTCTCCTTTATCTATGTTAATTCAAAATCAACTTATAAGTAATTTTTTAGAGAGTCCTGTGTGCCAGGGACTGTCCTGTATACTTGAGATACCGAGATGAGAGAGGAATAGTCCGTGTCTTTTTTTTTTTTTTTTTTGAGATGGAGTCTCACTCTGTTGCCCAGGCTGGAGTGTAGTGGCGTGATCTTGGCTAACTGCAAGCTCTGCCTCCTGGGTTCACGCCATTCTCCTGCCTCAGCCTCCCAAGTAGCTGGGACTACAGGCGCCCACCACCACGCCTGGCTAATTTTTTGTATTTTTAGTAGAGATGGGGTTTCACCGGGTTAGCCAGGATGGTCTCGATCTCCTGACCTCGTGATCTGCCTGCCTCGACCTCCCAAAGTGCTGGGATTACAGGTGTGAGCCACTGCGCCCGGCCAGTCTGTGTCTTTAAGATACTTACAGTGTAGCAGTGGCCACAGACACAAAAACACATAATTACTGCCTGGTGTGATAGATGCAATAGTAAAGGTATGAGCAAGGCACAGTGGTGGTTAGTGTGTAGAAGAAACAAATGTTCAACTTTACCTTTGGTCCCTAAAGGAAGACTGCACAGAGAGGTGAGTGACATTTATGACTTGAAGGAAAGGCGGGTGTTTGCCAGACACACAGCTGCAGGGAGGGCATTAGGGATCACATACAAAGACATGGAGTCATGGAAGACATGCTGTGTGCTCAGCTGACCACAGGGAGTTTAATTACTGCTGTGACACTGGAGGTATGATTGGATAAGTGACTTGTTTGTATTATAAGTTGTTTTTAGTTCCTTCTGTTCTCTTGTAGTTTGGATAGTAAAGAAAACAACAATACAATAATAGAATCCATGATGAGTTCTGTACAAGAAGATAACTTTTACCAACATAATGTAGAAAAATTAGAAAATGTTTCTCAGCTAAGTCTTGATAAGTCACTCACTGAAAAAAGTACACAGTATTTGAACCAGCATCAGACTGCAGCAATGTGTAAGTGGCAAAATGAAGGGAAACACACGGAGCAGCTTTTGGAAAGTGAACCTCAAACAGTAACCCTGGTACCAGAGCAGTTTAGTAATGCTAACATTGATCGGTCACCTCAAAATGATGATCACAGTGACACAGATAGTGAAGAGAATAGAGACAATCAACAGTTTCTCACAACTGTAAAGCTTGCAAATGCAAAGCAGACTACGGAAGATGAACACGCCAGAGAAGCCAAAAGCCACCAGAAGTGCAGCAAGTCTTGCCATCCTGGGGAAGACTGTGCAAGTTGTCAGCAAGATGAGATAGACGTGGTGCCAAAGAGTCCATTGTCAGATGTTGGCTCTGAGGATGTTGGTACTGGGTCAAAAAATGACAACAAATTGATTAGACAAGAAAGTTGCCTAGGAAATTCTCCTCCATTTGAGAAGGAAAGTGAACCCGAATCACCGATGGATGTGGATAATTCTAAAAATAGTTGTCAAGACTCAGAAGCAGATGAGGAGACAAGTCCAGGTTTTGATGAACAAGAAGATGGTAGTTCCTCCCAAACAGCAAATAAACCTTCAAGGTTCCAAGCAAGAGACGCTGACATTGAATTCAGGAAACGGTACTCTACTAAGGGCGGTGAAGTTAGATTACATTTCCAATTTGAAGGAGGAGAGAGTCACACTGGAATGAATGATTTAAATGCTAAACTACCTGGAAATATTTCTAGCCTGAATGTAGAATGCAGAAATTCTAAGCAACATGGAAAAAAGGATTCTAAAATCACAGATCATTTCATGAGACTGCCCAAAGCAGAGGACAGAAGGTAATTTTCTGTCAGGAGTATCTCTCCAATAGCATAATATGCTTTATAGTTTTGTAAGGGAGTTTAACGAAGCTATGATTTCTAGTAAAGCAAAGAAATGGTTTTGTTTCTTGTTAACTACTTATGCTAAATTTAAACCTAGGCTCCAAAGTTTAAACTCTAAAAAGGCTAGAAACAGAAAACAAGAAATAAAATAAATATTAGAAATCAGATTTTTAGTTTCATGAGTTTCCTTTTGGTATTTATGGGAATTACTAGAACATGAAAATACTAGGTTGATAGTAGCTACTGTTTCTTCAGCCAGACATTCTTCTAGACCATTGTATATTACACTTTTTTTTTTTTAACACTTTGTTTAATGCCGTGACAGGCAGACAGATGGTATTATACTCACTAAATGAGATAACTGAGATTTGGGTAAGAGAATTCACTGGAATCATGTACCTTCTGAGTGGTAATGCTGGGATTTAAATCCAGGTGTGTCCTATTACAAAGCTTATATTTTGCCGTTACCCCATATGGAATCTTAAATCCCATCCATGATTTCTGTGATTTGAGTTTCCTGAGATAGTGCAATCAGCATGCAATAGTGAGTTCACTTCATTGAAAATTACTGTGTAGATGATACTGTGAACCATGACTCATTTCTGTTTTGAGAAGGTGATTTACATGTGTTTGGAACTTTCTTCCACAGACTGTTGAAAATAAGCTCTTGAGTTTTATAAGCTTTATAGGTTTTTCTTTTGATTGTAAATATAAAACATAACGAAGTGAGTGACCAAGTATGGCATACTTTAAACAATAACGTCTGGGTAAGTTTTGTGCTTGTGTATCTAAGGGAATTAAAACAGTAAATAATTTGTGACTAAATACATTTGTCTTGACCTTAGAAAAGAACAATGGGAAACCAAACATCAAAGAACAGAAAGGAAGATCCCTAAATACGTTCCGCCTCACCTTTCTCCAGATAAGAAGTGGCTTGGAACTCCCATTGAGGAGATGAGAAGAATGCCTCAGTGTGGGATCCGGCTGCCTCTCTTGAGACCATCTGCCAATCACACAGTAACTGTTTGGGTAGGTAGCACCTCTTATCTATGATGAGAGAAGACTGGAAGTCCTTATTTATTGTGATATTTATTAAGTGAGAAACAGACCAAGGCTTAGAAAGTTCTTCTGTTTTCTGCATATATAAAATACTGAGAATTCTACAGAATGGAGCAATATAATGATAACTTACTTAGTATAGAACTTAACAAATTAGCAATCATTAGCAATCATTATCAGCTGATGGTGAAGATAATTTTTTTTTTTCCAGTATTTTTAAGAAACCTCATTGGATTCTTTTTTTTTCTTTTTACTCAGTTGATAGTATTGTGTACTGACTGCAGAATCCTGCATTCGTCCCTAAATTTCAAAATTACGTATGGTTTAGTGTCCTTAAATCATTATCCAGTTGTGCCTTTTTTTTGTTTTTGTTTTTTTTTTTTTTTGCTGGAGACCAGAGTTTTCTTATTACTCAAATCAGTCTCCTCGAGCATTCGGGGATCAGAGTTTTTAAGGATAATTTGGTGGGTTGGGGAAGGCCAGTGAGTCGAGAGTGCTGATTGGTTGGGTCAGAAGAAGAAATAATGGGAAGCTGAAGCTGTCCTCTTGTGCTGAGTCAGTTCCTGGGTGGGGACAAGATCAGATGAGCCAGTATATCCATCTGGGTGATGCCAGCTGATCCATCAAGTGCAGGGTCTGCAAAATATCCCAAGCACTGATCTTAGCAGTTTAGGGTGGGTCAGAATCTTGTAGCCTCCAGCTGCATGACTCCTAAACCATTATTTCTAATCTTGTGGCTATTTTGTTAGTCCTACAGTGGCACTCTAGTCCCCAGGCAAGAAGGGGGTTTCTTTTGGGAAAGGGCTGTTACCATGTTTGTTTTAACATTATATTATAACATTATAACAACATTGTAACAAAACATAACAAAAGACTAACATTATAACAAAAGACTATAACGAGGGCTATGGGAGTTACAAGCCAAGAACCTGGACAAAAACCAATGTGAATATCATAACACTATACTAACAGAAACTGTACATATTAAACATATTAAATAATTAAACCTCCTTCCCTGCTTCCCCTAGTTCTTAGTAACCTCTTTTGTACTTTTTGTGTGTTCTTGCTTTTAAAAAACAACTTCATTGAGGTATATAAAAATTCACCCATTTTAAGTGCTCGATTTGGTGATATTGAGTCCATTTTTTGAGCTATGTGACCATCACCATAATCCAGTTTTAGATTTCCATCACTTGCTGGGTAGTTTTAAACATTCATCTCATTTATTAGTCAGGTTTTATATAGATTTCACACGCAGTACTAAAAAAAATTGACATGATCCCTTTTAACATACAATTTAGTGTAGATGTGATTAACTATTTTGAAATTCAGAATTCTTTAGCATATTTAGAGGTGAGAGTAACATTGAGCAGAGTTATGGGGTTTGAGCTGAGCTCTAAAAGATAAGCATAAATTTCTGAGGTGCAGTTAGTAAGATAGGAGACTTCCAGACAGATATATAAGGTTTATAAGAAAAGGCTGTGTGGTTGAAAACTATCTGTTTTAGAAATGGAAAACAGTGCCTTTGCTGGAGTGTGGAATTTGGGTGGGGAATGAGGAAGAGACTTGAAAATTGGATTGGCTTCATATCACAGGGGGCTTCAAGTGCCAGGAACCAGACTTAAGTCATGTCTGTGCAGACAGTATCTGTGCTGTAGCAAGATTAATCAGACAGCTGCATGTAAGGAAAACAGAAGTGAGGATACACTGGGAGACAGGAGAGGTAATGTAAGAGCCCAGATAAGAGTTAAGTAAGGTAACAGTATGTACCGAATTGTGCCACATAGAGGTGCTTCAGGGGTTCTTTTGAAGTTTGATGCAAATTTCATTTCTAAATTATATTTTTAACAGTGAAAAACTTGTTAAAAAAGAACTGCACAATCAAATTTGAAGATGCTTAATTCCACATTTGAACCAGCTGTTTTTGCCAAGATAACCCATTTTTGTGCAGACGATAGAGCCAAGGTTCCCTTGCTACCATTTATCTGAAGAGTTAGCTTAATATCAAAATAAAGTTTGTAAAATGTTACCATTTGCAACTGTATAGATGGATGAATCAGGATTTTCTTAATAATGTGTAAGAGAGATAAATGTAAACTAAATGGTAGATTGATGTAAGCTTTAACTCTCATCCCTAACTCCTACTTTCAAATTTTGTATTTAAAACTGTCTCATCATCACTTATTGATATTAGAGTAAGTAAAAGTTACTATAAAAACTGTATTTCTTTTTTTTTTTTTTTTTTTTTGATGGAGTTTTTTGCTCTTGCTGCCCAGGCTGGAGTGCAACAGCACGATCTCGGCTCATGGCAATCTCCACCTCCCGGGTTCAAGCAATTCTCCTGCCTCAGCCTCCCGAGTAGCTGGGATTACAGGCATGCACCACCACGCCTGGCTAATTTTGTATTTTAGTAGAGACGGGGTTTCTCCATGTTGGTCAGGCTGATCTCAAACTCCCGACCTCAGGTGATCTGCCCACCTTGTCCTTCCAAAGTGCTGGGATTACAGGCGTGAGCCACCGCGCCCGGCCAAAAACTGTATTTCTAAAAATAGCTTTGGTGTGACTTTAAATTACTTTATGTCAAATTTCTTAGGGAAAAAAGGGATTCTGCTATTTTAAAAAGCTTGAAAATCACTGAGATAATAATCATGGGGATAAAAAAGAAAATAGAAGGTTGCATTATTATGAGGTAAAATTGATAGAATATGGTGAATTCCTAAATATGGGTGACAAATAAAAAGGAGTTGTTGATAATGCATGTAAAATTAAGGTTCTTAGTCTGGATTACTGAGATGATGTTAATGGTGAGGAACTGGAGAAAAGATGGACAGAGGGTGTTAAGTGATATTTTAGCTTTTTCTCTTCCTCCTCTCTCCCACCCTCCCACAAAGAAAACCCAAACCATCCTGTACCGTCATTATATCTCTCTAATATCTACCATCTCTACCATCAAATAATCTCTATAGTTAATGTTTCTTTCTTAGATACCCAGGACCCTTGAGTTTTTAAAATCTTCTGTTTTATTACAAGAGCAATGCAAGACTATTGTAAAAAATATGCAACTATTATATGAAAGCATGTAACTCAGAAAACCCATCTGTCAGTCTTATTCCCAGAGTTTAACAGTTTGTTGTATTTTCTTCTAGATTCTTATTCCTGAATATGATAATAAGATATAAATGTAATTAACAGTTACTTAATAGCAGTGTTTAGTTACATTATTAAGATTCCAGATATTAATAGTTACAGATTTTGAAATAGTAAAATGAAAGTTGGGCATGATAGCTCACACCTGTAATCCCAGCACTTTAGGACGCCAAGGCAGGAGGATCGCTTGAGGCCAGGAGTTCAAGACTAGCCTGGGCAACATAGGCAGAGCCCATCTGTACAAAAAGTTAAAAAATTAGCCAGGCATGGTGGCACATGCCTGTAGTCCTAGCTACTCATGAGGCTAAGGCAGAAGGATTACTTGAGCCCTGCAGTTTAGCCTGGATGACAGAGTAAGACCCTGTTTCTTAAAAATAAAACCAACATTTAGCTTTAGAAATGTAAGGCAATCTGAAATTGCACTTAGTGGTCGATTTCCAACAAACACATGCATACGTGCGTGCATGCAAACACAGAGCCACACACAAAGCATATTACATGTATGTTCCCCTTTTGTGAAGCTCAACTGGTACCTATGCTGTTTTATCAGATGATATGGAACGTCCTTATAAAATCACCTTTGGGACCTTCTTATGAGGGTGAAAATACTTTCAGCATAACTGCTGATTCTGTCACATCTGGCTTTTTTTTTTTTTTTTTTTTTGAGATGGAGTCTTGCTCTGTCACCCAGACTGGAGTGCAGTGGTGTGATCTCGGCTCACTGCAACCTCTGCCTCCCGGGTTCAAGCGATCCTCCTACCTCACCCTCCCAAGTAGCCGGGACTACAGGTGCATACCACCAACCTCGGCTGATGTTTGTAGTTTTAATAGAGACGGGGTTTCGCCATGTTGGCTAGGCTAGTCTTAAACTCCTGACCTCAGGTGATCACCCGCCTGGGCCTCCCAATGTGCTGGGATTACAGGTGGGAGCCACTGCTCCTGGCCTTCTTTTGTTTTGTTTTTGTTTTTTTTTTTAAAGAGACAGGATCTCACTCCGTCACCCAGGCTGGATTGCAGTAGCAGTGGTGTGTGATCTTGGCTCACTGCAGCCTCCAACTCTTAGGTTCAAGCAATCCTCCCACCTCAGCCTCCTGAGTAGCTGGGGTTACAGGCATGTGCCACCACACGTGGCTAATTTTCTAAATTTGTAGCTATGTTGGCCCAGGCTGATTTTGAACTCCAGGCCTCAAGTGATCCTCCAGCCTCAACCTCCCAAAGTGTTGAGATTGCAGGCGTGAGCAACTGTGCCTGGCCACATTTGACTCCATAGACATTTCTTTTCTCCTTGGAATATACTCATCCTTTGGCTCCGTGACACAATATAATCCTAAATTTCTTTCTTCCTCCTCAGCCAATTCTTATTTTCCTTTTAGGCTGTTCTTCTGTATGTGACAAGTAAGTGTTGTTGGAGTTCCTCAAGCCTTTTTCATAGGTCCTTTTTTCTTCTGTCTCTCTCTGGTTGGTCTCACCCACCCTTGTGGTTTTAGTGATCACCTATATAGATGACTCACAGGTTTATTTTTCTTTCTTTCTTTCTTTATTTTGAGACAGAGTCTTGCTCTGTCACCAGGCTGGAGTGCAGTGGCACAATCTCAGCTCACTGCAACCTCTGCCTCACAGGTTCAAGCGATTCGCCTGCCTCAGCCTCCTAAGTAGCTGGGACTACTGACGTGCGCCACGATGCCTAACTAATTTTTGTATTTTCAGTAGAGATGAGGTTTCACCATGTTGGCCAGGAAGGTCTCGATCTCTTAACCTTGTGATCCACCCTCCTCAACCTCCCAAAGTGCTGGGATTACAGGCATGAGCCACCACCCCCTGCCCAGGTTTATTTTTCTTAAGTTGCAGTGTTACTAAACTGAACCTGAGTACACTCACCCAGTGCAGTAAAGCCAAACACCGACACTGACGTCTGTAGCAAGAGAAGTAAGGGTGTTTGTTTGCAGGGCACCAAGCAAGTAGAATAAGGTAGCTATTGCTTAAAACCTGACCTCCCCAATGGCTTACAAGCAAGATTTTTTAAAGGCAGAGATATATTCTAGGAAAGCAGAAGTTATTGGCAAAATCATACATCAATACGTGGGGGTTATATATTGGTTTGGTCCCAAAAGGCAGGATATCTTGAAGTGGGGTTGCAGGATTCAGAGATTCTTTGATTTGCGATTGTTTAAGGAAGCAAGGCTTTGTCTAGAAACTTGGGATCAGTGGAAAGGAATGTTAAGGTTTGGCATGTGGGTGTCACTGTCTCCGGGCCCCTCAGGAAGAAATTTAGAATGAAGAACGTCAGTCAGAGTTCAGTCTTCAGTTCCCCCTTATGTGATGATGGTGGTTGGCACTTTCCATTTGGCGGGGGTCTGAGTTTCTGAAAAATAACTCAGGGACCTATGTCAAGATGTTATCTTTATTTTCTATAGGGAGCAACACATCTTGTGGCTCTGACTTCCATGAGTGGCTATTGGTTTAAGCTGTTATTACCTCCTTGCTTATCTGGTGGCTCATTTACTTCTCAAGGCTAGATAGGTGCCTGGAATTTCCCTTGAAGGTTTCAGATATGATGAGGTTTCTCTTCAAATAACCTGATCAGTCTTTTATTCTTTAATTCATAGTGCCCCCCTTCCTTTTTTCCTTTTTCTCCTTTCTTCCATTTTGCCTTTGTTAGATGCCCAGGCACGTCACAGTACCAAGCGTTATCAATACCAGCTCACATTCCTTTCCTTATTTGGAAAGAGAACTAACTTTCTAGCTTATTACAGACATGCCTTCCCCTTTCCTCTCCGCTTTCTTTCACATGCCCACCTTATCTAAAAGAATCAAATGTTTAGCTAACTGGAATTAGTTTAGATTGTACGACCCAACCCCAGCCAATGGGGAAAGGGTACAGGGGCAGGACTTGCGTCAGGAATAAAGGCTCTTGTGCCCCTTTGTTCAGGTGTGCTCTCATGGCGACTGGCCAAGGAGGCACTCCTCTGTGCAGAAGTAAAATTGCTTTGCTAAGAATCCTTTGTTCGAGTGTTCAATTTCCTTAGGATTTTGAGCGTTATTCCTAACAAAGGGATTCGAGATTTTCTTTTATTTCCTTGCTTGAGGGCCCTCCTGGCAGGCCCCTAAGAGGGCTCCCTGCTCTGTCTCAGCAGATGTTTTTATGAAGCTGCCTCTTTGACAGTCTTCTTTCCATAGTTCTTCCCTTTTTAAGGAATGTTGGTGAATAGAGTCAAACTCTGTAAAATATTTAAAGAAATTTATTCTGAACCAAATATGAGTGACCAATGGCCTGTGACACCGCCCCAGGAGATCTGAGTACATGTGCCCAAGGTGGTCAGGCTACAGGTTGGTTTTATATGTGTTAGAGAGGTATAAGACGTCAATCAATACATGTAAGATGCATATTGATTTGGTCCAGCAGGCAGGACAACTCGAAAGGGGCTTCCAGGTCATAGATTCTCTGCTTGGCAATTGGTTAAAAGGGTTATTATCTAAAGACCTGGAATCAATAGAAAGGAATGTCTGGGTTAAGAAGGGTTTCTAAAGACCAAGGTTTTATCATGCAGTTGATGCTTGTAGGTAACAGGCTTCAGAGCTCTTACCAGATGCTTCATTACTTCTCTCCTGGACTGGATCAGGGAAGACCTGGAAAGGGAAGGGGATTCTCTACAGCAGCAGTCCCCAACTTTTTGGCACCGGGGACCAGTTTTATGGAAGACCATTTTTCCATGGGTTGGGGGATGGTTTCAGAATGAAACTGTTCCACCTCAGATCATCAGGCATTTGTTAGATTCTCATAAGGAGTGTGCAACTTAGATCCCTCACATGCACAGTTCATAATAGGGTTCTTCGTCTTATGAGAATCTGATGTTGCCACTGACCTGACAGAAGGCAGAGCTCAGCCTTGCTCACCTCCTGCTATGCGGCCTGGTTCCTAACAGGCCATAGACCCCTAGTCCATGCCTGTCTGGATTCCGGGGGGTTGGGGACCCTTGCTCTACAGAATGTAGATTTTACCCACAAGAGACAGTTTAGCAGGGCCATTTCAAAATATTTCAAATAAATACATTTTGGGGTAAAATACTTCCGTTTCTTTCAGAGCTTGGTATCTGTCATGTTGGTATCTTAATTGCTATAAAGAGTCTGCCTTGTCAGTCTTAAAGTACCTGTTTTAATGTTAATGCTGGTCAGTCACATCTAAATTTCAAAGGGAGGAAGGTATAATGAAGCATGTCCAACCACCCGTTCCCATCATGGCCTGAACTAGTGTATGGGGTTTGCTTTAGAATGCCCTTGGCTGAGGGAGGGGCCCATTCAGTTGGTTGGGGGGCTTAGAATTTTATTTTTGTTTCACCCTTTTCCTTGTTAATTTTTTAGCCTTTAGAGTTAAGCTCAGTTGCCACTTCCTCAAGGAAGCCTTACCTAAGTTTACCAGATAAACTAAATCTGAGCTGGTCTCATAACACAGTGTTCCTCATATTCATAACATATTACAAGTGAAATTATATATTTATGTGATTATGCTCTGCGGTGAAGTACTCATACATACTACCACATGGATTAATCTTGAAAACATTATGCTAAGTGAAAAAGGCCAGACACAAAAGGCCACATATTATATGATTTCTTTTATATGAAATATCCAGAATAGGCATAATGTTAAACTTTAAACCATAATCTCTTTCTCTTACCAGTGGCAAATCTATATGGGTCTGCAGCAATGTTAATACTCCTCCTTAGAAGAAAGGATTTGATTGAGAGGCATAAGGCAGAATGAGAGACCAAGGCAAGTTTTAGAGCAGGAGTGAAAGTTCATTAAAAAGCTTTAGAGCAGGAATGAAAGGAAGTAAAGTACACTTGGAAGAGGGCCAAGCGGGCGACTTGAGAGATCAAGTACACAGTTTGACCTTTGACTTGAGGTTTTATATGTTGGCATGCTTCCAGGGGGTTGTGTCCCCTTCTCCCCTGATTCTTCCCTTGAGATGGGCTGTCTGCATGCGCGGTGTGATTACTGGAGTTGTACACATGCTTGCTTGAGGTATTCTTCCCTTACCAGTTGAGTGTTCTTATAAGGTCATATACCAGTTAAACTTTGCCATTTTGCTCCCTAGTACACATGCTGGAGCTGACTTGCCCAACTCCTAAGATCTTAACAGGAAGCTGCTGATCACCAATTTCAGATTTTTCTATCTATTGGGTGACTCCTTTCCCTGGCGCCGGCTGCTTCCAATTATTTTAGAGAGGCAGTTTCACAACTCCCTGTGCATCACTTGAGGGTTGTCTGACATTCCTGGTAGTGGTAGGGGCCCTGTCCTGCCCTGCTCATGTCTGACTGGCTACCTACTGTACCACTTCCTCAAACATTTACTTAATAGTTATTATAGTAGCATATGTGTGTATATATATATTTGCATGTATACACGTACACATGTACACATACCAGGTTCTATCTTACATATTCAGAATACAAAGTTAATATGGTTATTTTCAGGAAGTTTGGGATCTAGTGAGGGAGAGGAAGACAAGTGTGCTCTAGCATGATAATAATCTAACAAAACAAGATAAATAGCTGCCTACTTTGAAGTTTCTAAAGACTTCATAAAGATAATGAAAATCTGGCAGAGCTATGAAGGTGACAATAGAGATTTAACCAGATACAGTGGGGGAGGTGGCAATTGGTAGTAGTGGTATTAAAAAGAGAGGCCACAGTAGTATGTATACAGGCATATAAATATGAAAATGAATTTGCTATGTTTAAGGAATTTTAAGTGTTGTTTAAGACTTGTTTGGAATGAATGGTGTTCTGATAAGAAAGTATATGAAAATCAGGATGACATTTAGAATCAGAGTATAGGCGTTATAGCATTAGAAGCCTGGGAGTTCTTTAGAAAGGGTTTTATGGGGGCTAGATGTGTCTAGCAACAGCTGGAGTTAGGGAGAAGGATAGGAAACAGTAAAAGCTGAGGCAAGGAAGGATTCCTAGGGAATATGGAGCTAGAATATATACTATATCTGGTGACTTGGAACCTGGTTGAATGGAGGTGAGGAATGGGAAGAACTGAAGGGTTCTTTGGTGATTTCTTGCCTGGGAGCTGGTCTCTATTTTATAGCATTTGCTTTGGTTACTTAGGATTATTTTATAGAAGATACATTTTGTTTTTATGCACTGACAATTTTGTTTACCCTCAATTTCAGGTAGATCTTTTGCGAGCAGGAGAAGTTCCTAAACCTTTTCCAACACATTATAAAGATTTGTGGGATAACAAGCATGTTAAAATGCCTTGTTCAGAACAAAATTTGTACCCAGTGGAAGATGAGGGAAGAACAAAACCGAGATTCTTTTAGTCTCTGAAAAATGGTTTGGTACTTGCTTGTTTGACCTTTGATTCTGTGATGCAAAAGAACTTAGAATAGCTTCCTCATACGTTTTTCTTTTTTCCAAAAGAATGGTGAGCGAACTGCGGGGAGCCGGTGGGAGCTCATTCAGACTGCACTTCTCAACAAATTTACACGACCCCAAAACTTGAAGGTATGTTGTTTTTACCATGCTTGCCTCTTTATGGGCCCTGTGTCTCCTCTTTCGAAGACTTTTTGGTCTTAATAGACTCAGGTAGCAACATTCTTTAGATGCAGAGTGCTTGCTTCCTGGCACTAAGGAAGGCTCCTTAGAGACATTCTACTAGGAAATGAGAAGAACTGAGAGTTGCAAATGCCTTGCCAGGAGCCACACAGAATAATTTGGAGAACCAGGAATAATACCTCTGTTTCTTGATTCCCCATCCGATTTCCTTCAGTTCAAGCTTCTCTTTCTTTTTTTTGTTTTAAAATTATCATGTTTCTGAAATATCTTTAAAAGTAAATCAGGAAAGAATTATGACTTCAGCAATATTTGCCCAAAGGGAAGCTGAGTTTCCCAATTCTGCCCTTAATATAGCTCCTAGCAGTTTAATAATTTACTCATCTTATATTTTGGCAATAATTTATTTTTGATATATTTATATTTCATTTATGACTGCAAGGGTAACTAGTAGATTGTTTTTCTAATATCTAAAATATGAGTGAGTGTGTGTGTGTGTGTGTGTGTGTGTGTGTATATATATATATATATATATATATATATATATATATATATATATATATTTATATTTTGGGGACACTATAGCCATGAAAACTTTTCATGTTTTTATAAATATAAACAGTGACAGAATTTTTTGTACCTCTATGAAAATGAGTTTTATTTTCTTTCAGAGACTTAATTTGTTGTGTATAGTTTCTCAGCTTTCTTAATATTTTCTACTGATACTTGCAAGTTATTGTTAAACTTTCTATACCTTTCTGTAGCTCCTGTTTTTTTTCTTTACATGGAAAACATTGATATGTTATACCATAATGTATTTTGAAGGCTTTATTCCTTGGGGACAGTGTTTCTCAATCTTCTAATGGGCTCTTTTTTTAAAAAAAGAAAAAAAAAGCAGGCTGTTTATTTTTCTTTTTTACAGTACAAATTGATTTATTTAAAACAGTTAGAAAAAAACAAAACAAAATAGAGATTATCATTAGAATTATTAATGGTTTGTTAAAAATCAGGTAGGATTACGGGGTAAGAAATGGTATTAGGTGGGAGGAGCACCTGACTAGTTCTAAGGCTGTAGATACAATGCAGTTGATTACGTATTAATTCAGCCATTACATACTGGGGATAGTAGATGGGGGATCAGTGATTTATCTACAGGGAACTCCTACACAGATCCATGAAGACCTCCCCAGTGCCATCCTTTTCCACTCCTTAGACCCTAAAACCACCTGGGTGACAACATTTCCGTCCTTCTTTCTCCACCCCATTCCCTATCCATATATTCTTCCCACACCTAAGGTGCTGTGCAAGCTGAGAGCAGTCTGCTCTCTGCAGCTGGAACATATACTGTTTTGGCTACAGGGATCCTGTGTGACTAAGAAGGTTTTAGGGGCAGCCTTATTTTAATATATCAGGTTAGCCATGAGTACAGTCAGTCCCTTCCCTAACACAATTTAGATTATCTTGAACGCAAGTATCAGGTGAGGGATCAACCCTGCCTCCAGCAATACCAGCAATACGCTAACCACTCAGGCTCACAACTACAGAAAGCAAACTCTTTAAATGGAAACAATCTCAAGTTCTGCTAGAGTTTGCTTAGTTTTAGTATAATGTTAATTATGTGTATACAAACATAAAACTAAATATAAACTCCATATGTGTGTGTGTGTGTGTGTGTGTGTGTGTGTGTGTGTGTATATTTTTTTTTTTTTTTTTTTTAATTTGAAGCTGGGTCTTGCTCCATCACCTAGGGTGGAGTGCAGTGGGGTGATCACAGCTCACTGCAACCTCTGCTTCCCAGACTCAAGCAATCCTCATCTCAGCCTCCTGAGTAGCGGGGACTACAGGTGTATGCCACCATGCCCAGACTAATTTTGTTTATTTTAGTTTTTTGTAGAGACAGGGTTTCTCTGTGTTCCCTAGGCTGGTCTCCAACTCCTGGGCTCAAGTGATCCACCTGGCCTTGGCCTCCCAAGGTGCTGGCTGGGATTATAGGCATGAGTCACTGCTCCCAGCTAACTCCCTATACCTGTAGTGCTTATACAGCTATATCAGTTTGATTTTCTTTTTTAATTTCAGGTATAATGAACCATCATTTGATTTGTATTTATTATCACAGTGAAAACAATTTGTAGTCATTATTCCTTTTTTTGCACAGAAATTTTCAAACCGCTGATCCAAACCCCAAAATAGTATGCTGAGAAATTCTTTAAAATACTACATAAAGAAGAAATTATTTTGCAATTATTACTTTTCCTACTAATCATGAACAGTTGAGGGGTGTTGGTGGATACAAAGATGGGATCCTTAAATAGAACATCAGATCGCAGTGGCACGATCTCAGCTCACTGCAACCTACACCTCCCTGGCTCAAGCGATTCTCGTGCCTCAGCCTCCTGAGTAGCTGGAAAAAAATCTCAAGTTCTGCTAGAGTTTACTTGATTTTAGTATAATGTTACAGGCATGTGCCACAGGTGCATGCCACCACACTGGGCTAATTTTTTATATTTTTTGGCTGAGACACTGGGTCTTGCCATGTTACCCATGCTGGTCTCAAACTCCTGAGCTCAAGTGATCCACCTGCCTTGGCCTCCCAAAGTACTGGGATTACAGGCATGTAATTACCACATCTGGATGAAGGTTCGTTAGAATTTAACATACCTGTACTGTGGTGTATAGTAGGACAGCTCAATCTTTTCACTGTTTTTGTCTATTAATAGTACCAGCCTTCATTCGTACAGCGTGTTGTTATTTGGCTGTTGTTTTCTAAAAACAAAATTATAAACTCACATAGAAACAGGCTGCCCAGGAATACTACCCGGAGTCCATTTGATGAACACTATCTTAGGTTCTTTATTTTTATTCTTCTAAACAGAGGCTGTTTTTAAGAATTTTTATATTTCTTCAACTGCAAATAGAATAATTATAGTGAGGCCAGGTGCGGTGGCTCAAGCCTGTAACCCCAGCACTTTGGGAGGCCGAGGCAGGCAGGTCGCCAGAGGTCAGGAGTTTGAGACCATCCTGGCCAACATGGTGAAACCTCATCTCTACTAAAAATATAAAAATTAGCCGGGCATGGTGGCGGGTGCCTGTAATCCCCGCTACTCAGGAGGCTGAGACAGGAGAATCGCTTGAACCCAGGAGGCAGAGGTTGCAGTGAGCCGAGATCATGCCACTGCACTCTAGCCTGGGCAACAAAGAGCGAAACTCCATATTTGAAAAAAAGGAAAAGAATAACTATAGTGTTTTAACTTACACAGTCTGCTTACCTCTCTAGCAATTCCTTAGTGCACCATGATTATTTCAGGAAGGGGTAATTGCTTTAATCTGAATTTCCTTTTTGTGTTTCTCTTATGGTAGATTCAATAGAACAGAGTAATCCATCGAGATATTTTTCTGTCTGCTTATGGTAATTGTTTCCTTTGCTGAAAGAATGCTTTGAGAGAGGAAGAGGGAAACATTAAACCCCTCTAATTGAATATAATGATTTTTTTGCTGTTCATATACCATTTAATGTTGGATTTAGAGGGATTAGAGACATTCAGAATTTTAAAAAGTAATAGTGTCCTCAAAAGTTGATTTACACAGTAGTACTTATATAAATAATGTGTGTGATAATTTGCACAGAAAGAATTTTTTGTGCTTATTGTGAATTATGAACTATAAAGAACTTACTCAGTAGTTGATAACTCAAGAGTACAGAGTAGTATCCAGTTTTTCTAATGACAGGCAACCTCATGGTGGACTACTTTTGAGACTTGAAGACTGAAGTAAAAATAAATACGAGCTAAAGCTTAATGCTAATTATAAAACACTAAAATAATTAGAGAATTACAGTGAAGAATTAGAATGCAATTGCTACTTAAAATTTTTTTCCTTACCAACTTTGAGGAATAATAACATATGGATAAGAAAGTTTATCCTTTTAAAGTGTGTCATTTGATGAGTTTTGACATTTACACATACCATGAAGCTCCCATTATAATCAAGATACAGAATGTTTGTATCATCCCCAAAGATTCCTCTCCCCACTTTGCAGTCCATTCCACTTTCTGCTCTGGCCCCAGACAACTACTAATCTGTTCTTTTTCACTATAGTTTACATTCTGCATGAATTGAATCATAGTGGGTGTGTCTGGCTTCATTCACTCAAAATGAAGATAATTTTGAGATTCATCCATGTTGTTCAATGTATTGATAGTTTGCTCCAGTATATGCATTGTTTATTCCTTCACCTATTGATACACATTTCTGTTTAATACTTTATGAAGTTTTGAAATTAGATACCAGTGATTGGAAAAAAAATCCTTAAAATCTTTTAATTTTTTTTTTCTTTCTTTTTTTTTTTCTGAGACAGGATCTTGCTCTGTCACCCAGGCTGGAGTGCAGTGGTCCAATCTCGGCTCACTGCAACCTCAACCTCCTTTGCTCAAGCGATCCTCCCATCTCAGCACCCTCATGTAGCTGAGACTACAGGCATGCACCAACCATGCCTGGTTAATTTTTGTATTTTTTTCTAGGGATCTTGTCATGTTGCCCAGGCTAGTCTCGAACTCCTGGACTCAAGCGATTCACCTGCCTCGGCCTCCCAGAGTGTGCTATGATTACAGGCGCGAGCCACCATGCAGGCCAAAATCTCTTAATTCTTTTTTTTTTTTTTTTTTTTTTTGAGACGGAGTCTCGCTCTGTCACCCAGGCTGGAGTGCAGTGGCACGACCTCGGCTCACTGCAACATCTGACTCCCTGGTTCAAGTGAGTCTCCTGCCTCAGCCTCCCAAGTAGCTGGGATTACAAGCATATGCCACCACACCCAGCTAATTTTTGTATTTTTATTAGAGACATGGTTTCACCATGTTGGCCAGAATGCTCTCGATCTCCTGACATTGTGATCCGCCCGCCTCAGCCTCCCAAAGTGCTGGGATTACAGGCGCGAGCCACTGCGTCAGCCTAAAATCTCTTAATTCTTAATGGAAAATGTTATGTATGACTTGTGAGTGAAAAATAAAGACTCTTTCACTCTTTCTTGCTATCTTATTTTACGGAAGATTTTTCTTTTCTTTTATCTTCTCTTCTCTTCTCTTTTCTTTTCTTAAGGAACTTGGATGTCCCCTGATTCCAAGTGAATAAGACACATTTTGTTGGCTCATCTTTTAACCTAGATACTTAGTATGGCATGAAGTACTATTCAGGAAGCTTTGACAGAGTATTAATTTTTTAAAAACTTATTCAATGATAACGAAATTTGGAAGATTTATAGTAATAATCTAACAGTGGTTTTCAGACCTGTGTGCCTCAGTAAAAAAATTTTGAGTGTGTATTACCAATATAAATAGTCATTTATAAATTCTACATATCTATTACTTTATTAATGTAATATGTACAGTATAAAATAAAACCAAAGTAGATATTTAAAAGGATGAGATAAAAGATAATTATAAATAAATAGTTGTTTCTGCACATCTAGTGGATTGTCTTATGCATACCTGACTCTGGAAACCAGATGTATAGTATTGCCTATTCAAACAGTTAAAAGCTACACCAGTAGATGGCATAATATTTTGACTTTTCATTCTACATAAATGTGTAATTTATGTGAACTGCTGGAGGAAGATAATAATTTATATATAGTATAAAAATACTTTATAGTAAAGGAAAAAAGACAGTTTTTAAATACTTTTTTCCTAATCTCCTCGTCCCCATGAAATTTTTATTTTTTATTTTTTACAAAAAAATTTATGCCTCAACCCTATTAACTGACCCATGAAATTTTCATACTACAAATCTGCTGTGTATGTCTGTGTATATATAATCTGATGCTTTCAAGGACCACCAACAATTGTGATAACTAAGTTTATTTTTTACCCCTCAAGATACAGTTTTTGTCTATTTGGAGTATATCACCTTATTTAGAATGCATGCTTTAGGGTGTAATTGTGTTTTTTCACCTATTACTTGACCGTTCTAATCTCATTTTTTAAAGTGAGTAATAAATTAGTAATCATTCTGTTTGTCTGTAGCTACTGATGTCCATATCAGTAGCAGGGGGAGGTAGTCGGAAGCTTGTCTAACATTATGAAATATACTGGAGGTAATTCATAAGAGACAGGCTCTTCATAGGTCATTCACTTGGCCATACCATGACGTTTTGTTTCTGCATTTTCCACAGGATGCTATTCTGAAATACACTGTGGCATATTCTAAGAAATGGGACTTTACAGCTTTGATCGATTTCTGGGATAAGGTAAAAGTATCCCTATTTCTTTATGAAAATATTATTGACAACTCAATAAGAAGGTTTGAGAAGAATACCCATAATTCTGCCACGCTAAGATAATTATCTTTTAGTTTTATAAATTTGCTGTTATTTTATATGTATGTTTTAGGTAAATACAATTAGGAGTTAATATTGAATTTTGTTTTCATCTCTTAGAACACACATTTTCTGTTATATTTTCATACCATTATCAGCATTATCAAGGAATGTATAATAGTCCATGACTAGATTTTGAGAATATAATGGTTCTTATATTCTCAAACATACAGGTTGCATCCAGTTTTACCTTCAGTTACATAGTGGCAACATCATTATATATGTATATATATTTTCCCATATTTGATATTGTTTCTTTAGGTGATTTCCAGAAATTAGATGACTAAGTCAAAGGGCACAAAACATTTGTTTAAAAATCTTTTAAAAACTTTTGCCATAAAATCATTTTTCCACAGATTAATTGTAGCAATTTACTATGCTGCCAGTAGTGGATAAGAATATCACTTTCATAGTACCATCAGCAGAGAGAGTCTTTTCATTTGTCTATTGGCCATTTCTATATCTTCTTTGGAAAAATACCTATTCAAATTTTTTGTCTTTATTATTGAATTTTAGGCATTCTTTGTATATTTTAGATGCAGGTTCCTTACCAGATATATGATTTGCAAATATTTTCTCCCATTTTGTGTTTTTTTTTTTTCTTTTTCTTGATGTTACACTTTGAAGCTCAAAAATTTTTAATTTTGACAAAGTCAGTTTATTATTTTTTTTCTTTTCTTCTGTTTTCGGGATCATATTTAAGAAGCTAATCTAAGTTCATGAAGATTTATGTTTCTTCTAAGAATTTTATAGCTTTAGCTCTTACACTATGACCATTACCCATTTTGTGTTAATTTTTGTATATGATGTAAATTAGAAGTCCAATTTTATTATTTTCCATGTGAATATCCATTTCGAGTTAATTTTCATATGTGGTATAAGGTAGGAGTTCAACTTCATTATTTTGCATGTGGATAACAAGTTGTCCCAGCACCATTTGTTGAAAAGACTCTTCTATCCCGTGTTGAATTGTCTTGGCACCTTTTCAAAACCAGTTGACGTAAGGATTGTTTCTGGCCTCTCAGTTCTACGACACTGATCTGTATGTCTGTCCTTGTGCCAGTACCACACAGTCTTGGTTCCATAGCTTTGTGGTAAGTTTTAAAATCAGGAAGTGTGTGTCCTGTAACTTTGGTCTTTTTCAAATTTGTTTTGGCTGTTTTTGGATTCTTTGCATTTCACTCTGAATTTTAGGATTAATTTGTTAATTTCTGCAAAAAACCTAGGTGCTAAGGGCAATTCTTACATCACGTTAATAGAATCCAAACTAATTCTGCATTTCGAGGTAGTGCCAGTAATTTCAGAATTATCTTATTGAGCTTTTGACCCATATGGCTTTTACAAGGCAGGCATAAATAATGGAAGACTTATCCTTGTGTCTGGAAATTGGATATCTCAGATATCCTTGAATCTAAATGTCTTTCACTGTAACAGCAATGTAATATCTGATATGATGAAAAGTAGATCAAACCGATATAATCATTATCCTTGTCACTTAAGTTATCAGGACATAACATTTGTATTGTAAGTTTCTGGGCTTAAATTGGATATGATGGTTAATTGGGGTAAGAAGTAATGTATAATTTAATACCTTGAGATGGCAGTAAAACATGCCGTTGGTTACAATACCTCTGTCACCTTGCTATGAAGTAGTCATTTTTTTCTCTCTTCTTAATCAGAATACTCAGACAGGACCTTGTTTCCCCTTTATCTGGTGACCTTGCCCAGAAGCATGCCTGAAACGGGTAACATATAGCAAGTTTTGGTGTGTTTAGTGTAGATCATAAATATGAGATGATTACTCAGGTGCTGATGATGGTTTTACAGTTCTTTAGGGAGAAGAGTCCTTGCGTTTTCGACCTTCTAATATTTATTTATTTATTTATTTATGAAATGGAGTCTCACTCTGTCACCCAGGCTGGAGTGCAGCGGCACAATCTCAGCTCACTGCAATTTCTGCCTCGCGGGTTCAAGCGATTCTCTTGCCTCAGCCTTCCAAGTAGCTGGGATTACAGGTGCCCGCCACGTTGCCCGGCTAATTTTTGTATTTTTAGTAGAGATGGGGTTTTGCCATGTTGGCCAGGCTGGTCCCAAATTCCTGACCTTAAGTGATCCACCCAACTCGGCCTCCCAAAGTGCTGGGATTACAGGTGTGAGCCACCGCCCCCAACCAGACCTTCTGATTTGTATTTACTTTGTAAACATATGGAGGGTTGGAGAAGTCCCCACAACTACACTAAGTATTTATTTCTTGTTGTATTCTTTTTAAGTCTTTGCCCATATATATGATGTCTTATAGCTAGATATAAATGTATGTTTAAAATTTATGCTGTATTATAAAATCTTCTGTGTTATATAACTTTATAATGTTTAGCCTTAATGGTTGCAATAATATTCCATCAAATTGATAAATTGTCTGTTCATCCATTCCTGTGTTTGTTGGAGATTTGAGGAAATTTGTGTAAAGCTTATCTAGAGATTTGAAGGTGGTTCTCCCTGTGATTGTTTGCTATTCTGTCATTATGAGTGTACTTAACAAAATACCTTGGATGTTTAATACACTTGTTTATTTTTCTATCCATCAAATCTCCAGATATTATTCTAGAACTTTAGCAAGTCATGACCCACAGGGACAACATTGCCCACACTTGCAGTGGTTAGTGAGAATTAAGTGTCAGACATACCTATATAGGTGGGATTGGTGGAAGAAAAGATTTTTAGCGCAAGGGAAACAATTGTTTGGTTTGGTTTTAAGTTGAAAATAAATTATATTTGGTTTGCATTTTCAGTGTCTTATGTTCTGTACTAGGAATGCTTGTTTATAAAGGGTTCTTTTATTTTTTTATTTAAAGCCAGGCTATAGTGCAGTGGTGCTGTCACAGCTCACTGCAGCCTCAACCTCCGGGGCTGTATACATTCTCCCACTTTAGCCTCCCGTTTAGCTGGGACTACAGGCATGTGCTACCACACCTGGCTAGTTTTTTGTATTTTTTTGTAGAGACAGGGTTTCACCATTGTTACCCAGGCTGGTCTTGAACTCTTGGGCTCAAGCAATCTTCACTCCTCAGCCTCCCAAAGTTCTGGGATTATAGGCATGAGCCACTGTGCCTGGCCTATAAAGCGTTCTTTATTTTCGAGATGGATTCTAGCTCTGTCACCAGACTGGAATGCAGTGGTGTAATCTCGGCTCACTGCAACTTCCACCTCCTGGGTTCAAGCCATTCGCCTGCCTCAGCTTCCCGAGTAGCTGGGACTACAGACGTGCGCCACCACACCCAGCTAATTTTTGTATTTTTATTAGAGACGGGGTTTCACCATGTTGGCCATGTTGGTCTCGATCTCTTGACCTCGTGATCCGCCCGCCTCGGCCTCCCAAAGTGCTGGGATTACAGGCATGAGCCACCGCGCTCGACCTTAAACTAACGGTTCTTAAACATTGTTTATTAGCAGGGTTTGGCAATATTTTCAATTTTTATTTTCTAATTTTTTGTTGTTTTGAGACAGTATCTCACTCTATTGGCCAGGCTGGAGTGCAGTGGAATGATCTCGGCTCATTGTAACCTCCACCTCCCAGGTTCAAGCAATTCTTGTGCCTCAGCCTCCTGAGTAGCTGGGACTACAGGCATGCACCACCACACCTGGCTAATTTTTGGATTTTTGATAGAGACAGGGTTTCACTATATTGGCCAGGCTGGTCTCGAACTCCTGACCTCAAGTGATCTGCACACCTCGGCCTCCAAAAGTGTTGGGATTACAGGTGTGAGCGGCTGCTCCCAGCCAGAATTTGGAAATTCTTTACTTAAATGTCACATTGAACTCTGAGTGGCTTGTTTTATTAAGGAAAAGAATTAAATTTGACATCGTATTAAGATTAATATTTTGCAGTTACGTTTATTTTGAAGCTGTTGATATTTATCTCCTTAAAACCTTTCTTTGATTAATTCTGTAAGTAAAGGATTTTGTAACCCAAACTACCTTACAACAAGAGGAGTTCATGTCAACAGTCATTGTGAATCCATGGTACCATAATTATGTACATTCTGGTCTCTAGCACAGGAGGTAAGGTGCCCAGAAGCCCACCCTGGTGTGTGAGCACCTCTACTGGAATGGAAGTAAGGAGTATTACCTAAGCTTTTATTAGTTTTTCAGAAACCAGCAAAGATCACAGAGACCAATCTGTTAATTTGTTATTTATAATTATATATTTAGATGCTACTGAGTCGAAATGGCTGTTATTTAGTGTTTTCTGCAACTTCAGGGCTAATATTGGTCTTCCTCACTGCCAGCTGCTGGAAGTGCTACAAACACACAATCTGTGTTTTATGGCCCTCCTGTGTGGTGTTTCACAAAATTAAATTCAAACACTTCTGTAATTTATATTCTAAATGAATCAATGTACTTACTCCTGGCATTTTTCACTGGAAAGTTGAACAAAATGTTCTATATGTTATAAAAGTCCTCTATCAATGCATCTTGGAGGAATTTTTAAATACTTCTCTTTTTTTTTTTTTTTTTTTTGAGACAGAGTCTTTCTCTGTCACTCAGGCTGGAGTGGAGTGGCACGATCTCGGCCCACTGCAACCTCTGCCTCCCAGGTTCAAGTGATTCTCCCGCCTCAGCCTCCTGAGTAGCTGGAATTATAGGCACCCACCACCACGCCAGGCTAATTTTTGTATTTTTAGTAGAGACAGGGTTTCACCATCTTGGTCAGGCTAGTCTCGAACTCCTGACCTCAGGTGATCCACCCACCTTGGCCTCCCAAAGTGCTGGGATTACAGGTATGAGCCACCGTGCCCAGCCAAATACTCCTCTTTTACAACACCTGTGGCACTGTTTCATTTCACTTATAGTGTGTTAACTTGTGAAATTTACATTAAAGCTGTAGTAACTGAAGGGCATGGGGGATGTATTTTTAAGGGGGTTTCTTCTGTTTCTGCAATGTTGGCTTCTATTTCTGGACTTGGATATTTGTTTTATATTTATTCATTAGACTATACATATATATTTTTATGTACTTTTTGAATATTCACAGTAAGCATAAAATGTTATTATAAAGAGCTTTAAATCTGCAATTGATTTATGTAGCAAACTTCTTAAGAAAATGGATTAATTGTTGAAAGGAAGCCTAAGGATTTTAGTGACTATTTCATCTTCCTTTCCATGTTGAGTTTTATGTCTGGAATTGAAAAGATAGAAATGTATAAGCCTTTCGTTTCATCCTTCCATTGGTTTTTCCATGAAGGCTGTCATAAATAACAAAATGAAGTGGTTTTGGTTTTGCTTTTGTTTTTTGCATCTGTGGCTGGTAAAGGTAGAGAGTGAGAGATAGGAGTACAGGAAGGAGAGGACATTTAAAAGTAAAAAATGAAAAACCTAGACTTTAGAATGATTATGTTGCTGTGATGAGGCTAGTAATATGTTTCTCTTTGTAAACCACAATTTAAATATAGATGTATAGCATAAAGTCTTTACTTCAAATCATACATACAAAATAGATTATTGCAACTTAGAAATTGTGCATCTTTTGTCTTCGCTGTAGTTATTAAAATATCGACTACGCATTCTCCTATCAGCTCTTGTCCTATGACTTGTCAGAGAAAGACTGTTTAAAGCCTCTATCACTGTAAATAAGAGTGTGTAATTCTATTAGTATTGAACTTGCATTTTTATTTATGTGCTACTTAATTTAAAAGGTAAATGGGACATCATATTGAGTTTTGAATGATGCAAATTAAGTTGATCATGTTATTACATCTGTCTTTTTCTTCAGAACTGTTTCTGTCATTTAAATTTTTTTTTTACTTTTTTTTCCAAGAGCACAAATCCACTTTTATTTATTTACTTTTCATTAATTTAAATGCTTGAGGGGTACAGCATCACACAGATTCTGTGTCCAGTGGCCTTAGCAGGAAGATTGCTTCAGAATTTGGCGTGAACCATGCCACTATTTCCCTGGGACCGAGTTACCTTTCCCTAGATTACTCTGATTTTGTTTGGTTTGCCACCAGGAGTCACTTTGTTGTTCTTTGTTTTGTATATATAAGCACATCTTATGCCCGAATAGAATTCTGTTTCATTTTGGGCATAAGCACCTTCTATTTTAAAAAGAGCTGTGTGCTGTCTTTGGTTCTGGAGACCCCACTTATACTCAGCAAAAATGGCCTTGGACCACAGCCTTCCAGACATACTTCCTTTTAGTATTCCTGTTCCCAGCAGGCCTCCACAGGCTCCAAGTTGGCAGAAAGAGAAAGGCCATTTAAAATTTTAAAAACAGGTACAACATAATTCATTGTCTCCAAAATTGAGGCATGTATTATTATAGCTGTGTTTAGCTAAAATAACAGTTTTTGAACTTGTGATTATGGAAAACTTTAAAAATGATAATGTATTGACAGAGCATCAGTAGAAACTCAGAAAAAAGAACATAAACTTGTATTAAAATAGATTACAAAAAGTTATTTCACATACACAAAGTAATGGCTGGAAGAAATTAAGTTTTGATTTATGCCTTTATTATATAATAAAAAGTTAAAATATATGTTGAAATTATTAGGCAAAAATCACAGCACAAATCAGCTATGATTCAATAACGTAAAACACAATAGTTGTATGTTTATGCATCACTTGAGCATCAATGCATTCAAGCATATGTGGTATACTGTGGACATCCTGGCTTTCTGAGGTGTGGCATGCTATTATGAGTAGCTTATCTCATGGTAATTTTAACTGTATCAAATATACTCAGTATTTTTGTGTATTAAAAATTTTAGAACAAAAATATTGTTAGAGGATTTTTCTTTCTTCTCTCTTCATTCCTCCTATCCCCACCCCTTTATCCCCAGACTGTCTATAAACATTTCATGTAGGGTTAGTGCTTTTTAGAATAGTTTGGGAAAAGCTGACCTAAGGCGGTAAATTGTTATAACTACCTTTTTAAATCACAACAGATTTCGTTATTCAGTAACTGAAGGAATGTGGCCTCCTTCCATGATAGCCTTTTGGTGGTCATTTTTTGTTTTGTTTTGGTTTGGTTTTTTGATAACACTGAAGTAAGTTTCTGAATGTATATAAACACATTATTACTTAGCTTGATTTAACATTCTTCGTAGATAATCTGTTTTCTGGGATTTTCTTCAAAGCTTAAAAAATATCAAGTGTCTTTGTTATATTTGTCACAAAGAGCCTGTACCAAACTCCTAATCAAATGAAAGCAGCCTTGAATGTTTCATAAGACTAAAGCTAATGTCTTTATCTCTCTAGCTTTCGAACCTCTGATTTGGAGTTCAGTGGAAATTTAACCTTTTTGGACCTCTTCCCTTGGTGACTCACAGTCTCTGGAATCATAAGGTCTGCATTACTTTACAGCTCAATTTAATTCATGAGAACTATAGGAGCCAAAAGGGAGCTAATCAGAATCACTAAAATATTGAAACAGATCAATTGTGACTTTTAGATTTGTATGGAATATGTGGAATTTCTCTCCCTGGTTTGGTTAATGAGTGCTTTTGAATGGGGACATATGTTGAGGGTCTCATATTTATGATTTATGATTTCTAAATAGTGCATATCCCAAAGGACAGATTACTCCAATTGGAACTAGGCACTTTGCTTTTATAAACTTGATGAGTTACCATGGAATATCAGTCTTAGTTGAGCCCTCTATGCACTAGATCACTGATGAAGTTGGAGTTGTTATTTTGTGTTTGCAAAACACTATCTGGATTGTATTTATTTATGTGGTGGACAAAGAGGTTAGAAGTTATAGATACTCAAAAGTGAAAATTCATTCAGTAGACTTTCTCTTATATTCTAATAATGAAATTAAGCTAGTACTTAGTTTGTCCTATAACTCTAACCCTTCATTTGTGTCAAATAGCAGTAGAAGTTATTCTTTTTAAATGTTGCTGTGGTGTTGATTTCATTATCCAAAAATCTACTGTTAGAGGAGTGAAAATAATTCTGTGTTTTAATCTTGCCCATGATTTATATCTCTATCAGCTAGCTCTGAAGTGTTTTGGGTTTTGTTTTGTTTTGTTTGTATTTTATTAACACAGTTAAACATGATGCCTTGATTTATAATTCCTGTTAATTTGCATTTATTCTTCTTATGTTCCTACTCATAAAAATAAATTCTGTAGTCCTTTTGAGTATGCTTTGAACACTTATCTACATGTAACATTGCATATTTAACCCTGGAAGGACTATTGTAGTATTTTTATCTGAAGGTAAAAATAATGAGTAAATAAAAACAGAACGTTAGATCTGTTTTTCAAATTTATATATTGTTTCAGTGTGTAGCCTATCTAAACAAGCGGTAAACTTGCTCATCAAAGACTAAATAGGTCCATTGGTCCTTTTATATGAGGGGGTGCTGTTAGTGCTGTGGTTTACCAAAGACTAAGCCAATGGTGTTTCTCCTTATTTTACTATTAGTACTAGTAGAGAAAAATACTCATCCTCGATTTATTGTGATGATAATGACAGGTAATGATTTACTACAAGAGTCTGTCAGATTCTAAGCAGGCTAAATAATTTTTCTTTATAGTGTGTTAACAAAGTTTTTAGTACGCTGAGTGACATAGTGCCTTGTCACCACAAATGCTCTTTGATTACATGAAAAGTGTTACAAAAAGACATTTTCTGCAGCAAGGGCCATTTCCAGCATAATGAAATATGGAATATTTTCAAATGAACTCCAAAGTGATATGTATTGAGGTCTTGCTCTTGGTCTAATCTGCCTCAGTCCTGAGAAGCCTAGCTCTAAGA
Organism: Homo sapiens; assembly: GCF_000001405.40. Classification (NCBI taxonomy): domain Eukaryota; kingdom Metazoa; phylum Chordata; class Mammalia; order Primates; family Hominidae; genus Homo; species Homo sapiens. The sequence goes on along the minus strand of NC_000010.11, from coordinate 45,937,941 downwards.
TAAACAAAGGGCATCTTCCACTGGGAGTGCAATGTTGGAACTGCTCACTGCCTTAAGTAACCATATGCATAGCCTCTTTCCTGATAGTTGGCTCCTGTCTCCCTTTGTAATCCTTTCCTTCTTCCATGCCTGCTGCTTAAGTTGCAGACTATTCCAGCCTCACTTCTCTTGGACACTTCTATCTGTTGCAGGCATAGGCCTGTCTCATCCCAGACTCACCTCTTCTACAAGATCCTCCCTGTACATATCTTCTTTGTGTTTGCTGGATCATCTTATTTGGTTATCTTTGGCGATGGAGGTGGTAGTGCTTATTACTGAGAGTTTTCTATGTACCAACTATAGTGTCAGCAGTATGCTTTATCTGATTTAATTCTAACAACCACCTCATGAGTTAGATGCTATTAATATTTCTGTTTTACAAATGAAGAATGGAAAACCAAGGTTTAGGGAGTTTAAGTAACTGACATCTCATTTTTATCTATGGACTGTGGCACATGCTGTCAGAGTCGGTCTTTGACATAGCACCTAGGAAAGAAGCTGAATCAGATTAAACATACTACCCAAACATTAGGTCAATTGAAAATGGCTAGGGAAAAGGGAAGATTCATCATAAAAACTAATTGAGTAAAACTAGGGAGGCCCAATAAGTTCAAATATTTGAATTCAAGGTAGAAAGAAGAAGAAAACCCTCTAGCAAAAGTCGGCCTTAATGGCCCATAGCCTTAGATCTGGCATCATTTAGAACCACATGGCTGGGCATGTGGCTCACGCCTGTAATCCCAATACTTTGGGAGGCTGAGGCGGACAGATCACTTGAGGTCAGGAGTTTGAGACCAGCCTGACCAACATGGTGAAACCCTGTTTCTACTGGGAAAAAAAAAAAAAAAAAAGCAGCAGCATCACAGCCTCAGGGAAAGTACCTACCAGCTTCCAACAGTCTTCGTTCCTTTGAATCCTTTGCCATCTGGTTATATTCCCTCTTCCCATTCTTGTTATCTGCCCATCTTTGACACCTCTTTTCCTCTCTCCTGTTACTTGGCATCGCCTTGGGCAACTTCGGTTCAGTTGATATTCATGTTGATGAACCATTTACTAGTCAAACCCAGTCTGTGTGTGAGACCTTCTACTTTATTAACCCATGTGACCACAAATGACCAGAGCTTGGACCTGATTATCCCGTGGGCCAGCTCCTTCTCTAAAGCCATGAGCTCAGAATTCTTCTCCCACCACAGCCTCCTAGTTTTCTACTCCCTTATTCCTACTGTGCTTTCTGTTTTTTGAGTCTCCACTGCGTTCATCCCTTTTCTTCTGGTCCACTGTGTCCCAGGTTGTATTACGCAAATATTAACACTTCGTAAGTAAAGGGTTAATAGTTAAGTTGGGGGAATGTACTGGGTATTATATCCTTCTTCTGGGAATAGCTCTGAGGAGTCTTAAAGTAAAGAAACATGCTTAGCTTTATTTAATTAAACCTCTTTTTTTTCAAACTTATTTATAAACAGCTTCCATGTAACAGCTTTTGACTTCCTTTGTAGCAAGTATTCCATGGAGCACACTTTGCAGAGCACAGTTGTAATGGGGAAGGAAGGGAAGGAGGAAGAAATAAAGGGCGAGAGGAGAGAGGGAAGGAGGGAGAGAGGGAATAACAAATCTTACTGATAGGCCTTGCTAAGAGTTCATGTTATTCAATCTTAACTAGGCCTTTGTTTCCTGTTGCCATCTTTTATATATTTCCTTATTACTCTAGGATTCCAAACCTTTTCATTGTTTTGTAACATTTACTGACATTCCACTATCAGTCTGCTCCTACTTAATACCTCTTGGAGAGATTTGAGGACATCTAAAAGGTAAATTCTTTAAGTTTCTTTATTTTAAGGTTTTCAACATACCTCATGCTTCTCTTTCTTGTTATCTCAAAGGAAAAGCTCGTCTTATTCCATTCCTCAAGGGCAGCATGTCCAAAACAATTATACTTTAGGATACATATGTCACTGTTTCTTTTCTGGCCTTGTCCCTCTTTCCCTGCTGCCTGGTTAGTGCTTCCTTGACTTTTAGTGTTCAGCATGACTATCACTTCTGCAATTGACTTTATTTATTTATTTATTTATTTTTGAGATGTTCTCTTGGTCTGTTGTGCAGGTTGGAGTACAGTGGCATGATCTTGGCTCACTGCAACCTCCGCCTCCTGGGTTCAAGCGATTCTCCTGCCTCAGCCTCCTGAGTAGCTGGGATTATAGGCACGCACCACCTTGCCGGGCTAATTTTTATATTTTTAGTAGAGATGGGGTTTCACCATGTTGGCCAGGCTGGTCTCAAATCCCTGACCTCAGGTGATCCGCCCACGTTGGGCCTCCCAAAGTGCTGGGATTACAGGCATGAGCTATCGTGCCTGACCTAGACTTTCTTTTTTTAGAGCAGTTTTAGATTCATAGCAAAATACACTGATTTCTCATATATCCCCCACTCCCAGGCATGCACACCCTCCCCCATTATCAACATCCCCCACCGGAGTGGTTCATTTGCTACAATTGATGAACCTACCTTGACACATCATTACCACTCAAAGTTCTGTAATTGATGTTTTACAGTCATCTTCTATAAGCTTCCTTGTATGAGGCTGTGATTTGTTCTTTGTTATGTTCCTAGCACTTAACATAGTGAGAACTTTCAATACCACTTAATGCAGGTTATATGCAAATCTTTTTTCTTTTGCTCTTTCTCTCTGCCATCTTCTAATTGACTATTGGATTTATTCACCTGGATATGCCACAAGTACCTAAAACTATCCTTGTCACCACTCTTCCACATTCTGTCAGTGAATGATTCCACCATTTATCTATTCATTCACTCAAGCCAGAACTTGTTAATCATCTTAGCTGCCCTATTCTGCCTCAGCCACCTTTTTCTGCTCATCTACCATTTCCTCATCTTACAGTATGATGTCATAATTTTACTTCCTAAATACTTCTTGAGTTTCGGCTCTATTTCTGTTACACTTGTCTCCTCCATACCATCGTCATGACTCAGCTAGTATATTGTAACAATCACCTAGCCGACCCCTGTGTGCAGTTGATCCCTTCAAATCCATCCTTCATGCTGCTTACACACAGTGAACTATCTGAAGCATAGATCTTAAAACCTTCCATGGCATTTCATCTCTTTTCAACTCTATTGGTGATATTTATGGCATTCCATGACCTTGCCTCTGCCCACCTCTCTGGCATCATTTCATGCCACTTTTCCTGCTTGAAACCTGATGGTCTAATGACTCTAAATTACTTGTGGTTCTCTGTCATGGTGTTTGCCTGCTTCTTAATCCAGCCTTCAAGACTCAGCTCAGTTTTTATCTCCTCTGAGTATCCTTTTTTGTCCTCTCAGCCGCTACTAAAAACTCCTCTGTGTGCTCACAGTAGTACCTGTGCACAACTCCATGTGCTTGTTACATTAGGCATCATATAGCCACGAAATGTCTGAATATTCATGAGGCCCAATTTTTCCAGGGCATCTTACTATTTTCTAGCCCATGGCTAATGCACAGTTAATGTTTCTTGAACTGAGTTCAGGATATTCAGGGAGAGTAGTCCAGCACACAAAAATGTGGGCCTTGAACCACAATCACTTACCGAGAGATTTAGGAATTATTTTGTGTAAGGTGATAGTTGACCATTTGCGACTGGTGATTGGTAGAGAGAAAAGGTAAGGCCAGTATGCATAACCTTTACTATAGTCTTTTTTGTTTCTTTTTTTTCCAGAGACAGGGCTTTGCTCTGTCCTCCAGGCTGGAGTGCAGTGCCATAATCATGGCTCATCGCAACCTCAAATTCCTAGGCTTAAGCAAGATCCTCCTACCTCAGCTTCCAGGGTAGCTGGGACTATAGGTCTATACCACCACACCTACCTAAGTAAAATTTTTTTTGGCCGGGCATGGTGGCTCTCATGCCTGTAATCCCAGCACTTCGGGAGGCTGAGGCAAGCAGATCACGAGGTCAAGAGATCGAGACCATCCTGACGAACATGGTGAAACCCTGTCTCTACTAAAAATAAAAAATTAGCTGGGCGTGGTGGCGCGTAAGTTGCAGCTTCTCTGGAGGCTGAGGCAGGAGAATCACTTGAACCCGGGAGGCAGAGGTTGCAGTGAGCCGAGATCGCGCCATTGCACTCCAGTCTGGCGACAGAGTGAGACTCCGTCTCAAAAAAAAAAAAAATTTTTTTTTTGTAGAGACCGAGTCTCACTATGTTGCCCAAGCTGGTCTTAAACTCTTGCCCTTAAGCAATCCTCCCGCTTTGGCCTCCCAGAGTGCTGAGATTACAGGCATGAACCACTGTGCCCAGGCTTTATAGTTGTTGTGTAGCATTTTTACCCTAAAAAGTAGTAAGTTTCTAGAGGACAGACACCTTGTATTGTTTGTCTTGGTGTTTATTTTTCACAGTGCTCAATCTAATGTCCTGGACAAAGTGGGTGTTCAATATGTGTTTGGACTAAGTAGCAATATGTGACTAGAATTCAGTAAAAGGGAGAGGCTGTTCTATTTCTTGTATTTCTGAGCTCCGTAAGTTCACGCTTCAGGGGCCCATTTACCTCTTTAATTCCCTGCATGCAAAAGGAGGATGAATGCCTTAGATGATAGATTGAACCTGACCTCTTAATGTTTTATGTGATATAGCTATGTGCCACATCAGTCCTCATATGCCTTCATTTTTATATGGGCTATAAAACCAAAATTACTTCAAGAGGAATATTTGACCATTTTCATCCTTCTTTTAAAATGAATTGGAGTTACCAAAAGTAGCCTGATGCAGTTGAATAAAATTAAGTGTATTTTAAAATCTCTAAACAAAAAGCTACAGATTTAATCATCTGTAGTTGTATCTACATATGTCTGAAAACCCCTGAATCTTCTTTCGGTTGCCCTGGTGACTGTTTCATTGGAGTAGCGTATCAAGAAAGACTACATCTGTGGAGTCCAAACACTAGCTACTATCCACATAGGCTATTTAAATAAAAATTAATTACAATGAAAGAAAATTTAAAATTCAGTTCTTCAGTCACAGTAGCCACATTTCAAATGCCACATGTGGCTGCCGGCTGCCATCCTGGACAGCACAGATATAGAACATTTTCATCACTGCAGAAAGTTAGACTGAATAGAAATGTACTAGGTCATCCCTAAGGATCCTTCTGCATCTGATATCCTTCTACTGGGAAACCTGCTCACAGGGACTTCTGAGATTTCTCAACATTGTTTGACTGCATTTTGAATTTTTTTAGATTGGATATTACTTCAAATAATTGAGTTGTTGAGTAGAACTTGTCCATTTTTAATAAAGATCTTTTCATTGTAATAGCATTTGTTTTAACTACAAATGTATTTGCATTTTTATTCTTTCTCCAAAGAGTGCGCTTCCAGAGAGTGTCCTCAAGCCTTTTAGGAAAATTAGTTTTGTTTCATCCTTAATAAGAGTGAAGTTCAGACTATAATATTATTATTTCATACTGGATAATTTAATTAAATTAAGAATTAAGCACTATAATATGTATGTATGCACGTTACTTGATTTGCATGGCACATTTTATAATAGCGCTGTGAGTGTGCTAAGCTGTCATTGAACTACCATAAAAATTACTTAAGTCTGGGTGTGGTGGTTCGTGCTTGTAATTCTAGCACTTTGGGAGGCTGAGGTGGGATGATTGCTTGAGCCCAGGAGTTCAAGACCAGCCCGGGCAAGATGGTGAGACCCCATCGCTACAAAAATTTTTTTAAAAATTAGCTGGGTGTGGTAGCATGCATCTGTAGTCCCAGCTACTTGGGAGGCCGAGGCAGGAGGATCCCTTGAGCCCAAGAGTTCGAGGTGGCAGTGAGCTATGATCACACCAGTGCACTCCAGCCTGGGTGACAAAGTGAGACCCCCATCTCTTAAAAATATATATTACTGAGAAATAAGTATTTTTCAGGGTACTTCTTAGAGTTGAAAAAACCTGCTAATTATTTAAAAGTATAAACTATAATAAAAGATTGAAGTTATTGCTCACCTGTATTTCTTGGACAAATTACATCCATTTTACTTCTAGGGCTAGAAAACTTATATCACCATTAGCTGTTTCTCTGAAATTTTGTCATGTTGAGTTTGATTGCCTGTCTATAAAGATGGATAATAATGTGACTATGTGGTATTGAAAGTATCCATTGGCTTGGACATAATAGCAATGTGGTTTGGTGGTGTTTACAAAAGTGATTGATGGATATGGCCATGTAGTCGTACAGTAATAGAAGTGAGAAATAGGAAAGACATGTCAGAGCGTCTTGTGCCAGTGTGGGTTTATTTCCTAAGGAATAATCATTTACCATAATAGTACTGAGAAGTAAATTCTTTGGCGGCATAGGATAATAAGGATGTATTATTATGTTTTGTCTTTTCTAAAGTAAGAATTCTGCTGTTTATTATTAGCATGAAAATCGATATGATTGTGCAATAAATACTGTTTAAAGAAGAACTTCCTTCATGTTTTATAAACCTACACAATTCTATTCTTCATGTTTAATGAAGTTTGTGTAGGAAAATAGTGTGACTGTTTTTGATTAGAGGCATATTTTGTTTCAAGAATTGGATGAAGATCTTCTTCCTAAACTGATTGTGTTCCCAGACTAGTTGTTAATTATTTGGAATTAGGAGTCATGATGGGGAAATTTCCACCACATCCAGAAAGTCTGTGAATTTTAAACCTCTGATGGCTTGTTTTCTGAAGTGAAAAACTAATGCAGATTTCTGTCACTAGAAACACAGCAGTGCTTAGGAGAGATTGGAAGTAGGGTTGTGGTGAGAATTGGCAGGAGGACTCTTTCTCCCTTCATTCCTCCTCCTTCGTCCTGCACTAGCTGATAAGAGCTGGGCCATAGGAGTGGAGACTAAAAATGAAAGGAGGTTTCATTGCTTAGCACTTCTTTTCCTCTTTTCCCCCTTCTGCTGGCAATCCTTGATGGGGAGGAAACAAAGTGTCTGTATAGCAGCCCGATTATTTCATATTAAGCAACTGTCAAATTAATATAAGGACAACTGCAGGTTATTTCCAGTGTGAATTACAGAGTACTTTAAAAACTCGTTATATTTCATTTATCTATCGTTAGGGCAAATCATTTCAAATGCTTATAATGAGCTGTGATTTTTATCAGTATTTCCCAGATTTGAGTCATAAACACTTTGAAAATTCATAGGGAGACTCTTAATAGCTGTTTAAAGAGGAAAACCAAATCAAACCAAAAGAAAGTAGAGGGGCAAGGTGATCCTCAGCACAGCCATTTGTATGTGTCACCACAGCTGACCCCTGGACTCAGCCTTTCACACCACCTTGCCCTCTGCTACCACACTGATTTTGTACCTCTCCATGCACAGTCTTATTTAGGTCCATGAACTAAATAAGTTAGCTGCTAATTGGTGAAATATGCCTTCTTAAATATGACCATGTTAGCCTGGCTATTTCCTGAAAACCAGTTGGAGTTTATTAAAAATAGAGACCATTTTTATTGAAGCCATAATTGTCATGGGCGATACACATGAGAGATCACCCTGTGGCTGGCCTGTCAGACTTTCATGAGCCTTCAGAAATTAAGGGGAATGAGTGAGTTTGTTTTCTTGTAAGCTGTCACATTCTTCTCTTCAAAGTGTCAGCCTGAGTTGTGCACAGATAAATGTTAGAAACTTTCACCTTCTCCAGTTGATTTTTTTACCCTTACATAATTTAGTAGTATGATTGTTTTTCCTCTAACATTTAATGTTTTTGTACTTTTAATTTTTGAAATGTGAGCTTGTGCTTTAGAGTTGGGAAAACTTAGAGGTAGTTCCAGTATAGAAAGCTTAGCCTATAGACAGTTTAATCAACTTACACAAAACTATAATATTTTTGCTAAGTAATAGAGATTCTGAAAGGCAATGGAGAGGAGGAGGATGAGCTTTGTAAAATCAGCTAATCCAGATAGAAAGTGTCAGTTAATTTAACATATTTTTATTGACAGTTTTACATATGAACACCACTGTTGTAGGAATGGTGAATCAATCATAAATCTTGTCTTAAAGGAGCTTCTAGTAAGGGCTAGAAGGCACGTTCATAAATAACAACAGAAAGCAGAAAGTCTTAAGTGTCTTGTGAAAAAAAGTTCAAATAAATTACAAGAGGGAGAATTACTTTTTAGCTGGAGAGTAAATTTGGATAGACTTGAAGCAAACTATTGTTTGAGCAAGATCAAAAGGTTGGATAAGTTTTGGAGTTAAGAAGGAAAGATATTCCAGGATCGTATCTGTAGCAGCACAAACAGATGCTATAGAAAAATGAATTTCTGAGTTTCTAGTATGTAGGCTGCACAGAAGGTAGAGTTTGTGAGTGTGTGTATGTTATATATATGTGCTGAATGAGACTAGATAAGAATCTAGGGTAAGGGAGCTTGACTGTTAGTTCAAGGGATTTGTTCTGTATTGAAAAGGCAGCAGAAAGCCATTGAAAGCTTTGAAGTGGAGCAGAAGCACATCATAGTCTACTTGGGCAGAAACTGAAGGTGGGCTATCAGCAGGGCAGCAGTTAGATTATTGTAGTAATCTTGATGAGACTGGATGAGGGCTGAGGGTAGTTTAGTAGTGATTAAGATGAGGTAATAAATATGTGAGATCCTGCTGGATCAATCAATATAGGACTTGGCAGTTAATTGATATGGGGGTGATCAAAGAAGAAGGAGGCTCCAGAAAGTTTGTGAATTACTGGCCCATTAGACATTAATACTTTTTATATGGAGCTTTAGAATTCATAAAACCCTATTATATCTGAAAGCTTTCGTAACTCTGTAAGTTAAAGTTATAGTAGAATTATCCTTACTATGGATGAGGAAATAAAGAATTTAGGGATTTTTCTGTGGTTAATATGAGAGTAAATGCCGATCTAGGCCTATAACTAGTCTTCCAGTTTCTTGGCCAGTATTTCTTTTATATCCTTCCTTGTGAACCTGGGAAGAAAAACTCTGGCATCTAGTCCCAATGTCTTTTTGTTTTTTTTTTTTGTTTTTTTTGAGACAGAGTCTTGCTCTGTCACCCAGGCCGGAGGTGCAGTGGCATGATCTCAGCTCACTGCAACCTCCACCTCCCGAACTCAAGCGATTCTCATGCCTTAGCCACCCAAATAGCTGGGACTACAGGTGTGGGCCACAATGCTCAGCTAATTTTTGTATTTTTAGTAGAGATGGCCAGGCTGGTCTTGAACTCTTGACCTCAAGTGATCCACCTGCTTTGGCCTCCCAAAATACTGGGGTTATAGGTGTGAGCCACTGCCCCCAACCACCACTGGGTTTTTGAATGTGGACAAATTGCTTATTTCTTGGAGCTTTAGTCTCTCTAGATGCCCTTATCCTTTCTATCTTGCAAGGATACTTTGAAGATAAAATGCAATGTTTTTGGTTTTATCAACTCTTTATTCAGCAAATAATGAGCACTAAATACTATGCTTAGTACTGGGGGGCCACAAGATGTTTAAATTTGTGTGTTTCACAGATCAGAGGACAGGAAATGCAGATAAATAATTGTAATAACCGCAGTAAGTGTTCTAATACAAGTATGTACATTTGGCTCTAGAGTCATAGAGTAAGGGGCAGTCAGGCAATCAGCGAAGGCTTCCCAGGGAGATGGGAACTGAGTCCTGAAGCATAATTCGTGGTTTAATGGTAGTAAAATGTTAAACAAGGCAGAGGGTAAAATAATGCATCATCATCATCATAATACTAGCTGTTATTTGTTGAAAAGCTTATAATTCTGACCACATCTCTGCAAGATATTTTCATTTTATAAGTAAGAAAATAGGTTCAAAAGGTTGTGATTTGATCATAGTATTTAATGAAGTCAGTATGGTACATTAGGGAGGTGCAAATGGTTAAGTATCACTGGACAGTAGCAAACAAGCAACAGAAAGGATAAAGATAAAACTGAAAAAGGGGCTCAAGTATGCTATATTCTAGATATTAAAAAATAAAAATAATAAAACTAGTGGTTTCATGACAGACAGGGGAGACTATTTTAACATATATGAGACAAAGGATTAATACCTAGTAAAATATGCCTAATTAAACATTGGTTACTATGTGGACCAAGATGTTTTCACTGATCAGTTCTCCGAAACATTTAAGGAAGATATAATACTAAGTTCACAGAAACTCAAATAAGAGAGGAGGAGGGAGCACTTTCCAACTCATTTATAAAGCCATATATATATACCTCTCATACTAGTATGTGACAAAGATTTTATAAAATATTAGCAAATGAAATCTAGAAATATGTAAAAAGGATAATACATGATTACTAAGCAGAGTTCATCTCAGAAATGCAGGATTGGATTTATATTTTAAAAGCTGTATGATTATTGTGATAAATGCAGAATAAGCACCTGACAAAATTTAGTAACCATTCAGAGTGAAAAACTGTTAGCAGGCCGGGAGTGATGGCTCATGCCTGTAATCCTAACACTCTGGGAGGCCAAGGCGGGTGGATCACCTGAGGTTAGGAGTTCAAGGCCAGCCTGGCCAACATAGTAGAACTCCATCTCTACTAAAATTACAAAAATTAGCTGGGCATGGTAGCATGCACCTGTAGTCTCAGCTACTCGGGAGGCTGAGGCAGGAGAATTGCTTGAATCCAGGAAGCAGAGGTTGCAGTGAGCCAAGATCGCACCACTGCACTCCAGCCTAGGTGACAAAGCAAGACTGTCTCCAGAAAAAAAAAACAAAAACAAAACAACAACAACAAAACTATTAACAACTATGTCCTCAATCTGATAAAGCGTATCTGTGAAAAACCTACTACTAAAATCATGCTTCATGGTGAAATATGAAATACTCTTCCCAAAGATTGGGGGAAAAGCAAGAACAGCCATGCTCTTCATTCTTATTAACATTGTACTAGAAATCCTAGCCAATGCAGTAAGGCAAGAAAAAGAAATAAAATGTTTGAAAATCAGAAAGGAAGAAGTAAAACTGTTTCTATTTGTAGTTGACAGTGTTTGTTTATGCAGAAAAACCCAAGAAACCTAAAAAATAACTATTAGAACTAATTTATTTAGCAAGACATAAGGTCAGTATACAAAAATCATTATATTTTTATATACTTACCATAAATGAAATTTTAAAAATTTCATTAAAAATAGTGTTAAAAAACCATAAAATACTTAGAAATAAATTTAACAAAAAATGTGTAAGACCAGTATCTTGAAGACTGTAAAACATTGCTGGGAGAAATTGAAGAAAACCTGAATAAAAGAATATCTACCATGCTCATGGACCGGATGACTCAGTGTGGTTAAGATATCAGTTCTCAGCCGGGCGCGGTGGCTCACACTTGTAATCGAGCACTTTGGGAGGCTGAGGTGGGTGGATCACTTGAGGACAGGAGTTCAAGACCAGCCTGGCTAACATGGTGAAACCCCATCTCTACTAAAAGTACAAAAAAATTAGCCAGGTGTGGTGGTGGGTGCCTATAATCCCAGCTAGTCAGGAGGCTGAGGCAGGAGAATTGCTCGAACCCAGGAGGCGGAGGTTGCAGCGAGCCGAGATCATGCCGTTGCAATCCAGCCTGGGCAACAAGAGTGAAACTCCATCTCAAAAAAATAAAAAGATATCAGTTCTCCCTATATGCAGTTCCAATCATAATACCAAGCAGGCATTTTGTAGAAAATGCAAAGCTGATTACTAAAATTTATATGGAAACACAAAGGACCCTTATTTACAAAGAAATTGTAAATAAGAAGGGCAGAGTTTGCAGACTTACGTGAATTGCTTTGGATACTTACAATAAGACTACAGTAAACAAGACAGTATGTGTGGTGAGTTGAATAATGTCCCCCCAAATTAATGTTCACCTGGACTCTCAGGATGTGGCTTTATCTGGAAATACAGTCTTTGCAGATGTAACTAGTTAAGATGAGGCCACACTGGATTATGGTGTATCCTAAATCAATGACTGGTGTCCTTATGAGAGAAGGAAAGGACACAGAGACAAAGACACTGAGGGAAAACGCTTATATGATGATGGAGTTAGAGATTGGACTGATGTATCTGCATGCCAAGGAACCCCAAGGATTGCTAGAAGCCACCAGAAGCTAGGAAGAGGCCAGGAAGAGCCTTAGAGCCTTCATAGGGAGCGTGATACTACCAACAACTGGTTCCAGATTTCTAGACTCCAGAACTGTGAGATAATACATTTTTGTTGTTTTAAGCCGCCTGGTTTGTGGTTCTTTGTCACAGCAGCTCAAGGAAATGAATACAATATGATACTGACATAACAATCAAATTGATCAGTGGAACCAAGTGGTAAACCCAGAAACAGACCCATGTTTATACAGTCATTTGGTTTTCAACAAAAGTGCCAAAGCAATACAACAAGGGAAAAGAAGTGTCTTTTCAACAAATGGTGTTGGCGAAACTGGATTTCCATGTGGGCTTAAAAAAAAAAATTGCCCCTTCCCACATACTATACATAGAAAATAATTCTAAATTCTAACTGAAAAAGCAAAAACTATAAAGCTTCTAGAGGAAAACATCTTTGTAGCTTAGGAGTCGACAAAGATTTCCTAGGACCTACAGCTTTTATAGCTAATGGGAAACCTTAGCTATAAAAGAAAAAAACTTATAAATACTTGTGACGAAAACACATTAGGAAAATAGGCAAGCTAAAGACAGGGATGCCAGGCGCATTGGCTCATGCCTGTTATCCCAGCACTTTGGGAGGCCAAGGCAGAGGGATCGCTGGAGTACAGGAGTTCAAGGCCAGCCTGGGCAACATAGGGAGACCTTGTCTCTACAAAAAAAAAAAAAAAAAAAAAAATTAATTAGCTGGGCATGGTGGCACATGCCTGTGGTCCCAGCTCCTTGGGAGGCTGAGGTGGAAGGATCACTTGGAGGCCAGGTGTGGTGGCTCACACCTGTAATCTCAGCAGCTTGGGAGGCTGAGGTAGATGCATTGCTTGAGCCCAGGAGTTCAATACCAGTCTGGACAACATGGCAATGGTCTCTATTAAAAATCCAAAAATTAGGCCAGGCATGGTGGCTCACACCTGTAATCCCAGCACTCTGGGAGGCCAAGGCGGGTGGATCACGAGGTCAGGAGATCAAGACCATCCTGGCTAACACTGTGAAACCCCGTCTTTACTAAAAATACAAAAAAAACATTAGCTGGGCGTGGTGGCGGGTGCCTGTAGTCACAGCTACTCGGGAGCCTGAGGCAGGAGAATGGCGTGAACCTGGGAGGCGGAGCTTGCAGTGAGCCAAGATCGCGCCACTGCACCCCATCCTGGGCGACACAGGGAGACTCCATCTCAAAAAAAAAGGAAAAAAAAAAAGTCAAAAATTAGCCAGGCATGTTGGCACACACCTATAGTCCCAGCTACTTGGGAGGCTGAGGGTGACAGGATTGATGCCTGGGAGGTCAAGACTGCAGTGAGATGTGATTGCATCATGACACTCCAGCTTTGGCGACACAGTGAGACCCTGTCTCACATAAATAAATAGAAATAAATAAATTTTAAAAGACGGAGAAATATTTGCAAAATGTTTATCTGACAAGGGACATGTATCCAGAATATATAAAGAACTACAATTGAAAAATAAAAAGACAGCCAACCTCACTAGAAAATGAGCAAGAGTTTGAAAGGATTTCACAAAGGAAGGTATACAAATTGCCAATAAGCACATTAAAAAATGCTTGATATTATTTGTCACTGGAGAAATGCCAGTTATAACTAGAAAAGATATTAGCCTGCAGGCACTAGAAAGACTAAAAGATCAAATGTAGGTAGCGATATGGAGCAGTTGCAACTCTCATACTTTGTTGTTGGGAGTTTAAAATGTACTACAATGTTGGAAAAAGGTCTGGCTGTTTTTTAGAAAACTGAACATATACTTACCCTATTACCCATTAATTTCATTTCTTTCTATACCTACCTATGAGATATGAAAATATATGCACACAAAAAGATTTGTAGAAGAATGTTTATAGCAGTTTTACTTATAATAGCCAAAACCTGGGGACAGCCCAGGTATCTATCAACAAGAGAATGAATAAACAAATTGTGGGTGTATTCATACAATAAAATAATTTTTGTATTTTTAGTAGAGATGGGGTTTCATCATCTTGCCCAGGCTGGTCTTGAACTCCTGACCTCAAGTGATCCACTTGGCTTGGCCTCCTAAAGTGCTGGGATCACAGGGGTGAGCCACCATGCCTGGCGTGAACTCTAGTTGCTGATATGCAAACTGAAGTGATGGGGTGGAATGCTTGCAACTTACCTCAAAACGCATTAAAAAATGCATTGATATGTGGTCAGAAGAATGGACTGATGACAACATGACAAAAGCAAATATAAAATGTTAATCATAGAAACCAAATAGTATTTGGGTATTCAGTGTATAGTTATTTTAACTTCACCATATTTTTGAAATTTTTAAAAACGTTGGGAAAAATGGTTCTCAAAGGGGAATGATTACAAAAATTATTGTACTTCTCTACTTTGGAATACTGTGTAGCATTTGTCATTGTATAATACGGAAAGACTTTTTAGGCTTTCTCTTAAGGCAAAAACAAGTTGTAGAAAAATATAATATTTTAAAAATTAAGGTAACACAAAACTGTGTGTTTATATGCACACACACCTAAGTTCTCAGAAGAAGTTTGGGGAGGAAATACGCATCTGTTTATATCTGAGAAGAGGATATCTTGGCAGTGGGCTTGTGGGTAATATTTCTTTTCTTTTTGTTTATATTAATTTTCTTCAGTGAAAATACATGACATTTTAAAAAACATTTTGCCTTTAGTGATGTAAAAAATGCCTTTTTGTCATATTTGGTGAGAAAAAATACTAAATTGAGCAACATAATTTCCACTGATAAATGCACCTATGTAAAAGGAAAAAGAAACTTAGGTATAAATATTGGTTATGTTACTATTAGGAACATAGTTGATCCACCCACCTCAGCCTCCCAAAGTGCTGGGATTGCAGGTGTGAGCCACCACGCCCGGCCAGGAAATTTTTTTTTAAAGAAGCATTTCAGACATACACAAAAATAAAATGGGGTAATGAACCTCCCTGTTTCCATCACTCATCTTCAGTATTACAGGCTCATGCCTGTCATCCCAGCACTTTGGGAGGCTGAGGTAGGTGGATCACCTGAGGTTAGGAGTTTGAGACCAGCCTGGCCAACATGGCGCAACCCCATCTCTAAAAATACAAAAATTACCTAGGTGTGGTGATGCGTGCCTGTAGTCTCAGCTACTCAGGAGGCTGAGGCAGGAGAATCGCTTGAATCTGGGAGGTGGAGGTTGCAGTGACCTGAGATCATGCCACTGCACTCCAGCCTGGGTGACAGAGTGAGATCTATCTCAAAAAAAAAAAAAAAAAAAAAAAAAAAAATATATATATATATATATATATATATATATATATATATATATATATGGACCATAGGATTATGAGGATATATCCTCTTTGCTATTTAGCTTTTGGAGTGGTGTACTTCTTATTGAAAAATTGTCTAAAATTTCACATCCTAGACGTTTCATATAGATTTCATTTTTTTTTTATTAAAGAGGATTGTTAGTAACTTTTCACAATTTTTTTAGGATCTAACTAGGTTTAGACCAATAGAGAAAACGGAGCAGCTTGTGCTATTTCTTATATTCATTAATTTGTGATTTTTTTTTATTTTTTATTTATTTATTTATTTATTTATTTTTGAGACAAAGTCTCACTCTGTCGCCCAGGCGGAAGTGCAGTGGCACGATCTCGGCTCACTGCAACCTCTGCCTCCCAGGTTCAGGCGATTCTCCTGCTTCAGCCTCCCGAGTAACTGGGACCACAGGCATGTGCCACCATGCCTGGCTAATTTTTTGTATTTTTAGTAAAGATAGGGTTTCACTATGTTAGACAGGATGGTCTTGATCTGCTGACCTGGTGATTTGCCTGCCTTGGCCTCCCAAAGTGCTGGGATTACAGGCATGAGCCACCACGCCCGGCCTGATTACTTTTTTAAAGCTGTTTGCCCTAAACTGTTTGAAAAAGATCTATGGAAATATTTTCTTTTATTGAAATAACACTGGTCTTCTCATTTTGCGAGCTACAGATTTCACTTATTAATTCAAAGTTCAGTAGTCAATATTTAATACTTTCCATATGTCAGGTATGGTACTTAGTCATGTATAAATATGTCTTTCATAAATATTAGAGCACATTTAACAGATGTATGTAGTTAATCAGATATTCAAAGAAAGAAGAAATAAGTAAATATCTCTTTTCTGTTTGGATGTTTGTAGATATTTAAATATTTATAACGTTTTGATGTTTGGCAGATTTAGTTCCTTTATTTTAGTAGCTTGTTTCTATTTGTGGAGAGAAGAAAAAAAAATAGCCTGTCCACAGTCACTATGATGTGGTTGCAGTTATTACTGCCCTCCTAGGTTAGGGCTGATGTATTGGGGGTCACAGGGAGAGGATAGGGCTTTGTGCCATGAGATTCATGAGGTCAGTGACCACGTCTGTTAACTGTTTACTCTTCTGTCATCTTCTGGCACAATTCCTGAGACATAATAGTTCCTCAGGTATTTGTTTATCAGCCAATCGAATGAATGAACATATCTATAATCTAAGGAAAGGAGATAGGCAAAATAGCAGTATAATTTTGAAATTTATTGTATCAATTTTGACTGAAATATATGTATAATATATATTACATATATATACAGCCAATTTGTGGGACTAGAATAAAAAGTTGCTACACACACACGCGCACACGCACAGATCAAAACACTTGCTGTATGTAATTATCTATGCAGACTATCCAGTAGAGGGCAGGGTTTTACTTGTGGGAGAATTTAATACAACTTTCTTTTTTTACCATCATGTAAATGCTTACCTCCCTTATAATCATCATTATCATCATAATAAGTAATGTATGTTTATTTTTCTTTAATTGTTATAGAAGATTTGACCAATGGCTCTTGCTTTTCTTGAAGTTAAGAAATGATGTACATCTTAAATAACTTTTCCCTACTTGCATCCCAGTTTGCATTGTACAGGTTATAAGGTCATGGTGATATTTTAGATTATGCATTCCATCTCAAACAGTAGTTGAGTCGCTTATGTTCTTAAATGACATTTTTAGGTTCCCTTTTTGTGTTTCCAAAGCAGCATTAGACATAGGTCTGGAGTGTTGACAGTTGTGAAGAAGTACAGTGCAATAATGCTTCATCAGATAAATAAGCAATATTGTAAAGCTTGTCAGCAGAGCACTGCAGCAGCCACTCATGTCAGTTTTAAAAGACAAAGATGGATACCCAAAGGAGACGTGTCAGCTTGTTAAGACACTTAAGGTTTCATGTCTTTAGGTTTAACATGGTTGAATAGGCACTTCTGTCTGTCCTTCCCACTAATTACAGTGAAAAACAGGGGACCTTGTATGTAAAACAAACATAAGACTCTGAAAGGTAGAAGACCACTGACCAGCAGGGACTATGGGACCCTAGGAGAGTACATGGCACCAAAGTGGTATCAGTAAAGACCTAGTGGGGAGCTGGAACTCTCACCCCAACCCAGCACTATCGAGGTACCTCTCTCACTTTCCACTTTGGGTACTAAAGGCTGACTGGGGAACATGAATTTTTACCCTCAATTGCTGGTAATGAAGTAGCTATCCCATTCCCCTGCTGGCACAGTATCACAGAAGGCCTGCTCTGGCTGAAGATTTAAATAAGATCTAAAGATTTATAATACCCCAAATATCCAAATTTCAACAAAATGTCCCTCATGACCAGAAAAGAATCAGGAAAATCTCAACTGAAATGAAAAATGAACATCAATAGACACCAGGAGAATACAGATGTGAATTGTCTGACAATTATTTTAAAGTAGCCATCACAAGAAGGCTGAGCAATTATAAACATACTTGAAACAAATGAAAAAAACAGAAAGTCCCAGCAAAGAAAAAGAAACTATCCAGAGAAACCAAATGGAAATTTTAGAACTGAAAAATATAATAACTGAATTTTTAAAATGGAATAGACAGGTTTAATGGAGAATGGGGATGATAGAGGAAAGAATCAGTGAACTTGGAAGAAATTAAGAGAAATTACTCAGTCTGAACAGCAGTGAGAAAATAGATGAAAAAACAAAACCCAGAGTTTAGATATAACATTTGTGTCTTTGTGTGGTCAGAAAGGGAGGGGAAAGAGGGTGGGACTGAAAAAATATTCAAAGAAATAATGGCTGAGAACTTCCAAAATTTGACAAAAGTCATAAATCTACAGATTCAAGAAGCTGACCAAAACTTAAGTAGGATAAACCCAAAGAAATTCATACCAAGACATACTATAATTACATTTCTTAAAACCAAAGGCAAAGAAAAAATCTTGAAAGCAGCAAGAGAGAAATGACACAATGCCTATACAGAAAAACAGTTTGAATGACAACGGATCTCTCAGCAGCAAACATGGAGACCAGAAAGAAGTGACACAAAATTTTGAGGACTAAGGAAAGAATTGTCAACCCAGAATTCCATATCCAATTAAGATATTCTTCAGAAAGGAAGAGGAAACCACAGTGTTCTCAGGTGAAGGAAAACAGAACTTGACATCAGTGGACCTAACATAAAGTAATGTCTAAAGAAATTTCCTGAAACAGAAAAGAAATTATAAAAAAAAGGAATCATGGAACATCAGGAAAGAAGAAAGAACAACAAAGAGTAAAAATATAGTAAATATAATAGACTTTTTAAAAACTTTTTTGAGTGTTGTAAATTATGTTTGACTTTTTTCACTGTTTTCAAATATTGTAAAATAGTATAGTTATCAATGTATGTAGAGGAAATATTGAAGATTATAAATGGAGAAGGGTAAAGGAATTTAAAGGAAGGTAAAGTCTACACTTTACTGGAACTGGTGAAATGTTGACACCAGTAAATGTTGGTAAGTTATATGTAATGCAGTCCTTCAGCAGCTACTTTAAAAAAAATCTATTCAAAGAGATGCAGTCAGAAACATTTTAGATAAACAAAAATGGAATTTTAAACTATGTTCAAGTAACCCATAAGGAGGAAGGGAAAAGAAAACAGATAAAAGAAATAAAATGAAATAACAGATTTAAGTTTCAACATATCAAAGACTACATTAAACATAAATGACCTAAATTCATCTGTTAAAAGACAGATGTGCAGAGTGAATTTTAAAAATGACACACTGTGCTGTTTATAGGAAGTGATTTCAGACAACAATATAGATAGGTTGAGACTAAAGATAGCTTTATTTATAATAGTACAAAACTGAAAACAACCAAAGTGCCTCTCAGTAGGTGAAATTGCTAAACAAACCATGGAATATTATATAATATTATATTCATACCATGGAATTCTACTTAGTAATGAGGAGGAGTGAACTATTGATACTTGCAATAACTTGAATGCCTTTTAAGGGCATTAAGCCATGTAAAAAATGTCAATTTCAAAAGACTTGTATGTTTCCATGTAGGTAACATGGCAAAATTTTTCAGCTGAAAAACAAATTAGTGGGTGTTAGGTGTTAGGAATAGCGAGAGGAAGGAAGCTGAGTGTGACTATAAATGGGTAGCATGAGATCTTTATTGCAGTGGAATGGTTCTGCATCTTGATTTTGGTGGCGATTACAGAAATGTATGTGTGATAAAATGGCATAGAATGATACACATTGTACAGGTATTCCTGGTTTTTAGTATGTTATAGTAATGTGAAATGTAACCATTGAGAGAAACTGGGTGAGAGGTATACTGTACCTCTGTAGTATTTTTGTAACATCCTGTAAATCTATAATTATTTCAGAATACATAGTTTTAAAAAGCAAAAAGGCCTGTATAGTCCTAGCTGCTCGGGAGGCTGAGGCAGGAAGAGATTTTTTGAGCCCAGGAGTTCAAGGTTACAGTGAGCTATGGTCATGCCACAGCACTCCAGCCTGGGCAACAGAGCAAGACCCTGTTTCTATTAAAAAAAAAAAAAGATAAATTATAAACAGGAAGAGTTTGAATATTTTAAACAAATGCATTAATATATTTTATATATTTTCAGGTATAGAGAAGCCAGTATCTTTAGTGCATACCTCTAAAATAGTAGAATGTCATCTATGAATATATGATTTTTTAAAAATTTAGTTTTTTAATTTTTAACAGAGTTAAAGAGGCAGATTATAAAGAGGCAGTCATTTGACTACTCTAAAGTCTTTTTAAAACAAGTCCCACTTTAGAAGATTAGGATTTAGCTCTTATTCTCACTTTCTCCACTACCATAAATGCAAACCTCATTTCTACCTCTGCATTTTCTCACTATAGTTTTCATATTCATTTCAATTACATCAGTAGTCTTTTTTCAGTTGGATAGTATAAACACTATTCATATATGGGCTGTGATTGCTTTTCCTCTCTTAAACAACTCTTTTTCTCCAGAATTAATAATTGTCTTTTGTTTAATTTTCTGTATGCTTATGACTAATTGAATTTCCAACTCTCTGAATTACAAATATCCTTCTGTTCATTCTGAATGTGTTTACTCATTATCTTAATTTTAAAAGAGAAGTAAACATAGGTTGGGTTTTAGAGTTTTGGTGTAAAGAAAATTCTTAGTGTTAGAATTTTCTGGCAAAATCAGGGCAAATATTCTTTGTTACTTTTTCTATTTACACACATACCCTGTCCGGCTGCAGATAAACAAATGGTTTTACCTTTATTTCAGCTTAGTTCCTGATTTTTGTCAAGAGTCTGTTTCTTCATCGATTCCAAACATTGGTCACATAGGGAAGTAGGAAGAGCTGTGGCATAGAGACCAGAACACTTAGGTTCTTGTTCTGATTTGGTTTTAATTGACCTCAATGTAGGATGATCAGGTAACCTCCTTGGCCTCAGTTTTCTCTGTAATAGTGACAAGCTCAGACTAGATTATAACTGAGGCCTCTTCTAGTTAAAATGTGATTTCAAGTAGATAAAGTATTTACTTCAGTCCTGACTGTATATGTAGTATCTCTAAATTAAGAGTGTTGTCATTTCCAGTACTTTTAAAGAAATACCCTGATGTTTAGAAAGACATTAGATTAAAAGGTGTTATAGAGAGGGGAAATTTTATAAAAGACAAAAATGGACCATGCATGGCATCTTTGTTGTGCTTCAAATTTTTATATGGGAATTGTGGTTTTCACTTTCCAAGGGTGTCTGGAAAAGAGAAATTCTAAGACCATCAGAAACCTCATTGTTTATTACCCAACAGATTAGATTTGACCCATAGAGTATGCTCTGAAGTAATTAATGTGGCTTTTATGGAGATTTCTTCAATTGTAGACCATTGAAACTAGATGGGTCCTTGGGGGCTTCTAAGAAAGTCCCTGGTGTCTAGCAGTTTCTAGTTGATATAACCAAGGGCAGAATGTACTGTTTTCCATTTGCAAGTGTTTTTACTTTATTGTGAATGTTGTGTGAGGGATATTTGATATTTGGGATACTTACATTTTTTTCAGAGGGCATTAAGGTGAATTGCCTTAATGCCAAATATACATTTGGAAATGAATTTGTAAGTTTATTTGTATACACCTGTTGATGCATTTGTACATGTGTTTGGTGATGCTGATAGGGTGCCACTTTATGGGGTTCCATGAAAAGCAGATATGTAATTTAATTTCATAACAAACATATTCATTGGTTATTATATTTACTGGTTATTGTTATTCACATAACTTATTTTATTGGTTTTCAGGTACTTGAAGAAACAGAAGCTCAACATTTATATCAGTCCATCTTGCCTGATATGGTGAAAATTGCACTCTGTCTGCCAAATATTTGCACCCAGGTTAGTGGATGTAGCTTCCTCAGTAGCTTCCCTGAGACTGACAATTGAATTTCCCTTAAACTTGAATGGCCAGGGTCACAGAGAGAGAGAGAGAGACAGAGAGACAGAGAGAGAGAGAGAGAGAGAGGAAGAGAAGAGAAGAGAAGAAATGGGAAACAGTTTTTGCCAAAGAGTATAGTAATTTTGCTGTATTAAGGAAAAGGTTAGAGGGTAGAGAGTACTACAAAAGGACATTAAAAATGCAGCATTCCATTCCTCAGCTTCTGTTTACACTGTTGAAGCTTGTTTACTTTGACTTTTTTCTCTCTTTGTTTAAATAACCTCTAACTTAAAAAAGTATTCATTATTTCAAAACATACTAGTGGATTTGGAATAGCGTATTTTCAAAATGGCTTAATACGACCCACTCCTTCCTCACCCTCCCCCAAATTCTACAACAAATGAGTTAATGATACTTTCTTAACTTTTTTTGAGACAGAGTCTTGCTCTGTCACCCAGGCTGGAGTGCAGTGGCATAATCTTGGCTCACTGCATCCTCCACCTCCTGGATTCAAGCAATTCTCCTGCCTCAGCCACCCAAGTAGCTGGGATTATAGGCATGTACCACCATACCCGGCTAAGTTTCTTTTTTTGGAGTGCAATGGCACAAATCCCAGCTCCCTGCAACCTCTGCCTCCTGGGTTCAAGCAATTCTTGTGCCTCAACTTCCCAAGTAGCTGGGATTACAGGCGTGCGCCACCACACCTGGCTACTTTTTGTACTTTTAGTAGAGACGAGGATTCAGCATGTTTGCCAGGCTCGTCTCAAACTCCTGACCTCAGATGATGCCTTGGCCTCCCAAAGTGCTGGGATTACAGGTGTGAGCCACTGTGCCAGCCTTAACTTTTAAAAATAAAGAATCCTGTATTTTATTTTGTTTGGAGTACATTAATTATATATTGCTACATAACAAATTATGTCAAAATTAATGGCTTAAAACAATAAACATGTATTATCTCACAGCTTCTGTTGACTTTGGGAGCAGATTAGCTGACTGAGTGGTTGTGGATCAGGATTTCTCTCGTGGTTGCGGTGAGGATGTCAGCCAGGGTTTCAGTCATCTGAAGGCTTGCCTGGGGCTGAAGGACACACCTCTAAGTTGGCTTACTTACAGAGCTGTTGGCAGAACGCCCTGACATGGGTCTCTCTATAGGCTGATTGATTGTCCTTATGACATAATAGCTAACTTCCCCAGAGCAAGCAATCCAAGGGAGAGAGCAAGGAAGCTGCAGTGTCTTCTATGACCTATTTTTCTCAAGGTACCTAGCATCACTTCTGCTGTTTTTCTGTTCATTGGAAGCTAGCCAGTACCCAGGGGGAGGGGTATTAGACCACCTGTTTTTTTTTTTTTTTTTTTTTTTTGAGACTGAATTTCATCCTTGTCCCCCAGGCTGGAATGCAGTGGCATGATCTTGGCTCACTGCAACCTCTGCCTCCTGGGTTCAAGTGATTTTCCTGCCTCAGCCTCCTGAGTAGCCGAGACTACAGGCATGTGCCACTACACTCGGCTAATTTTTTTGTATTTTTAGCAGAGACGGAGTTTCACCATTTTGGCCAGGCTGGTCTCGAACTCCTGACCTCATGTGATCCGCCCGCCTTTGCCTCCCATGGTGCTGAAATTACAGGCATGAGCCACCGTGCCCAAGACTCCACCTCTTAAAGAGAGGAGCATCAAAGAATTTGTGAACGTATTTTCAAACCTCCACAGGGTTTGTTTTGTTCATAATTTTATTCCTGTGTTTCTCACAACCGTGCTTGAATTTGCCTTTGTCTTTTATTTCTAGGGCCAACGCCTCTTGCTGCATGGCTGCTAGCCAGGGTTCTGCTAGCATTTTACTCCACAGGGGCCCTATGGACATTTGGGTGGAACAATTTCTGAATGTGTATAATGGTCCCATGCATTGCAATATGTCATTAGGACACCCCAAAAACCACAAATAGGGTCACTGGGGCAACCAGAAAACAACCCATACATGTCCAAATGCCTTCCTGGACTATGCCACCTTCAGTTGAGACCCATGAAATGTTTTCCAGTGTGATGTTTTCAATTTTATGTAACTTTAATTTCACCTCAGTAATGCATTGTGCCTGAAATAAGTTTTACTATTGGGCAGGGGAAATATATTTTAAAACATATCTTCTTGTTTCTGTTGGAAGTTATTTGCTTGATCATATTCCATGTTTGTTCTTTTTCCTTTCTCTCCTTACTTAGTAAATTCTCTCCCTACCTCCTAGGTATGCCTGTCTGTTACTTCCCCTGTGAAGCCTTCCCTGCCTCCCAGGCAAGGTTCATCCCTCTTGAAGCACTCAAATCATTGTTTTGTAATTCTTGTCATTATATATCTCTTGCCACTGGATTATAGTCTCCTTAAAGGGAGATCCTCTTTGTGTCCCTGGTTTGCATGGTGCTTAATTATATGCTTTTTGAATTCAATATGTAGTTCATAATCAATAATAGGTAGTAGGTAGCCTTTGGGTGTGGGCCATTTAATCCTCTTCCCCTCGTGCATATGAGAGTTTCCATATTTTATTTAATGAGAAATTTTTGTTCAAAGGTATCTGACTTTGTAAGCTATAACAAGTCCCTTGGAACCAAAATCAGACCCCTGAGTCCTCAGCTTTTTGTCCTGGCTTCTCTCAGTGACTTTCTTCTCCATTAGCATATCAACGGGTAGGCATGGAAATTCTGTGCTTTGCCCCCTATTGAAAAGTCAATCTCTGCTGTGAAAGTTAAGATTTTTATTTGAGATCAAAATACGTCTTGTGGCAAGTTAAATTGTATATGTTGGTGTTTAATAATTTATCACATTGAAGTACTCTAGGCCAAATCTAAAGGGTAAATTTTAGATTTATCAAAATAAAATTAAAGGAAACAAATTTGGTCAGGAA
Organism: Homo sapiens; assembly: GCF_000001405.40. NCBI lineage: Eukaryota > Metazoa > Chordata > Mammalia > Primates > Hominidae > Homo > Homo sapiens. The sequence goes on along the minus strand of NC_000010.11, from coordinate 45,913,150 downwards.
CTTTTTGAAATATCTTGGTTCACAGTAACCAGCCTCTTATTTTGTTGAGCCGATTGCTTGACAGTAAGATTTACATCTCCTGATTTCTCCAAATAATGAGTTTTTAGGCATTTCTCCTCACCAAGAGAGGAGAAATCATTAACTCTATTTAAAATTATACTATTTGTTTATTTGGGAGACAAGAAATGTTTGTGTTTGAAGTCCATTAAGCCTGAAATATTTACCATTAATTTTTAAAATCATTTTTCTGAATAACTTGGTAAATGGTAGTTAAAAACTCATTTCTTCCTAAAACCAAGCAGCACTTTGCTTGAAGCCATTGATGCACTGTCACCTTTTCTAAACTCGTTGCTTGGTTGTGAACAAATGCACAGGATGGAAAATGGAGATCAATATGAGCTCTCTATTTTTCTCAGAAATGGTGATTGCTAAGACCTGAAGGGGAGAGAATTTTGTAAACATAGTGAAAATACATTCTTTACCTTTTGCTTATTTGTTTACCTTTGAATTTTTCCAAGAGAAATAGTTGAATTACAAGTTTAATCTGTTCTTTTTTCTGGCAAACTCTTATTCTAGCAGTGGTGTGTACTTCTGTACTTAGAAAAGCATTCATTATTCAGCACCGCAGTTTTGGTTTGTCTTGCCTGCCCTTTCCTCAGGTTCATTCTGGGTGTCCACTCCTGAGGTATGATCAGGACAGTTTGCTCTAGGCATGCCATTTTGAGATGAGTGCAGTTACCCGAAACTCTTAGTTCTGGGTCTTACTGAAGGGGAGAATGAAATGCATCTCTAAATATTCTGTGGGAGCATTTTGAAACTTAACAGCAGAAGGATAAACTGGTAGTTGGTCTTTGATTTTATCAGCATGTCTTTAAAAACATAGTTTAACATTTAAAATATGTTAACAAAAAGAGTCAAACTCTGTAAAATATTTGAAGAGATTTATTTTGAGCCAAATGGGAGTAACCAGTGGCCTGTAACACAGCCCCAGGAGATCTGAGAACATGTGCCCAAGATGGTCAGGCTTGGCTTTATACATTTTAGGGAGACATAAGACATCAATCAATACATGTAAGGGGGGCTTACAGGTCTTAGGTAGATTCAAAGATTTTCTGATTGGCAATTGGTTGGAAGAGTCAAAGACCTGGAATCAATAGAAAGGAATATCTGGGTTAAGATAAGGGTTTGTGGAGACCAAGGTTTTATCATGTGGATGAAACCTTGTAACAGGCTTCAGAGCTTTTATCAGATCTAAAAAGGTACCACACCCTTTCTTAATTCTCACCTGGAAAGGAATAGAGATTCTTTACAGAACGTACATTTTCCCAACAGACAGCTTTGCAGGGCTATTTCAAAATATGTCAAAGAAATATATTTTGGGGTAAAATACTTCAATTCTTTCAAGGTATGCTATCTGTCATGTGATGCTATACTCGAGTCAGGCTGGAGTTGAGTCTTATTATTATAAAAAGATTTGTTTCATCAGTTTTAAGGTCTCTGTTTTCTTGTTAATGCTGGTCACTTGTGCTGAATTCTAAAGTGAGGAGCATATAATGAGGCGTGTCAGACCCACACTTCCTATCATGGTGTGGACTAGTGTTTCAGGTTAACTTTGGAATCCCCTTGGTCGAGAGGAGGGGTTCATTCAGTTGGTTGGGGGGCTTGGAACTTTATTTTTGGTTTACAAACAGAATAAAACCCACTGAACACAATACTCAGGTCGTGTGGATTATACTGAAATAAAAGGTAAGTGAATTTGGTGGCATAACTAGAAGACATTTTAGACATAAAAGATTTGAAGGAAAAATGTCTTACATCTTCCATGACTTGGAATGTTTGGTTATGTAAGAAATGTCTTATCTTTTTACAACTTATACATGTCCGTATGGTGGTTTTTACATGTTCTATTAATAGCTTTAATGAAGTTAGATTTGATTCTTATAAAGAAATTGTGAGTATGAAGTGTAATTTGGAATAAGAGGGAGGGTTAAGACTTATTTGTTGAATTATCTTAGATCATTTTATTGAGGACTAAGAAAGATTATTCTAGCCAATAATTTTTAATATAAATAAGAACAAAATTTAGCTTAAACAATGTTATATATTTTTGTTTCATCTTTTGTTCTAATTTTTCATTACATGGGCAATGTGTTTTTATTTACTTGCTGAAGCAATCTTGTTTTTCACTAATAAGTAATGTTTTATATTCTCTTCACTATCATTATTATTGATTAGAAATCTGCAGTTTGTCAAATAAGTGCATTTTCTGAATCATCCCTGATAAACAGCCCTTGACTTTTACAATATTGCTGATTTAAGGATTCAAGAATGGCCTGAAATTATTTCTGCCTTAATTTAGCAAATGCAATTTGGTGCCTCTGCTTTTGAAATTGCTAAACTAATTATTGCTCTTCTCGTCTGTATTTTTTTGTTTCTTTTATCAGCCAATACCACTCCTGAAACAGAAGATGAATCATTCCATCACAATGTCGCAGGAACAGATTGCCAGTCTTTTAGCTAATGCTTTCTTCTGCACATTTCCACGATGAAATGCTCAGATGAAATCGGAGTATTCTAGTTACCCAGACATTAACTTCAATCGGTATGTTTTCAGAAAACACCTCTTTAACAATGAAAAAGACAAAGGTGGAAGGAACTAATAATATTTCTTGAATGAATTCCATAGGCCAAGCATTTTATATGCAGTTGTCTTATTTAATTTTTACAGTACTTAAGTGACATTTTCACCATTTTGCAGGCAAGGTGATTAAAGTTCATTGAGGTTAAAAGAACTTGATTAGGATCCAGGAGCTAGTAAGTCACAGAACTGAGATTTTATTTCAGGCCTGTCTTACTCCAGGGCCCATGTTCTTTCTGTCCTCTCAGATGATTCCCCAGTTCTCTGGACTCCACATGCCTCTTCAGTTTGATTATTCACGAGAACTTTTGTTGTGCTTATATTCCTTAATGCTGAAATACTGTGAAAGGTAGAGGAAAAGTCCTCCTTTCTACAAAGGTCTTATAAAATGAGAGTCTAAAGTCATGAGCTGTCTTATGAGACTTGAAAAGTGTAATTGTTTTGATGAAAAGTGAAAGGTGATTTTGACCCTTTATAGACATGGTTAATTTATCAGTGTAATATTTTTAAAAGAAAAACAAAAGAATGTTCAAACTGCTCGACTAAATTAATACAGTGTGAAGGTATTGATAAAGTTTTAGATTCCAGCCATTTTCCCAGGTGACTACTTTCTCTATCTTCTACACAAACAAAAATATTTTAAAGAATCTTCTTGGCAAATTAATGTTTGTTCTTCCCTCCTACTCACTACTCCCATATCCCCACCTCTGTTTCTTTCTTCACTTGAGAATTATCTTTATAGGACCCATGAATAGAATATGTGAGTTTTCTTCCCTGATTTCAGTGTGAGACTTGAGAAAATTGCTATAATCTGTGCCCCTTTCCCAGCAGGCTGTGTGTAATGCCCTTCACTGCCTCTGGTCACCCAGAGCCTGCCTCTGAGGGTAGGGCAGTATGCAGAGTAGGAGATAAAGTCATAGAGCGGATACACAAACAAAACCCACTTTTGTTTGCCATACTGCTTTTGTCTCTGAAGTAGAATGATCAGTAGCATCACTTTTTTTTTTTTTTTTTTTTTTTTAATTTTAAGACGGAGCTTCACTCTGTTGCCCAGGCTGGAGTGCAGTGGCGCAATCTTGGCCAACTGAAACCTCCACCTCCCGGGTTCAAGCGATTCTCCTTTCTCAGCCTCCTGAGTAGCTGGGCTTACAGGTGCATGCCACCACACCTGGCTAATTTTTGTATTTTTAGTAGAGACGGGGTTTCACCATGTTGGCCAGGCTGGTGTCGAACTCCTGACCCCAGGTGATCTGCCTGCTTCTATCTCCCAAAGTGCTGGGATTACAGGTGTGAGCCACTGCACCCAGTCTGATTCTACCAGTTTTTCTAGTATCCTTTTTCTGTTCCAGGATCCTACCCAGCATCCCAGTTACATTTAATTACCTAGTCTCCTCCAACATGTTCCTTGTTTTTTCTTTTCTTTCGTGATCTTGACAGTTTTGAAGAGTACTCATCACAGTTATTTTGGAGAATATTCTCAGTCTGGGTTTGGCTGATGTTTTTTCAGGATTGGAATGAGGTCATGCATTTTTGGGAGAATACCACAGAAATGATCCTGTGTCCTTCTCAGTGCACCATATCAGTGGGATCATGATACTTCTTATTACTGGTGATCAGTTGGCAAAGGTAGTGTCTGCTGACTTTTTCCACTATAAAGTTACCATATTTCCTTTTGTGATTAATAAATATTTTCCAAAAGATAAAACACTATGCAAATGTTGTTTTGCCTCACATTTATCCCTACTAATTTTGGCATCCATTGGTGCATCTTGTCTGCAATGATTATTACCATAGTGTTTGCCTGTTGTGAATTTTCTGCTTCCCTCTTCTACATTTGCTAATTGAAATTCCATTGTAAGGAAGAGCTATCCCTTTTCCCCCGTTTTTAAAATATCAGAATGGACTCATGGATATTTATTTTGTTGTGTCAGTTTAAATTAAACAGTATTATTTATTTTACTGCTTTAATTATTCTAGCTTTGGCCATTAGGGCTCCTTTAGGTTGACTCCTATGTTCTTTTGATAAGCCCTATCCTTTTTTTGAGCATTAACTTTCATTCTGGAATCATACATTGTTCCAGATTCATCTTACATTTTCCATGCCTCAATCCTGGAATGAACCATTTTCTCAAGGATTCCTGGTCTCTTTTATTGTACAACGGTATTTAGAGACCAACATCTAGGTGATAGGTGTGCTCATTGCTGCTAGAGTGTCATTGTTTCTAATGCAACTTACTTTATGTGGGCAGCATTCCTTATAACTCCACATGGCAGCAGAGAAATGAATTCACAATTCTCTCCAATATCAGAGTGTCAGCCCCGAAGACCATATTTTTTAGCCTTTTAAAATTGGAGAATGTTTTACTCTCTTAAGATGAGAAGAATTCTAGAATTCAGCTGGTTAGTTCCTAATGTAAATTTTTAATTAAACTTAAAAACTAGACATTTCGGTGCATTTATTGTGTGTTTAGCAGATGAAAGTATAGCAGATGACTTGAATATAAGCTGCTCTTAGACTGTCATAATTCTTGGGTTATATTTTTATGACCTTCAAACATTAAAATATTGATGATAATTTGTTATTATATATGGTTACCCTCTACTATCAACACTAAGAAAGGGGCAGCAAAGAATGAAAAATAATGTTATCTAAGAAAATTTCTTTAAAATCCTAGTGTTAGCAAACAGGATAGTTTTTTTTTAATATATAATATGCTCCTTGGTTACATAAATATTAGTTGCAAGGGGCATATTTTTAATCTATTTTTCAAGTTTGTACAGTAGGTAAGTTTGTTTTTAGATACTGGTATTTAGTCAATGTTTAGTTCAAATGTACAATGAGCAACTGCAATATTCCCCACAGTGTATTAAGTGCCATAAGGTTACAGAGAAAGGAGAAGCCAGTTTCTGAGTTCTTACTGTTATGTAGTATTGTCTCATTTTCAAACCTCACGTCACAGATGCCCTTCTCTTTTCCACGTGGCTTTTATTCCTCCTCCAGTACTCAGTTCACGTATCAGTTTTTCTGGTGTCTCAGATTCTGCTAGGATAGGTTTGCTACTCCAGGTTCCTATGCTAGCCTGTGTGTACCTCTGGAGAGGTGCACAGCACCATGACGTTTTATTAAAGAAAGATATAATTTAATAAAGGAAACTTTCCTCAAGGAAATAACTTTTCTTGCTGTTGTTGTTTTGAGACTGGGTCTCATTATGTTGCCCAGGCTGGTCTCAAATTCCTGGGCTCAAGAGATCCTCCCACCTCAGTCTCTAAAGTAACTAGGACTACAGGTACATGTCACCATGCCCAGCGCAACTTTTGAATTAAGTACAAAAGGGTGAATAAGAGTTTTGCCAAGGAGAAGGAGAGGTGGTTGCATTCTAGGCAGGGGAAAAGTATGTGTAAAGTCACTGTTGCAAGAAGGACCTGACATGTCCAGAGACTGAGAGAAGACAGTGTGGTTGCAGCACAGAGAGTGAGAAGGAGCATGGAGATGGTAGAGGCTACAGAAGTAGCTGGAGGCTGGACCATGCTGTGCCTCACTAGGCCATCTGAAAACAACAGGAAGTCATTGGAGGATTAGATATGTGGGTAGAGGGAGACTAGCACATGTGTTCAGATTTACATTTTCAAAAGTTTATTTTGGCTGTAATGTGGGAATCAAGCAGAGAGGGGCCAGAGTACATGAGTTTACCCAATTGGAGAGGCTACTGCAATGCACCGGGAAAGAGGATGGTAGCTGGGATAGTGTAGGGGAGGGGACAGAGGTGTGGAGACATTTGAAGGGGTAGCCAGAGTGATGGTGATGGACAGGATTGGTAGATGGGCAGAGAGAGGCATCCAAGGTACTCCTTAGGTTTGTACAGCCAGATGTGTGCCTTTACTGTCCCCTACTTTTCCTACTGTACTACCTAGACTACTTCATAATTGCTTATTTAATCATTTCAGTGGGACAGGGATCTTAACTGTCTTTGTTATTTTCACAAAGTCTCATGCATTGTAGGCCTTCAATAAATGCTTCTTGAATGAATGAAAAGAAATTTTACAGATGAAATATTTGAGAATTAAGTGACTTGTTTTGAGTAATGGAGCTGGTTAGTGGCAGAGTGCTAAGACTATAATTTAGACCCTTTGTTCTCAGTCTCTTGTCTTTTACTTTTCATATTATGTCTTAGTCTTAGGAATTACGAGATGTTTTATTTTTAAGCCACATATAATCAAACATAGCTTTTACTTCTGATTTCGTTAGTAATTGGGGTAGAATTGAGAGAAAACACAGAGCATTGGAATCTGCAATTGCAGTTATATAAAAAACCTGTTTCACAGGCGTGAGCCACTGCGCCCAGCCCATATATTACTTTTACGTGCAGAAGAAAAAATAGTTCAGGGAAGAACAAGTCAGTTGTCAGAAATCAAGCTGAACACAAAGTTAATAAGAGTGGACAATTTTTGTAATTTGATTTTGAGGGTGGAATTTCACAGATTTTTTGAGGCTTTTCCAAAAAAGCTAGTGTGGATAGCTTCTTTCCAATTACTCCTCCATAGACACATTGTCATTGTGTCTACTTCACCCTATTTTACTTATTCAGCATATAGCATTTTATTTCTTATGGAAGAAATAGAATCCACAGAGTTCTGTAGGGAGCAAAGACCCATCGCTGCTGGATGGCTGACAGGCAGAGGTCAAGATGTCTTGGGAAGGCTTGGCTTTGGTGACTTCCAATTTCCTGTAACCAATTACCAGAATTTACATTCATATATATATCTTTTTTGTTTTTGTTTTTGTTTTTTTTGGGACAGAGTCTCGCTCTGTCGCCCAGGCTGGAGTGCAGTGGCGCCATCTCGGCTCACTGCAAGCTCCACCTCCCGGGTTCACACCATTCTCCTGCCTCAGCCTCCCTAGTAGCTGGGACTACAGGCACCCACCACCACGCCCGGCTAATTTTTTGTGTTTTTATTAGAGACAGGATTTCACTGTGTTAGCCAGGATGGCCTCAGTCTCCTGAACTCGTGATCCACCAGCCTTGGCCTCCCAAAGTGCTGGGATTACAGGCATCAGCCACCGCACCCGGCCAATTTTATTATATATTTTAATTTTAAAAGACCTTTGTTTTTCAGCCAACCTTCTGAGTGGGGAAGCCTGGGGCTTCTTGGCGATGGCAGGTTTATCTTTTTCATTGTACATGGTCATTTATCCTGAAGACTGAGCTGGTTAGCGCTGAAAGTCAGCATGTTGGGCTTGATGGGAATCAAGGCTGGGCCATTTTTTTAAATGAAGGGAATATTAATTAGAACAATGCAACTGCTTTATGTAAATGAATGTTGATTTTTTTGGCCTGGGCATTATGTAATGCCTTATTTTAGCGCAAGTACCTTAGCTTACTCAGCATTATCTGAAATTCATTTACTTGTCACATTAACCATATGAATTAGAATATTGATTAGGAATTGTTGTTACACTCATTTTTAAAATGAGGTGGAAGTTTAGAGAGGGGAGGTTACTTCACCAAGTTAACACAGTAACTAGTAGACTTGAGATTCAAACGCAGGATGTAGTCTCCTTTGAGAAGCTGTGTCCCTTAACCATTCTGCTACACAGTCTCCCTTTGAATGAACTGAATTAATAATTCTTACCTCATGACTAGTCAAAAATTAGAACTATTTTTAGAAATAATTATTGATCTATTAAATGAATTAAAGCCATTTTTAAGTCCAGAGTGACCGTGACGGATTTAAGCTTGCAGCAAATAGCATTCTCACCAAATAAGAGTTTAAGTAGTTCCGTTGAAGATTTGAAATCAGGCATATTCTTGTCTTCCTAGGTGATGGATGTTCTTTTGGATAGCAGAACATGAAAAATGAATTAAGGCAGGTAACCTAGTGTTAGTCTCCACAATGTTGTAGAGAATCCTAAGCAGCCAGGATGTCTGCACTTGCCTTTCACTGTGAGATGGTGTGTGTTTTAATGAGCCTAAGCTAGCAAATAATAGGAACAACAACTGTACATCACCATTGATACTGTCTTTTGATGGCTTGCTTTGATTCTGTCTATGGAATTTTCTAGGTAGGGAAGCCTCTCTACTGATAAGGTTCAGGGAGAATAAATGAATTGTTAGCACAACTGGAACTTGATCACTGTCTTCTACTCAAACTCAGTGTTCTTTTATTATATCTCAAAGCCTGTCATGAGCAAAATGCTCTGAGTGCTCCGGAAATGCCAAACAACTGAAAGTCCCCCCACTTTTATGTGGCTTCTGAAAGATCCAGTACGTAATCTGATGAGCCATTTGTTAAGCTGATTATGTAGCATTTTATTGTGTTATTTCCTTTTATGCATAGTTTCTACTTATGATTATAGTTTCTAGCAGTGGGGAGTTGTGTGTGTGAGAGTGTATTTAATCTCAAAAGAGAGGTATGGCTAGCTAGTTGAATAAGAAAAATGGTAAGAGTATGTGGTGGGAGGCTGAAGTCAATAAATTGAATATGTCTTCCCTTTTTTATTTATTGCTGTGTTCTTTAAGCCCTGCTTAGTTATGGTAAATACCCCTGACCTTTTTCCCTGCTTGCCTTTCAGGTCCTAAACATTCATATAAAGGCTTCCAATGTGATTAGCATCGATGCTTCTGAGTTTGCATGGAAACTAGATGGTCAGAGATAAATTGTGGGTCTCAGCAGTGGTCAGCCCAGGAGGTTTTTACATCTGCCTCTTCCCTGTATTGAAAATGCTGCTGGGGCCATATGGCAGAGTGCCTCACAGAAGAGCCAGGAATGACTTTCTGGCTGGGTTCCGGACTATCACTTGCTCGTATTTTAAAATGGAGGTTGTAGTGCTTTGGGTTTGATTTACTGTATACTAATGGGATTATTACTTAACTTGAAATGGCATAGTGGGTCATGGTGGGGGTGGGGATGGATATACCTAGAATAAAATTCCAGTAATGTTATCAGTATTCCATTCAGGGAAAGATTTTATTCAACTCTGTTTCTCCTTATAAGTATGCAAAGAAAAACACCAGCTAATAAGTGTCTGACCTTTGACTGATGTCTGTCTTTGAAAATACCAACAGTTTTGTTTAGAACAAAGTAAGATTTCCTGACTGGCTTTTTGTGTTTGATTTCTTTAATAATCTGTAATTATCTTTCAATTAAATGCCCAAATGTCCTCCCTACATGTAGAGGAGTTATTGTGGCCTGGTTTGTGTGCACACTGCTGACTTAAAATATGCCTTCAAATATACATACCCAGGACTTGAAAAATCTAAATTAAAAAAGAAAGGTGTTGGGAAGTTTACAAAAAAAGTGGGGGCGGGGGAATGATGCTTAATGATTATGAGAAGGCCTCACTTTCTCTGAGCCTGTTTGTGTATGTCTTTCTCTCTGTGTGTCTGTCTCTCATGCTCTCTTTCTCTAACCCCATTTCTATCAGCCTTTCTCTTCTCTCTATCTTCCCTGCCCCATCTTTCTTCTCCCCCTTCACCCGTTTCTTGGGCTCCAGCCTCAGTCCTTTTGTTTTCCTCCTCATTCCCAAAAGCTGTCCCTCAGATTGTATATCACTCCTGGGATGACTTTCATTCATGCTGTTTGCCTGTCTATTTATGTTATTTTTACTTGCTTCCATATCAGGATAATTCATTTTATTTGAGTGGCTGTGCATACAACTTTAAAATTTCACAACAGCCAAGTCTGAGAATTGTCACAAGGATTTTAAACCTGCTTCATCTCCTCTGACTTTATCTCCACTTCTTACCCCCGACACCCACCACGACACTTCCCCCACTTCCCCCTGCTCTATCAGGAAGATGGGAAAGTGTATTTGGTTACACAGTGATTTGAAGTTAGGATTGGAGCAGTGAATAAACAGAGTACATTGAGATTCTGCTTGATTTGTACCTTTAAGATTTGTACCTACAAAATAAACAGTGGTGTTCATTTGTAGTGGGTGATAATAACAGCCATAAAATCTTCCAGGAAAGTCTGTCTCGCCAGGATAATAAATCTGCAGTCTCACGAGGCTCCTAAAGTTAATAATTTGTCATCATGGTTGTGAAGTATGTGACCTTTTATGTGATTTTATACAGATGACCGCATATGGAAGCTAGGGACACTTTTCCTATGTTTTAGAGAATTATTTCTTAAGAGCAACAGCCATTTTCTCCTCACTATGCAATAGTTCTATTGAAGAAGAACTTTTATCCTTTAATTGAATTGTATAGTACATCAATTCATCTCTAGGAAAAGGTGGTGGCTACTTTTGTATTCATATTGCTTTCCTCTAGTGCATAGTGAGCCTAGAAAGAGATTTTGCAGTGGAGCCTTAGGTATTCATTTAGTAAATCATATTTATTGATATAGGATGTTTAATTAAACTGCCATGTGGCTTCTTCATTTTGACTTAAATAAACTCTATTCTAGAAGAAGCCATGCTGAAACCTGCACCCTCAAAGAGCCTTTCTTTCAGCTGGCAACTGGATTATAAGAGTATGTGTATTAAATATTTTAGAAAGATAGGTTCTTTAAATAAAAATTATCACACAGGCTGTCTTAAACTATTTTTAAAAAGAGATCTGATTTTAGATTTGGTTAAAATACTAGCATACATTAGTATTCTTTTTAGGAAATAAATATTCATATAAATTGTTTTTCCAGAAATTGACCCTGAATACAGATTTCAGATCATTGAAAACGGAACCATTTGAAATGTGCATTTCCTTTCCTTTTCCTAATTTATTTCAGTCGCTCAATAGGATTTTCTCATGGAATTAACTTTTCCCTCTCAGCGTAGTTACATAAGCTTGCTGTTGTAATCATGAAAAATAATTACCCATTTCAGCACTTATTAACATGGACTTTACTTGAAGGGTCTCTGGTTTTAAAGTCAGAGCACATGACTAGAGGCAGATGAAGAGTACCTCATCATTCATAGCCACTGAGTCTCTATAATTTTTAAATGCCTTTGGAAAGCTAGATCTTATGCTCAAAAGCATGCTTTTGTGTTAGAAATCTTTCAGTGAGCTACTTACTCAGGTCATAATGCTTTTAAAGCCCTGCTTTTCTTTCCTCAGAATAAACTGAATTGTATGTTACCAATAACAATGCCACATCATTTCAAAGAAAACGGAATTAAGTAATCCAAGTCCGGGTTGCTGAAAACTAGATGACACAGGGTAGGCACTGTTGTGGTTACCATGCAAAGGATCTCTATTAGTCAGCTTGGGCTGCCATAATAAAATACCATAGAACTGGGTGGCTTAGACAACAGAAATTTATTTTCTCATGGTTCTGGAGGCTAGAAGCTGCAGATCAGGGTGCTGCTGCTTTGGTTCCTGATGAGGGCTTTCTTCCTGGCTTATAGGTTGGCTGGCATCTTGTCCTCACATGGCAGAGGGAGAGTACTGTAGTCTCACCTTGCTTTTTAAAATGACACCAGTTCTATCAGATTAGAGTCCCACCCCTATGACCTCATTTAACTGTTACTACCTGCTCACAGGCCCTATCTCCAAATTTAGCTATATTAGGGATTAAGGATTCAACATATAAATTTTGAGAGGTCACAAACATTCAGTCCATAAAAGAATCTAGTTGTTTAACAAGGATTGTTGAGCCCTGATATCTTGTTATACCTGCCTGTGTCCCTACCCCCATTCCCCTCCACTCTCATTTCCTCACAAACACTCAGATAAGGATTTTTTTTGATACCGTTTTTGTTACTTATCAAACTACGTAGTAACATTATGAATTATAAATGTTATTAGCCATTGAGAAAGTAGCTGTGCACTGACTGACTGACCCCAGTTGACTGGGAGGGCTGGATGGTGCCTTCTCTGTGGTGGAAGATAGGTTGGAGAAATGTGGTTGGTAGTAAATGATGTCTGATTTGAGCAGCTTTGAAGAAGTCTGGTTCTAGTTGGTTTCAGTTCTTTCCAGATGCCATTTGAATCTAAACCAATTTTCCAGTTCTTATCATTACAGAATTGTCTTCTGGAAGAATTATTTCTTTGTATTACTTGGTAGCAATATGGATGTAGTTTTGTGAATCATTAAGGCATTTTAACTTATCTTCCATTCTCTTTTATTTTTTATCTCTTTTAGATTGTTTGAGGGACGTTCATCAAGGAAACCGGAGAAACTTAAAACGCTCTTCTGCTACTTTAGAAGAGTCACAGAGAAAAGTAAATTCCTTTCATTCTTACTGTAATTTTTCTTGCTGATGGGAACAGTTCAAGTCAAGTGACATGTGAGGAACATTTTGTGTTTAACGTAAACCTTCCTGTCCCAACCACATTGAAACACTAGTAATGATGCGACAATATAACCTAGATTTTATGCTTATGTTGTGTATAAGCATAAACGTGTGCTAAATGTAGGGGGGGCGGGGTTTACATACTCTGAAATCGGACCCATATTCTCTGAAATCTGTAATATACATCAAAAGATTTTCATGAATAAAAACCAGAGAAAGTATATTGACCAGGAAATAAATTTTGGATGCTCTTTATTTAAAGAAGTATTCACTAGTTTATTTGCATAAGTCAACTAACGCATTGCTTTTCTACCCATTCCTCTCTTTTGTGCCCCCCTAAGCCCTTTGTGGAGTTCTTATAAAACTGTTTTGTACTGAGTTTTATATCTCCATCTTCCTCTATTGAACCTTAACATTCTTGCTTCCCCAAAAACTGATAGCAGCTAACACAGTAATAGTAAATGTCCAACAAATACTGGTAATGACCAGCTGATAATAGATTGGTATTGCCACTCTTATCTCAGAAGCTGAATGACCATGGTCAAGTTTCTTGACACCTCTAAGCTTCAGTTTTATCACCTATGAAATAATATAATAACGGCCATTACCTTACAGGGTAGTTATAGATATTAAACAAGAAGATACATGCTTAATAAATGTAAGCTATTATCAATGGGTAGCCTTTCCTACAAGTGGATGTAAACCAGAACACCTCAAAAGTTCCTTTGTGCTAAGTAGGTAAGGTCAACCTGGTCAAGTGAAATGGCTTTTTTTCAGTTCTGGGTCATAGGATTGTCTTAAAATATGTCTTTGAATCATTTTAAGGTCATTTTTCTCATATCCTTCTTTTACTCTTGCATTACAATGTGCTTGGCATCTTCCCCCTTGAATGTATTGCTATTGGACATTGTTAAATTTTTAGAATGAAATCAATTATCAGGATTTTGATATTTAAGGGAAAATTACATGCTTCTCTGATATGGAATTACCTCATAGCTTATTGAATTTCAGTTTTGTGCCCTGTACTGAATGAAATATTAAAATGCAGAATCATTTGGACCTATGAGACACAAAATCAAATTAGAATTTGTAATGACTTGTTAAAAAGATGACTACGTAAGGCGAGGCACGGTGGCTCACGCCTGTAATCCCAGCACTTTGGGAGGCCAAGGTGGGTGGATCACGAGGTCAGGAGTTCCAGACCAGCGTGGCCAAGATGGTGAAACCCCATTTCTACTAAAAAATACAAAAATTAGCCAGGCGCGGTGGCGGGAGAGTGTAATCCCAGCTACTCGGGAGGTTGAGGCACAAGAATCACTTGAACCCAGGAGGTGGAGGTTGCAGTGAGCTGAGATTGTGCCACTGCACTCTAGCCTGGGCGACAGAGCAAGACTCTGTCTAAAAAAATAAATAAATGACTGCTTTTTTTGGCCATTCTAGGTCTAATTAGAATTATTACTATTGTTTTTTTTTGTTTTGTTTTTACAGTACTTTGAGTTGCCGTTTTAAGTAGAATTATTATAACTAAGTAGTACAGAGTTTACTTTTTTGTCCTGGGAGTCAAATCATGTATGTCTTCTCTAAAAACTAACTTGGCTTTCTAAATTTTAGGATTTCAGATACTTTGAGGAAAAAGCTTAAAGTTTGTTTTTTCAGCTGGAAATGTATATGCCATTATAAGTATTGGGAATTTGAAGAAATAAATTATAACTAGACATTTTATTTTCTGACTTTTTCACTGTACATGTTAATTAAGTTCTTTGTAGAAATACAGTACAACATTGCTCTTGGTCTTCAGTGTGTAAAGCTAATGGTTTGAAGAGGAAATACTAAAGAGAATAAAAGAGGTTGCAGTATAATGAGTGGTTGTGTAGAAGTTCTGGAGCCTACTCAATAGACTTCAGAAGCTTATTTAAGGTACCATATTTCATCGAATCTGAGATGTCATAGATGACTTTTTAAAAATGCTCTTATATTATATACCTCTAAGAAGGAAAAAACACTCAGGACAGGGAGTTTAGTAGGAGACATGACCCACAAGGCTGGTACACCTAAGGATAAATGAGAAATTAACTTGACCTTCCAGGAAAGGGACCATAAAGAAACGTGCAAGTCTCAACCTTGACACTAAATAGAGAAAGGAAAAAAACATTTCTCTGAGAATTTGAACCACAAGCCCTAAGCTTTGAGTGTGCAGCCTTACCACCAGTGTGGTCCACAAAGGCCTGCCACAAAGGATTAATTCAGATGGTATCAGGCTGATAGTGTTCCCAGACGACAGCAGAAGCAGATGCACATCTTCTCTGGGAAAATTCACCTCTAGTCTACACCTATGGTAAGATACCTCCATTATAAAAGATGTATTCCAGTTTCAGAAATGTAACATGTGAAAAAACATGCCTTTTAGAATTGATAAACTAGAATTCCATCAGGACCAACTTTTCAGTGTTGTTAAACATGTGTATTTTATATCTGATGAAGATCTTGAGACTGAAGTATTTTAAAAAGCCTTCTGAATTAAATTACTTTCTATATAGTTTTAGATAAAGTGTCTTATAGATCAGGTTTTTGAAAATTTATGACCTGTATATAGTATATATTGTGATTTTATGATGGGAAGTATTTGATTAATCAAAGTATCCTATTCTGAGATGAAAGTTGCCTTGTTACGAAAAAACGCTAACAGACGTGCTCTCAAGGCATTTTTGTTAATCTAAGAAACCATGTTCTTCTGCCTTTTCTTGCTTTGCCAGCAGTGTTTATGAATTTCTTTTAGCATCTCTTAGTATATATTAAGGACATTTGATGTTCTTCTCTGCTAAGTTACCGAATGACAAGAGAGATGTTTTCTATTATATTCATGGAATTGCTTCACTAGTGTTTGAGTTGTTTGACCACTTACTTGTGAGTTTTAAATATGTTATCCATTTATCTTAAAGTTAGGTATCTAAAAGACGTAAGACCCATCTTAACAAAAAAATTTGTTTTCTACTGCAACTGCTCCATATGGTTTTTGAGTGGTTCCTGCTTTTGACTGAGAACAAGGAAATGTGGAATTGTGCACAGGAATGAAATGATGGCCAGGCTTTCACTGGGTTATACACTGTCATCACTAATAGTTCCTGACATCTCTCTCTTTCCTTAAGAGCTTTTTTGTATTCAAGAAAACAGAAACGGCATGGCCTTTTTAGTTTGTTCTTTGATTTGAATCAGACAAATTACTTCTGGCCAGCTGATTTATTTGTTTCTTTTGCTACTAGCTTGAAAAAATAAATAAATAAATCTGACTAGAAAAGGATCTCATCCTCTAAAATTATTGACTACATTAATAGTACTTCATTTAGATCCTCCCAAATTTATTGCTCCTTGAAAAATATGTCATCTTTGTTCTGTAAACTCTTAGAACCAGTAATTTCTCCTCTGGCTACGACTGCTACTAACAAGTAGAGTGATTGCCCACTATTTAAGCCTGAGACTTAGCTGTACTAACTCCAGAGGATGTGCAAATGATTTCCTTTTTAAATCTGTGACATTTCACTTTACCATATAGTACATAAATGTGTATTTATTCTCCAGTCTTTGAATGTAGGGTTAAGTCCTTTCTTTGTAAAGGAGTCTACAAATTTGAATTCAATTTTGTCTTTATTGCATTAGCTGTACCAGTTATACATCCTTTTTTTCAATGCTCTTTTTTTTTTAAAAAAAAGTGTATTCAGCTTCAAAAACTTTACCAAAAATACCAGCACTCAAATCCTACTGTTGTGCTGTTATTTGTATAGTTTCGTTTAGTGAAGTCTTATTATTTTATAGAAGGAGTTTCTACTGTAAGGATATTATTTTCAATCAATATTCTGTTATTTTCCAATGCTAGGCTTTGTATTTCCTGGTTAGTTTTATAGCCAATGTTAGACCTATTCTTTTACCGAGTGTGTGTGTGTATGTGTGTGTGTGTGTGTGTGTGTGTGTGTGTGTATAATCTTTTCAAAATTGAAACTTATTTTGGGTATGTTTTTCTTTTATTGCTTCTGTAGAACCTACTGGGTTGGTGACATTTACAAGACAGAGTCTTGAAGATTTTCCAGAATGGGAAAGGTAACAACAATAATAAAAATAATCCTAGACCCCCTAGAAATAGAAGGACTCTTGCACCATGAGAGGATTCTATTTTATAGCACCTAGAAAGATGGTTTTCCAACCTCTATTTATCCTAGTGCCAGGGAATTTCTTCTCATAAATGATTCATTGATAGCTCTCATGTTTGAAAAGGTTATGCCTTTTAAATCAAAGTCTATAACCCTTTGATTTCTACCATTTTGTCTTGGTTTTGTCTTCTGAAACAAAGTCCTGTTTAAAATTGAGAAGTGTTGTATGTGAAGACACTAATAAAAGGAACACCAATATTTAAATGTTTCTCCTTACCCTTTTTTTTTGGTTAGTGTTTGAACTTTATGGCTTTTCTTTCTGGAGGACAAGATTGAGAAAAGTCTTTTTATTATTTACATTTTAGTAAACAGTAACCATCTAGAGTTCGTCGAGTGGCAAGAATTTTGAAGTTTGGCTGCCCTTGTGTACTACTGGTAGATTTTGTGGAAGTTGCTATTTACTGTTTGTTTCTTATTTATCAGAAAATATTGAGGAGATAGCAGCCAATATGAGCTAATTCAGATTTGTAAAGTCCTTAGTGTCCTGAAATAGTTAACATATTTCTTAATCTAAAGCAAGTCTCCCAATATACTTAAAGAAGGGTCCTGAAATAGTTAACATATTTCTTAATCTAAAGCAAGTCCCCCAGGACACTTAAAGAAGTGTAGATTAACTTTTTAAATATGTTTGAGGACATGATGAAGCATACTAAATACATATTTAACCAATGCCTCCCATTTTCACTTTCTAATAATTTTATGATAGTTTGTAATTGTTTTGTTTGGAATTAGTGATGAATGGAAATCACTTAAAAAAACGTTAACTTGAGAAGTCATATCTGCTTAGGTGGCTTTCCTGCAGTGTTTTCATCCATCAAAGATGTTTATTTGTGAAGTGAAAGATAAAGAAATTTACTTCAGAAGACTGAGTGCGTGGTTTAGATGATTATTAATAGAGGGAAGTAGATAAAAGGTTAAGCGACCTGAAGAGAGAAAAAAAAATGAGCCAGAAAAAGATGAGAACATGTACAGCATTTTGGCATCATGGCATGTTAGATCTGAAAGGAACCCCAGCCGCCTGCTAAAACTCTTGATCAGCTCTGTAATACCTGCAACAGACAGAAGACTGGATAGCTTCAGTGATGGCAGATCCGCTGTTTCGTATCAGTTTGTTCCATTGGTGGCTGCTTGTGTTATCATCTCATGCTTTCATTCACTAAAAATGTTTTCTACATTCATTCTCCACCATTCCTGGTTCTTCCTTCTGGAGCTACATAAATAAATCTGAATTTCTAGTTTTCTTTAACATTTGACCCTCCTTCATGTATCTTAATGGCTTCTTAACCTACTTCCCTCTCTAACAGTGCATACAAGTTCATACTAAACTGATTCGTTTCTTCTATTTCACATGTAATATGGATTCTAAACCCTTTATCTCTGCTCTTAACATACTCCCATTCATTGGGCCCTCTTAAAATATAGTACCTGGAATTAAAAGTACCATTCTGCTGTGTCATCTCTATGGTGCAGAGGATTGTTTTTCTTCACTCTTCTATTAATCTCTAATAGGAATGCATATGTTTTGTTCCTGTTACTTTGGTGTAGATTTTATAGATCAATCTGAGGGCTTATTTTTAAGTCATCCAGGATCTCTACTTTGCATCTGATATTCATTTGGCACTAATGTGAAAGAACACCCATTTGTATACCACCATGTGGGAGAGAAGGGACAGGTCAAAATGCAGAGACTGGCAAGGCTGCTGTGTCAATGAGACACAGTAACTTTGCCTCTAAGTGAGACGAAGATTGTCCCCTTAATTTTGATAGGCAGAATTTGACTTATTTTTATTTCATTGATCTCTTTTTTGTTTTAGTTGCTTTATAAGTGAGTTGGAGAATATAATTAAAACCAGTCTCCCAGACTCCACAGAACCAGAAACATGCATTCACTTAAAGAGGGAGAATGAAGAAAAGATAAGGATTGTTGGTGTTCCCAAGCGTAAGGGGCTAAATGGGTCCAGGAACTTAGAGGCTTTCCTGAATTCCATGTTTCTGGCATGTTATAGTTAACCCTTTGATTATCAGCAAATACTTTAGCCAGGCTTAATCACAGAGAGCCAGAATCACCTACGTCTCTGACTCCTGGGGCGGGGGTGTAGAGGATGACCTACTGGGAAGTTAGAAAATGCTTCAAAACAAAACCAAGAAAAAGTTTCTAGCAATTTCGTGATTTTATTAAGAGCTATACTATAAAGTTTCTAGCTTCAGTCATGGAGAATAGTTGACAACAGATGGAATTCCCATTCTGAAGTCCTGACTGACAGCCCAGAGATTTTTAGATTATGCTTCTTTATCTTTTTAGTAGTATGCTTACAGGGGTCTTCCTCTGAATAAAATGGCTAGGAAAGTAGGACCAAAAAAAGGAAGTTAAAAAAATATATCAAACTTACCGTACTGTTTTCTACAAGAGACTGGGAAAGTAATTTTTCTAAAAGTGTAGCATACTGATTCAGAGCTTGAGTGAGTCTACCTAGTTTCACATCTCTGCTGCTTTATTTCACTAGTCTTGGTTAGCTTACTTAGATGTTCTGTGCTTTGTTTCCCCGTCTATAAAAGGAGATAGTAATAGGGTTGTTGAGAGGATTCAATGAGTTAATACAAATAAGGCTCTTAGACAGAACCTGTGCAGAATTACCTTCTGAGTTAAAGCTATCAGCCTGTTGGGCTGGAGTTTTGCCAGAAATGTATTTAAACTCATTGAAACCAGGAAGGAATCAAACAATTCTCAGTACTTTTCCAGCTAACCTCCTAGACTATTTTCTAAAAATATAATCATCTCCTCCCTCCCAAAAAAGATTATGGGCACTCTTATGTGAGTTAGAACTTTGGATCTCCTCTGTTTCATTCATTTATATTTTTTATTCAGTAAGTGATCAGGGGAAAAATATCTAATAAGGCAAATAATGTTAACAAATACTTTTAATACAATGGAATTTGTTGTTAATATAACATAAGTCAAGTAAATACCTCAGTGGCCATGGTTGAAAGGGAAAGAAAATAATTATGCCTTCTAAATTACAGGTACTAAGTTTATCTGTTAACCTTATTAATAGAAAAATACCATTGTTCAGAATTTCTGTGGCAGGTATTTTCATCAAGACACACACACACACACACACACACACACACACACACACACACACGGTTATGAAACAGTGAAAATAGAAAATGGAAGCCAGAAGAGAATCATATATGATTTATTGCCAAATTTTTCTACATTTTTCCTCAGATTGCCAACTCTAGCCATAACAAAATTTCATAGATCTTAATTTTTTTTAATATTTTGTAATGTTTTTCAACTGTTTTAAAGAAGAAAAACTTTCATATTATTTAGAGGAAAATCAGGTTTCAAACTATGTTATCCAATTTTAATTTAAATATGTATATTTACATGTTTGAATAAAGGAGGATCAATACCAAGAATGTTAACAGTAGGCATCTGTTTCTGACTTTCGAGATTTGGGGTGGTTTCGGTTTTTGAATAGTTACCTATATTTTCACTTTTGTCCGCAGTGAACAACTTGTCATTAAAATAATAAATAAGGGAATGTCTTTTTATATTGTAGATGTGAAAAACCCTTGACACGATTGCATGTCACTTACGAAGGTACCATAGAAGAAAATGGCCGAGGCATGCTACAGGTAGGTGAATCTTAGTAGTGTCTGTGTATGGTTAGGACTTTTTCTTGTCAAGCTTCTGACAGCAAAAGAAATTTGAAAAACTGTTTATTTGTCTCCTAAACTGATTTAATGCAAAGAAGCATGATAGCAGAATGAAGAAAAACACCAAACAGATCACTTTGACAGCCTTGGTAATGTTGTGATTTGCCAGTGTATACTCTCTGTTTCTTATATGTGCTTCTCTAAAAAGCCTTTGACAGAAAATCCCAAGATCTGGACAGCATCAGCCTCTTGGTTCAGACATTGATAGTAGGTTGACAGTGGAGGAAGTTCCCAGGGTATAGTCTTGACAGACTGTCACCAGGCATTTTTATTCTTTTTCCTTAAAGGCTCTTCTTGCTCTGCCCCAGTTGATGACCAGATGGAGATGTTTTTCTGCCACCAACAGCTTTGTTTAGGTTGAGGGGGCAGACGTCTAAAACTGATTGATAAGAAAGGCCTCTCTCTCATATGTAACAGTTTCACGCACGTGAGCTAGCTGTTTGCTATGTCTTTTCCCTGTTAAAAGCAGGTAATTCTGGTCCACTTCTCAATCTTTGTTAATAATCTGTTACCGCCTTTACCTTTAAAAAGTATTTTTGGAGAAGGGGGTTAACAAAAGCCCCGTGTTTAAAATATAGTAATATCTAACCTAATCTTTTGATTTATAATGCTTCTTTAAAATTCACTAATGTTAGTGTTTTGTGTTCTTATCCCATTTATAAGAGCATTGTAAACTGAGTTTTCTTTGAAAGAAGCTTGTATACCATCTCATTTATACTGATAATAGTTTATTTTTCTTCTTAGATTCTTATTTGGTGCTTATATTGGTTCAGAATCTAAAGAAAGCAGTTGCCTGAAAATGGACTGATTTGTTTGAATAACTTAATGCTCACTATAAAATTTACGTCTAGTTATTATTTAAATGAAACTGAGATTCTTTTTTAAATGGCCTTTTATTTGGACATATTTGTAATTAAAATCTTCAAAGAGACAAACTATGTTTTATTCTAAATCACCTTCTCCCAGTGGTTATTTGAGCTTATAAACAAAAACAAAACATATTTAAATTTGCATTTACTCCTATACCTTTTTTCTGTTTAAAAAATAATCTTAAAATATGCTTAAATATTGGTTCAAATTAGTATCACTTTTTCCCCCACATTCCCCTCTTGATGAAGTTCTTTCCATCTTTAAAGTCTTGGATAAACTGAGAGATTCTTAATACACATGAACTAAACAAAGTTACTGCTAGTTAGCACCACAGGAATGCTGACCTTTCATTACAATACAATTCAACAAGGAATTATTTAACAACAGTTAAGGTTGAGATCCTCCCCACTTCCTTGGAATATATTATAGATGGAAATGTGAGACCTCGGTAGATTAGAGAATACCGTAAGGGCTTCTTTCTATTAATTGTTCTCCCTACCCATGCCATGTCTCCGCAGGAGATCGGGGAATATTGTATTGCAATGCTACAGAGCTCCTTGTGTAGCATATAAATTACATGATGCTGAATGGCCACAACAACAAAACCTCTCTGAGGAGCTTTATCATTCCTGTCTTTTCATCAAGTTATAATTCAGAAGCTGAGTAATCTGAATGAGTAGCTTTAAAGTGACTTGGAAAATAACTGGCTAAAAATAAGGATGCATTCACATTCTTGTTTTCATGTACTGGAACAGGTCTCTCAACTGTTGTAGAGGGTCTTTATTGTTAAGAACTTTTTTAAGTAGTAAAACTTTGGTTTTCTAAAAGACTCTGGCATTTAGAGGCATACTGAGTTTAGTGTCTTTATTTCTGTGTACACCTTTCAAGTTAAAAATGTGGGCCTTTTATTCAAAGAGTAAACAATAACATACACATTGAATGTATTTCATCATCATTATCAAGTAGTACATAAGTTGGATAGAGCTTATCTTTTTATTTTTGTTATGTACCTTATTCCAGTAAAAATTAAGTTAGGCCAATCTTAAACCTCATCTGTTTCTCATTTGTAGTCACAATATCATTATACTTTTAGGCACTCAGCCAGTCTCTTAGTTCTCAAGTACAGTCCATTTTATTTCTTTACCGAGTTTCTTCTCTTTCCTTTACTTTACCACTTTCCTGTTTGAGGCCCTAGTAGTGCCTGTATAAACTATTTAGTACTCACCTAACCAGCATTTTTACTTTTAGTTTTACAGTTTTCCATTTATTCTTTAAACTCTAGCCTGAATTATCTTCCTAAAACATAGGTCCAGGTGTTACTTGAATCTTTCCCAGAACCTTCAGAGGGAAATTGAGTAAAAATTCCCTAGACCTCAGACCACCTCATCACCAACTGTAAGCCTCCACCTACTCTACACTGCAGGCAAGCACAATGAATCTGTTTACCATTCCCCTCATACAGTGATTTACATTTGTTTTTTTTTTTGCCCTGTGTCCTTGTGCAGCTATGCCCTCAGCCTGCATGTCAGCTGCCACATCCCCTTGTAAAGCTTTCCTATCTTCCTCCCATGCTCCAATTTTAGTTAATTGTATTATTAGAAAGTATCAAATACATAGTAACAAGCTCTTCAATAATCATCTTCTCATTCTGCTTATGCTCATTCTGACTGCCATCTAAATTGCAAATGCCGTGAGGCCAGGAACCATACATATCTTATTCATCTTTGTATCCAGTGATTCCCAGCACAATACTCAGTAAATAGTTGTTGAATTGGACAGTTTAAGCCATGAATCACCCAGTGCCCATAGACCTCATATGTAGTAGGTAGCTAATTCTAATCAACAGACTGGTTTCACCAAAATTATTTTCCTATTTAAGCTAAAGAGTTACTCTGGTTTTTTAGCATTGGTTTTAGTACTCCAGAACACAAATCCAAATATATGATTCTCTCTGGTAGCTCAATTGAAGAACTCCTCAGTGGTATGTTTTAGTATTTTCTAAGTTCTCCTGTGGTAAAAGAAGACTGCTTCGCCTTCTATTAATTTCTGTCTTTTGACATATATTTTTACATATCAAACGATTCATACTATTGTTTTACTATTTTGTAAAATAGGCTTCAGATTGTCATTTAGTATCAGTTGCTTTAGAGAACACTGAAGTTTTAAGAAATCGTATATTTTAAAATAGTTTGAAAGAATATAAGCCTCATGGTATTTAGTAAATCCTATTTTACTTGTGTGTATGACTATGTATATACACAAGTTGTGTGTGTGTGTGTGTGTGTGTGTGTGATCTAACTCCTCAGATAGTCTCACTAAGGAAAAGATGGTTGCTATTTCTTACATACTGCTTCATGAGGCTGGCATAGTGCTGGACACACTGGACAAACGGAAATAATGCCAGCAAGTTGAGTTTGCTTTCTCTGGAGGATTGTGTAATTCTTCTTTATTAGTAGGCATTTGGGGATCCCATCATACTACTCCACATAAAGCTTAAGAGTTTCCAACCTAATTGGAAATATTACTTTAATTGAATCTTTGTTGCTATACTGGGTTTTCTTTCTTCCTTTTTTCCTTAGTTATATTTTTAAAAAGTAGTTTGTAATGTTCATGTAGTTTGGGGTTTGGGGTTGAATTTAGAAGGACAAAAATTCGATCTCTTTATTCTTACAATAAAGTTGGAAAAGGTTACCCAAAAAGTTGATTACTAAACTTTTCAGTTCTTTAGGGCAAGTGTTTGGTTACCATATTACATAAGAAAAGTTTAATTATATTAAAGTCACGTGAAATACATAAAGGGAAGTTGAGTAGTGAATGGGGGAGAATGACTTTGAAACCTTCCCAGATAAAGACCTCCCTTGATTTGTGGCCCATGAGACACAAATAGGTTTATAAACAAGAGTCTGTATGATTCATAATATTTTGCCTAAAAGCTCCATTTTCCAGATTGCTTCTCTGGTTCTGGGATCCAGAAAAATGTGCAGAGATGTTAACTGCAGTGAGGTGGAAAGAGCTTAAGCAACCAAAATCTGCCCTTCCTGGGAAGATTACTTATTTGGGGATTGATTTTCATGGGAGAGGAAAAGATGAGAGCTTAGAGACTATGTGCTTCTTGATCATATGTGTAGGTATTTTTGACCATTATTTAATGTCACATTTCCCCAACAGGTGGATTTTGCAAATCATTTTGTTGGAGGTGGTGTAACCAGTGCAGGACTTGTGCAAGAAGAAATCCGCTTTTTAATCAATCCTGAGTTGATTATTTCACGGCTCTTCACTGAGGTGCTGGATCACAATGAATGTCTAATTATCACAGGTTAGTTTTGGGAAGCCTGGAAAATGGGGTAGTCTTCCCCATCTGTGAATATCTGTCATGAAGACTAGAGACTACCCAGTATAGCTTTTATCTTCCATGGGCATCAGTCCCAATATTTTTATCCATTAATTTATACTTAGTTTTTGAAATTATTACAGCCTTATTTTCCTAATCTTAAGTAAGACATCTTATTTTTACCTTTTCTTTCTTTCGTGGCATCTTTATCTGAGGAAGAGGGATTAAAAACTATTCAGTTACCCCACAGTTTGAATTTTTTTTTTTTTTGAGACAGAGTTTTGCTGTTGTTGCCCAGGCTGGAGTGCAATGGTGCAATCTCGGCTCACCAAAACCTCCTCCTCCCAGGTTCAAGCGATTCTCCTGCCTCAGCCTCCCGAGTAGCTGGGATTACAGGCATGCGTCACCACACCCGGCTAATTTTGTATTTTTAGTAGAGACAGGGTTTCTCCATATTGGTCAGGCTGGTCTCGAACTCCTGACCTCAGGTGATCCGCCCGCCTCGGCCTCCCAAAGTGCTGGGATTACAGGTGTGAGCCACCACGCTTGGCAGTTTGAAATTTTATGACATAATAATGCTCTTAAGAAGAACATAGTGATATGCCTCTAGTATGTATTCTGTTGTAATTCTTCCATTTGAGAGTGATTTGTTT
Organism: Homo sapiens; assembly: GCF_000001405.40. Classification (NCBI taxonomy): domain Eukaryota; kingdom Metazoa; phylum Chordata; class Mammalia; order Primates; family Hominidae; genus Homo; species Homo sapiens. The sequence continues at coordinate 45,887,496 of NC_000010.11, read as the reverse complement.
CTATTAAAAATAATTTTCAAGTGGTTTCTTGTACTTTAGTATGAAGACATTGTGTAAATATAAGAAGCATAGGAACAGTATTTAGAGAAATCAGTAACCTTTTGTTTACCCTATTTTGAATCCTAAAAGAAAAAGTTCAGTTATCATGGCCAGGCGCGATAGTTCAGGCCTGTAATCCTAGCGCTTTGGGAGGCCAAGGCAGACAGATGGCCTGAGGTCAGGAGTTCAAGACCAGCCTGGCCAACATGACGAAACCCCGTCTCTACTAAAAATACAAAAATTAGCCAGGCACGGTGGCGGGTGCCTGTAATCCCAGCTACTCAGGAGGCTGAGGCAGGATAATCACTTGAACCCGGGAGGCAGAGGTTGCAGTGAGCTGAGATCGCGCCACTGTACTGCAGCCTGGGCGACAGAGCAAGACTCCATCTCAAAAAAAAAAAAGTCTGATTATCTTGGTGTTTCTTCTTGTTCTTCTTGATTTCTTTACGCTAATATGGGAGGAGGAGGGGGGAAATTTAGTCACGTGTATGCTTTAGGTCTGTTATAGAGATTTAATTTTTTTTTGTTTCTTCAGACTGAGATCACTATGTAACAGTATTTTCTTTGAATAAGCTATCAAGAAAAATGATGATTACCTCATATCTCTTAAGAAACTCTTAATCAGGCACCATATGTAAGTTGAGTCTTTTATTCAAGTACGTAAAAGAATATTCCCACATAAGTGCCGTTAATGCACCATGAGTTGCTGGTACTATTTTTTTTTCCTGAAAAAGTGGATTTTTTATTTCCACTTAGAATCTGTTACTGCTTGGAGATGAGTTTCGGGGTCTAAACACTCACCTGGGTTGTAGAATTTAGTTTATTGTTATTCCCAAAAATTATAATAGGAGAAAAACCTTCCCCATGAGTTATATAAAATGTGTACCCAACCGCATTACCTCCAAAGACATACATGACAAAACCGACTCCAAAGTCTAATCTTGAAGCCACACTGTGCCTCAGATAGATTTGTAGACAACCTTCAGAAGAGTATATTTTCTTATGTTTTGCTTTTAAGATTCTCTTTGACTTTCAATGGTTTGAATATGGTGTGTCTACATGCAGATCTCTTTGACTTTATCCTACTTGAAGTTTTTTGAACCTCTCTAATGTTTGTTATATTTGGTAAATGTTGGGCCATTATTTCTTCAAATGTTTGTTCTTCCCCTTTCCTCATCTTCTGGGACTCCCAAATTACGTGTTTGTTGATTCACTTGATGTTCCACAGGTCTCAGAAGCTCTGTTTATTTTTCTTCATTCTTTATTCTTCTTGTTCCTGAGGCTCAGTCTCAATTGCCCTGTCTTCAAGTTCACTGGTTGTTTTTTCTGCTTGCTCTAAACTGCTTTTAATCTCACTGGTGAATTTTTTATTTCAGTTATTGTACTTTTCAATTACAAATTTCTGTTTATTTTTTATAATTTCTATCCCTTTATTTATTAATATTCTCTATTTGAGAGGCATCATTCTTATACTTTAGTTTTTTAGACATAGTTTTCTTTAGTTGTTTCAGTATATTTTAAATAGCTGATGTAAATTCTTTGTCTACTAAGTCCAACATCTGGGCTCCTCAGGGGCAGTTACTACTGACTGCTTTTTTTTTGAGTATGGGCCATACTTTCTCATTTCTTTCCATGTCTTCTAATTTTCATTTAAAACTGGACATTTAAAATAATGTAATGTGACCCTGGAAATCAGATTTTCTCTTTTCATCACAGTTCATCCTTCTTGCTGTTTTTTCAATGACTTTTCTAAACTAATTTTGTGATGTCTGTGTTCTTTCTGTGTGTGGCCAGTGAAGTCCCTGCTTGTTAGATTAGTAGTCAGCTAATGCTTGAACAGATTTCCTTAGATGCCTGAAACTAATAAGTCTCAACGAAGTCTAATAGTCTTTGTTGAAGGGCTGTATGTGCAGGTGCAGCCTACCTTCAACACTGCACTAAGCAGTTGATGCCTCTGCCTTAGCCTTCACTTCCTGTCAAGGTCAGGCAGAGGAGAGAGCTGAGGGCTTTCTCTAGTTTTTCCTGAGCATTCATATGGCCATGGGCACGCATGAGCCCTCTAGATTCCTTCTTGTTTTAATATATTAGAACTTTTCAAAGCCCTTTGTGGACATTCTCATTCTTCAGTTTTTCCTTTGAAGCTTTTGGTTAGCCTATTGTTTGCCCCAGCTGTTTGCCACCACCTCAAGAAGTTTCAGTGTTAAACAATCCCTGTAATTGTTTTCATCAAACCCTCAAAAGAATTATGCTTTTCCTACTGGCCAAGCTCCAAGTCCTGTAAAGTAAAGACAGCCTTCTGAGCGGGGCCCTCCAGGGGACCACCAGACAGGTCAAATAATGACAGTTCTCTGAGAATTGGGCTTTGAAGGAGCTTCAGCTTTCTTTTGCCCCCTCTGATGGCTTCTGATTTTCACTGTGATTCAGGAAGGTTAGTTTTTAAGGCCGAGATGGAGCTTGGGAGAGTGGGATGGGAATAAGGCAAATAAAACACTGCAAAGTTTATTGTTTTTACCAAGATTCAGCTGGTTTTTCTTGAATAAGCACTCCCTGGATTGCTGCAAGCCTTTGGCTACTTTTCAGTTGATTCTCACAGTGCTCATCACAGTGTTCACATTGCTTTCATGGAGGAGAGAGTTTTCAGAGGTTTTTACTGCACCATTTTTTACTGATATCTTTTTATCTTTTGTAAGCACCCGTGGATAAAGGAGCTTTCAATGAGTTATTCTACATCATTTAGACATCCTATGTAAATTTTTATCCCTGTGATTCTGCTTTTTTGGTGAAGTAAGGCAAAAAATAAAAAATTGTAAATTGTCTGAGTTTATGTAGGAAATTAAGATTGGAACTTCCGCAAAGGAATTTTTTTCCTGGACAGAGCCTCAGTCAGCCATTTGAAGTTAGTGACTTGGAGTACTGCATTCAGAATTCTGAGATTATGATCCAAATTATACTGAAATGGAAAGATAAACTCCTTTTGTACTCAACACTTCCTCAACTCACATTTTGGCCATCTGTCTGCATTTGTTAGTTATCATGGATGCACGTGGGAGGTATATAATTGGGCAAGGTACTAGGGGAGATAAGATTGCAAGGAATTACAGAACAAAAAAAACTGGCATAAATCTATTGTTGAGCAACCAGCACTTTGGCTATTGGTCTCATACTATTGTAGGGAAGCTCTGCAGGTTTGGAATATGGCTGTCTTCATCATTTACGTACATCAAATAATACTTTAAAAGATTGTTATTCCGGCTGGGTGCAGTGGCTCACGCCTGTAATCCCAGCACTTTGGGAGGCTGAGGCGGGCGGATCATGAGGTCAGGAGATTGAGACCATCCTGGCTAACGTGGTGAAACCCCGTCTCTACTAAAAATACAAAAAAAAATTAGCTGGGCCTGGTGGCAGGTGCCTGTAGTCCCAGCTACTTGGGAGGCTGAGGCAGGAGAATGGCGTGAACCCAGGAGGCGGAGCTTGCAGTGAGCCGAGATCGCACCACTGTGCTCCAGCCTGGGCAACAGAGCGAGACTGTCTCAAAAAAAAAAAAAATTTTTTTTTTTAGCTCTTAAGGTAGATTTGGATTGAACACTGAGAACAAAATATCCCATCAGTTTTTAAGATGAATTTACATTCTTGAAATAAAAAACTTGGTAAAATGCATTTAAACTTAAAGCTAACTTGTTTCATTTGCTTAATTTCTCTAGAAAGTAGTAAGAACTGGGCTGGGCGAGGTGGCTCACCCCTGTAATCCCAGCACTTTGGGAGGCCGAGGCAGGGGGCATCACAAGGTCAGGAGATTGAGACCATCCTGGCTAACACGGTGAAACCCCATCTCTACTAAAAATCCAAAAAATTAGCCAGGCATGGTGGTGTGTGCCCGTAGTCCCAGCTACTCAGGAGGCTGAGGTGGGAGAATCTTTTGAACGTGGGAGGCAGAGGTTACAGTGAGCCGGGATTGTGCCACTGCACTCCAGCCTGAGTGACAGAGTGAGACTCCGTCTCAAAAAAAAGAAAAGAAGAAGAAGAAGAAGAAAGTAGTCAGTACATTGTCATCCTCCATTAATGTTAATGTAAATAAAGGATGTCATTTTCCTTGGGAATAAAACAGGAATGTTAAAAGGAAAACATAAGAATATTTTCTTTTTTTAAAGATAATTTGTCCCCAGTCTAAAAAAGGATTCTAATCTCCTTTTACGTAATCTCTAAACGTTCCTGCAGCTATTGTAAAATGAATGGAAAATTGCAGATCCATGACTCACCTTCAGATCTGTAATTACCTCAGGCTAAGGACATATGGGGTGACTTTTAACTCAGCATTTTCCCCCCACATCCACTTAACTTTATTATAGTGCCTCCTAATTAATATCTGTGATGTGATGTTACCTTAATGGAAATGGCCATTTCATCATCTATTTGATGTCTGGATTTCTGCCATCTCCCTCCTTAGGAGACTCTTAGCCATGCACTGCAATCTATCTGCCTGATCAATTCTGTTCCTTCAATGATGCATCCAGCTCAGTGAGCTAATGGCTGTGACTGTGCTGCCTGAATCTGTAGAAGAGTTTGAGAAATTGGAAATAAATTAAATTTATCATCATTGTGGGACATCTGGTTGGTATCATTATTTTAAAAGAATATGAAACAGGTCATGCAAACAGGCAAATACTTTTATACAGACAGTGTTATCCCTCTGTTTGTTGTGATCCTGCCTGGGGCAGCCATGAGTTAAAAACCTTTCAGTAAGTATAGATAGAGGGAAAGAGTTAAAATTCCAATCTTCCCATTTCTTCTTTTTTTTTTGTCTTCTCTTACTTGTTTCTGTACAACATCCAGAAAATAGTTTCAATACTAAAGGGTGTTAAGTTTTCTGAGAGTTGTTTTTCTGCTTCTGTTTGGTGAGCACATAAACCAGGTGCCTAGACATGAAACCTACTGGGCAGAGTATTCCTGTATTTAACGTAAAACCTGCCTCTAGTGAATCAGATTATCCCAGACATCACAAATCTTTACATCTTTTCCAAATGTCAGCAGAGCTGATAGAAATGATAACAAGTAGACACCATTGCTTATAGTACTGGTGACATCTTCTAGAGTTAAAGTACTAGAGGTGCCTGTCAAGACACCAGCTCATTGGGAAAGGTCCAAATTCAGTTGGAGTTTTCCAAAAATGTTTGGAAATTAAACGTTTTTATGCTTGTCTTTTCTAAGTTTTTAATAATCATTAGAATTAAAAGCAAGAGTTTTCTATTTACTGCATAATCACTACTGTTTGAGTGATGCTAATAAAATTTGGGTAAAATGGTGTTTATATAAACCTGCTTTCCAAGGGAACAATCCATTGGTAAGTAGAATTTTTTTTAATCTCCGAATGTTTTTTCCCATGATCGTTACAAACTCTTATTCCTAATAAGGGAAAATAACCATGTTTCTTACTACTAAATCTAAAAAATCATGAAGAGGTCATGAATTCCTCATAAGATTTTAATGGATTCCTTCTAGTTTTTTCCTTAAGTGAAGGTCTTTGACTATGAAGTCTTAAAGGCCCATCCCTAGTGAGAGCTATCACAAAGGTCATTCAGTCTTCTGTCTCAGTAGCTGTTACCAGTTTACCTTTATATTTTCATCATAGTTCATTAATTTAAATTTTAAACAAGTTAAGGGCATTCACTTTTTTCGAAGGAGACAGTTGGCATGTTAAAAGGTGTCTACTTAGAAAACCCAGGGTTTAACTTGTTTAGTACAAAAGTGTTTGTATGTGTATTTTTTATTTCCCATGAAGGAGGGAAGGAAGTAAATCTAACCTTGTTCCTCTCAGAGAAGAACACTGAAACTATATTAACATGAAGTAGAAACATGATAATTGATATGTTATATTTTTCAGCCACTTTCTTTTAAAAAGACAGAACAAGTATTTGTTTTCCGAGTTAACAGATCAGAATAGGCAGTTTGTCTTTTTATGAACAGGAAAAACGAGGCTTGTCTACCGCTAGGCAGAAAACAGAAAAGAAGGAGTAGTCCTTGCTGTCTTGGTTCCTATCAGGCAAGTAGACCAGGTTGCTTTTCACCCTCGAGTAAATAGAATCACGTATCTGTGGTTTCTCTACCCCCTTAAAAAATTTATTTCTAATGACACCAATACTGATGGCTTTGTGGGTTTGAATGAATTTTTTACTTGTCTTATTTAGTTTCCCAAGGAATTCTATGATGTAAACAAAATAAGAATTATTAAGAACCCTGAATTTCAGATGATGGAATGATGTCCAGTGAGGTTTGGTTATCTAAGGTCACCTAGCTAGTGAAGATCCACTTTGAGTTTCTCACGTTTCCTAATCTCAGTGCAGTGCTCTTTTTACCATACCATGCATTTATTGTAGATGTGAATTTTTAGTATGCGTCAGTTATGTAGTGCCTTCGGATTATTTCTGGACTCATTGTTTTAATCATCAGTTAAATTTCTTTGGCTCATTAATTATTATGTTTATTCGGCAAGTTCTTACTCAACTGCTTTTATATTCTTGCATTACAAGATGCTAATGTAGATAAAAATATTATTTATTTTTTCTTTTTTTAGACACAGGATCTCTGTCACCCAGGCTAGGGTACAGTGGCACAATCCTAGCTCACCGTTACCCCAAATTCCTGAGCTCAAGGGATCCTCCCACCTCAAACTCCTGAGTAGCAGGAACTGCAGGCTCACACCACTGCACCCACCTAACTTTTTTTTTTAATTTTCAGTGGAGACAAGGTCTCATTCTGTTGCCCAGGCTGGTCTCAAACTCCTGGGCTCAGGCAGTCCTCCTGCCTCGGCCTCTCAAAGTGCTGGGCTTACAGGCATGAGCCAACACACCCCGCCTATAATTTATAATCCCTGCCCTTGAGGAGCTGAGAGTCTAGTGAGGGAGTCAGATTCCATTTCTTAAGACAGATTTATTGAGGTATAATTGACATAAAATAAACTATTTGTTTATACAATTATGTAAGTTTGGACGTATGACTACACCCATGAAGCTATGTTTTGTTTAAGTTTTCATTGTTTTTTGTTTTAATTGAGTTTTGAAAGCTTTATATATTTTGGATATAAATCCTTTATCAGATATTTCTAGCATGTCTTTTCATTCTCTTCACAGTGACTTTTGAAGCACAGAAGTTTTAAGTTTTGAAGTAAGCTTATTAATGTGTTGTTTTCTTTCTTCCTGTTTTGGTTGCTATAGCTTTATAATAAGTCTTAAAATCAGGTAGTATGGGTCCTTCAACTTTTTTCTCCTTCAGAGTCATTTTGCCAAGTTTTAGAATCAGTATTTCAATGTTTACCAAAACAGCTTGCTGAATTTTGAGAATGCTTTGAATCTGTAGATCTGTTTGGGGAGAATTGACTTTTTTTTTGAGACGGAGTTTCGCTCTTGTTGCCCAGGATGGAGTGCAATGGCGTGATCTCAGCTTACCGCAACCTCTGCCTCCCAGGTTCAAGCGATTCTCCTGCCTCAGCCTCCCTTGTAGCTGGGATTACAGGCATGTGCCACCATGCCCGGCTAATTTTGTATTTTTAGTAGAGACGGGGTTTCTCCATGTTGGTCAGGCTGCTCGCGAACTCCCGACCTCAGGTGATCCGCCCACCTCGGAATTGACATCTTAACAATGTTTTGTCTTTGACACATGTCTAGGATGTATGTCTCTGTTTATTCATGTCAGTTTTACTCACTAGTATTTTATATTAGTATTTTATGGTTTTCATTGTATAATTCTTCCCCATTTTGTCAGATTTATCCGTATTTCATAATTTTGTTGCTGTTGTAAGTTTTTAAAATTTCTGTTTTTAATTATTCATTGCTACTATGTGGAAATGCAATTGATTTTCAGATTACAATTCAATATGCTAAGTGCTCTACCAATGTTATGTGCAAAATACCTTGGGAGCATGGAGGAAGAACAATCAACCCTACTTATGGTGTCAAGGAATGCTTCATAAAAGAAATAACATAAATTTTCTAGTTATTTTCTTGATTTTTAGCATGAATATCTTGTCCAAAATTCTAGATAAATGTCTAATAATTAAAATACAAATTATTTTTAGAAGTAGTATATTAAATAATAGACTGGAAACTCTAGTATTGAGTTTAAATCTTGGAACTTTTGATTCTGGAAATTTTTAATCATATATGAAAATAGAGTATTTTCATAGCTTTATTTATATTATGTGGTTTTTATTGTGTGTTTTTCTGTTTGTTTTGAGACAGAGTCTCACTCTGTCACCAGGCTGGAGTGCAGTGGCGCAATCTCAGCTTACTGCAACCTCCACCCTCCAGGTTCAAGTGAGTCCCCTGCCTCAGCCTCTCCTGAGTAGCTGGGACTACAGGTGCACGCCACCACGCCCAGCTAATTTTTGTATTTTTAGTAGAGATGGGGTTTCACCACGTTGGCCACGATGGTCTCGATCTCTTGACCTTGTGATCCGCCCGCCTCGACCTCCCAAAGCGCTGGGATTACAGGCATGAGCCACCCCGCCCGGCCTTATATTACGTGTTTTTATGTGTATGTATATGAAATTTCAGACTTACAGAAAAGTTGCAGGTATAATACATGGAATTTCCATATACTCTTTACTCAGATTCACAGAAAAGTTGTAAGAATAATACATGGAATTTCCATATACTCTTTACTCAGATTCACCAGTTTACATTTTTGTCCCATCTACTTCATCATTTTCTCTATTTTCTTTTCTTGAATTGTTTAGGAATATGTTGGAGATACTGTGCCCTTTTATCCCTAAATACTTTGTTGTATATTTCCTAAGAACTAGGACATTGTCTTACATCAGCACAGCACAGTTAGTTATCAAAATCAGGAAATTTAATTTGATACAGTACTGTTAGTTAATCTATATTATAATATAATTTTGTTATTCCAATTATGACCTTTGTAGCTTTCTTTCCAGTCTTCAATTAGTCCAGGCTCATACCTTGGTATTCTTTAAACTGGAACCATTTCTCAGCTTTTCCTTGTGTTTGTTCACTTTGATATTTCTAAAGTGGATAGGCTAGTTATTTTGTAGATTGTCCTTCTTGTGTTTGCCCACTGCTTCTTCCTAATTAGGTTCAGGTTATTCATTTCGGTAGGAATCCCACTGAAGTGATACTGTGTTCTATTTAGTATATCTTTTGAGGAGACATGTGATAGCACTTTGTCCCAATATTTGTGACACCAGTGTAATGACTTGGTTAAGTTGGGTTGACCAGGTTCCTCCACTGTCAGGTTATACTTTTTCATTCTGTAATTAATGTATCGCTATATATTTTATATACTTTGAAACTGTAAACATCTTGTCCTCATAAAACCTTCACCTACTAATTTTAGCAGTCATTGCTAATTTTTTAAACTCCCATTCTTTCTACATTTAGTAGTTGGCATTCTACTATAAGGAAGAATTTTCCCTTTTTCCTTATTTGTGTATACTTATTTATTAATATTTATTATTTATTAATATATATGCAAGTATAGACACTTGCATTCTTATTGTATTCAGTGGATTATGATCCATTGCTATTTTCTGTTTGGTGCTAAATTGTCCCATATTCCATCAGTGGGAATGCCTTCAAGTTAACTATTGTGTGCCTTTGACATGTGCCCATCATTCTTTAATGCACTTTCTTCTTTGAGCATCTCCATCTTTTTAGCACAAAAAGATGTTGTAGGCTCATCTTGTATATTCCCTGCACCAGCTCTGGAATCAGCCATTTCTGCAGGTGGTCCTGGATTTTAGTTAGTTTTGGAAGCCAAGATTTGAACTAGAACATATATGTTACACACACACACACACACACACACACACACACATATACAACTGTGAATTTATATTGATACCTCCCATTCTTAACCAGCATCACAGCCTATATTATAGTCTTTCCCCCTTTCCATAATTGGAACTCTCTTCTCCAACAATGAAGAATGTGGTTCCCAATATCTTCAATTTTTCTCATTTGTTTAAGCCTAATATATACAAAAGGTGATTTCAGAACTTCTAAACCATGCCACTGCAAAAAGTAAACCTGTTAAATAGAGTTCATTACTTGTTTACAGTTCTTTTATTTTTGAAGTAAAATTTACACACATTGAAGTATACAATGTTAAGTGGATAATATGGTGAGTTTTGGCAAATTGATATGCTTTTATATCCCACACCCCTATCAAGACATAAAAAAAAACCATGTCTATCACCTCAGAAAATTCCCTTGAGCCCTTTTCTGGTCAGTCCCCAACCCCAGAAACAACCATAATTTTTATTCTTTTCATTATAAATTACTTTTTTCTTTTTTTTAGAATGTCATGTAAATATATGTCATACACACTTCTGTATCTTGCTGCTTTTGCTTAGCGTAATGTGAGATCTATCTATGTTTTTTAATGTGTCAGTGGTTCTATCCCTTTTATTACTAAGGAGTATTCCTTTGTGTGATCGTGGCAAATGTTTTGTTAATTTTTTATCAATAGTTGGATTGTTTCCACCTTTAGTTTTGTGATAGTCTTTTTTTTTTTTTAATGTCAACTTAGCTAGGCTACAGCCCCCAGTTATTCTGTCAAACACTAATTCGGGTATTGCTGTGAAAGTATTTTATAGATGTGATCAAAGTCTACAAGTAAAGGAGTTAATCTTATTGCATTCAATAAGCATTTTTTTTTCCTTTGAGACAAAGCCTCACTCTGTTGCCCAGGCTGGAGTGCAGTGATGTGACCTTGGCTCACTGCAACCTCTGCCTCCTGGGTTCAAGTGATGCCCCTGCCTCTGCCTCCCAAGTAGCTGGGATTATAGGTGCCTGCCACCATGTTCAGCTAATTTTTGTATTTTTAGTAGGGACAGGGTTTCACCATGTTGGCTAGGCTGGTCTCGAACTACTGACCTCGAGTGATCTCCCCACCTCGGCCTCCCAAAGTGCTGGGATTACAGGCATGAGCCACTGTGCTTAGCCACATTCAATACAATTTGCATTAAGTAAGCGATAATCTGGGTGGGCCTGATTCAGTTGGGTGGAAGGCCTTAAGAGCCTTACCCAGAGAGAACACAATGACATAGTGTAAACAGGTAAATCATTTATAGTAAGTCTCAGAGGTTAAAGGATTTGGGGGCAAACAAAAGGAATCTAGTTCTTTGTTTTCCTCTAATACTAAGGACATGCCACTAGCATCCTGACAAAAGCTCATTCCTCCTTTGCTTTGAGAGATCTGCTTTAAATCACTGGGGTTGTAACATCACTATATACTGTCCAGGAAATAATCCTAAGAAGATCTTGTACTAAAAATAATCTTGTATTTTTAGTAGAGACGGGGTTTCACCATATTGGTCAGGCTGGTCTCAAACTCCTGACCTCAGGTGATCCACCCTCCTCAGCCTCCCAAGTGCTAGGATTACAGGCGTGAGCCACCACTCCCAGCTTATTTTAATTTTTTTTTTAAGACAGAGTCTCACTCTGTCATCCAGGCTGGAGTGCAGTGGCACAATCAAGGCTCACTGTAGCCTTGACCTCCTGGGCTCAGGTGATCCATCTCAGCCTCCTGAGTAGCTGGGACTACAGGCACACGCCTCCACACCCAGCTAATTATTTTTTTTTTTTTCTTTTTTGGAGATGGGGTCTCACTATGTTGCCCAGGCTGGTCTTGAACTCCTGGGCTCAAGCAGTCATCCTGCCTCAGCCTCCCAAAGTGCTAGGATTGCAGATGTGAGCTACCATGCCTAGGCTGCTTTAATTCATTATTTTTTATTTTCATGTTTTTAAATAATATTATTATCTTGATTTTTCTTGACTTTTCAGTCTTACATATTGTCTGTTGACTTCCAAGAGGAAAGCTGTGTTAACTCCGCTAAAAATTGTACAAAATACGCTTAAAGTAGAAAGGAGGTCACATCCTTTATATAGGTCAGCTCATTTACCATTCTCTGAAGGTAGTAGACTGGTACTCCCTTGTTTTATAGACAAAGAAACTAAAATTCAGACAAGTTAAATTACCTCCACATGCTCACACAGCTCTGTCATGTTCTAGTGCATCAAACTCTAGTCTGAGTCCAAAGCCCGTTGTCTTTCTCACCAAACCAAATTACCTCCAGGACAGAGAAATCAGGAAAATTTCTAGAAAAGGGAAAGAAGTAATAAATAACAGTTGAGCCAGACCTTAAGGATGGACTGAATTTTCTGATGTATCTGTTTGATTATACGATACATATAAGGAAGGTGTGGGAGAAAAGTCTGGGAAGATAGTTTAGGCTTATGGCATGGAAAGCTAAGGTAAGAAGCTTAAAATTACATAGAAAGGCAGCATGTCATCAAAGGTTTTTGGACAGAGTATTAGAATTATCTCTGAGGAAGATTAAGTTAGAAGTAGTGGGTAGATAAAATAGATTGGAGGTAGAAGCCTAAAGTCAAAATGGTCCAGGAAAAGTATTAGTTGAAGAGATGGTGAGGAAAAGGTTGAAGTGAAAGATGATTGGGTCAGCTGGGCACGGTGGCTCACGCCTGTAATCCCAGCATTTTTGGGAGGCTGAGGCGGGTGGATCCCCTGAGGTCAGGAGTTCGAGACCAGCCTGACCAACATAGAGAAATCCGGTCTCCACTAAAAATACAAAATTAGCCAGGTGTGGTGGCACATGCCTGAAATCCCAGCTACTCGGGAGGCTGAGGCAGGAGAATTGCTTGAACCTGGGAGGTGGAGGTTGCGGTGAGGCAAGATCACGCCACTGCACTCTAGCCTGGGCAATAAGAGTGAAACTCTGTCTCAAAAAAAAAAAAAAAAAAAAAAAGAAAAAAAAATGATGGGATCACTAGAAGACGGTTTGCTGTTTGGTGGTTTCTTTCTCTGTTTTGTTATATTGTGGAAGCAATATATGTGACTTTGAATAGCATAGCAGCTAGCTGTCCTGGGCTCCCTCACCACTGCCCCCATCTGTCCCTTACTTGTCTCTTCCAGGCAAGACTAAACTCACTAAAATGTTTCCCTTGTTTTTTTTTTTTTTTTTTTTTGAGTTGGGGTCTTGCTCTGTCACCCAGGCTAAAGTGCAATGGTGCCATCATGGCTCACTACAGCCTTGAACTCCTGGGCTCAAAGGATCCTCTCACCTCAGCCTGCCCAGTGGTTCAGACTACAGGTGCATGCCACCACACCCAGCTAATTTTTTTCATTGTTTCTTTTTTTGTTTAGCAATGGGGTCTTGCTATGTTACCCAGGCTGGCCTCAAGCAATCCTCCCACCTCAGCCTCCTGAGTTACTGGATTACAGGCATGAGCCACTGTGCCCAGCTGTCTGAATTGTTTTTGACTCCCCATAGTACTGTGTCCTTTTAGGAGAGTTTTTTTGCCACTGATTCTCAGTTGTTTGGGTGATTGCTTTTCTGTGGGTGGGAGGAATTGTCCTAGATCTCTTTGAGGGTCTTATGAAAGTTTTTGACAGTTTCTAAACCCTGCATTAACATCTCAGTATGTGTAGACTCTCGTTAGGAGAATTATGAAACTTAACTCTTTAGAAGTTTTATAAACCCTTTGAGGCTTATGATTAAATGAAAGTGCTGATATTTAGAAGGTAGCAATCAAAATCCAATTAAGCTTTTTTTTTTGCTTTTTTTTTTTTTTTTTTTTAAACGGAGTTTTGCTCTGTCGCCAGGCTGCAGTGCAGTGGCACAATCTTGGCTCACTGCAACCTCCACCTCCTGGGTTCAAGCGATTCTCCTGCCTCAGCTTCCCAAGTAGCTGGGATTACAGATGCCCGCCACCACGCCCAGCTAATTTTTGTATTTTTAGTAGAGTCGGGGTTTCACCATGTTGGCCAGGATGTTCTCGATCCCCTGACCTCATGATCTGCCCACCTCAGCCTCCCAAAGTGCTGGGATTACAGGCGTGAACCACCAGGCCGGGCCAAGCCAGATTCTTTAAAGTGGCTCTATCTTCTCTGTAATTTGCTCCCTTGCCACTTTGATGACTCCAGATTCTACTCCTATTCCCATTGTCTTTTAACTCCCACTTCAGGGCCTTTATTCTTGCTGTTACCATTTCCTAGAACAATCCTTCCAGATACCTACCTCAAATGCTGCATCATCTGTCCATCTTTGTTCAGATACCACCTTTTCTTTGAGGCCTTCTCTTAAACACTGTCGTACATACAGTTTTGCACATACATTTTAGTTGTAGGATAAATTGCTAAAAATTAAGTTATTTGAGCAAATTATCTGCATGCTTAAAACGTGAATGACTACTGCCAAATGACCCTTCTAGTACTTGCTAACGTTTGCCAGTGTGAGCATCTACCATCACTTTTTTTTTTTTTTTGAGACAGAGTTTCACTCTCGTTGGCCAGACTGGAGTACAATGGCATGATCTTGGCTCACAGCAACCTCTGCCTCCTGAGTTCAAGCGATTCTCCTGCCTCAGCCTCCCCAGTAGCTGGAATTACAGGCATGCACCACGATGCCCGGCTAATTTTGTGTATTTTTAGTAGAGACGGGGTTTCTCCATGTTGGTCAGGCTGATCTCGAACTCCCGACCTCAGGTTGCAGTGAGCAGAGATCGCGCCACTGAATTCCAGCCTGGGCGATAGAGCGAGTCTGTCTCAGAATGAAATGACGTGACATGACATAACATGATGAAATGAATAATGAAATGCCGGGTGTGGTGGCACACTCCAGCCTGGGCAATAGAGCAAGTCTCTGTCTCGAAATGAAATGGAATGAAATGAAGAGAATAAATGAAATAAATGAAATGAAATAATAAAATGAATAATGAATTGCCAGGTGAAATGAAATGAAATGATGAAATGAATAATGAAATGCCAGGTGCAGTGGTGCACTCCAGCCTGGGCAATAGAGCAAGTCTCCGTCTCGAAATGAAATGAGATGACATGAGATGAAATGGGATGAAATGAAATAATGAACAATGAAATGCCGGGTGAAATGAAATGAAATGAAATGAAGAAATAAATGAAATATTGAAATGAATAATAAAATTCTGGGTGCGGTGATGCACTCCAGCTTGAGTGATAGAGTGAGACTCCGTCTTGAAATGAAATGATGAAATAATGAAACAAAATTAAATATGAAATGAAATGAAATACGAAATACTGGGTGCGGTGGCTCACGCCTGTAATCCTAGCACTTTGGGAGGCTGAGGACGGTGGATCACCTGAGGTCAGGAGTTCAAGACCAGCCTGGCCAACATGATGAAACCCCATCTCTACTAAAATACAAAAACTAGCCAGGCATGATAGCGGGTGCCTGTAATCCCAGCTACTTGGGAGGCTGAGAGAGGAGAATCGCTTGAACCCAGGAGGCAGAGGTTGCAGTGAGCAGGGATTGCGCCACTGCACTCCAGCCTGGGTGTTAGAACAAGCCTCTGGCTCGAAATGACATGACATGACATGACATGACATGGTGAAATGAAATAATGAAATGAATAATGAAATGCGTGTGGTGCACTCCAGCCTGGGCAATGCAGCAAGTCTCTGTCATGAAATGGATTGAAATTGAATGGGAATGGGAATATGGGAATGGAATAAATGAAATGAAGAAATATGAAATGCCAGGTGTGGTGGCGCACTCCAGCCTGGGTGATAGAGCGCGTCTCCGTCTTGAAATGAAATGAAATAAATGAAATGAGAAATGATGAGATGAAATATGAAATGCTGGGTGAAATGAATAATGAAATGCCAGGTGTGGTGGCGCAGTCCAGCCTGGGTGATAGAGCGAGTCTCTGTCTTGAAATGAAATGAAATGATCAAATGAAATGATGAAATGAAATAATGAAATGAATAATGAAATTCTGGGTGCAGTGGCGCACTCCAGCCTGGGCAATAGAGGGAGTCTCCGTCTCAAAATGAAATGAAATGAAATGATGAAATGAAATAATGAAATGAATAATGAAATGCCGGGTGAAATGAAATGAAATGAAAAAATGAAATAAATGAAATGATGAAATAATGCAATGAATAATGAAATGCCAGGTGCAGTGGCACACTCCAGCCTGGGTGATAGAGCGAGTCTCTATCTCAAATGGGATGAAATGAAATGAAGAAATGAAATAATGAATAATGAAATGCCAGGTGAAATGAAATGAAATGAAGAAATAATGAAATGAAATGAATAATGAAATGCTGGGTGTGGTGATGCACTCCAGCCTGGGTGATAGAGTGAGACTCCGTTTTGAAATGAAATGAAGGAGATGAAATGATGAAATAAATATGAAATGGAATATGAAATGCTGGGTGCAGTGGCTCACGCTTGTAATCCTAGCACTTTGGGAGGCCTAGGTGGGCGGATCACTTGAGGTCAGGAGTTCAAGATCAGCCTGGCCAACATGGTGAAACCCTGTCTCTACTAAAATACAAAAAGTAGCCGGGCATTATAGCGGGTGCCTGTAATCCCAGCTACTCGGGAGGCTGAGAGAGGAGAATCGCTTGTACCCAGGAGGTAGAGGTTGCGGGGAGCAGAGATCACACCACTGCACTCCAGCCTGGGCAATAGAACGAGTCTCCATCTCAGAATGAAATGACATGACATGATGAAATGAAATAATGAAATTAATAATGAAATGTGGGTGGCGCACTCCAGCCTGGGTGATAGAGTGAGTCTCTGTCATGAAATGAAATGGGAAATGAAATATGAAATGAATAATGAAATGCTGGGTGCACTCCAGCCTGGGTGTTAGAGCGAGTCTACGTCATGAAATTGAAAAATGAAATGAAATAGATGAAATGAAAAAATGAAATAATAATGAAATGCCGGGTGTGGTGGTGCACTCCAGACTGGGCGATAGAGCGAGTCTCTGTCTCGAAATGAAATGAAACAAATGAAATGAAATGAAGTGAGAAATGAAATGATGAAATGAAATACGAAATGCCGGGTGAAATGAAATGAATAATGAAATGCTGGGTGTGGTGGCGCACTCCAGACTGGGCGATAGAGCGAGTCTCTGTCTCGAAATGAAATGAAACAAATGAAATGAAATGAAGTGAGAAATGAAATGATGAAATGAAATACGAAATGCCGGGTGAAATGAAATGAATAATGAAATGCTGGGTGTGGTGGCGCACTCCAGCCTGGGTAATGGAGCGAGTCTCCATCGAAATGAAATGAAATGAGATGAAATATGAAATGAAATAAATGAAACTAAATGATAAAATGGAATAATGAAATGCCGGGTGCGGTGGCGCACTCCAGCCTGGGCAATAGAGCAAGTCTTCATCTGGAAATGAAACGAAATGAAATGAAATGATGAAATGAATAATGAAATGCTGGGTGAAATGAAATGAAATAAATGAATAATGAAATGCCAGATGCAGTGGCGCACTCCAGCCTGGGTGATAGAGCGAGTCTCTGTCTCGAAATGAAATGACATGGCATGACATGACATGACATGACATGATGAAATGAAATAATGAAATGAATAATGAAATGCTGGGTGTGGTGGTGCACTCCAGCTTGCGCGGTAGAGTGAGTCTTCATCTCTAAATGAAATAAAATGAAATGATGAAATGAATAATGAAATGCCAGGTGCGGTGGCGCACTCCAGCTTGGGCAATAGAGCAAGTCTCTTGTCTCGAAATGAAATGAAGTAAATGAATAATGAAATGCCGGGTGTGGTGGTGCACTCCAGCCTGGGCGATTGAGCGAGTTTCCATCTCGAAATGAAATGAAACTAAATGAAGAAATGAAATAATGAAATGAATAATGAAATGCTGGGTGCAATGAAATGAAGAAATGAAATAATGAAATGAAATGAATAATGAAATGTCAGGTGCAGTGGCATACTCCAGCCGGGGTGATAGAGTGAGTTTCCATCTTGAAATGAAAGAAATGAAATATGAAATGCTGGGTGTGGTGGCTCACACCTGTAATCCTAGCACTTTGGGAGGCCGAGGCAGGTGGATCACCTGAGGTCAGGAGTTCAAGACCAGCCTGGCCAACATGATGAAACCCCATCTCTACTAAAATACAAAAACTAGCTGGGCATGATAGCGGGTGCCTGTAATCCCAGCTACTTGGGAGGCTGAGAGAGGAGAATCGCTTGAACCCAGGAGATGGTGGTTGCCATGAGGCAAGATCGCGCCACTGCACTCCAGCCTGGGCAGCTGAGCGAAACTCTGTCTCAAAAAAATAAAAATAAAAATAAATAAATGAATAAAATAAATTACTCTCTATCTGACAGCTGCTAGTTTTTCCCTCATGATCTTTCTATTAAAATAGCTCTGTACCTACTATGTTGAGCCCTTCCTTTTTTTTTGACAGGGTCTCAGACTAGAGTACAGTGGTGTGATCATGGCTCACTGCCACCTCTGCTTCCTGGGTTCAAGTGATGCTCCCATCTCAGCCTCCCAAGATGCTAGGACTACAGGCACACGCCACCATGCCTGGCTAATTTTTTTGTGTTTTTTGTAGAGACGGGGTTTCACCATGGTGCCCAGGCTAGTCTCAAACTCCTGAGCTCAAGCGATCCACCCTGCCTTGGCCTCCCAAGTATTGGGATTACAGGTGTGAACCACCGCGCCCGGCCCCCTCTTTTTTTAAATTTCTGTATTTAAAGAGTACATTGGGGATTGGAAATAGTTTAGATCAGCAGGGATTAGCCATTCCCTAAATGTAAACTTCAGTGGTGCTATACTTAGAGTGCCCAAGGTCATTTCCAAATCCATGAATCTGGACGTTGAAGTTATATTCGTATTCCCACCACACAAAATTTATGTCTGTGCCCTGTCTTCTTGGGTCTATTTTTTAACCAGAAATTAATAAGACATTGATTTGCCTTTGTTAGAGTGATTTCAGTGTTTCGAGTTATTAAGACAGGAAGTGTGAGTCCCTGTTGGAATTCTGGGTCAGCAGATTATTTACCTCTTCTACAATTGCAATGGAAATTGAAATCTATTTGTCCTGTGACATAGAATTAATGAGTATTCTTTTTTGCTTTTTCTCTTCTGAGCCAAGAGCTTTCTTTTCATAATTTATGTTGGAGGTGTTCCAGACTATGTTATGTGACTACTGCAAGAAGGTCCTTGCCACAGAAAGTTAGACTCTCATTTCTTTTGACAATATCAAATATTCAGCCTTTTCCTCTGTCTTAAGAATACATATAATATGCCTTAAGTTAGATGCTATACCATAGTGGCTTCCCTTGTGTAAGAAAATGGAGTGGAGGGGGCTGAGCTGGAGCTTCCATGCCTATCTGTTGGGCTAGAAACACCTCCCACTCAACTCCAGCCATTTGCCACTCTGCATAATTAGTGTACCTCATTTATTCAGAAGAAGCTGGAATCCCAGATTTTTATGTGAAATCTCCTGTTTTTAAAATATTTGATCTTTTTCAACATAATTTGGCCCAACAAAACTCTTGCTGGCTTGAGTGCTGCCCTTGTACTGCCAATTGAAGTTTAACATTTGTCTAACCCTAAAGACTTTCAAAGTGAAATTATTTTTAGGTTCTTAACAAGGTTTTTCTATGCCAAGGTAAAATTTTCAAGGGCATATGAGGTATTTACTGTCTCACTCAGAGTTCTGTTTAAGTGATCACATGGGCATGCATGTTGGAGAAAGTGTTGTGAGCTCTTACAGATAAAGTTTGAAATGCAACCTATTTTCAATAGAAAAAAGCCTCTTACTCTCAGATATCTCAGAAAAACTTAGATTTTACAATCCTTTTAAGACTTAAGACTCTTAGGTCTGTGGAGTCAAAATGCTACGTGATATTTGTGGTGGATGAATTACTGAAAAACAGAATTCCTCAGCAAATCAAGTGTCTGATGCATAATAAACCAACCCAACAAAAAAAGCTGCCTTTCAGAGGCAAGAATATAGAACATGTGTAGTTAATTAAGCTATTTAAAACAGAAATGTTAGGCCTGGCACAGTGGCTCACGTCTGTAATCCCAGCACTTTGGGAGGCCAAGGCGGGAGGATCACAATGTCAGGAGATTGAGACCATCCTGGCTAACACAGTGAAACCCCGTCTCTACTGAAAATACAAAAACATTATCCGGGCATGGTGGTGGGTGCCTGTAGTCCCAGCTACTAGGGAGGCTGAGACAGGAGAATGGCGTGAACCTGGGAGGCAAGGCTTGCAGTGAGCCGAGATTGCACCACTGCACTCCAGCCTGGGCCACAGAGCAAGACTCCGTCTCAAAAAAAGAAATGTTATGAAAAATTTGGAAATATTTGTCACTAGCTGTATGACCTTTTGAAAAAGGTCCGCCTAATACCTTGCTCATCTATAAAATTGCGGTATGATTATCAATTTACAGGATTGTGGTGCATTTTAAATGAAACAAGTTCCATTAAGTGCTTATTGCTGAAGGTATAATTCAGTGAATGCTCTTTCCTTTTCTTAGAGCAGAGTTTGGTATTTTATTTTCACCTAAGCCATTTTGGTTCAGTTCTTAAGGCTTTGATTATTTTTTTAAGTTGAATGGTGTTTAGTGTGCCCATGTTCATAACAGCATATTATTCACAACAGCCATACAGGCTGGGTGTGGTAGCTCATGTCTATAATCCCAGCACTTTGGGAAGCCAGTGTGGGCAGATTGAGTCCAGGAGTGTAAGGGCAATATGGTGAAACCCTGTCTATACAAAAAATTAGCCAGTCTTGGTGGTGGGCACCTGTAGTCCCACTTACTGGGAAGGCTGAGATGGGAGAATCACCTGAGCCCAGGAGGTCAAAGCTGCAGTGTGCCTTCATTGTGCCACTGCACTCTAGCCTGGGCGACAGAGTGAGAAAAAAAAAAAAAAAAAAAGATAGATTCTAAGAGGCCAATGCAGGCAAATGGGCAGATTGCTTGAGCCCAGGAGTTGGAGACTAGCCTGGACAACATAGCTACTAAAAATACAAAAAATGAGCTAAGCATGGTGGTACATGCTACTCCCGAGGCTGAGGTGGGAAGATCACTTGAGCTTGGGGAGGTCAAGGCTGCAGTGAGCCGTGATCATGCCACTGCACTCCAGCCTAGGTGACCCTGTCTCAAAAAAAGAAAAATGTGGTATATACATAGAATATTATTCTGCCTGTAAAAAGGAAATTCTGGCTCTCCCTCTCACTCTCCCTCTCCCCACGGTCTCCCTCTCCCTCTCCCCACGGTCTCCCTCTCCCTCTCTTTCCATGGTCTCCCTCTGATGCCGAGCCGAAGCTGGACTGTACTGCTGCCATCTCGGCTCACTGCACCCTCCCTGCCTGATTCTCCTGCCTCAGCCTGCCGAGTGCCTGCGATTGCAGGTGCGCGCCGCCACGCCTGACTGGTTTTTGTATTTTTTTGGTGGAGACGGGGTTTCGCCGTGTTGGCCGGGCTGGTCTCCAGCTCCTAACCGCGAGTGATCTGCCAGCCTCGGCCTCCCGAGGTGCCGGGATTGCAGATGGAGTCTCGTTCACTCAGTGCTCAATGTTGCCCAGGCTGGAGTGCAGTGGCGTGATCTCGGCTAGCTACAACCTCCACCTCCCAGCCGCCTGCCTTGGCCTCCCAAAGTGCCGAGATTGCAGCCTCTGCCCGGCTGCCACCCCGTCTGGGAAGTGAGGAGCGTCTCTGCCTGGCCGCCCATCGTCTGGGATGTGAGGAGCCCCTCTGCCCGGGCTGCCCAGTCTGGGAAGTGAGGAGCGCCTTTTCCCGGCTGCCATCCCGTCTAGGAAGTGAGGAGCGTCTTGGCCCGGCCACCCATCGTCTGAGGTGAGGGGAGCACCTCTGCCCCGCCGCCCCGTCTGGGATGTGAGGAGCGCCTCTGCCTGGCCGCGACCCCGTCTGGGAGGTGAGGAGCGTCTCTGCCCAGCCGCCGTGTCTTGAGAAGTGAGGAGCCCCTCCGCCCGGCAGCTGCCCTGTCTGAGAAGTGAGGAGCCCCGCCGCCCAGCAGCTGCCCCCTCTGAGAAGTGAGGAGCCCCTCCGCCCGGCAGCCGCCCCGTCCAGG
Organism: Homo sapiens; assembly: GCF_000001405.40. Lineage (NCBI taxonomy): Eukaryota > Metazoa > Chordata > Mammalia > Primates > Hominidae > Homo > Homo sapiens. Next base: position 45,865,559 of record NC_000010.11, on the reverse strand, counting down.
AAGTGAGGAGCGTCTCCGCAAGACAGCCGCCCCGTCCGGGAGGTGGGGGGGCAGCCCCCGCCTGGCCAGCTGCCCCGTCCGGGAGGGAGGTGGGGGGCAGCCCCTGCCCCGCCAGCCACCCCGTCCGGGAGGGAGGTGGGGGGCGCCTCCGCCCGGCTGCCGCCCCGTCTGGGCGGTGGGGGGCGCCTCTGCCCAGCCACCCCTTCTGGGAAGTGAGGAGCCCCTCTGCCCGGCCGCCACCCCGTCTGGGAGGTGTACCCAACAGCTCATTGAGAATGGGCCATGATGACGATGGCGGTTTTGTTGAATAGAAAAGGGGGAAATGTGGGGAAAAGATAGAGAAATCGGATTGTTGCTGTGTCTGTGTGGAGGGAAGTAGACATAGGAGACTCCATTTCTTTCTGTACTAAGAAAAATTCTTCTGCCTTGGGATGCTGTTGATCTATGACCTTACCCCCAACCCGGTGCTCTCTGAAACATGTGCTGTGTCCACTCAGGGTTAAATGGATTAAGAGCGTGCAAGATGTGCTTTGTTAAACAGATGCTTGAAGGCAGCCTGCTCCTTGAGAGTCATCACCGCTCCCTAATCTCAAGTACCCAGGGACACAAAAACTGCGGAAGGCCGCAGGGTCCTCTGCCTAGGAAAACCAGAGACCCTTGTTCACATGTTTATCTGCTGACCTTCCCTCCACTATTGTCCTATGACCCTGCCAAATCCCCTTCTCCAAGAAACACCCAAGAATGATCAATAAATACTAAAAAAAAAAAAAAAAAAAAAAAAATACTGCAAGAACATCTGCCCCAGAACTGCCTGTCCAACCTGGACTGACATCATCCTTGTTATTGATCTTTGTAGCCAAATATAATTATTTTAAAACAAACAAAAAAAGAGAATGTAAGCAGTATAAGACTTTAAAACACACAAATGAAATATACATGACTACATGCTTCAGTGAACTAAAACTTTCATCTGTAATCTTTATTTTGCAACATTCTGAAGTAACATTACAGTCTTTTCAGTGTGCTGTGTCATTTATATCCCTTACTTTATCCTAGGAATCCTGTATTGCCATTGAGCATATGCAGATTGAGACATGTGCATAGCTTCTCCCCGTTGAGCCCATCAGTGGGGAGGAGCTATGTACCGGGGACATTTGGCAAAGATTTTCACGAGTCTCTTGGATGTAACAGCTCCTTAAGAAAACCTCAGTTTACCTTCCCTATTTTTTTACCATTTGTAAAACTAAGGCTCAGTGATGTAAAATATAACACATTCTGTGCTGTGGCATAACTGCAGCTTAGGTTTTTATATTCAAGACAAGCAGAGGTATAGCTGAAAAGGTATGAACACTTACTATGCTTCAAGATCCCTTCGTTGGTTTAGTTGTGGCATTTTAGAACAGCTGACTTGGGACTAAAGCATCTTTCTATCTGGGATCAGTATTTCTAAGTTGCCTTTAAGCTGAATAAACATTTGGTTTTTATATTTAGTTGCTTCGATGTGAAACACTGCAATTTAAAAAATTACACATATGTAATATAGTATTTTACACTAAATAATAGTGACTGGCAGTCCATTGGCCGAAGAAGTATTATTTTTCAGATATTCTGCTCTGTCATCAGCTATAGACACTGACAGGTATTTATCTGGAAAGGCTTGCTGTCAGGGGTTCACAGTGCTGCTTGTGGGTTATCTCCAGACCCTTTACATTTGGCACTTTAGGACAGCGTGAGTCACAGGTTGCACTAGAAGTTGCCTTTGAAATTAGACCTAAACTATGTGGAACTGGAACCCTTGTACACAAAGCTCTCTATCATCCAAATCCTGCTGAACTCTCTTAGGAAAGAACAGTTTTACAGATTCATTCTTTCCACACACAAGATTTCCCCACTGCCCAGTTACTCTCACCTTTTTATTTTCTTGACTGTTATGTTTTACTTGACTCTGGAATCTTACCTTGTACTCTCACATTTACATGGAAGTATAGCTTATTTCACCAATTATACTATCAAAAGCAGAAGTAGTTACTTACACCTGAAAATTTGTACTGAGAATGTAGCTGTGAATATGTTTAAGAAAGTATACTTAAAGCAGAAATCCAAGGAAGTATATTTAAATCAAAGCAAGAAATCCCATTTCCAAATGGCAATAAAGCATGTGTTACATAGAATCAGTGCATGAAAGTGTTTTAGTAGCCCAGATTAGATTGTACCCTGGCGAATAAGCAAGAGTTCTTTTTCATTTTCATCTTGCAATTCAACTGGGTATTTGGGTTCTTTTTCTATTCACTCATGTCAGATAGAGACATGCATGTTGTAAATTATTTTGTCAGAATGAAAGCCTGGCAGATTAAATGCTTTCTTCTCTTCTTGCTTTACTTGATATCAATCTCTTGTTCATTTCTTGATAATATGTTTGGTTATTTTTGTTTTCATTGCTTTTAGTGTCAGAGATGGCTTTGGATTCCCCATTCTGTGTGCTGCTGTCTGGCTCCTGAACCCACCTGTAGAGGTGTGTCAATCCCAGCTGGTGAAGTACTGAGAAGAAGCTACACAAAAGGCATCAAAGTATTAGTAAGTGTACCTCTGACATTTTAACCACCTCTGACTTTTCCATGGAATGGACAAGTAGTAGTCTCTGTCAGAGCTACATTTTAAAGGAGAAAAAGAAACGTGAAGTCATGAACTGTTTATTTATGCTGTTATTTTTGTGTTTACTCACCTCATTTATATTGACTTGTAAATTAGTAATTTCTGAACTATTACTTATCAATTCATTGCCTACATGTCAGCAAACAAATTTTCTTCTTAATAAAGAATACAGTTGCTGGGCACAATGGTTCACACCTGTAATCTCAGCACGTTTGGAGGGCAAGGCAGGAGGATTCCTTGGGGCCAGGAGTTCAAGACCAGCCTGGGCAATATAGCAAGATTTCATCTCTACAAAAAAATGAAAACATTGGCTGGGCATAGTGGCTCATTCCTATAGTTCAGGCTACTGAGGAGCCTGATGTAGGAGGATCACGTGACCCCAGTAGTTTGAGGCTGCAGTGAGCTATGATCCTAACACTGCTCTCCAGCCTGGGTGACACACCAAGTTGCCATCTCTTCAAAAAAGGAATCTAGAGACATCAGTGTGTGCACAAGCATGGTTTGTGAATTTGGAAGTGTGTATGTGCGTAGTTTTGCTCAAGAATGTGTTGATGATTATACCTTCTCAGAATGAAGGTAATTTTTTTTCTTTTCTTTTTTTTTTGAGATGGAGTCTTGCTCTGTTGCCAGGCTGGAGTGCAGTGGTGCTCTCAGCTCACTGCAACCTCTGCCTCCCGGGTTCAAGCAGTTCTCCTGCCTCAGCCTCCCAAGTAGCTGGGACTACAGGCACACACCACCACTCCCGGCTAATTTTTTGTGTTTTAGTAGAGACGGGGTTTTACCATGTTGGCCAGGATGGTCTCGATCCCCCGACCTTGTGATCCACCCACCTTGGCCTCCCAAAGTGTTGGGATTACAGGTGTGAGCCACCGTGCCTGGCCTGAAGGTCATTTTTATAAAGATCTCTCCACGTCTTAGATTTGATTCTTCCTTTAAATATTTTTCTCATTGACATTTGAAAGCACCTGACCTTATATAAAATGAACAATTTTCATAACTCCATAAAAGGAGAATTATGGCATCATCTATTTCTTTCTCTTGTCTCATAAATCTAAACCATCAACCTGCTTATTTTTGTATACTGTCACACTGTGTATTCCCTGCATTGAATGCCTGTCTGTTGACATTGTCTGTAAAAATTGTGGGAAGTTTTCTGCACCCTGAAATTTCTGTTATGCGGATTAAATATCCACTATCCATGTTTTTCCAAGTCTTACAGTAGAAAGGGTAAATGCAGCCCTCACAGCAGCCTGTTGTTCGTCCTGCAAATGTGTTTCCATCACATTACACAAAGCCTCTTTGTCTTCGTGGTTCTACCCTACTAATAAGTTTTTAAAAAAATTATGTAATGTGTGTATATACAAATACCTATATGTATGTGTGTACACATACAGCTGATATCTGCTGAGATTATGTATGCATGAACTATAGAATTAACTTGTAATTTTAAGAAAATAAATTATTTTGTAAAGATAAATCTCATGTTTAAGAAGAGGAATTACAGTTGAATCATTTAGGGATGCCTCAGCCTAAACATAATATGGAAAAAGCCATAACCAAAAGTCATTTTAGAGTACTGCTAGGTTACTCAACCTATCATCACATTTAATTAAAATGTCAGTTTGAACCATGGCCAGTCTATGTTGGTTAATATGTTATTTAAATCAACTTGTGAAGTCTTCATTTTAAATATAGAATTTGTGTTAATGGACTGGAAAATAACATTCTATTGCTTGGAAGATGTGTTAAAGTCTAAAGATTTATGACTTTGTAAAAGAAGAAAACCAGGTGATGATCAGTTGGCATTAGTATATGAGGATGTACTCATATTTGGTAATAGCCATTTTTTTCTAACTAGAGTAAGGGAGTTGGGAATGGGAGGCAGAAGCAAGGACACAGACATGTAAAAAATCATAGAACAAAACTGTATTGAGTTCTGAGTATGGGTCTGTGATCCATGGTTCAGTTTGAGAGGTTCATGTGTCCCTTATGAGAAGGGACAGGAAAGCCAGGAGGAAAGGAGTATGTTTGGGCCTGTGCCTCTGCTTCCGCCACAAAAGTCAGCAGCTCTACCTTTCTCTTTTCTCCTCTTTATCTAATAATTGTCTCCTCTTCAAATTTGGGAAATGAGCTTAATCAAAGATTTGTTGTGTTTTGTTTGTTTGTTTGTTTTTGAAATGTGGCCTCAGTGTGTTTGCCCAGGCTGATCTTAAACTCCTGGGCTCACATGATCCTCCCTCTCAGCCTCCTGAGTAGCTGGGACTACAGGCATGATCCACTACACCCAGCTAAGTTAATGCTAATGTGTAGTTTATCTGCTTCAATTTTGAAGGGTAGGATATATATAGTTATGTGTGTGTGTGTGTGTGTGTGTGTGTGTGTGTGTGTGTGTGTGTGGTGGGGGGGTAGTGTTTGTGTGTGTGTGTGTATATATATATTTATATATTACTAGTCCATTGCTGCTACAACAAACTACCACTATGTCAGGGCATAAAACAAATTTATTACACTCCTGTATGTCAGAGTATGATGTGGATCTCACTGGGCTAAAATCTAGGTGGTGGAAAGGCTACCTTCATCTCTAGAGGCTCTAGGGGATCTTTTTTCTCGCCTTTTCCACATTCTGGAGTCTGCCTGCATTTTTTGGCTTTGGGCTCTTCTCCACTCTCACCATTAGCAACCTTGCATCCCATGGACCCTTCTTCTGTGGCCACATGTCTCTGTGGCTCTTTCCTTCCCCCTTCTCTTCCACTGTTAAGGACTCATGTGCTTACTTAGTCCTGAATGGACACACCGTCATCATCCACATGAGCCCACTGTCCTAATCCATACAGGCTGCTACAAGGAAATGCATTAGACCAGGTAGCTTATAAATAACAGAACTTCGTTTCTCACAGTCCTGGAGGCTGAGAAATGCAAGATCAAGGTGCCGGCAGTCTTGGTGTCTGGTGAAGGCCTGCTTTCTCATAGAGGCTTCCTTCTTGCTGTGTCTTCGCATGGTGAGAGGAACAAACAAGCTCCCTTGTGCCTGTAATAAGGTGCTAATCCCAGTCATGAGGGCAGAGTCTCCCGTAAGGCTTAACCTCCTAATACCATCACCTTGAGGGTTAGGATTTTAACACATGAACATTGACGGAACACAACGTTCATTCCATAGCACCAGGGTAGTCTCCTCATGTCAAGGTCTTTACCTGAATCACATGCATGATGTACCGTTTTCATGTAAGGTTCTAGGAATCTGTGGACATCTTTGGGGGGCCATTATTTTGCCAATCACATATTACATATATTTTAATATCCTAGACTAGTATGAAAACAATGCCACTTCCATTGCTTTATATATGTATATATATATACACATTGTCTAATGCTATAATTAAAAAAAAGTTGTAGACACAAATATACCCATTTAAAAAAAAACCCATTTTTTTCTATTTTACTTCATACTGCCAACTCCTTTTTCCTGAAACTGCTTCAACTCTGGAATTCTTTTTTGCTATTAGTTTTATTTTATTGAAGTATTCATGAACAAGCATACACTTGTATATGGATTTAAAATTCACAGTAATGTTTTCATGAATTCATCTGTGAATAACATTTTATAGACAAAATGTCTGCACTAGGACAAGAGAAAGATGTATAATTACCTTGTTCTAAGGTACCGCCATTCATTGTTATTATTTTAAAATACGAGTGTCGACTGATGTTAAAACACAAAATGGGGCCGGGAGTGGTGGCTCCCGCCTGTAATCCCAACACTTTGGGAGGTGGGTGGATCACCTGAGGTCAGGAGTTTGAGACCAGCCTGGCCAACATGGTGAAACCCCGTCTCTACTAAAAATACAAAAATTAGCTGGGCATGTGTTGCGCGCCCGTAATCTTAGCTACCCGGGAAACTGAGTCAGGAGAATTGCTGGAATCTGGGAGGCGGAGGCTGCAGTGAGCCGAGATCACACCAGTGCACTCCAGACTGGGTGACAGAGCGAGACTCTGTTCTTCCCCCCACCCCCCCCAAAAAAAAACCACAAAAAGGGATAATTGGCCGGGCACAGTGGCTCATGCCTGTAATCCCAGCACTTTGGGAGGCCAAGGTGGACAGATCACCTGAGACCGGGAGTTCAAGACCAGCCTGACCAACATGGAGAAACCCTGCCTCTACTAAAAATGCAAAAATTAGCCGGGCATGGTGGCACATGCCTGTAATCCCAGCTACTCAGGAGGCTGAGGCAGGAGAATTGCTTGACTTTGGGAGGTGGAGGTTGCTGTGAACCAAGATTGCACCATTGCACTCTAGCCTGGACAACAACAGCAAAACTCTGTCTCAAAAAAAAAAAAAAAAAAAAAAAAGATTTATAACTGGGCAATGGAATTGAAAATCATTTTTAAAAATATCCAAAATATCTAAGGAACTTGTATAAATAAATAGGAAAAAAAAAAAGAAAAACATCAAGAAGCCCACAAAAAAGCAGATTTGTAAATGGGCAATGGATTTCAATAGACATTTAGCCACAGAAGATATCCAGTTGGTGAAAAGGCATATGGAAAGGTGCTCAGCATCACTGATTATCAGGAAAATGAAAATCAAAACCACCACGAGTGGTTTAGACCATAGCGGCATGCATGAAAGTTTTCAGACCTCCAGTTGTTGGGAGTGGCTGAGGAGATTGGGGAGCTTCTGTCTGAGTTGGAAGAGTGGAGTCTCAACAAGAACCATTGTATTCTGGACATGTGTGGGCCCTGGAGTGTGCAAGGCTGGATGCCTTGTCTGCCTGTGCCTTACAGAGTGACACCATTGTGGTGTGGTTGATCAGAGGTTTGTTTGCCCACGGATGAAAGCAAAAGTGAGTTGGCTTCCCAAGAACTTTTACCAGTAGCCTGTTTTGCTACAATTCTCGACCCAGACTGGGGTCCCAAGGCATCATAGCCCACAGCTTCTTAGCAAGTGCATGTTCAGTTGGATCCCCCAGCTCAGCCTGGGTCATCCCCACCTTTTGCCTCTTGGGCCATAGCTCAGCTCTGCACACTGAGCCATCATCCTATGGTGAGCAAGACCCCATTCTTGGGCTTCAGTCTCTTTCCTTGCAGCAGGCAATCAAGGTGGTGGCTGGAAAGGGCCAAGGAGCCACATCTCACAGTGCCCTGCTGCCTGAACAAGGACCAGAGGCCTGTGGAACACATGGCTCTCAGATTTCTCCCATTTGATGACTCATCAGCTGCCCCCACATGGCTTCCTAGCTCACAGCAGATCTAGCCTTCTCTGAGCAGTGAAGATGGGATGTTTTGTGGTCATTTTCCCTGGTGCGCAGAGCCCAAGTGGAGTTCTTCAGCACCCTACACCATCCCCTCACTAACACCCCCACCTGTCCAGTCTTACCTGCCTTCATATCAAAAGCACACAGTTAACCCAGAGGGCTTCTGCCCTGCCCTGCCTGACTTTCTGGGAAACCCCCCTCTCCACCCACCCTAATCAGGACACTGTCTGAAGGTTCCCCCTCATCATTTTAAAAGAAAGAAATTTTTCTGCCACAGAGGTTCTGGTGAAGTGGCCTGCTCCCACATCACAGGGTGATGGCGGTTTGGGCTGGACCAGGATCAGACAGTGCTGTCCTGAGGCTGGCCGTCTGATAAGGGGCTACAGAAAGGGCAGTGGTGGAGCCCTGGGAGGCTTTCTGCTCTCCTGATCGCAGGTTTTTGGTGAGAGGACCTATTGGCCACTAGGGTGTCTGCGTGCGTGCGTGCGTGTGTGTGTGTGTGTGTGTGTGTGTGTGAGATGTGTGTTTACTTGGATTGACTTCTTTCAGCATGAAGCCCACTGTTTTGCTGAATGTATCTCACTGTTTCCTGAAACTCAGTACATTCAGCTGGCTTAAGGGTCCTGGGGCCTCGCTGTGTCATATTTGCACAAGCCTAGTGTCTGTGCAGACTGTACACTGGAGTTCAGTTGTAAGACCCTTTTGATCCCTTATTCTGTTCCTGTAGTAGAAAAGGCATTTCACTCAATGGAATAGAAACCCAGATCCAATGGAGAGATGTTCTAATCTGCCATACACTGGGGCAGTGGCCAGTGATTTGGACTTTGTGGCACAGATGGAAATTTCCAGGTTCTCTAGGTGGTAGGCAGAGGCCTCACTTTTTAAGAAACTCCCCCACTCCACCCCTGCCAATGAGGACGTTGCTTAGAGGTATTTCTATCAGTGTTGAGTAGAAGAGATCATTTCTTGATGTTGAATTTCAGGTAAGGATGCCAGCTTCTGCGTATCAGGGTGGTGATGCTTGGGCTGAGACAGGTCTAGACAGCACTGTCTGAAAGGGGGCTCAAGGAAGTAGCTGTGAAAGGCCCCTGGGATGTTTTCTGCTCCCCTTCCTGCAAATCCCCTGGAGGGAGATCCTGTTAGTCACTACGGGATGTGTGTGTGTGTGTGTGTGTGTGTGTGTGTGTGTGTGTGTTCATCACTTGTTGCTTGGGGGTGGGAAGAGACAACAACAACCTACAGAATCCAGAGTTCTCAGTTCATCTCCCATCCTAGTCCAATCATGGCCTAACATCCTTAGCTACCGATCGCAGAGGAGACTGTGCATTTGTGTTCATGTGGCCTTGGATGTTGGCAGATTCAGATTGGTGCCCCAGGCATCTGTGCCTGTAACTGCAGTTTCAGCGGGCTCAGGACCAGGCTAAAGGGCCTCCAAGCTTCCTCCAGTTTCCTGGTGCATGCATGTGCAATATGCTCCCCTGGCCTGGGTCTTTCCTGCCGCTTCTTGCCAGTTGGGTCAGAACTAGCTTATTAACCAGTTTTTTCTGAGCTTTAATCGAACTGGCTCCAACCAGTTGGAGACTTGAAAAGGGCTACGTGATAGTTATAGATTTTTAAAGATATATTATTATTTTAGAGTAGTATTGAGTGTACAGCAAAATGGAGTACAGGGTCCAGAGATCTCATATGGCCTCAATTCCTGTATACTCTCGGGTCACTCCACCAACAACCTCCTACACCAGAGCCACTTTGAAACATTAGAAAATATATTTGAGCATTCAGAAATGTATAAACTAGGCAGCCCCAGACTGCAAGCAGCTCAGAGGTCCCACAGAGAGGCTTAGGGAGGGTGGGGGAAGAATTTTATATGGTGAATGTGGAAGAAAAAGAAAATACTTGATTGGGTGAAGTGGAGCAGTGGCCTCATTTGGAACATTACAGTGGAAGGTCTCTAGTTAGATGTTAGTTGGTGGTTTCTGACTGGTTAAACTTAAGTTTCCTTTTATTATTTACACTGAGTCAAGTTTTGGGTTATTTAAGGAGGAATTGAGTGCACTGCAGCCACCTCAGCCTCATGGCCACCTGTTTATTTGATTATTTTTAACAGAGAAGATCCTTTAAAAAATATCTGTTACCCTGGCTGGAGTGCAGTGACGTGATCACGGCTCACTGCAGCCACAACCTTCCAGCTCAGGTGATCCTCCCACCTCAGTGCTCCCCACCCTGAGTAGCTGGGACTACAGGCATGTGCCACCACACCACCATGCTAGGCTAATGGTTTGTATTTGTTTGAGAGATGCAGTTTCCCTAAGTTGCTTAGGCTTCTTTTTTAGACTCAAATAATCTGCATGCATTGGCCTCCCTTAGTGCTGGAATTACAGGCCATCTAAATCTTTTATCTCAGGTTTGCCTTGTGACAAAAGGAGGGGTACTTTTTCTGACATGAGGCAGAGAAAGGTGAGGTGGGCGCATCCTGTGCATATGATTTTCTCAGGTGATGGGAATATGGTTGGCTCTTGACTAATGGGATATATTTTCTCTTTGAATGATTTGGCAAGATATCAGATGAGAGAAGTTGAATGAATGTTAGAAGAACATAGAAAAAATAGGTTATACACGTTGGGTTTCTGAAGAAATGATGTCTTTGGAGAAACAAAACTTTTATTGATTTCTGGAAACATTTAGGGCCAATTTTTTATGTAAGTAATTTGAATTTATGATGATATCTCTGACCACTTTTTGATATTTTTTCTGGTTCAGGTGAGTGGTGTCATTGAGCAAACACAAAGTCGGGCTCATCCAAGGATGAGATTTTGCCAGAGAAAGGACGAGCAGCAAGTCAGGGAGCTTAAGGTAATTATGGGAATGTGACTATCTGCAATTGCTTAGGTAGAAGGAGACAGATTGGATTTTTGTGTGTTTGGTATTTGGGATAAGAGGGATGTGGGTGTGTACTTGACATGGGTTGTTTATTCTCTGTCTCTCTCTTTTTCTCTCTTTTTTTTTTTTTTTTTTTTTTTTTGAGAGGGAGTCTCACTCTGTCGCCCATGCTGGAGTTCTGTGGCACAGTCTTGGCTCACTGCAACCTCTGCCTCCCAGGTTCAAGGGATTCTCCTGCCTCAGCCTCCCGAGTAGCTGGGATTACAGGTGCCTGCCACCACGCCCGGCTAATTTTTGTGATTTTTTTTTTAGTAGAGACGAGGTTTTACTACGTAGGCGAAGTTGGTCTCGAACTCCTGACCTCAGATGATCCACCCGCCTCAGCCTCCCAAAGTGCTGGGATTACAGGCGTGAGCCACCGCACCTGGCCTGTTTATTCTCTTAAGAGAGAAAATGAGGGGATTAGTGGACTGTAGTTCTGGACAAGGTGGAAAACTCTTAAAGTGGAAGTATTGGGGCAAGTGCTCTGACAGGCTAGGATGGTGCAGTCAGTCCCTTCACCCAGAAATCAGTAGAATGTTAACAGTTCAGACTCAAACCTTGTGAAAAACAGGTTCTAGAAAGGAAATCCCTCACAGCAACTGGCACCATAATCAAGACAGAATTTTTGCAGAATAAATAGAGTTACCTGCTTTCAGCCCCAGGTCGTAGCTATTGTCTGCCCTGCTGATATGTGATAATAATTTGTGATCCTGTTGTCTTAAAATGGGGTCACTCATCTCCAGTAGAATTAAGTCCACAGTGAAGTTGTCCCCCCATCCCCAGAGATAAACATATATGAATGAACTTACGTGATAACAACTACTGCTGCCTGGGATCATGAGAGACCTGAACTGAACTGATAGGAAGTGAAAGGTGGCTGAGGTAATGAGAATAGACCCATCTGCAGAGGATCATAAAACCAGCAAAGACAAGATCTTGTCTAAGATGCCTTCACAAACTTTGTCCATGAGAACTGTAAGGTCTTCTCCAGACCTGTTGGCTGCTGCTGTGATCTCTGCCCAAGAGGAGCTTCTGACCAACATCCAAAGGGCTTCTGGACCCACTGGACTCCTCTGGAGGTACCTTGGTCTCCCGATCCATGGCTGTGTTTTTTTACTCCCTTTATCGCTGCCTGTGTGTAGAATGATAATTGCACAATTGATAGTGTGAAGACCTCTTGATAAATGGTAAATCTGAGCATATGTATTTGGCTGACATGTCATTGTGAAACCTCACAGCTTCAGTCAGTGTCAGCACAGCTAGGGAGCATGTACCTAATGCACATATCACTGGGCATAGTCTACAGGCACCTAATAACCCAGGTACCTTAACAGTCACTAATGCGTGTCTCTCCAAGGTCTAAACAATGGAAGACTGTAGAAGATGTTATTCATTAAGATATCTCAAGAATGTGGAAGACTATTATTCGCTTCTAAAGGGACAGGACTTCATAGGGCACCTGAAGAAACTCCCATGAAAAATCACTTTTACAAAATGTCAAGTTATGATATCCAAGATGAAACCAATGAGTCACAACATTCACATAATACACTGTACAACCCTGATCTCTTGACTGTCATCAAATGTTTCTTACCTCTAAACCAAAGTTTCATTTTATAATTTAATTTTTCTCATTTTTTCTGTTCTCTTAGCTTAAGAAAAGATCATTACAGACTTTTTGTAAGTTTTTCATATATGCTTGCAAAGGGTTGTAAAACTTTATTGTGATTATTCTTGCTTTAAGCTGAAACTTCCCTAATCTTTCTTTAGAGATTGTGGCATAGCATGTTAGTTTCTTTTCCATATCCAATTGTTTTCTGTAATGAATACAGAAATATGGGCACTATTTTGTAACTTTAAATAGACATCATCTCAAGTCTACAAGAATTATCCAAAATGGTATTTAATGACATTTCTAGGTCTTCAGACACTATTAATGCAGATTGTAGCCTCTAGGTCCTGAAGATTTTACTAGATACTGGTTACTGAAACTGAGCTTTCTTGAATTATTTTTCCTTCCACTGTGGTTTCCCGCATTTCAACACATCACCTATTTTTGTCCTCAAACATTACTTAAATTTTTTCCACAGAATTAAATTAAATATGAATCATCCCTCCTCTGATTTTTGAAATGACCCTTTGCTTCCTATGATAATGATTCTTCTGGTCCATTTTGTAGTTATATGTTAGAGTTTGTAAATAGTCACACATTTTGCAACTGCATATAATTTTCTTATTATTTTTTCCTCTTCCTCTAAACCTGCTGTTATTTCTTTTAACTTTTTGTGGGAAAAATTAAACCCATCTTTCACTTTGTTGATATACTTATTTATAATTGAACTCCTTGATTTTTGCTCAAATTGCTTTTCAAGTTACCCACTTTTAGGGAAGACATTATTTGGGTTTTGTTTAGTGTATCAGGCTTTTTTTAGTTAGTTGTATCAAGAAGTGTAGACTTTTCTATACATAATATCCTTTTTCCCACAGTAGTTTTTTTTTTTTTTTTTTTTTTTTTTAAAGTCTGGCCGGGTGCAGTGGCTCACGCCTGTAATCCCAGACTGTGGGAGGCCGAGGCGGGCAGATCACGAAGTCAAGAGACGGAGACCATCCTGCCTAACACGTTGAAACCCCGTCTCTACTAAAAATACAAAAAATTAGCTGGACATGGTAACGGGTGCCTGTAGTCCCAGCTAATCAGGAGGCTGAGGCAGGAGAATGGCATGAACCCAGGAGGCAGAGGTTGCAGTGAGCCGAGATCGTGCCACTGCACTCCAGCCTGGGTGACAGAGCAAGACTCCATCTCAAAAAGAAAAAAAAAGTCTGTTAAAATAAAGGTCATCAAAAGATCTTTTCCTAAACCTTTCCTTTACCAGAAATATCTCTAGAGTCACATGGTCCTTTCTCCCTTCTTGCTTTTGTAGGAGTCCAAAGCTAATCTGTCCCTGATCCAGATTGCAGGCACCTGTGCCTTTTGGGGCCCTTCTGCATTAGTTCTTCCTTCTCTTCTAACCTCAAAAATGTGTTTTCTCTGTTGGCTCTTTCCCTTTAACATAGAAGTATACTCACGCTTTTGTTGAATCTTGGAATAAAAGTCTTCCTTTACCACATATCTCCCTTTAATACTACATCTCTCTTCTCAGCCAAATACTTGGGAAGAGAAGCCCTGAGTTTGTGTCATTGTTTTCTCACCTCCAGTTCACTACTTTACCCACTGCCTGACATCCAGCTCGCTCACACACACACACACAAGCCCAATCACTAAGTTGCCATAGCTAATTTGTGGCTTTCCTGCCCTCCTGGCAAAATTTGACTCTGCATTGGGATAATACATGTTGAGTACCTATTGAACAGGCACTGTGCTAGGTGCTGCTGTTATAGATATGAAAAGAAGGCATCATCTCCTTTCTAACAACTCACAGGAGCAGCCATTCCTGATTCATATGCAGGTCTCTTGAGTCTCAGTGCTCACTTTTGCAAGCTTCACTTAATGCCGTGCAAATCACCCTATTCTCCAGGTCTTCTTTCTTCCCAGTTCTCCTTACTATACACAGCTTCTCAGGGCAGTCACCTCCACACCCATGGCTTCAATTGCTTTCTCCATTCTCTGAGAACAACAGAATTTTAAATGGCTTTTTTTTTTCATGTATTAGCTTTATTTTATACAAGGTGCCTCAATTGCTGTAACCATAGATTCAAAGTTGCTCCATGAAACTAATAAATGAAAAATGGTGATTTTTTAGCATGTAAATTTTAGGAAATTTCCCCAGTTACGCTTAATGGCTTGATTTAGTATGTATGTTATTTTTGAAAACATATGTTGGGATGTCACAAATGGACTTAGCCTACAGAGATTTATATTCAACTTTTGACCAGAGAGTTCCATTTTAATGTGACACTGAGAGTAAAAAACTGTCTTTTCCTCCTTACCTATTTCTCTTCCTACATTCTTGGCCAGGAGGAAGGCACTGCTACATACCCAGTCTTCCCCAGCAGAGCCTGAGCAGCTCTGTTTTCCTTCTACTTCCCCTCTTCTTTCACATCTCATGACCAAGCACTTCCTATTCTGTCTCCCAAATGATCACAGACTTTTTCCTCCGCTTTTGTCACTGCCACTGCCCTTAGCATTACTCTGCCTTTAGAGAAAGTCTCTTAATTTGTTTGGTTGCTTCCTTCAGTCCTTATTATACAGACCACTACACACACATCTGACAGAGACTTTTCACCTTTTCATGGTTCAATGACTGAAATTCCCAGAATAAAATTAAAACCACCCCAGCATCAAATTTGAGGTCAAATAGAGGTGGGTTTGTATCCCAGGTTCATATACTGTCCAGCAGTATGGTCTCAGAAAACTGACCTCCTTAAGGCTTTGTTTGTGTATCTGCCTACACTCATTGAGAGTTGGGACTATTTCACACATACAGTGCCTGGCATGTAGAAGGGACTTAATCAATGTTGAAAGAAGGGGAGGCATTTTAAAATCCACATCAAAAAAATGTTGTTCTGTTCGGGAGTGGTGGCTCACGCCTGCAATCCCAGCACTTTGGGAGGCCAAGGCAGGTGGATCACCTGAGGTCAGGAGTTCGAGATCAACCTGAGCAACATGGTGAAACCCCATCTCTACTAAAATACAAACATTAGCTGAGCATGGGGTTGGGCTCCTGTAATCCCAGCTACTTGGGAGGCTTAGGCACTTGAATGAGAATCACCTGGACCCAGGAGGTGGAGGTTGCAGTGAGCAACGATTGTGCCACTGCCTGGGCAACAGAGTGAGACTCTGTCTCAAAAAAAATAAAAAAAAAATTCTTTTAAAAATATACGAATCTGGCTGGGCACGGTGGCTCATGCCTGTAGTCCTAGCACTTTGGGAGGCTGAGGCGGGCCTGACCAACGTGCAGAAACCCCGTCTCTACTAAAAATACAAAATTAGCTGGGCATGGTGGCGCATGCCTGCAATCCCAACTACTTGGGAGGCTGAGGCAGGAGAATCGCTTGAGCCCAGGAGGCGGAGGTTGCAGTGAGCCAAGATCATGCCATTGCACTCCTGCCTGGGCAACAAGAGAGAAACTCCGTCTCAAAAAAAAAAAAAATAGTGTTCAGCAAGGTTGAAGCATAAAAGGTTAATAGCCAGAATCATTTATCAATTGTATTTCTATACATCTACAAGACACAATCTGAAAATGAAATTAGAGAAACAATTTCACTGGGCAACAAGAGCAAAACTTCATCTCAAAATAATAATAATAATAATAATAATAATCATCATCATCATCATCTACAATGTCATTTCCCATCCAAGCTTGACTTCTACCTTTACTTTCTGATATGGTTTTGCCATGCCCCCACCCAAATCTCATCATGAATTATAATCCCCATAATCCTGATGTGTCGAGGGAGGGGCCTAGGGGGAGGTGATTGGATCACGGGGGCAGTTATCCTCATGCTGTTCTTGTGATATTCAGTAAGTCCTCATGAGATCTTATAGGGTTTTGTTTTGTTTTGTTTTTTGGGATGGAGTCTTGCTCTGTTGTCCAGGCAGGAGTGCCATGGCACGATCTTGGCTCACTGCAGTCTCTGCCTCTTGAGTTCCAGTGATTCTCCTGCCTCAGCCTCCTGAGTAGCTGGGATTACAGGCATGCACAACCACACCCAGCTAATTTTTGTATTTTTAGTAGAGACAGGATTTCACTACATTAGCTAGGCTGGTCTCAAACTCCTGACCTCAGTTGATCCACCTGCCTTGGCCTCCCAAAGTACTAGGGTTACAAGTGTGAGCCACCGTGCCCAGCTGAGATCTGATGGTTTTATACATGTTTGACAGTTGCTCCTTCACATGTTCCCACTCTCTGTGCGGCCACCATGGAAGTCGGACCTGCCCTTCTGCCATGATTGTAAGTTTCCTGAAGGACTTCCCCCTCTGCCATGATTCTAAGTTTCCTGAGGCCTCCCCAGCCATGTGAAACTGAGTCAGTTAAACCTCTTTCCTTTAAAAATTACCCAACCTGAGGTATTTCTTTATATCAGTGTGAAAACAGACTGCTATACTTTCTGATAATCATGCTTAAGCAACTGGGGAATTCAGACTAGCTGGGATCAAACTATGGCCCCACCCTTAGCAGTCATGTGACCTTGGGGAGGTTGCTTACCTTCTCCGTCTCAACAACTTCTGCAAAATCTGTAACATGAGATTGTTTCTGAGGGTTAAATGAGCATAGCACAGTGGGGACACTGTCAGGCACACACTACTTGCCAGATGTCGAGTATTCATCTTTATTGAAATAGGACTGTGGTAAGCCACTTTATGGCTCTCGATTTTGTATGAGAAAATCATGCTTAGTGCCTTGTTAGTAAAAGAAAGAAAACCTGAAAGTCCCTGCCACGGAAGGAAGAAATAGCGGGGAGAAAAGGGAGTTGGTAAGTTTCAGCATTTCAGAGCTTGGAGGGGCAAGTTAGGTTTCTATTTTATGGAGAAGGAGGTGGAGGCAGGATGGGTCCTAAGGTGTCATTCAAAACACACAGCCATAACTCTTTATTGAGAGTAGAGCTAGGGCCCCAGGGATTGCTGTGGTCAAGTTGCGGACAAAAATGACCACTCGTTGGAAGACAGGAGAGGAGTGTTTAGTTACAAAAGCAGTCAACAATTCAGGTGTATCTATATTTAGTCAGCAAATAAAAGTTGTTCAACTTGGTTGCTAATTGGACCCACTCTACTGAGGCTTTGTATAGAACTCATAGAGGAAGATGGCTTCAAGTAATGAACTACCCTTTGCTTTTCTTAGGACTAAAATCTCAGGAAGCTGGTGATGAATGAAAACCTTAGTCCCAATGGCACTGCACGAGGGGCCAGGAGAGCAGCAGCATCATAAGCCACAGGGTGGGGCAGCCAAGGCAGGGGCATTCTGAGCTGTTGGGGAGGGGTGGCAGGCAGGGTGGGGCACTGTGAGGTGTCGGGGAGGGCATTGTGAAGTGTGGGGTGGGGCATTGTGTGCCACATGCCTGGGCTCCCACCTGGGGCCAGTGGGCTTCAGTCTGTAGGTGACTACAGAAGGAGGAGGAGCTCCGTCTGTTCTCTCTTCAGGCAGTTGTTGTGTCTCTCAGCACTTGTTGGGTTCACAACCTATTAAATAAGCCGGCTGGTCTTCACCCTCCCAGACAAGTCAACTCAGGGGAGGCAGCAGGGTGCGGGCCTTGGCCCGCAGCCCTAGCCGGGGCCGGGGCCAGGGCCAGGGCCAGGGCTGGTGCCCGGGGCCGCGCTGTGAGGTGGGCAGGCGAGGAGCGGGAAGACCATCTCTGCAAGTGCAGCATAGCCTCGGCCTAGGACAGCGGGAGTGCGTGGCCAAAGCTGTGAGCAGAGGCACAGGTGGTGGCAGACAGTAGAGGCGCCCCATGGGGAACATACTGACCTGTCGTGTGCACCCTAGCGTCAGCCTCGAGTTTGACCAGCAGCAGGGGTCGGTGTGTCCCTCTGAATCTGAGATCTATGAGGCAGGAGCTGGGGACAGGATGGCAGGAGCGCCCATGGCTGCTGCTGTACAGCCTGCTGAGGTGACTGTTGAAGTTGGTGAGGACCTCCACATGCACCACGTTCGTGACCGGGAGATGCCTGAAGGTGAGGAGGTGATAGGTGCCATCTACCCTCGGTTTGCCTCTGGCTGCTACTGTCCCCAAGGTTCCCTTTGAGGCATCCCCCACTTCGAGCTCCTTTCTGCTTGTAGCCAGCTTTCCCGGGAGCTGGCCAGGAACAAAAGCTGGCTCTGCCTTGAATTCCCACCCCTTAGTATTTCCCCACCGAGTCCAGTCAGTTTCTTTTCGCCTCCCCTCCCAATCGCCCAGTTCTTGCTCTCTCATCTCATTCTCCCAGGCTGGCATGGGACCATTTATTTATGGCTCTTGTCGAATAAGCAGCAGTTGAATAAATGAGTTGATAAATTTTTATAAATGATTACATCTTTTTTCTTTTCTCCCTCTATACATATAGCTTTGGAGTTTAACCTTTCTGCCAATCCAGAGGCAAGCACAATATTCCAGAGGAACTCTCAAACAGATGGTGAGACAACAGTGTCTGTAGCTCTGTTTATTATCCTGTGGGACTTTGTTTAGGCTTCTTTGAGCTATTCTCTTCCTTTTCTCAATAAAAACTCAAATATCCCAACTTTTCAGTACCCATCTTATTTTTTCTTTGTACCTATCCAGATGGTACCTAAGTGAAGGAACCAGGTAAGTGCCTAATTGTTTCCTTTGTTAAAGTAGCCAAATCTCAAGACAGTTCCTATTCAAATATTTGGGGATTTCTTATTTAAAATCAGAATGGAGTTTGCCATGGGAGAGGCTATATGGTATTCTTAATGGGCTGCTTTAAGTCACCTTGATAGAAGCTGCTTAGTTTCTTCTAACTGTAATTTGAACACAGAAGGAAAAAGAAAAAAGGAGAGTGCTTAAAATAATTGTGAAAGGTGTGAAATGTCACAGCCGGGGCTGCAGAAAAATGGTTGTGTGTGTGTGTTTGGGGTTTCTCAAAGGAGTTTACCTATGAAGCTCTTTTCTGTTAAAGTTCTTACTTTAACAGAAAATGTGTCTCCAGATTTATTCTGGTGACTTAACAGACTTTATTTACCTCCTTGTTCTAAAAGAGAGGTGGGGATTGGTTCATGGTCAAAACTTTCAAAAGACATGAAACGTCAATGTAGACTTTCAATGTGTAATATAAAGATTGCAGGTTAAAATGTCAGACCTTCCCTGTAAGAGTGTTTGTTGCCATGGCTCCCCCTTTGTCCCTTCCCCTCCTGACAATAGCATCTTGTTCAAAGATAAGAAAGTTACAGTTTTGGCTGGGCTTGGTGGCTCACGCCTGTAATCCCAGCACTTTGGGAGGCCGTGGCAGGCGGATCACCTGAGGTCAGGAGTTCCAGACCAGCCTGGCCAACATGGTGAAACGCTGTCTCTACTAAAAAAAAAATACAAAAATTAGCTGGGCGTAGTGGCACATGACTGTAGTTCCAGCTACTCACAAGGCTGAGGCAGGAGAATTGCTTGGACCTGGGAGGTGGAGGTTGCAGTGAGCAGAGATCACGCCAATGCACTCCAGCCTGGGTGACAGAGCGAGACTCCGTCTCACAAAAAAAAAAAGGAAAGAAAGTTGGAGTTTTTTAGTCTCTACACTGCTGGCAGAGGCAGGGGATGGGAGCCGGTAGAAAAGAGAAAACAATTAGTTCGTTTGCCTCTAAAATTTTGCAAAGAGATGAATCTAAGTAAAAGTAATTCTGGGTAATAATATGGTTCTTGAATAAAAACTGAAATTTTCAAAATAGAAAACATTGCATCATAAACATATTACATCCAGTAGGCTTATTGTTTTCATTTAAATGCCAGAGATTTCATCACTGTAGAGGAAATGTCTTATAGCTCTTCTATTTAAACTTTGGTTGCGCTCTTAATTTTTAAAGAGGTAGGATAATTAAGACTCATTATGAGTGTGACTTTGTAACTTGGAAGTACTATCTTCACATTTCAAGATATTTAAGGATTGCTTTAGAATAAACAAATGTATTATGTGAATTAATTGATTGTACCTTTATACACAAAGCATGTAAGTACTTGTGTAAACTTATACTCTGCTTGGTGATGTTCGGAAAGCCTGATGGATGTTACACACCAGTTAGTAGATGGGTAGTGTTGGATGAGAGCCCAAAAATGGCTCTTTATTGTCATTCTTTAGGATTACAACACAGTTTATGTATGTCTCACTTGGCCCTTTCCAATACAAATAAGGCCTGTGTATGTTCTCCCTATGTGTTGCTAACGAAGAAATGAAAACTTAGAGATATCACATGACTATGGAAGACAGCTACTCAAGAGAACTAAGGTTCTGTGTCCTCAGAATGAAATGGAAGTGACAGATATGATGAATTTACTTTTTAAAAATTTTAAAAACTCTAGAATACATCTTATATTTTGCCTATAAAATAGACCTGTCTTTTAAAACTTACTGCCATCTTGATTTATTTTATGCAAAGTTGATTTTACACAACTCAAAGCCAAAATTTACCTCTTCTTTTTTTTTTTTTTTTTAAATAAAGGAGGGTGTCATTATGTTACTCATGCTGGCCTCAACTTCCTGACCTGGGTTCAAGTGATTTTCCCATCTCAGCCTCCTGAGTAGCTGGGACTACAAGCATGTGCCATCTTGCCTGGCTCTCTCTTATGTCTATACATTCATTTCAATGGATAAGAATCAAAGTAGAGATAGTGAAATAGCCTAAATGCAGCAGTCGAATAAACGAGTTGATAAATTTTTATCAATGATTACATCTTTTTTTCTTTTCTTCCTCTATGCATATAGCTTTGGAGTTTAACCCTTCTGCCAATCCAGAGGCAAGCACAATATTCCAGAGGAACTCTCAAACAGATGGTGAGACGACATTGTTTTTTCCACCAAGAGAAAGAATAAAAGCTCTTGTTTGATCAGGTTATAGAAAGTATTTAGAAAAACTCATATTGGTTTAAAATTTTCATCTTTTCACATGTTCCCTTGTCTTATTTTAATATGTGATATACTTTCCTTTAGTTGTTATGATGTTAGTGAAAACGTGTAACCTTTTTGTTTATACATTTTGCCATCTTTTTATCAACACAATTAATTTGTGATGTGATGGAGGAGTCATGGATTTCTCTTTATAATTCTTGGATTTATCTTTATTTATAATTAATGGATTCATCTTTATTTACAATCCCTTTTCCCTTGCTCCAAAAAGTACATTTTAAAGATGAATGATAGAACTTCAGCTTGGTTTTCATTTAAACAAATTAAAAAACATAGTCGTTTATCATCAGGGATTGAATCTGTGATTTGGGCCTCCTCTTACACAGTCCTCTGACCACATTCATTTACCACATCCAAGTTTACGCTACTCAAAAGTTTTAGGTTATTAACTTTTTCATTTGATATAATGTAAATTTAAACATGCCTTACTCCTGCTTATTTCCCTTAATGTTATATTAAATCCTCATTTATTTGCCAACAAGCCATACACAGCCAAGTTTTCCAGTTGACTTAAACAGCAAGAACACAAGTGAGGGTTCTATTATAATGTGCGAAGTAATGCAGCACAGTAAAACACGGGAGTTTGTAACCTTTGTTTTTATAGTTTGAGTAGACTTTGCCCATCTTGAGTCAGTTATTTCTGGTTAGAATTTGTCTTCATTTTTTACATTACTATAAAGAGATACCTAAGGCTGGGTAATTTATAACAAAAAGAGGTTTAATTGGCTCAAAGATTTTCAGGCTGTACAAACATGGCTTTAACATCTGCTTCTGGTGAGGGCCTCAGCAAACTTACAATCATGATAAAAGGCAAAGGGGAAGCAGGTGGTTCCACACCGTGAAAGAGGGAGGAGAGAGGGGAAGGGGGAAGGTACCACACTCTTTTTTTTTTTTTTTGAAATGGAGTCTCACTCTGTTGCCCAGGCTGGAGTGCAATGGCACGATCTTGGCTCACTACAACCTCCATCTCCCAGGTTCAAGCAATTCTCCTGCCTCAGCCTCCCGAGTAGTTGGGACTATAGGTGGGCACCATAACACCTGGCTAATTTCTGTATTTTTGGTAGAGACAGGGTTTCACCATGTTAGCCAGACTGGTCTGAAACTCCTGACCTCAAGTGATCTACCCGCTTCAGCCTCCCAAAGTGCTGGGATTACAGGCTTCAGCCACCGCACCTGGCCAGTACCACAGTCTTTTAAATTACCATAATGAGAATGTGCTTATTACCATGGGGATGGGACCAAGCCATTCATAAGGAATCCACTGCCATTACCCAAACGCCTCCCACTAGGCCCTGTCTCCAACATTAAGGGTCACATGTTAACATGAGACTTGGAGGGGCAACATATCCAAAACATATCAGAATTGTATTTCCCAGTTCCTTCCAGAGGCATGGGCTTCTCACACCTAGAGAGCATGGAAGCAGTAAAAGAAAAGCTATTCCATGTCCCTCACTCTTCAGTGGTAGTAACTTTTGCCTACAAGGCCCTCCCAGCATCAAAGGCAGAGGCAGTGTAGGAAACAAAGCATGGCCCAAGTCCCTCTTGGGGCTTTTATTATTCTGGCCTCTTTTTAGGGAAAAAAAATGATTTTTTGTGCTGCAGACACCATGTCCAATTAGGTTTGTATACTTATTTTAAC
Organism: Homo sapiens; assembly: GCF_000001405.40. Taxonomy (NCBI): domain Eukaryota; kingdom Metazoa; phylum Chordata; class Mammalia; order Primates; family Hominidae; genus Homo; species Homo sapiens. The sequence continues at coordinate 45,842,554 of NC_000010.11, read as the reverse complement.
ATCAAAATTTAGGCCAGGCTCTGTGGCTTACACCTGTAATCCCAACTCTTTGGGAGGTTGAGGTGGGTGGATCACGAGGTTAGGAGATCAAGACCATCCTGGCTAACACAGTGTAACTCTGTCTCTACTAAAAATACAAAAAACAATTAGCTAGGCATGGTGGCACGTGCCTGTGGTCCCAGCTAGTCCGGAGGCTAAGGCTGAAGAATTGCTTGAACCTGGGAGGCAGAGGTTGCAGTGCGCTGAGATCCCGCCACTGCACTCGAGCCTAGGTGACAGAGTGAGACTCCATCTCAAAAAAGAAAACAAATTTAAGATAGGTTACTTTCCAGTTGTGTAAAGACCATTTTTTAATTTTGTTTTGTTTTTAGTGACATATTAGTAGATAACCACTAAGTGTGGTTCAAGATGCTTACAGGGATTCTGTTGCATCTAGAGATAGGTGTCTGGTCAGGAAGTAGTTTTTAGAACTGTTAGCTCTTAGAGTCTGATAATTAAAGTAAGCTATGTGTAAATGCAGAATGAGAGAATACTAATGGATCATGGCTCATATATGCAACAGTTAAACTTTTTATTAGCTAAATTTTTCATCTGGCCTAATTTTTTTGCCCTTTTCTTTTGTACATGAGGATTCTTTCATTTGTGTGTAATAGAAACAAAAAGTAAACTAAATGAAAATCTAAGTTTTTAGATTTGACTTATGAAATTAATCATGCCAGATAATTTAAATTATATGTTATTGAAAATTTTTTTTTTAATGGAATTTTGTCTCATTTTTCATAGGAGTAATCAGTAAGATGTTAACAACTACTTTTATTTTATGGTATTTGTATCAGAAGTGACCAGTTTTTTTTTTTTTATTCTTAGTTGTAGAAATAAGAAGAAGCAACTGTACAAACCATGTAAGTAAACACTCAAATAGTTAAGAAATTGATAGTTTGACATAAAAGGATGTCTCTCTTGATTTCTTTAAATTACAATGTGGACCTGGTGGTGGTAGCATGGACCTCTTTTTGTGGATTTTCTAAATCTCTTCTATTTTCCTGAGTATTAAATTTATCCAGAAAAGTGCTTAGTTTAGCGTGTCCACCTTTTAAAGATTTCTGACATTTAAGTTAAATTTCAATAGTCCGGTTCAAAAGATCTGCCTTAAGGCTGGGCATGGTGGCTAACGTCTGTAATCACAACACTTTAGGAGGCCGAGGCAGGCTGATCATCTGAGGTCAGGAATTTGAGACAACCCTGACCAACATGGTGAAATTCTGTATCTACTAAAAATACAAAAGTAGCTGGGCGTGGTGGTGCATGCCTGTAATCTCAGCTACTCAGGAGGCTGAGGCAGGAGAATCACTTGAACCCAGGAGGCGGAGGTTGCAGTGAGCCAAGATCGCGCCATTGCACTCCAGCCTGGACGACAGAGCAAAACTCTGTCTCAAAAAAAAAAAAAAAATTGCCTTAAATATTTAATCTTATTTTTAATGAAAGAACAAAAATAGAATAGCTAAGTTAATTGCCAGCACTGTCTATTGACTTTCTGTCACAGCAGGTAAAAGCATACCTTCCCCGCTACACCATGATCTTATGTTTCTCCCTGTGTTTCTTCCAATTGTAGCACACTTTTTAATTAAATCAGTAATATTTACATGATTATGACTCTGCAAATATTATTCACTGCTAAGTCATATGGTGTTTTCACTGTGCCTCTGCATTCCATGTCCTTCATCCTGTCTCTGAAACAGTTCTGAAATCTGAGCACTTCTGCAATTCTCCTGGATCTTCTTTTTTCCTAGCCTACGTTAGTTTATCTATCCAAATATCGTTAAGTAGCCTCTGGGTGCTCTGTTTGCTTTCACATCCATTATTTTTTAGCATGAAGCTAATTTTCTGACTATATTCATTTGCCTGTTTTCTAACAGCTGTTTTCCCCCAAGTATTGTAGCATTTATCACATGCCTTTCAAAGATATTTTCCATCTGCGAAAACACATCTGTTCCTTTTTATGTTTGTGTGGGGGGCAACTTTCTTTGGCCTTTTGTCATCCTAGTTCAATATAGCGTGGGTTTCCCTAGATATGCTCAATGTCTGCTTTTCTGGGCTAACTCTTTAAAGTCTTTTGGTATCTCATGTAACTGCTGTCTTGTGTGGGATCGCCTGAGTCCTAGATTCTGTGTTTCCTTCTGTCCTGTTATCGTCTCTAGTTGTACTTGAACACATTTTCCTGTGTGGAGATGTTAAAATCCCTCCTCTTTGATAGAGAGTACACCTCTAGGTTGAATCTAAATTGTATGGTTCTGAAGACATTTTGCAGTTGTGCTCTTATTACAGTGTTGTTCTTGAATCTATTGCCAGTGTGTGATATGTTATTTACAACCAGGTTTTAGTTATCTGCGGAAGCTTTTTAGAATCTCTCTCTCTAAGGTTCTGAAATTTTATAACAGCTTGTTGGGGATCTTTTCATTTTATTGAGGCTACTAAACCTGCAGACTATCTCTTCTTGAGAATTTTTTTTTTTATTTTCTCTGTTACTTTTTTACTGATAGTCTTGTTATTCAGATGCTAGGCTGCTTAGACCAGTACGCCTGCATTGATTTTTAATTTTTCCCCTTGTATTTTTTTCAGTTTGTCTTTTTATTCTAGTTCTGGGATATTCTGTGACTTTATCCTCTACTATTTCTATTGAATTTTATATTTTTTGAGAGTGTTTTAAGATTTTTTTTTAAAGTTTTGCTCCTGATTTTGACTGGTCCTATCAATTCCTTTTTTCTATTGTTTTGATCTCTTTTCTTGGAGGCTTCCCTCCAATGTGTGGTGGTTCCTGGCCTGCTTTATTTGGAAGCAGGATTTCTGTTAACTGATAGCACTCAGTGTGAGGCCTTAGAAGCCTGACTAGCTTTTCATTTGGGAGACCTCAGTGTATTATCTGGGGATCTTTTTTGAAGACATTTCAGTTTCTTCTGAGAAGGATCTCCCAGTTTTCTGCCTGGAAAGTAAAAGCAGGCCTGGAAAGGAAAAGCAGAGTTAGCGAAGAAAGTTGGAGTTCCATTTTTGGTGTACAGTTTTCTTTATATCTCAGGTTTAAGCCATGGTATCTCTGAGCCAGAAATTCTCAGGTTTGATATATCCAGAGAACACACATCTAAGTTTCTTGTCAGATGGAAGGACAGGTGGACTTGGGGCTCTAGTTAGAGATTTGCAACTGACCTTGCTGGCTTTTTTTTTTTTTTCACATTTTACCCTACTTTCCAAAGTGCCATTTGCCTGTAAGTTCACAACCTGCCTTTAGTTCTGCAAGACAAACTGGCTCGCTTCTGTTCCAGTCACTTTCTGTAGGCACCAAAGTTGTGTTTCTGTGTTATTTACCACTCCTTTATCTACTTTTTATGTCTCAGCATTTATTAAAAATTATCTCTGTCAACCTTCTGTGCTGGTCATGGGTGTAACCTTTATTTTATGACTGATGAGGCTTCCGGAGGGAGACGAAATAAATTTGTGGTCAATCTATTATATTTAATCCAAATTTAGGACCTGTGTTTAAATCAAAGTCTAATTTGAGTATAATTAATGATATTAAGCCAGAGAATTTTTTAAATTAATGTATCTATAATAAGCATATTACACTTTTCTCCTAAGGCCTTGTTTAATATTTTCATTCAAAGTTTATCCACTGCCATATACTTCCCATTACTTCACAACATAGATGGAGCTGTTTTCCTGAATGCCCAAAGTGTTAGAAATATTTAAGTTAATTAAGATTTGTTCATTTTTAGCCTGGTCAACATCGCAAGTCCTCATATCTACAAAAAGGTTAAATAACAAATTAGCCAGGCCTGGTGGCATGCGCCTTTCGTATTACCTACTCAGGAGGCTGAGGCAGAGGATCGCTTGAGCTCAGGAGTTTGAGGCTGCAGTTAACTATAATTGCACCACTGCACTCCAGCCTGGGCAACAAAGGGAGACCCTGTCTCGGAAAAAGGAAAAAAGTTACTAATTCTTTAAAAACCTATCTAAAATTTGTCCTGCCCAAAAGGAGAGTGAAAAATATGAACTTTAGTCTTTGTTTTATTTTATGTTTGCTGAGAAAAATGCTGTACTTTATTTATTTATTTATTATTTCCATAGGTTTCTGGGGGAACAGGTGGCATTTGGTGACATGACTAAGTTCTTTAGTGATGATTTGTGAGATTTAGGTGCACCCGTCACCTGAGCAGTATCCGCTGAACCCAATTTGTAGTCTTTTATCCCTCACCCTCCTCCCAGCCTTTCCCCCAAGTCCCCAAAGTCCATTGTATCATTCTTATGGCTTTGCATCCTCATAGCTCAGCTCCCACGTATGAAAGAGAACATGATATTTGGTTTTCCATGCTGAGTTATTTCACTTAGAATAATAGTCTTACTTCCATCCAGGTTGCTGGGAATGCCATGAATTTATTCCTTATTATGGCTGAGGTGGTATTCCTCATATATATATATATATGTATGTATATCACGGTTTCTTTATCCACTCATTGATTGACGGGCATTTGAGCTGGTTCCATATTTTTGTAATTGTAATTTGTTTGAGTTCCTCATAGATTCTGGATAATAGCCCTTTGTCAGATGTATAGACTGTGAAGATTTCCTCCCACTCTGTGGTTGTCTGTATACTCTGCTGATTGTTCCTTTTCCTGTGCAGAAGCTCTTTAGTTAAGTCTCACCTATTTGTTTCTGTTGCATTTGCTTTTGTGTTCTTGGTCATGAAGTCTTTGCCTAAGCCAGCGTCTAGACGGGTTTTTCCAATGTTATCTTCTAGAACTTTTATGGTTTCAGGTCATAGATTTATGTCCTTGATCCATCTTGAGTTGATTTTTGTGTAAGCTGAGAGTTGAGGATCCAGTTTCATTCTCCCGCATGTGGCTTGCCAATTATCCCAGCACCATTTGTTGAATAGGGTTTACCTTCTTCACTTTATGTTTTAGGTGGCTTTGTTGAAAATCAGTTGGCTATAGGTATTTGAGTTTATTTCTGGGTTCTCTATTCTGTTCCATTGGTGTATGTGCCTATTTTTATATCAGTACCATGCTATTTTGGCGACTATGGCCTTATAGTATAGTTTGAAATCAGGTAATGTCATGCCTCCAGATTTGTTGTTTTTGCTTAGTTTTGTTTTGGCTGTGCCGGTTCTTGTTTGGTCCATATAAATTTCAGGATTGTTTTTTCTAGTTCTGTGAAGAAGGATGGTGGTATTTTGATGGGAGTTGCATTGAATTTGTAGATTGCTTTTGGCAGTATGGTCATTTTCACAATATTCATTCTACCCATTCATGAGCATGGGGTGTCTTTCCATTTGTTTGTGTCCATGACTTCATTCAGCAACGTTTTGTAGTTCCCAACGGCATATCAAAAAATAATCGGGCCAGGCACGGTGGCTCACACCTGTAATCCCAGCACTTTGGGAGGCTGAGGCGGACGGATCATGAGGTCAGGAGTTCGAGACCAGCCTGGCCAACATGGTGAAATCCCATCTCTACTAAAAATACAAAAGTTAGCCGGGTGTGGTGGCGCTCACCTGTAATCCCATCTACTCAGGTGGCTGAGGCAGGAGAATCGCTTGAACCTCGGAGGCAGAGGTTGCAGTGAGCCAAGATCACCACACTGCATATTCCAGCCTGGGCAACAGAGCGAGACTCCATCTCAAAAAAAAAAAAAAGATAATCCACCATGATCAAATGGGTTTCATACCAGGGATGCAGGGATGGATTAACATACACAAGTCAATAAATGTGATACACCACATAAACAGAATTAAAAACAAAAAATCACATGATCATCTAAACAGATGCAGAAAAAGCATTTGACAAAATGCAGCATCCTTTTATGATTAAAACCCTCAGCAAAATCAGCATACAAGGGTCACAGCTCAATATAATAAAAGCCATCTATGACAAACCCACAACCAACATGATACTGAAAGGGGGAAAAGTTGAAAGCATTCCCCCCGAGAACTGGAACAAGACAAGGATGCCCACTCTCACCACTTGTATTCAACATACTACTGGAAGGCCTAGCCAGAGCAATCACACAAGAGAAAACAATAAAAGGCATGCAGATCAGTAAAGAGGAAGTCAAACTGTTGCTGTTTGATGATGATATGATCATATACCTAGGAAACCCTAAAGACTCCTCCAAAAAGCTCCTAGAACTGATAAATGAATTCAGCAAAGTTTCAGGAGACAAAATTAATGTACACAAATCAGTAGCTCTGTTATACCCCAGAAGCGACCAAGCTTAGAATCAAACCAAGAACTCAACCCCTTTTCTGATAGCTGCAAAACTAAACTAAACTAAAATAAAATACTTGGGAATAGACCTAACCAAGGAGGTGAAAGATGTCTACAAGGAAAACAACTTTAGTATTTTTAATGGGTTAAAATGAGAGGCAGCAGGTACAGCAGAAGAAGTCAGTGCGTGGGCATCCGCATCCAATGGGTACTGCACCTTTGATGGTAAGGCTTTGGTTTTGACTTACTAAATTACTAGGTACGATTATTTTCTAGTTTTTGTCATTAAACCTTAAAACTACTAAGTAACCCCTTCCATTTCTTGTTAAATATTGTAAAATTTCATACTCTCATTTATGCTGCCTGACGTTAGAGTGTTTGTTTCTATTTTGTGACTACCTTAAATAATACCTATAAAGAGTAAACTGTTAGTAGTGTTTTTGCTGTAATTAAATGTAGTAAGACTTACCTTCCAAATGATAACTGAATTGTCAAACACTTGTCGAAGTTTTGGATTTACTCAAAATTCTATGCTCAGCAGCTGGAGGTAGGAAGAGTAAGGGCCCTCCCTTACTCTTATGGAGAGGCATACTTTCTCACAAGGGGAATACTCTGCAGGAATTAGCATCTTGTAAGCAGTGGTGAATTCAACTAATTAGTGTATAAAAATACATTTTTTGGTGTGGCTGCCGACAAAGAGATCCAAGAGGGTAGATGGAGTCGAGCTTGCTGAAGCAAGGAAAGAGAAAAGCAGTATTCTAGGCAGAGAGCAGGGGTAGAGCAGGAAAATGGCTAGGTGCAGGTCAGATGATTTATAGAATGCAATTGATCAAGTTTTGAAGTGAATGCAAAGTATTCTCCGAGAGTCTCATTTGAGTCATGTCTTGGCAGTCTTATTTAAACATGAAGTGAAAGTTAGATTTTTTAAGTTGTCATTTGTTTTCAGGGTGTGAGAGAATATGTAAGTGATACTCTTTTTATCCTCCACATAAGAAAATAGGACTAGAGAAACCTATGGCTTCCTCACTTGTTGGTGGCCTAGCAGCCCTGACACACAGAGCCTCTGAATCTGAAACACTTCTTTTGTAACAATATCACCTGAAATAATACATTTAGGATTAGTAATTTAGTAAATGCATTAGTCTTGTATTCACTGCAATAAAATGCTCTTGTAGCAGGATTATTTAATACATTACATTTTATCGTAGTAAATAAATAATAGAAGGGCTGGGCGCCGTGGCTCACGCCTGTAATCCCAGTACTTTGGGAGGCTGAGGCAGGCAGATCGCGAGGTGAGGAGATCGAGACCATCCTGGCTAACACGGTGAAACCCCGTCTCTACTAAAAACACAAAAAGTTAGCCGGGCACGGTGGTGGGCGCCTGTAGTCCCAGCTACTCAGGAGGCTGAGTCAGGAGAATGGCGTGAACCCGGGAGGCGGAGCTTGCAGTGAGCCGAGATCGCGCCACTGCACTCCAGTCTGGGCGACAGAGCGAGACTCCGTCTCAAAAATAAATAAATAAATTAATTAATTAATAGAAATTCTCAGCTGCTTTTTATTGCTGCAGAAAAAAAAATGAAATCTTATTTTAAACTTTTCTTTTTTTTTTTTTTTTTTTTTTTTGAGGCGGAGTCTCACTTTGTCTGCCGGCCTGGAGTGCAGTGGCGCGAACTCGGCTCACTGCAAGCTCCGCCTCCTGGGTTCACCCCATTCTCCTGTTTCAGCCTCTCAAGTAGCTGGGACTACAGGGGCCTGCTACCACGCCCGGCTAATTTTTTGTATTTTTAGTAGAGACGGGGTTTCACCATGTTAGCCAGGATGGTCTCGATCTCTTGACCTCGTGATCCGCCCGCCTCCACCTCCCAAAGTGCTAGGATTACAGGTGTGAGCCACCGTGCCCCGCGAAGCCGACTTTTCCCATTATTTTTAACGGTAATTCATAAAATCCTTGTTAGGTTTGATGACAGGTACCATATTAAGGGCAGCATTTTATAACCCATATCTTAAACATCATCTCTGGAAGTTGAGAGCCTCCAATGGGTTTTCTATAGAGTGCACATGATACCACACTCAGGCATTTCATGGAGTGTAAGACATATCTTAGTGCTTTGTCATTTGACATTTTAACTGAGAAAATAATACACTTTGATAAGTTTGACTTACACTTCCCTTCCCCTTCAGGTATCTACTGTGCGTTTCAGTCAACAATACAGCTTGTGTTCGACAATATTCCTTGATGACAGCACAGCCATCCAGCATTATCTTACAATGACAATAATATCGTGAGTACAACTATGCTGCCGAGGGACAGATTCCTTTATTCTAAAATTATTTCAGTCATTTGGTTGTCCTTTTCAGCAATCAGTTTAAGAAATTGGAGTCAACCATATATTGATATCCAGATTCTGAATATTAAGTATCAGTTTCTCTTTTAATCTTAGACGTCGTGGTGGAAGGAAAAATCAGTTAGCAAAGAAGCAATCCCAGAAACAGTGTATCTTTTTGATGCCTTTATGCCTTTAGACAATGTTGAACACAGTGAGAAGGATAGGTTCCCTTTATTGAATGTTTTTTGTGGAAACTTAGTTTTTCAATGCATCATAGGCCTAAATCAGTGTGCACTACTTTGGACATTATCCTTGGAAGAAGGAACAGCTTTTCTTCTTCTGGCACCACAGTGTATCTGCATTTGAATTTCTCCCATTGTGCATGAGCACCTCGTGGGCCACAAAGATGCGCTTTGAGAGCACCCTGAGATGAAGTTTATTTTAAAAGGAACAACAACCAACACCACCACCAGCTCCACAGGGGCTGTCCAGTGTACATTATTCTCATCTTCTTGGGTTATTAGTCTTGATTTTTAGAACACAGTTTGGAAAGTGCTAATTTAGAATATTAATGTCTTTATCTTTAATTTAACTTTTCATTCTGTACACATAACTAGCTTATAAACAATTTTGTTTCAAATGCACTAGCCTTTTTAACTAATTCAATTGTCAATAACTTTTACTTCAATTAAAAGTGGAAAGTTTACACTCATAATAATGTCACTTTCCTCCCTCCCTTTTAACAATAGTTGAGAGGAAATTGTGTTTCGAACAAAAACTGGACTCAAACTCTGTCTCAAGTCCTGAGCTTTGGGACCTATTGAGTAATCACTAAATGTCTGTAGTCAGCTAAGTCTCTTAAATCTCTGAGCACACATACACAAAAATTACTTTGACTAGAGTCCCTGGCTTCTTCTGAGTTCCAAAGATTTTGATATGTTAGCATATAATTCAAAAGCAGCTTTGAAGATTAATTTTGCTGAAACAAATTTCGTGCTTTTTTCCTCATTATTCTACTTTTTAGAAGTCTACTTTTGAGAGTATAGTAAGTTTTAATTTGCCACCAGCAAGTTTGAGAAATGATCATTTGGTGTATTCACTATTGGTGAAATAAAGTTATTGAACAAATTAATAGGGCAAATTGGCTTCAAGAAGATATTTTGAAAAATGTTTTATCATGAATCAGTAGTGCACTGTTGTCAGTGGGATAGGTGGAACTCGCTGAGATCACTTATGCAAGGTTTTTTTCAAAATACAAGTCTGCAAACACATGTATCTTCCCATCTCCACTTTCCCTCTATCTCTAGGCACTGAGAAGCCTTTTAGGAAAATCGGGATGGATGTGAGGCATCTTTCTGTGAAGAAAAGCATCCCAGAAGATTCTGATTTTCACCCCAACTCAATCATTCCAAACTTTGCTGCTGATTGAAATCACCTGGGAAATGTTTACCAAGAACCTTGATGCCCAAAGCCATACCCAATACTAATTAAATTAAAATGTCTCATGTGGAAGATGAGGCAGATATTAAAGCTTCTCAGGCGATTTTAATGTGCAGCAAAGTTTGACAGCCACTGCTTAATTTGAGTTTAGGACGAGAAACTGCTCCAATTTGGTGGGACCTTGGGCAAGTCAGTTTTAAGGTCTGTTTCCCTGATCTGTAAAACGAGTGTTGAATTAAATGTCACATAAGGTCATTGGTCCTTTCCAGCATGTAACTTTAAATTCTGTGATTTTAAAATTATTTCAGAGATGAAAACTACTTGAAGCACTATAGACATATCCATCTTACCTGCTAATGTTACAGGCTTTTTAAAAAGTGCTAATATTGTGTAGACCTATTAGTAGAATTGAGATTTGCCTTCCCTCAGTTGTTTTGAGCCTCACTCTACAAAATTAGCTGGGTGTGGTGGCACATGCCTGTAATCCCAGCCACTTGGGAGGCTGAGGCAGGAGAATCTCTTGAACCTGGGAGGCAGAGGTTGTGGTGAGCCGAGATCACACCATTGCACTCCAGCCTGGGCAACAAGAGCGAAACTCCATCCACCCCACCCCCCAAAAAAACATTATCTGGGCATAGTGGCACAAACTTGTAGTCCCAGCTTCTTGGGAGGCTGAGGCATGAGAATCGCTTGAACCTGGGTGGTGGAGGTTGTGAGGAGTCAAGATGGCACCACTGCAATCCAGTCTGAGCAAGAGAGACAGACTCTGGGTCAAAAAATAAATAAATACATAAAATAAATCGCATGGGACGAAAGGTTTCGTGGGTAGAAAAGCATATAACAAGGAAATCTGTTATTATTTATATATTGTAATCACCAACAGAAACGCGTCTTCTAACGGCATATTTCCTTGCATTTTGGTTCTCATATTTTTGTAAAAAACAAAGAAATGAAAACAAAGTGCCCTTATGGTACTGTTCTGAACTAGAAGATTTGAATTTCAGGGCCACTAGGAGAGTTTCCTCTGCCCCCCTTTTAAAAAATGTCTTCAGGCCTAACAAATGTTAACATCTATTGTTATGAATTTTTTTCCTTCCACAGTGTGACCTTGGAGATACCTCATCATATCACACAAAGGTGAGCTTTTTAGAAACCTGTCTTGTTATTCTAGCTAAGTACTTTGCAAGATATCAAGCTCAGTGTTAGGTCACAGCTCTAGACATCATAAGCTGTATTGTGCCTACTAAAATATTGAAGCAAATTATTTGTATTTTCTTTGTTCCTTAAGACTCTCATAATTCTTAAATGATTGAGAATCTCAAAGAGTATGTGTTTATATTGATTATATTGATATTTAGTGTGGTAGAATTATACAATTGAAATTTTTTCAAAATCTATTTTTAGTTTCGATTTCACAGCCTTACCACTGTTGATATTATGGGCTAGATAATGCTTTGTTGTGAGGACTGTCTTGTGCATTGCAGAGAGTTTAGCAGTATTCATGGCCTCTACCAACTAGATATCAGTAGTAACCCATGACCCAGGTTATAACAACAGAAAATATTCCTTGAGAACAGTATTGTTAACAGAATTTTTTCATTGAAAAATAACTTTTCTACAACAAAAAGTTGAGTAAAAAGTGCGTCATGTATTTATATTATTTAAAGTCTCTCATGTTGAGCTTAATAGGAGACAAATGGATTCTCTAGAGCTTTCTTTGCAATTTGCTTTAAAGCAGCAATAAGAGGTTGGGCACGGTGGCTCACGCCTGTAATCCCAGCACTTTGGGAGGCTGAGGCGGGCGGATCACAAGGTCAGGAGATCGAGACCATCCTGGCTAACACAGCGAAGCCCCGTCTCTACTAAAAATACAAAAACTTGGCTGGGCATGATGGCACGCACCTGTAGTCCCACCTATTCTGGAGGCTGAGGCAGGAGAACCGCTTGAACTTGGGAGGCGGAGGTTGCAGAGAGCTGAGATGGTGCCATTGCACTGCAGCCTGGGTGACAGAGCAAGACTCTGCCTAAACAAACAAACAAACAAAAAAAGCAATAAGCTGGTGGGGCGCAGTGGTTCACACCTGTAATCCCAGCATTTTGGGAGGCCGAGGTGGGTGGATCACTTGAGGTCAGGAGTTTGAGACCAGCCCGACCAACATGGTAAAACCCGCCTCTACTGAAAGTACAAAAAATGGCTGGGCGTGGTGGTGCATGCCTGTAGTCCCAGTTACTTGGGAGGCTGAGGCAGGAGAATCGCTTGAGCCTGGGAGGTGGAGGTTGCAGTGAGCCGAGATCTCGCCATTGCACCCCAGCCTGGGTGACAGAGAGCGACTCTGTCTCAAAAAAAGAAAAAAAGAAGCAATAAGATGACCTAACCTCATGCAAATATGTAGTTGGTAGAAGGTGTATTTTTAAAGTTTTCAGACAGTTGTGGGTATTTGTTAACACTAAATCAAAACTTCACAAGTGGTGGTTTCTTAAATTAGTTACGGTGGCATTTTACATATTAATAAATTTATTCCATCAGTACTCATTGATCTTTCTTGCACAGTAAATGGATCTTTTGCTCCATACTTGCATTTATAATATCATGCATTAGTTACTTGGAATATATTGGTTTATGTTTTATTGTGTCAAAAATCACTTTTAGTTTAACCACCAATCTTTCTTTAACACGCCTTTAAGTATTGAAAAGCTGCCAAGCCTACAGTAGAAGGAACAAGTTTTTCAAAGTCCACAGGAAAGCTTAAATTTTATCATTGGGAACAAATACGTATTTCCCTTGAAGTGACAACCTCTCACTTCATTTATTTTTGAGAATGATAGTTGAACTGGTTTTTTAGACCGAGTTTCACTCTGTCACTTGGCTGGAGTGCATTGGCATGATCTCAGCTCAAGCAATCCTCTCACCTCAGGCTCCTTTGTAGCTGGGACCACAGATGTGTGGCACCACGCCAGGCTAATTTTCTTATATGTTTGACAGTGACAGGGTTTCGTTATGTTGCCTAGGCTGGTCTCGAACTCCTGAAGGAGCTCAAGCCATCTGCCTGCTTTGGCCTCTCAAAGTGCTGGGATTTTACAGGCGTGAGCCACTGCGCTGGCCCAGTTGTACTTTTAAATAAAAATGATGTTCTGTGAAAAAAGTGATTTTTCAGTTCACAGTTAAATCACGGATTCTTTAAAAACAAAAAAAAAAAAAGCGCTTCTGGTTAACTTTCCACTTATTCAGAATATTAGAGACATGTCAAGATTTAACAACATTAATTTTTACTGCTTCATCAAAGACATTCTTAAGAAATTCAGGCTATGTTTTTTACCTGTAGGGGACAGTGAAGAATAGAATGACTACTAATGTAATTGGTACCACTGCCTTGATTTATGCTGAGAAACCAGCCATTGTACCCACTTTTGCTTTTATATAATCATGGCAAGTGTCAATGAAAAAGCAGGCAATGACTTTGTATTACTTTCACAAATTTTTAAAATTTTTCATCAGCTTTCTCAGGTTTAATTAGTATGATTCAGAACAGTGTTGGCCAGGCACAGTGGCTCAGGCCTGTAATCCCAGCACTTTGGGAGGCCGAGGCAAGCGGATCACCTGAGGTTAGGAGTTCAAGACCAGCCTGGCCAACATGGTGAAACCACATCTCTACTAAAAATACAAAACTTAGCCAGGAGTGGTGGCAGGTGCCTGTAATCCCTGCTACTTGGGAGGCTGGGGTAGGAGAATCACTTGAACCTGGGAGGCGAAGGTTGCCATGAGCCGAGATCACACCATTGCACTCCAGCCTGGGCAACAAGAGTAAAACTTGGTCTCAAAAAAAAAAAAAAAAAAAAAAAAAAAGAACAGTTATGACCTCTTAGGCCTTCTGGAAGGGGTCTTCGGGATCCCGAGAGGTCCACAGAGCACATTTGGAGAACCACTGGTTTATACACAGGCACAATGCATTAGTTTTACAAAGTTTAAAGTTCATCAAAGACTGGCGTCTTAAAAAGGCAGATGAGTTTGTCATTCAAACAACAGAAAGTACATAAATACATCATGAGAGTATACTACAGAGAACTAAAGAGAAAGGAAGCTAGGAAATCTGAATCACATTTACATTTATTAAAGTTTACTACAACTGCTTTGTAGAACATTCTTGTGTTTCAATGTGTGGTTAGAAGAGTGAAAATATGTTTGGTTTATTGCCATGGCCTGTTAGGGAGAGTCAATACTCACGGGCATTTCTGACTGGTTATCATATAAAAGACTTCACGGTACAGGCCATGATGTGCTGAGAAAGAAGAAGTCAGGAAACCCTCTGCAAGTCAGGATCCAAGAGAAGAATTCGTAAAAACTGCTTTGGTAAAGTAAACACCAAAGCACACAGGAGGCAGTATTTTACTAAACAAATATTATACTAAGATATTAACAGTTTTTGAAGTAATGCGCTTTCTTATTTTATAGAGATGCAGATAGATCTTTGAGCATACCTGATGAACAGTTACACTCATTTGCGGTAAGTGGCACTTTTATTGAGGTTGTATTTTCATCGTACACTTGTATCTGTTTCATGCTGAAGTCAAAGCCATCTTTTTTTAAATCTTCCCCATTTCATGTTGCATTTAGTCATCTTAAGTGTTGTAAAAAGAATGTGCTGGAGTAAGAACTGATCTGCAGCTCTGTTTAGTTAGTGAGCTAGTATGAGTAAATATACTATCCAAACAACAGAAAATGTATCTTTTTTTTTTTTTTTTTTTTTTTTATGGACTCTCTTTCTGTAGCCCAGGCTGGAGTGCAATCGCGCGATCTTGGCTCACTGCAGGCTCTGCCTCCCAGGTCCCTGTTCAAGCAATTCTCCTGCCTCAGCCTCTTGAGTAACTGGAATTACAGGCATGTGCCACCATGCCCAGCTAATTTTTTTTTCTTTTTTTTTTTTTGTAAAGACAGGGTTTCACCATGTTGGCCAGGATGGTCTTGAACTCCTGACCTCGTGATCCACCCACGTTGGCCTCCCAAAGTGCTGTGATTACAGGTGTGAGCCACCATGCCTGGCCCAGAAAATGTATCTTTTTAAAAGGTAATTGTGAGCTGTCTATAGGACCCTGCAAGCCACTACCCAATTTTTGAAGCCATTCCTCCTTCTGTTCCACACAGGTTTCCACCGTGCACATTATGAAGAAAAGAAATGGAGGTGGGAGTTTAAATAACTATTCCTCCTCCATTCCATCGACTCCCAGCACCAGCCAGGAGGACCCTCAGTTCAGTGTTCCTCCCACTGCCAACACACCCACCCCCGTTTGCAAGCGGTCCATGCGCTGGTCCAACCTGTTTACATCTGAGAAAGGGAGTGACCCAGACAAAGAGAGGAAAGCCCCGGAGAATCATGCTGACACCATCGGGAGCGGCAGAGCCATCCCCATTAAACAGGGCATGCTCTTAAAGCGAAGTGGGAAATGGCTGAAGACATGGAAAAAGAAATACGTCACCCTGTGTTCCAATGGCGTGCTCACCTATTATTCAAGCTTAGGTGATTATATGAAGAATATTCATAAAAAAGAGATTGACCTTCAGACATCTACCATCAAAGTCCCAGGAAAGTGGCCATCCCTAGCCACATCGGCCTGCACACCCATCTCCACCTCTAAAAGCAATGGCCTATCCAAGGACATGGACACCGGGCTGGGTGACTCCATATGCTTCAGCCCCAGTATCTCCAGCACCACCAGCCCCAAGCTCAACCCGCCCCCCTCTCCTCATGCCAATAAAAAGAAACACCTAAAGAAGAAAAGCACCAACAACTTTATGATTGTGTCTGCCACTGGCCAAACGTGGCACTTTGAAGCCACGACGTATGAGGAGCGGGATGCCTGGGTCCAAGCCATCCAGAGCCAGATCCTGGCCAGCCTGCAGTCATGCGAGAGCAGTAAAAGCAAGTCCCAGCTGACCAGCCAGAGCAAGGCCATGGCCCTGCAGTCGATCCAAAACATGCGTGGGAACGCCCACTGTGTGGACTGTGAGACCCAGAATCCTAAGTGGGCCAGTTTGAACTTGGGAGTCCTCATGTGTATTGAATGCTCAGGAATCCACCGCAGTCTTGGCACCCGCCTTTCCCGTGTGCGATCTCTGGAGCTGGATGACTGGCCAGTTGAGCTCAGGAAGGTTATGTCATCTATTGGCAATGACCTAGCCAACAGCATCTGGGAAGGGAGCAGCCAGGGGCAGACAAAACCCTCAGAAAAGTCCACGAGGGAAGAGAAGGAACGGTGGATCCGTTCCAAATATGAGGAGAAGCTCTTTCTGGCCCCACTACCCTGCACTGAGCTGTCCCTGGGCCAGCAGCTGCTGCGGGCCACCGCTGATGAGGACCTGCAGACAGCCATCCTGCTGCTGGCACATGGCTCCCGTGAGGAGGTGAACGAGACCTGTGGGGAGGGAGACGGCTGCACGGCGCTCCATCTGGCCTGCCGCAAGGGGAATGTGGTCCTGGCGCAGCTCCTGATCTGGTACGGGGTGGACGTCATGGCCCGAGATGCCCACGGGAACACAGCGCTGACCTACGCCCGGCAGGCCTCCAGCCAGGAGTGCATCAACGTGCTTCTGCAGTACGGCTGCCCCGACAAGTGTGTGTAGTATCTGTTTTATTTGACTGCAGTCTCCTTGGTGCAAAAACAAAATGGGAAAAATAAGGATAACTCAGAATTTCAAAAGGAAATCACAAATTCAGCTAATAATAGCATTTTCAGTACTTTTCGTAAACTAAGTAAATACACAAAATGTTGATTTTTCTGACCATAAGACGTATTTTATGTCCTTTTGCCAAGGTGGATTTGTTAGTCTCAGGCCCTCCTGGCCACATTGCCCAAGTCACACAGGCTTCTGTATTATGTATTTAGATAAAATGTGTGAAAATATATTTGAAATAAAGTTCATAAATATGCATTGATTTTTGTACACATGGCACCTCTTTTTCATTTTTATTTTTATTTTTTTTGGACGATGTTTTGCTCTGTCACCCCAGCTGGAGTTCAGTGGCGTGATATCTGCTCACTGCAAGCTCTGCCTCCCGGATTCACACCATTCTCCTGCCTCAGCCTCTCAGGTAGCTGGGACTACAGGTGCCTGCCACCACACCTGGCTAATTTTTTGTATTTTTAGTAGAGACGTGGTTTCACCATGTTAGCCAGGATGGTCTCGAACTCCTGACCTCGTGATCCACCTGCCTCGGCCTCCCAAAGTGTTGGGATTACAAGCGTGAGCCACCGTGCCCGGCCCATGGCACCTCTCTTAATTTATAAATTGAACTGGATGTGAAGTAATAATGTCAGTTAGTTGAGATAAGAGGGTTACAGATTGGCTGGGCGCAGTGGCTCACACCTGTAATCCTAGCACTTTGGGAGGCCTAGGCGGACTGATCACCAGGTCAGGAGATTGAGACCATCCTGGCTAACATCATGAAACCCCATCTCTTCTAAAAAATACAAAAAATTAGCTGGCCATGGCCGGGCCTGGTGGCTCACACCTGTAATCCCAGCACTTTGGGAGGCTGAGGCAGGGGGATCACAAGGTCAGGAGATCAAGCCCATCCTGGCTAACATGGTGAAACCCCGTCTCTGCTAAAAATACAAAAAAAAAAATTAGCCAGGTGTGGTGGCGGGCACCTGTAGTCCCAGCTACTCGGGAGGCTGAGGCAGGAGAATGGCGTGAACCCAGGAGGCGGAGCTTGCAATGAGCTGAGATTGCACCACTGCACTCCAGCCTGGGCGACCAAACGAGACTCCATCTAAAAAAAAAAAAATTAGCTGGGCATGGTGGCGGGCACCTGTAGTCCCAGCTACTTGGGAGGCTGAGGCAGGAGAATGGCATGAACTCAGGAGGCAAAGCTTGCAGTGAGCAGAGATTGTGCCACTGCACTCCAGCCTGGGCAACAGAGCGAGACTCGGTCTCAAAAAAAAGAAAAGAAAAAGAGGGTTACAGATCATTGCACATGGAAAATATTCCCAGCAGTAAACACTTCCATTAATGTGATCTACAGCTTTTAAAAAGGAGCATCTCAGAATAAGATGGTGGTACAATTTGCTGATTGAGAAAGGGAAAAAAAAAAACACATGAGTATATTACAAAGGGAAAAGAAGGAATGTGATTTCTCATGATTGAAAGCTTGATTTAGATTGCATACAGCTTTTGCTACCCAAGACCAGGAGGCTCTGGCAAGACAGGGTTGTTTTCCGAATGCCAGACCGAGGTGCCTTATGAAGGCAGCTGCCGATGGTTCCAGATGTAGAGAGATAGGTGATGCAGGAGGGAAAGCTGGATTGGAAAAGGGAGAGTTTTGTAGACGGGCTACGCTCATTGTGCCTTTGAAAGAGCGGAGCCGGCAGCCTCTAGTCATCATTTTGATATACAGGACTAGAGCATGAATCTGATGTAGAGCTACAGAATGAAGAGCAACAGCAGCTGTTTAAATACCAAGAAAGTGTGTAGAATGAAATGGGACAAGCCAAGCATGGTGTTTTCATGCCTTTAGTCCTAGCTACTTTGGAGGCTGAGATGGGGGAATTACTTGAGCTCAGCAGTTTGAGTCCAGCCTGGGCCAGATGGTGAGACCCTGTATCTTAAGAAAAGAAAAAATAAGACCAGGTACAGTATCTCATGCCTGTAATCCCAGCACTTTGGGAGGCCAAGTTGAGAGGACTGCTCGAGTGTAGGACTTCAAGACCAGACTGGGCAATAAAGTGAGACCCATTTCTACCAAAAAAAAATCAAGAAATTAGCTGGACATGGTGGCACATGCCTGTGGCCCCAGTTACATGGCATGGCAGGCTGAGGCAGGAAGTTCACTTGAGCCCAGGAGGTGGAGGCTGCAGTGACCCATATTCATGCCACTGCACTCCAGCCTAGGCAACAGAGTGAGACCCTCTCTCAAAAACAGATAAAGTGGACAGAAAATAGGTCAGTAAGGACTAATCATTTAAGGGACAAGCCCCCAGAAGAGTGGCTACTAGAGTGGGAGGAGGAAAAGCAGAAGGAGAAAGAGTTGAAGATAGGCGAGGCTGTGGTCCCAGTGCTGAATTCTGCCAAGCAGTGACTTGATTCATGAACACTCACTGGATGCTGACTCTGTTGCTCTTCTGAGTGCTGGGGTAGAGGAGAGGAGAGGTGGAGCACAGTTCTTGCTTTTATGAGCTTATGTTCTAGGAAGTTCAAACAAGTATTTTTTCAGGTAGTATGAAATAGCAGGAAGAGGAAGCAGGCTAAAGGGACACAGAGTGATTGGGGGCTATTTTAAGTAGAATGATAAGGAAGAGCCTGTCTAGAGAGCTATTTGAACAGTGACCTGACTGAAGGGACAACAGAAAGCAGTGCTGACATTACAGGTAGCAGGATGACTGCCAAGACAGAAACGCATGTCATATGTGTTTGAGGAACAAACAGCAAGGTGACCAGCATGGGGAGAGTGAAGAATGAGGGAAACCTTGAATGAGAATAAAGCAATTCCATGTTGGATGCTAATCTGCCATGTTCTGATTAATCCCAGTTCCAAGAATTCATCTACGATTTCTATTTTATCTTTTTAACAAAATTATTTTTTATTTTTTATTTTTTGAGACTGAGTCTCACTCTGTCTCCCAGGTTGGACTTCAGTGGCACAATCTCAGCTCACTGCAAACTTCACCTCCTGGGTTCAAGCGATTCTCCTGCCTCAGCTTCCCGAGTAACTGGGATTACAGGCGCCTGCCACCACGCCTGGCTAATTTTTGTATTTTTAGTAGAGACGAGGTGTTACCATGTTGGCCAGGCTGGTCTGGAACTCCTGACCTCAGGTGATCCGCCCACCTTGGCCTCCCAAAGAGCTGGGATTGCAGGCGTGAGCCACCGTGTCTGGCCATACACATCCCTGCTGAAGCCCGCATTACCCTTTCCCTATGCTATAGAAGCCCTGGGTCGGGGGGGTGGGGGTGATGGCACAGGGATCCACCATCTTATCTTGGTGCCATCCCTGACTTGCCTTCTGTTCATAAACGCCTATTAAATGTTTCTTTCTGAGAAACTGGATTTGTCAGCCTCTTTCTTTGGTATCTCAGGTTCCTTGGCCTTTGCAGATAGGTTTATATAGACCTGCTCAGCACAGGACAGGCAGTTTCTCAAAAAATTAAAAATAGAATTACCAAATGATCCGGCAATATCACTTCTGGGTATATAGCCAAAATAATTGAAAGCAAGGTCTCATAGAAATATGTGTACACTGATATTTATAGCAGTGGTATTCACACTCGTCAAAAGATGGATGCAGCCGAATTGTCCATAGGCAGATGAATTGATAAAATGTGGTATATACATACAATAAAATATTCTTCAGCCTTAAAAAGGAAGGAAATTCTAACACATGCTACAACATGGATGAACATTGAGGACATTATGCTAAGTGAAATAAGCCAGTTAGAAAAAGACAAATACGGTGTTCCTTCACTTATGTGAAGCGTCCAGACTGAGTAAGCAAACTAATAGAAACAGAAGGTAGAACGGGGGTTGCCAGGGACATGGGGAAGGGAGAAAATGGGAAGTTGCTTAGTGGATATAGAGTTTTGGTTTTGTCAGATGAGAAAGTTCCGGAGATTGGTTGCATGGCAATGTGAATATACATTACCCAACCCAAGGGCTCTCCTTGACCCCTGTTCCAACTGCCACTTAGAAGTGGTTAAGGTAGTAAATTTTATGTGTATTTTACCACTATTCAAAATAGAATTATTATTTTTTTATTATAATTTTTTGAGATCCCTCACTCTGCTGCCCAGGCTGGAGTGCAATGGCACCGTCTCGGCTCACTGCAACCTCTGCCTTCTGGGTTCAAGCGATTCTCCTGCCTCAGCCTCCCAAGTAGCTGGAACTTACAGGCACATGCCACCATGCCAAACTAATTTTTCTATGTTTAGTAGAGACGGGGTTTCACCATGTTCGCCAGGCTGGTCTTGAACTCCTGACTTCAGGTGATCCGCCTGCCTTGGCCTCCCAAAGTGCTGGGATTACAGGTGTGAGCCACCATGCCCGGCTGTCAAAATAGGTGTTTTTTGTTTGTTTGTTTGTTTTTGAGATGGAGTTTTGCTTTTGTTGGCCAAGCTGGAGTGCAATGGCGGGATCTCGGCTCACGGCAACCTCCACCTCCCGTGTTCAAGCAATTCTACTGCCTCAGCCTCCCGAGTAGCTGGGATTACAGGCATGCACCACCATGCCCAGCTAATTTTGTATTTTATTTTAGTATAGATGGGGTTTCTCCATGTTGGTCAGGCTGGTCTCCAACTCCTGACCTCAGGTGATCCACCCACCTTGGCCTCCCAAAGTGCTGGGATTACAGGTGTGAGCCATTGTGCCTGGCCTTTTTTTTTTTTTTTTTTTTTTTGTGGGTGTGTGTGTGTGTGTGTGTGTGTGTGTGTGATGGACTTTTGCTCTTGTTATCCAGGCTGGAGTGCAATGGCACGATCTCAGCTCACTGCAGCCTCTCCTCCCGGGTTCAAGCGATTCTCTTTCCTCAGCCTCCTGAGTAGCTGGGATTACAGGCATGCACCACCATGCCTGGCTAATTTTGTATTTTTAGTAGGTATGGGGTTTCTCCATGTTGATCAGGGTGGTTTTGAACTCCTGACCTCAGGTGAGCCATCTGCCTCGGCTTCCCAAAGTGCTAGGATTACATGCGTGAGCCACTGCGCCTGGCCTGAAAAAAAATTTTAAAGTTTGAGAAAATACAAAACTTTCATAGTCTCCAAGTATTTCTCCTAAGATCTTTCCCCCTATGAGGGGGAAAGATAGTAACTTTACAATGGAGAAATCCAGCAGAAACCTGAACCAAATGAACAAGTTCAACATCATCAGTAAGAAGAACTATCAATGCCATAACTCTGAAGGAATGCACTGGGAAGGATTCCACATCATTTTTGTGCTGTAATTGCCAAAAGTGTGTAACTTCAGTCCAATCATGGAAATACATCAGACACACCCAAATCGAGGAACATTTGACAAATAGTGATCAGTACTGGTTCAAGATGTCAGGGTTATGAAAGATAAGGAAAGATTGAGGAACTGTTATTGCAGTCCTACAAAACGGCGAGAGACTGAGAAATAACTAAATGCAGCGTGATCCTGGGTGGAATTTGGGAACAGAAAAAGGACATTAGTGGAAAAAGTGGCAAAACTCCAATAAGGTCTTTAGTTTAGCTAATATGTTCATTTTTAAATAGTTAAATAATTTAAATACATTTAAACGTCATTTAAATGTATTTAAATTAACAAAATTGGTTATTTTGTGAAATAATTTTAATATAGTTAAATATGAGAATGTGGATTTCCTGGTTCTGATCACCGTACTGTGGCTATCTAAGATGTGAATGTTCAGGGAGGCTGGGGGAGGAATAAATGGAAATTATACTATTGAATTGGAAAAGAGAAACCTACCCCATCAGTCACGAAACCCTCACATTCATGGCAGTGTGTCGGAGGTTCCAGTATGAATGGCATTTCCCAGATGTCAGCGCAAGGTCCCTGTGGAGGGAGTGGGACTCCCTGGGAATCTAGTGGAGAGCATTCGGGGCTCCCTTCCTCAGGAGCCTGCCCTTCCTGCACAGAAGCGTCGGCCTCACCTGTACCACTGCCCCTCTGCCTCTCAGAACCAACTCGGCTTCAGGAAGGTTCTACTGCCAGCTTCCTTTCCCGGATACAGCCTCCAGGGACTCAGCCCTGCCTTCCCAAGTGTTCCTGCCTCTCTTGGGAAGGGACGCTGTCAGATCCCGCACCCCTGGACTTCCCCGCACACCACCTGTTCCTTTTTTCTTCACTTCTCCAGCTCTGCGTTCTCACTCTGAGGGTCCTCTCTTGCTGGGAGTGTGTGTTGCTGGCAACAGTGAAGATTCCCCCTGGGTGGCCCCCCATGCCCTGTTCTTCTGCACTTCCCTGGCTTCCTGTGTTGGTTCTGCTGGTGTCACCTGCTTTTGGGTTTACGTGGCTTCCCAGCTTCCTAATTTCTCTGAAGTTGAGTTTGATGTGTATGTTGATGATGGGCTTTTTCTTCCTCCTTCTCCTCCTCCTCCTCCTCAGTCTTGTTGTTGCTCTATATAGTTTCCAGAAGGAGAAAAGGGACACTGTAAAATTGAGCTGCTGCAGGCTGGACACAGTGGCTCATGCCTGTAATCCCAGCCCTTTAGGAGGCCCAGGCGGGCGGATTACCTGAGGTCAGGAGTTCGAGACCAGTCTGGCCAACATGTTGAAACCTGATCTCTACCCAAAATAAAAAAATTAGCAATGTGTGGTGGCATGTCCCTGTAATCCCAGCTACTCGGGAAGCTGAGGCAGGAGGATCTCTTCAACCCAGGAGGCAGAGGTTGCAGTGAGCCAAGATCACGCTACTGCACTTCAGCCTGGGTAAAAAGAGTGAAACTCCATCTCAAAATAATAATAATTAAGCTGCTGCTATGTTTCTATCAGACCCAGAAATCCCGCAGAGTGAGCTGGAATTCTCTGTTTCTCTGTTTCCCCTCCATACCCACTGGCTCCTCTCTGCCCACTCCCTCTTGGACTGCATCACCAAGGTTCCTCACTGTCTGGCCCTAGTGGAATTCAGACAGTGGGGGATGTCATAGGAGGTGGGAGAGAGAGGAGAGGTGGTTATTCACTCAGATTCTTCCTTGCTGGTTTGCCAGTGGCCACATCTTTCTAGTGATGGCTGCAGCTCCTGATGATCCTCCCCTACAGCCACAGCTCTCTTCGGGGTCTGTGGACACCTTTCCTGTCCCTCTAGACCCAGGGAGATAACAGCTCCCACTCTTGCTGGTCCAGGGCATTTCTCATCTCTCATTGGTTCCCTTAACTCTGTCCACACTTCTGTGAACAGCCCCTTTTCCTCAAGTACCCATTCGAATATGTCCTCTGGCTTCCACCAGGAGCCTGACTGATACCCACAGGTGGGTGAATGCTGGCGTGCTTCTGGGCCGAAGCATGTTTTGTATGCAGAGGTCAGCAGCTGTGTGTGGGGAGGCCCAGCCAGGCCCCACTCATGGGTCATCATGTGAAAAACAGCCTTGCCTGAGTTTGTGTCCTCTTTCTACATGGCAGCAGATGTGTATTTTGTTTTTGACTCTGCAGCTGGTGATAACCACCTGCTTTAACCTTTCACTAGCCTCTGAGTTTTCTATGATTCCTGTTGGGAGAAAAGCTGAGTGTTGGTAGAGAAGCTGAGGCAGGGCTTGCATGTCTGCTAGACTTGCTGGCTTCTTGATTCCAGCATTCCCATTATCTCAAGTAGCCATATATTTCTCATTCACTTGCTACACTGTTTCCTTTCAACCTCCACATCCTCACCACCTGTTTCTTTGTTAGATCACCAATAAATAGCATGGGCTCCCAGAGCTCAGTGCCTTTGCAGCCTCCACACTGGCAATGGCCCCCTGGTCCCACTTTCTCTCTTGAACTTTTTCTCATTCTTTTGACTCCGCGGGACTTTGTTGCCCCCACGACCTGGTGTTGGCTCTGATCATCCCAACAGATTCCCATTCTAAAGATGAGGGAACCAAGAGGTGGAAGGGAGAGTTAGAATAAGAACCATTTCTTCTGACTCCAAAATCTTTCAGTTCTAGCACACTACCACCCACACTTTAAAAAACTCTGAAGTAGGCAGAGAATTCCCTCTTGTTGGAGGAATTGCTTTGAGAGACATGGTTTTACTGGATGAGGCTTTGGAAATTAACCTGAGGCAGGCGCCAGCACATCCTGAGAGGGATGTAATCTGGCACAGAGGCCTAGCCTGGTCTCCAGGTCTCAGCTGGCAAGACAGTCTGATCATTGACATTCCAGGCTGGGCAGGGCCAAGGGGCTTCAGGGGCCCATGCCCTCATGGGGCTCACTGAGCTTGTCTCCCATCAGCCAGTGTCCCGGCATCTCCAAATGAAGGCAGCTGTGGGGGAAGTTCCTTCTAATGAGCCAGTCTGTCCTGGCTGGGGGTGGCATCCCGGAGCCCCACCTTGGATGTCCAGGGACGTATAGGTCCATTGTGAGGATAAATGGGTCAGCACTGAGCCCTCACCCTGGACTCAGGGGACATGAGCCTGCTCTGAGCCCTCTCCCTGGACTGGGAGGGCATTGGGCTTGCTCTGAGCCCTCACCCTGGACTCAGGAGGGCAGTGGGCCTGCTCTGAGCCCTCACCCTGGGCTGTGGGGGCAGTGGGCCTGCTCTGAGCCCTCATCCTGGACTCGGGGGCAGCGGGCCTGCTCTGAGCCCTCACCCTGGACTTGTCTCCTCTGTTCAGTTCATGCCATGGAGGAAGTGGTGAAGGAGGTGGTGGGACATGCCAAGGAGACTGGAGAGAAAGGTACAGCTGGCTGAGGTCGGGCATGGAAGGAGGGAGGGAGGAAGGGAAGCTAGGTGCTGGGCCAACCTGTTCTTTGACTAACCGGGTCAAACTCTGCACCTAATGTTGCAGCCTTTCAGAGCCTCTCGGCTGGGACAGTTATCTATGTTCATCAGAGGCCACAGACTGTACTATGTTAGGGCACTGTCTAGATGGTTCTCTCCATGGAATGATAAGAAGACAAAGTCACAAAAGACTATGTGACAGCACACTGGGACAAAACATTTAACATGTAAAATTATATGTTAAATGTCAAATTGATGTGTGTGAGCTATGAGTAGAACTATGTACAAGCATGTGTATATCTCATTCCTCTTCAACAAAATAGATTCTGGGTAGATGAAGGACTGAAATTTACATACATGAATTTATTAACTTATAGGAGATAACTATCTTAGCTCAGGCTATTATAAAATACCATAGGCCAGGCACAGTGGCTCATGCCTGTAATCCCAGCCCTTTGGGAGGCTGAGGCAGGTGGGCCAGCTGAGGCCAGGAGTTCGAGACCAGCCTGACCAATATGGTGAAACCCTGTCTCTACCAAAAATACAAAAATCATCTGGGTGTGGTGGCACATGCCTGTAATCCCAGCTACTCAGGAGTCTGAGGCAGGAGAATCCCTTGAACCTGGGAGGCGGAGGTTGCAGTGAGCTGAGATTGTGCCACTGCACTCCAGCCTGGGTGACAGAGCGAGACTCTGTCTCAAAAACAAAAACAAAAACAAACCATAAACTGGGTGACTTAGAAACAACAGAAATTTATTTCTCACACTCCTGGAGGATGGGAAGTCCAAGATCAAGGCTCCAGCAGATTTGGCATCTGGTGAGGGCGTCTTCCTGGTTCGTGGATGGGCCTAGTTGTGTCCTCACATTGTGGAAGGAGCTAGCTCTCTGTGGTCTCTTTTATGTGGGTGCTAATTTCAACCTCCCAAAGGCCCCACCTCTGAATACCATCACATTAGAGCTGAGGATTTCAACGTATGAGTCTTGAGGGGGAAGACATCATAAACATTTAGACATAGTAATAACATAAGAGACTTTGGCCTAATCTTGGAGAGGGGAGAATCTTTAGAACTATGGAAAAAAAACCCAGCAGCCATAAAGGAAATATTAAATAAATTTGACAATCCAAAACTTCAAAATTTTCTATAGCCAAAAAAAAAAAAAAAATACTATAAACCAAGCCAAAAGAAAAATCACAAACTATGAAAAATATTTGTAATAGAAATGATAATGCAATATAACAACCCAACATAAAAATGGCCAAAAGACATAAGCAGGCATTTTCCAGAAAAAAAGGATAAGCAGGCAATGTACCCATGAGTAGATGCTCAGTCTCAGAGTTGAAGAAATACAAGTTGTTGGGGAAATTAAAACCAAATTCAAATTCATTCTGCCAGGAGTCCTGCTCCCCTTGGTCCCATTGGGCCACTCCATGGACTAATCCATTAAGATGGCCACATCCCACAGGCCACTCAAGGGGATACAAGTTCAGTGGGTGGATCACTAGGACATTCTTCTTCTTTCTTTCCAACAGCCATTGCCGAAGCCATAAAGAAAGCCCAAGAGTCAGGGGACAAAAAGATGAAGGAAGTCACTGAGACAGTGACCAACACAGTCACAAATGCCATCACCCATGCAGCAGAGAGTCTGGGCAAACTTGGACAGTGAATGCACCTGCTACCATGGCCCACCCTTCCCAAGTCTCAATAAAAAGCCATGAAATATGTACGTAGAGCCCTGGATTTATTCCCATTTGGATGGAAACGCTAGGCAAAGTATTTCCTTATTGATATAAAATAGTTTACATATTTATGGAGTACATTTGAGTATTTATTACATGCACAGAATGTGTGGTGATCAATCAGGGTGTTTAGGGTGTCCATCACCTTGAATATTTGGTATTACTATGTGTTGGACACATTTGAAGTCCCCTCTTCCAGTTACTTTGTTTTTTTGTTTTTGTTTTTGTTTTGAGACAGAGTCTTGCTCTGTCGCCCAGGCTGGAGGGCAGTGGCTTGATCTCGGCTCACTGCAACCTCTGCCTCCCAGGTTCAAGCAATTCTCCTGCCTCAGCCTCCTGAGTAGCTTGGACTACAAGCGCAGGCCACCACGCCCGGCTAATTTTTTATTTTTTGTTTTTTGTATTTTTAGTAGAGACGGGGTTTCACCATGTTAGCCAGGCTGGTCTCGAACTCCTGACCTCAAGTGTTCTGCCTGCCTGCGCCTCCCAGAATGCTGATATTATAGGCATGGGATACCACACTTAGCCTTCTAGCTACTTTGAAATATACAATACATTCCTGCTAACTATAGTCACCCTAGGTGAAGTTTTTTTCAATGGAAACACTTTTCATGTCCCCTGTGTCTCCTCTGCTGAGGTGGACACCGGCACTGGGGCCCCTGCTGCTGGTTGGATATGTCCCCATGATGAATCAGATGCTTCTCTCTCATGCTAAGATCTTTCATGTCAGGAAGGGGCTCTCCTGGAAGAATAGTTAGTGTCTGTGCTACATTTCCTAAAAAACTGTTTCCCCAGAAAGTATATATAGTTTTCAGGCACCTCAGTGCTTCAAGAACACGCTAAGGGAGGACCTTCATTTGTCTTGCATGTTTTTGGGATTTTTCTTGAGATGTTCTTGCAGGACTCAGGGCAGATAACAGACCAGCTTGATGAAGAATTTAGCAAGGAAGGCCCCCACTGAGCTGCTTCCTGTTCTCCCACAGATCAGGTAAACTTTTCTGCTGGATGGTTACAGAATCTGATCAAGGAGAGACTGAGTCACTGCTCAGTCATCCTAGAAGCCTCTGTTGATTTTTTTTCTTTTCTTTTCTTTTCTTTTCTTTCTTTTTTTTTTTTTAAGATGGGATCTCGCTCTCTTGCCCAGGCAGGAGTGCAGTGGCATGGTCTCGGCTCACTGCAACCTCCACCTCCTGGGTTCAAACAATTATCCTGCCTCAGTCTCCTGAGTAGCTAGAACTACAGGCGCCCGCCACCACACCTGGCTAATTTTTTGTATTTTTAGTAGAGACGGGGTTTCACCATGTTAGCTAGGATGGTCTTGATCTCCTGACCTCATGATCCGCCTGCCTTGGCCTCCCAAAGTGCTGGGATTACAGACGTGAGCCACCGCACCTGGCCCAGAATATTTATTTAGAGACTGATGTCAGGCCTAAGTGTTGATAGTGGGTAGTAGTGGGCAAGAATGCCTGGCCCTCTCTCTTTCTTCTCATGAGCAAGTCAGTATCATAGAGGTTAAACATATCTTAAGTCGCATTTAACCTAAAATTTTTTTTAATAAAAAAAGAAATAATTTGTAAAAATATTGCATCCCCTATTTATCTTGCTGGAAGCTATTTGTTCTTAGCAGAAATGAGAAGAAAAGGTGTTTTGCTTAAAAAATAAGTGAGCTGCTCACCCTTTTTCTGGATCTCATCTAGAATTGGCCTCACAGTTTGTGAACAGCCCAGGAATAGCCAATGTCTTAGCTTTGGAACGTTTGCCACTTTCCAGCTGCAGCTGAACCTTATATCCTGGTTTGGTTCCTGATGACTTTCAAATTCTCCTGACCCAAACGCAAGCTCAGAGGCACGAGCACATTGTTGGTGGCAGTACAGACTGAAACACCCTCTTTGGATGGCAGTTTCTCTCACAGGACTTTATTCTCCAGGTATGCACAGGTACACACAAGTGCCCAAAGGATAAGCACACAGATCTATTGTAGCATATTTGTATTACTGAGAGATTAGAAACATCCTAAAATGTTAACCAAATCACTTGGATGAAAAGTTTTGCTCTGCTTATTAGGTTTGGCATACAATATGGAGGTGACATCTATTACTTCCAGTGTATTACAGATACTTTAGCTTGAAAAATGAGACCTGTACCTAGATGGGCACCAAAAGGGAATGGTTAACAAATATTGCATACACAGGGGTGTGTGGGGGCTCCAGGGCCGGGATGACGGCGGCTGCAGTTGCGGCGGCTGCAGGATGAGCGGGTGGATCCCAGGAAGCGCTGTGAAACGGGCTGGCTCCCGAGCCAGCCGGGAGGACGCTTACTACAGCTGTTCAGAAGCACCACTGGAAGCTCAGATGTGGGCGCCCCAGCCAGAAGCAGTGAGGGGTACAGGGAAGCTACCGAGAAGCCCCTCCTGATGCCCCAGGGAGCAAGCCAACTCCTTCCAGGCTCCAGGAACACCACAAAGCAATATGAAACCTGTTCATGAGAGGAGTCAGGAATGCCTTCCACCAAAGAAACGAGACCTCCCCATGACCAGCTGCTCCACTAACCACACACCCTCCAGTGATGCCTCTGAATGGTCCCGAGGGGTTGTGGTGGCCGGGCAGAGCCAGGCAGGAGCCAGAGTCAGCATGGGGGGTGATGGAGCTGTGGCCATCACCGGTCTGACAGTGGACCAGTATGGCATGCTGTATAAGGTGGCTATGCCGCCTGCCACCTTCTCACCAACTGGCCTCCCATGTGTGTGAATATGAGCCCCTTGCCCCCGGAAAAAAAAATGCATATACAGTTGATTAAATGGAATGCTCCATGGCTATTAGGAATGATGAAAATGGGCTGGGCGCAGTGGCTCATGCCTGTAATCCCAGCACTTTGTTAGGCTGAGATGGGCAGATCACCTGAGGTCGGGAGTGTGAGACCAGCCTGACCAACATGGAGAAACCCCTTGTACTCTAAAAATACAAAATTAGCTGGGTGTGGCGGCTCATGCCTGTAATCCCAGCTACTCAGGAGGCTGAGGCAGGAGAGTCACTTGAACCTGGGAGGCGGATGTTGCAGTGAGCCGGGATGGTGACATTGCACTTCAGTCTCAGCAACAAGAGCAAAACTCCGTCTCAAAAAAAAAAAAAAAAAATGAATGATGAAAATGTCTGGGCATGGTGGCTCACACCTGTAATCCCAGCACTTTGAGAACCGAGATGGGAGGATTGCTTGAGTCCAGGAGTTCAAAACCAGCCTGGGCAACATAGTGAGAACTGTCTCTCCAAAAAAAAGAAAGAAAAAAATTATTTATTTATTTATTTTTGAGACAGGGTCTTTCTCTATGTCACCCAGGCTGTTAGTGCAGTGGTGTGATCTTGACTCAATGCACCCTCCACCGCCTGGGCTCAAGCAATTCTCCTGCCTCAGCTGCTCAAGTAACTGGGATTACAGGCACCTGCCACCACACCTAGCTAATTTTTTGATTTTTGGTAGAGACAGGGTTTCACCATGTTGGCCAGGATGGTCTCAAACTCCTGACCCCAAGTGATCTGCCCACCTCGGCCTTCCAAAGTGCTGAGATCACAGGCATGAGCCGCCGCGCCTGGCCTGGTAACACATTTTTCTTTATGGCTGCTGCCTGCCTTTTTCCTGGCTCACTTCTTCATGCCCCACTCAGTGTTCCCTGTGCCTCCAGATAAAAGAACTGTCGCCAAATACTTGTCTCAGGGCAGCTCCTAGGGGAACCCAAACTAGGACGTTTCATGCCATTTTTATAAAGCACAAAAATAAGTGAAATTATTCTGTGCTATTAGAAGTCTGGGTGATGATTGTCCTTGGGTAAGAGGAAGGTAGAGACTGGATGGGGACAGATGGGGGTTTCAGGCGTACAGGTAATGTTCTTGTTCTTAATCTGAGTACTGGTTAAATGACTGTGGTTTTTTATTTGTGAATCAGTGAGACATACAGTTATAATAGGTACAATTTTTGGTTGGATTATTATAACTCAATAAAATACTTTTAAAATTATTCAGTTAGTTTTGGCAGAATGCAGGAGCTTTTTGTTTGGTGTTTTGTTGTTTGTTTTTCGAGTAAGGATCTTGCTCTGTCACCCAGGCTGGAGTGCGGTGGTGCAATCATAGCTCACTGCAACCTCAACCCCTCCTGGGCTTAAGCAATCCTCCCGCTTTGGCTTCCGAAGTAGCTGGGATTGCAGGCAGGAGCCATCACACCTGGCCTCAGTTTTATTTATTTTTTATTTTTATTTTATTTTTTATTTTTAAGACGGAGTCTCACTCTTTCACCCAGGCTGGAGTGCAGTGGCACAATTTCTGCTCAATGCAAGCTCCGCCTCCTAGGTTCACGCCGTTCTCCTGCCTCAGCCTCTCGAGTAGCTGGGACTACAGGCACCTGCCACCACGCCCCGATAATTTTATTTTTTTTTTGTATTTTTAGTAGAGACAGGGCTTCACTGTGTTAGCTAGGATGGTCTCAGTCTCCTGAACTCGTGATCCGCCCACCTTATTCACCCAAAGTGCTGGGATTACAGGCATAAGCCACCGCCACCGGCCCTCAGTTTTATTTTTTACAGTGAAGGAATGGTAAAAATTCTTACCCATTGGCTTTTGCAATGAAAACAGAAATCATACATTTGTAGTAAGTAAAACAACAAATCATTTTTATAATTATTTTTCTGATCCACATATGGCCAGAAAATAGGAAGAGACAAAGGCCAGAGGGATGAAAAGTTGGTTCCAGGTAACAAAGGAGAGGACAAAAAAGAGAAGAGATAGGCCGGGTGCGGTGGCTCACATCTGTAATCCCAGCACTTTGGGAGGCTGAGGCAGGCCGATCATGAGGTCAAGAGATCAAGACCATCCTGGCCAACATGGTGAAACCCCGTCTCCACTAAAAATACAGAAATTAGCCAGGTGTAGTGGTGCATGCCTGTAGTCCCAGCTACTCAGGAGGCTGAGGCAGGAGAATTGCTTGAACCCGGGAGGCGGAGGTAGCAGTGAGCCGAGACCATGCCATAGCACTCCAGCCTGGTGACAGAGTGAGACTCCGTCTCAAAAAAAAAAAAAAGAAAGAAAGAGAAGACATAGAGAGGATGTGGTACACACAGACCAAGAAGGGAGAAAAGAAAGCAAATGACAACAAAACATGAATACAGAAAGACAGACTTTTTATCTCCATGCTGTCAGAATGGATGTAAGGATTCCTCTCCAAAGCTGAAATGCATAGGCATTCATGTAATGCCCTCTTTATTCTACATTCAACAAAGAAAAATTTCTAAAACCTTGTTTTACATTGAATAAGGACAATTTCTTTTGAGAGAGCAGCAGGGTCAATCCCCCTTTGCAAAGGGTAGTGCATCTCTTTTCACGGCATCACATTTCCATCTGGTGGCCTTTTAGGATATCATGGACAAGGACTCAAGATTTACAGCGAAGGCAGGGCAAATATTTCCTGCTGGCATCTGTCTTGTTTGAGCATTAAATCCAGGCCTCAGATGGGGGCGGTCTGCACTCCTATGGCAGATTGTAATGAGAGGTGTGGAAGAAGACATCGAACCCAACCCTGTGAATTTCATTTTAGGATGGACTGAGGAACAACATTCACATCAAAAACAAGCATTTTATCATGAGATTTATTAAACTTTGTCAGCCACTCCTACTAGGTCTTCCTATAGATATTAATGATTAAAAAAAAAAAAAGCACTAACACCCAAAGTAAATTTTTCTGGGAGATTCCAGATTGGCCTATTATGAAGTTGAATTGTTCACTGTACCGACACTGAAACATTTATTGCAATACATTACAGAACAGGTTTAAACTGCATAGGCACACATACACACATACACCCGCCTACTCCAAACTCATGTCTGAGTACTCTATTCTTCCTAAATAAAAGACAAAAGCTTTGGTGGTATTTTTTTAAGTGTAATTTAGGGATTTAAGATGGGGCAAGAAAAATATCTGAAAGGCCCTCCCCTCCATGCTGTGCCCTTATAAATGATAGAACAGATAGAGAAATTAAATTACTGACTATACAATTGGGCTTGAAGTCATAAAGGGGAGTGCTTGGGATCACAGAAATAAACAAGGAAGTTCTTAAGAAGCCATGGGAGAAGCCAAGGCCCAGGTAACCTGAGTCTGCACCCACCTGGGAATGCTGCAGAATCCTGAGACTCAGGTGGAGAATTGGAAACCAGAAATCTAGTGTGCATTGAAGAAGTGCCAGATGTCTGAGGAAGCCCACTGCTATGAAAGAGAAATAACAAATAGAGCAAATGAAAAATCTTCTCTACAACCAAAGGTCAATTAAAGCAAGTACATTTAATACCTTCAGCAAAACAGGGGAAAATAAAACCAAGCAATTATGAAAAAGAACCAATTAGAGATCTCAAAAATTAAAGCCCAAGTTATTGAAAGAAAAACCTCAAAAGATAGGCTGAGTAACAGCAGAGACACACTGAAGGGTCCATTAGCAAAATGGAGCATTCAGTTGAGGGAGTCTTGCAGGTTAAAGAACAAAGAGAAAAAGGTGAAAAGGTTAAGAGCCAGAAAGTCTGGGTGACCGCATTCAAGCTTTCGTCTAGTAGGAATTCCAAAGGCAGAGAGAGAATGGGAGAAAGTAGTATTTAATTAATAGCTAAAAATTCCCCAAAAGTGAAGAAAGCTATGAAAATAGAGAAAAAAATGTTAAAAGCTACCAAAGCAAAAAAAAAAAAAAAAAAAAAAATAGTTTAAATTCAAAGAAATAAGGATCAGATTTTCCTCATTAATTTCATTAGCAACACTAGATACAGGCCAATGAAGCCATGTCTTCAATGAGCTTTGGAAAATAACTAATTGATGCTGAATTCTATAACCCAGCTACAGAATCACTTAAGGGCACAGTGAAACAAAGCCATTTTTTTCTTTTTTGAGACAGGGTATTGCTCTGTTGCCCAGGCTGGAGTGCAGTGGCATGATCAAGGCTCACTGCAGCCTTGACCTTCCTGGCTCAAGCGATCCTTCCATCTCAGCCCCCCAAGTAGCTGGGACTACAAGAACCTACCACCACGCCTGGCTAATGTATTTTGTTTTTGCGTAGAGACGGGGTTTTTCCATGTTGCCCAGGCTGGTTTTGAACTTCTGGGCTCAAGTGATCTGACTACCTTGGCCTACCAAAGTGCTGGAATTATAGGCGTGAGCCACCGCACCCGGCCCAAAGGCATTTTTGAACATTCAAGATTTAAGAAAGTTTACCACCAACAGATTCTGTTGAAAACAACTACTTAAGAAGCCCTCCTGCAAGAAATGACATGAAACCAGAGGAAGAAGGAGTGCGAAAAAAGTAACACTTCCCTAAGTAATCAGCCAATGCTATTATTTAAGACTAAAGTATTGATTGCCATGGATGCTTAAAATAACAATTTGGAATTAGAATTCTGGATTATATCAACAGGAGACTTGGGAAAAAGGAAAACAGGGGGAGGAAGTGAACATTTCTTATCTTGTTTGGGAAGAGTCTATATGTACAGTTTACCTTCAGATTTTGTTAGGCAACATTATATATGGATATAAAAAATTAAGAGTAACCATTAGAAAAATAGCAATGAAATGTATAAATTTCAAACCAGTAGTGGAAATAAGATGGAACAAAGAAATTTCAATCAACCCAACAGAAAACAAGAATGGGGACAAAAAGAGAAACAGAGCATCATCAATAAAAAACACAAAGATAGGCCAGGCATGGTGGCTCATGCCTGTAATCCCAGCACTTTGGGAGGCTGAGGAGGGTGGATCACTTGATGTCAGGAGTTCAAGACCAGCCTGGCCAACATGGTGAAACTCTGTCTCTACTAAAAGTATAAAAATTAGCCGGGCTTCGTGGTGGGCACCTGTAATCCCAGCTACTTTGGAGGCTGAGGCAGGAGAATCACTTGAACTTGGGAGTCGGAGGTTGCAGTGAGCCAAGATCATGCCATTGTACTTCAGCGTGAGCGACAGGGTGAGGCTCTATCTCAAAAAAAAAAAAAAAAAAAAAAAGACACAAAGATAATAAAGTCCAAACAAATGAGTGTTCATAATAAATGGGCAATAAGAAAAAAATCAAATGAATAGCAAATAGGCAATTCATATGAAAATACTATTCAAGGAAATTAAAATTGCTAAGAAAGAAAAAATGCTCGATCTCACCATTTATCAAGGAAATACAAATAAAAGGTCATTGAGATGCTATTTTTACTGATTAGATTGGCAAGTATTTTTAACTTTGATAACAAATGTTAGCCAGAGTTGGACAAACGGGTACCCTCATGTCCCACCAAAGGGAGTGCATATTAGTACAGTCAATTTGGAGGGCATCTGACATATCTGTTAAAACCAAAACATTTGCATGTGTGTGCAAGAAAGTATAGTCAAGATTATCTTAGCAGCATTGCTGGTAGCAGTGAGATATTGGCAATGATCTAAAGGTTCATCATTGGGAGAATAACTACATGAACTATTGTATGTTCCTACCACAGAATACTCTGCAGCAGTTAAAAACAATAACTTAGAATCATTTCTTTCTTCTTCATTTTCTTCTTTCTTTCTTTTTTTTCTTTCTCTCTCTCTCTCTCTTTCTTTCTTTGAGACAGACTCTTGCTCTGTCTCCCAGGCTGGAGTGCAGTGGTACAATCTCGGTTCACTGCAATCTCTGCCTGGCAGGTTCAAGCGATTCTCCTGCCTCTGCTTTCCAAGTAGCTGGGATTGCAGGTGCCCACCACCATGCCTGGCTACTTTTTGTATTTTTAGTAGACATGGGATTTTACCATGTTGGCCAGGCTGGTCTCGAACTTCTGACCTCAGGTGATCCACCTGCCTTGGCCTCCCAAAGTGCTGGGATTACAGGCGTGAGCCACTGTGCCTGGCCCATTCACCAGATATTTACTGAGCACCCAACCTGTGCCAGCCACTGTGCTAGAATCAAGGAAGACAGCAGTTGTAGAAAAGGAGAGGAAAATCCTTATCTTCTCAGAGCTTACATTCTGCTGGAAGACAACGGATGGGCAAGGAGATGGATGAATATATGCCATGGGACCAAGCCTTTGCTCCACCCTCACCTTGCTGGATGACCTGGGGTATTTCACTCCACCTCAGTGAGCCACAGTTTTCCATTTCTGTCAAATAAGGAAGTAGGGCAAGATGGTCTCCTTAGAATTCAAGACACTCCCAGAGGGTCTGCAGGGATTTCTCAAACATTGAATTGTCTTCCATCCAATGTCAATCCTTTAAGCATACTGAGGACCCTGTTTGTTGCTTGGACTTAATTAAGCCCAGGGTTGTGTGGGCAGGAAACTCAATGCTCATGTTTCAGGAAAAGCACTGGATCCAATGATTGCCAAGCCCCACCCCAGCTCAGATCAGCTAATCAGGGACCCCATGCTTCTGCATTATCTTTTTTCTGTGTGTAAACAGGCACATCCTAGGTGCTTCAATATTGAGTTCCAGCTGAATCAGCCCTTCCAAGGTCACTGACCAGGGTATAGGGCATCCCTAGCCCTGGGCTGTGAACCCTTGTCTATCCTTGTTACTCTCACCGGAACCTAAGGCTCAATGGAAGATAAATAGCAGGGGTCAGAAATTTGAGGGATTGCATGTGGGGAAACCCAGGGGCTCCAGCATCACTTGGAGGACAAGAAATAAATGAGATAAGTGAGGGGTCTTTGTCTGGGCTGGTGCAGGAGCACTTCTTGTTTTCACAGACAGCCCTCATTCCTGCACAGCTATGATCCTCATTCCTTAGCTGGGTATCCCAATGTTAGAAAGGATCACCAAAGAGCTGGGTAATGGGGTTCTGGGGTCGGGCTGGACTTGCCTCCAATCTCAGCCCTACTGTGTGGAGCAGTGGAACCCTCATATGCTGCTGGTGGGCAACCAATTTACATAGACAAGTTTGGCAGTTTCTTGTATAACTTACTCTCATCATGTGACCCAGCAAATCCAATCCTAGGGATCTACCCAAGAGAAATGAAAACATATTCTCACACAAAAACTTATACACACATTTTCATAACAACATTATTCATAATGGCTCAAGACTGGAAACAACCCAAATGTGCACCAGCTGAAGAATGGATATGTAGACGTTTGTGATCCACCCATGAAACAGAACTTTATTTGTCAATAGACAGGGATGAAGCCACAATGGACATTACAACGTGGATGAACCTCAGAAGCATTACACTATGTGAAAGAAGCCAACCATAAAGGCCACACAGTATATGATTTCACTAAGAGGGAATGTGCAGAAAAAGGCACATCTGTAGAGTCAGAAAGCAGATTGGTGGTTGCCTAGGGCTGGGGGTGGGAATGGAAGATTGCCTGCAAACAGGCAAGAGAAATGTTTTCAGGGTAATAGAAATGTTCTAAAACTGGCTTGTGCTGATGGTTGCCCAAATCTATAGATTTGCTGATCTAACTGTACATTTATTGTGAGTAAATTTTATGGTGTGTAAATTATACCTCAGTAAAGCTGCTGAAATATGCAAAATAAAACCCAAAACTCACCCCTTGATTCTTCCTAGCTGTGCAGGCTGGGACCATCAACTCCAGTTCCCTGAGCCTCAGTTTATTCATGTTTAGTTTATGAAGATGGGCATGTAGTAATGGAACCTCTCAATGAGCATGCCAGGAGGATTCATATAACAGAAAATACATGCAAAGACTTTTGCTGGGAACCCGGCACCTGCACAGGGCCCTCAATTATGTGGGTTGTTGGTGTCATTTCCATGGAACCAAAGAGACTATAGCCACAGAACTCCTCCTTGCTGACATCTGGTGGGGCTGGTGTTGGCTTGCTTCACTGAGCATTTCCAGTGCTCGGCATTCACTGTGCACTGTAAACATTCTCTGAGCATCATGGACAAGTGACCAAAACAGAGCCCCTCTACAGGTGTCCAGCACCCTTTGGGGAATCAGAGAAGAAAACTGGTGTTTGCAACCCTGTGTGATGGGCACATGTGCTGTAGGAGCCCAGGGAGAAACAAACTGGCTAAAATGGGCATGTGAGGGGCTCCTCAGAGGCAGCTACACTTGTGTCCTTGCATGAACCCTGCTGAGCCCGATTCTGGAACAGATCAGGACAGGAAGAGCTTTCAAAGAGTTTCTGTTTCAATATTCTTTTCACTGCTGAGGAAACTGAGGCTGAGAAAGGGGTAGGAACTGGCTCAGGTTCTGTGATGGAAGTGGGATTTGAATGCTGTCTGACCTTGAAACCTGTGTTAGTATGAATCCTCCCAGAAGCAGACACCAAGTTAGAATGAAATCAGCAGAGATTTATTGGGGATGCACCTGTGCAGGTTAAGAGAGGGGCCAGGAGTGATCAGGGAGAGCCTTCAGACTGCCGTGTGAGAGGGGAGAGGGGAAAGGAAGGAAGGTAGGGCAGGAGGAGTCCGAGACACAGCACAGCTCTAGGAACGTTTGGCCGGATCAGTTGGGAGTCTCTGGTGGACTGTTGACTGTTAGAGGATTCCCTTGTCCTGCAGGAACAAGTGGCACTAGTACCCTGGCATGCTCGGTTCTGGCTGGGAGCAGCCTATAGGAAGTGTGGCCTCAGTGCCCAGGCTGGAATGCAGTGGTGCAATCATGGCTTACCACAGCCTTGACCTCTTGGGCTGAATTGGTTCTTCCACCTCAGCATCCTGGGTAGCTGGGACCACAGGCATGTGTAACCATGCCCAGCTAATCTTTTAATTTCTTGTTGAATGTCTTGTTGTGTTACCAAGGCTGGACTCAAACTCCTGGGCTCAAGCAATCCACCCTCCTCGGCATCCCAAAGTTCTGGGATTACAGATGTGAGACCCCGGGCCCGACCGGTTGGTTGTATTTCTATTGGATAGTGCTGGTCTAACACAGGTTTTCTCAGCCTCAGCACTGTTGACATTTGGGGCTGAATCATTCTTTGTGTTGAGGGTGGTCTTGTGTATTCTACAGTGTTCAGAAGCCTCCCTGGCCTCCAGCTACTGGATGTCAGTAGCACCTAGTTAATCCTCAAGGCATAGCAACCCAAAGTTTCTCCAGACATCGACAGAATCACCCCACTTGAGAACAGAGCAAATGTTGTATAGCCACAAGAGCCTGTGGCTTACCACATGCCAAGCACTGGTATTAAGGACAGGGTGTTAGGGATACAAACAGGGAACGAAAAGTCCTGCCTATGTGGCACTTACTTTAGTGGGAAGTAGAGACAATGAATAAGTAAATATACATTGTCCCTGGCAACACGTGCCGTGGTAAACAGTGAAACAGGAAAGGGGACCAGGAGCACAGGGTGGTATGTGTTAGCAGGCTTCCTGTTGTGTGTATTTCATCAGGGAGGCCTCACAGAGAAATCGAAGAGTGAGGAAACAAGCTGGATTCTGAGAACAGTGTTCGAAAAAGTGGCAGGAGCCAGTGCAAAGACCCAGAGGTGCACATCACTGAAAACAAGGAAGGAGATCTCTATGTAGTGACATGAAAAGACTATTAATCAGTGAAAAATTTGTAAATGGGGGCCTTGAACTTAAACTAGGACAAATGATACACGTCTTTCTGGTGAGGTGGTTAAACCTTTTCAAAAATAGCTTTATTGAGGGCCAGGTGAAGTGGCTCACATCTGTAATCCCAGCACTTTGGGAAGCTGAAGTAGTCGAATCACCTGAGGTCAGGAGTTAGAGACTAGCCTGGCCAACATGGCAAAACCTGGTCTCTACCAAAAAAATACAAAAATTATTTGGGCATGGTAATGCATGCCTGTAATCCCAGCTACTCGGGAGGCTGAGGCAGGAGAATCGCTTGAGTCAAGAAGGCAGAGGTTGCAGTGAGCCAACATCACGCCACTACACTCCAACCTGGGTGACAGAGCAAGACTCCATCTCAAAAAAAGAAGAAAAAAAGCTTTATTGAAATATAATTCACATGCCATAAAAGTCACTCATTTAAAGCCTAAAATTCACTGGTTTTTATGATGTACACAGAGTTGTGCAACAATCACCACATTTGCTTTAGAAAATTTTCATTACCTCTAAAAGGAACCCCATACCCTGTAACCAACACTCCCAAATTCCCCCAGTCCCCCACTCAACCCTAGGGCAACCACTAATCTACTTTCTATCTCCAAATTGGTCTATTCTGGACATTTCACATAAATAGGA
Source organism: Homo sapiens (assembly GCF_000001405.40). NCBI lineage: Eukaryota > Metazoa > Chordata > Mammalia > Primates > Hominidae > Homo > Homo sapiens. The sequence goes on along the minus strand of NC_000010.11, from coordinate 45,802,267 downwards.
TCATATATGATTTTTTTGTGACTGGCTTCTTTCACTTAGCATAATGTTTTCAAAGTTCATCATGTTCTAGGATATATCAGTACTTCATTCCTTTTTATTGCTGAATAATAGTCCCCTGTAGCAATATATCTCATGTTGTTTATCCATCCATCAGTTGATGAGCATTTGAGTCATTTCCAATTTTGGGCTGTTACATATAATGCTAAGATGAACATTCAACTGCAAGTTTTTGTGTAAACATATGTTTTCCTTTCTCTCTGAAGTAGCTTTGCTAGGTTATGTGGTAACTCTTATGTTTAGCAAATTGTGGCACTACCAAATTTTTCTAAATGGTATGGATCATTTTATAGTCCCATCAACAATGAATGAGGGTGCCAATTTCTCCACACCCTTGCCAATACTTCTTTCTGTCTTTTTGATTAAAGCTATCCTAGTGGGTGTGAAGTAGTATCTCATTGTGGTTGTGATTTCCATTTCTTTAAAAACTAATGGTACTGAGCATCATTTTAATGTGATTATTGGCCATTTGCATACATTCTTTGGAGAAATGCCTATTCACATATTTTGTCTATTTTTAATTGGATTTTTTATTGAGTTGTATGAGTTTTTTTATTACATATTCTAGATAAAAACACTAACGGATATATAAATGGCAAATATTTTCTCTCAGTTCGTGGGTTGTCTTTTAACTTTCTTGATGGCATCTATTGAGACACACAAGTTTTTCATTTTGGTAAAGTCTAATTTGGCTATTTTTCTTTTGTCATACTTCAAAAGCTTGGCCTATCCCAAGTAGTAAAGATTGACTTATATATTTTTCTAAGAATTGTATAGTTTTAGCTCTTATATTTAGGTGTATTGTCCAATTTCAATTTAGTTTTGTGTATGGTGAGAGGTAGGGTCTAACTTTATTCTTTTGCATGTGGATAAACAGTTGTTCCAGTATCATTTGTCAGAAAAATCATTCTTTCCCAATTGAATTGTCTTGGATCCTTGTTAAAAATCCATTTTTTGTAAATGTGAAGGTTTATTTCCAGACTCTTTATGCTAGCGATCTACCTATGCCAGTACCACCCTATCTTAATTACTGCAGCTTTGTAGTAAGTTCTGAAATTAGGAAGTGTGAGTCCTCCAATTTGTTCTTCTCTTTTTAGATTGTTGGCTATTCTGGACTCCTTGAATTGCCATACGAATTTTAAGTATGCCCATTTTGCAAAAATGTTAGCTGGGATTTTGACAGGGATTGTATTAAGTCTGTAGATTTGGAGAGTATTGCAATCTTAATACTAAGACTTCTAATCCATAAATACGTACTATTTTTCAGTTTATATCTAATTTACCTCCACAATGTTTCACAATTTTTAGAGTACAAGTTTTGTTCTCTTTTGTTAAATTTATTCCTAAGTATTTTATTCCTTTAAATGCTATTATAAATGGAATCACTGTCTTAATTTCAGATTGCTCATTGCTAGCGTATAGAAACACAACTGATTTTAATATATTGATCTTGTACACTGCAACTGTGCTGAACTGTTTATTTAGTTCATTTAGTTATTTAGTTCTTCCCAAAGATCTTCTATATAAAAGCTTTATATACAAGATCATGTCATTTACAAATAGAGTTTTACTTCTCCCTTTCTAATCTATATGCCCTTTTATTCCCTCCCCCACTTTTTTTTTGAGAGAGTCTCGCGCCATTGTCCAGGCTGGAGTGCAATGGTGCAATCTTGGCTCACTGTAACCTCCACCTGCTGGGTTTAAGCGATTCTCCTGCCTCAGCCTCCCAAGTGGCTGGGATTACAGGCATCCGCCACCACGCCAGGCAAATTTTTGTATTTTTAGTAGAGACGGGGTTTCACCAAGTTGGCCAGGCTGGTGTCGAACTCCTGACCTCAGGTGATCCACCCACCTCGGCCTCCCAAGTGCTGGGATTACAGGCGTGAGCCACCATGCCCTTCTTATTTCCCTTTCTTGCCTAATTGCCCTGCTCTAGAACCTTCAGTATAAGATTGAATAAAAGTGGTGAGACTGGACATCCTTGTCTTATTCCTGACTGTAGAAGGAAACCATTAGGTATAACGTTAACCGTGGGGTTTTTATAGATAACCATTATCAGGTTGAGGAGCTTCCCTTCTATTCCTATTTTAGTGGGGTTTCTTTTTAATCATGAAGGGGTGTGAATTTTGTCAAATGCTTTCTTCAGTGTCTATTGAAATCATCATGTGATTTTCTTTCCTCTTTTATTCATATATTACATTAATTTTTGTGTGTCAAATCAACCTTGCATTACTGGGATAAATCCCATTTGGACATAGTACGTAACCTTTACATATGTTGATGGATTTGGTCTGGAAGTATTTCCTCAGGATCTCTGTGTCTATAATCATAAGAGATGATCTGTAGTTTTCTTTATGTCTGTCTGGATTTGGTATCAGGGTAATATTGGCCTTATAGGATGAGTTGGGAAGTGTTTCTGACATGGGTAAATGTTTAGATGTATTTCAGGATAGGCAAAGCCTCAGAGTGGGAGAAGGATATCAGTAAGTAAACCTAGGTGAACAGAAAGTGAACACTATGAAAGTGCAAGCGTCAGAGAAATGTGCCATACATAATTTTTTTACAATTTTTTCTACCAAAGGATATATCACTGAACTCACTACAATATAAGCATGTTTAAAGAAGCAGTTATTTTTAAAGATGGTGGTTTTGTTAGTAATCTCCACTCCATAAGCATGATATTCCAGAGGCCTCTGAAATCCAATGTACTCAAAACTTATAATTTTTCCCACAAACCTCCTGCTTTCCTGTAGTCCCCATCTTGGTAAAGAGATGCCTTTCATGCCATCACTCAAAATGATCTGTCAATCATTTTGGATTTTCCCCCAACCCCATGACACCTAGAAATGACCAATTCTAGACAATATGACTTCTTAATATTGTTTTTTGTTTGTTTTTGAAACGCAGTCTCGCTTTGTCACCCAGGTTGGAGTGCAGTGGCACGATCTGGGCTCACTGCAACCTCCACCTCCCAGGTTCAAGCGATTCTCCTGCCTCAGCCTCCTGAGCAGCTGGGATTACAGGCATGCACTACCATGCCTGGCTACTTCTTGTATTTTTAGTACAGATGGGATTTCACCATATTGGCCAGGCTGGTCTTGAACTCCTGACCTTGTGATCTGCCCGCCTTGGCCTCCCAAAGTGCTGGGGTTACAGGCATGAGCCACTGTGCCCAGCCTCTTAATATTGTTTAAATCTGTCACCCACTCCATCTACAATGATTAGGACTTAATTTAGGGCTTCATTAGCTCTCAACTGAGCAATTTTCATGGCCTAGTTTTGATCCTCGATTCTTGCCGTTCACTCTTTCAACCCATCTGTCCATGATGCTAGTTTTTTTTTCAACTTTGAAAAAAGTTTATGAAAACTAGATTAGGGTATCATATTTTTACATTATTCCGCAATGATGTTTAAGCAAGGGGAAAAGTCACACAAAGCTCTAAAATAATTTTATGTTCGACTTGAGAATGCATTGCAATGAAACCTCACCAATGAAGGAACTAAAGGAGGGAAATGAACTAAGTTAGTCTAAACATGAAAAGGCTCCTTTTTGAATAGATTTCTTTTTTTGAGCAGCAGAACTGAGCAGAAATTACAATGTTCCTATATGCCCCTCACTCCCACAGCCTTCTCCTATCACAACCTGCACCAGAGTGGTACATTTATTACAACTGATGAACCCCACAGTGACACATCATTTTCACACATAAATTGAAGTTTGTAATTTACATTAGGGTTCACTCTTGATGGATTTGAACTAATGCATAATGACATGTATTCACCATTACAGTACCACACAGAATACATACACTGTGCTACAAATCCTCTGTGCTTTGCCTATTCATTCCTCTCTCCCCTCAGATCTTGGCAAACACTACACTTTTTACCGTCTCCATAGTTTTACCTTTTCCAGAACGTATTTCGGGATTTTATAGTATACGGCCTTTTCAGATTGGCTTCTTTCACTTAGTAGCACACACTTAAGGTTCTTCCATGTCTTTTCATGGGTTGATACAGCTCATTTCTTTTTGGTGCTGAATAACAGTCCGTTGTCTGGGTATAGTACAGAGATTATTTATACATTCATCTACTGAAGGACATTTTGGTTGCTTCCAAGTTTTGGCAATTATGAAAAAAGCTTCCGTACACATCTGTATGCAGGTTTTTGTGTGAACATGTTTTCTACTCACTTGGGCAAATTCCGAGGAGCATAATTGCTGGATCATACAGTAAGAATATGTAAGAAGTTGCCAAACAATCTTCCAAAGTACCATTTTGTATTCCCACCAGCAGTGAATGAGAGTTCCTGTTGCTCCCCATCTTCCCCAGCTTTGGTGTTGTCAGTGTTTTGGATTTCAGCCATTGTAACAGTCATGTAATAGTACGTCACTGCTGTTTTAATTTGCATTTCCCTAATGACACATAATGTGGAGCACAGTTATCTTTTCAAAACGTAGAGCTGATCATGTTATTTCTTGCCTCAAGGCGCTATAATGACTTCTCCCTGTCTATAGAATAAAATTCAGACTCCTTAGAAATGCTCCCAAGATTATGCACCTCATATTCCGGCCCCATTTTACCCATCTACTACCTCACCTCATCTTGCAACATCTCTGGTACTTCTATCCTCTAATCATCTGCATCTGCAGCTTCAGAACACATCAGCTTCTATATTGTTGCTCCTGCTCTGCTCTACTTACTGTCTTGTGCACACATGGTTACCTGACAAGCACCTAATCACCTTTCAACATTCAGCTCCAATATCAACTATTCCACAAAGCTTTTATACCTACCCCCTTTACACTACTACCTACATCATATATTGCACCCATAACAATTTCTTTATTTTATTTTATTTTTATTATTTTTTTGAGACAGAGTCTCACTCTGTCGCCCAGACTGGAGTGCAGTGGCATGATCTCGACTCACTGCAAGCTCCGCCTCCTGGGTTCATGCCATTCTCCTGCCTCAGCCTCCTGAATAGCTGGGACTACAGGCACCTGCCACCACGCCTGGCTAATTTTTTATATTTTTAAGAGACAGGGCTTCACTGTGTTAGCCAGGATGGTCTCGATCTCCTGACCTCGTGATCCACCCGCCTCAGCCTCCCAAAGTGCTGGGATTACAGGCATGAGCCACCGCACCCGGTCCCTAACAATTTCATTTTTTACTAAACTGAAGGGAGCACATCTGATCTCTACCACCTAGCACAGTGTTTTGCACATATTGGTACTCATTAAAGCTTTGTTCAAGGAAAGAACAGATATTTTTGTCTTTCAATTGATCCTCAGAATAAACCTGTGCTATAGGTAAGGTATTATCCAAGTTTTAGACATTAATAACTATTTGGTTATCCTGTGTTAGCTGTTTGTGTTGCTATAAAGGAATACCTGACACTGGGCAATTTATAAACAAAAGAGGTTTATTTTGGCTCATGGTTCTGTAGACTGTACAAGGGGTATAATGCTGTTATCTGCTTCCAGTGAGGGCCTCAGGAAGTTTACAATCATGGTAGAGGAGAGGAGCCAGCATGTTACATGGTGAGAGAACAAGAGAGAGAGAGAGGAAGGACGTGTGAGGTTGTTTTTTGTTTGTTTGTTTGTTTTGAGACAGAGTCTTCCTCTTGTCGCCCAGGCTGGAATGCAGTGGCACGATCTCAGCTCACTGCAACCTCTGCCTCCTGGGTTCAAGCAATTCTCTTGCCTCAGCCTCCCGAGTAGCTGGGACTACAGATACGTGCCACCACACCTGGCTAATTTTTGTATTTTTAGTAGAGATGGGGTTTCTAGATGTTGGCCAGGATGGTCTCCATCTCCTGACCTCGTGATCCACCAGCCTCGGCCTCCCGCAGTGCTGAGATTACAGGTGTGAGCCACGGTGCCCGGCCCCCAGGTTCTTTTAAACCAGATCTCATGTGAACTCAGAGTGAGAACTCATTCATTACCACAAGGACAGCACCAAGACATTCATGAGGATCCACCCCCATGATCCAAACACCTCCCACTAGGCCCACCTCCAACACTGGGGGTCACATTTCAACATGAGATTTGGAGGGGACAAAACATCCAAGCCATATCATGCTCCAAAAGTTTGTTTAGAGGGATGTTGGCTTCTCACAGGAATCCCATTCTGATTCACTCCAAATGAAGTCCACCAACGTTTATCCAACTCATAACATACATGCACATACAGGAATCTGCTATAATATGAGTTTTTAATTACACTAATAGGAAAGATCATTAATTCGGGAATCTGCATTGCATTGTACAGACTTCTAGTGATCCTAAAGGGAGGGCATTACAGAAAGGAAAGTTGTTTCTTGTAGTGCAGCTCATTTGAGTGTCGTTGCACCATATTTCAAAATGATGGGTATTAAGAGTAATACAAGGTACCAGGCTAATAATACTGCTGGTGATAGTGGTAAAGGGTCATTGCTCTTAAATAAAAGCTAAATTAAAAAGCTGCATTGCTTATATATGACTTTGTATGGAGCTCTCTAACCTTAACCCCCTTTCTTTCACTCATTCAAACAACTGCTTTTATAATTTTGGATAACATGAATTCTTAAAAACATACTTATGCTATATCAAATAAGACTGTCCTATAGAGTTGCCAGCGTGTGTATCCCCGAAGCCAACAGTACTCGTACCTACACAGGTGCAGCTCTAGCAACAGAAGTCAGGTGTCAGGACTGCAAAATGCACATGACAGAAATAAAGACATGAGTGACTATAACTGCCTAAGGAATATGGATTGTTTCCTTCACCACAGTGTTCTTCCATAGTGAGACCCTGAAAATAATAGGCTGGGGGAGGGTAGAAGATAACAAACAGATTTGGAAGTCCTTCACCTATAATGAGAATGGATAATTCAACTATATGCCAGAAGAAAAAGCATAACCCCGTTCAGCATTAATTGTGCTGGAACTTCCACCGTAAGTCTGGGTCCAGTCAATGGGGTAATTTCCAATATCCCAAAAGAACCAAGGTTGATAACCAAAAGCTAAAATGTTTCCCTCTAGAAGATAGTTATGCTTCTCCTCAGGAGTAGAAATCACTGTAGCAGAGGACAAAATGAGGCCATGAAATCTGGTTAAGCCAGACTGGATGCCTAGAGGGTAGCTGAGGAGCAAATGGAAGCTGCAGCAGGAGAACAAAGACCCAGCCAGTAATAAAAGCTGGGTCCATGAACGGCTTCTTGAAATGGTGTGTGGTCATGCTTAGCTGAGCATACTGTGGGACTCATGATCTTGGAAAATGAGGTGGCAATGAAGACTTAAAGATGGGATGGAAAATGATGCGAGAACAGCTTAAAAAAAAAAAAAGGAAGAAAACAGAAGGGGAAGAGGAAACAAAGAAAACAGAAAGAAGCTGGCCATTGTGGCTCATGCCTGTAATTCCAGCAATTCAGGAGGCCAAGGTGGGAGAATCACTTGAGGTAAGAAGGTTGAGACCAGCCTGGGCAACAGACCCTTGTCTCTACAAAAATTTTTTTTTAAAAATTAGCTGGGCATGATGGCACACACCTGTAGTCCCAGCCATTCAGGAGGCTAAGGTGGGAGGATCACTGGAGCCCTGGAGTTCAAAGGTGCAGCAAGCTATGATTATGCCACTGCACCCCAGCCTAGGCAACACAACCAGACCCTGTCTTTAAAAAAAAAAAAAAAAATGGGAGCAGGTAGAGAAAAAAGTATTTCCATAATTTTTTACAATTAAAAAATATATCTAGCTCTTAAGAGTAATGACACCAAAAAGATTTCTAAATAAATTCCCAAAGCATTTATCTCATCCCTTCTGAAAAAGTTCTAAAAACACAACTCCAAAGATGAAATGGAAGGTAAACAAGGCAATAGCACTGAATACGTAATTTCAGTAACTCAGAATTTGCTCCATCCTCTGCTCTAAAAAAGCTTTGCTACAGAAGAGCAGTTACCTTTAAAACTTTTTCCCCAACATAAAGATATCCAGAATGTGAAGCTACCATTAGAAATGTTGACATAGGCTGGGCGCAGTGGCTCACGCCTGTAATCCCAGCACCTTGGGAGGCCAAGGCGGGCAGATCACAAGATCAGGAGATCAAGACCATCCTGGCTAACATGGTGAAAACCTGTCTCTACTAAAAATACAAAAAATTAGCCGGGCGTGCTGGTGGGCGCCTGTAGTCCCAGCTACTCGGGAGGCTGAGGCAGGAGAATGGCATGAACCCAGGAGGCGGTGGTTGCAGTGAGCCGGGATCACGCCACCGCACTCCAGCCTGGGTGACAGAGCGAGACTCCGTCTCAAAAAAAAAAAAAAAATGTTGACATAGATCTTCATTTACTGATATGTGAAAACATCCCTAAAGTTCTAAATACGAGCTACAGAATCACATCAACCATCTAATATGTCTGTAACCTAAACGCTAGTCGGCAGTTGATCCGCAAGCGGGATTAGGAAATATTTCAGAGCCAGCATCTCCTCGCACCATCCAGGTACCTATACACTTGAGGCCACCAAGTCACCTGCGCAGCCCTTGCTCCTCCAAGACCAACCAGGGCTCCCCAGACCCACAGGCCTGAATCTGGAGGACAGCAGTCTGCCTGACAACAGCGACTCGGAGATCTCAACCTAAGGACAGAAGGAAGATGCATAAAATGAATAGGGGAAAGGAGTGGCCAACTAGCAAGTGCCCTTATCTGTTATCACGTCACTCTCACAGCAGACTTGGGCAAATGGTTGACCTGTGGAAGCCGTACAAAATGTTTGACTCTGGGTATGAGTAATTCCCCTTCCGATCTTACAGTGCCCAAGGAAGAAGTAAGTAGCTCCACGATCGCTGAGACCAACCTGGGCGGCCTACAAGACTGTGCTGTGGTGACAGGCTGCATAGTCAGCAGCAAGACGACAGAGCACCAAAAAACACAGATTAGAATGGGGTCAGCCATCCAGGTGGCTAGTGGCTACTGCCTTTGTCGATACAGATAAAGAACATTTTCATTCCTGTGGAGTTCTATGGGGCAGTGCTGCTCTAGAGGCTGACATTTCCATCTTCAGCACTTCCCCCGGCTATTACCTAGGTTCATTCTGCTGCTTCCACAAGACAAGGATGGAAAAGGATGCCTTAGAGCAATGGTCAGCAAACTGTATATAAAGGGGCAGATAGAAAACATCTGAGGCTCTGTGAGCCATCCAGTCTCTGTCATAATCACTCAACTCTTACATTGGAGGTAGGGTGAGAGCAGCAATAGACAGTAAGTAAACAAATGAATGTGATTGTGTTCCAATAAAATTTTATTAACAAAATATGACAGTGGGGGGGCCACAGTTTGCCAAACTTTGCCTTGGAGGACATGCAGAGGCACCCTCAGAATTCAGTGAAAACCTGCTCCCATATTGCTAAGACTCATGAAGTATAATCTCTCATCTTCTTTCTCTTTCCCCTGCCCAAGCCCTAAGTTAGGGTTCCCATCCATATAACAAAGACTTCTGGTCAGGTGGCATTTGCTATCTCTGAGATTCCCTGCCCATGAAAGCCACAAAGAGATTTCTTCTTTTACACACCCTGAAGCATATTATGGCCCCAGCAAGGCTAACTAAATCAAACTGTGGTTTAAAAACAAAACAAACCAACCACTGTGAAATATTTATTTTTGTTTTGTAGTATTAAGCATGATTAAACCAGTGCAGAAAAATACTAAGTACATTGGGTAAAAGATGAGCTAGCTGTTCTAGTATTTGCTTTTTGTAATCCAGTTAAGACCATGAGCATATACAATATCATCACTAACTCAACAATGTAGCTGCAGGGTAACATGTGGATACCCTGTGTGCTCTACTGGCCTCCAAAGGCATTCAGGGGATCATCAAAGATGTTGGACACCTTGTGTTCAAATCTTGGTTCAGGTGCGGCCTGTGCAGATCGGCTTTTTGGTTTGGTTGTCTTAGCCTGGATACCAGTGGAGAAGATGTCATCTTTAGAAAGAAAAAAGAAAAACAGTTGCTGAAGAGGGGTGGAGAAAGGTACTTTTAAGACACATGCAAGCAAACCACCAAAGACCCAGCTCTCGTAACAGCATGGAGTACCCTAAAACACTAACCTAGAACTCAAGCCTCTTAGATTCTGGTTCTGTGTTTGTTACTCATTAAATTTTATGATCACACACAGGTTTCTCTTGGAGCACAATTTCTTCAGCTACAAAAGTGTATGTATGTGCGTGTGCAGGACAGAAAAAAGGGAAGGGTAACTTGATCTCCAAACCAGCCCACGCCCCTACCATCAGGGACAATGGACTTATTTAGATATTCTTTTCATACTGGGTTTTAAAAGAGCAATAAAAATATGCAAAGGGAAATCCAATATAGGACCCACCTGTTTTCTTTCAGAATAAATGCACTGATTTGAGGCATCTCGATGTAAGACTGTAAGCCTCCGTCACTGCATTCGTTTAGTGTTTCACTGACTCAAAAGCTTGTCTTATCTAATTATGGTAATTACCCAGTAATGTTACTGCTAGGGTTTTATCCAACCATGATTTTAGCATGTATACATAAAGTTAGGTGTACACAAATGGTAAAGACCACAGCATTATTTGTAATAAAGAAAACAGAAACAATCGAGATTGCCGTCAACAGGCTAATGGCTAAATATAAAGAAATCGTGCACAGCACTGAAAACAAGGAAGGAGATCTCTGCGTACTGACATGAAAAGACATTAAGTAACTAAAAGACAGAGCAGAATAGGGAAATATATTCTTACTTTTTAAAAAGGTGGGTATATATTGATGTGTACACAAACATATATTAATATCACTGTGTCTGAAAGGATACATACCAAACTGTTACTATTACCTCTAGGGGTTATTCACTTTTTACATTTTCTGAATTGCATGAATCTATTACAATAAGCATGTATTACTTTTTTTGTATTTAAAATAATGAATGAGTTCCCTTCTGCATTCCATGTGGTGGGAAGCAGGGGAGACAGAGCATACGGCTTGCTGGAGGCACAGAGCCAGTGTGTGGCTCTGCAGCACCAGCTGTCTCCCAGTTAGTCTAAAGGTCTAGATTGACGGGGGGAGTAGGAAATGTGTATGTGGCTCAGCCCACAGGATTTATCAAAAGTCCAATATTTAGGGTTCTCGGGCATTTGCCTTGTCTACTAATAAAGCAGAAGTTGTGCCATATAAGGAAGACAAGCTTGTTCCCAAACACCAAAGACCTCAGTGAAATGCAACGCCTGAGGTAGAGCCTACACCCAGGTCTAGACTTGCTCTCTTCTCGCACAGAACCATGGACACTCCCTGTCCATCTGGAGCTCTGACTCAACCAACCACATCACACCCAAGGCAGTCCCCTCAGCCTACTTTAGCACGTGAGGTCATTTCTGATCAAACCTCCTTACATAACATCAGGGTGTGTCACAGATGATTGGTGAGGTGCACTGAGATCAAAGTTAAATTATACTTAAACATCAAACTCTGGGTGCCTTCAAATTCTTTGATGACTATCATAGGAAAGAGTTACTTCACTAAAATAATTAGTCCATCTCTTACCTATCTTCAGCCTAACTCAGGATTACACTGAAGTGAACCCGCTGGGGTGCATTTTCCAGAAAAGGGCCAAGAAAAGGTAGCAGGAAAAATACCAAGTGATGGAAAGGTAAGAATTCTCTAGGTCAGATGTAGAAAACCAAACTTACCCATATCATCATCAAATATAGACTTGGCTTCCACTTTCTTTTTGGACTTTTCTTTTGGTTTTACAGTTAAGTCAGCAAAGATATCAATGTTATCATCAAATAAATTAGATTCCAATGTTTTCTCCTTCTCTCTGGTTTTCTGAGAGGGTTTAATTGCTTCCGTAGCAAATATATCATCCTTGTTAAGCCAAAAATACATACAAAACAATGTTAAATCAATTTTTCTTTTTAAACTCAAACACGTCAACAAGCTATGGAAATGCAATTGGCCAGGGTGTGTGGAACGGCCTCGAGACTGCCCACTCTGCCTGGGATGCACTACCCCAGATCTCTGCACAGCTTGGCCCGCGCATCTCACCCCGGCTCAAATGCCGCCACTGCAGTGACACCTTCTCTACCAGTCCTGCCTAAAGGAGCACCTCCCAGCCCTACCCACCACTCTGCCCCAGGTTACTTTCTTCATGACACTTAGTACTATTTGAAAACATCTTAATTATCCATTGCCCTGTTTGTATTTGATTATCTTCCCAGAGAGCTCTGAGGAGCCTAGCACTTCTCTGAGTTCACCTTGTGCCTGCAGTCCCCAGGTGCTCAATAAACATCTGCTGAGCAAATGCCACTGAAAGTCTTATTGCCTGCATGCACTACATTGTCAGCTCCAGCCAGGGCCAATGTCCCCAGAACCAGAGGTTAAACTCCCAAGCTGGACCAGTGGAGCTGTATGCCATGTCACCGAGTGGCATGCCCAGGAAGCTGATTACAACAATATTCTATAAAAATAAAAAAACTGTAAAAACTAGAGAAACCAAGATCAGTATCAATGATCATGGCCAGCCAAGAAATACATTCTACATGCAACAAAACAAAAAACCACTTCTGAATCAATGTTAGACTTATTAATAAAAGAGCCTAATTATAATTACTAAGCAAGTGGCTATGGGGTATGCACGCAACAAGCTAGACATAATCTATGGCTCAAATAAGCCAATCAGATACCTTCCTTAACTTAGAACAGACACAAAAACGTGTTAAGTCCTATTACCTCAAAAATATCTTGTGTTGTTAATATGACATCCTGCTGACTACTGGATTTTGTCTCATTCTTCTTGACTTTCTGATCTGTAAAGAGGTCATCCTCATCTTCCAGGAGAGGAAAGGGATTTGTTTTCTTTGCTGGTTTTGGTTTAGCAGACTGAAAGAGATCATCATCACTGCTGGCCTCGCCTAGAGCAGGAAACATGGGGCTCTTTGCTTTACCACCCACTGGTGGGTTGGCAGGATTCTCTGCTATCTTTGCCTTGGGTTTTGTTCTCTCCACGGACTGAGATCCAGTGCCCGTGGAAAAAATGTCCCCAGAATCAAAAAGGTCAGCCTCCCCTCTGGAATGACCCAGAGACTTTGCAAAGGGGCTTGTGTCCACTCCAGGCACAGGACCACCTTCCCAAGGTGCAGCGGCAGCTGCCAGGGCCTCCTCAGTGCTGTCTTCTCCACTGGCTGCTCTGAGCTGTGGCCGATGGCCATTTGGGGAAATGGCGCCATCAGCCCACTGTGCAATGGGTCCTCTGGGGACGCTCATGTCCTCAGCCTCGCTGGACTCCTGAGCAGCCAGCCGCCTAGCTGCACGGGTCTGCGGTCTACGCTTCCCTCTCATCTTGACACGGCTCTGCAACGGCAAAAAAACATACATTGATCTGACGATAAAATAAAGTGTTCAAAGCTACCATGGCAAAGAATCAGTGACTCAAAATATTGTAAGGTTATCTGGTCTACTTCAATGAAGATATTATCTAAGAACATAGAAGAGGTTATTTCTTAATGATTTCCAAGGAAGGAGTTTAATAGCTCCTAGTACTCCAAGACTAAGTCATTCTTAATCCTTTAGAGTTCTCCATTTTTTAATCTTTTCAGGGCAGTTTCAGTTCAGTTTCACACAAAAAGTTTCATCTGTTGCTGGAAACCTGGAAAGTAGGCATGTTGGCTCTCTGTGTCTCACAACCCCTCCCTTGGCCCCTACTCTACCCTCAACAGAAACGTGGGTATCTTTCAAAACAAGAAAGAATCGGGGAATTCTGGTACTAACCTTTGTTAGGGGGCTAGTCTAAATTCAGGCTCCAGGAGCGGGGAGAAACATGACACAATAAAGAGAGGTAATCTAAGGTGCTGTTTTCTTCAAGTCAATAAACATTGAATTCAAATGTTAAATATTCCACATAAGAAATATGGCTTAGAAATCAGAACTTTTCATATAATCTCAAAACATGAATCACTTAGTAGCAATGATGCAGTTTATGATAGTTTCCAAAATATACAATCAAGTAGAATTTTGAGAAGCTACAATCTACTCTGGGCAAAGTATGATTGTGTTGTCAACTTCAGGGGAATGTCACAATTTTAGTTGCCAATTTAAACTTAATAAAAAAAAAGCCAATGAAAATTGTCGTTAAAAGGAAGGCTGTTTTGTTTTGCACAAGGAAACAGGTTTGCAAACATTTGAAATGAATCTATTTGTCAGGGTAGGTCATTCTGTGTCCTGTCACTTACTTGCAGATCAGTTAAAGCTTTCTAGAGAAGGGAGACTGGATAGAAACAAGAAACCCAACTACAATGAAAGGAAAACTTCAAAGAGTTCACAGTCCATTGAGGAGATCCCATGAAACAGTGTCGCTGCTGTGGGAACTTGGTGCAGGGAGTGCAGGGCACAGTGACAGAAGTGGGGATGTGGAAGCACAGCTGTGGACAGAGAGGGGCATTCCTGGTGAGGAGGCAGCAGGAGCCTTGGGCAGCAGCAGAACAGACCATGTGTGTTCAGGGAGTGGCACCTGGTGTGCCTGGAGTCAGGCTGGAAAGTGTGAAGTGACTAGTGAGGAAGCTGCACACATGGGCTGGCACCGATTGCAAAGGGGTTTCATACCAAACCCAGGAGCCCGAATGCTCTCCTTGGAGTAGTGAGGAAGCGCCAGCAGGAGGGGCATGATCTGCTCTGTGGTTAGAAGACCCCCAGGTGGCAGTGCTGGAAACCTGCAGGTGTCAGACACCAGCCAAAGTGGTGAGACGTTACTGTGGCTACTGAGCAGAATGCAAATGTACCAAATGCAGGCCATGGAAAAGCAGGTGCAGGATGAGGGGGGTGGGGAGAATGGAGGGGGGAGCGGCTGAAGGAAGGATGAGGCACCTCCTTCAAAAGGAGAGTCAAAGACTGCTGTGTATGCAACTGATAAACTAGAAAGAAGCATATGCATGTTCTGGTTAAAAGAAGAGAGCAAGGAAGCAAAGATGGTTTCATCACCTTGTTTGCACTGTGTAAGGTGTCTGCCTGAGCTGGAAGATCAAAACTCACACCGGCCTCCCCACTCCCGGGAAGGACAGGCACACTTTCCAGACCGTGGCTCCTTCTGTGTTCAGATGAAGGAAAAGCCAATTCTGGCAAAACAGGCTTTACTTCAGAGATCTGGGAAGCCGCTGTGGGCAGCAAGGCCGCTGGGTTGATCGCTAAATTTGCCTAAAGAAGAAAAATGAAACTCTGTATTTGTTCTTCAACACAGCAGTCTATTATCTTTATTGTGACACATGACAAGATTCGGTACACATAATGTATAATACGAGAGGAGTAGAGAAACGTAGGAAAATCGCCCAATCTAGTCTCAGAATTAAAACAGAGCGTCTTACACCTATGCCCACCACTGGGCTCAAAGAATAGATGTTAAAGACGCAGCACACAGGAGACAACAACTAGGTGCAGGGGAGGGGAGGCGGGGGAAGAGATGAGAAGATGTTTGGCAGCAGCTGACAAGAGTAGGAAACCCAAAAAAGTTTATAGATGCCACAGGGCAGGCAATGAAGATTCCAGTGTTTTAATTACTTGTATCTTCCCGATCCGAGTGGATGGTTCTTTGGTTTTAAATGGAGCGAGACCTGATGAGTCCTGTGTAAGATTACATCCAGTTAAAAATCCATTTGGGAAACAGAAAGACAAGTGTTTCTTATGCCTGTAAATAAATCTGTGATGGAGCAAAACTGTCACTTTCTGTAGCTCTTTAATGGGAAAGGCATTCAAATCTCTCCTGGGGCCTGATGTTTCACTAGCACTACTTCACGTATGCCTCCTCCTCTGTCACATAAGTGGAAAGCTGCCAGATCAGATATGGAGTCAAGGAATACAAGATGAGTAAGATTCCCAAGAGTCACAGTTTATCAGAGCACCTAAAACTGACCAGCAGGCAAAATTACCATGTTGGTTATCAAATAGAAATTTCAAGGAGCACACAAAAATTCAACCATAGCCTAATGCACTGGCTCTAAAAGCAAAAGATCTGAGCCCCAGGAAGGGTCAGTGGTGATGTGTTCGTCCAAGTGCCTCAGGTTTACGGCTCAGGACACTAAGGCTTCAGTGAGACACCCTGGGACACCTGCACGTGGAACTGTCACTCGCTCTCCAGTCCTGGGCTGTTCCCAGGAGGAGCTCCACAGCGTTCTGAGAAGACTGCTGCAGAGTACGGCCCAACAGCAATGACCTCGGGAGAGGCAACACTGAGAGCAGGCAGGAAATCAGATGTAATTTATATTTATTTCTATTTTAATTCTATTCCAAGGAAATCCAGAGGGAGAAATAAATTCTTTAGTGGGAAGAAGATTCTTCATCCTACCTTAACTCCACTTCAGAGTCAAATCTGGCATGGCATCAAAAAACACTAACTATTAAAGTATAGATTCATGAAACTCTGGCGTGTGGAGTGAGGAGAGGGGAGATGACTCGGGGGAAGTGCAGTGAAGACAAAGCTGTAGCCCTGGTTGCTGTTTCCTCCTTAATGCAGACAAGTCTAAATAACTGTGGGTCTGCATAATGGAATTTCTCTGTACTGGGATGCAAACAAGAGCTGAAAATCCTTAAAGAGGATTTCTAACCTGAGGTGTTTCCGGCTTCCATATGCCTTTTTCTTTACTACCTTGAATGGATTCAGGATGTTTCTGGTTTTTGAAAGAGTTAACAGAGTGGTCTTTTTTCACTACTCTCTTTTTCTCTTGTACCTTCAAAAGAAAAAAAATACCAAAAAGGCATCAAATATCTTAGAAGTTTTAAGGAAAAATCATAATGCAAAAAACAATCCTGGCTTCTGAGTCTTAAAAATACTTTCTCAAATGAGGGCTGAACCAACTCAAAGGTAGCATTTCAGAAATAGCATTCTGAAGACTGTGGCTGTCACAGGAGTCCTCTCTATGATAAAAAGAAAACAGAGTACTTACAAAAACCTACTGGGGCTGGGGGAGAAAATGACATAGAAAGGCTAAAACTCAGATTCAAAGCTTTGCACCTGAAAGGCACGAATATTTAGCCACCCCAGTGTATGCAATGGTCTTTCAATCAACCATTTAAACATCACACAGATGTGTAGTACAGTCAGAGAGCCTGGATTATTAATGTTTTAATGTTAGTATAGGGAACATAAGATGAGGAACAACAGAAACTAAGCATTGCATCCTCCACACACGCTCCCCTCGGCATGTTATTTGCCATTCATTTAGCAGGAAGCAGCACGACTCTCCTAGGATTTTCCTTAATCATCTAACTGGACGTTAGTTTCCTTTCCCAGAATCTTTCCCACACAACCCAGTATTGAGAACAAAAGGCTGGTACCAAAGGCTGGGACTTGGCAGAGCTGAAAAGATCATCATCTTCATCATCCCCAAACAGGCTCCCAACACTTGGCTCTAACAGCTAGAATAAACAAGACCCAAGTTCAATATCCAAAAGCAAAACAATTTACAAAGAGAACTAGGTGAGCTGTTGAGACAGCACCCAATACAATAACAAGTCATACTGTGGGGAACCATTTGGAACTGACCTTGGTTTTTTTGGTGCCAGCAAAAAGGTCAACATCTGGGTCATTGTCCTTTTGGAGCTTGTGGCTGAAAAGCAGCTCTTCATCCTGGAAGACACCTGTGCTCTTGGGGTGGGCATCAGGATCGCAGCCCTGGGAACAGGAGGGAAGGTCATGTGTGATTAGAGCTGTAAGAACTTATCTCAAGGAAGTTACATATGTAAAGATGGACACAACAAAGATGTCCCCTGCAGCTGTATTATATTAGCAAAAGGCTGGCCACAGCCTAAAAGCCACTCAGTAGGGGAATGAAACATTGACAAAATGGAATGCTATGGCGCTTCCAAAAATACCAGAAAATATATTTATAAATACAAAGTTTACATATATATATATATGTGTGTGTATATATATATATATATATGTGTATATATATATATATATATATATATATATATATATATACACACACACACATATATATATATATGCACAAGCTTTAGAGATAATCTTTCCAGGTTATATATATTATATAAACTTCGTATAGTATCTAAATTTTTTATTAGAAAAGCAATCCATTAGTTCCATAATGAGAAACATTTTGAAGGTAAAAAACATACAACTGAATGAATTCTCTTCATCTCATTTCCAAAGGGAAGAAGAGACAGCAGCTGACTCAAGCACAAACTACACAGAGTGGTCAAGTATGTGTCCCTCACCTGTAAGCACTGCAGGCCAAAGACCTGGCACAGGTGCGACCACAAGCCTTCCTATGGCTGTCCATCACTTCTGCCCTACTTTCAGACCCCGAGTGAGTCCCTTTTTTGTTTACTAGATATCTAACATTTAAAAGTTACCATCAACATTATTGGTTTGATAATATAATGCTCCAGACCTGACATTCTAAAATTCATCCCTATTTCCTTATCACAGCCACAGATTAAAACTTAACAAAAAGGCCAGGCATGGTGGCTCATGCCTGTAATCCCAGCACTTTGGGAGGCCAAGGCGGGTGGATTACCAGAGGCCAGGAGTTCGAGACCAGCCTGGCCAATGTGGTGAAACCCCACCTCTACTAAAAATACAAAGATCAGCCGGGTGTGGTGGCGTGTGCCTGTGGTTCCAGCTACTTGGGAGGCTGAGGTGGGAGAATCCTTGAACCTGGGAGGCAGAGGCTGCAGTGGGCCGAGATCATGCCACTGCACTCCAGCCTGGGCAACACAGTAGGACTCCATCTCAAAACAAAACAAAACAAAACAAAAAAACCAAAAAAACTAATGAAAAACTTACTTCTAACAAAATAAATCACATTAACAATAATTATTATTGTTACATATAAAAATGAGTTTAACACAGCAAGTAATGTTAAATATTTCACAACTGTGGAAAAATATTACAAAACCATACACAGTAAGAGACTGGGAGAAAATATATCAAATTAATCATATTCACTGTGTGCAGCTCTCATTTATAAATAAGCTTATAGTATTGGTATAACAAAAAAATTCATATAACATTTTTTGTAGAAATAAACATAGACTATTTCTTTGGTTAGATCTATAAAAAGGATTGGCAATCTATGACCTGCCAACCTGGTTTGCATAACATCACCATTGAGATCAAATTCATATACCATAAAATCTACCCATTTACGTATAAAATGTAATGATTTTTTGGTATATTCAGATCTGTGTATCCACTACCACAATCTAAGTTTAGAATATTCTCATCACCCCCAAAAGAAACCCCAAACCATTAGCAGTAATTATCCATTCCTGCTCACTGCTACTCCCAGCCCCCAGTAACTACTAATCTACTTTCTGTCTCCATTGATATGCCTATTCTGGACATTTCATATAAATGGAATCACATAATATGTGGTCTTTCATGACTGGCTTATTTTATTTAGAATGTTTTCAAGGTTCATCCATGTGGCAGCATGTATCAGTACTTTGCCTTTTTTATTACCAAATAATATTCCATTGTATGGATATACTATATTATGTTTAGCCATTGTTTCCATCTTTTGGCTATTATGAATAATGCTGCTGGGAGCAATCATATTCAAGTTTTGTGTGAACATGTTTTTATTTCTCTTGGATATGTACCCAGGAATAAAATTCCGGATTGTGTGGTAGCTTTATGTTATAAGAATTTGAAGAACAGCAAACTGTTCTCCAAAGTGGTTGTACTGTTCCACACTTGCAGCAGCAAGGAATGAGAATTTCCATTTATCCACATCCTTACCAACACTCGTTACTTCCCTTTTTTTTTTTTTTTTTATTATGGTCCTCTTCCCGGGTATGAAGTGGTATGTCACTGTGGTTTTGGCTTCCCTGATGCTGAGCATCTTTCTATATCCTTTTTGGCCATTTGTCTATCTTCTTCAGTAAAATCTCTATTCAGATGTCTGTCTTACCTATTTTTTTTCAGACAGGGTCTCGTTCTGTCACTCAGCCTGAGTGCAATGGTGTGATCACAGCCCACTACAGCCTTGAACTCCTGGGCTCAAAGGACTCTTCTGCCTCAACTTCCCAAGGAGATAGAACTATAGGAGCACGCAACCAGGCCTGGCTAATTTTTAAAATTTTTTGTAGAGACAGGATCTTGCTATGTTGCCCAGGCTGGTCTTGAACTCCCAGCCTAAAGCAATCCTCCCGTCCTGGTCTCCCAAAGTGCTGGGATTACAGGCATGAGCCACGACGCCTGGCCTATCCCTTCTTTCAACTGGGCTATTTGTCTTTTTATTATTGACTTATAAGTCTTTTACATATTCTGGATCTGAGTCCTTTATCAAATACATGATCTGTAAATCTTTTCTCCCATTTTGTGGGTGGTCGTTTGACTTTCCAGATGGTGCCCTTTGAAGCACAATGTTTTTCATTTAAATAAAGTCCAATTTAGCTATTTTTGTCACTTGTGCTTTTGGTGTCTTATCTAAGAAGGCTTTGCCTAATCCAAGGTCATGATAATTTACTCACATACTCTCTAGATTCTAGGAGTTGTACAGTTTTAGTTCTTACATTTGGATCTTACATTGGATCTGAGTTTATTTATTAATGGGTCCAACTTCATCCCTTTGCATGTAGATAATCAGCATCCTGGCACATCTGCTGAAGACTATTCTGTCCCCACTGAAATATCTTAGCACCTTAAGCAACTGACTGTAAATGTGAGGGTTTATTTCTAGACTCTCAATTCTACTTCACTGATCTATATATTTTAACCTTATGCCAATACCATCCTGTCTTAAAGTAAGTTTTGAAATCAGGAAGTGTGAGTCTTCTAACTTTGTTCTTCCTTTTCAAGACTGTTGGCTATTCTTGGTCTCTTACAGTTCCATAAAAATTTTAGGATCAGCTTGTCCATTTCTGCAAAAAGCAAGCTGGAATTTTGATAGAGATTACAATAAATCAATTTGGGAAGGAAGTATTGCCACCTTACCAATATTAAGGTTTCTGGTCCATAAACACAAGATGTCTTTCCATCAATTTTAGGTCTTTAATTTCTTTCAATGTTTTGTAGATTTTAGTTTACAAGTCTTGTACTTCTTTTGCTAAATTTACTCCTAAGTATTTTACCCTTCTTGGTATTACTATAAAAGAAACTGATTTCTTAATTTCATTCATAAGCTGGTAATTGCTTATGAAAGTTACTACTAGTAGGTTGGGTGCAGTGGCTCATGCCTGTAATCCCAGCACTTCGGGAGGCTAAGGCAGGTGGATCACCTGAGGTCAAGAGTTCAAGGTCAGCGTGGCCAACACGGTGAAACCCTGTCTCTACTAAAAATACAAAAAATAGCTGGGCATGGTGGTGGGTGCCTATAATCCCAGCTACTCAGGAGGCTGAGGCAGGAGAATCGCTTGAACCCGGGAGGCAAAGGTTGCAGTGAGCCAAGATTGTGCCATTTCAATCCAGCCTGGGGGACAAGAGTGAAACTCCATTGCAAAAAAAAAAAAAAAAGAAAGTTACTAGTAGTAACTTTTGTAAGTTAGTAAATGTTCATTACTAGCTTACAGAACTACAATTGGTTTTCACATATTGATCTTACATCCTTCAATCTTAATGACTTTATTTCCAATGGATGTTTTTTGCAGATTCCTTAAGACTTTCTATATAAAAGATCATGCCATCTGCAAATACAGATTGCTTCATTTCACTTTTTCCTTTCCAATCTGAATGCCTTTTATTTCATTTTCTCACCTACATGGCTTGCTTAGAATCCCCAGTACAAGGTTGATTAGAATTACCAAGAGTGGACATTGTTGTGTTGTTCATGATGTTAGGGTTGAAAAGCATGCAGTCTTTCACCATTAAGTATGATGTCAGCTGAGGGATTTCATAGATGTCCTTTATCAAGTTCATTAAGCTTCCTCCTATGCCTAATTGAGTGCTTTACCATGAAAAGGTTTGGATTTTATTAAAAGCTTTTTCTGCATCTGTTGAGATGATCATGCGCCTTTTAATTCTGTATTTTATTGATACAGTGCATTATATCAACTAATTTTAGATGTTGAACCAACCTTGCATTCCAGGGGTAAATCTCACTTCTCATAATGTGCAATCCTTTTTATATTTTGCTGAATTGGGTTTAGTAGTATTTTTGTTGAGGATTTTGGCCTCTACATTCATAAAGGATATCTAGCTTTCTGGTGATGTCGCTGTCTAGTTTTAATATCAGGGTCATACTAACCTCACAGAATGACCATCATCTATTTTTTTTTTTTTTTTTTTGAGATGGAGTCTCGTTCTGTTGCCACACTGGAGTGCAGTGGTGCGATCTCGGCTCACTACAACCTCTGACTTCCTGGTTCAAGCAATTCTCCTGCCTCAGCCTCCCAAGTAGCTGGGATTACAGGCAAGCGTCATCACGCCAAGCTATTTCTTGTATTTTTAGTAGAAACAGGGTTTCATTATGTTGGCCAGGATGGTCTCGATCTCTTGACCTTGTGATCCACCCACCTTGGCCTCCTAAAGTGCTGGGATTACAGGTGTGAGCCACCATGCCCAGCTGACCATCACCTATTTTTATTAATAAAACTTACTGGAACACAGTCATGCCCATCCATCTTCATGTTTCCTAGGGCTGTTTTCATGCTGCCAATGGCAGAGCTAGGCAGTTATGACAGAGCCCAAATAGGCTGCAAAAGCTAAAATAGTCATTATATGGTCCTTTATAGAAATAGTTTGCTGACACCTGATCAGTATGAAAGGTTCATCTACAACACTTTTTCTTAAACTGAATGTTAGAAATACTTAACTGTACAGCTCCAGCCTAACTTCCCTTTCCTGCTGTTTACATCCCACAACTGGCCAAGGGGCAAAGTTTTGCTAGAAGGAACAACAAGGTCTGTAAATCCCAGAAGAGGGGGGTGAAATTCTAATCCCCTATCCTAACACTGCTACTTGAGGTAAGAGTTCCTGATTAAGATTCCCAAATATCTAAATGACTGCACAGAATCATTAACACACTACATTGAAGGTTAAGATTCCTTCAGAAACTCACATGACAGAATGACAACCATGAGATGAGAGTCTTTTATCTCATCCAGAGACTTGAACCACTACTGCTTTTTGCTTACCTTTCCTACTTCTTTCTGTGGAGCCTGGATAATGTTTTGATCTTCCATTTTATCCTCTTCCTCATCAAACAAGCTAAGAACAGTTTTGGTTCTAGGCTTGGTTCCTTTGTCCCATGGGGATGATGAAGAAAATAAATCAGAATGCTTGACTGTTTCCTGAGCAGATCTAGTCAAAAGTCCTTCCTGAAAATGAAAATAATAGGGGGAAAAAATAAGTAACACCTGGAAATACAAATCCTATCATGGAGCCTGCCAAGCTTCTCGTTAATTCAGTAACTGCCACATTTGCATGACTCAGGGCACAGTGAATCACATCTGTGCCCAAGTAACAAAACACTGAGGTCAATTCTTGATTGGCTGCTCCAAGAGACAGTCTTGTACAATCATCCGTAGCCAAAGATAACTTTTCCAAGCATTAAGACCATGGGTCCCTCTCTCCTATCAAGTGATAGGACGGCTATAATCCTGATGCACACTGGTTGCTCATGAACTAGGAAGAACTTCTAAGTGTCAAAGATAACCAATACAAGTGCCAATCATTGGGAGTGGACCATGAATTCGTAGCATTTAACTAATACATAAGCCCCAAGGGGGAAATCTAATCAGGAAAATCAGACCCTCAAATTGTAAAAGGCTTACACTGTATAGGCAATTGAAGAAGAATCTCTGAAATAATTCTAAAATGCAGTATTTATTCATTCAACAAATGGCACATTTCAGGTAAGATACCATTGATTATGAGGTACATCCCGATTTCAGAGTACTCAAACTATTAAAAAAATGCTTCTTTAAAGAAATACAAAGTTTATAACATAGTGCCTACTGTGTGCAAGGTAATATGCCAGTACTACAGATATGATGGTGAGCAAAACAAACTGGGCCTAGTCCGCAAGGGGCTTACACTCAGGGAGAGGGCAGTACAGCAACCAGTCAGAGTCAAGTGTGGACCAGGACTGGGATAGGACTGGGGTCCACACACAGCCACTAGGAAGAGAATTTCACACAGGAACACAGGTACAAATGAAATGCTTGTATCACTGTAGCTCCAAGGAGCCTCAGCAGCAAATGCAAATGCAACGCTCTTCACACAGGCCCTGGGAGATCTTAGACCTAAGCAGCTGGACACACAGCGTATAAGAAAAGTTAGAGAAAGAAAAGAGGCATATAGAGACTGAAGGCAACCACAAAGCTGGATGCCCAGGTGTGGCCAGCAGAACTACCCACAGGCCTCCTGCAAGAGACGGCAGACCGTCCAGGACTTGAAAGCTAGTGTTTTAGAAAGAGTAGAAATTTCACTCTACTCTGTAATCCTTGCCAATATCATCTAAAAGTAAAAGGATGCTAAACTAAAATCTCCTTAAAACTGACATTTAAATTCAAGTGCACTTGGGGACCAAAGGAGGACCAAGGGTAACAGGAACACTGCACAGAAGAGAACAAGTTAGAAAGCAAAGATGCCATGACGTGACAGTAACCACAGAGACAGGAGCAGGCACACCACAGTGCGCACATGTCTTGGAGAAGGGCCGGGAGGAAAGGCCCTGCAGAGGCTTCCTGCACTGTGGGGACACAGCCTGCTTGTCTATGTTTTCAAATCTGTCTACAAATGGGCCATTTATTTTCTGTGGTCAAAAAACTTAAGGGGTTGGGTGTGTTTGAAACAACATACGAGAGACAAATGCATTCAAGTATACAAGAAAAAAAGTCCACCTTTTCTGACTCAGCCACATCAGTTCTCCCAAATTTTAATGACTCCTTGGCACTCTCAACCTTCTTATCCACAGACTTCACTCCAAGTTGTGCCTCCTTCTCTTCTTCATCGCTGAACAGCAAAGGTGGTGCCTCAGAGACAGTCTCTTTTTTCTACCAAAAGAAGAGTACATGACATCCACAACAATAAAAAAGTGTGTCTGACCAGCATGGCCATATACAGAACAAGCCCAAACCATCCTCTTAGGGCTTCAGCTAAATGTGATCAAGGAAGAGAGGACAGGATAGTGAAGGTAGCACCAAAAGGGAGAAGCAACAAACACCACCACCCGGGACTTGTGGACAGGACACTTCACGCCACCATATCACCTGTATCTGTCTACTTGTGTCTGTCAACCCCCATGCCTCCCTCCCTCAGATCCTTATCTCTGCCACCAGACGATCATGAGTCTCTCTCTCTGCCTCACTCCTCTTATATTTCAACTAGAAGACATTATCCAGCGTTGTCTTGCTAAAACAAAACACCTGCTGGATCAGGTCCTCTCCCAACCCAAACCAGCACTCCTTGCATGAAGCAAATGACACTCAGCAGATACCCCATTCTATCCCTCTACTCATATGCATCTCCTCCTTTCCCTGCTGTTCCTTAAGGTCGCTGCAAACTTTCAAACTTCCATGCCACGCTGCCCTCGATGTCTGTAGGTGCAAATCCTCCCCATCCTTCAAGCAGGGCCCCCACGCAGATGTCACCCACGGTCTCTGTCCTCTTCAGTTAAGTGTCAGTTGCTTTGTTGAATAAGCATAATATTTATCTCTCTACTTGACCCTTCCTTGACTTTCTTCCTAACTTATATAACAGCTAGCACACATCTGTTTGTCTGTTCATCTGAAAGGACTATACACTATATTTTCATGGACAGTCCCAGTGTTTTATACCAACTCAGTGTTCAATACAAGTCTGCAAGCACTTCAGCCCATTTCTCATCTCTTCCTTATCAGGGAGGCAGGGATTTGGGGACTAGGAAACTGAGGTTTGTGACTTTCCTGGAATTCATGGCATTTTTGCAGCAAGTGACTTATCAACAAGTGCTTGAGAAAAAACTAAAGCTCTATTATAGTATAGTACAGATACAAATCATACCATATGACACGAGGAAGTGTGCTTTGAGGCAATGCCTAAATCAAGTTAGGAAGGCAGATTTGGGAAACTAAGGAAGGACATTGCTAATCATGATTTTAAAATGTGATGAATGAAGAAAGAAGAGAGCAAGGGGATTTTTAGTTAGGAAGAGATAAGTAAAGTGCAAAACCATTGAACTTGACATAAAAGAACACTGGAAGGCATAAAGAATTTCAGAAGAGATAAGGCAACACTGAAGTGATCAAAGGAAAAGGCTTTTGTGGAACATCCTGGACTCACTGAAAACTACATAAAAATTCAGTGCAGGCCGGGCACGGTGGCTCACACCTGTAATCCAAGCACTTTGAGAGGCCAAGGTGGGCGGATCATGAGATCAGGAGATCGAGACCATCCTGGCTAACAAAGTGAAACCCCGTCTCTACTAAAGAAATACAAAAAATTAGTCGGGCATGGTGGTGGGTGCCTGTAGTCCCAGCTACTAGGGAGGCTGAGGCAGAATGGCGTGAACCCGGGAGGCGGAGCTTGCAGTGAGCCGAGATGCGCCACTGCACTCCAGCCTGGACGAAAGAGCAAGACTCCGTCTCAAAAAAAAAAAAAAAAAAAATTCAATGCAAATAGTTGATAGGGGAGACAAAAAGAGACTTAAGTATGGCAAATCATATTCTTCCTTCATATATAACTAAGGTCCTTAAACCACAGAAAATGCTACCCAAAGTACCAGTTTTAATCTTCTTGAAGACAAGCTCATCCTTGTCATGAAGTTTACTTCCTGTTTTTTTCTTTCTTTTTTTTTTTTTTGAGATGGAGTCTCACTCTGTTGCCCAGGCTGGAGTGCACTGGCACAACCTCAGCTCACTGCAAAATCCATCTCTCAGGTTCAAGCGATTCTCCTGCCCCAGCCTCCCTAGTAGCTGGGATCACAGGCGTGCACCACCATGCCTGGCTAATTTTTGTATTTTTAATAGAGATGGGGTTCCACCATGTTGGCCAGGCTGGTCCTAAACTTCTGACCTCAGGTGATCCACCCACCTCAGCCTCCCAAAGTGTTGGGATTACAGGCGTGAGCCACCGTGCCTGGTCAAATTTACTTTCTTGATAGGTGTCAGAAAATAAGGAAAGTCTGAAGAAAAAAAAATTGTCTAAAATGGCTGCATCTTGGCCATATGGGTAATAGAAACCGGGCCTATGAACGAAAGCTGAACCTCACCTGCAAGGCCAGAGTCTGTCAAATATCACACTGACAGGCACCGATTACAACCTGCCTATTGGATGAAGCACAAAGGCAGCACAAAATCAACCATCCCTCTCCTGACCCTGCAACTGCGACCCCTATGTACTCATTAGGGTAAAAGGCTAATGAGGAAAATACATTAACCACATATTTACTTTATCTTATATTCAATGTCATTGAGCACCAATCTGAATTAAGAAAGTCACCGTTGCTTCACTGCCCCCTTTTCCCATTTTCTATATAACAGAAATGTATAAATGCTGTGTCTCGTGTGGCCCACTCTGGGACGCATTCTCAGTTTGTGTGGAGTCTCTTTACTGGGCTAGTAGTTCTCAAGCTTGGCTCAAAACAAAACTCACATTACATTTCTTTAAGTTCTCCTGCCTGTGGTTTAACCTTTTGGTCAACATAGGCTTACAACCAAGTCACAATTAACTTACACTGAAATATCTGTAAACAAGAAATATCTTTTATTTACTATTGTCTAAAGATGATTATATTTCACAAATAATCAAAAACGTGTAGGCTATTCAGCTACTTAAGTTGTGTGTCTTGACCTTTTGTTTTATTTAACAATCATAATTACCATAGGTTGAAAGAAGTTTTACAGCTCCAGAGGCTCCAAAATTCATTAATTTATTGCTCAGTTATCCTCCAGAGTAGTTTATTTATAATTTACAAAGAAAAACCAATCAGATCTCCTGACTCCTTTAATTGTACAACCACTGGATGTCCTTAAAGGGGGAGATGTAAGTACAGAGCACCCAAGGAAAGGCTCAGGAGCCCCGTAGAAGCAGCAGCAGGGAGCCTGGGGCCCAGGGTGGGCAGCATGCTGGCCCAGGGCTGAGAGCTTCTGGTATAAGCTGAGCAACTCCATTTAACAGGAAGGGTCTTCTTCCATATCTCCTAGATATTTTTTGTTTGGAGTTTATTTCTAATTCCACAGTAATGCACAAATGCCTTCCTTAAAAAGGCTTTAAAAAGGCATTGAGAGTATGAAGTTCCCCATTCCATACCTTTCCCTGGACATAATCACTGGTAACAATGTGCTATCGATGCTTTCAGGCCGGTTTCCAGGCATTCATGTGTATTTCTTGTTTTGTAAAGTTTAAATTACACCATGTTTACGTGTTTACGCTTTTTTTTTTTTTTTTTTTTTTTGGCCTGCAGTATGTTTTTCATCCCAATAAGCTCCACCCTGGGTTTTTTTTTACCACTGTATAGTATTCCACAGTCTAACTGTACTAGGACCTGTGTGACCATTTCTCCACTGATGGAGTATAACGGCCTCAAGGTTCATGCATTTTGTAGCACATGTGAGAATTTCCTTCCTTTTTACTGACTGGCTAATATAAACCAGGACCAGTGTTAGTACTCGACACACACTCATAAAAGGAATGATTTTGCCTTAACTGGCCTAGTCTAATGTTAGCAGAATTCCATGCCAATGGGGCCCAAGCCTCTTCTGAGACCCAGTTCCTTGTGCCTACACCTGACACTGAATGATGGCTTTGCACGTGTGCTTCTTCTGTAGAATACTATTAATCAGAAGATCTCTTTCTGAAACCAGGCAAATAAGGTCTTCCATAAGACTCAGCCTCCAAGGTTAGGTATGAAGAGCTGATTCGGGGAAGTACCACTACTGATGCAGCATAAACTCAAGGACATTTCCTGGGACTAAGAGATGAAGAATACCTTTGTTGCAGGAGGAACAGATGTGGGAGGAGAGCCAAACAGAGAGCCTCCGCTATCAACATCGTCTTCAAAGAGGAGTGACACTCTCTGGGTCTTCTTTTGGCTACACAAACAAACAAAAGGTCAAATTAAGGAAAAGTGTGATGAAAAAAACAAAAACCATAACAACAATATTTCTTCTAGACTGCACCTACAGGAATCCACCTACCACCCAAACACCCAAGCCATTAGTTGACCTTACACAGTTGAAAGCAAACAGGAAAGACCTTTGAAATAGATGAAATCTGACTCCAACAAATCACCAGCCTCTGTCCCTCCTGCCTCAGGTTGCCCCTTTCCTGTTACTATCCAGTGCAGGTTCATCAGCTGTTACCGCTGCAAGGCACACGATGCCTGAGCCTTCCCAAGCAGAACATTCTCTCCCACTTCCTATAGCACAAAAAGAATCAAAGCGGACGTGCCTATTTCCAGAATTGTCATGAAGACGGTTGCCAAGAGAGATCACAGGGCCAGGATTAGCACTGGGAAATGACCCTGTGCCTGGCTTCTATTTCTTTTTTTTAGTAGCGTTATCGAGACATAATTTACATTCCATAAAATTCACCTTGTATTTACTCTATTTTTAATATTTATTTTACTTTTTAAGACAGGGTCTCACTCTACTGCCCAGGCTGGAGAGCAATGGCACAATCATATCCCACTGCAGCCTCAAATTCCTGAACTCAAGTGATCTCCTGCCTTAGCCTCTCAAGTAGCTACGACTACAGGCACACGTCACCATGCCTGGCTAATTTTTTTACTTTTTTGGAGAGGTGAGGTCGCTCTATGTTGCTCAGGCTGGTCTCAAACACCTGGCCTCAAGAGATCCTTCCACTTGGCCTCCCAATCAGTTAGGATTACAGGCATGAGCCGTTGCACCTGGCCAGATTCACTCTTTTAAAGTGCGTACACTTCAATGGTTTTCTTAATCCAGATTCACTCTTTTAAAGTGCATACTTCAATGTTTTCTTTAATATACTCATCGAGTTGTGCAATATCACTACAACCTAAGTGCACAACATTATCATGACCCCAAAAAGAACCGCCATGCCTATGAGCCATCACTCTCCATTCCCCCTGCCCCACAGGCCCTGGCAACCACTAATCTACTTTCTGTCTCTGTGGTTTATCTATACATTTCATATAAATGGAACAATACAATATGTGGTTTTCTGTGACCAGCTTCTTTCAAGTAACATAAAATTTTCTAGGTTCATTCATGTTCTAGGATGCATCACTACTTTATTCTTTTTTATTGCTGAAGAACAGTCTATCGTATGGTTATACATTTTGTTTATCCAGTCATCAGTTGATGGACATTTGGGTTGTTTACACTTTCGGCTGTTATGACTAAGGCTGCAATAAACACTCATGTACAAGTTTTTATATGAACAACTAATTTCATTTCTCTTATGTATATACATAGGAATGAAACTATTATGTCATATGGTGACTCTATGTTTAACATTTTGAGGAAATGCCAAACTACTTTCCAAAGTGACTACACCATTTTACGTTCCCACCAGCAGTGTATGAGGGTTCCAATTCCTCCACATCCTCACCTCAACTTCTTCTTGTGTGTGTAAAGCTTCTTTTGAGATCTGATGAAGGTATGAATTACTTTCCATACACAAAACTTGACAGACAACTTCGGGAACAATAGGAGGTAGGATGTATCTGGAGCAGAGAAAGCATTCCTGAAAGCCAGGTATGGTGTGTGGCTGGAACCAGGACCCACAAACAAGATGGGGTTCAGACTGCCAGATTTATGACCTTGTGTGGGGTGGGGGTAGTGGACACTCATGGGAATAAGCTAACCTGGATACAGTGCAGAAAATGCTCAGCTGAGGGTGTTGGGGTATGAAGGTGGAGCCATGTCTGCCCTCTACTCCCTATTTCTTCTCTTTCTTGTCTGTTTAAAGTTAGGAAAGGCCTTTTTTTTTTTTTTTTTTTTTGAGATGGAGTCTCTCTCTGTTGCCCAGGCTGGAGTGCAGTGGTGAGATCTTGGCTCACTGTAACCTCTGCCTCCCAGGTTCAAGCAATTCTCCTGCCTCAGCCTCCCGAGTAGCTGGGATTACAGGTGCGTGACACGACGCCCAGCTCATTTTTGTATTTTTAGTAGAGACGGGGTTTCACCATGTTGGTCAGGCTGTTCTTCAACTCCTGACCTCGTGATCTGCCTGCCTCGGCCTCCCCAAGTGCTGGGATTACAGGCGTGAGCCACTGCGCCCAGCCGGGAAGGCTTCTTAAGAAACTTACACTTAGTTTTGAAAGAAGGTGGCCAGGCAACACAGGAAGAAGAATGTCCCAGGAGAGAGCAACAAAAATAAAGGAATGTACTATTTCCCTGCAGTCACGATGCTAACTGGCAATACCTGAGGGCTCAGAATGTGCCAGCTCTTGTGCTCAGCGTTTCACATTTAGATTCCACCTCATCATCCCAACAAACCGATGAGAGAAATGCTGTTTTTATTTTTGTTTAACAAATGAGGAAATTGAGGCACAGGGAAGTTAGGTAACTTGCCCAAGGTTATTCAGACAGGAACTGGCAGAATCAGAATTTAATATCAACTTTCCAGAGCCTATATTCTAAATCAGAGACCAAAGATGCATCCGAGTGTCAAGTTACAGAGGCCTAATGCAGAAATGGTGATGCTTGACAAGATTCGAGTATTTGGAGACAGAAACCTGAGGTACTTCTGAATCTATCAAATGACGCTTAACCACACCAAAGCATAGGATTTACATGTCCAATCAGTTACTTCTTTCTGCTAATAACATTCAGGTGAATTTCAAAGTAATCATGTCAGGCTTTCAAAAGGAAAAAAAGTATTTGCAGGGAAGTAATTCTGAACCCATAAGCTAATCTGGCAGCATGTTATACCAACCACAGCCCACGCTCACTCTGAATATCCTAGCAGCTTCAGTTCCAGCATTAATGGGGAGAGGCACCTAGGTTGGCTATGGGTTATCAGCCCCTGGAGTGATACTGCACAGCTCTACAGGGAACTTCCTCCTAACAGGATGTGTTAAATGCTGAGCAGATTTCTATTCAAATAACTTTTTTTTTTTTTTTTTTGAGATGGAGTCTTGCTCCGTTGCCCAGGCTGGAGTGCAGTGGTGCCATCTCAGCTCACTGCAACCTCCACCTCCCGAGTTCAAGCCATTCTTCTGCCTCAGCCTCCCAAGTAGCTGGGACTACAGGCGCGTGCCACCACACCCGGCTAATTTTTATATTTTTTTAGTAGAGACAGGGTTTCACCATATTGGCCAGGCTGGTCTTGAACTCCTGACATCGTGATCTGCCCACCTCGGCCTCCCAAAGTGCTGGGATTACAGGCGTGAGCCAACGTGCCTGGCCTAAAGTAACTTTTAAGTAATCCTGACCAAACCTGACATACTTTAGAGTAGCCCAGAGAAAAATCACAAACAAAAGATACTCAAATCCCTGACAAACAAAGAAAAAGAATATGGTTAAAAAATAATGATTGGGGAAGAAATCAGATAAGGATCCACAAAGACAAACATTTCCGGGTACTGAGGGAAAAGATGGTGCCATTGAAAAGCAAAGACATTCTCACTGGCACAATCACTATGTGATCCATGATTAGCAATCACCCGATGAACTAGATTGTGCATCAGATTCCTTTTCTTGTTACCACGGTAATGGAGTGAGGGACTCCTTCCAATGACTATCTCACCTGTCCTTGGCAATGGCAAAAAGATCATCTTCTTTGTCTTCCTCAAAGAGACTGGTCTTTTTCACAGCCTTGGCCTCCTGGCTCTGGAGGGTCCCAGAATCCCTGGGTTCTCCTTTAGACCTGCTGTCAGATGCTAAGTGGGTCTGTGAAGCAGGAATATTCCACTGGTCCTTAAAACATAAAATATATATTAAAACTCCAGGCCAGGCGCAGTGGCTCATACCTATAATCCCAGCACTTTGGGAGGCCGAGGCGGGTGAATCACGAGATCAGCAGATCAAGACCATCCTTGCTAACACGGTGAAACCCCATCTCTACTAAAAATACAAGAAAATTAGCCGGGCGTGGTGGCGGGAGCCTGTAGTCCCAGCTACTTGGGAGGCTGAGGCAGGAGAATGGAGTGAACCCAGGAGGCAGAGCTTGCAGTGAACGGAGATCGTGCCACTGCACTCCAGCCTGGGGGACAGAGCGAGACTCTGTCTCAAAAAAAAGAAAAAAAACTCCAATGGCAATTTAGATTATAAAACATGGGGAGTAAAATCAAACTTATATTTGTTAAACTAAGTTGTATTTAAACTAAGTATTAAACTTAGTGCATCAGTCTTGAAGAAAGCTCATGCTTAAGACTTTTCTTTGAACTCAAATCTAGACAGCTGGGCTCTCTGACCTCACAGAGCTTCTCATGATTTCCTCCTCCAACACCTGCCACGATGTCTCTTCCCAATGTGGTTCTGCACTGTATTACAAGCGACTTGTCTATTTCAGGGAATCAACATTAATTACAGAGGCTATAAGAAGGAAGCCAAATGTAAAAATACCAAGAACTCAAGAACTTCCAACTCCAGAGAAGAATATTTTAATTTTAAAAATCCTAAAGCAGATTGAAAAAAAAAGTGTAAAAACTCACGCAACACACATGTGAACAAGACACAATGAAAAACTGCTAGTAATCCTTTTACCACAAGTCTGAATGTGGCCTTTAGAAAGCATTTAAGGGAATTCTACTCAACTATGCTCACACCCCTTCAAATCAAAGAACTCCCAAGCACTTGCATAAGTGCTCTATCTCTGGAGTCTAGAGTCTTGCAAACCAAACTGGAGTCCACAAGCCAGCAGCAGATTATGCAGAATTTCAGGCCCCGCCCCTATTTTCTGAATCAGAACCTGCATTTCACAGGGTGCCTGGGTGATTTCCTAAACATGAAGGTTTGAGAAGTGCTCCTCAATGTTTAGCAGTGACTAAACGCTGAAATCCACTAGAGAGTATCACAAAACTCCAATGACGAGGCTGTACCCCAACCAGATTAATTCAGAATCTCTGGAGCTGGGATCCACTGTCAGCACTCGTTAGGTCTTCTCTTTCTTTTTTTTTTTTTTTTTTTTTCCTTTTTCGAGACAGAGTCTTGCTCTGTGGCCCGGGCTGGAGTGCAGTGGCGCGGTCTCGGCTCACTGCAACCTCTGCCTCCCGGGTTCAAGTGATTCTCTTGCCTCAGCCTCCTGAGTAGCTGGGATTACAGGCAAGCACCACAACACCCAGATAATTTTTGTATTTTTTAGTAGAGACAGAGTTTCGCCATGTTGGCCAGGCTGGTCTCAAACTCCTAATCTCAGGTGATCTGCCCACCTCCTTGGCCTCCCAGAGTGCTGGGATTACAGGCGTGAGCCACTGTGCCCGGCCTGTCAGCACTCTTTTAAGTTCCCCATGGATCCCAATGAGCAGCCGAAGTTGACAGCCTTTGTTCTAGGACAAGCTTGTCCAACCTGTGGCCCATGGGCCACACACAGCCCAGTATGGCTTTGAATGCGGCCCACCACAAATCTGTAAACTTTCTTAAAACATTATGGGATTTATGCACGAACCTTTTTATTTTTTTAGTTCGTCAGCTATTGTTAGTATTAGCGCACTTTATGTGTGACCCAAGACAATTCTTCTTCTTCCAGTGTGGGCCAGGGAAGCCAAAAGACTGGACGCCCCTGTTCTAGAACCTTGGCTGTCTTTCTTCTGCATGTCTTTTTGCTCCAAGCTTTAGGTAATGTTTTTATTTTCCCTGAACCACTATAATACTCTAGTAGGAGCAACTACACTGATGTCTGGCTGTTGCTACAGGGGGAACAATCACTGACAATGTTTAAAAGAAAAAAACTGGATAATCTATCATAAATTCATACATTTGAGTAGAAAACACAAATTATATATGCTTGGGAGTTCCTTGATGTGAAGGCATGAGCACAGCTGGGTGGGAATTCCTTAAACGCTTTCTAAAGGCCAGACTCAGACTTTTGTAGTAAAAGGATTACTAGCAGTTTTTCATTGTGTCTTGTTCACATGTGTGTTGCATAAGCTTTTTTTTGAGACGGAGTTTCGCTCGTTGCCCAGGCTGGAGTGCAATGGCGTGATCTCGGTTCACGACAACCTCCATCTCCTGGGTTCAAGTGATTCTCCTGCCTCAGCCTCCTGAGTAGTTGGGATTACAGGCATGCGCCACCACAACCTGCTAATTTTTTTGTATTTTTAATAGAGACAAGGTTTCTCCATGTTGGTTAGGCTGGTCTCGAACTCCCAACCTCAAGTGATCTGCCTGCCTCAGACTCTCAAAGTGCTGGGATTACAGACGTGAGCTACCACGCCCGGCCGCATAAGCTTTTAATACATTTTTTTTTGCAATCTGCTTCAGAATTTTTAAATTGCTTTCAGTAAGGACATGAACATATCTATGACTTATATATCCACTTCACCCCCTACTAACTTGCCTACAATGTTAAAAAAAAGAGGAATTATTATAACACAGGAAGATGTTTAATACTCAGGATTTTTTATATCATCATATTTAAAGTCTTTTTCTGCACAGCTAAATCTGATTCCCTGCTACTAAATCTGATTGAGTTAGCAACTAAACTAACTGATTTGGTAGTATCTATCCAGATCACAAACAGAAATATTGTTAAGACTCCCTCAAAAAGGAGTTTAACCTCAATAGGTAACTCCTCCTAACTATAGTTCTAAATTAATGAAACACAGTAGTCATTTAACAAGATACTAGTATATATGGCCATTGGGGTATACGGGACATGCTACCTCAAAATATGACACCTTGGCATTTGAGAAAACAGAAGCAGAAAGGTCTCTCTGACCTTTCCCTGGCCCTTCTCCTCTGAAGCAGGACATAGAAGAATCCTCTAACCCTCTCTGGAGTAGGTCATAAAACCTTCATTCCAGTCCTCCCTATTCCCAGAGGAAAGGAGCCTCCTTATTTGTAAAGATGCAGAGAATGATCTGACCACACAGGCCTTGCTGAGCTCCCCCCAGCTTATTCCCATCAGGTCACACCCCTTTCATCTAATCGTGCTCCCCCAAAACTGTCCGCTTCTTCATCAGACTGCATAAAATTGACACAGGATTTCCTGTTTCTCTTGAGTTTTTCTTTCTGAAGGCTCCTGTGTCTGGTAAAACTTATCTTACGTAAACTTGCACACTTTTCTCTGGTTAATCTGTCATTTGTTCTAAGGGACTCGACCATGAACTAGCGATGGCTGAGAAATCATTTCCCCCCTAGCCGGCCTAACTCATTTGAAGGAGCATACACTATTGTGTGGGAGTCATACTTATTCCTAACCATTTTGAAGAGATTCATCTTTAAATTAATATATTACATTAAATGTCTTCCTTCAGAAAAGACAATCTTGTGAACATCGCCTTTGGTGACTGAACATCACGAGATATAAAACAGGTAGAAAAAGACTTGGGATGGCTTTAACTCTTAAATCCCATGAAATAATCCCCTCTTTTTTAGCAGAAACCTCAGCTCACCTCCTCATCACTGCTGAACAACAGGGCAGATGCTTTCTTTTTGGAGAGCTCGGAGGCTTTTGCTTTCTCTTCTCTCTGAGCTTGTAGAGACAATGTCTGCTTCTTAGCAGCTGTACCCCCAAAAAGATTATCCTAGAAAAGCAAATGGCAGAAAGGTAAGACAACTTTATAATCAGAAAACATAGGATGTCCTCCTATATCAAACTTTAAGGAAGTAAGTCTCCAGTCAGGTATACAAATAACAACTCTGGCGGGGAAAAACCGCAAAATGCTAGTAAATCCCAAACTACAGCCTTTTCTCACTGCACCCATAGAAGGGAAAGAGATTACCATAGAACTCGAAGGCAGAACAGCTGCATATAAGCAGGAGAACAACATGCAAATGAGATCATGAAGTACAAGGAGAAACTGAGCCCCATCCAGTC
The DNA here is from genome assembly GCF_000001405.40 of Homo sapiens. Taxonomy (NCBI): domain Eukaryota; kingdom Metazoa; phylum Chordata; class Mammalia; order Primates; family Hominidae; genus Homo; species Homo sapiens. The sequence continues at coordinate 45,765,385 of NC_000010.11, read as the reverse complement.
ACCCTGTGGGCAAGTGCCTCTCTGCTCATTTCAGGTGGTTACAGCCTGCGATGGGCACGGGAGCCCCCGCAGCAGCCAGAAACTCACACTGTTGTCTCCACGAATGAGAAACCAGAACAATGGCTGAAAGGAGAGAACTGGGGGTCTGTCTCCACTCCTTTACAGGTCAGAAAGACATACACCTGGGATGGAGGGAAGGCATGACTTGTGTTTCTCATTAGTTTCAAAGAGATTATACAAAGTGGAGAAATAGCTTACTAAATAAAATTGCTGGTGTACTAAGTTTAATGGCATTTGTAAATTCTTCTGTGGTCAAGCACTCCCCAAAAGTTATATTTATTAAGGTGCTTTTATTCAGATAAGGGGAACAAAAGCATCAGAGGGCCTGAGTCTGAGTTAGGATGGACAAACTCAGGTGAACAGCCCTGGAATGTGAAGATGGATGAAGGGAGTGTCTTCCTGGATGAAGTCTCCTTTAAGGAGAGTGCGGTAATGTAGGACAGGCCAGGAGAATAATGAGCTGGTGTCCATTGGGGATGCTAATGACAGAGCTCACATTCACTATGCACTTATTATGTGCCGGCACTCTGCAAGAGCTTCACACTAGTAGTTACAGCTGCCACAGTGACCCTACTCACTGTTAAGCCACATGAGCTTAAGGAAGGTTAAGTTACTTGCCCCAGGTTCCTGGTTTGCAAGTGGTGGAGCTGGGATATGAACCCAGGGGTCTGATGGCAAAGCCTTTGAGCTCACCACCGCCCAGTACTGCATGAGAGTTAAGGTTTGGGTTGTCTTCTCTCTTATTTCTCTTCCCCACTGTGCTCTCTCCAGCCAGGACGGGAAAGAAAGACAATGGTCAGGACATGGCTGCCTCCTCCTTTGTATCTCCACTTGATCCAAAACATTCTTGTAGGTCATTGGGTATATGTTGATCCATCCTCTAGACTAAAGTACAGCTCACCCTGAATGACACAGGTTTGAGCTGCACAGGTCCACTTCTACACAAATGTTTTCTCAGTAATATGTTGAAAATTTTTTTGGACATTTGCAACAATTTGAAAAATCTTGCAGACAAACCATGTGGCCTAGAAATATCATAAAAAAAATAAGGAAAAGCTGGATATGTCAGGAATACAAAAATATATAAATAGATATTATACTATTTATATGTTAATCACCTGTTTATGTTATCCATGAGGCTTCTGGTTAACAGTAAGCTATCAGTAGATAAGTTTTTGGGAAGTAAGAAGTTATATATGGATTTTTCACTGCAATGTGGAAGTCAAAATAACCTCCACACTGTTAAAGGGTCAATTGTATTTCTCAAAGGCAGATTTCTAAAAATAAAACCTGTAGATTTCACTCCATAAGAACTGTGTCAAGAAGCCAGGCACGGTGGCTCACACCTGTAATCCTAGCACTTAGGGAGGCCGAGGCAGGCGGATCACCTGAGATCAGGAGTTCGAAACTAGCCTGGCCAACATGGTGAAACCCTGTCTCTACTAACAATACAAAAATTAGCCGGGAGTGGTGGTGCGTACCTGTAGTCCCAGCTACTTGGGAGGTCGAGGCAGGAGAATCACCTGAACCCGGTTACAGTGAGCCAAGATCGCATCACTGCACTCCAGCCTGGGTGACAGAGAAAGTCTCCAACTCGGAAAAAAAAAAAAAAAGAACTGCGTCAAGAATCTAATGTCTTCTCCATTGCACAGCTAGGAAAATATAAGGAAGAAGTCACTGAAATAAAAACAGAAATATTTTTGTTATATAAACTTCAGGTAGCCTGACTGCTTCCCTACCACCTTTTGCTAGTATATGAGCCTCTGGGTAGAAAGTTACATCAACAACCGTTTTCTCCTAATCTAAATTATCTAGTGTTACAATAACAATGTTTACCTCTTCATCTTCATCATCAAACAGGGAAACCGACGTGGGGAGCTTGCCAGGCAGCAGAGATGCACCTTTTAAGTTACTCGCACTTTGAGAAGAAAACAAATCCTGTTGGATTGAAATTAAAGTTGCTGGTTAACAGGAATATCAGTTTTTAAAATATCAGGTCAGTATAAAACACAAGTGACTCAGACATGACAGCTGCCATGTGTCTAGGCTTCTTTCCTGAGAGGGAAGGTGGCTCAGACAGAGTCCTTAAAGGGATAGGCCTCAGGGTCTGTGCAGGGTGTGTGCAGTGGCGCTAAGGAGGAGGAGAGCTACAGGATCTGGTGGGCTCGCAGAGCCCAGGGGCTTCTGTATTCCCACCTGAATGACAGAAGGCAGGAATAAGTTTTTGAATCAATTTCCTACACCATGCTAAAAAAATAAATATATAAGCATGGCTTCCCATTACTGTCTAAAGAATCAGAGATTAGACAGGGTCAATAAAGAAACAGGGGCTAGATTCCCAAATTAATGGAGCTACAACTATTTTATTTAGTAACACCCTCCTCTCCTAAGATTATGACTTACTTCTTTTTCTTTTTTTTGAGGCAGAGTCTCGCTCTGTTGCCCAGGCTGCAGTGCAGTGGTGCAATCTCGGCTCACTGAAAGCTCCGCCTCCCGGATTCACACCATTCTCCTGCCTCTGCCTCCTGAGTAGCTGAGACTACAGGCGCCTGCCACCACGCCCGGCTAATTTTTTTGTATTTTTAGTAGAGACGGGGTTTCACCATGTTAGCCAGGATGGTCTCGATCTCCTGACCTTGTGATCCGCCCGCCTCGGCTTCCCCAAGTGCTGGGATTACAGGCTTGAGCCACCACACCCGGCCGACTTATTTCTTTTAAATAAATACAAATTAAACTTTATTTTTAAATGTTTGCTAGTCTACTTAGCTTAACTATAGGTATATGACGTTGCAAACCAGGATAAGACCTGATAGATTCTAAAGAAACTTTCAGCTCGGTGCTGTGGCTCATGTCTATAATCCCAGCATTTTGGGAGGCTGGGGCAGGCAGATCACCTGAGGTCAGGAGTTCAAGACCAGCCTATATTAATTTTGTAAAAATACCAGATTAGCCAGGTGTGGTGGTGGGTGCCTGTTATCTCAGCTACTCAGGAGGCTGTGGCAGGAGAATTGCTTGAACCTGGAAGGCAGAGGTTGCAGTGAGCCAAGATCCCACCATTGCACTCCAGCCTAGGCAAAAAGAGTATAATTTCATCTCAAAATAGCTAAAAAATATAAAAATCAAGAAATTTTCAAAATGTTATAAAACATCAGCTTATCCTGCAAAGAAAGACCTGCAAGTTGACCTACATGAAGTAGAAACATAAAATGGGACATCTATTCCCTTGGGAAGATAAACTTCAATACACAAGAGCCGAACAATTAAATAGGACAAGAAGATATTTCTAAGACCTCTTTGGACAGTTTTTTTTTTTTTTTAATTATGGGGTCGCTGTCTACTCCTAAATATAGACCTAATGAGTTCACTAAGTGAGATCTCCTCCACACAGTGTTTTTCCCCTGTGCTCCCCGGAGTCCCATGGGTTTATTTAGATAGAAGAGGCCACGTGGGGGATTCCAGGCATCCCGTGCCCCTCCTGCATGTTACACAATGGCAAGAGAAAGGGTTCTGCTGTTCTAAGAAAATGAAAGTAAACCAAAGCAAAGAACAAAAACAAATGTCAACATCACAGTTTCGGACCCTTAACTGATACCTTTCTTGGTACTGCAAGAAAAGACACTTCCGTTACCTCAAATATGTTCCCCCAAAATGACTTCACAGGGCAAGCTTCAGCCTCACACTTCAGATATAGAGAAAGGAGTCAGGACGCATTCCTTTGGGTCCAAAGCTTTAACTCTTACTTAGACTGCCTTAGTTTTACTTCTCCTTGCCTCAGAATCTGAACAATATCCAATAAAAACATTCACTCTATGATGACACACATGGGGCAAAGCCTTTGGTAGGGTTTTCACACAAGTCTGAGAGTACATTTACACTCCCACCATCAAGAAGGGGAGCCTATGGCCTCTCCCCATAAACCTGGATGGGCCATTGTGACCATCTTGACCAACAAATGAAGGAAAAGGACCACCGTTGACTTCCAAGGCTGGAACACAGAAGGCGACATGGCCTCCATCGGGCTCTCTCTGAGGACTCTCCCCTACAGCCCTGAGCCAGTATGTAAGAGGACCGGCTTCCCTGACTACATGCTGGGAGCCACACAGGGCTAGTGAGAGATGTCCCAGGGGCCCCAGTGCCCAGGTACCAGACATATGAGTGAGCTGACCCTCAGCCCAGCCACCTTCAGACACAAGAGACCCTCAGTGACAACGGCCTAGCTAAGCCCAGTCAACCTCTCGAACTGTGAGACAACAAAACTATGGGTGTTATGAACCACTAGGTTTTTGAGTTACTTGTTTCATAGCAACAAATAACCAGAACATCTCGTAAGTCACTGAAATTGCTCACATTTGGTTTTCTTGTCTAATCAACAATTACTGGATGGCTTACAACATGCCAAGCACAGGTATTAAGGACGGGGTGTTAGGGATACAAATAGGGAATACAAAGTCCTGCCCTCATGGCACGTACTTTAGTGGGAAGTAGAGACAATGAATAAGCAAATATACACTGTCCCTGGCAACACGTGCTGTGGTAAACAGTGAAATAGGAAAGAGGACCAGGAGCACAGCGTGGTATGTGCTAGCAGGCTTCCTGTTGTGTGTATTTCATCAGCGAGGCCTCACAGAGAAATCGAAGAGTGAGGAAGAAAGCTGGATTCTGGGAACAGCATTCCTCAGAGTGGCAGGGGCCGGTGCAAAGACCCCGAGGTGCAGGTGTGGGTGACACAGGGGATCCATGAGCATAAGACGGTGGAGGCCCCATCATGCTGTTTCTCAGGGGTCAGGGTTGTGACTTGACTGGACTTTGGTTAATTGCCATGTTTTGTACACTCGCCTTCAATGAAATAATAGCCTCAAAGGTATTCTTTACGTCAAGGGCAATCACTATACTTCCAAAGGGTTCCATGTTCATCCTTGCTGTGAGTGCAAAGCCCAACCATGACAGCCTAACCTAGAGCCCACAGTTTCTTGAAATACATGTAAGTTTCTGCCATGTCCACATGTTTTTCTGTAAAAGGGGCTTATTATTTCCCATTACATTTCTCATACAGGTCTCCGATCTCCTAAAAGGCCAACTTAAAATTGGATCTAAGACGACCTAGGCCTGAGAGACTCAGGAAAAGCAGTGAAATTCTGAGAGGTGGTTCTAAGGTGCCTGGAGGGACCAAAGCAACCTATGAACCAGGGTCCCAGAGGCTGTTAGTGGTCTCAGTCTCGACAAGACAGATGGCTATGCCAGAACCCATCTGCTACAGCATTAAGCCACGGTCTAGTTAGTGAGAATGTGAATAAAGGAAGTAGCATGGTGACCTCCACTCTGGTGCAAGCTCCTCATCACATCATGAGCCCATGAACAGTTTAAAATCTGAGCATCCTAAAGAGAGAGGATTTTCATCCCAGGAAATGTAAATACAGTCCAACCCAAAGTGAAAAGTATTGTAAACATATTGCTTTCTAAAGCCCCTGTGCTCTCAAGAGATTATTTTTTATTCATTTATTTATTTTGAGATGAAGTCTCGCTCTGTCGCCTAGACTGGAGTGCAATGGTGTGATCTCGGTTCATTGCAACTTCTGCCTCCCGGGTTCAAGTGAATCTCCTATCTCAGCCTTCTGAGTAACTGGGATTACAGGCTCGCACCACCATACCCGGCTAATTTTTGTCTTTTTAATAGAGACAGGGTTTCATCATGTTGGCCAGCCTGGTCTCCAACTCCTGACCTCAGGTATCCGCCTGCCTTGGCCTACCAAAGTGCTGGGATTACAGGCATGAACCACCACTCCTTGCCTCTAGAGATAATTTTTAAAGAACTGGAGTACTTAACAAAAAGTCTTATAACTCTATTGAGAAAAACCTGATTCAAAAATAGTTTCTATGTCATATCCATAGACTAATACCCACAACTAAGCAAAAGAATTCCATACCTCAGAGTCCTCCTCATCTGAAAATAAGCCTTTTTGAGTCTTTGTTTCTGATGAGGGCTTGAGATTTTTGCTGTAAGATAAGGTAACCTTTGTCGGGGGTGGGGGGGGGGTGGGGAAGAAAAAAAGAAAAAGAAAAATTAAGCATTAACACGTAAGATACCCAGAAAAGAGGGTTTACTCAATCAATCGAGAAAACGCACGGAGTCTCTGCTGTGATAGGCAGCAAGCTGAGGGGGCTGTTAAGAGAACAGCAAGACAAACAGAGGACACATCTGGTGTATCAGGGAGCAGGACACACAGTCTGGGTCAATGGGTGCACAGATGGGACATATGCAATGAGAGACAGCATGGAAAGACAGGCTGCCTGACGGGCCTGACAGGTTCTGAATGCTGGGCCTTAGGTGGTCGGCAGGAGAAAGTCAGGGCTTCACAGCCAGGACATGACACAAAGAGACAAAACTGTAGAAAGAGGAGGGACCAGCTGTACAGGACAGCAGTGAAAGGACAAGCAGTCAGAAGGGCTTAAAGACTGCTGGGGACACACACACTGGCCAAATGCAGGTCAATCTGAGCATCAAAAAGAATGATGGTTTGGCCAACATGGGCAAAACCCGTCTCCACAAAAAATTAGCCGGGCATGGTGGCGCACGCATATAGTCCCAGCTACTTGGTAGGCTGAGGCTGGAGAATCGCTTGAACCCAGGAGGTTGAGGCTGCAGTGAGCTGTGATTGTACCACTACACTCCAGCCTGGGCAACAGAGCAAGACCCTGTCTCACAAAAAAAAAAAAAAAAAGAAGAAGAATGATGGTAATGGATTATCATCTACACTGAAGAATGAATACATGATCCCAAAGCAATACTAAAAATCGGGGAAGGAGGGGGAGAGAAAGAACTTTATTCAGAAGAATGCCAACTAATAAGAAATATAGAATTAAAAAAATAGTGGTTTGTGCCCGCTAACAGATTAACTGAGTCAAGAAAAGATCATCAGTGGATTTTCAAAACACTGAGTAAAAGGCTGGGAGAGAACAGGTATTCACACTGTGTTCAACTATCACTTTAGAGATCAACTGAGCAATGGCAAAAGAGAACAGGGTACCTTTCCAATGAAGCAGTGTGGTGGGCACCCTAACAACCAAGTGACAAACGTGTCTGAATGAGGCAGACAGTGGACCTGATGTGTCTTGGGAGGTGATCCAACTGGAAGTGCACAACCCTGCCTGCTTGTATTCTTGCCAAAACTTCTCACCCTGAATCTATTCATAGGAAAATAATCAAGCAAATTCACGAGACACATTCTACAAGACAAGTGGCTGGATATTAAAAAAAAAAAGATGTGGGAGGTGTTGCTCTAGATTAAGGAGACCAAAGAGACATGACAACCAAATGCAATGCAGACACACTGTCCGAATCCTGAGTTTCTTAGAACAAAAAAAAAATCAAAACATAAAAAAATACTATAAAGCAGGGGTCCCCAACCCTGGGCTGCAGACCAGTCCATGGCCTGTTAGAAGCCGGGCCGCACAGCAGGAGGTGAGGTGAGCAGCAAGCATTACTGCCTAAGCTCCTCCTCCTGTCAGATCAGTGGCAGCATCAGATTCTCATAGGAAGGCAAACGCTATTGTGAACTGTGCATGCGAGGGATCTAGATTGCAGGTTGCACTCTCCTTATATCCCTAATGCCAAAAAGGTTGGGGATCACTGCCGTAAATGGCATTTTGGGGACAAGAGAGGAAATTGCAGTATGAACTATATGCGAGATAATTTTAAATCTGTATTCTATTTGTTGGGGTGATTTTGCAAAGACATTCTGGGGCAACTGGAGCAATTCTAATACAGACTAGATATTAGATTCTACTATAGAATTACTGTTAGTCTCACAGCTGTTGATAATGGCATTGTGCTTATATGGAAGTCTTTTCAAGAGAGGCTTAATGAAATATTTAGGGGTAGAATGTCACAATGACTACATGGAAACAGTTCCATGCAGCAAACAGTTCAAACAACTTACATGCAAATAGTTCAGGAAAAAAATAGATATGTAACAAGGTTTACATCCATAAAGTGTTTGCCAAAACCCTAAGAACTGATCAATCTGGGTGGCAGTTATTTGGGTGTTCACTGCAATGTTCTTTCCACTTTCTGTTTGAAGTTCTTCAATATGAACGTGAAAGGGAACAGTACTTCCCTCTGGGTTCCGGATGAATTATTAAAATGCTGCAGATCAATGCTCCTGCGTTAAGTCTTCCCTCCTGCTCACCTTTTTTTCTGCTCTTGCTTTATTTTCATCTGTCTGACTCACAGTGGCTTCTGGCGATGCTACGGCTTTTTCTTTGAACAGATCTCCTTCTTCGTCACCAAAGATATCGGCAGTGGATTGGACTTTGCCTGTAAAAAATACCAAGGCATAAAATGACACTAACGTCAAACATCCTATCACAAAATTCACAGATTAAAAAATTCTTCCCTCCCAAAGAATAAACATAAAAAGTTATGTTGTTTCTTGATTAGTTATAAAGAAATAGTAAGTGGAACTATACTCTTCCCTTGGAATTTTTCAAAGTGCATAGTAGCAGTTCAGTTGAAAGACAGAACAGATAGTTTATCCACGTGGCTGACATGCTTATCCAAGCAGCCATTTCCTGTGCTTAGAGTAGCTTGGACTGGCTTACAAGGTGAAGAGAGATCTAGAGGAAGAAAGATCATTTAAGAGGGCCACCAAGTCAATCATCTAAGGAATCTGAGAAATGAAGGCTTGGCTCCTGCTTTAAAAAAAATCAAACTGTACAAAAGCAGATAAAAGCAAATAATGAAATCCCCTCATAATTCCACCAGTCTACTCAAACAAGATGAACATTGGGAACAGTTCAGCATACATGCTTCTAATTCCCCCAAAGGATGTACTAATGAATTAACACTAGTTATTTATAAATAAGGCTATAAATAAGAAGATAATTTGAACAATGTCTTACCATTTGTGTTTTCCACTCAATGTACCTACAAAATCTTCCCAAGTCAACAAGCGTAGACCCCTTTCTTTTTAACTGTCACAGAATAGTCCACTGAATAGAAGGGCCATAGCTTACTCTACTGATAAGTATTTGGGTGGTTTCCAACCTTTCATCACCATAAGCACTGCTGTACCGAATAGGGCATGTGTTGCTGAAATGAGGTCACTGACTCATGAATGTCTGAAGAGACTAGGAGTTGTCAAAGAAAGCAGCATCAATTTACTAGGGATTCTAAATCAGTTCTCAAAGATATCCACTAAGTAAGAGCCCTGTGGAGCTACAAAAAGCACTACTACCTTCATTCACTGTCATCTTCACCGAGACCTGTGTGCATTGTCATCTTCACTGAGACCTGTGTGCATTCTGCATCCGTTTGCACTCTTTCTAGATTAACTAGGCTATCGTTTTCCCTCACACTTCGGCTTCCATCCTTACTTTCTACACCTAACACTGGAAGAGAGTGAGTCCAGACAGCCGGCTTCTAAATGCATTCTAGTTCCATCCATTCCTATGCCATCCTTTTTTATTTTTTAAAGTTGCTGAAAATCATGTGCACCTTAGGGATCTAGGGATCTACCTTTCTTTTCTGGAAGAGCAGTCAATGGATCTAAGTCTTGCTATTCGAAGTGTGATCTACAGACCATGAAGCTTGCTGGAAATGTAAATTCTCAGGCCCCACCCTGGACCTACTGAATCGGAATCTTCATTTTGACAAAAGCCCCTGGAAGATTCATCTGCACATTTAAAAACAAATGATTTATGGGAATGACTTCAGGACATAGGACTTACATTTAAGAGGAAAAGAGAGGAGAATGCCAAAGTGGCCAAGGGGATGAAAACATCATCTGAGGAAAGACCAAGGCCACCTGAGCTTTTTGGCAGAGAAATGAGAAGCTGGGAAATAAATGGCCGGCACACAACCTGCTGCTCATGTAATTGACTAAGGTCGGCTGGAAGAAAGGATGATTAAAACTTTACAATACCAAAGGTCAGAACTGGAAATTGCAAGCAAAAATTATACAGAAAAGGATTTCAGCTCTCTATAAGGAAAATAATCATAGTAATTAGCTTACAGAGCAGAAAAGATTGGGTCATAAAACAGACCTCCCAGGCACCACACCTATGTAAGTACAGACACAACAACTCAATGACAGGAATGCTGGAGAAGGGATTCTGGCACTGTAAGAGATACAGAACTAGGTGAGCTTATGTTCTTTTTAGGCAACATTCTTTTTCTGGCTGAAGTCCTAGAAACGGAGGCAGGAACACATACGTGTTTTAGAAGGTTTGCTGTGGGGTGCCGAGAAAAAGTCGTCATCATCATCACCATCATCATCATCAAAGAGGCCAGTGGGAGGGGGACCATAGGGGCTTTTCCTTGGAGTGGGCTGCTCAGGCTTCTGTGGCTCCTTCAGTGATGGAACGGAGGCAGCACCAAACACATCCGTGTCTCCTGTGAGTGAAGGGACAAGACAGCCACAGCTGTGAGCCAGTGTGGGCCGGTTGAATTTACAGAAAAAAATTATCACCCACCAAAAACTTTCCATTTCAGTTAATCCACAAAATGCATAACAGGGCCCAATAGCCTCCATCCATTACTGCTACAGAACATCTCACAACGGAGAATCACCAGGTCGCTCAAACACAAAAAAGTCCAAGGCCACTGAGCTCTAGGAGAATAAGAGCTAATATCAGTAAATGAGCTCTTTCTATAAGATGCTCAAAGCCCTTTGAAGCTCCCAGGTACTTCCTCATCTCCAGCCAGACTTTAGAAGATGATAATTTTGAAATGCAAAAAACAGTATTTGTGTAGTTTTTAGAAAACAAACCTAAGTTATGTTACCTAAAAATACAGAAACAGCTCCTGCTGGGATTTTCTTTCCAGGTTTGGATGATGAAGACTCTAGAATGAGAAAGCAAGGGGTAACCATTTTACAAGGGAAATAACTTTCCTTGCTATTTTCTTCCTGAAATACGTGCAATGTAACACACAGCTAGTACCAGACCTTTTGAAACTACTTTTTCCTGAACAAGCCATTTTAAAATTCCTTAGTATTTTCTTCTCTACCGATGTCAGGACTTTTTTTTTGGGATTAACACAATCTGAGCTGTGACTCAAATGGAAGAGCATGCTGACCGTCATCAAGCCACAGCAGTGGGTCAGCTGGGGGACACCAAGGGAGGAGGTGAGCACAGCAGAGGCAGGGACAGCATGACCGGGGCTCCCCCAAACAGTTCCACCTCTACCCATTCCAGTTGGATGAGAATGAACGGGTGAAAAAGAACCGCAAAAACATGTGAGTCATCAGTAAAAAAATAAAGACATAAGAGCAAAGGGGGAAACCAAGCAAGTCACTGATGCCAAAACATGGACAGCAGAAAGCAGAGGAGAGCCAGGCTAGCAGCCCGCACAGCAGGCACAAGGAGCGGCCTCCAAGGCCCAGCTCTGATGCCTGCGCCCGGGAGACTCGGCACTTAGAATCACTAATTCCCAAGTCCCAAGAACTACCACAAACCTATTGAGTAACATTTGTAGGTTAAAAAAAAAGAAAAAAAAAAAAAACATATTTATATTTGTGTTTTTTAAAAACTGCACCAAGGGGACAGGTGCAGTGGCTCATGCCTGTATTCCTAGCATTTTGCCAGGTCTAGGCGGGTGATCACTTGAGGATAGGAGTTTAAGACCAGCCTGTCCAACCGTCCAACATGGTGAAACCCTGTCTCTACTAAAAATACAAAAACAAAAAACAAAAAAACAAAAAAACCTGCACAGATGATTTTAATGCACACTGGGTTGGGGAATTACTGGTCTCCAACTTATATACAGAATGTTAAAAATGTTTCTTTAAATTAAACTTCATTCAATGAAAACCATCCTCAACATTGCTCTAGGGTACTTTTCTTGTTTGACTTTCTATGAGTTCTCTCCTAACAAAGAGGCAAGACTGTGGTATGGGTTTACAGATGGTACTGTTTTTTCCAAGACATGAATTAGTGAAGATGAATTACTTTCAACTGGACCGCAGTAAAAACAACAGCTTCTTGCTTGACACAGAAACAAGGCTTGGGAACAACCTTGTTCCATCTCCTAGTGAGAAAGACAGTTTTGGAACTCTGCACACGGAGACGCAGCTGCCCAGCCCCAGCTTACCCTCCTTAACAGAGGCTCCAGCTTGCCGATCCTGGGAGGCTTCCGTGAAGAGGTCACTCTGGTTGAAATAAGGTATATGACAAAGAATTCAAAAAACCAGGAGAAAGCATAGCTGCATGTGAGGATTCCTAAGGAAAAATAACCTACAAGATTTAAAGCTACATATTTACTACTCTGCCAGAAAATCAGTTGCAAAGTGATAACTATGGCAAAATCAGACCCTAAAATAATTTAGGCCTGTCCAGGAATTAAAAACAAACGTGGAAGACAACAGATAAGGCAAGAAACAATCACCTAGTAAATTATTCACATTAACACGTGCACATCTTCTCCTCACCTAACAAAGCATAGAAGGATACGGCATTTCTCACTCTGTGATTCTTAGTTCAAAATGTCCCAAAATATGAAAATAGAAGCAACTTCCAACTGAGAAACTGTTTTTCCCCCACTAAACAAGCAAAGCCTATATCTTCCCTGTGGACCCCTGACACAGCTAGCTGCAGGGAGTGTTGCTGGGTGCCATGGACTCACCTCCTCGTCCTCATCATCAAATAGCCCCTTGCCGCCACTGAACAGGCCACCTCCAGAGCCAAATGGCGAGAAGTCCTCGTCGGTCAGCTTGGGGGGTGCGAATAAGTTATCCTCTTCATCTAGCAAACAGAAAGCAATGTTTTGCAGGGAGTATTAAAGATGGGTCCAGAACTCAAATTCCCGGGTTGGCATCTGCTGTGTCTCCAAACTGGCATGGAGTTTATCTGACACTATTTAACAAAGTGTGAGGCAGTCTGATGAATTTCACACTAAACCCCTGGCACAGTCCACTGACACCCTCAAAAGACTCTCTGGGCCTCCACTCTCAAGTCTGTCCACGTCTGTGGCACACAGCATTCATTCTCTAGGCCAGCACCCTGGATCTAGATTTACTCTGAAGCAAGCATTCGGGTCAGACGCCACATTCAAGACCCATTCCCCAACCAATCTGGGGGAAGGAAGGGCAGAATAAACAAAGGGATCTGCAAACTGACACAGGGACAAGTCTAATGTAATCGACATGGCTGTTTGCAGGAAAAGGCCTGGTGTATCCTTTATTGAAAACAAATGCTTGAGATTCCTAAGTTTCTATACTTCTAAGAATTCTAGGAAGACAAGAAATGATTGCTGTAAAATCTAATAAATCAAATCTCTACAGGAATTTTTACTCCACACCCACATATCCTCCCAGCACCCCAAAACATGCCTTCCAAGGCTTCTGTTTGTTTTTGGGATGGAGTCTCGCACCATCACCCGGGCTGGAATGCAGTGGCGCGATCAAGGCTCACTGCCATCTCTGCCTCCCGGGTTCAAGTGATTCTCCTGCCTCAGCCTCCCAAGTAGCTGGGACAACAGGCACCCACCACCATGCCAAGCTAATTTTTTGTATTTTTAGTAGAAATGGGGTTTCACTATGTTGGCCAGGCTGGTCTTAAACTCCTGACCTCATGATCCACCCGCCTCGGCCTCCCAAAGCGCTGGGATTACATGTGTGAGCCACCGCGTCCAGCCCAGAGGCTTTAGAAAAGTAAATGGAGACAGACCCATTTGTCAGAGGGAAAACAGCATGTAAAGCAGTACTTCATGAATTATGTAAGCAACATTCCTTAGTCAACAGGCTCCTAAAATAACAGAATTGAGGGAAAAGGCCCACCGTCTGAAGGAGTTCTCCTTTCCTTCTTCTCTTTGAGTGTCTTCCGAGGTTTTGCTTCTCCTGAGGGTAAGGCTTGAAGAACAGTTCACAGTTTTAATAGTACTAAGTCCTCCCTCAGTATACACATCCTGGTTCTTTCCACGTCTGTCATCCTCATAACTCACAGCTAAGAGCAAGACATCTGCCTTTCATCTCAGCTGCACCAGAGCACTGAACTCCCTGGCCCTGCCCACAGTGGGCACTCAAGAGTCTCTTTGTAAGGCAGAAGGCTTCTGCTTTCGTACCAGGCTCATGTGCATAACAGGATTGTATTTGTTGAAAGAATTATTGTGTTATCTTTCTACCCTGTTATAACTAGAATATGCTATATAGCACATTCTTACGTGTTCAAAATATAGGAGTAAATATTCAGCCAGGAATTCTTAAGCTGTTGCCCATGGTTCTCTGGAGTTTCCATTAATCCCCTGAAATTATATGTAAAGGGTTATCTACATGTGTACATGTACGTTTTTCTTGTGGGTCCACAGTGTTCAGTTATCTAAAGGAGCCCATTAACCAAAAAAGGAATAAGCGCTACAATTTAAATTATATGTAGCAATTACTAATAAATATATGTAGTAATTACTAATAAAAAGAGAAATCCGCCTTTGGTGAAGCCAGCAGAGGGCCCTGCACTACTCCTCCCCTACTCCCCATCAACGTGGCTGGGGCTCACTTGTCGGCTCCTCGTCCACTCGACCCATGGCATCCCCCTTGATGCGGGCAGCCAGCTCATCTGCAAACGATGTAGGTCTGCTTCTTTTCTACAGCAGGAGAAATCAAAAGAATCGCTTTTTTGTAACAAACTAGTACACTTCACTTTGGACACCTAACAACATTATGTATACAAGAGCAAAGAAATTGAACTGAGGAGAAAACAGAGTTTAATTAAATGAATTTAAACATATGTACCCTATACAGCTCACCCAAGGAATAGGACTCATAAAATGTTCCTTCAAAGGGAGATGCCCTTTATTTCCTTATTCTTTTTAATACTTGACTTTAATACTTAAAAATCTAAATACGAAAATAAGAAAAAGGTGAATGGGTGGAGAGACAGGAGCACTATGGTCTTCAAACTCTGGAACTAGACATATTCTGAATGATCTGACTCATAAAATCATAACATCTGGACAAGAAAGTGGTACTTGTGAGGCAATTTGAGATGCTTGCCATTATTTTCCAAAGTGTAAATGAAATGACAAATATGCCAAAATGAGTGATGTACAAAGTAAGTCACAATAAAAAGAAAAACAAGTCATTGGTTCTAAAACTCTGCCAAGTGATAGCAACTACAGCCTTCCTTACAGGTCTAGTATTTTCTTCAATGTCCTCAATATCTTCCTCCTCCTTCTCAGAGTCAGCAAAAAGGTCACAGCCATCATCATCCTCTTCCTCATCACTCATTTGTGTGGTGTGCTAAGAGTATAAAATACCAAATTAGAACTACTAGTTATTAAGCTAAAGAAGAGATACTGTCAGCCTTTAGGCTCCTCCTTCAAAGAAGTAACAGCTTTTTAAAATAATAATCATAAACATGATGCAGCAAGTTATGAAGCAAAAGATGTGCTGGAAGAAATAATACACAAGATTTACTTTGAATCTAAGAAAAAAAATATATAAAAATATATATAAAATATAAATATATATATATATAAATATATATATATATATATATTTTTTTTTTTTGAGATGGAGTCTTGCTCTGTGGCCCAGGCTGGAGTGCATCAGCACGATCTCGGCTCACTGAAACCTCTGCCTGCCCAGTTCATGCTATTCTCCTGCCTCGGCCTTCCGAGTAGCTGGGATTACACGCATGCACCACTACGCCCAGCAAATTTTTTGTATTTTTAGTAGAGATGGGGTTTCACCATGTTGTCTAGGCTGGTCTTGAACTCCTGACTTCAGGTGATCCACCCGCCTCAGCCTCCCAAACTGCTAGGATTACAGGCGTGAGCCACCAAGCCCGGCCTAAAAATGTATCCTTTATAAGAATGTAACAACAAGAATATAAAAAGCAGAATATTAAAATATCAAAAATGGCTGTTACTAGAGAAATATTTTTATTTATTTATTTTTGAGAAGGAGTTTCGCTCTTTTTGCCCAGGCTGAAGTGCAATGGGGTGATCTCGGCTCACTGCAACCTCCGCCTCCTAGGTTCAAGCCATTCTCCTGCCTCAGCCCTCTGAGTAGCTAGGATTACAGGCACCCGCCACCACGCCCGGCTAATTTTTATATTTTTGGTAGAGACGGGGTTTCACCATGTTGGGCAGGCTGGTCTCGAACTCCTGACCTCAGGTGATCCAACCACCTCAGCTTCCCAAAGCGCTGGGATTACATTCTCAAAGCACTGGGATTACAGGCGTGAGCCACCATGCCCAGCCTTTTACTAGAGAAATATAAACATCATCAGCATAGTCTTACCTTAGTAAGAATACTGAGTAATAGTTAAAAGGTAAAAGCTGTAATGACTAGAGAGCCATCCAAGGTAGGTCAAGCAAAAAAGCGCAGAATAACAAATCCAGGATGATACCAAGCCCCGCCCCCTCTGCAAACACTACAGCATTTCTATGGAAACAGATGTGTTTATAAAAGCAAAGAAACAGACTTGGAATGACATGCTCCCAGAGCATGATCCCAGTTACCTCTGAAGAGTATGCAGAGAAGGAAAGGACTGGAAGGCTCAAACTTAGCCTTATCTGTTAAGTTCTAATTTTTCCAAAGGTACACACTACTATGTATAATTAAAAAAATTTTTTTTCAATGTTTGAATCAATGAACTGTGCCAGGCATGTTACTAAAAGCACTTTATTATCTAATTTAATCCTTACAACTTTGAGGTTAGCTGCAGCACACAAAACCAACCTGTTGCATAAGCTAGTGCTTTTACTCACTATACTGTACTGTTTTTGAAAAACTGTTTGTGGCCGGGCGTGGTGGCTCACGCCTGTAATCCCAACACTTTGGGAAGCTGAGGCAGGCGGATCACCTGAGGTCAGGAGTTCAAGACCAGCCGCGCCAACATGGCGATACCCCATCTCCACTAAAAATACAAAAACTAGCTGGGCATGGTGGCACATGCCTATAATCCCAGCTACTTGGGAGGCTGAGGCATGAGAATCACTTGAACCGAGGAGGTGGAGGTTGGAGTGAACCAATATCGTGCCACTGCACTCCAGCCTGGGTAACAGAGAGAGACTCTGTCTCAAAAAAAAAAAAAAAAAAAAAAAAGGAAAGAAAAACTGTTTGCATTTACAGATCTTAATAGGAAATTCCATAGAAACAAATATCCTATGAAGAAAGACTGATCGTTAAAATTATAGAGATCAACCACATTTATGAATACAACCAGGAAAATACAGTAACAACCAGAAAGTATAAAATCCTTCATTTGATAGTTAAACATTTTTGTGAAAAAAATATTTCCCAGTTAAGAAATTTAAATGCAAATTTTTAACTAAAAGAAATTTAAAATAATCACCCCAGTGATGAGATTGTAGGAAAATCTACATGCATAATACTTAATTTAGAATGTCCACCAGACATTAAGAGTTATTAACATAACTCTATACCACCTCATTCTGAAGAAACAGTTCACCGAAGCAAAGGATTTCTATATATGAAAATATTGGCTGGGCGTGGTGGCTCATACCTGTAATCCCAGTACTCTGGGAGGGCAAAGTGGGTGGTTTGCCTGAGCTCAAGACCAGCCTGGGAAACATGGGAAGACCCTGACTCCACTAAAAATACAAAAAATTAGCCGGGCATGGTGCCACACACCCATAGTCCCAGCTACTCAGGGAGGCTGAGGCATGAGAATCGCTTGAACCCTGTAGGCGGAGATTACATTGAGCTGAGATCACACCACTGCACTCCAGCCTAGGCAACAGAGCGAGACTCTGTCTCAAAAAAAAGAAAAGAAAATATTGAATACATTATTACATCAAAAATACAACTCTAGAAATAAACTCTTTCCCTTATACATTTAGAGACTATGACAGTATCATACTCAGTATGTTTAAAAGTATAGAAGTTTACAACGCAAACTGCAAAGGCTATTTAAAATAAGGAGGCCAGGCATGGTGGCTCACGCCTGTAATCCCAGCATTTTGGGAGGCCAAGGTGGGTGGATTACCTGAGGTCAGGAGCTCGAGACCAGCCTGGCCAACATGGTGAAACCCCATCTCTACTAAAAATACAAAAAAAATTGGCTGAGCATGGTGGTGGGCACCTGTAATGCCAGCTACTCGGGAGGCTGAGGCAGAAGAATTATTTGAACCCAGGAGGCGGAGGTTGCAGTGAGCTGAGATCACGCCACGGCACTCCAGCCTGGACAACAAGAGCAAAACTCCATCTCAAAAAAATAATAATAATAAATAAGGACACATTTATAAAATGTTAACATAAAATGGCAGAAAATGAACGATGCACACTATGAAAAGAATACGCCTTTAGATATTCAAAAATTAAGATAACCGTGCTAAGACAGTAGGGTAAGAAGTTTTCATCTTGTGAATACTCAATAATGTTACTGCTAGATTGTCTCCAATTTTAAAACAGAAGAGGGACTCATGCAAAGTAGTTCAGTTTGGGTAACTGAGTCTTCTTTTAGAGGCTCTGTTTTCCAATTGTGCTTTTCACTTCTTTGAAACTTCTTTTCTAAGAAAAATAAACTATAAAGCAAAATTGGAAAAAATATATACAAAGGAGGTAGTTAGCCTAAATACATGAAATGCTTAAAGGAAAATAAATTGTATACATGAAAAAATCCTCACTTGGTCATAAATCATTCCAAAGTAATTTTAGTATATATACTATGCTTCAATTAAAATGTAAAAACAAAGTCATTTCAATATATGAGCCTTACCTGGTTTTGTTCATTGTCACTGTGATGGGCAAAATCTTCATCTGACTCCTTTATGGGTAAGAAAAGGCTTTGTTGTTAAATGGGCTTTACTTAGAAGCACAGAAATGATTGCAGGTCTAAGTCTCTGGGGCAGGCTGATTCTATGTCAAGTGGAGAAAAAGCTCTGACACTCAGTCTCTTTGTACTGACTACTGGTCACCTTAAGTATCAAGGTGCAGATAAGCTGGGTAGCTGGCAATATTGTGAAGGGTTGTTCCAGTTAACATGTAATTTTTGTGGTTCACTTAAATGCCTCTAACAATTTGTTCACATCACCTGCACTTTCAACTCTTGCCTTTGGATTTAAAGAGTTGCACATTTAACTAACTAAATTACTGAAAGTCAGTTTGTGTTATTTTACATTTTGGACTATACTGTCTCTATTTCCTTGCATTATTCACAATAGCAAAGACTTGGAACCAACCCAAATGTCCAACAATAATAGACTGGATTAAGAAAATGTGGCACATATACACCATGGAATACTATGCAGCCATAAAAAATGATGAGTTCATGTCCTTTGTAGGGACATGGATGAAACTGGAAACCATCATTCTCAGTAAACTATCGCAAGAACAAAAAACCAAACACCGCATATTCTCACTCATAGGTGGGAATTGAACAATGAGATCACATGGACACAGGAAGGGGAATATCACACTCTGGGGACTGTGGTGGGGTGGGGGGAGGGGGGAGGGATAGCATTGGGAGATATACCTAATGCTAGATGACGAGTTAATGGGTGCAGCGCACCAGCATGGCACATGTATACATATGTAACTAACCTGCACAATGTGCACATGTACCCTAAAACTTAAAGTATAATAAAAATAAAAAATAAAAATAACTACTTCATTAGGCCCAAGAAGGGGACATCAATAGTTGCTACGAGCAACTATTGATGAAGTGCCACATAGAAGTGCCACATCGGTGGCTAAAAGCAAGGGATTCCCCTAATGAGCACTGCTTTTGTTATACGAAAGTTACTTAAGAAAAGCTCATTTCCTGCTGTCAGGTTTTTCTTTGGAGGACTGGAAGAAAGGCGGGCAGGGAGAGTGCAGAAAGGGGGACCAACCAGAAGAGAAAAGCACATACACAACACTGTCTCCTTTCGGAAATCCCATACTCGAGGACTCTCCTGCAACATGGCTGTGTCCTTTCCAATAACGAATATCCCATCTAAAGAACAACTACAGATTCAACTGTAGTCAAGGCCCACAGACTCAAACTCTAGACAAGGAAATGAAATTATGCTCTGTGGATATGAAAGCGCTAGCGGCAGCAGCAAAATAGAATGTAAGTGGTGGCTTTCGGTATATCCTGCTCTAGGTTTTATAGTTTACAAAAGTTCTAAATGTAGATTTTTTCCCTTAGAATTATTCAAAGACGGAATATACTCAAAGACTATATCCCAGGCAGAGATTCCACCAAAACATCTAAGCTGCCCTTCTCAAAAATATATTGGGTGAAAGAGATATTTGGTGGCAAGGTGGGAGAGAGGATAATAGTGGAAGAGATGAAAGCAGCTTTCCCTATTATTGTACATAAGGCAAAAAGGAAATCTAACCCTTGGGAAAAAAAACTCAGAATGTGGCTTCTATCACTGTTAAAAGCTTTATGGAAGCAGATTACGAATTCACAGTTATGCTATTTACTTAGCCTGCTAGGCCCATCTTAAATTAAGCTTGCTGCCCACCGTGACCTGGTCATACCAAACAGCCCTTACCTCCTCTTCTTTCTCTTCCTCAGTGTCCACAATACTGCCACGATCACTGCCTACAGAGCCTTCTGTTGAGAAGAGAGATAAGGGTCACCACACCAATATTCACAAGAAAATGTCCTTAGCTCAAAATCACAAACCACCATACAACAGCATCACAGAGATCTTGATAAAACCATCTATACCCACTTACTGGAATTGAAAGTGTCATTATGGTGAGGAATTACATATTTATGTAGTCTTGAAGTATCTCTCCCCCCAAAAATTATTCATTACAAATAAAAAAAAAACTTGCTTGTACTCTTTAAAGATGTCAGGGTCATAAAAAGCAAAGAAAGGCTGAGAAATGGCATCAGATTAAAAGATAACTGAAGATTTGACAACCAAATGTGGTGGCTGGTCCTGGATTGAGTCCCGGACCACAGAACAAAAGAGAGAGACTGTAAAGGGTGTCACTGGGACAAACGGCAAAATGTGAACATAGCAGCAGATTGGATAATACCCTTATGTCCAGGAAAATATCCTGGCTTTGTAATTCTACTGTGATTATACAAGAGATGTCCTTGTTCTTAGAAAACACACACAGAGGATCACCTGAGGTCAGGCGTTCGAGACCAACCTGCCCAACATGGTAAAACCCCATCTCTACTAAAAATACAAAAATTAGCCAGGTGTGGTGGTGGGCACCTGTAATCCCAGCTACTCAGGAGGCTGAGGTAGGAGAATTGCTTGAACCCAGGAGGTGGAGGTTGCAGTGAGCCAAGATCGCACCATTGCATTCCAGCCTGGGTGACCAGAGAGAAACTCCGGCTCAAAAAAGAAAGAAAGAAAGAAAGAAAAAGAGCCGGGCACGGTGGCTCATGCTTGTAATCCCAGCACTTTGGGAGGCCGAGGCGGGCAGATCATGAGGTCAGGAATTCGAGACCAGCCTGGACAATATGGTGAAACCCCATCTCTACTAAAAATACAAAAATTGGCCAGGTGTGGTGGTGCACGCCTGTGGTCCCAGCTACTCAGGAGGCTGAGGCAGAAAAATCGCTTAAATCCGGGAGGCGGAGGTTGCAGTGAGCTGAGATCGCACCACTGCACTCCAGCCTGGGCCACAGAGCGAGACTCTGTCTCAAAAAAAGAAAAAGACAAAGAAAAGAAAAAAAGAAAACACACAGAGAAACATTTAGAAGTAACAGGGCATGAGCATGATGTCTCCCAAATAGGCTCAAGACAAAATATTACGTATATGTAGAGAACAATCTAACAAATGTGGTGAAATGTTAACTGGTAAACCCAGGTGAAGGGTATATGAGAGTTCTTTGAACTATTCTTGAAACTTTAATGTAAAATTTGAAATTATTTTAAAATAAAAAAGAAATGTTAAGGAATAAAATTATTTGGTGAAGAAAAGTACCTTCACTGGACAGCTCTCCAAGACCTACATCTTCTTGTTCCATGAACAGCTTTGACCCAATGAGATATGGTAAAGGACGATCAATGTATAGATCCTGTACATGATGAAAGGAATAGGCTGTCAAACATTTCAGTTGAAAACAAACTTACATGTGCCACCTGATACCCTGTTCCATCTGACTATCCCAAACAAGCTACATAACGAAGGTGGAGAATAAGAAACACAGCAGGACTAAAAGTTAAAAAAAAAATTCTTTTTTTCACTGATTTTTTTAAAAGTCAAATCCTAGGTAAAGATGTCAAGGTAAGGCCGGGCACCATGGCTCACGCCTGTAATCCTAGCACTTTGGGAAGCCAAGGCGGGTGGATCACTTGAGGTCAGGAGTTTGAGACCAGCCTGACCAACGTGGTGAAACCCCGTCTCTACTAAAAATCCAAAAAAATTAGCGGGACATGGTGGCGGGTAACTGTCATCCTAGCTACTCGGGAGGCTGAGGCAGGAGAATCACTTGAACCCAGGAAACAGTGTTGCAGTGAGCTGAGATTGCACTACTGCACTCTAGCCTGGGCAATAAGAGCAAAACTCCATCTCAAAAAAAAAAAAAAAGAAAAAAGATGCCAAAGTAAAGCTGTATCACACAGAATCTCCCTCCCCAAGGGCCTAATTAACAAAATTTAACAAAAATGGCAAAAGCCTACCAAAAGTCTATCAGCAGCAAGCAAACAGGGAAAAGGGTACAACCTCCTAGTATAAGGTCCAAGAAGAGGAGGACCAAGGAAAGAAACTGAACATTCTGGTGAGCTGTCCCCTAAAAAGCAGTACTAATGAGACATAATATATCTATATATTTTAATATAAAAATAGATTAGGCCGGGCACAGTGGCTCATGCCTGTAATCCCAGCACTTTGGGAGGCTGAGGCAGATGGATCACTTGAGGTCAGGAGTTTGAGACCAGCCTGGCCAACGTGGTGAAACCCAATATCTACCGAAAATACTAAAAATTAGCTGGGTGTGGTGGCGCACACCTATAATCCCATTTACTCAGGAGACTAAGACAGGAGAATCTCTTGAACCCAGGAGGTGGAGGTTGCAGTGAGCCAACATCACATCACTCCACTCCAGCCTGGGCAACAAGAGCGAAACTCCGACTCAAAATAAATAAATAAATAAATAAAAAAGATTATAACTCAATAAACAGAAGAACAATACCCCCTAGTGGTTCCACACTGTTGAATTTAGAAAAGTGAAGTTGGTAAAATAAGACCAGATGAGAAAACAGAGTGAGGGCAGGAGACTGTGGCCCCAACAGCACATGCTGGAGATCTGCCCATGTCAGCCGTCTACTCCTGTCAGTCCCACACCACACACACATTAAAAATTTAGGGTTGGTCGGTTGCAGTAGCTCCCACCTGTAATCCCAGTACTTTTGGGAGGCCGAGGCGGGCGGATCACTTGAGGTCAGGAGTTCAAGACCAGCCTGGTCACCATGGTGAAACCCCGTCTCTACTAAAAAATACAAAAATTAGCCAGGTGTCATGTTACATGCCTGTAATCCCAGCTACTTGGAAGGCTGAGGCAGGAGAATCGCTTGAACCCAGGAGACAGAAGCTGCAGTGAGCCGAGATTGCGCCACTCCAGCTTGGGCAACAAGAGTGAAACTCTGTCTCAAAAAAAAAAAAAAAAATAGGGTCAAGAAAGTGCTCCACCCTTGCACAGCCTCCTACCTCCACTGCTGAAGGAAATGCTGCCCTGTCCCCTGTGAGGCATTGCCCTTTGGCAATGATATCTCTTCCTTGTCAAAGGACTCTGGGGCAGGGGAGAATAATTCTGACGTTTCACACAACAACAGAAAGATTGGGAAGGTTAAAGTAAAGGTTCAACGACGTCACAGCAACCAATGGAGCATAAGGCAAAGACAGCGTTAATTTGGACTAATTCTCACTGACTCAGAAGACATCCCCAAATCCTCCTACAAAAGAAAAGTGTACCTCCACAACTTTCTCTGCAAGGGGAAAAAAAAAAGGGAGAAAGTGCTGTGTGTCTTGGAAGTATCAAGTGTGGTCCAGGCAATCCATTTCCCAGAGTCCACTGCTGACTTTTAAAGGCATACAGTGAAAATCCAAGCAGCAAGTGTACTGGTCAGTGCCAAATGATCTGCCTCAATTTGGTGTGACTCAGCAAAGCTCAAACTGGAAGAGAAATGTGCAGCTACAGAATGACTAGAAGAGTGGTTCAGGCTGGGTGGGGTGGCTCATGTCTGTAATCCCAGCACTTTGGGAGGCCAAGGCAGGCGGATCACCTGAGGTTGGGAGTTCGAGACCAGCCTGGCCAACATGGTGAAACCCTGTCTATACTAAAAATACAAAAATTAGCTGGGTGTGGTGGTGGGCGCCTGTAATCCCAGCTACTCGGGAGGCTGGGGCAGGAGAATCGCTTGAACCTGGGAGGCAGAGGTTGCAGTGAGCCAACATCGTGCCACGCACTCCAGCCTGGAGGACAGAGTGAAACTCCGTCTCAAAAAAAAAAAAGGGTTTGGTTCTGTGGCATGTTTTAATTCGGAAGGCCTTGTGTGTCACAAGGCCTCTTTCTATAAATCACTGTGGTAACTTTCTGTGTTCACTACCGAGAGACTCTGTGTCACCCCAATTGTCTCTTTGAACAATGTGGGAGAAAGTGTGTCAAGCAACCAACACTCACTAGGCTATGAGGGAGCCTGGACATGAATGCTCACAGCAGCTTCATTTGTATTTAATAATTGCCCAAACCGGAAACAACCCAAATGCCTTTCAGTTCTTCTGCAGTCTTCCTTAGCCCAAGCTACATAATTTCAGGTTCCCAACACTCTCTGTCTCTTTTGAGCCTCCCCACCCTTCAAACCCCAATTCAAATATCATCTTTGCCCCAAAATTCCAGCTGGAAATCAATTCTCTCTCAGGGCATTTACAATGGTTATTCGTATGTATGTCTCCTCTCTCCCACCAGACTGCAACACACACCTCGAGAGTAGAGGCCATGCTCTGCATCTTTGCACCCCAACTTGACATGTTGCCTTGCACCTCACAAGTACTCCATCAGTGCTCAGGTAAAGCGAGTCTTTCTGGTGGAGTCAATGTGAGACTACTAAGTGACATACTCACTTCCCAGAGGTTAAGTCCATGACTTACTAATCGTGTGCCCAATTAAAGTAGCCCAAACATAATAGTTGTGCAATAAATATTTAAGTTGAATGTCTTCACCTTTGGTTCAAGGATCAGTTCCACCCGCCCATTAGCATCATCTTCCTCGGAGTCTGAGTTTCCTGCTTTGATATCAAGTTGCTCAAAGGCACTGTCCAATACTTGTAAGCCATAGTTCACAGCCTCCTGGACTTTAGGAATGAGATCTACTTCTTTCTGCTCTCGTGTCTTCTCCTACAAAATAAATACCATGCAGTATGGGTCTCCAATATACTGATACTGCCCCAAAAGAATACTGTGAATGTTCTCTAAAGCCTAGCCTCAAGCTCCAAAAAAACTTATTAAAAATGTTAAAAAAGTCAAATTCTGCTGAATGCCTTGACACAGACTTTGGAGTAAGACTGCAAGTTTTAAATCCCAAGTTTGCCCCTTTCTGGACATGCATCAAACTACCTAAGGTTCCAGAGCTCAAGGGTCATCGTCTACAAAAGCAGAGGTACAACTAGTGTGTGGAGAAGTATCCCAACAATGAATGCATGCTGTTTCCCCACTGCTGGAGGGCCTAGACTCTCAGACTCACCATGACTATCCCACGAGCCCTGGTTATCCCTTGGGTAATTTTAGGTGTTAAGACTTAGAAGGAAGGTCACAGAGGTCTCATTTTTCAATTACAGTTTAAAGAGACAAAAAAAAAAAAAACTGGACAATTACAATTATTTTATAAATCTGTTCTACATCAAAAGGGGGTCATTTTCATCTCCGGTCTATTCTGTGTATACCCTACAACAATGCCCCATTCAAGAAAAAAGGTTTGTTCATATCACCAACAGGCTGAGAATCTCCCTCAGGTGTCTTCTTCCTGCAACAGCAGTTCTCAATGGCAGTCCCCACAGACACAAGTGTGCCATTGTGAGAAATACCGAAAAATATTTAGTGTCATTTCCCCCTCTACAAATATTCTAGAAGGAACCAAACCACACAGTGTTGTTCTGAGGGCCAAAGGCAAAAAAAAAAAAAAACCCTACGAGCATTTTAGTCTTTTATCTCAAGTACTGAAGTCTTTCTAACTGAACTTTTTTGTCTTGGTTGTGTATTTTTCTATTTGGATATGCTTGATTCTGAGTTAAATAGCTAATATTGTACTGAGTTTGTGAAAATGTGTATGAAATATATAGCAGTTTTTAAAAATAGTACACTAAATACCTATCACCTTCAAATTAAACCCTGAATTGGTATAACCAGATACTACTGCACTTAAATGGCTAGCAAATCCTTGAGTTCTATTAAAAATAAAATAACCTGCTGGGCACAGTAGCTCACACCTGTAATCCTAGCACTTTGGGAGGCCAAGGCTGGCGGATCATTTGAGGTCAGGAGTTTGAGACCAGCCTGGCCAACATGGCGAAACCCCGTCTCTACAATAAATACAAAAAAATTAGCCAGGCGTGGTGGCACACGCCTGTAGTCCCAGCTACTCGGGAAGCTGAGCCAGGAGAATCACTTGCACCCAGGAGGCAGAGGTTGCAGTGAGCTGATATCGTGCCACTGCACTCCAGCCTGGGCAACAGAGTGAGACTCCATCTCAAAATAAAAAAATTTTTTAAATAAAAAATAAAATAAAATAACTTTTTTAAAAAAATGCTGGCAACAGGCAGAACTATAGCTGGTTTTGAATACCCTTTTCCTAGTCTAACAGCTTCATCTGTTACAAGTAATAATTGCTGACAAAGGGCCAACCTTTACAGGTGATCCATATTTTCTGAATAAATGAGAACAAAATCAAAGCTACTCCAATAATAAACTTATTCACAGTCCATGTGCCTTCCTGAGTGGAAGAAAAAGAAATCTCTGCTGGAGTGCTAAGAAGTCAGTGTGACCCAGAACCTCTTAGCTATGTTTTGGGCTCTGGTGTGAGAAGATCTCAGGAAGAAGGCTGGTCCATCTGTAACTCAGGAAGCCACAGGAAAAAAATGACCTCTGTGACCCTCCAAATCTGTAATATGTACTATCTGGCCCTTTACAAAAGAAGTTTGCTGACTTCTACTCTATTCTTATATCAGAATTCAAGGATTTGATCTCTGTATTAGTTAATATACTACATTTCAGAAACAAAGGAAAGAATCCCCTCTTGGGCTGCTGTCAGGAGCAGTCCCTCCCTTTCCCAACCCCACCCACCATCCCCCAGTTCCCACATAACACATCGATCTCCACCACACTTTTCAAAGTCAGAAACTCAGCTAAGAGTGATTTTATACAAGTACCTGCTCTGTTTTTTCTGCCTCAGCCTTGAGTACTGGCTCCTCCACTTCTTCATCATATACACGCTAAATATGGAAGCAAACTCAATGTTAAAAGGTCAACACGTCATTGGAAATAAATCACAATATAAGAATTCACACAGTAACTAAGGACAAAGATGCGGAAGGAAATGGTTATTCAGCAAAGGGCTGAGACCACTACCAGGTGGGTGTCCGTAACAGTGGGTCATGGACTAACAGCAAAGAATAGTCCATTCACCAAAAAAAAAAAAAAAAAAAATTTAAATACAAATGACTAGGAAACATGATGAAACTTTAACCTCGTTGTAAACCAAGAGTTGCAAAAACAGTAAGATATCAGTTTTCACACCTTTTCATTTAACCTAATAATGTTGATGGGCAATGATACAGTATTCTGACCCCAGCTTATGGAGAATGTCAACTGATGTAATTTATCAACTAGGAAACTAGAACTTCAGGATTTTGAACAAGGAAAATGGTAAAGGCAAAACTTATTTTCATTCAGTTGCTTAAAATGGCTGATAAATTTTTATTATCCCATTTGTATGAAAGCAGAGAGAAAAATCTACCACTGACTTGCCAGAAAGCCTGGGCATTTGACTAACCCTGACAGCATGGGTAGGCAAGACTCTCTTTTCCAGAAAAGACCCACTGCTCTGCCAAATCACTGTGATTCTTGGTTTTTAAAATCATTTTTATGTTTTAAAAACTACCGAAGTACAACATGCTTGTTATAAAAAGTCAATATAGGCCAGGTGCGGTGGCTCACGCCTGTAAGGCCAGCACTCTCTGAGACCGAGGCAAGGGGATCACTTGAGCTCAGGAGTTCAAGATCAGCCTGGGCAACATAGTGAGACCTCATCTCTACAAAAAATACAAAAATTAGCCAGGTATGGTGGTGTGCACCTGTAATTCCAGCTACTTGTGGGGCTTAGTCAGGAGGAACTCTTGAGCTTGGGAGGTAAAGGCTGCAGTGAGCCCTGATTGCACCACTGCACTGCAGCTTGGGTGAAAAAGTGAGACTCTATCTCAAAAATAAAATGAAATGAAATTAAAATTTTTTACAAAGAAAGAAATAAGAAGTCAATATAAATGAACTGATGAAAATCTTCTGGCATTAGACAGTGGCCGTGATTATAAAACTTTGAGTACAGTAAAAACCACCAAATTGTATACTTTTTAAAGGACTGAATTTTATGGTATGTGAATTCTATCTCAATTTTTAAAATTTTAAGTCAATATAAAGGCACATGGAAAAGAGATGTATTTTAAAATAGTTCCCTCCCTATCCCCAACCTGATCCTTGGAATACCCAATTTAAGCCTGGTGTGTATGCTCATTTCCTGAGGCTCTGAACACAAATATAAGCTAACACGTGCATATATTTAGAGCTCTCCTACCCTTCCTGCTTATTTATTTATTTATTTAGAGACAGAGTCTAGCTCTGTCACCCAGGCTGGAGTGCAGTGGCAGGATCTTGGCTCACTGCAACCGCCACCTCCCAGGCTCAAATGATTCTCTTGCCTCAGCCTCCCAAGTAATTGGGATTACAGGCGTGCACCACCACACCCGGCTAATTTGTTTTTGCCCTTTTTTTTTTTTTTTTTTTTTTTTTTTTTTTTGAGATGGAGTCTCACTCTGTTGCCAAGGCTGGAGTGCAGTGGTGCGATCTCGGCTCACTGCAAGCTCTGCCTCCTGGGTTCACGCCATTCTCCTGCCTCAGCCTCCTGAGTAGCTGGGACTACAGGTGCCTGCCACCATGCCCAGCTAATTTTTTTTGTATTTTTAGTAGAGATGGGGTTTCACCATGTTAACCAGGATGGTCTCAATCTGACCTCATGATTCGCCCACCTCGGCCTCCCAAAGTGCTGGGATTACAGGTGTGAGCCACCATGCCCGGCCTGCATTTTTTTTTTTTTTAGTAGAGATGGGGTTTCACCACGTTGGCCAGACTGGTCTCAAACTCCTTGACCTCAAGTGATCCATCGGCCTTGGCCTCCCAAAGTGCTGGGATTACAGGTGTGAGCCATTGTGCCTGGCTGAAACTGATTATTTATTTATTATTTATTATTTATTTATATACCTAGAGAAGGATTTTACCTAGAGAGGGAATAAATAAATCTTAATAGTCATTCCCAGATTCTATGCACAAATGCGTAGAATTCCCTGTCACTAGCAGCATACTCAAGTGCCCCTTACCCAAACCTTTGCCAGCAATGGCTCCTGTCCACCCATCTTTAAGTATCTGCCAATCTGATCAAACAATGTTGCTTTTAAATGATCATATCCTCTGACCCAAAATTCTACTTCTTGAAATTTAGCTCCCATGAAAATTATCATAAACGCAAACATCAGAATGTTCATGGTATCATGATTTCCAGCAGAAAGTCACAAATACCAAATTTATAATTCTATGTAATTCCAATCAAACGCTAATAAAATATTCTGTGGCACAATATAGTAAGATAATCCTGCTGGGGACAGTGGCTCATGCCTGTAATCCCAGCACTTTGGGAGGCTCATACCTGTAATCCCAGCACTTTGGGATCACCTGCGGTCAGGAGTTTGAGACCAGCCTGGCCAACATGGTGAAACCATGGCAAAACCCCATCTTTACTAAAAATATAAAAATTAGCTTGATGTGGTGGCCGGTGCCTGTAATCCCAGCTACTCAGGAGGCTGAGGCAGGAGAATCGCTTAAACTTGGGAGGCAGAGGTTGCAGTGAGCCGAGATTGCACAATTGCACTCCAGTCTGAGCAACAAGACTGAAACTCTATTTCAAAAAAATAAATAAATAAGTAAAAGATAATCCTCAAATTCACACAGAAAAGTAAAAAGCCAAAGATTGATAACCATGACAATTCTGAATAAAAACAGATTATGGGGACTTGCCCTAATAAGACATTAGAAATCTGCAGTATTTAAGATTATGATACTGTCAAACAGCAGAGAAACAAAACAAACAGCAGAGGGCAGAAACAGACCCACAATTCCATGGAGGCCTGATTTTATTTTCACATAAACACACACAAACATTCATACATAATAGTCAATGAAGAAAAGAACAACTACACAATAAAGGTTATCTATAAGGGATAAAAATGAAATCCCTCTCTAGGTAAAAAGAATAAAAAGTTGGCCAGGCATGGTGGCGAACACCTGTGGTCCTAGCCAGCTATTCAGGAGGCTGAGATGGGAGGATGGCTTGAGCCCAGGAGTTTGAGGCTGCAGTGAGCTGTCTGCACCACTGAACTCCAGCCTGGGCAACAGAGGGAGATCCTGTCTCAAAAACAAAAAAAGAATAAAAAGGCAGAGATACCAAGGAATCCCCACCCAAAATGATTAGAGTTAAGGACGAATATGGTGGGTAGGCACCTTTGAAGCAAATGTGGCAAGATACAAAACCACTGATGCTAGGTGCTACATTTTCTTAGCACTTGTGGTTTCTCTCTGAACTTTTCTATTTATTTATGAAACATTTATGAAATTTATGAAACATTTCATAAATAACATTTAATATTAGAAGATTATTAAATAAATTATGATACGGTTTAAGAACAAAAAAATTAAATTCACAAAAGTCTCAAAGATGGGTTAAATAAGTTCACATTAAGAAAAAAAGTAGGCTGCAAATGAAAATACACACACACACACACACACACACACAGTCATCTAGAAAAGGTTAAAGTTAAAAAACAAGAACAGAAAAAAATACACTGAAAAGTTCAATGGTTGGTTAATTTGGGGTAGCTGATTTTTTGTAGGTTCAATTATTTATTTATTTATTTATTATTATTTTTTTGAGACGGAGTCTTGCTCTGTCACCCTGGCTGAAGTGCAGTGGCGGGATCTCGGCTCACTGCAAGCTCTGCCTCCCGGGTTCATGCCCTTCTCCTGCCTCAGGCTCCCGAGTAGCTGGGACTACAGGCGCCTGCCACCACGCCTGGCTAATTTTTTTGTATTTTTTAGTAAAGATGGAGCTTCACCGTGTTAGTCAGGATGGTCTCAATCTCCTGACCTCCTGATCCGCCCACCTCGGCCTCCCAAAGTGCTACAGGCGTGAGCCACCGCACCCGGCCTACTGTAGGTTCAATTCTTTTAAGCCTGATGTCTGCATGGGAAATGGACTTAGAATATATGTGCTAAACGTTGAGAGGCTCCCCTCAAGCTGAGGAAATTTCACATGATTTTTCTTTTTCTTACTTTTCCTAATTGCTCTATAAAGATCAGGGATTACTTTGGTAATTTTCAAAGTCAGGACTCCAAAAAGTTAAGTAAATCTCAAAAGTGAGACTTTAAGACCTGGCAGCTACCATGGTTACCCATCAGCAGCCTGCAGCTAGAAAGCCAAACATGACATCTAAGAAACCTAAACCCATGGGACCTAAAGCCCATGGGATCTTTTCAGGGTGAGCAGGACTATGCATCCTCAAGTACTTCATATCCAGCAGATAACCAATGCTAACTTCTTTCATCCTCACCTGCTAAACTCACAGCTTCATGTGTTTTGTGATCAATTTACAGTCAGATAGCTATACCCAGGACTGTTAAATATCTTTGGTATTGCTCCTCATCTGGGGAGACAGGGTAAAAGGGGAAAGAGGGGAACTGGGGAAAAAGGGACCAGGGCTGGAGAGTAACAGACTATACACAGCCCTGGTCCCCTTTCATTTATGCGTACTCTCATTCATTCAAATATTCACTGGATCCCTAAATATCAGGCTTGTGCTGGACCCCTCAAATATATTTGTTGTTAAAAATATGGGGCTTGATTTAGTGGGAGGGTCCAACTCATCAAATCCCATCAATAATTGTAAAATTACAATTGTAAGAAGTCTACTAAAGAATGTGATGCTTCAGCTGCTTTTATCCAGGGGGTGTGCCTAGTGCAGAGGGTCCAGGAGGAAGTAATATAATTGAGCAGAGACCTAGAAGACAGACAGATGTCAATCAAAGGGTAGAGGCATAGGAAGCAATGTAAGCAAAGGCCCCGTAGCAGCAGGGCATATGGCATCTCCAAGGAATGAGAAGGCTGGAGTGTCAAAAGCAAGGGGCATTATGTAAAATAAAGCAGGTCTAGGGGGAGAGGGAAAAACCTGTGCAGGAAATTATATGTTAATAAGGCTTTTGGGCTTTACCTCCTTCTCTCTAATTGCTGAGTACTTGACAGTTTCAGCAACTCCATCTGTTTCTTCAATAGAAAAGTAGAAAAGGAGGGAAAAATGACCAAAATTCAGCTTTTATAAATCAACAGGAAGATGATCTGGAAAATTAACCCATTTATGCCTAGTGTCCCATTATTGGAACACTAAGCTTGTCAGAATTATGTATATCCTACTGCTCAAGGTCATTGCCAAGGTCTGGCTTTTCACAAAAAAAATTCTAACCTTGGGCATAAACAGGTTAATTTGTTTCATTCTGGAATTTTTTTTTTAATTTTACAAAGCTAAGATTTTGAAACAATTGACTTTAAAAAGAAAAAATCCTCCCTCACCAGTTCATTTAACAAACTAAAGTCATTAACTATGGCACTTGCTATTTCAGGATCCAATTCCTAAATTAACAGATAATTAAGCCTTTAGAATTGTGTTGCCTTCTAATTAGACACTAGAACACTGGCCAATGTTAATTAGTATTTCTTCTCCCTCCAAGTCCCCTCTTGAGCCTTTACTAATGGTACTAATTTCTCTTGCCCTAAAAAGTCCTGACTGTTCTCGCCCTAGAAAGTACGGATTGTTTCACTAACTTTATAATATAGTTTGCAACTTTGTGGCTGCCCCTGAGGCTAATTAATAAAACCCAGAAACCTATCTGACTTTGAATGTTTCTGATAAATTACCATGAAACCAAATGGCACCATAATTCAAGCTGGAATTGTAACACCTAAGTACTGATGTCAGGGATTGAAAATAAAACATTAAAAAGCCAGATTGCCGGGTATGGTGGCTCACACCTGTAATCCCAGCACTTTGGGAGGCCAAGGCGGGTGGATCATGAGGTCAGGAGATCGAGACCATCCTGGCTAACACGGTGAAACCCCATCTCTACTAAAAATGCAAAAAAAATTAGCCAGGTGTGGTGGCGGGTGCCTGTCATCCCAGCTACTCAGGAGGCTGAGGCAGGAGAATGGCATGAACCCGGGAGGTAGAGCTTGCAGTGGGCTGAGATTGCACCACTGCACTCCAGCCTGGGCGACAGAGTGAGACTCCGTCTCAAAAAAAAAAAAAAAAAAAGCCAGATCACTTACAAATATATATCAGCAAGTATATTTTTTCAGAGTTTTATTATGCATTAGCTGTTTTCTCAGTATTATCATGCTTTGCCACAAATGAAAAAAACCTATAGCATGTGGCCTTATGGAAGGTCTGGGAAGTAATTAAGATTTGGCAGCGGCAACCAGCACATCCGGAGAAGAGTTCTGGCTGCAGACTGGAAGGCGAAGGGGCATCAAGACTTAACACTAAGGGCCGAGCGCAGTGGCTCGCGCCTGTAATCCTAGCACTTTGGGAGGCTGAAGTAGGATAACTGCTTGAACCCGGGAGGCGGAGGTTGCAATGGGCAGATCGCTTGAGGTCAGAAGTTCAAAAGCAGACTCACCAACATGGTGAAACCCCATCTCTACTAAAAATAGAAAAAAAATTAGCCAGGCCTGGTGGCGGGAGCCTGTAATCCCAACTACATGGGAGGTGTGGGCAGGAGAATTGCTTGAACACGGGAGGCGGATGTTGCAGTGAGCCGAGATGGTGTCACTGCACTCCAGCCTGGATGACAGAGCAAGACTCTGTCTCGGAAGAAAAAAAAAAAAGCTAAGGCTAAAGGGATGGAGAGATGGATGGAAAACAGGAAATCCCCAGTATTGGACAGAAATAAAGAACAATTACCAAAACACAATAAAACAAAACCAAAAAAACTCCACAAAAACTACAACATGGAAAACTCAGAATCTACGAAAACTTGGCTAGAAAAGAGCTGGAGAAAAGATAAGACCTAAGACTGTGATTGAGAAAAATTGTATGATGTTCCCCATTTCTTCCCACTGAAGTATTGATCTGGTACCAATCTAGTACCAATCTGGTACAGGCACACTGGGTACAAAGTAAACTTCCCTTGCCGGGCGCCGTGGCTCAGGCCTGTAATCCCAGCACTTTGGGAGGTCGAGGTGGGCGGATCACGAGGTCAGGAGATCGAGATCATCCTGGCTAACTCGGTGAAACCCCGTCTCTTCTAAAAATACAAAAAATTAGCCAGGCGTGGTGGCACGCGCCTGTAGTCCCAGCTACTTGGAAGGTTGAGGCAGGAGAATGGCGTGAACCCGGGAGGCGGAGCTTGCAGTGAGCGGAGATCGCACCACTGCACTCCAGCCTGGGTGACAGAGTGAGACTCCATCTCAAAAAAAAAAAGAAACTTCCCAAATCCTTTGGGACTCTGGTGCTGCAGCACTGACTGCAGAGAAGTGCTGACTACCTGATCCAGCAAGAAAAGTACAGAATGAAAAGAACAGGAGTGCTTAAAAGGACACCAAATTAATCTTGATGAAAACATTATGGGGCTGTGCACACCAGAGAAGTTGAGTCTAGAGTCCCTGACTTTTCCAGTGAGATAGTCAGGACCAAGCATGGACATTCTGTGTAAACAATCAGAAAACTACTGATTTTACTTGAATACTTTTTTTTTTTTTTGAGACGGAGTTTCGCTCTTATTGCCCAGGCTGGAGTACAATGGCAGGATCTCGGCTCACCGCAACCTCCGCCTCCCAGGTTCAAGCGATTCTCCTGCCTCAGCCTTCCCAAGTAGCTGGGATTACAGGCATGCGCCACCATGCCCGGCTAATTTTGTATTTTTTTAGTAGAGACGGGGTTTCTCCATGTTGGTCAGGCTGGTCTCGAACTCCCAACCTCAGGTGATCCACCCGTCTTGGCCTCCCAAAGTGCTGGGATTACAGGCATGAGCCACCACGCCTGGCCGAATACTTGTTATTTTTCAAACTCATAAGTACTCCTTTGCTGTTAAAGGAAATAACTGGCAAAGAGATCTCTAACACCTTTATTAATGTCTTTATTTTATATATAGCTCTCCAAAAAAAGACAGGAAGTGGCATTTAACTTGAGCTATTAAAAAATGCACAAACATGCTGCACAAGTTGACTACATGGCATTCTCTTAACTATTCTAAATCTTGGGCTTTTTTAATAATTTTGTGATTCTGAAAATTTTATTACTTTATATCTAACAATCTCGGGAGATCGCTTACTTTAATAATCCTTTTTCCACAAATGAATGCTGATATTCAGAAAGTTGGGACACCCTATGAGAAACACAGGTCTGTTACCTAAGCTTCCTCTCCATCCTCATCTCTTAAGTCTCCACTCTGCTCCAGCCATACTTACTTCCTTTGTATGCTGGAATTATACTATTTGCCAAGGGAGAGGCTCTATCTAATTTACCTATGTATTCCTACCACCTAGAAGAAACAGTAAATAGACAGAAATCACACATAGATTTAAGCTCAGTAATCTGTTTACAGTTGATTCCATATTGTAAGTTCGGCCATCATAAACTTTAGTTGAGAATATTGCAAGCAGACATATATATCCCCTGAATATAATTTATCAGAACAGAATGACCCCAATCAACAACTGAAACCATATGCTGGTGTCCAGAGGGTCTAACCAGGTAAACAGCTGTCCTTACAGATCACGCCACAACAAAGGCAGTGTGAGTGCCACACAATTCAGCACAATTGCTGACTACTCTCAAAACGACAAAAGATGGAAGCACTGAAGTATAAGAAAATTTTATCATTAGACTTTTTTAGAGGCTTGGAAAAAAGGACTTAAAACTTTACAAATAAAAAAGAGGCGTTAATCCCAGAGAAAAAAGCTACAATTACCAAGAACCACACTTCCACCAAAATTTAGGAGGGAACCTAACAGTAAGTTATTTAAAATTACAATATCTCCTACTCCCAAAAAAGGAATTATAATATAACTAAATAACTCACATTCTCTATGAACTGGGTATTAGAGAGCATAAGGAAGTCATTGAAGACATTATGCAGGCGACAATCTGTGGCTTTGGTTTCCCGGATTAGTCCGTCCACTTGTTTCTTGATTTCATGGGTCCTAGAGATAGTTTGCTGTGAGAATTCCTGTAGAAACTGTAGTAGCTATTTTAAAAAATAAACATACAGTAGTATCAATGTTACATGTAACTATTCTGCATGTCACATCAAAAAAGAACCCATTTCCTTTCACCTTTGAGTGTTAGAATGTGAAAGAAATGCTTTTTTTTTTTTTTGAGAGAGAGTTTCACTCTGTTGCCTGGGCTGGAGTACAGTGGCGCCATCTCGGCTCACTGCACCTCCCGCGTTCAAGCGATTCTCCTGCCTCAGCCTCCCGAGTAGCTGGAATTACAGGTGCCCGCCACAACGCCCAACTAATTTTGTGTATTTTTAGTAGAGACGGGGTTTCACCATGTTGGCCAGGCTGGTCTCGAACTCCTGACCTCGTGATTCGCCCACCTCGGCCTCCCAAAGTGCTAGGATTACAGGTGTGAGCCACTGTGCCCGGCCGGAATGCTGGTTTGACAAGTACTAAAACCAAGTGACATTGGAAAACACTAAGAAAGCTCATCAAAAGAGTGGCAGTGAGCTAATGGACACCTATCTCGTTTCTGGAAAAATTTAAAATCCCTTTTTGGCACTGGGTATGGTGGCTCACGCTTGTAATCCAACACTTTGGGAGGCTGAGGCAGGGTTATCGCTAGAGTCCAGGAGTTGCAGACCAGTCTGGGCAACATAGCAAGACCCCCATCTCTACTAAAATTAAATAAATAAACAAATCAGACAGGTGTGGTGGACGCCTATAGTCCCAGCTACTCAGGACGCTGAGGTGAGAGGATCACCTGAACCCCAGAGGATTCAGTGAGCCAAGATCGAGCCACTTGCACTCCAGCCTGGGCGACAGGGCAAAACCCTGTCTCCTTTTAAAAGTCCTCTTTGGTTGTCAATCTACAGAGATCACAGACCAAGGGTTAGCTAATCAACCACCACTCTTATTCAAAAATCCTATTCATTTGGGACTCGAACAGTTCTGAGCTTTTTGGGCCCCCGATTTGAAGAATCCCATTAAAGGATATCCACATACTGGCTTGTTTCCCACCCCATTTAGTCCAGGTCCCAACAGGAATCGCCTCCCTAGTGCCCGAGCAATCCCTCAGTGTGGCGGAAACGGATCTCCCCTCCGGATGGAGCTGAGCCAGAAACCCCATGAAGGGAACGTCGCGTCTGGGCCACGGTCAGGGTCTGCCCCTCTCCCTGGTGGCCGGGGACTGCCAGGGTGGCATTCTCGGGGGCTAAACGGGGCGTGTGTTCCTAAGAGGGCAGGCAACGGGACGGGCCAGGTGCAGGGGCAGTCGCGGTCCGGCCCTCCTGCGCGCAAGCCAAGCGTCACCCCTGCCGCTCTCGCGTCCCCGGGGCCCGCCTCTCACGCCCGCGTCGGCCGCCAGCGACCAGCTCTGGCTGCTCCTGCGGATCTCCTCCACCGACCACGGCCGCTCCCACACGGGCTCCGACGCCGGCACCAGCTCCTGGTCGGGGGTCGTCCGGTTCATCTGCAGCGAAAAAAACGAGAAGAGAGGCTGAGCCTGAGGGCGGCAGGGACGGCGGCCCCAGCCCAGGCCGGCCCCTCTCCGGCCCGCCGCCCTCACCATCCCAGCCGCCCGGCTCGGTGGGCTCCGAGGCTGCCAGCACAGGCCGAGGACCGCAGAGCCCCGGAAGCCTAGCCCCAGCCAAGCTGCCCGGGGCGTGACCGGCCTCACGTGACCTGATGTCACGTGACAGAACCCGCACGTGATCCGACCTGCGATGCTGAGGGGAGGAAGCTGCGGAAGTGGACTGGGACTGGAGTTTGGGGTTCTACCCTAGGTTGGGGCGGAGGAAGCTGGAGGATAGGGGCTGACGCCAGGAACGCTGCAGAGGCGGGTTGGGCGGGGGGCGCTGCCGCCCAAGGCCCGAGGCAGCGGCGCGGGATCGGCCAAAGCACCGGCCGCCAGTTCGGCGGGTCTGGAGAGAGG
This sequence comes from Homo sapiens, assembly GCF_000001405.40. Classification (NCBI taxonomy): domain Eukaryota; kingdom Metazoa; phylum Chordata; class Mammalia; order Primates; family Hominidae; genus Homo; species Homo sapiens. The sequence goes on along the minus strand of NC_000010.11, from coordinate 45,726,954 downwards.
GGACCTCAAGCAGCCAGTGGAGCAACCAGCCTGGGAGCCTTCGACGTAGGCGCTGTGGGCGAAGGAAAAGGCCTGGCCTGCTGCCTCTTCTCTTGCAGCAAAATCCGCTGCTGTGAAGGAGCTGGTAGGCGGACGCTCTGTAGATAAGAGAATCCCTGATCTGCCTGGGCATCATCTTGCTCTTTATGACCTGCTTGGCTGCCACTGTGTAGGGCCTGCTTAAAGTCCTTTGCACTCTCAGCATTCCCCTCAAGTTCAAGGACAAGCTTCTCATTATGGCAGGCATAAAACTCTTTATAATTCGTCCTCCACTCTCCCAGCTCAGGGCTCCAGCTGTTGTCTCACACTTCCTTGAAGTTCCCTCTGCTGAGTCGCCCTTGTGCCTGACCAACTTACTTACTAAAATAAAAATCCCAATTTCTTTCCAGTCATGTGTGCCCAAGGGCGAGTTATTTAACTTTTCTGAGCTTTCCTCAGTAAAACGAAGCTACATATCTTGCAAGGATGTGATATTAAAGTTATGATATTGTAAAACAGGTGCCACGGTGCTTGGCCTAGGGTGAGCCTTCAACCTAGAACATACCACTGTCCCCATGCACCTTGCTCACACACCCAATCCCAGACTTTTCTTTTGTAGTCACCTCAGTTATCACCTCATTAAATAACCTGATTACCCCAAGTACAGCTTAAGTGACTTAAGTTATTTTCTATGGCTAGCGGAAGGGTCTCCGCTACATTGGAGAGCTGGGGTGGTCTGGAGTTCCACGGTGTGGTGGGCCAGAGGCCACCTCTCCTGCGGTCTCTTAGTGTCTCGCTGGCGGGGTTCGGCCCGAGCTAGATAGACACAGCCCTTGGCGGATTTAAACAACCTAAACATTAAACAATACAGCTGCCTCAAATCTTTGGGAATTTCAGAATGACTGACACTGCCAAAGCTGTTCCAAATTTTGAAGAGATGTTTGCTAGTAGATTCACAGAAGATGACGAGGAGTATCAGGAATACTTGAAACGCCCTCCTGAGTCCTCTCCAATTGTTGAGGAATGGAATAGCAGAGCTGGTGGGAACCAAAGAAACAGAGACAATCGGTTGCAAGATAGCAGACAGTTCAGAGGCAGGGACGGCAGATGGGGGTGGCCAAGTGACAATCGATCCAATCAGTGGCGTGGACAATCCTGCGGTAACAATTACCCGCAACACAGACAAGAACCTTACTATCCCGACCAATATGGACATTAAGGTTACAACCAGCTGCCCCCTTACGATAGAAATGTTGGCAGCTTTTAGTAAAAGCATTTACTGTGTTACCACGACAAAAGTTTGGGTGTCTTCTGTCGGTCATAGTTGGTTTTTTTTGTTGTCGTTTGTTTGTTTGTTTGTTTGTTTTTGAGACGGAGTCTCTCTCTGTCGCCCAGGCTGGAGTGCAGTCTCGGCTCACTGCAAGGTCCGCCTCCCAGGTTCATGCCATTCTCCTGCCTCAGCCTCCCGAGTAGCTGTGACTACAAGAGCCCGCCACCACGCCTGGCTAATTTTTTGTATTTTTAATAGAGACAGGGTTTCACTGTGTTAGCCAGGATGGTCTCGATCTCCTGACCTCGTGATCCGCCCGCCTCAGCCTCCCAAAGTGCTGGGATTACAGGCGTGAGCCACTGCGCCCGGCTCGGTCATAGTTTTACATCTGATTTTACAGAATGGATTATTGATTTTTTGGAAGTTGAGACTTTAAAAAAAAATACATCTTACTTGCGAGATGCGATGGTTGCTGGGAATACCTGAAATTGTGGATTATATTGCTTGACTTCTACCTCAGAGTCTTCGTTTCATGACTTAATAGTGTTTTGAGTTTGGTATATTTTTCTTATTTGACCTCCAGGAATTCTTCGTTTTACACAGATATAAAAATTTTAAAATAGAAAATGCTTGCTTTTACTTTGTAAGGTAAGAGAGTATCCACATGCTTAGATGTGCTCGTTTCTAAAATTCTAGAGGTTAATACAATCAGCTCATGAATGCACAGCTATGCTTCTTGTGATAGATTGTACATAACATCAGCAGTTGAAAGGTAAAACAATTGCTTTTTTTTTTTTTTTGCTTTTGTTACGTGACTATGGTACTTTGTGATTCCTTACTCTATAATGAGTCGCTCCACATTTATTTGGGTCTCTTTTTAGAGGGAAATCAGTAATAAAGCTGTAAAATAAATAAGGAAAAAAGTTGTTTTTGATGTATTTATCCTAAGGTATTACATTGTATTGTAATCATTTAAATATCAGTCTCTCCTTTAATAATAGCTAACATTTATCAAGTGTTCAGTATTTACCACTTTATACATTGTTCATTTAATTCACACAATGACTATGAGGGAGGAAATATTATTTCCAAATTATAGTTGAGGAAACTGAGGTACAGAAAGGAGAAGTAACTTACTTATGATTAGGTAACCAGGAAAGAGGCAGACCCGAGAACACACACTGTGAGCCAATATGTTACAGTAACCTATAACAGTGTTAACACTAAGGCTGGGCTGGCGTGGTGGCTCACACCTGTAATCCCAGCACTGTGGGAGGCCAAGGCGGTTCGAGACCAGCCTGGGAAACATGGTGAAACCCCATATCTACAAAAAAAAAAAATTAGCTGGACATGGCGGCATAGATCTGTAGTTCGAGCTACTCAGGAGAATGAGGTGGAATGATCGCTTGAGCCCCTGAGACCAAGGTTGCAGTCAGCCGAGATTGCACCACTCCACTCCAGCCTGGAAGAAGACTAAGACTGCTGTCTGCAAAAACAGTCTTAGAGTCTTAAGGGGACTTCATTTTTAAGTCACCATCTACCAACCTCTTCCACTTCCCCCACATTCATTAAAACACACACACACGCGCGCGCGCACGCACGCACACACATACACACTTTAGAACTTGGAACTTGGTTGGTAAAATTGAGGCGAGCCAATTACCAAACTTGGATTTTATGTAACACCATCATGGGTAACTTCAGTGGCCACGAACTTAACACCCTTAATCTACGTCCCACACCCTGGAATTTATCACTGAAACATTGTGACTCCAAAATCTGAATTTCTCCTGAATAGAGTAGCCCATTTATTTATTTATTTGTCTGTTTGGAGACAGAGTCTTACTCTGACGCCCAGGCTGGAGTGCAGTGGCACGATCTTGGCTCACTGCAACCTCCACCTCCTGGGTTCAAGTGACTCTCGTGCCTCAGCTTCCCAAGTAGCTAGGATTACAGGCGTGTGCCACCATGCCCAGCTAATTTTTGTATTTTTAGTGGAGACAAGGTTTTGCCATATTGGCCAGGCTGGTCTTAAACTCCGGACTTCAGGTGATCCACCTGCCTCACCCTCTCAAAGTTCTCCGATTGCAGGCGTGATTCACAATGCCTGGCCACAAACTGTTTTTCAAAACAGTACAGTATAGTGAGTAAAAGCACTAGCTTATGCAACAGGTTGGTTTTGTGTGCTGCAGCTAACCTCAAAGTTGTAAGGATTAAATTAGATAATAAAGTGCTTTTAGTAACATGCCTGGCACAGTTCATTGATTCAAACATTGAACAAAATTTTTTTTTTGTTATACATACTACTGTGTACCTTTGGAAAAATTAGAACTTAACAGATGAGGCTAAGTTTGAGCCTTCCAGTACTTTCTTTCTCTGCATACTCTTCAGAGGTAACTGGGATCATGCTCTGGGAGCATGTCTTTCCACGTCTTTTTCTTTGCTTTTATAAATATATCTGTTTCCATAGAAATGCTTGTATGTAGAGGGGGCGCGGTATCGTGCTGGATTTGTTATTGGCACTTTTTTGCTTGACCTACCTTGGATGGCTCTCTAATTGTTACAGCTTTTACCTTTTAACTATTACTCAGTATTCTTACTAAGGTAAGACTATACTGATTTTGTTTATATTTCTCTAGTAATAGGCCAGGTGTGGTGGCTCATGCCTATAATCCCAGCACTTTGGGAAGCCAAGGCAGTTTGATCACCTGAGGTAAAAAGTTTGAGACCAGCCTGGCCAACATGGTGAAATCCAATCTCTACCAAATATAAAAATTAGCCAGGCATGATGGCAGGTGCCTGTAATCCCAGCTACTCGGGAGGCTGAGGCAGGAGAATCGCTAGAACCCAGAAGGCGGAGGTTACAGTGAGGCGAGATCACCCCATTGCACTGCAGCCTGGGCAACAACAAAATTACTCAAAAATAAAAAAAGTAAATAAATAAAAATATTTCTCTAGTAACAGACAATTTTGATATTTTAATATTTTGCTTTTTATATTCTTGTGGTTACATTCTTATTAAAGATTGCATTTTTATTTAGATTTGAAGTAAATCTTGTGTATTATTTGTTCCAGCACATCTTTTGCTTTATAACTTACTGCATCGTGATTATGATTATTATTTTAAACAGCTGTTACGATTTTGAAGGAGGAGCCTAAAGGCTAAGTGGCAGTATCTCTTCTTTAGCTTAATAACTAGTAGTTCTAATTTGGTATTTTATACTCTTAGCACATCACACAAGTGAGTGATGAGGAAGAGGATGATGATGGCTGTGACCTTTTTGCTGACTCTGAGAAGGAGGAGAAAGATATTGAGGACATTGAAGAAAATACTAGACCTGTAAGGAAGGCTGTAGTTGCTATCACTTGGCAGGGTTTTAGAACCAATGACTTTTTTTATTTTTTATTGTGACTTACTTTGTACATCTCTCATTTTTGCATATTTGTCATTTCATCTACACTTTGGAAAATAATGGCAAGCATCTCAAATTGCCTCACAAGTACCACTTTCTTGTCCAGATGTTATGATTTTATGAGTCAGATCATTCAGAATATGTCTGGTTCCAGAGTTTGAAGACCATAGTGCTCCTGTCTCCCTGCCCATGACCTTTTTCTTATTTTCTTATTTAGATTTTTAAGTATTAAAGTCAAGTATTAAAAAAATAAGGAAATAAAGAGCATCTCCCTTTGAAGGAACATTTTGAGTCCCATTCCTTGGGTGAGCTGTATAGGGTACATATGTTTAAGTTCATTTAATTAAACTCAGTTTTCTCCTCAGTTCAATTTCTTTGCTCTTGTATACATAATGTTGTTAGGTGTCCAAAGTGAAGTGTACTAGTTTGTTACAAAAAAGCGATTCTTTTGATTTCTCCTGCTGTAGAAAAGAAGCAGACCTACATCGTTTGCAGATGAGCTGGCTGCCCGCATCAAGGGGGATGCCGTGGGCCGAGTGGACGAGGAGCCGACAAGTGAGCCCCAGCCGCGTTGATGGGGAGTAGGGGAGGGGTAGTGCAGGGCCCTCTGCTGGCTTCACCAAAGGCGGATTTCTCTTTTTATTAGTAATTACCACATATATTTATTAGTAATTGCTACATATAATTTAAATTGTAGTGCTTATTCCTTTTTTGGTTAATGAGCTCCTTTAGATAACTGAACACTGTGGACCCACAAGAAAAACGTACATGTACACATGTAGATAACCCTTTACATATAATTTCAGGGGACTAATGGAAACTCCAGAGAACCATGGGCAACAGCTTAAGAATTCCTGGCTGAATATTTACTCCTATATTTTGAACACGTAAGAATGTGCTATATAGCATATTCTAGTTATAAGAGAGTAGAAAGATAACATAATAATTCTTTCAACAAATACAATCCTGTTATGCACATGAGCCTGGGATGAAAGCAGAAGCCTTCTGCCTTACAAAGAGACTCTTGAGTGCCCACTGTGGGCAGGGCAGGGGGTTCAGTGCAGCTGAGATGAAAGGCAGATGTCTTGCTCTTAGCTGTGAGTTATGAGGATGACAGACGTGGAAAGAACCAGGATGCGTATACTGAGGGAGGACTTAGTACTATTAAAACTGTGAACTGTTCTTCAAGCCTTACCCTCAGGAGAAGCAAAACTTCGGAAGACACTCAAGAGAAGAAGGAAAGGAGAACTCCTTCGGACGGTGGGCCTTTTCCCTCAATTCTGTTATTTTAGGAGGCTTTGACTCGGGAATGTTGCTTACATAATTCATGAAGTACTGCTTTACATGCTGTTTTCCTTCTGACAAATGGGTCTGTCTCCATTTACTTTTCTAAAGCCTCTGGGCTGGGCGTGGTGGCTCCCGCCTGTAATCCCAGCGCTTTGGGAGGCCGAGGTGGGCGGATCATAAGATCAGGAGTTTAAGACCAGCCTGGCCAACATAGTGAAACCCCATTTCTACTAAAATACAATAAATTAGCTTGGCATGGTGGCGGGTGCCTGTAGTACCAGCTACTTGGGAGGCTGAGGCAGGAGAATCACTTGAACCCGGGAGGCAGAGGTTGCAGTGAGCCTTGATCGCGCCACTGCATTCCAGCATGGGTGACAGTGCAAGACTCCATCTCAAAAACAAACAAACAAAAGCCTTGGAAGGCATGTTTTGGGGTGCTGGGAGGATATGTGGGTGTGGAGTAAAAATTCCTGTAGAGATTTGATTTATTAGATTTTACAGCAATCATTTCTTGTCTTTCTAGAATTCTTTAGAAATATAGAAACTTAGGGATCTCTAGCATTTGTTTTCAATAAAGGATACACCAGGCCTTTTCCTATTAAACAGCCATGTCCATTACATTCCACTTGTCCCTGTGTCAGTCTGCAGGTCCCTTTGTTTATTCTGCCCTTCCTTCCCCCAGATTGGTTGGGGAATGGGTCTTGAATGTGGCATCTGACCTGAATGCTTGCTTCAGAGTAAATCTAGATCCAGGGTGCTGGCCTAGAGAATGAATGCTGTCTGCCGCAGACATGGACAGACTTGAGAGTGGAGGCCCAGAGAGTCTTTTGAGGGTGTCAGTGGACTGTGCCAGGGGGTTAGTGTGAAATTCGTCAGACTGCCTCACACTTCGATAAAGAGGGTCAGATAAACTTCATGCCAGTTTGGAGACATTGCAGACGCCAACCCAGGAATTTGAGTTCCGGACCCGTCTTTAATACTCCTTGCAAAACATTGCTTTCTGTTTGCTAGATGAAGAGGATAACTTATTCGCACCCCCCAAGCTGACCGACGAGGACTTCTCGCCATTTGGCTCTGGAGGTGGCCTGTTCAGTGGGGGCAAGGGGCTCTTTGATGATGAGGACGAGGAGGTGAGTCCATGGCACTCAGCAACACTCCCTGCAGCTAGCTGTGTCAGGGGTCCACAGGGAAGAAATAGGCTTTGCTTGTTTAGTGGGGAAAAAACAGTTTCTCAGTTGGAAGTTGCTTCTATTTTCATATTTTGGGACATTTTGAACTAAGAATCACAGAGTGAGAAATGCCGTATCCTTCTGTGCTTTGTTAGGTGAGGAGAAGATGTGCACGTGTTAATGTGAATAATTTACTAGGTGATTGTTTCTTGCCTTATCTGTTGTCTTCCACGTTTGTTTTTAATTCCTGGACAGGCCTAAATTATTTTAGGGTCTGATTTTGCCATAGTTATCACTTTGCAACTGATTTTCTGGCAGAGTAGTAAATATGTAGCTTTAAATCTTGTAGGTTATTTTTCCTTAGGAATCCTCACATGCAGCTATGCTTTCTCCTGGTTTTTTGAATTCTTTGTCATATACCTTATTTCAACCAGAGTGACCTCTTCACGGAAGCCCCCCAGGATCGGCAAGCTGGAGCCTCTGTTAAGGAGGGTAAGCTGGGGCTGGGCAGCTGCGTCTCCGTGTGCAGAGTTCCAAAACTGTCTTTCTCACTAGGAGATGGAACCCTGAGGTTGTTCCCAAGCCTTGTTTCTGTGTTAAGCAGGAAGCTGTTGTTTTTACTGCGGTCCAGTTGAAAGTAATTCATCTTCACTAATTCATGTCTTGGAAAAAACAGTACCACCGGTAAACCCATACCACAGTCTTGCCTCTTTGTTAGGAGAGAACTCATAAAAAGTCAGACAAGAAAAGTACCCTAGAGCAATGTTGAGGATGATTTTCATTGAATGAAGTTTAATTTAAAGAAACGTTTTTAACATTCTGTATATAAGTTGGAGACCAGTAATTCCCCAACCCAGTGTGCATTAAAATCATCTGCACAGGTTTTGTTTTTGTTTTTGTTTTTGTATTTTTAGTAGAGACAGGGTTTCACCGTGTTGGACGACGGTTGGACAGGCTGGTCTTAAACTCCTATCCTCAAGTGATCACCCGCCTAGACCTGGCAAAATGCTAGGAATACAGGCATGAGCCACTGCACCTGTCCCATTGGTGCAGTTTTTAAAAAACACAAATATAAATATGTTTTTTAACCTACAAATGTTACTCCATAGGTTTGTGGTAGTTCTTGGGACTTGGGAATTAGTGATTCTAAGTGCCGAGTCTCCCGGGCACAGGCATCAGAGCTGGGCCTTGGAAGCCGCTCCTTGTGCGTGCTGTGCGGGCTCCTCTGCATTCTGCTGTCCACGTTTTGGCATCAGTGACTTGCTTGGTTTCCCCCTTTGCTCTTATGTCTTTATTTTTTTACTGATGACTCACATGTTTTTGCTGTTCTTTTTCACTCGTTCATTCTCATCCAACTGGAATGGGTAGAGGTGGAACTGTTTGGGGGAGCCCCGGTCATGCTGTCCCTGCCTCTGCCAGCTGTGCTCACCTCCTCCCTTGGTGTCCCCCAGCTGACCCACTGCTGTGGCTTGATGACGGTCAGCATGCTCTTCCATTGGAGTCACAGCTGAGATTGTATCAATCCCCCCAAAAAAGTCCTGATGTCAGTAGAGAAGAAAATACTAAAGAATTTTAAAATGGCTTGTTCAGGAAAAAGTAGTTTCAAAAGGTCTGGTACTAGCTGTGTGTTACATTGCACATATTTCAGGAAGAAAATAGCAAGGAAAGTTATTTCCCTTGTAAAAATGGTTATCCCTTGCTTTCTCATTCTAGAGTCTTCATCATCCAAACCTGGAAAGAAAATCCTAGCAGGAGCTGTTTCTGTATTTTTAGGTAACATAACAGGTTTGTTTTCTAAAAACTACACAAATACTGTTTTTTCCATTTCAAAATTATCATCTTCTAAAGCCTGGCTGGAGATGAGGAAGTACCTGGGAGCTTCAAAGGGCTTTGAGCAGCGTATAGAAAGAGCTCATTTACTGATATTAGCTCTTATTCTCCTAGAGCTCAGTGGCCTTGGACTTTTTTGTGTTTGAGTGACCTGGTGATTCTCCATTGTGAGATGTTCTGTAGCAGTAATGGATGGAGGCTATTGGGCCCTGTTAATGCATTTTGTGGATTAACTGAAATGGAAAGTTTTTGGTGGGTGATAATTTTTTTCTGTAAATTCAACAGGCCCACACTGGCTCACAGCTGTGTCTGTCTTGTCCCTTCACTCACAGGAGACACGGATGTGCTGCCTCCGTTCCATCACTGAAGGAGCCACAGAAGCCTGAGCAGCCCACTCCAAGGAAAAGCCCCTATGGTCCCCCTCCCACTGGCCTGTTTGATGATGATGATGGTGATGATGATAACGACTTTTTCTCGACACCCCACAGCAAACCTTCCAAAACAGGTATTTGTTCCTGCCTCTGTGTCTAGGACTTCAGCCAGAAAAAGAATGTTGCCTAAATGGAAGATAAGCTCACCTAGTTCTGTATCTCTTATAGTACCAGAATCCCTTCCCCAGCATTCCTGTCATTGAGCTGTTGTGTCTGTACTTACGTAGGTGTGGTGCCTGGGAGGTCTGTTTTATGACCCAATCTTTTCTGCTCTGTAAGCTAATTACTATGATTATTTTCCTTATAGAGAGCTGAAGTCTTTATCCCTATAATTTTTGCTTAATTCGCAGTTCTGACCTTTGGAATTATAAAGTTTTAATCATACTTTCTTCCAGCTGACCTTAGTCAATTACATGAGCAGCATTTTGTGTGCTGGCCGTTTAGTTCCCAGCTTCTCTTCTCTCTGCCAAAAAGCTCAGGTGGCCTTGGTCTTTCTTCACATGATGGGGTTTTCATCCACTTGGCCACTCCTTTCTTTTTGGCATTCTCCTTTCTTTTTCCTCTTAAATGTAAGTCCTGTGTTCCTGAAGTCATTCCTGTAAATCATTTGTTTTTAAATGCGCAGATGAATCTCCCAGAGGCTTTTGTCAAAATGAAGATTCCGATTCAGTAGGTCCAGGGTGGGGCCTGAGAATTTACATTTCCAGCAAGCTTCATGGTCTGTAGATCACACTTGGAATAGCAAGACTTAGATCCATTGACTGCTCTTCCAGAAAAGAAAGGTAGATCCCTAGATCCCTAAGTTGCACATGATTTTCAGCAACTTTAAAAAATAAAAAAGGATGATATAGGAATAGATGGAATCAGAATGCATTTAGAAGCAGACTGTCTGGACTTACTGTCCTTTTCCAGTGTTAGGTGTAGAAAGTAAGGATGGAAGCCAAAGCACGAGGGAAAACGATAGCCTAGTTAATCTAGAAAGAGTGCAAACGGATGCAGAATGCATGCAGGTCTCGGTGAAGATGACAGTGAATGAAGGTAGTAGTGCTTTTTGTAGCTCCACAGGGCTCTCACTTAGTGGATATCTTTGAGAACTGATTTAGAATCACTAGTAAATTGATGCTGCTTTCTTTGACAACTCCTAGTCTCTTCAGACATTCATGAGTCAGTGACCTCATTTCAGCAACGCATGCCCCATTCGGTACAGCAGTGTTTACTGTGGTGAAAATATTCATCAGTAGAGTAAGCGATGGCCCTTCTATTCAGTGGAATATTGTGCGACTGTTAAAACGAGTGGGGTCTACGCTTGTTGACTTGGGAAGGTTTTATAGGTACATTAAGTGGAAAATACAAATGGTAAGACACATTGTTCAAATTACCTTCTTATTTATAGCCTTATTTGTAAATAACTAGTGTTAACTCATTAGTACATCCTTTGGGGGAATTGGAAGCATGTATGCTGAACTGTTTCCAATGTCCATGTTGTTCGAGTAGGCAGGTGGAATTATGAGGGAATTTCATTATTTGCTTTTATCTGCTTTTGTACAGTTTGATTTTTTTTTTTTTTTTTTTTTTTTTGAGATGGAGTCTTGCTCTGTCACCCAGGGTGGAGTGCAGTGGCGGATCTCGGCTCACTGCAACCTCCGTCTCCTGGGTTCAACCAATTCTCCTACCTCAGCCTCCCGAGTAGCTGGGATTACAGGCGCCTGCCCCACACCCAGCTAATTTTTGCATTTTTAGTAGAGATGGGGTTTCACCACGTTGGCCAGTGTGGTCTCAAACTCCTGACCTCACGTGATCCACCCGCCTTGGCCTCCCAAAGTGCTGGGATTACAGGTGTGAGCCACTGTGCCCAGCCCAGTTTGATTTTTTTAAAGCAGGAGCCCAGCCTTCATTTCTCAGATTCCTTAGATGATTGACTTGGTGTTCCTCTTAAGTGATCTTTCTTCCTCTAGATCCCTCTTCACCTTTTAAGTTAGTCCAAGCTTCTCTAACCGCAGCAGGAGACTGCTGCTTGGATAAGCATGTCAGCTGCATGGTTAAACTATTTGTTCTGTCTTTCAACTGAGCTGTCAATACACTCTTTGAAAAATTTGAAGGGAAGAGTATAGTTCCACTTACTATTTCTTTATAAGTAACCAAGAAACAATGTAACTTTCATATTAATCTTCGGGAGGGAAGAATTTTTTATTCTATGAATTTTGTGGTAGGATTTTTTGTGGTAGGATTTCCGGCCTTATTGTAATTTTATGCCTTGGTATTTAAAGGCAAAGTCCAATCCACTGCTGATATCTTTGGTGATGAAGAAGGAGATCTGTTCAAAGAAAAAGCCGTAGCATCGCCAGAAGCCACGGTGAGTCAGACAGATGAAAATAAAGCAAGAGCAGAAAAAAAGGCGAGCAGGAGGGAGGACTTAACGCAGGAGCATTGATCTGCAGCATTTTAATAATTCATCCGGAACCCAGAGGGAAGTACTGTTCCCTTTCACGTTCATATTGAAGAACTTCAAACAGAAAGTGGAAAGAACATTGCAGTGAACACCCAAATAACTGCCACCCAGATTGATCAGTTCTTAGGGTTTTGGCAAACACTTTATGGATGTAAACCTTGTTACATATCTATTTTTTTCCTGAACTATTTGCATGTAAGTTGTTTGAACTGTTTGCTGCATGGAACTGTTTCCATGTAGTCATTGTGACATTCTACCCCTAAATATTTCATTAAGCCTCTCTTGAAAAGACTTCCATATAAGCACAATGCCATTATCAACAGCTGTGAGACTAACAGTAATTCTATAGTAGAATCTAATATCTAGTCTGTATTAGAATTGCTCCAGTTGTCCCAGAATGTCTTTGTAAAATCACCCCAACAAATAGAATACAGATTTAAAATTATCTCACATATAGTTTATATTGTAATTTCCTCTCTTGTCCCCAAAATGCCATTTATAGCAGCGGTCCCCAACCTTTTTGGCATTGGGGACATTAGGAGAGTGCAACTTGCAACCTAGATCCCTCGCATGTACAGTTCACAATAGCGTTTGCCCTCCTATGAGAATCTGATGCTGCCACTGATCTGACAGGAGGAGGAGCTCAGGCAGTAATGCTTGCTGCTCACCTCACCTCCTGCTGTGCGGCCTGGCTCCTAACAGGTCATGGACTGGTCTGCAGCCCAGGGTTGGGGACCCCTGCTTTATAGTATTTTTGTGTATTTTGATTTTTTTTGTTTTGTTTTAAGAAACCCAGGATTCAGGCAGTATGTCTGCATTGCATTTGGTTGTCCTGTCTCTTTGGTCTCCTTAATCTAGTGCAACACCTCCCACATCTTTTTTTTTTTTTTTTTTAACGTCCAGCCACTTGTCTTGTAGAATGTGTCGCATGAATTTGCTTGATTATTTTTCTATGAATTGATTCAGGGTGAGCAGTTTTGGCAAGAATACAAGCAGGCAGGGTTGTGCACTTCCAGTTGGATCACCTCCCAAGATACATCAGGTCCACTGTCTGCCTCATTCAGACACGTTTGTCACTTGGTTGTTAGGGTGCCCACCACACTGCTTCATTGGAAAGGTACCCTGTTCTCTTTTGCCATTGCTAAGTTGATCTCTAAAGTGATAGCTGAACAGTGTGAATACCTGTTCTCTCCCAGCCTTTTACTCAGTGTTTTGAAAATCCACTGATGATCTTTTCCTGAATCAGTTAACCTGTTAGTGGTCATAAACCACTGCTTTTTTAATTCTATATTTCTTATTAGTTGGTATCTTCTGAATAAAGAGTTTCCTCGTCCTCTGCTTCCCTAATTTTTAGTGTTGCTTTGGGATCATGAATTCATTCTTCAGTGTAGATGATAATCCATTACCATCATTCCTCTTCTTCCTTTTTTTTCTGAGACAGGGTCTTGCTCTATTGCCCAGGCTGGAGTATAGTGGTGCAATCACAGCTCACTGCAGCCTCAACCCCCTGGGCTCAAGCGATTCTCCAGCCTCAGCCTACCAAGTAGCTGGGACTATATGTGCACACCACCATGCCTAGCTAATTTTTGTATTTTTTTGTAGAGACTGGGTTTGACCATGTTGGCCAGACCATCATAGTTTTTGGTGCTCAGATTGACCTGCATTTGGCCAGTGTGTGTGTCCCCAGCAGTTTTTAAGCCCTTTTGACTGCTTGACCTTTCACTGCTGTCCTGTACAGCTGGTCCCTCCTCTTTCTACAGTTTGTCTCATCATGTCATGTCCTGGCTGTGAAACCCTGACTTTCTCCTGCCGACCCCCTAAGGCCCAGCATTCAGAACCTGGTAGGCCTGTCAGGCAGCCTGTCTTTCCATGCTGTCTCTCATTGCATATGTCCCATCTGTGCACCCATTGACCCAGACTGTGTGTCCTGCTCCCTGATACACCAGATGTGTCCTCTGTTTGTCTTGCTGTTCTCCTAACAGCCCCCTCGGCTTGCTGCCTATCACAGCAGAGACTCCGTGCATTTTCTAAATGGTTGATTGAGTAAACACTCTTTTCTGGGTATCTTATTTGTTAATGCTTAATTTTTCTTTTTCTTTTCTTTTCCCCCAACAAAGGTTACCTTACCTTCCAGCAAAAATCTCAAGCCCTCGTCAGAAACAAACACTCAAAAAGGCTTATTTTAGGATCAGGAGGACTCTGAGGTATGGTATTCTTTTCCTTAGTTGTGGGTATTAGTCTATGGATATGACATAGAAACTATTTCTGAATCAGGTTTTTCTCAGCAGAGTTATAAGACTTTTCGTTAAGTACTCCAGTTCTTTAAAAATTATCTCTAGAGGTCAGGAGCGGTGGTTCATGCCTGTAATCCCAGCACTTTGGGAGTCCAAGGCAGGTGGACACCTGAGGTCAGGAGTTCAAGACCAGGCTGGCCAACATGATGAAACCCTGTCTCTATTAAAAAGACAAAAATTAGCTGGGCATGGTGGTGCGAGCCTGTAATCCCAATTACTCAGGAGGCTGAGATAGGAGATTCACTTGAACCCGGGAGGCAGAAGTTGCAATGAACCGAGATCACGCCATTGCACTCCAGCCTGGGCGACAGAGTGAGACTTCGTCTCAAAATAAATAAATGAATAAAAAATAATCTCTTGAGAGCACAGGGGTTTTAGAAAGCAATATGTTTACAATACTTTTCACTTTTGGGTTGGACTGTATTTACGTTTCCTGGGATGAAAATACTCTCTTTTTAGGATGCTCAGATTGTAAACTGTTCATGGGCTCATGATGTGATGAGGAGCTTGCACCAGAGTGGAGGTCACCATGCTACTTCCTTTATTCACATTCTCACTAACTAGACCGTGGCTTAATGCTGTAGCAGATGGGTTCTGGCATAGCCATCTGTCTTGTCGAGACTGAGACCACTAACAGCCTGTGGGACCCTGGTTCACAGGTTGCTTTGGTCCCTCCAGGTACCTTAGAACCACCTCTCAGAATTTCACTGCTTTTCCTGAATCTCTCAGGCCTAGGTCGTCTTAGATCTAATTTTAAGTTGGCCTTTTAGGAGATCGGAGACCTGTATGAGAAATGTAATGGGAAATAATAAGCCCCTTTTACAGAAAAACATGTGGACATGGCAGAAACTTACATGTATTTCAAGAAACTGTGGGCTCTAGGTTAGGCTGTCATGGTTGGGCTTTGCACTCACAGCAAGGATGAACATGGAACCCTTTGGAAGTATAGTGATTGCCCTTGACGTAAAGAATACCTTTGAGGCTATTATTTCATTGAAGGCGAGTGTACAAAACATGGCAATTAACCAAAGTCCAGTCAAGTCACAACCCTGACCCCTGAGAAACAGCATGATGGGGCCTCCACCGTCTTATGCTCATGGATCCCCTGTGTCACCCACACCTGCACCTCGGGGTCTTTGCACCGGCCCCTGCCACTCTGAGGAATGCTGTTCCCAGAATCCAGCTTTCTTCCTCACTCTTCGATTTCTCTGTGAGGCCTCGCTGATGAAATACACACAACAGGAAGCCTGCTAGCACATACCACGCTGTGCTCCTGGTCCTCTTTCCTATTTCACTGTTTACCACAGCACGTGTTGCCAGGGACAATGTATATTTACTTATTCATTGTCTCTACTTCCCACTAAAGTAAGTGCCACAAGGACAGGACTTTTTATTCCCTGTTTGTATCCCCAGCACCCTGTCCTTAATACCAGTGCTTGGCATGTGGTAAGCCATCCAGTAATTGTTGATTAGACAAGAAAACCAAATGTGAGCAATTTCAGTGACTTACGAGATGTTCTGGTTATTTGTTGCTATGAAACAAGTAACTCCAAAACCTAGTAGTTTATAACACCAGTAGTTTTGTTATCTCATACTTCGAGAGTTTGACTGGGCTTAGCTAGGCCGTTGTCACTGAGGGTCTCTTGTGTCTGAAGGTGGCTGGGCTGAGGGTCAGCTCACTCATATGTCTGGTACCTGGGCACTGGGGCCCCTGGGACATCTCTCACTAGCCCTGTGTGGCTCCCAGCATGTAGTCAGGGAAGCCGGTCCTCTTACATGCTGGCTCAGGGCTGTAGGGGAGAGTCCTCAGAGAGAGCCCAGTGGAGGCCATGTTGCCTTCTGTGTTCCAGCCTTGGAAGTCAACGGTGGTCCTTTTGCTTCATTTGTTGGTCAAGATGGTCACAATGGCCCATCCAGGTTCATGGGGAGGGGCCATAGGCTCCCCTTCTTGATGGTGGGAGTGTAAATGTACTCTCAGACTTGTGTGAAAACCCTACCAAAGGCTTTGCCTCATGTGTGTCATCATAGAGTGAATGTTTTTATTGGATATTGTTCAGATTCTGAGGCAAGGAGAAGTAAAACTAAGGCAGTCTAAGTAAGAGTTAAAGCTTTGGACCCAAAGGAATGCGTCCTGACTCCTTTCTCTGTATCTCAAGTGTGGGGCTGAAGCTTGCCCTGTGAAGTCATTTTAGGGGAACATATTTGAGGTAATGGAAGTGTCTTTTTTTGCAGTACCAATAAAAGTATTAGTTAAGGGTCCAAAACTGTGATGTTGACATTTGTTTTTGTTCTTTGCTTTGGTTTACTTTCATTTTCTTAGAACAGCAGAACCCTTTCTCTTGCCATTGTGTAACATGCAGGAGGGACACGGGATGCCTGGAATTCCCCTTGTGGCCTCTTCTATCTAAATAAACCCATGGGACTCCGGGGAGCACAGGGGAAAAACACTGTGTGGAGGAGATCTCACTTAGTGAACTCATTAGGTCTATGTTTGAGGAGTAGACATCAACCCCATGATTAAAAAAAAAAAAACTGTCAGAAGAGGTCTTAGAAAATATGTTCTTGTCCTATTTAATTGTTCAGCTCTTGTGTATTAATGTTTCTCTTCCCAAGGGATTAGATGTCCCATTTTATGTTTCTACTTCATGTAGCTCAATTTGTAGGTCTTTCTTTGCAGGATAAGCTGATGTCTTATAACGTTTTGAAAATTTCTTTATTTTTATATTTTTTACTTTTTTGAGACAAAATTTCACTCTTTTTGCCCAGGCTGCAGTGCAATGGTGGGATCTCGGCTCACTGCAACCTCCGCCTTCCGGGTTCAAGCAATTCTCCTGCCTCAGCCTCCTGAGTAGCTGAGATTACAGGCACCCACCTCCACGCCTGGCTAATTTTGTATTTTTAGTAGAGACAGGGTTTTGTCATGTTGCCCAGGCTGGTCTCGAACTCCTGACCTCAGGTGATCCACCTGCCCCAGCCTCCCAAAATGCTGGGATTATAGGTATGAGCCACAGTGCCAGGCTGAAAGTTTATTCAGAATCTAGCAGGTCTTATCCTGGTTTGCAACATCATATACTTGTAGTAAAACTAAGTAGACTATCAAACATTTACAAATAAAAATTTAATTTGTATTTATTTAAAAGAAATAAGTGGGCTGGGCGCGGTGGCTCAGGTCTGTAATCCCAGCACTTTGGGAGGCAGAGGCGGGCGGATCACGAGGTCAGGAGATCGAGACCATCCTGGCTAACACGGGGAAACCCGGTCTCTACTAAAAATATAAAAAAATTAGCCGGGCGTGGTGGCGGGCGCCTGTAGTCCCAGCTACTCAGGAGGCTGAGGCAGGAGAATGGTGTGAATCCGGGAGGCAGAGCTTGCAGTGAGCCAACATGGCGCCACTGCACTCCAGCCTGGGTGACAAAGTGAGACTCCATCTCAAAAAAAAAAAGAAAGAAAAAAGAAAAAGAAATAAGTCATAATCTTAGGAAAGAAGGGTGTTACGAAATAAAATAGTTGTAGGTCCCTTAATTTGGGAATCTAGCTCCTATTTCTTTATTGACCCTGTCTAATTTCTGATTCTTTAGACAGTAATGGGAAGCCATTCTTATTTATTTATTTTTTTAGCATGGTGTAGGAAATTGATTCAAAAACTTATTCCTGCCTTCTGTCATTCAGGTGGGAATACAGAAGCCCCTGGGCTCTGCGAGCCCACCAGATCCTGTAGCTCTCCTCCTCCTTAGCGCCACTGCACACACCCTGCACAGACCCTGAGGCCTCCTTTAAGGACTCTGTCTGAGCCACCTTCCCTCTCAGGAAAGAAGCCTAGACACATGGCAGCTGTCATGTCTGAGTCACTTGTGTTTTATACTGACCTGATATTTTAAAAACTGATATTCCTGTTAACCAGCAACTTTTTAATTTCAATCCAACAGGATTTGTTTTCTTCTCAAAGTGCGAGTAACTTAAAAGGTGCGTCTCTGCTGCCTGGCAAGCTCCCCACGTCGGTTTCCCTGTTTGATGATGAAGATGAAGAGGTAAACATTGTTATTGTAACACTAGATAATTTAGATTAGGAGAAAACGGTTGTTGATGTAACTTTCTACCCAGAGGCTCATATACTAGCAAAAGGTGGTAGGGAAGCAGTCAGGCTACCTGAAGTTTATATAACAAAAATATTTCTGTTTTTATTTCAGTGACTTCTTCCTTATATTTTCCTAGCTGTGCAATGGAGAAGACATTAGATTCTTGACGCAGTTCTTTTTTTTTTTTTTTTTTTTTTTTGAGATGGAGTCTTTCTCTGTCACCCAGTCTGGAGTGCAGTGGTGCAATCTTGGCTCACTGCAACCGGGTTCAAGAGATTCTTCTACCTCAACCTCCCAAGTAGGTGAGACTACAGGCGTGCACCACCACTCCCGGCTAATTTTTGTATTGTTAGTAGAGACAGGGTTTCATCATGTTGGCCAGGCTAGTCTCAAATTCCTGATCTCAGTTGATCTGCCTGCCTCGGCCTCCCTAGGTGCTAGGATTACAGGTACGAGCCACCGTGCCTGGCCTCTTGACACAGTTCTTATGGAGTGAAATCTACAGGTTTTATTTTTAGAAATCTTCCTTTGAGAAATACAATTGACCCTTTAACAGTGAGGAGGTTGTTTTGGCTTCCACATTGCAGTGAAAAATCCATATATAACTTCTTACTTCCCAAAAACTTATCTACTGATACCTTACTGTTAACCAGAAGCCTCATGGGTAACACAAACAGTTGATTAACCTATAAATAGTATAGTATCTATTTATATATTTTTGTATTCCTGACATATCTAGCATTTCCTTATTTTTTTTTGATATTTCTAGGCTAAGTGGTTTGTCTGCAAGATTTTTCAAATTGTTGCAAATGCCAAAAAAAATTTTCAGCATATTACTGAGAAAACATTTGTGTAGAAGTGGACCTGTGCAGCTCAAACCTGTGTCATTCAGGGTGAGCTGTACTTTAGTCTAGAGGATGGATCAACATATACCCAATGACCTACAAGAATGTTTTGGATCAAGTGGAGATACAAAGGAGAAGGCAGCCATGTCCTGACCATTGTCTTTCTTTCCCATCCTGGCTGGAGAGAGCACAGTGGGGAAGAGAAATAAGAGAGAAGACAACCCAAACCTTAACTCTCATGCAGTACTGGGCGGTGGTGAGCTCAGAGGCTTTGCCATCAGACCCCTGGGTTCATATCCCAGCTCCACCACTTGCAAACCAGGAACCTGGGGCAAGTAACTTAACCTTCCTTAAGCTCATGTGGCTTAACAGTGAGTAGGGTCATTGTGGCAGCTGTAACTACTAGTGTGAAGCTCATGCAGAGTGCCGGCACATAATAAGTGCATAGTGAATGTGAGCTCTGTCATTAGCATCCCCAATGGACACCAGCTCATTATTCTCCTGGCCTGTCCTACATTACCGCACTCTCCTTAAAGGAGACTTCATCCAGGAAGACACTCCCTTCATCCATCTTCACATTCCAGGGCTGTTCACCTGCTGTTAAGAGTTTGTCCATCCTAACTCAGACTCAGGCCCTCTGATGCTTTTGTTCCCCTTATCTGAATAAAAGCACCTTAATAAATATAACTTTTGGGGAGTGCTTGACCACAGAAGAATTTACAAATGCCATTAAACTTAGTACACCAGCAATTTTATTTAGTAAGCTATTTCTCCACTTTGTATAATCTCTTTGAAACTAATGAGAAACACAAGTCATGCCTTCCCTCCATCCCAGGTGTATGTCTTTCTGACCTGTAAAGGAGTGGAGACAGACCCCCAGTTCTCTCCTTTCAGCCATTGTTCTGGTTTCTCATTTGTGGAGACAACAGTGTGAGTTTCTGGCTGCTGCGGGGGCTCCCGTGCCCATCGCAGGCTGTAACCACCTGAAATGAGCAGAGAGGCACTTGCCCACAGGGCGACTGGATGGGGCTCAGTTTCTCCTTGTACTTCATGATCTCATTCGCATGTTGTTCTCCTGCTTATTCACAGCTGTTCTGCCTTCGAGTTCTATGGTAATCTCTTTCCCTTCTATGGGTGCAGTGAGAAAAGGCTGTAGTTTGGGATTTACTAGCATTTTGTGGTTTTTCCTCACCAGAGTTGTTATTTGTATACCTGACTGGAGACTTACTTCCTTAAAGTTTGATATAGGAGGACATCCTATGTTTTCTGATTATAAAGTTGTCTTACCTTTCTGCCATTTGCTTTTCTAGGATAATCTTTTTGGGGGTACAGCTGCTAAGAAGCAGACATTGTCTCTACAAGCTCAAAGACAAGAGAAAGCAAAAGCCTCCAAGCTCTCCAAAAAGAAAGCATCTGCCCTGTTGTTCAGCAGTGATGAGGAGGTGAGCTGAGGTTTCTGCTAAAGAAGAGGGGATTATTTCATGGGATTTAAGAGTTAGAGCCACCCCAAATATTTTCTTTTTCTACCTGTTTTATATCTCGTGATGTTCAGTCACCAAAGGCGATGTTCACAAGATTGTCTTTTCTGAAGGAAGACATTTAATGTAATATATTAATTTAAAGATGAATCTCTTCAAAATGGTTAGGAATAAGTATGACTCCCACACAATAGTGTATGCTCCTTCAAATGAGTTAGGCCGGCTAGGGGGGAAATGATTTCTCAGCCATCGCTAGGTTCATGGTCGAGTCCCTTAGAACAAATGACAGATTAACCAGAGAAAAGTGTGCAAGTTTACGTAAGATAAGTTTTACCAGACACAGGAGCCTTCAGAAAGAAAAACTCAAGAGAAACAGGAAATCCTGTGTCAATTGGATGCTGTCTGATGAAGAAGCGGACAGTTTTGGAGAAGCACGATTAGATGAAAGGGGTGTGACCTGAAGGGAATAAGCTGGGGGAGCTCAGCAAGGCCTGTGTGGTCAGATCATTCTCTGCATCTTTACAAATAAGGAGGCTCCTTTCCTCTGGGAATAGGGAGGACTGGAATTAAGTTCTTATGACCTACTCCAGAGAGGGTTAGAGGATTCTTCTATGTCCTGCTTCAGAGGAGAAGGGCCAGGGAAAGGTCAGAGAGACCTTTCTGCTTCTGTTTTCTCAAATGCCAAGGTGTCATATTTTGAGGTAGCATGTCCCATATACCCCAATGGCCATATATACTAGTATCTTGTTAAATGACTACTGTGTTTCATTAATTTAGAACTATAGTTAGGAGGAGTTACCTATTGAGGTTAAACTCCTTTTTGAGGGAGTCTTAACAATATTTCTGTTTGTGATCTGGATAGATACTACCAAATCAGTTAGTTTAGTTGCTAACTCAATCAGATTTAGTAGCAGGGAATCAGATTTAGCTGTGCAGAAAAAGACTTTAAATATGATGATATAAAAAATCCTGAGTATTAAACATCTTCCTGTGTTATAATAATTCCTCTTTCCTCCCCTCATAGGGGGAAAGATCTTAGGAGAAATACATGGAGACTATAAAAATTTTATATTTTCTCAAACTTTTAAATTTTTTTTCAGGCCAGGCGCAGTGGCTCACGCCTGTAATCCTAACACTTTGGGAAGCCGAGGCGGGTGGATCACCTGAGGTCAGGAGTTCAAAACCAGCCTGATCAACATGGAGAAACCCCATACCTACTAAAAATACAAAATTAGCCAGGCGTGGTGGTGCATGCCTGTAATCCCAGCTACTCAGGAGGCTGATGAAAGAGAATCGCTTGAACCCAGGAGGAGAGGCTGCAGTGAGCTGAGATCGTGCCATTGCACTCCAGCCTGGATAACAAGAGCGAAGGTCCATCACAAAAAAAAAAAAAAAAAAAAAAGGCCAGGCACAATGGCTCACACCTGTAATCCCAGCACTTTGGGAGGCCGAGGTGGGTGGATCACCTGAGGTCAGGAGTTGGAGACCAGCCTGACCAACATGGAGAAACCCCATCTATACTAAAATAAAATACAAAATTAGCTGGGCATGGTGGTGCATGCCTGTAATCCCAGCTACTCGGGAGGCTGAGGCAGTAGAATTGCTTGAACACGGGAGGTGGAGGTTGCCATGAGCCGAGATCCTGCCATTGCACTCCAGCCTGGCCAACAAAAGCAAAACTCCATCTCAAAAAAAAAAAAAAAAACAAAAAAAAAAACAAAAAAAAACTATTTTGACAGCTGGGCATGGTGGCTTACACCTGTAATCCCAGCACTTTGGGAGGCCAAGGCAGGTGGATCACCTGAGGTCAGGAGTTCGAGACCAGCCTGGCAAACATGGTGAAACCCTGTCTCTACTAAACATACAAAAATTAGTTTGGCATGGTGGCATGTGCCTGTAAGTTCCAGCTACTTGGGAGGCTGAGGCAGGAGAATCGCTTGAACCCAGAAGGCAGAGGTTGCAGTGAGCCGAGATGGTGCCATTGCACTCCAGCCTGGGCAACAGAGTGAGGGATCTCAAAAAATTATAATAAAAAAAATAATAATAATTCTATTTTGAATTGTGGTAAAATATACATAAAATTTACTACCTTAACCACTTCTAAGTGGCAGTTGGAACAGGGGTCAAGGAGAGCCCTTGGGTTGGGTAATGTAGAGTATATTCACATTGCCATGCAACCAATCTCCGGAACTTTCTCATCTGACAAAACCAAAACTCTATATCCACTAAGCAACTTCCCATTTTCTCCCTTCCCCATGTCCCTGGCAACCCCCGTTCTACCTTCTGTTTCTATTAGTTTGCTTACTCAGTCTGGACGCTTCACATAAGTGAAAGAACACAGTATTTGTCTTTTTCTAACTGGCTTATTTCACTTAGCATAATGTCCTCAATGTTCATCCATGTTGTAGCATGTGTTAGAATTTCCTTCCTTTTTAAGGCTGAAGAATATTTTACTGTATGTATATACCACATTTTATCAATTCATCTGCCTATGGACAATTCGGCTGCATCCATCTTTTGACGAGTGTGAATACCACTGCTATAAATATCAGTGTACACATATTTCTATGAGACCTTGCTTTCAATTATTTTGGCTATATACCCAGAAGTGATATTGCCGGATCATTTGGTAATTCTATTTTCAATTTTTTGAGAAACTGCCTGTCCTGTGCTGAGCAGGTCTATATAAACCTACCCGCAAAGGCCAAGGAACCTGAGATACCAAAGAAAGAGGCTGACAAATCCAGTTTCTCAGAAAGAAACATTTAATAGGCGTTTATGAACAGAAGGCAAGTCAGGGATGGCACCAAGATAAGATGGTGGATCCCTGTGCCATCACCCCCACCCCCCCGACCCAGGGCTTCTATAGCATAGGGGAAGGGTAATGCGGGCTTCAGCAGGGATGTGTATGGCCAGACACGGTGGCTCACGCCTGCAATCCCAGCTCTTTGGGAGGCCAAGGTGGGCGGATCACCTGAGGTCAGGAGTTCCAGACCAGCCTGGCCAACACGGTAAAACCTCGTCTCTACTAAAAATACAAAAATTAGCCAGGCGTGGTGGCAGGCGCCTGTAATCCCAGTTACTCGGGAAGCTGAGGCAGGAGAATCGCTTGAACCCAGGAGGTGAAGTTTGCAGTGAGCTGAGATTGTGCCACTGAAGTCCAACCTGGGAGACAGAGTGAGACTCGGTCTCAAAAAATAAAAAATAAAAAATAATTTTTTTAAAAAGATAAAATAGAAATCGTAGATGAATTGTTGGAACTGGGATTAATCAGAATATTGCAGATTAGCATCCAAGATGGAATTGCTTTATTCTCATTCAAGGTTTCCCTCATTCTTCACTCTCCCCATGCTGGTCACCTTGCTGTTTGTTCCTCGAACACATATGAAATGCGTTTCTGTCTTGGCAGTCATCCTGCTACCTGTAATGTCAGCACTGCTTTCTGTTGTCCCTTCAGTCAGGTCACTGTTCAAATAGCTCTCTAGACAGGCTCTTCCTTATCATTCTACTTAAAATAGCCCCCAATCACTCTGTGTCCCTTTAGCCTGCTTCCTCTTCCTGCTATTTCATACTACCTGAAAAAATACTTGTTTGAACTTCCTAGAACATAAGCTCATAAAAGCAAGAACTGTGCTCCACCTCTCCTCTCCTCTACCCCAGCACTCAGAAGAGCAACAGAGTCAGCATCCAGTGAGTGTTCATGAATCAAGTCACTGCTTGGCAGAATTCAGCACTGGGACCACAGCCTCGCCTATCTTCAACTCTTTCTCCTTCTGCTTTTCCTCCTCCCACTCTAGTAGCCACTCTTCTGGGGGCTTGTCCCTTAAATGATTAGTCCTTACCGACCTATTTTCTGTCCACTTTATCTGTTTTTGAGAGAGGGTCTCACTCTGTTGCCTAGGCTGGAGTGCAGTGGCATGAATATGGGTCACTGCAGCCTCCACCTCCTGGGCTCAAGTGATCTTCCTGCCTCAGCCTGCCATGCCATGTAACTGGGGCCACAGGCATGTGCCACCATGTCCAGCTAATTTCTTGATTTTTTTTTGGTAGAAATGGGTCTCACTTTATTGCCCAGTCTGGTCTTGAAGTCCTACACTCGAGCAGTCCTCTCAACTTGGCCTCCCAAAGTGCTGGGATTACAGGCATGAGATACTTACTGTACCTGGTCTTATTTCTTCTTTTCTTAAGATACAGGGTCTCACCATCTGGCCCAGGCTGGACTCAAACTGCTGAGCTCAAGTAATTCCCCACCTCAGCCTCCAAAGTAGCTAGGACTAAAGGCATGAAACCACCATGCTTGGCTCGTCCAATTTCATTCTACACACTTTCTCGGTATTTAAACAGCTGCTGTTGCTCTTCATTCTGTAGCTCTACATCAGATTCATGCTCTAGTCCTGTATATCCAAATGATGACTACAGGCTGCCAGCTCTGCTCTTTCAAAGGCACAATGAGCATAGCCCGTCTACAAAACTCTCCCTTTTCCAATCCAGCTTTCCCTCCTGCATCACCTATCTCTCTACATCTGGAACCATCGGCAGCTGCCTTCATAAGGCACCTCGGTCTGGCATTCGGAAAACCACCCTGTCTTGCCAGAGCTGCTTGGTCTTGGGTAGCAAAAGCTGTATGCAATCTAAATCAAGCTTTCAATCATGAGAAATCACATTCCTTCTTTTCCCTTTGTAATATACTCATGTATTTTTTTTTCCTTTCTCAATAAGCAAATTGTACCACCATCTTATTCTGAGATGCTCCTTTTTAAAAGCTGTAGATCACATTAATGGAAGTGTTTACTGCTGGGAATATTTTCCATGTGCAATGATCTGTAACCCTCTTTTTCTTTTCTTTTTTTTGAGACCGAGTCTCGCTCTGTTGCCCAGGCTGGAGTGCAGTGGCACAATCTCTGCTCACTGCAAGCTTTGCCTCCTGAGTTCATGCCATTCTCCTGCCTCAGCCTCCCAAGTAGCTGGGACTACAGGTGCCCGCCACCATGCCCAGCTAATTTTTTTTTTTTTGAGATGGAGTCTCGCTTGGTCACCCAGGCTGGAGTGCAGTGGTGCAATCTCAGCTCATTGCAAGCTCCGCCTCCTGGGTTCACGCCATTCTCCTGCCTCAGCCTCCCAAGTAGCTGGGACTACAGGTGCCCGCCACCACACCTGGCTAATTTTTTTTTTTTTGTATTTTTAGCAGAGACGGGGTTTCACCATGTTAGCCAGGATGGTCTTGATCTCCTGACCTTGTGATCCGCCTGCCTCGGCCTCCCAAAGTGGTGGGATTACAGGTGTGAGCCACCACGCCCGGCCATGCCCAGCTAATTTTTTGTATTTTTTAGTAGAGATGGGGTTTCATGATGTTAGCCAGGATGGTCTCAATCTCCTGACCTGGTGATCAGTCCGCCTAGGCCTCCCAAAGTGCTAGGATTACAGGTGTGGGCCACTGCGCCCAGCCGATCTGTAACCCTCTTATCTCAACTAGCTGACATTATTACTTCACATTCAGTTCAATTTATAAATTAAGAGAGGTGCCACGGACCGGGCACGGTGGCTCACGCCTGTAATCCCAACACTTTGGGAGGCCGAGGCAGGTGGATCACAAGGTCAGGAGTTCGAGACCATCCTGGCTAACATGGTGAAACCATGTCTCTACTAAAAATACAAAAAATTAGCCAGGTGTGGTGGCAGGCACCTGTAGTCCCAGCTACCTGAGAGGCTGAGGCAGGAGAA
This sequence comes from Homo sapiens, assembly GCF_000001405.40. NCBI lineage: Eukaryota > Metazoa > Chordata > Mammalia > Primates > Hominidae > Homo > Homo sapiens. The sequence continues at coordinate 45,700,673 of NC_000010.11, read as the reverse complement.
TGGTGTGAATCCGGGAGGCAGAGCTTGCAGTGAGCAGATATCACGCCACTGAACTCCAGCTGGGGCCACAGAGCAAAACATCGTCCAAAAAAAAAAAAAAAATGAAAAAGAGGTGCCATGTGTACAAAAATCAATGCAAATTTATGAACTTTTTTTCAAATATATTTTCACACATCTTATCTAAATACATAATACAGAAGCCTGTGTGACTTGGGCAATGTGGCCAGGAGGGCCTGAGACTAACACATCCACCTCGGCAAAAGGACATAAAATATGTCTTATGGTCAGAAAAATCAACATTTTGTGTATTTACTTAGTTTATGAGAAGTACTGAAAATGCTATTATAAGCTGAATTTGTGATTTCCTTTTGAAATTCTGAGTTATCCTTATTTTTCCCATTTTGTTTTTGCACCAAGGAGACTGTAGTCAAATAAAACAGAACTACACGCACTCGTCGGGGCAGCCGTACTGCAGAAGCACGTTGATGCACTCCTGGCTGGAGGCCTGCCGGGCGTAGGTCAGCGCTGTGTTCCCGTGGGCATCTCGGGCCATGACGTCCACCCCGTACCAGATCAGGAGCTGCGCCAGGACCACATTCCCCTTGCGGCAGGCCAGATGGAGCGCCGTGCAGCCGTCTCCCTCCCCACAGGTCTCGTTCACCTCCTCACGGGAGCCATGTGCCAGCAGCAGGATGGCTGTCTGCAGGTCCTCATCAGCGGTGGCCCGCAGCAGCTGCTGGCCCAGGGACAGATCAGTGCAGGGTAGTGGGGCCAGAAAGAGCTTCTCCTCATATTTGGAAAGGATCCACCGTTCCTTTTCTTCCCTCGTGGACTTTTCTGAGGGTTTTGTCTGTCCCTGGCTGCTCCCTTCCCAGATGCTGTTGGCTAGGTCATTGCCAATAGATGACATAACCTTCCTGAGCTCAACTGGCCAGTCATCCAGCTCCAGAGATCGCACACGGGAAAGGCGGGTGCCAAGACTGCGGTGGATACCTGAGCATTCAATACACATGAGGACTCCCAAGTTCAAACTGGCCCACTTAGGATTCTGGGTCTCACAGTCCACACAGTGGGCGTTCCCACGCATGTTTTGGATCGACTGCAGGGCCATGGCCTCGCTCTGGCTGGTCAGCTGGGACTTGCTTTTACTGCTCTCGCATGACTGCAGGCTGGCCAGGATCTGGCTCTGGATGGCTTGGACCCAGGCATCCCGCTCCTCATATGTCGTGGCTTCAAAGTGCCACGTTTGGCCAGTGGCAGACACAATCATAAAGTTGTTGGTGCTTTTCTTCTTTAGGTGTTTCTTTTTATTGGCATGAGGAGAGGGGGGCGGGTTGAGCTTGGGGCCGGTGGTGCTGGAGATACTGGGGCTGAAGCATATGGAGTCACCCAGCCCGGTGTCCATGTCCTTGGATAGGTCATTGCTTTTAGAGCTGGAGATGGGTGCGCAGGCCGATGTGGCTAGGGATGGCCACTTTCCTGGGACTTTGATGGTAGATGTCTGAAGGTCAATCTCTTTTTTATGAATATTCTTCATATAATCACCTAAGCTTGAATAATAGGTGAGCACGCCATTGGAACACAGGGTGACGTATTTCTTTTTCCATGTCTTCAGCCATTTCCCACTTCGCTTTAAGAGCATGCCCTGTTTAATGGGGATGGCTCTGCCGCTCCCGATGGTGTCAGCATGATTCTCCGGGGCTTTCCTCTCTTTGTCTGGGTCACTCCCTTTCTCAGATGTAAACAGGTTGGACCAGCGCATGGACCGCTTGCAAACGGGGGTGGGTGTGTTGGCAGTGGGAGGAACACTGAACTGAGGGTCCTCCTGGCTGGTGCTGGGAGTCGATGGAATGGAGGAGGAATAGTTATTTAAACTCCCACCTCCATTTCTGTTCTTCGTAATGTGCACGGTGGAAACCTGTGTGGAACAGAAGGAGGAATGGCTTCAAAAATTGGGTAGTGGCTTGCAGGGTCCTATAGACAGCTCACAATTACCTTTTAAAAAGATACATTTTCTGGGCCAGGCATGGTGGCTCACACCTGTAATCACAGCACTTTGGGAGGCCAACGTGGGTGGATCACGAGGTCAGGAGTTCAAGACCATCCTGGCCAACATGGTGAAACCCTGTCTTTACAAAAAAAAAAAAAGAAAAAAAAATTAGCTGGGCATGGTGGCACATGCCTGTAATTCCAGTTACTCAAGAGGCTGAGGCAGGAGAATTGCTTGAACAGGGACCTGGGAGGCAGAGCCTGCAGTGAGCCAAGATCGCGCGATTGCACTCCAGCCTGGGCTACAGAAAGAGAGTCCATAAAAAAAAAAAAAAAAAAAAAAAAAGATACATTTTCTGTTGTTTGGATAGTATATTTACTCATACTAGCTCACTAACTAAACAGAGCTGCAGATCAGTTCTTACTCCAGCACATTCTTTTTACAACACTTAAGATGACTAAATGCAACATGAAATGGGGAAGATTTAAAAAAAGATGGCTTTGACTTCAGCATGAAACAGATACAAGTGTACGATGAAAATACAACCTCAATAAAAGTGCCACTTACCGCAAATGAGTGTAACTGTTCATCAGGTATGCTCAAAGATCTATCTGCATCTCTATAAAATAAGAAAGCGCGTTACTTCAAAAACTGTTAATATCTTAGTATAATATTTGTTTAGTAAAATACTGCCTCCTGTGTGCTTTGGTGTTTACCAAAGCAGTTTTTACGAATTCTTCTCCTGGATCCTGACTTGCAGAGGGTTTCCTGACTTCTTCTTTCTCAGCACATCATGGCCTGTACCGTGAAGTCTTTTATATGATAACCAGTCAGAAATGCCCGTGAGTATTGACTCTCCCTAACAGGCCATGGCAATAAACCAAACATATTTTCACTCTTCTAACCACACATTGAAACACAAGAATGTTCTACAAAGCAGTAGTAGTAAACTTTAATAAATGTAAATGTGATTCAGATTTCCTAGCTTCCTTTCTCTTTAGTTCTCTGTAGTATACTCTCATGATGTATTTATGTACTTTCTGTTGTTTGAATGACAAACTCATCTGCCTTTTTAAGACGCCAGTCTTTGATGAACTTTAAACTTTGTAAAACTAATGCATTGTGCCTGTGTATAAACCAGTGGTTCTCCAAATGTGCTGTGTGGACCTCTCGGGATCCCGAAGACCCCTTCCAGAAGGCCTAAGAGGTCATAACTGTTCTTTTTTTTTTTTTTTTTTGAGACCAAGTTTTACTCTTGTTGCCCAGGCTGGAGTGCAATGGTGTGATCTCGGCTCATGGCAACCTTCGCCTCCCAGGTTCAAGTGATTCTCCTACCCCAGCCTCCCAAGTAGCAGGGATTACAGGCACCTGCCACCACTCCTGGCTAAGTTTTGTATTTTTAGTAGAGATGTGGTTTCACCATGTTGGCCAGGCTGGTCTTGAACTCCTAACCTCAGGTGATCCGCTTGCCTCGGCCTCCCAAAGTGCTGGGATTACAGGCCTGAGCCACTGTGCCTGGCCAACACTGTTCTGAATCATACTAATTAAACCTGAGAAAGCTGATGAAAAATTTTAAAAATTTGTGAAAGTAATACAAAGCCATTGCCTGCTCTTTCGTTGACACTTGCCATGATTATATAAAAGCAAAAGTGGGTACAATGGCTGGTTTCTCAGCATAAATCAAGGCAGTGGTACCAATTACATTAGTAGTCATTCTATTCTTCACTGTCCCCTACAGGTAAAAAACATAGCCTGAATTTCTTAAGAATGTCTTTGATGAAGCAGTAAAAATTAATGTTGTTAAATCTTGACATGTCTCTAATATTCTGAATAAGTGGAAAGTTAACCAGAAGCGCTTTTTTTTTTGTTTTTAAAGAATCCGTGATTTAACTATGAACTGAAAAATCACTTTTTTCACAGAACATCATTTTTATTTAAAAGTACAACTGGGCCAGCGCAGTGGCTCACGCCTGTAAAATCCCAGCACTTTGAGAGACCAAAGCAGGCAGATGGCTTGAGCTCCTTCAGGAGTTCGAGACCAGCCTAGGCAACATAACGAAACCCTGTCACTGTCAAACATATAAGAAAATTAGCCTGGCGTGGTGCCACACATCTGTGGTGCCAGCTACAAAGGAGCCTGAGGTGAGAGGATTGCTTGAGCTGAGATCATGCCAATGCACTCCAGCCAAGTGACAGAGTGAAACTCGGTCTAAAAAACCAGTTCAACTATCATTCTCAAAAATAAATGAAGTGAGAGGTTGTCACTTCAAGGGAAATACGTATTTGTTCCCAATGATAAAATTTAAGCTTTCCTGTGGACTTTGAAAAACTTGTTCCTTCTACTGTAGGCTTGGCAGCTATTCAATACTTAAAGGCGTGTTAAAGTAAGATTGGTGGTTAAACTAAAAGTGATTTTTGACACAATAAAACATAAACCGATATATTCCAAGTAACTAATGCATGATATTATAAATGCAAGTATGGAGCAAAAGATCCATTTACTGTGGAAGAAAGATCAATGAGTACTGATGGAATAAATTTATTAATATGTAAAATGCCACCGTAACTAATTTAAGAAACCACCACTTGTGAAGTTTTGATTTAGTGTTAACAAATACCCACAACTGTCTGAAAAGTTTAAAAATACACCTTCTACCAACTACATATTTGCATGAGGTTCGGTCATCTTATTGCTTCTTTTTTTCTTTTTTTGAGACAGAGTCTCTCTCTGTCACCCAGGCTGGGGTGCAATGGCGAGATCTCGGCTCACTGCAACCTCCACCTCCCAGGCTCAAGCGATTCTCCTGCCTCAGCCTCCCAAGTAACTGGGACTACAGGCATGCACCACCACGCCCAGCCATTTTTTGTACTTTCAGTAGAGGCGGGTTTTACCATGTTGGTCGGGCTGGTCTCAAACTCCTGACCTCAAGTGATCCACCCACCTCGGCCTCCCAAAATGCTGGGATTACAGGTGTGAACCACTGCGCCCCACCAGCTTATTGCTTTTTTTGTTTGTTTGTTTAGGCAGAGTCTTGCTCTGTCACCCAGGCTGCAGTGCAATAGCACCATCTCAGCTCTCTGCAACCTCCGCCTCCCAAGTTCAAGCGGTTCTCCTGCCTCAGCCTCCAGAATAGGTGGGACTACAGGTGTGTGCCATCATGCCCAGCCAAGTTTTTGTATTTTTAGTAGAGACGGGGTTTCGCTGTGTTAGCCAGGATGGTCTCGATCTCCTGACCTTGTGATCCGCCCGCCTCAGCCTCCCAAAGTGCTGGGATTACAGGCGTGAGACACCGTGCCCAACCTCTTATTGCTGCTTTAAAGCAAATTGCAAAGAAAGCTCTAGAGAATCCATTTGTCTCCTATTAAGCTCAACATGAGAGACTTTAAATAATATAAATACATGACGCACTTTTTACTCAACTTTTTGTTGTAGAAAAGTTATTTTTCAATGAAAAAATTCTGTTAACAATACTGTTCTCAAGGAATATTTTCTGTTGTTATAACCTGGGTCATGGGTTACTACTGATATCTAGTTGGTAGAGGCCATGAATACTGCTAAACTCTCTGCAATGCACAAGACAGTCCTCACAACAAAGCATTATCTAGCCCATAATATCAACAGTGGTAAGGCTGTGAAATCTAAACTAAAAATAGATTTTGAAAAAATTTCAATTGTATAATTCTACCACACTAAATATCAATATAATCAATATAAACACATACTCTTTGAGATTCTCAATCATTTAAGAATTATGAGAGTCTTAAGGAACAAAGAAAATACAAATAATTTGCTTCAATATTTTAGTAGGCACAATACAGCTTATGATGTGCCTAACACTGAGCTTGATATCTTGCAAAGTACTTAGCTAGAATAACAAGACAGGTTTCTAAAAAGCTCACCTTTGTGTGATATGATGAGGTATCTCCAAGGTCACACTGTGGAAGGAAAAAAAATTCATAACAATAGATGTTAACATTTGTTAGGCCTGAAGACATTTTTTAAAAGGGGGGCAGAGGAAACTCTCCTAGTGGCCCTGAAATTCAAATCTTCTAGTTCAGAACAGTACCATAAGGGCACTTTGTTTTCATTTCTTTGTTTTTTACAAAAATATGAGAACCAAAATGCAAGGAAATATGCCGTTAGAAGACGCGTTTCTGTTGGTGATTACAATATATAAATAATAACAGATTTCCTTGTTACATGCTTTTCTACCCACGAAACCTTTCGTCCCATGCGATTTATTTTATGTATTTATTTATTTTTTGACCCAGAGTCTGTCTCTCTTGCTCAGACTGGACTGCAGTGGTGCCATCTTGACTCCTCACAACCTCCACCACCCAGGTTCAAGCGATTCTCATGCCTCAGCCTCCCAAGAAGCTGGGACTACAAGTTTGTGTCACTATGCCCAGATAATTTTTTTTTGGAGGGGGGCGGTGGGTGGAGTTTCGCTCTTGTTGCCCAGGCTGGAGTGCAATGGTGTGATCTCGGCTCACCACAACCTCTGCCTCCCGGGTTCAAGAGATTCTCCTGCCTCAGCCTCCCAAGTGGCTGGGATTACAGGCATGTGCCACCACACCCAGCTAATTTTGTAGAGTGAGCCTCAAAACAACTGAGGGAAGGCAAATCTCAATTCTACTAATAGGTCTACACAATATTAGCACTTTTTAAAAAGCCTGTAACATTAGCAGGTAAGATGGATATGTCTATAGTGCTTCAAGTAGTTTTCATCTCTGAAATAATTTTAAAATCACAGAATTTAAAGTTACATGCTGGAAAGGACCAATGACCTTATGTGACATTTAATTCAACACTCGTTTTACAGATCAGGGAAACAGACCTTAAAACTGACTTGCCCAAGGTCCCACCAAATAGGAGCAGTTTCTCATCCTAAACTCAAATTAAGCAGTGGCTGTCAAACTTTGCTGCACATTAAAATCGCCTGAGAAGCTTTAATATCTGCCTCATCTTCCACATGAGACATTTTAATTTAATTAGTATTGGGTATGGCTTTGGGCATCAAGGTTCTTGGTAAACGTTTCCCAGGTGATTTCAATCAGCAGCAAAGTTTGGAATGATTGAGTTGGGGTGAAAATCAGAATCTTCTGGGATGCTTTTCTTCACAGAAAGATGCCTCACATCCATCCCGATTTTCCTAAAAGGCTTCTCAGTGCCTAGAGATAGAGGGAAAGTGGAGATGGGAAGATACATGTGTTTGCAGACTTGTGTTTTGAAAAAAACCTTGCATAAGTGATCTCAGCGAGTTCCACCTATCCCACTGACAACAGTGCACTACTGATTCATGATAAAACATTTTTCAAAATATCTTCTTGAAGCCAATTTGCCCAATTAATTTGTTCAATAACTTTATTTCACCAATAGTGAATACACCAAATGATCATTTCTCAAATTTGCTGGTGGCAAATTAAAACTTACTATACTCTCAAAAGTAGACTTCTAAAAAGTAGAATAATGAGGAAAAAAGCACGAAATTTGTTTCAGCAAAATTAATCTTCAAAGCTGCTTTTGAATTATATGCTAACATATGAAAATCTTTGGAACTCAGAAGAAGCCAGGGACTCTAGTCAAAGTAATTTTTGTGTATGTGTGCTCAGAGATTTAAGAGACTTAGCTGACTACAGACATTTAGTGATTACTCAATAGGTCCCAAAGCTCAGGACTTGAGACAGAGTTTGAGTCCAGTTTTTGTTCGAAACACAATTTCCTCTCAACTATTGTTAAAAGGGAGGGAGGAAAGTGACATTATTATGAGTGTAAACTTTCCACTTTTAATTGAAGTAAAAGTTATTGACAATTGAATTAGTTAAAAAGGCTAGTGCATTTGAAACAAAATTGTTTATAAGCTAGTTATGTGTACAGAATGAAAAGTTAAATTAAAGATAAAGACATTAATATTCTAAATTAGCACTTTCCAAACTGTGTTCTAAAAATCAAGACTAATAACCCAAGAAGATGAGAATAATGTACACTGGACAGCCCCTGTGGAGCTGGTGGTGGTGTTGGTTGTTGTTCCTTTTAAAATAAACTTCATCTCAGGGTGCTCTCAAAGCGCATCTTTGTGGCCCATGAGGTGCTCATGCACAATGGGAGAAATTCAAATGCAGATACACTGCGTTGCCAGAAGAAGAAAAGCTGTTCCTTCTTCCAAGGATAATGTCCAAAGTAGTGCACACTGATTTAGGCCTATGATGCATTGAAAAACTAAGTTTCCACAAGAAAACATTCAATAAAGGGAACCTATCCTTCTCACTCTGTTCAACATTGTCTAAAGGCATAAAGGCATCAAAAAGATACACTGTTTCTGGGATTGCTTCTTTGCTAACTGATTTTTCCTTCCACCACGACGTCTAAGATTAAAAGAGAAACTGATACTTAATATTCAGAATCTGGATATCAATATATGGTTGACTCCAATTTCTTAAACTGATTGCTGAAAAGGACAACCAAATGACTGAAATAATTTTAGAATAAAGGAATCTGTCCCTCGGCAGCATAGTTGTACTCACGATATTATTGTCATTGTAAGATAATGCTGATGGCTGTGCTGTCATCAAGGAATATTGTCGAACACAAGCTGTATTGTTGACTGAAACGCACAGTAGATACCTGAAGGGGAAGGGAAGTGTAAGTCAAACTTATCAAAGTGTATTATTTTCTCAGTTAAAATGTCAAATGACAAAGCACTAAGATATGTCTTACACTCCATGAACTGCCTGAGTGTGGTATCATGTGCACTCTATAGAAAACCCATTGGAGGCTCTCAACTTCCAGAGATGATGTTTAAGATATGGGTTATAAAATGCTGCCCTTAATATGGTACCTGTCATCAAACCTAACAAGGATTTTATGAATTACCGTTAAAAATAATGGGAAAAGTCGGCTTCGCGGGGCGCGGTGGCTCACACCTGTAATCCTAGCACTTTGGGAGGTGGAGGCGGGCGGATCACGAGGTCAAGAGATCGAGACCATCCTGGCTAACATGGTGAAACCCCGTCTTTACTAAAAATACAAAAAATTAGCCGGGCGTGGTAGCAGGCCCCTGTAGTCCCAGCTACTTGAGAGGCTGAAACAGGAGAATGGGGTGAACCCAGGAGGCGGAGCTTGCAGTGAGCCGAGTTCGCGCCACTGCACTCCAGGCCGGCAGACAAAGTGAGACTCCGTCTCAAAAAAAAAAAAAAAAAAAAAAAAAAAAAGAAAAGTTTAAAATAAGATTTCATTTTTTTTCTGCAGCAATAAAAAGCAGCTGAGAATTTCTATTAATTAATTAATTTATTTATTTATTTTTGAGACGGAGTCTCGCTCTGTCGCCCAAGCTGGAGTGCAGTGGCGCGATCTCGGCTCACTGCAAGCTCCGCCTCCCGGGTTCACGCCATTCTCCTGACTCAGCCTCCTGAGTAGCTGGGACTACAGGCGCCCACCACCGTGCCCGGCTAACTTTTTGTATTTTTAGTAGAGACGGGGTTTCACCGTGTTAGCCAGGATGGCCTCGATCTCCTCACCTCGCGATCTGCCTGCCTCAGCCTCCCAAAGTACTGGGATTACAGGCGTGAGCCATGGCGCCCAGCCCTTCTATTATTTATTTACTACAATAAAATGTAATGTATTAAATAATCCTGCTACAAGAGCATTTTATTGCAGTGAATACAAGACTAATGCATTTACTAAATTACTAATCCTAAATGTATTATTTCAGGTGATATTGTTACAAAAGAAGTGTTTCAGATTCAGAGGCTCTGTGTGCCAGGGCTGCTAGGCCACCAACAAGTGAGGAAGCCATAGGTTTCTCTAGTCCTATTTTCTTATGTGGAGGATAAAAAGAGTATCACTTACATATTCTCTCACACCCTGAAAACAAATGACAACTTAAAAAATCTAACTTTCACTTCATGTTTAAATAAGACTGCCAAGACATGACTCAAATGAGACTCTCGGAGAATACTTTGCATTCACTTCAAAACTTGATCAATTGCATTCTATAAATCATCTGACCTGCACCTAGCCATTTTCCTGCTCTACCCCTGCTCTCTGCCTAGAATACTGCTTTTCTCTTTCCTTGCTTCAGCAAGCTCGACTCCATCTACCCTCTTGGATCTCTTTGTCGGCAGCCACACCAAAAAATGTATTTTTATACACTAATTAGTTGAATTCACCACTGCTTACAAGATGCTAATTCCTGCAGAGTATTCCCCTTGTGAGAAAGTATGCCTCTCCATAAGAGTAAGGGAGGGCCCTTACTCTTCCTACCTCCAGCTGCTGAGCATAGAATTTTGAGTAAATCCAAAACTTCGACAAGTGTTTGACAATTCAGTTATCATTTGGAAGGTAAGTCTTACTACATTTAATTACAGCAAAAACACTACTAACAGTTTACTCTTTATAGGTATTATTTAAGGTAGTCACAAAATAGAAACAAATACTCTAACATCAGGCAGCATAAATGAGAGTATGAAATTTTACAATATTTAACAAGAAATGGAAGGGGTTACTTAGTAGTTTTAAGGTTTAATGACAAAAACTAGAAAATAATCGTACCTAGTAATTTAGTAAGTCAAAACCAAAGCCTTACCATCAAAGGTGCAGTACCCATTGGATGCGGATGCCCACGCACTGACTTCTTCTGCTGTACCTGCTGCCTCTCATTTTAACCCATTAAAAATACTAAAGTTGTTTTCCTTGTAGACATCTTTCACCTCCTTGGTTAGGTCTATTCCCAAGTATTTTATTTTAGTTTAGTTTAGTTTTGCAGCTATCAGAAAAGGGGTTGAGTTCTTGGTTTGATTCTAAGCTTGGTCTCTTCTGGGGTATAACAGCGCTACTGATTTGTGTACATTAATTTTGTCTCCTGAAACTTTGCTGAATTCATTTATCAGTTCTAGGAGCTTTTTGGAGGAGTCTTTAGGGTTTCCTAGGTATATGATCATATCATCATCAAACAGCAACAGTTTGACTTCCTCTTTACTGATCTGCATGCCTTTTATTGTTTTCTCTTGTGTGATTGCTCTGGCTAGGCCTTCCAGTAGTATGTTGAATACAAGTGGTGAGAGTGGGCATCCTTGTCTTGTTCCAGTTCTCGGGGGGAATGCTTTCAACTTTTCCCCCTTTCAGTATCATGTTGGTTGTGGGTTTGTCATAGATGGCTTTTATTATATTGAGCTGTGACCCTTGTATGCTGATTTTGCTGAGGGTTTTAATCATAAAAGGATGCTGCATTTTGTCAAATGCTTTTTCTGCATCTGTTTAGATGATCATGTGATTTTTTGTTTTTAATTCTGTTTATGTGGTGTATCACATTTATTGACTTGTGTATGTTAATCCATCCCTGCATCCCTGGTATGAAACCCATTTGATCATGGTGGATTATCTTTTTTTTTTTTTTTGAGATGGAGTCTCGCTCTGTTGCCCAGGCTGGAATATGCAGTGCGGTGATCTTGGCTCACTGCAACCTCTGCCTCCGAGGTTCAAGCGATTCTCCTGCCTCAGCCACCTGAGTAGATGGGATTACAGGTGAGCGCCACCACACCCGGCTAACTTTTGTATTTTTAGTAGAGATGGGATTTCACCATGTTGGCCAGGCTGGTCTCGAACTCCTGACCTCATGATCCGTCCGCCTCAGCGTCCCAAAGTGCTGGGATTACAGGTGTGAGCCACTGTGCCTGGCCCGATTATTTTTTGATATGCCGTTGGGAACTACAAAACGTTGCTGAATGAAGTCATGGACACAAACAAATGGAAAGACACCCCATGCTCATGAATGGGTAGAATGAATATTGTGAAAATGACCATACTGCCAAAAGCAATCTACAAATTCAATGCAACTCCCATCAAAATACCACCATCCTTCTTCACAGAACTAGAAAAAACAATCCTGAAATTTATATGGACCAAACAAGAACCGGCATAGCCAAAACAAAACTAAGCAAAAACAACAAATCTGGAGGCATGACATTACCTGATTTCAAACTATACTATAAGGCCATAGTCGCCAAAATAGCATGGTACTGATATAAAAATAGGCACATACACCAATGGAACAGAATAGAGAACCCAGAAATAAACTCAAATACCTATAGCCAACTGATTTTCAACAAAGCCACCTAAAACATAAAGTGAAGAAAGTAAACCCTATTCAACAAATGGTGCTGGGATAATTGGCAAGCCACATGTGGGAGAATGAAACTGGATCCTCAACTCTCAGCTTACACAAAAATCAACTCAAGATGGATCAAGGACATAAATCTATGACCTGAAACCATAAAAGTTCTAGAAGATAACATTGGAAAAACCCATCTAGACGCTGGCTTAGGCAAAGACTTCATGACCAAGAACACAAAAGCAAATGCAACAGAAACAAATAGGTGAGACTTAACTAAAGAGCTTCTGCACAGGAAAAGGAACAATCAGCAGAGTATACAGACAACCACAGAGTGGGAGGAAATCTTCACAGTCTATACATCTGACAAAGGGCTATTATCCAGAATCTATGAGGAACTCAAACAAATTACAATTACAAAAATATGGAACCAGCCCAAATGCCCGTCAATCAATGAGTGGATAAAGAAACCGTGATATACATACATATATATATATATGAGGAATACCACCTCAGCCATAATAAGGAATGAATTCATGGCATTCCCAGCAACCTGGATGGAAGTAAGACTATTATTCTAAGTGAAATAACTCAGCATGGAAAACCAAATATCATGTTCTCTTTCATACGTGGGAGCTGAGCTATGAGGATGCAAAGCCATAAGAATGATACAATGGACTTTGGGGACTTCGGGGAAAGGCTGGGAGGAGGGTGAGGGATAAAAGACTACAAATTGGGTTCAGCGGATACTGCTCAGGTGATGGGTGCACCTAAATCTCACAAATCATCACTAAAGAACTTAGTCATGTCACCAAATGCCACCTGTTCCCCCAGAAACCTATGGAAATAATAAATAAATAAATAAAGTACAGCATTTTTCTCAGCAAACATAAAATAAAACAAAGACTAAAGTTCATATTTTTCACTCTCCTTTTGGGCAGGACAAATTTTAGATAGGTTTTTAAAGAATTAGTAACTTTTTTCCTTTTTCCGAGACAGGGTCTCCCTTTGTTGCCCAGGCTGGAGTGCAGTGGTGCAATTATAGTTAACTGCAGCCTCAAACTCCTGAGCTCAAGCGATCCTCTGCCTCAACCTCCTGAGTAGGTAATACGAAAGGTGCATGCCACCAGGCCTGGCTAATTTTTTATTTAACCTTTTTGTAGACATGAGGTCTTGCTATGTTGACCAGGCTAAAAATGAACAAATCTTAATTAACTTAAATATTTCTAACATTTTGGGCATTCAGGAAAACAGCTCCATCTATGTTGTGAAGTAATGGGAAGTATATGGCAGTGGATAAACTTTGAATGAAAATATTAAACAAGGCCTTAGGAGAAAAGTGTAATATGCTTATTATAGATACATTAATTTAAAAAATTCTCTGGCTTAATATCATTAATTATACTCAAATTAGACTTTGATTTAAACACAGGTCCTAAATTTGGATTAAATATAATAGATTGACCACAAATTTATTTCGTCTCCCTCCGGAAGCCTCATCAGTCATAAAATAAAGGTTACACCCATGACCAGCACAGAAGGTTGACAGAGATAATTTCTAATAAATGCTGAGACATAAAAAGTAGATAAAGGAGTGGTAAATAACACAGAAACACAACTTTGGTGCCTACAGAAAGTGACTGGAACAGAAGCGAGCCAGTTTGTCTTGCAGAACTAAAGGCAGGTTGTGAACTTACAGGCAAATGGCACTTTGGAAAGTAGGGTAAAATGTGAAAAAAAAAAAAAAAGCCAGCAAGTTCAGTTGCAAATCTCTAACTAGAGCCCCAAGTCCACCTGTCCTTCCATCTGACAAGAAACTTAGATGTGTGTTCTCTGGATATATCAAACCTGAGAATTTCTGGCTCAGAGATACCATGGCTTAAACCTGAGATATAAAGAAAACTGTACACCAAAAATGGAACTCCAACTTTCTTCGCTAACTCTGCTTTTCCTTTCCAGGCCTGCTTTTACTTTCCAGGCAGAAAATTGGGAGATCCTTCTCAGAAGAAACTGAAATGTCTTCAATAAAGATCCCCAGATAATACACTGAGGTCTCCCAAATGAAAAGCTAGTCAGGCTTCTAAGGCCTCACACTGAGTGCTATCAGTTAACAGAAATCCTGCTTCCAAATAAAGCAGGCCAGGGACCACCACACATTGGAGGGAAGCCTCCAAGAAAAGAGATCAAAACAATAGAAAAAAGGAATTGATAGGACCAGTCAAAATCAGGAGCAAAACTTTAAAAAAAAATCTTAAAACACTCTCAAAAAATATAAAATTCAATAGAAATAGTAGAGGATAAAGTCACAGAATATCCCAGAACTAGAATAAAAAGACAAACTGAAAAAAATACAAGGGAAAAAATTAAAAATCAATGCAGGCGTATTGGTCTAAGCAGCCTAGCATCTGAATAACAAGACTATCAGTAAAAAAGTAACAGAGAAAATAAAAAAAAATTCTCAAGAAGAGATAGTCTGCAGGTTTAGTAGCCTCAATAAAATGAAAAGATCCCCAACAAGCTGTTATAAAATTTCAGAACCTTAGAGAGAGAGATTCCAAAAAGCTTCCGCAGATAACTAAAACCTGGTTGTAAATAACGTATCACACACTGGCAATAGATTCAAGAACAACACTGTAATAAGAGCACAACTGCAAAATGTCTTCAGAACCACAACATTTAGATTCAACCTAGAGGTGTACTCTCTATCAAAGAGGAGGGATTTTAACATCTCCACACAGGAAAATGTGTTCAAGTACAACTAGAGACGATAACAGGACAGAAGGAAACACAGAATCTAGGACTCAGGCGATCCCACACAAGACAGCAGTTACGTGAGATACCAAAAGACTTTAAAGAGTTAGCCCAGAAAAGCAGACATTGAGCATATCTAGGGAAACCCACGCTATATTGAACTAGGATGACAAAAGGCCAAAGAAAGTTGCCCCCCACACAAACATAAAAAGGAACAGATGTGTTTTCGCAGATGGAAAATATCTTTGAAAGGCATGTGATAAATGCTACAATACTTGGGGGAAAACAGCTGTTAGAAAACAGGCAAATGAATATAGTCAGAAAATTAGCTTCATGCTAAAAAATAATGGATGTGAAAGCAAACAGAGCACCCAGAGGCTACTTAACGATATTTGGATAGATAAACTAACGTAGGCTAGGAAAAAAGAAGATCCAGGAGAATTGCAGAAGTGCTCAGATTTCAGAACTGTTTCAGAGACAGGATGAAGGACATGGAATGCAGAGGCACAGTGAAAACACCATATGACTTAGCAGTGAATAATATTTGCAGAGTCATAATCATGTAAATATTACTGATTTAATTAAAAAGTGTGCTACAATTGGAAAAAACACAGGGAGAAACATAAGATCATGGTGTAGCGGGGAAGGTATGCTTTTACCTGCTGTGACAGAAAGTCAATAGACAGTGCTGGCAATTAACTTAGCTATTCTATTTTTGTTCTTTCATTAAAAATAAGATTAAATATTTAAGGCAATTTTTTTTTTTTTTTTGAGACAGAGTTTCGCTCTGTCGTCCAGGCTGGAGTGCAATGGCGCGATCTTGGCTCACTGCAACCTCCGCCTCCTGGGTTCAAGTGATTCTCCTGCCTCAGCCTCCTGAGTAGCTGAGATTACAGGCATGCACCACCACGCCCAGCTACTTTTGTATTTTTAGTAGATACAGAATTTCACCATGTTGGTCAGGGTTGTCTCAAACTCCTGACCTCAGATGATCAGCCTGCCTCGGCCTCCTAAAGTGTTGTGATTACAGACATTAGCCACCATGCCCAGCCTTAAGGCAGATCTTTTGAACCGGACTATTGAAATTTAACTTAAATGTCAGAAATCTTTAAAAGGTGGACACGCTAAACTAAGCACTTTCCTGGATAAATTTAATACTCAGGAAAATAGAAGAGATTTAGAAAATCCACAAAAAGAGGTCCATGCTACCACCACCAGGTCCACATTGTAATTTAAAGAAATCAAGAGAGACATCCATTTATGTCAAACTATCAATTTCTTAACTATTTGAGTGTTTACTTACATGGTTTGTACAGTTGCTTCTTCTTATTTCTACAACTAAGAATAAAAAAAAAAAAACTGGTCACTTCTGATACAAATACCATAAAATAAAAGTAGTTGTTAACATCTTACTGATTACTCCTATGAAAAATGAGACAAAATTCCATTAAAAAAAATTTTCAATAACATATAATTTAAATTATCTGGCATGATTAATTTCATAAGTCAAATCTAAAAACTTAGATTTTCATTTAGTTTACTTTTTGTTTCTATTACATACAAATGAAAGAATCCTCATGTACAAAAGAAAAGGGCAAAAAAATTAGGCCAGATGAAAAATTTAGCTAATAAAAAGTTTAACTGTTGCATATATGAGCCATGATCCATTAGTATTCTCTCATTCTGCATTTACACATAGCTTACTTTAATTATCAGACTCTAAGAGCTAACAGTTCTAAAAACTACTTCCTGACCAGACACCTATCTCTAGATGCAACAGAAACCCTGTAAGCATCTTGAACCACACTTAGTGGTTATCTACTAATATGTCACTAAAAACAAAACAAAATTAAAAAATGGTCTTTACACAACTGGAAAGTAACCTATCTTAAATTTGTTTTCTTTTTTGAGATGGAGTCTCACTCTGTCACCTAGGCTCGAGTGCAGTGGCGGGATCTCAGCGCACTGCAACCTCTGCCTCCCAGGTTCAAGCAATTCTTCAGCCTTAGCCTCCGGACTAGCTGGGACCACAGGCACGTGCCACCATGCCTAGCTAATTGTTTTTTGTATTTTTAGTAGAGACAGAGTTACACTGTGTTAACCAGGATGGTCTTGATCTCCTAACCTCGTGATCCACCCACCTCAACCTCCCAAAGAGTTGGGATTACAGGTGTAAGCCACAGAGCCTGGCCTAAATTTTGATGTTAAAATAAGTATACAAACCTAATTGGACATGGTGTCTGCAGCACAAAAAATCATTTTTTTTTCCCTAAAAAGAGGCCAGAATAATAAAAGCCCCAAGAGGGACTTGGGCCATGCTTTGTTTCCTACACTGCCTCTGCCTTTGATGCTGGGAGGGCCTTGTAGGCAAAAGTTACTACCACTGAAGAGTGAGGGACATGGAATAGCTTTTCTTTTACTGCTTCCATGCTCTCTAGGTGTGAGAAGCCCATGCCTCTGGAAGGAACTGGGAAATACAATTCTGATATGTTTTGGATATGTTGCCCCTCCAAGTCTCATGTTAACATGTGACCCTTAATGTTGGAGACAGGGCCTAGTGGGAGGCGTTTGGGTAATGGCAGTGGATTCCTTATGAATGGCTTGGTCCCATCCCCATGGTAATAAGCACATTCTCATTATGGTAATTTAAAAGACTGTGGTACTGGCCAGGTGCGGTGGCTGAAGCCTGTAATCCCAGCACTTTGGGAGGCTGAAGCGGGTAGATCACTTGAGGTCAGGAGTTTCAGACCAGCCTGGCCAACATGGTGAAACCCTGTCTCTACCAAAAATACAGAAATTAGCTAGGTGTTATGGTGCCCAACTATAGTCCCAACTACTCGGGAGGCTGAGGCAGGAGAATTGCTTGAACCTGGGAGATGGAGGTTGTAGTGAGCCAAGATCGTGCCATTGCACTCCAGCCTGGGCAACAGAGTGAGACTCCATTTCAAAAAAAAAAAAAAAAAGAGTGTGGTACCTTCCCCCTTCCCCTCTCTCCTCCCTCTTTCACGGTGTGGAACCACCTGCTTCCCCTTTGCCTTTTATCATGATTGTAAGTTTGCTGAGGCCCTCACCAGAAGCAGATGTTAAAGCCATGTTTGTACAGCCTGAAAATCTTTGAGCCAATTAAACCTCTTTTTGTTATAAATCACCCAGCCTTAGGTATCTCTTTATAGTAATGTAAAAAATGAAGACAAATTCTAACCAGAAATAACTGACTCAAGATGGGCAAAGTCTACTCAAACTATAAAAACAAAGGTTACAAACTCCCGTGTTTTACTGTGCTGCATTACTTCGCACATTATTATAGAACCCTCACTTGTGTTCTTGCTGTTTAAGTCAACTGGAAAACTTGGCTGTGTATGGCTTGTTGGCAAATAAATGAGGATTTAACATAACATTAAGGGAAATAAGCAGGAGTAAGGCATGTTTAAATTTACATTATATCAAATGAAAAAGTTAATAACCTAAAACTTTTGAGTAGCATGAACTTGGATGTGGTAAATGAATGTGGTCAGAGGACTGTGTAAGAGGAGGCCCAAATCACAGATTCAATCCCTGATGATAAACAACTACGTTTTTTAATTTGTTTAAATGAAAACCAAGCTGAAGCCTAAGTTCTATCATTCATCTTTAAAATGTACTTTTTGGAGCAAGGGAAAAGGGATTATAAATAAAGATAAATCCATTAATTATAAATAAAGATAAATCCAAGAATTATAAAGAGAAATCCATGACTCCTCCATCACATCACAAATTAATTGTGTTGATAAAAAGATGGCAAAATGTATAAACAAAAAGGTTACACGTTTTCACTAACATCATAACAACTAAAGGAAAGTATATCACATATTAAAATAAGACAAGGGAACATGTGAAAAGATGAAAATTTTAAACCAATATGAGTTTTTCTAAATACTTTCTATAACCTGATCAAACAAGAGCTTTTATTCTTTCTCTTGGCGGAAAAAACAATGTCGTCTCACCATCTGTTTGAGAGTTCCTCTGGAATATTGTGCTTGCCTCTGGATTGGCAGAAGGGTTAAACTCCAAAGCTATATGCATAGAGGAAGAAAAGAAAAAAAGATGTAATCATTGATAAAAATTTATCAACTCGTTTATTCGGCTGCTGCATTTAGGCTATTTCACTATCTCTACTTTGATTCTTATCCATTGAAATGAGCGTATAGACACAAGACAGAGCCAGGCAAGATGGCACATGCTTGTAGTCCCAGCTACTCAGGAGGCTGAGATGGGAAAATCACTTGAACCCAGGTCAGGAAGTTGAGGCCAGCATGAGTAACATAATGACACCCTCCTTTATTTAAAAAAAAAAAAAAAAGAAGAGGTAAATTTTGGCTTTGAGTTGTGTAAAATCAACTTTGCATAAAATAAATCAAGATGGCAGTAAGTTTTAAAAGACAGGTCTATTTTATAGGCAAAATATAAGAGGTATTCTAGAGTTTTTAAAATTTTTAAAAAGTAAATTCATCATATCTGTCACTTCCATTTCATTCTGAGGACACAGAACCTTAGTTCTCTTGAGTAGCTGTCTTCCATAGTCATGTGATATCTCTAAGTTTTCATTTCTTCATTAGCAACACATAGGGAGAACATACACAGGCCTTATTTGTATTGGAAAGGGCCAAGTGAGACATACATAAACTGTGTTGTAATCCTAAAGAATGACAATAAAGAGCCATTTTTGGGCTCTCATCCAACACTACCCATCTACTAACTGGTGTGTAACATCCATCAGGCTTTCCGAACATCACCAAGCAGAGTATAAGTTTACACAAGTACTTACATGCTTTGTGTATAAAGGTACAATCAATTAATTCACATAATACATTTGTTTATTCTAAAGCAATCCTTAAATATCTTGAAATGTGAAGATAGTACTTCCAAGTTACAAAGTCACACTCATAATGAGTCTTAATTATCCTACCTCTTTAAAAATTAAGAGCGCAACCAAAGTTTAAATAGAAGAGCTATAAGACATTTCCTCTACAGTGATGAAATCTCTGGCATTTAAATGAAACCAATAAGCCTACTGGATGTAATATGTTTATGATGCAATGTTTTCTATTTTGAAAATTTCAGTTTTTATTCAAGAACCATATTATTACCCAGAATTACTTTTACTTAGATTCATCTCTTTGCAAAATTTTAGAGGCAAACCAACTAATTGTTTTCTCTTTTCTACCGGCTCCCATCCCCTGCCTCTGCCAGCAGTGTAGAGACTAAAAAACTCCAACTTTCTTTCCTTTTTTTTTTTTGTGAGACGGAGTCTCGCTCTGTCACCCAGGCTGGAGTGCATTGGCGTGATCTCTGCTCACTGCAACCTCCACCTCCCAGGTCCAAGCAATTCTCCTGCCTCAGCCTTGTGAGTAGCTGGAACTACAGTCATGTGCCACTACGCCCAGCTAATTTTTGTATTTTTTTTTTAGTAGAGACAGCGTTTCACCATGTTGGCCAGGCTGGTCTGGAACTCCTGACCTCAGGTGATCCGCCTGCCACGGCCTCCCAAAGTGCTGGGATTACAGGCGTGAGCCACCAAGCCCAGCCAAAACTGTAACTTTCTTATCTTTGAACAAGATGCTATTGTCAGGAGGGGAAGGGACAAAGGGGGAGCCATGGCAACAAACACTCTTACAGGGAAGGTCTGACATTTTAACCTGCAATCTTTATATTACACATTGAAAGTCTACATTGACGTTTCATGTCTTTTGAAAGTTTTGACCATGAACCAATCCCCACCTCTCTTTTAGAACAAGGAGGTAAATAAAGTCTGTTAAGTCACCAGAATAAATCTGGAGACACATTTTCTGTTAAAGTAAGAATTTTAAAGTAATCAGAGCCTCATAGGTAAACTCCTTTGAGAAACCCCAAACACACACACACAACCATTTTTCTGCAGCCCCGGCTGTGACATTTCACACCTTTCACAATTATTTTAAGCACTCTCCTTTTTTCTTTTTCCTTCTGTGTTCAAATTACAGTTAGAAGAAACTAAGCAGCTTCTATCAAGGTGACTTAAAGCAGCCCATTAAGAATACCATATAGCCTCTCCCGTGGCAAACTCCATTCTGATTTTAAATAAGAAATCCCCAAATATTTGAATAGGAACTGTCCTGAGATTTGACTACTTTAACAAAGGAAACAATTAGGCACTTACCTGGTTCCTTCACTTAGGTACCATCTGGATAGGTACAAAGAAAAAATAAGATGGGTACTGAAAAGTTGGGATATTTGAGTTTTTATTGAGAAAAGGAAGAGAATAGCTCAAAGAAGCCTAAACAAAGTCCCACAGGATAATAAACAGAGCTACAGACACTGTTGTCTCACCATCTGTTTGAGAGTTCCTCTGGAATATTGTGCTTGCCTCTGGATTGGCAGAAAGGTTAAACTCCAAAGCTATATGTATAGAGGGAGAAAAGAAAAAAGATGTAATCATTTATAAAAATTTATCAACTCATTTATTCAACTGCTGCTTATTCGACAAGAGCCATAAATAAATGGTCCCATGCCAGCCTGGGAGAATGAGGTGAGAGAGCAAGAACTGGGCGATTGGGAGGGGAGGCGAAAAGAAACTGACTGGACTTGGTGGGGAAAGACTAAGGGGTGGGAATTCAAGGCAGAGCCAGCTTTTGTTCCTGGCCAGCCCCCGGAAAAGCTGGCTACAAGCAGAAAGGAGCTCAAAGTGGGGGATGCCTCAAAGGGAACCTTGGGGACAGCAGCAGCCAGAGGCAAACCGAGGGTAGATGGCACCTATCACCTCCTTACCTTCAGGCATCTCCCGGTCACGAACGTGGTGCATGTGGAGGTCCTCACCAACTTCAACAGTCACCTCAGCAGGCTGCACAGCAGCAGCCATGGGCGCTCCTGCCATCCTGTCCCCAGCTACTGCCTCATAGATCTCAGATTCAGAGGGACACACCGACCCCTGTTGCTGGTCAAACTCGAGGCTGACGCTAGGGTGCACACGACAGGTCAGTATGTTCCCCATGGGGTGCCTCTACTGTCTGCCACCACCTGTGCCTCTGCTCACAGCTTTGGCCACGCACTCCCGCTGTCCTAGGCCGAGGCTATGCTGCACTTGCAGAGATGGTCTTCCCGCTCCTCGCCTGCCCACCTCACAGCGCGGCCCCGGGCACCAGCCCTGGCCCTGGCCCTGGCCCTGGCCCTGGCCAAGGCCCGCACCCTGCTGCCTCCCCTGAGTTGACTTGTCTGGGAGGGTGAAGACCAGCCGGCTTATTTAATAGGTTGTGAACCCAACAAGTGCTGAGAGACACAACAACTGCCTGAAGAGAGAACAGACGGAGCTCCTCCTCCTTCTGTAGTCACCTACAGACTGAAGCCCACTGGCCCCAGGTGGGAGCCCAGGCATGTGGCACACAATGCCCCACCCCACACTTCACAATGCCCTCCCCGACAGCTCACAGTGCCCCACCCTGCCTGCCACCCCTCCCCAACAGCTCAGAATGCCCCTGCCTTGGCTGCCCCACCCTGCGGCTTATGATGCTGCTGCTCTCCTGGCCCCTCGTGCAGTGCCAGTGGGACTAAGGTTTTCATTCATCACCAGCTTCCTGAGATTTTAGTCCTAAGAAAAGCACAGGGTAGTTCATTCCTTGAAGCCATCTTCCTCTATGAGTTCTATACAAAGCCTCAGTAGAGTGGGTCCCATTAGCAACCAAGTTGAACAACTTTTATTTGCTGTCTGAATATAGATACACCTGAATTGTTGACTGCTTTTGTAACTAAACACTCCTCTCCTGTCTTCCAACGAGTGGTCATTTTTGTCCGCAACTTGACCACAGCAATCCCTGGGGCCCTAGCGCTACTCTCAATAAAGAGTTATGGCTGTGTGTTTTGAATGACACCTTAGGACCCATCCTGCCTCCACCTCCTTCTCCATAAAATGGAAACCTAACTTGTCCCTCTCCAAGCTCTGAAATGCTGAAACTTACCAACTCCCTTTTCTCCCCGCTATTTCTTCCTTCCGTGGCAGGGACTTTCAGGTTTTCTTTCTTTTACTAACAAGGCACTAAGCATGATTTTCTCATACAAAATCGAGAGCCATAAAGTGGCTTACCACAGTCCTATTTCAATAAAGATGAATACTCGACATCTGGCAAGTAGTGTGTGCCTGACACTGTGCTATGCTCATTTAACCCTCAGAAACAATGTCATTTTACAGATTTTACTGAAGGAGTTGAGATGGAGAAGGTAAGTAACCTCCCCAAGGTCACATGGCTGCTAAGGTTGGGGCCACAATTTGATCCCAGGTAGTCTGAATTCCCCAATTCCTGAAGCATGATTATCGGAAAGCACATTAGTCTGTTTCACACTGATATAAAGAAATACCTGAGGTTGGATAATTTATAAAGGAAACAGGTTTAATTGATTCACAGTTTCGCATGGCTGGGTAGGCTTCAGGAAACTTACAATCATGGCAGAAGGGGAACCAGGTCCGACTTACATGGTGGCCGCACAGAGAGTGGGAACATGTGAAGGAGCAACTGTCAAACATGTGTAAAACCATCAGATCTCAGCTGGGCTTGGTGGCTCACACTTGTAACCCTGGTACTTTGGGAGGCCAAAGCAGGTGGATCAACTGAGGTCAGGAGTTCGAGACCAGCCTAGCTAACTTAGTGAAATCCCGTCTCTACTAAAAATACAAAAATTAGCTGGGTGTGGTGGCGCATGCCCGTAATCCCAGCTACTCAGGAGGCTGAGGCAGGAGAATCACTGGAACCCAGGAGGCAGAGGCTGCAGTGAGCCAAGATCGCGCCATGGTACTGCAGTCTGGGTGACAGAGCAAGACTCCATCCAAAAAACAAAACAAAACAAAACCCTATAAGATCTCATGAGGACTTACTGAATATCACAAGAACAGCATGAGGATAACTGCCCCCGTGATCCAATCACCTCCCCCTAGGCCCCTCCCTCGACACATCAGGATTATGGGGATTATAATTCATGATGAGATGTGGGTGGGGGGACATGGCAAAACCATATCAGAAAGTAAAGGTAGAAGTCAAGCTTGAACAGGAAATGACATTGTAGATTACTATTTTTTTTTTCTTTTTTTTTGAGATGAAGTTTTGCTCTTGTTGCCCAATGAAGTTGTTTTTCTAATTTCATTTTCAGATTGTGTCTTGCAGATGTGTAGAAATACAATTGATAAATGATTCTGGCTATTAACCTTTGATGCTTCAACCTTGCTGAACATGTTTTTTTTTTTTTTTTTTTGAGACGGAGTTTAGCTCTTGTTGCCCAGACTGGTGGCATGATCTTGGCTCACCACAACCTCCGCCTCCCGGGCTCAAGAGATTCTTCTGCCTCAGCCTCCCTAGTAGCTGGGATTACAGGTATGTGCCACCATGCCCGGCTAATTTTGTATTTTTAGTAGAGATAGGGTTTCTCCATGTTGGTCAGGCTGGTCTCGAACTCCCGACCTCAGGTTATCCGTCCACCTCGGCCTCCTAAAGTGCTGGGATTACAGGCATGAGCCACCGTGCCCGGCCAAATCTGCTTATTTTTAAGCTTTTTGATGCTTTTCTGTTTTGTTTCAGTTTTTTTTCCTATTTATTAATACAAGTTCTTTAGGTATTTTGGATAATTGTTAAAAAGCTTTTTAATTTGTTCATTGGTTTCTTTGCTGTGAAGGTTTTCAATTTGGCATTGTCCCATGTTTAGTTTGGCTTTTCATGTCTCCACTTTTGTGACATATTCTGTAAATTATTGTCAAGATCAATACCTAGAAACTTCTAGACAAAAACCTAAAAGAAAAGTTTTCTCATTTCAGGTCTTACACTTAAATGTTGTTTTTTGATTTTTTTTTTTTTGGAGACAGAGTCTCGCTCTGTTGCCCAGGCTGGAGTGCAGTGGTGCGATCTCGACTCACTGCAGCCTTCGCCTCCCGGGTTCAAGTGATTCTCCTGCCTTAGCCTCCTGAGTAGCTGGGACTATAGGCACGCGCTACCACGCCCAGCTAATTTTTGTGCTTTTAGTAGAGACAGGGTTTTGCCATGTTGGCCAGGATGTTCTCGACCTCCTGACCTTGTGATCCACCCGCCTCCGCTTCCCAAAGTGCTGGGATTACAGTCATGAGCCACCACGCTTGGCCACATTTAAATCTTTAATAAATTTTTATTGGATTTTCGTTTGGCAAACTATGCTACCCCCCCCCCCCCACTGTCTGATCTTGTTAATAAAGTTTTATTGGAACACAACCACATTCATTGATTTACTTACTTTCTATTGTTGCTTTCACCCTACCTCCAATGTAAGAGTTGAGTAATTATGACGAGACCGGATGGCTCACAGAGCCTCAGATGTTTTCTATCTGCCCCTTTTATTTATTTTTTTGAGACGGAGTCTTGCTCTGTCACCCAGGCTGGAGTGCAGTCATGTGATCTTGGCTCACTGCAACCTCTATTTCCTGGGTTGAAGCGATGCTCCTGCCTCAGCCTCCCGAGTAGCTGGGATTACAGGCGCCTGCCATCACACCCAGCTAATTTTTGTATTTTTAGTAGAGTTGGGGTTTCACCATGTTGGCCAGGTTGGTCTTGAACTCCTGACCTCGTGATCCACCTGCCTCGGCCTCCCAAAGTGCGGGGATAACAGGCGTGAGCCACTGCGCCTGGCCCTGCCCCTTTACATAAACAGTTCGCTGACCATTGCTCTAAGGCATTCTGTTCCATTCTTGCCTTGTGGAAGCAGCAGAATGAACCTAGGTAATAGCCGGGGGAAGTGCTGAGGATAGAAATGTCAGCCTCTAGAGCAGCACTGCCCCATAGAACTCTGCAGGAATGAAAATTTTCTTTATCTGCATCGTCAAAGGCAGTAGCCACTAGCCACCTGGATGGCTGACCCCATTCTAGTCTGTGTTTTTTGGTGCTCTGTCGTCTTGCTGCTGACTATTCAGCCTGTCACCATGGTGCAGTCTTGTAGGCCGCCCAGGTTGGTCTCAGCGATCCTGGAGCTACTGACTTCTTCCTTGGGCACTGTAAGATCAGACAGGGAATTACTCATACCCAGAGTCAAAGATTTTGTTCAGCTCCCACAGGTCAACCATTTGCCCAAGTCTGCTGTGAGAGTGACGTGATGACAGATGAGGGCACTTGCTAGTTGGCCACTCCTTTCCCCTATTCATTTTATGCATCTTCCTTCTGTCCGTAGGTTATTTGTGCACATAGTTTCTTGCTGTAGTACCCAATGTCGGTCAGAGTCAGCATTTGTTAAATACGATGATTTTCTTTTGGAACAACTAAATCTACTCATCAATCAGTAGGATTGGTTTCAGGGGATTCAGGAGACAACAGGTTTAGAAAATACGCAAGCTGCTATTTTGAGAGGCTTGAAAGGGAGAGAGAACTTACGTTAAAAAAAAGTTCCTATGGTAACAACTTTTAATGCTATTTTATTCAGTCTCCATGGTCTATCAGATAGGTAATGTAGTAACACTAATTTTACAGATAAAGCTAAAATCTGGAAGCAATGTGGAATAATGGAACAAGGTTGGATTTTTGTATTGTGTCCTAGTTTAAATATGGCTTTCCGACATAGAGCTGTTTGATTATAGGTAAATTGTTCTACTTTAATTGGCTTTTGTTTACTCCTTTGTAGACGAGGGATTTCACTACCAACTTTGCAGGATTGTGATGGGGAGAGAATACGTAAAGACCCTTATCAACTATCTGGCACTTGAAGAATGGCAGATGATAATGATGATGATGTTGTAAAGAATGAATGACTTGGCCAGGTAATGGAGCTTCTGGTATTGGGAGGCAAGGCTTTAAACACACCTGCCTGACTCCACGGTCCATGCTGTCAATTCTCCAGTGTGAATGAAGTGGGCAGGCAAGGGTGAGAAACGCTAAGGTTTTTACTCAGTAAGTCTCCATCACAGGCCCTATTCTAGGCTCAGGAATGCAAAGATGATTACCATCATAGCTCTGTCCTCAAAGGTCTCCAATCTATTTAGCATTAAGCATATGTGGAGTTTCAGAAGGAACCAACGGCGAGACTGGTGAATCAATGCCCAGTGCCTCACCATACTCCCCCAGTGTATGCTCAATAGTTCGTTGAACTGTGGAGATAAGTTGGTGGGTAGGGTCTCAGAAGAATGAGAGAGGACAGGAGACACAGATTAGATGTTTAGTTTCATATTAGACTGGCTCCTCTGAGCCAGAAGTCGAGGATGAGTGAACCCGCAGTGGGAGTGAGATGACATTCTTTGTCAGCTGAGTAACCCACTTAGTGAAGGAGGTTCACGGAGTTGGAAAATCGGTAGGGGGAACGGAACGAGGCAGTGGGCTCCCATGTTAGGTTGAAAGGCAGGTGTTGGCTTGAAGCCAGTTACTGTTTACACCGCAGCTCAGCAGCTTGGAAACTGGAGCAGGAGGTGTGGCTGGGCTTACCCAACGCTGGGATTTGAGCCCAGGGTGCCTACTCCATTGCCTGGCCTACAGTTCTCAGTAAATTGTATGAGGACTACAGAAAGTTATCTGTTTTCGCCTTTGTCTTCAAGCAGGCACGGTAATGCCCCCATTTTCCAGATGAGGCAATTGAGGCCAGAAACATTAGGGGACGGTGAAGCCTAAAGCAGATTTGTTAGGACAGGCCGGCCCAAACGCACCAGGAGCGCCCCTCACTCTGGAGAGGCCACCGACTGGACAGCGTCTGCCTGTATCGCCTATCTCCAGCAAATCAGGCGCCTGGAAGAGGATCCCCGGTGGGTCTCACGGAGGGCGGCTCCGGCTTCAACCCCGCCGTTCCCAGCAGGCCATGCGGCTGCCCTCCAGACGCCCGCGTGGGCACGAGTCAGGGGTCCAGTGTTGCTAGTAATAAAAGATCAACATCCGGGCCTCGTAACTCACAACCTCCAGCGAATGCCAAGAAGGCCCCAGGGCCCTGGCGCCCCGGCAACCGCCCACGTCCGGGGGCCAGGCCTGCCCCCGCCCGCGCTGATTGGAGGGCAGCGAAAGCGCCGTCCAGCGATTGGTAGGTGGTGTCACAAAGGGGCGGGGCGCGGCGGCAGCGGAGCGTTGTCGGCCAGTGCCTTCCGTGAAGTTGCTCGCCGGGTCGTTGGGCCCTGTCGACCTGTAGGCGGGCGAGCGAGCCAGCGGACAAGACTGCGGGTGAGGCTGAGCTAGCGAGCGGCCGGCAGGGGGGGCGCCCGGGCTGCGAGCCGCTGAGCCCAGCCGCGCTGCCGCCGCCGGCCGTCGTGGGGCCGGAATGGCGCAAGGCCGGAGTGGCGCGGGCGCTCGGCGCTGGGCTGCCGGGTAGAGTCCTGTCCCCGCCCCTCGCCTTGCGGCCTGACGCCGGCCGCTGCTGCCCGGGGACCGGAGCGGCGGGCCGCCTTTGCCCAGGACACACGCTCTGGCGTTTGTTCCTTTGGGCGTGACGCCAGCTTCAACGGGTACGCGGCTTTCCCGACGGGTGCTGATCTCCGAGTCGCTGTTGTCACGCGGACTGCTGTCCTCCAGATTCAGGCCGGTGGGTCTGGGGAGCCCGGATTGGTCTTGGAGGAGCAACGGCTGCGCAGGTGACTCGGTGGCCTCAAGTGTGTAGGTACCTGGATGGCGCGAGGAGATGCTGGCTCTGAAATACTTCCCAATTCCGCTTGCAGATGAACTCCGGACTAGAGTTTAGGCTACAGACAAGTTAGGCGGTTGATGTGATTCTGTAGCTCGTATTTCGAACTTTAGGGATGTTTTGATGTATCAGTAAATGTAGATCTGTGTCACAGTTTTAATGGCAGCTTCACATTCCGGATATCTTTATGTTGGGGAAAATGTTTCAAAGGTAACTGCTCTTCTGTAGCTAAGCTTCTTTAGAGCAGAGGTTGGAGAAAATTCTGAGTTACTGAAATTACGTATTCAGCGCTATTGCCTGTTTACCTTTAACTTCCATTTCATCCTTGGAGTTGTGTTTTTAGAAACTTTTCAGAAGAAATGAGAGAAATGCTTTGGGAATTGATTTTTTTTTTTTTTTTAAGTTCTAGGGTACATGTGCACAACGTGCAGGTTTGGTACATAGCTATACATGTGCCATGTTGGTTTTCTGCACCGACTAACTCGTCATTTATATTGCGTATTTCTCTTAATGCTATCCCTCCCCCCATCTCACTCCCCACGACAGGCCCCAGTGTGTGATGTTCCCCTCCCTGTGTCCAAGTGTTCTCATTGTTGAGTTCCCATCTATGAGTGAGAACATGGCGGTGTTTGGTTTTCTGTCCTTGTGACAGTTTGCTGAGAATGATGGTTTCCAGCTTCATCCATGTCCATGCAAAGGACATGAACTCATCCTTTTTTTATGGCTGCATAGTATTCCATGGTGTATATGTGCCACATATTCTTAATCCACTCTATCACTGATGGACATTTGGGTTGGTTCCAAGTCTTTGCTGTTGTGAATTGTGCCACAGTAAACATACGTGTGCATGTGTCTTTATAGTGGCATGATTTATAATCCTTTGGGTATATACCCAGTAATGGGATCGCTGGGTCAAATGGTATTTCTAGTTCTAGATCCTTGAGGAATTGCCACACTGTTTTCCACAACGGTTGAACTAATTTACAGTCCCACCAACAGTGTAAAAGTGTTCCTATTTCTACACATCCTCTCCAGCATCTGTTGTTTCCTAACTTTCTAATGATCGCCATTCTAACTGGTGTGAGATGGTATCTCACTGTGGTTTTGATTTGCATTTTTCTGATGACCAGTGATGATGAGTGTTTTTTCATGTGTCTGTTGGCTGCATAAATATCTTCTTTTGAGAACTGTCTGTTCATATCCTTTGCCCACTTTTTGATGCGGTTGTTTTTTTCTTGAAAATTTGTCTAAGTTCTTTGTAGATTCTGGATATTAGCCCTCTGTCAGATGGGTAGATTGCAAAATTTTTTTCCCATTCTGTAGGTTGCCTGTTCACTCTGATGGTAGTTTCTTTTGCTGTGCAGAAGCTCTTTAGTTTAATTAGATCCCATTTGTCTATTTTGGCTTTTGTTGCCATTGCTTTTGGTGTTTTAGTCATGAAGTCCGTGCTCATGCCTATGTCCTGAATGGTATTGCCTAGGTTTTCTTCTAGGGTTTTTATGGTTTCAGGTCTAACATTTAAGTCTTTAATCCATCTTGAATTAATTTTTGTATAAGGTGTAAGGAAGGGATCCAGTTTCAGCTTTCTACATATGGCTAGCCAGTTTTCCCAGCACCATTTATTAAATAGGGAATCATTTCCCTACGTCTTGTTTTTGTCAGGTTTGTCAAAGATGGTTGTAGGCTGGGCACAGTGGCTTACGCCTGTAATCCCAGCACTTTGGGAGGCCGAGGCAGGCGGATCACCTGAGGTTGAGAGTTTGAGACCAGCCTGACGAACATGGAGAAACCCCTGTTGGGAGAAATCTCTACTAAAAATGCAAAAAAATTAGCCGGGCGTGGTGGCACATGCCTGTAATCCCAGCTACTAGGGAGGCTGAGGCAGGAGAATCACTTGAATCTGGGAGGCGGAGGTTGTGGTGAGCCAAGATCACACCATTGCACTCCAGCCTGGGCAACAAAAGTGAAACTCCGTCTCAAAAAAAAAAAAAAAAAATCAGATAGTTGTGATTTTTGCACATTGATTTTGTACCCTGAGACTTTGCTTAAGTTGTTTATCAGCTTAAGGAGATTTTGGGTTGGGACGATGGGGTTTTCTAAATGTATAATCATGTCATCTGCAAACAGGGACAATTTGACTTCCTCTTTTCCTAATTGAATATCCTTTATTTCTGTCTCCTGTCTGATTGCTCTGGCCAGAACTTCCAACACTGTGTTAAATAGGAGTGGTGAGAGAGGGCATCCCTGTCTTGTGCCGGTTTTCAAAGGGAATGCTTCCAGTTTTTGCCCATTCACTATGATATTGGCTGTGAGTTTGTCATAAATAGCTCTTATTATTTTGAGATACGTTCCATCAATACCTAGTTTATTAAGAGTTTTTAGCATGAAGAGCTGTTGGATTTTGTCAAAGGCCTTTTCTGCATCTATTAAGATAATCATGTGGTTTTTGTCATTGGCTCTGTTTATGTGATGGATTATATTTATTGATTTGCCTGTATTGAACCAGCCTTGCATCCCAGGGATGAGGCCGACTTGATCATAGTGGATAAGCTTTTTGATGTGCTGCTGGATTCGGTGTGCCAGTATTTTATTGAGGATTTTCGCATAGATGTTCATCAGGGATACTGGTCTAAAATTCTCTTTTTTTGTTGTGTGTCTGCCAGGCTTTGGTATCAGGATGATGCTGGCCTCATAAAATGAGTTAGGGAGGATTCCCTCTTTTTCTATTGATTGGAATAGTTTCAGAAGGAATGGTACCAGCTCCTCTTTGTACCCCTGGTAGAATTTGGCTGTGAATCCATCTGGACCTGGACTTTTTTTGTTGGTAGGCTATTAATTATTGCCTCAATTTCAGAGCCTGTTATTGGTTTCTTCAGAGATTCCACTTCTTCCTGGTTTAGTCCTGGGAAGGTATATGTGTCCAGGAATTTATCAATTTCTTCTAGATTTTCCAGTTTATTTGTGTAGAGGTGTTTATGGTATTCTCTGATGGTAGTTTGTATTTCTGTGGGATCGCTGGTGATATCCCCTTTATCTTTTTTTATTGCATCTATTTGATTCTTTAGTCTTACTAACAATCTATCAATTTTGTTGATCTTTTCAAAAAACCAGCTCTCAGATTCATTGATTTTTTGAAGGGATTTTTGTGTCTCTATTTCCTTCAGTTCTGCTCTGATCTTAGTTATTTCTTGCCTCCTGCTAGCTTTTGAATTTGTTTGCTCTTGCTTCTCTAGTTCTTTTAATTGTGATTTTAGGGTGTCAATTTTAGATCTTTCCTGCTTTCTCTTGTGGGCATTTAGTGCTATAAATTTCCCTGTACACACTGCTTTAAATGTGTCCCAGAGATTCTGGTGCGTTGTGTCTTTGTTCTCATTGGTTTCAAAGAACATCTTTATTTCTGCCTTCATTTCGTTATTTACCCAGTAGTCATTCAGGAGCAGGTTGTTCAGTTTCCATGTAGTTGTGCAGTTTTGAGTGAGTTTCTTAATCCTGAGTTATAATTTGATTGCACTGTGGTCTGAGAGACAGTTTGTTGTGATTTCTGTTGTTTTACATTTGCTAAGGAGTGCTTTACTTCCAGCTATGTGGTCAACTTTGGAATAAGTGCGATGTGGTGCTGAGAAGAATTTGCCAGACATTAAAATGTCTTTTAATTGGGGCATTTAGCCCACTCACATGTAAGGCTAATATTGTTATGTGTGAATTTGATCCTGTCTTTATGATGTTAGCTGGTTATTTTGCCCATTAATTGTTGCAGTTTCTTCACAGCATCAATGGTCTTTACCATTTGGCATGTTTTTGCAGTGGCTGGTACCGGTTGTTCCTTTCCATGTTTAGTGTTTCCTTCAGGAGCTCTTGTAAGGCAGGCCTGGTGGTGACAAAATCTCTCAGCATTTGCTTGTCTGTAAAGGATTTTATTTCTCCTTCACTTACGAAGCTTAGTTTGGCTAAGGCCAATATTACCCTGATACCAAATCCTGACAGACATAATGAAAACTACAGATCATCATCTCTTGTGATTATAGACACAGAAATCCTGAGGAAATATTTTCAGATCAAATCCATCAACATATGTAAAGGATTACATACCAGGTACAAATGGGATTTACCCCAGTAATGCAAGATTGATTTGACACATAAAAAGTAATGTAATATGTGAATAAAAAAGTAAAGAAAACCAAATGATTATTTCAATAGACAATGAAAAAAGCGTTTGATAAAATTGGCACCCCTTCATGATTAAAAAGAAAACCCACCTAAAGCAGGAATAGAAGGGAAGCTCGTCAACCTTATATTGGTAATCTATGAAAACCCCACGGTTAACATTATACCTAAAGACTCAATGGTTTCCTTCTACAATCAAGAATTAGACAAGGATGTCCAGTCTCACCACTTTTATTCAATCTTGTACTGAAGGTTCCAGAGCAGGGCAATTAGGCAAGAAAGGGAAATAAGCCCAGTGCAGTGGCTCAGGCCTGTAATCCCAGCTCTTTGGGAGGCCAGGGTGGGTGGGTCACCTGAGGTCAGCAGTTCGAGACCAGCCTGGCCAACTTGGTAAAACCTTGTCTCTACTAAAAATACAAAAATTTGCCTGGTGTGGTGGCAGGTGCCTGTAATCCCAGCTATTTGGGAAGCTGAGACAGGCGAATCGCTTGAACTCGGGAGGCGGAGGTTACAATAAGCGGAGATCGTGCCATTTCACTTCAGCCCGGGCAACAGAGTGGGACTTTCACCCCCTCCAAAAAAAAAAAAAAAAAAAAAAAGAAAGAAAAGAGCATATAGATTAGAAAGGGAGAAGTAAAACTCTATTTGTAAATGACATGATCTTGTATATAGAGCTTTTATAGAGAGCGTTTAGGAAGATTTAAATAACTAAATGAACGAAATAAACAGTTCAGCACAGTTGCAGTGTACAGGATCAAGATATTAAAATCGGTTGTGTTTCTATAAACCAGCAATGAGCAATCTGTAAATAAGACAGTGATTCCATTTGTAATAGCATTTAAAGGAATAAAATACTTAGGAATAAATTTAATAAAAGAGAACAAAACTTGTGCTTTAAAAATTATAAAACATTGAAATAAATTAGATATAAACTGAAAAATAGTATGTATTTATGGATTAGAAGACTTAGTATTAAGATTGCAGTACTCTCCAAATCTACAGACTTAATACAATCCCTGTCAAAATCCCAGCTGACATTTTTGCAAAATGGGCATACTTAAAATTCATATGGCAATTCAAGGAGTCCAGAATAGCCAACAATCTAAAAAGAACAAATTGGAGGCCTCACACTTCCTGATTTCAGAACTTACTACAAAGCTACATTAATTAAGATGTGGTGGTACTGGCATAGGTAGATCAACAGAATAAAGAGTCTGGAAATAAACCTTCACATTTACAGTAAATTGGTTTTTAACAAGGATCCAAGACAATTCAATTGGGAATGAATGGTAATTCTGACAAATGATACTGGAACAACTGGTTATCCACATGCAAAAGAATAAAGTTAGACTCTACCTCACACCATACACAAAACTAAATTGAAATTGGACAGTACACCTAAACATAAGAGCTAAAACTACAATTTTTAGAAACATATATAAGTCAATCTTTATTACCTTGGGTTAAGCCAAGCTTTTTAAGTATGATAAAAGAAAAATAGCCAAATTAGAGTTTAACAAAATTAAAAACCTTTGTGTTTCAAAAGATACTATCAAAAGACAACCCACAAAATGAGAGAAAATATTTACCATTCATATATCTGTTAAGTGTTTTTATCTAGAATATGTAATATAAAAACTCATACAACTCAATAAAAAATCCAATTAAAAAATAGACAAAGTATATGAATAGGCATTTCTCCAAAGAATGTATGCAAATGGCCAATAATCACATAAAAAAGATGCACAATATCATTAGTTTTTAAAGAAATGGAAGTCAACCACAGTGAGATACTACTTCACACCCACTAGGATAGCTTTAATCAAAAGGACAGAAACAAGTATTGTCAAGGGTGTGGAGAAATTGGCACCCTCATTCATTGTTGATGGGACTATAAAATGATCCATACCATTTAGAAAACAGTTTGGTAGTTCCACAAATTGCCAAACATAAGAGTTACCACATTATCTAGCAAAGCTACTTCAAAGAGAAAGGAAAACATATGTTTACACAAAAACTTGCAGTTGAATGTTCATCTTAGCACTATATGTAACAGCCCAAAATTGGAAACGACTCAAATGCTCATCAACTGATGGATGGATAAACAACATGAGATATATTGCTACAGGGGACTATTATTCAGCAATAAAAAGGAGTGAAATACTGATATATCCTAGAACATGATGAACTTTGAAAACATTATGCTAAGTGAAAGAAGCCAGTCACAAAAAAATCATATATGATTCTATTTATGTGAAATGTCCAGAATAGACCAATTTGGAGATAGAAAGTAGATTAGTGGTTGCCTAGGGTTGAGTGGGGGACTGGGGGAATTTGGGAGTGTTGGTTACAGGGTATGGGGTTCCTTTTAGAGGTAATGAAAATTTTCTAAAGCAAATGTGGTGATTGTTGCACAACTCTGTGTACATCATAAAAACCAGTGAATTTTAGGCTTTAAATGAGTGAATTTTATGGCATGTGAATTATATTTCAATAAAGCTTTTTTTTTCTTATTTAATGATGGAGTCTTGCTCTGTCACCCAGGTTGGAGTGCAGTGGTGCAATCTTGGCTCACTGCAACCTCTGCCTCCTGGACTCAAGCGGTTCTCCTGCCTCAGCCTCCCGAGTAGCTGGGACTACAGGTGTGCGCCACCATTCCTGGCTAATTTTTGTATTTTTTGGTAGAGATGGGGTTTCGCCATTTTGGCCAGGCTGGTCTCGAACTCCTGACCTCAGGTGATCCGCCCACCTCGGCCTCCCAACGTGCTGGGATTACAGGTGTGAGCCACTGTGCCTGGCCCTCAATAAAGCTATTTTTAAAAAGGTTTAACCACCTCACCAGAAAGATGTGTATCATTTGTCCTAGTTTAAGTTCAAGGCCCCCCTGTATAGAGTTTTCACGATTAATAGCAATAGCAATTTGATCATTTTTGTGCTCCTAGTTCTATACTTGTCATTTAGTTTACTACTTCTATTTGTTGGGCTTACCACTCATACTTATTAGCCATTGTATGTATGTGAGCAGAGATTGTCTAATACTTATTACCAATTCTAATGTCATCTGAATGCTATAATATCCTCTGGAAACCGTTGATGATTTAGTGAGTACTACTTTTTTTTGTTTTTGAGACCAGAGTCTTGCTCTGTTGCCCAGGCTGGGGTGTTGTGGCGCAATCTCGGCTCACCGCAAGCTCTGCCTCCCGGGTTCACGCCATTCTCCTGCCTCAGCCTCCCAAGTAGCTGGGACTACAGGCAGACACCGCCACGCCCAGCTCATTTTTTTCTTGTATTTTTAGTAGAGATTGGGTCTCACCATGTTAGCCAGGATGGTCTCGATCTCCTGACCTCATCATGATCTGCCATCTCGGCCTCCCAAAGTGCTGGGATTACAGGCATGAGCCACAGCCCCCAGCCTAGTGAGTACTATTTTTAAGCAACCTATTATGGTGGTTGGCATTCCTTTTATCCAGTATGATTCAAATATACAACAGGAGTAGGCATGGTGGCTCACGCCTGTAATCCCAGCACTTTGGGAGGCCGAGGCGGGTGGATCACAAGGTGAAGAGATCGAGACCATCCTGGCCAACGTGGTGAAACCCCGTCTCTACTAAAAATACAAAAATCTGCTGGGCATGGTGGTGGGTGCCTGTAATCCCAGCTTCTTGGGAGGCTGAGGCAGGAGAATTGCTTGAACCCGGGAGGCGGAGGTTGCAGTGAGCCGAGATTGTGCCACTGCACTCCAGCCTGGCGACAGAGCGAGACTCTGTCAAAAAAAAAAAAAAAGTCAAATGTACAATCGTTGTAAAGTTATGCTTTATATGGTATAGAAGACATAATTTGTATGTTTTAGAAAAGGATATGAATA
The DNA here is from genome assembly GCF_000001405.40 of Homo sapiens. Classification (NCBI taxonomy): domain Eukaryota; kingdom Metazoa; phylum Chordata; class Mammalia; order Primates; family Hominidae; genus Homo; species Homo sapiens. Next base: position 45,664,192 of record NC_000010.11, on the reverse strand, counting down.
AATTTTTCAAAGCCTTACAGAAATATACTGATGTGTTTGTTGAGTTTGGCTTATATATCACTTAACAACAAAAGTATTTGTTGAGCATGTACTATATATATAACTGTGCTGAGCTCTAGTAAGATACATTATAATATCAAAAATATGCGTATTCTTAATAATCTTATGGTCTAGATGGGAGAGTGATTTCAGAGACAAATGTGAAAAGTTCAGGATTAGACATAATTAAAAGCACTAAAGTGAATTCTGGGGCCGTCTGGAAGATTGATATGGGCCACAGTTAACGGAAAATCTTTATGGACAAATACAACTTTCAGATAGGCTTGTTAAAAAAATTCTTGTTTTTTTAGGTACAAAACTCAAAACATGAACAACAATATATATTACCAATCTTCAAACCTGGTTTGCCTAGAACTGGAATACAGTTGCCTGCGACATATTTTAGAAGAACTAGAAAAGTCAAAGTAATGGATAACAGAAAAGAGCCTCCATTCTTCAATGATGATAACATGGGACCATTTTACTACAGACTTCATTTCTGTGATACCATGGAGCTCTTCATTGAAACATTAACTGGAACATGTTTTGAGCTGAGAGTTTCACCTTTTGAAACTGTTATTTCTGTGAAAGCAAAAATTCGAAGATTGGAAGGTACTCATCTTTCTTTGTTTTTAGGATATGAAAATTAAATTTGTTCATCAATAATGTCTAGTAGTTTTTAAAGTATTTTAATGGAGACAATTTCAAACATATATGATGTTAGAATAAGATAATGAACCCCCTCCTACTCCCTCTCTCCAACATTTATCAGCTTATGAACTATTTTATCCCCATTGCTGTGTTCACCAGATTCTTTGGAAACAAATCCCTGGCATCATGCTATGGTGTGAAATAATATTTTAGAATAGCTTTCAGCAGGTTATGGTGACCTGCAAATTATGCCTTAACTATTTTATAGTTACTTTTAATGTTACTTTATATTTTACTTTTAATGGGAAATAGTAATTATATTCCCTTCTAGGGACCTTATTTCCCTTTTTACACTGCTTTGCAACCACCCTCCTTTTTTTTTTTTTTAATGTGGAGGTTTTCCGAAAAGAGTCTTTGGCTTACATTTACGTATATTCAAAGTTCCCTTAGTATAGCAGGGGTGCTGAATAATGTGTAATGTCTCTTTTGTGGTTTGTATATTTGCAGAAAGTGCCTAAAAAGACTAATTTTTATTAAAATTAGTCTTTGCATTTTGCAGATTTCTGCAATAAGTAATGTTTGCCATTTATAGTTGTTAAAAATCCAGTTTTTAGTAGAAAATTAAATTGTTCCATATAACAGTAAATGGATCTTTGTTGATGGAACCAGCTGGAACTTGCTTGTAATATAAAGGTAGTGACTAGGGTTGCCCTCCAGCTGGTTTAAGTTCAGAATTATAGAAGGATGAGGAGGGTTAGAATTTTTCATTTTTGTGAGGCCAAGGATATATATGAGCTCCTGAATATTTGCTATTTCTCTAGACCCAGGAGATCCTACTGAAGTGAGTGGCTGGCCGAGTCCAGTGACCACATCAGCACATTCAGTAATGACTCTTGAAGCTTTTGTCTGCCCTAAATGATTTGGTGAGATCTAGAGTCATGATAGTTTATTTTGACTTCGTTCTGCTTTGCAATTTATATCATAGTTTAAAGGATACCTTTTTTGGAGCATGAAGGTGAAATCTTGCGTTGTAAATAATCTCTGTACTTTTTATCTCTTTCATGAATTTTAAATAATTTGTATGCAGCAAAAGCACTTTAGAGAGAATCCTGTTTCAATCTTTTTATGTCAGAAGAGTCAACTTGGGTTTAGAGGAGATTAATAACTCATCCAAGGGAAATATTTAGTTTCCATGAGTCAGAACCAGAGCCAAGTTATAGAGTCCTTGTCTCTGTAGGAGGAGACATTGTGGGGACAAAAGCAGTGGCTTTTTGGTTATTAGACAATTGAATCTAAGTTTAAATGTTTATGAACAAATACAGATATTAGGAAATTAAATAAGGTAATATGTAAAATACCTACTATCTTAGTCTGCTGGAGCTGTCATAACAAAATACCACAGACCGGTGGCTTAAACAACAGAAATTTATTTCTCACTGTCTGAAGGCTGAATATCAGGGTACCAGCATGGGCAGGTTCTGGTGGGGGCTGTCCTCTAGGCTTGTTCACTGCATTTTCACATGGCAGAGAGAGAACATAGTATCTTTTTTTTTTTTTTTTTCTTCGAGACGGAGTTTTGCACCTGTTGCGCAGGCTGGAGAATGGCGCAATCTCTGCTCACCACAACCTCCGCCTCCTGGGTTCAAGCGATTCTCCTGCCTCAGCCTCCCGAGTAGCTGGGATTACAGGCATGCGCCACCATGCCTGACTGATTTTGCACTTTTAGTAGAGATGGGGTTTCACCATGTTGGCCAGGCTGGTCTCGAACTCCTGACCTCAGGTGATCCACCTGCCTCGGCCTCCCAAAGTGCTGGGATTACAGGCGTGAGCCACCTAACCCAGCTGAAAAACACATTTTAAGCCCTTTCTGGGTGATCTTTATATTTATATCCTGGAAGACATTTGGGGTCACATGGTGTGAGTCAGATTCTCCAAGTTAGAGGGATATGGAATACGGAGGGCAGAGATGAGGCTGCTTGGGTTCGTCCTGCTGGGAAAATGATTACTCTGCCAGACTGCTTTTTCTTTAGGGGAAGTTTTTGGTGAGTTGAGAACTAGAGCCTGGTGGGGAGAGTGGGGAGGATGGAGGGGCTAGTGGAGAAAGGACTGAAGGAGTGTGCTGCATTAGGAACAAGGAGGCTGCAGCAAGGGAGGAGCAGGGCCTGCTCAGGGATTTACAATGGGCCTTGAAAAAGGGACTGGAGTGCCGAAGCCATGCTGCCTGGCTTCAGATTACTGGCTGCCCAAATTACTTAATCTCTCTGTATCTTAGTTGTCTCAGTCTAAGATAGGAAGAATAATAGTATTTATCTCAAAGGGTTGTTCTCAGGATTAAATGAGTTAAAGGTGAAGTGCTTAGCAGAGTGATCCTCCTGCCTCAGCCTTCCAAAGAGCTGGGATTACAGACCTGAGCCACCAGGCCCAGCCCTCTTCCTTTGTTTATGTAGATCTGAGTTTCTGACCTACATCCTGTTTTTTGTGAAGAATGTCTTTTAACATTTCTTGCAATATGGGTCCACTGGCAACAAATTCCACCTCTTGCTTTCTTTATGTAGATCTTAGTTTCTGACCTACATCATTTTTTCTGTGAATAATGTCTTTTAACGTTTCTTGCAAAAAAGCCATCTTTTAACGTTTCTTGTTTGTCTGAAAAAGTATTTCTCCTTCATTTCTGAAGGATAATATTTCAGGGTATAGAATTCTAAGTTGGTATTTTTTTTCTTTCAACACTAAATATTTCACTCTAGTCTTTTCTTATTTGCATGATTTCTGATGAAAACTCCCCTGTAGTAATTATCTTTGCTTCTCTTTAGGTAAGGTGTTTTTTTCCCTTTCCTGGCTGATTTAAGAATTTTGTCTTTGTCTTTGCTTTTCTACAGTTTGATATAATATGTTGAAGGTGTAGATTCTTTGGTAGTTATCGTGTTTGGTATTCTCTGAGCTTCTTGGATCTGTGGTTTGGTATGTTTCATTAATTTTGGAAAATCTGGGCCATTATTTAAGTATTTCTTCTGTCTCATTTTTTCTTCTGATATTCTAGTGGCACCTTTTGAAATTGCCACAACTTTTGAAATTGTCCCACAGTTAATAGATGTTGTTTTTGTGCATTCTTTTTTCTCTTAACAGTCCGTTTTGCCAAGTTTATTTTCTTTTCTTTGTTTCTTTTATTTATTTATTTATTTTGAGATGGGATTTCACTATGTTGGCCAGGCTGGACTCGACCTCCTGGACTCAAATAATCCTTGTGCCTCAGCCTTTCAAGTAGCTGGGACTACAAGTGCATACCACTGTGCCTTGCCTAGGAAGTTTCTGTTGCCATTTTTCTTTTTTTTTTTTTTTTTTGAGATGCGTCTCGCTCTGTCGCCCATGCTGAAGTGCAGTGGTGTGATCTTGGCTCACTGCAAGCTCTGCCTCCTGGGTTCACGCCATTCTCCTGCCTCAGCCTCCCGAGTAGGTGGGACTACACACCCGGCTAATTTTTTGTATTTTAGTAGAGACGGGGTTTCACCGTGTTAGTCAGGATGGTCTCGATCTCCTGACCTCGGGATCCGCCTGTCTCGGCCTCCCAAAGTGCTGGGATTCCAGGCGTGAGCCACCGCGCCCGGCCTCTGTTGCCATTTTTCAAACTTCCCAATTCTTTTCCAGATCCAGTCTGCAGATGACCAATCAAAGGCATTCTTTATTTCTGTTGGAGCTTTTATTTTTAACATCTACTTTTTATTCTTAAAGTTTCCATCTCTGCTTGTATTATCAATCTGTTATTTCATGTTGTATACTTTTCCATTAGATTTCTTAGCATATTAATCTTAGCTGTTTTAATTTCCCTGTCTGATAATTTCAAGATCTCTGACATACCTGAGTCTATTTCTGATGCTAGTTTTGTCTTTTCATACCATATTTTTTCATGTCTTTTAGCATGCTTTGTAATTTTTAGTTGAAAACCAGACATAACATATCAGGTAATAGGAATTGAGGTAAATAGGACATTAGAGTGAGGTTTTATCTTCAACTTGCTAGAAATTGGGCTGTGTTTAATGTTTGCTGTAGTTATAAGTGCCAGAGCCTTCAAATTCCTCTAGTTTTTTCTTGTTTTGTCTCCCCTGTTGCCTTTGAGTTTCCCTAAAGACTCCTCCTTAGAGTTTGCGTCTTACAATTCTTTCCGTTGTAATCCACTGTTGTTATACTGGAGCCTTGTTAGTGTGGTGGTGAGGTATTGGGAAGAGGGGGAACATTCTGTAATCTTATGATTAAATCTTGCAGTGGGCCTGTGCCTCTAGGCTGGGACCTTCAAAGTGTATCTTAGCTTCTCCCCTCCTTCAACTTCTAGTAGTTTAGGTGAGGTAGGGAGGCTAGAGGGGCCTGGTTTCTGGCCCTCAATAATTTCCCAGTCTCATACTAGTCCACACTCAGCCTCTATGAATTCATCAAAATTACCATTCAAGTGTTCCTTCCAGTTTATGACTTTAGAGGCTTCAGCTTCACGTAAATGGATCTTGGCTCTGACTCTCTGGGTTTGCCTATCTCAACAGATTTTCTTATGGTGATTTACCTTACTACCTAATTTCTCTGATGGCACAAAGAAAAGTTGTTGGTTTTCGGTTTGTTCAGCTTTTTTTCTTGTAAGGAGTGGTGAATTAAAAGTTCTCCATATATCAGAGCTGAAACTAGGAGTCTCAACTTCTTAAAAACATAACCGTTTATTTTAAAATTCCAATAACTGTGTTAGCTATATCCTACAAGTTTTTGGTAAGTTGAATGTCAGTGTTATTAAATTCCAAGTATTTGTTTTGCTAAAAATATTTTTTTGTTTAAAAAATTATAATAGTTCTTTAAGGGCTTTGTAATCACAGCAATATATACGATTAGACAGCTTCGATCATTTTTTTTAGTTTATACACATTCTTAATTTGCTAACTAATAATACTGAGCATGTTTTTATTTGTCTCCAAATTCTAACAAACTATTTTTTAGGAAGATATAATTTACATATCATACAATTCACATATTGTATTAGTTTGCTAGGGCTGTCATAGCAAAGTATCACAAACTGGGTGACTTAACAGAAAGTTACACGATTTTGGAGGCTGAAAATACAAGATTTAGTTGGTGACAGTGTCAGGTCCTTCTGAGGGCTGTAGAATCTGTCACATGCCTTTCACCCAGCTCCTGGGGGTTTGCTTTCAATCTTTCTAGTTCATTGGCTTATTCAAGGCATCACCCTGGTCTTCTCATGTGATAATCTCCTTGTGTCTGTGTGTATCTGCCTCCAAATTTCTCCTTTTTATATGGATACCAGTCATATTGGATGAGGGCCCTCCCTAGTTAGCTCACTTTAACTTGAATACATATGTCAAGATTCTGTCTTCAAGTTAAGGTCACATTCTGAGGTATAAGAGGCTTAGACTTCCACCTAAGAATTTTGAAGGGACACAGTATATCATAACAAGTATATCGTTCTGTTGGTGTTGGCAGACATTTACTATCATACAGTCACCACCACAATCAAGATATAGAACAGTTCCATCACCTATCAGAATTCTCCTGTACCTTTTGTGGTCAATCCCTTCCTCTATTCCAAGCCCCTATCATACCCACTGATCTGTTTCTGTTCCTGTAATTTTGCCTTTTTTAGAATTTTATATAAATGAAATCATATACTTTATAGTCTCTTAAGTCTGGTTTTTTTCACTTATGCATAATATGTTTGAGACTTATCATATTGTTATATGTATCAGTAGTTCATTCTGTTTATGGCCGAGTAATGTTCCATTATAAGGAAGTACCATAGTTACTCATTCCCAAGTTGAGGGACATCTGGGTGGTTTTTAGTTTTTGGTGATTACAAATAAAGCCATATAAACTTTCACATACACATTTTTATGGAAGCATAGGTTTTTATTTCACTTGGGTAAATACTTAAGAGTGGAATTGCTGAATTGCATAGGAAGTATATAGTTAACTTTATAAAACTGCTAAATTATTTTCCAGAGTGGTTGTTACCATTTTGTGTTTGTATGAGTAATACATAAAAGTTCTAGTTGCTCTGTATCCTTATCAGCACTTAATAATATTGTCTGGGTTCTTTTAGTTTTACTTTTTGTTTCATTTTTGCTATTATAATTCGAACTGGAAATATTTCACTGTGGTTTTAATTTACATTTTCCTAATGACTGATGATGTTATGCATCTTTTAATTTGCTTGTCATCTGTCTTAATAAGTTCAGGTTGAGAGGCTGAGCCAGGTGGATCACTCAAGTCCAGGAGTTCAAGACCAGTCTGGGCAACATTGCGAAACCCTGTCTCTACTAAAAATACAAAAATTTTTTCTGGGCGTGGTGGCATGCGCCTGTAGTCCCAGCTGCTCAGGAGGCTGAGGTGGGAGGATCGCTTGAGCTCAGGACATGGAGATTGCAGTGAGCTAAAATTGCACCATTGCACTCCAGCCTGGGCAATGGATGAGACCCTGTCTCAAAAAAAAAAAAAAAAAAGTTCAGGTTGCTGTCACAGAATACCATAGATTGGATGTCTTAAACAACAGAAGTTTATTTCTCACGGTTCTGGAGCTGGGAAGTCCAAGATTACTAATCCACAGGTCTAGGGTCTGGTGAGGGCACTCTTTCTGGTTTGCAGATAGCTATTTTCTTTCTACATCCTCTCACGGTAGATAAAGAGAGGGAGATCATCTCTCTTCTAAGGACACTAATCCCATTCTTGAGGACCCTACCCTCATGACCTAATTACCTCCAAAGACCCCCATCCTTACCTCTGATACCATTATATTGGGTATTTAGGCTTCAGCATATGAATTTGGGTGGGGGAATACAAACATTCAGTCTGTTGCATTATCTGTATATCTTTTTTGGTGAAGCGTCTTTTCAAATTTTTGTCGTTTTCTTGTTACTGTGTTTTGATATTCTGGTGCTTTTAAGTTTTCCATTACAGTTTTTGTTTCTTTTCTTTCTTTCTTTTTTCTTTTCTTTTTTTTTTTTTTTTTTTTTTTTGAGACAGGTTCTCACTTTGTTACCCAGCCTGGAGTGCAGTGGCACCATTACAGCTCACTGAAGCTTTGAGCTCTCAGAGACAGGGTTTCACCATATTGGCCAGGCTGGTCTCCTGACCTTGTGATCTGCCCACCTCAACCTCCCAAAGTGCTGGGATTACAAGCATGAGCCACCTTGCCTGGCCGATTCCCTCTTTTTCAATCTTTTGGAATAGTTTCAGTAGGATTGGTACCAATTCTTCTCTTCTCTTCTCTTCTCTTCTCTTTTCTTTTTAGAAACGGAGTCTTGCTCTGTCAAGGCTGGAGTGCAGTGGTGCGATCTCAGCTCACTGCAACCTCCGCCTCCCGGGTTCAAGCCATTCTCCTGCCTCAGCCTCCCAAGTAGCTGGGGCTACAGGTGCGTGCCACCACGCCCAGCTAATTTTTTGTATTTTTAGTAGAGATGGGGTTTCACTGTGTTAGCCAGGATGGTCTTGATCTCCTGACCTCGTGATCCACCCACCTCGGCCTCCCAAAGTGCTGGGATTACAGGCGTGAGCCACTGCGCCCGGCCAGTACCAATTCATTGAATGTCTGGTAGAATTTGTCTGTGAATCCATCTGGCCCTGGGCTTTTTTTGTTGTTTGCAATTTAAAAATTACTGATTCATTCTCACTGCTTGTTACTGGTCTGTTCAGGATTTCTATTTCTTCCTGACTTAAGGTAGGAGGATTGTATGTTTCTAGGAATTTATCCATTTCATCTAGATTTTCTAGTTTATGTGCATAAAGGTATTTATAGTAATCTTGAATGATCTTTTGTATTTCTGTGGTGTAAGTTGTAATGTCTCCATTTTTATTTCTCAGTGAGTTTATTTGCATTTTCTGTTTTCTTTTCTTGATTAATATAGCTAATGGCCTGTGGATTTTGTTTATATTTCCAAAGAACCAAACTTTTATTTATTGATCTTTAGTATTTTTTGTTTCCATTCAATTTAGTTCTGCTCTGATCTTTGTTATTTCTTTTCTAATGCTAGCTGTGGGTTTGGTTTGTTCTTGTTTCTTTAGTTCCTTGAGGTGTGATGTTACACATCAAACTGTGATGTCAGTTTGTGACCTTTCAGACTTTTTGATGTAGGCATTCAGCACTATAAACTTTCCTCTTAGCACTGCTTTTGCTGTATCCCAGAGGTTTAGATAACTTGTATTACTATTATCATTCCTTTGGAAGAATTTTTAAATCTCCATCTTGATTTCATTGTTAACCCAAAAATCATTCAGGAGCAGATTGTTTAATTTCCATGTATTTGTATAGTTTGAGGATTCCCTTTTGGAGTTGATTTCTAATTTTATTCCACTGTGGTCTGGGGGGGATACTTGATAGAATTTTGATTTTTTAAAAATTTTTGAGACTTTTTTGTGGCTTCTCATATGATCTATCTTGGAGAATGTTTCATGTGCTGATGAGACGAATGTATATTTTTCAGTTCTTCGGTTGAATGTTCTGTAAATATCTGTTAGGTCCATTTGTTCTAGAGTGCAGTTTAAGTCCATTTTTTCTTTGTTGACTTTCTGGCTTGATGACCTGTCTAGTGCTGTCAGTGGAGTGTTAAAGTCCCCCACTATTATTGTGTTGTTGTTTATCTCTTTTCCTGATAGCAATTGTTTTATGAATCTGGGAGCTCAAGAGTTAGGTGCATATATATTTAGGATTGTAATATCTTCTTGTTGGATTGATCCTTTTATCATTATATAATGACCTTCTTTGTCTTTTTTTGTAATATTGTTGCTTTAAACTCTGTTTTCTCTGATATAAGAATAGCTACTCCTGCTTGCTTTTGATTTCCATTTTAGGCCTCAAATACTAAACTCTTCAGGCCTGATTCATGATATCTTTTTTTTTTTTTGAGATGGAGTCTCACTCTGTTGCCAGGCTGGAGTGCAGTGGCGCAATCTCGGCTCACTGCAACCTCTGCCTCCCAGGTTCAAGTGATTCTCCTGCCTCAGCCTACAGAGTAGCTGCTACTACAGGCGCCTGCCACTATGCCTGGCTAATTTTTGTATTTTTAGTAGAGACGGGGTTTCACCATGTTGGCCAGGATGGTCTCGATCTCTTGACCTCGTGATCCACCTGCCTCGGCCTCCTAAAGTGCTGGAATTACAGGCATGAGCTACTGTGCCCAGCCCAATATCTTTTTTTGTTTTTTCAACTTTTAGGTTCAGTGGATACATGGGTAGGTTTGTTACGTGGGTAAATTGTGTGTTGCTGAAGTTTGGTGTATGAATTATCCTGTCACCCAGGATGTGAGCATAGTACTCGATAGGTAGTTTTTCAACCCACATCCCCTTCCCTCCCCATGTAGTCCCTAGTGTTTATTGTTCCCATCTTTGTCTCCATATATACTCAGTGTTTAGCTCCTGCTTATAAGTGAGAACACATGTTATTTGGGTTTTCTGTTCCTGCATTTGTTCTCTTAGGATGATGGCCTCCAGCTGCATTCATGTTGCTGCAAAGGACATGATTTTATTCTTTTTATGGCCGCATGGTGTTCTGTGGTGTATATGCACCACATTTTATTTGTCCAGTCCACTGTTGCAGGGGCATCTTGATTGATTTCATCTCTTTTGTATTGTGAATAGTACTGTGATGAACATACTAGTGCATGTGTCTTTTTGATAGAGTGATTTATTTTTCTCTGGGTATATACCCAGTAGTGGGATTGTTGGGTTCAATGGTCGTTCTGTTTTAAACTCTTTGAGAAATCTCCACATTGCTTTCCACAATGGCTGAACTAATTTGCATTCCCACCAGCAGTGTATGCGTTCCCTGTTCTCCTCAACCTTGACAACATCAGTTATTTTTTGACTTTTTATTAATAGCCATTCTGACAGGTGTGAGCTTGTATCTCATTGTGGTTTTGATTTACATTTGTCTAATGATTAGTAATGTTGAGCTTTTTAAATATATTTGTTGGCCACATATATGTCTTTTTTTGAGAAGTGTCTGTTCATGCATGTCCTTTGCCCATTTTTTAATGGGGTTGTTCTTTGTTTGTTGAATTAAGTTCTTTACAGATCGTAGATATTAGATCTTTGTCAGATGCATAGTTTGTGAATATGTTCTCCCATTCTGTAGATCATCTCTTTACTCTGTTGATAGTTTCTTTTGCTGTGCAGGAGCATGATATCTTGCCTTTTAAAGGGATCCCTATCTTATACCTTGTTTTAGGACCAGAGAGTTATTGCAACATGCTGTTCTTTTCTACAGTGAATGGATTGGACTATATCTCCTTTTAGGCATGCCTTCTACCTATGATTCTGTAAATTTTAGCACCTAGCATTCAATTTAGAAGAATGTTTAATTTTTTAGTGCTCTTAGTTCCTTAATGAAATAGATTTGTATCATACTCTTTTGGAGATGCTATTGAATTCTTTAACACTTTTTTTTAATAACTTTCCCTTAAGGTATTCCCATCTGTCGACAACACTTAATTTGGAATAACATGGAACTTGAAAATGATTATTGCTTGAATGATTACAAGTGAGTGTAATTGCATATTGGCTGTTTTGTAGGCACTTAGTATTATGACTCCATATGCTAATGTTTTTCTTTTGAACTCTTAGATCATGTCTGTTTTTCTCCTGAATAGTTCACATTCCTAGATTTCATTATACATCCTGAACTTTAGATGCATTAGTTTGGTACTGTATACTACTTTAACCTTTATCCTCTGATACATTTATTTTCCCTTTTCATTTTTCATGTCAAGCTGTTTATCTCCTGCCTTTTGAAATCCTCCTATTATCTTCTTGCCTACTTTTCTCCTTTCTTTGAATATTGAACCATTCCTTCCTGGCTATGTTCCTTTCTTTCTGTTTTTACAAGAGTTTTGGATAAGAGAGAATTGTTCTTCCCAAAGTCTTTCCTTTCTCATTAAGCCCTCCTTTTGTTACTAAGCAATGCTGTGTGCACCAGTGACTACCAACGTACTTTCTGACACTTTGTCTCTCTTATTTCTCCCCTCTTTCACATAATTCATCACTCTTTTGTTAAGAAAAGAGTAAAAGGATAAGAGGCAGTGTGGAATAGCTGTAAGAGCACTGAGAGTCAGGAGACCTTGTTATTTTTCTATTTTCTGTTTTATTAAATAGATTTGCTATTTTCTGCACTTTGGGTCTCCGGCATGCCACTTTTGTTCTCTGGGCCTCCTTTTCCTTAATGTGAAATGAACAGGCTAAAACACGTAATCACAGAGGTCTTTTCCAGTATGTTTATTCTTGGATTTCTTTATGGCTTATGAGAATTTGTTTCACCTTTTTTATTATTTGTACCAGTAAATATGTTAACATTTTATATGTATTTACATTGCTATATCTTTTTATATTTTAGAGAGTGGCCACTCTGCCTGATAAGCCAGCACATAATTATGTGTACATTTAACTGAATGCATTTTGATGATTATGATTTATTTTTGTGTTAACTATCCACAGCATTTCAGAAGGGTGTACCTTGAAGCTAGTTTTGGCTATGCGTGGCGGACCTATAAATACTAGAAGAGGTAGGCATATATATATATTAAAGCAATTTGACAGTAACATTCTTTATGTCAGTTAGTATTTTTATAGCCTCAGGTTTTATTTAGGTTTCCTTTCTGCTATTAGGTCTTAGAAAAATCACATTTGATTCTCTAGGCATTGTTCTTTAAAACCTAAATGCCTAGAGGCTGGAACTCTAAAATACAATTCAGAAAAATCACATGATTCCTGATCCAATTCAGAGAGGTTTAAAAATAAACCTTTTGCCAGTATAGGGAACAGAAATGGAATGACATACTATAAATACTACTTTACCATTGTGTTTAGTTTCATACGAGTCTTGTTTATTTTTAAATCTACCAGATCTTCAAATCCCAAGATGATGATCGTTTTGCAAAATTCCAACATTGCCTGTTTACCTGGTTTGTGATGTGTCTGGGTTTCATGGATATTATCATGGCCCCGGTTGCATCCTTTCTCAGAATATAAGTAGTTCTGAAATCCAGTCATTCATTCAACAAATACGTATTGAGCGTCTACTGAATGGTCAGTGCAATGTTCCAAGTATGGTAGACATGGGAGAGAAAGTCTCTGCTTCATGACAGTGCCTACAATAAATGTGTAAAGAGTCGATGTAACTCCTAATGGTTGTAAGTGCTATGCAGAAAATAGGGTAGGAAGGGCCCTCGAAAAAGATGACATTAGTGGAGACTTGATTGATGAGAGGGTTTTATTAAGCACAAGAAGAGACGGCAGTATTCACATTGGTCCCTGAGTCAGGTATGTCACATGAATTCCCATGAAGTGGAGGAGACTAGTCAGAGCATCCTCTTCTGTGGACCTCATTTTGAGGAAGTCCTTCAGATTTATTTGATCCTTCACTAACCAGAAAACCGAAGGATAAGTATTGATTCTACTCCTGGCTTGCTTCCACATGTCAAATTATATCCCTATGTTTAATAATTTTGGTTAGAAAATAGGATTATTGCCATCTTTTTCTTAGCTATTTCAAGAGGATTTAATGAGATATGCTACTTTGGCTGTTGGACTGCTTTTTATAGGTTAGAGAAAAACAAAGTTAATAATGTTAGGGCCTTTTAGCACTCCTGATACCAGAGACTTTTAATTAATTGGATTTAGGTAATTGTCCTATGTGACATTTATAGTAATAACTATAAATGTTTATAGTAATAACTATGTGATGTTTATAGTAATAACTCTTGAAGTAGCACAAGAACCCTGTGTTTACTGAACCATTATGTTAAGATAGAATTATATAGTGTTTAATGCCATGTGAACTCTATTGTATTACATTTTTGAAAGTTGGTTATTTGTGCGTAGTACTACTTTAAACCAAAGTGTTTAATCAAAACACCTACTTTTCTTATTAGAACTAAAATTATTTTATATGTTTATGAGGAGTGTGATACAGATTCTGAGGTAAATATATATATTTTTTACTTTTCTTTTTTTTTTTGAGACGGAGTCTTGCTCTGTCACCGAGGCTGGAGTGCAGTGGCATGATCTCTGCTCACTTCAACCTCTGCCACCTGGGTTCAAGTGATTCTCCTGCCTCAGCCTCCCGAGTAGCTGGGATTACAGGCAGTGGTATTGAGGTCAGGAGTTTGAGACCAGCTTGGCCAACATGGTGAAACCCCATCTCTACTAAAAATACAAAAATTAGCTGGGCATGGTGGCGGGCTACTCAGGAGGCTGAGACATGAGAATTGCTTGAACCTGGGAGACAGACGTTACAGTGAGTGGAGACTGCGCCACTACAGTCCAGTCTGGGTGACAGAGGTTACAGTGAGTGGAGACTGCGCCACTACAGTCCAGTCTGGGTGACAGAGTGAGACTCTGTCTCAAAAAACGAATACAAATAAAAAAAAATTGTTTTTGAAATAACTATTATCAAAGCAGCATAGAAAGATTAAAATGTTTCTTTTCTAAAACTAAATTGTGCCCAATGCATATCAAACTTCATATATATTGTTTTATAGCTGATAAAATCTGAAAGATTTTTCTGTTATGAGAAGATCCACACATACACTTGCCTGAGTAAGGCACCCTGTGCTGGTTTAGGAAAGGCTTTCATGTGACTGTGGTAATGGCTATAGCAATATCTAAAAAATGGGCATAATTTTTATTTCTTTTTTGTTGTGTTTTGTTGGGTTTTTTCCCCCCTAAAGGTCTGCTCTCTGATCCAAATTTTTATCTCTTGATGTAATATGGAAAGTGGAGCATTAACTTACAAAAGGCAAGAACTTGTTTGAAAAGTGTCTTTTAATATTTATACATTTTGGGCCTGTGAAAGTAAATCAAAACATCCAAATAACTGTTTTCATAAAGCAAGCTAAACCATATTATAAGATTTTTATGTTAGTAATAGTGTTATTGAATTTAGGCTATGGAAGCATCTTTGATGTTTTTACCTTACTGCTTTCCAAGTTTAATATTTTCCTATTGCTGCAACTTCTTTTTAAAGGGTTGTAGAGCACCACGATTCTGTTAATAAATAAGTGAAAGTTATGCAGCTTGGGAAATCTTTACCTCTTTTAGGAGAAAACAGATGTTTCTGCAGTATGATGAGAATGTCTTTGGGAGAGAACTTTTATTTTTTCCTGGAACTGTTGCAGTTTTAGTACATGAAGTGACCCCCCTCACGTTCTAAGTTATTATGTACTTTTAATTACCTAACTTCATGTCAAGGAACAGCTCTTAAGAATCAGCCTTTATATAAAACCAGAAAGAAAAAGATAGGTCTGCTTACTTCTAATTTCTTAGATATGTCTCCTAATTGTGTGTGTGTGTGTACTTTTTTTTTTTTTTTTTGAGGGACTACAGGTGCGCACCACCATGCCCAGCTAATTTTTGTATTTTTTTTAGTAGAGACGGGGTTTCACCATGTTGGCCAGGATGGTCTTGATCTCTTGACTTCATGATCTGCCCGCCTCGGCCTCCCAAAGTGCTGGGATTACAGGCATGAGCCACCGCACCCGGCCGTGTCTGTGTACTTTTAATCTAACGTAAGTGGAATTTATTTTGGTTTTAATTATTGTTGGAACCAATATTTGAAAATATAGGGAGCAGAAAGTATATAGTAAAAAAATTATTGATAGTAATATCATAGAATCAGCAAATACACAGACTCTAGTGACATAGGGAAAAAATATAGACTATAATGGCATAGGACAAAAAACTCTCATGTTTTAGTTTAGCCCTGTCTTTGAATATAGCAACATAATCATGCATTTTGTTTGTTTGTTTCTTATTAATATAACATAGGGAATGCTATATTAATTGTAGAAAGATCAGAAACTTATTTGAAGAATATCATGTTTATATTATATGCACAGGACTGTTGTTCAAATTCAGTATATTATATCCTGTCACTGTACCAAGATGCATAAAACTTGATCCAAATTGAAGACTTATTTCAATTTTCCATTTGTAGTTCCTACAGACGATCCACTTAGGAAGATGGCAGAGTACTTGGATTCCAGTCGAGTTGAGGTCTGGGAGAAGACCTCCTGCAGCAAACAAGTTACATTTTTGGTATACCAAGAAGGAGATCAATTGAATTTCTTTCCTGCAGTAGATAGGGGAGATGGCACTTTAACACCGTTATCTGACTCTTCAAAGAAAATAGATTTTCATTTGCATGTCCTACGGAGAAAAGGAGAACATCGTATGAGGTACTCCATAAACTTTTGTTTACCTTGTGTTGTCAAAATAATCTATATATATTAACAAATGTCATGCATCTCATTCCTGCCCCAGCCCCCAATATATAAGTCTGAAATTGTCCTTCGTATAATTGATATGATAAAACTGAGGTTTTTTTAGAGTGGGATGTTTTCATAAAAAGATTTGTTTCTGTTAGTCTGTGAAACTCTAAGATGCCTAATAGATTATAGAATCCTGTCATAATAGTGTGTTATTATACAACCTTAGCATAATAGAAAGGGTTAAACCTAAAGTTGATACCTTTTTTTCTAAATTTAACTCTGCTCCTTAAAGGCAGATAAATCTCTTTACTTCTCTGGTCTTGTTTTCCTACTCTATAAAAGGGAGATAAATTGTAATATTCTAAAATCAGGAGGAAAAACCCTACATATATTTAGCTAAGCAATAGAAGAATTAGAGAATTGGACAAGGCAACCTCTCAGTTAGTTGCTGTGCATTCTGAGTTACTATGATTTTTTTATCTCCTTTCACTTCAAGTTATTAAGCATTCACTCACTGAACTTTTATGGCCATTCACTGAGCAAGGCACTGATGTTGTAAAGATGATTATTCCTACCTTCATGGAGCATGCAGTCTGCTATGAAGAGTATCAGTGATATAATGTTGGTGATGTTATAAAAAGATATCAAGATCTCTGGGAGAATAGATGACAGGGCCTTTATTATGCATGAAAGGCAGAGAGTTAGACACATCCTCTGAGAAGAAGTGACCCTAAAAGGGGAGTGGAGTTTGCCAAGCAGACAAAGCAAGGGAAGGTGTTACACATCCTGCAAAATAAAAAGGTAGTGGTAAAATCATTAAAAAAAAAAAAAAAAAACAGCTTGTAGTTTGGAGAACAGTTTCTGTGGATCAGGAGTCCAGGCACAGCATTGCTGTGCTCCAAGTCCCACAATCTGGAGTCAAGGTGTCAGCAATTCTCTTATCAAGAGGCTTGACTGGGGAGGAGAATCTACTTACAGAGTCACTCTTATTGCTGGCATAATTCATTTCCTTTCAGTTATATGATGGAGCGCCCAGTTTTTTGCTGGCTATTGACTAGAGGCTGCCCTCAGCTCCCTTTTGATGAACCCAAAACCAACTGATTTGGGGCCTAAATTACATCTGCAACGTCCTTTGCCATATTCAGTTGGCTAGAAGCTAGATGTCCATCATGCCCACACTCAAGGGTAGGAAACCATATGTGATGTGAACACCAAGGGTCAAGAGTCAGAGAGATTCCCCTAGGCTTCTGCCCCTCCACAGAGTGTTACATGAAAGAAAGATTAGACTGAATTTTTTGTGGCCTCAGAGAGCAGACTGTGACACATGGGTGTTACCTGTTGACTTTAACATGTCAGCATCTGGTTAGCACTTCAAACTTGGCATAAACCCTGGGCAAGAAATGGAGGAGGTAGCAGTGAGGGTTACAGCCTTAGGCCATTAATAGAATGTCTTCATACCAGTTTTGCCGTGTGCTGGCTCACTGTTTAGTTTTCTTCTCTAGTACACACTCTTTTGGCTCCCTTTTCCTAAAGGAAACCCAAGCTCCTCAGCTTAGCGTATGAGTCCTTTGACAACGTGTTACCATCAGTTTTCCAGGTCTTCTCATTATGCTGTGTTTTTAGACATCTTTTCTCCTTTGCTTGAAACGTCATTTTCTCCTCTTACTCCAGCTTCTCCTCAGCCAACTTCTATTTGTGTTTATGACTCAGCCCAAATATCATCATGGAATTTAATTAGAACTGTCTTGTTGTTCATCACAAGATAATTTATATATTTTTTCTTCCTTTGTATTCATCTACAATAATTGGACAAGGAAAGGGATGGATGAATGAGAAAGAGGAGTAGAAAACAATCTGATCATACCATGAAGAACATTTATATTTCCTGTTCTAGAAGAGGCTTTCCTAGTCTACAACAGGGGTAGCAAACTTCTTCTGTAAAGGTGTGCAGATAGTAACTATTTTAGGATTTTTAGGCCAAGAGACAGCATCAAGGATATTAAATAGGTACTTATGTAACGAGAGAAAACAAATTTCCACAGAACTTTCACTAACAAAGTTCAAAATATAAGACTAACAATTGGGTACTTTTCTTCTGTTTGTACCACAGAATTCCAGAGAAGAATGGAATTCTTTTTCATGGGAATAACGTTTTACCTAATTGAGGTGGAAAGTTAGTGTTGCCCATCAAATTTGCAAAGTCAATTGCAAAAGTTCACTTGTTAGAGCTGATCTGTAATGAGATTTTATGTATTTTATCTTAGAAATTTTTTTTTCACACAGATAGGTACTGTCAGATGCTGATATCAGTCCATGAGCACATGCTTTTATTGAACATATTGATCATTTTTAAGGCGTTTATAAAATTCTATCAGATCTTCTCTTGGTGTTTGCCCTGGAAGCTCCTCAGTTGCACATTTAAATGAATTTTGAAATAGAACATTATTTGGAAATTGCACTGAGGTATAAAAACACTGCTAGACCTATAATTTGAGCTCGGAAATATATCTGCTGCAAATTTCTGTGGGAATAGAGATATCACTTAATTTCTACTTTTGAAAGCATGGGAATGATTGCAGCTTGCTGTTACGTGTAATTCAAACACTAGTTGTTGTTAACATGACATTATTGCAGTATATGTTTCACATATAAATATTGTTTTATTTTGTAATTTTAGGTTAAATTCATTATGAAACATTATGAAGTCCACAGTAAAAATTAATTTCCAAAGGCAATTTAAAAATTTAAAAAGTGTTTGTAATAGTAGTTAAGGCCAGTTCTTCTCATTCAGAGTTCCTGAGCTAAAAAAAACATAATAAAACTTTATTACCAGTAAGCCACCAAACTGATGATGGATAAGTCCATGAAACAATTGAAGTTTACCATTAACACTGCTGGTTTAATAACACAGGATAGACTCAGATATTTACCATGAAATACCTGCTGATGAATAATACAATGAATAACTGTAGACTTTAAAGACCTTACATGTTTAAAGGGCATGGTGGCTCACACCTGTAATCCCAGCACTTTTGGAAGGTGGGCGAATCTCTTGAGTCCGGGAGTTTGAGACAAGTCCGGGCAACACAGTGAAACTCCATCTGGAAAAAAATTAGCTGGGCCTGGTGGTGCACACCTGTAGTCCCAGCTACTTCGGAGGCTGTGGTGGGAGGATTGCTTGAGCCCAAGAGGTGGAGGTTGCAGTGAGCCGAGATCACACCACTGCACTCCAGCCTGGGTGACAGAGTGAGACCCCCTCTCAAAAAGACAAAAAAAAAAAAAAAAAGACCTTACATGTTCACTAACTATAAATTTGTCCAATAAGTTTTTTTCTGTTTCACACATCACCCCATCAGTTATAGCAGAGTTCACTTAAAGTTGTACTAAATTAGTATTTAGCAATTTATTTGAAAATATTCTCACCTGTAGTAGCTTCATGCAGACTATTCATAGGGGCCAACTCTTCAGTCACTTCAAACTTGGTATTGACGCCCTCAATAAACAATAACACAGAGCAATATGGGTAATATATGTCAGCTCATCAAAAAACAATCAGCTTTTTAAATCAGCTGTTGACATTACTTCCAATTCTATCAACTTTTTGAGAAATTGTCCCTGCTGGAAAAGTAATCTTTAAACAACTTTATTTTCTCAGGACATACTTCCTCAACTGCTGTGATCAATAGTGAATTAATTCACTATTGATGAGTAGCTTTCCTTGCTTGGCTAGCAGATATAAACATTCAGAAACTTCTTTGGTTTTATAGCTTCATTTTCATTTTTTATTTGTGTAAAGAAATTCTGCTGTGATGAGATATTCTACTGTAAATTTTCTAGTTTTTCTGACTGTTGCTTTCCTGAAAGTTGGGAATATTGTGATGAATGCCTAACCTGGTAATGTCTATTTATGCTGTTTTCCTTTAGCATAGCTATAGTGTCACTGCATTATAAGCATCATGCTTTGCTATCTAATTGCTAACAAATAATCCACTCTACGGTACCTTAAAATGGCAACATTTGAAGTCTACTTTTCTTGTTTGACAAGGTTGGGTATACCCTAGTAATAAAAAAAGTCACAGAATAGCAATATACATGGCAGTCAAAATACTGTTGAATTATGACTATGTTACTGTGATTTGTAGTTCTCCATATCACAGTGTAGAGCAACGAGAGAGCCACATAAAGTCTGTCATAGCTACTCAACTCTGCCATTGTAGGCAAAAGCAGCCATTTGTAATACATGATTGGGTGAATATGGCTTTGTTCCAATAAAACTTTATTTATGGACACAAATTTGAATTTTATTTAATTTTCATTTGTTATGAAATACCATTATTTTGAGTTTTTTCAACTAATTAAAGTTCATAAACCATTCTTAGCTCATGGGCCACACAGAAATAGAAATAGGTGGTGGGGCAGATTTGACCCATGACCATGGTTTGCTGGCTTCTACTCTAAAAAGAAAGAGGGAGAATTGAGTGTTAATTTGTTTCATTCTGATACAAAATGCAGCATCAGTCTTTTTTTAGTCTCAAATCTTTTTAGTGGATCATGCCACCTTACTGGTATTTTTTTTTTTTTTTTTTTTTTTGAGATGGAGTCTTGCTCTGTCACCCAGGCTGGAGTGCAGTGGCACGATCTTGGCTCACTGCAACCTCTGCCTCCCAGATTCAAGCGATTCTCTTGCCTCAGCCTCCCAAGTAGCTGGGACTACAGGCGCCCGCCACCATGCCCAGCTAATTTTTTGTATTTTTAGCAGAGACGGGGTTTCACCGTGTTAGCCAGGATGGTCTTGATCTCCCGTCCTGGTGATCCGCCCACCTCGGCCTCCCAAAGTGCTGGGATTACAGGCATGAGCCACTGTGCCCGGCCTGGGATTTTTTAAGCAGAAAGATAGATAAGGAGACATTGTAAGACTTAATGGTAAACTGTGAAAGTTAAATGAGGTCTTGGCTTTGCGATGTGCAGATTTCATGCTTGAATAATATTACATTTGCCTATCTTGTATCCTTTAATCATATCATTAAATCAAAAGATTTGAGGCCGGGCGTGGTGGCTCATGCCTGTAATCCCAGCACTTTGGGAGGCAGAGGCAGGCGGATCACCTGAGGTCAGGAGTTTGAGACCAGTCTGACCAACATGGAGAAACCGCATCTCTACTAAAAATGCAAAATTAGCCGGGCGTGATGGTGCATGCCTGTAATCCCAGCTACTAGGGAGGCTGAGGCAGGAGAAAGGGCGCTTGAACCCGGGAGGTGGAGGTTGCGGTGAGCCGAGATTGCACCATTGCACTCCAGCCTGGGCAACAAGAGTGAAACTCTGTCTCAAAAAAAAAAAAAAAAAAAAAAAAGATTTGGAGAAATTACATATAGCACTAAAAAAAATTTAGAAATTCAAGGAAATGTTATATTATATTTAAATATAAAGAAAGTCATTTCGGATTAAATTTATAAATTAGTATGTTAACCTAGTTACATTTTTTCATCTGAAAAAAATTTGTGATTGGATTCTAACTCATCTCATGAATCTATACTTCATGAGAGAAAACAAAATAATGTGGTTCTTTGAAAAAAAAAGGTGAATTTAAAAGTGTTTTTATACTCTAAAATGAGTCCAGTGATTTATCATGATTGTTCTTTTTTTTTTTTTTTTTGAGATGGAGTCTCACTCTGTCGCCCAGGCTGGAGTGCACTGGTGTGATCTCGGCTCACTTGCAAGCTCTGCCTCCCGGGTTCACGCCATTCTCCTGCCTCAGCCTCCTGAGTAGCTGGGACTACAGGCACCCGCCACCACGCCCGGCGAATTTTTTGTATTTTTAGTAGAGATGGGGTTTCACCATGTTAGCCAGGATGGTCTCGATCTCCTGACCTCGTGATCCACCCGCCTCGGCCTCCCAAAGTGCTGGGATTACAGGCGTGAGCCATCACGCCCAGCTGATTGTTCTTTTATATATATATATATGTGTGTATGTATGTGTGTGTATATATGTATCTATTCCATGAGAGAATAGGTCTTTTCATGACAGTAATGTTGAATCAGAAACTTCTTTCAGTATTCAGTAAAGATACTTAAAATGCCACAGAGTAACTCAGAAGTATTTAAGGTTAAAATATTGCAAGGTAACTGAGAATAGTGTATACTTGAGTTATTCCTTCTAACTCCACAGGGTGACATGACGAAAATCTTCATGCACCCTTCTTCAGGTATTGTATAGTTGGCCTTGAGACAAAAGCCTTCACACAGTAGAAGTTCTGGCACTCATCTGGGTGCACAAGCATGATGCAGTAAGTCCTGTCATTTGGTGCCTGGGGAAGCAATGAGTAGTAGTAGGAAGAATCAGCTTAGGAACCAGACACATAGGGGATTTGAATCTTAGGTCTGCTGTCTATAGCTTTCTGATCTTGAGCCAAATCACTTAACCTCTCTCACCTGCAGTTTCTTCATTAATAAAATCAGCTATAATATCTACCTTATGTAGTTTTGTGAGAATTAGGAATAATGTGTGGGAAGTGCCTGGCAGAGCAGGCATTCAGTAAATGGCAGGCAATATTATTACTTCAGTGTTGTACTTGTGTCAGTTATCATACTGTGGTAGCCATGCTGTAGTAGGTAACTGTGGCTGTCACAAGTCAAGCACCACAGACTGAATTGGTTGTGGAGACCAGTCCTACATTCTTCCTTCAGATGCTACCCATGCGTATAGTGCGTGTAATTAACCCACAGTTTCAGAACATTTCATGTTGCACCATATAAAATTTAGGAATGGGGCTGTCTGCTCTCTTTTTTGGCCTTGTGTGACAATATGTGCTTCAGAAACATTAAGGAATATACCCCATTAAGGCTGTCCTAAATTGTTTCCATTTCTTACAACCATATAAAACGGGAAATTTTCCTCATACTTCCATAGTGTAGATAACCTAGTTTTCCTATAAGTAAATCTGCATAGAAACTAATATGTATTCTTATTTTGCTTTATTTAAAGTCTTAATTGTTTTCCAAATGTGCCAAGCTTGTGTTTTATCAAATCCTTGCCATTCTAATTTTCCCATTATAGAAAAAATAAATTAAATTTCAAAATCTTTGTGTTCAGTTCATCAAACATTTATTGGCTATGTGCCAAGCGCTGTGCCTGGTGCAGACTCAGAAGATAAAGTCTAATGTCTGCTTTCAACTTGCTTACATGTGGGAGAATAAGGGGCAAAACAAACATGTAAGTATAAATATGAGGATCGTGTGATACATCATTATATTATACAATCAAAGAGGAAGGGCTCCAAATATTAATTACATTGAAATATGAATAACGTCGCTGTGGTTGATCAGTAATTGAAATGTTTAACCTGTTTAATAGCTTGTATCATGACTTGACTGGATGTGTTTTTTCTTGTTAAAATCTATGCTAGTCTAGGTTTTTACATTTTCAAACACACTTAGAAAAATTTGAAGTTATCTCTACTTAAAAAAATGTATTGGCTGGGCGCGGTGGCTCACACCTACAATCCCAGCACTTTGGGAGGCCGAGGTAGGCGGATCACGAGGTCAGGAGATTGAGACTGTCCTGGCTAACACAGTGAAACCCTGTCTCTACTAAAAATACAAAAAATTATCTGGGCATGGTGGCACACACCTGTAGTCCCAGCTACTTGGGAGGCTGAGGCAGGAGAATCGCTTGAACCCGGGAGGCAGAGGTTGCAGTGAGCCGAGATTGTGCCATTGCACTCCAGCCTGGCGACAAGAGTGAGACTGTCTCAAGAAAAAAAAAATGTTTTTTGCTCCTTAAGAATAGAAAATGTTCTGATGACACCTGTGTATGAATTCTTTTTTTTTTTTTTTTTTTAGTGAGAATCTCCTCAGGATGACTAAAAATCTGTACTTCTCTCCCGTGCCAAATTTAAAAAAATTCTGATTCATGGAAATCTCATCAGCCTGTTGTCTGGGTTGCACAATTATCAGCCTTGGCTGATAAAATGAAATCAGACATTCTCATGGAAATGGATTTTGCCTCTTTGGGAATGATATGGCAGGTGTCAAAACATCTTCATTTATGATATACTGAATTCAGAGAAGCTCAGCTATACTAGATTTTCAGTAATCCTAGATCATAATATTTATTCCCATTTCATTTTTTCTTTTAAGAAGTACATTCTTTGAAATATATTTTCCTGACATTAACATTGACAAAATGGATGTAGTGTTTTATCATTAGTAACTTCTATAGATTGCTGTTTCATATAGAGCATTTTTAGTCACTGAGCAGGTATCAGAAAAATTTCAAGTAGTTATTGTTTTCTTTGCAGTGGTGGTTCTATGTATAATTCAGATACAGATGAGGATGAAGAAACTGAGCCTTCTTCTTCTGGGCAACAGATAATTGAAAATTCAATAACTATGAATAAGATGAAGCTGCTGAAGGCTAAGATGAAGAACATGAATCTCAGCAAAAAGGTGAAGCTGTTGGCATTTGACCAGGCTTATCTCTAGCTTACCCCTGCAGAGCACTCAGCAATGAGGTCTGTTGGTCATTGTGAAAAAATTATAAAGTATTATTCATTTCAGGTTTCTGGCCTCAGTTATTTATTAAACTTCTAAAAGGGATAAATTGGATTTTTTGGATTAGAAGCACACCTGAAGGGATTATACTGCACTTAACATCATTTTAAAGATCATTCTGGGTCTAAGAAGGATAAAAAAAGAGAGCTTAATCTTAATCTGGCAATAATTACTTTTTAAAATATGTTAATATTTATTTATTATGGATAAAGATATCTACTATTTAGTAGATAGTGCCAGTTTTTTCCAAAGTGATTGAACCAATTTACATTCTTTACAACAGTGAATGAGAGTTGCCATTTTCCCATATTCTTACCAGTATTTGGCATGGTCCTTTGTAATTTTTGTAATCCTACTTTGTTTGTGGTGGCATCACATTGTGGTTTTAATTGCATTTCTCTCATGAGACCTGGAAGGTTGAGCACCTTTCATATGTTTATTGGGCATTTGGATACCCTTTTTAATAAAACACCTATATTTTTCCATTTTTCTATTGGGTTGTATGTTTTTTGTTACAGATTTTTTTTGGAGTTTTATATATATTCTAGATAAAAGTCCTTTGTTTCATATTACCACTTTATTGCTTTCCTTTTTACTCTATTAATGGCTCCCTTCCTTTTCATGTATAATAAAATTCAAAAATCTTTAATATACTACTTGACGAATTTTTACATTTATATACACTCATGTAGACACAACCCAAATTAAAATAGGACCTTTCACTCCAGAATGTTTCCTCATAATATTTCCCAGTTAATACGTACCTGTTCCTACTCTCAGAAATAACGACTGTTCTTACATCTATTACCGTAAATACGTTTTTCCTATTCCTGAAATTTATATAAATGGAATCATAGAGAGTATGGTCTGGTTTCTTTTGTTAAAAGTATTTGTTTGATTTATCCATGTGGTTGTATGTATCAGTTAATTCTTTTTTATTGTTGTGTACTATTGTACTGTGTGATTGATTTACCTCAATTTGCTTCTTTCTTTTCCTTTTGATGGACATTTGAGTTGTCTCTAGCTTTTGGCTTTTATCAATAAACTTCCTTTGAATATTCTCATACATTCTTTGGTGGACATAGCACTTGTTTCTTTGGAGCATATACCTAGCAATGGACTTTCGGAGTCAGAGGGAAGATGCACGTTTAACTTTAGTATTATGCCAGACAATTTTGCCAAGCATTTTTTGGTTTTTTTGTTTTTTTGTTTTTTGTTTTTTTTCTTTTTTGAGACAGAGTCTTGCTCTGTCACCCAGGCGCTATCTCGGCTCACTGCAAGCTCTGCCTCCCGGGTTCACGCCATTGTCCTGCCTCAGCCTCCTGAGTAGCTGAGACCACAGGCGCCCGCCACTACGCCGGGCTAATTTTTTTTTTTTTTTTTGTATTTTTAGTAGAGACGGGGTTTCACCGTATTAGCCAAGTTGGTCTCGATCTCCTGACCTCATGATCTGACTGCCTCGACCTCCCAAAGTGCTGGGATTACAGACATGAGCCACCGCGCCCGGCCAATTTTGCCAAGCATTTGAACCAATTTACATTCTTCCCAGCAACGTGAGAGTTCTAGTTTATGCCACATTCTTGTCAACACTTGATATTGTCAGTCCTTTTAATTTTAACCATTCTGGTGACTGTGTAAATGGTTTTCTTTTATATTTCTCTAATGAGGAATAATATTGACTTTTCATATGATTATTGACCATTAAGATACGTTTTTTATGTGAAGTGCCTGTTCAAGTCTTTTGCTTATTTTTAAATTGAGTTCTCTGCCTTTTGCTTACTGATTTCTAGGCATCTTTATATACTATGGGTACAAGTCCTTTGTCAGATATATGGGTTGCAGATACTTCTAACACTCTATGGTGGCTTGTTCTTTTACTTTCTTATTCTTTGGGTGAATGTTTTTAATTGTATTCTAATTTATCAGTTTTGTTTTGTTTTGTTTTGTTTTGTTTTGTTTTTGAGACAGAGTCTCGCCCTGTTGCCCAGGCTGGAGTGCAGTGGTGTGATCTCTGCTCACTGCAACCTCCACCTCCTGGGTTCAAGCAATTCTTCTGCCCCAGCCTCCCAAATAGCTGGGATTACGGGTGCGCATCTCCACGCCCGGCTAATTTTTGTATTTTTAGTAGAGACGGGGTTTCACCTTGTTGGTCAGGCTGGTCTTGAACTTCTGACCTTGTCATCTGCCTGCCTCGGCCTCCCAAAGTGCTGGGATTACAGGCATGAGTCACTGCACCCAGCTTACTTTTATGATTATCATTTTTGATAACCTTTTGATGAAATATTTTCCTACCACAGGTCTTTAAAGCTTTATGATTGTTTTTCTCTCACTTAGGTTTAGTCCAGCTGAAATTTTTTTTTTTTTTTTTTTTGAGACGGAGTCTTGCTGTGTCTCCAGGGTGGACTGCAGTGGCACAATATTGGCCCACTGCAACCTCCACCTCCTTGGTTCAAGTGATTCTCGTGCCTCAGCCTCCTGAGTAGCTGGGACTACAGGCATGTGCCACCATGCCCGGCTATTTTTTGTATTTTTAGTAGAGATGGGGTTTTGCCATGTTGGCCAGGCTGGTCTCAAACTCCTGACCTCAGGTAGTCCTCCCACCTTGGCCTCCCAAAGTGTTGGGATTACAGGAGCGAGCCACCGCGCCCAGCTGAAATTTTTCTGATATAACGTAAAGTGGGGTAAAGATCTTTTTTTTTTTTTTTTCTGATGGGGAACAATTGACTTAGCTCTATTAAGAAAAAACATCCTTTCTTCACAGTCCTAAATGTTTATGCACTTAATAATAGAACTTCAAAATACATGAAGCAAAAACTACAAAGAAATAAACAAATACTTTTGTTGAAAGATTTCTACATCCCACTCTCAAAAATCGATGGAACAGATAGAAAATCAGTGAAGGATTTAGGAGACTTGAACAACACTAATCAACCTACTTGACCCAACTGACATTTACAGTATGCTCTACCCAAAACAGCAGAGTACACATTTCTTTTTAAGTGCATGTAGAACATTTACCAGGGTAAACCATATTGTGTGCCATAAAACAGGTTCAATTTTCTTTTTTTTTTTTTGAGACAGAATCTTGCTCTGTCCCTCAAACTGAAGTTCAGTGGCACAATCTTGGCTCACTACAATCTCCACCTCCCAGGTTTAAGCGATTGTCTTACCTCAGCCTCCTGAGTAGCTGGGACGACAGGCTCATGCCACCATGCCTGGCTAATTTTTTGTATTTTTAGTAGAGACGGGGTTTCACCATGTTGGTCAGGTTGGTCTTGAACTCCTGACCTCAAGCAATCCACCTGTCTTGGCCTCCCAAAGTGCTGGGATTACAGGTATGAGTCACTGCGCCTAGACCAGTTTCAAATAAATTATAAAAGATTCCAAATAATACAAAAATGCTCTCTGATTACAATGGAATAAAATTAGAAATTAATAATAGATATGTGGAAAGCTTTCTGATATTTGAAAATAACACACTTCTAAGTAACTGATAGTCAAGAAGTCCAAAGAGAAGTAAGTATTTTTTCACTGAATAAAAATATTCTGATATTGTGATGAACTGATTTTTTAAAAATATAAAATAGTCTTGCATTGTTAGAATGAACCATTCTTGGTTGTGATGTATTTTTCATTTCTTTAGATTTAAATTATTAATATTTTCTTTAGGATTTTTGCATTACGATTTCATTCATGAGAGAAATTTTGATCTATATTTTTCTTTTCCAATATACAGTAAGGTTGAAAGAATTTTACCATGAACACTTATTTATCTAATATCTAGATTCTACCATTAAAATTTTTTAAATTTTATTTTTGTGGTAAAATACATATGTCATAAAATTATCTTAACCATCTTAAGTGTACAAACAGTTCAGTAATGTTAAGTGTATAACACAGTGTTGTGCAACCAATCTCCAGAAGTTTTTTGTCTTGTAAAATTGTCATAACGTGTCAGAATTTCCTTCCTTTTTAAGGCTGGATAATATTTCATTGTATGGCTATATACCACACTTTTTTAATCCATTCATTCCTCAATGTATACTTGGATTGCCCCCATCTTTTGGCTATTGTGAATAATGGTGCTATGAACATAAGTATACAAATATGTCTTTGAGACCCTACTTTCAATGTTTTCTTTTAGTAGTTTCATAGTTTCAGATCTTAGAGTTAAGTCTTTAGTTCATTTAGATTTGATTTTTGTATATGGTAAAAGATAAGGGGTCTAATTTCATTCTTCTGCATGTGGATCCAGTTTTCCCAACATTATTTATTGAAGAGACTATCCTTTCCCCAGTGTATGTTCTTGGCATCTTTATCAAAAATAAGTTCACTGTGGGTCTGTGGACTTGTTTCTGGGTTCTCTGTTCTTTTCCATTGGTTGTGCATCTATGTTCATGTCAGTACTGTGCTGTTTTGGTTACTGTAGCTCTGTAGTATAATTTAAAGTCACATAATTGTGATTCTTCCAGTTTTTTTTTGTTTGTTTTTTTTTTGTTTTTTTTTTTTTTTTTTGCTTAGATGGCTTTGACTATTCTGTGTCTTTTGTGGTTCCATGTAAATTTTAGGATTATTTTTTCTGTTTCTGTGAAAAATGTCATTGGTATTTTGATAGAGATTATGTTGAATTTGTAGATTGCGTTGGGCAGTATGGACATTTTAACAATATTAATTCTTCCAACTCATGAACATGGAATATTTTTTCATATTTTTGTGTCGTCCAATGTTTTATAGCTTTCATTATAGAGATCTTTCACTTTTTTAGATAAGTTTATTCCTAGGTATTTTATTTTACTTTATTTGTAGCTATTGTAAATGAGATTACTTTCTTGATTTTTTTAGATTATTGTTGGTATATAGAAATGCTACTGGGTTTTGTATGTTGATTTTGTATCCCGCAACTTTACTGAATGTGTTTATCAGTTCTAATCGTTTTTTGGTGCAGTCTTTCTGTTTTTCCAAATACAAGATCATATTATCTGCAATCAAGGATAATTTGACTTCCTTCTTTCAAATTTGTATGCCCTTTATTTCTTTCTCTTGTCTGATTTCTCCAGCTAGGACTTCTAGTACTAGTACTTCTTTTCATTTAGGGTTCCTGATGATAATTCTCTCAGCATTTGTCTGAAAACTTATTTTACCTTTTTAATTTTGAGAAATGTTTAATTCTTTTTTTTTTTTTTTGAGATGGAGTCTTGCTGTTGCCCAGGCTGGAGTGCAGTGGTGTGGTCTCGGCTCACTGCAACCTCCACCTCCTGGGTTCAAGCGATTCTCCTCCCTCAGCTTCCCGAGTAGCAGTAGCTAGGACTACAGGCATGAGCCACCATGCCCAACTAATTTTTGTATTTTTAATAGAGATGGGGTTTCACCATGTTGGCCAGAATGGTCTTGATCTCTTGACCCCGTGATCTGCCTGCCTCGGCCTCCCAAGGTGCTGGGATTACAGGCATGAGCCACCGCGCCTGGCTGAGAAATGTTTAATTATTTAGAAATGTTATAAGACTAGATTCATCAATTAATATTTTCCCACATTTGCTTTCTGTTTGGATTTTTCTTTAGCTGATCTATGTGCAAGTTAGATATCATGACACTTCCCCTAAGTACTTTATTTATTATGTATCTCCTAAGAATAAGGGCCACCTTTTACATGATTATGATACAGTTACCATACTCATTTATGATTGATACACATTATGTCATCTATATTCATATTTCCCAGGTCTTAATAATGTGCTTAATAGCATTTTATATTGTTTTTAATCTGGGATCCAATCAAGAATGATGCATTGCATTTCGTTGTAATGTTTTCATAGTCTCCTTTTATACAAAACTGTTTCTAAGCCTTATTTGGACATGCATGTAAAATATTTTTGAAGAATATAGATCAGTTGTTTTGTAAAATATTCTTCAATTTGGAGATTTGGCTGTTTCATTATGATTAGATGGAATTTGAACATTTTTGGTAGGAATACTACACAGATGATTTATTCTTCTCAGTGCAACACATCAGAAGGCACATAATGTTAATTTGTAGTAGTTTCTTTTTCGTTTTTTTTTTTAAAGAAAATTTGCAATTTTAGTTGGTATTTCCTCATTAGTCCAAGAGTATTTTAATATATTTTGAAAATGTTCTGGTGGCAGAGGCTTTTTGGTTTTTCTTTTTCTTTTCTTTTCTTGTTTTTAGAGGTGGGAGTCTCACTATGTTACTGAACTCCTGGGACCAAGGGATCTTCTCATTTCAGCCTCCCACGTAGCTGGGACTATGTGTGCAGCACCATGCCGGGCTTGATTTTTCATTGTTTTTAATTTCTAGTTTTATTGCATGGAACTCAGAGAATATTGTTTGTATTTCTACTTTATAGCATTTTATTCTTTGGGATCTAATAGCACTTTTCATGAATATATACCTCAGAAGACAGTTTATTCTCTATCAAAAAGGTAAAAGTTTGCTAGATATTTATAAGATAGACCTTATTAAAGTTTTTTTTTTTTTTTGTCAACTTGATCTGTCTTAGAATGAGAATGGTAATAGATGAAGGTCTATTATTCATAGGTTTCTGTGTATTTCTCTTTTCATTTCTCATACTTTTTGCTGTAAGAAAGTGGTAGTTGTGTAATTTGGTACATAAATATTAATAACATATTTTCACTGTGTTGCTAGTTACAAAAGTAGTGAAATGTTTCATCTCTATCACATTCACTGACTTTCCCCTTGAATTTTCCTTGCCTGATATCAGGCCCATACCTACTGGTATCTTCTTGGTTTCATTTGCTTGGTATACCTTTTCCCATGTCTCTATTTATTAACTTTTAAGTTACTTTGTTTTACATATTTCCTTTATATACACTATAGAGTTGGTTTTTGCTTTGTGAGCCAGCTTGAAATTTTAAAACAGGTAACTTAATCACGTTTATATTTATTGATATGACTTCATATTTGGTCTTAAATGTCTTATTTTGTTATACTTACAGTTTCCTTCTCTATGCTTTCTTTTGTGTGTATCTGTATATATGAATGTGTAAGGGTGTATTTTTTGGTATTTCAGAAGGCTTTTGCATTTTGTTTTATTGATTCACTTTACATTAATACTATTTATCATGTTCTTGATCTGCCTTTTCCTTATTTAACCTTCTCCTCTTTTATTTGCCAGCTTTAAATATCCTTTGACTCCTAATTACTAAGTGAAAATCAGTGAACTTATTTTTTTCTCTTCTCTCTTCATCCTCTCATTAAAAATTTTTTTCTACTTTTTTAAAGAAAACATAGCCTTTACAAATCATTTTTCTTTCTACTCACTCTTATTTTAGTTTTAATTTTATTCCATCCTTTTTATTTATTCACTTATTTATTTTGAGATGGAGTCTTGCCCTGTCACCCAGGCTGGAGTGCAATGGCACGATCTTGGCTCACTGCAACCTGTGCCTCCTGGGTTCAAGCAATTCTCCTGCCTCAGTCTTCTGAGTAGCTAGGATTACAGGCGTGTGCCACCACACCCGGCTAATTTTTTTTTTGTATCTTTACTAGAGACGGGGTTTCACCATGTTGGCCAGGCTGGTCTCGAACTCCTGACCTTGTGATCCACCCACCTTGGCCTCCCAAAGTGCTGGGATTACAGGCATGAGCCACCATGCCCGGCCAATTGTATTCCATTCTTATGATCAGTCTTTTTGCTGTAGGTTTCCCCATACATTTTGGTTAGAAGAAGCTCATCTGAAGTCCTCAAGAAAGGCTTGTAGGTACAGTAATTCTTGAATTTTTCGATGTTCAAACCCTTTTCTTTAGACTTAACATTTTTATTTGTTTTTACCATTATGTATGATATTAATTGTAGGTTTTTCTTCTATTTTTGTATTTTCCTATTTTCATTGATACGTAATAGATATATTTTCAGGGTACATGTGATAATTTAATACATGAATATAATTTGTAAACATCAGATCAGTGTAATTGGGATATCCATAACCTTAAATATTCATCTTTTTTTAATGCTAGAAACATTAGCCTTAATCCTTACATGATGGCTTGCCTGGATATAAAATGTTTGGTTCACATCTTTTCCCTTGAGTTTGTCTAAAATGTTGCTCTGCTATGCTTTGCTTTTTATATTGCCATTGAGAAATCTAATTACCAATCTTTCTTTTCTCTGTAAATGATTTGGTTTTTTTGTCTGGAGAAAATGAGGATTTTTTTTTCTTTTAAATGTAGTGGTTTTATTAGGATGTATCTTGGAATTAACTCTTCAGGGTCAATTTTCACTATACACTTGAGTCTTTTTAACATAAAGATTCAAGTCTTTTATTTCAGGATTATTTCTTAGAATTTATATGTTTTTTTTTTTTAGTACTTTATTTGTTTTTTTGTTTGTTTTCTTTTTTGGAATTTTTTTTTTTTGGGGGGCGGAGTCTTGCTGTGTTGCCCAGGCTGGAGTGCAGTGGCATGATCTCGGCGCACTGCAAGCTCCGCCTCCCAGGTTCACGCCATTCTCCCGCCTCTGCCTCCGGAGTAGCTGGACTACAGGCGCCCGTCACCACACCCAGCTAATTTTTTGTATTTTTAGTAGAGACAGGGTTTCACCGTGTTAGCCAGGATGGTCTCGATCTCCTGACCTGGTGATCCGCCCGCCTCGGCCTTCCAAAGTGCTAGGATTACAGACGTGAGCCACCGCGCCCGGCCTTTGGAGCTTATTTTATACATAAGTTAGAACATCGTCGTGGTCTTTTCTTTCTTTCTTTCTTTTTTTTTTTTTTTAAAGACAGGGTCTTGCAGTGTCACCCAGGCTGGAGTGCCATAGCCTGAGCTCACTGCAGCCTCGAACTCCTGGGCTCAAGTGACCTTCCTGCCTCAGCGGCATGAGATACCCCCTCTGCCCTGTTAGAACTTCTTTGTCTAATATACAACCACCTTCTCTCTTATCCTTTTAGATTCTTTATTTTATTTTTATTCTTTTGGCTGTTTTCATACCTTTCCTCAGTATTTTTGTTTTTGAGATGGAGTCTTGCTGTGTCGCCCAGGCTGGAGTGCAGTGGTGCGATCTTGGCTCGCTGCAAGCTTTGTCTTCCGGGTTCATGCCAATTCTCCTGCCTCAGCCTCCTGAGCTGGGACTACAGGTGCCTGCCACCACGCCCGGCTAATTTTTTTATATTTTTAGTAGAGACAGGATTTCACCCTCTTAGCCAGGATGGTCTCGATCTCCTGACCTCGTGATCCGCCTCGGCCTCCCAAAGTGCTGGGATTACAGGTGTGAGCCACCGCACCCGGCCTATACCTTTTCTCAGTATTCTTTATTAAATATTAAGTAGAATTTTAGTCTCCTGTGGGCACCTTGTAATTTAGTCTTCATTTCTGAGATGATTTTGTTTTCTGCAGAGTATTTCTGGGTTTGCTCAGCTCTCATTTCGTATCCTCCTATTACTTTTATCTATTCTGCCTTGAGTTTTTGCATTTATGATTTGATGAGATTTTAAAAAATATCTGCAAATACTAAAAGATACTTAATTTAGGTTGGGGTATTGTGATGGAGTTTTCTTTTGTTTCATTGTTTTAGGGAGGATTTTCATTAGCTAAAATGTTCTGATTCTCATTTTCTGTTTTATTTTTATAGCAGCTTTACATGGATTTGGTCTGCCTTTTTCTATTTATTTTCTAATTGTATTTTCTATAATTTTATTTACTTAGATGAGTATTAACAGTTATATATTAATACACAGAAGTGAGGATTTTGTGTAGGGAAGTAAGTTTCTTATTTCAAGAGCATCCTCTTCCTTTGGTGTAGTGAGATGCAGGTTTTTTAAATCAGTGACACACTTTTTTATTTGTTATTTTAAAAATTAATTTATTTTTATTTTTTGACATGGGGTCTTGCTCTATCATCCAGGCTGGGGTGTAGTGGCATGATCTTGACTCACTGCAACCTCTGCCTCCTGAGCTCAAGCGATCCTCCCACCTCAGCCTCCCAAGTAGCTGGGACTACGGGCTCCTGCCACCATGCCCAGCTAATTTTTTTGTATTATTGATAGAGATGGGTTTTTCTCATGTTTTCTAGGCTGGTCTTGAACTCCTGAACTCAAGCAATCTTCCCACCTTGGCCTCCCAAAGTGCTGGGATTATAGTTGTGAGCCACCATGCCTGGCTCAAATCAATGACACTCTTATTGGAGGGCAGTGTCAGTATGTTTTCTGATTTGTGATTCACTACTGTTTTTGAAGGATCCTTATTTTCCCTTTCCTGCTTCTTTCTTTACTTTTACTATCAAAGTCTCAATGGTTGCCTTTTCCTTTCAATTTACCCCTTCTCCCTTCAAAAAGTGATGTCTTCTTGAAGCTACCTCCTTTATCCTGAACAACTTTAATGCCCGGTGTGGTGGCTCATGCCTATAATCCCAGAACTTTGGGAGGCAGAGGTGGGAGGATCACTTGAATCCAGGAGTTTGAGACCAGCCTGTCAACATAGGGAGACCCCATCTCTACAAAAAATATAAAAATTAGCTGGGCATGGTGATGTGTGTCTGTAGTCCCAGCTGCTCGGAGGATCGATTGACCCTGGGAGGGTGAGGCTGCAGTAAGCCATTATTGTACCACTGCACTCTAGCCTGGGTAACAGAGCCAGACCCTGTCTCAAAAAATACACATAAAAATAAAGTCACTTCCTTTTAATTTCTCGGTAGCCTGTGTTTGATATCCCATATCTTAGATCTATTTTTAGTATCTTCATAATCAAGTGGGATTTTGTCTTTTGTGGATTTTTCTTTGTTCCATCAGCAAACCTCTCCTTTTCTTTCTTTATTTTTTTTCCCTTTTTTTTTTTTTTTTTTTTTGGTGAAGCTCCATACTTCTCCATACTTTTGCCTGTCTGTCACCACAGGCATAGGCTTTGCAGATGAGTTTCTTGGATTGGGGAATATTTTGAAGTTCATATCATATGTCTCCCAGTTTTTCTGATGCATGGGTTATGAGTGATTTTATTTGTGTATGTTGTTGATCTGTGTAGTTTTTCTGGAGCATGGAGAAATTCAGTTTTAGGCAGCTGTCATTAATTTCAACAGCCCAGAAGTCATATCCTTAATTTTTGAAGAATTTTTTGCTGGATAAAGAATTACAGATTGGGCCAGGCGTGGTGGCTCACACCTGTAATCCCAGCACTTTGGGAGGCTGAGATGGGTGAATCACCTGAGGTCAGGGGTTCGAGACCAGCCTGGCCAACATAGAGAAACCCCATCTCTACTAAAAATACAAAAATTACCTGGACATGGTGGCGGGTGCCCATAATCCCAGCTACTCAGGAGGCTGAGGCAGGAGAATTGCTTGAACCCGGGAGGTGGAGGCCTGAGATTGTGCCATTGCACTCCTGCCTAGGCGACAACTCTGTCTCTAGGATAAAAACATCTATAGGAGCCAGCTCATCTTTCCAAGGTTTCTTCCTTCTTAGCTCCTCTAATTTTTCTTGCCTCAGTTGGTATCCACTGAATTATCCAGCTTTTCTTATATTTTCATATATTTTATATCTTCTGTAAGTGGGAGCATTGGTATGTCATAAGGTATTCCATCCCATCCTCATGCCTGCTTGCTACCATTTTTGCTTATTTTTAAGAGCTAGATTTCTTGTGTTTAGTTCTCAACTTTATTCATAAGATCTTGAATTTTTGTGGTACTTTTTAAAAAATCTACCATGCCAGAGGGCACCAAGACCACCCCAGGTGTGATGGTTTGCTAGGAAGATTCACAGGGCTGTAGTATGTTGCTGTATATAGTTGTACTTATTACAGCAAAAAGATACAAGGCAAAATCAGCAAAGGTAAAAGGTGCATAGAGCCACGTCTGGAGGAAACCAAGTGCAAGCTTCCTAGAGTCCTCTTTCAGTGGAGTCTCATGAGATGTGCTTAGTCCTCTATCAGTGAGTTGTAACAATATATGTGAAATGTTGTTTACCGGGGAGGCTCATTAGAGACTCTGTGCCCAGGGATTTTACTGGGCCTCTTCATTGTAGGCACCCTCTGCCTAGCATTTGCGGTTCAGACTCCCAAAAGGAAAGCAAGTGTTCATCATGAACTGTATTATTGCGTAAATAGTTTGGCACAATGAACGACTCTTATCAGTTAGGTTCATGGGAACCCTCCTGAACCTCCTGAAATAGATGTTCCCAAAAGCCAGCCAAAGGCCAGTGTTGCCAGCAAGTCTTTTCAAGGATAGCAGTTTAGCCCTTTTAACTTTTTTTTTTTTTTTAGGATTGATAACTTTTTTTCTGTGTACCAGTCCAATGAAACATTTATTCAACATAGTAGGAAAAATTGTTGGAGATCTAAAATAGGTCAGCAATGTCATATCTAATATAATCAGTTCATTTTCTTTGTAGTAAAACTCTGAGAAACAGCAGTAAGGAAATAAAACAAAATTATTTTTCTTTAATATTCCCAGAAAAGTATACTCAGTGAAGGAAAATAGCATCTTCTCTGTCATAATCTTAAGATTTTATTCTTCTTAAACATTTTAAATTGAGATAGTAAAAATGCTAGTATGTTATGGTAAGTAACATTTTCTTCCTTCGCTAATTTTTGTTAATGGGCAGAGAAAACGACTGTGTAAAGAAACTGTATATTCATTCCTTTTAGCCTAAGAAAGCTGTCAAGATAAAACCTCACCCACCTGTAGCTCCTCGACCTTCTAGTGGTTCCACTGCACCATCTCGCCACCGATTGTTAAGGGTCCTCCCCAACATTGGTCAATCTTGTTCACCTGCTTTTGGGAATGCATATCCGCCCGAAATCTCCAGGAATGGAATTTCAAGTTTGGCAACTCAACTCTCTGCTGAGAGATACATATCTTCTATCACTGGTGAATTTCTTAAGGAAGATAATAGCTGGGAGAATAACACACTGTCTCACTTCAGTAGCAACGTCAAACTACCTCCTCAGATACCCCATTTGGAGTTGGGAAATGACCAGGAGCTTGCTGACTCTGTTCTCCATCTTGGATCATCCCTGCCTAGGCAAACAAAACATTTTTTAGGAAACTTGCCATCTAGTAATGGGAACATTGTCTTACCTTCAGAAGAATGTGTAACCGAACAATCACTTCTACCTAAAGTGGGCTCACTGGCTTCATTTGCAGAAGGAAATGCTGATGAACAGAGCAGCGGCTTAGAAGGTGCGTGCAAAGTGAATCTGGAGTTGCTACTCACTAATGCTGACAAAGGGTTGAAAGCTCCAGAGCAGCATCTCAAGCATGTTGCAGGAGTGCTGAATGGGGAATCAGTAGAGACTTCAGTTCTTAACTACCGGGAATTAAGTCCTCACAAGAATAGACTCTTGTCACCTCTTCGCTGTTCTGCACCAATGTCGCTACATAATTCTCTGGTGAAACCAGAGAGACAGTCCAAATGTTTTGAGTTTGGGAAGCTACAGCCTTCTTCTTCTCAGTCACTGGATGTTCAAAACATAACTGATTCTTCTTTCTCTAGGACTACTTGCTTTCAAGGTGTTAAAGTTGATTCACTTGGGAAAAGATCTGATGTTATTTCCAAAGTTGAGGCTCGGGATATCACAGAAATGACTAACAAGGCTTCCAAAGAGCCTGTTGGTTGTGTAAATAATATCAGTTTTCTTGCCTCACTGGCCGGGAGCACAAGCAGAAATAGATTACAGAGCACACGTGGGGCAGGCAGGCTTCAGAACTCTGGAACTGGGCTGTCTACAAACCTCCAGCATTTTCAGGAAGAAAACTTTAGGAAAAGTTCTCCCCAGTTAGAACATACAGGAGTTTTTTTGGTCAGTATTTTCCTTTCAACATGCTCTAGTAGTTATCCTTGTAGTGATTCAACTTATTTAAAGTTTGGTTTTTGTTTACATAAATAAGGAAGGCTAAGATTAGATTATTTTCATAAATTTATCTGAAAATGTTTATTTAGTTTGTATAAAATCTTGATAGTCGAATTTTGAATGCTGTTTTAGTCCTGAAATGAGAACAGTAATTTGAACATAAGTTAATGTAAACAGTTTATCAGATATGTATGTATATGTTGTACTCCTCAAACTCCTGGGCTCAAGCAATCCTCCTGCCTTAGCCTCCTGAGTAGCTGGGAATATAGGAACATGCCAATACACCCATATTTTCAAATACGTATTAAAAATATGTATTTTTAAATGCTAAATGTTTTTAATGTTTTTTTCCATCCCAAGTAAGAACTTTTTATTTGAGTCATCAAATTTCACTCTCTCTCTCCCTTTTTTTTTTTTTTTTTTTTTGAGACGGAGTCTCGCTCTTTCACCCAGGCTGGAGTGCAATGGCGCTATCTCGGCTCACTGCAAGCTCTGCCTCCCGGGTTCACGCCATTCTCCTGCCTCAGGCTCCCAAGTAGCTGGGACTACAGGCACCTACCACCACGCCTGGCTAATTTTTTTTGTATTTTTAGTAGAGATGGGGTTTCACCGTGTTAGCCAGGATGGTCTCGATCTCCTGACCTCGTGATCCACCCGCCTGGGCCTCCCAAAGTGCTGGGATTACAGGTGTGAGCCATTGCGCCCGGCCTTTTTTTTTTTTTTGAGACAGGGTCTCACTCTGTCACCCAGGCTGGAGCACAGTGGCATAATCATGGTTCACTGCAGCCTTGACCTCCAGGGCTCAAGCAATCCTCCCGCCTCAGTCTCTTGAGTCCCTGGGACTACAGGCACATGCCACCATGCCTGGCTAACTTTTATATTCTTTGTAGAGATGGGGTTTCACCATGTTGCCCAGGCTGCTCTCAAACTCCTGGAACACAGTGGTGCAATCACAGCTCGCTGCAGCCACGACGTCCCAGGCTCAAGCAATCCTCTCACCTCAGCTTCCTAAAGTGCTGGGATTACAGGCATGAGTCACAGCACCCGGCAAATTCTACCCTCTTAAAGATAAATAATAAGCACGATATTGCTAGATGTGGAATCAGGTTCTGAGTTAATTTAATTAAACAAAAATTGGAATAAATAATTTAAAATGAAAGTCCAACAGCATCTTAGTGATAAAATACAAGTATTTCATGTTTGTTGATCATTTCTATTCTTCATTGACTCACCTCTATAGATGTTTTGTGTTTTAATTGTAGTCTACCCATGGTGTTGGAATGAATGGAAATAATGCAGCAGCAGGGAAAAGCGTAGGTAAGCTACAGATAATTTTGAAAACAATACAAGGCTGATAATTACATAATTATGCATCCGGTTGAATTTTCAAAGAGAAATGGGAAGAACCTTCTCTGTGGCATGTACAGAGTAAATTCTGTCTCTAAATGCTTTTTCCAATTAAGAATAATTATGAGAACGGACTGTAGGACATATATAAAGAATAAAACAAAAATTGAAATTGAAATATATTATCTTGGAAGAGGTGTTATCTATGTCAAAAAAACCCACAAGATTATTGAAGAATGAACATGTAGTTCCCAACCACCTTAGTTGCTGGCCACTCTAGAGCCATGTGGGTTTTGAAGAATTACCCTAGAAAGATGTCTTTCAACATCATGGCCAAACATCAGAGGTGGTGGTAAGAATCTCTTTTTGATGAACTAGTCATTTCTGGATAAAAGAAAGGGACAGTCTGTAGGGCCAGCCCTTTCCAAGGCCTATTAGTGGAAGTGACCATGACATTAGCACTTCTTTCTACCAGTATGGTAACACATTAAAGATGCACCGGCCAGTCATTATTTTCAAGGAGGAAGGAAGCCATCTTTTTAAATGTTTTAATACCCAGACCAGGGATGGGAAACTCGTTACCAAAGATGTGCCACCTTTGTAGCCTCAAGGTTTTAAAAGATACCTTATTTGTTATGGTTGTCATGTGGGTTTTATGTTTTTATTGAAGACATTTAGGGTTTGTTTTTCATTCCTATGTAAGGCCCAAGGTTATAAAATCATAATCTATTTGCACATTTTTTCAATTATTTTGTACTGTGGTAAAATAAACATAACATAAATTTTACTGTCATAACCATTTTTAAGTATAAAGTTCAGTGACTTTCACATTGTTGGGGATCCATCACCACCACCTTTCTCTAGAACACTTTTCATCTTACAAAACTGAAACACTCTTCCCCCTCCCACCACCCTGGCAACCACCATTTCATTTCCTAATTCAATGATTTTTTAGGTACTCTAAGTACCTATGTAAGTGGAATCAAACAGTATTTGTCTTTTTATGACTGGCTTATTTCACTTATCAGAATGTCCTCAAAGTTTACCCATGTAGTAGCATATATCAGAAATTATTTTCTTTTTGGGGCTGATACTGTATTGTGCGTGTGTGTGTACACACACACACAATATACACATACACACACACCATATTTTGCTTATCCATTCATCTGTTAATAGACAGTTGTATTGTTTCCATGTTTTAGCTATTGTGAATAATGGTGCTGTGAACATGGGTGCACATATATGTCTTTGAGACACTACTTTCAATTCTTTAGAATATATACCCAGAAATGAAATTGCGGGATCAGAAGGTATTTCTATTTTTAATTTTTTGAGGAACCGTCATATTGTTTTCCACAGTTGCTGTACCATGTTTCATTCCATCGACAGTGCAAAAGGATTCCAATTTCTCCACATCCTTGGCAACACTTGTTATTTTCCTATGTTTTTGCTAGTAGCCATCCTAATGGGTGTGAGGTGATGTCACTGTGGTTTTGATTTGCGTATCTGTGACGATTAGTGTTACTGATTATTGATTCCCTAATTAGTGAAGTTGATTTCCTAATGAGTAGTTTCATGTGCTTATTGGCCATTTGTAGATCTTCTTTGGAGAAATGTCTTTTCATGTTTTTTTTTTCCCCGAAACCAAACTGTATCCAGCTTTATTAAAGATACTTTCCATAAACAATCATGGTATTTCAGGCAGTACATGGACAGACAGTCGTTAACAGTATACAACAACTTTCAAACTCCCGTCTTCAACGGACTACCAAAAATCAGAAAGCCACTATAAAACCCAATGAAGTATCTGATGTTCTGAACGGGGAAAGTTTAGAGTGAGGGTTGACATTTCACATTTAGCATGTTGTTTAACAACTTTTCACAAGCCAACCCTGACTTTCAGGAAGTGAAATGAAAATGGCAGAATTTATCTGAAGATCCACAATCTAGAAATGGAACCACTGCTCTTTTGACAGGTGCTATCTCAGTGGCATCACTGGAAAGTCCAGAATGCCTGACACATTAGGAAATCCGATGCCTGACACATTAGGAAATCCAGTTTGTCTATTTTCTCCTTTTGTTACCTGTGCCTTTGGTGTCATATCCAAGAAATCACCACCAAATCCAATACCATGAAGCTTTTCCCCTATCTTTTCTTCTAGAAGTTTTATAGTTTTAGGTCTTATGTTTAGGTCTTTGATCCATTTTGAGTTAAAATAGAGTGTAAAGTAAGGGTTCCACTTCATTCTTTTGCATGTGAACATCCCATTTTCTTATTAACTTTTGTTGAAACACTGTCCTTCCTCATTGAATGGTCTTGGCACCCGTGTTGAAAGTCATTTGATCATGTATACGAGGATTTGTTTCTGGACTGTCTACTCATTGGTCTATGTGTCTGTTTTATGCCAGTATCACATCGTTTTTATTACTGTAATTTATTGACTTTTAATGTTATAGTTGTTGTTTTTCGTTGACACATAACTCTGTCCTGCCCTAACGCACAACTGATCTTCTTGGAAATTTGCATTGCACCCATCCCTACTCACTCAGCTCTAGTTCAGTCTTCAGTGCTGGTTCACGTCTCACTGCTCTTCTGAAACTGCTATTGCCGTGGTCACTGACAATCTCCATAATTTCAAATCCATTGGATGCCTCCATATCTTTATCTTATTTGATTTTTGTGTCCTTCATTCTTGAAATAGTTTTTTTTAAAAAAAATTCTAGGCTATCACATTGTTATAAATTTTTACTTTTGTTTTAATCTTTTTTTAACCTCAGTTTTTGTTTGTTTGTTTGTTTGTTTTTTGTGAGGTGGAGTCTCACTCTGTCTCCCAGGCTGGAGTGCGGTGGCACGATCTCGGCTCAC
Organism: Homo sapiens; assembly: GCF_000001405.40. Taxonomy (NCBI): domain Eukaryota; kingdom Metazoa; phylum Chordata; class Mammalia; order Primates; family Hominidae; genus Homo; species Homo sapiens. Next base: position 45,621,683 of record NC_000010.11, on the reverse strand, counting down.
TGCAAGCTCCACCTCCCAGGTTCACGCCATTCTCCTGCCTCAGCCTCCCGAGCAGCTGGGACTACAGGTGCCCGCCACCACACCCGGCTAATTTTTTGTATTTTTAGTAGAAACGGGGTTTCACTGTGTTAGCCAGGATGGTCTCGATCTCCTGACGTCGGGATCCGCCCACCTCAGCCTCCCAAAGTGCTGGGATTACAGGTGTGAGCCACTGCGCCTGGCCTTAACCTCAGTTTTCTTCTGTCCTTTTTTTTTTTTTTTTAACCAGCCCTCTGCTTGTCCCCAGATATATGCTTTTTTGTTTGATTTCATTTAGATTTGAAGTATCAGCTGCTAGCTGCAGTAGAGCTGTGTAACTTGCTTCCATTTTTCTCTCACTGTAATAACTATCATTCTGAATTATCTAGAAGAGTCTATATACATTTTGATGCAAGTTTCATTTAATTGACTTCCTAAATTCCTCCATTGGTCCTCTGTTCTTTTCACTATAAGGTTTCCCTTGGAAACTGTATTCATTATTATAGATTTAGCCATTGATTTTAGGCAGACGACTACCAGCCTTGCGTCTGGAACACTGATTTATTACTTTTTGCTGCCTTTCTGTTGGGTCAGTTTTTGTAGATCCTGTTAGATGTTAGATAAAATATGAGACTAGGAAATGGCAAGCAAGTGAATTACCTCAAGTACCTTTCATCTTGTTGTGAAAAGCAACTCTTACCATCAATATGATTTTATGGGTTTTTTTCTTTATTCATCTGTTCAGTACACATTTGAGAGAAGGCTTCAGAGAGGAGTTGATAATTGATGATGTCTTACAGGATAAGTCAAATTCTACTGGGTTGACAAGGTAGAGTTTACTTTAGAAGAGATTGCAGATGTGGAAGGACTTGGTACATCCTTCGGGGTAGGTATGACATGGTAAATTACAGTGTCTCTGGATAGTTAGAAAGGCATTATATTGGACATAATAATACCTTAAATGCCAGTCCAAGGAATTTAGATTTTTCCTGTTTATAGTGGGGAATCAATATGTTTATTGATGGTTCCTAGTACACAGTAGTTGCTAATAGTTTTCTCTATTGGTAGAAGGATGTATGGAGGCTGCTCTCATAGAGTACTGCACTTATATTTTTGTGCTACCTCATTACTGTCACTAATGTATTCTCTGTCTCTACACATTCGCAAGAGTTCTTTTTTTTTAGACAGAGTCTCGCCCTGTTACCTGATTAGGCTGAAGTGCAGTGGCACGATCTCGGCTCACTGCAACCTCTTCCTCGCGGGTTGAAGTGATTCTTCTGCTTCAGCCTCCTGAGTAGCTGGGACTACAGGCGCGTGCTACCATGCCCAGCTAATTTATGTATTTTTAGTAGAGACGGAGTTTTACCATGTTGGCCTGACTGGTCTTGAACTGACCTCAGTTGATTCGCCCACCTTGGCCTCCCAAAGTGCTAGGATTACAGATGTGAGCCACCGCGCCCAGCCTCACAAGAGTTCTTAAATGAAAAAAAGTATGGAGAATATCAAGTTAAGCATCCCCTAAGAAAAGAAAAAAAATGAAAATGTGACTACAGTGAATTAAATTATCATCAGAGATTCTTCCACCATTGTTTAAGGAAGAATATCCTAAGCCTGAATTTTAAAGATGGTTTCGAGTAGATTAACATTCATTGGACATCTTGTAATATATGCCTTTCTTTGGTGTCTTGTGCAAGTGCAAGTAAATATCTTTTTAAAAATACTTTAAATAATGGAATTACTCCCTCACCTTTGTGAGATGTTCTTGGTATCTCTAAGTGCACTTGAGAAAGAAAACGTTTATTAACTGAGTTGGTACCCAGGCACCATTAGGAGTCTCTCAATTGTTTCAAATTTTGTTTCTAGTTTTGGCAAGATCTGGAAGTGTATTTTATACTGGTAATAAAGAAGATTTAATTTTGCTGGGCTTGTGTACAAATTACCTAATCTCTGTTGTGACAAAAAAAAAAAGACATAGAACCAATTAATTGTAAATCCAATTTTTTGAACCCTTTAAGAAATTTCAGACTTTTAGCTGCCAACTAAATACCAAGCTTAGGCCTCCTAAACCTTTTTCAGTAGTGGAGAAAAGGTCCCAGCACCATTGACACTACCAGTTTTTCCTCACTCCTTCCACTTGTTCTTGCATTCTTTCTTTGCCTCTTGCTTCTTAGCCTTTGTGTGACACCAAGCACATGTGTATTTGTACTGTTACTTTATCAACTATGGGCAGGAACTTTGAGCCTCTCTGCTTATGACTGGGGTTTGTTGGCATTTTGATCAGTTCTAAAAGACATTTAACTTAGTAATTAAAGAAATTGATTTGGCCTGGCGTGGTGGCTCACACCTGTAATCCCAGCACTTTGGGAGGTTGAGATGGGCGGATCATGAGGTCAGGAGTTCAAGACCAGACCAGACTGACCAAGATGGTGAAACCCCGTCTCTACTAAAAATACAAAAAAAAAAGCTGAGCGTGGTGGTGCGTGCCCATAGTCCCAGCTACTCGGGAGGCTGAGGCAGAAGAACCACTTGAACCCAAGACACAGAGCTTGCAGTGAGCCGAGATTGCGCCACTGCACTACAGCCTGGGCGACAGAGCAAAATGTCTCAAAAAAAAAAAAAATTGATTTAATTCTTTCTTATATAATAACAGATGTGCTCTTATTTTTAAGGTAAAAACTCAAGTTGATACAGTAATACAGAATTCAGTAAATATTTTTGGAAAACTAGTAGTACTGTGAAATTGAGCTGTGTACTGTTAGTTACTATTATTAATATGACATTTTATGTAATTATAACATGCTTAAAACTTTCAGAGTGCTTTTTACATATATGGATTGAGTTGACCTTAAAGTGCTTATTAACCTAGAGAGAAAAATACATGTTCTATTATGTTAAAAATAAACATATTGAAGTTTTGAAAGAATAAATGACTTGCTCATGGTTTGATGAACTGTCAGTGGTGTAATAGGACTAAAAGGCATGTTTCATGATATTCTGGTACTTCTTTTTGGTGTGAACAAACAGAATATTTATATTGCAATCATGTTCTCAGAGGCTTCATCAAATATGATTTTGAAGCAGACATTTTTCTTTATTCTCTGTCAAAATTTGGTGTACTTTATATAAACTGATTACCATTAGAAATAATGAGGAAAGTGGTGTGTATAAAAAGTTCTAAAAATATAAGTGCTAATCAGTAGAAACCTACCACATCTTAAAAGAAATAGTTCCACTGCAACTTGACCTGTAGATTTTATAAGTAATTTTAGATATAAAAATAGCACAAATTAATTTTTATGGCATAGATATTTACTTTGATAGGACTATGTTTTGTGTTTTGCTTAATAATATTTCATGTTTAGGATTTTATGCCTGTGTTAATCAAGGTGTCCTTTCTCTAAACAGGAGAATGTACTACTCATCACCTCCCACCTGTGAAAGCCCCTCTTCAGACAAAGAAGAAAACAACAAATCATTGTTTTCTTTGTGGAAAGAAAACAGGACTGGCTAGTAGCTACGAATGCAGGCAGGTTGGCGAGCTGGAGAAGCTCAGATGCTTTCTCTGTGATAACCCAGCTTGGGGATTATGCAAAATAAAATATTTAAATTGCCTGTTTATAACATCATTAAGATGATGTTCAATAGCTATCTTCAGTTGAACTTCTAATTGGCTGAAGTAAAGAACAAGTAGATAGCTCATGGGTTTCCAAAAGACAAAAACAGATCCTTCCTTGTCCTTTAAGTTAGGAGGTTTAAACCAATCTGAGAGTGTACCTTTTTCGTCTTATGATGAACCTGCTTGGATTTTGTTTGAGTGGCACCTTGGAAGAACCCCTCCCTGAATATTCTATTAAAAATTTAATTAAAAAATTAAAAGTTAATATAAAATAGATGAATAATATATTTCCAAAAAAGTATGACCTTTTTCTTACTGTAATTATTTATTTCATTAGTATTGATTGATATCCTCCAAGGATGTTATGTCATATTATCTTGGATGTCTGCCCTTAGATTGGGGCTAGGCTTGAATTAAAATAACTGCTGCTGCGGACTTTTTTTTTTTTTTTTTTTTTTCAGTACTGTAATCATAACTCACTGGAGCCTTGATGTCTTGGGCTCAAGCGATCCCCCTGCCTCAGCCTCCCTAATAGTGAGGACTATAGGCATGTGCCATCATGCCTGGTTAATTTTTTAAATTTTTTGTAGAGACAGATCTCACTATATTGCCTAGGCTGGTCTCAAACTCCTGGCCTCAAGTGATCTTCTCACCTTTGCCTCCCAAAGTGCTGGAATTTCAGGTGTGAGCCGCCACCACACCCATCCCAATCCCTGCTTTTTAGAGTGTATTCGGTTCGAATGAAAACAACCTATTTTGCTACTAGAAATATTTTTAAAAATCCTTTCATGGCATAGTTAGGTTTTACTATTTTAATTTTATCATGAGACTGAATTCCTCAGAAATTCAGAATTCTTTTAGGTTTACTAGGTATAAGAGAAACGATGGGCATATTTATCAGCTTTTTGCAGTTTTACTACTGATAGAGTTCTATACCCTGTTTCATTCTTTTTTTTTTTTCTTTTTTCTTTTTGAGATTGTGTCTCGCTCTGTCACCAGGCTGGAGTGCAGTGGCACGATCTTGGCTCACTGCAACCTCCACCTCCTGGGTTCAAGCGATTCTCCTGCCTCAGCCTCCCGAGTAGCTGGACTATAGATGCACGCCACCACACCCAGCTAATTTTTGTATTTTTAATAGAGATGGGTTTTCATCATGTTGGCCTGGATGGCCTGGAGATCCACCCGCCTCGGCTTCCCAAAGTGCTGGGATTACAGGCTTGAGCCACCGCCCCTGGTCTACCCTGTTTCAGTCAATAATGACTTCTTTATCATAAATTGTCATATTCGTAGATAATTAACTTGTTCTTTTTGGGGGTATTTATGCTTGTTTACGAATGGAAGGGAAATGTCAGCAGTGAAATTGCTAAAAAGAACCAAAGGGCCCCTGTTGGACTACCTGAAGTCAAGCTCCTGTCTCCCAGACAGATGAGCCTTTCATAGAAATACAACTATTCACGTAAACTTTTTTTGTGCTTTAGATGTGGAAACAACTTCTGTGCATCTCATCGTTATGCAGAAACTCATGGCTGTACCTATGATTACAAGAGTGCAGGGAGGAGATACTTGCACGAGGCAAATCCTGTGGTTAATGCACCAAAGCTTCCAAAAATCTAACTCTTCCTCTACATCTTACTGTTCTGCCCGGGATTCGTATTATAATGACAGAAGAAATGTTGTTTAGACTATTATTTTTGTTCGACTCTAAAAGATTTGCCAAATAACAAAAGCATACAATGCATACTGTTGGAGAACAAGAATGCTACTGTATTTTACATCTTTATTTCTTGGTGAAACAAAAGTTTTAAAAGTAGTTTTAACAACTTTACACTGGAATGATTTAGCTTTGTTATTGCATGTCTTGTGTTAAGTGTTTTGTATATGATATTGCAGTTTTACTAGGCAAATCTTCAAAAGATGCACTTTAGGAAACGAAATATTTCCTAAATAACCAGGCTTCCACATTGTACAGAATGAGCAGTCATGTAATGAATGGCTCTACTCAGATTGACCATATGGGTTTTTTCTTTTTCTTTCTTTTATTCTTCTCCTTCTTTTTTTTTCAGAGGTGGGATGGGTGGAGATTTTTTAAAAATCCCACGTGTGAAAGTTTACTGGCTTTATTAGCAAGTTCCTTTTTACTTCAAGCTACTTTTTATAAAAAAGAACATTTTTCCAGTGTGGTTTTTAACAGATAATACATTTCTTCCACATTCAGATTAGTATTCGGACATGAATCCATTCTATAAAACACATCGTGTTCATGATAGTGTATATTTTACTACTTTTTGAATGTTAATTTTAAAATAGAAGATGTCCCACTTGCCATTAAATATAGAAGCCAACTTTTTACCTTTTGAAATATGGCTACATTTAAAACAAAATCTCACAGCTCGGTTTTTCTTATTTGTTGAGTGCTATTACCAGGAGAAATTCAAATAAATATTCAATTTCATTATGAATTTCATTATTTATTTATAATAGTTTTTCTTTTATAAATAATTTTTCTTTTATAAAACTATTTAATTAAATGAGTGATTTATTTTACGTGGATAAAATAACTATCAGTATAAAAATATTCTTTTAGGATATTAAGGACCCTGTTCCCCAGGTGTAACCAGAAACCACTAAGGCACTTAGTGGCCACTTGCTGTATAGAAGCTCAGTTCAGACTGATGCTGAACCCTGGTAAACAACTAGCACCTAACCCAGGTAGACTCTGCAGCCCTGGGGTAGCAGACTCTGCTAAGAGTACCAGACTCTGCTAAGAGTACCAGAAGGCTAACTTAGGAGCTGTGAGGGGCCCCTTCCTCTACTTAAGGCTGAATGAACTGGAGAGCTCACTGCCCCTGCTCCTGTAAGAAATGAAATGTTGATGGAGACAGATGCCTTCAGACAAAGAGGGCAGTACATTCATAAGAGGGAATGGCTAAAAGTTAGCAGAGGAGCTATGCAAATGGGGGTTGAAGGCATGCTTTTTAAGAAGGGTGGATATAAGTAGATGAAAAATACTTTCATCTGTGTTATGAATAATTCAGTATTTCCTCCTGTATCAAGAAGACACGTGTTTTAGACACTTAAAATATAAGAACTGCCTTACAGAGTTAGACTGCTGAGAAATGGACCATAGCATATTTATTCTGCAAACAAATATGAATGCCTAGGGCCTACTTGATGTAGTGTGCTATGCTTTTTAAACCAAGACTATAAGTAGAAGTAAGTCTCATTCTAAGTTTTACTAAAGATTGTGGTGAAAGTTAAGTCTTTTTACTAGTTTTCAATAACTGACAGCTGAACTATTTTAATTCAACAAGTTATATCATTATATTGAGGGGCATTTCTTTATGCTTTAAATTCTTACACAGACACATTCCAAATTTTAGAGACATTGTATCTGTCTTTGCATTTCCAGTAATTAGCAGAGTAGATTGCCTGTAGGTACTGGTTAAACATTAGTTGAATAAATTGATGCATTGGACAACTTAACCGTGATTTTTTTTTTTTTTTGACATAGAGTCTTGCTGTGTCACCCAGGCTGGGTGCAGTGGTGCGATCTTGGCTCACTGCAACCTCTACCTCCTGGGTTCATGTGATTCTCCTGCCACAGCCTCCCGAGTAGCTGGGATTACAGGTGCCCACCACCATGCCTGGCTAATTTTTGTATTTTTAGTAGAGAAGAGGTTTCACCATGTTAGCCAGGCCAGTCTTGAACTCCTAACCTCAAGTGATCTGCCCACCTTGGCCTCCCAAAGCGCTGGGATTACAGCCATGAGCCACTGCACCTGGCCCATGCTTTTTTAAAAAAGGCATTTATATTGTTTTATTTAGCTAAGCCCATTTTATGTAACGAAGTTCAGTTTCTGGATTTTTTTAAAACAGCATTTAGTTTTAACAGCACTAAAAGTTTTAAATTTTTAACTTTTGGCTATGTGGAATATTTTCAGGTTATATTTAATGTAATCATTCTAAAAAGGGAAATCCAAATACTCAGGTGTCCTTAAAATCCTATCAGTGTACGTGTAACTTGTGGAGACAATTATTTTTTAAAAGACAGGAATTCATTTTCTCATATATGTTTAATGTGATTTTTCTTTTTTTTTTCTTTTTTTTTAGATGGAGTCTCACTCTGTTGCCAGGCTGGAGTACAGTGGCATGATCTCAGCTCACTGCAACCTCTGCCTCCGGTTCAAGTGATTCTCCTGCCCCAGCCTCCTGAGTAGCTAGGACTACAGGTGCGCACCACCACGCCCAGCTAATTTTTATATTTTTAGTAGAGACAGGGTCTCACCATGTTGGCCAGGATGGTCTCAGTCTCTTGACCCCGTGATCCACCCGTCTCAGGCTCCCAAAGTGCTGGGATTACAGGCATGAGCCACCGTATCCAGCCTATGTTTAATATGTTTTTAAGCCATCAAGACGAATACTCAAATTTTGCATCTAGTCATGTTTTTCAAAGTGTAAGCCGTCTACCACTCCTGGAACGTGAGATAATTTTAGGTATTACATGGGTGAACATTTGTAATAATTATATATTTTAATGTATTGGAAAATGTAAGTATAAGCAGCTTAAGTTGAAAATAATGTAAAATAAATTGATTTAGGTTAAAAATGTTGGTTTAAAATTGGCAAGGATTAATATAGCAAAAATCATAAAAATAAAACAATGAAATTTAAGGAATGAAGGCATGATATTTTAAGTTTTCTTTGAAAATTAAGTTAAACTTTTGAAATGGTTGATGAAACTAATATACATAGCTTTAGAAAAACTAAGGGTTAAAAAGTAAAATTTTATCATAGACACCCCCCTCCAATTTCTTCTAATAATTAATTTTAGTTTTTCTAGTTGTTACCATCATAACACTAGCCAGTATATTTTAGACGTTATTTTATTCTACTCTACTATTAAAAGTGAGGAATTAGCTTAACAACACATTACCTCAATACTTCCTAATTTTTGTCAGTGTATTAGTCTTTTCAGGCTGCCATAACAAAGTACCATAACCTACAGAAATTTTTCTCACAGTTCTATAAGCTAGAAGTCTCAGATCAAGGTCCAACAGGGTCAGTTTCTGGTGAGGGCTCTCTTCCTGGCTTGTAGACAGCTGCCTTCTTGCTTTGTCCTCACATGGCCTTTGTTCAATGTGTACACACAAAGTGGGTTGTGGGTGGGAGAAGAGCATGAGTGCTATCTGGTGTCTCTTCTTCTAAGGACACTAGTCTTGTCAGATCAGGGCCCCACCCTTATTACTTAATTTAATCTTAATTACTGTCTTACTCCAAATACAGCCACACTAGGGGTTAGGGCTTCAAAGTGGGAATTTTGAAGTGGGGGGCACATGCGTTCAATCTGTAACATACTGTCCGTGGCCTGCCAAAATCTGTGTTCTTGTCACATGTAGATATATTCTCTTCCATCCCAACCACACTAAAAGTCTTAACTTGTTTAAGTATCAACTCTAAAGTCTAAAATCCAAAGCCTAATGTAAGCATAAATCAGGTATGGCCGAGACTTTTGGTACCATTCATTCTGAGGCAAAATTCCTCTCCAGCTGTGAACCTGTGAAACCAGACAATATGCTCTTCCAAAACACAATGATGGGACGGGCATAGGAAAGACATGCCATCTCAGAAAGGAGAAACAAGAAAGAAAAAAAGGATGACAAGTCCCAAGCAAGTCCCCAAACCTGGCAAGGCAAATCCCATTAGGTCTTAAGGCTCTAGAATTATTCTTTTTGGTTTGATGCTATGCCCTCCAGGCCCACTTGCACTGTCACCCTTATGGCACTGGGCCTCAGCCTTGTCCCTGAGGCATTGGGCAGTGGGATCCTGGCCTCCCCTGAGTGAAAAAGCCCCACCCTTTGAAATGGAGGAGGAACTAGCCCTGCCTCTTAGGCCTGTGGTGAGAATGGCAGGCTGTGGTTCACGGACAGTATTTGAATCACTTTTGGGGCCATTCTTCACTTTTTAAAAGGGTAGCTCATGCTCACAGCCAGATAGCTCTGTTGTCTGTTTCTGTAGAATCTGAGAAGTCCTACAGCCTTCTTTCATTCCATTCTGATTTTTCCTGTCCCCTTTAGTCCTGGCTGACAGTATCTCTGCTGGTACAATCCCATCTCTATTCTTGGCTTCTGCTCAGGTGGCTGATTAAATCTGTAGTTCACACCCACACTAATGTTATCAAATGGTTGTTCAACCACACCTTTAATGTTCTCTTCCAAACAAGCTTTCTCATTTCTTCGCAATGTGGATAGGCTTGAGAATTTTCTATATCTTCAAGTTCTAGTTTCTTTTTGCTTAAAATTCCTTCGCTTTATCTCCTTGCATTTTAAGTGGTAGAGAAACCAAGTTGCTCCTTCAATACTTTGCTTAGAAATCTCCTTAGCTAAATTTAGATCCAGTTTCATTGCTCACAATTTCTGCCTTCCACAAAACACTAGAACACAACTATTTATTTCTTTCTATTTTATAACAAGAATCTCCTTTGTTTCTATTAACCTGTTCTGCATTTCTACCTAAGACTTCACCAGACGGGCCTTTAAAGTCCATCATGCCCACGAACATTCTGTTGATGATGATATATGTATTCTGTAAGAATATGGAGGCTTTCTCTCTGGCTCTCCTCTTTTCTTTCTGAGCCCTTATAAGAGTTACCTTTAATTCAATCATCTGTTGGACCATAGCTATCAACAGTCCTTCAGGACACTATAGACTTTTTTTTTAGCATGCATGTTAAAACTCCTCCAGCCTCTCACCATTACCCAGTTCCAAAGCCACTTCCACATTTTTAGGTATTTGTTACAGAAATACCACTTTTTGGTACCAAAATCTGTATTTATCTTCAGGCTGCCACAACAAAGTATAGTTGGTCCTCCATATCTAAGGGTTCCACATCCATAGATTCAACCAACTGGGGATAAAAATATTTCCGTTAAAAAAGGATATTTGCATCTATGTTGAACATGTACAGACTTTTTTTCCCTCTCATTCTCTAAATAAGGCAGTGTAATTACAAGAGGATGGGCATAGGTTATGTGGAAATACTATGCCATTTTATATAAGAGACTTGAGCATCCATGGATTTTGGGTTCTACAGGGGATCTTAGAACAAATCCCCCATGGATACCAAGGGACGACTGGGTGGCTTAAACAACAGAAATTTGTTTTCTCACAGTTCTGGATTCTAGAAGTCCCAAATCAAAGTTCAGCAGGGTTCTTTGTGGGTAAGGGCTCTCTTCCTGGCTTGCAAATGGCAGCGTCCTTGCTGTGTTCTCACCTGGCCTTTCCTTGGTACATGTGCAGCAGAGTGAGGGGCAGTGGGGAGACAACAAGCTCTTCAGTGTTCTTTCTTATAAAGATATCAGTCCTATTAGATTAGGGCCCTACTCTCATGACCTCTTTAGCCTTAATTACTTTCTTACTCCAAATACAGCCATGCATGGGTTAGGGCTTCAACATAGAAATTTGTGGGAGGGGGGACAAACATTCAGTCCATAAGTCAGTTATTTCAAATTCCCTATTCTACTGCAGTTAGACTAGTCCATGTTACCATAGCTTTTACCTGAGCTATTGCAATAGGTCCCTACCTAGGCTCCCTGAATTACTTCTATGCCCTTTACAACCTGTTTCTACACTTAGCCAGAGTGAGCTTACAGAAACAAAACTTTGAGCACATCAGTGTTTGAAATATTTCAGGACTTCCTCTGTTCTTAGAATAGACCCTGTGTTAACTGTTTGGCCTGCTATAACAGAATACTATAAAAACAACAGAAATGTATTTCTTACAGTTCTGGAGACCGGGAAGTCCAGTATGAAGGCACTAGCAGATCTGATGTCTGGTGAGGGCCTACTTGAAGATAGGTGACCATATTTTCATCATGTCCACATGGTGGAAGGCACAAGGGGCCTCCGTCCTGGGTCTCTTTTATAAGGGCTCTACTCCCATTAATGAAGGCTCTACCCTTGTTACCTAATCACTTCCCTAAAGCCCCACCTCAAAATACCATCACACTGGGAATTAGATTTCACCCTAATGAATTCAATGAGTTTTGGGAAGACATAAACATTCAGTCTATGGCAGAGCCAAATCTTTAACCTTTTCTCTTCCTAGTAAGGCTTCTGTTGTCTAGCCCACTCTTACTTCTCCAGCCTCATCTTGCACTGTTTCCCTAGGCTTCCTGGGATTTGCCCACATTCACTTTCTTTTAGCTTTTCCAACCTGTTTTCTCTTGTTAACACCCACTCTTCTTTCAGATGTCCACTCCATCATTACTTCCTGAAGGAAGCCTGCCAGGATATATTCCTGTCTAGGTCAGTGCCTTTCCTCTTGAAACCATTTTCTTTCCCTGAAAGGAAATCCACAACAGGTTTAATTGTGTGAGCCTTTGAGTTGGACAAGATGGCAAGTCCATGAAAGCAGGAATTGCTCTCCTGCCCATCTATCCATCCATGCTCCCAAGCCATCACCAGGCATTGTGCTTAAGCCCTCAATAAATATTTGTTGAATGAATGAAAAAGCTTTTAAGAATGTACTAAGTCTCGGCTGGGTTTGGTGGCTCATTCCTGTAATCTCAGCACTCTGGGAGGCAGAGGCGGGTAGATCACCTGAGGTCAGGCATTCGAGACCAGCCTGGCCAACGTGGTGAAACACCATCTCTACTAGAAATACAAAAATTAGCCAGGTGTGGTGGCAGGTGCCTGTAATCCTAGCTACTCAGGAGGCTGAGGCAGGAGAATCGCTTGAACCCGGGAGTTGGAGATTGCAGTGAGCCAAGATCATGCCACTGCCCTCCAGCCTGGGTTACAGAGCGGGATTCCATCTCAAAAAAAAAAAAAAAAAAAAGGGCGTGGTGGCTCATGCCTGTAATCCCAGCACTTTGGGAGGCTGAGGTGGGTGGATCACAAGGTCAGGAGTTCGAGACCAGCCTGGCCAGCATGATGAAACCCCCGTCTCTACTAAAAATACAAAAAATTAGCTGGGCGTGGTGGTGTGCTCCTGTAATCCCAGCTACTCGGGAGGCTGAGGCAGGAGAATCGCTTGAACCCAGGAGGTGGAGGTTGCAGTGAGCTGAGATCGTGCGAAGACTCCATCTCAAAAAAGAAAAAAAAGAATGTACAAAGTCTTTTTAGTGATCTATCCACTTTAAGTAGTATATGTTAGCCCTAAAGCATATTATGTTCTGTTAAATTATAGCCTTTTCTGCCTTTTTTTTAGGTTGACTTAAAATCTGACACTAATAAAGTTAAAATATTACATTTTTAGAAATATTTACTGAAGATCTAATTATGAGAGTATGATATCTTTTCTGTAATCCAAGCTCGCTAAACCTGTGATAGGCAAAGGTTCATTTTCTAAACATAGAGATAAAACTGATTCCCCTTAAATTCCTTCATTTGTCTAAAATTATGCCATAGTTTATTTTGCTTTTTAATTTCTTTTTTTTGTGAAGCTCATGGGTTTTTGTTTTCCCATTACTTTTCTTGTTTATTAATGTCATTGGAAAAATATACCTGGATCTTATCATCAGATTAAGACTGTCCCTATTAAGGCTACTAATCATATAATTAGTATATTGAGAATTATTCTTCTTGAAGACATTCTTCACATAATCACTTGACTTTTAATTTAGTATTCTTATAATTTATGTTGAAATACTTTCAACTTTATAGAAAAGTTATAAGTACAGAAAAAGAACTTTCTTGGTCCCCAGCTATTAATATTTCACCATATTTGCACTCTCTGTCAGCACATGTTTAGCAATTACCATTAGCCTTTTTCTGAATGAGAGAGTAAGAGGCAGACCTCATGCGCATCCATCTCTATGTATTTCTAGTATGTGTTTTCCCTGAACAAGGACACACTCTTACCTAACTCCTCCTTTCTTTCTTTTTCCCCCTTCCTTCCCTTTCCCTTCCCCCTCCCCCTTCCCCCTTTTCCCTCCCCCATCTAGTCCCCTGGGAACTGGCTTTTGTTTATAATTTCTCATATCCTCCTCCACTCCTCAGGTTCCCTCTCTACCAGCCTCAGAGTATCCTTCTTTGCAGACTTGGGGGTTGGGAGGTAGAGTGGGATCCCAGTTTTGGGGAGAAGAGGGTCTCCCTTAGGTGACATGCAGCTTTGACTTCTGTCTCCCTGGCTTTGGGAAGCCATGGGAACCAAAGTCACACTACTTGGTTTGTCACATGTACATAGGACACAGGATTTCAGTGCTCTGTGTTCCACTTTGGATGCATGCTTTCACTTAGATTTTATCCCAGTGATTCTTGAGAGTTGTCCCAGTTCTTTGATTCTTTAAGCATATATACGTTTAAATTTTTTTTTCCAGCATTTTTAGTTTGAGGAGTGGCTCAATTAACCTATTCAGCCTTATTCCTAGAAATTTTTTATTTTAATTGAATTTTTTATTTTAATTGAATTTTTTCCAATTCATTCTCTTGGATTCTTTGTCAGTCACAATTTCTTTCTTTTGTACTGTTGGTTTTTCTCAAATGTTTGAGAATTTTGTACATAGCGAGGAAGTAAGAATATGACCAATTAGCATGGGTGGGGCCTAAGGATAAGAGTGGAAGTATTGCTTAACTTATATGTACTTGGTCACTATGCTTTATTAGGTAATCTTTTGCAAATTTATTCATTCAGATGGTTATGGAGTGCCTCCCAGGTGCAAGGGACTGTAATTAGTGTTTGGAATATAGTAGTAAATTAGGTGGAGTTTACATTGCAATATAGGCAGACTTTAAACAACTAAGTGTGTCATTATATAATTATAATTTTGATAAATATTTTAAAGGGGAAGTATGCGAAGCTATGCAAATATGAAACACAGGCACCTGACCTAGTACAGGACTCCTGAAGTTGAAACTTCTGAAAGAGTAATGAAAATTAGCTAGGAAAGTGGTGAAGGAGATGATGGGGGAGAGGTCTAGGAGAAAAAATACATATAGTTGGCCCTTCATATCTGTATTAGTCCATTTTCACGCTGCTGATAAAGACATACTCAAGACTGGGCAATTTACAAAAGAAAGAGGTTTATTGGACTTACAGTTCCACGTGGCTGGGGAGGCCTCACAATCATGATGGAAGGTGAAAGGCATGTCTCACATGGCAGCAGACAAGAAGAGTTTGTGCAGGGAAATGCCCATTTTTATTCATTTATTAGTATTACTATTATTGAGATGGAGTCTTACTCTGTCACCCAGGCTGGAGTGCGGTGGCACAATCTCAGCTCATTGCAACCTCCCCTCCAAGATTCAAGTGATTCTCCCACCTCAGCCTCCCGAGTAGCTGGGACAACAGGCATGCGCCATAATGCCTGGCTAACTTTTTTGTACTTTTAGTAGAGACTAGGTTTTGCCATGTTGGCCAGGCTGGTCTCAAACTCCTGACCTCAAGTGATCTGCCCACCTCGGCCTCCCAAAGTGCTGGGATTATAGGTGTGAGCTACCACGCCCGGCCAAAACTCCGTTTTTAAACTTCCAGATCTTGTGAAACCTGTTTATTAGCATGAGAACAGCAAGGGAAAGACCCGCCCCCATGATTCAGTTATCTCCCACTGGGTACCTCCCACAACACTTGGGAATTATGGGAGCTACAAGATGAGATTTGGGTGGGGACACAGAGCCAAATCATATCAGTATCCATGGGTTCCATGTTCATGGATTCAACCAAGGATTGAAAATATTCGAAAAAAATAGATGGTTGCATCTGTACTGAACACATACAGAAGTTTTTTCTTGTCATTATTCCCTAAACAACACAGTATAACAACTATTTACATAGCACTTATGCTGTATGAGGTATTATAAGTAATCTAGAGAATATTTAAATTATACAGGAGCATGTTTGTAGGTTATGTGCAAATACTATACCATTTTATATAAGAGACTTAAGCATCTGTGGATTTTGGTATCTGTAGGGGATCCTGGAGCCAATAGCTGACAGATACCAAGAGACAACTGTATATTCTGAAGGACTTTTTCCTAGTCAAACTTTATTCTCTATTTAGGAATGGGTGCCCTGCTGAGTGACTTCAGCCTATACTTCATTGATCAGAATCTGTTAAAAGGGTAGCCTTTCCATTATAGCAGTTTCAATCAAGGGAGAACAAGTTTGGAAAAAAAGATTGAGCTAATGATCTACAATATCTGCTACAGAAGATGATTTGATTCCAAAAGAGTATTTAAGGTTTGTTGAGACAGAAAGAAAATATAAAGAACAAAATCCTAATGAAGAGAATGCAGGAACACTAAATCAGCCCCAAAACTCATATCCAATTTGTCCAAGAAAGAAATGAAACATTTTATTATGCACGTAGAATAGAAAAAAAAGAATAAGGTTGAGGTTTTAAGTCTATATAGTATTTTAAAATTATAATCATATGTTTAGTATTTAATGATATTCAATTCTACTTTACCACAGCTAACATCTGTCAATAGAATTACTTATAAAACAAAGACCTTAAGGGGAGAAAATGTTGATAAAGTATAGAATAAATACAAATAGACTTTAGTCTTTAATAAAAAGAAAAAATTACAGATAGGATTAAAAAATAAAATCTGGTACCTTGCTGCCTATAAGAAACACCTGAAGTAGAAAGATATAGACAAATAGTAGGCTAATCTTTTACTGTTAGCTCATTTCCTTGTACTTGTAAATCATGTTTTATTATGTGAATATATTTCATTGTGACATCAGCTGAGGGGTCCTAGACGCAACAATACCCTAGCAGCAATGAGCACATGTACTGCCCACGTCTTACTTTCTAATACCATTCTCTAAAGAGGGGACACGGTTCCTTGGAGAGATGCCTGATTGTGGAACTGGGGCAGGAAATATGTCTTTTTTTTTTTTTTTTTTTGAGATGGAGTCTCGCTCTTGTTGTCCAGGCTGGAGTGCAATGGCATGAACTGGGCTCACTGCAACCTCCACCTCCTGGGTTCAAGCAATTCTCCTGCCTCAGCCTCCCGAGCAGCTGGGATTACAGGCGCACACCACCACGCCCGGCTAATTTTTTGTATTTTTAGTAGAGACGGGGTTTCATCATGCTGGCCAGGCTGGTCTCGAACTCCTGACCTCAGGTGATCTGCCCGCCTTGGCCTTCCAAAGTGTTGGGATTACAGGCGTGAGCCACCATGCCCAGCCAAAAGTATGTCTTAAAGTGCCAAAAAGTAAGGAAGTACTGAAAAACCCCAAGATATCAAAAACTTACAAGAACTATGGGGTATGCCAGGGGGACACAGGAACCAAATGAAAGCATTCTCGATGGCCAAATCTAAAACAATTTGAGCAACAAAATACAGTAGTATTGGCTTATAACTCAGTATAAAATAAATATCCATGATTCTACACTGATATAAATAAATAGATTAATAAATAAGGGAGAAGGGCCGTATTCTCCACACAAAAGAATTCTGTAGATACTCCACTCCCAAGGAGGAGGAGGAGCAAACGCCTCAAGTCTTAGGTGTGGGCTATGCATAATGACTTTCTTCCAAGTAGTACAGTCTGGAAATGGAGAAAAGAGTAACTTTATAGTGGAGAGACCTGACAAACTCCTCAGCCAAGTAGTGAAGGTCAACATCAGCAGGCATAAATCATGTTGCTAGTGTGTTCACTTGATACCATGTGGTGAGAATGACACTTTAGTAGTCTTCCTCTCAAAACCCACAACCCCAGTGTAACCATGAGGAAAACATTAGACACTGTCCATTGAGGCTCATTCTACACAATACCTGACCAGTACTTCTCAACACTGTCAAGGTTATTGAAAAGAGGAAAGTATGAGAAACTGTCACAACCAAGAGTACGGGGACATACTGACAAATGTCATGTCGTACCCTGGATGGGGTCCTGAAACAGAAAAGGGAAGGCTGAGGGAATCTGAAGAAAGCATGGACTTTAAATAATGTCTCATTATTGGCTCATTAATTGTAACAAATATACCATAGTAACGTAAGATGTTCATAGGGGAGAGTGGGTGTGAGATGTATGGGAACTACCTTTGCAAATTTTCAGTAAATCTAAACTTGTTCTAAGAATAGTTTATTAAAAAAAACTTTTAAGAAAAGATACCTGCAGAAAGAAGTGGAATAGACTAGGTACCAAGTGCCTTGATACCCATTGTAGATAGAGTGAGTCTGCAGAGAAAAACAAGGTGGCTTTTAGATTTTTGTAGAGAATGGGACAAACAGTAGGGGTTTCATTTTCTCATTTATATAATTGCTTTATAAAAAGTTCACTTTGGAGGCAGGAAAATTCATATAAAATATAAAAGTCAGCATTGCCTTCTTAGAAATACTGTGTTGCAAAATACTGTCATTAAAATCTATAGCAATAATGGCTAAAAAAATCTTCACATGTAGATCAAAGAATTCTAGAATCAATTATACTACATTTTAAAGTAGTACCTATTAAGTTTTTGAGAGCACCATCAAAGCTGTCATTACCAGAAAATTTATAGTGCTATATTCTTTATTCCAGAAAGGATTGAATATAGAAATGTCCATGTTACCAAGAAAGAAAAACTATAATCTAAAACTTGAGAAAAGATGTCAGAAAACCAAAATAGAGGAGGAAATGGAAATTAGGAAAAAAGTGAATACTGGGAATTGTATAAAATTGCAGTTGTCCTGAAATATTTCAACCAAATTCACATCAACCTTACCTTAAGAAAGAAAAGCAAACTAGCAAAATTAGAAATGAAAATAAAGTTCAATGCAGAGGAGTCTAAAAATTTATTAGAGAAAGTTAGCAAAATGAGTAGAGCCACAGAAAGATTTTCTTTGAACTTTTTCATTAAAATGCAGTATTCAGTAATTTAATAGATATTAATTGAGCCTTTGGTAGGTGTCAGGCTCAATTAAGTACTGTGGATACAGTGTTGAACTAAACATCCTTGCTTTCATCACACATTTATATTCTAGAGGAAATAAAACAAATATGCCAGATGGTGTTAGGATTCTGCATTCATTTGTAGGGCTGCCATAACAAAGTATCACAGACTGAGCGGCTTCAGGGACAAATTAATTTTCTCACATTTTTGGTCAGAAACCAGCTCTTCTGACACCTCCTTGCCTTGCAGATGGCCATCTTCTCCTTGTGTGCTCTCACGGTCTTTCCTCTGTGTGTGTCTGTGTCCTAATCGCCTGTTCTTTTTTTTTTTTTTGAGATGGAGCCTCGCTCTGTCACCCAGACTGGAGTGCAGTGGTGCTATCTTGGCTCACTGCAACCTCCACCTCCCAGGTTCAAGCGATTCTCCTGCCTCAGCCTCCTGAGTAGCTGGGATTACAGGTGTGCACCACCACTCCTGGCTAATTTTTGTATTTTTGATAGAGATGGGGTTTCACCACATTGGTTAGGCTAGTCTCGAACTCCTGACCTCATCTGCCCACCTTGGCCTCTCAAAGTGCTGGAATTACAGGTGTAAGCCACCGCACCCGACCTAATCACCTCTTCTTATGAGGACATCTGTCATATTGGATTAGGGCCCACTCTAATCTCCTTTTTTAACCTCCTCTTTAAGGACCCTATCTCAAAATGCAGTCACATTCTGAGATCTGGGAGTTAGGACTTCAACATATGAATTTTGGGGGTGGAGGGACACAATTTAGACCATATCAGATAATACATTATGCTGTGGTAACAAATCAATCCCAAAAGCTCAGTGATTTAACACAACAAAGTTTATTTTTCCACCATGGAAAACTCACTGAGCCAGGCAACTTCCCAGAACAGCTGACCCAGGCAGTGACTCAGTGATTTAGGCTGTGTCCACTCTGTGGCTTCACCACTGCAACATGTGGTCTAGATCACTGCAGCAGGGGAAGACAGAGCTGGAGGGTTGCATTTGGTGCTTTTGCCTAGATGTGTATATGCCCCTTTTTGCTCACAGCCCATTGTTTATAGGGCCTGACCTAATTGCAAGGGTTATATGAAAGGAGCTGGTAGCAAATGGATATTTAATGTGCTATAAATCTCTGCCAGAGATGGCAATAAGTGCTAATAACAAAAACCAAGCAGGGGAAGGTGACATTGATAGGAGTGCTGTTTCACAAAGGATGGTCAAAGACAACCTCGAGAAAGTCACATTTAAATAAGCTATAAAGGAAGTGAGGAAACATGTCCGGAATTGGTGGGTTCTTGGTCTCACTGACTTCAGGAATGAAGCCGCGGACCCTCACGGTGAGTGTCACAGTTCTCAAAGGCAGCGTGTCCGGAGTTTGTTCCTTCTGATGTTCAGATGTGTTCGGAGTTTTTTCCTTCTGGTGGGGTTCCTGGTCTCGCTGGCTTAGGAGTGAAGCTGCGGACCTTCCTGGTGAGTGTTACAGCTCTTAAGGCCGCGCGTCTGCAGCTGTTCATTCCTCCCGGTGGGTTTGTGGTCTCGCTGGCTTCAGGAGTGAAGCTGCAGACCTTCATGGTGAGTGTTACAGCTCATAAAGGCAGTGTGGACCCAAAGAGTGAACAGCAGCAAGATTTACTGCAAAGAGCGAAATAACAAAGTTTCCACAGTGTGGAAGGTAACCCAAGGGGGTTGCCACTGCTGGCTCAGGCAACCTGCTTTTACTCTCTTATCTGGCCCCACCCACATCCTGCTGATTGGTAGAGCCAAGTGGTCTGTTTTGACAGGGCACTGATTGTTGCGTTTACAATCCCTGAGCTAGACACAAAAGTTCTCCACCTCCCCACCAGATTAGCTAGATACAGAGTGTCCATTGGTGCATTCACAAACCCTGAGCTAGACACAGGGTGCTGATTGGTGTGTTTACAAACCTTGAGCTAGATACAGAGTGCCGATTGGTGTATTTACAATCCCTGAGCTAGACATAAAGGTTCTCCACGTCCCCACCAGACTCAGAAGCCCAGCTGGCATCACCCAGTGGATCCCACACCAGGGCTGCAGGTGGAGCTGCCTGCCAGTCCCGCGCCGTGCGCCCGCACTGCTCAGCCCTTGGGTGGTCGATGGGACTGGGTGCCCTGGAGCAGGGGGCGGCGCTGGTCGGAGAGGCTCTGGCCGCACAGGAGCCCACGGAGGAGGGGGAGGCTCAGGCATGGCTGGCTGCAGGTCCAGAGCCCTGCCCTGCAGGGAGGCAGCTAAGGCCCGGCGAGAAATGGAGTGCAGCGCCGGTGGGCCGGCACTGCTGGGGGACCCAGCACACCCTCCGCAGCCGCTGGCCTGGGTGCTAAGCCCCTCATTGCCCGGGGCGGCAGGGCCGGCAGGCCGCTCCCAGTGCCGGTCCGCCAAGCCCACTCCCACCGGGAACTCCAGCTGGCCCGCAAGCGCCGCGCGCAGCCCCGGTTCCTGCTCACGCCTCCTCCACACCTCCCTGCAAGCTGAAGGTGCCGGCTCCGGCCTTGGCCAGCCCAGAAAGGGGGTCCCACAGTGCAGTGGTGGGCTGAAGGGCTCCTCAAGCGCCGCCAGAGTGGGCGCCAAGGTCGAGGAGGCGCCGAGAGCGAGCGAGGGCGCACGCTGTCACCTCTCAGAAATGGAAGGAAATGTTCTACTCTTGAGGAGACTAAGGAACAGCAAGGAAGTCAGGTGGCTAGAGCAAAGCAAGTGAGAGGACGATGGGAAATAGGGGCTAGATCATGCAGGACTTAGAGCCAAACACTTCTGGATTTTATTCTGAATTGGGAAAATACTGGGGTTGACATGGTTTTGAAAAGTCACTTTGGCGATTGTGTAGGAAAAAAAAGACTGTAAGGAGGCAAGGATGGAAGTTGAGAGAAATATACAGCAGTCATCCACGTGGGAGATCCTAGGGCTGGGCTGGGCTGTAGCAGCTCCTGGATGATAGTCACATGCTCTCCTTTCTCAAACCACCAGCACCTCTCTCCCTCTTGTCATGCTCAGCTTTTATTTTATTAAACTATCAACAATCGAAGAGAAATTCCACATGATACAGAAACATCGGGGATTCTGTCTAAGTCTTGGTGCTCACTGCTGAGGAAGAAGACTTTAATCAGGTGTTGCAGCCAAGGAGATGGGAGGTCAGTCTCAAATCCATCTCCCTGACTAAAATTTGGGGTTTATATAGCGGGGAAGAAGTGTAACAGTGTGTTAGAAAACACGAACTAGGGAGCGGTAAGGAAACAAAAGGAAGGGTCTGGCATCTCATTGTCTGAATGTGGTAATCTGGTAAGTTTCAATTATTTGATACTTTTTCAGAGGCCAGGGGTCCTTCCCGAGAAAGGAACTCAGATAAAACAAATGTAAGTTTCGAGCTTTAAGAAAAGAAGGGTCACTTTCTATGTTTGGCCAAAAGAACTGTCTATGGGACTATTGGGTCAGTTTCATGTTCAACAACGAATCTACCAAGCTATCTGTATCTGTGGCCTGCTATTCCCCTTCTCTTGTTTTTTCCTTATCTAAGGATGACTCCTCCAATCTACTCAAGATTTTCCTTCTTACAGTTGTCACTTTCTTGTACATCCAGTTATTACAGCATTTGTATTAGCATATAAATATTTAAACAGAAAACCTCAATCCTGCATCTCTTACCTACTATGATCCTATTTCCCTGCTCTCCTTTACAGCAAGAAAGCAATGATTGTATTTACTTGTCGTCACCATCTGTTATCTCAAGAATCAGGCTTTTAATCCTACCACTTTATCTTAATTGCTCTGTTCCCAAGGTCTCAGTGATCTCTACACTGACAGTTCAGAGGTCAATCCTCAACTGACTCAGCCTCTCAGTGCAAATGACACCTTTAGGCACTTGTCTCCTGAAACATTTCTTCACTTGATCAGGACTCCTCTGTTCCAGTTCTCCTCTTAACTCTGATTGCTTCTTCTAAATTTCCTTCTTATCTCTACAGTACCAGATGTCTAGCCTTTCAGTCTCTTCTTTTGCTGCAATTATGCAATTCGGACTTATGAACGTCCTAGATCGGTGACTTTCAATGATTTTCAAACTGTAGGCCACAACTGTTACTGGGTTAAAAAAATCAATTGAGTTCGGAGTGAAAAATTTAAACAGAAGAAATCGTGCATCACACGTAGGAATGGTAAATTTGTTTCTGGAAACTTTTAAATTATATACATGTATTTGGTTAATATGTAAAATGTATTTTGTATTTTGGGTTGAGGTCAAAGATATGAAAATAATTCTCTGTGTGATCTCATCCAATCATGTGGCTTTTTGAATACCACTGCCTAATCTTCAATTTATATCTCTATATCTCTCCTCTGAATTCCAGTCTGGTGAACTCGAGTCTGGTGAAACTATATCTTTATTAAGGTTATTAATAAAAAGGAAAAAGTATTATATCAAGGCAACAACAACAACAACAACAAAAAAAAAGGAAAAGGCATTTAGATTTGGGACCAGGAAACGTGAATTCAATGTTGGCTCTACCACATAGCTTTGCAACACTTTACTAGGTTATTGCTAGTTTCTTCCTTTGTTTGCAAGCTCCCCATTAGTCCTTACATTCATCTATTCTAGTGGGAACACTAGCATATCTGTTGTATTAGATTGGGTGGCATTATAGAGCCATGCACTGTACATTTGCCATATATTTTGTCATACATAACACATTTTATTTTATTTTATTTCGAGATGGAGTTTCAGTCTGTCGCCCAGGCTGGAGTGCAGTGGCGCGATCTCGGCTCACTGCAAGCTCTGCCTCCCAGGTTCACGCCATTCTCCTGCCTCAGCCTCCCGAGTAGCTGGGACTACAGGTGCCCGCTACCACGCCTGGCTAATTTTGTGTATTTTTAGTAGAGATGGGGTTTCACCTTGTTAGCCAGGATGGTCTCGATCTCCTGACCTTGTGTTCTGCCCACCTCGGCCTCCCAAAGTGCTGGGATTACAGGCGTGAGCAACTGCGCCTGGCCAACACATTTTATTTTTTGCAATGAAACTCTTTAAAGAACTAGAACATGGTTGGGCGTCGTGGCTCACACCTGTAATCCCAGTGAGAGGTGAAGCCAGCTGGACTTCCTGGGTCAAGTGGAGACTTGGAGAACTTTTCTGTGTCTAGCTAAAGGATTGTAAATGCACCAATAAGCACTCTGTAAAATGGACCAATCAGTGCTCTGTAAGATGGACCAATCATCAGGATGTGGGCAGGGACAAATAAGGGAATAAAAGTTGGCCACCCCAGCCAGCAGAAGCAACCTGCTCGACTCCCTTTCCACACTGTGGAAGCTTTGTTCTTTTGCTCTTTACAATAAATTTTGCTGCTGCTCGCTCTTTGGGTCCGTGCCACCTTTAAGAGCTGTAACACTCACTGCAGAGGTCCGTGGCTTCATTCTTGAAGTCAGTGAGACCAAGAACCCACCAGAAGGAACCAACCCCGGGCACACCAGCACTTTGAGAGGCCGAGGCGGGCGGGTCACCTGAGGTCAGGAGTTCGAGACCAGCCTGGCCAACATGGTGAAACCCTGTCTCTACTAAACATACCAAAAATTAGCTGGGTGTGGTGGCAGGCGCCTGTAATCCCAGCTACTCAGGAGGCTGAGATGGGAGAATTGCTTGAACCAGATAGGTGGAGGTTGCAGTGAGCTGAGATCGCATCATTGCTCTCCAGCCTTGGCAACACAAGCAAAACTCGTCTCAAACAACAACAACAACAACAACAACAAAACTAGAACATGGTTGATGGGTTGATGTATTTAACCATTTGGTAGGGAGTCAGTGTGACTGGTTCTGGAGATAACACTGATCACTTGGCTCAAGCCTGAATTCTTTCTTATGTCTTCATGTCCCACAAACTGTAGGAGAGGGTAGGTAATTTCCCTATGTGGGCTAAGGCAAAGGAAAGGCAGTGTATTAGGAGTCCCCATTAACACAAGCAGGGAGGATTTGGAATTAAGCTGTTGCCACAAGGCCAGTATGCCTCTTGGAGTGAGCACCTGGTGCCCTATGAGCAATTCCCTTACTGGCTGCCTTACATTCTGAGTGCAACAGTTTCTTCCCAATTGTGCTTTGTTTCCTTGCTGGCAATCCGCCCCCCCCTTTTTTTTTTTTGGAGATGGAGTCTCACTCTGTCACCTAGGCTGGAGTGCAGTGGCATGATCTTGGCTCACTGCAGCATCTGCCTCCTAGGTTCAAGTGATTATCCTGTCTCAGCCTCCCGAGTAGCTGGGATTACAGATACCCGCCACCATGCCTGGCTAATTTTTGTATTTTTAGTAGAGAGGAGGTTTCATGTTGGCTAGGCCACGTTGGCCAGGCCGGTCTTGAACTCCTGAGCTCAGGTGATCTGCCTGCCTCGGCCTCCCAAAGTGCTAGTATTACAGACGTGAGCCACCACGCCTGGCTGGCAATCCCTTCTTGAACTACACTCCAGGTGGCAAGAATCTGGACCCAGGACCTGGACACGTTCAAGTTGTCAGCTCCCTTTCCCTCAGGACTCTGACCTCCTATACTAATACCCCGTCGCCAAAGACCATATTGGTTAACATTTACCCAACACTGTATGTATTGGGCACTTAAAAGTGTTATACAGGCATTACCTCATTTTGTCTCATAACCACTCTATTCAGTAGATATCTTTCAGAAAGCTGAAGAGAGGCTCGGAAAGGTTAAGGAAATTGCCTAGACAGTAATGGTTGCGCCAGGACTCACCCTAGCTTTGTCTCCATGAGTGCTGCTTATCAGCCCTGCATAGCTCACAGATCCCTGTTGAACTACGAAGGTTCTGCCGCTTCCTGTAGAAGGATGACAGGATTCCATATCCATTCATCAGTCAGCCAACCCTTTGGCTCAACAAGCCTGGTCTAGGCATAAGCTATACCAATGGAAGATATTGGTACTACCTTCATGGAACACCTGCTGCCAGAAGCAGTAGAGCCAACCAGGTTGTGGCAACTGGCCTTGATAACCTATTTTCCACAGTAAAAGACAAATGGAGAAAATTCATCATTTTTCTGCTCTTTGTAATACTGTATTGTAAGTGTGTTATAGAAATGGAGATGTTTTGACCTTGCTGATCCAGAGGATATCTTGAGCACACTGTTTTGAACCTGACAATCTGCTTTTTACTTAGCCAAAAATTCAAAGTGGTCAGAATTGTAGGGAGGAATTGATTAGCTATATGATAGATCACTCCGGGACAACAGAACAACTATGGAATATTTGAGAGGATTTGCTTATAATTCACTCATGAATTTACTAAGAAATACAAATTATTCATCTTTTATGCATGATTATGGGAGAAATAAAACTGGCAGTGGTTGAAACTATTTCTGGGAAGTTTGATGTAGGAAAATTGGATTTGGTAGACAGTGATGAAAGTGACAGAGGAATAATGAGAGTTTTATGTGGACAAAAGATGAATGCAGAGTCTGGCCCGGTGCAGTGGCTCATGCCTGTATTCCCAGCACTTTGGCAGGCAGAGGCAGGCGGATCACGAGGTCAGGAGATTGAGACCATCCTGGCTAACACGGTGAAACCTCGTCTCTACTAAAAACACAAAAAAATAGCCGGGCGTGGTGGCGGGCGCCTGTAGTCCCAGCTACTGGGGAGGCTGAGGCAGGAGAATGGCGTGAACCCAGGAGGTGGAGCTTGCAGTGAGCCGAGATCGTACCACTGCACTCCAGCCTGGGCTACAGAGTGAGACTCCGTCTCAAAAAAAAAAAAAAGAGATGAATGCAGAATCAAATATTTAGACGTCTGTATGTACACAGAGATGATTCCCCCATAAAAATTAAAATACAACTTAAAAGTAAGAAGTCGTATAAACCTCCTTCACGTGCTTTCTCTGGCTGAGAGGCTATGCTGTGGGAATCTTTCAGTCCAGATTAGGGAGCGAAAGCAAACAAAAATCTGTCAAGGCAAAAACCGTTATTACTTATTCCTTCGCTTTTCCTCCCGTTTGATAGCCTCAGGTAAGAAAGTATTTTCCATCTTCTTCTCCAAGTAAAACATCCTTTTGCCAGACAAAATTTCCTTTTCCTTCCAAAACACTAATATTAATAACATGTAGTCAGGGCCAGGAGACACTAAACGACACACACAGAGCTGGGGAAGTCTTTTCGGTTCCAAGCCCAGTGGGTTGTCGCCTGGGCACTGCGAAGGGGTGGAAGCACAGAAAGGCCGCGCGGCGGCACCCGCTGCAGCCCGCCCCCAGCGCGCTGCAGTCGCCGGGGCAACGCCTCCACCCAACTCGGCCGGACACGTGACGCCCGCGTCACGTGACCTGCCACTCGGTGTCCTCCCGCGGAGGGGCGTAGGGTGTAAACAGGCGACGCGCTGGGGGAGGTGCGGCCTTGCTGCGTCCACGTCTCGGGCATGCTCGAGGCGGGCCAGGGCGGTAGCGCCGCCAGCTCAGAGCCCACCTGAGGTAACTCCTGCGGCCTCTAGGATCGGAGTCCCCCACGCCGCGCGCAGCCGCCGCCGCTGGCCGCCAATAAGGGCGGCCGAGCCCCCGGCCCGGGCAGGGGGTGTGGCTGCCGGCAGCGCGTCGGCTACAGGTGGGCTGGGCTGGGCTGGGCTGGGCTGGGCTGGGTGGGGGCGGCCGCCAAGGACCCATCCCTGCGCTGCGGGCCCGGCGTGGAGCCCGCGGAGAGGCAGCGCGACTCCAGGCAGTGGGTCTCTCTGCCCCGGTGCTCGCGTCTGCCCCTGGGGCCGGGCCGAGCGGAACCAGGAATCGCAGAAACGGTCAGCGCCCAGGGCTCTAGGCCGGCCGCCCCGGGTGCCAGGTGAATTCCTTTCCCTGACCGGCTGTGAGACGTTGGCCCGTCAGCCGTCGTCTTTGGCCTGAGTGTGCACATCTGTAAAATGGAAGCTCGGACTAGTGATCCGTGAGGACCTTCCACGTCTGACGTGTGATCTCGAGAGACCTGCGTACATTCGGGGTGCCAGAAGGAAAGCATAGGTAACTATTTTGTCCTTTAATTGCTAACTTTTCTTTGGTCTTTAAATCTGTTTTCATCTTAAACGATTCGTATTCCTGTCCACCTGGGTGAAGTTTTTAATAGAAAACTTATTGGGTGGGGGTTATAATGGTTTATGTTACCGTTTTCATGTTTCTTTAATGCAACAAAACCTTTTTTTCTTAAAACCTATTTGGAAGCCCAAATTGTAAAAATAAATAAATAAAAATGGAACCCTTTTCTGCCTCACTATCACTATTCTCACCACCCATCCCCACGCTAACTACCCTTGAGGACCCCTGCAAGTCATAGGTTGAGGAGCTCTGTATGGAGTTGAGGAAATGTTTTGTGTATTTTTTAATTTGATGGGATCTGGAAAATGAATTCTTTGCATGTGTGGAGTTTTCTGTTATTTTTCTCTTTATTTTGTTCGATTGCATGCTATGTAATTAGACAGCTAGCATAACCCTCACATACCATACTTCGGGGCCTTTTTGGCCCCAAAATTTCTGATAAAGACGTTTCTCTTTCCATGTTTCCTTGCATCCCAGTCCCTGGGGAAGTAAGTGTATGTTTATAATAGTGAGACTTCATTCCTCATTGCTGATTTAGTTGCTCCGATACAGAATGGGAATGGGAGACTTTTGAGGCCAACCGAATGGGTTAGGACATATCTGAAAAACATGAAAACGCTAAAAAGCATGAAAACTGAAGGAGTATACGAACTCAAGTCGTTGAGAGTCATGAAATAATGTGAACATGCTCTTGTGTGAAATCTTGAGACCCTGGAGCAAGAGAATTTTGGATTTTGAGAGAACTGAGTTCAGGAGAGAAGGATGTCCTGTTTCATATGGTGAGTGAAAATATAAACAGTATGAGGTGGTAGTGTGTAGACAAAATTATCAGGTTTTTTTTTTTTAAGAGTAGCACATAGTTTCCTAATTGATTTTGGAGACTAGGGTTTTAAGAGATGTACTGAAACTTGAAGTTTAATGTTACAAGAGGGAAACCATACTCTTTTACACCTTGTCTGCTTGGTGCTTCTGTGAGTTGAGCAAGAATTGGAAGTGGAATGTACTGTAAGTGGTACCCAAGGTGACCTAGTGGAAAGGTTTTCTCTTTTCAAAACCAACTTACTTCCCTGATCTTTGGCTTAAGCTTAAGCAAGTCAGTTCCTTTCTTTGGTTCTCAGTTTCTGCTGAAAAATGAGGAAATTGGATTGATTACTATTCTACCTTTTGGCTCCAGCTAGGTTTGCCAGATAAAATACAGGATGCCTAGTTGATATGAATTTCAGATAAACAGTGAATTTTTGTAAAATTTTTAAAATAAATTTTTACTATAAATATTACGTGGGAGCATACTTGTACTAAAAAAAAGATTCGTTGTTTGTCTGAAATTAAAGTGTAACTGGGCTTGCTGTATTTATATTTCCTAAATCTGGCAGCCTTAGCTCCAACATTTTTGTCTCCTTTAAATTAGTGCCAGCTCAAAGCAGAGCTGGGAATGAATTGATTCAAGCAGCCAAGAAACCCTAATGGTTGTCAGTAGTAGCGTCTGGTTCTTGAGGGTTGTCGTTGATTCACTTGTGGTTTGTTTCTTTTTCCCTTATGTAGTAGTTCCATTTCTGCTATAATCACATAATGTTTAGGTTTATACTTCTGGTGGTAAGTAGTTTAAAATATCTGAAAGCAAGTTAAAAATATTGCTGAAATTTCTAAAAGTAACCTCATTTTTTCGAGCCTTGAAATGGTATGTGCTTTTTCCCCCCCGTAAAAGACACTTTACAACCCTACCTGTTCCCTAGGTTTGTGGTTGACTGCAAGACATTTTCTAAAGCCGTGGACTGTTCTGATGCCAAGTAATCAGGAAGTTATTCTTATGGCTTCTAATTTTGTTCCCTGTGAATATGAAAAATTATCACTGTATACACTATAAACATTTTATATTTTATCTGACTGTTGTCAGCTTTGTCTTTGCTGTATTGAAGGGTTTTCAATTTTGAAATTCTTTTTCAAGGAGTGTAATTTTAAACTCTTTCTTTCTTTCTTGTCCAGACCAATTTCTTAACTCACTTGGAAATGCCTGAATTTTCTAATTCATTTTTTAAATCAATAGTCAACAAAAAATTTGGTGTGTTTGGAGAGCCAGGTTGATGATGTGACTGGTGTTCTAGTTCTCCAGGTGCTAATTTCTGATAGAGGAGTTAAAACGTGTAATCTGAGGATAATATGATGAAGGCTTTGAAGAGGTACAAATGCTATGGAAATTGAGAGGAAGGATGGGTGCCCTTCAGATTGATATATGGAAGAAAATCTCTGGAGGAGGTAGAAGTGGATTCTGGACATGGAAGTAGAGGTGGGATCAGGAAGACAGAGGTGGACAGAACGGTGGAAAGAAGTGGATAAGGGCAAGGAATCTGTCTTCTCAGTTCTACAAAGCATACACTTTGCTGGATTTAAAATACTTTACAATATTGTGTATGTGTGGTGTTTGGTTCACTGTGATGCTCTCATCTCCTTTATATTTACTTTGAACTGCTCTGGTGTCTTTCTGTATTAGAAAGACCTTCAGTTGTCAGTGAAGCTCTTTGAAAAAATGTTTATTAAATGTGTCACGCATATAAGAGTATGTATTGAAAAAAGTAGAATATTACCAATAGCATTGAGACCTCCTGTGTACTTCTTCCTTCCTCTCAAAGGTAACCAGCATGCTGAATTCTGTGTCTGTCATTTCTTTGCTTGCTGCTGCTGCTGCTTTTTTTTTTTTGAGACAGAGTTTTGCTCTGTCACTCAGGCTGGATGGAGTGCAGTGGCACCATCTTGGCTCACTGCAACTCTGCCTCCTGGGTTGAAGCAATTCTCCTGCCTCAACCTCCCAAGTAGCTAGGACTATGGGCACACGCCACCATGCCCTACTAATTTTTGTATTTTTGTAGAGACAGGCTTTCACCATGTTGGCCAGACTGGTCTGTGTCTCAGGCGTCCATGTGAAGAGACCACCAAACAGGCTTTGTGGGAGCAGCAAGGCTGTCTGTTTCACCTGGGTGCAGGCAGACTGAGTCCGAAAAGAGAGTCAGCAAAGGGTGGTGGATTATCATTAGTTCTTATAGGTTTCTCAACACCTATAAGGTGGTGGAGTTAGGAGCAATGTTTTGCGGGCAAGGGGTGGAACTCACAAAGTACATTCTCAAGGGTGGGGAGAATTACAAAGAACCTTCTTAAGGGTGGGGGAGATTACAAAGTACGTTTATCAGTTAGGGTGGGGCAGAAACCAATCACAATGGTGGAACGTCATCAGTTAAGACTATTTTCACTTCTTTTGTGGATCTTCAGTTGCTTCAGGCCATCTGGATGTATAAGTGCAGGTCACAGGGGATATGTTGGCTTAGCTTGGGCTCAGGCCTGACAGTCTTAGACTCCTGACCTCAAGTGATCTGCCTGCCTTAGCCTTCCAAAGTGCTGGGATTGCAGGTATAAGCCACTGCGCCTGGCCTGCTTTCTTGATAATGTTATTTTACGTTGTATATGTATATCCCCCCAAAAT
Organism: Homo sapiens; assembly: GCF_000001405.40. Taxonomy (NCBI): domain Eukaryota; kingdom Metazoa; phylum Chordata; class Mammalia; order Primates; family Hominidae; genus Homo; species Homo sapiens. The sequence continues at coordinate 45,590,690 of NC_000010.11, read as the reverse complement.
ATTGTTTGCTTATGCATATTTTTAAACTTTATATAAATGGCATCATGCTATGTGGACTTTTTTTCCTGCAACTTTTTAAATTAGTTACTAAGTTTCATCCATGTTTTTCTTCAAAGGTAAGAATTTCTCTGGAATATACATCTAGGATTGGAGTTGTTGTTTGTCAGGTGCGTACACCAGTAACTACTAGATACAAATTGCTTTCCAATGTAGCTGTACGGTTTTATTGTCCTACAAGCAGTGGGAGAGTTCCTGTTTTTATCCTGTCTACATGCTCCCCAGTGTTTGGTATGAGAAAACCATGTATCTATTAAAGGTCTAGTATCCAGAGTAAGTATCCAGAGTATTTAAGGAACTCTTATACCTCAGTCATAAAAAGAAAAGGAACTCAAAAAAATCGACAAAGGATTTGAATAGGCAGTTCTTCAGATAAGACATACAAATAGCCAGTAAGCACATGAAAAGATGTTTTACATCATTAGCTACCATGTAAATGGAAATCAAAACCACAGTGAAATACCATGTTACACCAACGAAGTAACTAAGACGGTTACTAAGTGACTGTCTAAGTGACCATCTTAGTAAACTAAGATGGCTATGTATAATAAAAAAGACAGGTAATAATAAGTGTTGGTGATGTTGTGGAGAAATTGGAATCTACATGTTGGAATGTAAACTGGAGCAACTGCTTTGAGAAACAGTCTGGCAGTTCTTGAAATGGCTAGATTTGGGATAAGGGATGATAAAGCAGTTCCACTCCTAGGTATATACCCAAGAGAAATGAAAACATATATTTATGCCAATATTTGTATGTACATGTTCACAGTAGCGGTAGCCATAATAGCCAAAAAGTTGAAACAACTCAAACATATATCAACTGATGAATGGTTTAAATAATGTGGTCTATCCATGCAGTGGACTATTATTCAGGAATAAAAAGGAATGAAGTACTGACTCATGCTACAAATGGATGAACCTTGAAAACATTCTAAGTGATAAAAGAAACAGTCACAAAAGGCAACACATTGTGTGATTACATTTATATGGAATGTCCAGAATACAAATATAGAATTAGATAGTAGATTACTGGTTGCCTAGAACTGGTGTTGGGGTAGGGGGTGGGGAAAAATGGGGGTTTGACAGCTAAAGAGGACTAGGTTTCTTTTTGGGGTGATAAAATATTCTAAAATTGATTGTGGTGATGGTTGTACAGTTCTGTGCATTTGCTAAAAACTATTGAATTGCACACCTGCAAAAAAGCTATTAGTGGAAAGAAGGAAATTTTTTTTAACAAAGATGCCATGTTGTATGCCTCCTGGAGAATCCTAGGTGGTAGGGACTGAGACTTGCTTATAGCCATGTGACTGAGATGGGAACCATATCCTTTTAATACATGGAGGCCTTCAGAGGATCCCACAGCTTGGCCAGCAGCTTGACTGCAACCCCATGATAGACTTTGACCCAGAAGTACCCAGCTAAGCTGTGCCTAGATTTCTGGCCTATGGTAACTATGAGGTAATAAATGTCCATTGTTTTAAACTACTGAGTTTTGGGTTAACTTGTGTGCAACAGTAAACACTCATAAGCAGCAGTGTTGCAATGTGTATTTTTTAAATTTTAGTTTTCTGGAAAACTATGGTGATTAAATTACTAAATTATAATATGGATTCTTTTTTTTTTTTTTTTTTTTTTGAAACGTAGTCTTGCTCTGTCACCCAGGCTGGAGTGCAGTGGCGTGATCTTGGCTCACTGCAAGCTCCACCTCCCATGTTCATGCCAGTCTCCCTGCCTCAGCCTCCTGAGTAGCTGGAACTACAGGCACCTGCCACCATGCCAGGCTAATTTTTTGTATTTTTAGTAGAGACGGGGTTTCACTGTGTTAGCCAGGATGGTCTCGATCTCTTGACCTCGTGATCCACCCACCTTGGCCTCCCAAAGTGCTGGGATTACAGGCATGAGCCACTGCACCCGGCCTATAATGGATTCTTTTATTCATTATTTTGTTAACCACAATTCATAACCAATAGTCAATGATACATTTATTGAGATATCCTGCCAATTATTGGGGATAAATTATACTTAAAATGGCTAAAATTTCTTTTATTACAGTTTGAAAAAATGTGTAATCTCTGTATAATACAAGTCTTTATCAACCAAAACAGGCAATTTTAAGACAATATAGCAGTACATAACATTTCACATATTGGTATGGTTTTCTGGTAACTTTTATATTTAAAACATAAGTGGTATTAATATGTTGGGAGATTTATTTATTTATGACTTCAGCAAAGGCACTCAAAAAAGAATCATCAAGGCAAAACTACCGTCTCATAGAAGCCAACCCGTTCTTGTAGGAACTATATGAAAGGAGGTTAAAAAGATTTTTGTTCTTTTCCTTTGAATATTTCTGTTCTTCAGTTGAAGAAATGTTGTATGACTGTATGGATAAGGAAAGTGTTTCGAAATTTCATTTAAGAAATGAAGACATGTTTTCACAGTTTGTAAGGATTTTCTTTTTTTTTTTTTACTTTTGACAAAATGAAAAAATATATTTATTAGCATGTAAGGATAGCTGAAATATTGTGTGAAAAAAAGCCTACTGAATTTTCTCCTATGTTCTAGAGGTTTTATAGCTCCACTATTAAGGTTCATGATCAATTTTTAGGGGTTGATAGGGTGTTTGGTATGAGCTATGGGTCTAGGTTCTTTACTTTCCTTTATGAATACACAGTTTTTTAATTTTAATTTTATTTTTTGTCCGAGGAGGCCTTGGGCTCAAGCTAGCTGGTCTAATATACATTTTTTAATATCATTTGTTGAAAAGGTAATTCTTTCCCTATTGAGTTTCTTCCCCTTTCTCTATCCTTTGCCCATTGAGTTCTCTTGGCATTTTTGTTGAAAGTCAACTGGTGATGTATGTGTGGATCTGCTTTTGGACTCTCTCCTGTTGCTTTTGCTGTCTGTTCTTATGTCGGTACCATATTATCTTTATCTATAACTTTATATGAGGTTTGAAATTGGTTAGTGTAAATCCTCCAACTTTGTTCCTTATTTTCAAAAATTTTCTGGGTATTATAGGTCCTTTGTGTTTTCAAAAGTATTTTAAAATCAGCTTGTTAGGTTTTTTAAAAAAGAAAACAACTTGTGGTTTCAATTGGGATTGTCTTGGTTCTATAGATCAGTTTGTGGAGAATTGCTATTTTAATGTCATCGAACCTTTCAATACATGAACATGGTATAGCTCTCCATTTATTTAGTTCTTTAATTTCTTGCAACATGTTTTTTAGTTTTGCAGTGTACAGGTCCTATGCATATTTTGTTGAATTTATATCTTAATATCTTACATTTTTAATGTCATTGTAAATAGGATTAAAAAATCATTTCTCAAGTATTCCTTGCTAATGTGTAAAAATACAGCTGATTTTTGTATATTGTCTTTGTGTCTTGTAGCCTTTCTGAATCCACTTACTAGTTCTGGTAGTCTTTTGGTTGGATTTTCTCCACATACAGTCATTGAATAAAGACAGTTTTACGTCTTCCTTTCCACTCATGTGCTTTCTATTTCTTTTTCTTGCCTTATGACACTGATGAGGACCTCAAGTCCAATATTATGATAGAAGTGGTGAGAGCAGATGTCCATGTCCTGTTGTCAATTTGAGGGAGAAAGCATTTAGTCTTATATGTGGTACAAAAAGCACTAACTACAACATTTTAAAAATGTTAAATTGGACTTAATAAAATTAAAACGTATGCACTTTAGGAGATGTTAAGGAAAAGAAACAGTATACTATAGACTGGGAGCAAATGTTGGCAATTTATGTATCTGACAGAGGACTTTTATCCAGCATATATAAAGAACTTCAGTAAATTAAGAAGAAGCTAGAGAACTCAAATTGCAAAATCGGTAAAAAAAAAATTTGTGGAGCAACTTCACAAAATAAGGTATTTGAAATTCTAGTAGACATACTAAAAATTCCCAATATATTTATTAAAGGAAATTATGAGCAACTTTTTGCCTACAAGAAGGGTCAAAATGAAAAAGACTAACAATACCAAGTGTTGGTGAGGATGTAGAGCAATCAGAATTTTACATAAATTGCTGATAGGAATGTACAGGCACTTTGGAAAACTGTTTGACAGTTTCCTATTAACTTAAACATGCACTTACTGTATGACCTAGACATTTACACCCCTGGGTGTAAAATAAAACCTTAAATTCACAAATGACTTGTACTCAGTGCTTAACACCGGAAAGAGTATAATCTTTCAACAAGTCTGCAATGGGATATTAGGAGAAAAAAGGAGTGAATTGCACAGTGTCACTATATGAAATTAAAAACATTATGCTGAGCAAAAGAAGCCAGACAAAACACTACATTCTGTATGATTTGATTGATGTGTAATTCTAGAACCACCAAAACATTAAGAGAGCAGATTAGTGGTTGCCTGAGGTTATAGGTAGGGGTGGGGAATGACTGCAGAGGAGCAAAAGAGAACTTTCTGTGGTGATGGAATTACTCTGTATTTTGATTGGGTGGTGGTTATACTACGTATACACTTTTTATACACTTTTGTCAGAACTTCACATTATGCTTAAGATGGGTGCATTTTATTTTATGTAAATTATGTCTTAATAGAGTTGTTTTTAAAAAGGGTCTAAAAAGCATTTACAGACTGAACATATACCTATGTGTATATATACTGAGATTTTATGTAAAATATTTAAATGTATGTATACTCATAGGAAATGTCTAGAAGGATGTTAAGCAAATTGTTACTAATTATGTCCAGGTGGTGAGAATTTTAGGTGATTAAAAAAATGATTGGACTCTTTATATCATTTGAATTATTCCTTTCAATGAACACATCTTTGCCAAAGAAAAGAAGTTTTTTTTGTTATGTAGAAGTTTGATTATCTAGATGTTTTCATTTTTCAAATATTGAATAGATATTACAATATTTATAAATTATGTATAGAATGTAAGTGCTGTTATTCTGTAATCACCAGTTAGGAACAATCTACATTACTTTTGATGCCCTTCATCTCTCTTCTCTGATCCCATTCTGTTATGTTCCCAGAGACATAACTGCTACCCTGAATTTTGTTTTTATTATTTCATTGCTATAGTTTTACCACATTTGTATCTCTAAGCTGTGTTGTTTTGCCCTGCATGCTGTTGAACTTTATGACTAGAATTGTATTGTGGGTAAACTTCTTTCATTTGCTTTTTTATTCCGTATGAGATTTGAGACTCATTCATATTTTTGTATGGCCGTAGTTCATTGGTGTCTCCTTGTCTTATTGTGTTACATTATGAATATTCCACAATTTGTCCTTTGTAGTACTGATGAATGACTGGATTGTCCATTTTTTTTCTATCATGAGCAGTGGTGATGTGAACATTGTGCATGTCTTTTTATGCTCTTGGGCAAGAGTTTCTCTTTGTGTATGGTCAGGTGTATAGCTGCTGGGTTGTAGGATAATGCATTTCTTCAACTTTTCTAGAAGTAGTAGTTTTCTGTTGCTGTGTAACTAATTACCACAAACTTAGAGGCTTAAAACAACACACATTTTAAAATCTCATGGTCCTATAGGTCAGAAATGCAGTAGGCTTGGCTGGGTTATCTGCTCTGGGTCTTAGGAGGCTGAAATCAAGTTGTCAGTAGGACTGCATTCTTTTCTGGAGGCTCTGGAGATAAATCAACTCCCACACTTATTTGGGTTGTTGGTAGAATTCAGTTCATATGGTTGTAGGACTGAGGTCCATGTGTCCTTGCTGGATGTTAGCTGATGGTCGTTCTCAGCTTCTACAGGCCATACATTTCTTGCCTTGTGATCCTCTTTCTTTCTTCATCTTCAAAGCCGGCAATAGGAGGTTGAATCTCTCTCATGCTTTGAATCTCTCTGACTCATATTTTTTTCCTTCTCTAGATGGAGACCATTCTCTGCTTTTAAGGGCTCATATGATTTGATTGGGTCCACTGGGATAATCTAGATTACTCTATTTTATCTCCGTGGTCCTTTCACAGCTATACTCAAATTAGTGTTTGAATAACCAGGGGCAGGAATCTTGGAGGACTATCTTTAGATTTCTGACTACCACTGTATATAATGTTGTTTTCCATAGTGGTGGTACCAGTATGCATTTACCTTAGCAGACATTGGAGTTCTTGTTCCATGTCCTTAATATTGTCACTTAATATTGTCAGATATTTAGGCTGAGAAGTGGTATCTCATGGTGTTTTTAATCTGTGGGTCCATAATCTGTGGGTCCATATTTATCCATAAGTAAAGATAGTTTTATTTTGTTGCTTTTTAAAAAGTTTTACATAAATAATTTTATTCTGTATGTATTCTCTAACATGTGAGATTTTCCCTCAGATTTGTGCTTTTGTGGTTTGAGTTTTAATAACTACTGTATGGTGTTTTATTGTATGAATAGATCACAATTTGTTCATTCTTTCATTGATGAAAATTTAGATTGTTTCTTAGTTCTTGTGAATGTGTGAGAGAATTTCTTGATATATATATATATATATATATATATATATATATATATATATGATTGTATATATGTTGGTAGAATCTAGAAGTGGAAATCATGTGCATCTTCCCTGTTTTACTATATAGACTTACAAAAAGTAGATTCTTTCCTTTCCTCCTTTTTTTTTTTTTTTTTTTTTGGAAATGAAGTCTCGCTCTGTCACCCAGGCTGGAGTGCAGTGGCACGATCTTGGCTCACTGCAACCTCCGCCCCTCCAGGTTTAAGCAATTCTCTGCCTCAGCCTCCGGAGTAGCTGGGATTGCAGGCGCGTGCCATCACCTTCCCTCCATTCTTTTTTGCTTTCTTTTGTTACTGCTTTTATCCAATCTGACAAGCATATGTCTTTATTGTCTTTAAAAGAGCTACACAGGTAATGTCACAATGCTAAAAAAGTCAAATACTGTAAGTACATAAAGAAAAAGTCTCATCTAGTTATACTGGGTATTTTAATAAAAGTAGCATCATACTACATACTATATTTTGAAATATGCTTTTTCACCTAGATCAATACATACAGATCCGCATTCTTTTAATAATGATGTAGTATTCCTTTGCAGGTTGAGTTTTATTTACTATTCTATACTTAGTACCTAGCAATCAATAAATATTTGTGGGATGAGTGTGAAGAATATATGGGTACATATATTCATGAATTATTCAGCCCTTCCCCTGTTAGTTGATATTTAGTGTGCTCTGATTTGTATCTTTTAAAATGGTGTCACAGTGATCATTCTCATATATATATCTTTGAACATTTATGGGTGTATTCTTAGTCTAGAGCCCTAGAAGTGGAATTGCCTGGTCAAAGGAGATTTAAATTGGATAGTGGCAATTGGTTGTCCCGTTTTTATTTCAGTCTGTACTCCCACTAATGGTGTTTTGGTGTTCTTTCCCCTATTCACTTGCCTACAACATTATCTATTACCGATCCCTTATTTTTCTGTATCTTAAAATTAATGTTGAAATTTTTATCAAAATAATACTTGGACATTGTTTAAAAATAGCGAGCATAAAGTCTTGCAATGAAAAATAGAGGCAAACTCTATTCTTGTTATAATACCTATTTTTAATATTTCTAAACATTTTATTCCACTGTTATTTGTTTATCCACTTTAAATATTATGCATTGCCTTCCCAGTTTGATAGGTGAGGATTTGGACATCTTAAACTCCTCATTTACCATTTCCCACTCTCTGACTGTGGTTACATCCGTATTTTTAGTGAAATCAATAAGAAATATTTAGTTAGTGACAACTTAACTATTCATCTGCAAAGCCAGGTAGTAGTCTATGACTACATTTCCTTTCTTATGTATTTTTTAAGTTAAGTTACCTAGTTTTTTTCACCTGCATCACTTTTTAATACAGATTCTTGGTAGATGGATCATCTTTTCTCTCAGTATTTATATTTTTATAAAACAAAAACTGTCAATCCTTTCACACAACATCTGTACAACTTGATACAGTTCTGAGGGGCGAAAGAGTTAGGAAACTTGAATTCTGCTCCTGACTTTTCTGAATAGCTTGACCTCTGGCAAGCAGCCTTGCCTCACCTCTCTCTGCCTTGTTTACTCATTTATAAAAATGGGATTGGGTTTGAACTGGCTGGTCTCTGATTCCTTTCAGTTCTGCCATTCTGGTTTTTTTGGTCTCCTGTTTAATCTTAATTGTATCACTTAAATAGCTAACTGTAACAGCTTGTGGGGGGAGTGCATTTTACAACTTGGAGAAGAAAAAGGCTTGGATGAGAAAGACAAGATAATATGGAAACTTGAAGGGCTGCTGTATAGAGAATAATTAGGCTGGTTTCATGTGATTCAAAACTAATAGCTGTAGTTGAACGGGAGGTGCTCTGGATTCAGCATAATGGACACACTCCTAACAGTTAATTCCTGTCCAACATTGAAGGGGGCCACCTTAAGTGGTGGGTATTTCCTAACACTGAAAGGACAGAGGTCAAGGTAGATAGGCAAAATGATGCTTTAGAGACAGGTTGAAGTTATTTAAGTCCCAGCCAGCCAGGGATAGTACTGGATGGCTTCTCTAACCTTTTGGCCTCCCATAGGTGGACATTATGGCATGATAAGGTTGTTAAAATAATTTTAAAAAACATATTGTGGCGTGACTCATTGGTCATTACTTTAACCAAATTATAATAATGATGATTCATATACTTTTTTGAAAATCTGCTTTTTTTTTTTTTTTGGTTGAAGTGCCTAAGTACTGTTCTCAGTTTTGAAAATGTTACTCCTTTAAGTCTTGTGTAGTTCTTGATGATTCATCTGGGAAAGCAGCCCTTTTCTTCTTTTTGAGTGATCTTTGAAAGCTTGACACTTTCCCCGTAAACTAAGCTGGGAACTTTGAGTTTGAGTTTTTAGTTGCCACAACTGTGGGGGTGCTAATGGCACCTAGTAGGAAGGGCCTGTTGAGATACACAGCTAAATTAAATTTGTCATTGATTATGTGGGTGTGTTGCCAAGTTTTCTGGAGATGTTTACCAGTCTGGGCAATTTTGATAGTATTATCTTCTTACAGTTTCTGCTGTGAAGCAGTCTTTGAAGAAATATAAGATATTTATAGGAGCAAGCCCTTGGGGAAAAAAGCATTCTTACTAGTTTTATTTGATTAATTAATTAATTACAATGCCCTCATTCCCAATTCTTGAGGTAGAATTTTGATCACCTTAGCATCTGAGTGAGGAGGTAATGTGTGTGTTTACATTTCCTGAACTACCTCAGGTCTCCTCTAACCACTGGGTGTCTTGTTCCTGCTGAATTGTACTGTGCAGTAGACTCCACTGTATTAGTGGATGCATCAGTCTGTGGTAGGATTTCTTGACCTTAGCTCTGCTGACAGTTGGGGTTGGATAATTCTTTGTTGTGGGGAACTGTTCTGTGTATTGTAGGATGTTCAGTAGCATCCCTGGCCTCTTCCTACTAGGTGCCATTAGCACCACCACAATTGTGGCAACTAAAAATATCTCCAAGACACTGGCAAAATCCCCTGGGGTGATAAACTGCCCCTGTTGAGAACCACAGACTTACGAATACCGCTCAGCTGGTCCTCTGCCATGGTTAAGGTCTTCCTACTCTTGTCTGGTTTCTCCGTGTTCCCAGCCTTGCTCACAGCCTCCTCTTACCTGACTGTGCTCTGCTTAGCTAATTAGGCAGAAAGTTGCCAAGTAGAAGGTGGAATCAGTGGGGAATAGGGCAGAGCTGGAGTCAGGTGTGGCCCTGGGTAGGGGCTAAGCTCTGGCAGCACACAGATGGGTGTGTTTTTTTGTGGTAGCTAAGATTAGACTGCTAAAGCAAATGATCTTTGACATGAAAATAAACTGACAATACCACCGGTGGTCCTAGCGCACAATACTAATCAGGTATGTGGTATCTTTATATTGTCTCAAGCCTGCCTTGGAGTCTGTTGTTAACGAAAGCTCCAAGCATGTTTCCTCCTTAATGTTTTTATTTGAAAGAAGCAAAGAAAAGTGAAACTGGTTCTTGACGAACTTCATATTCAATATAGTTTCAGTTTTCAGGTGACTTAAATAGCTAGATACATTTTTTACATATATGAAATGAGGTGGGAGAGTTTGTAAATTTGAAGCAGCAAATGTTTACTGAATGCAGCCAGGTATGGTGCCATGGCCTCAAGAAATACTTGGAGTGCACAGGGAGTGAGACAGGCACCATCATGTAAGCGGTGGTAGTTCACAGATGGTGAGGGGTGAGATCTCATAAACTGGAGACTGGGACAGGTGTTCATATTCCCTACTTATTTTCATTTTCAAACAGTCACTGTTTATAATATGTCTGTTCTGAGCTTTATGAATTTTTTTTTTTACTTAAGATCATCCTAACTGCCCATTTTGTAAACTTTATTCTCTTAACATTTATTATGTCATATTTCCTGATTTTAAATAACTTCTAATGACTGCATATTGCGTTTTGTGGTTATATCCTAAGTTGTTTACGTAATGATTTCGCTATTGTTTAATGTGGATTATTTTAAGAATTTTGCTATTATAGTTATCATTTGATGAATATCTTCAGCATAAATTTTAGTCCACAGTTTAGATTATTTCTTTCAGATAGTGTCATGAAGTAGAATACTGTGGATTTTTTTTTTTTTTTTTTTTTTTTTTTTGGAGACGGAGTCTTTCAGGCTGGAGTGCAGTGGTATGATCTCGGCTCACTGCAACCTCCGCCTCCCGAGTTCAAGCAATTCTCCTGTCTCAGCCTCCCGAGTAGCTGGGATTACAATGCCCGCCACCACGTCCGGCTAACTTTTGTATTTTTAGTAGAGACAGGGTTTCACCATGTTGGCCAGGCTGGTCTCGAACTCCTGATCTCAGGTAATCCACCCACCTCTGCCTCCCAAAGTGCTGGGATTATAGGCGTGAGCCACCACGCCTGGCCTGGTGTGGATATTTTTAAGGCTCTTGATTCATATTGCTGAACTGCTTTCCTAAAAGATTCTAATTAATGCTTCCACTAGCAAGGTGTTGAGTGGCCATTTTAGGACATCCTTGCCAATGTTGATGTTTTCTAAAAAGAAAATTACCGATTTAACAGGTGGAAAACATCTCATCTTTCATTGACTTTTTGTTTTTGCTTTCCTTTAAAACTTCATTAGCTTCTTTTGTGCAGTTGGCTGTACATGTCCTTTTCCTGTTAATCTTTTGGAGGGGTTATAGTGCTTTTTAAAAGAAATTTGCTTTATATAGCTTGTTTATATATGAAAGGTAGTGACTTTTTGTCTGTCATTTTTGTAAAAAAAAAAAGCTTACCTAGTTTTCTAGTTATGTCTTTTGCTTTATGTGTAACTTACAGAAAAAATACACAAAGAATATAGAGAATTACTACATATAATTTACTAAGATTCACCAGTTGTTTGTATTTTACCTCATTAGCTTTATCACTCTTTCCCCCTTTCTTTTTATGCATATATGTGAATGTATTTTTTGTGATTCATTTGAGTTTAAGTTGTATAAGTCCTAAGAATACTTCAACATGTATTTCTAAGAGCCAGGGTATTCTCTTGCATAACCACAGTAAAATTAGCAGTCAAGAAATTTAACAATTGGTACGGTGTTGTTATCTAATTCATAGTGCAGTTTCAACAGTTGTCCCTATAATGTCCTTTATTGCCCTTTTGTTTTCCATGTCCAGTATCCAGTCCTGAATCGCCATGAAATTATCATATTTCTTTAGTCTCCTTTAATCTGGAGTACTTTGTTAACCTTTCATTGTCATTCTTGACATTGATCTTTTGGAAGAGTACAGATCAGTTATTTTTTTAGAATGTCCCTCACTTTTTACTTGTCTGAAATTTCCTCATGGTTAGATTCAGTTCATGCATTTTATGCAAGGATAACAAAAAAGTGATTTTTATTTTTCTCAGTGCAGCATATTAGGAGCAACCTGATGTCAGTTTGTTCTAATATTGCTGATAACATCAAACAGTTGGTTTAGTTGGTATCTGCCAGATTTCTCTACTGCCATGATACTGTTTTTCTCTTTGAAGTTAATATTTGTTGACAATGTGTTAATATCCTGTTCCTCATCAAACTTTCACCCACTAGTTTTAGCGTCCAGTGATGACTTTCCAACTGCATGCTTCCTTCTGTAGCTATTGATTGGCATTCTACTGTAAGGAAGACCTTTCCCTCCTCCCTCCACATCCCATTTATTTATTTGTTCAATTATTTATTTGAATGATTCATATACATATTCTTATTTAGTGGTCTGTAACTCATTACTGTTATTATCTTGATACTAAAATCATCCCAAATTTGGTCTGTGTAAACTCTTTCAAACTGGCTTCTGTGTTTTCATATGTCTCCAGAATTCTTTGAGTACCTATTTACTTTCTGGTGCAACAAGATGATCTGGGCTCATTTTGTATGGCCCACCCCTCAAATCAGCTTTTCTTCGAGGAGTATTGTTACTATTAGTGAGGAAAAAATGGTATTTGGAAATCAAGATCTGGATATATGATGTGCTTATTGTGACTGATGTGTCATTATTTCTAGGCCTACTCAGTGGCCACAGCTAGGATATGTTTGTTTGTGTGTAAATAGATATATGTATATCCATATTTTAATTTTTTATTAAACAATTTTTTTAGAGACAGGGTCTCACTCTGTCTCCTAGGCTGGAATGCAGTGGTATGATCATAGCTCACTGTAACCTCGAACTCCTGGGCTCAAGCAAATCCCCCTACCTTGGTTTCCCAAGTAGCTAGGACTACAGACATGGGCCACCATGCCCAGCTATTTTTAAAATTTTTAGTAGAGATGGGATCTTGCTGTATTCTCCAGGCTGGTCTTAACTCCTAGCCACAGGCAGTCCTCTGCTTTGGCCTCCTTAAAGTGGTAGGATTACAGATACTTATTTTAAATTTATATATCTTAGTTCGTTATGCTGCTATAACAAAATACCTGAGACTGGGTAATTTATAAACAGTGGAAATTGATTTCTTATGGTTCTAGCAGCTGGGAAGTTCAAGGCACCAGCATTCATTCTCTGGTGAGGGCCTTCTTGCTGTATCTTCGTGTGATGGAAAAGTGGAAGGGCAAAAGGGCTGACTAGCTCCTCCAGCCCTTTTTTAAATAATATTTTTAATTTTTAATTTTTGTGGGCACATAGTAGGTATATATATATTTGTGAGGTGCATGAGATATTTTGATACAGGCATGCAATGTGAAATAATCATATCGCGGCAAATAGGGTATACATCCCCTCATGCATTTATCCTTTGTGTTACAAGCAATCCAATTACACTCTTATTTTAAAATGTATAATTGTTACTATTGACTGTAGTCATCCTGTTGTTCTATCAAATAGTGAGTCTTATTCATCCTTTCAATTTTTTTTTTGTGCCCATTAACCATCCCCACCTTCCCCACAGCCCCCCATTAACTTCCCAGCCTCCAGTAACCATCCTTCTACTGTCTATGTTCATTAGTACAATTGTTTTGATTTTTAGATCCCACAAATAAGTGAGAACATGTGATGTTTCTCTTTCTGTGCCTGGCTTATTTCACCCTCTGGCTCTTTGATGAGTCCCTAATCCCATTCATGAAGTCTCTGCCCTCATGATTTAATCACCTCATAAAGTCCTCAAGTCTTAATATTAGCATTGGCAATTAAGTTTCTTTTTTTTTTTTTTTTCTTTTCTCTTTTTGTTTAGAGACAGAGTCTCACTTTATCACCCAGGCTGGAGTGCAGTGGTGCAATTGTAGCTCACTGTAGCCTTGACTTCCTGAGCTCCAGTGATCTTCCCACCTTAGCTTCGTGCGTAGCTGGGACTTTTAAGCTGGGATGCTTTAAGGTGCTTGCCACCATGCCTGGCTAGTTTTTTTTTTTTTTTTTTAATTTTTATTTGTAGTAGAGATGAAGCCTCACTGTGTTGTCCAGGCTAGTTTTGTATTCCTGAGCTCAAACAATTCTCCTGCCTTGGCCTCCCAGAGTGCTAGGATTACAGGCTTGAGCCAGGACACCAGGGCGTGATTAAGTTTCAACATGAGAATTTTGGGGACACGTTCATACCCTAGCAACATCTATGTATACACACATATATTAACAACTATTAACAATATGATTTCATATTGATTCTACCAGTGTTATTCTAACACCATGAGGGGGTGGTACTTCTTGCATCTTCCTTAGGTTGAATTTCATCAAATGCTTTTCTTGCATCTTGCCTACACTCTGTGCAAAGATATGCTGTATTTATTTCTAGAAGTTTTATAGTTTTGGCTTTAGGTTCAGATCTATGATCAATCTCAAATTATTTTTTATTCATGGTGTGAGATGGGGTTGAAGTTCATCATTGTTCTGTATTGGATATCCAACTGATCCAGCACTATTTGTTGAAAAGCAATTCCCCATTGAATTGCTTTGATGCCTCCCCTGAAAATCATTTAACTGTATATGTGTGAGTCTGTTTCTGGACTTTGTATTCTGTTCTCTTGATCTGTTTGTTTGTCTTTAGGCCAGCACAGTACTCTCCTGATTATTGTAGCTCTGTAAGAAGCCTTGAAGTCAGATAGTTTAAATTTCACTCATGTCCCTGTGAAGAGACCACGGAACAGGCTTTGTGTGAGCAATAAAGCTTTTTAATCACCTGGGTGCAGGCGGTCTGAGTCCGAAAAGAGTCAGCAAAGGGAGAAAGGGGTGGGGCCATTTTATAGGATTTGGGTAGGTAAAGGAAAATTAGTCAAAGCGGGTTGTTCTTTGGTGGGGGTCACAAGGTGTTCATTGGGGGAGCTTTCGAGCCAGGATGAGCCAGGAGAAGGAATTTCACAAGGTAATGTCATCAGTTAAGGCAGGAACAGGCTATTTTCACTTCTTTTGTGATTCTTCAGTTACTTCAGGCCATCCGGATATATATGTGCAGGTCACAGGGCATATGATGGCTTAGCTTGGGCTCAGAGGCCTAACATTCCTGTAGTCTTATATTAATAAGAAAAATAAAACGAAATAGTGGTAAAGTGTTGGGGTAGCGAAAATTTTTGGGGCTGGTATGGATAGATAATGGGCGATGTTTCTCAGGGCGGGATTAGGAGCGGCATGGGAACCTAGAGTGGGAGAGATTAAGCTGAAGGAAGATTTTGTGGTAAGAGGTGATATTGTGGGGTTGTTTGAAGGAGCATTTGTCGTATAGAATTATTGGTGATGGCCTGGATATGGTTTTGTATGAATTGAAAAACTAAACAGAATAAGAGGAGAAAAACAGGTATTAAAAGACGACAGAATAGAGTGGGCCTGTGAGGCTGGAAGGATATATTTTCCTTGGTCCAAAAACCCTTGCCTTGTGTGGGAAGAGATTGATAGGTGGAAGTTTCAGTGGGGGAGTAGGTGGGAGTGGCCAGATGAGAAGGAGAAAAACTGCTCTGTGAGATAGAAGTTGGAACGCTGGCTGCTTTTTTTAGTTGCCCTATTAGCATAAGCATTGTCCTGGGCGATGGGATCTGATACTTTTTGATGGCTGCTTTTTTAGCTACCTTATCAGCATAAGCGTTGTCCTGAGCAATGGGATCTGATGCCTTTTGATGGCCCTTGCAGTGAATGACCCCAGCTTCCTTCAGAAGTAAAGCGGCTTTGAGAAGAGTTTTTATTAAAGAGGTATTAGTGATGGAGGACCCTTGCATAGTGAGGAATTTTTTTTTTTTTTTGCCTATATAACAGCATGGTGGTGCAGGATATGGAAGGCATATTTAGAGTCAGTATAAATATTGATGTGTAGTCCTTTTGGAAGAGTGAGGGCTCAAGTTAAGGCAATGAGTTTGGCTTGCTGAGAGGTAGTGGGGTGGGCAGAAAGTATATGCATCAGGTGTGAGAAAGAAAATAGATTTTGGAAGTTATGAGAACTGTAGAGAGTGAGTTGAGCATAGTTTGTGATTTTGAAAGCCTCTGAAAGTATTAAGGCAGCGGTAGCCGCCACATGCAGACAGGAGGGCTAGGCTAAAACAGTAAGGTCAAATTGTTTGGATAAAAAGGCTACAGGGCGCGGTCCCAGCTCTTGTGTAAGAACACTGGCTTGACTGAGGTGATGGGGGCTGTCTGTGAAGCCTTGTGGCAGTACAGCCCAGGTAATTTGCTGAGCCTGATGGGTGTTAGGGTCAGTCCAAGTGAAAGCGAAGAGAGGCTGGGATGAAGGGTGCAAAGGACTAGTAAAGAAAGCATGTTTGAGATCCAGAACAGAATAATGGGTTGTGGAGGGGAGGTATTGAGGATAGGAGAGTATATGGGTTTGGCACCACGGGGTAGATAGGCAAAACAATTTGGTTGATAAGATGCAGATCCTGAACTAACCTGTAAGACTTGTCTGGTTTTTGGACAGGTAAAATGGGGGAATTGTAAGGAGAGTTTATAGGCTTTAAAAGTCCATGCTGTAACAGGTGAGTGATAACAGGCTTTAATCCTTTTAAAGCGTGCTGTGGGATGGGATATTGGCATTAAGTGGGGTAAGGGTGACTAGGTTTTAATGGGATGGTAAGAGGTGCATGATCGGTTGCCAAGGAGGGAGTAGAGGTATACTATACTACGGTTTAAGGTGGGGAGATACAAGGGGAGGATGTGTGAAGGAGGCTTTGAACTGGGGGAAAAGGCAACAATGAGGTGTGGCTGTAGCCCAGGAATAGTCAGGGAAGCAAATAATTTAGTTAAAATGTTTTGACCTATTCAGGGAGCTGGGCAGGTGGGGATAACTAAAAAGGAGTGCTTAAAAGAGTATTGTCCAAGTTGGCACCAGAGTTGGGGAGTGTAAGAGGTTTTAGAAGCGTGGTCTTCAATACCCACAACAGTTATGGAGGCAAAGGAAACAGGCCCTTGAAAAGAAGGTAATGTGGAGTTGGTAGCCTCTGTATTGATTAAGAAGGGGATGGACTTACCCTCCACTTTAAGAGTTACCTAAAGCATCTGTGATGGTCCAGGAGGCTTCTGTGGTGATCGGGCAGCATCAGTCTTTAGCCACGAAGCTGAGAAGATCTGGGAAGGAGTCAGTCAGAGAGCCTTGGGCCGGAGTTCCAGGGGCTCTGGGAGTGGCTGCTGGGCGAGTTGGATTTCCAGTGGGGTCCCGCACAGATGGGACAAGGCTTAGGAGGAATCCCGGGCTTCAGGCATTCCTTCGCCCAGTGGCCAGATTTCCGGCACCTGAAGCAAGTTCCTGGGGGAGGAGGTTCTGGAGGAACCCCTGGCAGCTGCAGTTCAGGTGTTTGGAGTTCTTGTGTGCTGGAGATGTGGCTGGGGTTTTTCTCACAGTGGAGGCAAGGAATTGCAACTCAGAAATACATTGCTACTTGGCTGCCTCTACTTTATTATTGTACACCTTGAAGGAGAGGTTAATTAAGTCCTGTTGTGGGGTTTGAGGGCCGGAATTTAATTTTAGGAGTTTTATTTAATGTCAGGAGCTGACTGGGTGTTAAAATGCATAATTAGAATGAGATGGCCTTCTGACCCTTCAGGGTCTAGGGCTGTAAAGAGTCTTAAGGGTTGCTGCTAAATGGGCCATGAACTGGGCTGGGTTTTTCATATTTGATGAAAAAGAGCCTAAACGCTAACTGATTTGGGAGAGGTCCGATAAAGAAAAAGGAGCATTAACCTTTACTATGCCTTTAGCTCCAGCCACCTTTTTAAGAGGAAATTGCTGGGCAGGTGGGGGAGGGCCAGTCGCAGAACGAAACTGTAAGCTGGACCAGGTGTGAGGAGGGGGAGGTGATAAAAGGATTGTAGGGTGGCGGGGCGGAGGCTGAGGAAAAAATGGAAAGACTTGGGACTGTCTTCCCAAGTCCATGACCAGCGCTGGAGTTTTGGGTCCACGGATAAAACACGTTTCCTATGTCTCTACCAGAAAAGCAGCCTGGGGAGGAGGGGAGAGGTCAGATGGGTCAGTAGAAAAGGAAGATTCAAAAGACTCAGAGACGCTTGGGGTTGGGACTGAAGGGACAGGCGGGAGGGAAAGAAGGAAGATTTGGGACGAGTTGCATTGGGGAACAGAGACTAGGGATGGACCGATGTGTAAAAGAATGCCTGGACGTCAGGCACCTCAGACCGTTTGCCTATTTTACAACAAGAATTATTTAGGTCTTATAGGATGGAGAAATCGAAAATGCCGTTTTCTGGCCATTTAGAGCCGTTATCGAGTTTGTATTGGGGTTAAGTGGCATTGCAGAAGAAAATATTGCAGAAGAAAATAAGGCATTTAGGTTTTAGGTCAGGTGTGAGTTGAAGAGGTTTTAAGTTCTTGAGAACACAGGCTAAGGGAGAAGAAGGAGGAATGGAGGGTGGAAGGTTGCCTATAGTGAAGGAGGCAAGTCCAGAGAAAAGAGAGGGTAGAGACATGGAGAAAAGGGGTGGGGGTGCTTGCCCCCCAGGAAAGTGGAGAGAAAAGAGAGGGTAGAGACACAGAGAAGGGGTGAGGGGGTGCTTGCCCCCCAGGAAAGTGGAGAAGGGGTGGGGACACAGAGAGAAGGGGTAAGGGGTGCTTGCCCCCCAGGAAAGTGGAGAAGGGGTGGGGACACAGAGAGAAGGGGTAAGGGGTGCTTGCCCCCCAGGAAAGTGGAGAAGGGGTGGGTGAGCAGCCAAAGCAGGTGTCCCTGCAATTGACTTGCCACCAAGGGAATGTGGGTGAATGACAAAGGCAGGCGTCCCCGCGGTGATAAGACACCAATGAAATGTGGGTGAATAATCAGGTAGGTGTCCCCGCGTGATTAAACACCAAGGGAAGACTGTCTTCCTGAGTCTATGACTGGTGCTGGAGTTTTGGGTCCACGGATAAAACATGTCTCCTTTGTCTCTACCAGAAAAGGAAAGGAACTGAAATTAAGAGAAGGGAGAGATTGAAGTGTGGCGCGAAGATTGAAAGGAGAAAGAGATTGAGGGATAGTGAGAGAGGTTGGAGAAGAGAGTAAAAAGAGGCCGCTTACCCAATTTAAAATTGGTGAGATGTTGCTTGGGCTGGTTGGTCAGAGGACCAGAGGTCGTAGGTGGACCTTTCTCACAGAGCAAAGAGCAGGAGGACAGGGGATTGATCTCCCAAGGGAGGTCCGCCGATCCGAGTCACGGCACCAAATTTCACTCACGTCTGTGAAGAGACCACCAAACAGGCTTTGTGTGAGCAATAAAGCTTTTTAATCACCTGGGTGCAGGTGGGCTGAGTCCAAAAAGAGAGTCAGCAAAGGGAGAAAGGGTGGGGCCATTTTATAGGATTTGGGTGGGTAAAGGAAAATTACAGTTAAAGGGGGTTGTTCTTTGGTGGGCAGGGGTCGGGGTCACAAGGTGCTCAGTGGGGGAGCTTTTGAGCCAGGATGAGCCAGGAGAAGGAATTTCACAAGGTAATGTCATCAGTTAAGGCAGAAACAGGCTATTTTCACTTCTTTTGTGATTCTTTAGTTACTTCAGGCCATCTTGATGTATAGGTGCAGGTCACAGGGGATATGATAGTTTAGCTTGGGCTCAGAGGCCTGACATTAACTCCTTCAACTTTGTTCTTTTTTAAGATTGTTTTGGCCGTTCTAGGTCTTTTGAATTTTCATATACTTTCATATTTCATATACTTTTATATTTCATAGGCTTTTAGAATCAAAAGCCTAATTTCTATAAAAGTGCCTGGTGGGAATATGGTTGGAATTGTGATTTGGGCAGAATCAACATCTTGACAGTGTTGAAATTTTCGAATTACAAACATGGTATATATCTTCATTTACTTAGGTATTTCTTTCAGCAGTGTTTTGTGGTTTTCAGTATATGGGGCTTCCATATCTTTTGTTAAGTTTATTCTTAAGTAATCTGCTTTTTGGTATTGAGAAACGTTTTTAAAATTTCATTTTGTTGGTGGAATATAGAAATACAATTGTTTATTGACCTGCCATCCTGCAACTTTGCCAAACTTACTTAAATGAATCTTGTTAGATTGACATAATTCTTAAAAATTTGTTTGTTAACAATTATATTGCCTCTGAAAAGAAAGTTTTATAACTTCGTTTCAAATATTTATGCGTAGTATTTCTTTTCCTTGCCTATTACATTGGCTAGGATCTTCTATATAATATAATGTTGAGTAGACTTGCTGCGATTTCTATCACTATCTTTGCCATGTTGCCAATCTTTGAGGGAAAGTCCTCAGAATTTCATTATTTGCTGAAGGTTTATATGATAGAGGAAGTTTCTTTCTGTTTGTAGGTGTGCTAAAATTTTTATTTTTTTTAACCCGGAATGGATATGGAACTTCGTCAAATGCTTTCATTGCATCTGGTATTATAGTAAATGAAATTGCCTTTTATATGTGAATCCAAATTTTATATTCCTGGGATAAATACTGCAGTATCATGATATATTATTCTTTTTGTAAGTTACTGATTTTGATCTTTCCATTGTTTTGCTGAGGATGTTTTCATCTGTGTTAATCACCTATGGTCATGTTTTATAGTTTTTTTATAAATGAAAAATATTTTGGTAATGGGTTTATGCAAACCTTCTAAAATGAATTGGGAATTGTTTACTCCTTTATTTTCTTCCACATGTGTCTGATAGACTTCACCAGTGAAACCATCTGAGTTTTGAGTCTTCTTTTTGTAAAAGGGTAGGCTGAGTATTTTAACTTAATAAATACATGGCTGTTTAGATTTTAAAAGTTTTATCTTGTGTCAGTTGTGGAAAGTGTTGTGCTTTTCACTCTATTATTAGTGCTGTGTGGTTTATCTTTCCATCCTCTTTATTTTAACCCGTGTCTTTATATTCAAAAGGTATCTCTTGTAGACATAATTGGGTCTTGTTTTTTTCTTCTCCCCAATCTGAAAAAAAGCTACATTTTAATTGGAATATTTAGTCTCCTTGATACACAATTGATCCTCATTATTTGAGGATTCCATACATGTGAAAATTGCAAATTTTATTTGTAACCCCTAAATCAATACTTGAAGTGTTCCCGTGGTCATTCATAGACATGTACAGAGTAGCGAAAAATTTGAGTCATCTTCACACATTTTTTCCCAACTGAGGTCAAATAAGGTGACGCTCTGCCCTCCTGTTTCAGCTCTCATACTTTGAAAAACAAGGGTCCTTTTCCACACATCAAAAAAAGAAAACTGCAGGCCAATATCTCTGATGAATATTGAGGCAAAAATCCTCAACAAAATACTAGTAAACTAAATTGAGCAATACATTAGAAAGATCATTCAACATGACCAAGTGGGATTTATCCCTGGGATGCAAGGATGCTTCAGCATATGCAGATCAGTCTGTATGGTACATGATATCAACAGAATGAAGGATAAAAACCATATAATCATTTCAATTAGTGCTGAAAAAAATTTGATGAAATTTAACATCTCTTTATGTTGAAAAACCCTCAAAAAACTGGGGATAGAGGGAACATACCTCAACGTAATTAAAGCCATATATGACAGACTCACAGCTAATATCACACTGCATGGGGAAAAACTGAAAGCCTTTTGTCTAAGGCAGGTTTGTTCAATCCATGGCTTAAGGGCTGCATTCAGTCCAATACAAATTTGTAAACTTTCTTAAAACATTATGATGTGGTTTTTTTTTGCAATTTTTTTTTTTTTTTTTTTTTTGAGATGGAGTCTTGCTCTGTCGCCCCGGCTGGAGTGCAGTGGCGCCATCTCGGCTCACTGCAAGCTCCGCCTCCCGGGTTCATGCCATTCTCCTGCCTCAGCCTCCCGAGTAGCTCGGACTACAGGCGCCCACTACCACACCCGGCTTTTTTGTATTTTTAGTAGAGACAGGGTTTTACCGTGTTAGCCAAGATGGTCTCGATCTCCTGACCTCGTGATCCACCTGCCTTGGGCTCCCAAAGTGTTGGGATTACAGGTGTAAGCCAGCACACCCGGCTTGTTTTGCAATTTTTTTAAAGCTCACCAGCTATCATTAGTGTTAGTGGTTTTTTTTTTTTTTTTTTTTTTTGAAACAGTCTCGCTCTGTCACCAGGCTGGAGTGCAGTGGTGCCATCTCAACTCACTGCAACCTCCGCCTCCTGGGTTCAAGTGATTCTCTTGCCTCAGTCTCCCGAGTAGCTGGGATTACAGGCACGTGCCACCACACCCAGCTAATTTTTGTATTTTTAGTAGGCATGGGGTTTCACCACGTTGGCCAGGATGGTCATGATCTCTTGACCTCGTGATCTGCCCGTCTCGGCCTCCCAAAGTGCTGAGATTACGGGTGTGAGCCACTGCACCTGGCTTAGTGTTAGTGTATTTTATGTGTGGTTCAAGACAGTTCTTCCAGTGTGGTCCAGGGAAACCGAAAATTGGACACCCTTGCTCCAAGATCTGGAATATGACAAGGATGCCCACTGTCACCACTGTTATTCAATGCAGTACTAGAAGTCCTAGCTAGAGCAGTCAGACAAGACAAGGATATAAAGGGTATCCAGATTGGAAAGGAAGAAGTCAAATTATCGTTGTTTACAGATGGTGTAATTTTATATTTGGAAAAACCTAAAGACTCCACAAGAAAATTATTAGAACTGGTAAATTCAGTGAAGCTGCAGGATACAAAATTAACGTACCAAAATCAGTAGCATTTCTATTTGTCAACAGTGAACAATGTGAAAAAGAAATAAAAAAGTATCCCATTTGGAAGCCACACATAAAATAAAGCACCTAGGAATTACCCAAATAAATGAAAGGTCTCTATAATGAAAACTATAAAACACTGATGCAAGAAATTGAAGAGGACACCAAAAAATGGAAAAATATTACATGTTCATGGATTGGAAGAATCAGTATTGTTAAAATGTCCATACTACCCAAAGCAGTCTACAGATTAAATGCAAACCCTACCAAAATATCAATGACATTCTTCACAGAAACAGAAAAAACAATCCCAAAATTTTTATGGAACAACAGAAGACCCAGAATAGCCAAAGCCGTTCTAAGCAAAAGAACAAGACTGGAGGAATTACATTACCTGACTTCAAATTATACTATGGAGATACAGTAACCAAAACAGCATGGTACTGGCATGAAAACAGATCCATAGACCAATGGAACAGAATAGAGAACCGAGAACCCAGAAATAAATCCACACACGTACAGTGAGCTCATTTTTGACAAAGGAGCCAAGAACATACTCTGGGGAAAAGACAGTCTCTTCAATAAATCGTGCTGAGAAAACTGGATATCCATATGCAGAAGAATTAAACTAGACCCCTATCTCTTACTGTATAAAAAATCAAATCATAATGGGTTAAAGGCTTAAAGCTAAGACCTCAAACTATGAAACTACTACAAGGAAACATTAGGAAAATCTTCAAGACATTGTTCTGGGCAAAAATGCCTTGAGCAATAACCCACAAGTACAGGCAACCAAAGCAAAAATGGACAAATGGGGTCACATCAAGTTAAAAAGCTTCTGCACAGCGAAGGATACAGTCAACAAAAGGAAGAGACAACGTACAGAATGGGAGAAAATATTTGCAAACTACCCAGCTGGCAAGGGCTTAATAACCAGAGTATATAAGGAGTTCTACTAACTCTATAGGAAAAAATAATGTAATAATCCAATTAAAAATGGGCAAAAGATTCTAGTAGACATTCTCAAAAGAAGATGTACAAGTGGCAAACAGGTATATGAAAAGGTGCTCAACATCAATCATCAGAGAAATGCAAATCAAAACTACAATGAGATATCTCACCTAATTAATATGTCATATCCAAAAGACAGGCAATAATAAATGCTGGTGAGGATGTGGAGAAAAGGAAACCCTCATACACTGTTGGTAGGAATGGAAATTAGTATAACCACTATGGAGAACAGTTTGGAGGTTCCTCAAAAAACTAAAAATTGACCTATCGTATGATCTGGCAATCCCACTGCTAGGTATATACCCTCCCCCCCTCCCCCCGCCAGAAAGAAATCAATATATCAAAGAGATACCTGCACTCCTGTTTTTGTTGCAGCACTGTTTACAATAGCTAAGATTTGCCAGCAACCTAAGTGTTCATCAGCAGATGAATGGATAAAGAAAATGTGATACACAGTGGAGTACTTACTATTCAGCTGTCAAAAATAATGAGATCCAGTCATTTGCAGCAATATGGATGGAACTGGAGATCATTATGTTAAGTGAAATAAGCCAGGCACAGAAAGACAAGCCTTGCGTGTTCTCACTTATTTGTGGGATCTAAAAATCAAGACAATTGAACTCATGGACGTAGAGAGTAAAAGGGTGGTTACCAGAGGCTAGGAAGGGTAGTGGGGTGCTGAAGGGAAAGTAGGATTGTTAATGGGTACAAAAAAAAATAGAATGGATAAGACTTACTGTTTGATAGCACAATAAAGTGGTTATAGTCAATAATAATTGCACATTTTAAAATAACTTAGAGTATAATTGGATTGTTTGAAACTCAGAGGATAAACGCTTTAGGGTATGGATACCCTATTCTTCATGATGTACTTACTTCACATTGCTTACCTGTATGAAAACATCTAATGTACCTCATAAATATATACACCTACTGTGTGCCCACAGAAATCTAAGAAAGGGTTCTTTTCCAGTCTGTTCAGTGCCACATTTTCCACATTTTTATACTTCTTTTGGGGTGACTTTGCTGTTTAAAATGACCCTCAAGTGTAGGGCCGATGTGCCACCTGGTGATCCCAAGTGCAAGAGGCTGTGATGTGCCAATGGAGAAAATACATGTATTAGATAAGCTTCACTCAGACAAGAATTGTAGTGCTGTTGGCCATGGGTTTAATATAAGTAAATTAACAATAGATATTAAATGAGGTGTTTTAAACAAAAACACATATAAAACAAGATTATGTATTGCTCAGCTGACTAAGGTAGCAGGACCAGAGGCTTGCACGGACTTAATACTATTTTCCCAAGAGCAGTGGTTCCATATTTGGTAACTCAGTGTTCATGATGACTTTATAGAGCATAACTACTATGAATAAGGAGAATTCACTGTAGTTGGGTTTAGGTCTACTAGTTTGCTGTTTGTCTTCTGGTGTCCTTTTTTTTTCCTGCTACTCTTTTTCTACTTTAGGGCTAATTGAATATTTTTTAGTATTCCATGTAATGACTTTTTTTTTTTATTTTTTTGCAGTTGCATCCTTATCCTTGCCTACTTAGAATTAACATACCACTTCTCATAAAATTAAGAATTGCAATAACACAGTTCCATTCCCTACCCAGTCATTGTGCTATTGTTGTCATATATGTTTATATTTATTTTTATTTTTATGATGCAGGGTCTTACTCTCTCGCCCAGGCTGGAGTGCAGTCACAATCTTGGCACACTGTATCCTCTGCCTCCTGGGTTCAAGCGATCCTCCTATCTCAGTTTCCTAAGTAGCTGGGACTACAGGCATGCACCACTAGGCCCGGTTAATTTTTGTACTTTTTGTAGAGTTGGGATTTCACCATGTTGCCCAGGCTGGTCTTGAACTCCTGGGCTCAAGTGATTCACCCCCCTTGGCCTCCTAAAGTGCTGGGATTACAGAGATGACAGCCTACTGTCATGTATTTTATGTACACCTATGTTATAAGCCCCATGATACAGTGTTGTTATTGCTTTCAACAGCCAGCGTGTGTCTTCTAAAGAAATTAAGAGAATAAATTGAAAAATAGTTCTTTATATTTATCCACACATTTAACACTTCCAGTATTTTTTTTTTTTTTTTTTTTAGTGGATCCTAGTTTTTATATGTTATTTGCTGGGGATTAATTTCCTTAGTTTTTGTTTATCAGACCATGTCTTTATTTTGTCTTCACTGTTGAAGGATGTTTTTGCTGCATGTGGAGTTCTGGGCTGATAGTTCTCTTTGAGCATTATAGATGTTGTTGCATTACTTCCTGGCTTCTTTTTCTGATTAAAAAAAAAATCAGCTGGCCGTCATATTACTGTTATTGTCGTCGTTGTTGTTGTTTATTCTTAGTTACTGTCAATATTTTTCTCCTTTTGGTTTTCAGCAGTTTATCTACAGTGTGCTCAGTTGTATTTCTATTTGTATTAATCCTACTTAGTGTTCTCTGAGTCTTTTGGATTTATAAGTCAGTATTTTTTGCTAAATTTGGGAAGTTTTTGGTTATTGCATCTTCAATTATTTTCTCTGGTCCAGTTTCACTTTCTTCCCCTCCACCTGCATTTCTGATTATGTACATGTCATAATGATTGATATTATCTCAGAAGTTTGTGAGAGTTTGTTCATTTTTCTCCAGTCTTTTTTTCTGTTTTTCAGTGTGGGTAATTCCTATTGGTTTGTTTTCCAGTTCAGTGACTGTGTCATATTCAGTCTACTGTTAAGATCATAAAGTGCATTTTTTGTTTTAATTTTCAGTCTTTTCTGTTTTTGAATTTCTATTTGGTTCTGTTTTATACTTCTTATTTATATTTTTTGAGACGGAGTCTCACTCTGTTGCCCAGGCTGGAGTGCAGTGGCACAATCTGCTCACTGCAGCTTCCGCTTCCCAGGTTCAAGCGATTCTCCTGCCTCAGCCTCCTGAGTAGTTGGGATTACAGGTGCCTGCCACCACATCTGGCTGATTTTTGTATTTTTAGTAGAGACAGTGTTTCACCATGTTGGCCAGGCTGGTTTCGAACTCCTGACCTCAGGTGATCCACCTGCCACGGCCTCCCAAAGTGCTGGGATTACAGGCGTGAGACACCACGCCTAGCCACTTTTTATTTCTTTGCTGAGATTTCCTACCTGTTTGCTCAATAAGACCATGTGTTGTCAACTTTCTCTTACTTTTGGTGGGTAATAGCTGAAATAAGCCTTATTCTGATATGGTAATTCTTGTTAACTTTTGACTGGTGCTTACTTAACCTTTTTAGTCCTCACTTTAAACTTTTTGTGCTATTCATTGGGTATGTCTTATGTAAATAATATGTAACTGAAATTAATTTATGTTTTATAAAATAATCTTATTTGTCTTTTAATTGGCAAGTTTAATTCATTTACATAGATTATGGTTATTGATATATTTGTAATGAATATTTGCCATTTTACTTTTTGCTTTCTGTTGACACTTTCCGTGCTCTTTTCTTTTTTGTTCCTTTTAAAAATACAATTAAGGTTTTTTCACTTGATTTTTTTCTTATGGTATTTTTCCTCTGAATTGGTTTGGAAGTATTTTTGTGGTTTATTCTTGAGATATTATCATAGACTTACGTTAACAAAGCTGAATGAACCTTATCAATATCTTAATTGCCTGCTAAGACAAAGACTTTATCATCTCTCATATATACAGAGGATTGGTTCCAGAACCCTTGCGTATACTACAGCCTGCATATACTCATATCATGCTGTTGACCCAGCAGAACCTGTCTTTAAGAAAAATCGGGGCTGGGCGCAGTGGCTCACGGCTGTAATTCCAGCACTTTGGGAGGCCGAGGCAGGAGGATTGCTTGAGGCCAGGAGCTTGAGACCAGCCTGGACAACAAAGTGAGACAGTGTCTCTACAAAAAATAAAAAAATTACCCAGGTATGGTGGTGCAGGCCTGTAGTCCCAGCTACCCCGAAAGCTGAGGCAGTAGGATCACTTGAGCCCAGGAGTTGGAGGCTGCAGTGAGCTATGATGGTGCCACTGCACTCCAGCCTGGGTGACAGAGTGAGACTCTGTCTTGGAAGGGAGGGGAAGGAGAGAGGAAGGGAGGGAGGGAGAGAGACTGTATATATGTGGGTTTTGCATCCCTCATCTATGTTTGGTTTAAAAAAAAAAAACCCACATATAAGTCAACCTGCACAGTGGAAACCCGTACTATTCAAAGGGTCAACTGTACTTTAATGACCTCCCCTTCCTCATGCCCTTACCTTAAACACTGATTTTTGAGATTTTTATTTTCTCACTGTTGTTTAAATCCTGTTGCTAATTATTATTATTTTTAGCATGGGGAATGTTTGCTGACACATACTTGCGTGTTTAATACTTGAATGTCATTTCATCTGACATCTCAGATCTCTATTCTGAGCTCATTTTCTGTTTTGCTACAGTATATTCTTTTGAAGTTTCTTTTTTTTAAAAAAAATAAGCTTATCTAAGGACGAGGTTTCTTTAGTGATCATCTGCTGGTCATAAACTCTGTTACTTTAGCTGGGAATATCTTGATTTCATCTTTGTTCTTGAAGGATAGTTTTGTTGTGCATATGATGACAGTTGACAAGTTTCCTTGATACTTCGAAGATAATATTCTACTGTCTGCTGGCTTGTTACTGGTGAGAATTCTATAGTCTGAGCTAATTGTAGTAGTCTGTCTTCTGTCTTTACTCTCTGTGTTTTAAAATCTTTTCTTTGGCTTTATTTTGCGATTTACCACAATGCCTGTGAGTCTAGGGGTGGATTTCTTTTTGTTTATATTGGTAGGTGTATGTTGTGCTTCTTAAATCTAGATTTAAGTCTTTTATCTGTTTTTGAAAATTCTCAGCCCTTAACCTCTTCATGTATTGCTTCTCTTCTATTCTCTGTATTGTTTCCCACTAGGACTTAAATTAGTCATGTGTGAGTCCATCTCAGTCTATTCTTTATGTCCCTTAATCTCTTTAGTGTTTTTCATTTCCCTAACTCTGAGTAATTTATTCCAATTTGGCATGTAGTTTGGTAATCTCTCCTTAGCTGTGACTAATATGCTATTTAATTAACTCATTTGGTTTTCATTTTAATACTTAGATTTTTAATTTGTGAAAGCAATGTTTTATTGTTTGAAACTGGCTGTTTTTAGTACTTTGTTGTTTGCTCATTTTAAAATTTCTTTTTTTTTTTTTTTTTTTTTGAGACGGAGTCTTGCTCCGTTGCCCAGGCTGGAGTGCAGAGGCTCCATCTTGGCTCACTGCAAGCTCTGCTTCCTGGGTTCACGCCATTCTCTTGCCTCAGCCTCCTGAGTAGCTGGAACTACAGGCACCTGCCACCACGCCCTGCTAATTTTTTGTATTTTTTAGTAGAGACAGGGTTTCACCGTGTTAGCCAGGATGGTCTCGATCTCCTGACCTTGTGATCTGCCCGCCTCAGCCTCCCAAAGTGCTGGGATTACAGACTTGAGCCACCACGCCTGGCCTAAAATTTCTTTATTTACATAATTCGCTATTTAATAATCTGTTTCGGCTGGGCGTGGTGGCTCACGCCTGTAATGCCAGCACTTTGGGAGGCTGAGGTGGGCAGATTACTGAGGTCAGGAGTTCAAGACCAGCCTGGCCAACATGGTGAAACCCCGTCTCCACTAAAAATACAAAAATTAGCCGGATGTGGTGGCACACGCCTGTAATCCCAGCTACTTGGGAGGCTCAGGCAGAAGAATTGCTTGAGCTCAGGAGATGGAGGTTGCAGTGAGCCGAGATCATGCCACTGCACTCCAGCCTGGGTGACAGATGGAGAGTCTGTCTCAAAAAAAAAAAAAAAAATTCTGTTTCATAATTACATTATCTGAAATGATAGTGAAGGCAGTATCTGATGTTTGTTCTTTCTGCTTGCTCTCACTCATATTTACTTCTCTATGTATATAGTAATTTTTTTATTGTGAGCTTATTTTTCCAGATTTATTTTTATTCCCTTTTTGACAGATTTCATTATTACCATATTTGAATGCACTAGACAGGTGCCCTGCCATCATAGAGAACTGAAATTCTTTTCCTGTGTATAGAGATGACATAGTTTTATCATAAAGAACTGGGAAAGGACTGTTACCTTTTTTGTACTCCTTTCTCTCTTTGCCTTATTTCCCTTGCATGTTTAAACATATCTTATCCTTGTATGTATCTTATACGAGGCTTTTTTGATTTTAAGGAACAGAAACTCACATCAGTGTTCTTTAAGAATAAAGTGTTTATTTTCAGATCACAAGGAAACTGGAGCTGAATGGCTTTCAGGATCCAACACAGTTCTAGGGAGCAGCTACACTTACTGCTTATTGCATTTCTGCTGTTCTCTTCATGTCTGCTACACTCTTCCCACGAGGACAGATGTGGGGTCCGACCCGCAGACCCTGGCTGAACGACAGGAGAAAAAATGCACTCACATGCAGGTATCCAATGAAACAGTGAGCTAGGGGAGCGGGCTAGGGGACCGGGCTGCTCACAGACCCCGAGGAGGGTGCTGTAAAGAGTCAGCAGCTGCGGCCTTGACAAGCTGGCACTGTGGGCATTTATTCAGCACGGATTTAATGACAATGGCTTTGAGTCAACACACTTGTGGGTAATCAACATGGTCGCCCTCCCCGGAGTGAGCAGTCCTGTGTGCGGATGATGAAAGGCCAGGTTCGGAGGCCTAAGTAAACTAACTTATCTAGATCAGTTTTTTTACATCCCCTTGTTATCTAACCTAAGCTTTCAGGCACCAGATAAGAGAGTCTAGCTGCCTTCAGCCAAATCGTTTTCCAAAGCTTTTATAAAACCTCTTGGCCTTCCAAGAAGGTTTGCATCGTTCTGCAATTGTTCCTACCACCCTGATGGATCTCCTACAGCCAGAAGGCTTCCTCATCTACAACATTATCTTTTCTCTATTTCATATCTCGTTTTTCTGGTTCTCAGCTCCCTCTCACCTCATCTTTGCTTGTGAATCTTTGAGGATCTTCCTTTATATATTCTTTCAGCCTCACCTCCCTTTTAGTGCCTAATTTGCCAGCTTACCTAATTAGCCTCTTCCCAGCCAGCAGATTGGCTGTCCTTGGAGCAGCTGCCTGTCTGTGTGTTGCGGGGAGGAAGGATTCTGTGTTCAAATCTCACTGCCGAGGCCCGCTCCCTTGGAAGGGTGCCGTGATGTATACTTAGTGTGTATACTTACAAGGTATTTAAAATTCTTTTTGAAGCCACAAAGGATATAAAAATAAAAGGCCTCTAACTTAGAAAATGAATGACCCAGTTGCAGAAATATATTTGGTGAATTAAAAATTTTTATGCCATTCATACTTGTATGAAAACTATTGTGAGTCTAATGCACACTTGGAATTTTTTTTATGGGTTTCTAGCCAAGAAGGAATTGCAGGTTTCCAGTTATATTTATACAGGTTTTAATCTCAAAGATTTAATGTTCATGTTTATTTAAATATCAGTATACATAAGAGCATCTTCAATTAAATGAAAACAAATTCTTATGTGTATGAATTAGTAATATAAGAAATGGCCAATGAAATCCCGTCTCTACTAAAAAATACAAACATTAGCTGGGCGTGGTGGCGCATGCCCGTAATCTCAGCTGAGGCTGAGGCAGGAGAATTGCTTGAACCTGGGAGGCAGAGGTTGCAGTGAGCCGAGATTGTGCCACTGCCCTCCAGCCTGGGCAACAGAGTGAGACTCCGTCTCAAAAAAGAAGGAAGTAGCCTTAGGGACCATTGTATTTCTTAAAAATTCATTATACTGTGTTCTGTAATATAAAGTCAGATAAAAAAATTATAGCACATTTGTGATGGTAGAAACTTAACTATCATCTATGTACATACCACCGTATAGTTTGCAAGTGATTTTCACATATGTTATGGCATTCATTCTTACCCAGAGCCGTAAGGTGAAAAGCATACAGGCAGGTTAGATTTACGGTATGTTTACCAACTTCTAATTTCCAGATGATGACAGGGCTAAAGTTATTCATTCCTTTCCTAAAATACATATTCCTCCTGAATAATTGAAATTGCCATAAATTACTACATCTTAAACTATACCTTTTCTTTCTTTAAAGATGTATTTACTTGGAATATTACTTGGTTTAAAAGGCAAGAATTGTCAAAGCACAAGTGGGACTTTATTATAAATTCTTTTTTCTGATTTTACTACATATTTCTTCCCTTTAGGCCTCAATGTGTTCTGTTCTATTTATTCAAAATAGAAGTTTTATTTGTGGTACTACATAATTATAAAACAGTTAATATTGAAGAGGTGAAAGATCCTTTGTACCTCTGCTCCCATTTTCTCCCCGCATGCTCTCCGGTCTCACTGTCAGTAGCTGGGTGTTATACATACATACACATATGTATGTTTGTATGTACACACAGCCTGCTAGTGCTGGAGGCAGAACTGAGAGCCACCACCGTGCGCCTGGCACCAGAAGTGCAGCCACTGTTGTCAGTGCAAAGATCGTTTGGTTGATAGGTCAACTGTCATGGCTGTGGCCATCAGGATGTTCCTTGTTACCCACGCTGCTGTCAGTCCTGTGGCAACAGCTGCTGCTTTCCGTGCTGCTGATTCCTTGAAGTGTTACTGTTCTTCAGAGCCTTTTGAGAATGCCTTTAATTTGATTGTTCTTCTTAGAACAAATCACACAATACCACTATCATCCCTTGCTTTTATGTAGGATAGTGTGAATGACAGATACCATGTTGTCCTCCAAGCCACTACTCTCTTCTCATGGTCTGTGGCTTTCTTTGGATTAACCTGAACTCTTGCTGTAGAATGAATGTCCGTTCCCCAAGATCCCTGCCCCCTGGAGATTTCTAGGTGCTTTTGGTAAACAGGTCCTTGTCTGCCTTGACTCTGCTATTATCCTCAGTCATGTACAAAATCTCTATCTTTCCTGGAGTTGTCCCAGTGCAGACTCAGGCTAGGAGTCATGCTTCTGAAGAATAATGTATGAAAATGATTTTGAAAAAGGAGTGATTGACTAAGCGTTCATCTATTACCAAAGATAATTAGAACTATAGTAACACATGGAAAAATATCAGTGATCACTGGTCACTGATACTGATCATTGACATTTCTTACATAATATACTAAGTTATTATTACCAAATTTATAGCTAAGTCATTTTTTTTGCAGGCCTGCATAAGCATATTTAACTAAAAGTCTGTTGAATGAGACTTGCATAGTGCTTCCCCAGGTACCTGACCTAAGGCACCTGTGAGTCTGTGTGCTTACCAGGGGCCTTTCCATCATTGTTATGGGGCTGCCTAAGCAGTGGTAAGCCTTTGTTAAATGCAGACATGGAATGAGTCCTTCTGCAGCCCGTGTGGCCTCCTCTTAGCTGTGGGCCTGCCTCTTCCTGTTTTGGTTCCTCACTTCCGTTTAGAGTGACCCTGAAACCACATTCCAGCCCTATCTTCATTTCCTCTGCACAGGAGGTCGTATGGTCTTCTGTTCACAGTCAGACTTAAGACCCTTCCTATTTTCTTTAAGGACTGGTTGTTTTCTATTTGATGTTATTGTGCTGGTGATCCACAATGTATATTGTCAGAAAATAATACTTTGAAAGCTGTGGTAGCTAGAGGTCTGTGTAGGATAGAATAGACAATGGGTAGGAAGTATTAAGAATAAGCACCTTTTGGGCCAGGCGTGGTGTCTCACGTCTGTAATCCCAGCACATTGGGAGGCTGAGGCAGGTGGATCACCTGAGGTCAGGAGTTCAAGACCAGCCTGGCCAACGTGGCAAAACCCCGTCTCTACTAAAAATAGAAAAGTTAGCCAGGCGTGATGGCGCACACCTGTAATCTCAGCTACTCGGGAGGCTGAAGCAAGGAGAATCGCTTGACCCAGGGAGGCGGAGGTTGCAGTGAGCCGAGATTGTTCCATTGCACTCCAGTCCAGGCAACAAGAGCGAAACTCCCGTCTCAAAAAAAAAAAAAAAAAAAAAAAAAAAGAATAGGCACCTTTTGTTGTTCAATGGGTATAGTTTCAGTTTTGCAAGATGAAAAAATTCTGGATATCTGTTTCACAACCATGTGAATATGCTTAACACTGTTGAATGCTGTACACTTACAGATAGTTAATTTGATAAATTTTATGTTTTGTGTTTTTTACCACAAGAAAAAAACAACCATTTTTTTATGGAACATAGACTTAAAAGGTTAAGTACATACAGGGTTTTGGATTTTTTGTCTTTTTAATACTTGATTCTATTTACTCATCCTTTACTACAAGTTGGATCACTAGATTAGGGTTTTGGAAGGTTTAGCAGAGCAGAGAAGTATAGCAAACAGAATTCGTTCATTTAACATTTATTGAGCACTTCCTGGGTAGCAGGCCCTATGCTTTAAGTTGATAATTCAGAGAAATAAGGGACTTGACCCCCAGATGCCTCTTTTGTGGAAAGAACCGGAGAAGCCGTTTTAACATAAAGCAGGAAATCCTGAAAAATTTTATATGCCATTAACATTTTATTATTAAAGCATACAGACATACAGTCATACATCAAAGTTTCAAAACTTTTATTATGGAGAATTTAAAACATACACAGAAGTAAAGGAAGAATACCGTGAACCGCCTTGTGCCTGGCTCTAGCTGGCATCCACTCATAGCGTCTTTTGTTTCTTTATATCCCTCTCCCAGTCCATTTTTGGGGGTACATTCTTGTTCTTTTCATTTTATCTGTAAATATTTTAGTACTTTCACTGAAAGATAAGGGCTGTTTTTCTTAGAATGAATCACACAATACCACTATCATCCCAAAGTTATTTCACAGTTTTGTGTGTGTGTTTGTGTGTACTGTGATTTGTTTGCATCAGGATGTAAACAAGGTCTACACATTACATTCGGTTGATAGGTTTTCTTCAATATCTTTTAAGCTATAGGTTTTCCTTATTTTCTGTCTTATTGAAATGTTATTTACTGAAAAAATCATGCCGTTTATCTTGTGCACTTGCTCATACTATTATATATGAATTTTGCGAAATGATTTTTTTGCTTTGAAACAGTAGTGACCACTTATTCTTCACATAGATCCATTACTTAATCATGGGCATGCAAGATGTTGCAATTCTAATTTCATCATTCCTTTTTCATTTATTCGCTGGAATACTAGTACAGAGAAGACTCTTTTTACAGACTGTTCAGTTACCCAGAGGTATAGCTTATACAGGGAAGTCAGGTTAAATGAGTGACTCTTTCTCTTTACTTACAACTCTTGGAGGGTCCCTAGCATTTCCAAAAATGGCCAGTGCTTTTTCCTTTATTTAAAAAGTATCATTATAAACACATACTCTTTTCTTTTTCTTTTTCTTTTTTTTTTTTTTTGAGACAGGGTCTTACAATGTCGCTCAGGCTGGAGTGCAGTGGTGTAATCATGGCTCATTGCAGCCTCAACCTCCTGGGCTCAAGCGATCCTCCTGCCTCAGCCTCCCAAGTAGCTGGGACCACAGGCATGCACCACCAAACACAGCTAATTAAAAAAGAAATCGTTTTTGGAGAGATGGGATCTCACTGTGTTGCCCAGGCTGGTCTTGAACTCTTGGCCCTCAAGAGATTTTCCTACCTCGGCCTCACAAAGTACTGAGATTACAGGTGTGAGCCATCACGCCCAGCCAGCATGTGAATTTAATATGTTTGATGATTTCTTAAGTTCATTGCAGTTATTCTTTAATGAGTTAATTACATTAATTAATGATAGATCTCACTATGTTGCCCAGGCTGGTCTCAAGTGATCCTCTCTCCTTACCCTCCCAGGTAGCTGGGACTATAAGGCACAAACCAGTTTACCCAGCCACAGTTATTCTTATTAATGATCAAATTGTCCCTTCTTTTTTTCTTGAGACAAGAGTGTTGCTTTTGTTGCCCAGGCTGGAGTGCAATGGCATGATCTCAGCTCACTGCAACCTCTACCTTCTAGGTTCAAGCGATTCTCTTCCCTTGGCCTCCTGAGTAGCTGTGATTACAGGCATGCACCACTACGCCCGGCTAATGTTTTATTTCTTATTTTTATTTTTGGAGACAGAGTCTCACTCTGTCGCCCAGGCTGGAATGCAGTGGCGCAATCTCAGCTCACTTCAGCCTCTGCCTCCGGGTTCAAGCAATTCTTCTGCCTCAGCCTCCCAAGTAGCTGGGACAACAGGTGCGCACCACTACGCCTGGCTAATTTTTGTATTTTTAGTAGAGACGGGGTTTTATCACATCGGCCAGGCTGGTCTTGAACGCTTGACCTCAGGCAATCCGCTAGTCTTGGCCTTCCAAAGTACTGGGATTACAGGTGTGGGCAACCACGCCCGGCCCTAATTTTATATTTTTACTAGAGATGGGATTCTCCATTTTGGTCAGGCTGGTCTCGAATTCCCGACCTCCGGTGATCCCCCTGCCTCAGTCTCCCAAAGAGCTAAGATTACAGGCATGAGCCACTGCACCTGGTCCACATTGTCTCTTCTTTGGCCAATGGGAGTGCCTTCACATTAGCTCCTGGGTCATTTTGGCATGGGTGCTTCTGATGGCTTCTTGCTTTCTTGTGTGACAAGATGTCCAGGCTCATCTTGTACATTAACAGCCATAGATCTGGAATTATCCCTTTCTTTAACCAGCCCTGGTTCCTTTCAGAGGGAAATTGTATTTAGTGACCACAGTCTGGAAACTACAGATTGGTTGTTACTTCTAGGCCTTTTCAGTGAATGGGGCTAGGAAATACGTTATTTTTAAGGTAAAATATTTTATGAGTTTCATACTGATTTTTCCATTATAAACTTAGGAACAGATGATTTTGTTGAATTTCTTTAATTTTATCTTTGTCTCATGCTAAAAATTTTGGTTCTTGATCATAATCATATTGATACCATTACTTGTCAGTGTTACTGCTAACAATATGATTACTGAAAATAGTTTAAGAATTAAAAGCACTTTCCCAAATTCTTTTCATTTTTAGGATAGATTCCTATAGGGATGTCTGGTAAAACTGTTTTAAATCATTTGAAATAATTCCTTTTTGCATGATTATACCACCAATTCAACAAATATTTAGGGTCATTTCATTTTGCTTTTGAATTTTAGAGATGACAGTTTTTCAATTATTTTTTAAACAATTATGGAAAACATATACATGGTTCCAGAGCTAAATGTGTAAAACAAGGCAGAATCAGAGAAATCCATCTCTGATTGTGGTTCCCTCTATTTTTTTTCCTGCATTCCATTTAAAACATGAGCAAGAGTGTGTGTGTGTGTGTGTGCATGTCCATGCATGTGCACACACGTATAGTTTCTGCCTCCTAATCCCGTCTTAGGTGAATGGTAGCACACTATGTATAATTTTCTTCTTGCTTTTTTGTCTTCCTATTTTTCCTGCTGATCACTCCATAGAAGTATATAGAGACATTTGTCATGCCTTTTTGTCTATTTCATTGTGTGAATTTACCAGTTTATTGTCAGTCCCATATTAATGGACATTTGGATTGTCTTTAGTGTCTTGCTGTTAGAAATAGTGCTGCAGTGAATACCTTGTATATACATACTTATTTTTTGTTGTTGTTGTTGTCTTTTAGAGGGATATTTCAGTTTTAAATAAAACAACTTGACTTCAGGAAGTATTCAAGCGTAATGTTACTGCTACTGATGGATTGTTCTGGGAATAGTGGAGGATGCAAAAGGCCAGTCTTGTGATCTAGGGTAGTAATCTTTCTTTGAGTATTATGGGTCCTCTCAGTTCTGTATTATTGTTCTTGTAAAAACCACATTTATAGAGTAGCTTCTGTGTTTTCTAGTTTCACTCTGTTTAAAGTAGATTGAGACTTTAGGAACATCTGAAGCAGTCAGAGCATAGAATTCTATCTTTTTTTTTAAATGTAAATTTTTTTTGTAGAGATGGGGTCTTGCTGTGTTGCCCAGACTGGTCTCAAACTCCTGGCCTCAAGTGATCCTTCTGCCTCAGCTTCCCAAAGTACTGGGATTACAGGTATGAGCCATTGCACCTAGCCAGGATTCTGGTATTTTAGTGTTGTTTTCTAGTCTTTTATAGTTGTTTTATATATACTCAATTTGTCAAAAAATTTTAAGGAAAGTAATATGCCTGTATGGATGCTTTCCAAAGTATTCAACATAGGTTTTATAGAAATAGTAACTTCTTACTTTTGTAGCCACATGTTTGTCCATTTGTGATCAGTTTATATAGTATTCAATTAAATTATACCATTGCAGAATGAGTACAACTGACATAAACAGGTTTGGAGATGAAACAATAGGTTTTTGATAATGTGCACAATTCAACTGGTAGTAGCAGAAATATGCACATTGTTAGAGAGTAGCTTAAATGTGAGCATTCTTTATTTTCTGGGCATTCACTAATCTATTTTAGGGACGAATGATAGCACCAGTTCACTTCTAAAATTTTCCAGTTCCTAGTAGGAGCCTGGCACTTGGAAGATGCTCGGAAAATTGGGTCAGACTATGAGAATACGTCCTTGTCCATTTGTTTGCTTAGGTTAAATGAATGAAATATTCTAGGTCTTCCCAAAGGGATTTAAAATAAACTAAAAATCTCTAAGACGTGATAGCTGACTTTAAAAACTATTCCTGATTTACGTTTATATTACTTTAAATTTGGTCTTGGGTTATTATTTTGATGATTGACTAAAACATTTTTTTGCTTTTATTATAGTTTTTTCACTAAAAGATGTTTTCTAGGTGGAGAAAATTGAAAAGAATGGATTCCAGGATCATAAAGCAAATAATAGTTTATAGTGTTTTTTTTTTTTTTTAAATTCTACCACCTGTGTGCCAGTTAGTAATAAAACTACTAGTTTTTAATAGACATTAACCACCTTTGGGATTTCACCATGGGAAAATGGGAGCAGTATTCCTTTTCTTTCTTTCACCTTCTTTAGTATGTATACATATCACAGTCAATGGTGCAGAAAGGTTAGGAAACTGGAAGGATACAAAGTTTAGTCATAAGGAAGCACAAATTCAAGTTCCTGGAATATTTTTACCCCTGCTCTGTATGGAACACCGTAGGGAATACTAAAGAAACATGATGGTACAGAAGACTGTAGGAATTGCCAAAAAATATGCAACACTCCAGGGATCATATAGCCTTTTAAGTAGGCCAGGCTTTGTACCCTGCAAGGAATGATCTAAACTATGTGATATATTGTATCAGTCAGAGTTCTGCAAAGAAACAAAACCAATAGGGTGTGTGTGTCTGTGTGTGTGTGTGTGTGTGTGTGTACAGATATACCTATATATATAGATAGATAGCTAGATGAGATTGGGAGAGAGAGATTTATTTTAAGGAATTGGTTCATATGATTGTGGAGACTAACAAGTCCAAAATCTGTAGGGTGGGCTGGCAGGCTGGAGGCTCAGGGAAGAGTTGATTCTGGAGTTCAAGGCTGAAGGCAGTCTGCTGGCAGAATTCCCTCTTCTTCTAGGGGAGGTCAGTCATTTTTATATTAAGGCCTTCAACTGATTGGTTGAGGCCCACGCACATTATGGAAAGCAGGATATTTTACTCAGAATCCACCAATTTAGAAGCTGGGTGTGGTGACAGGCACCTATAGTCCCAGATACTTGGGAGGCTGAGGCAAGAGGATCACTTGAGCCTAGGAGTTAAGTCCAGCCTAGGCAACATAGTGAAACCCCATCTCCTAAAAAAAAAAATTGCATCTCTAAAAAAAATGTTGAACTCAAACCAGGGGCAGTTGACAGAAACTCTTGGTATCCTTTCTGTGTATCTTCCCACTCCCAATCTGCACTGTGATTTTATGTTCTTAATGACAGACTTCTGACTTATGATAATGTTATGTGCACAGGGAGGGCCTGGTGAATATTTACTTTCTAGTTGTCAGAAGAATGAGACTAAAACAGTTTTCTTGTGCATATCTGTTTTGAGAAGCAGGTCTGGCATTACTCTCATTGTATATCTAGGAGAGGAAGTTTCAGCTGAGTCATGTATTGACCTAGAGCAGGTGGATCACTTGACCTCTCTGAGTGTTTCCTCGTCTATAAAATGGGAATAAATCCGGTCTTGCCTTAAAAAAAAGTCTGCCAATTTAAATGTCAGTCTTATCTTAAAAATACCTTCACAGAAACATTCAGAATAATGTTTGACCAAATATCTGCATATTGTGGCCTAGTCAAGTTGACATGTGAAATTAACCATCACTTATATTGAAGGACTGTTTTTAATGTGACTAATGTCCACCTGTAAAGAAATTGGGTAACTGCTATGGGTTGTAAAGAAGGGAAAGGGGAACATGTTTTGCTTGTAGAGAAGAAATGCTTTGAGGTGTGGTCTGAAGGCCAGGGAATTTTGGGCCTGATGGGCAAAGAGGAAAGAGCATCCCAAGAAGGTGGGACAGAATGAACAAGGGTAAGGTTGTACATGGCATGTACAGGGGTCCTTGAGAAGATTTGTCCTGCCTGGGCAGACATATCTCGGATGGTCAGGGGGTAAGGTGAGTAGTGAGGCAAATTCTGCTCTGGTTTTTCTGGTTTACTGCAGTATGTGGAGAATATGCTTGTTCTGGCCTGAGATGACAGCTGACTGGTGCAGAGCAGTGTGTGCCACTGTCCTTACATGCTGCATTGTACAATGACATGCTGAGAATTCTTTCTGCAGGAAGCACTTCAAATGAAGTATAATTGCCTTCGATTTTTCTGTTACAAACTTTGGCCACAGTTTCTTCCTCTGTCAGCCTACTAAAGATGCTTCACAAGATCCATGTGTTTGTTAAGGAACGTGAGATCTTCAAGCGGTATGGATTGCTAGAAGGAATTCAAGTATCTAAACCTTGGGAATATTTTTGGATCTTTATTAATGTTATTCTGTAGTAGAAATAGAGTTGAGCACCTTTTTCCCCGTATTATAAAGATCATAATTAGCTTTGAATTTATAATAGGTGTGAAAACACCTTATAAAAACACTCTACTGATAAAAACTATTATTATCAGAGGAAAAAGCAGCGAAAACAACATGTGGTAAATTGTTACAAAACGGCTCCTAATGAATCACTGCCCCCTGTCCCCGCTCCCAGCTCTGCCTGTTTGCAGTATGACTTCACTTGTTTCTCCCATTGTCTTAGTCTGTGTTGTGCTGCTGTAACAGAGTACCTGAGATGGGGTAATTAATAAAGTACAGAGATTTAGTTCTTACAGTTCTGCAGCCTGGGAAGTCCAAGGTTGAGGGGCTCACATCTGGTGAGGGCTTTCTTGCTGCATCATCCCATGGTGGAAGGCAGATGGGCAAGAGAGCATGTGCCTGGGATGGAGAGAAGGGAAGGAGGCTGAACTTATTCTTCTGTTAGGAACCCACTCCCATGATAACTAACCTACTTCCTCAATAACAGCATTAATCCATTAGTGAGGGCAGAGCCCTCATGGCTTGATCACGTCTTACAAGTCCCACCTGTCAACACTGTTGCATTGGGGATTAAGTTTCCAATACATGAAC
Source organism: Homo sapiens (assembly GCF_000001405.40). NCBI lineage: Eukaryota > Metazoa > Chordata > Mammalia > Primates > Hominidae > Homo > Homo sapiens. The sequence continues at coordinate 45,549,616 of NC_000010.11, read as the reverse complement.
TTGGGGGACACATTCAAACCACAGGACCCATCAAGTGGTAGAGTCTCTTTTCCCCCTTCTTGACTTTGGTCTCAATCAGCAGACACAGTGCAAGCAGAGGCACCATGTGTAGTGGGTGAACTGTCTTGGGATGCTGCTGCCAACATGTGAAGAAGCCTAGAAGAAAAGGCCACATGGAGAAGGCCCTGCCTTCCCTGCTGAGCCCAGCGAAGCAGCCTTTGTAAGTCAGGTAAGGGCAGCAGAAGAGCTGCCCAGCCAACCCATGGAATTATGAGAAATAGGAAATCATGGCTGTTCAAGCAACAAAGTTTTGGGTAGTTTGTTACATAGCAAGAGAAAATGGAACATCTTGTGATAAGTGGCTGGAATCCATGACTGCAATTCTAATCATGGCTTCATTACTGAGCCTTCAAGGAGGCAGCAAAGTAAACAGGTTTATTCTCTAATGATGTGCTGAATACCCAGGGAGAACGCTGGGCTGCTGGAGCCTTGACCTCTCCTTCATCCCCCTTTCGTTATCTATAGGGATCAGACACTGTTCTCTGCAGGGCAAGCACTGAAGAGCTCTTGTAGGAGCTCAAGAAGGTAGACTATTTCTTTTCTTTCTTTTTTTTTTTTTTTGAGATGGAGTCTTGCTCTTGTCACCCAGGCTGGAGTGCAATGGCATGATCTTGGGTCACTGCAACCTCCACTTCCCAGGTTCAAGCAGTTCTCTTGCCTCAGCCTCCTGAGTAGCTGGGATTACAGGCGCCTGCCACTACTCTCGGCTAATTTCTGCATTTTTAGTAGAGACAGGGTTTCACCATGTTGGCCAGGCTGGTCACGAACTCCTGACCTCAGGCGATCCACCGCCTCGGCCTCCCGAAGATTACAGGCATGAGCCACCGTGCCTGGCCAAACGCAGACTATTTCTGTGCTTGATGGATTGAAGGTGTTTTCCAAGTGTTGAAAACACCTGTTCTGTTTCTCAGACGTGAAATGCTAAAAGAACCCTAACAAATCTTCTCTTTTCCCTTTTCTTAACTTTGAGTGTTTTCAGTATTTTTGCATTCTATTACCAAGGGAATACTGTGGCTATTCCATAATTTCCCTGAGATGCAAAATCTTTCAGAAAGCCCAGACATTAGTCCAGGCCCTTTTTCCAGTTAATTGCACCTGGTTTACCTAATTCACGTACCTGCCCCGGTGGTTGTACTGAGGTCTTCCCGAGTCATGGAAGGTGTCCTGATAGCATGCACTGTCTGGAGCCGAGTCCTGCCTGCCCCACATTAGCATCTCACTCTCATGCAGCTGTGGTGTCTCTCTGTTACTCTACTTCTGGGGATTCTAAATTGCATACACTGCCTTTCAGTCTACAGCCTGACTGCTCTCTCTTAGCCAAGCACTTGCATTTGGACAGGACTTCAGCATTAGGCTTTGTTGTTTTCCTTAGGGGCCCAGTTTTTATGGAATTTTTTCCTACTGGGTAGCATTGTTGGCACACCTTGAATCCATCCATTCTGCCGCTCTTGGCTTCAACCTCTGAGGTTATGTGTTGGAAAATTACCTTGCATCTTCTACTAGAATAAAGATGAAAGAACATAAGGATGTGGGCTATAGTTTTTAAATGCAGTGTTTCTTTTCTGTGGCTTGTGATACAAATTTGCAAGTGAACTCAAAATGCTACAGTTAAATATCTGCCATGAATTCGACCTAACTATTTGAGGGGTATCTTAGTGCCTTAAAGTAACCCACTTTTGAAATATCTAATTTATTATCTTTGCCAAATTTTAGGCAGATATAACCATTGCTTTGGTTAAGTTGTCCCTCTATAGACAAAAAAGACAACAAAAGGCCTGTCACTATTTAATACTTCAAATGTGAATTCCATGTTGTCTTCTATATCCATAGGGATTATAATAGCTCTTCTTTACTACAACAAAGACAGGAACATATTATGTTTTATCTTAGTCCTTCCCGTAGCAGTGCCACTGTGAAATTAAAAAAACAAAAAACAAAAAAACCGCTACATATTTTAGGTTCACCTGATCGGTTGCTGCACACTATCACATTTAGTCAAGCATAAGTTGTGCATTTTTATCCATTCTAACATCTCTGAAATTGGCACCTTGGAATCCCCGCTTAGTCAGGGATAATTATGGTCTAGTTGCATAAAAACTTTTTGTTGACACCTTCTGTAAGGTCAAGCAAATGCTGGCAGCTGAGAGTCCTTGAAATATGGCTGTGAAAGCTTGGGCAAGTTGATTAATTTCTCTAAGCCATGCATGAAAGGGAGATAAAAGTTTCTCTCCCTCCTGGCACTGCTGTGAGATTTAAATGAAATATGCATGTAAAATACTTAAGATTTACAAATGCTTTCATCTAGTTTTTTCCTCCATTATTATTGACAGGCAGTATTTTTATACTTTTTAGTTTCTTCATATACTTTATCTGTTTAAATTATTTATGCTTTGGATTTTATTTTCCACTTATTTTCAGCATTGCTTATTTACTATTGTTTTATTTAACATTTATTGTACCCTTTATTACCTCTAGTAATGATCTGAATTTTTTTGGTGGGGAGACAAGGTCTTTCTATGTTGCCCAGGCCAGTCTAGAACTCCTGGCCTAAAGTGGTCCTCCCACCTCAGCCTCCCAAGTAGCTGGGACTACAGATACAAGCCACTGCAACTGGCAATGCTCTAAATTACTCTAGGAGATTTAAAAACTAACAAACTTCAGTCTTTTGTTTCTGGATAAACTTTAGTCTGTGGGATATGTTTGTATGTCTTATGATTTCTTCACTATTGGTAATTGCATATATATTTTCTGGTAGTTAACTTTTTTTTTTTTTTTGAGACAGGTTCTCCTCCTGTCACCCAGGCTGGAGTGTAGTGGTACAATCTTGGCTCACTGCAACCTCTGTCCCCTGGGCTCAAGTGATCCTCCCATCTGTCGACCAAGTAGCTGATACCACAGGCATGCACCACCACGCCCAGCAATTTTTTTTATATTTTTAGGAGAGATGGGGTCTCACCATGTGGCCCAGGCTGGTCTCAAACTCCGGAGCTTAAGTGATCCACTCGCCTTGGCTTCCTAAAGTGCCAGGATTACAGGTGTGAGCCACCACTCCTGGCCTGCTTTATTCTTGTTGCATTAAAAAATTTCAGCTCATGACCGGGCGCTGTGGCTCACGCCTGTAATCTCAGCACTTTGGAAGGCCAAGGCGGGCGGATTGCCTGAGGTCAGGAGTTTGAGATCACTCTGGCCAACATGGTGAAACCCTGTCTCTACTAAAAATACAAAAAAATTAGACAGGAGTGGTGGCGTGCACCTGTAATCCCAGCTACTCGGGAGGCTGAGGCAGCGCAATCGCTTGAACCAGGAAGGTGGAGGTTTCAGTGAGCCGAGATTGCACCACTGCACTCCAGCCTGGGCAACAGAGCGAGACCCTGTCTCAAAATAAATAAATAAATAAATAAATAAATAAATAAATAAAAATTCAGCTCATTTTTATATTTTAAAATGAACTCGCTGTTTTTAAAGCTAATAGTTTTAACAGGCCAAGCCCAAATAACAAAATTTGCATCAGACTGTTTTTTAGTGGGTAACATATGGAGACCTTGTGGTGTTTCTCTGTCATCTTCCCTGAAATTTCTCAGAGCTTTCAAGTTTAATTTTGGTCTTCGTTTCAGTAAAAGGCAGGAGCAGGGCAATCTTTATAGCTTTATAGCTTAAGGTTAGCCTTGCTAACCAGTGGTTAAGTGAGAGTGAGACAGAGGGCGAGATGTGATGTGGCAGGGGGAGCCTTCTTTCCTGGCTGAGTGAAGGGAAGAAGGCTTTGAGGTGATACTAGTGCAGTAGCATATTTGGGCTCTCGTTCAGCTGTTGGATAGCAAGCTTCCATAACTTGCTATCTATCCAGCATTGCGTTTTTGACTCAAAGGTTGAAATTTCTTATCTGTAACTTAGGAAACTCAAGTTTTCCTCTGTCTTAAAATGCTTTGATCAGTAATTCTTAACTACTTATACTTGTCATCTTCTAAAATTATTCTTAAAGATACTTAGATTACATTCCACTATATTTGAAATCCATTTCAATTTTCAACTAAGTCTGATGTGGTCAATCTGCTGCAGATATTTAAAGATCAGTGGGTTTCTTCCCATCTGAAATGAATTGTACCAGGTTGACAAACATGAATTTTTGTTAGTTTTTCCAAATCTCCACTAGGGTACTTGATCAGGATTTGAGACAGAGAACAGTGTTGCTTAATAGTTTGAGTTACAAATGAAATTCTCAGCCATTTTTGCCTGCTGTCTCAGGGAGATTGATCCAACCAGCATTTATTTAATAGATCTTATGTGATAGGCATTGGGCCACAGAAAGAGAGATACAAAGGTGAGCAAAATGAGATATGCTGCCTTTGGGGAGCTTACGGCTGAGTAGGGGAGAAAGTCATTAATTAAAGAACTCAATAAATGTAACATTCTGTGAACATTGTTAATGAAGTAGAGGTTCTTCATTGATCCTATAAAGAACTATGAATGTGGAATTTCCTCTGTCAGGATGGTCAGATGGTTGAGGAAGAGTTAGTTAGCCCAAAAGGGGAAGGAAGAGTGTTGCAGGCAGAGAATACCATATATATAGGCTGTGATGGTAAGGTGCTGGGAGGTCTGAGGGGACTGAAGGAACACTGCTGTTGCTGGACTATAGAGAGAGGGGTAGTACAAAATGAGGTGGGATAGATAACATAGGGCCTTGTAAGCTGTATTAAATGAGCATCTTGAGGTGTAATTTAGGCACCATAAAATTCACCTATTATAAGTGTACAATTCAGTGATTAATAAATTTGAAGTAGTGCAGTGTCATTGTAATCCAGTTAGAGACATTTCCTTTGCCCCCAAAGTTCCCTCTTGCCCATTTGCAGATAGTACCCACAACTACACCCAACATGAGGCAATCACTGATCTGCCTTCTCAAGACACTTTATAAAAACGGAATTGTATAATATATAGACTTTTGTGTCTGACTTGTTTCAATTTGCATAATCTTTGAGGTTCATCCATGTTGTAGTGTATATGATTGGTTTTTTCCTTTTAATTGCTGAATAGAATTTCATTGTATAGATAAGCCACATTTTTATCTATTCTTTAGTTGGTGGACATTTGGAATATTTCCAGTTTTGGGCTATTATGAGGAATGCTGCTATGCACATTCATGTATGTGTCTTTGTGTGGACGTATGTTTTCATATCTCTTGGATGAATTCCAAGGACTGCAGTTCCTGGGTCATAGGATAAGTTTATGTTTAACTTTTTAGGAAACTGCCAGACTATTTTCCAAGTATCTATACCAATTTATATTCTCACCAGCAATACATGAGAGATCTAATTTTTTCTATATCAAACAATTAGTATTGACTGTCTTTTTGATTGGAGCCATTCTAGTGTTTTTGGTTGTAGCCATTCTAGTGGGGGTATAGTGGTATATCATTGTGGTTTTAATTTTTAGCATCTTTTCATGAGTTTATTAGCTATTCATATGTCTTCATTATTTTATTTTATTTTTTAGAGACGGGGTCTCATGCTGTTGCCCAGAATGGAGTACAGTGTTGTGATCATAGCTCACTGTAGCCTCGAACACATGGGCTCAAACGACCCTCTTGCCTCAGCTTCCCGAATAGCTAGGACTACAGGCACATATGAGAGCCTGGCTCTCATATATTTTCTTTGATGAAATGTCTGTTAATGTATTTTGCTTATTTTAAAATTATGTTGTTTGTCTTAACGTAGGAGTTCTTTATTCTAGATACAAGTCTTTTTTTTTTTTTTTTTTTTTTTGAGACGGAGTCTCACTCTGTCACCCAGGCTGGAGTGCAGTGGCACGATCTTGGCTCACTGCAAGCTCCGCCTCCCGGGTTCACGCCATTCTCCGGCCTCAGCCTCCTGAGTAGCTGAGACTACAGGCGCCCGCCACCGTGCCCGGCTAATTTTTTGTATTTTTAGTAAAGACAGGGTTTCACCATGTTGACCAGGATGGTCTCGATCTCCTGACCTTGTGATCCGCCTGCCTCGGCCTCCCAAAGTGCTAGGATTACAGGCATGAGCCACCGTGCCCGGCCAGATACAAGTCTTTTATCAGATATATGATTGTCAAGTATTTTTCCCCCAGTCGGTGGCTTATCTTGAGTTTTATTAATGGTATCTTTTAAAGTGCAAAAGTTTTAAATTCAATAAAGTCTGATTTATCAATATTTTCTTTTTAAATAACATCTGCAAAGGTGGGCATTCAAGCCAAAGTTATGGATTAAATCACCCAGGAAAAGGGAGCACAGAATGAGAATCAGAGAGGGTTAAATGGAACTTTGAGGAATATCTGTGTACAATGTCATGCTATAGGGGATAGATCTGCAGAGGTGGAGATGGAGCAGGAGGAACACTAGGACGGTGTTATGTCATTTAAGTCAAAGAAAAGAGTATTTTAAGACTAGGAAGAGAGTAAAAGTATCAAGTCAAATAACATGAGGGCTGCAAAACAATTTTTAGGCTTAATATAGAGAGCATTGTAGACCTTACTGTACTGAAGCCAGATTGTAGTTAGTTGAAATGTGTATAGAAAGTGAAGAAATGTTGAATGTGAGTGTAGACCACCTTTTCCTAGAAGAGTAGGATAGATGGGACAGTAGTGGGATATGAATGAGGAGTCAAGTGAAGTTTTCTTGCCTTCTTTTTCAAATTTCTAATTAGACAATGTAACCTCTTTATTTATTATCTTAAATAATGATCCAGGAATAATGCCACTTTTGGAAAGTGTGTGGCATTAGATGTTGATCTGTTTAAGGTCACATGAGTCTCATACCTGTTATTCTTTTTATACTTTCTCTCCATTGAATTCTTCAGAATACCTTCAAAATCTAAAAAATAAAAGTAATACGTGTACTAAAATACATGTAATAAAAGTAATACATTTCATTTTGAAAAATGAATTGTAAGCCCATACTCTCTTATTCAAAACTCTTGGATCAGAAATATTTTAGAATTTAGAAATTCTCAGGTTTTTAGGAAAGTAGTCTGCTACAGTACTCTGCTACATATACTATAAATTATCAGATACTCCCATCGAGGCTTGGAGTAAGATCCCTTACTCAAATGCGCTATTTCTGCATTGAAGTATATATAATATTTACACTAAGTAGCATAAGTATAGTTTTGAATAGCTTCCTGTTAGTTCAGGTCAGGTTTTGGCCCCAGGGTGTTCAATCAAGTCTTTTTTTTTTTTTTTTTTTTTTTTTTGAGACGAAGTCCTGCTCTGTCACCAGGCTGGAGTGCGGTAGGACGGTCTCGGCTCACTACAAGCTTCGCCTCCCAGGTTCACACCATTCTCCTGCCTCAGCCTACCAAGTAGCTGGGGACTACAGGTGCCCGCCACCATGCCCCGGCTAATTTTTTGTATTTTTAGTAGAGATGGGGTTTCACCGTGTTAGCCAGGATGGTCTCAATTTCCTGACCTCGTGATCTGCCTGCCTCAGCCTCCCAGAGTGCTGGGATTACCGGCATGAGCCACTGCGCCCGGCCTAGGAGTTCAATCAAGTTTTAGTGTTAAATAAGTAAAGAAAGGGTAGAGTGGTTTTTAAAAAATTTTAATTTTGGTAGTTTTCTGAATTTTAGAACTATGGTTAGGAGCTTGGTGTACCCAATGTCCTAGAATGAAAAACAGTAGTCCTTTGCTCTGGCACAGTCCAAAGCCTTGTTGTTGGAATGGACAGAATCTTCCCCATAGGCAGCCGCATGTATCTTCTGAGAGTTGCTTCCATGTTTTCAAATAATATGTTCATAAACATTAGCTATTATCTGTTGACTTCCTTTTCTTACCCAACGTTCCCTCTTCCCATCCTCCCAATTTGGTTATATCTGTGTTGCTTATATGATTGTAATGTTTATACCATTGTCCGTGTTGAAATTTGTTTCATTTTAAAGCCAAATTATTACATTTTCTTTCTTCTATAGTTTTTGTTGTTGTTAGTAATTGCTTTATATTTTCACTTGCATTTTTTTAAAATTTTATTATTATTATACTTTAAGTTTTAGGGTACATGTGCACAACGTGCAGGTTTGTTACATATGTATACATGTGCCATGTTGGTGTGCTGCACCCATTAACTCTTCATTTACATTAGGTATATCTCCTAATGCTATCCCTCCCCTAGCCCCCCACCCCGCAACAGGCCCCGGTGTGTGATGTTCCGCTTCCTGTGTCCATGTGTTCTCATTGTTCAATTCCCACCTATGAGTGAGAACATGTGGTGTTTGGTTTTTTGTCCTTGCAATAGTTTGCTGAGAATGATGGTTTCCAGCTTCATCCATGTCCCTACAAAGGACATGAATTCATCCTTTTTTATGGCTGCATAGTATTCCATGGTGTATATGTGCCACATTTTCTTAATCCAGTCTATCATTGTTGGACATTTGGGTTGGTTCCAAGTCTTTGCTATTGTGAATAGTGCCGCAATAAACATACGTGTGCATGTGTCTTTTATAACAGCATGATTTATAATCCTTTGAGTATATACCAAGTAATGGGATCACTGGGTCAAATGGTATTTCTAGTTCTAGATCCCTGGGGAATCGCCACACTGACTTCCACAATGGTTGAACTAGTTTACTGTCCCACCAACAGTGTAAAAGTGTTCCTATTTCTCCACATCCTCTCCAGCACCTGTTGTTTCCTGACTTTTTAATGATCGCCATTGTAACTGGTGTGAGATGGTATCTCATTGTGGTTTTGATTTGCATTTCTTTGATGGCCAGTGATGATGAGCATTTTTTCATGTGTCTTTTGGCTGCATAAATGTCTTCTTTTGAGAAGTGTCTGTTCATGTCCTTCGCCCACTTTTTGATGGGGTTGTTTGTTTTTTTCTTGTAAATTTGTTTGAGTTCATTGTAGATTCTGGATATTAGCCCTTTGTCAGCTGAGTAGATTGCAAAAATTTTCTCCCATTCTGTAGGTTGCCTGTTCACTTTGATGGTAGTTTCTTTTGCTGTGCAGAAGCTCTTTAGTTTAATTAGATCCCATTTGTCAATTTTGGCTTTTGTTGCCATTCCTTTTGGTGTTTTAGACATGAAGTCCTTGCCCATGCCTATGTCCTGAATGGTATTGCCTAGGTTTTCTTCTAGGGTTTTTATGGTTTTAGGTCTAACATGTAAGTCTTTAATCCATCTTGAATTAATTTTTGTATAAGGCATTATTTCTGAGGGCTCTGTTCTGTTCCATTGGTCTATATCTCTGTTTTGGTACCAGTACCATGCTGTTTTGGTTACTGTGGCTAAGCCTTATGGTATACTTTGAAGTCAGGTAGTGTGATGCCTCCAGCTTTGTTCTTTTGGCTTAGGATTGACTTGGCAATGCAGGCTCTTTTTTGGTTCCATATGAACTTTAAAGTAGCTTTTTCCAATTCTGTGAAGAAAGTCATTGGTAGCTTGATGGGGGGATGGCATTGAATCTATAAATTACCTTGGGCAGTATGGCCATTTTCATGATATTGATTCTTCCTACCCATGAGCATGGAATGTTCTTCCATTTGTTTGTATCCTCTTTTATTTCATTGAGCAGTGGTTTGTAGTTCTCCTTGAAGAGGTCCTTCACATCCCTTGTAAGTTGGATTCCTAGGTATTTTATTCTCCTTGAAACAATTGTGAATGGGAGTTCACTCATGATTTGGCTCTCTGTCTGTTATTGGAGTGTAAGAATGCTTGTGATTTTTGCACATTGATTTTGTATCCTGAGACTTTGCTGAAGTTGCTTATCAGCTTAAGGAGATTTTGGGCTGAGACGATGGGGTTTTCTAGATATACAATCATATCATCTGCAAACAGGAACAATTTGACTTCCTCTTTTCCTAATTGACTTTATCCATTTCTTCTAGATTTTCTAGTTTATTTGCATAGAGGTGTTTATAGTATTCTTTGATGGTAGTTGGTATTTCTGTGGGATCAGTGGTGATATCCCCTTTGTCATTCTTTATTGCTTCTATTTGATTCTTCTGTCTTTTCTTCTTTATTAGTCTTGCTAGCGGTCTATCAATTTTGTTGATCTTTTCAAAAAACCAGCTCCTGGGTTCATTGATTATTTTGAAGGGTCTTTTGTGTCTCTATTTCCTTCACTTCTGCTTTGCTCTTAGTTATTTCTTGCCTTCTGCTAGCTTTTGAATGTGTTTGCTCTTGCTTCTCTAATTCGTTTAATTGTGATGTTAAGGTGTCAATTTTAGATCTTTCCTGCTTTCTCTTGTGGGCATTTAGTGCTATAAATTTCCCTCTACACACTGCTTTGAGTGTGTCCCAGAGATTCTGGTATGTTGTGTGTTTGTTCTCATTGGTTTCAAAGAACATCTTTATTTCTGCCTTCATTTCTTTATGTACCCAGTAGTCATTCAGGGGCAGGTTGTTCAGTTTCCATGTAGTTGAGTGGTTTTGAGTGAGTTTCTTAATCCTGAGTTCTAGTTTGATTGCACTGTGGTCTGAGAGACAGTTTGTTATAATTTCTGTTCTTTCACATTTGCTGAGGAGAGCTTTACTTCCAACTATGTGGTCAATTTTGGAATAGGTGAGGTGTGGTGCTGAAAAGAATGTATATTCTGTTGATTTGGGTTGGAGAGTTCTGTAGATGTCTATTAGGTCCGCTTGGTGCAGAGCTGAGTTCAATTCCTGGATATCCTTGTTAACTTTCTGTCTCGTTGATCTGTCTAATGTTGACAGTGGGGTGTTAAAACTTTCCCATTATTACTGTGTGGGTGTCTAAGTCTCTTTGTAGGTCACTAAGGACTTGTTTTATGAATCTGGGTGCTCCTGTATTGGGTGCATATATATTTAGGATAGTTAGCTCTTCTTGTTGAATTGATCCCTTTACCATTATGTAATGGCCTTCTTTGTCTCCTTTGATCTTTGTTGGTTTAAAATCTGTTTTATCAGAGACTAGGATTGCAACCTCTGCCTTTTTTTGTTTTCCGTTTGCTTGGTAGATCTTCCTCCATCCCTTTATTTTGAGCCTATGTGTGTCTCTACACGTGAGATGGGTTTCCTGAATACAGCACAGTAATGGGTCTTGACTCTTTATCCAATTTGCCAGTCTGTGTCTTTTAATTGGAGCATTTAGTCCATTTACTTTTAAGGTTAATATTGTTATGTGTGAATTTGATCCTGTCATTATGATGTTAGCTGGTTATTTTGCACGTTAGTTGATGTAGTTTCTTCCTAGCCTTGATGGTCTTTACAATTTGGCATGTTTTTGAGTGGCTGGTGCCAGTTGTTCCTTTCCATGTTTAGTGCTTCCTTCAGGAGCTCTTTTAGGGCAGGCCTGGTGGTGACAAAATCTCTCAGCATTTGCTTGTCTGTAAAGGATTTTATTTCTCCTTCACTTACAAAGCTTAGTTTGGCTGGATATGAAATTCTGGGTTGAAAATTCTTTTCTTTAAGAATGTTGAATATTGGCCCCCACTCTTTTCTGGCTTGTAGAGTTTCTGCCGAGAGATCAGCTGTTAGTCTGATGGGCTTCCCTTTGTGGGTAACCCAACCTTTGTACTCTTTCTATCGCCTTCTTAAAACTGGAAGGGTGAGTGAGATAGGGCAACAGTAGCCATCTCCATGTCATCTAGATTAGTTAGATTAGGGATAACACAAAGGAAAAATTAAAATTTTCTCTATCTATCTTAGTCCTTTTACTATTTCTATGGCTTTAATATACTCGAAAGTTCTGCAACCAGCACCATAGTCAATTTTAGAATATTTTCATTATCCTAAAAATAAATCATTGAATCCACTGCTTCCTCCCGTTTACCCATTCCTACCCCAGCTCTTGGCATGCACTGCTCTACTTTCTGTCTCTATAGATTTATCTCCTCTGGGCATTCCATACAACTGTCATCATGTAATATATGGTTCTTTGTGACTGGCTTCTTAGTATAATTTTTTTCTTTTCTTTTTTTTTTTTTTTGAGACAAGGTCTCACTGTATCACCTAGGCTGGAGTGCAGTGGCGCCATACCGGCTCACTGTAGCCTCAACCTTCTGGGCTCAAGCGATCCTCCCAACTCAGCCTCCTGAGTAGCTGGGACCACAGGCATGAGCCACCACACCCGGCTAAGTTTTGAGTTTTTTGTAGGGATGTGGTTTTGCCATGTTGCCCAGGCTGGTCTGGAACTCCTGGGCTCAAGCGATTCACCCACCTTGGCCCCCCAAAGTGCTGGTGTTATAGGCGCGAACCACCACACCTGGCCTACTTAGCATAACTTTTTAAAGGTTCGTCCATATTGTGGCATGTGTCAGTACTTTATTTCTTTTTATTGCTGAATATGATTCCGTTGAATGGATATAGCTTATTTGATTTATCCGTTTATCATTTGATGGACGTTTAGGTTATTTCCACCTTTTGGCTATCATGAGTAATGTGATAGAAACATTCATGGACAAGTTTTCATATGAGGAGATGTTTGCATTTCTCTTTGGTGTATATACCCTAGGATTGAAGTTGTTGGGTCATATGATAACATGTTTAACCTTTTGAGAAAGAGCCAGACTATTTTTCAAAACGACTGCATAGATCCTCACTAGCAGTATATGAGGGTTTCAGTGTCACAACATCCTTGCTAACACTTGTTTGTCTTTTATTATGAACATAATTAAAGTAATATCTAATAGTTTTGATTTGTATTTCCATGATGGCTAATGATGTTGATTAACCCATTTTTCATTGGGTTATTTGTCTTTATTATTATTATTATTATTATTATTATTATTATTATTATTATTATTTTGGTAGAGATGGGGCCTCGCTATGTTTCACACACTGGTTTTGAACTCCTGGCCTGAAGCAGTCCTCCCACCTCAGCCTCCGAAAATGCTGAGATGATAGGCGTGAGCTACTTGCACCTGGCCTTGCCCTTATGTTACTGAGTTGTAAGAGAGTTGTTTATATATTCTAGATACAAGTCCCTTATTACATATATGATTTGCAAACTTTTTCTTCTGTCAGTTGTCTTTAGACTTTTTTTTTTTTAACATTTATAAATAGAGGTAGAGTATTGCTATATTGCCCAGGCCTTTCTTGAGTTCTGGCCTCAAGAGATTCTCTTGCCTTGGCCTCCCAAAGTTCTGGGATTATAGGTGTGAACCATTATGACTGGCTGTGTTTTCCCTTTCTCAGTGGTGTCTTTTGAAGCACAAAAGTTTTTATTCTGATGATGTGTAGTTTGTCTGTTTTTCCTTTTGTGTGAGGAAGAGATCCAAATTTCTTTTGCATGTGGCTATCTAGTTGTCCCAGCACCATTTGTTGAAAACAGTACTCTTTCCCCAAGAAGTGATCTTGGCACCCTTCTTGAAAATCAGCTGACTATAGATACGTGGGTTTATTTCTGGGCCCTAAATTCTATTCCATTGATATATCTATTCATATTCCAGTATGACACAGTCTTGATTACTGTTCCTTTGTTGTAAGTTTTGCAATCTGGAAATGTGAGCTCTCCAACTTTGTTCTTTTTCAAGGTTGTTTTGGCAGATCTGAGTCCCTTGAATTTTATATAAATTTTCAGATCAGCTTGTCAAATTTCTGTAAAGAAGTCAGCTCAGTTTTTGATAGAGATTGCTTTGACTCTCTATGTCAACTTGGGAAGAATTGCCATTTTAACAATATTAAATCTTCTGATCCATGAACATGGACATCCATTTCCAATTTCTTCAACAACCAGCTTTGGCAGTATCTCTTCTAGATGTGAATGTTCATGTTAGGTGGGCTGTATTTTGCAAGTTAGCATTAGTCAAATTGAAGCCCTCATGCCTGGATTGTGAGGCATAGTGCTGAGGTTTAACTGTTATTCTGTGTAAAGATTAATTTAGTTGATATAAAAGATGTTTGGAAATTATGCAAAGAAAATAATGTAATATATGATTTGTATTTTTCATGTAAATCTTCACATAAAAAATGGCATGGCCTGTTTTATCGTTTGTTTGTAAACTCATTTTTATCCTAAATATGTGTGGCATAGGAGGGAGATTGTTTCAGGCAAACTTATAGGTCTGTTGCTTTGTTGTGGTGGTACATATCAAAAGACTAACTTCAATGACAGTGAGGAGGGATGTCCTTCAAAACTGTAAAAAATTTGAGACCCTCTTGCATCTGTGTTTCTGTGCCATAAATAGCCCTTCTCAGGCTTGTCATGGGCATGTACCAATGATGTAATAATGATGATTATATCAGAAGCACCACAGGTAGCTTTTGGCATGGTAGGTATAGGGCTGTGGATATCGTCAGTTTGACCAAGTATTCCAAGAGGCCCCATGGAGTTTGTCATCTGTAATAGAGGACGTTAGTGCATTAGTGATGAAAAAACTGCTTACCACTGACTATTGTGATCTCCCAGGGAGTATAAGGCAGCTCCGCAGTAAGTGCCTCTTGTTTTGTGTGACGTGCTTGAATACAAACATTCAGACTGTTTCTTGGGCACAGTAGTGCTCCATCTTATGCCAGCCTCATCAAAGGCTTGAAATAGAGTAGGTGGTGTGTGATACCTAGACACTAACATCCCCTATTCTATTTTCCTTTTTTTGTTGTTATTATCAATGGTCACTCACTTACTGTAAAACTAGACTTTATAAACAGATTATTATTTTAGCTAATTTTCTTCTATGTGTTGATCCCTCCCAGTTTTTGTTCCTTTTTGTTGTTCATTGATTCTAGAGTTGTGTGAAGGAAGCCATTTCGTGATTCCTGGTGCTCCTCTGCTTGCTTAGTGACACTACTAAGAATTGGCACCAGCCTTACAAACACCTGCCTTTGATCCAGAGTAGAGTTTGGGGAGAGGTAGAGTAAGTGACTGCTTATCAAATGTGACCTTGGGGTTGTCAGGCCCTGTTGTTTACCCTACCTTTTCCTACTGCCTCACCTGTCCCCACCCCCTACCCCAGCACATGGTTAATAAATGAAAATCTCCAAATTCGAGATTCATTCTTTTGGTTGAAGGCTTCCATTTTCTGTTAAAATTTGAACAACATGAAACATTTTACTACATTAAACCTTCTGGATAATTTACGTTTAATTGGTTTTGTATACAGAGTGGGATAGATCTCAGTGGGTAAGTGGGGAGAAAGAACAACACACAATTCAATTATTAGACATTTTGGGGGATGCGTAAGAGAAAACCAGAAACAGGGCAGGAGTACCTGGAATCACTGAAGACAGTTTATGCATACACTGTTATTTTACCTAAAGGCAGCCTTTCTCATGGTTCTTAGGCATGTCATGGTGACCCTTCATATTCCCTAGGAAACCCTTTACGGCAGTGTTTGGCAAACTATAGTCTGGTGGGCCAAATCTAGCCTGCTGCCTATTTTTGTAAATAAAGTTTTATTGGAACATAACTATGCTCATTCATGTACATACTCTTTTTTTTTTGGTGGGGGGGAGGTTGGGGGGTTGGAGTCTCGCTGTGTTACCCAGGCTGGAGTGCAGTGGTGCGATCTTGGCTCACTGCGAGCTCCGCCTCCTGGGTTTGTGCCATTCTCCTGCCTCAGCCTCCTGAGTAGCTGCGACTACAGGCGCCCGCCACCATGCCTGGCTAATTTTTTGTATTTTTAGTAGAGACAGGGTTTCACCGTGTTAGCCAGGGTGGTCTCGATCTCCTGACCTCGTGATTTGCCCGCCTTGGCCTCCCAAAGTGCTGGGATTACAGGCATGAGCCACCGCACCCGGCCCATTTACATGCTCTCTATGGGTGCTTTCATGCTACAGTGGCAGAGTTAATTAGCTGGAACACACTTGGACCACAGTGCCTAAAATATGTATCTTGCCCTTTATAGGAATAGTTTGCCAACAGCTCGTGTAGAGTCTCTACTTTTGGAAGGTTAAGTATGGATCATAGATACCTTGAGTTTAATTTGGACTTCCTAACCTCTGATCTCACCATTATGTGGACTCACAGACAGTGGTTTTAAGGAAAGATCACTGCTTATTTCAGGACAAATGCTTGGTCATGATAAAAAAAAAAGTTTAACTTCAAAAATATTCTTAAAATAAATGGTGGCACTGCTTTGTTTTAATCCTAAGTAGCCAATGGAAGATTATATCTCTGATTATACATGTACGTGATCCACCTGCCTCTTTCAGGTGCTCCCATCTTATTATGAGAAATGTTAGAATTTTCCCCTTAGACATTCATCTTCTATTGTTTTTGAAGACCAAACATTTATGTTGCCGTAACTTATTTAAATATACATATGAATATAAGTATAAAATGTTAAGCTCACTCTTGGAAATTTAAAGTGTTTTAGCTGAGTTATGTTTATTCTCTCTTCATTTTCTCTCAGCTTGAAATCCATGGCCCAAAATGACTCTACCAGTGGAGACTCTCTTCTGTGAAGAAGACGACCAGATAAGAGGTTGGGATGAGCATGCCACTGCATCAGATCTCTGCCATTCCATCCCAGGATGCCATCTCTGCTAGAGTCTACAGAAGTAAGACCAAAGAAAAGGAGAGGGAAGAACAGGTACTGGGAGAGTATCTTTTTTAGTTTCATTATTTTTATTAAATTTTTATTAAAGATGACCTAGAACAGTGCTTAAACTCTAAAGGTCAGGTTTTCTCTGATAATATACTGACAAGCACACAAATAGTTGTACTCAGAAGGAATTGTCTTTTTGTAGATTTCTAGGTTTTCAGATTTTGGTGTAAACTACTGTTTATAAATGGTTATAAATGACTTATCTTCATTGGTTAAATCTACCTGATTATTTTTGGTTAATCACTGTGACTAAGTTCTTTGGATTCTCAGAACATGATGCTGCTAGTTTCCTATTCATCGTAGTGTGAAATTTGGACACCAGATGGCTGGAATTTCTTAATATGTGTCTTAGTCTGCCCTAGCTGCTGTAACAAAATGCCATAGCCTGGGTGGTTTAAATAACAAGCATTTATTTCTCACAGTTCTGGAGGCTGGAAATCTGAGATCAGGGTGCCAGCATGGTTGGATTCTGGTGAGGTCTTACTTCCTGACTTATAAACAGCTGCCTTCTTGCTGTGTCCTCACATGGCATAGAGGGAGGAAGGAAGCAAGCTGTCATGTGGCTGTTCATATAGAAGGACTGATCCCATGGAGAGGGTTCCACCCCTAGGACCTAATTGTCTCCCCAAGGCCCCACCTCCAAATACCATTACATTATGGATTAGAGTTCTGGCATAAAAGTTTTGTGGGAAACATAAACATTTAGTCCATAATAGTGTGTACATGGGGAAGCTATACAAACTTGTTTGGAATAGAAAAAGGAAAATGTCCAACAGTTAGGCCAGGAAGGGAGATTCTTTTTGATATACACCCTCACTGCAGGTTTACTGTAGGTGGTTATTTAATAAAGCCTTATTGAATTTATCTATTTGATGGGATTTTTAAGGTCTAAATAAATAGCATTAATCAATTATTTGTAGAATGGGGATTTTTATTGGTATTGGGAAGAAAGAGAAACCATTCTGTCTTACCTTAGTGTGGGGATGGTTTGAACACCCAGTGGCAGCCTGACAGTTCAGGGTGTCGTGGAGCCCAGATGAGGTGGCAGTAGTGGAAGAGCAGTTGAACCAGGAACTTGCAGGGCCCCGTGAGAGCTTCAGCAGCAATGGCACAGGATGAAAATAGTGGTTGTGTTTCTAGGGTCTCAATTGTGGTATCAGGTTTGATTTGAAAGGTAAATTTTTGTCCAGTGGAGCCCATTTTTATTTATGCAGTTTTTCCTGGCACAGGTTCAACCCAAAATCTTTTGCTATGATTTCTGATCCTCCTGTGCTTGGGAGATATTATTCCTACTGAGTCCCATAAGAAGAGTGAACCCTTGCATTTTACCTAGACTCAAATAATCCACCTGTTTGCTTAGTCTAATCTGTTAACACACCCTCGCTGAAGCCCATAACTTCTACAGAGGGTTAATGACTTTTATACAGTACTCAATACAGTTGATGAATGAATGAATGAGTGAATATGAATTCAGTTTCAGTGATATGGGTCATGTCACTGTGGAGATGATCTTTTATTTCAAATACAGTATGAGAACCTTACAATAGTATACTTTCATTTCTTTCCTTCTGGCCTTTTCATTATTGTCTTTTAATAAATTTTAAACCCTAGAATATATTTAAAAAAATACTTTCTCTTTAAATACTTTTCTTTTAAATAATAATAAAGATCTGTTTACTCAGATAATTACCATTTCTGGTGTATTTCCATCTATCATTTTTCTTTTGTCTAAAGGACTTTAGCATTTCTTATAATGTGAGTTGGCTGACAATGACTTCTTTCAGCTTTATTTAAAAAATATTTTTTATTTGTTTCTTGTATTCTGAAGTTGTGCTTGTGGATCAGTGGGTTTACAATTTTCATAGAATTTGGAGCTTTTTGGCTATTCTTCAGATACTTTTTCTGTCCCCCCATTCTTTCTTTGGGGACTCCAGTATACACATTGACTGGCTTAAAGTTGTCCACTGCTGCACTTTTAATTTTTTAAGGTTATTTTTTCTTTCTGCATTTTATTTTGGATATTCCAATTACTTTGTTTATAATTTCATTAATATTTTCTTTTTCAATATCTAATCTGCCAGTAATTCCGTCTAGTGTGTTTTTCATCTCAGACATGTTTTATCACTAGACATTTGTTTTGGATCTTTTTTATATCTTCCATGTCTCTATGCAACTTTTTTAGTATATGAAATAACAGCTATAATGACAGTTTTAGTCCTCTTTTCTGTCATTGTTGGCATGTGTGACTATTCTGAGTTTGCTTTTCTCCCTCACTTCGGTCAGTTTTATTTTCATTTTTGTTATTATTTTTTACTTATTTTTGAGTACAGATCTTGCTCTGTTGCCCAGGCTAGCATACAGTGGCGTGATCACAGCATACCGCAGCCACGAACTCCTGGGCTCAAATGATCCTCCTGCCTCAACCTCCCAAGTAGCTGGCACTATAGACCATGCCTGGATAAGTTTTTCTTTCATTTTGTAGAGTCGGGGTCTTGCTATTGCCCAGGCTGGTCTCAAACTCCTGGGCTTAAGCAATCCTCCCATCTTGGCCTCCCAAATTGCTGGGACTGCAAGTGTGAGCCACTGCACCTGGCCCAGTTTCATTTTTAAGTAAAAGTTTATTTCAGACTAGTTTTAGATTTACAGAAAAATTGTTAAGCTAGGATGGAGTATTTTCATATACCTGACACCCAGTTTCTCATATTGTTATTATTTATAGATTTAGTACAAGTGCAGTGTTGTTACACCACCTGAATAGTGCACATAAGCACCCATGAGGTAATTTCTCATCCCTCACCCACTCCCATCCTCCCACCTTTCTGAGTCTCCAATGTTATTATTCCACTCTCTATGCCCCTGTGTACATATTTTTCAGCTCCCACCTGTAAGTGAGAATATGTGATATTTGACTTGCTCTTTCTGAGTTATTTCACTTAAGATAGTTACCTCCAGTTCTATCCATGTTGCTACAAAAAAACATGAATTCATTCTTTTTTTATAGCTGAGTAGTATTCCATGATGTGGATTACTTTATCCAATCATCCGTTGATGGGCACTTAGATTGATTTTATGTCTTTGCTATTGTGAGTAGTCCTGCAATAAATATTTGAGTACAGGTATCTTTTTGATATAATGATTTCTTTCCCTTTGCGTAGATCCCCAGTAGTGGGATCACTGGATCAAATGGTATTTCTATTAGTTCTTTGAGAAGTCTCCATATTGTTTTCCATAGCAGCTGTACTAGTTTACACTCCCAACAACAGTCTGTGAGCATTCCCTTTTATCTGCATCCTTGCCAACATCTGTTATTGATTTTTTTGACACCTGAGTAATAGCCATTCTGACTGGTGTGAAATGGTATTTCATCGCTTTTATTTGCATTTCTAACTTTTTAAATGTTTCTTGGCCATTTGTATGTCATCTTTTGCAAAATATGTGTTCATGCCCTTTGCCCATTTTTTAAAAAGGTTATTTTTTTCTTGTTGAGTTCTTTGTAGAGTCTACAAATTAGCTTTTTGTAAGATGCATAGTCTGCAGATATTTTCTCCTGTTCTGTAGATTGTCTGTTTTCTCTGTTGATTATTTATTTGCTGTGTAGAAGCTTTTTATTTTAATTAAGTCCCATTTGTCTATTTTCATTTTTGTAGCTTTCCTTTTGAGGTCCTAGGCATGAATTCTTTGCCTTAGGCCAATGTCCAGAAGAGTTTTTCCTAGGTTTTCTTCTAGAATCTTTATAGTTTCAGATCTTTCAGGTCTTTATACTTTCAGGTCTTTAATCCATCTTAAGTTGATTTTTGTATATGGTGAGAGATATGGGTCCAGTGTCATTCTACTGTATATGGTTACCCAATTCTCCCAAGTATCATGTATAGAATAGGGTGTTCTTCCACTAGTGTATGTTTTTGTTGACTTTGAAGAAGATCATTTGCCTGTAGGCATGTGTCTTTAATTTGGGTTCTGTAAGCTGTTTCATTGACCTGTGTGTCTCTTTTTATAATAGTTTTGGTTGTTATAGCCTTATAGTACAATTTGAAGTCAAGTAATTTGATGCCTCAAGTATTGTTCTTTTTGCTTACCATTGCTTTGGCCATTCAGGCTCTTTTCTGGTTCCTTGGGTATTTTAGGATTGTTTTTTCTAATATTGTGAAAAACAATGTTAGTATTTTTATAGGAATTGCATCTGCAGATTTCTTTGAGTAGTATGGTCATTTTAATGATACTGATTCTTCTAACCCATGATCATGTTTGTGTCATATGTGATTTCTTTCGTCAGCGTTTTGTAGTTTTTCTTGTAGAGATCTTTCACATCCTTGGTTGAGTGTATTTCTGAGTATTTTATTATTTTTTTGTAGCTATTGTAAATGGGATTGACTTCTTGGTTTGGTTCTTGATTTGGTTCTCAGCTTGATTATATCATTGTTGTATAGAAATGCTACTGATTCCTCCTCACAACAAAAAATACAAAAATTAGCTGGGTGTGGTGGCACGTGCCTGTAAGTCCCAGCGACTTGGGATGCTGAGGTGGGAGGATCACTTGAGCCCAGGAGGTCGAGGCTGCGCTAAGCTATGACTGCGCCACTGTGCTCCAGCCTGGGTAACAGAGTGAGACCGTTTCAAAAACAAACAAAGAAACAAACCCCAACTAAACAAAAGAAATACTACTGATTTTGTAGGTCGATTTTGTATCCTGAAACTCTACTGAATTAATTTATCAAATTTACGAGTGTTTTGGAGGAGTCTTAGGGTTTTCCAGGTATAAAATTATATCAGCAAACAGAGATAGTTTAACTTCCTCTTTTACAATTTAGATGTCTTTTCTTTCTTTCTATTGCATTACTGCTCTGGCCCGATAGGACTTTTAGTACTGTGTTGAGTAGGAGTGGTAAGAGTGGGGATCCTTGTCTTCTTCCATTTCTTAAGGGGAATGCTTTCAACCTTTCCCCATTCAGTATGATGTTGGCTGTGGGATTCTTGTATATGGGTTTTATTATTTTGAGGTATGTTCCTACTACACCAAGTTGTTGAGTGGTTTTTATCATGAAAGAATGCTGAATTTTATCAAATGCTTTTTCTGTATCTATCGAGATAATATGGTTTTTGTTTTTAATCCTGTTTATGTGGCAGATCACATTTATTGATTTTTGTATGTTAAACCCTACTTGTATCCCTGGAATATAACCCACTTGATTGTGGTGTACCATGTTTTTTGATGTGCTGTTGGATTTGGTTTGCTAGTATTTTCTTGAGCGTTTTTGCATCTGTGTTCATTAGGGGTACTGATTGATTCTGTTTCTGTTTTTGTGTGTCCTTGCTTGGATTTGGTGTTAGGGTGATACTGGCTTCAGTTAGAGAGGATTTTCTTCAATTTGGGGGAACAGTGTTGTCAATAGGATTGGTACCTATTCTTCTATGTCTGGTAGAATTTGGCTGTGAATTCATCTGCTTCTGGGGTTTTTTGTTGTTGGGAGATTTTTTTTTATTTTTATTACTGGTTAAGTCTTACTGGTTATTGGTCTCTTCAGGCTTTCTCTTTCTTAGTTCATTCTTGAGAGGTTGTGTGTCTTTAGGAATTTACCTGTTTCATCTAGGTTTTCTAGTTCGTTAGTGTAGAGATGTTCATGGTAGACTCTGATGATCTTTTGTATTTCTGTGGTATCATTTGTAGTGTCTTTTTCATTTCTGATTGTGCTTATTTGAATTTTCTTTCTTCTTGGTTAATGTAGCTAGTAGGCTGTCAATTTTGTTTATCTTTTCAGTGAAGCAACTTTTTGTTTCTTTATCTTTTGGGTTTTTATGATCTGGATTTCATTTAGTTCTGCTCTTCATCATTTCTTTTCTTCTGGGTTTGGTTTGTTCTTGTTTTTCTAGTTCCTTGAGGTACTATGTCAGGTTAACTTGTGGTCTTTCTATTTTTTTCGATTTAGGCATTTAACGCTATAAACTTTTCTTTCTTGAATCCATTTACAGTCAACACTATAAGCTTTTGCTGTATTCCAGAGGTTTTGGTATGTTGTGTCTCTACTTTTGTTTAAAAAATTTTTAAACTTCCATCTTAATTTCATCACTGACCCAAAAATCATTCAAGAGCAGGTTAATTTCCATGTATTTGTATAGATTTGAGAGTCCTTCTTGGAATTGACTTTAGGTTTTTTCCACTGTAGTCTGAGAAGACAACTTGAAATGATTTCAGTTTTTTAAAAATTTATTGAGACTTGCTTCATTCCTTAAGATAAGGTCTGTCTTGGAAAATGTTCCACATGCTAATAAGAAGAATGTATATTCTGTGATTGTTGGGTAGCTTGTTATATAAACATCTGTTAGGTCTATTTGTTCTACAGTCCAATTTAAATCCAGTGGGGTTTTTTTTTTCTTTTTTTTTCTGTCTCAGTGGTCTGTCTAGTGCTGTCAGTGGGGTGTTGAAGTCCCCTCTTGTGCTATAAAGGAATGCCCAAGGCTGGGTAATTTATAAATAAGAGATTTTATTTGGCTCACTATTCTGCAGACTGTACAAGAAGCACAGTGGTTGTGTAAAAGTGCCTGGCCTCCTCTCTTCAGCCTGGCTTGTTGGCTGGTAGCAGCAGCTGCTCAGGGCTCGGAAGCCTGTGTACTCCCATGTGAGTTTGAGCAATGCCTCTGTCAATCTCCAGGCAACTCACTCTATTAGGCTGGAGACCTGCGAGGGTCAAGGGGGTCTCCCACAGCTAGCGTTGCAAAAGTCCATGGTGGGAATGTGGAGCCCTGGGAGTCTCTCATCTACCCTTTCCCAGCATCTAGAAGCTTCTTTCATCTCTCAGCAATCCTGGCTGAGCACGTGCCTTGCTTCCTTCTCCTTTGTGATCAGTGATTCCTGTTGCTTTTCAGTTGAATTCCAGTGTTCTGTTTTAGATGACCTATTTGAAGGGTGAATATCTACTCGCCGTTTTGGAGCTTTCCATGGAAGAGGCATGTACTAGCTGCATCTAGTTAGCCATCTTGAACCAAGCTTCCAGTTTCTCATATTATTAACATCTTAAAATAGTGTGCTGCATTCATCATAGTTAGTGAACTAATATGAATACATTATAGTTTTAAAGTCCATGCTTTATTCAGATTTCCCTACTTTTTAACTAATGTCCTTTTTGTGTTCCAGGATCTCATCTCTAGGATGTAGCATATTACATTTTGTTGTTGTATCTCCTTAGGCTCCTCTTGGCTATGACAGTTTCTCAGACTTCCCTTGTTTTAGATTACCTTGACAGTTTTGAAGAATACTGATCAGGTATTTTGTGGAATGTCCTTCTATGGGAATTGTCTGATATTTTTCTCATGACTAGACTAGGGTTATAGGTTTTGGGATGGAAGTCCACAGATACAATGTACCAGTTCATCACAACAGATCGAGTATACTATCAACATGATTTATGACTGATTTTCTTGACCACCTGGCTGATATAGTGACTATCAGGTCTCTCCACTATAAAGTTACTCTTTTTCTCCCCTTTTGTACTTCATTCTTTGGAAGGAAGTCACTAGGCATAGCCCACTTTAAAGAATGGGGAGTTGTGCTCCCCCTCCTTGAAGGTGGAGTCTTTACATGAATTATCTGGAATTCTTCTACATGTCTGGAACCCAAATTGCAAGATTGTCCAAAAAATACATTTTTCAATTTTCTGCCCTGTCCTCCTTGATAAAGGGATCCTGAAAGAAATGATCTGTATCCCAGGATTCCTGAAAGGTGATAAGTAAGAAGGTAATTCAATGATCAACTTATATTTAAAGTAAGCTACACAGAAAATAAAAGTGGTATTTTATATATTTATAAACAGTCCTAGTTTTGGCCCTGTTGTCCTGCTACTGAGGTCAAAAGGAGGATTTTACCATGCAGCATCAGGATGATGGTCAGTAAACACAATTTCGTATTTGCTCTAAAAACACATGAGTATTGATAGATCATACTGTATTCATTTGTACCTAACATCTTTTGAAAAAATGACCTCACAATGTTCAAGTGATAACAATATCTTTAGACAGAATCACCACACTTTTACTACTTAAAAATTATTCTCTTTTCTCTATTAGATAAATTCTTCCCTTTTAAATAATAAAAACCTAATATAAGGAACTTGGAGAAAACCTCTTGAATTTTAACATTGCAGTATCTCCAGAGCCATGTGGGCAAACTCCCAGTTTAATGCTTGAACCTACTCTGTATTATCATGGCCAGTTTGTTTTTAGGGCACCATTAGGGCATCAGCCCTGATGCTAACCCACTACTTCGAAAGGCGGTTGTTTTGTGCTTTTTTTTTTGGGCTACCAGAGATTTGAGATACAGTATAAGACCAAACTGTCTGTAGCTTTCTCTTACTGACACTTTTACTTTTTGCTTCCAGGAACTGCCAGTCTTATTCTGCAGGATAAAAATCCCTTATAATCACGTATTATTAGTTGGGTCTCTCAGCATTCTAGTTACTGTCTTTTAGACCATTTCTAGCTTTTTTATAGAAGTATGTTTTCATGAAGAGATGAATATGCATCTTTAAAATAAACCTGTTGCAGATTACTGTCTGGTTAGGCATCACCATCTGTGAGATCATTTGCGTGGCTTCTTGAATCATCCATCTACCTTACCTGCAAGGGCCACAAGAGATTAATTTTCTCATACCTGGAAACCAGAATTTCTTTGTCACCTGTTTACCTGTTCTTGCTCCCTGGAGTCTTTCACTTCTGCTTCCAAGCGTGTTTTTCCTATTTGGTAATCACAGCGATCTCTGAAACCCCTTGGAAGTATCTCCTAGTTGGCTCAAACATGTATAGAAAGTTGTAGCATGCTTAACATTTAAGAACCAAAGATGACTTCTTTACTAAATGGTCATTTTCTGCTTTGTAGGCTTGTTTTCTTTGAGAATAAAGAGAAGTTTTGATGTTTTTCTAGAGATTAAAAAAGAGTATGCTGTTATAAAACATTAAATTCAGGTTGACCCATTTGAACGGCTACATCTACATTTTCTTTTGCATATATAGATTTTTGAAGCTTAAATGCAGATAAAATTATGTGCAACTTTGAGGTCCTGCAATTTTAAATATTCTTAGTAAAAAGCCAACAATATCGATTCCAGCTATTTTATATATTAGCAGCTTACCTATATCAGCCAATTCTCACGTAAAACTTGAGAACTGGTAATGGTTTGCTGTTTATTTATTTAGAGTTTAGAGATGGAAGGAATGCACAGAATAACTGTAGCTGACCTCTGTGGATGTTGGTCTAGTGAGAGTTTGCTAGTTAAGAGTGTACATAATCTAGGTAAAACCAAGAGTCTTGTCTGGTTGTGCGGTAAGTGAAGCATTTGCAGTTGGTTTCAGTGTGTTGCATATAAGTTGAGTCAAGGTGGTGTATGAATACGTTTGTCTAGGTATCACTGTAGGACTTGATGATTATGATTTCTTGGTTGTCACTACTCTCTTATAGCTGTCCTGTGTGAATTGGACAACTAGGTGGCAGATAATTTTTCAGATTTTCTGTCAGTAACTTGAAAATAAGAAAACCACTCAAATATATTTATTTATTTTTCACTCTTTGTTTTTATTTATTTAGTTTAGAGATTGGGTCTCACTCTCACAGGCTGGAGTGCAGTGGCATGATCATAGCTCACTGCAGCCTTGAACTGCTGGGCTCAAGTGATCCTCCCATCCCAGCCTCCTGAATAGCTGGGACTATAGGCATACACCATCACATGTGGCTAAATTTTTTATTTTGAAGAGATGAGATCTTGCTATGTTGCCAAGGCTGGCCTCAAACTCCTGGCCTCAAGCCATCCTCCCACCTTGGCTTTCCAAAGTGTTGGGATTATAGGTGTGAGCCACCCTATTGGGCCCCTAATTTATTTTTTAATGCAGAGATTGCAGTAAATAATACTACAGTCCTAGTGTCCTGTAATCGTTGTTAATGGCTTTTGATATGTGATGTTATTGAGATGACTTCCTTATTTTACACATGAATAAAACAGCACCAAAGATAAATGCCTGACTGTATATTTTTTTCCATATTGTTTTGTTTCCTCTAAAAAAATGCTTGCACATGAATATAGACTGCACACACATATTTTTTCATTCATTTGTGCATCAAATAGTTTTGTGTTTTTAAGAGACAGGGGTCTCATTCTGTTGCCCACGTTGAGGTGCAGGGGTGCAATTATAGCTCACTTGGGGGGCCACGTGTTGGTATTATAGACACGAGCCATCACACCTGGCTTGGAATGTTTTATATCTTCCATACCACTTTTGCATAGGGAATGAACTGTCATCCCTTTCATCCAGTCATCCTAATGCCGAATTTGTGTGTTTTTCATGTTTGTTTCTGAAGAACTCAATTTACCACATTTCAGAAGCCTGTTTTTTAAAAAGCAGAGCAGGGCACTGCTGTTGGATTCACACTGTTCAGGTAATACATGAACAGTGGTAGAATTACAAGGACATCTTAATAGCATCTTTTGCCTCAGGGCTTTGGTTTTGAGTTAGGCTTAGGATGATTAAGGTAGTGTTTATGTATTACTAGCTGTGTACGTAATTAGCACTTCTAAGCAGTCATACACCCAAATTGGGAAAGATGTGCTCAACTGATTTGTATTACACCCCAGGATTGTTACCCAAGGTGTGTAGATGTCTGTTCCCTGAGAGCAAAGGTCTTTTCATCTAATTAGCAGTGTGACCTTGGGTTCTTACTGAACTTGGAGGAGACTGCTTATTTTCTGGAAAGTGGTGGAGATGAAATGGTTACTTTGTGGGAGATAGTCACTCCCACAGTGTGTCCACTCCCAGATAGTGTCCTTCAGGCCTCAGTGGCCCTCCCATACCAATCCACTGAGAGTTGTCACCCCAAATCTAACAGTCACAAGGCTAGCATCTTTTACCAACAAAACTTTGATAATAACTGAAAAAATTATTTTATTAAATTAATATGCAGAGTTTTTTGGGGGAAATTTGAACCTTGAACCCCTGACTTTAAAAAGTTGTTTATCATTAAAAACAGAAAAATGTGGGAGGACTGTCTTAGATTATAAAAAACTAAAAAGACAACCAGTGTAATATGTGTACCTTGGTGGAACATGTTAAAAACATAAATACCTGTAAGGTGTGTTTTTTGGACAACTGGGAAAGCTGAATATTTTCTATATATTAGATAATAATGATAGAATTACAGTTAATTTTATGCATCAGAATATGTATATCAGAGAAAGAAAAAGTAAATGGGCAGATTTTATAACAGTTGATGCATCTAGGTGAAGGACAGACAGGTATTCATTGTACTATTCTTTTAGCTTTTCTGTAGATTTAAAGTTTTTCAAATCAAAAGTTTTGGGAAATAAAAGATTATGCTTGCCGAAAGTGAGCTGAAGAAAGCGTCGCAGTAGACAATAATAAATAGTAAATTATACGAAATAATTTAAAGGCCAATGGGCAAGTTATCTCACACTTCCTAGGTATTCATATAATTTTAAATCTAATTCCAAATTTTTTGTTATCTTATGTAAACATTGGTTTGCACCATGTCTGGGAGGCACAGGCAGACTTTCCAAAAGGAGCAGAAGCATGGGCAGTTTTAACGACTCCATTTTCAGATCTTTACCTTCCACATACACTTGAGCCTAAAACTGTTCATGCACCCACATTTCTGAGCAGCTAGTTTTCGACTCTGAAGAAGGAAAGGCCCCTACATTTTACTATGTCTCTTAATTTTGCTATGCTGCATTGTTCTAGGGAATAAAAATCAGGTCATCAAACAAAGGAATACTTGGAATTACTGGTTTTGGGTAATCTTTTTTACTGCTTAATCAAATCATGGTATACCTGCCTAGGCAGTTTATCTTTTCCTGTCTTATTCAAGAGGCTTCAAAATGAAGGTATTTGGGCACATTCTGGATTCAGATATATCATAGGTAGATTTATAAAAGTGACTTCATTCCCCATCAATTGTTCTTCAATGAAGAACTTTTGGGGAAAAGACCCTTAAAAGCAAAGCAGAGTGAGTTTCAAGTGATGAAAATAGTTTTCTAAAAAATGTAACGTAATTAAAGATAAGTTGATTATTTTTTTTAGCTGTTCACAGGTTTAGTTGCTACGATGGGTAATTAACTAGAAAGCAATATACCTTTGAACAGCAACTTTTCAAGATATTACAGATAAAGAACAAAGTTAAAAGTATTTTGTGATTTCTTTCAGTTGAAATGTGTATCATTCAACAAAGTAGTTAATGCTTCTTTTTATCAAATCATAGAAAATATTCCAATTATATTTAATCCTCATAAAATATTTTGTATTTTCTATCTCCTAATAAAAAATGTAATTACATTCTTGCTGTCAGACTGATTTGTTTTTAGAAGTACAGTAATTGCAGCAGGTTTTAATCTCACATTGGTATTTGCTTCACGCCCCCTCGTGTGGTAGAATGGAACTTGTAGACTAGGTAAATTCTTAGAACATAAGAAAAGCGCCTGATGGAGTCCCCCAGAAATCTGGTGACTAGCCCAGGCCACAGTTGTACTTGTCACCTGTTTTAGACCCTCGTCCCATTCTAACTCTCAAGACTGACTTTGCTTTACCCTGAACCACACATACCTTTGTACAGTTTATCCTGGCCAGCACTACTTCAGCATTGATTTTTTTCCCCAGTATGAAAGGAACTTAATTTGATATTATTTAGCTTAAATAATGCTGTATACTATGTCAAGTATTCACAGATGGTTTAAATGCTTAAGAATGTTTATTACTGTGAATACTGTTTTTTACTGTATTTAAGTAGGCCAACATATGGTATTTATAAATTGCCTCTATAACATTTATGGATTAAAATTTTTATATTTCGAATAATGGCTAACACTTACATATCATTTACTGTGAGCCAGGCACTGTCCCAAGGACTTTCCATATGTTAACTCACTAAATTGAATCCTTACAGCAACCCTTTGAAGTAGGCATTACTGTTGTGGTCATGATCACTTTATGGATTGATTTGGAAGCTGAGAATCAAAAAGGTTGGGTATGTGATAACTGATGGAGGTGGGATTTGAGTCTTGGGTCACTGCTGCTGAGTGCGTAGTTCTCATCACCTGGGCAGTGAGTGGTGCACTCCAGGTGCTGTTGTCCTCCTCAGGTGAAGGAGAGCTGCTGCTCTTATTTGTTCATGACATTCCCTCTGAGTCACCTGGGCTAGAAACTAGGGAGCTCCTTTTGCCGACTTTGCTCTTAATGCGCCACTCATCAATAAGTTTTACTGATTCCACCTCTGAAATGTTTTCTTTGTCCTTCCTCTCTGCCCTGGTGCTACTGCTGTATTTCAGGCAGCCGTGTAGGTCAGGGGCTGGCAAATCATAGCCCATGGTCCAAATCCAGCCACTGCTGTTTTTTATGACTTGCCAGCTAAAAACGGTTTTTACATTTTTAAATGGTTGGAGAAAAGTCAAGAGATTAATATTTTACGATGCATGAAAATGATATGAAATCAAAATTTCAGTTTTCATAAATATAGTTTTATTGGAGTAGAGCCATGCTCATTTCCTTGTGACTACTTTTGTCTGACAATGGCAGAATTGAGTAGGTGTAATAGAGAATATGACTTGCAAAGCATAAAATATTTCCTCTCTGGCTCTTTACAGAAAAAGTTTGCTGACCCTTGATCTAGATTATTGCAGTAGTCTACTTACTGACTTCCCAAACCTTCCCTTATGTCTCCTTCCTTTCTGTTCTCATTGTGGATGGATGGGTGGTAGTGGGAGGATACAAGAAACTAGCATCTGTATCTCTGATATGGCGTTTATTTAGTTTTGCCACATAGTCATATCTGTTAGTTGTTTACCTGTTTATCTCATGTAATAGAGTAGGAACTCCTTATTGTACAGATGATACCTTACTCATGAACAAAGGGATGGTATCCACATGATACCCATGCTTGAATGAAGATATATTCAATCCTTTACGAATGGCACTTTAAATTTTTACTCACATATTTTATATTTTCATTTTAAGATCAAATTGAAAAAGACAGCAGTTGGTGAAATCTGTCAGAAGTTTTTTTGTGTGTGTAGACTCCCTTCCAGCATATCTTTTAGAGCTTTTACAAGGTGGTGGGATCCTTGTTACTTCTTTTGTAACACTGACAAAGGAAGTGTTACGAAGGTGTTACTAGGTCCTCTCACAAGTACAGTGGTTTAAAAGCTAAGCCATTTTGATTAGTGTATGATACATGCTTTATTAGAGCCATTCTGGCCAAGAGCAATGATAGGATGCTGGTAGCTTTGGGAATGCTCTTGAAAGTTACAAGAGGGCTCTAGAACCATACCAGTGTCCAGGGGTTACAGTTTGCTGCTGAACTGAGATCAGCAGGATTGGCATTACAGAGATAATGTGGAAACGGATTTCCATTCCACAGGATGCTCCCTTGGGCAATCTGTTAGGAGTTGAGGAAGCTCCTAATATTCTGGAAGGACCAAACATGTACAGTAAAGGTCAGAGCAAACTGGATATCTCGTCTAGAGTATTGGGCAGTGTTTGAGGAGGCAGGTTTTGAAGATCATGGAAAGCAAAAGTTCTTCAGATCAGAGTCTTTAGAGCAGTAGTCTAGGCAGGGAAAATCCATGAATGGGTGAACTGCAGGCAGGTAGGTTGTTGATACTTTCCTGCTGCCTCAAGGACATACCATTGCTGTTGTCTTAAGAGTTCTGAGGTCTTGGTTGTAATGTCAGCAGTGCGAGAATACACATGTCATCAAGCTGCAAACTGCGTTCTGTGTCATCGGAGCTCTCTTTTCTGTACTGATGTGGCACTGTGATGGTAGAATCACAGATACTCAGGGGTCAGTCCAACTTTAATTCAGAGTTCTTCTGAAGGTTGGAAGGACTTGCCTGATAACCATCACCTTGCCTTCATTGATAATTCTTATGAAAGCCTGCCCCTCCATAGTCATCAGGCCTTTTATCTCAGACAACCAAGAGCAACCAGAATTCTTTATGAGACACCTGAGATACGATGTGCACTCATCACCTCTTGTATTAGCTGCCAGGAAGCCTAGTCTCTGAGAGAAGTACCTGATAATGCAAAAAAATTAAGTTTTAACTTAAAATATTCAAGAAACATAGATTGCTAAGATCACGATCATCTTAAAATTGGAGGGTTAGTTTATCACTTACAATTAATAGTGCCTAGCAGTCTCTTATGCTTGTTTGACATTTGTCATGAAAAAACATTGCAAATCCTTGCCTGTGTTATATATTTGTTCACCCAGACATCAGTCTGCTAAGGAGGACATGGAGAATATAGACTTTCATGAAGGTATACAAGAAAATGTGAAGGGCACTGTATTCCAGAGTCTTTTTGTGTGAAGTTTTAGTTATAGCAGTTCTAAGCCCTTATGTTAGGCTGTCTTGTTGCTGTAAAGAAATACCTGAGACTGAGTAATTCATAAAGAGGTTTAATTGCCTCGTGGTTCTGTAGGCTGTACAGGAAGCCTGACACCGGCATCTGTTCAGCTTCTGGTGAGGCCTTGGGCTGCTTACAGAAGGCAGAGGGAGAGTGTTGTCTCATATGGCGAGAGCAGGAGCAAGAGGTCTGGGGAGGTGCCACACATTCTTAAATGACCAGATCTTCTGAGAAATCACTCTATCATGAGGACAGCACCAAGGGGATGGTGGTAAAAACCATTCCTGAGGGATCAGCCCCCATGATCCAGTCGACCTCCCACCAGGTCACACCTCCAACATTGGCAATTAAATTTCAACATGAGATTTGGTGGAGACAAATATCCAAACTATTTTGAGCCCTTCTTAAGAGGTTCTCTTTTTACATTATATTCATATTACTATTCTTGGGATGGGGAATGGAAGGAGGCCCTAAAACATCGGTAGAATTGTTCACGTGTATAGTCCATAAGAAAAGTTTTTAATAACTTGGTTAAGTGCTAGTGGATTCACAACTCTACTGTCAACTAGCTGATACTCCAGGGAAATTTGGTGTCCATGTTTTGACTTCTTGTTGTGCTACTCACCACTGTTGCCACCATTGTGCCAAACTGTCTGTCCTTTTAATTTGCTTTTACAATCCAGTGTTCCCATACATACTGCAGGCCAAAGGGTGAGCCTGGCTGTTAATAAGGAGGTACATACATATATTTTAGCAGAGTGAATAGATTTAGCTGCCTTGGCAGGTGACTGGAGAGCTGTCTGGGAGTGTTGAGAGAAACAGCTGGGGTTGCCATTTTATAGGATTGAGGCTCTGGATTGGGTTGGACTAAATGATCTTTATGTCGCTGTTAATTCTGAGGATTTTTTTGAGCACTCTTAGCCACACTTGATTCTTTTTTTTTTGAGACAAAGTCTTGTTCTGTTACCCAGGCTGGAGCACAGTGGCGCAGTCTCAGCTCACTGCAACCTCCGCCTCCCAGGTTCAAGCGATTCTCCTGCATCAACTTCCTAAGTAGCTGGGATTACAGGCACGTGCCACCACGCCCAGCTTATTTTTGTATTTTTAGTAGAAATAGGGTTTCGCTGTATTGTCCAGGCTGGTCTCGAACTCCTGACCTCAGGTGATCCACCCACCTTGGCCTCCCAAAGTGCCGGGATTAACAGGCGTGAGCCACCGTGCCTGGCCCACACTTGATTCTTAATAATCAATCAGTTTGAGCCAGGCACAGTGGCTCACACCTATAATCCTACCATTTTGGGAGCCGAGGCAGGAAGATCTCTTGAGGCCAGGAGTTTGAGACCAGCCTGGGCAATATAGTAAGACCCTGTCTCTACAAAAAATAATTAGCAAAATGAAACATACTGGAGATCACTGTTTTAGTGATCTCTTGTGTCTAGGCTGGGAATGAAGTA
The DNA here is from genome assembly GCF_000001405.40 of Homo sapiens. Lineage (NCBI taxonomy): Eukaryota > Metazoa > Chordata > Mammalia > Primates > Hominidae > Homo > Homo sapiens. The sequence continues at coordinate 45,516,253 of NC_000010.11, read as the reverse complement.
GAGAAGACAAGAAGCATAGTGATCAACCTTAGAACTGATTATCTTCATCAGGAAACTGGGAGTTAGCAGAACGCAGGGCAAAAGAGAACATCAAGGAAATAAGTCTCTGTAGAGAACAGGAAGTGGAAGAAGGGACACATTGTGAGCCTCAGGTGATAGGCCCTCTTATCCTCTCATTCATGGGATGGGGTAGGGGAGTGGGTGGTCAGGATTTGGAGAAAAAGGAATGTCACTTCAAAAGGGGAAGAGAACAACTTGGGCTAGACACTTTCTGGTGGACATGAAATCTCGTAAGACATTGAGGGGATTACAGAATGTTGAGGAAAAGGATATCCCTGGGAGAAGAGAACAGAGTTAGGGCTTTCAATAGAGACTGGTTCCTTTGTCTCTTTACCACACACCATGAACTGCCCTCTCCGCAGCATGCCTGCAGAAAGCTGCTTGAATGCGGCATCAGCTCCCAATAGCTGGAAGAGGAAGGGTTCCCCTAGACAACACGGCATCACACACACACAAGCCAGATCGAATGTCCTTGTGAAGTGGAAGGCAATGAGGGGACTTGGTGAGGCCTCTGTACACATGTCCGGACAGTGAAAGGCTCAGTGCTTGTGGAATGATGCAGAGTCTGTACTGGAAGAAATCATTATTTCCCTGCAAAAAAGGAAGAGAATTCCTATCTACTGTGGAATAGTATAATAGGAACTAGAAGTTTATAAAACATAAGTTCAGAAGTGATAAAATAGGTGAAAAGAAGAAGGTGAAAAGGGAAAATACAAGGGCAAGAAACACTTGGGGAACTTGTTTGTTGCAGAACAACAAATAAATTAGAAGCAGCGAGGAACAGAATACTCATGGCTGAAAAATTACCTTAGTGACAGCAAAAGCTTGAGATGTTTACAGTGAGTTCAGAAGAGAAAACATTGCAGCAGTGAGAAAAAAGGACGGCTATGGGAAACAGGTGGAGAACATTACAGGTGATTGGACTGCCTACAGGTGCAGTTGAGATGATACCATTATTGGCCTTCCCTTCTCTGGTTCAAGTTTGTCTTGGAATGATGATTTTAAGTTGCAGAAAATTGACTTCTTTAGATATGACTCATTTGGAAATATGTAAGCATGGACAAATTGGTGAAAATGAATATTCATGTACTTCCTAGAAGAATACCAATGAGATGGACGATTTATTTATAGCCTGAAACCAGGAAAATTCCTCCTTGAAGCAGTTTGTTTCCTGGCATTGATACGCAGAGCTCCCCTCCCCCACCCTGTGATGATGGTCTGCAGGAACTGATCTTTTACTAAATGTAAATACTGACCTGCTGATCACAGGGCAAGCATTTTGCTGCTTTTTCTGCATCCAGAACTCATTATGTAGGGTGGGTTTTGTGGGGAAAAAAATTTTGTTTTGTTCTGTCAGACATCTGTGGTTAATCATTTAGCTTTTCTACATTAAAAAAAATATTTCAAGTAAGTCTGGGTGACAGGTTGGCACACAGGAAGAGCAAACAGATCCTGTAACATTTACTGTCATTGACGGGAAACTGAGCTTTCATTCCTTGTATGGCACCAAGTAAGTCTTAGAATCGTTACATTGCAGATTGCTATGGGGAGACTATAGGCAGAGGTGAAATTGGTTGCTAGAATGGACTTGTCATGAATTATTCATTCACTGCCTCGTTCCTTGAAAATCAGCTGGAGGAAGTAGTCCAGTTTGATGGCAGGAGTGGTATGCTGAGGGCTTCAGCAAGCCCTCACAAGTCCAGCTGCGACAGCCAGCCATGTGCTGCTGCTGGCAGCTGTAGGGTGGCAGCTGCTGTGCAGGCAGCGCCTGTTCCCCGGCATCAAGCACAGGGACCATGTTGCGGGGAAGCGCTGCACTGAGCGCACACCAATGCATTCTTGTTGGAAAATGAAGCTTCAGGTAGGAGACGTGCCCTGTCAGCTGTGCCTGGTTTCTCACTGATTCAGGGATGCCATTAGGCTTTATGGAACAGACGTGTAGAACCCAGAGTTGCTCAAGGATGCCTCACTCTTGAGGTTCCCAGCCAGAAAAACTTAGCAGTTTAATTTTAATTTCATTTTCAATGATGTACTTTGTTTCTAACAAAACTGTTTCTTGAAATTGCGAAAAGTATTCTTAAGCCAGTAAGCATTTAAACATATAGATTATAGCATTTTTAAATGTATCGTCTTATTCTTGATGTAAAAAAATCTTTTTTATTGATATAATATTGCCCACTTAAATTATGGAGTTATGGCTTTGAAAAACCCTGAGAAAGACAACTGAGTTCATAATTTTAATGAACGCACCTTCAGGCTCTATTGCTATTTTCTAGAGGAAGTGTTGTTTTCAGAAGCCACTCCAATTCTTTCTGCTGGAGCATTCATTCTGGGAAGATCTTTTAGCTTCTCATAGGGTGGAAAAATGCATAGAAGACAGAACAAAGGGTCTTTGTTCTGTTTTGTGGTATTATTTCCCACGTGTGTGTGTAAGCCAGACATGTAATTTCATTTGGCAGGGCTGTTCCAGTGTTGCCATTTGCTCCCTCTGTCTGATTTTTTGTGGATGCCGTCTCTGTTAACTTTGCTGAGGCTATGAGATGTTCTTGAGCTGTGGGGACATGCAAATAGCAAAGATGAAAAGAGCCAGAGTATTAAGGAATCCAGGCCAAATTGAATACACTATTTCATCAGTAAATATATCATTTATAGTTTTAAAACTCTAACAAACATCCCCTGAACACAAGCCCTGAGCTCTGAGACAACCAGAGAAAATGGACAATCTCTTTCTACACTGTTTTCATAAGCTCTACAACAGCAGGGATCTTTGTTTTGTTCACTCATCATTCGCAGGGGCTGGACCTGTACCTGGCTCATAGTAGGTGGTTAATAAACGTGTTTCTGAATGAGTACATTCTGCACTAAAGACCATTAACTGTCTTTCTAGAAAGGTTACTTGCTCATATAGCACTGTAGGAAGCAGTTACAGTGTTATAATTTCTTTTTTATTTTATTTTATTTATTTTTTTTTAATTGATCATTCTTGGGTGTTTCTCGCAGAGGGGGAGTTGGCAGGGTCATAGGACAATAGTGGAGGGAAGGTCAGCAGATAAACAAGTGAACAAAGGTCTCTGGTTTTCCTAGGCAGAGGACCCTGCAGCCTTCCGCAGTGTTTGTGTCCCTGGGTACTTGAGATTAGGGAGTGGTGATGATTCTTAACGAGCATGCTGCCTTCAAGCATCTGTTTAACAAAGCACATCTTGCACCGCCCTTAATCCATTTAACCCTGAGTGGACACAGCACATGTTTCAGAGAGCACAGGGTTGGGGGTAAGGTCACCGATCAACAGGATCCCAAGGCAGAAGAATTTTTCTTGGTACAGAACAAAATGAAAAGTCTCCCATGTCTACTTCTTTCTACACAGACACGGCAACCATCCGATTTCCCAATCTTTTCCCCACCTTTCCCCCCTTTCTATTCCACAAAACCGCCATTGTCGTCCCGGCCCGTTCTCAATGAGCTGTTGGGTACACCTCCCAGACGGGGTGGTGGCCGGGCAGAGGGGCTCCTCACATCCCAGTAGGGACGGCCGGGCAGAGGCGCCCCTCACCTCCCGGACGGGGCGGCTGGCCGGGCGGGGGGCTGACCCCCCCACCTCCCTCCCGGACTGGGCGGCTGGCCGGGCAGAGGGGCTCCTCACTTCCCAGTAGGAGCGGCCGGGCAGAGGCGCCCCTCACCTCCCGGACTGGGCGGCTGGCCGGGCAGAGGGGCTCCTCACTTCCCAGTAGGGGCGGCCGGGCAGAGGTGCCCCTCACCTCCCGGACGGGGTGGCTGGCCGGGCGGGGGGCTGACCCCCCGACCTCCCTCCTGGACGGGGCGGCTGGCCTGGCGGGGGCTGACCCCCACCTCCCTCCCGGACGGGGTGGCTGCCGGGCGGAGACGCTCCTCACTTCCCAGACGGGGTGGCTGCCGGGCGTAGGGGCTCCTCACTTCTCAGACGGGGCGGCTGCCGGGCGGAGGGGCTCGTCACTTCTCAGACGGGGCGGTTGCCAGGCGGAGGGTCTCCTCACTTCTCAGATGGGGCGGCCAGGCAGAGACGCTCCTCACCTCCCAGACGGGGTCGCGGCTGGGCGCTCTCACATCCCAGACGGGGCGGCGGGGCAGAGGCGCTCCCCACATCTCAGGCGATGGGCGGCCGGGCAGAGACGCTCCTTACTTCCTAGATGGGATGACGGCCGGGAAGAGGCGCTCCTCACTTCCTAGATGGGATGGCGGCCGGGCAGAGACGCTCCTCACTTCCTAGACGGGATGGCGGCCAGGAAGAGGCGCTCCTCACTTTCCAGACTGGGCAGCCAGGCAGAGGGGCTCCTCACGTCCCAGACGATGGGCGGCCAGGCAGAGACGCTCCTCACTTCCCAGACGGGGTGGCGGCCGGGCAGAGGCTGCAATCTCGGCACTTTGGGAGGCCAAGGCAGGCGGCTGGGAGGTGGAGGTTGTAGCGAGCCGAGATCACGCCACTGCACTCCAGCCTGGGCACCATTGAGCACTGAGTGAACCAGACTCCGTCTGCAATCCCAGCACCTCGGGAGGCCGAGGCTGGCGGATCACTCGCGGTTAGGAGCTGGAGACCAGCCCGGCCAACACAGCGAAACCCCGTCTCCACCAAAAAAGTAAGAAAACCAGTCAGGTGTGGCGGCGCGCGCCTGTAATCGCAGGCACTCGGCAGGCTGAGGCAGGAGAATCAGGCAGGGAGGTTGCAGTGAGCCGAGATGGCAGCAGTACAGTCCAGCTTCGGCTCGGCATCAGAGGGAGACCGTGGAAAGAGAGGGAGAGGGAGACCGTGGGCCGTGGGGAGAGGGAGAGGGAGAGGGAGAGGGCACAGTGTTATAATTTCTATAACAACCTTTACAGCAAATGAATTCTGACTTATATTGACATAGATTATTTCAAGGTTTTCGTGTATTTATTGGATACATTATTTTAAAATGGCAGAAATTTATCTGTTCATTTTACTAATGTATAATTAAGATTTTTAAAAAGTCAGCAATGAATACAAAGACCTTTGTTTTTAGCAAACCCTTACTTCATATTCAGAAAATGAAAATGAAAAATACTTAATGGAGAAAGCATTTGGAAAAGATTGTATTCTTCAGTACATTACTAAAATATTATGATTCTAATCATATGTTATATGTAACTTTTAAAAAGCATTTAATTTATCAGTCTATATTAGAAAGGCTTGGGGAACTATAAATCCATTTTTTCATAACTTTAAGGGTGAATTTTCAGCTGCAGTGTGTGGTGCTGAGCAGCGCTAAGCAGGGCAACATATTCCCCATAGATATTTGACTCTCAGAGGAACCAAAGGGGTCATCTTCATTAACTCTACTCTCCTCCTCCTTCCACTTCCACATAGTCCACTTTATAGAGGAGAAAGCTGAAATCCAGAGACCCTAGATGAATGGCTTAGAACAAATGTGTGGCTGTTATGGTCTTGTGCTTGGTTGTTTCATATTTTCTAGTTGCTTGTTAACTTCATTATTGCCACAATGAGGTTTAAAAAAGAAAGCAGTGGTGGAAACAGATAATCACATTACTAGAAATTTGGACTATATTATTATACTGAAGACAAATATTGATGCATTTTGACGTTACTTTAAATAAATTACCTTAGTTTGTTGAAATATAGTTTTATAAGAAATAAATTTTCCTGTCTTGACTTCTGTGATGTAATTGTTTTTTTCCTGAGTTAAAATTTTAGTGACTAAAATATGTACTAAATTTTATTTCAAAATTGAACTTCTTGTAAAATGGTACTTTATGCCATTTTTGTTATTCCTTAAGACGACTTGGCTTTTCCTTTTATGTTTGAGATAGATGTAGATTATGTCATAATTTTCCCAAATCTATTTTACTAACTGTATTAGTCTGCTTGGGCTGCCATAAGAAAATACCATAGACTGCATGGCTTAAATAATAGAATTCATTTTCTCAAAGTTCTGGAGGTAGGAAAGTCTTAAGATCAGGGTCTCGCAGTGTGCAGTTTCTGGTGTGGCCTCTCTTGCTGGCCTTCTCTCCATGTCTTGACATGGCCTTCTCTCTGTGCACAAGCTGAAAGCATCTGTAAGCTGAATAATTCTAGTTTCCAACCTCCCGATGTTAGAATTTGTTTAAAAATTTGAGAGACTGTACTACTCTATCCCATTCTGTCTTCTCCCTACGCTACTCTTCAAGTCAGGCACGTATGAGATGTTTAGTCTTCTTTCCCCAGATTACAGGCGTTGTTCAGCTGGGCACAGCAAGAGTGTTAAAAGTTCCTTAAAGTTCTTAAGTTTGCTCTGCTGCACGTTTTCTTTAGGAATCTCAGATTGGATTTTTTAAAGCCTCTTGTTACTAGTGATCTTAAGGCTAGGAAGCTATGCCAATAACTCTATATCAGATTTCACCTGTTTTATTTATAAGAATTCCTCATTTCTTGAGGTCCCTAAAATATCCTAAGACTCATGGGCCTCCCAGGAAGTGGCTTTTCTTACTCACCTGCAAGGCTGGGAACTCTGTAAGCCAGTTTTTCCAAAGAAGGCTTTGTAAGGATGACTCTGTAAAGGCAGTCTTAGTTCCTTAGTTCCAGAACACTTAAAAGTGTTTAGTCATATTTGATTGAATGAGCATCATTTTCAAATGTGAGTTTAGTTGCAAAACCAATATTTCCACTTATGTCCTAGTAAAAAAGAGGACAGATTCTTATTTAATCTATGCAAATAACTTTATTGCCCTGAAAATAGAATATTTATTACGTTTCTGAACTTTGGAGGGCTCAAGCAGGGAGAATAAGATGTTTACAAGTGTTTCATTTCAGTATACAAAAGCAGAGTCTACTAAGTTATGAGTTATAGATAGCTTTAAGAAGAAAGAGAAAAGGCTTCCTTATATGTCTGGAAAATACATTCAAACAGCATCAACAATATTCCAGACAAAAACTACAGTCATCCCTCATTAGCTCATTCAGCCATATCTAGTTAATTTTTGTTCCACTGGATGTGGGGTTAGTAGTATTATCAACCCATCGGCTTCCTCATAAGAGTCCTGGAAATTCTGACTTAGGCCACTGGTATGGTCTGAAAGTTGTTTAAGCAATGTCATTTAGAAGCCTGTGCCCCAAAGTACCTGGCATAGCCCTTTTCCATGGGGTTCTGATTCCTTCTGGCCTGTAGCTGATTGAAAAGGCTCTGAGGGAAACATCAGAATAAAACAGCAACAAATAGATGTCTGCAGATAAAAACATTTAAAATGGCTGCAGTTAATTTTTTACTGATCATTTTCAAAAAATGAAGGATCTGATGAGAGTTTGAGAAAAATATAACTGACAAGGAAATCTGGTTTCTGTGACATGCAAAACAAGATAATAAAGTCAATAAAAAAATTTTAAACAATTTAAAATGTAATAATGAACTCTATAGTTAAAGGATGTAATATTATATCTGATTTATAAAAGCAGATGAGCATAAACTTTACAGAGAAATGAATCTTGAAATATAGCAATAATCCTAGATATTATGTACCAATAATGTATCCAGAATATCAAGTGAAAAGATCTAGTAAGTCTGGAGTGGGTCCTAAGCTTCTGTATATTAATGAAACTCCATCTCCATAGTAAATTATGTGAATCCTTAATTGAAAACCACTGGCCCAGAAGATGCTGCATTCACATTTGAAAAGTGAAGTTGTAACCAAGTTAACATTTTAAAACATAAGAGTGATAACAGCTATACAGTGCAGAGTATCAGGACTTTGATAAATAGAAACTAATCATGACAGTGAGAGCATTGACAAATCTCTTCTGATTTGCTAATTCCTCCCATGCAGTTTCATCAATAGTAACAAACACAATTGTTTCCAGTACTTTTTTTTTTTTTTTTTTTTACTGTGAAAGAATAAATTTTTGTCCTCTTTCATGGGCCCTCTTATAAATCTCAGAGACAGTTTTAGTCCCAAAAGTATCTCAAATTTTTTATTTTATTTTACATTTAGGATTTGAATTTGTAAAGACATAAATGAAAAGTTACCAGGAGATTTCAACACTTAGGAATCAGATCATAGGTGCCTGAGAAATACTTTCCTACTCATTTCAAAGTGACATCCAAACATTTGAAAATAAAGTGAAGGTTACATGATTGTAAAGCATTTGGCTCTTTCATAAGTGAGAAATATTTAATCAAGGACATTGTACAATCAACATGAAAAGCACAGAAAACTATTTTGGTAAAACAGAATCTTTGTTATTTATACAGCAGATATCTTACAATCTCTTACTAAGGGCAGATCAATAATCCAAGAAAATTTTCTAATTTCAACAGAGAAAACCAAACTCCAGTATTGTATCAGTGTAATATTTGATACTACAGGAACTACAAGCACTTTTATAAAATCTTTTTTTTTTTTTTTCAAAACTGAGCTAACTTTGGCCAAGGCAAGTAAAATTATCTTTTCTCAAATCTTCTACAACTTTCTATATCAATTTTTGTCCTTTACAGCTGATGTAGTTTGGATATTTGTCCCCTCCAAATTTCATATTGAAATGTTATCCCCAATGTTGGATGTAGGGTCTTCTGAGAGGGGTTTGGGTCATAGAGGCGGATCCCTCATGAATGGCTTAATGCCCTCCTCTGGGTAATGCATAAATTCTCACTTAGTTCCTCTGAGATCATATTAAGAAGAGCCTGACACCTCCCTCCTTGCTCTCTTGACCTGTCGTCCTTCCTCTCACCTTGTAATCTCTGTTCTCCTTCTCCCTGTATCATGAATGGGAAGCTTCTTGAGTGTCTCTCTGGAAGCAGATCCTGGCACCATGCTTCTTGTATAGTCTGCAGAACCATGAGCCAAATAATCCTCTTTTCTTTATAAATTACCCAGCCTCAGGTATTCCTTTATAGTAATGCGAACAGACTGAGACAACCCTCTTTCTCGTTCTGGAACAACCAGCCCTTTTATTTTAGGACAAAACTATTTTTTTTTCCTTAATAAACAAAACCCATCCTACTACCTCACACGTAGTGTTGTACCTGCCTGCCACCATTGTTCTAGTAGTCTCATTCACATGTTATTGATAACTTTTAGCCAAAGTAACTTTTATTACACAGAGAAAACTAGGGAGTGGATAATTGTGAGCTGTTGCATGCCACTGTTTTAGCAAACTAGCAGAGCTAACATCCAGAGCTAACACAACTTTAACTGTGTGTACACTTTCATTGTGTACAAGTCTCAAGAGTGGCAAAAATGAACACATTTAACTGATTAAAAGAGCCAAAGACATAGCCTCTTTGTAGCATATAAAAATAAGAAACAAGTATATTTGTCAGGCCTCTGAGCCCAAGCCTGCATGTATACATCCAGATCGCCTGAAGCAACTGAAGAATCACAAAAGAAGTGAAAATTTTCCACTACCTACCCAAATCCTATAAAACTGCCCCACCCCAACTCCCCTTGCTGACTCTATTTTCAGACTCAGCCCATCTGCACCCAGGTGATTAAAAAGCTTTCTTGCTCACACAAAGCCTGTTTGGTGGTCTCTTCACATGGACGTGCGTGACAATATTAAATTTATGCTTAGTTATAAATGTCTCAATATTCAGTCTTACTTAGAAATGAGATCAGTATTGAGTGCATATTCATTAGTTAATTCAAATTGATACCAGTTCGAGTTTTTAAGTTTCCTAAAGATCTTGGAAATTTGTCTTCAAGCTGATATATTGCAAGACATAATTACTGTTGAAATACAAGGTCATCAGAATAATGATTTTGTTTGGTTGAACACAAATTTACCTTTTCCATAATCTTAGACATTAAGTAGAAGTAACGCTAGTTTATTCAATCAGTAAACCTGTATAGGTTTATGAATGACGTACCCAAATAGAATAAAAGTCTATGCTTATACTTAATATTGATAAATCAGTAAAGATACAACTGTTTCTTTTAAACCATAAATATTAAACTGGTCCCATTTCCAAAGATTTGCTTTTTTTATGTGAACTTGATTTCTTAATACAGCTCAATAATTGGTTTCTTGAAAGTGTTAGATCTTCAACCTCCTTATTTTCTGGGAAATTTAGGAATATTCTGTTTATATATGTACTTATTTACCTCTATGAGTAAATCAGAATATATTACTTTAAGAGATTTCATAATGTAGTAGATTTTATAATCTAATTTGTTAATCCCATTCTGAGGTAGAAAATTATTGCACCTTCACACATTGAAAGACAACAGCCTTTCTGAATTACACATAGACACGCAGATGCGGAAAGAGTTTATGACTTCAATTCTGAAATTTCAACTATGGGGCCATGGCAAATACAGAATTATAAAACTCATCAGTCCGTGTCAAAGAGTTGCTCTCTTCCCAGTGAGCATGAATTCTTAATTGATTCGTGGTGAGAACAGACAAATAGACAAACAGAAAAAAACTAACAAACCAGACTATTTATAGTTGCTCACCCATTAAACCATTCACAAAGATTAGAGATTTTTATAAAATGGCCAGACCATAAAACCGAATCCCCATTGGGAAATAATTTGTTGGAGGTCCCAAATTTCACAGCCATGTGGTTTGAATAGGATAGAATCACCTGTAGCTCCAGATGGCTCTAATTGGCCTAAAGCAATTAATGTTATCTTGTTCTTCAACCAGTCACTGTGGGAAAAAGTAGGGGTAGAATGTTGCTGGGAAACAGAAGTTTTCTGGCTTAAACAGTAACTAGATCACATCTGGCATTAATTACAAGCCTGTGGTATTGATTAAAAACAAATAAATGGATAGCAACTTAACTGTAACAGAATTTGGCGATAGCAACTGGGTAGTTGCAAGTAACAGACCCTAATATGTGAAATTGGCTTAATAGATACAAGTGAAGTCAGGCAGTCTCTTGCCACAGGGATTGTTTTAGGATAGTGTCTACCCCTAGGACTGGGAGTGGGGACCCAATCCTACTGAAAGTCAATGCTGAGAAGTTTAGGGCTCTTCAGGGGAAGGTAAAGGAGAGAATAGTGTTGGAAACTCTGATTTGTGATAGGGACAAACTGAGCCATGGAGGGAGCCATCAAGGCGGGTCTTGATCCTGTGCTGTGAAGTAGGCAATCCTTCTTTCTTATTCAGGAGTAGCTGGATTAATAATATGTCTTGTTTTTTGAACAGTGAGATCTTGATTAAAGGCAAGAAGGCATAAGTGCTTAATTGTATATATAATTAACAGCTCGAAATGAGCAATAAAATGAAATTTATGTCTCTTATAAAAGTAGAAATGCAGAATGTAGGGCCACCTTTGTAGAATGTCGGAATTGTTAATGATCTCTGGCCACTCAGTATAAGCCCCTACTCAGGAGGAAGAGGGACGCAGTAAGGGAAATACTAGTGCTAAAAGTGACAGTATTTTCAGCAAATTGGCATATTTTTCTTTTAAACATGCCAGATACGCGAACATGAATCTTGACATCCTTAGCTCTGATTATAGTCATTAGTATCCTCTTTAAATTTAGGAAACACCATCTAGAAAGAAAATTGGCTATATTTATTCACCATGTTTACAGTATAAGAATGAAATTCATACTGTATGGTGTTTTGTTGTTAGATTCTGAGTGAGTGTCCATTCACTTAAATTTCCAATATCCAGTGCTAGCTTTGTGCTAATGGCTTGTAATTAGATAGCTGGTGTCCTGTATTGATTAGCTTATACAGAAAAAACACTGGAGAAAAAACAAGGTGTATAGCACAGTGTTTTATACATCATAGGTTATTTTTTGGATCTTAGTTTTTTTCGAGACGGAGTTTCGCTCTTGTTTCCCACGCTGGAGTGCAATGGCGCGATCTCGGCTCACCGCAACCTCCGCCTCCCAGGTTCAAGCGATTCTCCTGTCTCAGCCTCCCAAGTAGCTTGGATTACAGGCATGTGCCACCTTGCCCACTAATTTTGTATTTTTAGTAGAGACGGGGTTTCTACATGTTGGTCAGGCTGGTCTTGAACTCCCAGCCTCAGGTGATCTGCCCGTCTCGGCCTCCCAAAGTGCTGGCATTATAGGCGTGAGCCACTGTGCCAGGCCAGACCTTAGTATATTTTAAAAGTTGAGATACAGCTTTCATACCATTAAATCACCCTTTTAAAGTGCCCAATTAGTAGATTTTTAGTGTATTCATAAGGTTGTACAGCTGCCACCACTGTGCCAGTCCAGAACATTTTCATCACCCGAAAATGAAACCCTCTACCCATTAGCAGTCACTCCCCATTCTCCCATCCCCACAATCCTTGGTAACTGCGAATTTACTTTTTGTCTTTGTGGATTTGCCTATTTTTGACATTTTATATAGATGGAATCATATAATATATGATCTTTTGCTACTGGCTTCTTTTACATACATAGCATAATGTTTTCAGGGTTCATATTGTAGTATGTGTCAGTATTTATATCCTTTTAATGACTGAATAATATTCCATTGTATGGATAATACCACATTTTGTCTCTCCATTTATGTGTTGATGGACATTTGAGTTGTTTCTACCTTTTGGAAATTTTTATTTGTGTTTGCTTGGTATATATTTTCCCATTCCTTTATTTTACACTACCTGTATCAATGAAACGAGTTTCCTATAGATAGCATATAATTGGTTGTTTTTTATTTATTTTTAGTTTTTATTTTATTTATTTATTTATTTATTTATTTATTTATTTGAGACGGAGTCTCGTTCTGTCGCCAGGCTGGAATGCAGTGGCACGATATCTCGGCTCACTGCAACCTCTGCCTCCCGGGCTCAAGCAATTCTCCTGCCTCAGCATCCTGAGTAGCTGGGATTACAGGCATACGTCACCATGCCTAGCTAATTTTTGTATTTTTAGTAGAGACGGGGTTTTACCGTGTTGGCCAGGATGGTCTTGATCCCTTGACCTCGTGATCTGCCCGCCTCAGCCTCCTGAAGTGCTGGGATTACAGGTGTGAGCCACCGTGCCCGGCCATAATTGGTTGTTTTTTTAAAAAGTCAGTTCTCCACATTTGTGTCCTGTAATTGCAGTGTTTATGTACACTTAATTGTTGCTATATTTATCTATTTGGAGTTTGACTATCTCTTTGCTTTTTAAAAAATGAGTTACAAAATACATACTTCTCAGAGTCTATTTAGAATCAGTATTTTGCTACTTCAATTGTAGTGTAGAAACTTCGCTAAAATATAGAAAATATATCACAACTTTCACTTTCCCCCTTTCTGTTACAGTTATCTTACATTCTACATTGCATACCTTCAGAGCCCCTCATAGAATGTATTATTATTATTATTATTTGCTTTCAGCCGTCAAATGTAAAGAATCAAGAGAAAAAGAATAGTCAATTGTTTTTGTCTGAATGCTTAGCCTTTCTGTTGCTCTTTCTTTATTGCTGATATACACATTGTTTTCTGGTATCATTTTCCTTCCATGTGATGAATTTCTTTTAAGCAGTTCTGTTGGTTGCTAATCTTGTTGTTACTCTTTGTCTGTGACTGTTTTTATTTCCCTTCATTCCTGAAATATATTTTCACCACATACTTAGTTTTAGGTAAACAGGTCTCTTTTGTCAATATTTGAAAAATGATGTTACTTCTGACTACTGGCCTTGAGGGTTTCCTGATGAGCAAGACACAGTCATTTGAATCATTGTTCCTCTATAAGTAATGCATCCTTTTTTTCTCTCTGCTTTCCAGATTTCTTCTTGTCTTCATTAATTTGACTATGGTATGCCTGGGCATAGGTTTCTTGTAGTTCATTCAGTTTTTTGAATGCATAGGTTTATGTCCTTCTCCAAACTTGGGAAAATTTTAACAAATTTCTTCAAATATTTGCCAGCACCGTACTTTCTCGTTTACTGTTTGGAATAATTTGTAGCCATTTGGGATTGGCTTTTTAAATTAAGTGTAATTCTCTGGAGATTTCTTCCAGGTTTGTGTTTATCAATAGTTTGTTCCTTTTTACTAGTGGAGTAGTTTTCCATGTTATGCACGGACCACAGTTTTCTAACCGTTTACCTGTTGAAGGACATTTGTTTGAACAAAGCTGCTATAGACACCTATAGGTTTTTATGTGAACATGTGTTTTCATTTCTCCAAGGTAAATCTTCAGGAGAGCAATAGCTATTTCATGTTTAATTTTTAAAGAAACTTCCAAAGTTTTTTCCAGGATAACTGTCATTTTATTTTCCTGCAAGCAATATATAAGTGATCTAGTTTCTTTATATCCTCAACATTTGGTGATGTCATTATTTAAAAAAAAATTTTTAGCCATTCTGATAGGTGTGTAGTAATATCTCATTGTGATTTTACTTTCATTTATCTAATGGCCAGTGATGTTGAACATCTTCTCATGTGCTTATTTGCCATCTGAGTATCCTATTCATTAAGATGTCCCTTCACATGTTTTGCCTATTTTCTAATTGGATTTTTAAAAATGTTCAGGTCTAAGAATTCTTTCTGTATTCTAAATACTAGTCCTTAATTGGATATTCATTTGCAAATATTTTCCCCCAGGCTATAGCTTTTATCTTCAGCCTTTTAGCGGGGTCTTTCATGGAGCAAACGTTTCTGATTTTGATGAAGTTTAATTGATCAGTTTCTTAAATGGATCCTGCTTTGGGTGTGTAGTATAGGAACTCTTTGCCCAACCTTAAATCCTGAAGATTTTCTCCTATTTTTTAAAATGTTTTATGGTTTTAGATTATACATGAAGTCCATGAACTATTTTGAGTTAATTTTTGTATAAGTTTGAGACTCAAGTCAAAGTTCATTGCTTTGTTCCAGCATCATTTGTTGAAAATTCTCTTTCCTCTATTGAATTGCTTTCTTAAAAATCAGTTGGGCATATTGTATGGGTTGATTTCTGGATTCTCTGTCTTGTTCCATTGATGGTTATGTCTGGTTCTTCACTAGTACCACACAGTAGTGATTACTCTGGCTGTATATTAGTTCTTGAAATTGGATGGATGGATTTCTCCCAGTTTTTTTATTCTTTTAGGATTCTTTAGGATTGTTTTAAGTATTCTAGTTCCTTTGCCTATCCATATAAATCTTAGAATAACCTGTCTATATCTAAAAAAAAAACTTGCTAGAATTTTGATAGGAATTATGTTTAAGCTGTTTATCAATTTGGGGAAGAGTTGTCAGCTTACATTATATTGAATTTTTCATTCCAGGAACAGTATGTATTTTTATATGTTGAGATCATTTTTGATCAATTTTTTTTGCAGCATCAGCAATCAGATTCATGTTTTACTTGATGTGCACCTAAATACTTCAGTTTTTTTAGAGTGGCTCTATAATAGTAATTGTGAGTTCTTTTGTTCATTGCTATATGTGTGTTATATATATGTATATATATATATAGCAATGCAGTTAATTTTTGTATGTCTATTTTGTATCCTCTGACTTTGCTGGACTCCTTCGAGGACTTTGTTGTTGCTATTGTTAATACCTTAGGATTTTCTACATAAGCATTCATGTCATGTGCAGATAGAGATTTTTATGTCTTTCATTCTGATATATATGCCTTTTATTTTGTTTATTTTCCTAATTGTGGTGGCTAGAACTTTTGGCACTATGATGCATCAGAATAGTAGAAAACATTCAAGAAACTGGGAATAGAGGGAAACTACCTCAACATAATAAAGGCCATATATGAAAAGTCTGCAGCTGACATTATAGTCATTGGCGAAAGTCTGAAAATTTTTCCTCTAAGATCAGGAGCAAGATAAGGTTGCCTGGTTTTGCCACTGCTGTACAACACATTACTGGAAATCCTAGCTGAGCAATTAGGCAAGAAAAAGAGGTAAAAAGCATCAAAATTGGAAAGGAGTAAAATTATCTCTTTACATATGACAAAATTTTTTATATAGAAAACCCTAAAGTTTCCATGCAAAACAAACAAAAAATCAGACTAAATGAATTCAGCAAAGTTTCAAGTTATAAAATCAACACACACACACAAATCAGCTGTGTTTCTATATACTAATAATGAACAATCTAAAAAGGATATTGAGAAAACAGTCCTATTTACAATGGCATCAAAAATGCATAAAATAGGAATAAACTTAACCAAAGTGGTAAAGACTTATACACAGAAAACTACTATATATTGATGAAAGAAATTAAAGAAGACATAAAATAAATGGGAAGACATCCTGTGTTTATTGGAAAACTTAATATTGTTAAGATGACAGTACTGCCCAAATCAATCTGTATATTCGGTATAATCCTTCTCAAAATCTCAGTGACTTTTGTTTTACAGAAATAGATAAATCTGTCCTGTAATTTATATGGAATCACAAGGGATCCTGAATAGCCAGAACAATTTGAACAAAAAGAACAAAGTGATGGTGTGATGCTCCCTGACTTCAAAACTTATTACAAAGCTACAGTAAACAAGTTAGTGTGGTACTGGCATAAGATAGACATAGAAACCAATGGAATAGAATAGAGAGTCCCAGAAATAAAGCCTCACATATTTGGCCAAATGATTTCCCACAATGGCGCCGAGACTAGTCAGTGAGGAAAGGACAGTCTTTTCAACAAATGATATTGGTGGGGGTGGCAGGGGTCTGGATATTAAGAGGCAAAAGAATACAATTGGACCCTTACTTTACACCATGTAGAAAGATTAGCTCAAAATGGATCTAAGACTTAAAACTATAAAATTCTTAAAAGAAAACCTAGGGAAAGAAGCTTCTTGACTTTGGATTTGGCAAAAATTTTTTGGATATGACACCAAAAGCAAAGGCAACAGAAGTAAAAATACAGAAATTAGATTACATCAAAATTTAAAACTTCTGGGCATCAAAGGAAACAGTGGACAGGGTGGAAAGGCCACTTAGGGAATGGGAGATATTTACAAATCATATATCTGATAAAGGGATAATATCTAGAATATATAAAGAACTCCTACATCTCAACAGCAACAAATAATCTGATTCTAAAATGCTTGAATAGACACTTTTCCAAAGAGGATATACAAATGGCTAGTAGGCATATGAAAAGATGGTCAACATCATTGATAATTAGGGAAACGCAAATCAAAACCACAGTGAGATACCACTTTACAACCATCAAGGATGGCTGTTATATATATTTTAAAAATGTGTTGATGAGGATCCGAACAAAGTGGAACGCTGATTGTGCACTGCTAATAGGAATGTAAAATAGTGCAACCACAATGGAAAACAGTATAGGAGTTCCTTAAAAAGTAAAAGATAATTATTACTGTATGACCCAGGAAATCCACTTCTGGGTATATACCCCAAAGAATTAAAAGCCAGGTCTCAAAGAGATATTTGTATACCTGTGTTCATAGCAACATTATTTACAGTGCCAAAGGGTGGAAGCAATACAAGTGTCCATCAAAGGGTGAATGAATAAATAAAATATGGTACATTTATTGCATATAGTTTCACATTTGTTTTAAAAAGAAAAGGATTCTGGCTGGGCACAGCGGCTCACGCCTGTTATTCTAGCACTTTGGGAGGCCGAGGAGGGAGGATCACCTGAGGTCAGGAGTTTGAGACCAGCCTGGCCAACATGGTGAAATGCCATCTCTACTAAAAATACAAAAATTAGCTGGATGTAGTGGTGTATACCTGTAATCCCAGCTACTTGGGAGGCTGAGTCAGGAGAATTGCTTGAACCCAGGAGGTAGAGGTTGCAGTGAGCCGAGATCATGCCACTGCACTCCAGCCTGGGTGACAGAGCGAGACTTCTCAAAAAAAAAAAGGCTTCTGACACATGCTACAACACGGAGGAATCTTGAGGACATTATGCCAAGTGAAGTGAGCTAATCGCAAAAAGAAAAATACTGTTATGATTCCACTTGTATAAAGTATCTAGAGTAGTCAGAATCATAGAAACAGAAAGTAAAAATTTTTAAAAATATTTCGGGGGTAGGAAGATATAGGGAATTGTTTAATGAGTATAGAGTTTCAGTTTTTGCAAGATGAAAAAGTTCTGTAGATTGTGCAACAATGTGAATATACTTAATACTGAACTGTACACTTAAAATGGTTAAGATGGTGAATTTTATATTATGCATACTTTATATGATGGTGTGTTTACATTGTGTGTATTTTGCCACAATTAAAATGTTAAAAAGAAATGGTGAAAGCAGATAGAATTGCTGTTAAAATTTAGGGAGTAAGCATTCAATCTTTCACCATTAAGTATAATGTTACCTGTAGTTTTTTAGTAGATGTTTGTATTAGTCTGTTCAGGCTGCCATAACAAAATACCACAGACTGGGTGGCTTAAGTAACAGAAATTTAATTTCTCACATTTTTGGAGACAAGAAGTCCAAAATCACGTTGCCAGAAAATTTGGTTTCTGGTAGGCCTTTCTTTCTGACTTACATATGACTGCGTTTTCTCTGTACCTTTCTTTAATCTTGTCATTTACAGCTATAAATATCCCCCTAAGCACTATTTTAGTTGCATTGTGTAAGTGTGGTATTTTGTGACTTCATTTTTATGAATCTCAAATAAATTTTCTAGTTTTTTTTTGGTGAGTTCTTTTTTGATTTACTGGTTATTTCAGATTTTGTTGTTTAATTTCCGCATTTGTGAATTTGGTAGTTTCTCTCTGCTGTTGATAAACAATAACATTTAACTCTAAAGTTTAACTCTGTTGTAGCCAGAATCATACTGTATATGATTTGAGTCCTTTTACATTTACTGATGTTTGTTTTGTGGACTACTCTATAGTCTGTTGTTGTGCACTTGAGAAGAATGTATATTCTGTTGTTGTTGTTGGGTTTTGTATTCTGTGGATGTCTGTTAGGTCAAGTTGGTTTAGTGCTGTTCAAGTCTTTTACATAGCTCGGCTGTTCATTGTTGAAAGCAGGATTTTGAAGTCTGCAAGTATTATCTGTTTTTCAGTCAGCTCTGTCAGTTCTTGCTTTATGTATTTTGTGGTTTTCATATTAGGTGCTTATATATTTATAATTATTATACCTTCATGATGGTTGACCTTATCATAGTAAAAGTCCCTCTTTAGCTCTAGTAAAATTTTCCTAAGTCTTTTTTATCTGATATTAATATAATGACTACCCCTTTTTATGGTGGTTGTTTTTGTGCTATGTATCTTTTTGCTTCTTTTACTGTAATCCTGTTTATAATTTTGAGTCTAATTGTATCTCCTGAACTTAGAATACAACTGGATTTTGTGTTATTGTACATCCTGACAACCCTTCCTGTTGATTTGTTAATCCATTTGCAGTTCATGCTATTAATGATATGGTTTGCTTGTTTGCCATTTTACTTTTTGTTTTCTATGTGTCTTGCCATTTTTGTTCCTGTGTTCTTCCTTTATTGCTTTCTTTTGCATTATTTTGTATTGTAATATTTTAATTCCTTAAATGATTTTTAAAAAAGATTTCTAATGCTATTTAAAAAATTATTTTCTTAATGGTTGAGGGTTTACTATATATATATATATTTTTCTAACAGAATCTTCTTCAGATTCATATTGATTTAATTCCTGTAAGACATAGAATGATTCCTCCTATGTACCTCTATTTCTTTACTAATTATTGTTTATACATATCTATTTATGTTACAAACCCAACAATACATTGTAGCAGTTATTAGTTTATTTAACTGTCTTTTAAAGACATAAAGGAAAGGAGAGCATTATATGTTTATACAGTTTGTTATTTTAAAGTTAGCACTCCTTATTATCTTCATTTGTTTCAGTGTAGAGTTTCCATGTGATATCATTTCCTTATGCCAACCTTTCATAGTAGAAGTCCCTCTTTATCTCTGGTAAAATTTTCTGAATTCTGTTTCGTCTGATATTAGTATAATGATGACAACTTTGTACCCACTTATCTTGTATTACTATTAAATACATTACATTTCTTTATGTTATAGGTTTAACAATACAATTATAAACATAGTTTTTATATAATTCCTTTTTAAATTATTTAAGAAAGGAAAATATATATGCAAAATATATATGCATTTATATTGTCTTATAGTTACACAGTTACTTTTGACTACTGTTTGGCAGTACATGCTTTCAACTCAAAGAACTTCCTTTAGTATTTCTTTTCAGGTGCATCCACTTGCAATGAATTCTCTGAGTTTCTGTTTATCTATGAATGTATTTTTCATCTTCATTTTTGAAGATAGTTTTGCTGAATATAATTATCTTGGTTCACATTTTTTTTCTTTGAGTTCTTTATGTCCTTCCACTGTCTCTGGCCTCCCTGGTTTCTGAGGATAAGTCAGCTGTTAATCTTTTTGTGGTTCCCATGTACCATGGAGAATATGATGAGTCATTTATTTCCTGCTGCTTTTAGTTTTTCTTTTCCTTTCTCCTTTCTTTTCTTTTCTTTTCTCTCTTCTCTTCTTCTCTTTTCTTTTTTCTCTTTTCTCTTTTCTTCCTTTCCTTTCTCCCCTCCCCACCTTCCTGCCTGTCTCCCTCCCCTCCCCTAGCATCCCCTCCCCTCCCCTCCCCTCCCCTCCTAACAAATTAAGAGATAAGAAAGCTTGTGATAATGTTTGTGTAGATGGGAGTGTCTTTTCCTCTTCTTCATGGCCATAAAACTCCTCCTAGACAGGGGAATTATGGTACGTTTACTCTTGATCTCCTTCCTGGGAGTAAACCGTTGAAGAGGGAATTTATGGCAGCCTCATTTGTCACAGTTTCTGCTTTTAATCATATAAGGGAAGTATGGAGAGGGCTTCTTCCTGCATTCATTGAATATCAGATGTCTTCAGCTTAAAATCATGATTATGTCAACTCTGAGTTTTGAATGGGTCCTCACAAAAGCATCAGATCAGAAGAGATTTAATACATAAACAGATGCAGGAATCTAGCTGTCTTCTATTAAACAATGAGATTTATAAAAATGTACAGGAGTGCCACTCTGCTCACTAATTTTTTTTTTTTTGAGAAAATAGTTAAACTTCATTGAAATGTTATTTATGTTAACTGGGTTTATTACTAATGCTAAATGAATTAAGAGATATAGTTTTTACGCTGTCAGTTTTAATGTCTAATATTGCAAATACCCATAGATAAAACCCTACATAATCCAAAGGTTTTGGGAGTCCTTAATCTTTTTCTTTTCTTTTTTTTTTTTTGAGATGGAGTTTTGCTTTTGTTGCCCAGGCTGGAGTTCAGTCGCGCGATCTCGGCTCACTGCAACCTCTGCCTTTCAGGTTCAAGCAGTTCTCCTGCCTCAGCCTCCCAAGTAGCTGGCATTACAGGCATGTGCCACCACGCCCAGCTAATTTTTGTATTTCTAGTAGAGATGGGGTTTCACCATGTTGGCCAGGCTGGTCTCGAACTCCTGACCTCAGGTGATCCTCCCACCTCGGCCTCCCAAGTGCTGGGATTACAGGTGTGAGTCACCACGCTTGGCCCTTAATCATTTTTTACAGGATAAAGGGGTCCTGAGACCAAAAAGTTTCAGACTTCTAGTAACTATCTTCTTCATAGTCCCAAAGTGAACTGCTTTACTTCGTGGTATTACGTCTATATTCCAGGCTGGATGAGGGAGGAGGAATTCCAGAGAAATGGGCAATGGCAATATCAGGAAAGCAAAATGTTTTCCCAGGAAATCTTTAGTTAATTTCTTTCAAAAGAACTTTTTATATATTTAATAGTTTTCCTTAACTGCAAAGTAGTGTGGAAAAGTGAGAACTTTTAGCTGGGTTTGTTGCTGCTCAGGACAAAGTCAGGGTTCTTTTGGTGGGGACAAAGGGAGATAGGTATTGAGTATGTAGTTAGCGGTGTTCATTGCCCACATATTTTGTCTTTTTTTTTAAGGACCAGTCCTGGTCAGAGTTTCAGGAAAACCCCACATGATGAAGTCCTATTGTTTGACTCTTTCATACAGAATCCCAAAAACTCGCTTAGGCATCTCACCTCGTTGTCTTCTTGATAATTATTGGTTTCTACTTTCCAGGGTGTATTTGGTCTATGTGAGTTTTATGCCTTGGCTCTACCCACAAGTACATTCTGTTGGGAGCCACATGTGGACTTGTGAAAAACATCATTGACAGCACTGATTAAATTGTAAAATGTGCCTTATTCTTCAGCAGAGCTTCTCTTTATCTTTGTGATCTGGTAGCTTCTCACATTAAGAAAACTTTGTTTTCTCACACCCTCAGACTCAGTCTTTCCCAATCTGTACCATTGTGTTTCCTGATTGATTGATTTGTATTAACTCAATTGTGGGCTCACAGCCATCTTTTACATAGGAATTTACTTTTAAAATGGTCATGATTTGCTTTTTAAAACATGAGTCATAAATTGGGTGCAGTAGTATGCCTGTAATCTCAGCTACTTGGGAGGTTGAGGTGGGAGGATCACTTGAGCCCAGGAATTAGAGACTGTAGTATGACATGATGGTACTCGTGAATAGCTACTGTCCTCCAGCCTGGACAACATGGCAAAACCCTGTCTTAAAAACAAACAAACAAAACTCATAGACTTTATTGATTTTTCTGGTTCAAGATTTGGAATGAAAACTTGCACCTCAAACTGTGGTCTGGGGACAGCAGCATGGGAGTCACCTGGGAGCTTTTTGGAAATGCAGAAATCTGAGTCCCCCCTAGACCTAACAAACCACAATCTACATTTTAGCAAGATCCCTAAATGATTAGGTGTCCAGAGTTGGAAAAGCACTGGCTAAAGGAGAAAACAAATGAAATCTAGAGGGCATGAGGCTGTGTTCTGAGGAGCTCTCATGTTGAATGTAGATGAAAAGAGCCCACCAGAGAGATGTGGAGATGAAAGCCAGGGTAGTGTGTGGCATCTCTTAGTACCTTCTCTGAGGAAGGAAGGAAGATGCAGCGAGGCTTCCATCTCTCCTGGGGTCACAAGGTGGTGGTATCCAGTAAGCAGTGACTGAATGTGTTAAAGAGCTGTAAATAATTTGCCAGGGTTTTTATTACTTGGGCATTGAAGCTTAGTTTGGGCTTGAACTGGAACTTTTTTCTCCTTGGTATGTCTAATTCCACTTCTTTACATTGATGCTTGGCAAACTTTACTTCTCATTCAGAACCAAGATGCCATTCTGACTACAGGGCAGAGTGGTGTCACACTTCCACCTTGATATACTTTATGTATGTGCTTCTTTTATGTCATTCTTAAGCTCTTCCCTAGTTTGGACATTTCTCACCAAAACACTTTTTCAGAGGAGTTCAGTGGTAATACACGTTGAGCGTCCCTAATCCACAAACTCGAAATCCAGCATGCTTCAAAATCTGAAACTTTGGAATGTCAGCATGACACTCAAAGTAAGTGCTCATTGTCACCTTTCAGATTTTGAATTCTCAGATTTGGGATGCTCCACCTGTAAGTATAATGCAAATATTCCAAAGTCCAAAAAACTCAGAAATATGAAACAGTTCTGGTCCCAAGCATTTCAAATAAGGGATTCTCAATATTATCATTGGCATATGGTTAGGAGTGAGATTTTGGTCCATATTCTATGCCTGACACAGTTGTTCACACATAGTAGTTGCATAGTAAATAAGTGTGGAAAGAATGACTGATTTGAATGAGTTTTGGGACTTGCTTTCTGGAAAATATCTCTGATGTTGTCCTGCACTATATATTTTAAGTCCAAATAAATGGACATCTAAAGAGCAGTGTTTAGGCTGGGCGCAGTGGCTCACGCCTGTAATCCCAGCACTTTGGGAGGCCGAGGCGGGCAGATCACGAGGTCAGGAGATCGAGACCATCCTGGCTAACACAGTGAAACCCCGTCTCTACTAAAAATACAAAAACTGAGCCGGACATGGTGGTGGGCGCCTGTAGTCCCAGCTACTTGGGAGGCTGAGGCAGGAGAGTGGCATGAACCTGGGAGGCGGAGCGTGCAGTGAGCCGAGATTGCACCAGTGCACTCCAGCCTGGGCGACAGAGCGAGACTACGTATCAAAAAAGAAAAAAAAAAAGAAGAAGAAGAAGAAGAAGAAAAAGAGCAGTGTTTATTGGGGGAAAATAAAAGATGATCTGGTCTGCTGGAACTGAACTGTTAAGATCCTACCAAGTAGTGGAGAAGCAACCCTAAATATTGACAGGTTTCAGGCTTTAAAACCCCTGTGTTTTCTAGGGCTTGTTATTTGTTTGGTTTTACCAATGTAAAATATGAATTGTTCTAACAAGAAAACAAAATAAAAGCTTGCATTATCAAATTTATTTCTTAAAGGGTAAGGAACAGCTTTAGCTCTCAATCTGGGTTTATAATGTTAAGTTAGCAGGTAGTTCTCCCTCACCCCAATATCCATTCTCTGTTGAATAATTAATGTCAAAAAGGTCTGAGGATATGATTTATTGGCTTCTCTTAGTACTTGTGAACTTCTCTGTAGATTTCCAGATGGTGTCAAACCAGCCATTCCTTGTGAGGTAGTAAGTAATGTAGCAGTGGTTATAATTGGCTTTCTGTACAGATAATCCAAGGCCTATGGTGTCTTTGTTTGAACTTAGTAGACTACACTAAAATTTAATAGTAAGTCACCAGTAGCTTGGCCTTAAAATTGGGACTCACAGCAGTGCCCTGTGTTTACCTATAAGTACATTCTTGACTAATGAATGAAACTCAGATTACTTGTTCTCTGGACAGAGGGCTTTCATTCCCAGTGAATGAATGTGTGAATAATATGATTGAATTAAATTGCTAGTTAAACTTGGTCTTTTTTTGTTGTTGTTGATACGGAGTCTTGCTCTGTTGCCCAGGCTGGAATGCAGTGCAGTGGTGTGATCTCAGCTCACTGCAACCTCTGCCTCCCAGTTTCAAGCGATTCTCCTTCCCTCAGCCTCCGGAGTAGTTGGGATTATAGGCACGTGCCACCATGCCCGGCTAATTTTTGTATTTTTAGTAGAGACGGTGTTTCACCATGTTGGTCAGGCGGGTCTCAAACTACTGACCTCAGGCAATCTGCCCGCCTCAGCCTCCCAAAGTGAAACTTGATCTTTTAGAAACATTCTTTGGTAACATTCTCCCAACACTTTGAGCATACTTTATAATTTACTAATTGACTGCCTTAAGATGAAGAAACAGGTCAGGTATGGTGACTCATGCCTGTAATTCCAGTCCTTTGAGAAGCTCAGATGGGAGAATTACTTGAGGCCAGGAGTTGAGCCTGGGCAGCATAGCAAGACCCTGTCTCTATAAAAAATACTTAGTCAGACATGGTGGCACATGTCTGTAGTCCTAGCTGCTCGGGAGGCTGAGGCGGGAGGATCACTTGAACCCAGGAGGTTGAGGCTTCAGTGAAGCATGATTGTGATTGTGCCACTGCACTCTAGCCTGGGTGACAGAGTGATCCCTGTCTCCACAAAAAGTATTTAGTCAGACATGTTGGCACATCCCTGTAGTCCCAATTCCTCAGAAGGCTGAGGCAGGAGGATCACTTGAGCCCAAGAGGTCAAGGCTGCCATGAACCATGATCATGCCACTGCACTCCCAGCCTAGGTGACAGAGCAAGGAAATACAACTAAGATCTTCTCTTCCTTAGGCAATAGTTTTTGTTACTCATTTGGGTTTAGAGCAAGAATGAGTAGATTCAGGAAAATGACTTTATTTTTAAAAATCAGATTTATGTTTAGAGTGTTCACTTTTTTTTTTTAAAGAAAGTCATAGGATGGAAGATGATCGTAGTTGTTTGAGGGTTGCCATAACAAATTGCCATACGGAAGGTGGCTTAAACAACAGAAATTTATTTTCTCATAGTCTGGAGGCTGGAAGTCCAAGATGAAGGTGGCAGCAGGGCTGGTTTCTCCTTGGCTTGTAGATGGCCATCTTCTCCCTCTGTGTTCACATTGTCTTTTATCTGTGTGTGTCTGTGTCACAAACTCCTCTTATTACAAGGACACCAATCCTATTGGATTAGAGTCCACTAGGATTAGAGTCACCTCCTGAGTAGCCGGGACTACTATTGACCTCATGTAAACTTAATTACATCTTTAAAGTCCCTATTCCAAATAGTTATATTCTGAGGAAGAAGGAGTTTAGGACATCAACATCTAAATTTTCACAGAAGGGAGGGGAATACACAGTTTAGCCCATGATAGTTGTGTATCAGGGAGGTCAACCTAAAGGCAAAAAGGCCAGGTGGGATGTTATTCTTCAAGAATTCTAGCTGAGAAATGAAGAGAATCTAAACTAAAGCATTGTCAATAAAAATGAAAATGAGTTGTGATTGAGAGGAGGAAGAATTTGATACAAGACTATGTGACTGAATGTGGAGGGGCATGAGAGGAAGGAGGCTGGCATGGCTCCCAGATTTCCCTGCTCCAGGAGGAGAAACTGAGTTGAAGGAGATGTGAGCTGTGTGATATCCCGATTGAGTATTCAGCACTTTGTTAGCCAGACACCCCAGGACTGGTCAGCTGTCCTACTTTCTTCACTCTTTCGCCGTGACTCCTCATAATGTGGACTGTGTCACATACAACTGAGCATGCAGCCTCTCCACTTGAAATGTGTCTTAAGACACTTATCACCATCTGAACTTTCACGTGAAATGTGACTTAAGACACTTATTACCATCTTATTTTGACAGTGAATTCTAAACTCTTATTTTTTCCTGATAATAAAAAATTAAATCTCTTAAATAAAATGTTAAATCCTTTAGGACAGGGACTATTGTGTATTCATTTTGCCCAAATGTGCAATATTTACTGCCTGGCTACATACATCTAGTATATAGTAGGTTGTGCTTTGCAAATTCTAGTTCAGGGAATGATTTGTCAGTAGGGTTGTTGTGATCAATTACTTGTTCTTTGCATATTTTAATCAAAGATTGATAATTAAAACCTGTTTGATTTTCTTGCAGAATGAGAAGACTTTGGGACATTTCATGAGTCATTCAAGCAACATTTCTAAGGTAGAGTGCCACTGAAAAATGTTATTTATTACCTTGAGTCTTTTCTGTTCTTATGCCTTACATGTGTTTATACTCTTTTTTTTTTTTTTGAAAAGACGTTAGAGTTCTTGATACATTTCTGTAATCTGTTCTGGGACCATAAGAGGTATGTGGCAGTTACATTTTTCTGGTAAGGCAATTTTGAGTGTGTGTTGGGGGAAGTGACTTCTGGGAGAAAATTCCATTTTTTCCAGAAAACCATATACTTTAAGGCAGAAGAAATCTCAGGCACAGGAGAGTCTGTTGCCACAATTAGGAATATATTTGACTGAAAGTAACAGAAAGCTAACTATGATGACTTACATAATTATGGATTTATATGGTTCATTTGACAAGGTGTCTGGAAGCAGGTGATCCAGGGCAGAGTTGATCACAGATTGTAGTGCACCCGATTCTGTGGCTGTTCGGGGTGCCACTGTGTAACCCGCATGGACCTAGGGGAACTGAACAAGGGGTGAAGGCGGGAATAAAAGACAAGAGACAAAAGAGTATATTTGGAAGAAGGAGGCATCTTGGCTCTAGTGGACAAGGGCCCTGAGCTTTACACAGCCCTCCATATTTATTAGGCAAAAGAGATAGTGAGAAGGCGGGTGGAAGAAGGGGTCAGCTGCTCAGTCTAGAGTAGGCTTGCAAGACTGCATTCCTTGAACAAAAGGTTCTAGATGTTGCAGTAGAGAACCTTGGCGCCAGGGAGTGATTGCCTCCAGCAAACCTTCTGTTGGCAGGAGCAGTCGGCCGGAGCAGTCGTGAGTTTGCTCATATCCTGCATTCATGATGAACGGTTTGCTGTTTGATCATATAGTCTCCAGGGGAATGCTGAGTTGGTCACGTCCCATGGGTCTTCGGCTCCCTGTAACAGATGTTGCCAGGGACCCAGGCTCTTTCCTCTCTGTGCTATCTCCTACTTGACACATGGTCTCACGATGAGAGCTGGACCTTCAGGCATTGCGGTTGTGGCCTTGGCAGGAATTAGAGGACTGATCAAGGATTAACAGGTCTGTTAGCTGAGAGTCACCATTTTCAGCAGGAAGGCAAAAGTTGTCCCACAAGTCCCACCTGGCCGCCTGAAATCTGCTTACATCTCCCTGGCCAGAACTGGATCACAGGCCACCTCTAGCTGGAAGGCAGCTAGGGAAAGGAGGGCTTGGGAAGTGAATCAGCCATCCAACAGCATCTCCTCACCTGTGGTGTGGTCTTTTTAGCGCACCAGGAGCACACTGGCTGCTAGGGTATGGCCTGGGAACCAGCAGAGTGTATCTGATGCAGTGAGCTTGCTTCCAGGCAGTGCTCCTCTCTCAGCCCACACATTGACTCTGGCCAACCCCTTCGCCATACAGTTAAGGCCATGAAAGTTCTTTGTAAGGGTGGACCTTTTCCCCATGTTTTTGGCATATGGCCAAACACACCACAGATTCAGCTGGGAGGATTTGAACAAGTGACAAAGTCTATCTGCTGTCTCAGGCCTCCTAGATACTCTGAAATGAACAGTTACATTATATGCCATTTTAATGTGCTGACTACATATATGTTTTCATTCAGGTCACCTTATTTTTTTAAGACTAAAAGTAAACTCTGGCAAACCTTCTTAAGACATTTGTCTGTTCTTAGGCATATTTGTAATCTAATTATATTATTCTTCCGCTTAATTTTGCGTTAAAAATAGGAATGCCTTTCACAAAATATTTTTTCCCATCCAACCTCCATTTCTTTTCTTTTGCTGTCCCTTTGGCCAGGAATGCTGCAGTGCTAGAACTATGCAGTGGTAAACCATTGCTGCCCATTTTTGCACCTTTTAAAGGAGCTAATCAGTGTCTAAGCACGGAGAAAAGTGAGAAGGTGCAGCTGCAGATGGCCTGTTTGCTTAAGTTGAATTAAATGTGTTAAAAAACGCTCAGTAACACATGTATGTCGCCTTGCCCTAGTAGCCAAGGGCAGTTCTGAAGGAGGACATCCTATGCTTTAAATATGTACCTGTTCATTCATGGATTTCAGTCACATTTTATTTAAAGGAAACTTCTTCCTATAGTTAAAAAAAACTGTTTGCAAACCACCATCTTAAAAAGTCTAGAGGAAAGGCTATTGTCCTGGCTTGGGTTGTGGGTATTTTGAGCTTTGTAAGGGTTTTGGAATTAACATGGATGATGGTTTACTAGCCATGTGATTTTGAAAAAGGACATCTCTCTGAGCTTTAATTTAGTTATCAGTAAAAGTAGGGTAAGCCAGGCGTGGTGGCTCACACCTGTAATCGCAGCAATTTGGGAGGCTGAAGCGGGCGGATCACCTGAGGTCAGGAGTTTGAGACCAGCCTGGCCAACATGATGAAACCCCATCTTTACTAAAATTCCAAAAAAATAGCCAGGCGTGGTGGTGCACACCTGCAGTCCCAGCTGCTTGGGAGGCTGAGGCAGGAGAATCGCTTGAACCTGGGAGGCGGAGGTTGCAGTGAGCTAAGATCACACCATTGCACTCCAGCTTAGGCAACAAGAGCAAAACTCCGTCTCAAAAAAAAAAAAAAAAAAAAAAGTAGGGTAATAATACAACCTTCAGGGTTGTTCCGAGTCTTGGGATTAACATTTGCATGGAACCATGGGGCAGCTCACCCATTACACTGAGCCAACAAACCTGACTCTTGTCAAAGTTCGTTGAATCCTGGTGACCTTAGGTTGATTGGGCCAGGACAGTTCATTTAATGGTAGCTTTATTATTTATTGCTGAACAATGGAGAACCATACATTATTTTTTCCTTCTTGCATACATTTTTTTTTAGACAGAGTCTCGCTCCGTAGCCCAGGCTGGAGTGCCGTGGTGCAATCTTGGCTCACTGCAACCTCCGCCTCCTGGATTTAAGCAATTCTCCTGCCTCAGCCTCCTGAGTAGCTGGGATTACAGGTGCGTGCCACCACGCCCAGCTAATTTTTGTATTTTTAGTAGAGACAGGGTTTCACTATGTTGATCAGGCTGGCCTCAAACTCCTGACCTCCTGATCCACCCGCCTTGGCCTCCCAAAGTGCTAGGATTACAGGCGTGAGCCACCGTGCCCGGCCCCTTCTTGAATACATTTTTACTGTGTGCTGTTTGCGACTGGACACTTAGTGTGTCCAGTGAGTTCCGGGATGCTTACTATGGTCATTGGAGAGTATCTGAGTGGAGTGAGCCTTTAGAACATTTGATTACTCACAGAACTTCCTGGTTAACCTGTCAACGTGAAATTCTGTTGCAAAGTGTACCCTTTTGTAACGAAGATAGTTAGCATGCTGTATAAGGTGGTTAGACATGAACCAGTTCAGTGGGACCAAGGAAGGGAGGGCAGGCCCCCTGTGGAAGATAACTGTTTTTGAGAAGACAGTTTTTTTATTGGAGTATTTATTAAATGAACCTGCTGTTTGAAGCCAGTTTTAGGCCGTGACATGTAAAATCGTATCTTCAGTATAGCAGACATACTCTTGAGATTAAAGGAGGCCACAATGTGGACATACTGTATGCTACCTGAAATCCCCGTTGTCTCTGTCAGGAGACTTTCTGCTGACTTTTAGACCCCAGCTGGGGTCAGCACAT
Source organism: Homo sapiens (assembly GCF_000001405.40). Classification (NCBI taxonomy): domain Eukaryota; kingdom Metazoa; phylum Chordata; class Mammalia; order Primates; family Hominidae; genus Homo; species Homo sapiens. Next base: position 45,485,772 of record NC_000010.11, on the reverse strand, counting down.
GAGCCAGTCACTGCAGTCTGCTTTATGCTTCTGCAGTTCACCTCTTGCTGGCGTAAATTTAGAGGTTGAAAAGAGGTAAAAAATAAACCTTTAATCATGCCTCCTAGTATTCCATCTAGATTTTATTACAAAGTGTCTCAGTGTGTATTGGAAGCATATTGACTTTAAAAACCAGGCTCCATTTTCAAAGAAGGAAGCAGGTAGGTTGGATGAGATGTTTATGAGGCTGCTAGGTCTGTGGTGGCTTGCCTCTCTTCAAAGTGGGCAGCTGGATTTGATCCCCTTAAGGAGTTAATAGAAGAAGCATATTGGGATATTTAAGCAATTACAATGGCAAAGTCTTCACCCAATACTTATTTTGTATTGATAGTACAATGTTAATGGATATCATTTGTTGAGCCTCTGTTACCAAGGGATTTCATGAAATTTGTCACCTCCAATTAACATCCTAAGGGGTCCAAAGTCACCTTTTCCTTTTATTTTTCAGGATCGCACTTATCACTGCCTGGGTTTTCATGAATTTTTTTCCATTGCACCTTCACCCCACATGTAACCTTCATGAGTGTAGAGCCATGCTTTGTTTACCCCTAAATCTGCAGAACCAGTGATGGGATGGAGCCCTGGAGGTTGTCAGTACATGCTGAGTCAATGTTTGCATGCTGTTCTGCTAGACACTTGATACCCAGCCCATTGGTTCATCCCTCTTCATCATCCCAGCCACTTCCCAGGCCCAGGCCTCCTAAACTCCTGCAGTAGCTTCTCAAGAATCTATCCCAAACCATCTAGCACCCAGTAGCCAGTAAGTAGAATTCCTAATGCTTCTCTTTTCAATTCTTCAGTGTTTCTGATTACACTACCTTGAGCTGTCACATCTAAGGTGACCTGGGCCTGGCCACTTGGAACCTGATCCTGTGCAATATCCCCTTGGTCATGATGATCTAGGTATGGTGTCTACCTTGATGATTTTCAAACAAGCCAAATTCCTATTTGCGCACCTTTTGTTCTGTCCGAGAGGCCTCTCCCAATCTTACCCCTTTTTTGCATGAATGGCTAAAATTCCTAACTCATTTCTCTTTCAGTTCTTAGCTTCTTTAGAGGCACTTACCCTTGACACCCTCCCCTTAGTCTAAATTTTATCACCCATTTGGGTTTTGTTACTCTTTCTTCATAGCACCTATCACAGTTTGTAATGATAGCAGTGTGTAGAAAATCTTATATTTTTAGAAGCAGCAGAATGTCCCCCCTTGGAAAAAAATCTGTTTAATTGACTGGGTGCTTGGAGAAGTTTGAGGCAGTTTGAGTCCCACAGGTGACATGCTTTATACAAAGACGGGCACTGGAATGCAGCCCCCATGAAATCGCCATGCATCTTGCCCAGACCTTCACCTCACCGCAGGGTCCTTGACCATGTGGGCCCACGAGCCATCCTGGAGGATGTTCCCCAGATGCCCCATCCACACTCAGTCCTCACCCTATGTACTTCCCTTGCTGCTGTTTGCTTAATCATTTTCTAAAGAACAAACTCAAAGTTTTATATCATTGTGTAGTATCTGAAATCACATTTGATTGGTTTTCTTTTTTTAGTTTATTTGTACATATTTATGGGGTACCTCTGATATTTTGTTACATGCATAGACTATGTAATGATCAAGTCAGGGTATTTGGGGTGTCCCTCACTGTGAATATTTATCATGTCTATGTGTCAGAAACAATTTAAACCTCTCTTCTAGTTATTTTGAAGTATATAATATATTGTTAACTGTAGTCACCCTACTCTGTTGTTATTGAACATTAGAACTTATTGTGACTATCTAACTGTATTTTTGTACCCATTAACCAATCTCTCTTTATCCCCCACTCCTGCCTCCATGCACACCCTTCCCAGCCTCTAGTACCTATAATTCTACTTTCTACCTCCATGAGATCAAATTTTTATAGCTCCCACATGTGAGTGAGAACATGTAATATTTGTCTTTCTGTGTCTGGCTAATGACCTCCATCCATGTTGCTGCAGATGACATGATTTCATTCTTTTTGTATGGCTGAATAGTATTTCATTGTGTATATGTGTCACGAATTCTTTACCTGTTTGTCCATTGATGTGGACACTTAGGCTGATTCCATATCTTTTGCGAACAGTGCTACAATAAACATGGGAGTACAGATATCTCTTTGATAATACTAATTTGTTTTCCTCTGGGGAAATACTCTGTAGTGAGATTGCTGGATTATATAGTAGTTCTATTTTTAGTTTTTTGAGGAATTCCCATACTATTTTTCATACTGGTTGTACTAATTTGCATTCCCACCAACAATACATAAGAGTTCCCTTTTCTCTGCATCCTCACCAACATCTGTTATTCCCTGATGATTAGGGATGCTGAGCAGTTTTTCATGCAGCTGTCGGTCATTTACATGTCTTTTTTTGAGAAATGTCTAGTCATGTCCTTTGCCCACTTTTTAATGGGATTGTTTGTGTTTTTAATGTTGTTTGAGTTTCTTACATATTCTGTATGTTAGTTCCTTGTTCGATGGGTAGTTTTCACATGTTTTCTGTCATTCAACAGGTTGTGTCTTCACTCTGTTGATTGTTTCCTATGCTGTGCAGAAGCTTTTCAGTTTAATATAGTCCCTTTTGTCGGTTTTTGGTTTTGTTGCCTATGCTTTGGGGTCTTAGCCATAAAATCATTGCCTAGATCAATGTCTTGAAGTGTAATCCCTGTGTTTTCTTCTAATAGTTATATAGTTTCAGGTCTTATGTTTGAGTGTTTAGTCCATCTTGAGTTGATTTTTGTATGCGATGAGAGAGAGGGCTTCAGTTTCATTCATCTGCGTATGGATCTCTCATTTTCCCAGCACCATTTATTGAGAGGGTATCCTTTCCCTAACGCATGTTTTTGGTACCTTTGTTGAAAATCAGTTCGCAGTAAGTACGTGGATTTATTTCTGTGTTGTTGATTTTGTTCTATTGTTCTGTGTATCTGGGTTTGTTTTGTTGTTGTTGTTTGTTTGTTTTTTGAGATAGAGTCTTGCTCTGTCGCCCAGGCTGGAGTGCAGTGGCACTATCTAGGCTCACTGCAACCTCTGCCTCCTGGGTTCAAGCAATTCTCCCTGCCTCAGCCCCCTGATTAGCTGAGATTACAGGTGCATACCACCAAACCTGGCTAATTTTTGTATTTTTAGTAGTGATGGGGTTTCACCAAGTTGGCCAGGCTGGTCTTGAACTCCTGATGTCAGATGATCCACCTGCCTTGGCCTCCCAAAGTGCTGGGATTACAGGTGTGAGCCACCACTCCTGGCCTGTATCTGTTTTTATAACAACACCATGCTTATTTTGGTTTCTGTAGCCTTGTGTAATATCCTTTGAAGTCAGGCAGTGTGATCCCTGCAGCTTTGTTTGTTTTTCTTAGGATTGTTTTGGCTATTTGTGCTCTTTTTTGGTTCCATATGGTTTTAGGATTGTTTTTTCTGTTTCTGTGTAAAATGACATTGACATTTTGATAGCAATTGCATTGAATCTGTAGATTGCTTTGGGTAGTATGGTCATTTTAATGACACTAATTCTTTTGATCCGTGGACGTGGGATATCTTTCAATTTGTTCGTGTCCTCTTCAGCTTCTTTTATCAGTGTTTTGTAGTTTTCCTTGCAACGCCTTTCACCTCTTTGATTAAATTTATTTCTAGGTATTTTATTTTGTATAGCTATTGTAAATGGGATTGCCTTTTTGATTTCTTTCTCCGCTAGTTCATTATTGGTGTATAGAAACACTATCAACTTTTGTATGTTTATTTTTGTATCCTATAACTTTTCCAAATTTATCAGATCTAAGTTTTCTAATGGAGCCTTTAGGTTTTTCTAGGTATAAAATCATATCATCTGCAAAAAGGGACAAATTAACTTACTTTTTCCAATTTGAATGCCTTTTATTTCTTTCTCTTGCCTGATTGCTCTAACTAGGACTTCCAGTACTGTGTTGAACAGGAGTGGTGAAAGTGGGTGTATTAGTCTGTTTTCATGCTGCTGATAAACACATACCTGAGACTGGGTAATTTTTAAAGAAAAAGAGGTTTAATGAACTCACAGTTCCATGTGGCTGGGGAGGCCTCACAATGATGGCAGAAGGCGAAAGGCATGTCTTACATGGCAGCAGACAAGGGAGAAATGAGAACCAAGCGAAAGAGGTTTCCCCTTATAAAACCATCAGATCTCATGAGACTTATTCACTACCACAAGAACAGTATGGGGGAAACCACCCCTATGATTCAGTTATCCCCCACTGGGTCCCTCCCACGACACATGGGAATTATGGGAGCTACAATTCAAAATGAGATTTGGTGGGGACACAGCCAAACCATATCATTCCGCCCTCGGCCCCTCCCAAATCTCATGTCCTCACATTTCAAAACCACCCATGCCTTCCCAACAGTCCCCCAAAGTCTTAACGCATTTCAGCATTAACTCAAAAGTCCACAGTCCAAAGTCTCATCTCAGACAAGGCAACTCCCTTCCACCTGTGAGCCTGTAAAATCAAAATCAAGTTAGTTAGTTTCTAGATACAATGGGGGCACAGGCACTGGATAAATACACTCATTCCAAATGGGAGAAACTGGCCAAAATGAAGGGGCTAAAGGCCCCATGTAAGTCCACAATCCAATGGGTCAGTCCATTCTTAAAGCTCCAAAGTGATCTCCTTTGACTCCATGTCTCACATCCAGGTCATGCTAATGCAAGAGGTGGGCTCCCACGGCCTTTGGCAGCTCTGCCCCTGTAGCTTTGCAGGGTATAGCCCACCTCCTGGCTGCTTTCACGAGCTGTCATTGAGTGTCTGTAGCTTTTCCAGGTGCATGGTGCAAGCTGTTAGTAGATACACCATTCTGGAGTTGGGAGGATGGTGGCCCTCTTCTCACAGCTCCACTAGGCAGTGCCCCAGTGGGGACTCTGTGTGGGGGCTTGCAACCCACATTTCCCTTTCACACTGCCCTAGCAGAGGTTCTCCATGAGGGCTCCATCCTTGCAGCATACCAGTGCCTGAACATCCAGGCATTTCTATACATTCTCTGAAATCTAGGCAGAGGTTCCCAAATCTCAATTCTTGACATTTGTGTACCCGCAGGCTCAACACCACATGGAAGCTGCCAAGGCTTGGGGCTTGCACCCTCTGAAGCCATGACCTGAACTATACCCTGGCTGCTTGTATCCTTTGGTTAGAGTGGCTGGGATGCAGGGCATGGAGTCTCTAGGCTGCACACAGCAAGGGGGCCCTGGGCACCAGCCCTTGAAACCATTTTTTTTTCCTCCTAGTCCTCTGGGCCTGTGATGGGAGGGGCTGCCAGCAAAGATCTCTGACATGCCCTTGAGACATTTTCCCCCATTGAGTTGGTGATTAACATTTGGCTCTTCGTTACTTAGGCAAATTTCCACACCCAGCTTGAATTTCTCCTCAGAAAATGGGTTTTTCTTTTCAATGGCATCAGGAGGCCACAAATTTTCTGCTTTTATTTTCTGTTTCTCTGAGAATGCTTTTAAAACTTTTTAAAACTGAATGTTTTTAACAGCATCCAAGTCACTTCCTGAATGCTTTGGTGCTTAGAAATTTTTTCCTCCAGATACCATAAATCATCTCCCTCAAGTTCAAAGTTCCACACATCAGGGGCAAAATGCTGCCAGTCTCTTTGCTAAAACATAGCAAGAGTCACCTTTACTCCAGTTTGCAACAAGTTTCTCATCTCCATCTGAGACCACCTCAGCCTGGATTTCATTGTCCATATCATGATCAGTATTTTGGTCAAAGCCATTCAACAAATGTCTAGGAAGTTCCAAACTTGCCCACATTTTCCTGTCTTCTTCTGAGCCCTCCAGACCATTCCAGCCTCTGCCTGTTACCCAGATCCAAAGTCACTTCCACATTTTCAGGTATCTTTATAGCAGCACCCCACTTACTGGTACCAATTTACTGTATTGGTCTGTTTTCACACTGCTGATAAAGACATACCCAAGACTGGATAATTTTTAAAGTAAAAGAGGTTTAATGGACTCACAGTTCCACATGGCTGGGGAGGCCTCACAATCATGGGGGAAGATGAAAGGCATATCTTACTTACATGGCGGCAGACAAGGGAGAAATGAGAACCAAGTGAAAGGGGCTTCCCTTACAAAATGAGATTTCATGAGACTTATTCACTACCACAAGAACAGTATGGGGGAAACTGCACCTATGATTCAGTTATCTCCCACTGAGTCCCTCCCACAACCTGTGGGAATTATGGGAGCCACAATTGAAGATGAGATTTGGGTGGGGACACAGCCAAATCATATCAGCGGGCATTCTTATCTTGTTCCAGTTCTTAGAGGGAAGGCTTTCTTTCACTTTTCCCCCATTCAGATTTATGTTAGCTGTGGGTTTGTCATATATAGCCTTTATTAATATTGCAGTATTTCTTTCTTTGCCTAGTTTGTTGAGAATTTTTATCATGAAGGAATGTTGAATTTTACCAAATGCCTTTTCTGCTTCTATTGAGATGATCATATGGTTTTATCCTTCATTCTGTTTACATGATGTGTCACATTTATTGATTTGCATGTGATGAAAGACCCTTGCATCCTAGGGATAAATTCCCTTAATCGTGTACTGTCTTTTTGATGTGCAATTGGATTTGCTTTATTCGTATTTTGTTAAGGATTTTTTGCATCTATGCCTATCAGGGATATTGGCCTGTAGTTTTATTTTTTGTTGTGTCCTTGTCTGGTTTTGGTGTCAGCATAATGCTGGTCTAGTAGAATGAGTTAAGGAGAATTCTCTCTTCTTCAGTTTTTTGGAATAGAGAAGAATTGTTCTTCTTTGAAAGTTTGGTAGAATTTGGCAGTGAAGTCATCCAATCCTGGACCTTTCGTTGTTAGGAGACTTTTTATTACTCTTTAAATCTCATTACTTCTTATTGATCTGTCCAAGTTTTCTGTCTCTTTCTGATCAATCATGGTAGGTTATGTGTCTATCCATTTCCTCTAGGTTTTCCAGTTTGATAGCATGTAGTTCGTAATAGTCTCTGATGATCTTTTGTATTTCTGTGTTATTTGTAATGTCTCCTTTTTCATTTCAGATTTTATTTAGGTCTTCTATCTTTTTTTCTTGGTTAGTCTAGCTAGTCTATCAATTTTAGTTTTTCAAAAAATTAATTTTTTGTTTCATTGATCTTTTTTTTTTTTAGCTCCTATTTAGTTTAGTTCTCCTCTAATGTTTATTATTTCTTTTCTTTTACTAATTTTGGATTTGGTTTTTACTTGGATTTCTAGATCCTTGAGGTGCATCCTTCGATTGTTTGTTTGAAATCTTTCTACTCTTTTGATGTAGGTGTTTATTGCTCTGGACTTCCCTGTTAGCACTACTTTTGCTCTATCCCACAGGTTTTGGTATGTTGTATTTCGATTTTTATTTAAGGCATTTTTATGTTTTCTCCTTAATTTCTTCCTTCACCCAGTGGTCATTGAGGAGCATGTTGTTTAATTTCCATGTAATTGTACAGTTTCTAGTTGATTTCTAGTTTTAAACATTGTGGTCTGAGAAAGATACTTGACATGATTTCAATTTTTAAAAACTTTGTTGAGACTTGTTTTGTGTCCTAACCTGTGGCCTATCCTGAAGAATGGTCTGTGTGCTGAGAAATGTGTATTCTGTAGTTGTTGGATGAAACGTTCTGTAACTGTCTGTTTAGTCCATTGTCCTAACGTGCAGTTTAAATGTAATGTTTGTTCATTTTCTGCCTAGATGATCTGTCTAACGATGGGAGTGGGGTGTTGAAGTCCTCAGCTATTATTATACTGAAGTCTGTCTCTCCCTTTAGATTTAATAATATTTGCTTTATACATCTGAGTGCTCTGGTGTAGGGTGCAGATGTATGTAGAAGTGTTATAGCCTCTTGATGAATTAATCCCTTTGTTATTATATAATGACTCTCTTTGTCTTTTACTGTTTTTGACTTAAAGTCTGTTTTATCTGATATAGGTATAGCTAGTCCTGCTTGCTTTTGGTTTTTATTTGCATGGAATATCTTTTTTCATCCCTGTACTTTAAGTCTATATGTGTCTGTACAGGTGCGATGAGCTTCTTGTACACAGCATATAGTTGAGTAATGTTTTTTTAAATCCATTCAGCCAGTCTCTGTCTTTCCAGTGGAAAGTTTAATTCATTTACATTCAGGGTTGCTATTGATATGTGAGGGCTTATTCCTGTCACTTTATTAAATAATTTCTGGTTTTGTATATCCTTTGTTTCCTTCTTTCTTATTGTTTATAATTGTGGTTTGGTGGGTTTCTGTAGTGGTAACGTTTGAGTCCTTTTTTTTGCTTATTTGTGTGCTTGCTCTACCAGTAGGTTTTATACTTTGGTATGTTTTCATGATGGCAAATACTGTCCTTGTGCTTCCATGTGTAGGATTCCCTTAAGCATTTCTTATAGGACCAATCTGGTGGTGAATTCCCTCAGCTTTTGCTTGTCTGGGAAGGACTTTATTTCTTCTCATTTATGAGTGATAACTTGGATGGATATAGTATCTTTGGCTGGCCTTTTTTTTTTCTTTTAGCACTTTGAATATATCATCCCATTCTCTCCTGGTCTATAAGGCTTCTGCTGACAAGTCTGCTGTTGGTTCGATGGGGGTCCACTTATAAATGACTAGATGCTTTTTTCTTGCTATTTTTAGGCTTCAACTTTTGACTGTTTGACTATATAATGTGCTGTGGAGGAGACCTTGAATTATATTTGGATATCTCTGAGCTTCTTATATCTAGATGTCTAAATCTTTTGCAAGACTTGGGAAGTTTGCAGCTATTATTTTGTTAGATATTCCATCTTTTTTGTTTTCTGTTTGTCTTCTGAGACACTGAAAATTTGAATATTTGGTCATTTCATGGTGTCCCATATGTCATGTATGCTTTGTTCTTTCTTTTCTATTCCTTTTTTAAATTTTTTTGTCTTACTGGATTATTTCAAAAGACCTGTCTTCAAGTTCTGAAATTATTTCTTCTACTTGATCTATTTGTTGAATATTTCAAGTGTATTTTGTATTTCATGTAATGAATTTTTCAGTTCCAGAATTTCTGTTTGTTTTTTTTTTTATAATGTATTTTTGGAAAATGTTTCATTCATATCCTGAATTGCATTTCTCATTTCTTTGTATTGTTTGTCTGTATTCCTGTGTATCTCACTGAGCTTCCGGATCTTGGTCTGTTGCCCAGGCAGGAGTACAGTGGTGCGATCATAGCTAACTGCAGCTTCCAACTCCTGTGCTCAAGCAATTCTCCCACCTCAGCCTCCTGAGTAGCTGGGCCTACAGGCACACATCACCATGCCCAGCTAATTTTTATTTGTATTTTTTATAGAGACGAGGTCTCACTATGTTGCTCAGACTGGTCTCGAACTCCTAGCCTCAAGCAATCCTCATGCCTGGGGCTCCCAAAGTACTGGGATTACAGGTGAGAGTCACCATGCCCAGTGTTCACTGAGTTTTAATATCATTATTTTGAATTCTTTTTTTGGGATTTCATAAATTTCTTTTTGATTGGAATTTATTGCTGGAGAATTATTGGGTTCCTTTGTGGGTGTCATATTTCCTTGATTTTTCATTTCTTGTGTCCTTATGTTAATCTCTGCACGTCTGGTGTAACAGTCTCTTCTAGTTTTCTTAATTTGCTGTTGTAGGAGAGGAGTTTTTCCTGAGGGTGTGTCTATGGTGTTGGTTGTGCAGGGCACTTTAGCTTTGATTCTCATTGTGTGCAGTAGTATAGTCTCTGTATGATTTCTTTGGCTATAAGTCATGTTTGTGGTGTCTGTGATTTCCTCAGTATCTTAGGGTATGGTGGAGGCTGTAGTGAGGTTTTGCTGGGGACAGGGATACCAGGTTGGCCTGTCCTTGGTCCCAGTGGTGGCAGTAGTGGGGTGAGTATGCCTGCCCTTGGGCCTCAGTGCAGTATATGCTGGCACCAGTGTTAGCAGGTCAGGTGGGTTATTTTTGGGGGACCTCCTTGTAGCTTGCTCAAACGCTGGTAGTGGCAGTGGCGAACTGGGTGGGTGGGTGAATTCTTGGGCTCCTGGGCAGCAGGCATGATATGGGTGATGGCAGCAGCAGTGGCAGGACAACCCTCTGGCTCCCAAGCAGTTTGCGGCTGTGATGGGCTGGTTGAACCAGTCTTCAGGCCCAAATGTGTACGCAATTGAGTGCTAGATGTGGCGGTAATGGCAGGTTGGGTGGGCCTGACCTCAGATGCCCAGGCAGTATGCTCAGGTTCCAATAGTGGTGGAATGGGCTGCGCAGTCCCCAGGCCTCAGGATGGTTTACTCAGGAACTGGGTAGGACATACTTCAGCCCCCCCCGGGGATGCATTCAGGCTCTAACAGTCTTAGGTAGGGGCTGGGTGATTCCAAGGCCCTGGCAGAATGCTCTGGTGGAGGCAGCAGTGGCTATACTGCAGCCCTACTACTGGGGAGAGTGGGGTTGCTTTCAGTGGCAATAGGTATGCCAGCGGCTAGGGAGTGCACACTTTGCTCACTTTGTCCTTGGCGCTTGTGAAAACGTGCAGTGGCTTCACTGCTGGAAGCAGCAGGGTCTTTGCCAAATGGTTTGCACTTCATCCCTGGCAGCAGCAGCTAGCTGCTGCAATGGCTGTGGTGAGGAATATCAGTGGGGTTCCAGGGATGTGAAGAAGCAGGGACTGTTGGGCCCCCAGCAGGATGCAGTCTCCTGAGGACTGGGCTCTCAGTATGGTGTCTTCTTGTAGCTGCCTTGGACTCCAGGGGTGTGTGGGACCCATCACGAGCTCCCTCCCTGGAGCAATGCCTTCTCGCCATCTCCAGGCAGCTCCCTCTGTTAGCCTCAAGGCCTGTGAGGGTCTAGGGCTCTGTCATGGCTGGAATTGCAGAAGTGCATGGTAGGAATGTGGACCGCTGGGGATCGCTCGCTTCCCCTTTCCCCACACTGGGGAACCTCTTGGCTGCCTTGCCTGACTGCCCTCTCCTTGCCTGCTCTAGGTGTTTTCTGTCACTTCTCTGTTGAATTCGTGTTCTCTGTTAGATGATCTATTCAAAGTCTGATTCTTCCTCGCTATTTTGGTTCTTCTTTGTAGAGGAGGTAAGTACCAGATGCCTCTAGTCAGCCATCTTGAAGCCCCTCCTCTAGATTTTGATTGGTTAACTTTTTAATGTGAAAATATAACTATTAAAAAGCATGTTCTTCATTATATCACCTAAACTCATTGTGATGGCCCTTTGTGAGATAGAGCTCTGACAGATGGGTATTCAGGAGGCTGTGTGGTAGAGAGAAGGGAGGGGTGGGGATGGGGCAAGCCAACTTTCCATCTCTGCTGTGAGCCTCTGCCTGTCAAGGGGCCATTGTCTCGGGGTACCAGGAAGCCATAGAGTATGGCTGGCAGGGGCGATGCACAGTGTACTGGGCATGGCCTCAGGGTGGACTCAGGTGACGTGAGGTGACTGCCTGTTCAGGACGTTGTGTCCTGTGCCACCACTGCCCCCACCTGCAGGCTGTCTTACCATTTGACAATATGTCTCATCTCTAACATGGAGACAAGGAGGCCATGCAGAGTTTACGAGGATTGCACACATTGAGATTTTGTCCAGCACCTAACTGTGTGCCAGAAATTGTGCTTTGAATGCTGAACCAAACAGCAGAGGGAAGTACGCAGACCTCTATACGATACCACGGATGGAGAGAATTCCTACAAAGGGAACAGTAAGGAGCTTAGGTAGAGAATTACAGGGAACCCAAGTTGAAGGACTGCTCAGAGAAGATGTGGCTCAGGAGAGACATGTAAAGCAGATGTGAGAGGTGGAAAGGAGCCAACCAGGATGAGGTTAAACTGTAGTAGAAAGATCATTTGTCACCTGCTTGGAAAGTCCAGTACTTTAGATGGACAATGAAAGGCATCTTCAGTGGCTGGGGGTGATGGCTCTCATGGCACCCTATTGCAGGTGGCTGTAACCACAAGATTGTGTTGACTGTGGCTGTTCATGTGAGTACTTTGGCCTAAAATCCTATAGAGGCTGATTGAAATTCGCAGAGGAGGCTTAAACCCACTCTATTCAGCTGGAATTTCTTTAATACCAGGAATTGGCCTAGGCTAGGCTAATCATAGGGGCTGGACTTTTTGGAGCCTCTCTTGATGCCTCTCAGAGGAAGATTGTGGTGCAAAAAGGGCAGTACATAGACACAATGTTATTTTATCCCCAGGGAAGCCTTCTCATTCAACCCTGGGAATCAAACTTGGTCCAGGTGACACAATTTCTTGAGCAAGTTCATGATTGGCAGCACTTACCCCAGGGAGAAGGCAGTGGAAGCCCGTAGCACGAGTATCTCTCTGCCAGCCCCCTAGCCAGCCTGGCTCTGTAGGCTCTGGCAGTTGCCCAAGGCTGGGGCCTTGCAGACTGTGATATGTACCTCTTGTTAATCAAATATTCCTGGGTAGAATCAGACTGGACATGTTTAATGAGCAATTACAATGATTGCTCTATTGCTTGGCAAGCACATCTCAATGAATTTGAGCACTAACCCTCCTAGGCCTCCTGAATATTTTCCGGTTATTGTTGCCATTAGACAGGGATGAGATACAGCAGAATGTCACGTATCAGAGGGACATTCCTTACAAGGAATTCTTGCTGACCCACTTTTATTACGCGAGGGCAGACCTGGATGTGATTGTCAAGACCAGGGTTTGCTTCTTTCTGTTTCTGAATGCAGAGTTGACCAGTGACACGCTCAGGTTACTCAAAACTTATGGGTTACAAATAAGGCAAAATGTGCTTTCTTAATTTATTCTGAAGAAAACAGCTGTCCCAAAACAGGATATTTATTCCTAAGTGACAAAAACAAAGGATGAATTGGAGGAGTTTCATGGCATCAGGTGGCCTCAGCACCACTGAGCCTCACTCGAATCCTGACAGCACTGAGGCAGTGTTTCCGTTCAGCTCCCCTTTTGCAAAGTTTAACCGACTGTCTTTGCAGTATTTTTTCATCTGACTGTTACAGTTTAGTTTTTGGCTGAAGTTTGGTTCAGTCTCCTGAAGGTGGAAGGGGGGCAGGTTTAAAACAATTTCCCAATAATACCAAGATTATTTCCATTTTTCACTCTCATTCTTCCACAAGTATACAGCGGAGTTCCAGAAGCTAAGCAACATGCAGGATAGCATCTTCCTTAGCTGGTGGAATATGTTCCTGTGTTTTAAGATGTTCTAATATAGCAAAGATGGAGAGATGGAACCCGTGTAAACAAAAGCTTTTTGTGAGGGCCTCAGTAATTTTTAAGAGTTTAAGGAGGTCCTGTGGCCAACAAGTTTGAGAATCTCTGTTGTAGAGGCACAGTCTCCCCAGAGGGTAGCTGTTTAGTTCATTGAGCAAATGTTCCCTAAACACCTAGTGTGTACCAGACCAATCAGCAACAGCTTCTAAGTTAACATATCCCAGTAACATCTTCTTATAAACCTTGATAGGTGCAGTGAAAGAAATGAATAGGGTACAAGGATATGATAACAGGGATGAAAAGCCCTTTCTCCTCAGAAAGGAGGAGGGGCCATCATGCTGGGTTGGAATGTGGGAGTGTTCCTGGGAGGAGGAGGAGGGGTGGGAAAGGCCACCAGTTGCCGGGAAAGGAGGGCCTAGGCCTAGAGGAAGTGAGGGTCATTTTTCCTGCCTGCCATGTTTCTGTCAGTAGTATACTCCGCGGCTCAGGGTTCGCTCTTAGAGTTCTGTGCATCTTGGGCCAGGGCTGGCCAGATGAGTAGCCTGAGCAGAAGCTGTTTTCTTCCCAGGTGGGTGGACGGTGGTTACCTTGGTTGGAATGAGGCATTTTGTAGCAGATATGAGACCTGCAGGTTTACTCTCTAGGTCATCAAGAATCAAGAGTGGTAGTCACACGGAAGTCTTGTTCCACACTGGAGGTGTGCCTGGAGTGGTGTGTGCTGCATTTCTGCATCTCCCTTGACTTTATTTGATCCTAGTAGCAGCCCTGTAGATTGTTGACCTCATTTTTTAAATGATTAAACTCCTGCTCGGTAGTGTGCTCAGTGGACTGGCCCCAGAACACAGAGGGAAGACTTTGGGGTCAAAAGCCAGTGCTTTGGCCACTGCCCCAGAATTCTCTCAGAGGAAATATTTTATTGCCTCTTGGCAATGAAAATGTATTTCGACTATATTTGAAAAGTTCAATATTTAAAGGAAATCAACAGTATTAAAGGGTCCTTGTGAGTGATAAGTAACTCACAAACACAGCCCCTTTCACCGTGTTATTTCTGGTGATTTTGGATTTTTATATGGTTACATCTTTAGTTTCTGGGACTGTGAAGCCACCTTTGCTCAGAAATCATTGTCTTCAATGTAATTTATTGAAAACAAATTATATTTGCAAGATCCTCAGCTGCAGCATGGAGGAAGACAGTCCTGAAAAAGTCCCTTCAGCTGTGGCCTTCTGTCCCCTCCACCAGTGCTGTAATATATTCCCCTCATTGTTCTGGGGATTTATTGCTACTCAAGTAATTCCGACTCCCTTTAAAAGGCCACTGTAGAAAAGAATTCCATGTTAGTGCTACTTGGCGTAAGCAATGCTAATGAGAGTCATTTATAATGGATATCATTTTAGCATTCAGTAGTTTTTAATTGTACATGCTTCTCTGTAAGTATATTGTATATACTTACTTTTTTAATGGTCAGTTTTAATTAATTGCCTTTGTGAAAGCTTGTTCTTGGCACAGCCCTTCATAAGAGTCAACATGTATTTATCAGAGCAAGCCACAGAAAAGCCACAGAATGGCCTCTTTTCTTTTAATTGTGGCTCATTTTTGAAGTTGAATACAACTGGGTATTTATCGAAAGCAGAGTTACTCATAATGAAGCATTGGTTTGACAGAGTAACTTCTGTGCTAAGCAGAAAGTTTGTCAAGATGTAATCTCAGTCTGCACATTGCAATATGTAAACACCAAGTGAGTTTATCTGGCTCTGTGGTATGAAGTCAGGCCTGCCGAGTTGACCGTTAGGAGCAGATCCCTATCTCTTAGTTTGGAAGTGGGAGGGCAGTAACCGCTAGCAATCTCATGAGCAGGAAGCACAAATAAAAAAGTGATCTGGTGAGCAAGATTTCTAAAACGGCCCCCAAAAATGTCCCCACAATTGCCTGGAACCTGGGAATGCATTGCTATTATTACTCCTATGATCATGTTGTGTTGTGTGGCACAGTTGACCTTAAAATAAGGGAGATTATTTGGGGTTATAAATACAGGCCCAATGGAATCCCACAAGTGCTTAAAAAGCAGAGAACGTTCTCTGACTGGTGGCAGAAAGGGAAGTCAGAGAGATTGATACCGCAAGTGGGCTTTGAAGATGGGAAGGGGTCATGTGACTGCAGATGCATGTGGCCTGCCCCAGGTGGAGTCAGCCAGCAGACGGGCCCTCAGTCCTCAAGCTTTAGGGAGCTGTGTTCTGCCAACAACCTGAGAGAATGTGTAAACGCAGTCCTCCCCAGGCCTCCAGGAAGGAGGGAGACTGACCAGAGCAGAGAGTCTCAGCATGCGCATGTAGACTCCTAGTCTGTGGGAACTGTGAAGTGATACATTTGTGTAGTTTTAAGCCACTAAGTTTTGTTTACATAGCAACACACCTCTTATATGGGTGGCAAATGCTTTCCATGTAGAGGAAAACCTTCTTTCTAGAGATCTGTAAGAGCCATTTGCTTCTAGAGCCTCTGGGCCAACAGCCAACATGAACTCTTGATTTAGCCATCTTCTTCTTTTATTTTTTTTTGATAATTTTTATTTTCTTTGTAGAAATACAGTCAGGCAGTGACTTTCAAGTGACTTTGACCATGATCCAAAGTAAGAAGTAGCTTTTTTTTTTTTTTTTTTTTTTTTTTTTTGAGACGGAGTCTCACTCTGTCGCCCAGGCTGGAGTGCAGTGGCGCGATCTCGGCTCACTGCAAGCTCCGCCTCCCGGGTTCACGCCATTCACCTGCCTCAGCCTCCCGAGTAGCTGGGACTACAGGCGCCCGCCACCACGCCTGGCTAATTTTTTGTATTTTTAGTAGAGACGGGGTTTCACCGTGTTAGCCAGGATGGTCTCGATCTCCTGACCTCGTGATCCGCCCGCCTCGGCCCCCCAAAGTGCTGGGATTACAGGCGTGAGCCACCGCGCCTGGCCAGAAGTAGCTTTTATATTGAAACCCAGTTCACTTTTGCATACACATCTGAGAGACAAAATTACCTCAAAAGACTTTATCCTTTTTATGTCAGATACATTCTGACATATTCTATTTTATTGTACTTTTAAAAACATAGGTCATCACCCACTACATTGATTTCTTTACCTGTCATCCCAAAGTCGGAAAGTTGTTGCAGTTGGTTGTGCTTCTGCAGTTTTGTTTTACTTTTTAAAATCATCAATCACCTGTTATTTTAAGAATGAATTTCTGTTTGGGAAATGTTGCTCAGTGTAAAGTGGCATTATGGTTTTGTGGGTCTCTGTGACAAGTCCATGTCCCTCCATCCAGGTTCCCTGGTCTCCCTCCTGAGTAGTCTGTGCAGCACCAGCACAGATGGCAGTGGTGCCTCTCTCTGCTTGTTTCACTTTGTGTGTTCATTACTGGACATAATGAGAACTTTTCCCATTTTTTTAATGATTGCTGATATTTCTTTCTGTAGATGGAACAGTGTTGCCTCAGCTCCAAGGTGATGGGCATTTAGGGTGATTCCAGCCGTTTGCTGTCACAAACTAGTGCAGTGTACAAACCTCTTCCCGCAGGTGTGTGAGGATGAATTCCTAAAAGAATTGCTGAGACAAAGTATATGTGCCTTTGTCATCCTGAGGGCAGTTGTCATCCTGTGGAGGTTTACCATTTGCTCTCCCACCAGCAATGTATAAGCATACCTGCTTCCCAACACTTCCGCCAACACATATTATTTGATTAATTTTCTTGGCTGATAATGGTATCTCATTGTAGTTTTAATTTGTATTTCTCATTGTGAGAGAAATGAAGCATCTTTTCATGTTTTGAGAGCCATCTGTGCATCTTTTCCCATTGTTTCTGTTAAGTCATTGATTTGCAGTACTGTAATTTGTGATGAGTTGTAAACATGAGCTCTTCTGGCCTCTTAACCATCCTTATCCAGCCTGTCTTCACGTTCCTCCTTGCCTAAAAACAAGCTCACTCAAACAGATCATTCCTGTGGCCCTCTCCCTTTTGAAATAAATCAGATGGGCAAATTTGCTTTTGTTAGGGGCCTGAGACCCAAATGTTTAAAAGTAGCTTAGCTGATGAGTGAAAAGGAGGCCCAGTTGGGGGTTGCACAGAAAATGAGGGGCGTGGGTAATAGAGGAGGCTGGGCAGTAACCTGGCAGAAGGCGCCAGAGGCCAAGGAAGGTGCGCTGGTGTCCTGCAGTGAGAAGGATGTGTGCACTATCAACTGGGTAAACACACTGCTATAGCTGCTCCAGCGACAGCAGGCACTCTCAGAAGGGAACTGAGAAAAGGGGAATGCCAGTTTCTGCCAAGGATATATGGAAAAGTTTTTTTTCCCCGTATGTTCTTTGGCAACCTTGTTAAAATCATTTAAAATGGTGAATTTGATAACAAAGCCAGCCACTAAAAGACTTGGATGTAGCAAAACAAATTGTCAAAAAGTATTTATCATTTCTAAGAAATAAAATAAACTGGGATTTAGGCTTGGATAGAAATCCAGAGGTTTGTTTTGGCATAATTAATTACAACATCTGAAGAAGGGAGGATTTTTACAAGAATTTTTTTTTTTGTAGTGAGATTGCTTTATATTCCTTTTCATGACTGGAGAGTCTGTCATTTGGCAACCCGCAAAGAACTTCAGGAACAGAGGGCCTAAGTTTTCTTGACACATTTGGATTTTTGCATGATGAACATTTGCACTTTTATTAGTAATTGTCGAGTCGTGTGTGGTCTGATCCTATGGAGAGGAGAGTGTAGGTGTTCTCTGGAGCTAGTACTGCCCCCGGCTCACACGTGCCACACTGCCTGCTGCTTTCAGAAAGAGCAGGACGGCTGGTCCTGTCCCATCTAGTGAGGTCCTGTCCCATCTAGTAAGGTTCTGTCCTGCAGAGCTCCTAAGAGGGGATTGCTGGCCTTTGATTACACTGGCTTCCAGAATCTGACCATGGAACCATTATTTGAAGCTGTCAGCTTCATTTTGTTGTTGATCAGGCCAGTCTTTTAGGTCTTTGTTGGTTGATAGATTTCTCTCAGGTCTATAGCAGCAACAAATAAAGCTCTTTAAAATTATTTTCTTGACCATTCTGCCTATGGATTGGTTCTGACCTTTGAAATGTTTGCTGTCCTTTAGATCGTGACAGAAGGAGCCTCTTCTGGGAGCTGTGAAGACCCCACAGATCTCACTGGTTTTCTTGCTTTTATTGGAAGAGTTAGCATTTGTTGAAGTTTATATTTATGTAAAATAACAATAAGTAGATTTTAAAATTTTTCTTTAAATTCTGTGATCTAATAAGAAGAGAGACTCTTTCTCTGTCATTGGGAGGCTTGATGAGGATCGGACATACCTGCTGAGAGTATCCTGTAATGTTTTCATAAGATTGGAAATGGTGAAATGAGAGCAGAAATGTAGGCAGAGGATGCCAACGCTGTTTCCTATTTCCTAAGTAAAACTGAGCAGGGCAGAATCTCCCCAGCCCTGCCAGAACTCCCTTCCTCCTTGGGTCCGCTGTCACTGTCATGCTGGCCTTGACATCTGCTACAAGTGCACACACATGGGGAACCACACAGGGAAGTGAACACATGTCCTGACGTGTGTGTGTGCCTGGTGTGGCTGCTTCCTTGATCCAGGCTTTGTTTTGTTACGAGGCTCTGCCCTCCTACCTTCAGGCCTTGCTCCTCATCATGGGCATGCAAGGATGGAATCGTTACCCCAGAGTACACTTTTTGACTTGGATTACTTGTAGTTTAGTACTGGAGTTCAGAACTTTAATTTCCCATCAGAAACCTGCCTCCCGGACCCAGGACACTGACCTTGATTGGGCACGATTTTCCAGATAAGACCTTACCTCCTCCCAACAGGGTTTGCCTTCCCTTCAGAATACAGGAAAGTACACGTGGTTCCAAGAGGACCATGCTCTTACTAAGATAAAAGGGAGGAGGGTGACTAGGTACTTTCCTCTGCTGCCATCCCTTGAAGGAAGGGGGCTTCCTTCAATGCCTCATCAGTTCCAGGGAGTATGCTTGACCCAGCAACACAGAGGAAGAAGTGACCTCATAGCAATGAGGGGCAAGCATGTGGATATTGCTGGGTATTTCTTCCTCAAAGTCTACCTGGGGACAGGTGATGAAGACGCTTACTTCTCTGCAATACACCGTGATCAGGCTTTGGTCTTCATGACACATTTTAGCCTTGCCTATGTGTGTTGAACAGAGCTGGTCATCCTCAGAAATAAAAGAAGAGAGCAATAAGTACAGGAAGGCTTTCAGTCCCAGAATAGTGTTAGGACTAAATGTCAGAGAACAGGGGGACTGTAGGAGTTTGGGGACCTTAGCATGGATACCCTCTCAATCTGCTCCCCTGTGGTATAAACAGTAAAGCCCATTGTACTAAAAGGCCTTGAGTGCTTGTCTCTGGGGCAGGTGGAGCCAGTGATGGGTGCCCCGAGAGGAGGATGCTGGAGAGGGGACAGTGTCTAAGGCAGTTGGAGAAAAAGGACAATGGCTTATGCAGTCAGGCCTAGAAGATGCAAGGGATGTCACAGCATAGTGTCCACAGGCATCCCTAGATGTCTTTCATTTTGTTTCAGGAAGAATATTGACAAAGGTAGTGATGGGAGGGTTATTTCAAGGATGCTATTTTCATGTGTCCAAGTAAACTTAAGATTCCTAAGAACTTTGACCTCTAATGCTTTTAAAGACCGTGTACCTCATGCCCATATGCACATTCAGTTAGAAAATAAATGTAGATTCTTTGGTGAATTCGAAGATGTGCTCATGGAGTGGCACAGCGTGATCTCAGTGTACACATGAAGCATGCTGATGAGAGCTTCTTGGATCTTGTTTCTTCAGGTGGACTTGCATTAAAGTGCTGTTGAATCTCTGCACTGGGAGTGGGAGCAGCCATGCGATGGGTGCCTTAATCCGAGTGCCATCCTGGCTCTCTCCAGGCTGCTTCATTTGCTGTGAGGGGTAGGGGGAGGAGGAGTTTCCAGGCAATGGCCTTATCTGTTCTGGTGGTTGACCAAGGGTCGGGGGTCCCAAAGGTGGAGTTCCAGGATGAGAGTGCACCCTTGGGGATGGTACTTAGAAAGAGTGGGGACTAGGCCTCAGCCAGGGAATGGTGGGCCAGGGTGGAGCTCCTTTGTATCAAGGAGTTAGGGCCAAGGGCCATGCAGGTGGGCCTGCAGAAGGTGGGTGGTGATATGGCCTTTCTGGTGATAACAGACTCGTGGCACTGTTTTCCTGGGGCTGTTGGGGTTGCATGGAGCAGATTCTTACTCAGGCTTACTGTCTTAAGGAGGGAAGAATGCTTTTTTATGAATACGCATAGGTCTGTGGGGCTGTGGAGCCTGGGGAATCCGAGGCTGGCGTGGGAGTCTGGGGCCCTCTAGCGGTGGTGGTGCATCCTCAGCTCAGTGCCACTCACTGTCCCTATTTCTCTCTGTCCATTTCTCTCCTCACTGCAGTGCTTCCTCTCCTTCCTAGATTTTTTTCTCTAAGTTTGACTATTCACCACCCCAGAGACTCTGTTCTATCCCATGACCTCTTGCTGTACTTTCTTTCAAATCTAAATTTTCTTGATTATTTTTCTTAATTTACAGTTTCAAGATTAGATCTGTTGGGAGCATTCTGTGCTCTACCTCAGCCCCTGGTTGAGCTATGGATTGGTGTCCCCCATGGTGACGTGGTCTGGACTCCCTTTTGTGTGAAGAGCTGTGGCAGGGCAGTGAGGTTTTGTGGAACTCAGGGAGCATCTGGCACTATGTATGAGGTTGTGAGGTGGGAGAGAGCTCTTAAATCTACCAGCCTTGTTGATCTTGGGAACTAGGAGAGAGTGCTAGGGAAGCCAGTGCCAGCAGGCCTGGAGCCTCATATTTCTTTGGCATTTGTATGATACCTTCTAGTACTTCGTTTTTTGACTTATATATGAACTAACTCAATTTAGATGCTTAGAAAATAAACGGCCACTGGACCTGCAAGAGATTAGTAGTGGTGTTCCATAGCCTTAGACATTTCTTACACTTTTATCCACAGATAAGAAAAAAATAGTGATATTTGATTTGTTTTGCCAAGGCTTAGAAGGATCTAATATGTGTTACTCGTTGAGCAGCGGGAAGCAGCAGACATTTCTAGGGTTTCTCCCTGTCACCATTCAGGAGACAGTGCACACAATCCCCTTGGCTCTTACCTGAACACTGACCACAGGTCTGTCATTGCAGGCTGGGAGTCCTCCGTCAGCATCAGCTCCGGCTCCGGTGTCCTCCTTCTCTCGCACTTCTATCACGCCATCCAGCCAGGACATCTGCAGGTAACACTCTGCTTCAGATGCTGCCATGATCAGTGTGCAGCCAGAAATAAGCATTAGTGTCTGTAGGTTCTTGAATTTCCATTTGCTTAATCAATCTGCCTTTGGTCTAAACAGTTGGCGAGTTTTATGTGTGGTTTGCTCACCAAGTTACCCATGCTAGTCTCATTTCTTCACTATGATGTCTATTCTCTTTTAAAATTGTTTTTACTTTCTGTGCTTTTATCCCACTGTTCTGCATGCAGTTCCAGTGCAGTGTTTTCTGAGTGTTGTCACCACAGTTCCGTGCAGTCTGCTGTTGTCTCGAAAGCTCCTCACTGCCAGAGTTCTCTGACACAAGGGCTCACTGTGACAGTTATCTGTAAGGACACATTACAGGCGTCAAAGAGAAATTCCTTTGGTTCAGAATGGGCCCAGGCCTTGAAGCCTGCTAAGAATACCAAAGCCAGAAGAACACTAAAGTTCTCAAGGTCCCTCAATGATGTGGGTGAGAAGGCGCAGGATACTTCAGAAAGTTTTGCCTATGTGGAAAGAACTTGTTCTGAAGGGAAATTAATACTCCCTCAAGATACGTGTCTCAGAACTAACAGGTTTCATCATAAAGAAAAAAGAACCCTGAACCACAAACCTCTTGGCAATTCCAAACATTCTTGTGTTTCATGCCTTTCTGCCGGTCGCTCAACTGCCTCAGAGGTGGAAGCTGGCAAGGGGGGCAGGCCCGGCCTGCTGCTGGAAGAGAAGGCGGATGGTGAGGCCACGTCCCGAAGCCGGCAACTGCTCCAGTACCTGTTCTCACTCTCGCACGGCTTGAGCGCCAGCAGCCTGCACAGGTTCCATGAGCTGGAGAGCTGCGCTGCTCGCCTGCACACTGCCAAGTCCTCCAGCGGGCTGGCAGGGAGTATGGGCTTCTGCTCTGACGAGATGGGAGACGACGATGTCTTTGAGGACAGCACATCTGCAAAACTGAAGAGTAGGGTTCTGCGGGCGCCCCTCTGCTCCACGGAAAAGGACAGCGACCTGGATTGTCCTTCTCCCTTCTCTGAAAAATTACCCCCCATATCTCCCGTGTCCACGTCAGGGGATGTCTGCAGGTTGGTTTGCCAGGAAGTGCCATTCTAGCCATCTCTGCTCGCATCAGGAACCTCCTCTTGCTTTAGTATGTGAAGTTTCAGGAAAATGAAGTAATAGGAAGTTGTAACCAGTTGTGGGTTGATGGTTTTCTCCAGAAGAATGGAGTATCAATATCGTTTGAAAAACTTAATTTTTATGATGTGAGTCCCAAGATAGTTTTACAAATGATAAAAGAGGAAGAAGCTGGCTGGGCGCAGTGGCTCACGCCTGTAATCCCAGCACTTTGGGAGGCTGAGGCGGGTGGATCACCTGAGGTCAGGAGTTTGAGACCAGCTTGGCCAACGTGGCGAAACCCCGTCTCTACTAAAAATACAAAAATTAGCCGGGCGTGGTGGCGGGCGCCTGTAATCCCAGCTACTCAGGAGGCTGAGGCAGGAGAATTGCTTGAACCCGGGAGGCGGAGGTTGCAGTGAGCCAAGATTGCGCCATTGCACTCCAGCCTGGGCAACAAGAGTGAAACTCTGTCTAAAAAAAAACAAAACAAAACAAAAAAAAAAAGAGGAAGAAGCTACACATATTAAAGGCCAAGCTGACTCTTCTAAACTAAAAATAAGTAGACTTTGCATAAAGAAACTGGAAGAAAGAAACTAGTATCTTCAGTTTTCCAGCCTGATGGTCCAGATTTTAAGCATTGTTGCATCTCCCAGCCTCTTTTTTAACCCTTGCTCCCTACCTACCCCCAAAAGGTGTGTGGGGACTGGCTGTTCTCCAGTAGCTCCTTCCTTCCTTCTTTTTAACTGAGGTGTAGCCACCTATGTCCCATCCTAACTCTGTTTCCCCCCTTTATCTTCCCTTGTGCAGCATCCTTGTCTGGCCTCCATAATTCACTTTTTGTCATGACTCTTGTGCCCTCCTCATTCTGACCTTTCTCCAGTCTCCGCTCCTTAGTGCCAGCTGTCATCATTTCTAACATTTGGATCAGAGATCCCCTCACTAAAACAGCCTGAGAGCCTGGCTCCTTCCAGGACGAGTGCCCCAACCTGTTCTCTAGCTGCTGGAAAAGACCCCTCTGTTTCTTAAAAGCCTGTTAAGTTCCTTCAGGCTAGTAGCTACACCTTGTTGCATACTTCCTTGGAAATAGAGAGTGCTTTCAAATTAATTTCTCACTTATTGCTATTAGTGGTCCCAAGAAAAAGAGATGAAATTGCAGCATCTTGTAATGGTGAGTTTTTTAGGTCTAGGAGAGAGGTACTGTCATCTTTGTTTACTTGCTGAGAGACGACAGAAATGTGTAGTTGTGGGGTATGAAGGTAAAGTCAGTGATTATAGCTAAAAAGCAAACGTCATTTAAGGTCACTGGTATTTTTGGATGTTGGAATGCAGGTTTTGTTTTACATAGAAATTTTCCCTCTAATTATTTTACCATCTTATGTTCTGGAAAATGATTCCATGTTGCTTTAAATTCATCTTTCAGTGAAGTTCTTATTTCTTACCAAAAAATGACAGCTTTGTCATTTCTTACATCGTTTTTTCCTTTCTGTTGCCAAATGCCCTCCAGACTTTCCATGTTGGTGCGGTAAGCTAGACATTTTTAGTTTGTAGTGATTGTTTTCGTTTGTGTTTGTATGTTTTTGTGCCCATAGTCACTTCTGTAATGTTCGTTTCTGAGTTTCCTTTGGGGGGATTAACCTGCCACTGAAGTGTCAGCTTCCCTGTCATGGGACTGTCCTTGGAATGACAGGTTTTCCTTCCACCATAGGATCTGCCACTGTGAAGGAGATGATGAGAGCCCCCTGATCACCCCCTGCCACTGCACAGGAAGCCTCCACTTCGTGCACCAGGCCTGCCTGCAGCAGTGGATCAAGAGCTCCGACACGCGCTGCTGCGAGCTCTGCAAGTATGAGTTCATCATGGAGACCAAGCTGAAGCCACTGAGAAAAGTACGTGGGAGGAAGGGATGCTTCACCCTTCCTGAAACCAGTGACCCCCAGAAAGCTGGTGTCTCAGATCATGAGGTCATGGCTTGCCTGCGTTCATTTCCTTAAAAAGCTGGGGCTGGTGCTTACATTTGCATTGTAGAGATTGTTGTTTCTGGTGCTGATTTTCAAGTCCCTCTTCTCAGGAAGAAGCTCTTTCTGACCATTCATAATCCTTCTTTTCCCTTCAAAGTAAGACTGCTTGCTTGTCGGTGTCAGTCCTCTGGCCTTTGACTACAGACTGTTTGTGACATATCTTAGCACCTAATTTTATACATATTAACTGTTGACGTCCTGCTTCTCTGATTAGGACTGTCTGTTGGAGATTAGTATCTCCCCAGCACCCAGCACAGTGTAGCATACAGTAAATTTATTTGTATACACCCATGATAACTATTTGCTGGATGGGAGTGTGAGTAGGTGGATAGGGAAAAGAAAGGAAGCACAAACGTTGCGTGATGTGCAACTGTCTTCAGAAAGGACCCACAGGCATTGCATGACACGCAGCTGTCTGGAGGCCCATGTCACTGCTCCCTCTGAGAGGAGCTTTGTCCGCCACACTGGCTTCCTGTTTAAATTTTGACTGTTTCATATATCTCTCTAGATGCCCAGCACAAAAGGTTTTGTCTGGAAGAATAAAAAACTGTTCCTATCTCAGAACATTAATATATAAATTGCAAGATAAGTCACATAATCAAATACTAGCCAATTAAATGCTAAATGGTGTGCTGGTAGAGCATAACAGTCATTCAGAAAAGGAAATGCTCATTATGAGCTAGAGTGCTGGGGAAGTGGAGCGATGGTAGCCTCATAGGGTGTTTGGGTTTTAGAGCAGTTCTTGAAGGATCACTAGGATTTGGAGGCAGAGTGCAAGGAGTTTAGAGAGGTCAGGCTGTCTGTGGAGTAAAGCATACCCTAGAAAGGTGAAGGTGAACATTGACAGGGTGTCAAGCTACGTGCGTTGTAGGAAGTAGCAGGGAGCATGGGGCACTGAGGCACTGACTCTGTATTATAGGTAGGAAGACCAGGGAACTTGCTAGTGTATAAAATCCCAGCAGAAAACAACCAGATTTAGAGAAGGCTTGTGCAAACTGCTTAAAAAAATGTTTTGCCCAGTAGAAACCTTGTAATTTATTGGGTGCCTACTCTATGCTAATCTCTCAACATGGGAAGTCCTTGAGGCTCTATTTTCAACTACCCTGCATAGACTCATCTGGAAAGAGGCTGTGACTAGGGTTGGCAAAGGATATGTGCAGAGTGTTTACACATTGTTCTTTCTCTCTACCTTTATGTGTTTTCTCCTGATTCGGAAACCAGTAAATGAAAAAGAAAGTCTGGCTATTTGGAGTAAATTAATGAGCTCCTAGAGGAGATGGGACTAGCAGAGTCTGCTTGTACCAGGAACTCTTAGCGTCGATTTCGAGCTGTTGCTGCCAAAGTAGCAAGGACCAAAGAGTGAGCGTCTTCTGCCATTCACCTTCACAATGTAGTGTGACCCATCTGCTAGTGTGTTGTGGCATCATCAACCCTCTTCTTCCGCTCGTCCATGCCAGTCAGCACATCAGGGAGACTTAAAACGTAGTACCTGGGTCCTGGGCCAACATACTGTTTTCATTAGGACTGAAATCATAGAATTCTTTATCAGGCCATCTTATGTCTGCTTGCAAGAATAAGCAGACAAGGGGATTTTTGATGGTAGTTCTGCATTCATCTTGATCCTGGCTTCTTTTCATTGCATAGAAAGTTGGCTGCACCTGGTACCTGGTTGAAGCCAAGTGGTTTTAGGAGAACAATACTTGGGGGAATGCATCTAGTTTGGGAAGGGAGAAGTGGGGTGGAAAGCCAATCTTACCTACCTACAATGCTCTCACCCCACCGGAGCCCTTCCCCAGAAGCCTGAGCCTCACACTCTGTGTTGTCTTTCTAGTGGGAGAAGTTGCAGATGACGTCCAGCGAGCGCAGGAAGATCATGTGCTCAGTGACATTCCACGTCATTGCCATCACATGTGTGGTCTGGTCCTTGTATGTGCTCATTGACCGTACTGCTGAGGAGATCAAGCAGGGGCAGGCAACAGGTGAGTTCTCAGGCTGGAGCAAGCTCAGCATGGGGGCCGGGATAGCTCACAGGAGTCCTGGGGTCAGAGGATTTTCCAGTTAGCCAAAAACGTCTGGGTTTCCGGAGGAGGGACATCAGTTAGGAGGCACTAGCCTCCTTTTTGGCATTTCTTTTGCTGTGGTGGTAGTTTTTGAAACCCAGTCAGGAGAGTTCATATTCTGGAGCATGAGAATCTCCGCAAACTACATCCTATAAAAGCAGGAAGTAGCTGGACACTGTCTTCCACTCTTCTTTGACTGAGCAACATTGGATGAGTTGTGAATCCATTGGTCAGTGGTGCAGGCTTGTGGTCCCCAGATACTTGAGGCTGAGGGATGGAGGATTGCTGAGGCTCAGGAGTTCAAGGCTGTAGTGTGCCATGATCACACCTGTGAATAGCCACTGCACTCCAGCCTGGGCAACATAGCAAGACTCCATCTCTTAAAAAACAACAACAACAACAAAGAATCAGTTGATTATGGGAAGTTCAGAAGTTGTGTTTTTCTTTACTTCATATCTTAAATAAAATCTAATAGGCTGAGTTTTTCCCTTCCAGGAATCCTAGAATGGCCCTTTTGGACTAAATTGGTGGTTGTGGCCATCGGCTTCACCGGAGGACTTCTTTTTATGTATGTTCAGTGTAAAGTGTATGTGCAATTGTGGAAGAGACTCAAGGCCTATAATAGAGTGATCTATGTTCAAAACTGTCCAGAAACAAGCAAAAAGAATATTTTTGAAAAATCTCCACTAACAGAGCCCAACTTTGAAAATAAACATGGATATGGAATCTGTCATTCCGACACAAACTCTTCTTGTTGCACAGAGCCTGAAGACACTGGAGCAGAAATCATTCACGTCTGATTGTGTGCGGGTTGTCATTTTCCTGGACATCCATGAAGAGCTGAAGGAAATTGTTTACTGCCAATTGTATACCTTTCTTATGTCCTTTAATAGCATAGACTGGACAGGTGACTATTTATAGTGGCTTCTCTTTTTCTAAACCCTCCTTAGTCTCCTAGAAAACCTTCCTGTGGGCCAGGCATGCCTGGGTCCTGCCTCTGCCTGGCAGCTCTGTGGGAAAGTGGAAGACCCCATGATGACATCATGGGGAGCCAGCAGAGTTCCTGCCCATGGTCTTGAGCTGAATGAGAGAATAAAATGCCAATCCCAAGGGAAGAGGAGGAGCAGGGGTGCCCAGGCCCTGATACCCAGCCGCCTCCAGCTTGCAGTGGTCCCCAGCCTGGAGCAGAGCATTGGGGAGTGTCTAGCCATGACGAGAAGATTCCCTCTGCATCACGGCGAACCCCAGGAGATGGTATTGAAACAGACCCCCAAACACAGACTCCTGCCTGCCCTCTGCCGATGCTGCCTCCTCCATGCTCTTGAGCAGGTGGAGCCATGGTGCTCTGTGGTGGCGCATGATTCACTGAGCAAACAGCACTTTACAGAAGAAAATCTTTATTTTGTAATATGTGTGTCCAGCGGGATTGACACTCAAAAAAAGTCTCACTTAGAAATCTTCCCTTCCTTACCTTTGTATCTCCTTTACATCATGAGAGATCAAAAATCCATTTTGCCTTACATATGCTAAGAAGCGTGGCATTCTTTCTGTTCATAAAACAGACTCATGACTTTTAAGACAGGACAAGCAGGCCAGAGGCTTTTTTTTTAATCACAGATCTCATGGGAATTAGTGGATGCTAAATGGCAATTAAAGCATGATTCCTATGCTTTTGAGCCTGTTTTATGACAAGGTGTTACTTTGTAGACCTGGCCCATACATTTCTTTTTTGTCAACACTGAAAAAGAACAGTTTCTGAGATCGAAATGGAAGGAAAGGAAGTGAGTAATGACAACAAAACTGAATATTTAAAAAATATTCCTTTATAGTTAAATCTCTCCAGTTGGTGTTGGCTTCACATTGAAAGAGCAGCCATGTGCCACCCTGGCCGGGGTGTGTGCACTGCATGCAGGTTCTCCCTTGCATGCAAGATGGGTGCTGGCCCACTGTGAGGCTTCTGCTCGGGGAAGTTCTGTGGAGTCACTACCAGGGCCAAGAGGCAGGTGGGCTGGCTCTGGGACGAGGGCCAGGTGTGAGCAAACTGCCAGGGTCCGCTGTGCCACTGCTCCCCGGCCACATGCCCGCCCAGCTGTCGCCTTAACCAGACTGAACAGACAGGATCCTTCAGGGCCCTTGGCCCCACTCTCAGTGCATTCTGTCATCAGGGATTACCACCTGTACCATTTTCATAAAACAAAACCAAAATCACTACCATCAAATGGCCTTGTCCCTCTAAAAAGTCTGCTTAAAATTCTGTTTTTAAAACCCAGTTTCCTAGTTTTCCAGGCAAATAGTTACCTCCGGGAAAGTTGCTGGGGGGGCCTGAAGCACAATGTAGCGCAGATGCTTCCTTTCCAGGCCATTCTCTCACCCAGCCTGCACGGAGGAGATGGGAGATGCTGGGGGTCCTGCCCTCAGTCTTTTTGGGCCTTAGGCGTTTCGTTCATCCTGCTAAGGGGATGAAGCAAACACGAGGTGATTCCTTTGCCTTTCAGAGTGGAAGCCCTGGAGTTTGTTTTGAAGGCCAGGAGGCTGAAGGATCTCTAAGCTACGGTGTGGGCTTAATAGCAGCAGGCTTTGTCCTCCTGTCTCCTCCAAGCCAGTGTCTGATTCCTTGGCAACACAGGTCTTAGTCTGTGGAGTGGCTCTGCTGTGGCCTTCCTCTGGCCGGGCAGGCACTGTCCAGCCATAGCCAGCTCCTGAGAATAGGTCAGCCTCTCCTTTCTGTCTCCCAGGGCACATCCAGCCCGTGCCTGTGTTCACTGTGCCCCGAAGTGCAATTACCCATACCCCTTCTCAGCCTGGGGACCCCAGGCAACCACAGACTGTCCACTCAGGGGAGCTGAATCCCAGGTCAGCCCTGCCAATGTCCCTTAGGAACTGCCCAGGCAAGGCCCCTGGTTTTGTATACTTGTTCCTGCCACCCAGCAGTAGATGAGTGTTTCAGGTGAAGACCAGGATAGATTTTCTAAGTGTGAATCCCCACTTCACATATGGAACCCCTTATGCTGAACTTGAAAAGCACCAAGACTTCCTGTAGACAAGAAAGTGCTTAGGTAGGGACAGCCCCTGGGCATCCCACCCAATGTAGCTGGCACCCCACTATGGCAAAGGTGCCTTGATAACTGAGCCCTGTATCCCTCCCATGCCCAGCCAGATTCTCATGGGAAGCCCTCTCCCTTCTTTTCTGCCTAACACCATCTCATCGTTTCTGGCCTCACTGTGGACAATCCACACACATTCTTCTTTCCTCTCCTGGCGGGGCACAGAGCCACCCCCTTGCCTTTTCTTTTCTTGAAGGTTCTAGTTCAGCTCCTGATTCATCAGACCCTTCTAGCCCCCTGCATCTAGCAGTGAAGCATGAAGCCTGGTGGGGATGTGGTACTCCCATCTGGTGTGGCCACCAGCTCTGCCAATGTTCCTGTAGCCTTGGAAAACTTGCTCTCTCGGTTCTTTTGGGTGCTGTGTACTCCCCAGCTTCCCCCCTTCCCCCCCCATTTTGCACCTGGGTTTAGTGAAAGGATGGCATTTGGTTGACCCATATAGAAACCCAGAATGAGGTCTCAGGGCCAGGAGGCCTGGTATTTGTAGGCCAGGGAAGGGGAAGAGGCAAGTGGTCTGGGGTATCACCAGCCAGCCCTCTCTGATTTGGCCTCTACTCCCCATAAGTCACAGTACCATAAGCAGGCTTCTGGCCTCAGCAATTTGGTCTTTGTGCCCAAGTTTATTGTGAGAATTTCCTGAAAACTCTATAAAAGGTCTCTTCCTACTGTAGGCCTCTAATGTTTCTCCCCTTTTTGCTTCAGTCCACTCTTCAGTCTTGTAGGCCTAGTTTTCAAACCTGCACATGTGTCCTACCTGGCCACAGGCATGCAGGCCTCAGGCAGCTGGGCCAGTTTGGGAGCCTCGGGTGATGTCTGCACGATCTGGGGCTGCCTCTGCACCCCTGCTGTGGGCTTCAGGGTTGGAGAAGGGCTGGGACCAACCGGGTGAGATCCACAAGTCTCTGGATGTGGCTGAAGGCAAATACACAATTGAAGTACTTTCTGTTTTGAAGTGCTTTCCCTTTTGAATCTGGTTTGAAACATGCAGCTTCTGTCTCTAGCCCAAGGAAAGACCAAAACATAGGGAAATAAAAGCATTTATCTTTGTCTTGGAAGTAATTGTTGAAGTTGTGCAGTTGATCAGTGCACAGTTAGATGCAATGTTTATAGAAATTGATTGTTAAACCAAATTTACACTGGCATGTGTGGTGTAGTTTCTAAAAGGCACTTCACATTTGAAATTTTTCTTACCTTAGAAAGTTTCTAGTGATCTAAATGTCTAGTTTTGTATTCTTTTGTGTGTGTTCACTGTTTCTCAGTATTACCACTTGAATAATTCTCTGTACAGGGGGGTTTGTGCTATACACTGGGATGTCTAATTGCAGCAATAAAGCCTTTCTTTAAAAAGGAGTTTTGCCATGAGAGTGTTTTGCTGCAGGGAGGCTGGGGACGTTGGCAGGCACTCCGGTTCCCTGACCTCCTTTCCAGGGTTGTCTGGCTTACACATCAGGAAATAGTATGCGGCTCCTGGAGGTGTCTGTTTTCCTCAGCCTCCCTCAGACACGTGTGTCGGGGGTGGGCTGGCAGTGTCTGGACGAGTGTGTGGGATGGGAGTGAAAACAGGCATTTCTCACAGGTGTGCTTGCTTCAAACATCCCGTTCCTACCTGAGCTCACCACCCTGAGAGAAGGCAGACTCGAGTCTGTCGCTGCATGACCATGGAGCACTAGATTATGATCCAGCCTTATCCATAGAAATTTGTCCTGACCCACAGCCCAGCTGAGAAAGCACCAGGGAGACCAGCAGGGTTGCCAGTGACAGCTCTGCCACGCTGCATCCCCTGGCTCTGGCAAGGCCTCTGAGGGAAGGCAGTGCCACGATCCTCAGACAGCAAACCGCCCACAGGTCTGGGAGTGCTGAGGCCTGGTTGCAGCTTCCCTACCACATGCATGGCAAGGGTCAGAGGTTGCAGGAGGTGAGGGGTGGGAAGCCAGGCTTGCCCAGATGTGCTGCTGTCTCAGAGGTGATCCACAGAATTGTTCCACTCTGGGCTGCCAGCTGACTTGGGAGCTAGGCACAAGGCTGCTTTGCAGAGCCATGGTCACAGCTGTCCCCAGGAGTGGAGGCCTGCAGCTCCAGGTGGGGGACAGGCCCGCAGAGCTGCTGAGCCTGTGTGGGAAGGTCTGTGCTTGCGGCCAAGAGGAGGTGGGGATGGCCCCTGAGCTCCGTGCTGAGGAGGGTGGAACCGGAAGAGGAACCTGCCCCTGTAAGAAGGTGAGGGAGGTGGCTCTCGGGGAGCCACTGTGCTTTTGGGGAATTTTAGGAGTTTTTCTGAAGACACACTCGACAGTGTCTGGGTGCAGGCAGGCTTGAGAGGATGGAACCAGCCACACTGATGGGGTACTGGCTGCCTGTAGCTCGCTGCCACCAGGGACTCCCCACAGTCTCTGTCGGGGTAGCAAACTGCTCAAAAGCAGCTGTTTTTGTCAATAAACTATTAGCAAACAGCAGTGCACATTCACTTAATATTATCTACGGTTGATTCACAGCTACAGTGGGCAAAGTTGAATTGTTGGGACAGATAGTATGGCCTACAAAGCCTACAGTATTCACTGTGTGCCCCTTTATAGGAAAAGCTTGCCAACTCTGTCAGTGTGAAGGGTGTCCCTAGAGTTGTTGCTGCACAGCCTGTGTGACATCTTAATAACAGAGGCGTTGAGTCACTCTCCAGGGCCTTGGAAGTGCCACTGTGACATGCAATCCTGCCACACCTCTGAGTTGCTTGGCCTCGAAAAAGCCAAGGGGCAACTCCTCACCACTGGGGTGTCAGCCTGGTGGGAGGCACATGATCCCTGGGGCTCACCTCGAGCTCAACCAGATGACCATGGAATGCGGCTGTCTTTTCTTTGGAAAAGAGGGAGTGTCTGATGAAGCACTAAGGAGAGCTTCTGTAAGGTAAAATCAGTACAGCGGAGGGAAAGGCATATGACAAGCAAAGCTGTCAGCATGGTGATAACAAAAGAGACTGAAAATCAAACCTGGTTCCTTTCCCAGGGAAAGGCCCCTCAGGACAGTCAGGGGCAGAGGCTCTGTTACAAGGTCCTGCTCCCGGAGCCACAGCTATGCAGTTGGAGGCATCACGCTCATATAGGTAAATACATAGAAAGTACTATATATATGATGTATTTTGCTTACTGCATTTACACATTACCTCACTTTGCAACTTGCTTTTTTCATCTAACAACCAGTTTGATATTTTCTATGTTAGAACCCAGGCATCTACCTTATTCTTTCTAACTCATGCAGGATTTCTTTAAATCCTCATGGATACAGATTTTTAGGTTGTTTACTGATTTTTGGTATTAGAAACAAGGCTGCAGTCCACATCCATGTCATTTATTTTTGTACACTTGGGGGTGTGTGAGGGAGGGAGGGGCACTTCTGAAGATACATTTCTAGAAGTAGAAAAAGGGTAGATGCATTTGATCTTCTAAGTTGCAAAACTGACCTCTAAAATGATTCACTTACCTTCCTACAGTGAGAATATGAATCTTTCCTGAGCCACATCACAAGTGTTATTTTTAAAATTGTTCCTAAAATGATTGTTACTCCTTTGTATGTCACTGAAGTTTTACTCTCCATTTCTCAGATAAATGAAATTGAGCATTGTTTATTTACTGCCTATTTCTACTTCTGTGAATTTCCATGGCTTGGCCATTTCTCTTGGCTTTTTTGCATTTTTACATTGAATTATAGGTGTTTTTTTCCTGATGTAGGGACACTAATTCTTTGTTTTTATGTAAGTGACACATATTTGCAATTTATAAGTTTATTTTCTTGTTTAAAAGATTTCATTTTTTAGAGCAATTTTAGGTTCACAACAAAATTAGGAATAAAATGAGGCAGGAGAATAGGGTCTGGAGGCAGGTAACCTAAGGGCTTCCTACAACTAAATAAAAGGGAAAAACCCTAATTTTCTACACCAAGTAAATAACTTTGTAACCTCCCTTCATCCTCTTCATTTGCGTAGGGTATACACCAAGTAACCAATGGAAACCTCTAGAGGGTATTTAAACCCCAGAAAAATCTGTATTCAGGCCCTTGAGCCACCTGCTTAGGCCTGCTCCCACCCTGTGGAGTGTACTTTCGTTTTCAATAAATCTCTGCTTTTGTTGCTTCATTCTTTCCTTGCTTTGTGCGTTTTGTCCAATTTTTTGTTCAAAATGCGGTACACCCTCCACCGGTAACAAAAGTAGAGATTTCCCATTTACTCCTGTCCCTACACATGTACAGCCCCCCAGTTATCAATATCCCCCCCCCCCCACAGTGGTGCATTTATTACAATCCATGAGCCTACACTGACTCATCCTCATCACTCAAAGTCCATAGTTCAAGGTTCACTCTTGGTGTTCTACATTCTGTGGATCTGGCCATGTATCCAACATTATAGTGTCATACAGAGTAGTGTTATTGCCCTGAAAATCCTCTGTGCCCTGCCTATTCATCCCTCCCACTGCCCTAGCCCCTGGCAATCTTTTTACTGTCTCCACAGTTTTGCCTTTTCTGCAATATCATATCTTTGGAAACTTATGCACCCTTTTCAGATTGACTTTTAGTGATACACACTTCAGTTTCTTCCACGCCTTTTCATGGCTTGATAGCTCATTTCTCTTTAGTACTGAATGGTATTTCCATTGTCTGGATATTATTTATTTACTCACCTACCGAAGGGCATCTTTGGTTGCTTCCAAGTTTTGACAATTATGAACAAAGCTGCTCTAGACATCCATATGAGGGTTTTTGTTGGGATGTAAGTAAATACCAAGGAGTGTGATTGCTGGATTGTGTGGTAAGAGTATATTTAGTTTTGTAAGAAACTGCCAAGCTGTCTTCCTAAGTGGCTATACCATTTTGCATTCTCTCTAGTTCCTGTTGCTCCACATCCTCCTCCACATTTGGTGCTGTCAGTGTTCTCAATTTTGGCCATTCTAATATGTATGTAGTGGTATCTTGTTATTGCGTTATTCTAAATTTGCATTTCCCTGATAACATAGAATGTGCAGCTTTTTTTTTTTTTTCTTGAGACAGAGTTTTACTCTTGTTGCCCAGGCTGGAGTGCAATGGCGCGATCTTGGCTCACTGCAACCTCCACCTTCCGGGTTCAAGCGATTCTCCTGCCTCAGCTTCCCAAGTAGCTGGGATGACAGGCATGCATCACCATGCCTAGCTAATTTTATATTTTTAGTAGAGACAGGTTTTTCCATGTTGGACAGGCTGGTCTCTTGACCTCAGGTGATCTGCCCGCCTTGACCTCCCAAAGTGCTGGGATTAAAGGCGTGAGCCACCACGCCCCCCAGCTGTGCAGCTTCTTTTCACATACTTACTTGCCATTTGTATATCTTCTTTTGTTTGTTAAAGTCTTTGGCCCATTTTTCAATCAGATTGTTTCCTTACTGTTAAGTTTAAGAAGGCTTTGTATAATTTAAGTAACAATTCTTTATCAGATGTGTCTTTGTAAATATTTCCTCCCTCTCCTAGTGTGGTCTTTTGCAGAGCGGAAGGTTTTAATTTTAATTAAGTCCAACTTACCAATTATTTCTTTCATGGACCATGGCTTTGGTGTTATGTCTAAAAAGTCATAGCCATACCTAGGTCATCTAGATTTTATCCTATGTTATGGGAATTTTATAGTTTTGAATTTTACATTTAGATCTATAATCCATTTTGAGTTAATTTTTGTGAAGAGCATAAGGTCTGTATCTAGATTCATGCTTGTTTGTTTGTTTTTGCATGTGGATATCCAGTTGTTCCTGCACCACTTGTTGAAAAGACAATCTTTGCTCCATTGTAGTGTCTATGCTACTTTGTCAAGGATGAGTTGACTGTATTTATGAAGGTCTATTTCTTAGGCTCTCTATTCTGTTCCATTGATCTATTTGTCTATTCTTTCACCAATACGGCACTATCTTGATTACTGTAGCTTTATAGTAAGTCTTGGAGTTGGGTAGTATCCATTTTCCAAATTTGTTGTTTTCCTACTATATTGTTGTGTTAGCTGTTCTGGGTCTTTTGCTTCCCTATCTAAATTTTAGAATAAGTTGGCCGGGCGCGGTGGCTCACGCCTGTAATCCCAGCACTTTGGGAGGCCGAGACGGGTGGATCACGAGGTCAGGAGATCGAGACCATCCTGGCTAACACGGTGAAACCCCGTCTCTACTAAAAATACAAAAATTAGCCGGGCATGGTGGCGCGTGCCTGTAGTCCCAGCTACATGGGAGGCTGAGGCAGGAGAATGGCGTGAACCCGGGAGGCGGAGCTTGCAGTGAGTCGAGATCGCGCCACTGCACTCCAGCCTGGGCAACAGAGCGAAACTCCGTCTCAAAAAAAAAAAAAAAAAAAAAAAGAATAAGTTTGTCAGTATCCACAACATAACTTGCTGAGATTTTGATTAGGATTGCATTGAATCTATAGGTCAAGTTTTGAAGAACTGACATCTTGACAATATTGAGTCTTTCTGGGGAATATTTACTTATGTCTATTTCTTTAGTTTCTCTTTGATTTCTGTCATCAGGGTTGCAGTTTTCCTCATAAAGATCTTGTATGTATTTTATTAGATTTAAACCTAAGTATGTATTTTTGGAGTATTAATGTAAATAGTATTTTGTTTTGAATTTCAATTTCCACTTGTTCATTACTGGTGAATAAGAGAGTGATTGACTTTTGTATATTAACCTTGTATCCTACAACCTTACTGTAACCACTTATTAGTTCCAGGAGTTTCTTTATCCATTCTTTTGGATTTTCTACATAGATGAGCATGTCATCTGCTAACAAAGACGGTTTTATTTCTTACTTCCCAGTACATATACCTTTTATCTCTTTTTCTTGTCTTACTGCGTTAGGTAGGATTTCATGGTTTTTCAACATTATAAAAATTTTTAAACATAAAAACGTTTAATTATATAGTGAGAATATATATAAACCCTAGAATCTACAATTAACATTTTTCTCCGTATGCTTTACCACAGATTTCTATCTATTAATCACTGTATTCACCCATCAACTTAGGTTTTTATGTATTTCAGAGTCAACTGCAGCCATAATTATACTTCACTACGAAAGTTTCAGTATGCATGTCGTTCACTAGAAGTCAGTATTTGCTCATGGTTCTTGTTGATTTTGGGGTAATATTTA
Source organism: Homo sapiens (assembly GCF_000001405.40). NCBI lineage: Eukaryota > Metazoa > Chordata > Mammalia > Primates > Hominidae > Homo > Homo sapiens. Next base: position 45,448,800 of record NC_000010.11, on the reverse strand, counting down.
CATACAGTGACATGCGTACATCTGAAGTGTACCATTTGATGACTTTTGATAAATGTATCTATCTAGGTAACCTAAACCCTTATCCAAATATAGAACATTATCCTAATCCAGAAAATTTCTTTTCTTTTTTTTTTTTTGAGACGAAGTCTTGCTCTTGTCCCCCAGGCTGGAGTGCGATGGCACGATCTCGGCTCAAGCAATTCTCCTGCCTCAGCTTCCCGAGTAGTCTCAACAGCTAATTTTTGCATTTTTAGTAGAGACAGGGTTTCACTGTGTTGGCCAGGATGGTCTCAATCTCCTGACCTTGTGATCCACCCGCCTCGGCCTCCCAAAGAGCTGGGATTACAGGCATGAGCCACCACGCCCGGCCGCCTGGCTAATTTTTGTATTTTTAGTAGAAATGGGGTTTCACCATGTTGGTCAGGCTGGTTTCGAACTCCTGACCTCAAGTGATCTGCCCACCTTGGCTTCCCAAAGTGCTGGAATTACAGGCGTGAGCCATCGTGCCCGGCTGTGATGTTTTTATTCAAGCAAGCAATTAACTTAGTTGATCTCAAACTGCAAACTATTTGAAAGTTCAAATATCACTTTGGTTGTGCAATGATTTGAATGTATGTGTCCTTCCAAAAATCATGTGTTGGAACTTAAACCCCAAGGTGATGGCATTAGGAGGAGGGGCCTTTTGAGAAATGATTAATTCTTGAGGGTTCTGCCCTCATGAATGGATTGATGTCCTTATAAAAGAGGCTTTTGAGAATGTTCGCCCTTTTTTGCTCTTCTGCTGGGTGAGGACACAGCACAGAGGGCATCCTCTTGGGAGCAGACACTGATCCCTCCCTTACCAGACACTGAAACTGCCAGTGCCTCCTCTTAGACTTCCAGCCTCCAGAACTGTGAGGAATCAATTTCTGTTCTATATAAATGACCCAGTCTGAGGTATTTTATTATAGCAGCACAAACAGAGTAAGACAGGCTGTTTTATCCTAAATTGGGCTGTTTGCAGTTTGCCTTATGTACATGTGTCTTAGGGGTCATCCAGAGGTTTAGACAGTCTATGCACAGAATTTGGGATTCTCCCTCTCCTGTGGTAGCAGTGGAGCTGTGCTACTCAGATACCCAGCTCCAGGGAACCAGAAGGACCAGCTGCAGAGAACATAATTAACTGACGATCTCAGCTGCCACACGTTTGGATCCACTGTGGGGTTCATGCCAAACTATTGCTGTCATTTCTGCCAGATGTAAGATTTCTGTGATGGTGACTTTGAGGACTCTTCATTAGCTGGCATGAGACTTTTTCAGAGGTTCTCTGCCATCTGAAGCCCTTCCAACCCAATCCTTCTCTGTCACTTTTGCCAATGTCAGACCTGCTTCACCACCCCTGCCTACTCCTATTCGTTTCTCCTCTCTCCTTGACCACATGGCCTTGTTGCCTAAAAGTTGGTATGTTCATTCTCACAGTGGCATGGAGCTGAATGCCTCTACCATAGCTGTATGTTTATGTCACCTGTCCCGAAGATCATTCATAAGTGTGGTGGGAAATTCTCCGAGGGATGGCAGGGAGTCTGGGGCATTAAGGGGCTGGACCTCAGTCTCTAGTCCCCACCCCAATAGTCAGGTCTCCTCAGAAGACCTTGTGGCTTCAGGAACGCATGCACACCTCCCCCCTATGCCATGCTGGCCCTGTAGAAGCCTTTACCCAGACACTGAGCTGATGGCCTGCCACACTGGAAGCACCTTCCAGAGACATGGGAGACCCTGATGACATGATTCCGAAGCCAGGGGCTGGAGGGCTGGGAGTTGGGCATGTGAGCACGAGGAGAATGGGTCACCATGCCCAGGCTCAGAGCGGGCTCTGCTACTTGGGGCTGGGGAAAGAGAATGCGTTTTTATTTAATTTAATTTATTTATTTATTAACTATTTGAGACAGAGTCTCGCTCTATTGCCCAGGCTGGAGTGCAGTGGTGCGATATCCACTCTCTGCAACCTCTGTCTCCCAGGTTCATGCAATTTTCCTGCCTCAGCCTCCTGAGTAGCTGGGATTACAGGTACCTGCTACCATGCCTGGCTAATTTTTGTATTTTCAGTAGAGATGGGGTTTCACCGTGTTGGCCAGGCTGGTCTTGAATTCTGACCTCAAATGATCCTCCCACCTTGGCCTCCCAAAATGCTGGGATTACAGGCGTGAGCCACCGCGCCCTGCCCATTTTTATTTTTTATGTCATGTTAAGAACCCTGCCTCAGGAAAAAATAAGCCCCCAGCTCCCAAGACAATGCCTAATATCCATTAGCTAGGTGCCCTTCCAGGAGGAAAAGGAGAGAACAGCTGAGTGCTGGTGCCTTATGCCAGCCCTGGGGCACAGACATAAATAAAGTGGGTTTTCTGTCCTTCCAGGGGCTCCTGTCCCAAGGGAGAGACCACAGAGGGGGCAAGAACAGAGGTTCTGACAAATCCAGGGTAGAGACAGGAACCAAGGATGCCTTCCCAGAGGTGGTGACATTTGGGATGTGTTCCAAAGAGAGTAGACACTGCTTGAGGGAAAAAGCACCTTCTATCCAGACTTGGGTGGGGAGGCTTTTGCCTTGATAAAATCACGGTGACTATGGCTTTTTTTTTCTCTTGGTGTGGGAGATGGCAGTGAGCTGTTTGGGGTGATTGGAATATAACACATGGAACAAGACCCATTTTAAATGAACTGATTTATTTTTATGGCAACCAATTCTTAATTCATTCAATAGTAATTGAATTGGGTACCTACTATGTGCAAGGAATTGGACTAAGCACAAATAGAACAGAAAATAATCATCCCATGTCTCCAACAAGAATAGACATCTATCAGTGGTCGTGATTTGCTGTTGCTGCTTGGTGTGGAAATGCTGAGCTGGGTGTGGACAGGACGCTGTGCAGTCCTGCTCTGTGTAGAATGGGTCCCTATGGTGTTTACACTTTGATCAATCTATGCAGTTCCCTGAAGATCAAAGAATAAATGGAAAGGTACTGGCCTCGGAGGAAGAGATGTGACTGCCAAGAGGCCTGGCCAGACAGCCTGCCAGGCAGGCTGGAGTCCATCTGGCTGGGGCAGCTGGCCTTCCCACAGTGAGACTGGCAGTGTGCTCAGATGGCCACACTGTTCGGAATCCGGTCTGGGGACAAGTAGTAATATGGCAGCTGCTTCTTCTTGTTGCGCTCAGCAATCACGCTGACAATGGCCTCGAGGTTCTTGCGGAATCGGGCCATGGCTTCCTTCACAGGCTTCTCGATAAAATGCTCTTCTGGGTACATGCCCAGGAACAGCTGAGGGCCCAGACATGGACACACACATAGGTCAATCCACTACCCGTGTAAACTGACAGGCCTGTCTCATCCCAAGGGGCCAGCCACCGTTTGGGAGATGAAGGAGGGAGCATCTATTCACCTCCCCATATTCACCCTCTGCTGCCTGACAAGAGGGCCTCGGGAAGGCAAGTGTCGTCGCCTCCAACCTGCTTCTCTAAGGAAGGCTCCAGGGCTGGGGCTTCATGGATAAGTGGGAAAATAACTGCCTGCTGCCAAGTGGTTACGAGATGATGCAGATGAAGCTGGGGGCTGCTGGTGTTTGCAGCCATGGTATCCTGCTGTCTTGGGCCACCCCTGCGCAGCACTCTCACCTCCCATCAGGGGCGCTGGGGCCAGCACTGGCCTCTCCAGCCCAGGAAGGCAGAAAGCGGGCCAGGGAGCCTGAAGGGGTGGCTGCCCTGTTGGGGTCCTGTGCTTATTTGCATTCTCACACAGATGTCTGCGGGGCAGAGCTAGATATCATTTTAAAAAAATACTGTATTGGATTAAGATCACAAAGCTTCTGAGCTGGAAAGGTCCAAGAAACATAGGCTATTGATAATGGGATTTTGAATTTAGTTTGTGGAGGGCAATTCAGTATCAATATTCTTTGACCAAGGAATTTGTCTGCTAGGAATGTGTGCGGTCATACTGAACACATGTGCAAAGCCACAAAAACAAGGATGTCCAGTGAGGGACCAACACATTGGCCGGGAACAACTCAGACACCCAGCAGTCTGGAGCAGGTTGGACTGGTCCGGCCATTCTATGCAGTACTGAGCTACCCCAAAGCGGGTGCATCCACGAAGACACACCGGATTCAGTTGTTAGGTTAAATGAGATGCACGTGTCCGGAAGGAACCCAGGAAACTCTTGGTCATTCCCTCTGGAGTACCAGGGTAAAACACATGTGCAAGAACTTTGTCAATAGCTGGGGGGAGGGGGCGTCACACACGACCCTCTGGTGACAGTGAGCAAAGCCTGGGCTGTGTGCTCTCCTGCCCTGCACACCCTGAGCTCTGTCCAGGCTGAGGCCGGGGGACCTGGTGGCGGCTGCAGCCTTCTGGGCCCTTCCAGCCTTGGAAGTCAGGATTCCTTTGCTCCAAGTGAGCCTTGGGGCCCGAGTCACAAAGCCCTGAGGCTGAGGAACCGCTTAACCTGGGGTGACCTGGGGCTGTGCCCCGCCCTGCCCAGCTTCACCTCGTTTTCCTGGAACTGGCTCAGCGCCCACACTGCACCCAGATGCCAGCAGGAGCGGCCGCGGTCGGGCAGCGTGTCCACGATCTGCTCAATGGTCACCACGCCCTTGGCAGTCGGTGGCGGGGCTCGCATGGTTGGGGGCGCATTGGGGATCCAGGAGCACCAGTCGTACTGCGGAGACGACCGCCAGCAAGCGTGGGCACCCCCGAAGCCCTGCTGCCCAGCTGCCCCCTGGGCCCCGTCCTCCCCGTGCCCCCCAACTCCAGCGGGCCCTGCAGTCCGTCCATCCTCTTTCCCCGCGGCCAGCGCCCTTGGCTGAGCGGGCAGAATCCATCCTGCAAGTCCCGTGCCAGGCCCCGAGGCTGTCCGAGGGTGCAGTACGCGTGCAGAACCGGGGCGGGGGAGGAGGCAGCGGCCTTGAGAAGGGAGCCCTGCCCAGCGGGCCCGGCCCTGCCTACCTGGCCGAAGTTGACCGCGGCGTGCTGGGCGGAGGCGGTGAAGATCACCACGGTCAGGTACTCCGACAGCTGCTCCCGGCTCTTGACCGACTTGGGGAAGCCTAGGGTGGAACCACCGGCGGGCTGAGGCCCAGTCCCTGAGGACCCCAGGGCCCGGCGCCCACCCCGTGCCCGGATTCCCTGCCCCAAGGCCGGAGGGCACCCTGGGCAGGACACCCCGGAGGGGTGGCGGAGGGGCCAGCGCTGCCGACTGCGGGGGAGCCGGGTCCGGAGACGTCCCGGAGGCCCTACCTGAGGACTTGCGGCCCCGCATGCCGTACACGTAGACATCGTTCACGAAGTCCTGCAGCTCCGGGTCCTCCTCCACCACCTGGTCGCCCTCGTAGTAGATGTCTACCACCTCGGCCGTGAACCTGGCTCAGGGGGCGCAGCCGGGGTGGGCGACCCAGCCAGGTCTGCGGAGCGGTGCCCGGCGGCAACCCCCTCACGGACGCTGGGACTCCCCCACCCCGTCCCCATTCAGCGCTAGCGGTGGAGGGGCCAGGCCCGCCCCAGGTAGTCAGGCAGGGGTCCCGGCTCCTCCCCCAGGACCACCGCCCCGCGGGCGCTCACGTCCTGATGGCTTCCCACACCAGGAGCCCGTCGTCCCGGTAGAAGTAGTAGGGGATGTCTTCTTTGCTCTCCATGCCCCGGGCCTTGATGGCCTCGGGAAAGCACAGGGAGGCATAGGTCAGGTCCTTCATGGCCCTCTGCACCATCTGCACGTGCCCACCGCCCCCTGTGGCGTTGGCCTGGAGTGGGAGGTAGAGTGCCCTGAGCGGGTGGCTCCTCCCACAGCTGTCCAGACCCATCCCTGAGGAAATGTGCCAGGGGAGGCGAGGAGGCCAGGCAGGCAGAGGTGCAAGCCCTTGTCCTGTGAGATGGGGGAGGGATGTTTAACGCAGAGAATGACAAGGGCAGCCGGGTGGAGAGGTGCTAGGGAGGAGCCTCCCGCCCAATCCAATGCAAGGGACTGAACCGTGGGGCTGCAGAGTACAAGAGGGAAGGGTGCGCTCCCAGCCACAGGAGGGCAGCAGGCGTGGGCAGGTGTGTGGGGGACCCCAGCACCAGCGGGCCTGGGCTGTGAAGTCTGCTCTAGTGCTGAGCACACGACCCTCAGTCATTGCTCTCAGTGACCCTCAGTTTCCAGGACCCATGCAACTCTGTTGAGGGCCTGTTGTGTGCTCAGGTGAGGGCTGGAGAGACCCACAAGGAGGGATCCTGGTCCTGATCCCGATCCCGGCTTCTGAGTGATGCAGACACACTCACAAGCTCACTGGCACATATGTGTGTCCACGTGCACACACACACATGCAAATACACCCAGGGGGCTGGGCTGTCGGTGCCACAGAGGTTTTGAAGAAGGACTTGGGTGCTGGGGTGCCAGAGATTGGTCCACGGTGGGCATTCAGCCCAAGCAGGACCAACCAGAGCTGCCCCCCAGCACTTTCTGTTTAGATGCGGCTGGGAGATAATGGCCACATGAGAACCTGAGGTGGAGCTACTATGATGAGCTCCTGTGCCCTCTCCCATGGGGGCCTGTCTGCAGCAGGAGAGTGTGATGCCAACACAGGTGAAAGAGACAGAAAGAGGGAGCCAGTGTGCATGCACCCTGGGGCATTGCTTGAGTCCCTGGATCCATTTCTGGCTGAGGCCCCCGACCCTCTATTGTGTCCAGGTATTTGAGATAAGGCATGTCTTGTCCAGCTGCAGCTGGTTTGAGTTGGGTTTTGTCATTTGCAGCCCAAACAGTGTCTCAACTTCAGTGGTCATCTGGCCTGGTCACTAATGGGCTGGGGAAAGGAGGAAGGTTGGGGCAAGGGCCCATGTGAGAGTCCAAGCTTGGTAAGGCTACAGAGGGCTCAAAACGAGGTGGGGTGCTACCTGAGGGATGCGAGGGCTGGGCAGGGCCTGGAGTCCCCGATGCAGGAGACAGTGGGTTGGGAGGGTTGGGACCCGGGAAGCAGAGTGCTGGGGAGGTCCAGGTCAGGGTGGCAGGGGTGTGGCAGATTAAGAGGCAGACACAGGTTCCTGGTGCGTAGGAGGTCAGGGGGCCATAAGGAGTGTGTTCCAGAGGGGGGTCTACACCCAGGTCCCAGAGGCTGGGAGAGGGGAGGGGTGGGAGGAGGGGACCAGGAGCCATCAGTGAGAAGGAAGACCTGGTGGTGCGCCTGGAGGAGTGCTCCTGGCTGAATGGCACGGGCTGGAGACATCAGGAGGATGCTGGAGCCAGTGCTCTGAGCAGACTCCAGCCTTCACCCTTCCAGGCCTCCTGAAAGGGTGTCTAGATCTCAGATAGGGAGTGAAGGCGGCCAGGCTGGGCTCTTCCAGGCAACAAGTAGGGTAGGAGGGCACCCACCTTGTCAAAGAGGCCACACTCGCAGATGAGCTGCTCACGGGCCTTGGTGTTGATTGCAATGGTGAATCTCACGTGTGCCACCAGCAGCTGGGGAGGGGAGAGGAGGAGGCCTCAGAGGGGGCCCAGTCAGGTGACCTGGTGCCTCAGGGACCCGCAGCTCCCCCACCCAGGCCTGCCCTATAGGATGATGCTGGGCGCAGGGAGGAAGTGAAGGCTGGGTGCTGATCTTTCTGCTGAATAAGTGCTGGAGGCCTGCACCCCTCTGATGCTTACTAAGCATGATAATGATTCAGAGGGTCCTGGCCAGCACTTGTACAATGCTTACCTCTTTGCTCCCTGAGTTCACTGTCTTAATCTGACCATCATTCTGTAAGGCAGCTGTACTATTTGACCTGTTTTACTGGTGAGGAAACTGAGGCACATGGGTACTTTTAGCATGCAGTCACCCCAGCAGCCAATGCTTGTAGGATTCGAGAACAGGGACGGAGAGTGATGGCAGGGGCGGCCATCAGCATCAGCCGAGGATCACCATGAACTCATTTGCCTTTTCCAACTCTACTGGCTGGCCAGCGAGGCCCGTGTGTCAGGCCCATGCCCCAGCCGCGTGTCCTGGGGAACAGCAGGCTCCTAGCTGTTTTCTTCCTTTAGGGGCATTACTGACTCTGAGAACATCTCTCCAGGGCTCCCTTTCTGCCACCCACTCCCAGCCACAGGTCCCCCTGTGGGATGTCAGTGATCCCTCCCACTCCACATCTCAGATGCCCTCCCATAGCAGGTGGGGCGGTAGCTGGCTGTACCTTGAAAATGGGGTGCACAGCAGGCAGCTGGCGGTACATTGCAATGCCAAAAACCTCAGACACCAGATGTGTTCGCAGAAGGTGGGTGATGGTCTGGTGGACGTGGAAGTCACTGGAACGCACCCAGATTTTGGCCAAAAGCCAGTCGTATTTTGCATCCGAAGGGAGGAAAATAGGGTTCTCATCTCCCGGGATTTGGTTGAGCTGATACATTGGGGGAAAGGAAACACACTGCTATATTTCACTTCAGAGTATAGTTGTTGGAGAACTTCGCCTCTTGGGAAGTTCCAGAAGTATCTGAATTTCTTTAACAGTGACTTTGGAATCAGAAGAGCCTGGAGGGGGTAAAGGGCCCTGCGGTGGTATTTCCTGTCCCAGCCATATTACTTACAACCTGCATGACTCTGGATGACACACTGGGCTTTCTAAGCTCCGGCTTCAGCATCTGTCATGTGGGGACAGTGATCGCTCGGCTCACAGTTACTCAGGAGCTGGCAGCATGGAAGGAGCGGGCAGGCCGAAGGCCCAGCAGCGGAGGGGGAGGATCGCTGTCCCCCTCTTCCCTCCTTGCCCTGCTCCCTCTTCTACTGCCTCTCCTTGGTCTCTCATACTTTCCTCCCTCTCCTCTTCCCTGAAATGCTGGAGCTCCCCAGGGTCTGCCCTGGTGCTCCTGTCTTCTTTTCTTGCCCTAAGTCAGCTCCTCCTGTTTAAAGGCTTGGGGCCCTCCTGGTACTGAGCCTCCCAGATCAGGGTCTGCAGCTTGAGCTCTGCCTGGAGCCCACACCTGTGGCCAGGCACCTCCTGTAGCAGAGGCTGGACCTGTCTTCCCTTTCCAGTTTCCACTCCACACTGGGACAAGGTGAGTTTTTTTCTTTTCCAAAATGCAAATCATGTCATGTTAACTGCCTCCTCAATCACCTCTTAATGCCAGAAAATAAAATCCCCAAGCTCTGTGGTGACCTGGTTGCTGATGCCTCTGTACACACAGCCTCACTTTCGTGCCCCCACACCAGCACCCAGCCCCAGGTCCCTCCATGCCAGCAGCCCTGCACGTTGCCCCCTTATTGAGAGCCCAGCACAGCCTCAGCACCCGACAGTGAGTTCTCACGGGAGCCGGCAGCAGGTGCTGGCATTGCCCATTTTTACATGAAGACATGGGGTATTGGAGGGGTTGACAGAAAGAATGAGGTGGGTGGCAGGGCTGCAGCCAAGAGCGGCCAGGAAGGGGCATGGCCAGACTTTAGGTGCTGGGAAAGACCAGTGTCACTGCAGCACAGTGGTCATGGCTGGGGAGGGAGAACTGTCCCAGAGCACACAGCTGTGTCACTTGCTATAAGTATTGTGGAAGGTGGGGTCCTTGGGCGTCTCTCCCTCGAAAACAGTGCTGTCCAATAGACATATAATGCTACCCCACACATGGAATTGTATATATTCAGGAAGCCATATTAATAAAAATAAAAGGAAACAGGTGAAATGCCGGTGAATAATATAATTTTATTTTACCCAATATATCCAGAATATTATCACTTCAACATGAAACCAATCTAAAACTATTAAATGAGATATTTCACATTCCCCACCTCCTTATTCTAAGTCTTAAAAATCAGGTGTGAACTTTGCACTTGCAGCAGGTTTTGGTTTGGACGAGCCAAATCCCAAGTGCTCCAGAGCCCTGGTGGCCAGTGGCTCCACCCTGGTCAGAGAGACCCCAGAAGCCTCAGCACTCCCTGAGGACCAAGGAGGGGGGAGGGAGGAGGGAGAGCAGAGTGTGACTTGCACATTAGGCGTGCCTGTCTGTTTATACTTGAGATTAGTTGGCTGCTTTTAAATACCAGACAGTTTCACATAAAAATTTGAATGACCTGGTTTTCTTGAAAAATTAGAAGGTCTCAGAACTCTGCACCCAGGTTCTCACAGAACTACGCTCTTGTCCCTTTTACAGAGTCCCAGCTCTCAGGGTCCCCACTGCCACACCCGTTTGCATGAGATGCCTGGGCCACTGATACCTGATCTGTGCCCTAGAATGCTGGGCTGCCTGGCATGCTCTGAGACACTTTCTGACATGTCCCCACATGCTCTGACATGTTCCTGATGGCTCTGGGACACTGACATGTTCCTGATGGCTCTGGGACACTGACATGTTCCTGACATCCTCTGGGGCCGAGGAGCCCCCCTGTTGTGTGCTAGGGGCTTTACCCATGCTATCTCACTTAATCCTCACTTTGACCCTGCAAGGCAGATATTCCTTGCTGTACCCATTTTACATGGGGGGAAACTGAGGCTCCAGCTGGTTTAGCAGCTCTCCCAAGTCACACAGTAGGTAAAGAGCTCAGCCGGCAACATGATATTGAACAGGCAAAAATTGGAAGCAATCCCCCTAAAAACTGGAACAAGACAAGGATGTCCACTCTCACCCCTCCTATTCAATAGAGTACTGGAAGTCCTAGTCAGAGCAATTAGGCAAGAGAAAGAAATAAAAGGGATCCAAATGAAAAAAAAAAAAAGAGGAAGTCAAATTATCTTTGTTCATCCATGATATGATTCTATACCTAGAAAACCCTGAAGATTCCTCCAAAAGACTCCTAGACTTGATAAACAACTTCAGTAAAGTCTCAATGTTATAAGTAAAATGCTTGTTTAGAAACAGAATGCTTGTTCCTCGGTACTGCAAGGAAAAATCAGCATTTAGACAAAAAGTTTTTTTAGCAAGCCAATTTTACTTTCTGCAGAAAGGGTGCTCCTCGCAGATGGAACAATGGCGAGAGCACACCTGAATAATGGAGAGAAGCAATTTTTATTCCTTACGCAGCTTGTCCCTGCTACCGTGTCCTGTCTCCATTGGCTGGAGCCAAACCTCACAGTCTAAACTAAAACCCGACTGGCTAATAACTTAAAACTTTTCTAAATAGGTAAAAGCAGTGGAAAGACAAAGGAAAAGAGGAAGTTGCTTATGAAAGGACTTAGAAAAGTAATAACATTTCCAAATAAGGAAGGGGCATGGGCTGCAAGCTGGGACATGCCTGTGAGCACGTCCAGCACAAATATCTTGGTTAAAGTACAAGGACATAGAATGTACTCATTCCCTTATATCTAACAGCTACATATGATAGGGCTTAACAAAAAGTTATTAGCACAAAGCGAAAAGGCTTAAAAAAAGTTAGTCTTTAGAAAAAACTATTATTTCTAACACATAATTTACTCCTTAACAAAAAAAAAACTTTTGACTTTCTACACTCAAGATACAAAATCAGTGTACAAAAATCAGTAGCATTTCTTTTTATTTGAGACGGAGTCTCACTATCACCCAGGCTGGAGTGCAGTGGTGTGATCGCAGCTCACTGCAACCTCCGCCTCCCAGGTTCAAGCAATTCTCCTGCCTCAGCCTCCCAAGTAGCTGGGATTACAGGCAGGTGTTACCACACCTGGCTAATTTTTGTATTTTTAATTGAGACGGGGTTTCACCATGTTGGTCAGGCTGGTCTCAAACTCCTGACCTCAGGTGATCTGCCCACCTCGGCCTCCCAAAGTGCTGGGATTACAGGCGTGAGCCACTGTGCCTGGCCTAAAAATCAGTAGCATTTCTATGCACCAACAATGTTCAGGTTCAGGCTGAGAACCATATCAGGAACGTGGTGATCTCAGTTACAATAGTCCCCCATACACAAAATAAAATACCAAAGAATGTATCCAGCCAAGGAGGTGAAAGAGCTCTACAGAGAGAACTATAAAACACTGATGAAAGAAATCATAGATGACACAAAAAAATGGAAAAACATCCCAGCTAATGGGTTGGAAGAAAGCAATCTACAGATACAACACAATTCCTATCAAATTATCAACATCATTTTTCACAGAATTAGAAAAAAAAATCCTAAAATTCATATGGAACCAAAAAATAGCCGAATAGCCAAAGCAATCCTAGGCAAAAATACAAAGCTGGAGGCATCACATTACCTGACTTCAAACTATACTACAAGACTACAGTAACAAAAACAGCATGGTATACTGGTACAAAAATAGGCACAGAGATCAATGGAACAGAACAGAGAACCCAGAAATAAAGCCATATACCTGCAACCAACTGATTTTTGACAAAATCAACAAAAATAAACAATAAGGAAAGGACATCCTATTCAATAAATAGTGTTGGAAAAACTGGCTACCTATATGCAGAAGAATGACGCTGGGCCCCTACCTCTCACCATATACAAAAATTACCTCTAGATGGATTACAGACTTAAATGTAAGACTTCAAACTTTAAACATTCTAGAAGAAAACCTAGGAAAAAATCTTATGGACATTTCCTAGGCAAAGAATTTATGACTAGACCTCAAAGGCATATGCAACAAAAACAAAAATTGACAAATGAGACTTAATCAAATTAAAGAGCTTCTGCACAGCAAAACAAACTATCAACAAAGTAAACAGACAACCTACAGAATGAGAGAAAATATTTGCAACTATGCATCCACAAACGACTAATACCCAGAATCTATGAGGAACTTAAGAAAAAACACCACCATTAAAAAGTGGGCAAAGGACAGGAACAGACACTTCTCAAAAGAAGACATACAAGTGGCCAACAAACATATGAAAAAATGCCCAACATCACTAATCATCAGAGAAATGCAAATTAAAACCACAAAGGGATACCAGTCAGAATGGCTATTATTAAAAAGTAAAAAAATGACAGATGTTGGCAGGATGCAGACAAAAGGGAATGCTTACACACTGTTGGTGGCAGTGTAAATTACTTCCATCCCTGTGGAAAGCAGTTTGGAGATTTTGCAAAGAACTGCAAATAGAATTACCAGTTGACCCAACAACCCCATTACTGTGTACCTACCCAAAGGAAAAGAAATTGTTTTACCAAAAGGACATAGGCACACATATGTTTATTGCAGCACTGTTCACAATATCAAAATCATGTAATCAACCTAGGTGCCCATCAATAGTGGCACCAGATAAAGAAAATGTGATACATGTACTCCAAGGAATACTACATAGCCATAAAAAAGAATGAAATCGTGTTCTTTGCAGCAACATGGATGCAGCTTAGGATTGGCACTTAAGCCATAATCTTAAGTGAATTAACCCAGAAACAGAAAATCGAATACTGCATGTTCTTATTTATAAGTGGGAGCTAAGCATTGTGTACACATGGGCATAAAAGTGGGAACAAAAGACACTGGGGACTCCAGGAAGGGGAGGGAGGGAGGAAAGGGTTGAAAAACTGGGTATTGGGTACTATGCTCAGTATTTGAGTGATGGGTTCAATAGAAGCCTAACCCCAGCATTATGCAATATAACCATGTAACAAACCTGCACATGTACCTGAATCTAAAATTTTATATATTAAAAAAAAAAAAACTGTTCTGACCAGTAAAAAAAGAGCTGAATGAGGATGGGCCCAGTGCTCTGCCTATTTCAGCCCATCACTCTCCCTTCTGCTTCTCTTCACCTCCCGGCCTGACCGGGCCTCACCTGCCCATCTCCTTGAGCTCTTGTACCACTGAGCTGGGCCTTCCCCAACCCATCCTTCACATCCTCCCACTCCTGTCCAGGATTTTGGCCTGCCATGGGATGCCAGAACTTGCCCTGAGCAATTTGTGTTTCTTAAATTTGTTTTTTGGGTAAGGAAGTAGCTTTGCGTTTCTGATTAGAAAAGAATATGTGCTTATCGTAAAAAGAAATCTGAGTCATGACAGGAGAGCCTGAGAAAGAAAACATCATCTCATCTTCCAGCGCCCAGGGATAACCACCAAATTCTGGGGAGCCTCCTTTCATAGGTCTTTGCATGTGTGCACATTTATCTGTCCAATTTTCCATCAACTGAATATGATTATAATCAACATCTGTCTCTTTGTTTTGCTCACCTGTCCCCCACTGGGCCATCACTGTGTTCCTACCTGGTGACACTGCGTCCTTGTGTCCCCATGCTGGCACAGTAGGCCTGCTGCATCCTTGCATTCATTTTACATAAGTGAGACCATGCCCATTGCCTTAGCAGTTTGAAGGAGCTATTTGTATACGACAGATATGTATCCTTTATCGGTCCCTTGTGTCTTGTTTTTCCACTGTTAACTCATTGTGGAGACCCCTCCAGGTCAGCTGGAAGGGAACCAAAGCATTCCTTTCAAAGACGCCTCAACATTTTATGGTGAGGACATGGAAGGGCTCACTCACTCAATCCTCTTCTGCCTTCAGACTGTTTTCAATTTTTTTCCCCATCACAAACTATGCTCCTGTTGCTACCCACACACATTTGTGCTTTCATTTCTGCTGAGTGGCTGCTAGCGAAGGCTGAGCCTTGGGGGTTTGGGTATGTTTTCGAGTAGACAGTGCCTGCCCTACTGTTCCTCAGACAGTTTCACTCTCCTGGTGCACACCTGTTCAGTGCTACTGGCTGTCAGAACACTTAAACAATAAAGTCCCCTCCAGTGCTCCTCCAATTGAGACGGGGCAGGGGCCTCCTCTTAGGGCACTGTAGCCCCCCAGCCCCGCAACAGGGCATGGAAATGAAGGAAAATCCCGAGTTCCTTGAAGGGAAGTTCCAGGCACCTAGCTAGCCCTGAGAAATAAATGAGCAACTTGACAAACAAGAGGGTAACAGCAGCCTAAAACAACAGCCAAGGAAGCCAGAGTCCTGGGCTGTTTGGTTCCCTCTGGAAACTAAAGAGAACCCCTGAACATGTGTCTCTGAGTTGTTTTTCAGAAACCCAGACCCCCACCAAACCGATCCACTGGCACAGAGACCTCAGATAAGACGGAACTGAGGACTGAACTCTGAGCAGGCTCTTTGTTCTAAATTTCTTCCTGGGGGGCCTGGGGGAAGTCCCGCCCACAAGCCACAGCTAACATTCCTTTCTGGTAACCCAAATTTTTAAATGAAACTTCTCTTCCTTAACCAATTTCAAAACAACAAATTTTTGAATCTACCTATGACCTGGAAGCCCACCCCCACTTCAAGATATCCCGCCCTTTTAGGCCAAAACCAATGTGTACCCTCCATGTATTGATTAATGATTTTGCCTGTTAACTTCTGCAATTCCTGAAATTCACTCTGCCTTTAAAAACCCTTACCTGCAAGCCATCAGGGAGTTCCGGTCTTAAGAGTGAGCTGCCCAATTCTCCTTTTTTGGTCCCCGCAATAAATGCCTTGTGTTCTCGTAGATTATATCCCAATCTCAGTGTTTGGTTTTGCTGCACTGGGCAAGCAGATCCCAGTCCAGCTCGGTAACACAACTGTCCTCGCCACGACAGCCTCAACCCCAGGACCCTCTGACCGCCCACTGCAACATGCACCTGGTACAGCAGGCGCTGTGGGATCTGCTCCGGTGCTGGCCGAAGCTCTGACCTTGCTCCGGTGCTGGCCGAAGCTCTGACCTTGGGCTGCCCAGGCCCACCAGTTATCCCGTGAACACTGCCAGGCTGCAACAACTCATGAGCAGAGCATGGGGCTCCGTCCTTGCTGGTGTCTGGGAGTTACCCCTTTGTTTTTCCAACCAGGCATGTCAGAAATGATATCTCATTGTTAACTTTCATTTGCATTTCTCTAACTACAGGTGAAGTTAGGAGTTTTTC
The DNA here is from genome assembly GCF_000001405.40 of Homo sapiens. Lineage (NCBI taxonomy): Eukaryota > Metazoa > Chordata > Mammalia > Primates > Hominidae > Homo > Homo sapiens. The sequence goes on along the minus strand of NC_000010.11, from coordinate 45,433,048 downwards.
CATATGCTGGTTGCCCATTTACATTTCTTCTTTTGTGAATTGCCTATTCATATTCTCTGCTCATTTTTCCACTGGAGTATTGGTATTTTCCCGTCAATGTAAAGGAGCTACCTGTGTATCATAGATAGGCATCTCTTAGCTGTCACTTCTGTTATGGTTACTCACCCTAATCTCTGTTTTGCTTTTTGGCTTTGTTTATGGTTTATCACTCAAGTTTTAAAACATTACATAATCAAATATGCTTAGCTTTCCCCTTATAACTTCTTGGTTTCCTTTTCCTTCTAAAAGTCTTCTGAGTGTCTGCGTAATTAGTTTTTCTAAATTCGTTTACTTTTTTCATTTTAATTTTTACTTCATCTGAATTTTTTCTTTTTCTTCTAAGCAACTCCTCTACATGATGAGATTTATTTTTGTAAATGGCATGACAGAGCAGTCCAATTTAATTTTCTTCTCATGCAAAGGCAGTGTGATAGCATCATTAAAATAATATCCCTTTTTCACTGAGTTGAAAAACCTCCATTGTGATACACTGAATTCCTCTGTGGGGGAGTCCATTTCTGGATCTTACTCTATACTGTCCCCCAATTCTCTCTGTTTTCAAGCACAGTGTCTGCTTAACAGTAACCTTACAAATCCAGCAAGGAAAGTGTTCCTTCTGTGTTTTCTTTTACTTTTTTTTTTTTTTTTTAAAGATAGGGTCTTACTCTGTTGCCCAGTGTGGAGTGCAGTGGAGCGACCATGGCTCACTGCAGCCTCAAACTCCTGGACTCAAGCCATCCTCCCACCTCAGCCTCCTGAGCAGTTGGGATTACAGGCATGCGCCACCATACCTAATTTTTTCTATTAATTTTTTTTTTTTTTAAGACATGAGGTCTCACTTGGTTGCCCTGCCTCTCTATGTGGTTTTAATTTTTTTCAAAAAATTTTTGACTATGCTAGATTTCTTTTTCCATATGAATCTTTCAATTTTTTAATTGTTTTCTCTCCTTTTTAGTTCCTCTTCACCACCACCACACCCCCACCAAGAAAGATAAAAAATTCTGGCTGAAATTTTACTTGGAAGTGCATTAAGTTTTTATAATAGAATTTGGTAGAACTGACATTTTTACAGTTTCCTCCCCAATATCAAATCACTGTTAAGAGTTCATTGTATATCCTTTAAAATAACTTTATAGTTGGCCGGGTGCGGTAGCTCACGCCTGTAATGCCAACACTTTGGGAGGCTGAGGCAGGCAAATCACAAGGTCAGGAGTTCGAGACCAGCCTGGCCAACATGGTGAAATGCCGTCTCTACTAAAAATACAAAAAATTAGCTGGGCGTGGTGGCAGGTGCCTGTAATCCCAGCTACTCGGGAGGCTGAGGCAGGAGAATTGCTTGAACCTGGGAGGTGGAGGTTGCAGTGAGCCGAGATCACGCCACTGCACTCTAGCCTGGGTGACAGTGCGAAACTCCATCTCAAATAAATAAATAAATAAATAAATAAATAAATAAATAAATAACTTTATAGTTTTTCCTTATATGGGCATTATATTTTATTGTTAGTATGGAGAAAGGCTATTGATTTTTTTGAGAAATATATTTATCTAAACACTTTGCCAAATGAATTTATTAATCTAGTAGCTTTTAAAAAAATTAGAATCTCTTGTGTTTTCTAGGTCTACCATAGCATTACCAGAAAAGATCATCTTCCCTGTTCTTTGACAATATGTTTATTGATTGTTTTCCTGTTTTATCATGTGGTATGACCTCTAAAATAATGTTGAATAAAAACAGTGATATCAGCATTCTTATTATTTTAATGGAAATGGCATTAGAGTTGCACCTTTTTGATGTTAGCTATCTTTATCATATAAAGTAAGGTTCCTCCTATTAATTTTTATTAGTTGTGGCTATTAAATGTTATTAAATTCCCTTTTAGTGTGAATTGATATAATCATAAACTTTATCCTTATGGGTATAATAAATTATGGTGGTAGCTCTCTTGATATTGAAATATCTGGAATAAACCCTGCTTGGTTATTACATATAGTCATTTAATACACTGCTGCACTCACTTCGCTAATATCACCTTTAGTTTTCTTTTAAATCTTTATTTAATACTTGGATTGGTCTTCAGCCTTCTTTTGAAGCCTGCCTGTATCCAGTTTCAGAACTAAGCTTACACCAGCTTTATATGATCAATTTGGGGCTGATAAAGAGCCCTGGAAATGTCAGCTGTCTAGTGGCTGGGTGAGACTCAGCTGCTCGCTGTGTAGGTCTGTTTCCAATCACTATATGGAAATTGGCCTATTTTCTACAATTTCTTCTAATTTATCTTTTCCTAGGTTTTTATCCATTTCTCTAATTTTTCAAATTTTTGCCATATTACTCTCATTTAAAAAATATGTAATCATAATTACTGTTCTTTTTTTTTTTTAAGAGACGGGGTCTTGATATGTTGCTCAGGCTAGACTGCTGTGGCTATTCACAGGTGTGATCATAGCACACTACAGCCTCAAGTGAGCCTCCTGCCTCAGCCTCTCAAGTAGCTGGGACTACAGTTGTGTACCACCATGGTGCCTGGCTATAATTACTCTTTTTATGATTCCTTTTTTATTCCGAATCTTGCATTTTTTTTTTCTATCTCTTTTTTTCCATCAGCCTCATGAGGAGGTTATTATTATTATTTTTTGGACCTTTCAAAGAACCAGATCTTGGATTTACTATCCTCTGGCTTTCATTTGCTTGAGTCTTTATAGTTTGCAAAGTTTCCATTTTCAGAAGAAGAAAGAGACCCAGGAACATTCTGTGGCTTGCTCAAGGTCCCACAGCCTGCTAGCAAGTGGCTGAACTGGAATTTAAGCTAGGCCCCTGACTCCAGGCTGCTCCAAGAGATCTCTGAGCCAAGCTTTTGAAGGCACCATCAGTGGTGCCTGGGATCTCCGGGGATCTCCCAGCAATTTTGTCTTCTTTTAGGTCACCTGTCCCTTTACCTGCTGCTTCAGTTTCTTAGGCACAGGGCTTCTCTCTGGTAACAGACAGGAAGCTCCTCTGAGGCTACGTGCCCCTGGGAGACTGTGGGGAGGCTGGAATCTAGAGTCAGATGACCTGGCTTGAATCCTAGCTCTGTGGCTGGCTGTGGGCACCTGTGTCTCAGTTTTCTTATCTGGGTAAAATGATCAACATCAATAGAGCCCACTACCTAGGATGGTTGTGGTGATGATTACACAAATAAAGATAGGTTATCTAAAACCCCAGTGGTCAAATGTGCTTCAGAATCCAGAATTTTTAGGATTTTAGCAGTGGGTATACTTCATTATGTGCCATACCCCCTCCCACCCCCAGTCTAGGGCAACATACTATTTTACAATCGAACAGAGCAGTATTTCTGCAGTGATCCACATACATATCACATTGAATGGAAAAAGCCTCTAAATAACCTCACCTATTGCTTCAAAGAAGGTTTGTTTACAAACAATGAATTTGCTGCACAGTTTTGAAATATGCAGCAGTTTTCAGATTTTTTAGATTTAGAATCGAGGGTAAGGGATTGCGGACTGTGCAGGTTAACCCATAGGATAGCCTTGGCATGTGGCTGGTGCCTGACCTATCCAGCTGCTATTGTGTCCACAGCTCCCAAGGTCCAGTTCATGGACATTATTTGCTGAATGCTCATCTGCCAGTCTCCCACGGTGTCCTCTGCGCAGTTCCTCCCTACTCCCAGGGACCTATGCCCAGTCCAGTCCTGGCCTTGGCCCCTGCTGTCTGCACACCAGCTCCCAGCCTGGCAGCAGGCTGGTGCCAGGAACAGGGGGAGACAAAGCCCTGTGCCCGCCTGCCTTTCCTCCAGGGTCTCCCTCTTCCTCCTGCCTCATCTCCGGTGGACATAAGAACTCACATCATCATCAAAGGTGGCATACCAGGACTGGCCTGGTTCCTGACCCCAGAACCCATGGTGCCCCTCAGTGGTCTTGGTCTCCAGCTTAGTCCACAGCTTCACCTGCCTGGCCCCTGGCAGCACCTTGACTGGGGGCCCTTGGTCAGGGTGCTGGGGTGGAGAGTGCAGAATATGATCCCAGGGCAGGTCCTCCACAGTGTGCCTCGACTGGCCAGGGGCTTCTCAAGTGTGCCTTGGGGAGTAGAACCCTCTCCGCCCCTATGGACAGCCCACCTCAGGGCCTGCAGGAAGCCCTAGTGTCTTTCAAGACATAGCTTCCTCAGCTGGAGTGTGAATGGAGCCACCCAGGAGCCCTGGATCGCAGAGGACTGAGCTGCTCAGAAAGGTGTGCCCCCCAGCAGCCTACCTGGATGGCAATGGGGACAATCTTGTTGGCCAGGTTCTTATACAGCAAGCAGATGGGAGCGGCCAGGAACTGGAGTGTGCAGGGGTCTGTTTTGTTGGCATCGATGCCATCCAGCAGCTCAAAGTCCACGATGAAAATGTTCCCTTGCTGCAGGAGGCAGAGAGATGTGTCCAAATCAGGCTCAGCAGACGGACCAAAAATCAGGCCTGGGGAAAGAGTGATGACCTCTGGGCACCCCTCTCCCTTTCCTGCGACTCAGCGGAGCTCAGAATGTGTACTTCTCTCCTCTGACTCCAAGGCTGATTGATTCACATGGAAGGTGTTCACAGGTTGTGGCAGTTCGGGGTAAGATGAAGGAATGGCAGCAGCTCATTCGGCATTTGTGGTGTCTGAAACCTGCTTGACTGGCACGAAAGATGAGAGACCGACCCGAGTGTCAGTTTACTAAGAAGAAAGAGGTTAGGTGAAATAGATGTGACGAGTTAAATGCCAAAAAATGATGCTGCCGGACTCTACACATAAGTCAAAACTGGCGAACTCAACCCCAGTCAGAGCCAGGACAGGGGTCTCCCTTGGGAGGAAGAGACAGGAAGCGAGGCGGGGCTGTCCGCCGGGTGGGGTAGGGGGGCTGCGGGGGAAGGGGGAGGGGATTCTGCACGGGCAGGGGACTCTACAGGGGTTGAGGGGGGTCTCCAGGAGGTAGGGAAGGTCTGCGGGGGCGGGAATGAGCGTGTTTCGGGAGAGGTGCTGCAGAAGCAGAGGGGGAAGGGTCTGCAGTGGCTGGGGAGGTGGGGGTGGTCTGCAGGGTTGGCGTGTTGTGCCCTGGTCTGAGACTGGCGACACGGCGGGTCATTGGTGTAAATTCGTCGGGCTTGCTGACCCGCGGATCCGTGCCCTTTGCTGTAGGAGTCAACACACCTCGACACGCAACGAGCGTGCCGGTGAAGTGGGAGGCGGGCGGCCGCTGCGAGCCGCGCAGTGGGTCCCGCAGAGGGGCCCCTAGGAACGCCAGGTGCAGGGTAGGCCTGCTGGGCCGGGAACGCAGCGCTTAGGCCGGGGGCATGGCCGCTCCTTCTGAAGCCTTTTCTGTTTCCTGAGTGATGAAGGAAAGGGTGAGGGTCCCGGCTGCGGAGGGGTCAGTATCTACTCTGCCTGGAGACATCCCAGAGCGCCCCCCTGCAGCTCCACCGACCGCGCCCGCGCGCAGGACCCCCGGGCTGCCCGGCGGCACGCAGGACAGAAGCCACCCACCCAGGACGGCAGGAGCTCGGAGCCTGGCCACCGCCCTCCTCCTTTATGTGGTGTGACACCAGGGATGAGCTCTGAGCATCTGTCGCGATGGGCGGGGGAAGCAGGGGTGGGGACGGGGACTATCCCCGCGGAGGCACTCAGGGCACCTTGTGTTGAGGGGGGCAGGTGGAGACCCTTGGGTTGGTCGGGCACAGTGATGTCTTGCCTTCTAGGACTATGGCTGGATAGCTGGACTTTGAGAGCTGAAGTGACCATCAGACTCTACCCAGAAGGAATGGCTGCTAATCCAATCTTGAGACCACCCAGGCTGGTGAAGGTGATACTGGGAATAGGAGGCCTGAGATTTGGGGCCAATGCCTGCAGCATTTCTCTGTTATCCCAAGCCTCCCTTTCATATTTCTGGAAAACGAGGGGCGGGCCTACCTTTCAGTTCTGACATTTTAGGATTCTGCTTCTGACAGTGGAGTTTTTGCCTGTCTAGAGTCCCTGTCCCCTCTAGGTCAGTGTATTCCATTCTCCTGGCCGTGGGCACTGGCTCACAGAATCAGTGAGGCCCGAGGATGGCCTAAGACATCTGCTGGGAGCATTGGGAAACAGGGTCTTTCTTGCTGGGAGTGGGTGGTGTTTGCTAAGCTGGTGGAAGGTAAATCTGAAGCTGCCGGTGATCATTTTTTACCTCCACATAAGGAAACCCTCCTAAGGAAAAAATCACCAGAGGCAGAGGATTGAGACATGGAGCGAGAGAGAGACAGTGCAGGGGATGATCTGAGCCCTGGTCCCAAATGAGTTAGCATTGCTTTTTACTGTTGCCTGAGCCAATAGAGTTCTTGGATTAAACCAGATGGAGTTGATTTTTGTGATTTGAAACCAAAGAATCCAAATATAAAGTCTAAGAACTCAAACTTGAGCTGGAACACTGAATCAATACCAACAACAGGGATACAATTTCTCTATTCATGATCCGGAAAATAACTGCACATTTTAAAAAACAATGGAGGCGTTTTTAGTAGGCCACAAGCTTGCTGTAGATCATTAAGGTGCTGCCAGATGGGCAGCGTGAATGACTGTGGGGATTAAGAATCATGCTGGTGTGTATTAGACGGGGCAGTGTGTGTTTAAGAGTCTAGTCAGTGAGGGGTGGGTCAGCTCAAAGGAAAGGTGACTCATAACCCACGTGCCCTGGAGGTGGCCGGGACTCCCAGTGGGAGGCTGATGCCCTGCCAGGTGCTGAGGATGGCCACTCCTTGGCTGCTGGGTGCAGAGATGGCTGCTCAGAGTCTTCCAATTCTAGGATTCTATATGGCTTAAAGTTCTATGATCTCTGACTTGAAGTTTGAAACCTATAGCCACCAAATCAATGTTACTACATCTAGCAATTCAGTCCACTCAGGAACACAGATGCTCTCTCAGTGTGTGGGGGATTGTAACTGTCAGCTGTTCACATGACCAGGAAGTGTTCTGGGCCTGGTTGGGTGCAGGAGGAGGAGGAGGTTAGGAAACACTGCCTGCACTGGGGCAGGAGACTTGCCCAGGGACTTCAGCTGGGTGGGTGGCCCTCTAGATTCAGGTGGGCCAGGTACTGGGGCTGTAGGTTTATCTCTAAAGGGCACCAACCATCCCTCTCCAACTAGGGCCTCAGGGTAAGCTGAGCTCAAAAGACTGGAAGCAGCAGAGGCCACCTGGACACCTGGGGATAGGCAGCAGGGCCTGGGTGGCAGGAGGCCCCATCACGCTGGATCCATGGGGAAGAGGCAGGCTGATGGGCCAGCGCCTGTTGCTGAGCCCCACCAGATCCAGGTGGAGTTGGTTTGAACTTCTTCTGTCTCAAGACTAGGTCAGCCTTGCAGCCGGAGGCAGCTGAGTCTGCAGGTGAGGGTGGGGAGGAGGGTGCGACAGGAGCATGGGCAGCAGCATTTCTAACGAGAAAATCAACCATTCTGTTGGGTTTCTCCTCGTGCCCCTTTTTTATTCTCACACAAGGTCTGCTTCTTTCTCCAGTGTTCTCCCCTTTGCAAGGTGGGTGACAACTGATGACCTTGTGTGTAAAGCACCTGTCACAATGCCTGTCCCACCACAGGCCCCTAATCAAGGGTAGCTCCTGTAATTATTGATACTGATAGTGAAAATATTGACATTATGTTCCCAGACTCGAGCATCATGGAGAAACATTCCCCGCAATTCCTCCTCTGATGTTGCACAAGACAGTCTGCATAATGCCCAGGACCCTGGCTGACACTGCTGCCAGGAAAAGGAAGCGGCTGCTGTAGGCCAGATGGGCCTGCAGTTAGCGTCTTGGTGGCCTATGAGCACTGGCCAGGAGGAACTGGCTTCCACCTGACAGACTGTGACCTTGGCCACTTCCCCAGCCCATCAACCCCTACCTGGACCTCCTGCTCCAAGCTGAGCTGCCGCTCCAGGCTGCACTCTACCATCTCCGTGGTCACCGGGAGCTTCTCGGGCAGCTCTGTGCAGCGCCGGATCAACACAGGGTTGCAGCCATTCAGGAACTGGTAGCCAAACATCAGGTCTTCCTGCCAGTGATTCATGACCCGCTCTACCAGGAGAAAAGCGAGGCCCACCCTGAGCTCTGAGTAGAGGGCAGCCAGGGCCATGGCCCTCCTGACCTCACCTAAGAGCAGAGTCCCTGCTTGGTCTCCTCTCCCGAGTGCTCCCTGGATGGGCACAGCTCCAACTGCTGCCCCCTGCCCATCACTGGGTCAGGCTGTGGCACCAACTCATCATACCTGAGCTGGCCCTTCGTGGCTCAGAAGCCTCCTGGAGCACTCAGGTCCTTCAGCCCAGCATGGAGTGTCCAGGATGGAAGAAGGAGGGCGTGGAGGAGAGTCCCTGGGGGCAGTTTGCCAAGTTTGGTTCCCCATGTCCTGATTTCAGCACCTCTTCTTGTCCAGCCATTCCTGCCTTCCTAACGTCCTTCCCATGCCATGACTGGCCACTATGAAGCTAGTGCTCTCATCAAACACATCCTAGTCCAAAGGAACCCAAAGTTGCTTTTGTGTAAATACCTAAAACACAAGCCAAGTTCTGCCTTTGCTCTGTTCAGAAGCACAAATGATTGATTTGTGCCAAGAAAAAGTTCTGATACTTTTGAGACTTTTGATAGTGAAATGAGGTTGAGGGTGCTCGAGCTTGAATATCTGAGGAGGAGAAACCTCTGGGCACAAGGGTGACCACAGTGATGGTAAAAGGTGTGGAGTGTAGGGGGTGCTGTCCAGGGTGGCATGGTGGCAGCGAGGCCCCCATGCTGCAGCAGGCAGGAAGGCCCTTGTCAATTTCCCGGCAAGTATCAGACAGGAGAGCAGCATCCCCTGTCCCCAGCACCACTTGGGCCCCCAGAGGCACACTCACCAGAAATAGTGTTGCTGATCTTGACAAAGATTTTCTCAAAGTCGGCGAAGTCATTCCAAGAAGACTGGAACATGTGCATGAAGCGGTTGATGAACAGGTTCTCCATCCTGCAGACCAGGAGAGAGGTCACCTTGCGCACACTAGCCATGCCTCCCTCTGCAGAGCCCCTTCACACCAAGCTCTCAGGGGTCCTCACAACCCCCGCCCCCTCCAGGCAGCTCTGCAGAGGTAGGTGACTGGCTTTTCAGAACCAGGTCAGAAACTGGCATCTATACGGGATGCTGTTCTACTGCACCTCACCTGTCGAAGAGACAGGCCAGTACCCTCCAGAATAGCCTGCAGTGCCTTGAATTCCATTCACACATGTGTTCATTCATTCACTCATCGGGCACTTGCAGTCCCCCACTCGGTGGGCCAGTCCCTGAGAAAGCTTCTACGAACAGAGATCCAGCTGCTCTACCGTGTTGCCTGGCTTTTGGGGCGATGAACAGTTCAATTGACTTGAAAACTCATGTATTTTCTGCTAAATGGCTCCGTGTTTGGTGCTGAGGAGAAGTTTCCAAATGCTCACTGCACAGGACAAGAAAATAGAAACCCAAGGCCAGAGCTTGCTAAATTCAGAATGCAGGCTGCAGGTACTAAGGAGTGAGATGTGAGTGTATGAGCAATCCCCAGGGCTTCCTGGAGGAGGCAGGGTGTGGGATGGGTCCAGGAAAGGTGGAAAAGAGGGGAGAGACTTCCCAGGCTTCCTCCATAACCCTGCAGAGTGCAGGACAGGAGCGTGGGAGTGCTGCCCAGTGTTCACCATGACACACTGTGCCTCAGTTTCTCTCTCTGGCACACAAAAGACTGAGATTAACAAGATAGCCTGTTGCCTCTCCACCGTCAGTGCTCAATCACTGCCCACTCTTCAGCCTTGACTCTGGTTGCCCCTCAGAGCTCAGGCCTTTGCCTTGGGCCTTTGCACATCTGTTTCCTTCAGGCTGGAATGCTCTGTGCCCCTTTCTTTTCTGCTGTGGACTAAATTGTGCTCCCCAAATTCATGTGTTGAAGCCCTGACCCCCAGTGTGATGGCATTAGGAGATGGGGCCTTTGGGAGGTGATTAGGGTTAGACGAGGTCACGAGGGTGGGGTACCCGTGATGGGATTAGCATCCTCGTAAGAAGAGGAAGGCACCGAGGGCTTATTCATGCCCTGTCCCCCTCTCTCTGCCACGTGACCATGCTGTGGGAACACAGAGACATCTGCAAGCTGGGAAGAGGGCCCTCACCAGCAAGTGGATTGGCTGGCACCCTAATCTTGGACTTCTAGCCTCCGGACCTGTGAGAGACAAATATCTGCCGTTTAAGCCATCTGGTCTGTGGTATTTTGATGTGGCTGTCCCAATAGACTATGCCATTCTCTTACTGCGCACATGGGGTGTATCTGGAGGGCTCACTGGAGTGATGCTGTCTCTGTTCATTTCCTCTGTAGCTCTTACTGCAGCTTAAGTGCAAACTCACGTGTATGAATCTATGCCTGCTGCCCTATGCATGCTGAGGGCACAGTCATGCCTGCACTTTACTCAGCATTGAGCCCAGGCCTTCTAGTGTCCAGAGGGGCTCATGCAGCATCGCCTCATGGACTAAGAGGTGACCTCACCTGGTGCAGGGGACTGTGCCCGGGGCACTCCTCCAGTGGCTCCCCTTCCTGCCCACCCCTGAGGAGGCAGCCCTAGGTGGCCAGGACCCAGTGCTCTGCCTGGACCCACTTCTCAGGTGGAGCATGGCTGGGTCTGAGCTGTAGACACACACCTTGTCATGGGGAAAGCTGGGGAGTCAGGGACCTCCCCACATCCTCCTGATCCAGCAGAATGAGAGGATGGAGGCTGGGGAGAGCCTGGCTGATGGGACACAGGGCTTGGTGACATCCCAGCTCTGTTGTCTCAGGGGAATCACCCTGTGAACATGCATGAAGGCAGCAAACTGGAGCAACCACAGGGGGGAACTCCTAGGATAAGCAAGAGACACTGGGGGTCTCTCCTGCCTGCCCTGCCAGGTCTAGGGGTGCATCCAGGCAGAACAGCAATCCCCTTCCATCCTTTCTTAGCTTAGCAAATGCTTCTCTCCTTTGTCCTGGCTACCCTGGGTCTCCTAGGAGGCCATGATGCTCAGGAGAGGGTCCTGGGGCCACAAGGCTAGAGGCCTTTGTGAGTACTGTCTTTTTCTCCTCATGTGTCAGGATGAACAAGGAGCCTGCAGGTGACCGAGAGGGTGTACTGCTGGAAGTTGCCATGGCACAGCCTGGGCAGTGTGGCTGGCTTTGTGATGGGCTGCATACAGTAGGTGCTCAGTGCTACAGCACCCTGGAGCTGTCGAATAATACCAGCATCATCTTCCAGTCCTTCTGGTACCTTCTTCACTTGGATCCAGCCCCTTGTGGGGAAGGAGGGGCTTTTACACAGGTGCTTGCTTCCAGGGAGGCTGCTGTGGTCTCACCATGGCTACGACCAGCAGCCAGGCACTGGAATACCCAGAGAAGCTTCTTTCAGCCTTGCTGCCTCCTTCCTCCCCCAGCACCCCTCGTCAGCTGAGTGTTCTGGGCTAGGAATGCTTGTCAAGCTGGAGGGGTAAACCTCACTGTAGCATCTGGTGTCAGTCTGGGTGGGGAAAAGAACTTATTTCTGGGAGATGAGAGGCCTACGCAGGCCCCGAGAGCCCTGTAGGGCCTGAAGATGGCCCAGTGCCAGAGGGTGCCCCAGAAAGAGGTCCTGTGCTGGGGCACCTGAGGTCCCGGGTGGTCCCTTGCCCCTGTTCTTTGGAGGAACCAGGAGTGAGTCACCAATTACCCAGCTGGGTCTGTTTGACCTCAAAACAGGAGGTTTACTCTGAAAACAGGGTGGGTCTGGTAGTTCTCAGAAGAAGCCACAGATGTAGGAAGAAGTGGAGTTAGGAGGAACATATTTACATGTCATCTAGAGGCAAAATATTTCTATATCCTTACAGATAACTGGAATATTCAGGGCTTCGAAGACCCGCTTTTGTAAAAAGAAGGACCCTGCAAGCCAGAGAGGGCACCAGGCTTTTTCAAGGCCACACAGGCAGGTAACAGCCACCTTGATCACCTGGCCTAGGGGCAGTGACCTAGCTTTCTCCTGCATCTTCAGCTTTCTCCTGTGCCAAACTGTGGCCCAGGCTGGGCACCAGCTGTTGGCCATGTGCCCGGTGAGCCCCCCACCCCTCGCCCCTACTTCTCCCAGGACGGGCCGCATTTCTGCACTGTCCCGCCTCACTGGGAAGGAAACTCTCTTTCTCAATTTGCTTTAATGAGGCCATTGAGGTTCACCTAACCTCTGTCTCCCTGCTCTTTCCTTCTGCTACCAGCTTTTCCATTTTTTACGCCACAGTTGTGCTGTGCAGGGCAGGAGCAAAGCCTGCTGAGGAGGGCTGGCCCCCTTCCAGGTACAGCAGGTGGCTAGGAGGAACTGCGTGCCAGAATTACTCAGAAGCAGCGGCGAGGAAACCAAGCTGTCGCCAGCCAGAGGTTTAACGGGGAAGGCCTCCTCGGTGACTTCAGCCAAGTTTCAGTTTCCTGCCAGTGGGCACTGAGTTTAACCCACTCTAGGCGGGGAGTGTAGCCATCCAGATTTTAGCAAGGGCCCCAGGGGATTCTGACGCAAGCTATACTTTGAGAACCACTGCTGAAGAGTTTGCAATGTTTTCCAAATTAATTTGACTACAGAACAAATCATTTTTTTGAGGGAAACATGACTTCATGCTTTGTATTAACTCTTGGTCTTATTTTATGATGCATTTTTAACAACATGATGCTACCTTAGCAAATAAAATTGAAATTTTCTAGCCTCGTCTGATTTTTAGATGGGATACCACCCTACATTTTCCAAACAAATTTATTTTACAATGGGACACATCCCTGATTTCATAACAAAATTTAATGAAAGTCAATATGTTTTATAGGCATCAGTTAATAGAAGGGGATTATTTTTTAAATTTCCAAGGATTTCAGAGGCTTTCGGGTAGCATTTGGGAAGTTAAAAGTGGGAGAATCCTACTTGTGTCACAGGAAAAGTGGTTCCTATGAGTGCTTTGGTGACTTGGGGCCAAATGGTTTCTGAGTTGGGATGACGATAAGAGGGGATGTGGTCTTCTTCCCATATACAAACCCACGCTTTGCTTTCCAGTGCCAGGCCAGCAGGCCCCCTCCTCTTCCGGCCTCTCTTTCCTCCGCCATCACTTCTCCCGATCCCCAGCCTGGGTCCTCACCCTTCCTCCTGCTGCTACGTCCCTCCCTTCCTCCACAGGCACCCTGCCCGTCCACTGAGCTCAGGGCCCTTCTCTCCTGGCCTGGCCCCTCCGCAGCCTTCCTTGCCTGGGGGATATCGCTCCTTCCCTACACCCCTGGTGCCTTTTGAAACAGGGTCTCACTCTGCCGCCCAGGCGGGAGTTCAGTGGCGCAGATCACTGCAGCTTCCACCTCCCCGGCTCAAGCGATCCTCCCGCTCGGGAATCCCCGAACACTGGGATTACAGGCGTGAGCCTCCGCACCCACTCCCTACCGATCATCCCCCTTCAGGACGCTGCCATCCATGTAGCTGGGTCGTCTGGAGCACGGGGCATGTGGCTGGCCTGCGGGGCTGGGGGAGGGCCGGTGGGAGTGGCTGCCCTCAGAGCCCACCCCCTAGGCCTCTGCCTGCCCCCAGGTTCCCTCTCCCCCGTCCCTTGTCGGGAGTCACTCGTCAGCTTCTCTTCTCAGCCCGGCTGCGCAGCGCTCTCAACCCAACCCCTGGACTCATCTTCGCCCCAGCCTCCTTCGTGCCCAGCGTCCCTTGTAAATGACCCCCCCGGCCGGGTGCCCCGCTTTCTCTCTCGGCCTCTTCCGCGTGGTCTGCTCTCCGCCCGCCTGCGCTCGCCCGGCCTCCCTGCCTCTGCGCCTTCACCTGACCGCAAAGGCGGCCAGGGCAGCCTCCGCGCGGCCTGACAGTCACGGCTCCCAGTTTGTCCCTGGACGTGGGAAACTCGGGCTCATAGCGCCTCTACGTACACTGCGGCACAGACTGGCGTTTCCTACGGCGCCTTCACTGGAAAGCGCCCCTGTGGTCCTGGGGAGAGGGCGGCTCCATCCGCCACCCTTCCCGGAGCTGCCCCCGCCCATTCTCATGGGAGGAAATCGCAGGGCGTGTGAGCCCCCGACCCCTCGCCCCCACCTCTTCCAGGACCGGCCGCATTTCTGCACTGTCCCGCCCCACTGGGAAGGAAACTCTCTTTCTCAATTTCCTTTAATGAGGACATTGTCTTTTCAGCCCTGCCACCCCCTGCAATCGTCTTCCAGGCTGCAAACAGCGAGTGGGGAGGTGAACACATCAGCTTTTCCTCCCTCCACACCACCAGGAAATTTCGCAAACCACTTGGCTCTCGGCGGCCTGGCCTCGCCACACCTGTGCCCACAGTCTCTCTCCGCTGCAGCCCCCTGTGCCATTCTCCAGGCCCCACGTACCTCTGCCTGGGCCCAGTAAGACCTGGTCAGATGGCCCCCGGCTGCAAAGCCTTCCTGGGCCCCATCAGAGAGGACGCCCAGGTGAAGCGAGGGTCCCCTGCCCACCCTGCAAGCGCAGGGGCCCTTCCAAGAGTGCAGCCCTAGGCCGGTGTGTGATGGTGGAGACGCGGTCCCAGAGGGCCTGAACCAAGAATGGAGAAGACAAAGGCTGTCTTTAGGGAGAAACTTCCCTGAGGGGCTGATGTGTGCGATCCCATTTTAATCTCACAACCCTGGGGAGGAGCTGGGGCCGGGTCTCATTGTTCATTTGAGGACACCGAGGCTCAGGGAACTTAGACGACTTTCCTAGGGTCCCCCCAACCCCCACCGGCCCAGGGCCCTCTCCCAGGCACCCCTCATCCCCACACAGGCTCCTCTAAGCTGCTTCCTTGTGGTCCAGCCCCCTTGGCTCAGCTCCTCAAATACAGGGACACCTCTTCTCTCCCCCGCAGAACTCAAGGGTCTCCATCCACTGTGCCAGCACAGAGGCGGTGCTCAGAGTGGGGCTAAGCTTACTGTCCAGCCTGCTGGGCCAGGAGGGGCAGAAGGGCCCCTCTCAGGATTCCTTCGCTCTGCTCCTGCCAATAGGCCATCACTCAAGGGGCTAATGACAGGACGATGTGGAGAAACGTGGGCTGCAGCACTTCTGGGGCCAAGGGCAGGGTGGGCGGCACTGGGGAGTACAGGGGAGGGGACCTCACTGGGGCCAGAGGCTTCTAGAAGCTTCTGCAAGAAGGGGCCCCTCACCCATGTCTTGGCCAAGAAGTGGGGAGGGTGGGTGTGGCAAAGGAAACAGCTAGGTCAGAGACAAGAGATGCTCTGCAAAGCCCTGCTGGCTCCCCACGGTGGAGCATCCTATGCATGTAGGACCTGAGAGATGGCAGGGGCGGGTGCGTCCCTATGGATGTATCTCCATTTCTGGGCAGAGACATCTGGGCTCTCACCTGCAATTGAGCCAACCAAGAAATTATATTTACTTTTTAGAGCGAGCCTCCAACAAATTATACAAGCACTTGAGAATAAGCCCTCCCACTGTCTTGAGAGATGGAGCCCAGGGAGGCAGCTGGAAAGATGCTCCTGCCCTCACTCAGGAGAGATGGTGGAGCTGGGAGAGGAGGAGGCACTCCCTGGGACCCAGCAGATGGACTTGACTCAGCAAATAGATGCAACCATATGTGGGGGGTGGGGAGGCCCAGAAAGGCATTACAGGCCAGTGTTCTTAATCCTGGCTATACACTGGAATCCACCAGTAGCCCTAAAATATAACTGTGCTGGACTTCCCCTGGTTCCACAGTTTGTGCAGAGTGGGCAGCATGGAGTCTGTAACACTAAACACACAGGATTGAGAACCATATGTCTAGGCTGTTGTTAGCCATGATGGGGATACATGAAAAGGAGGTGCACAGTTACCTTCTATACCACAGGATAGGTGCTCATTAAACCCTGTTAAAATGGACTGTGACCCAGCTGGCACTCAGGGGCACTCAGGGGCCAGGTGGGTCACACTTTCATTTTAATAGGATTTAATGAGCACCTATTCTGTGACAGCTGCTAAGATACAGAGGCTCCTGAGATACAGAGATGACAATGACCTTCAGAAACACTGAACAGAGATAAGAAAGGCACAGTCTGGCCTTCACTCCACCATTAATTCCTCCATCCATCCATCCATCCATCTATCCATCCATCTCTCTGTCTATACTTCCATCCATCCACCATCCATTCACCATCCACCCATCAATCCATCCACCCATCTATCCATCCATCCATCTCACTATCTGTCATCCATCCATCCATC
The DNA here is from genome assembly GCF_000001405.40 of Homo sapiens. NCBI lineage: Eukaryota > Metazoa > Chordata > Mammalia > Primates > Hominidae > Homo > Homo sapiens. Next base: position 45,416,817 of record NC_000010.11, on the reverse strand, counting down.
CACCATCCATGAATCCATCCATCCGTATATCAATTTCTCATCTATCTCTCCATCCATCCCCCATCCACCTCTTCTTCCATCCTTCCTCCTTCCCTTCATCCATCCATTCATCATCCATCCCTCAACCCATCCATCTGCCTGTCCATCGGTTTGATTGTCCATCTGTCCAGTATTCCTCCATTCCCTCCAAACTGGGTGGCAGTACTCTCCACCTCACTACCTCACCATCCTTATTATTCCCTCCAAACTGTCTCTTTCACAAGGGCCTTCTGTCCTGCCTGTCCCATCCTGGTCTGGGACCTATCCCACTAAAGCTACATGGCTTTGATCAACAATCCCAATCCCAGAGTAGGGGAAGGGAAGTGAGCCCCTAACTGCCGTGATGTTTCCAGGGAGATGGTGGATACTGCTGCATTACTAATCCAGATGTTAGGTTTTAATTTTTCTCTCCAGTAGACCCCAATTGTGGTAGGAGAAAAATGCCCCAGCTTTGGACACAAACAGACCTGGATTCAAATCCTGGTTTTGCCAATTTCTGCCTAAATGACTTTAGGCAAACTCCTTGACCTTGACCCCTTGGAGACTCAGTTTCCTCACCTAGAAATGGTCAATAATATTATTTACCTCCCAGGATGGCCATGAAGCTTAAAATAGATTATTGTACCCCCCAAAACACCGACACAATGTTTAGAAATAAATAATATTATTTTAAGCTTTGAAGTCTGGCTGGGTTCTCAGCCTCGTCTACCTGCTGGGTGTGCAGACTCAAAGCCAGGGTCCCACCCTCATAGACTGTCATCTGTGGGTGTGGGGTTGGCCTGGCACTAGCAGGTGCTAATGCTCCTCAGAGGATTCTAGGTGTAAAAGGAAATGAAAATCTTTGGACCCCAATTCACTCTGCCAAAAGGGAAAAATTAAGCTGAAAGCTGAGTGATGCAAGAAACGAAGATAGCTACAGATAAAAGGTGAAAACCTCCACAGGTAGCTCTTGGTGTTCACCTTATCAAGTGCTGATGTACTAAGCGCAAGAGGAATACATAACTGACTATTCCCCTACCTGCTCCTTTTCTTTTGCAACATGTGGATTCAGTAACGTGACCATGCCCTCCCTTTCTTCCTTCCAGCCTGTTCTCCTTTAAATATTGATGCCCTTAAAGACATCTTCGGAAAAAGGCACAGTCCACCAACTGTTCCTGTGGATTTGTGTTCCTTTTTTCCGTGTATGTCTTTTTTTTTATTATTATACTTTAAATTCTAGGATACATGTGCACAACGTGCAGGATTGTTACATATGTATACATGTGCCATGTTGGTGTGCTGCACCCATTAACTCCTAATTAGGTATATCTCCTAATGCTATCCCTCCCCCCTCTCCCCACCCCATGACAGGCCCTGGTGTGTGATGTTCCCCTTCCTGTGTCCAAGTGTTCTCATTGTTCAATTCCCACCTATGAGTGAGAACATGCGGTGTTTGGTTTTTTGTCCTTGCGATAGTTTGCTGAGAATAATGGTTTCCAGCTTCATCCATGTCCCTGCAAAGGACATTAACTCATCCTTTTTTATGGCTGCATAGTATTCCATAGTGCATATGTGCCACATTTTCTTAATCCAGTCTATCGGTGATGGACATTTGGGTTGGTTCCAAGTCTTTGCTATTGTGAATAGTGCCACAATAAACATACGTGTGCATGTGTCTTTATAGCAGCATGATTTATAATCCTTTGGGTATATACCCGATAATGGGATGGCTGGGTCAAATGGTATTTCTAGTTCTAGATCCTTGAGGAATCGTCACACTGTCTTCCACAATGGTTGAACTAGTTTACAGTCCCACCAACAGTGTAAAAGTGTTCCTACTTCTCCACATCCTCTCCAGCACCTGTTGTTTCCTGACTTTTTAATGATTGCCATTCTAACTGGTGTAAGATGGTATCTCATTGTGGTTTTGATTTGCATTTCTCTGATGGCCAGTGATGATGAGCATTTCTTCATGTGTCTATTGGCTGCATGAATGTCTTCTTTTGAGAAGTGTCTGCTCATATCCTTTGCCCACTTTTTGATGGGGTTGTTTTTTTCTTGTAAGTTTGTTTGAGTTGTTTGTAGATTCTGGATATCAGCCTTTTGTCAGCTGAGTAGATTGCAAAATTTTTTTCCCATTCTGTAGGTTGCCTGTTCACTCTGATGGTAGTTTCTTTTGCTGTGCAGAAGCTCTTTAGTTTAATTAGATCCCATTTGTCCATTTTGGCTTTTGTTGCCATTGCTTTTGGTGTTTTAGACATGAAGTCCTTGCCCATGCCTATGTCCTGAATGGTATTGCCTAGGTTTTCTTCTAGGGTTTTTATGGTTTTAGGTCTAACATTTAAGTATTTAATCCATCTTGAATTAATTTTTGTATAAGGTGTAAGGAAGGGATCCAGCTTCAGCTTTCTACATATGGCTAGCCAGTTTTCCCAGCACCATTTATTAAATAGGGAATCCTTTCCCCATTGCTTGTTTTTGTCAGGTTTGTCAAAGATCAGATGGTTGTAGATGTGTGGTGTTATTTCTGAGGGCTCTGTTCTGTTCCATTGGTCTATATGTCTGTTTTGGTACCAGTGCCATGCTGTTTTGGTTACTGTAGCCTCGTAGTATGGTTTGAAGTCAGGTAGCATGATGCCTCCAGCTCTGTTCTTTTGGCTTAGGATTGTCTTGGCAATGCGGGCTCTTTTTTGGTTCCATATGAACTTTAAAGTAGTTTTTCCCAATTCTGTGCAGAAAGTCATTGGTAGTTTGATGGGGATGGCATTGATCTATAAATTACCTTGGGAGTATGGCCATTTTCATGATATTGATTCTTCCTATCCATGAGCATGGAATGTTCTTCCATTTGTTTGTGTCCTCTTTTATTTTGTTGAGCAGTGGTTTGTAGTTCTCCTTGAAGAGGTCCTTCACATCCCTTGTAAGTTGGATTCCTAGGTATTTTATTCTCTTTGAAGCAATTGTGAATGGGAGTTCACTCATGATTTGGCTGTCTGTCTGTTATTGGTATATAAGAATGCTTGTGATTTTTGCACATTGATTTTGTATCCTGAGACTTTGCTGAAGTTCCTTATCAGCTTAAGGAGATTTTGGGCTGAGACGATGGGGTTTTCTAGATATAAAATCATGTCATCTACAAACAGGGACAATTTGACTTCCTCTTTTCCTAATTGAATACCCTTTATTTCCTTCTCCTGCCTGATTGCCCTGGCCAGAACTTCCAACACTATGTTGAATAGGAGTGGTGAGAGAGGGCATCCCTGTCTTGTGCCAGTTTTCAAAGGGAATGCTTCCAGTTTTTGCTCCTTCAGTATGATATTGGCTGTGGGTCTGTCATAAATAGCTCTTATTATTTTGAGATACATCCCATCAATACCTAATTTATTGAGAGTTTTCAGCATGAATGGTTGTTGAATTTTGTCAAAGGCCTTTTCTGCATCTATTGAGATAATCATGTGTTTTTTGTCATTGGTTCTGTTTATATGCTAGATTACATTTATTGATTTGCGTATGTTGAACCAGCCTTCCATCCCAGGGATGAAGCCCACTTGATCATGGTGGATAAGCTTTCTGATGTACTGCTGGATTCGGTTTGCCAGTATTTTATTGAGGATTTTCGCATTGATGTTCATCAGGGATATTGGTCTAAAATTCTCTTTGTTTGTTGTGTGTCTGCCAGGCTTTGGTATCGGGATGATGCTGGCCTCATATAATGAGTTAGGGAGGATTCCCTCTTTTTCTATTGATTGGAATAGTTTCGCCAAACTGACATGATTTTTAAAATTCCCTATAGGGTCAATGTGCAGATTTAAAGATCCCTACACTCAGTAGTCCTGGGATAGGGTCGGGGGATCCATATGTTTAACAAGCAGCCTAGAGTCTCCCGATAGCCTGGGCAAGCTTTAAAAAGCCCTGCGGACATTCGGATGAAACAAAGGTGCACAGAACCTATATCTCTGCCATTTATTAGCTGGGGGCCTTAGGCAAGGAAGGTAGTCAACCTCCGTATTCCTCAGTTCCTCAACTGTAAAATGGGGATGATGACTGTGGCTCCCTCGTGGGGTTGTGACGGAGGAACAGGGGACATATGTCCTGGGATCAGCACTGGCAATTTGGCCATTCTTACCATAGCACCTGCCATCTTGGTGACAGCCTGGACACAAAGCCTTCACACCTTTGAAGTGGCCATAGAGAGCATGAGATATGGATGGGGAGGAGGCATTCCAACTAAAGACCCCTGCTTTGGGCCAAAAACACATGTATGTCTGGTGTCTGGAGTCCTCTGGTTATGCCTTTTTTAAGATACCGGTTGTCCTGCAATTGTGCGTTGAGAATCCACTCTATGGCCAACATATCATCAAAGCGTTTGGCTCAGCTAGGCTGTTCCCCCAACCCAAGGACCCCATGAGGAAAGGAGTGAGGGTTCCACCCCCAGCACCAGCCACTGGAGGGGCTGCCCAGAGTCCCTCAGTTCTCGTAAACTTACGCTTTGGAGTAATTCAGAACAAAGTCCACTCCTTTTTCACTATCAAACTGGATATCACGGGGTAAATCCTTGTGGCATTTGGCATCGATGCTCAAGGGGAAGCCAGGGTTCCACTCCATCCATCTGAGCATGAGAAAGGAGAAGAAATTGAGTTAAATGCCAGCCTTTGGTCTGCCCCCTCAGCTGAGGGCCGCCCACACTGTCAGACGATGTTACACAGGGAGATTGATGTACTCAAAATAAAGTCAACACATCATAGGCTGACCCTGTGTCCAGTAAGGTTCTGGGACCTCTTCCAAAGTCCAGTCGCACCAACTTTGCTGTGCCCTGAGCATCAGAGTGGGAACCCTGAGACTGGGCTTATAGTGGTACAGGTGTGCACCACTGCATAAAAAGTTCTGTAGGTAGTCTAGGGAGACCTCACTTACTAGAGGTGACATTGAACAGTAGAGGCCTGCCTTGCCAGTCACTGGAGGTAGAAGGTATTAAGGCTGCCCAGCCACGCCCAACCTGGACATCCACCATTCTGCCAACTTGATCAGTGTGTGCCCTGGACTGCGTGCATGTCCTGCATGTGGCATTTGGGGAAATGGGACAGTTCTTCTGCCTTCACAATAGGACGACACGGCAGCAGGTGGCCTGGGAGAGGGACCCAGGCACAGATGGCTAAAAGGCTTCCCTCTCTCACCTGCTGGCCAATAGCAGCTTTAGAGATTATTACAATCAAAACAGCTTCCCCAAAGACAAGCCACGGACTGCATCCAGTAAACATGCTCAGATCCTGACATCCTTGAAACGTATCCCGTGGCATTGGGCATTTGTGTTTTTGAAAAATGTTTATTTTGCTTTTTTGTTTACTTATTGAGTAAACTTAAATTGTGAAAATGTCAGAGGTGTTTGAACCACAGCAACTCCATCTTGAATAGGGGCTGGGTAAAATAAGGCTGAGACCTACTGGGCAGCATTCCCAGGAGGTTAGGCATTCTAAGTCACAGGATGAGACAGGACATTGATGCAAGATACAGGGCAGAAAGACCTTGCTGATAAAATGGGTTGTGGTAAAGAAGCCGGCCAAAACCCAACAAAACTAAGATGGTGATGAAAGTGACCTCTGTTCATCCTCACCACTCATTATATGCTAATTATAATGCATTAGCATGCTAAAAGAAACTCCCACCAGTGCCATGACAGTTTACAAATGCCATAGTAATGTCAGGAAGTTACCCTATATGGTCTAAAAAAGGGAGGAACCTTCAGTTCCTGGAATTGCCCACCCCTCTCCTGGAAAACTCATGAATAATCCACTCATTGTTTAGCACATGATCACGAAGTGACTGTAAGTATGCTCAGTCGAGTAGCCCATGCTACTGCCTTGCCTATGGAGTAGCCTTTCTTTATTGCTTTACTTTCCTAATAAACTTGCTTTCACTTTATGGATTCACCCTGAATTCTTTCCTGTGGAGGTCCAAGAACTCTCTCTTGGGGTCTGGATCAGGACCCCTTTCTGGTAACAAAAACAAAATGAAATCCTGTTAGTTTCTTTGGGGAGGGAGAATGATTTTGTGTTTGTTTAAAAACCAGATTTTACATTTTAGGGTTTTAGCTTTTTCATTTATATTCCTAATTCTCCTTCCTTTTAAAATTTTCTTTTGAGAGGAAAGTAAAATATCGAGATTTTGGGTCTTAAAAAAGTCCTGAGTTATTTTAATATGATCTTGTGCTTTGACTTTCCCCAAATCCCAACTGTCACAGTGTCCTCTTGGCCCAGTAGCCTCTCCTTAGGATCACAAGAAGTGAACAGGGACCGGGTATGATCCTTCTGACAGCAAAGGCATTTTGTCAAGTGTTTTCTGTTATGTGGCACCTTACATTTCTCACTGTTGGTTTATTTAGAATATTCTACGTCCTCAGATTTTAAGAAAACCTTCCATTTTTGCTGTTTGTATTAATGCCAATGATAGTATATTAACAAGGATAAAAATGTGGACAAGTCTACACATTTTTTGTTTGTTTGTTTTGGAAAATGACTCAAGGCATCTCCAATATATATCTAAAATTGAGCCATTCAGTAGCCTCACTGGTAGTAATGATCAATTAATTAGCTATCATTAGTCATATCAATTTAAATATTACTGATGATTTTCTCTTTGCCTGGACAGTTCAAGGGCTCTAGTTAATTTTAAAAGCTCAGTGGAGCTAGATGTTTTTCAGTATGTAAACAATGAGCCATGCAAGGGCATCTGTGCCAGCAAATGGCATTAATGTTTTCTTAAGTGAATAGTCCACTTGGACGGATGTGGAATACTTCTTCAGCACCAAAAAGACCTTCTTGCCCCATGCCCTGCCCTGGTCTATGGAGGGTGGCAGCACCAATGGGCAGAAATGCCCCACTTGTGTGGTTAGAAGATGATGGCCTCACAGCACATGGAGACAGGACAGCTTGCTTGCTAGTTCACTACTGCCCCCCTGAAACCAAATGTTTATGTCCCTTCCACTGCAGGTCACTGCTGCTTAAGAGACCCTGACAGGCTGACCTGCACAGGAGCCGAAGGCCTGCATGGCCACAGACATTAACTGGTGGAGATGGAATCCCACTCCATTGAGGAAGACCAAGTGGAACACCCAGGCAGAAGGAACAAAGAAGTAGAAAGGCATTTAATTTATTGGAAAAAAAATGAGAGAGAGAGAGAAAGAGAGAGAGAGAAAGCAAGAGAGACAGAGAGACAGAGAGAGAGAGAGAGAGAAAGAGAGAGAGAGAAAGCAAGAGAGACAGAGAGACAGAGAGAGAGAGAGAGAGAGAGAGACAGACAGACAGAGAGATCCTAAGGGGATGCAGTTAGTATAATTGGAGTGTAAAAAGACTTTCTGTAACCACAAACATGATTTCTGAATGAAGACTTCAATAGAGAAACAGACAAAGAGAATAATCACTGTGAGATGTTTGGTCTCTTGTATTAAAAGAAAAGCTTTAGACAAATTAAATTTAGCAGTTTAATTGAGCAAAGAACAATTCAAGAATAGGGCAGCCCCTAAACCAGAGCAGGCTCCGAGTGACTTTGATGCTGTCTCATAGTTGGATAGGATTTATGGGCAGAAAAAGGAACGTGATGTACAGAAAATGGAAGTGAGGTACAGAAACAGCCAGATTGGTGATGGCTCAGCATTTGCCTTACTTGAGCCCAGTTTGAACAGCTGGCCACTGTGAGTGGCTGAAGTCTGGCCGCTGTGATTGGCTGAGACTTGGTTACTTGCTATGAGAGTAGGTGACAGTCTGTTTACACATCCAGTTAGGTTACAGTTCACTATGTACAGAGAAACTTTTAGGCTGAATTTAAAATATGTAAGGAGAAAAGTTTAAGCTAAACTCATTAACACCTAGAAGAGAGAAGGTGTTCATTCGACAACTAATTATGGAGCACCTACTATGTGCCAGGAAGTGCTTTGTGCAAAATAGAAGAACATGTAACCCAAATACAGGGTGAAACTACAAAGAAATGGAAGCCATAAATGAAACTATGAGAGACATAAACCAAAAATAAAATTCTAAGCCCCTGAACTGACTGATGGACCCTCCCCTTGGCCAAGGGCATTCCAAAGTTAACCTGAAAAATTAGTTCAGGCCATGATAGGAATGGGTGGCTAAACGTGCCTCATTGTACTCTCCTCCTCTTGGAATTCAGGCACAACTGATCAGCATTCACATCAACACAGAGATGTTAAGCCCATTAGAACAGACTCTTTAAGATTGATAAGAAACATTTACAATTGATTCTACCTGAAGCCTGCTACCTGGAGGCTTCATCTGCATGATAAAAAACTTTGTTTCCACAACCCCTTATCTTAACCTAGACATTCCAAGTTTTTAGATAATAATTCTTTTAAGCAGTTGCCAATCAGAAACTCTTTGAATCTGCCTATGACCTGGAAGCTCCCCTCCCCCAAGTTGTCCCACCTTTCCAAAACCAAACCACTGTCCATCTTACATGTATTGACTGATGTCTTATGTCTCCCTAAAATGCACAAAAGCAAGCTGTACCCCAACCACCTTGGGTGCATGTTCTCAGGATCTCCTGGGGCTGCATCATGGGCCACTGGTCACTCATATTTGGCTCAGAATAAGTCTTTTCAAATATTTCACAGAGTGTGACTCTTTTCATTAACAGACATGAAAGCCAGATACAGATGTAATATGCAAGGAGTAAAAGCTCCAAAAGGAGAGAGAGTAATATATGGAGAAGTGAAAAAAATCAAAGAAATAAAAGAAGAACTCCTTTAAGCTGAAAAATACTTCAATATCTTAAGTCTGTGAAAGGAAATTAAATTTTAGGACCCCAAACTCATTTAGCCAAAGGGAAATGTCAAGCTGGGAACTGTGTCATGCAAACCTGCCTCCCCCTTTTGGTTCCTAAATAAGATGGCTATGATGAAAAGCTACATGTCTCCACCATATTTTGCTCACAAGGAAATTCCTAGTGAACCGTTAAAATTTCACCATGGCAATGCAAATTGATAGCTTATCTTTACAAGTGCAGTCACCCACCAGATACAAATGCATATCTGATTGTTCCCCTGCCTTACTTTATCTATGTTCTCTTATGTAAAATGCAGACTCCCTGCATTTTTCCTCTGCCTCATTTGTTTATGTCATCTTATGTTAAAAAAAATGCAGATTCACTGAGCCAGAGAAAGGCATGAATAACTATTTTTCCCTGCCCTGCTCTTACATGAAAATTGTGTACTTCTCAATATCCCGCCCTTTTCCCTTTAAATTTGGAGCCCTCAAAATCACCTTCAGAGAAAGGCATAGTGCTGTCTCCCGGGCATGCGTCCTTAACTTTCGCAAATAAATTTCCTAAAATGATTGAGACTTGTCTCGTCATTTTTCTCAATGACAAGTCCTAGGTGGGGGGGAAAAAAAAAAAGGAAAAAGATACACCTAGGTATATACTGAATACATTTTAAAATGTCCAAGAGACAGGAGAAACAGAGACAGAGAGAAGGAAAGAGATGCAGAGAGTGAACGAGAGAGGAAGAAAGTGGGGGAGGGAGGGAGATAGAAACTCTAGGAAAAGAAACAAACTATCATTAGATTTCTCCTCTGTCATTCTGAAAATGGGAAGACTGAAGTGTATACACACTTTTTTTAGATCGTCATCTAAGCCTCTCATATTGTCATCAATGAGGGCAGGGGAATTTGTTTGAGGGGATGGGTAGGGGGACAGGACGACAAGCACAGACTCAGATCTTACACTACACATGGACCTTCTGAGGAAATTAATTGAACAAGTTCAGCTGAACAAAAATTAAATTAGAATGAATCAATAAACTCCTAAATACAGCAAAGAATATGCATTATAAAACTACAGCAAATATAATAGTAAACAAAGAAACAAAAATATGAGAGGGATGTTCATCACTACTACCACTACTTGTTTTGGGAATTCCAGACATGGAATAAGAAAAGAATATCAGTGGTGTAGATAATGGAAAGTAAGAGACAAAATTATTAACATTTAGATAATATGAGCACATTAACTAACCAGACTCACTAACAACAAACAAACAAAAACAAGTGATTAGAACCAATGAAAGAATTCAGTAAGGGACCAACACACAGTAAATGTAAGAAACAAGTAATTTACATTTATCCCAGCAATATTTTTGCAAACAGAAAAATATCCTACTCAGAACAGCAAATGCTAAATGTAGAGTAGCTAGAAAGGTGAAGGACCTGCATGAAGAAAACTAGAAATTCTATGGAAGTACGTTGACACAGGATCTAGAGAGGTGGAAAGACACGCTGTGTTCCTGGATGGAAAGACTGAATCTCAGTAAAATGCCAACACATAACACAGTTATGTGAAGTTCAAAGTAATTCTCATTATGAAAAACTTAAGAAAGAACAGTGAGATATGTAACAGACATTAACATTTATTAGAAAGTTATGATAACCAAAAGCTGGTGCTGGGGTCTCGAGTAGAAAAATAGGCTAACACATAAAGTGCGGAAACAGACCCAGAGACTATGTATACATAATACAAAACTCGCCAACACTTATCCAGTGCTTTCTATGTGCCTACTACTATTCTCTGTGTTTTCATGGTTTAACCTATTATCTCAAACCCCTAAAAGGAAGGCACTGTTATTTCCCTCATTTTACAGATGAGGGAAGTGAGGCACAGACAGATTAAACAACTTTCACAGGACTGGAGAAAGTGCCAGTAAGTGTGAGTTGAGCCCAGACACTCGAATCCAGAGCTCATGACTGCCATCCTATGCCAGCTTGTACCGTGGGTATCATCATCCCTGTCATCCAAGTCAGGAGGAAAGACATCATCCCTGTCATCCAAGTCAGGAACGAATGCTACCGGGAGAGTTCCACCCAGGTATGTATGAAAACACGTGGCAGGAGTGGGGCATGGTGGCGCACGCCTGTAGCCCCAGCTACTTGGGAGGCTGACGTGGGAAGATGGATTGAGCCTGGGTTAGTTTGAGGCAGCAGTGAACCATGATCATGCCACTGCACTCCAGCCTAGGAAACAGAGCAAGACTCTGTCTCAAAAAAAAAAAAAAAGGTAGATGAATGAAAGCTCTAAACTCAAAGGGGAAATTATAAAAGTATTAGACAAAATTACGGGGGAAGTATTTGTGTAACACTGGGATGGAAAGGGTTTTCTTAAGCAAAGGAGGAAACCCAAAAGTTATAGATGTAAACAATACATAGTTAATAAAATAAAGAACTAAAATCTCCTGTGGCAAAAGCAACAGAAGACAAATAATAAATGCTATACATATGTAACAAACGGATACTATCCTGATATAGAAAGAGCTCCTTTAGATTAATAATTGAAAGAACAATAGGGAAAAAAAGCTTATAAATAGGCAATGCAGTGATGCTTATTAGTGGTCAGGGGAGTGCAGACTAAAACAACCACAAGGTCTTAGGGATTTTTAGACTGTCAAACAAGGTCATCGGGTACTGACAAATGTATGGATGGGCAAAAGTATCTTTTCATACACAGCTGGTAGGACCGCAAATTACGATACAATTTTGTGAAAGGATTTTTGTCGGTATTTCTTAAGATGAAAAAATGCTGATTTGTTCCAGCAATCTGAGTTCTGGAAATGGATCTGCCATTAATTAAAGCACCAGTACATCAAGATGTTTGTACAAGGTTGGTTCTGGCAGCATTGTTTGTACTGCAATACCCAAAACAAACAAACACATCTACAAATGGGAAATGAACTGAACGTCAGTGAATAGGGGAATGGCTAAGTAAATTATGGTGCATTCCCAGAAGGCAAGAAATAGTAGCAGTTTAAGAAGGGGAAAATATATGAGATACTATTTCACACGCAAGAATGAAAACATCTGAAGATGCGAAGTGTTGATGATGCAGGGAAACAGTGAATCTCAGAAACAGTTACTGGGGTGTCTACTGGCAGAATGCCTTTGGAAAACAATCAGCAATATCTAGAAAGCTTAAAAACACGTGGTCTGCAACCCTGCAACTCTACTTCTTGGAATATTCCCTACAGTAACTCTTCCATGAGAGCACAGAGAGATGTGTGAGAAAGCTCACTGTCGCTTGGTTTGCAACAGCTAGAAATTAAAGACAGCCCGCCTGCCCATCAGCAGGAGAGCGGACGAGCGCATGGGTTATTCAGATACTGATATGCCATGAAGAAGTTAACTGCATGAACCACATCTATCTGTGTCAACCAGATCCTCTTCAATACTTAGTGATGAGTGAAAAGTGCAGGTCACATAATGATTAGATTAAATTATATCGATTAACAAACACCTACACTTTGCCATTTACTGCTGTGTGTGAGTGTGCATGTAACACAGACAGATGTGGTCACAGTGGGAGAGCACAAGCTGTGGGCTATGACCTGGGTCTGCTTCTCCTTCTCCCTGCGTGGCTGAGTGAGTAAGGAGGGCCTGCAAGAAGCGCCAGCTTTCTGACATAGTGTGGACTATTCTTAGTCATTGCTTTACTTCCAAACTCTGATCTGGAAGCCTGAGAAATCTTCTGAGAAAGAGGAACTCCAAGATTGTGCAGACAGTGCAAAGTTCAGTGTTTCCTGAACGGAAGCAAAGGAGGGTTTCTGAAAAGGACAGATGAGTGGAAGGAGGAAGAAAAAAATGATTAAATCTAAGAAAGGGGGAAACGATCTCACCAGAAGCCCCCTGCTGCAAGATTATGATAATGTTAAGTAGCTCCCAGATAATTGGGCTAGTTTGTGTTATCTTAGATGAGTAGATAGCAAAGTCTAATTAGAGCCCCACTAATTCATACTAAAGTGTTAGTGGCTTATAACAAATTAAATGAATTTTATGGGCATTTTATCTTAACCCAGATTCACAGGCCAGAAGTGCTCTGAGAACTGGCTGCAGGGGCTTTGCCATAGGTGTCTGAAACAGGGAGGGAAGCCAAGGAAGAAGCATAGAAACAACAGCCCTTTGGGATGGGAGGCAGAGCTCAAGCACAACGTGTGCACTGCACCAGGTATGGAAGTCTGGAAACACATCATATGGTGCCTGAGCTGAGAGGCTTGTGCACAAATACTCTAAAACAAATCACACATTTATAAACCCTTAACATGACCCACAGCACAGCAGGTTACTCTCCCACACTTGATGCTAATGGCATGTAAGTTTTATTTTTGATTTTTCAATTGGGAAATAGAATATATAAAATATGTATGGATATGTATATATGCACACACACACTCACACATGCAGAAAAATGTACAAAACACCTGTACGAACACCATCCAGGTAAAAAATCAGAACATTGTCCGTACCCTCACCCCCACCTTTCCCAATCAACCCTCCTTCCATCCCCGGTAATGACCATCCTCGGCTTTATGATAATCATTTTCTTGTTATTGTTTAAGGTTCCGCTATGACACACCTCCCTAAACAATTTCATTCCAAAGTTATGAATTGGCCAGACACGCTCCTGGCTTCTTTCCTTCAACACTGCGTCAGTGAGGTTTGTCCATGTTAGCAGCAGTTTGTTGATTTTCCTTGCAGTGTAGAATTTTCCTTGACAATTTGTCTGTTCTACTGTTTGTTGGACATTGAGTTGTTGCCATTTTTTGGCCATCATGAGTAATGCTGTTGTGAGTATCCAGGCGCACATGCACACAAATTTGGATCCCACTATAGGATTTCTGGGTCATAGATTATAATGTAGCTTCAGTTTTATGACATATTGCTAAATTGTTTTCCACGGAGGTCTTACCAACTTGTCCTCCTGCCGGTGGTATATGAGTGTTCCCAGCCCTCTGGATCTTCTTTAATACTCAGGTGTTGTCAGTTGTTGAAGTGTTGCCCATCTGGGGGCATATGTGTGGTAGTAGCAGCAGTTCACTGTGATCTTCTGATTTCCCCGAGTCCTAATGAAGTTGAACACCTTTTGTATACTTGCTGCTTATATTTTGTACAGTAAGTACTCAAACTTCTTGCCCATTTTCTAGTGAATGACACTCCCCTTCTTAAAGATTTGTAGGTCCTTCACATACTAGGAATAATTCTCGTCAATCACTCCATGACTTGCCTTCACTCTCTCCTGGTGTCTTTCAATGAACAGAGTGTCCTTATCTTGAGGGAGGCAAACTTACCAATCTTTTCCTTTGTGTTTAATATGTTCTGAGTCTTGTTTGAAAAATCCTTTTAGCTTGAGACCTGGAAGAATAATCACCTGTAGTCTAAATGTCTTACAGTTTTGCCTTTAACTTTTAAGTCTAATCAACCCCAAGCTGAGTCTCCTGAATGGCAAGAGGTGGAGTCTGATTTCTTCTCCTTCTCCTTCAGCCCTCCGTGCTGGCTGGCCCCTGTCCTCGAGATGCATGTCCAGTGGCCCAGTGCCACCCATCAGCCGAGCCCTCCGTAGCAGACCCAGTACCCACATACGTGTGGCTGTTTGTTGTTTCTTTATTCTGTTTCAAGGAATGTTTTTGATGAAAAGGGGGATGAAGCTAAGACAGTTTTGAGGTGGGGCAATTGTGTTCTTGGTGTGGGATTTCTCACCCCTTGACAGCAGTGGGTGGCTGGGCATAGGGGAAGAAGGAGCTACAGGGTTGAGGGATGCTGTTGCAACTTAGAAAAATTAAGAAAAATGAAGATATTGCTCAGTTATGGCAAGTGTTTGATGAAACAGGGACCCATACATGGCTCGTGAAAACTGGTTAAAGATTTTTTTTTTTTTTTTTTTTGAGACGGAGTCTCGCTCTGTCGCCCAGGCTGGAGTGCAGTGGTGCAATCTCGGCTCACTGCAAGCTCCGCCTCCCAGGTTCACGCCATTCTCTTGCCTCAGCCTCCCGAGCAGCTGGGACTACAGGCGCCCGCCACCACGCCCGGCTAATTTTTTGTATTTTTTAGTAGAGACGGGGTTTCACCGTGTTAGCCAGGATGGTCTCGATCTCCTGACCTGGTGATCCACCCACCTCAGCCTCCCAAATGGTTAAAGATTTTTGAGGAGAAATTTGTCAATGTATACTAATAACTTTTACTATTTGGTAATTTCATATCTGGGCATCTGTCCTAGGAAAATACTTAATAATGTATACAAATTTCACATACAAGGGTTTTCACTTTGCTTATAAGAATACAAAAATTAGAAACCTCCTAAATGTCCAGGGAAGCTGGGTGTTTAAGTGAATGATGAGGCATCCATCCAATGGAATAGTACATAGAAACTAGAATAATGTTTATGATGAGATTTTGAAAATATGGGAAAATGATTTTTGCTACACTGCTAAAGGGCAGCAAGGAGGATGCAAAGTGGTATATATAGCACAATCCCAAATTTTAAAAAGTGAATAAGACAAAGTGAAAACAATTAAACATGAATTTTTATGAAAAAGTTCATAAAATTCATAATTCATACAGAAAATAGGTATTTTTCTGGCTCTATATTATTTTCCTTCTTTTACTTTTTTGAGTTAAAAAAACAACCCAGATATACTACATATTCCTTGTAAGAAGTTCAACTATTGAGGGATATGTAGAAAAGTATCACAATATTGGCTCCCAAAGGCCCCTCCACAGCCCAGGTAACTTCACTGTCCATGTAGAATGATTCCTTCCACTTTCTTCCCTTGGAAGGAGGCACAGACTCAAATGTTTCCAGGGGCCAAAGCAGGAAATGAAATGAAAGAAAACCTTGATATAGACAACAGACAAGTGTGGACTGGGGAAGCCTGAAGAATATCTCTGTTTACTCATAAGTCAATAATGATCCATCAAACACTTGTAGAGGCTGGATACAGCCCATCAGCCACCCATTTCCAGAGGAGCACTCTGTAATGTGTTATTATCTTCCAAAAAGCTTTACTGAGATACATTTACATACCATTAAATTCACCCCTTAAAAATATGCTATCAAAAGATTTTAATATATTTGCAGAGTTGTATGTGTAACCATCATTATAACCCAATTCTGAAATAATCTCATCCCCAGAGGACACCTCGAACCCATTAACATTCACTCCTTGTTTCCCCTCCCCAACTCCTAGTGCTAGGCAACTACTCACCTACTAACCTGACTCTGTGGGTTTGCCTATTCTGGACATTTCATACAGATAGAATCACACAATATGGGGTCTTCCGTAAGTGAGTTTTCCATTTAGCATATTTTTGAAGTTCATTCAGTGTTTGGCATCTATCTGTAGTTCATTTCTTTTCTTTTCTTTTCTTTTTTTGAAATGGAGTCTTGCTCTGTCACCCAGGCTGGAGTGCAGTGGCGGGATCTAGGCTCACTGCAACCTCCGCCTCCCGGGTTCAAGTGATTCTCCTGCCTTAGCCTCCCAAGCAGCTGGGATTACAGGCGTGCACCAACATGCCCGGCTAATTTTTGTATTTTTGTAGACATGGGGTTTCACCATGTTGGCCAGGTTGGTCTCAAACTCCTGACCTCAAGTGATCTGCCCGTCTCAACCTCCCAAAGTGCTAGGATTACAGGTGTGAGCCTCCGCGCTTGGCATTCATTCCTTTTTGATGCCAAAAAATATCCCATTGTATGGATAAACTATATTTTGTTTATTCATTCCTCAGTTAATGGAATTTAGGTTGTTTCTACTTTTTGACTATTGTGAACAATGGTGCTATAAATATGTGTGTACAAGTTTTGTATAGACATGTGGTTTCAATATTCTTGGGTAGAGGCCTAGGAGTAGAATTGCTGGGTCATATTGTAGCTGGGTTTCAGATTTTGAGGAACCACTAAACTGTTTTCTGAAGTGGCTGCATCATCTTACATTCCGGTAGCAGCATCAGGGTTCCAGTTTCTCCACATCCTTGGCAGCACTTGTTACTATCTGTCTTTTTTATTCTAACCATTTTAGTGGTTAGAATTGTATCTTGTGGTTTTGATTTGAAATTTCCTGATGATTAATAATGTTGAGCATATTTTCACGTGCTTATTGGAGATTCACAAATTTTCTCTGGAGAACTATTTAATTAAATCCTTTGCTAATTTTTAAACGGGGTTTTTTGTACAGAATATTTTAAAATTGAGTTGTCAGAGTTCTTTATATATTCTGGATACAAGTCCCTTATCAGACATATGATTTAGATATTTTCTCCATTCTGTGGATTGTCTTTTCACTTTATTGATGATGTCCTTTGAAGCATAGATCTTTTACATTTTAATGACATCTAACTTGTCTACTTTCTTTTGCTGCCTGTGCTCTTGGTGCCATATCTAAGAGACTTTGCCGAACCCAAGATTATGAAGACTTACTTGTATGTTTTCTTCCAAGAGTGTTATGTTGTTAGCCCTTACTTTTAGATCTATCATCCATTTTGAATTAATTTTTAAATTTATCTAGCAGCGTTATTGAAATATAATGCACATACTGTAAAATTTATCCATTTAAAGTGTTCAATTCAAGGATGTTTAGTATTAATTTTTACACAATGGACAACCATCAGTTTTAGAACATTTTCATCCCCGGCAAAAGGAACACTGTATCCTTTAGCTGTCACTCCCATGACCACTTCCTCATTCCCTGCCCCTAGGCAACCAGTAATCTACTTTATATCTGTACAGATTTTTCTTTTCCAGAAATTTCATATAAAAGGAATCATACAATATATGATCTTTTGTGACTGGTTTCTTTCACTTAGCATAATGTTTTTGAGATTCATCCATGTTGTAACAAGTGTCAGTATTTCATTCTTCTTTCATGGTCAAATTATATAGATATACTATATTTTATCCATTCATCCATTAATGGACGTTTGGGTTGTGTACACTTTTTGATAGTTACAGGTCATGCTGCTATAATCATGCATGTACAAGTTTTTGTGTGGGCATATGTTTCCATTTCTGTTGGGAATATGCTTAAGAGTGGAAATGCTGTCATATTGTAACTCTCTGTTGAACAGTCAGGAGCTAGCAGACTGTTTCCCAAGCAGCTGTGCCATTTTACATTCCCACCAGCAGTGTATGAGGGTTCTGATTTCTCCACATCCTTGTCAACACTTGTTCTTGTCGGATTTTTTTATTCTAGCCATCCTAGTATCAAGTGGTATCTCATTGTGGTGTTGATTTGCATTTCCTAGATGACTAATGGGTCCTTGGAGAAATATCTATTCAGATCCTCACTCATTTTTTTCATTTTTTAATTGGACTATTTGTCTTTATTGAGTTGTAAGAGTTCTTTATAAATTATGGATGGAAGGCCCTTATCAGATATACAATTTGTAAATATTTCTTCCATTCTGTGGTTCATCTTTTCACTTTCTTGATGGTGTCCTTTGAAACATAAAGGTTTGTAAATTTGATGACATCACTTTATCACTTTATCTATTTTTCTTTTGTTGCTGATGCTTTTGGTGTCATATCAAGAGTCCTTTGTCAAATCCAAAGTCATGAAGGTTTACTCCTGTGTTTTCTTAAAAGAGTTTTATAGTTTTAGCTCTTACATTTAGGTAGGTATTTGACTCATTTTGTGTTAATTTATGTATATGGTGTGAGCTAAGGATCCAACTTCATTCTTTTGCATGTGGCTATCCAGTTTTGCTAGGACCATTTGTTGAAAAGACTATTCTTTCTCTGTTAAACTGTCTTGCTGCTTCTGTCAAAAATTAATTGGCCATAAGTGTAAGGGCTTATTTCTGGACTCTCAAGTCTATTTCATTGATCTATATATCTATCCTTATGCCGATATCACATTGTCTTGAATACTATAGCTGTGTAGTAATTTTGATATTGAGAAGTGCAAGTCCTCCATCTTTGTTTTCTTTTTATCAAGATTGTTTTGGCTATTCTGGGTCCCTTCCATTTCCATATGAATTTGCAGAATTGACAGCTTGTCAATTTCTGCAAAGAAATCAGCTAGAATTTTGATAAGGGTTGTGTTGAACGTGTACATTAATTTGTGGGGTATTGCCATTTTAACAAAATTAAGTCCTCTGATTCATGAACATGAAATGTCTTTCAACCTATTTAGATCTTCTTTAATAATGTTAAACAATGTTTTGTAGTTTCATTGTACAAGTCTCAGACTACTTTGTTAAATTTATTCATAAATGTTTACTGTTTTTGATGCTATTGTAAATTGAACTTTTTCTTACTTTTATTTCACATAGTTGGTTGTTAATGTATAGAAAAACAATTGATTATCTTGTATCTTGCAATCTTGGTGGTTTATTAGTTCTAATAATTTCTTTTGGTGAATGCCTTCAGATTTTCTATATATAAGATCATGTTATTTGTAAATTGTGGTAGTTTTACTTACTGTACTCCATTGTGGGTGCCTTTACTTATCTTTTTATTCCCTAACTGAGCTGGCTAGACCCTCCAGTACAATGTTGAATAGAAGTAGCAAAAGTGAACATCTTTATCCTGTTTCTGGATTCAGCCTTTCATCATTAAGTATAATGTTAACTGTGAATTTTCTTTTTTTGTGTATGTGGGGGGACGGAGTCTTGCTTGTCACCATGCTGGAGTGCAGTGGCATGATCTCAGCTCACTGCAACCTCCGCCTTCTGGGTTCAAGTGATTCTCCTGCCTCAGCCTCCTGAGTAGCTGGGACTACAGGCGCATGCCACCACACACAGCTACTTTTTGTATTTTAGTATAGACGGGGTTTCACCATGTTGGCCAGGATGGTCTCAATCTCTTGACATCGTGATCCACCCGCCTTGGCCTCCCAAAGTGCTGGGATTACAGGTGTGAACCACCACGCCCAGCCTAATTGTGAATTTTCAAACCTTTATCAGGTTGAGGACATTTTCTTCAATTCCTATTTTTTGAGTGTTTTATCATGAATGGGTGTTGGATTTTGTCAAATGCCTTTTTTGTATGTCTATTGAAATGATTATGTACTTTGTTTTGTTTTGTTATTTACTCTATTGATATGGTGAATTCAATTAATTGATTTTTGGATGTTAAACCAACTTTGCATTCCTGGGCTAAATCCCACATGTTCATATTGTTTAATGCCTTTTATATACTTCTGGGTTAGGTTTGCTAGTATTTCGTTGAAAATGTTTATATCTATATTGCTAAGGGATATTGGTTTATAGTTTTCTTGTGATGCCTTTAGTTTTGGTATAATATGGGTATGAGACAATGAATTGGGAAGTGTTCCTTCTATTTCTTAAAAGAGTTTATGCAAGATCAGTATTAATTCTTTAAATGTTTGATAGAATTAGCCAGTGAAGCTATCTGGGTCTGGGCTTCTATTTGTGGGAAATTTTAGAATTAGTAATTCAATCTCTTTGGTTGTGATTGTTTTATTCAGATTAACTATTTCTTCATGAGTCAGTTTTGGCAGTTTGCGTCTTTCTAGGAATTTGCGCATTTCATTTAACTAGTTTGTTGGCATGCAATTGTTCATAGTATTCTTTTTTATTAATTTTAATTTCTGTATTGATTTTCCCTCATTTTATGAGTCTCATTTTTCCTTTTTTATTCATTTTAATTTCTGTATTGATTTTCTCTTATTGCTCATTTTAATGGTTTGAATCCTCTGGTCAGTTGGCTGAAGAGTTGTCAATTTTATTGCTGATCATGTATCACTTTTATAATTGAATTGTTATAAGAAGACATAAGAAGTAAGAGGCAACCCCTACAATGGAGAACATTAAGGTACACTCAAGCTTTTCTGCCCATTCTTCCTACATGCCAATATGGTTGATCCAAAGTTATTTTCATTACTCTCCTCTCCATCTCTTGTCTGGAGTTGTAGGTAAGGTGAAGTTTGGGGATTGTGCACCCACACTGGGAGCTGGTGCCTTGGTGACTTTCCAGCAGTGACAGGCCATACACTGTGGAAAGGGTTTATTTCATACCATGCTCTTGAGATAGAAGAAACCATGGCCCCGTGGCCACTCGATCTGATGTCATAACTCACCGATATTGTTTTTGCCGTGTTTCCAGTTCTTTACGTCGGTGTTGCTTGAGAATGTGAATTTGGTCATCTCGGGCCAACTTTGCTGTAAAGAAAGAACAACATGAGAGGAGCCTGAGGAAGAACAATAACAATGCCCAATGCCAAGTGTTCAGGCTTCCCTCAGATGCCCTGCCCATGCCGAGTGCTTTATGTGCATGACCTCATTTGAGCCTCAGAGCACTTCCCCAATTAATGATGAAGAAACTGAGGCTTAGGGAAGTTGTGTAGCTTTGCTCTTGAACTTTACCCAAGGTCACACACCTAATTAGTGAATTTTCTTTTTTTTTTTTTAATTCTACTTTAAGTTCTAGGATACATGTGCACAACGTGCAGGTTTGTTACATATGTATACATGTGTCATGTTGGTGTGCTGCACCCATTAACTCGTCATTTACATTAGTTATATCTCCTAATGCTATCCCTCCCCCTTACCCCCACCCCATGACAGACCTTGGTGTGTGATGTTCCCCTTCCTGTGTCCAAGTGTTCTCATTGTTCAATTCCCACCTATGAGTGAGAACATGTAGTGTTTGTTTTTTTGTCCTTGCGATAGTTTGCTGAGAAGGGTGATTTCCAGCTTCATCCATGTCCCTACAAAGGACATGAATTCATCCTTTTTTATGGCTGCATAGTATTCCATGGTGTATATGTGCCACATTTTCTTAATTCAGTCTATCATTGATGGACATTTGGGTTGGTTCCAAGTCTTTGCTATTGTGAATAGTGCTGCAATAAACATACGTGTGCATGTGTCTTTATAGCAGCATGATTTATAATCCTTTGGGTATATACCCAGTAATGGGATGGCTGGGTCAAATGGTATTTCTAGTTCTAGATCCCTGAGGAATTGCCACAGTGTCTTCCACAAAGGTTGAACTAGTTTACAGTCCCACCAACAGTATAAAAGTGTTCCCATTTCTCCACACCCTCTCCAGCACCTGTTGTTTCCTGACTTTTTAATGATTGCCATTGTAACTGGTGTGAGATGGTATATCATTATGGTTTTGATTTGCATTTCTCTGATGGCCAGTGATGATGAGCATTTTTTCATGTGTCTGTTGGCTGCATAAACGTCTTCTTTTGAGAAGTGTCTGTTCATATCCTTCGCCCACTTTTTGATGGGGTTGTTTGTTTTTTTCTTGTAAATTTGTTTGAGTTGTTTGTAGATTCTGGATATTAGCCCTTTGTCAGATGAGTAGATTGCAAAATTTTTTTCCCATTCTGTAGGTTGCCTGTTCACTCTGATGGTAGTTTCTTTTGCTGTGCAGAAGCTCTTTAGTTTAATTAGATCCCATTTGTCCATTTTGGCTTTTGTTGCCATTGCTTTTGGTGTTTTAGACATGAAGTCCTTGCCCATGCTTATGTCCTGAATGGTATTGCCTAGGTTTTCCTCTAGGGTTTTGATGGTTTTAGGTCTAACATTTAAGTCTTTAATCCACCTTGAATTAATTTTTGTATAAGGTGTAAGGAAGGGATCCAGCTTCAGCTGTCTACCTATGGCTAGCCAGTTTTCCCAGCACCATTTATTAAATAGGGAATCCTTTCCCCATTGCTTGTTTTTGTCAGGTTTGTCAAAGATCAGATGGTTGTAGATGTGTGGTGTCATTTCTGAGGGCTCTGTTCTGTTCCATTGGTCTATATCTCTGTTTTGGTACCAGTACCATGCTGTTTTGGTTACTGTAGCCTTGTAGTATAGTTTGAAGTCAGGTAGCATGATGCCTCCAGCTTTGTTCTTTTGGCTTAGGATTGTCTTGGCAATGCGGGCTCTTTTTTGGTTCCATATGAACTTTAACGTAGATTTTTCCAATTCTGAGAAGAAAGTCATTGGTAGTTTGATGGGGATGACATTGAATCTATAAATTACCTTGGGAGTATGGCCATTTTTATGATATTCATTCTTCCTATCCATGAGCATGGGATGTTCTTCCATTTGTTTGTGTCTTCCTTTATTTCGTTGAGCAGTGATTTGTAGTTCTCCTTGAAGAGGTCCTTCACATCCCTTGTAAGTTGGATTCTTAGGTATTTTATTCTCTTTGTAGCAATTGTGAATGGGAGTTCACTCCTGATTTGGCTCTCTGTTTGTCTGTTATTGGTGTATAAGAATGCTTGTGATTCTTGCACATTGATTTTGTATCCTGAGACTTTGCTGAAGTTGCCTATCAGCTTTAAGGAGATTTTGGGCTGAGACAATGGGGTTTTCTAAATATACAATCATGTCATCTGGAAACAGGGACAATTTGACTTCCTCTTTTCCTAATTAAATACCCTTTATTTCTTTCTCCTGCCTGATTGCCCTGGCCAGAACTTCCAACACTATGTTGAATAGGAGTGGTGAGAGAGGGCATCCCTGTCTTGTGCCAGTTTTCAAAGGGAATGCTTCCAGTTTTTGCCCATTCAGTATGATATTGGTTGTGGGTTTGTCATAAATAGCTCTTATTATTTTGAGATACGTCCCATCAATACCTAATTTATTGAGAGTTTTTAGCATGAATGGTTGTTGAATTTTGTCAAAGGCCTTTTCTGCATCTATTGAGATAATCATGTGGTTTTTGTCTTTGGTTCTGTTTATATGCTGGATTACATTTATTGATTTGTGTATGTTGAACCAGCTTTGCATCCCAGGGATGATGCCCACTTGATCCTGGTGGATAAGCTTTTTGATGTGCTGCTGGATTCGGTTTGCCAGTATTTTATTGAGGATTTTTGCATCGATGTTCATCAGGGATATTGGTCTAAAATTGTTTTTTTTGTGTGTGTATCTGCCAGGCTTTGGTATCAGGATGATGCTGGCCTCATAAAATGAGTTAGGGAGGATTCCCTCTTTTTCTATTGATTGGAATAGTTTCAGAAGGAATGGTACCAGCTCCTCCTTGTACCTCTGGTAGAATTCGGCTGTGAATCCATCTGGTCCTGAACTTTTCTGGGTTGGTAGGCTGTTAATTATTGCCTCAATTTCAGAGCCTGTTATTGGTCTATTCAGGGATTCAACTTCTTCCTGGTTTAGTCTTGGGAGGGTGTATGTGTCGAGGAATTTATCCATTTTTTCTAGATTTTCTAGTTAATTTGCTTAGAGTTGTTTATAGTATTCTCTGATGGTAGTTTGTATTTCTGTGGAATCCGTGGTGATGTCCCCTTTATCACTTTTTATTGCGTCTAATTGATTCTTCTCTTCTTTTTTTTTTCTTTTTTTTTAATTGATCATTCTTGGGTGTTTCTCGCAGAGGGGGATTTGGCAGGGTCATAGGACAATAGTGGAGGGAAGGTCAGCAGATAAACAAGTCAACAAAGGTCTCTGGTTTTCCTAGGCAGAGGACCCTGCGGCCATCCGCAGTGTTTGTGTCCCTGGGTACTTGAGATTAGGGAGTGGTGATGACTCTTAAGGAGCCTGCTGCCTTCAAGCATCTGTTTAACAAAGCACATCTTGCACTGCCCTTAATCCATTTAACCCTGAGTGGACACAGCACATGTTTCAGAGAGCACAGGGTTGGGGGTAAGGTCATAGATCAACAGGATCCCAAGGCAGAAGAATTTTTCTTAGTACAGAACAAAATGAAAAGTCTCCCATGTCTACCTCTTTCTACACAGACACAGCAACCATCCGATTTCTCAATCTTTTCCCCACCTTTCCCCCTTTTCTATTCCACAAAACCACCATTGTCATCATGGCCCGTTCTCAATGAGCTGTTGGCTACACCTCCCAGATGGGGTGGTGGCCAGGCAGAGGGGCTCCTCACTTCCCAGTAGGGGTGGCCAGGCAGAGGCACCCCTCACCTCCCGGACGGGGCAGCTGGCCGGGCGGGGGGCTGACCCCCCCACCTCCCTCTCGGACGGGGCGGCTGGCCGGGCGGGGGGCTGAACCCCTCCCCTCCCGGACGGGGCGGCTGGCCGGGCGGGGGGCTGACCGCCCCCCACCTCCCTCCCGGACAGGGTGGCTGCCGGGCGGAGACGCTCCTCACTTCCCAGACGGGGCGGCTGCCGGGCGGAGGGGCTCCTCACTTCTCAGAAGGGGCGGCTGCCGGGCGGAGGGGCTCCTCACTTCTCAGATGGAGGGGCTCCTCACTTCTCAGATGGGGCGGCTGCCGGGCGGAGGGTCTCCTCACTTCTCAGACAGGGCGGCCGGGCAGAGGCGCTCCTCACCTCCCAGACAGGGTGGTGGGGCAGTGGTGCTCCCCACATCTCAGATGATGGGCGGCTGGGCAGAGACGCTCCTCACTTCATCCCAGACGATGGGCGGCCAGGCAGAGACGCTCCTCACTTCCTAGACAGGATGGCGGCCGGGCAGAGACGCTCCTCACTTTCCAGACTGGGCAGCCAGGCAGAGGGGCTCCTTACATCCCAGACGATGGGTGGCCAGGCAGAGACGCTCCTCACTTCCCAGACGGGGTGGCGGCCGGGCAGAGGCTGCAATCTCGGCACTTTGGGAGGCCAAGGCAGGCGGCTGGGAGGTGGAGGTTGTAGCGAGCCGAGATCACGCCACTGCACCCCAGCCTGGGCACCATTGAGCACTGAGTGAATGAGACTCCGTCTGCAATCCCGGCACCTCGGGAGGCCGAGGCTGGCGGATCACTCGCGGTTAGGAGCTGGAGACCAGCCTGGCCAACACAGCGAAACCCCGTCTCCACCAAAAAAATATGAAAAACAGTCAGGCGTGGCGGTGCGCACCTGCAATCGCAGGCACTCGGCAGGCTGAGGCAGGAGAATCAGGCAGGGAGGTTGCAGTGAGCCGAGATGGCAGCAGTACAGTCCAGCTTTGGCTCGGCATCAGAGGGAGACCGTGGAAAGAGAGGGAGAGGGAGACCGTGGGGAGAGGGAGAGGGAGACCGTGGGGAGAGGGAGAGGGAGAGGGGAGAGGGGAGATGGGAGAGGGGAGAGGGGAGATGGGAGAGGAGAGAGGGGAGAGGGGAGAGGGGAGAGGGAGAGCTGATTCTTCTCTTTTCTTCTTTATTAGTCTTGCTAGCAGTCTATCAATTTTGTTGATCCTTTCAAAAAATCAGCTCCTGGACTCATTGATTTTTTGAAGGGATTTTTGTGTCTCTACCTCCTTCAGTTCTGCTCTGATCTTAATTATTTCTTGCCTTCTGCTAGCTTTTGAATGTGTTTGCTCTTGCTTCTCTAGTTCTTTTAACTGTGATGTTAGGGTGTCAATTTTAGATCTTCCCTGCTTTCTCTTGTGGGCATGTAGTGCTATAAATTTCCCTCTACACACTGCTTTAAATGTGTCCCAGAGATTCTGGTATGTTGTGTCTTTGTTCTCATTGGTTTCAAAGAAAATCTTTATTTCTGCCTTCATTTCGTTATGTACCCAGTAGTCATTCAGGTGCAGGTTGTTCAGTGTCCATGTAGTTGAGAGGTTTTGAGTGAGTTTCTTAATCTTGAGTTCTAGTTTGATTGCACTGTGGTCTGAGAGACAGTTTGTTATGGTTTCTGTTCTTTTACATTTGCTAAGGAGTGCTTTACTTCCAACTATGTGGTCAATTTCAGAATAGGTGTGATGCAGTGCTGAGAAGAATGTACATTCTGTTGATTTGGGGTGGAGAGTTCTGTAGATGTCTATTAGCTCCGCTTGCTGGAGAGCTGAGTTCAATTCCTGGATATCCTTGTTAACTTTCTGTCTCATTGATCTGTCTAATGTTGACAGTGGGGTGTTAAAGTCTCTCATTATTATTGTGTGGGAGTCTAGGTCTCTTTGTAGGTCTCTAAGGACTTGCTTTATAAATCTGGGTGCTCCTGTATTGGGTGCATATACGTTTCGGATAGTTAGCTCTTCTTGTTGAATTGATCCCTTTACCATTATGTAATGGCCTTCTTTGTCTCTTTTGATCTTTGTTGGTTTAAAGTCTGTTTTATCAGAGACTAGGATTGCAACCCCTGCCTTTGTTTTCCATTTGCTTGGTAGATCTTCCTCCAATCCCTTTATTTTGAGCTTATGTGTGTCTCCGCACATGAGATGGGTTTCCTGAATACAGCACACTGATGGGTCTTGACTCTTTATCCAATTTGCCAGTCTGTGTCTTTTAATTGGAGCATTTAGCCCATTTACATTTATGGTTAATATTGTTATGTGTGAATTTGATCTTGTCTTTACGATGTTAGATGGTTATTTTGCTCATTAGTTGATGCAGTTTCTTCCTAGCATTGATGGTCTTTACAATGTGGCATGTTTTTGCAGTGGCTGGTACCAGTTGTTCATTTCCATGTTTAGTGCTTCCTTCAGGAGTTCTTTTAGGGCAGGCCTGGTGGTGACAAAATCTCTCAGCATTTGCTTGTCTGTAAAGGATTTTATTTCTCCTTCACTTATGAAGCTTAGTTTGGCTGGATATGAAATTCTGGGTTGAAAATTCTTTTCTTTAAGAATGTTGAATATTGGCCCCCAGTCTCTTCTGGCTTGTAGGGTTTCTGCCGAGAGATCAGCTGTTAGTCTGATGGGCTTCCCTTTGTGGGTAACCTGACCTTTCTCTCTGGCTGCCCTTAACATCTTTTCCTTCATTTCAACTTTGGTGAATCTGACAATTATGTGTCTCGGAGTTGCTCTTCTCAAGGAGTATCTTTGTGGTGTTCTCTGTATTTCCTGAATTTGAATGTTGGCCTGCCTTGCTAGGGTGAGCAAGTTCTCCTGCATAATATCCTGCAGAGTGTTTTCCAACCTGGTTCCATTCTCCCCATCACTTTCAGGTACACCAATCAGATGTAGATTTGGTCTTTTCACATAGTCCCATATTTCTTGGAGGCTTCGTTCATTTCTTTTTATTCTTTTTTCTCTAAACTTATCTTCTCGCTTCATTTCATTCATTTGATCTTCAGTCACTGATACCCTTTCTTACAGTTGATCGAATCGGCTACTGAAGCTTGTGCATTCGTCACATAGTTCTCGTGCCATGTTTTTCAGCTCCATCAGGTCATTTAAGGACTTCTCTACATTGGTTATTCTAGTTAGCCATTCGTCTAATCTTTTTTCAAGGTTTTTAGCTTTTTTTGCGATGGGTTCCAACTTCCTTCTTTAGCTGGGAGAAGTTTGATCATCTGAAGCCTTCTTCTCTCAACTCGTCAAAGTCATTCTCCATCCAGCTTTGTTCCACCACTCGCGAGGAGCTGCCTTCCTTTGGAAGGGGAGAGGCACTCTGATTTGTAGAATGTTCAGCTTTTCTGCTCTGTTTTTCCCCATCTTTGTGGTTTTATTTACCTTTGGTCTTTGATGATGGTGACGTACAGATGGGGTTTTGGTGGTGTGGATGTCCTTTCTGTTTGTTAGTTTTCCTTCTAACAGTCAGGACCCTCAGCTGCAGGTTTGTTGATGTTTGCTAGAGGTCCACTCCAGACCCTGTTTGCCCGAGTATCAGCAGCAGAGGCTGCAGAACAGCGAATATTGCTGAACAGCAAATGTTGCTGCCTGATTGCTCCTCTGGAAGCTTTGTCTCAGAGGTGTACCTGGCCATGTGGGGTGTCAGTCTGCCCCTACTGGAGGGTGCCTCCCAGTTAGGCTACTCTGGGGTCAGGGAGCCACTTGAGGGGGCAGTCTGTCCCTTCTCAGATCTCAAATTCCATGTTGGGTGAACCACTAGTCACTTCAAAGCTGTCAGACAGGGACATTTAAGTCTGCAGAGGTTTCTGCTGCCTTTTGTTCGGCTATGACCTGCCCCCAGAGGTGGAGTCTACAGAGGCTGGCAGGCCTTCCTGAGCTGCGATGGGCTCCACCCAGTTCGAGCTTGCTGGCAATGAGCAAGGCTCTGTGGGCATGGGACCCTCCGAGCCAGACATGGGATATAATCTCCTGGTATGCTGTTTGCTAAGACTGTTGGAAAAGTACAGTATTAGGGTGGGAGTGACCCAATTTTCCAGGTGCTGTCCGTCACCACTTCCCTTGGCTAGGAAAGGGAATTCCCTGACTCCTTGCACTTCCCAGGTGAGGTGATGCTCACACTCAATGGGCTGCCCCCACTGTTCTGCCCCCACTGTCCAACAATCCCCAGTGAGATGAACCCAGTGCCTCAGTTGGAAATGCAGAAATCACCCATCTTCTGCATTGCTCATGTTGGGAGCTGTAGACTGGAGCTGTTCCTATTCGGCCATCTTGGAACCAGTCTGAATTAGTGAATTTTCAACATAAAACTCAACTCCTGTGCTCTTAGCCACTCACTTTACAAAAGCCAAATCCAGTTCCTCATCCTCTTGCCCACTCACTCAGCAAGCCTTGGGGCCCCTGCCTTTCAGTGCTTAGAGAATCATGTTCAGATGCAAGAGCCAGGCTTGGTTCTCACTGGGCTTGGCAGGCACAGTACATGCCTAACTCTGGCCTGCGTGTGCATTTCCACTTGAGGTCCTAACCTTCCACTCAGCCCCTCAAGACTCTTCAGGGACCTAAGGGCCCCTGGTGCAGAGCTGCCTTTTTGCTCCAGGAGAAAGGCATTTCGTGGCCCTTGGTGGGTATCTTTAAATCACTGCAGAATAGTTTACTCCTCTTCTCTGAAATTCTTATACTGAGCAAAAACGGGAGTTCACTCTGGGTTTTAGTGTTGCCTGTGAGAGCAGCAGTTCTCACAGCTCTTATGTTTCTAAGTCCATTTCATTGTTTCATGGAGAAATGTGTGACGATGACACAACCCGGTTTCCTGTCGTGCCTACACAGAGGATTGAGAATGAGCTCCATTCTAAAAGAGTGCAGTGTCCTAGATGGCTTTAGAAGAGACACATGTGCTTGGACTTGGGCTCTGTCACTGAAGCTGTGTGACCAAGAGTTGCCCTGACCCCCTCACATGTAAAATGGAGATGATAATGCCTACTTCTCCGGGTCATGGTGTGCATTTGGGGAGAGAATGCAGGAAAGCCCTCCACACGGCGCCTGGCACGCAGTAAATGCCAATGGATGGGAACAATGATCATTATCATTATGCCTATAGTCATCACTGGCCTGAGGGTTCTGCTCCTCCCTCTAAGCCTAGCTCTGAGAGCATCTTATCTCTCAGCCTGTCCTGCTGCCGTCTCTCACTGCAGGAGTTGGAGCAGGTAGCAGGTAGCTAAGGGCGGGGCTGCTTCTCAGAGCCTTTAGAGCAGATGAGGTCATATCATGACCACTCTTTAAACTATTGCTTAAGGCCAAGCCTGTGAACGCAGCCCATAGAGCTGTGAATAGGGGGAGCCCAGATCTCCTGAAAACAGGTCCTGGAATAGTTTCTCTAGCTCTCGTGGTAAAGCATTGTGTTTTAAAACTTACTTTTCAACACAGATTATTATATTTTTGTAAAATATAATAAAAATTAATTACTAGAAAAATGAAATTTTAAAAACCCAAAGATATTCAAAATCCAAGTCTTTTTTTTTCTTATTAGGTGCAAAAGTCACAAAATTGTTCTGTTAAGTTGCTATAAAAGTTTCTAAAACCCCTCCTCTGAGTCTTTGTATTTTATTTTGTATTTATTTTATTTTTATTTTTTTTAAGAGACAGGGTCTCCCTCTGTCTCCCAGGCTAGAGTGCAGTGGCATGATCATAGCTCCCTGCAGCCTTGAACTTCAGGACTCAAGTGATTCCCCAACCTCAGCCTCCTAAGTAGTTGGGACTATAGGCACACACCACCACACCTGGCTAATTTTTTTTTTTTTTTTGAGACAGAGTCTTGCTCTGTTGCCCAGGCTGGGGTACAGTGGCATGATCTCAGCTCACTGCAAGCTCCACTTCCCAGGTTCACGCCATTCTCCTGCCTCAGCCTCCCAAGTAGCTGGGACTACAGTTGCCCACCACCACATCCAGCTAATTTTTTGTATTTTTAGTAGAGACGGGGTTTTACTGTGTTAGCCAGGATGGTCTCGATCTCCTGACCTTGTGATCCACCCGCCTCGGCCCCTAGCTAATTTTCAATTTTTTTTGTAGAGATGGGGTCTCTCTACATTGCCCAGGCTTGTGACAAAATCCTAGACTCAAACAATCCTCCCGCCTTAGCCACCCAAAGTGCTGGAACTATAGGCTTCAACCTCTGTACTGATCTAATTGCAGACCTGGACGCAGTTAGTTCTCAGATGACACTCAGGCCACATTCTGAGCTGTCCACCCGACAGCACTTCCAGGCTGAGACATCTTCATCCTTGAGCTTGGAACTGGGGTCCAAAAAGGAATATTAACGGGATACCTCTGCATCCTCCCCTGGGGATGTAAAGCCAGCCAGGAGGGGAGGCTTGAGGCCACAGAAGGCAAGCTGAGTATTAATGGTGACAATAACTGTTATCATTGGCTATGGGGGTAATTCTGGAGGCACTCAACATTCATCATCTCTTATCTACCTTAAGGAACCAGCTAATCTCTTGGGCACCTTGACTCTGAGGAGCTGGATCTCTTCAGTTTCACTGGTATGAATAAGTCAGTACATGCGGAATTGCAACATGCCAAGTTTCAAAAAGAGAATAGTTCTGTCTCCCCTGGTCCCGAAGGTGTTTGAAGAATTTATCCAATGGCTGATGAAGTTCTGGGAGCACAGCAGGATGAGAAAGCCTGGACTGACGGCAGAAGAGCTCAGCAGGGCAGGTTCCAAGGACTGACACAGTGCCTTAATGAAGCTGTCCCTTCACACAGATGCTCTGGATCTGTGGGGCCACAGTAATGGCCCTCTGACATTCATGTTCACCCAAGGTGTAGTGGTGAAATATTAGATTTAAGGGGTGATCATATGGTGAGTAATTGAATCACTTGTAGGCTGGCCCCCCTCATTTCCAGGTTGTTCAAGGGATTGGTTGTTTTGCCATGTGGTGGATTAATAATTGGCCACAGCTGGACATGGTAGCTCATGACTGTAATCCCAGCACTTTGGGAGGCCGAGCCGGGTGGATCACCTGAGGTCAGGAGTTCCAGACTAGCCTGGCCAACATGGCAAAACCCTTTCTCTAGTAAAAATACAAAAATTAGCCAGGCTTGGTGGCTACCTGGAGCCTGTAAACCAAGCTCCCTAGGAGGCTGAGGCAGGAGAATCGCTTGAACCTGGGAGGCAGAGGTTGCAGTGGGCTGAGATCGTGCCACTGCCCTCCAGCTTGGGCAATAGAGTGAGACTCTGTCCCAAAATAATAATAATAATAATAATAATAGGCCACAAATTCTTTGACATTCCTTCCATTGAGAGATGGGGGGGTCTGCATCCCCACCCCCACCCCCGGAGTCTGGGTGGGCTCTGTGACTGCTTGGACCAGTAGAATATGATGGAAGTTACAGTGTGCCAGTTTCCAGGCCCAAGCCTGAAGAGATTGGCAGCTTCCACTTTCTGTCTCTTAGAAAACTTGCTCTTGGAAGCCAGCCATCATGTAAGAAATGCAGGCACCCAGAGGACACCATTCTGTGAGAAGCCTTAAAGAATGAGACTCCATATGGACAGAGAGGCCAAGGAGCCTAGAGGTGCCAGACACATGACAGAAGAAGGCCCAGCCCCCTTCAGCTGATGCTACATGGCCACAGATGAACTGCCCAGTGAAGCCTTTCCTAAATTCCTGACCTGCAAGAGCATGAACAAAATTAAATGGCTGTTTAAAGTTACCAAGGAGGTTGGTTTTACAGCAGTAGAGAGAATGGAACTTGCTGGACAGCTTCTCTATGCTCACCCTCCAACCTGTGCTGTCCCTGAAAGTGATTGGAATGAGATGCCTCAATGGGTTTTCCACTGGGAACTCTGACCAGAAAGGAGGGAATGTGTAGAGGAAGGAGAGGCCAATCACTCCCCAGAACCTTTCTACTGAGGGCCGCAGCTCCTCCAAGGGTGCTGTCTCCAGGATACTTCTGCATTACTCCCACAACCTTCCCCCTCCCCCTGCATCAGGACTAGTGGTGCTGATGGCCCCGCACTCTGCATGGTCCCTCTGCACATGGGCCCACACCTTTGTGATGCCCCTTTGTTAAACCCTCATCCTAGTGTACCATCTGTTTTTTGCCAAGATGAGCTGAAGGGTCTGCAGGAAGAAGGGCTTCATAACCGAGACCTTGGGTAGATGTGCAGGAGGGAGTTTCAGAGCCAGCATTTTCTAACTACCAGAAAAAGAGAAGTGCCCTGTCCACAACCTTCCACATTCTGTTGACCACAGGAATAAATGAACTTTGTGATTTTTTTTCCTGTCATTAGGTAGGGGGACAAAAATCCTCTTAACTCCATGTTCAGAAATATTCTGGAAATTTGGTTTCTTAAGTCAAATTCCACATCAGAAACGATGGGATGTGGCCTGGTAGCTTAAGAACAGCAGGTACAGAATAACTTTTTTCTCCTTTGTCTCAGTTTTCTTAGCTATAAAATGGGGGTAACAGTCATCTCTTCCTACCTACCCCACCAAACTTCGTGAAGAACACACTAGCTACAGGAAACTTGGCAAAGAGAAAGAGTTTGACGCTGTCATGGCAGAAGCAGTGGCTTTCTCTTATTACGGTGGCTGCCTGGCCTTTGAAGGCTTATCTTTCCAGGTTTAAACTGAGAGCAAGCTGAAGGGTTATGACTCGAAGTGAGGTAGGATTTTGCCAGGCACACTAGGAGGCTGGGTATGCAAGGTGGTTCATTCAGGGAGCCTTGGCTGACCTTGACGCCTGCGTCCGTCTCTGATGCTCTGTACCAGGTCAGCTGTGTGTCCCTAACAAAGAATGGCCTCCTAACTGGGGTCTGCACATCTGGGCATCTTAGTAAGGGGAACAGATTTGAGGTTCTTCTTTCTTTCAGCGAAAGGTGAGACTTCGGGTTGAAGAACTGGTAACTGTGATTTGCAGGCTTGTCCATGGCTCCTCAGAGCTGGCACTTGGGGTGCTCCTTGTCCACCCCTTCCCTCCCTAGGCCCACATGGGGCACCCTGAGCTTGCCTGAGCCCTACTGTGATCTCACGGAGGGCAGGCTATGAACTAGAAAGTGATGCCACACCCTGGCAACTAGAGAAGTGCCCATCCAGGGGCATGTCCCATAGGTATCTGCCTGTATGGACCCTAGTTACCCACTGACAAAAAGAGGGGCACAACCCTCCCCTGTAGAACTGTAGCGCAGAGTGAGGACATGACGACAGTGAGGCCTGGGGCCACCCGCTCCACCCTCAGGGGCTTGTAAGAATCCCAAGGAAAGTCATGCCTCCTGCAGGTGTGTCGAGGCACAGGGCAGAGCCCTCCCACTTCCCGCCCCTGCACAGCAGTGTCATTCCTCCTATGACTACAGTGCTTTGAGGACAGGAAGAACTTTCGGTTCTTGGGAAGCCCGGGGCAGAAGGGGCCTGAGCTGCTCACCGCGTCCATCCCTCAGGACAACCTCGACATCGCCGGTGATCCAGCGGTAGCAGGGGAACTCGATGTAGTCCCCGTGGGGCGTCTTCAGCGTGATGTACTTCAGGTACCAGTCGTCATTCAGCCAGTACTTGCGCTTCTCGATTCTGACCAGCTGGATCTCGCCCAGTTCCTCGTCCACAGTCACGTCGTATGAATCCACCTGGGAAGGAGAACAGGCAATCAGGCCATGCGTGGTCTCCTGAGCCTTTGTTCTGGAGGTGTTAAGAATTTGTCACCCCAAGGTATGCTGCTGTGGCACAGGGACTACGTTGAATGAAAAGCACTTAAAAAAACAGCAGGTGCAAGATACTCTGACATTCGTGCTGTTTCTTAGAAGCAGGAGATGAAAGTCCCCTATGAAAGATGTCCTCACTATACCAAAAGGAAAGTAACACTCTTTTCATCAAGGTTGGGAAGTTGAAGCCAAAGGAAATCCATACAAACAGATCTTGTACAATGAACGCTTACCTCCCGAGTCACTTCCCTGCCCAGTTACCTGCCCTAGCCCAAGCCCCTTGGCCTTATCACATCTCACGATGATTCATTCAATGCAGTATCTAAGGGGGATTGACTCTAACTGCTTCTTGGGGTCTTCATCTTTTTAAGAGGGCTCCCATGCCACGTACAACTTGTATTAAAGAAATCTGTAGGCTTTCGCCCATGAATCTGTCTTATGCCGATTCTCAGACCTAGCTGAAATGGGAAGAGGTGGAGTTTTGCCTCCACTACAGTTCATGGAGCCAAGATTCTTCATGAACACCTTAAATGAACTCCTGAATTCATTTACCCAAGACATTCACTGAAGGCCTGCCCCTGACAAGGCTCAGTGCTACGACCCAGGCAGGTGAAAGAAATGGACAAATCCTGGGCCCTGCCCTTGAGGAGAGAGAATCCAGTGAGCCAGGATGGTGCTGTGCTGCTCAGAGGGCAACGCCTGCTGACTGCACTTAGCTCAGGCTGGAGGATGGGGAGATGCCCAGGCTCATGCCTGCACCTGCGAGGCTGTGCCCAGTGAGGGTCCGCAGCTGCCCCCACATGGGATAGCCTTGTGGGAGACCTTTACAACTGGAGATGGGCTTGCTGACAGTGGATCCCCACAATGACTCTGGGAGTGCAGGGGAGTTACCACCCCTTCCACAGATGAAGACAGCGAGGCTCAGTGACTCCCACCTCTGCCACTTGCCAGCAGAGCTGGAGTCACACCCCAGGTCTTTCCATCATAGCCACTTCCTCTCTTTCCAGTTTTCAGTGGGGATAATAAGTGAGTGAAAATGGTGAGGCTTAGATACAGGGAGCTTGCATGGATTCGAGTCGTCCTGGGACATTTGCAGTTCACAGCTGCATGGTGATGCCCAGAGAACAGTGAGACCAAGCAGCTCTGCTGCACCTGTGGCATTACTGGTGGCAGGGTGAGGCTAGCCTTGCAGCTAGAAGGCACCACCCCAGGCTGTGTACAGCGCAGCTGCCCAGGCCTCTGGGACAAGGCTGCTTGGCCCCCTCCCTGCCAGGCTCCTGCTTCCAGGACACAGGCGGCTCTGAGGCAACAGCCATAGCTTCTGGAGGGCTTTTGTCTCTGCAGCAATGGATGGCAGACAGGAAGTTGGGATGAGAGGCTCAGGCATTGCATCACGCATTCTGATGACCAGCAGGTTTGGAAAGCCCCGGACTCGATGCCCTCCAAGGCATGTTCTTTTTTATTTTGAGGTGGAGTCTCACTGTGTTGCTCAGGCTGGAGTGCAGTGGCTCGATCTCGGCTCACTGCAACCTCCACTTCCAGGGTTCAAGTGATTCTCCTGCCTCAGTCTCCCAAGTAGCTGGGACTACAGGCACCTGCCACCACATCTGGTTAAGTTTTGTATTTTCAGTAGAGACAGGGTTTCACCATGTTGGCCAGGCTGGTCTCAAACTCCTGACCTCAAGTGATCCACCTGCCTCGGTCTCCCAAAGTGCTGGGATTACAGGCATGAGCCACTGTGCCTGGCCCCTGCAAGGCACTTTCTAAGCCAGATTCATCAACCCTTGAACTTTATCCCTGGCGGCAGAACCTAGAGTTCTCAGCATGATGGCAAAGTGGAAGGGGCGAGGGGTATCATCCTTTGTGCGAGCGCAGGCATCCCCATTCCATGCCCTGCCTCCAAGCTGCCAGGAGGACCCCTGGAGGGCTTCCTAAGAGGAATGGGAACTTGAGTGTTTTCCACAAACCTCCTGGCTCTGAATACCGTGAGCAGTTTGGGGTGGCTGACGCTGAGGCCAGACGCTTGTGGTCAGAAAGCGGAAGCTTCCTCCCTGTGCTCTGTAGTCTAGGCCAGAGGCCCTAGGAACAGTTTCTGATGACAGAGGAGCCAGGCCCATGTGGTGGGATGACATGTCTTGGGTCCAGCCACATGTGGACCAGCCTCGGCCCCACGACAATGCCCCTCCTGCAGGGAGAGTATCAGCCTCATCTGCCACCTCTGAGAAAGCCTTCCTGCCACAGCTTGTCCTCAGGAGAGCAGGGCCACACACAAGGCCTCGCCCATCATGGACAGGGTGGGCAGGTTCTGATGGGACAGGAGTCTCAGCATCTCAGGGGCTCGGGCCCATCTGGAGGAGCAGAGTGGGGGCTGAGTGGCCCAGGACTGGATACGCGTCGGGCCTGCCCCACGCCAGGCCCTGCATGCCACAGGGATTTACAGAGGCCTTAGCTGCAGGTTGTGAGCCAAGACAGAGATTCCTGATCCCACCGAGGAGTGGGGAGAGGGCAGTGAGGGGTAGAAGGCTCGGTGGGCCCTGGGGTCTGGAGCTCTGAATTCACATCCCAGCTTCAGGCAAGTAGCTGGATGGCCTGGGCACATTGCTTCATTCTCTGAAGCTGTTTCTTCATCTACCCAAAGGAGATACCCCTCACTTGCAGGACCATTGAGAAAATGAAATGACACCATCCTGGGTGGCCTCCTTTCTCCAGAGGCACAGGCCACCGGTTGTGTGCATCAGAACCACCAGTGCCCCTTCCTGAATCCAGGGGGTTGCAGGGCACCAGGCCCCACACCGCCTGTGAGCTAGCATGGGCCCCTGCGTCACGGCCACTTCGTGACTACATGTGCCAATCCGAGTAACTGGAGCACACATGGGAGGAGGAAACTGAACCTGTGACCTCAAACTCCTTCACTCAAAGCCCAGAAGGAACTCCTGAAAGGCTGGAGACAGGGCTGTGAGGACAGAGGGAGAGTGGGAGGCATTCTGAATGCTGGTGGGGCAGGCAGAGCAAGTCTGTGTGCGGTGAGGACTGAGGGGCGGCCACCAGAGGCCCGGGCCTGGTCTGAGTGTGGCTGCTGCAGGGGAAGTAGCTTTCCTATGGCTCTGAGGGGCTGGAGAGGGAGGAAGGTGTCCCCAGGGGATAGATGACAGGAAAGCTGGGGTGGGGTGGGAGGAGCTAACAGGGACACTCTCATGGGAGGGAGGCTCCCAGTACCTTGGACTAAGAGGGGAGGGAGATGGGCTGAGGAGGCATTCCAGGACTGGGCAGGTCCCACAGGGAGGGCCCGATGTCTACCTGGGGGTGACGACCCACACGAAGAGACTGAGCAGCTTCTCTGAGGGAGTGGACAGTGGGGTGACCCTCCAGCACACCTGTGGTGCAGTCACAGGGGACTGGGACACTCCTGGCCCCCTGCCCTACCTACACCTGCAGGCACCTGGTGGAGAGCCCCTGAGTTTCACTTGGGGTGAAATCACTAGGCAGATTTACAAGGACTCCATCTGCCATCTGACAGGGACTTCCACAGCAGGAGGGGGCCAGGCCTGCAGTCTGGCTGGTCTATGGCCAGCCCAGCCACTTTCCTGGTGCTGGCTTCAAGCCTGAATATGATAAGAGGTGAACAAGGGGCAGAGGGCTCCAGCCTTGACCCAACTCAGGGAGTAAAAGACAAAGCTTGATGGCTGTGGTTCTAACATCCCAGGGGCCACTAATGGAAGAATGACAGATAAAGGCCTCCTTCCAGGAAAATACCAGGGTCACATGTGTCAAACTGCAAAATATCTTCGGAAGGTTTGTGGAACTACAATGGCCACCTTCCTCCCTCCTCTCTGGGCCAAGTACACTGGGCTGATGCTATATTTGTCTATTTGCTGTGACACATTAAATTCTCAGGTGACACACTGAATTATGGTGGGCACTATCAACAGTGGACACCCCCCAACAGGCCCTCAGGAAGCACTGGGCCTGGGAATGGCCGAGCGAGTGATTATCCTGCTTTACAGATAGAAACTGAGGCTCAGAGAGCAATGGTGGCCTCAAGATCAGAACCTACACCTGTGTGATGGCCAAGCCCAGGTTCCTCCCACAGTTCCCCAAGGCCACATCTTGAGAAAAGCCCTGAACCGGAAGCTAGAAGGCCCAGCTTTGAGCCCTGGTTTGTACCCTGGATGGAGTGTAAAGGGGCAATGTGGAGTGGCATGGAAGGACAGGGAAAAGCTTCATAAGAGGGTATTTCAGGCAGCTTTTAGGGGCTGATCAGATTTCAGAGGGCAGATGAGTAGGAGGATGGGCATGGGTAGCACATTTCAGATGTGGGGAACTGGGAGGGCAGGGTCCCCGGGGGATTCACACGTGGGAGGAGGAAGGCTGGACACAGTTTCTGGGGACAGAAGTGGGTGGCGTGGTGGTGCAGATGCTGGAGAGAAACAAGGGAAACCTGCAACTCACCGGCCTCATTTCACAAGGGGCCACTTTGCTGATTTTGCTTGTTGCTTTTAACTTTTTATTGGATATGTAGTTTTAAAGCTTTTGAATATTTCGGCAAAGAGTCAGTTGGTCAGTTTTCATGTGAGCTTTCTATCAGCATTTTAGGAAAGTTTTCATCTGTCTTTCATCAGATCTCTGCTGTTGCTGGGACAGGGAGACGGATCTCTCTGCGGAAGCAAGGATGTGTGCCCCACCCCCAGACTACCCATCTTGGAGGGGGACTAATGAGGGGCTGTGGGAGGAGGAAGCTGTAGAGCAGAGAGGAAGATTGGGGGCCAGACAAAACAGAGACTCGGGATGAGAGAGGGGGAGGCTATGGGGAAGAGCTGAGGAAAACAAGGGACGGAGAGAGGGATTGGGGTAGTGGATAGGGAGACCAAGGGGCAGAGAAGGGGGAAAATGTGGGACAGAGAGCCGGAGATTGAGGGAGCAGAGAAGGGGCCTCTGAGAGGTGGCTGGAAGACAGAGTGTAGAGGAAAATTCAGAGCAAAAAAGAAGGGAGAGTTGTAGGGTAGAGAGCAGAAACGGGGGGCATTTAGGGAACTGGGAGCAGGGGAAGGAAGAGGAGGCAGAAGAGGGGGCAGAATGTAGGGAAAAGATGGCTCAGAGGGGGAGACTGGGAGATGAGAGACGGATTGAGGGTCATACCAAAGAAATATTTATGCTCCACTAATATATTCCCATTCACAAGAAGGAGGTATTCTAGAATTAATTTTTCATGAATGTAAGAATACTCACTGACTTAAGAAGCATGAATCATTATAACACTTTTCTACACTTGTTGAACATATTCAAGTATCATATATTAAACACCACGCTATTGCCCTTAGCTTTCTTAAAAGTACCAGCACAGAATGAAATGGGCCAACTAAGATTTCTCAGAAATCTTCAGATCTGTTACAGTTATCGTATCCGATCTGAATTACTTTAAATTTACAGAGTTAAAGAAATAAATCAACTTGTTAAATTTGCCTAGACTTGGGTTAGCCTCTGGAAACAGGGCCATTCTGTGTAGGATCCCGGCTTTCTCCAGCAGACAGTGAGGAGCCAAGGAAGACACAACCGTTTATAGGATAATCCCACCTGCGAAGGACTTGATTCCCAGTCCTGACTGAATCACTATGCGGAACTCTGATGAGAATAACAAGGGACCTGTGACTCACTTTATCAAGGAAAAAATCAGTCCTGTCCATTATTTGACTGAACTATGCCCTGGAGGAGGGGGGTGTTGACCTGCCAATAACTTGGAAATGATTAAATTGTGTGGAAATACCTTTATTGTTATTGTTATCGTTACTACTGTTAACAATACAGATTTTAACACTTTTCCCTGTAAAATGGGATAACCTTGTCTTCTCAGCAAGTACTTCCTCTAGGGTTTCTCTTTTACCTTTACCCAAAAAGGATGATTGTCTTTACAGATACCAAGCTGGGAGAATGAGGAAGTAGTTCTGGGCTGGGCAAGAGAAAGTGTTGAGTAACTTTGCATCAACAGGAACTTTCTCAAAAGCTGATTTTTTCAAGGAAACTTTCAGCCTTAGCTGGTTCCCCACCCTGCGGTAGCCCCCACCCCCAACCACCCCCCGCCCCACCCCTGACTTATAGCCCTCTCAACCCAATGGAAATGTGACATGCAAATCTCTCCTGAAATTTGCCCCTGGGATTCCGGCTGAGGTGTTTAATTATAATGTCATTTGAATGACTTCTCAGGGTAGGGGAAGACAGACCGAGAGAGGGAGATAGTGGACAAAACAGTGCCTTCACTCTTTGTCCGAAGAGCCCGCTATGGCCACGTTATCATGTCCCCTGCAGGAGGAAAGCACACACGGGGTGCCCGTGCTGTGCAGTGTGAGCACACCAATGGCCTGTGCTTCTAGAACCTTATGATGTGTGGAGGAGAATGGGGAGGAGGAAGCACTTACAAAGGGGAAGTAGCCTGTACCCTGTCCTTCTCCCCCAGGTGTGGGGAATCCATGAAATAATGGAAGTAAATGAAGGTGCGTCAGAAATGGCAGAGGGTGCCATCACCCTAAATGGACGACACATTAACTCCAGGGCACCGCAGTCCTCAGGGTCAGTTCCCCGACTGGGGCAACTAAGCAACTGAAGGTTGCTCTTGTACTCAACACCTAACTCTTCTTGAAGGGAGCTCAAGCCAGGATGCTAGTGAACTTGGCTGAGGGCCATGTCGTGCTACAGCGAGGGTATGGGCTCCTGGATAGGAATCGAGCCCATGGAGAGCTTGGAATCCAGAAAAAGAGTAGTTTTTACTTACTTTAGGCTCTGCACACCTAAAACACAAATTTTATCCAAGAGTAATCAGTTGAAACATGAACTTGCCGGTTGTATTTGTCCATTATGAGCAATTTCACAAGGTTTGATCAAATAATAAACTAAATGGTGAGAAGGCAGCTTGGTAAAGTCTAAATCTTTTTGGTCCAGTTAGGAGCTGGGGTGGGGTGGAAGGGAACTGATATTCCCTGCGCACCTGCAGTATGTCTGGGACTATTACCAGTCATTTACGGAGCGCTTCCTCTGTGCCAGGTACTGGATTAGGCACTTCATTAAAGGCTCAGTGAGAACTGCGACCTGCCCATGCTCATGGAAAAGAGTCGTGGGGCTGGAATTCAGGTCCAGATCAGCATTAGGAACTAGCTTCCAAATGCTGAGGGCTCCCTCGCGTCCTCACACCTAGCGTGGAAGTGTTCCCTGGTGTACATTCTGCTGGGAGGGAGTGCAGCCCCTCCATTTAGGAAAAGCCTCTCCTGGCCTGGGTTCTGTTCCTTCCCTTTAATTTCCTCTGGGGACTGTCCTGAGAATGTAAGCTGCCCAGGTGCCGTCTGAGCCACCAGATGGGCCTGGGCTCACCCATGACTCATGGACCAGACTGAAGCCAACCCTCCATTTTCAGCTGGGGAAACTGAGGCCCAGACAGACGGTAGAGTGAGCTGGTGGTCATGTCTGGACAGAACTCAGGCCTCTGGACCCGCTGACGTGCACCCTTCCCCACGGCTCACAGCTGGCTGCTCCGAGGTGCCCTCAGAGTTCTGTGAGCATGACTCATCTGCCTCTCCCTCCCTGTGCGACCTGCAGAAGGAGCCTAAGGAAGAGGTGGCACAAGAAACGCGGCCCAGTGAAGGGGGCTCCGGAGCCTCGGAGCCCAGATCTTGAAGTGGAGGGGAAACCTTGGGCCTTCTCCTCCCAGGGAAGACGCCTTGCAGGCGGCACGCGGGAAGTCTCCGTTTCCGACAGGGGTCGCGGCCGCCGCGAGGGGTCCTGGACGCTTGCCCACCAGGGTACCCACCGGCCACTGGGAGCCCAGGGCACGCCCCACCGCAGTTCTGCCCTCCCTGACAGGGTCCTGGACACCCCCAGTCCTGTCCGGGCCGCCCCGACGGGCCCTCGGCGCCCCCGCCCAGGCCTCTGCCGTCCAAACCGGGTCCCGGACGCACCTCAGCCCGCGCTCCACCCGTGCCCCGCCCGCGCTCACCGCGCCACGCTCGAAGTCGTTGTAGAAGGGCTTGTCCAGCAGGTGCTTCTCGCTGCAGCCCGCCGAGCCCACGAGGCTGAGGTAGATGTAGTCGTCAGTGCCGGCGAACCACTGGCTGCCAGTGGCCACGGTGACCGTGTAGGAGGGCATGGCGCGGGCCGCGGGAGCAGCGAGCGCCGGGAGCCTCGGCGCGGCGGTCCAGGTGTCCGCATCTAGCGCCGCAGCCTCCTCCCACCACTGGTCCCTGGCCCCGGTCCCGGCCCCGCCCCGGTCTGGCTCCAGGCTCCCGGCTGCCCCCGCCCCCGCCCCCGCCCCCGCCCCCGCCCCCGCAGTACTTCTCTCCCACTCTTCACGCGGCGCCGACTGGGCGGGACCTCGCCTCGGGCGGGGCAGGGGCCTCGCTCCTGGGTCTCTCCTCAGCGAGGTGTCTGTTCCTGCAGCCAGGGGACTGGGGCAACCTCGGCTGCCACCCCTCATCCATTCGTTCACTCGTTCTCTCCTGAATTGCTTCCACCCTTTGCCCTGCCTGCCTGCCTCGGCTTCGCCCAAGGCCAGGCTCCTGTAGGCCCTGGGGTGGAGCTGCGGGGACTCCCTACAAATCTAGGCACAGCCTCTGCTCTCCCCAAGTTCTCAGTGCCACTTGCGGTACTTGGAGCAGGGGTGCTCCGGGAGTCTGCAGAGGAAGAGCGACCCATGAGAGAATCAGAAGGGCTTCCTGGAGGAGGCCACCCCAGCGCTGATACTGAGGATGGATTCTGGAGCACAGAGGCTCCTTCAGCGCGGGCTTCTTCACTGGCTGGACCTGCGGCTCCTGGCGGGGGCAGGCGGGCGCCGAGACCGCGCCCAGGCCCAGAGATGGCCAGTGGTCGCGGGAGGCAGGCGGGACGGCACATCTGGACATGCGGGGCTGTCTAGGGGAGGCCAGGGGTCACGGGTCGGCTCTCTGAATCGCGGCGGGCAAATGCCTGGAAGGGTGTGGAGAAGGTTTCGCGCGCTCCTGGGCGGCTTCCCGCGGCTGGGGCCTGACCCCCAGGTTCCCGCCCACTCCTGGCGCCCGCCTCTCCCAGCCCCGCCGGCAGCGCAGGGTCTGACGGGCACACAGTCGCGTGTATTGATCTCGGCTAAGTTTAAACACTAGCTCACCGTGCGTGGGGCGGCGGGGATGTGAAGTCCCCAAAGGCGGCTGCCTACATTCTCACCAACGCTTCATGTCTGTGAAGCAGCAGAGTCCCTGTAGCATCTCCTCATACTGTCTTGGGTTTGTGCACCTGGCAAATGGCTTTGAACATCTTTTCACATGCTTGTTGGATATCTGTATATTTTTGGAGAGATGTATATTCAGATGCTTGACTCTTTGGAAAACTGGGCTATTTATCTTTTTTATCATTGAATTGCATTATTTATATATCCTGGATAGAAGTCTCTAATCGGATACATGACTTACAGACATTTTTATTGCTTCTGCGGGTTGTGTTTTCACTTTCTTGATGATGTTTGAAGCACAAAAGTATTTAACTTTAAGTCCAATTTCTTTTGTCGCTTGTGATTTTGGGGTCCTATCTGAGAAACCACTGCCTACAATAACATCTTAAAGATTTACTCCTAGGTTTTCCTCTAGGATTATTATAGTTTTAGCTTTTCATTTACATCCGTGACCCATTTTGAGTTAGTTTTTATGCATGGAGCGATAGAAGAATTCAAATTCATTGTGTTGCATGTGCATGTCCGGTTGTCCATGCATCATTTGTTGAATTCATTATTCTTTTCCCATTGCGTTGTCTTGACACCTTATTAAAAAGTAATTCATTATAAACATAACGGTTTATTTCTGGACATTGATTCTAGTCCACTGATCTGTAATGTACATGCTATACAGTGCCACACTGCTTGATTACCGCAGTGCTATAGTAAGTTTTGAAATTGGAAAATGTTAATCCACCAACGCTGTTCTTTATTTTTCAATATTGTTTTGGTTATTCTGGATCCTTTGAGATTCCATATAAATTATAGAATCAGCTTGTCAATTTCAGCCAAAAAGCAAGCTAGGATTTTGATAGGGGTTGAGTTGAAGCTGTAGATCAATTTGGGGAATATTGTCACTTTAACAATATTAAGTCTTCTGATCCATAGAATATGTTTCAGCTTATTTAAATCTTTTCTTTTCTTTTCGACTCTTTGGAGTCTCCCTCTGTTGCCCAGGCTAAAGTGCAGTGGTACAATCTCGGCACACTGCAACCTCTGCTTCCCAGGTTCAAGTGATCCATTTACTTAAATCTTTTCTGATTTATTTCAAAATATTTTGTAGTTTTCAGTGCACTTTTTATTTCTAAATAATTTATGTTTGATACTATTGTAAATGGAATTTTAATTCATTTTGAGATTGTTAATTGCTAGTATATAGAAAAACACTTGATTTTTGTACATTCATTTTATATTCTGCAAACTTGCTGAACTTGTTTATTAGTTCTAATGGTTTGTGTGTGTGTACATGTGCACATTTTCTATATGCAAGATCATGTCATGAGCGAGTAGAGATAGTTTTACTTCTTCTTTTATT
The DNA here is from genome assembly GCF_000001405.40 of Homo sapiens. NCBI lineage: Eukaryota > Metazoa > Chordata > Mammalia > Primates > Hominidae > Homo > Homo sapiens. The sequence continues at coordinate 45,371,872 of NC_000010.11, read as the reverse complement.
TGGAAGCCTTTTATTTCTTTTTCAGGGATAATTGCCCTAGCCAGAACCTCAGTACAAGGTCAAATGGAAGTGGCAAAAGCAGGCATCTTTGTCTTGTTCCTGGTTCAAGAGGTGAACACCCAGCCTTTCTGTATTAAGTTTGATGCTAGCTGGGGGTTTCCACAGATGCCATTTATCAGGTTGAGGGAGTTCCCTTTTATTTCTTTTGTTTTAAAGTGTTTTTATCATGAAATTTTCTGTATCAGTCGAGATACGAAATTTTTTCCTGTATGCTATATTAATATTATGATTATTTTCGTTTTAAAATATTTGATTGACAAATCAAAGTTTCTATTTCAAGGGGTAAAATGTGATGATTTGATATATGTATATATTGAATGCTGATTGTCACAGTCAAATTAACATATCTATCACCACCTATAGTTACCATTTGTGTGTGTGTATGTTGGGGGGGTGCTGGGGATGCTTAAAATCTGCTCTTATCCAATTTCAAGTAATAACGCAGTTATAAACTATAGTCACCATGCTGTACATTTGATCCCCAGAACTTATTCATCTTTTTTTTTTTTTTTTTTTTGAGACAGGGTTTCGCTCTGTCACCCAGGCTGCAATGCAGTGGCACTATCTTGGCTGACTGCAGCCTTGACTTTCCAATTTCAAATGATCCTCCCCCCTCAGCCTCCTGACTAGCTGGGACTACAGGTGTATGCCACCACTCCCAGCTGATTCTTTTATTTTTATTTTTTGTAGAGATGAGGTCTCACTTTCTTGCCTAGGCTGGTCTCAAGCAATCCCTCTGCCTCAGCCTTCCAAAGTATTGGGATTACCAACATGAGCCATCGCACCTGGCCTTCATCTCATAACTGAAAGTTTATACTCTTTGCCCAATATTTTGCTTCTTCCCCACATCCCCTAGCTCCTGATAAATACTGTTCTACTTATTCGTCTTCAAGTTTGAAATTTTTAGATTCGCATATAAATGAGATCATACAATATTTGTATTTCTGTGTCTGGCTTATTTCACTTAACATAATGTCCTCTGGGTTCATTCATATCGTCACAAATGGCAGGGTTTCCTTCTTTGTTATGGCTGAAAAATAGTCCATTGTGTATGTATACATGCACACCCCTCCCCCCATTTTCTTTATCCGTTGATGGACATTTAGATTTTTTCCTTATCTTGGCTACTGTGAGTAAAGCTGCAATAAACAAGGAAGTACAGATATCTCTTTGACATAGTGATTTGATTCCTTTGGATGTACACTCATAAGTGGAATTGCTAGATTGTATGGTAGTTCTATTTTTATTTTTTGAGGAACCTCCATTCTATTTTCCATAAAGGCTGTTGCAATTTACATTTCTACCAACAGTGTACAAGGGTTCTTTTTTCTCCATGCCCTTGCCAATATTCATTGTCTCTTGTGTTTTTCATAATAGCTTTCCTAACAGGTGTGGAGTGATATCTCATTGTGGTTTTGATTTGCATTTCCCTGATGATTAGTGATGTTGAACGCTTTTTCCTGCACTCGTTGGCCATCTGTGTGTCTTCTTTGAAAAAATGTCTATTCAGGTCCTTTGCCCATTATAAAACAGGTTATTATTTTTTTGGTATTGAGATATGTGAGTTCCTTATATATTTTCTATATTTTGATATTAACTTCTCATCAGGTATATGGTTTGCAAATATTTCCCTCCATTCTGTAGGTTGCCTTTTCATGTTGTTGACTTTCTTTTGCCATGCAGAAGCTTTTTAGTTTGATGTAGTCCTACTTGTTTATTTTTTCAAAAGTCTGTGCTTTTGGTGTAATATCCCAAAAAATTATTGCCAAGGCCAACGTCAAGGAGCTTTTCCCCTATGTTTCTCTCTAGGAGTTTTTGGTTTCAGATCTTACATTTAAGTCTTTAATTCATTTCAAGTTAATTTTTGTATATTAACTTGGGTCCAGTTTTGTATATTAAAAGGGTCTAATTTTATTCTTTTGTATGTGGATATGCAGTTTTCCCAACACCACTTATTGAAGAGATGAGATTATATTAATTTTATTTATAGCTATTGCAAATGGGAAATGGGATTACTTCCTTGATTTCATTTTCAGATTGTTTGCTATTGACATATAGAAATGCTACTGATTTTTGTATGTTAATTTTGTATCCTGAAACTTTACTGAATTTATCAGTTCTAATCATTTTTTTATGGAGTCTAGGTTTTTCCAAACAGAAGATCATACCATCTGCGAACAAAGGTAATTTGACTTCTCTCTTCCCAGTTTGGATGCCCCTTATTTCTGTCTCTAGTCTGTTCTAGCTAGGACTTTCAGTACTATGTTCCACTAACACTGGTGAAAATGAGCATCCTTGTCTTGTTCCAGATCTTAGAGGAATGACTTTCAGTTTCTCCCCATTTAGTATGATTCTAGCTGTGAGTCTGTCATATATGTCTGTTTATTGTGTTGAGGTATGTTCCTTCTGTCTCCAGTGTTTTTGAGGGTTTTTGTCATGAAGAGATGTTTAATTCTCTCAAATACTTTTTCAGCATCAATTAACATGACCATATGGTTTTTCTTCTTCATTCTGTTGATATGATATGTTACACTGACTGATGTGTATATGTTGAACCATATTTGCATCCCTGGGATAAATCCCATTTGGTCATAATGAATGATTTTTAATGTGATGTTGAATTCAGTTTGCTAGCATTTTTTGAGGATTCATCAATATTCATGTGAGATATTGGCCTATAGTTTTCTTTTTTTGATGTGTCCTTGGTTTTGATATAGGAGCAGTAATGGCCTCATAGAATAAGTTTGGAAATATTCCCTCCTCTTCTACTTTTTGGAATAGTTTGAGTAGGATTGGTATTAGTTCTTTAAATGTTTGATAGAATTCAGCAGTGAAGCCATTGGGTCTCAGGCTTTTCTTTGCTGGGAAAATTTTAATTATGGCTTTGATCTTGTTACTTGTTTTTGGTCTGTTCAGATTTTGAATTTCTTCATGGTTGAATCTTGTTAGGTTGCGTGTGTCTACGAATTTATCTATTTCTTCAATATTTTCCAATGTTTGGCATACAGTTGCTCATAGTAGCCATTAATGATCCTTTGAATTTCCGCAGTATCAGTTATAATGTCTGCTTTTTCATCTCTGATTTTATTTATTTGGGCCTTCTCTTTTTCTTAGTCTGGCTAAACATTTGTCAATTTTGTTTATCTCTTTAAAAAGCCAACCTTTCATTTTTGTTGATCTTTTGTATTGTTTTCTTCATTTCAATTTTATGTGTTTCTTTTTTTTTGGGTTGGGAAGTTTAGAGAATGGATTGATAGAGAAGTTTAATGGTATACTTCGCTGATGCTTAAAAATTGTACAGTCTAACAAGTGATCTCACTCTTTCTAAACTGCATTCTACTATCCTGTGTGAAAAAGGGAAATGGAAACTTCTTCACAGAATTAAAATTTAGATAAGAAAATCTAAACTTAAGGTTGTTATTTTTGCTATTTACTATTGTGATGTGGTATTACCCTGGCACCATGGAATGTGCGGAAGTGAAAGCCATCTGCTCCCCAGCCACTCCTAATGTTGGAAGGGGATTTATTTTAACAATTTGGTGTGTATGCCTGAATACTTTCCATGTGTATCCAGACACATAGTGCACATGCAGAGTTATATTAGGTATACCCATCTACAATTTGCTAGTAACATTTTCTTTTTTTCATTTTTATTATACTTCAAGTTCTAGGGTACCTGTGCACAAAGTGCAGGTTTCTTACATAGGTATAGATGTGCCCTGTTGGTTTGCTGCATCCATCAACTCATCATTTACATTAGGTATTTCTCCTAATGCTATCTCTCCCCCAGTCCACCACCCCCCAACAGGCCCTGGTGTGTGATGTTCCCTGCCCTGTGTCCAAGTGTTCTCATTGTTCAGTTCCCATCTATGAGTGAGAACATGCGGTGTTTGGTTTTCTGTCCTTGTCATAGTTTGCTGAGAATGATGGTTTCCAGCTTCATCCATGTCCCTGAAAAGGACATGAACTCATCCTTTTTTATGGCTGCATAGTATTCCATGGTGTATATGTGCCACATTTTCTTAATCCAGTCTATCATTGATGGACATCTGGGTTTGTTAGAAGTCTTTGCTATTGTGAATAGTGCCACAATAAACATTCGTGTGCATGTGTCTTTATAGTTGCACCATTTGTAATCTTTTCGGTATATACCCAGTAATGGGATTGCTGGGTCAAATGGTATTTCTAGTTCTAGATCCTTGAGGAATTGCCACACTGTCTTCAACAATGATTGAACTAATTTACACCCCCACCAACAGTGTAAAAGCATTCCTATTTCTCCATGTCCTCTCCAGCATCTGTTGTTTCCTGACTTTAATGATCGTCATTCTAACTGGTGTGAGATGGTATCTCATTGTGGTTTTGATTTGCATTTCTCTGATGGCCAGTGATGATGAGCATTTTTTCATGTGTCTGTTGGCTGCATAAATGTCTTCTTTTGAGAAGTGTCTTTTCATGTATTTTGCCCACTTTTTGATGGGGTTGTTTTTTTCTTGAACATTTGTTTAAGTTCTTTGTAGATTCTGAATATTAGCCCTTTGTCAGATGAGTAGATTGCAAAAATTTTCTCCCATTCTGTAGGTTGCCTATTCACTCTGATGGTAGTTTCTTTTGCTGTGCAGAAGCTCTTTAGTTTAATTAGATCCCATTTGTCAATTTTGGCTTTTGTTGCCATTGCTTTTGGTGTTTTAGACATGAAGTCCTTGCCCATGCCTATGTCCTGAATGGTAATGCCTAGGTTTTCTTCTAGGGTTTTTATGGTTTTAGGTCTGACATTTAAGTCTTTAATCCATCTTGAATTAATTTTTGTATAAGGTGTAAGGAAGGGATCCAGTTTCATCTTTCTACATATGGCTAGCCAGTTTTCCCAGCACCATTTATTAAATAGGGAATCCTTTCCCCATTTCTTGTTTTTCTCAGGTTTGTCAAAGATCAGACAGTTGTCGATATGCAGCATTATTTCTGAGGGCTCTGTTCTGTTCCATTGATCTATATCTCTGTTTTGGTAACAGTACCAAGCTGTTTTGGTTACTGTAGCCTTGTAGTATAGCTTGAAGTCAGGTAGTGTGATGCCTCCAGCCTTGTTCTTTTGGCTCAGGATTGACTTGGTGATGCGGGCTCTTTTTTGGTTCCATATGAACTTTAAAGTAGTTTTTTCCAATTATGTGAAGAAAGTAATTGGTAGCTTGATGGGGATGGCATTGAATCTGTAAATTACCTTGGGCAGTATGGCCATTTTCACAATATTGATTCTTCCTACCCATGAGCATGGAATGTTCTTCCATTTGTTTGTATCCTCTTTTATTTCGTTGAGCAGTGGTTTGTAGTTCTCCTTGAAGAGGTGCTTCACATCCCTTGTAAGGTGGATTCCTAGGTATTTTATTCTCTTTGAAGCAATTGTGAATGGGAGTTCACTCATGATTTGGCTCTCTGTTTGTCTGTTGTTGGTGTATAAGAATGCTTGTGATTTTTGTACATTGATTTTGTATCCTGAGACTTTGCTGAAGTTGCTTATCAGCTTAAGGAGGTTTTGGGCTGAGACAATGGGGTTTTCTAGATATAAAATCATGTCATCTGCAAACAGGGACAATTTGACTTCCTCTTTTCCTAATTGAATACCCTTTATTTCCTTCTCCTGCCTGATTGCCCTGGACAGATCTTCCAGCACTATGTTGAATAGGAGTGGTGAGAGAGGGCATCCCTGTCTTGTGCCAATTTTCAAAGGGAATGCTTCCAGTTTTTGCCCATTCAGTATGATATTGGCTGTGGGTTTGACATAGATAGCTCTTATTATTTTGAGATACGTCCCAGCAATACCTAATTTATTGAGAGTTTTTAACATGAAGTGTTGTTGAATTTTGTCAAAGGCCTTTTCTGCATCTATTGAGATAATCATGTGGTTTTTGTCTTTGGTTCTGTTTATATGCTGGATTACATTTATTGATTTGCATATGTTGAACAAGCCTTGCATCCTAGGGATGAAGCCTACTTGATCATGGTGGATAAGCTTTTTGATGTGCTGCTGGATTTGGTTTGCCAGTATTTTATTGAGGATTTTGGCATCAATGTTCCTCAAGGATATTGGTCTAAAATCCTCTTTTTTGGTTTTGTCTCTGCCCGGCTTTGGTATCAGGATGATGCTGGCCTCATAAAATGAGTTAGGGAGGATTCCCTCTTTTTCTATTGATTGGAATAGTTTCAGAAGGAATGGTACCAGTTCCTCCTTGTACCTCTGGTAAAATTCGGCTGTGAATCCATCTGGTCCTGGACTCTTTTTGGTTGGTAAGCTATTGATTATTGCCACAATTTCAGCTCCTGTTATTGGTCTATTCAGAGATTCAACTTCTTCCTGGTTTAGTCTTGGGAGAGTGTATGTGTCGAGGAATTTATCCATTTCTTCTAGATTTTCTAGTTTATTTGCATAGAGGTGTTTGTAGTATTCTCTGATGATAGTTTTTATTTCTGTGGGATCGGTGGTGATATCCCCTTTATCATTTTTTATTGCATCTATTTGATTCTTCTCTCTTTTTTTCTTTATTATTCTTGCTAGCGGTCTATCAATTTTGTTGATCCTTTCAAAAAACCAGCTCCTGGATTCATTAATTTTTGAAGGGTTTTTTTTGTCTCTGTTTCCTTCAGTTCTGCTCTGATTTTAGTTATTTCTTGCCTTCTGCTAGCTTTTGAATGTGTTTGCTCTTGCTTTTCTAGTTCTTTTAATTGTGATGTTAGGGTGTCAATTTTGGATCTTTCCTGCTTTCTCTTGTGGGCATTTAGTGCTACAAATTTCCCTCTACACACTGCTTTGAATGCATCCCAGAATTTCTGGTATGTTGTGTCTTTGTTCTCATTGGTTTCAAAGAACATCTTTATTTCTGCCTTCATTTCGTTGTGTACCCAGTAGTCATTCAGGAGCAGGTTGTTCAGTTTCCATGTAGTTGAGCAGTTTTGAGTGAGTTTCTTCATCCTGAGTTGTAGTTTGATTGCACTGTGGTTAGAGAGACAGTTTGTTATAATTTCTGTTCTTTTACATTTGCTGAGGAGAGCTTTACTTCCAAGTATGTGGTCAATTTTGAAATAGGTATGGTGTGGTGCTGAAAAAAATGTATATTCTGTTGATTTGGGGTGGAGAGTTCTGTAGATGTCTATTAGGTCTGCTTGGTGCAGAGCTGAGTTCAATTCCTGGGTATCCTTGTTGACTTTCTGTCTTGTTGATCTGTCTAATGTTGACAGTGGGGTGTTAAAGTTTCCCATTATTAATGTGTGGTAGTCTAAGTCTCTTTGTAGGTCACTCAGGACTTGCTTTATGAATCTGGGTGCTCCTGTATTGGGTGCATATATATTTAGGATTGTTAGCTCTTCTTGTTGAATTGATCCCTTTACCATTAAGTAATGGCCTTCTTTGTCTCTTTTGATCTGTGTTGGTTTAAAGTCTGTTTTATCAGAGACTAGGATTGCAACCCCTGCCTTTTTTTTGTTTTCCATTTGCTTGGTAGGTCTTCCTCCATCCCTTTATTTTGAGCCTATGTGTGTCTCTGCCCGTGAGATGGGTTTCCTGAATACAGCACACTGATGGGTCTTGAATCTTTATGCAATTTGCCAGTCTGTGTCTTTTAATTGCAGCATTTAGTCCATTTACATGTAAAGTTAATATTGTTATGTGTGAATTTGATCCTGTCATTATGATGTTAGCAGGTTGTTTTGCTCGTTAGTTGATGCAGTTTCTTCCTAGCCTCGATGGTCTTTACATTTTGGCATGATTTTGCAGCGGCTGGTACCGGTTGTTCCTTTCCATGTTTAGCACTTCCTTCAGGAGCTCTTTTAGGGCAGGCCTGGTGGTGACAAAATTTCTCAGCATTTGCTTGTCTGTAAAGGATTTTATTTCTCCTTCACTTATGAAGCTTAGTTTGGCTGTATATGAAATTCTGGTTTGAAAATTCTTTTCCTTAAGAATGTTGAATATTGGCCACCACTCTCTTCTGGCTTGTAGAGTTTCTGCCGAGAGATCCGCTGTTAGTCTGATGGGCTTCCCTTTGAGGGTAACCCGACCTTTCTCTCTGGCTGCCCTTAACATTGTTCCCTTCATTTCAACTTTGGTGAATCTGACAATTATGTGTCTTGGTGTTGCTCTTCTCGAGGAGTATCTTTGTGGCGTTCTCTGTATTTCCTGAATCTGAATGTTGGCCTGCCTTGCTAGATTGGGGAAGTTCTCCTGGATAATATCCTGCAGAGTGTTTTCCAACTTGGTTCCATTCTCCCCGTCACTTTCAGGTACGCCAATCAGATGTAGATTTGGTCTTTTCACATAGTCCCATATTTCTTGGAGGCTTTGTTCATTTCTTTTTATTCTTTTTTCTCTAAACTTTCCTTCTCACTTCATTTCATTCATTTCATCTTCCATCGCTGATACCCTTTCTTCCAGTTGATCGCATCGGCTCCTGAGTCTTCACGTAGTTCTCGAGCCTTGGTTTTCAGCTCCATCAGCTCCTTTAAGCACTTCTCTGTATTGGTTATTCTAGTTATACATTCTTCTAAATTTTTTGAACGTTTTCAACTTCTTTGCCTTTGGTTTGAATGTCCTCCCGTAGTTCGGAGTAATTTGATCATCTGAAGCCTTCTTCTCTCAGCTCGTCAAAGTCATTCTCCGTCCAGCTTTGTTCCATTCCTGGTGAGGAACTGCATTCCTTTGGAGGAGGAGAGGCGCTTTGCCTTTTAGAGTTTCTAGTTTTTCTGCTCTGTTTTTTCCCCATCTTTGTGGTTTTATCTACTTTTGGTCTTTGATGATGGTGATGTACAGATGGGTTTTTGGTGTGGATGTCCTTCTGTTTGTTAGTTTTCCTTCTAACAGACAGGACCCTCAGCTGCAGGTCTGTTGGAGTACCCGGCTGTGTGAGGTGTCAGTCTGCCTCTGCTCGGGGATGCCTCCCAGTTAGGCTGCTCGGGGGTCAGGGGTCAGGGACCCACTTGAGGAGGCAGTCTGCCCGTTCTCAGATCTCCAGCTGCGTGCTGGGAGAACCACTGCTCTCTTCAAAGCTGTCAGACAGGGACATTTAAGTCTGCAGTGGTTACTGCTGTCTTTTTGTTTGCCTGTGCCCTGCCCCCAGAGGTGGAGCCTACAGAGGCAGGCAGGCCTCCTTGAGCTGTGGTGGGATCCACCCAGTTTGAGGTTCCCAGCTGCTTTGTTTACCTAAGCAAGCCTGGGCAATGGCAGGCGCCCCTCCCCCAGCCTCGCCGCTGCCTTGCAGTTTGATCTCAGACTGCTGTGCTAGCAATCAGCAAGACTCCGTGGGCATAGGACCCTCCAAGCCAGGTGCGGGATATACTCTCCAGGTGCGCCGTTTTTTAAGCCCGTTGGAAAAGTGCAGTATTCAGGTGGGAGTGACCCGAATTTCCAGGTGCCATCTGTCACCCCTTTCTTTGACTAGGAAAGGGAACTCTCTGACCCCTTGCACATCCCGAGTGAGGCAACGCCTCACCCTGCATTGGCTCGCACACAGTGCGCGCACCCACTGACCTGTGCCCACTGTCTGGCACTCCCTAGTGAGATGAACCCGGTACCTCAGATGGAAATGCAGAAATCACCCGTCTTCTGTGTCACTCACGCTGGGAGCTGTAGACTGGAGCTGTTCCTATTTGGCCATCTTGGCTCCTCCCCCTTCTTCTAGATTTTCTAGTTTATTTATGTAGAGGTGTTTATAGTATTCTCTGATGGTAGTTTGTATTTCTATGGGATCAGTGGTGATATCCCCTTTATCTTTTTTTATTGAGTCTAATTTGATTCTTCTCTCTTTTCTTTATTATTCTTGCTAGCGGTCTATTAATTTTGTTGATCTTTTTAAAAACCAGCTCCTGGATTCATTGATTTTTTTGAAGTGCTTTTTGTGTCTCTATCTCCTTCAGTTCTGTTCTGATCTTAGTTATTTCTTGCCTTCTGCTAGCTTTTGAATGTGTTTGCTCTTGCTTCTCTAGTTCTTTTAATTGCGATGTTAGGTTGTTGATTTTAGTTCTTTCCTGCTTTCTCTTGTGGGCATTTAGTGCTATAATTTTCCCTGTACACACTGCTTTAAATGTGTCCCGGAGAATCTGGTATGTTGTGTCTTTGTTCTTATTGGTTGCAAAGAACATCTTTATTTCTGCCTTCATTTCATTATGTACCCAGTAGTCATTCAGGAGCAGGTTATTCAGTTTCCATGTAGTTGTGTGATTTTGAGTGAGTTTATTAATCCAGAGTTCTAATTTGTTTGCACTGTAGTCTGAGACACAGTTTGTTGTGATTTCTGTTCTTTTACATTTGCTGAGGAGTGTTTTACTTCCAATTATGTGGTCAATTTTAGAATAAGTATGATGTGGTGCTGAGAAGTATGTACATTCTGTTGATTTGGGGTGTAGAGTTCTGTAGATGTCTATTAGGTCCACTTGGTGAATAGCTGAATTCAAGTCCTGGATATCTTTGTGACCCTTCTGTGTCATTGATCTGTCTAATATTGACAGTGGAGTGTTAAAGTCTCCCATTATTATTGTGTGGAAGTCTACATCTCTTTGTACGTCTCTACAGACTTGCTTTATGAATCTGGGTGCTCCCATATTGGTTGCATATATATTTAGGATAGTTTGTTCTTCTTGTTGTATTGATCCCTTTACCATTATGTAATGGCTTTCTTTGTCTCTTTGGATCTTTGTTGGTTTAAACTCTGTTTTATCAGAGACTAGGATTGCAACCCCTGCTTTTTTTTTTTTTTTTTTTTTTTTTGGCTTTCCATTTGCTTGGTGGATCTTCCTCCATCCCTATGTGTGTCTTTGCATGTGAGATGGGTCTCCTGAATACCGCACACTGATGGGTCTTGACTCTATGCAATTTGCCAGTCTGTGTCTTTAATTGAGGCATTTAGCCCATTTACATTTAAGGTTAATATTGTTATGTGTGAACTTGATCCTGTCATTATGCTGTGAGCTGCTTATTTTGCCAGTTAATTGTTGCAGTTTCTTCATGTCATCGATGGTCTTTACAATGTGGCGTGTTTTTGCAGTGGCTGGTAACAGTTGTTCCTTTCCATGTTCAGTGTTTCCTTCAGGAGCTCTTGTAAGGCAGGCCTGATGGTGACAAAATCTCTCAGCATTTGCTTGTCTGTAAAGGATTTTATTTCTCCTTCACTTATGAAGCTTAGTTTGGCTGGATATGAAATTCTGGGTTGAAAATTATTTTCTTTAAGAATGTTGAATATTGACCCCTACTCTCTTCTGGCTTACAGGGTGTCTGCTGAGAGAGCTACTTTTAGTCTGATGGGCTTCCCTTTGTTGGTAACCCAACGTTTCTCTCTGGCTGCCCTTAACATTTTTTTCCTTCATTTCAACCTTGGTGAAGCTGACAATTATGTGTCTTGGGGTTGCTCTTCTTGAGGAATATCTTTGTGGTGTTCTCTGTATTTCTTGAATTTGAATGTTGGCCTGCCTTGCTAGTTTGGGGAAGTTCTCCTGGATAGTATTCTGAAGAGTGTTTTCCAACTTGGTTTCCTTCTCCCCATCACTTTCAGGTACACCAATCAAGTGTAGATTTGGTTTTTTCACATAGTCCCATATTTCTTGGAGGTGCTTTTCATTTCTTTTTACTCTTTTTTCTCTAATCTTATCTTCTTGCTTTATTTTGTTAATTTGATCTTCAGTCACTGATATTCTTTCTTCCACTTGATTTAATCAGCTATTTAAGCTTGTGCATGCATCATGATGTCCTCATGCCACGGTTTTCAGCTCCATCAGGTCATTTAAGTTCCTCTCTACACTGTTTATTCTAGTTAGCCATTTGTCTAACCTTTTTTGAAGGTTTTTTAGCTTCCTTGCAATGGGTTAGAACATGCTCCTTTAGTTTGGAGTAGTTTGTTATTACCGACCTTCTGAAGCCTACTTCTGCCAACTTGTCAAAGTCATTCTCCACCCAGCTTCATTCCGTTGCCGGTGAGGAGTTGCAATCCTCTGGAGGAGAAGCGGTGCTCAGTTTTTAGAATTTTCAGCTTTTCTGCTCTGGTTTCTCCCCATCTTTGTGGTTTTATCTACCTTTGGTCTTTGATATTGGTGACTACAGATGAGGTTTTGGTGTGAATGTCCTTTTTGTTGATGTTGATGCTATTCCTTTTTGTTTGTTAGTTTTCCTTCTAGCAGTCAGGTCCCTCAGCTGCAGGTCTGCTGGAGTTTGCTGGAGGTCCATTCCAGACTCTGTTTGCCTGGGTATCACCAGCAGAGGCTGCAGAACAGCAAATATTGCAGAAGAGCAAATATTGCTTCCTGATCCTTCCTCTGAGAGCTTTGTCCCAGAGTGGCACCCACCTGTATGAGGTGTCTGTCGGCCCCTATGGGGAGATGTCTCCCAGTTAGGCTACATGGAGTTTAGGGACCCACTTGAGGAGGCAGTCTGTCTGTTCTCAGAGCTCAGATGCCATGCTGGGGCAACCACTGCTCTCTTCAGAGCTGTCAGGCAGGGACGTTTAAATCTGCAGAAGTTGTCTGCTGCCTTTTGTTCAGTTATGCCCTGCCCACAGAGGTGGAATCTATAGAGGCAGTAGGCCTTGCTGAGCTGCGGTGGGCTCTGCCCAGTTTGAGCTTCCTGGCCACTTTGTTTACCTACTCAGTCCTCAGCAATGGCTGACACCCCTCCCCCCACCCAGCTGCAGCCTCGCAGGTTGATCTCAGATTGCTGTGCTAGCAGTGAGCCAGGCTCCGTGGGCATGGGACCTGATGAGCTAGGCTTGGGAGAGAATCTCCTGGTCTGCCGGTTGCTAAGACTATGGGAAAAGCACAGTATTTGGGTGGGAGTGAACCGATTTTCCAGGTACAGTCTGTCACGGCTTCCCTTGGCTAGGAAAGGGAAATCCCCCAATCACTTGTGCTTCCGGGGTGAGGTGACTCCTCACCCTGCTTCACCTCACCCTCCATGGGCTGCATCCATTGTCCAACCAGTCCCAATGAGATGAACCTGGTACCTCAGTTGGAAATGCAGAAATCACCCATCTTCTGTGCCAATCATGCTGGGAGCTGCAGACTGGAGCTGTTTCTATTAGGCCATCTTGGAGCAGAAGTCCAATTTTATTTATTTCTACTGTGATCTTTATTAGTTCTTTTCTTCTACTAATTTTGGGTTTGGTTTACTCTTGCCTTTTTAATTCTTTAAGATGCATCATCAGGTTATTCACTTGAAGTTTTTCTTCCTTTTTGATGTAGGCCCTTATCTGGAAATATCACTCTTGGTACTGCTTTTGTTGTATCCCATAGGTTCTGGTGCATTATGTTTCCATTGTCATTTGTTTTTAGAAAATTTTCAATTCAATTCATAATTTCTTCATTGACCCACTTATCATTTAGGAACATATTGTTTAATTTCCATGTTTTTGTATAGTTTCCAAAATTCCCCTTGTTATTGGTTTCTAGTTTTATTCCATTGTGGTCAAAGAAGATGCTTGAGATTATTTCAGTTTTTTTGAATGTTTTGAGACTTGATTCATGACCTAATATATGGCCTGTTCTTGAGAATGATGTATGTGCTAAGGAGAAAAATGTGTCTTCTGTAACCTTTGGATGAAATATTCTGTAAATACTTATTAGGCCCATTTGGTCTATAGTTCAGATTACATCTGATGTTTCCTTGCTGATTTTCTGTCTGGAAGATCTGTCCAATGCTGAAAGTGGAGCATTGAAATCTACAGCTATTATTGTTTTGGGGGAGGGGGTCTATCTTTCTTTAGCTCTAATAATATTTGTTTTATTTATCTAGGTGCTCCAATGTTGAGTGCATATATATTTACAATTGTTACATCCTCTTGCTTAACTGATCTCTTTATCATTATATAATGACCTTATTTGGTTTTTCTTAACAATTTTTGTCTTGAAATCTATTTAGTCTGATAAAGGTATAGCTACTCCTGTTCTTTTTTGGTTTCCATTGTCGTGAAGTATCATTTCCCATGACTTTATTTTTAGTCTGTGTATTGTTATAAGTGAAGTTTATTTCTTGTAGGTAACAGATCATTGGGTCCTTTTTTTTAATCCATTCAACCACTCTGTATCTTTTTACTGGAGAGTATAGTCCATTTACATTCAATATTATTATTGACAAATAAGGACTTGCTTGCCATTTTGTTATTTATTTTCTGGTTGTTTTGTGATCTTCTCTCCCATCTTTTCTTACTTCCTGTCTCCTTTTTAGTGAAAGTATTTTTTTTGGTGGTATGTTTTAATTTCTTGCTCTTCACTTTTTGTGTATACATTGTATGTTTTTAAATTTGAGGTTACTATGAGGCTTGCAAATACTATCTTATAACCCATTATTTTATGCTGATGAAAACAACACTGATTGCATAAATAAATACACAATCAAGCAAAAAGAAAACTAAAAAAACCTCTACATTTTAACTTTATTTATATGCTTTTAAGCTTTCTGTTATTTATATATCTTATTATACTGTCTTGAAAAGCTGTTGTAATTGTTTTTTAATCAGTTCATCTTTTCCTCTTTCTACTTATGATATAAGTAGCTTACACACCATAATTACAGTGTTATAATATTCTGTGTTTTTTGAGGACTTATTATCATCTGAAGGTACAGTGAGTTTTGTACCTTCAGATGATTTCCTGTTGCTTGTTAATGTTCTTTCTTTCAGATTGAACTCCCTTTAGTATTTCTTGTAAGACAGGTTTGGTGTTGATGAAATCCCTGTTTATTTGATTATTTTTCCTTCTGGTACAAATCTATTGTTCATTTCCTCTAGCAAAATGTTCTTATTGTTGTTATTTTACTTTTAAACCCCAGAATTTCCATTTGGTTAATTAACTTTTGAAAAAATATTTTTAATCTATTATTGGTATTTTTGAATTGACAAGAAATTATCATACCATCTTTTATTTTTTAAGCACATTTTCTTTTAGTTTTTGAACATATTTATAATAATTACTTTGAGGTTTTTTTTCTGCTATGTCTGACATCTTGGCACTCACAAAGGCAGTTTCTCTTGCTTACCTTTTTTCTGGTGTATGGCTCTGTCTTTTCCATATCTCTGCTTGACTCATAATTTTTTTGTTCAAAAATATGTTCTAGCTAGTTGCAATACTCATTTCTGCCCCCCTCACTATGTTACTGTTGTTTAATTGTTTATTTGTTTAATTGCCTGGCTAGACTATATAGTGAAGCCTATTTCCACCATAATTTGTGGCCTCTGATGTTGTTCCTGAGGGAGTCACAGCACTGGGCACATTTTCTCTCAAATTGGAATTACAGTGCATTTAGCAGTGCTCTCTTTGACTGCCTCTTTCTCTGATCTGTTCAGTTGTTTGCCTCTTTTGGTATCATACCCAACTGTTAACCTCCAGCAATTGCTAGATAATTGCTCTTTTGGTTTTGACAGCTTTTTAGGGGCATAAATTGCTCCACAGTCTGATCCAAATATATTTTGCTTCCTTTGCAGGAGCAGTTTTTCAGACAAGACTTTGATGTTTGTTTTAACCTCAGGAAGGCCCTTCTTGGCTCTCTCTTTCTTGGATTTTTATTGTATATGTCTAGCTGGTTTATGGTTTAGTTTGTTGCTCTCACTAAGCTGCCATTAACCTATTAATTGCTTACCACCAAAATATTCATTGTTTTTGACAGTGCCCTTAGGCTTGAACTTCCGCATGTTCTGTTGCAAATAAAGTTTGTCCCTTTAGGGAGAACTAGAGACTTTTCTTCTTATGGCCTACTTCTCCCTCTAGGCAGGTCCTCTAGTCTCCCTACTGCCTCTACTGCCACTACTCTGCAGGTGGTTTTGGGGACAGTGTCATGCTTTTCTCAGATGTCTTTCCTTCTTTATGGGTGGGGTACTGGATTGGGCAGTAATTTCTGTTTTTCTGCCTTTTCTGGAATGGAAACTTCACTCCTCCCATGGAATCTCTGCCCTATGAGTGTAGCGGAGCAAGGACATTCAGCATCAGTATTCTTGGCCCGTGGCACTGGGGATAGAACTTACGCCTTAATAGTAGAGGCTGAGTGGAAGAAGGAAGCTTCAGATTCTCAGTCAAACTTTCTTGGAATAGAACTTCTGCAACATAGAGCCAGAGATGGGCTTGGGAAATGCTGGTAGTCTGCCCTAGATTGGGAGCTGAGGGGAAAGGGCACCCTGTCTTTTTGGCTGCACATCTCTGGAGCAGGGTTTCTGTTTCACTGAACTGATTGCAGGAGAGGGAGGAAATGAACAGAACTTAAACACCATAGACTCAACACCATAGACTCTCACTCCTCTCACTGAAATTGGTAGGCTTTCTTGGATTTCTTCATTTGCTGTCGGCCCTTAGAACAATTTCCAATACTCTAACATTTTTTTATTTTGTTTGTTTTTAATTTTCACCGGTTATGGTTGTTTTACTCTGGAGAATGTCTGCAGAGCTCTTCAGATAGTCATTCTGTAAGTGCTTCTCTCATAATTGATTTCCAACACCTGAAGAGTGAATTCCCTTTTTCAGATGAAATCTTACAAGGAAGCAGATAAAAGTGGAGACATACTGGTTGAACATAAAGTGAACTAACAAACACAGGGCTGGAAGTTCTGATTGATTGACTTTTTTCTTGTTGTTTTTCCATATTCTCCTTCACCTTCATCTTCCAAGCCCTAGATGTAGATGAGAACACTGTTGGAGAATCATTTACCTTTGGGATGAAGTGGATCAGGTCCACTCAGATAGTACAGAATAATGTCCTTTAAATAGAGTCAACTGATTGTAGAGGTTAATTGCGACTACAAAATACCTTCACAGCAATACCTAGATCAGTGCTTGGTTGAATAGTTGAGTACTACAGCCTGACCAAGTTGACAAGCAAAACTGACAATCACACCATGCTTCAGCCACTGTGAAGAGCTTCAACCATGGTTTTTCCTGAGCAGTTTACATCTTCTCATTCCCATGAAATCTTGGCACATTTCCTTCCCTTCATCTGGAGTGCTGCTATCCTTCTCCTCTGTGTTCTAATCTCCTCCTGCACAAATGTTGCTTTTTCCGTGGAGCCCTCCATGACTCTTTCAGGCAGAGTGAGTTGCTCCTTTTCTGAGCTCCCACAACCTTTGTTTAAGCCCATATTTTGGCCCATCGTCACTTGTCCCACCAGTATTTGCTTCTGTCTCCATTCCCCCACCATATTCTGAGCTAACTGAGGGCAGGGACTATGTTTTATGTATTTCTTGATCTCCAGCCTGATGCCAGGAGAAAAGCAGCTGTAAATGTATCCTAGTAGGTAGGTTAAGTTTCCAGGGAGCCTGCAACTTGCTATGAAACTATCGTTTTTGTGGTTGGCAAAGCAGACACGCAGCATAAGGCTAAGCTCAAGAGAGCAACCCTAAGTTCCCCCCAGCTGACCGCATGATCTCCTGACTCATGGAGTGGAACTTGTGGCATGTCCACAGGAAGCCCTGGAGCCACTGTCCCCATGACAGCAGCAGGACAAATGTACTTCTTCAGCAGGACAAAATAGTGCTGGTCCTTTTGCTGGTCAGGAAAGTGACTTTCCTGACAGTCACTTTCCTCCAGAGGGTATCTTGTGTGACTACATCTTCTTTTGGCCAGCTTCAAACATTTATAGCCTATTTCAGTTTCTTCTGGCCTGTTTGCATAACTAAACAGAATTAAGCCCTGTCTACCACTGAGCACTAAAAAGAAAAACATATTCATTGGGGATTTAGAGAAAGAAAGAATAAGAAATCAATTGTCAAGACTCTATTTTCCCAGCTCTACTCTAGGACAGAGGAAGCTCATAGCCCTAACAGACTTTTCCTTAGGATGGATGTTGACAGCTCCTCCCAGCCCACTCCTTGTTTAGTTTTCATTTGTTCTATCCCAGGAAGATTCAGAGGAAGAGGGATACATCTTAAGATGTCTCTGTAACTTTGTAAGGATGCTGCTGAAAAGATAATGATGAAATGTTGATTGCAGCTTCTTTTTAAAAATTTTTATTGATACATAATATTTGTACATATTTATGGGGTACATATGGTATTTCGTTACACGCATAGACTGTGTAATGATCAAGTCAGGATATTTAGGGTATCCATTACCTCAAGCTTTTGTCATTTCTATGTGTTGGGAACATTTCAAATCTTCCTGTCTAGCTATTTTGGAGTATACAATATATTACTGTTAACTATAGTTCTCCTACTCTGCTGTCAAACATTAGAACTTATACCTTCTATCTAACTATATGTTTGTACCCATTAAGCAACCTCTCTTAACACCCCCACCCACAACTGTTCCCAGTCTCTGATAACCATCATTCTATTCTCCTTGAAATGCATGTTTTTAGTTCCCACATGAGTAAGAATATGCAACATTTGTGTTTCTACGCCTGGTTTATTTCCCTCCAGTTCCATTCATGTTGCTTATTGTGGCTTCTTGAGTCTGAGTTCAGAGCTGAGTCATTTTTGGGTGAGTTTCCCCTAATCTTCCACCTCCTTGTGCCTTTCAGAACAAGACCAGGCTTTTGCCTCTTGGCTTCTTTCCCTTCCTGCAAGGCTGTGCCATCAGAAGTAGGCAGGGCAGCCAATGCTATCTTTCCATGGCATGTGCTTTCTTAAGTAGATTTACCATCCATGGCTCAGTTCAACTACTCTGTTGCACTTAGGAAGTTAAGGAGCATTCTTCTCATTGGAACTTCTTGACTAAGTGGAAAGATACACTTCAATCCATGACACACACAAGACTCAAATAGGCTTGATGTATTTGTGATTAGTGTGAACTCAATTCTTGTTTTTTCAGAAGGAAGACCAATTCTCATACTCATCTTGAAACCCGTCTGACATTGTTCCTCCCAAGATTAGATAATCACGACAGAGCACCTCTACTCCTAACTGAACACGCATAAAATAAATAATTCCATCCCAGTCTGAGTGCGGGTCTCTCCCCAGAGGTCTACCCTGATTCTCTGCATGAAAGAGCCACTGGTTATTCTCCTCCCTTTATGCTGCGGGAGGCTAATTGCACTCACCACTACCTAGTACTGTTTTTAACTTTTCCTGTTTATTGCCTGTGTCTCCCACTAGAGGCTGAGTGATATGCGATGTGATCTTCTCAGTTTTGTTCACTTTTACATGTTATCCCCACAACAAGGTTTGTGGTGAGGCGTGGGTGGGAAAAAGGGAAATAATTCCTTCCTTCTTTCCTTCGTTCTGTCTCTCCTTTCTTTCTTTCTTTCTTTCTCTTTCTCTCTTTCTTTCTTTTTCTTTCTTTCTTTCTTTTTTTCTTTCTTTCTTTCTTTCTTCCCTTCTTTCTTTCTTTCTTTCTTTCTTTCTTTCTTTCTTTCTTTCTTTCTTTCTTTCTTCCCTTCTTTCTTTCTGTCTCTTTCCTTCTTTCTTTCTTTTCTTTCTTTCTTTTTCTTTCTTTCTTTCTTTCTTTCTTTCTTTCTTTCTTTCTTTCTCTCTCTCTCTTTCTTTCCTTCTTTCTTCTTCTTCTTCTTTTTTTTTTTTTTTTTTTTGAGACAGAGTTTCACTCTTGTTGCCCAGGCTGGAGTGCAATGGCACGATCTCGGCTCACTGCAACCTCCACCTCCTGGGTTCAAGTGATTCTCCTGTCTCAGCCTCCTGAGTAGCTGGGATTACATGCACATGCCACCACGCCTGGCTAATTTTTGTATTTTTAGTAGAGACGGGGTTTCACCATGTTGACCAGGTGGTCTTGAACTCCTGACCCCAGATGAGCCGCCTGCCTTGGCCTCCCTAAGTGCTGGGATTACAGGCGTGAGCCACCACGCTTGGCTGGAACTAATAATTTCTTAAGCACTCTGTGCTAAGATATTTTACATACTCTAGCTCATTCATTCTTACAACAGCCCTGGGAGGTGACTGTCATTACTCAGTTTTACAGAGAAGGAAACCCAAGTTCCAATGTCTCCTAAATGGCATCTTGTGTGTTTGAACGTTTCAAGTTTGTGAGGAGTGCAATCAGTATCCAAGAAAGTGCCACTTAGAAAGAAAAAGGCTTAAAGAAGGAAAATGTTCTGGGATGATGAAAATCTAATACCTAAAGGTGTCAATTATGGATGTGATGTTAACTAACCTTTATTGGGCTTCATGCTGTTGGGCACTGCATTGGGCACCTTATTTGGGTAGATATTATTCTCATCCCCATTTAATAAATGCAGAAAGTAAGATAAGCAGGGATCAAGTAACATTCCCAATATCACATAGCTAGTACTGATGAGGCTGGGATTTGAATCTTGGTCCTCTAACTTCAGGGTCCAGATTCTAAACAAAGATGTGGGGAAGAAGGGAGGTGTAACTTGTAAAATGAATGAAAAATAATGCTTTCCTTTGAAGTGTTAGATTTAGGGTTCAAGCATTTTTGATCCCTGAGACTAATTATAATAGCATCAACTAATTTGCATGGCACTTCTTACATTGCAAAGAATTTTCTCACCTGCAAGTTTGTGGTAATCCTCATATGGCTTTGAGATGACTTTGAGAAATAGGAGAAGTCAGTGTTCATTGTTTTTTTTTTTTTGCAGAAAAATGTTTATTTCCCAATTTTCAGGTTTTCATTCAGTGAAACTTTTCATGATGATTTTGAAATTTATAAACAAAACAAACAGGAATCATTGGAAATGATGAAAGTCAGGTATGAACCACCCGACAACATGGAGAAAAAATAGAAAACAGTTATTGATTATGGTCAGAATTCTGCCATAATCAAATTCTTACCTGCCCTCTTCTTGTTCCTTAGAATAAGAATCTAATTAGCTGGCTTTATTCCTAGACAGACATAGTTGTGACTGTGTTTCATTGATTTTGGGTAGCAAACATACTTGGATGAACCTACAGTCATTTTGAGAGAAGAGCATGGTCTCTAAAGATTGAGCATGGTCAAATGAGAAAACAAAGTTACTATCTACAGAGTTTGGGGTGAAAATACACAACCGATGATATCAAAATCATACTTTATAAATGGTGGTATTTGTGTTTAATGTTATCACTTAATAGACCTACTCACTGACAGCATAATACAAATCTATTATTCTTTCAGAGTTATAAAGTTATATAGCATTAAAAGCATTTTATAAGCTTATTTTTTTATTATTATACTTTAGGTTTTAGGGTACATGTGCACAACATGCAGGTTAGTTACATATGTATACATGTGCCATGTTGGTGTGCTGCACCCATTAACTCGTCATTTAGCATTAGGTATATCTCCTAATGCTATCCCTCCCCCAACCCCCCACCCCACAGCAGGCTCCAGTGTGTGATGTTCCCCTTCCTGTGTCCATGTGTTCTCATTGTTCAATTCCCACCTATGAGTGAGAACATGCAGTGTTTGGTTTTTTGTCCTTGCAATAGTTTGCTGAGAATGATGGTTTCTAGCTTCATCCATGTCCCTACAAAGGACATGAACTCATCATTTTTTATGGCTGCTTGGTATTCCATGGTGTATAAGTGCCACATTTTCTTAATCCAGTCTATCATTGTTGGACATTTGGGTTGGTTCCAAGTCTTTGCTCTTGTGAATAGTGCCACAATAAACATATGTGTGCATGTGTCTTTATAGCAGCATGATTTATAATACTTTGGGTATATACCCAGTAATGGGATTGCTGGGTCAAATGGTATTTCTAGTTCTAGATCCCTGAGGAATCGCCACACTGACTTCCACAATGGTTGAACTAGTTTACAGTCCCACCAACAGTGTAAAAGTATTCCTATTTCTCCATATCCTCTCCAGCACCTGTTGTTTCCTGACTTTTTAACGATCACCATTCTAACTGGTGTGAGATGGTATCTCATTGTGGTTTTGATTTGCATTTCTCTGATGGCCAGTGATGATGAGCATTTTTTCATGTGTCTTTTGGCTGCATAAATGCCTTCTTTTGAGAAGTGTCTGTTCTTTTCCTTGGCCCACATTTTGATGGGGTTGTTTGTTTTTTTCTTGTAAATTTGTTTGAGTTCATTGTAGAGTCTGGATATTAGCCCTTTGTCAGATGAGTAGATTGCAAAAATTTTCTCCCATTCTGTGGGTTGCCTGTTCACTCTGATGGTAGTTTCTTTTGCTGTGCAGAAGCTCTTTAGTTTAATTAGATCCCATTTGTCAATTTTGGCTTTCATTGCCATTGCTTTTGGTGTTTTAGGCATGAAGTCCTTGCCCATGCCTATGTCCTGAATGGTATTGCCTAGGTTTTCTTCTAGGGTTTTTATGGTTTTAGGTCTAACATGTAAGTCTTTAATCCATCTTGAATTAATTTTTGTATAAGATGTAAGGAAGGGATCCAGTTTCAGCTTTCTACATATGGCTAGCCAGTTTTCCCTACACCATTTATTGGCTAGCCAGTTTTCCCAACACCATTTATGAAATAGGGAATCCTTTCCCCATTTCTTGTTTTTGTCAGGTTTGTCAAAGATCAGATAGTTGTACATATGTGGCATTATTACTGAAGGCTCTGTTCTGTTCCATTGGTCTATACCTCTGTTTTGGTACCAGTACCGTGCTGTTTTGGTTACTGTAGCCTTGTAGTATAGTTTGAAGTCAGGTAGTGTGATGCCTCCAGCTTTGTTCCTTTGGCTTAAGATTGACTTGGCAATGCAGGCTCTTTTTTGGTTCCATATGAAATTTATTTAATTAATTAATTTGTTTTTTTAGTATTTATTGATCATTCTTGGGTGTTTCTCAGAGAGGGGGATGTGGCAGAGTCATAGTATAATAGTGGAGAGAAGGTCAGCAGATAAACAGGTGAACAAAGGTCTCTGGTTTTCCTAGGCAGAGGTCCCTGCAGCCTTCAGCAGTGTTTGTGTCCCTGGGTACTTGAGATTAGGGAGTGGTGATGACTCTTAATGAGCGTGCTGCCTTCAAGCATCTGTTTAACAAAGCACATCTTGCACCACCCTTAATCCATTTAACCCTGAGTTGACACAGCACATGTTTCAGCGAGCACGGGGTTGGGGGTAAGGTTGTACATTAACAGCATCCCAAGGCAGAAGAATTTTTCTTAGTACAGAACAAAATGGTGTCTCCTATGTCACCTTCTTTCTACACAGACACAGTAACAATCTGATCTCTCTTTCTTTTCCCCACATTTCCCCCTTTTCTTTTTGACAAAACCGCCATCGTCATCATGGCCCGTTCTCAATGGTCGCTGTCTCTTCGGAGCTGTTGGGTACACTTCCCAGACGGGGCGGCCTGGCAGAGACGCTCCTCACTTCCCAGATGGGGTGGTGGCTGGGCAGAGGCGCTCCTCACCTCCCAGATGGGGCGGCCAGGCAGAGGCGCTCCTCGCCTCCCAGGTGGGGCGGCTGGCCAGAGGCGCTCCTCACCTCCTAGGTGGGGCGGCGGCTGGGCAGAGGTGCTCCTCGCCTCCCAGACAGGATGGCGGCCAGGCAGAGGTGGTCCTTGCCTCTCAGATGGGGTGGTGGCCGGGCAGAGGTGCTCCTCGCCTCCGAGGCGGGGTGGCGGCCGGGCAGAGGCACTCCTCACTTCCCAGAAGGGGTGGCCAGATAGAGGCGCTCCTCACTTCCCAGATGGGGCGGCCAGGCAGAAGCGCTCCTCACCTCCCAGACGTGGTGGCTGGGTAGACACGCTCCTCACTTCCCAGACGGGGTGGCCGGGCAGAGGCACTCCTCACCTCCCAGATGGGATGGCCAGGCAGAGGCGCCCACTTCCCAGATGGGGTGGCCGGGCAGAGGCGCTTCCCACCTCCCAGATGAAGGGCGGCCGGGCAGAGGCGCTCCCCACCTCCCAGACGAAGGGTGGCTGGGCAGATAGGCCCCTCACCTCCCAGATGGGGCAGCCGGGCAGAGGTGCTCCTCACCTCCCAGATGGGGTGGTGGCCAGGCAGAGGTGCTTGTCACCTCTCAGATTTGGTGGCAGCTGGGCAGTGGCTCTCCTCACCTCCCAGATGGGGTGGCAGCCGGGCAGAGGTGCTCCTCACCTCCCAGACAGGGCGGCCGGGCAGAGGCACTCCTCACCTCCCAGACAGAGCGGCCGGGCAGAGGCGCTCCTCACTTCCCAGATGGGGCGGCCAGGCATAGGTGCTCCTCACATCCCAGATGATGGGCGGCCAGGCAGAGACACTCCTCACTTCCCAGACGGGGTGGCAGCCGGGCAGAGGCACTCCTCGCTTCCCAGACGGGGTGGCCAGGCAGAGGCACTCCTCGCTTCCCAGACCTGGCGGCCGGGCAGAGGTGCTCCTCACATCCCAGACGGGGAGGTGGCCGGTTAGAGGCGCTCCTCACCTCCCAGATGGGGTGGCGGCTGGGCAGAGGCGCTCCTCACCTCCCAGACGGGGCAGCTGGGCAGAGGCACTCCTCATTTCCCAGAAGGGGTGGCCAGATAGAGGCGCTCCTCACTTCCCAGATGGGGCGGCCAGGCAGAAGCACTCCTCACCTCCCAGACGGGGTGGCTGGGTAGACATGCTCCTCACTTCCCAGACGGGGTGGCCGGGCAGAGGCACTCCTCACCTCCCAGATGGGATGGCCAGGCAGAGGCGCCCACTTCCCAGATGGGGTGGCCGGGCAGAGGCGCTTCCCACCTCCCAGATGAAGGGCGGCCGGGCAGAGGTGCTCCCCACCTCCCAGACGAAGGGTGGCTGGGCAGATAGGCCCCTCACCTCCCAGATGGGATGGTGGCCAGGCAGAGGCACTTGTCACCTCCCAGATTGGGTGGCAGCTGGGCAGAGGCTCTCCTCACCTCCCAGATGGGGTGGCAGCCGGGCAGAGGCGCTCCTCACCTCCCAGACAGAGCAGCCGGGCAGAGGCGCTCCTCACTTCCCAGATGGGGCGGCCAGGCATAGGTGCTCCTCACATCCCAGACGATGGGCGGCCAGGCAGAGACGCTCCTCACTTCCCAGATGGGGTGGCAGCTGGGCAGAGGCGCTCCTCGCTTCCCAGATGGGGTGGCCAGGCAGAGGCACTCCTCACTTCCCAGACCCGGCGGCTGGGCAGAGGCACTCCTCACATCCCAGACGGGGAGGTGGCCAGTTAGAGGTGCTCCTCACCTCCCAGATGGGGTGGTGGCCGGGCAGAGGTGCTCCTCACCTCCCAGATGGGGTGGCGGCTGGGCAGAGGTGCTCCTCACCTCCCAGATGGGGCGACTGGGCAGAGGCGCTCCTCACTTCCCAGATGGGGTGGCCAGGCATAGTCGCTCCTCATATCCCAGATGGGGCAGCCGGGCAGAAGCCCTCCTCACATCCCAGACAATGGGCGGCCAGGAAGAGATGCTCCTCACTTCCCAGACGGGGTGGCGGCCGGGCAGAGGCTGTAATCTTAGCACTTTGGGAGGCCAAGGCAGGCGGCTGGAAGGTGGAGGTTGTGGTGAGCCGAGATCACGCCACTGCACTCCAGCCTGGGCAACACTGAGCATTGAGTGAGTGAGACTCCGTCTGCAATCCCAGCACCCTGGGAGGCCGAGGCGGGCAGACCACTCGAGGTCAGGAGCCGGAGACCAGCCCGGTCAACATGGTGAAACCCCGTCTCCTCCAAAAATACAAAAACCAGTAAGGCATGGCAGCGCGCACCCACAATCCCAGGCACTCGGCAGGCCGAGGCAGGGGAACCATGGGAGCCCAGGGCAGGGAGGCTGCAGCGAGCCGAGACCATGGCAGTACAGTCCAGCCTCGGCAACAGAGGGAGACTGAAGAAACAAAGAAAGGGAGAGGGAGAAGGAGAGGGAGAGGGAGAGGGAGAGGGAGAGGGAGAGGGAGAGGGAGAGCCATATGTAGTTTAAAGTAGTTTTTTTCCAATTCTGAGAAGAAGGTCATTGGTAGCTTGATGGGGATGGCAATGACTCTATAAATTACCTTGGGCAGTATGGCTATTTTCACGATATTGATTCTTCCTACCCATGAGCATGGAATGTTCTTCCATTTGTTTGTATCCTCTTTTATTTCCTTGAGCAGTGGTTTATATTTCTCCTTGAAGAGGTCCTTCACATCCCTTGTAAGTTGGATTCCTAGGTATTTTATTCTCTTTGAAGCAATTGTGAATGGGAGTTCACTCATGATTTGGCTCTCTGTTTGTCTGTTATTGGTGTATAAGAATGCTTGTGATTTTTACACATTGATTTTGTATACTGAGACTCTGCTGAAGTTGCCTATCAGCTTAAGGAGATTTTGGGCTGAGACGATGGGGTTTTCTAGGTATACAATCATGTCATCTGCAGACAGGGACAATTTGACTTCCTCTTTTCCTAATCGAATGCCCTTTATTTCCTTCTCTTGCCTGATTGCCCTGGCTAGAACTTCCAACACTATGTTGAATAGGAGTGGTGAGAGAGGGCATCCCTGTCTTGTGCCAGTTTTCAAAGGGAATGCTTCCAGTTTTTGCCCATGATGTATGATATTGGCTGTGGGTTTGTCATAGATAGCTCTTATTATTTTGAGATACATCTCATCAATACCTAATTTATTGAGAGTTTTTAGCATGAAGCGTTGCTGAATTTTGTCAAAGGCCTTTTCTGCATCTATTGAAATAATCATGTGGTTTTTGTCATTGGTTCTGTTTGTATACTGGGTTACATTTATTGATTTGTGTACGTTGAACCAGCCCTTGCATCCCAGGGATGAAGCCCACTTGATCATGGTGGATAAGCTTTTTGATGTGCTGCTGGATTCGGTTTGCCAGTATTTTATTGAGGATTTTTGCATCGATGTTCATCAGGGATATTGGTCTAAAATTGTTTTTTTTGTTGTGTCTCTGCCAGGCTTTGGTCTCAGGATGATGCTAGCCTCATAAAATGAGGTAGGGAGGATTCCCTCTTTTTCTATTGATTGGAATAGTTTCAGAAGGAATGGTACCAGCTCCTCCTTGTACCTCTGGTAGAATTCGGCTGTGAATCCTTCAGGTCCTGGACTGTTTTTGGTTGGTAAGGTATTAATTGTTGCCTCAATTTCAGAGCCTGTTATTGGTCTATTCAGAGATTCATCTTCTTCCTGGTTTAGTCTTGGGAGGGTGTATGTATGGAGGAATTTTTCCATTTCTTCTAGATTTTCTAGTTTATTTGCATAGAGGTGTTTATAATATTCTCTGATGGTAGTTTATATTTCTGTGGGATCAGTGGCGATATCCCCTTTATCATTTTTTATTGCATCTATTTGATTCTTCTGTCTTTTCTTCTTTATTAGTCTTGCTAGCGGTCTATCAATTTTGTTGATCTTTTCAAAAAACCAGCTCCTGGATTCATTGATTTTCTGAAGGGTTTTTTGTGTCTCTATTTCCTTCAGTTCTGCTCTGATCTTAGTTATTTCTTGCCTTCTGCTAGCTTTTGAATGTGTTTGCTCTTGCTTCTCTATTTCTTTTCATTGTGATGTTAGGGTGTCAATTTTAGATCTTTCCTGCTTTCTCATGCGGGCATTTAGTGCTATAAATTTCCTTCTACATATTGCTTTGAATATGTCCCAGAGATTCTGGTATGTTGTGTGTTTGTTCTCATTGGTTTCAAAGAATATCTTTGTTTCTGCCTTCATTTCATTATGTACCCAGTAGTCATTCAGGAGCAGGTTGTTCAGTTTCCATGTAGTTGAGTGGTTTTGAGTGAGTTTCTTAGTCCTGAGTTCTAGTTTGATTGCACTGTGGTCTGAGAGATAGTTTGTTACAATTTCTGTTCTTTTACATTTGCTGAGGAGAGCTTTACTTCCAACTATGTGGTCAATTTTGGAATAGGTGTGGTGTGGTGCTAAAAAAAATGTATATTCTGTTGATTTGGGGTGGAGAGTTCTGTAGATGTCTATTAGGTCCGCTTGGTGCAGAGCTGAGTTCAATTCCTGGGTATCCTTGTTAACTTTCTGTCTCGTTGATCTGTCTAATGTTGACAGTGGGGTGTTAAAGTCTCCCATTATTATTGTGTGGGTGTCTAATTCTCTTTGTAGATCTCTAAGGACTTGCTTTATGAATCTGGGTGCCCCTGTACTGGGTGCATGTATGTTTAGTATAGTTAGCTCTTCTTGTTGAATTGATCCCTTTACCATTGTGTAATGGCCTTCTTTGTCTCTTTTGATCTTTGTTGGTTTAAAGTCTGTTTTATCAGAGACTAGGATTGCAACCCCTGCCTTTGTTTTCCATTTGCTTGGTAGATCTTCCTCCATCCCTTTATTTTGAACCTATGTGTGTCTCTGCATGTGAGATGGGTTTCCTGAATACAGCACACTGATGGGTCTTGACTCTTTATCCAGTTTTCCAGTCTGTGTCTTTTAACTGGAACATTTAGCCCATTTACTTTTAAGGTTAATATTGTTATGTGTGAATTTGATCCTGTCATTATGATGTTAGCTGGTTATTTTGCTAGTTAGTTGATGCAGTTTCTTCCTAGCATCGATGGTCTTTACAATGTGGCATGTTTTTGTGGTGGCTGGTATGGGTTGCCCCTTTCCATGTTTAGTGCTTCCTTCAGGAGCTCTTTTAGGGCAGGCCTGGTGGTGACAAAATCTCTCAGCATTTGCTTGTCTGTAAAGGATTTTATGTCTCCTTCATTTATGAAGCTTAGTTTGGTTGGATATGAAATTCTGGGTTGAAAATTCTTTTCTTTAAGAATGTTGAATATTGGCCCTCACTCTCTTCTGGCTTGTAGAGTTTCTGCCAAGACATGAGCTGTTAGTCTGATGGGCTTCCCTTTGTGGGTAACCTGACCTTTCTCTCTGGCTGCTCTCAACATTTTTTCCTTGATTTCAACTTTGGTGAATCTGACAATTATGTGTCTTGGAGTTGCTCCTCTCGAGGAGTATCTTTGTGGCATTCTCTGTAGTTCCTGAATTTGAATGTTGGGCTGCCTTGCTAGATTGGGGAAGTTCTCCTGGATAATATCCTGCAGAGTGTTTTCCAACTTGGTTCCATTCTCCCCGTCTCTTTCAGGTACACCAATTAGATGTAGATTTGGTCTTTTCACATAGTCCCATGTTTCTTGGAGGCTTTGTTCATTTTTTTTTTCTTTTTTCTCTAAACTTCTCTTCATGCTTCATTTCATTGATTTGATTTTCCATCCCCAATACCCTTTCTTCCAGTTGATTGAATCAGCTACTGAGGCTTGTGCATTCATCATGTAGTTCTCATGCCATGGTTTTCTGCTCCATCAGGTCATTTAAGGACTTCTCTGCATTGGTTATTCTAGTTAGCCATTCATCTAATTTTTTTTCAAGGTTTTTAACTGCTTTGCCATGGGTTCGGACTTCCTCCTTTAGCTCAGAGTAGTTTGATCATCTGAAGCCTTCTTCTCTCAACTCGTCAAAGTCATTCTCCATCCAGGTTTGTTCTGTTGCTGGTGAGGAGCCGTGTTCCTTTGGAGGAGGAGAGGCACTCTGATTTTTAGAGCTTCCAGTTTTTCTGCTCTGTTTGTTCCTCATCTTTGTGGTTTTATCTACCTTTGGTCTTTGATGATGGTGACGTACAGATGGGGTTTTGGTGTGGATGTCCTTTCTGTTTGTTAGTTTTCCTTCTAGAATTCAGGACCCTCAGCTGCAGGTCTGTTGGAGTTTACTGGAGGTCCACTCCAGACCCTGTTTGCCTGGGTATCAGCAGCAGAGGCTGCAGAACAGTGGATATTGGTGAACAGCAAATGTTGCTGCCTGATCATTCCTCTGGAAGTTTTGTCTGAGAGGAGTACCCAGCCGTGTGAGGTGTCAGTCTGCCCCTACTAGGGGGTGCCTCCCAGTTAGGCTATTCGGGGGTCAGGGACCCACTTGAGGAGGCAGTCTGCCCATTCTCAGATGTCAAGCTGTGTGCTGGGAGAACCACTTCTTTCTTCAAAGCTGTCAGACAGGGACATTTAAGTCTGCAGTGGTTATTGCTGTCTTTTGTTTGTCTGTGCCCTGCCCCTGGAGGTGGAGTGTACAGAGGCATGCAGGCCTCCTTGAGCTGTGGTGGGCTCCAGCCAGTTCAAGCTTCCCGGCTGCTTTGTTTACCTACTCAAGCCTGGGCAATGGCGGGCACCCCTCCCCCAGCCTCGCTGCCGCCTTACAGTTTGGTCTCAGACTGCTGTGCTAGCAAAGAGTGAGGCTCTGTGGGTGTAGAACCCTCCAAGCTATGTGTGGGATATAATCTCCTGGTGTGCTGTTTATTAAGCCCATTGGAAAAGCACAATATTAGGGCAGGAGTGACCCAATTTTCCAGGTGCCATCTGTGAATGCTTTCTTTGACTAGGAAAGGGAATTCCCTGACCTCTTGCCCTTCCCAGGTGAGGTGATCCCTCACCCTGCTTTGGGTCACGCATGGTGTGCTACACCCACTGTCCTGCAACCACTGTCTGGCACTCCCCAGTTAGATGAACCCGGTACCTCAGTTGGAAATGTGGAAATCACCTGTCTTTTGCATCGCTCATGCTGGGAGCTGTAGACTGGAACTGTTCCTATTCAGCCATCTTGGCTCCACGTATATCCACTGCCACACTTCTTTAGTCATAAAGTGAGTGCCTTGGTCAGAGGCAATGCTGTGTGGAATACCATGATGGTGGATAAGGCATTCTGTGAGTCCATGAATGGTAGTCTTGGCAGAGCATTGTGTTCAGTTTAGGCAAACCCATATCCAGAGTAAGTGTCTGTTTCAGTGAGGACAAACCTCTGCCCTTTTCAGGATGGAAGAGGTCCAGTATAACCAACCTTCCACCAGGTAACAGACTGATCACCCCGAGGAATGGTGCCATATTGAGGGCTCAGTGTTAGTCTCTGCTGCTGTCAAATTGGGCACTCAGCTGTAGCCATAGCCAGGCCAGTTTTGGTGAGTGGAAGTCCATGTTGCTGAGCCCATGTATAACCTCCATCCCTGCCACCATGGCCACTTTGTTTATGGGCCCATTGGGTGATAACAGGGGTGGCTGGGGAAAGAGGCTGAGTGATGTCCACAGAACAGGTCATCTTATCCACTTGATTATTAAAATCCTCCTCTGCTGAGATCACCCATTGGTGAGCACTCACATGGGATCCAAATATCTTCACAGGTTTTGGCCACTCAGAGAGGTCCATCCACATACCTCTTCCCCAAATTTCTTTGTCACCAATTTTCCAATCATGCTTCTTCCAAGTCCCTGACCATCCAGCCAAACCATTGGCTACAGCCCATGAATCAATATATAATCGCACATCTGGCCATTTATCCTTCCATGAAAAGTGCACAACCAGGTGCACTGCTTGAAGTTCTGCCCACTGGGAAGATTTCCCTTCACCACTGCCCTTCAGTGATGTCCTAGAAAGGGGCTGTAGTGCTGCAGCTGTCCACTTTTGGGTGGTGCCTGCATATCGTGCAGAACCATCTGTGAACCAGGCCCTAGTCTTCTCTTCCTCTGTCAACTGATCATAGAGAACTCCCCATGAGGCCATCGGTGCAGGCTGGGGAAGAGAAGGTGGGGTGGCAGTTGTGGAGACCATGGGCATTTGAGCTACTTCCTTGTGTAACTTACTTGTGCCTTTAGGACCTGCTCGAGCCCAATCACATATATATCACTTCCATTTGATGATGGAATGCTGCTGTGCATGACCCATTTTATGGCTACATGGGTCAGAAAGCACCCAGTTCATGATAGACAGTTCAGTTCACATGGTGACTTGATGACCCATAATCAAATGTTCAGTTTCCACCAA
This sequence comes from Homo sapiens, assembly GCF_000001405.40. NCBI lineage: Eukaryota > Metazoa > Chordata > Mammalia > Primates > Hominidae > Homo > Homo sapiens. The sequence continues at coordinate 45,340,278 of NC_000010.11, read as the reverse complement.
AGCTCAGTAACAGGCCAAGAGCTGTCTTTCAAAAGCACAGTAGTTATATGCAGAAAATGGCAGGGCCTTGTTTCAAAATTTTAGAGGCATCTGCTGTGATTCACCTGTGGGGGCCTGCCAAAGGCTCCAAACAGCATCCCTATCTGCCACTGATGCCTCAAGCACCATTGGATCTGCTGAGTCATATGGCCCAAACAGCAGAGCAGGTTGGACAGCAGCCTGGACCTGAGGCAGAGCCTTATCCTGTTCTGGACCCCACTCAAAACTGGCAGCCTTTTGAGTCACTCGATAAATGGGCCTGAGTAACACACCCAAATGAGGAAAGTGTTACCTCCAAAATCCAAGTAGGCCCACTACATATTGTGCCTTTTTCTTAGTTGTAGGAGGGGCCAAATGCAGCAACTTATCCTTCATCTTACAAGGAGTATCTTGACAGGCCCCACACCAGTGGACCCCTAGAAATGTTACTGAGGTAGAAGGTCCCTGAATTTTAGTCAAATTTATTTCTCATCCTCTGGCACACAAACATCTCACAAATAAGTCCAGTGTGTTTGCTACTTCTTGCTCACTGGATCCGATCAGCATAATGTCATCAATGTAATGGACCAGTGTGATATCTTGCAGAAGCAAAAAGTGGTCAAGATCTCTCCAAATAAGATTATGATGCAAAGCCAGAGTTTATATACTCTTGAGGTAGGAGAGTAAAGATATATTGCTAGTCTTGCCAGCTGAAGGCAAATTGCTTCTAGTGGGCCTTATGAATAGGAATGGAGAAAAAGGCATTTGCCAAGTCAATGGCTGCATACCAGGTACCAGGAAATGTGTTAATTTGCTCAAGCAATGAAACCGTATCTGGTACAGCAGCTGCAATTGGAGTCACCACTTAGTTAAGCTTATGATAATCCACTGTCATTCTCCAAGATCCATCTGTCTTATGCACATGCCAAATGGGAGAGTTGAATGGGGGTGTGATGAAAATCACCACCCTTGCGCCTTTCAAGTCCTTGATCATGGCACTAATCTCTGCAATCCCTCCAGGGATGTGATATTGTTTTTGATTTACCATTTTTCTAGGTAGAGGCAGCTCTAATGCCTTCCATTTGGCCTTTCCCACCATAATAGGCCTCACCCTACCAGTCAGGGAGCCAATGTGGGTGTTCTTCCAGCTGCTAAGTATGTCTATGCCAATTATGCATTCTGGCACTGGGGAAATGAACACAGGATGAGCCTGGGGACCCATTGGACCCACTGTAAGTCAGACCTGAGCTAAAACTCCATTAATTACCTCACCTCCATAAGCTCCTGCTTTAACTGGAGGACCACAATGACGTTTTGAGTCCCTTAGAATTAACGTCAGCTCAGAGCTAGTGTCCTGTAATCCCCCAAATGACTGATAATTTCCCTTTCCCCAATGCACAGTTACCTTGATAAAAGGCTGGAGGTCTCCTTGGGAAAAAATGGGAGAAAGATTAACAGCATAAATTGTTGGTAGTGTAGTGGGCTCCTTCCTTAATGGGACCCAACTTCCCCTTTATTCAAGGGGTTCTGTGTCTGTAAACTGGCTCAAGTCAAAAATTGATTGAGGGGCCATGATTCTCTATTTTTATAATTCAAAGTAGTGTTTTGTCCATTTGACCTGGAAGTTTTCTGCTTATATAAATTAAGTAGGAAAGAAGTAGGCATCCTAACAATTTCACTTCTGGGAACACTGTGATTAATTAGCGAATGCCAGAACTCTACATGAGTCAGACTATTCTGATTGCTGCTTTGCCACTACTGTCTGTTATGGTAGTTATGCCCACCTTGCCTTTGATGGTTGAGTGCCACCACTTGGCCTCTGCCACCTTGGGATCCAATTATTCCCATTGTATTTACCTTTATTAGTTGAGTGACTGTGGTTCTCACCATTGGATCTGATATGCAGAGAATTACGGGGCTCTTCAAAGATGCAGGTGCTACCCTCACAGATCTATTTTGCAAGGTATTGGTCAAGGGTATATCTTCTGGGCCCTTCCATCTGGGATGAGTAGGTCTAAAGTGACTAATCCACTCCACCATCTCAATCTCTCTAAGCCTTTGGATCCCTTCCTCTACATTAAACCAAGAGTGATCAGACATTTCCAGCTCCCTCACAGTGGCCATCTTTCAATCCATATTTCAGCTAACTAAGCAAATAAATTATTAGAACCTTTTTTTAACTCCCTGAGCTGCAATATTAAATGCAGAGTCTCTACTTAGTGGGCCCAAATCAACAAATTCAGCCTGATCCAACTCTATGTTCCTTCCACCATTATCCCACACCCTTAATATCCATTCTCATGCCTGTTCTCCAGATTTCTGTTTATATAAATTAGAAAACTCAAGTAGTTCTTTTCAAGTATAGTGAACCTCCTCATGGGTTTCACTCTCAACCTCACCTCTTGGGGCCCATAAGGACTTTAGTCTGGTTATAGGTCTAGAAGCAGACAGGGGTGTTGGGGGTGGCTCCTGAGGAGAATCAACATTATTTTGCCTGGCAACTGCTCAGGGGGGGCCATCACTGTTGCCTTAGGCAGCACAGTGTTTATCTCCCCAGACAAATATGGAAAGGCTGATGGCAGCATGGGTCAGGGAGAGGATGTCACCACTACTGGGGATGGGGAAGCTGTTTTTTTTCTGGCAAAAAAGGTTTCCTGAGACTTTACAAACTCAGTGTCCCCAGCTTCATCAGGGTCCTCCCACATGTCCCCTTTCCAAGTTGCAGGGTCCCATTCTTTTCCAAACGATGCCCTCACTTTAATAGTACATACCTGGTGAGGCTGTGCATGCACCCTTCATTGGAAGTCAGCCACTTGCACAATAAGAGCTCATATCCATTTTCCCACAATTTCAGCTCTTTCTCTGCAGGAGATAATACTTTCACTCAGGGCAATCTTAGCAGATTTGAGGCTCAGTATCTGCTTCTGAAGCCAGGAGTTAGAATCCCTAAGTTCATTTTCTTTCATCACTTTGTCCATTGAACTTAGGAGAAACCAACCAACTTCATTATGTTTCCACATATGGTCAAAGGTATTATTTATAGAGTCACTAAACTCCTTGCCTCTCATGAGCGCTGAATCAGGAATGTCAAATGCATTTATTTTGCTTAACTCTCTAAACAGTTCATAGAAAGGAACACTGAATCAGTGTTCTCCATACTATCAGAAGTAGAGTCCTTAGCATTTTTGAGTCTAATCATATTAAACAGCCACTCCAGAAACCCTAAAACCAATGAAAGAACTGCATCCTTAATGTTCTGTTCCTCTAGAACCACTCCTGGTACAAAAATCTGTGTTAGGGTTCTCTAGAGGGGCAGAACTAATAGGATAGAGATATATAAGAAGGAAAGTTTATTAAGTATTAACTCACATGATCACAAGGTCCCACAATAGGATATCTGCAAGCTGAGGAACAAGGAGAGCCAGTCCAAGTCCTAAACTGAAGAACTTCGAGTCTGATGTTCAAGGGCAGGGAGCATCCAGTACCAGAGAAAGATGTAGGCTGGGAAGCTAGGCCAGTTTAGTCTTTTCATGTTTTTCTGCCAACTTTTCATATTCTAGCTGCACTGGCAGCTGATTAGATGGTGCCCACCCAGGTTAAGCGTGGGTCTGCCTTTCCCAGCCCACTGACTCAAATGTTAATCTCCTTTGGCAACACCTTCACAGACACACCTAGGATCAATACTTTGCATCCTTCAATCCAATCAAGTTGACACTCAGTATTAACCATCACAGAAGCATTATCTACTAATACCACCATATAAAAGATGCGGATGTTAGCATAGTTATCACACTGTTTCCTCACACAATCCACTACCCATGGCTTGGTTTCTATGGACATATTATTGGATCTGAGCCAGCTTATTATAATGTTTTAAATAATATTCAAGAATTGTTACAATTGCATTTTGAATTGTTATTATTTAAATATAGGTCAATTTCTAAATAGATTCTTGTCCATAGTCAGATTTTACATCATGATTTCCTCACTCATGACATTTAAAAGTTTATTTGTTAAATTTAGCCAATATATACAAGTCTGCATTTGGGGATGGGTAATTGAATGCCATTTTTAATTTTTGGGTAATGGAGACTTTTTTTATGTTGCCTTTATATTTGATCCATAACTAGGCTATGTAGTACATTTCTGGGTCAAATCTCTATTGCTTTAAAACTTTGTGGTTTTGCTTCATTATCTCCTAGTATCTACAGTTACTGAAGTGATACGTACAACCAGCTTTGGACATGATGAATGTTTTAGGCTAAAGACTTGGGTGTTCTTTGGTCTTTGGAAGTTTTCTTTAATACTCTCTTTAAATTTGTCTGATTCCACTTCTTGGTTCCCTTTTCAGGAACACCAAGTATTCACACAGTGGATAGTCATCTGTCCTCTACTTCTAAAATTTTGTTATTTAACAAAATGTTATAAAAGTAGAATCACATTTATGTAACCTTTTTGGATTGATGTTTTTTGCTCAGCATAATTTCCTGGCAATCCATCCAAGTTGTTGCATGCATCAATCATCCATTCCTTTACATTGCTAAGTAGTATTCCATGCTATGTATTTACAACAGTTTGTTTACCCATTCACCTGTTGAAAAACATCTTGGCTGAATCTAGTTCTTAGCTATTAATATTATAAACAAAGATGCTATAAACATTTGTTTGACAGTTTTTTGTGTGAAGTTTTTATTTTTCTGGGATAAATGCCTGGGAGTGCAATTGCTGGGTCATATGATAGTTGTGTGTTTTTCTTTGAGAAACTCCCAAAATTTCCCAGAGTGGATGAAGTATTTTATGTTTCTATCAGTAATGTATCAGTGATCCGGTTTCTACACATCCTTACCAGCATTTGGTGGTGTCATGATTTTTAATTTTAGCCATTCTGATAGATGAGTAGTGATAGCTTATTGTTGTTTCAATTTGCATTTCCCTAAAACCTAATAATTTTGAACATCTTTTCATGTGATTATTTGCTGTCCATGAAATATCTGTGGAAACAGTGAGTAGAAGGATGCTTTCCACAGTCTGAGAAGGACAGCTGGGAGAGGTGGATGAAGAGAGGTTGGTATATGGGTACAAAAATACAATTAAGACCTCTGGTCCATGCTGGGCACAGTGGCTCATGCCTGCAATCCCAGCACTTTGGGAGGCCAAAGCGGGTGGATCACCTGAGGTCAGGAGCTTAAGACCAGCTTGGCCAACATGGTGAAACCCTGTCTCTACTGAACATACAAAAATTAGCCGGGCATGGTGGTGCGTGCCTGTAATCCCAGCTACTCAGGAGGCTGAGGTGGGAGAATCACTTAAACCCGGGAGGCGAAGTTTGCAGTAAGCCGAGGTCACACCACTGCACTCCAGCCTGGGCAACAGAGCACTCCAGCCGGGGCAACAGAGCAAGACTCTGTCTCAAAAAAATAAAATAAAATAAAGTAAAACAAAATAAAGAGTTCCAATCCAGCAGAGAGTGTGGTGAGATGGTGCGGGACCAGCTCCCTGGGACTTCTGAGCCTTTGCCCTGGCCAGTGGGGGAGCTGAGCCAGGATAGGCTGTAGCCTCTGCCCCGTGACACCAGGACCCTTGTGGTGGCTGCCACCAGGACCCTTGGGGTGGGTGCCTGGGCCTTGAAGATGCAGCAAGCCTCCCTTCCCCCTACACCTCAGTGACTGAGGGTGGTGGTGGCCTTTCCCAGGCCGCACCCTGCCGGGTATAGACGAAGTCCCCACTGAGCCTGGATGCAGTGCCTTTGGGTGGTGGTGGGAGTGGCAGGGGCAGCTTGGTGACTATCCGGGTGTGAGGATTGGGAAGGTGCTCTTGGGATGCAGGACACGGGCTCAGCCACCTCTTTAGGCCATGGCGCTGCCAGATCCGGGTCCTGGTGACCACTCTGTCCCAGCTGGGTGAGACTTACCTAGTCCTGAGGACAACAGACAATGGCCTTAATAGGCCTGGAAGGTGAGTGGAGGCACAGAGGAGGACAGTGTGGAACAGTTAGCAGGCATTGGGCTGTTGGTCTTCCTTCTACCAGACCTGGAAGGACCTCACATTTGGCCTATGGGAAATGCCCGCCACACTTTGGGAAGATTTACTATCTGCTTCTAGAAGGCTGTGTGTATATTATGAAAAAGCTATTCTCAACTCACCCCCAACCTTTTAATAGATAACATCTGTGGGGAGGCTGACAAGATGGCTGAATAGAAACAGCTCAGGTGTGCAGCTCACAGTGAGATCAATGCAGAAGGTGGGTGATTTCTGCATTTCCAACTGAGGTACCCGGCTCATCTCATTTGGACTGGTTAGACAGTGGGTGCAGCCCATGGAGGGTGAACTGAGGCAGGGTGGGGTGTTGCCTCACCTGGGAAGTGCAAGGGGTCAGAAAACTCCCCTGTTAGCCAAGGGAAGCTGTAAGGAGCTGTGCCATGAGGAGTGGTGCATTCCAGCCCAGATACTATGCTTTTCCCATGGTCTTTGCAACCCACAGACCAGGAGATTCCCTCCAGTGCTTATGCCACCAGGGTCTTGGGTTTCAAGCACAAAACTGGGTGGCCATTTGGGTAGACACCAAGGTAGCTGCAGGAGTCTTTTTTCATACCCCAGGGATGCCTGGAATGTCAGCGAGACAGAACCATTCACTCCCCTGGAAAGGGGGCCGAAGCCAGGGAACCAGGTGGTCTAGCTCAGTGGATCCCACCCCCATGGAGCCCAGCAAGCTAAGATCCACTGGCTTGAAATTCTTGCTGCCAGCACAGTAGTCTGAAGTTGACCTGGGATGCTGGAGCTTGGTATGGGGAGGGGCGTCTGCCATTACTGAGGCTTGAGTAGGCAGTGTTCCTCTCACAGTGTAAACAAAACTGCAAGGAAGTTCCAACTGGGTGGAACACACCACAGCGCTGCCAGGCTGCTGTAGCAAGACTGCCTCTCTAGATTCCTCCTGTCTGGGCAGGGCATCTCTGAAAAAAAGGCAGAAGCCCCAGTCAGGGACTTATAGATAAAACTCCCATCTCTCTGGGACAGAGCACCTGGGGGAAGGGGCAGCTGTGGGTGCAGCTTCAGCAGATTTTAACATCCCTGCCTGCCAGCTCTGAAGAGAGCAGTGGATCTCCCAGCACAGTGTTTGAGCAGACTGCCACCTCAAGTGGGTCCCTGACCCCCTGGCCTCCTGACCGGGAGATACCTTCCAGAAGAAGCCAACAGACACCTCACACAAGAGAGCTCCAGCTGGCATCTGGCAGGTGCCCCTCTGGGACAAAGCTTTCAGAGGAAGGAACAGGCAGCAATCTTTGCTGTTCTGCAGCCTCCACTGGTGATACCCAGGCAAACAAGGTCTGAAGTAGATGTCCAGCACACTCCAGCAGACCTGCAGCAGAGAGGCCTGACTGTTAGAAGAAAAACTAACAAACAGAAAGGAATAGCATCAACATCAACAAAAAGGACATCCACTCAGAAACCCCATCCAAAGGTCACCAACATCAAACACAAAAGGTAGGTAAATCCATGAAGATGGGGAGAAACCAGCACAAAAAGGCTGAAAATTCCAAAAACCAGAATGCCTCTTCTTCTCCAAAAAATCACAACTTCTCACCATCAAGGGAACAAAACTGGATGGAGAATGAATTTGATGAATTGGCAGAAGTAGGCTTCAAAGGTGGATAATAACAAACTCCTCTGAGCTAAAGGAGAATGTTCTAACCCAACGCAAGGAAGCAAAGAAACTTGAAAAAAGATTAGATGAATTGCTAACTAGAATAACGAGTTTAGAGAAGAACATAAATGACCTGATGGAGCTGAAAAACACAGCACAAGAACTTAGTGAAGCATACACACATATCAATAGCTGAATCGATCAAGTGGAAGAAAGGATATCAGAGATTGAAGATCAACTTGCAGAAACCCTATAAGCCAGAAGAGACTAGGGGCCAATATTCAACATTCTTAAAGAAAAGAATTTTCAATGCTGAATTTCATATCCAGCCAAACTAAGCTTCATAAGTGAAGGAGAAATAAAATTCTTTACAGACAAGCAAATGTGAGACATTTTGTCGTCACCACGCCTGCATTACAAGAGCTCCTGAAGGGAGCAATAAGCATGGAAAGGAAAAAATGGTGCCAGCCACTGCAAAAACATGCCAAATGGTAAAGACCATCAACGCTATGAAGAAACTGCATCAAGTAATGGGCAAAATAACCAGCTAGCATCATAATGATAGGATCAAATTTACACATAACATATTAACCTTAAATGTAAATGGGCTAAATGCCCCAATTAAAAGACACAGACTGGCAACATGGATAAAGAGTCAAGACCCATCAGTGTGCAGTATTCAGGAGACCCATCTCACATGCAAAAACACACATAGGCCCAAAATAAAGGGATGGAGGAATATTTACCAAGCAAATGGAAAGCAAAAAACAAACAAACAAACAAACAAACAAACAAACAGGGGTTGCAATCATAGTCTCTGATAAAACAGACTTTAAACCAACAAAGATCAAAAGAGAAAAAGAAAGCCATTACATAGTGGCTAAGAAGAGCTAACTATCCTAAATATACATGCACCCAATACAGGAGCACCCAGATTCATAAGGCAAGTTCTTAAACACCTACAAGGAGACTTAGACTCCCACACAATAATAGTGGGAGATTTTAATACCCCACTGTCAATATCAGACAGGTCAATGAGACAGAAAATTAACAAGGATATCTAGGAATTGAACTCAGCTCCAGACTAAGCAGACCTAATAGACATCTATAGAACTCTCCACCCCAAATCAACAGAATATACATTCTTCTCAGCACCACATCGCACTTATTCTAAAATTGACCACATAATTGGAAGTAAAACACTCCTCAGCAAATGCAGAAGAATGGAAATCATAACAAACAGTCTCTCACACCACAGCGCAATTAAATTAGAATTCAGAATTAAGAAACTCACTCAAAACCTCACACTTACATGGAAACTGAACAACCTGCTCCTGAATGACTGCTGGATAAATAATGAAATGAAGAAGGATAAAGATGTTGTTTGAAAACAATAAGAATAATGTACCAGAAACTCTGGGACATATTTAAAGCAGTGTGTAGAGGAAAATTTATAGCAGTAATTGCCTACAAAAGAACACAGGAAAGATCTAAAATCGACACCCTAACATCACAATTAAAAGAACTAGAGAAGCAAGAGCAAACAAATTCAAAAGCTAGCAGAAAACAAGAGATAACTAAGATCAGGGCAGAACTGAAAGAGATAGAGACATGAAAAACCCTTAAAAATCAATTAATCGCTCTCCCTCTCCCTCTCCCTCTCCCTCTCCGTCTCCCTCTCCGTCTCCCTCTCCCCACGGTCTCCCTCTCCCTCTCTTTCCACGGTCTCCCTCTGATGCCGAGCCGAAGCTGGACTGTACTGCTGCCATCTCGGCTCACTGCAACCTCCCTGCCTGATTCTCCTGCCTCAGCCTGCCGAGTGCCTGCGATTGCAGGTGCGCGCCGCCACGCCTGACTGGTTTTCTCTGCCCGGCCAGCCGCCCCGTCCGGGAGGGAGGTAGGAGGTCAGCCCCCCGCCCGGCCAGCCGCCCCATCCGGGAGGTGAGGGGTGCCTCTGCCCGGCCGCCCCTACTGGGAAGTGAGGAGCCCCTCTGCCCAGCCACCACCCCGTCTGGGAGGTGTACCCAACAGCTCATTGAGAAGGGGCCATGATGACAATGGCGGTTTTGTGGAATAGAAAGGGGGGAAAGGTGGGGAAAAGATTGAGAAATCGGATGGTTGCCGTGTCTGTGTAGAAAGAAGTAGACATGGGAGACTTTTCATTTTGTTCTGTACTAAGAAAAATTCTTCTGCCGTGGGATCCTGTGGATCTGTGACCTTACCCCCAACCCTGTGCTCTCTGAAACATGTGCTGTGTCCACTCATGGTTAAATGGATTAAGGGTGGTGCAAGATGTGCTTTGTTAAACAGATGCTTGAAGGCAGCATGCTCCTTAAGAGTCATCACCACTCCCTAATCTCAAGTACCCAGGGACACAAACACTGCGGAAGGCAGCAGGGTCCTCTGCTTGGGAAAACCAGAGACCTTTGTTCACTTGTTTATCTGCTGACCCTCCCTCCATTATTGTCCTATGACCCTGCCAAATCCCCCTCTGCGAGAAACACCCAAGAATGATCAATAAAAAAATAAATAAATAAAAATAAAAATAAAATAAAATAAAATAAAAAAAGAAATAAACACAAATAAAATGTTAAAATTCCCATTCTACATAAAATCATCTATAGATGTTTTTAAATATACAACATGATTATCAAGGACTTAATCTGTACCACATTCTTGTAGATGTAAAGTTAAAATTCTTGTAACCATCACTCTCAACCCTACCCTATCTTCCAGCATAAATGAGACTTTCACATGTTTTCTCTTGCCCAGATGGAGACACTAACTGTAGGCTTTGGAAATGTCTTAAAAAAAAAAAAAAAAAAAAGAGAGCCAGGCATCTTCAAACAGAGAAAAGCTGTTTGAACACATTTATCTAAGTCTATCAAAAGCTATGATTGTTAGCAAGAGGTAACCTTGTAATGCCAAGGCAGAAAACTGCCACCAAACCACAAAAAGCTTGTTCAACTGCTGAACCTAAAATTAAACAATTTATCTCTCATTAAAAAAAAAAAATCAATTAATCCAGGAGCTGGTTTTTTTTTAAAGATCAACAAAATAGATAGACCACTAGCCAGACTAATAAAGAGGAAAAGAGAGAAGAGTCAAATAGACATAATAAAAAATGATAAAGGAGATATCACCACTGATCCCACAGAAATACAACCTACCATCAGAGAATATTATAAACACCTCTATGCAAATAAACCAGAAAATCTAGAAGAAATGGATAAATTCCTGGACACATACACCCTCCCAAGACTAAACCAGGAAGAAGTCAAATCCCTGAATAAGCCAATAACAAACTCTGAAATTGAGGTGGTAATTAATAGCCTACCAACCAAAAAAAGTCCAGGACCAGACGGATTCACAGCTGAATTCTACCAGAGGTACAAAAGGAGCTGGTACCATTCCTTCTGAAACTATTCCAAACAATAGAAAAAGAGAGAATCTCCCTAACTCATTTTACGAGGCCAGCATCATCCTGATACCAAAGCCTGGCAGAGACACAACAAAAAAAGAAAATTTCAGGCCGAAATCCCTAATGAATATTGATGCAAAAATCCTCAGTAAAATTCTGGCAAACCGAATCCAGCAGCACATCAAAAAGCTTATCCACCATGATCAAGTTGGCTTCATCCCTGGGATGCAAGGCTGGTTCAACATATGCAAATTAATGAACGTAATGCATCACATAAACAGAACCAATGACAAAAACCATGTGATTATCTCAATAGATGCAGAAAAGACCTTCGACAAAATTCAACAGCCCTTCACGCTAAAAACTCTCAATAAACTAGATATTCATGGAACATGTCTCAAAACAATCAGAGCTATTTATGAGAAACCCACAGCAGCCAATATCATACTGAATGGGCAAAAACTGGAAGCATTCCCTTTGAAAACTGGCATAAGACAAGGATGCCCTCTCTCACCACTCCTATTCAACATAGTATTGGGAGTTCTGGCCAGGGCAATCAGGCAACAGAAAGAAATGAAGGATATTCAATTAGGAAAAGAGGAAGTCAAATTGTCTCTGTTTGCAGATGACATGACTGTATATTTAGAAAACCCCATCATCTCAGCCCAAAATCTCCTTAAGCTGATAAGCAACTTCAGCAAAGTCTTGGGATACAAAATCAATGTGCAAAAATCACAAGCATTCCTATACACCAATAACAGACAAACCGAGAGCCAAATCACGAGTGAACTCCCATTCACAGTTGCTGCAAAGAGAATAAAATACTTAGGAATCCAACTTACAAGGGATGTGAAGGACCTCTTCAAGGAGAACTACAAATCACTGCTCAATGACATCAGAGAGGACACAAACAAATGGAAAAACATTCCATGCTCATGGATAGGAAGAATCAATATCGTGAAAATGGCCATAATATCCAAAGTAATTTATAGATTGAATGCTATCCCCATCAAGCTACCACTGACTTTCTTCACAGAATTGGAAAAAACTACTTTAAATTTCATATAGAACCAAAAAAGAGCCTGCATAGCCAAGCCAATCTTAAGCAAAAATAACAAAGCTGGAGGCATCACACTACCTGACTTTAAACTATACTACATGGCTGCAGTAACCAAAACAGCATGGTACTAGTACCAAAACAGATATATAGACCAATGGAACAGAACAGAGGCCTCAGAAATAACACCACACATCTACAACTATCTGATCTTTGACAAACCTGACAAAAACAAGCAATGGGGAAAGGATTCTCTACTTAATAAATGGCATTGGGAAAACTGGTTAGCCATATGCAGAAAGCTGAAACTAGATCCCTTCCTTCCACTGTATACAAAAATTAACTCAAGATGGGCTAAAGACTTAAATGTAAGACCTAAAACCATAAAAACCCTAAAAGAAAACATAGGTAATACCATTCAGGACATAGGCATGGGCAAAGACTTCATGACTAAAACACAAAAAGCAATGGCAACAAAAGCCAAAATTGACAAATGGGATCTAATTAAACTAAGGAGCTTCTGCACAGCGAAAGTAACTACCATCAGAGTGAACAGGCAACCAACAGAATGGGAGAACATTTTTGCAATCTATCCATCTAACAAAGGGCTAATATCCAGAATCTACAAAGAACTTAAACAAATTTACAAGAAAAAACAAACAATTCCATCAAAAAGTGGGTGAAGGATAAGAAAAGACTCTTCTCAAAAGAAGACATTTATGCAGTCAACAAGCATAGGAAAAAAAGCTCATCATCACTGGTCATTAGAGAAGTGCAAATCAAAAACACAATGAGATACCATTTCATGCCAGTTAGAATGGCCATCATTAAAAAGTCAAGAAACAACAGATACTAGAGAGCATGTGGAGAAATAGGACCACTTTTACACTGTTGGTGGGAGTGGAAATTAGTTCAACCATTGTGGAAGACAGTGTGGTGATTCCTCAAGAATCTAGAACTAGAAATACCACAATAGCAAAGACTTGGAACCAACCCAAATGCCCATCAATGATAGACTGGATAAAGAAAATCTGGCACATATACACCACAGAATACTATGCAGCCATGAAAAATGATGAGCTCATGTCCTTTGCAGAGACATGGATGAAGGTGGAAACCATCATTCTCAGCAAACTAACACAAGAACAGAAAACCAAACACCACATGTTCTCACTCATAAGTGGGAGTTGAACAATGAGAACACATGGACACGGGTTGGGGGGGTATCACACACTGGGGCCTGTTGGGCTATGGGGGGCTGGGGAGGGATAGCATTAGGGGAAATACCTAATGTAGATGACAGGTTGATGGGTGCAACAAACCACCATGGCACATGTATATCTATGTAACAAACCTGCACATTCTGCACATGTACCCCAGAATTTAAAGTATAATAAGAAAAATAAAAATAAATAAGTTAAAAGAGATTAAAAAAATAAAAGAGAACATTTGCCACATTCAGTCTTTCTAGATGGAAAGAGGTTGCTGACATATGATAGAATTAGAAAATCACACATCTTGTAAATTCTCATTTGTTTAAAAAGAAATCATACAAATTAGATGTTTTTTGGAGATGACTTTTTAAAATAGAGTCGTTAGATCACCTCTGTAAGGGATATGTCTATATCTGTTCAGTGGGTTAGGGGACATGGATCTGGAAAGCCTGAGAAGAAAAAGAAGGTTCTATACCAGACTTGTGATATTTAGACATTTTCATATTCTATCCATTGTTTTGTGTGCATTTTATTCCTCACTATTGTATATATAGTTGACAATGCTAAACTTTTTTGTGTATTCTTTCTATGTGTTCCGAATGCCTAATATATGTCAAAATTAGCGGTAGTAAAATAATATTTTGTAAATATCTTTTTGCTAAAATTCATATGAAATGTTGTTTTTGGAGGGGAATGGCCAAACTACCTGTTGAGTAATACTCATCGTGTTTGTGTCCTGGTTCAGGGGAGGAGGAAGGAGGGGAAAGTGCAGAGAGCTCTATGCCGCTGTGTTTACAGTGAGGCAAGATTAACCATTATCTCTTATGTCTGTGCATTTTGTTTTACTTATCTGTTTATGTAGTGTATATAAAGGACAAACGAGTCCTAATTTACAACATCTAGTCTTTTTAGATGTTAAAGAGGTTGCCAGTGTATAACAAAAGTAGAGTTAGTAAACTAATATATTTTGTATATTTTGTTTTAAAATTCCTAGGAAAGATTGTCTTCCTATCTTTGAGCATTCTTGCGCACTGAGTTGATGGAGATGGGAGGGATTCTAAGCTAGGATGTTCTTATTTGGAAGACTCTTTCAAATTATAACTATGGTTACATGTATGCAGTTTATTCGAGACTGCTGTGTATATAGTGGACAAATTAACTCCTTACTTGAAACACCTAGTTTATCTAGATGTTTAGAAGTGCCTGATGTACGTTAAATGTAGAGGTAATAAAATACCACTTTGTAAATATCTTTTTGCTAAAATTCATAGGAAATACTGTCTTTTAGAAATTTAATTGTTAAGCCACCTTTGTGAGCAGTATAGTACTGTCTATACTTGTTCAATGGTTTAGAGGAGGTGGGAGGGAAGAAAAATATGTGACTGACTTATTTCACTAAGCCTAATGTCTTTAAGTTTCATTCATGTTGTGGCATGTGTCAGAATTTCCTTCCTTTTTAAAGCTGAATAATATTGCATTGTATAGATATATTACCTTTTATTTATCCATTTATCCATCAATAGAAACTTGGGTTGCTTCCATATTTTAGCTATCATGAATATTGCTGCCATCAACATGTTGAGTTCCTGTATTCAACTCTTTGGGTAATACCCAGAAGTGAAATTGCTGAATAAGTATGGTAATTCTCTGTTAAATTTTTGAGGAGCTGCTGATTCATACTTTTACGTATAAAATATTAGACCTTAAATGTATTATGTAAAAACACTAAGTATTTTTAACATTCTAGAGTAAAGAAGGTGTTTCTTAGCAAGACAGAAAAGCTGAAACCCTCAATAGAAAAGCCTTGTTAATGTTATCACATAAAATATTCAAAATTTCTGAACACACAGACACACACGCACTAACGAAAAGCTATTTACAACTTGTGGTAGATGAAGAAATAATTTCTTAACATAGCAAGAACCCAGGCAAATGATTAAGAAAAAGAATAATCATACAAATTTAATACATGTGAGAAGCTGTTCAGCCTTTCCCATTAATTAAAGAAGTAAAATATAAAACAAAACATATAATTTTTCACTTAGCAGAGATGAAATACCAAAACAGATGGGTATAGGTGTGGAACATACTTCCTTGGTTGACAGTTAGCCAATATCTATTAAAATCCCTTGCCACAGTAATTTCAGTTCTAGACATTTGTCTTATATTACTGTATTTATTCTGTCCTGTAACCATAAATTCCACAGCTGCCTAGTGATGGTTCTATATTTAAATGGAATGCTTACTCTCAGTATTGTTTTTTCTTTTGAGATGGAGTCTTGTTCTGTTGCCAGGCTGGAGTGCAGTGCCATGATCTCAGCTCACTGCAACCTCCACCTCCCAGGTTCAAGTGATTCTCCTGCCTCAGCCTCCCGAGTAGCTAGGACTACAGGTGTGCACCACCACGCCCAGCTAATTTTTGTATTTTTAGTAGAGATGGAGTTTCACCTTGTTGGCCAGTATGGTCTCGATCTCTTGACCTCATGATCTGCCCACCTTGGCCTCCCAAAGTGCTGTGATTACAGGTGTGAGCCACGACACCCAGCCAGTATTTTTTTTTTTAAACCACAGCTTCTTCATTTTGAGTCATCTCTAAATAGCTGCAATTTACTATAACTTAGGGTTTACAATTTTTAAAATTGTGTATGTTAAGGTATCCACATGATGTTTGATATACTTCTTTTGACATAAATATACACAATGAAGTGATTACTACAGCCAAATAATGATTACCATACCCATCATTGCTAGCGTTTAGAAAGACAACTGATTTTTATGTGCTGATATTGTACCCTGCAACCTTACTGAATTTACTAAATCTAGTAGTTTTTTGGTGCATCCTTTGGGATTTTCTATTAACAGAATCATGCCTTCTGCAAATGTAAGTAATTTAGCTGCTTCTTTTTAAATATGTATGCCTCTTATGTCTTTTTCTTGGCTATGTTCTTTTCTCTGGCTAGAACTTCTAGTACAATGTCCAGTGTCAGTGTTGAAAATGGGCATCCTTGTGTTGTTCCTGATTTTAGGAGTAAAGCTTACAGTTTTTCTACCCCTGAGTATGATTTTAGTTGTGAGATTTTCCTATATGCCCTTTATCATGCTAAGAAAGTTCCCTTTTATTTTAGTTTGCTGATTTTTTAAAATTATGAAAGGGCATTTAATTTTATCAAATACTTTTTTCTGTGTCTGTTGAGAGTTTGGCCATTTTTTTTCTATTGAAATGGTGTATTATGGTAGCTGATTTTTGGATGTGAAACCAACCTTGTGTCCTTGGGATAAATCCCATGTAATCATGGTGTATAATTCTTTCTATGTATTGCTGGATTTGGTTTGCTAGTATTTTGTTGGGAACTTTTGTGCCCATAAGATAAGAGGTATTGATCTATGGTTTTCTTTTCCTGTGATGTCTTTATTTGGTTTTTGTGTCAGGGAAATAGTGGCTTCATAAAATGTTCAAGAAGTGTACCCTCCTCATCTTTTTGTTGGAAGAGTGTGAAAAATTGGTATTATCAAATGTTTAGTAGAATTCACCAGTGAAGCCATTTGCTTTTCTTTTTGGGTAGTTTTTGATTACTGATTCATTCTCTTAATTTGTTTTAGGTCTATTCAGATTGTCTGTTTCTTCTTGAGTCAGTCTTGGTAGTTGTGTCTTTCTTGAAATTTTTTCATTTCACTTAAATTATCTTATTTGTCAGTGTACAATTATTTTTGGTATTCCTTTATAATCCTTTTTATTTCTTTAATGTCAGTAGTAATGTCTCTTCTTTTATTTCTGATTCTATAGTTTGAGTTTTCTCTCCTCTTTCCCTGATGAAACTGAAGTTTTTTCCATTTTATTGATTTTTTTCAAACGATCAAATTATTTCATTAATTTGTGCTGTTATCATTATTTCCTTCCTTCTGCTTACTTAAATTTAGTTTCATATTTTTTGTAAGTGTCTTAAGGTAGAATTTTAAGTTATTGATTTAAGAACTTTCTTAATACAAGTGTTTACAGCTGTTGATATTACTCTAATTACTTCTTTAGCTGCATCACAATTGTTTTGGTATGTTGTCTTCATTATTATTCGTCTAAAAATATTATCTAATTTCTGTCTTGATTTCTTCTTTGACTCATGAATTGTTTTAGAGTGGAAATTTCATTTTAAATTTCCAAATATTTGTGAATTTCCCAAATTTCCCCTGTTGTTGATTTCTAATTTTATTCCATTGTGGTTAATAACATACTTTGCATTATTTCTATCCTTCAAATTTATTGAGGTGTGTTTTATGGCCTAATATGTGGTCTATCTTCTAGAATGTTCCATGCTCACTTGACATGAATGTATACTTTGTTGTTGTTGTTAAGTAGAATGTTCCATAGTCCTTGAGGTCTATTTGGTTTGTAGTATTGCTCAAGTCCTCTTTTTCCTTGTTGATCCGTCCAGTTGTTCTATCCATTTTTGAACGTGTAGTATTGAAGTCCTTGACTATTTCTGTTGACTCGGTTGACTTGTCTATTTCTTTCTTTTCTCAGGTCTGTTTTTGTTTCATTTATTTTGGTGCTTCATATATATAGGTGCATATATGTTGATAACAGTTATATCTTCCTAATGGATGGATTCCTTTGTAATTACAAAAGGCCACTCTATCTCTAGTAACAATTTTTGTTTTAAAGTCTATTTGTCTGATATCAGTGTACTGACTCCAGTGTTTTTGTGGTTGCTGTTTGCATAATATATTTTTCCTGTTCTTTTACTTTCATTCTGTGTCTTCGAATCAAAATTGTGTTTTCTCCAGACAATATATACTTCATGTTTTCTTATCCAATATAACACCTTTGCCTTTTGATTGCATTGTTTATTCCATTCACACTGCATATTATTATTTAGTGGGATTTATGTCTGTCATTTTAGTTCTTTTTTGTTTTTGTTTTGAGACAGAATCTTGCTCTGTCACCCAGGCCGGAGTGCAGTGGCGTGATCTCGGCTCACTGCAAGCTCCAACTCCCGGGTTCAGGCCATTCTCTTGCCTCAGCCTCCCAAGTAGCTGGGACTACAGGTGCCCACCACCACTCGTGGCTAATTTTTTGTATTTTTAGTGGAGACTGGGTTTCACCGTGTTAGCCAAGATGGTCTCGATCTCCTGACCTCGTGATCTGCCCACCTCGGCCTCCCAAAGTGTTGGGATTACAGGCATGAGCCACCGCACGCCCGGATTTTTTGTTTTTTATATGTATCATGTCTTTGTTGTTCCTGTTTTGTCTTTACTTCTTTCTATTTCATTGAATTAATATTTTCTAATATAGTATTTAAGTTTTATTAATAATTTTATCACTGTATTTTTATTTTTAGTGGTTTCTCTAGGATTTTCTGTATATATCTTATCAGTATGAGTTTCAGATTCACACTAGCTTAATTCCAGTAATATGTAGAAATGTTACTCATGTAGAACTTAATTCTCTTGCTCTTTTGTGGTTATTTTATTTATATTATATCAATTAATGTTACAAAGATATACATTGTTTAAATTATTATTGGTGCTATTATTAGCATACATAACACCCACATATTAAAATTGTATATATTGCATATATGTATTATAGAATTGTATATATTATAGGGCCAATAGTATATTGTATACATGTTATTTTATATAATTGTTTTTAAAATGAGTTAAGAAAAAAGAAAAATGCATTTCTACTGTCTATTATAGAAAAATAATTACATCATACTGAACACGCAAAAACTGGAAGCATTCCTTTTCAGAACAGGAATAAGACAAGGGTGCCCTCTCTCCCCATTCCTCTTCAACATAGTACTGGAAGTGCTATCCAAAGCAATCAGGCAAGAGAAATAAATAAAAGGCGTCCAGATAGGAAAAGAAGAGAGAAAAGTATCTCTCTTTGTGGATGATATGATTCTATACATAGAAAACCCTAAAGACTCCAACAAAGCCTCCTGGAATAAACAAATGACTTCAGCGACGTTTCAGGATACAAAATGAATGTGCAAAAATTAGTAGTATTTCTATAAACCAATAACATTCAGGCTAAGAACCAAATCAAGACTGCAATCCCACTTACAATAGCCACAAAAAATTAAAATACCTAGGAATACAGCTAACCAAGGAGGTGAAAGATCTCTACAAGGAGAACTATAAAACGCTGCTAAAAGAAATCAGAGAGGACACAAATAAATGGAAAAACATTCCATGCTCAGGGATTGGAAGAATCAATATCATTAAAATGGCCATACTGCCCAAAGCAATCTATCTACAGATTCAATGCTATTATTACCAAACTACCAATGTCATTTTTTTATAGAATTGGAAAAAAGTGTCCTAAAATTCATATGGAACAACAACAACAGAGAGCCCAAAAAGCAATCCTAAGCAAAAAGAACAAAGCCAGAGGCATCACATTACCTGGCTTCAAACTATACTAATAAGACTACAGTAACCAAAACAGCATGGTGCTAGTACGAAAACAGATACCTACACCAGTTGAACAGAATAGAGAGCTGAGAAATAAATCTGCACACTTACAGCCATCTAATCTTTGACAAAGTTGCCAAAAGTAAACAATGGGGAAAGGACTCCCTAGTGAATGAATGGTCCTGGGATAGCTGACTAGCCATATGCAGAAAAATAAAACAAGACACCTAACTTTTGCCACATACAAAAATTAACTCCAGATGGATTAAAGATTTAAATATAAGACCTTGAAGTAAAAGAATCCTAGAAGAAAATCTCAGAAACACCATTCTGGACATGGGCCTTGGGAAAGAATTTATGATTAAGTCCTCAAAAGCAATTACAACAAAAACAGAAATTGACAAGTGAGACCTAATTAAACTGAACAACTTCTGTACAAGAAAAGACACTATCAACAGATTAAATAGATAACCTACAGAATGAGATAAAATATTTGCAAATTATGCACCCAACAAAGGACTAATATCCAGAATCTATAAATAACTTAAACAACTGGACAAGGAAAAAACAACCCCATTGAAAAATGGGCAAAAGATATGAACAGACACTTCTCAAAAGAAGACATACAAGTGGCCAACAAATGTATGAAAAAAGGATCATCATTACTAATCATCAGAGAAATGCAAGTCAAAAACCACCCATGGTAGCTAACGCATGCAATCCCAGCACTTTGGGAAGCCGAGGCAGGTGGGTCACCTGAGGTCAGGAGTTAGAGACCAGCCTTGCCAATATGGCTAAACCCTGTCTCTACCAAAAATACCAAAATTAGCTGGGTGTGGTGGCAGGTGCCTGTAACCCTAGCTTCTCAGTAGGCTGAGGTAGGAGAATCACTTGAACCCAGGAGGCAGAGGTTGCAGCGAGCCAACATTGTGCCACAGCCTAGGTGACAGAGTGAGACTCTGTCTTAAAAAAAAAAAAAGAAACCCCAATGGGCTACCATCTCACACATCAGAATGGCTATTATCAAAAAGTCAGAAAGCAACAGATGTTGGTGGAGCTGAGGAGAAAAGGGAATGCTCATGCATGGCAGTGGGAATGTCAATTAGTTCAGCCTCTGTGGAAAGCAGTTTGGAGATTTCTCAAAGAACTTAAAACAGAACTACCATTTGGCCCAGCAACCCCATTACTGGGTATATATCCAAAAGAGAACAAATTATTCCTCCAAAAAGACACATGCACTCACATGTTCATTGCAGTACTATTCACAACAGCAAAGTCATGGAATTGACCTAGGTGCCCACCAACAGTGAATTGGATAAAGAAAATGTGGTACATATACTCCATGGAATGCTATGCAGTCATAAAAATGAAGAAAATCTTCAGTGCCATCCCCATCAAGCTACCAATGACATTCTTCACAGAATTGGAAAAAACTACTTTAAAGTTCACGTGGAACCAAAAAAGAGCCCGCATTGCCAAGTCAATCCTAAGCCAAAAGAACACAGCTGGAGGCATCACGCTACCTGACTTCAAACTATACTACAAGGCTACAGTAACCAAAACAGCATGGTACTGGTACCAAAACAGAGATATAGACCGATGGAACAGAACAGAGCCCTCAGAATTAATGCCACTTATCTACAACTATCTGATCTTTGACAAACCTGGCAAAAACAAGAAATGGGGAAAGGATTCCCTATTTAATAAATGGTGCTGGGAAAACTGGCTAGCCATATGTAGAAAGCTGAAACTGGATCCCTTCCTTACACCTTATACAAAAATTAATTCAAGTTGGATTAAAGACTTACATGTCAGACCTAAAACCATAAAATCCTTAGAAGAAAACCTAGGCAATACCATTCAGGACATAGGCATGGGCAAGGACTTCATGTCTGAAACACCAAAAGCAATGGGAACAAAAGCCAAAATAGACAAATGGGATCTAATTAAACTAAAGAGCTTCTGCACAGCAAAAGAAACTACCATCAGAGTGAACAGGCAACCCACAGAATGGGAGAAAATTTTTGCACCTACTCATCTGACAAAGGGCTAATATCCAGAATCTACAATGAACTCAAACAAATTTACAAGCAAAAAACAAACAACCCCATCAAAAAGTAGGCAAAGGATATGAACAGACACTTCTCAAAAGAAGACATTTATGCAGCCAAAAAACACATGAAAAAATGCTCATCATCACTGGCCATCAGAGAAATGCAAATCAAAACCACAGTGAGATGCCATCTCACACCAGTTAGAATGGCGATCATTAAAAAGTCAGGAAACAACAGGTGCTGGAGAGGATGTGGAGAAATAGGAACACTTTTACACTGTTGGTGGGACTGTAAACTAGTTCAACCATTGTGGAAGTCAGTGTGGCAATTCCTCAAGGATCTAGAACTAGAAATACCATTTGACCCAGCAATCCCATTACTGGGTATATACCCAAAGGACTATAAATCATGCTGCTATAAAGACACATGCACACGTAGGTTTATTGTGGCACTATTCCCAAGAGCAAAGACTTGGAACCAACCCAAATTTCCAACAATGATAGACTGGATTAAGAAAATGTGGCACATATACACCATGGAATACTATGCAGCCATAAAAAATGATGAGTTCATGTCCTTTGTAGGGACATGGATGAAGCTGGAAACTATCATTCTCAGCAAACTATTGCAAGGACAAAAAACCAAACACCTCATGTTCTCACTCATAGGTGGGAATTGAACAATGAGAACACATGGACACAGGAAGGGGAACATCACACACTGGGCACTGTTGTGGGGTGGGGGGCTGGGGGAGGGATAGCATTAGGAGATATACCTAATGCTAAATGACGAGTTAATGGGTGCAGCACACCAACATGGCACATGTATACATATGTAACTGACCTGCACGTTGTGCACATGTACCCTAAAACTTAAAGTATAATAATAAAAAAAAATAAATAAAAATAAAAAATAAAAGAAAATGAAGAAAATCATGTCATTTGCAGCAACATGGATTTGGCTAGAGGACTTTATCCTAGGCAAACAAATACAGAAACAGAAAATCAAATACCACATATTCTCACTCATAAGGGGGAGGTAAACACTGGGTACTGATGGACATAAAGATAGCAACAATAGACACTGGGGACTATTGGGGTGGTGAAGGAGGGAAGGGAGAAAGTGTTGAAAAACTGTTGAGTACTATTCTCAGTATCTGGGTAATGGGACCATTCATACCCCAAACCTCAACATCACACAATATACCCAGGTTACAAACTTGCACAAGTGCCCTCTGAATCTAAAATAAAAGTTGAAAAAGCAAAAATAAAACAGTAAACAACAACAACAACAAAACAGCAAAACCCTCAATAAATACATAAATAAAAATATAAATAAATGTCTTTGCCAGAGCTTTTTGTTTTTTGTGTGGCTTTGAGTTAGTATCTGGGGTCACGTTGCTTTTAAGCTGTTTGCTATCAACTGCATCCTATCTAATATTTCTTTTTCTTAATAGTAAACCACTCAATTTTTGTGAGGAGATATTACATTGTGGTTTTGATTTACATTTCTCTAATGATTTCCTTTCCAGTTTGGATGCTGAGCATTTTTTCTTATGTTTTTTGCCCATTCATATATAATTTTAAAAGAAATGTCTATTCAAATCCTTTTGCCATTTTAAAATCATATTATTTTTAAATATTGTGTTGTAGAAATTATTTATATATTCTGGATATTAACTCTTTATCAGATATATAATTTACTAATATTTTCTTCCATCCACAAGTTTTTTTTAACATTGTTATGTCCTTTAATGCATAAAAGTTTTAAAAAGTTTGATGTAGTCCCAATTGTCTATTTTTTCTTTTGTTGTCTGTACTTTTGGTGTCATATTAAAAAATAATTGCCATATCCCCTTATTCTAAGAGTTTTATAGTTTTAGATCTTCCATTTAAGTTTTAAATCCATTTTGAGTTAATTCTTGTATATGGCATAAGACAAAGTTTCAACTTCACTCTTTCATGTGTGGATATCCAAGTTTCCCAACACTGTTTGTTGAAGAGAATGTTCTTCCCTCATTGAGCGGATCTGGAATGCTGTAAATATTATTTGACCATATATGTGGAGTTTTCTTTTAATGGGTTCTTTATTCTATTCCATTGGTCTATATGTCTCTCTTTAAGCCAGTGTCATGCTGTTTTAATTACTGTAGTCTTGTAACATGTTTTGAGATCACGGAGCATGAGACCTTCAACTCAGTTAGTTTTCAAGATTGTCTAGTCAGAGTATATATGAATATTTAGATAAATTTTTCTCTTTTTTCAAAAAATGCAGCTTAGATTTTGATAGGGATTACATATAATTTGTAGACTGCTTTGGGTTCTATTGACTTTTCAAATTAATACATAATGTTGTACAGATTTGGGGAATACATCTGATATTTTGGAGATCTTAACATTAAATCTTCCAATCCATGAATACCAATGTCTTTACATTTATTTGTGACTTCTTTCAGTACTGTTTTGTAGTTTTCAGTGTACAAGCCTTTTATTTCCCTGGCTAAGTTTATTCCTAAGTATTTTACTATTTTTGATGGTATTGTAATTAAATTATTTTCTTAATTACCTTTGGATTGTTTATAGTTAATTTATAGAAAGGCAACTGATTTTTGTGTGTCGATTTTGGATCCTGCAACTTTCCAGAATTTGTTTAATAGTTCCAACAGTTTTCTGGATTTTATGCATATATGCATCTAACAGTTTTCTAGATTTTATGCAGGAGTCTAGGATTTTATGCATATAGGATCAAGTCATCTGTGAGCAGAGATAATTTTACTTTTTTCTTTTATTCTTTGGATGTCTTTTCTTGCTTAATTTTTTTTTCCTAATTGGTCTGCTTGGAAATTCAAATACTATATTGAATAGAAGCGAAGAGACAGAGTATACTTGTCTTGTTCCTAATCCAGAAGAAAAGTTTGAATCTTTTACCATTGAGTGTAAGTTTACCTGTGGATTTTTCATATATGGCCTTTATTATGTTATTTTCCTTCTATTCCTAGTTTGCTGAGTGTTTTCGTGATAAAAGGTGTTAAATTTTGTTAAACATTTTTTCTACATCAATATAAATGATCATGCTGTTTTGTCCTTTATTCTATTACTATAGTGTATTACATTGATTTTTGCATGTTGTATTATTCTTTTTTTTTGAGATGAAATCTCATTCTGTCATTCTGGCTGGAGTGCAGTGGCATGACCTCAGCTCACTGCAACATTTGCCTCCTGGGTTCAAGGGATTCTCCTGTCTCAGCCTCCCAAAGTGCTGGGATTACAGGCATGAGCCAGCACACCCTGCCACATGTTCTATCATTCTTGCATTCCAGGAATAAAGCCAACCTGATCATCACAAATATTGGTCTGTAGTTTTCTTTTCATGTAATGTCTTTGTTTGACTTTGAAATCAGGGTAATACTGGCCTCATATAATGAGCTTTGAAGTGTTTTTTATATTCATTTTTGTAAATGACTTTGAGAAACATTGGTTCTAATTCTTCCTTAAATGTTTGGTAGTCATCCGGTTCTGGGCTGTTGTTTGTTTGGAGGTTTTTGAACCAGTTTAATCTCCTTCGTAGTTATAAGTCTGTTCGTTTTTTCTACTTCTTCATGATTCACTCTTATTAGGTTGTATATTTCTAGAAATTTATGCACTTCTAAATTATCCAATTTGTTGACATATAATTAACTGTTGATGGTATTTTCTTATAATCCTTTTGATTTCTATGGCATGGGTTCTAATGTTCTCTTTTTTATTTCTGATTTATTAGTTGAATCTTTTTTCCTTAGTTAATCTAGCTAAGCATTTGTTAATTTTGTTGGTGTTTTCAAAAACCACCTCTTAGTTTTGTTGATTTTTTTCTATTGTTTTTATATTCTATATTTCATTTATCTCTGATTTAATCTAATCTTTAGGATTTTCCTCCTTCTGCTAGCTTTGGGTGTAGTTTTTTTTCTCTCCTAGTTTCCTGAGGTATAAAGTTAGGTTGTTGATTTGCAAACTTTCTTCTACTTCTTTTTTTTTTTTTCTTAAGTTGTGGAGATGGGGTCTTGCTTTGTTGCCCAGGCTGGTCTCAAATTCCTGGCCTCCAGAAGTTCTCCTCCCTCAGCCTGTCAAAGTGCTGGGATTGCAGGCATGACCCACCATGCCTAGCCACTTTCTTCCTTTTATAATGCACATATTTATAGCTATAAAATTCTCTGTTAGCACTGCTTCTGCTGCATCTTACACATTTTGGTACATTGTATTTTTATTTTCCTTTATCTCAAGATATTTTCTAACTTCCCTTGTGATTTCTTTTTTGACCCATTGCTTGTTGAAAACTGTGTTGTTTAATTTTCACATATTTGTGAATTTTTTGTTTTCCTTCTGCTACTGATGTCTAGTTTTATGTCATTTTCATCAAAATAGATATTTTGTATAATTTCAATCTTTTAAAATTTGTTACAAGTTTTTTTGTGGTATAACATGTGATTTATCTTTGGGAATATTCCATGTAAACTTGAGAAAAATACTATTCTGATTTTATTGGGTGGAATGTTCTGCACATGTTTGTTAGCACTATTTATAGTGTTGTTCAAGTACTGTATTTCCTTATCGATTTTCTGTCTTGTTGTTCTAGCCATTATTGTAAGTGAGGAATTGAAGTCGCCTACCATTATTATGCTGTTTATGTTTCCTCTCTGATCTGTCAATGTTTGCTTCAGATATTTAGGAGCTCTGGTATTAGAGGTATATATATTTGTAATTGTTATATCTTTCTGCTGAATTGACTTTTTGTTATATAATATCCATTTTTTTGTCTTGTGACTATTTTTGACTTTAAGTCTATTTTGTTGGATAGTAGTATAGTCACTTCTGCTTGCTTTTATTTACCATTTGCATGGCATTTACTTTTCCTTTTTTTCATTTTAAGCATATTTGTTTCTTAGACCTAAATGACAGGATAAAGTTGGATCCTTTTTACAAATCCATTTTCCAGTCTATATCTTTTGATTCAGGAGTTTAATCCATTTACATTTAAAGTAATTACTGATAGGGAAGGACCTACACTTGCCATTTTGTTGTTTCCTGTATGTTTTGTAAATTTTGTTTTTTATTCCTTCTCTTACTGACCTCTTTTGGGTTTTGTCGATTTTTTTTTGTGGTGACATTTTGATTCCCTTCCTGTTTCCTTTTGTGTGTATTCTATAGATTTTTTTATGGTTACCATAAGAATTATAAAAAACATCTTAAAGTGTTAACAAGCTATTTTAAACTGTTAAGAGAATAACTTCGACTGTGTACAAAAACTATTTCTTCAAAGCTCCTACCCTCACCTTAGGTTACTTATGTCACAAGTTACATCTTCATATGTAATGTATTCATTAACACAGTTTTATAGTTATTTTTAAGCTTTTGTCTTGTAAATTCTATACAAGAATTAAAAGTGCATTTATGTACCAAAACTGCATAGTACAGTCTCTATATATGTCCATATATTTATCTTTACTGGAGAGCTTTATATTTTCATAAGACTTCATGTTACTATTTAGCATCCTTTTGTTTCAACTTGCAAGATACTACAGCAGGTCCAGTGGTAATGAACTCCCCAGTTTTTGTTCATCCTGGAAAGGCTGATTTTTCCTTTATGTTTGAAGGATGGTTTTGCTGGATATAATATTTTTGGTTGAAATTTTCTTTTCTTTCAGCTCTTTGAATATATTATCCCCCTGCCTTCTGGCCTGCAAGGTTTCTGTTGATAAATCCACTGATAATTTTATAAAGGCTTCCTTTTACATGACAAGTTACTTTCTTTTGCTGCTTTCAAGATTGTCTCTTTGTCTTTGACTTTTGAGAGTTTGATTATAGTGTGTCTCACTGTGAGTCTCTGGGTTTTCTTTAACATTTTTTTTTTGTTCATATCTTCTGATGATGAATTCCTTTAACTTTTATATTTGTGAAATGTTTTTTCTTCATTTTCAGAAGGTATTTTTAGTGAGTGTAAAATTCTACATTGACAGTTTTTTTCTTTCAGTACTGTTTAGTGTTTCTCTACTGTCTTCTTGCTTGTACTGATTGTATAGAAACTCTGCTGTAATTCTTATCTTTGTGTCTTTGTACTTAATGTGCCTTTTTACTCTGCCTGTTTTTAAGATTTTATTTTTATTATTGATTTTGATCATGTGGCTTGGTGTGAGTTTCTTCATATTTATTGTGCTTGGGGTTCATTGAGCTTATTAAGTCTGTAGGTTTATATTTTTCATTACATTTAGAAAAATTGTAGCCATTATTCATTCAAATTTTTTTCTGTTCTTCTCCCATTTCTCATGCCCTTATGGGGTCTAATTATATGTATATTAGGCTATTTGAGGTTGTCTTACAGCTCACTTACAGTTCTTATGTTTATTTTTCCACTTCTATTTCATTTGGGCAGGTTTATTATACTTTTCCCTAATTTGCTAATTTTTTTGCAATGTCTAATCCACTGTTAATCTCATCCAATGTATTATTAATTTCAGACATTGTAGTTTTCATCTCTAGAAATTGTTCATCTTTTTATATCTTCTTTGTCTCTATTTGATATGCTAAGTCTTTTCTCTAGCTTCTTGAGCATATGAAATATAGTTATGACAACTATTTTATTTTATTACAACTTTTACCTTAGGTTCAGAGGTACATGTGCAGGTTTGTTATGTAGGTAAACTCGTGTCACAGGAGTTTGTTTATTATTTCATCACTCAGGTACTAAGCCTAGTACCCAATAGTTGTTTTTCTGTTCCTCTCCCTTCTCCTACCCTCCAACTTCAAGTAGGCCCCAGTGTTTATTGTTCCTCTCTTTGTATCACTACTATTTTAATGTCTCTACTAGTTCTCTTATTTTTGTCATTTCTGAGTTGATTTTATTTTTCTCACTATGGCCATATTCTCCTACTTCTTTGAATATCTGGTATGCAAATTATACCTAGTATGGATATTATATCAAGACCCTGTCGCAATATGGATACCTAAAAGAAAATAACAATGTTTACCAGTTTGCTCTAAGCCTTTCTTAGCTCTTTTGCTTGTTTCTCAAGAACAAGCACAGAGGGTGGAGCTCAACCAAGACTGAAGTTAAAGATGTAGAAAGATTGAGATGGGAAGTAATTAAGTTGAGGAGCTCTGATACAATGGTATTTCTCTTTTTAATCATGTAAGATGCAAGCCCAAGATAATATGTTGGGAAAGTTGAAGGCGAATGTCTTGAGAAATATGAAATGCACCCAAGGCTATGGCTGGGTGATAGAAATAACTAAAAAGTTTTAAAAGGATTGTTTTATAGCTGGTCCTTGCTGAGGTTAGGGGATAGGCCTGGAAAAATTGAGCAGTGGTATTGCCCAGGCAGGACTCCTCATGACATTCTCCAGATCCCTAAGTTTTTCCAAGTTTCCAAGCATTTCCTTGGCCAGCAAGTCATCTCGCAGCACAGATCCTACTCTCTTTCAGTCAGTCATTCCACAACTCTACAAAGCATTTTTCTCCATCAAATGGGAACTTTTGGGGTTCTGCATAATTTTTCAGGGTTCCACCACTTTTGACTCTTTCTGGATACCTTGTAAGGATATTATAACTCTTTAATTCATGTCCTTGATTTTCTCTTTTAACTTTTAATACTGTTCATTGCCTGTTTACCTCTTTCACCCTCTTCTTTTCACTTCCGCCCTCTTTCTTGTGTAAGTATATAATCATCCTTTTTTTCTTCCTCGAATCTCAGTTCTCGGGAGTAACATATACAATTCATTCTTACTTCCAGTCTTTTATTCCTAAGTTCCTTATCTCTAGTTCTCTTGCATATTTGTGGCAATTATTAGTTTTTTTCCAAAAATCCATTCTCCCTTTTTCCTGTACATGTATCTTTCCAGCTTGACCACATTTCCCAGCTTCCCTGGCAGCTAGGTGAAGCAATGTAACTAAACTTTTGCCTGTAAAATATGAGCAGAAGTTATGTGCACAATATCTGCCTCACTTGCTTAAAATAAATTGTATTATTTGAGCTTTCTATATTGTCCCTTTTTACAACTAAAATGTAGAGGTTATGGCAACTTTTATGGTAAAGAGAATCATCACGTAGGAGATCAAGAATCATTGATTTGAGAGGAACCTAAATCCTTTAATGACTTAGTGGAGCAAGACTGCCCCATCAGTCTGGAAGCTACCCCACAACTTATGTATATCTTCAGATTGTTGAGCAAAAGAGAAAAAATGAAGCCACTATATATTTAGGTCTCTTCATGTTAACAGTTTAGCTTTTAACCTAACACACATTTATTCCTGAATGGTAGCATATTATTAACATCACAGGAAGGGAATTCCTTGTTCATGGATCTTTTATTTTGTTGAAATAAAGGTAATCTGCTTGGGCTTAATACTGCCAAGGCAGAATTTTTTGGAATAATTATTTCTATAGATGACCCATTCATAATGACAACTAACATGGTTTCTAAAATGGATTCATGTACGTCATCTTATTTAGTCCCCGCAAAAATTCTGAAGGTAGGTATAATTATTCCCATTCTATATATTGAAAAATTGGGATTCAGAGAGACTACGGACTTATACAAGTTTCTGCAGCTATTTAAGAAACAGAGTAAAGTCTCAAAGCCATTAATGAACTGTTTAGTTTAGTGCTGCTTAGTAAAATTAGAACTGTTTGAAGTGCGTTTTAATAGTAAACCCATCGATATTTAGTCAGCTCTCTGCTTGCTAACTAATATGGAAGAAAAAACATACATCTACGTACATCCTGAATTGGGAGAAGGGAAATAAAATATTGCCAATCCCCTTTCCTGTATTAGGTACTGTGATAAGGCGATAAGGCTTTTCATTATTATAAATGAGTCCTGGAGAGGTTAAGCGCAGTCACCCAAAGTCACATGACCAGTAACTTTCAGAGATTTTACCCCAGGTCTGGAAAGACTCTGAAGCCCATGTTATTGCCTCCAGAGCCTGGTGGAGAACCCCTGAATGGGACAGAGACTCAGCAGACAGAGTGGTCCTTTCCTTCCAGGGAGTCAGGGAAGGTTTGGTAGGGGAGATAGAGTTAGATCTGGGTGGGATTTGGATGAAATGAGATCAAGCAGGGATAAATAAGATCCAAGCTGTTTATGAGGGACAGGGAGAGGCCAGCTCTGTTAGAAAGAGTGGTTTATACAGAGAAGCATGGAAACATTTGCTCCATGCCTCGCCTTCCATGGATAGCAGTCCAGAAATGCTACTTGCCTGCCTGACAGTCTTTCTCCAGTCCCCAGGTGTGGACACGTTCTGAGCACCTGAGCCTGGGTCTGCCCTGACCCAGATTCTGTGAGCTGGGACAGAGAATGTGTCCTGCTGTCCCTCCTCCCCCACTTGGGCCCACACCCTTTTCTACACATTTGGATTAGAAATCTGAATTGGCCTTTCTGTGAACCCCAATGACAGGCAAGTCCCCAGTAAAGAAGCACTTAATTTAATTGCTCCTTCAGGGTCCACTTAGAGTAATAGTTGTGAACAGCTCTCCCTAGTGTCTCCCACAGGCAGTGACAAATGTTGCTAAAGATAAGTCACAAATTCTTGGCAAGGCCATCTTAAATATGGGAAGGAAACCTTGTTCAGTCCTGAACAGTCCTGTTCAGACTGATCTTATCACAGGTTGCACACTGCCTCAATGTCACCATGTTTCTACCCTCAGTTGTGCTTGGCAGAGAGAGGACAGCTATACATAAAGTCTGTTCACTCTACAAAGGTGAAATCATTTTTTTTAAGGTAATTATGATTGTTCTGAGGATGGTGATTGAGTGACATTTAAAAAATGGGAAAAGTTCTACTCATAACTCTGTCTGCTTAATTTGCTTATATAAAAGACTTAATGGTTTTTGTTGAGTTGATCCAGAGTCAGTAACATTTGAATATGTGTTATTACCATTTGATCAGTAACAAAACAACAGGGTAAGTGGGATGCCAAATGTGGCTGAGAGTTTAGGGTTTACATTCCACACCCCAGCCTTAAATACGTTTGTATAAATTATTGGTTGATTTTTCTTTTTCATGGCTTTTCTTTGACATTTGATGGGGCTGGATTTATGGAGGCAACCAACAAATTACACAGCAATGAATTCTGGACTGTAGTCCCACAGCCTTGAGCCTAGATACTAGCTGTGTCACTAATACTCTGTGTGACCAGGGTAAGTTATTTAGATACATTTATGACTTTCCAAATCAATAGGTTGGACAAAGTTATCTTCAAAATGTCTTTCAGATTTGACCCTGAACATATGCGATTCTGGCATGTTCTGATTTTTAGTTTTCTGTTCTTGAAGCATGTCTACAATAGAAATGCCTACCTTCATATACAATAAAAGGACATTAGATTAATATGGTGTCTGTGAAAATCATTGAACAGCTTTAGAGATAAAAATAATGAAATGAGTCAAGTTCTCCATTATTAATTAAATCTTTTAAATTTTCTGTTTATGAAACTATGAACAATAAATTGGAACAAAGATATAATCTCACTACAAGTAAATTGTATTTTATGTAAAATATAATTTGTCTTTAGAAAATACTCAATGAAATTACCTTTTTAATTTCAGAGATTTTGAGGACTATTATTGTTATTTCTTTAAAGTGATAAATGTAATCCAAGATGCCTTTTTTCCCCCTTCAGAAGCTTGAGTGCCCAAGGGTTTGATAAATGTGGAAAATAACCGCTGTTCGAATATCCTGTTGGCCTGCTGGTGAGATGTCATCGTGTTGTCTGAATGCAGTATGTGTTTAAACTTGCCATTTATTACCTGAAATTGTGTTATTTTGCCTCATACCCTTAGTAATACTCTTGTAATGCTGGCTGAGAATTGAAGCAAATGCCCTATGAAACTCAAGGGAGCAAGGTCTTTGTTATTTTTCAGAAGAAATGACTGGCTGAGGCTGTAAAGAAATCTTGTGGTCATTCTCATGGAAAGAGGATTGGAGCCCCGATTCTTTGATCTCATTATTGACCAGTTGATTGAGAAGACTGTCCTCCTGTCCCCACCCAATCACAATAAGTGGGTAATTACCTGAGGGCTAATTTGCTCCTTGAATGTGAATACATTTGTGGAAATTTCCTTGTGCTCAGCACCTGTTCAAAACATCCATTTGTATTGCAGAGCTATTGTTTTTCTAATCTCATTGTGGAGCTAAGAGAGAGATTGTGTTTAAGGTTTCCTTCGTAATAGGTTTTCTTGCTCCAGGAAGGATGCGTGACAGACTCTGCACACTGCTGCTTGGTAGGTGTTCAGTGATGGATGCGTTTTCCATCTCCCAGGTACAGCTGCAGCTGTGCTGACTCTGGTGCGTTTGTAATATGCACTGTGGAGTGCACCATGATTTCATGATGGCTGGAGAAATCTGGTGGCTAGAATTCTAGGGAGGAGGACATGAGTCGGAAGTGCAGAAACCTCACACTGGGACATTGATGGAGAAAATCCAATTCTGTCCCTGGAGTTAAAGAGGAGTCACTCACTGGGCCATCATAAGAGCAAATAAAGTTACAGTTATTTCTTCAGATCCACAACTCAAACTCAGCGAAAGTAATTATTCACTCTTTTTGTCCCAAACAATAATGAAATCAGCTAAAGCATATTGTATTTATTACTTCCACTCAAGTTATTGAGCTGTTCTGACACCTTGTTGCTGGGAAGATACACAGATGGAACACCATCATTTCCATTGATTCTGATCATACCCCACGCTAATATAGCCTTATTGCTCTGAGTCATAGGGATTTTATGCTTGCCTATTCAAAAAACAGTTTTTACCTTATTAAAAGGTGATATGACCTGAGCTGGAGATGATGTTTGGTCATTTTGTGTAAACCTTTTAATATTTTAGTGGTAAATACATTTCTTGAATCTTGACAAAAACATAATTAAAATGAACATATTTAAAATGGACATCTTCCAAATGTTCATTTTTAAAACAAACATCTTCCAAATGTTCATTTTTAAAATGAATATCTTCGTTAACTTTTTTTTTTTTTTTTGAGACGGAGTCTCGCTCTGTCACCCAGGCTGGAGTGCAGTGGCGCGATCTCGGCTCACTGCAAGCTCCGCCTCCCGGGTTCACGCCATTCTCCTGCCTCAGCCTCCAGAGTAGCTAGGACTACAGGCGCCCGCCACCACGCCCGGCTAATTTTTGTATTTTTAGTAGAGACGGGGTTTCACCGTGTTAGCCAGGAAGGTCTCGATCTCCTGACCTTCTGATCCACCCTCCACGGCCTCCCAAAGTGCTGGGATTACAGGCGTGAGTCACCACGCCCAGCCTCTTCCTTAACTTTTAATGAATAAAGAGTTGAAAGGGAAAAACCAAATGTGCACTATGCTGATTTTATCTTGAGCTGTACAGAATGTGCAGTAACTTAAGAATATAAGTCATTCTGCTGTTATTCATACTAGCCTATTCTTTAGCATTATTTAAACACACATATTTGAGTGTCTACACACTGCCTGCTAGGCAGGGGGCTGGGTGCCAAGAAGGGATGTCCAGAGATAAACGGGCATATGTGTTAATCTTTTAGGGCACAGTCCAGTAACCTGATCAAGGAGTGACGTGTATTGTGTACTAGGATAGAAGTCAGTATCAGAGGAAACACAAAGGAAAGAGTGGTACTTTCTCCCCAGGGAAGGGATGCTCAGAAAGAGGGGGCTGATTATGTCCCTGGTTCATGAGAAAAAGGGCATTCCTGGCTCAGGGAGTGGGAAGAACAAAACCAAGAAATCCTGGAATGGCTTGGTGCATCAGCCAGTCTGTGAGTGCAGGGCATGGCTGGAGTTCTGGCTTTAAGATGAGTGGGAAGAAAGGCTGGAGAGGAGGTGGATCCAGGAAAAGTTGCTGGGAGCATTTATTCTTTTGGCAATGGGAAGCCATGGAAGAACTGTTGTAAGGAGGATTCTGTGTGATACATCTGCCTTTTAGAGAGGTCATTTTATAGAAAAAGTAGAAAATACAGACCAGCAAAAATTTAAAAAGTGAAAACAATCACTGTTCAAGCTCTGGTCTAGCACTCACCAGTGTTTTTCCTACAGGTGCATATACAAACATGCTTTTACATTTTATTTTTATTTTAAATTTTTCACTATCCTCAATATCAGTGGAAACAAATCTGCTTTTTTAATTTTTTTTTTAAAAATGAGATCCTATTGTACACATTATTTTAAATTTTTTTTCATTCTTTCCTTTTTTTAAAATTAAAACAATTTTTTTTGAGACAGTCTCACTCTGTCGCCCAGGCTAGAGTGCAGCATCGTGGTCTCAGCTCACCGAAACCTTGCCTCCCAGGTTCAAGCGATTCTCCTGCCTCAGCCTTCCAAGTAGCTGGGATTACAGACATCCACCACCACCGTGTCAGGTTAATTTTTGTATTTTTAGTAGAGAATGGGGTTTCACCATTTTGGACAGGCTGGTCTTGAATTCCTGGCTTCAAGTGATCTGCCTGCCTCGGCCTCCCAAAGTGTCATTCTCCTTTTAAAAGCATCAGTAAAACACTTCCAAAGCATTACTTTGATAATTAGACAGCATTTATATCAATTTACCATAATATACTCACGTTTAAGGGTATAGATTGTTTTAAATTTCCACTATTATAAATAGTGCTGCTCTGACACCTTCAGGATGCTTTTTATTATTCCTTAGGATACATTTCTGGAAGAGGAAGTTCCGGCTCAAATGGAATACATATTTTAAAAGGCCTGCATCTTTGCAGCCATTCTAATGCTAGTTAATATCATGCTTTTCTAACTTTGCCAGATCATGGATGATGAAGACTAGATCATGGATTTAATTTGCATTTGTTTGAGGTTGAATGATGCTTCATGAGTTTAACTGGCCAACTGTATTTATTTTTTATAAACTGAGTGTTCACGCCTTTTTTCTACTGTAATATTGGGGTGTTTATCTTAATCAATATGCCCTAATGCATCTCTATCTTTCATGCAGTGATGTGAGGTGTGGAAGAAACACGGGAGCAGCCTTCCTCAGGACACCTCTTGTTTATCTCTCTAGCTCTGAAATCACATGAAGCTGTGGATGGAGAGTCACCTGATAGTCCCAGAAACCCGTCCCAGCCCAAGGATGATGAGTAACCAGACGTTGGTAACCGAGTTCATCCTGCAGGGCTTTTCGGAGCACCCAGAATACCGGGTGTTCTTATTCAGCTGTTTCCTCTTCCTCTACTCTGGGGCCCTCACAGGTAATGTCCTCATCACCTTGGCCATCACGTTCAACCCTGGGCTCCACGCTCCTATGTACTTTTTCTTACTCAACTTGGCTACTATGGACATTATCTGCACCTCTTCCATCATGCCCAAGGCGCTGGCCAGTCTGGTGTCGGAAGAGAGCTCCATCTCCTACGGGGGCTGCATGGCCCAGCTCTATTTCCTCACGTGGGCTGCATCCTCAGAGCTGCTGCTCCTCACGGTCATGGCCTATGACCGGTACGCAGCCATCTGCCACCCGCTGCATTACAGCAGCATGATGAGCAAGGTGTTCTGCAGCGGGCTGGCCACAGCCGTGTGGCTGCTCTGCGCCGTCAACACGGCCATCCACACGGGGCTGATGCTGCGCTTGGATTTCTGTGGCCCCAATGTCATTATCCATTTCTTCTGCGAGGTCCCTCCCCTGCTGCTTCTCTCCTGCAGCTCCACCTACGTCAACGGTGTCATGATTGTCCTGGCGGATGCTTTCTACGGCATAGTGAACTTCCTGATGACCATCGCGTCCTATGGCTTCATCGTCTCCAGCATCCTGAAGGTGAAGACTGCCTGGGGGAGGCAGAAAGCCTTCTCCACCTGCTCTTCCCACCTCACCGTGGTGTGCATGTATTACACCGCTGTCTTCTACGCCTACATAAGCCCGGTCTCTGGCTACAGCGCAGGGAAGAGCAAGTTGGCTGGCCTGCTGTACACTGTGCTGAGTCCTACCCTCAACCCCCTCATCTATACTTTGAGAAACAAGGAGGTCAAAGCAGCCCTCAGGAAGCTTTTCCCTTTCTTCAGAAATTAACTTGTGTCTTCTGAAGTTTTTGTCCTTGGAGACTGCAGTTTTAGTGGAGTCTGATGAGCAAGTTTCTGGACTGGGAGGTAAATAGACTTGTTTTTTCTAACCCAGCAGAACCTGTGCATGGATGAGCTGGGAGTGCTGGTTCCCTGAGACTTGGTGATGGGGGGATTGCGGTAGGTGTGACCCACCAGCCTCTGAGACACCAGATCTCTTGGTCTGACTCCAAGGTGGTGTCAGTGCTGAGTTGGCAGAGAAACACAGGGCCTAGGAGGAGAAAAGTGTTCCTTGTGTTTTCAACTCATAGCCACATCAAACATTTTCCTTTTGTATGTACAACACTCAGGGTGTAAATTCTAAAATCACACCTAGAATTCAGCTGTGTGGGTCTAAAAAGTTAGGCAGAATTGTGGACCCCACAGCCCCTGAAGGGTTGTCAGACTGAAGCTTTGTTTTAAGGTGACCACTGGCCTCTAGGAAACCTTCTACCCCCATTATCTTACCTCAACTGTTTCCTCTGGAGCCACTTGGACTTCAAAAATAGTTTGATTTTAATGCAAACTGTTGTTTCTGCTTTTGTCTTTTCTTCTTACTAACACTTCAGATTCTGAGTATCTGACCTACCTAATTGGCCTGGAGCGAGGACAGCTGCCATGAGTCAGCTCTAATAAGTTAAACGGCATTGTAGTAAGGCATTGCTATCCTTCCATTGTTTCAGATAAAACTGGGTGAACGAATCCTCTGTGTCTAATAAAGACAGGTCTTGTGCTTGTGCTCCATGCTATTACAAAACTGCACTGGAAAATCCATTATCTTTATCATGATCCATTAAAGATGACAGAACTAAGATGTGAATGTTTAGTTGTATCTTGGAATTGAATAGAAACATATCATTCGATATGTGTGTGAAGCTGAGAGTAGAGTTTGATATTTGATTTAGATGGGATGGTTCTTCATCCAGTATTCTCATTATCATTCATCAGAAGCTCATTGACTCAAGTATTTGATGAATTGTAGCTGACTGTAGCTTTGGCACGTAGATTCTTACAGACAGTTTAATCTCTTCTAAGTGAATTCTGAGTCCCAAATAACATGTTGAAACCCTCAGTGGTCTCACTTTCCAATAAACATGGCTTTGAAAACCAGCACCAATGACCCTGTATGATTACTCAGAGGTTTTCAACATGTAATGAAGAGAGTTTATAGTGTTACTCATCTTAATTTCTTATCATTTTTTACATTTTCTATATTTTACAATGGATTTGAAAAGTAAAAAAGACTTAGACATGCATTGAGAGTTTAAGAGAGCATTAGTAATTCAGCAAAATAGAAATATAAGACTTGATTGACATTCTTACAAAGCTGGTAATCTAATTAAACAGACTTGCACTTATGATGATGAATATAAAAAGAAAGACATAAAGAGTGTTGCATTTTGGAGGATCTGGCAAGATGGCCAAATAGGAAGAGCTCCGGTCTGCAGCTTCCAGCAGACCAACATAGAAGGTGGGTGATTTCTGCATTTCCAACTGAGGTACCCTCTTCATCTCATGGGGCTGGTTAGGCAGTGGGTGCAGCCCACAGAGGGCTAGCAGAAAGAAGCAGAGTGAGGCATAGCCTCACCCGGGAAGCGCAAGGAGCCAGGGGCCTCCCTCCTGCAGCCAAGGGAAGCTGAGGGACTGTGTTATCCAGCCCAGATACTACACTTTTTGCATGGGGTTTGCAATCCACAGACCAGGAGATTCCATCATGTGCCTATAGCGCCAGGGCTTTGGGTTTCAAGCACAAAACTGGGCAGCTCTTTGGGCAGACACTAAGCTAGCTGCAGGAGTTTTATTTTATTTTTATACTCCAGTGGCACCTGGAATGCCAGCAAGACAGAACCGTTCACTCCCCTGGAAAGGGAACTGAAGCCAGGGAGCCAAGTGGTCTCGCTCAGTGGGTCCCACTGTCATGAAGTCCAGCAAGCTAAGAACCACTGGCTTGCAATTCTTGCTGCTAGCGCAGCAGTCTGAAGTCAACCTGGGATGACCGAGCTTGGTATGGGGAGGGGTGTCTGCCATTACTGAAGCTTGAGCAGGTGATTTTCCCCTGACAGTGCTAAGGAGGCTGGGAAGTTGGGAGTGGGTGGAACTCCCCACAGCCCAGCAAAGAGGCTGTGGCCAGACTGCCTCTCTAGATTCCTCCTCACTGGGCAGGGCATCTCTGAAAGAAAGGCAGCAGCTCCAGTCACGGGCTTATAGATAAAACTCCCATTTCCCTGGGACAGAGCATCGGGGGAAGGAGCAGCTGTGGGTGCAGCTCCAGCCGACTTAAATGTTCCTGCCTGCTGGCTCTGAAGAGAGCAGATTCACCCAGATTCACAAGGAGGATTCACCCAGCACAGTGCTTGAGCTCTACTAAGGGACAGACTGACTACTCAAATGGGTACTTGACCCCCATGCCTCCTGACTGGGAAAGACCTTCCAACAGGGGTTGACAGACACCTCATACAGGAGAACTCTGGCTGGCATCAGGCTGGTGCCCCTCTGGGAGGAAGCTTCCAGAGGAAGGAACAGGGAGCAATCTTTGCTGTTCTGCAGCCTCCACTGGTGATACCCAGGCAAATGGTCTGGAGTGGACCCCCAGCAAACTTCAGCAGACCTGCAGAAGAGGGGCCTGACTGTTGGAAGAAAAACTAACAAACAGACAGCATTAACATTAATATCAACTAAAGCAACCCCCACGCAAAACCCCCATCCGAAGATCATCAGCCTCAAAGATCAAAGGCAGATAAACCCACAAAGATGAGGAAAAATCAGCGCAAATATGCTGAAAATTCCAAAAACCAGAATGCCTCTTCTCTTCCAAATGATCGCAACTCCTCTCCAGAAAGGGCACAAAACTGGTTGGAGAATAAATGTGATGAATTGTCAGAAGTAGGCTTCAAAAGGTGGGTAATAACAAACTCCTCTGAGCTAAAGGAGCATGTTCTAACCCAATGCAAGGAAGCTAAGAACCTTGATAAAAGGTTACAGGAACTGCTAACTAAAATAACCAGTGTAGAGAAGAACACAAATGACCTGATGGAGCTGAAAAACACAGCATGATAACTTAGTGAAGTATACACAAGTGTCAATAGCTGAATCAATCAAGCAGAAGAAAGGATATCAGAGATTGAAGATCAACTTACTGAGATAAGGTATGAAGACAAGATTGGAGAAAAGAGAATGAAAAGGAATGAACAAACCTTCCATGAAATATGAGACTATGTGAAAAGACCAAACCTAAGATTGATTGGGGTAACTGAAAGTGATGGGGAGAATGGAATCAAGTTGGAAAACACACTTCAGGATATTATCCGGGAGAACTTCCCCAACCTAGCAAGACAACCCAACATTCAAATTCAGAAAATACAGAGAACACCACTAAGATACTCCTTGAGAAGAGCAACCCCAAGACATATAATCATCACATTCTCCAAGGTTGAAATGAAGGAAAAGATGTTAAATGTCAGAGAGAAAAAAGTCAGGTTATTCACAAAGGGAAGTCCATCAGACTAACAGCAGATCTCTCTGTAGAAACCCTACAAGCCAGAAAAGAGTGGGGCCAATATTCGACATTCTCAAAGAAAAGAATTTTCAAGTCAGAATTTCATCACCAGCCAAACTAAGCTTCATAAAAGAAGGAGAAATAAAATCCTTTACAGACAAGCAAATGCTGAGAGATTTTTGTCACCATGAGGCGACACCATAAGGCAGGCCTTACAAAAGCTCCTGAAGGAAGCACTAAATATGGAAAGGAAAAACCGCTACCAGCCACTGCAAAAACACAGCAAAATATAAAGACCAATGACTCTATGAAGAAACTACATCAACTAATGTGCAAAATAACCAGCTAGCATCATAATGACAGGATCAAATTCAAACATAACATTAATATATATATAGGCTAAATGCCCTAATTAAAAGACACATGCTGGCAAATTGGATAAAGAGTCCAGACCCATCAGTGTTGTGTATTCAGGAGACCCATCTCATGTGCAAAGACACACATAGGCTCAAAATAAAGGGATAGAGGCTCAAAATAAAGGGATGGAGGAATATTTACCAAACAAATAGAAAGAAAAAAAGCATGGTTGCAATCCTAGTCTCTGGTAAAACAGACTTTAAGCCAACAAAGATCAAAAGAGACAAAGAAGGACATTACATAATGGTAAAGGGATCAATGCAACAAGAAGAGCTAACTATCCTAAATATATATGCACCCAATATAGAAGCACCCAGATTCATAAAACAAGTTCTTAGAGACTACAAAGAGACTTAGACTCCCACACAATAATAGTGGGAGACTTTAACACCTTACTAACAATATTAGGCAGATCAACAAGACAGAAAATTAACAAGGGTATTGAGGAACTCAGCTCTGGACCAAAAAGACCTAATAGGCATCTACAGAACTCTCCACTCCAAATCAACAGAATATACATTCTTCTCAGCAACACATAGCACTTATTCTAAAATCAACCAAATAATTGGAAGTAAAACACTCCTCAGCAAATGCAAAACAATGGAAATAATAACAAACAGCCTCTCAGACCACAGTGGAATCAAATTAGAACTGCGGATTAAGAAACTGACTCAAAACCACACAGCACATGGAAACTGAACAATCTGCTCTGGAATGCCTACTGGGTAAATAACGGCAGAAATTAAGGCAGAAATAAAGAACTTCTTTGAAACCAATGAGAACAAAGAGACAATGTACTAGAATCTCTGGAACACAGATAAAGCAGTGTTAAGAGGGAAATTTTAGCACTAAATGCCCATATCAGAGTGGGAAAGATCTAAAATCAACACCCTAACATCACAATTAAAAGAACTAGAGAAGTGAAAGCAAAAGAGAAAGAGACACACATAAAAACCCTTTAAAAAAATTGGTGAATCCCGGAGCTGGTTTTTTGAAAAGATTAACAAACTAGATAGACTGCTAGCCAGACTAATAAAGAAGAAAAGAGAGAAGAGTCAAATAGACATAATAAAAATGATAAAGGGGATATCACCACTGATCCCACAGAAATACGAACTATCATCAGAGAATATTATAAACATCTCTATGCAAATAAACTAGAAAATCTAGAAGAAATGGATAAATTCCTGGACACATACACCCTCCCAAGACTAAACCAGGAAGAAGTTGAATCCCTGAATAGACCAATAACAAGTTCTGAAATTGAGGCAGGAATTAATAACCTACCAACCAAAAAAGCCCAGGACAGGACAAATTCACAGGCAAATTCTACCAGAGGTACAAAATGGTACTGGTACCATTCCTTCTGAAACTATTCCAAATAATAGAAAAAGAGAGACTCCTCCCTAACTCATTTTATGAAGCCAGTATCATCCTGATACCAAAATCTGGCAGTGACACAACAAAAAAAGAAAATTTCAGGCCAATATCCCTGATGAACATTGATGCAAAAATTCTCAGTAAAATACTGGCAAACCGAATCCAGCAGCACATCAAAAAGCTTATCCACCAGGATCAAGTCAGCATCATCCCTGGGATGCAAGGCTGGTTTAACACACGCAAATCAATGAATATAATCCATCACATAAACAGAACCAATGACAACAACCACATGATTATCTCAATAGATGCAGAAAAGGCCTTTGATAAAATTTGACACCGCTTCATGCTAAAGCCTCTCAATAAACTAGGTATTGATGGAACATATCTCAAAATATTAAGAGCAATTTATCACAAACCCACAGCCAATATCATACTGAATGGGCAAAAACTGGAAGCATGCCCTTTGAAAACTGGCACAAGACAAGGATGTCCTCTCTCACCACTCCTATTCTACATAGTGTTGGAAGTTCTGGCCAGGGCAATCAGGCAACAGAAAGAAATAAAGGGTATTCAGTTAGGAAAAGAGGAAGTCA
Source organism: Homo sapiens (assembly GCF_000001405.40). Classification (NCBI taxonomy): domain Eukaryota; kingdom Metazoa; phylum Chordata; class Mammalia; order Primates; family Hominidae; genus Homo; species Homo sapiens. The sequence goes on along the minus strand of NC_000010.11, from coordinate 45,297,517 downwards.
AATTGTCTCTGTTTGCAGATGACATGACTGTATATTTAGAAAACCCCATCATCTCAGCCCAAAATCTCCTTAAGCTGATAAGCAAAGTCTCAGATACAAAATCAATGTGCACAAATCACAAGCATTCCTATACACTAATAATAGACAAGCAGAGAGCCAAATCATGAGTGAACTCCCATTCAAAATTGCTACAAAGAGAATAAAATACCTAGGAATGCAACTTACAAGGGATGTGAAGGACCTCTTCAAGGAGAACTACAAATCACTGCTCAAGGAAATAAGAGAGGACACAAACAAATATCCCATGCACATGGCTAGGAAGAATCAATTTCATGAAAATGGCCATATTGCCCAAGGTTATTTATAGATTCAAGCTATTCCCATCAAGCTATGATTGACTTTCTTCACAGAATTGGATAAAACTACTTTAAATTTCATATGGAACCAAAAAAGAGCCCATATAGCCAAGAAAATCCTAAGCCAAAAGAACAAAGCTGGAGGCATAATGTTGCCTGACTTCAAACTATACTACAAGGCTACAGTAAACAAAACAGCATGGTATTGGTAACAAAACAGATATATAGACCAATGGAATAGAACAGAGGCCTCAGAAATAAAACCACATGTGGCCAGGTGTGGTGGCTCATGCCTGTAATCCCAGTGCTTTGGGAGACTGAGGCAGGCAGATCACAAAGTCAGGAGTTTGAGACCAGCCTTGCCAATATTGTGAAACCAATTCTCTAACAAAAATACAAAAAGTTAGCGAGGCATGGTGGTGGGCACCTGTAGTCCCAGCTACTCGGGAGGCTGAGGCAGGAGAATTGCTTGTGCCTATGAGGTAGAGGTTGCAGTGAGCCAAGATCACACCACTGCATTCCAGCCTGGGTGACAGAGCGAGACTCTGTCTCAAAAAAAAAAAAAAAAGAAAAGAAAAGAAAAAGAAAAAGAAATTACACAACACATCTACAACCATCGAATCTTTGACAAACCTGAGAAAAACAAGCAATGGGGAAAGGATTCCCTAGTTAATAAATAGTGCTGGGAAAGCTGGCTAGCCATATGCAGAAAACAGAAACTGGACCCCTTCCTTGTACCTTATACAAAAATTAACTAAATATAGATTAAAGACTTAAACATAAAACCTAAAACCATAAAAACCATAGAAGAAAACCTAGGCAATACCATTCAGGACATAGGCATGGGCAAAGACTTCACGACTAAAATACCAAAAGCAATGGCAACAAAAGCTAAAATTGACAAATGGGATCTAATTAAACTAAAGAACTTCTGCACAACAAAATAAACTATCATCAGAATGAACAGGCAACCTACAGAATGGGGGAAGATTTTTGCAATCTATCCATATGACAAAGGTCTAATATCCAGAATCTACAAGGAACTTAAACAAATTTACAAGAAAAAAAGAACCCATCAAAAAGTGGGTGAAGGATATGAACAGACATGTCTCAAAAGGAGACATCTATGTGGCCAACAAACATATGAAAAAAAGCTCATCATCACTGGTCATTAGAAAAATGCAAATCAAAACCATAATTAGATACCATCTCATGCCAGTTAGAATGGTGATCATTAAAAAATCAGGAAACAACAGATGCTGGCAAAGATGTGGAGAAATAGGAACACTTTCACACTGTTGGAGGGAGTGTAAAGTAGTTCACTCATTGTGGCATGCAGTGTGGTGATTCCTCTAGGATCTAGAACCAGAAATACCATTTGACCCAGCAATCCCATTACTGCATATATACCCAAAGGATTATAAATCATTCTACTATAAAGACACATGCACACGCACGTTTACTGCAGCACTATTTACAATAGCAAAGACTTGGAACCAATCCAAATGCCCTTCATTGATAGACTGGATAAAGCAAAAGTGGCACTTATACACCATGGAGTATTATGCAGCCATAAAAAGAATGAGTTCATTTCCTTTGAAGGGACATGAATGAAACTGGAAACGATCATTCTCAGCAAACTAACACAGGAACAGAAAACCAAACACTGCATGTTCTTTCTCATAAGGGGGAGTTGAACAATGAGAACACGTGGACACAGGGAGGGGAACATGACACACTAGGGGCTGTCGGAGGGTGGTGGGCAAGGGGAGGGAGAGCATTAGGACAAATACCTAATGCATGTGGGGCTTAAAACCTAGATGATGGGTTGATAGGTGCAGCAAACCACCGTGGCACATGTATACCTATGTAACACACCTGCACGTTCCACATATGTATCCCAGAACTTAAAAAAAAAAAATGAGTGTTGCATTTCATGTGTGGGGTGATGGTGTTGTAGATGCTTAGAGAAGAAGTGTGAGTGTGGAAAGAGCCCTGAACTGAGAGGGGGAAGATCTGGGTTCAAGTGCAGACTCAGACACTCAACCCATTGGAGCCTCCATTTCCTTCTAACTATAACGAGGGCAATAAATCAAACTAGAGATGGTGCCAAGATTGATCAACAGAAGTGAAGAAAATGATATCAAGTGTTATATAAGTTTAAGATCTCACTGTTGGTGTGTGATCACTGAGGAAGCCTGGATGTCACAGCCCCTCACCTCTGCCTGGCTTGGAGTGATGGTTGCCGTGGCTGGCTGGGAAGTGTAAGTGGGGCTGGGTGGTGTGGGACCACACAGGTAAGGGCTGTGAGCAGCTGTGGTCTTGGCTGTATAAAAATGACTCATTGAGGTGAAGCAATTCGGGTGGGTAAAAGAGAAACCATTTCAGTGGTCTCCAATACAAAAGTGAACCTTGTTTCTTAGGAATGTTCAGGCTGATGAATGACACCACTTCTACCCAAGAAAGGCAAATTGGGAGAATTACCTGACAGAGCTGGACCATCATCCTTTCCTCAGATCTGATTTATCTCCCTGATCCCAAAACCCACCTTCATTCAGGGTCAACACCTTTTTTTTTCCTGTCCTCCAAACTTAAACAGGTCCATTTCAGTCTTTGGATCTCTTGCTCTTCCTAGTTCAGTTGAGCCCCCTACCTTGGTCTTGGCTTATCTTGTCCTTTGAGCCCTACATAAGCAGCAGGTCCTTCACTCTGTAGCTGTCTTGGTGCAGGCAGAGCATCTCTCCTTGCTAGGATGCTATCTTGCTTGGTGGTTTGCCTTCTCAGGAACAAATGCATCCTTTTTCTCCAACCGACCTAACAACTAGGATTTTGTTCTTTTCTTGGATGCTTTTGCAGGAACTGGAGCCAGTTTGCCTCCTTTAGCTGAGACTGGGAAGCAGCTCTTGCTTCCCCATTATGCTATCACTTAATATTAGTCCTGTGATTAAACAAGACAATGTTATGACCCCATAGGCATCCTGCAGGCAGTACCTTCAATGAGTGGCTATGACTTCACAGTATCATGGCTTCAAGAGCCATGGAGAAGTGACAGAATTTCCATTTTACCCATTTCTCTGCTTTTTGTCTTTCATAATGTATATTAGTCAAGGAAAATGCGTTCTTTCTTTCAGTAATTTTCCAACCACAAGCCCTTATATTTTTAGTCTTCCTGACTGAACTTTTAAATTTAATCTAAGGACCCTCTTTCTCTTGGAAAATGATGCTGGTGGAGGAGGAGTTATTTTTATCAAAGGCAAGCAAGAATGGCATTTGGCACACCCCATTTGGGAGGGGACATAGCCCAGAGGCAGGGTTAGGATTTCATCCTTCACCACCAACTTAGGTGAGCCCAGTTCCCTCTTTGAATGAGAGCTCTACCCATAAGACAGGCACCACAGCTGCATCCTGGCATCTCAGCAGCCCAGATAGACAGAGCCCCTGGCACTCTCTATACAAACACGGCATAAGGAAGGGGACTGGGGTCTTGAAGACAACATCTCCTTATGCTTGCTCCATGTCACATTCGAGAGCCAACTTGTGATGGGGTCTTGCTTTTGTCCTGTTTTAGGGTGAGTGAGCCTCATGTCTTTGGCAGACCATACATCTGAGTCGGAACTTGTTGGTAGTTTTATGCTGAATTGATCTGCATTTGTATGCTCCTATATGCTGTCTTTTCCCTCTTAAACAGTTGTCCTCAGCATATAATAGAAAAATCAGGAGTATTAGGCCCATCAGAATGCTTCATTTTTCTGAATTAGAATCAACAGTTGTGATTAGATAGCACTGCAAATGTGTGATTTCTAAGATGGAATTGTCACCTATGTTAGCTATATCATAAGTGGAAAAATTCAGAGCCCAAATGATGATCCAACCTCCACTCAGCTTCCCTGGGATGCTACTTTGGCTGCCCACCAGGACCGTTATGTGGGTCTGCATGTCAGAGAACAAACCACATCCTCCTGCTTCCCTCTGTGCTCAGGTAGCTGCCTGAGCCGGTCCAGACCTGAGGGTCCTGAGTTCCTTGGGCAGCAACTGTGCTCACTCTTAACCTATTGTCTTTCAGTTCCAAACCCATCTCTGCAACTCTGAGCCTGGGATGCTGCAAACCTTATTTTTCCTTTGCAGCTGGATTTCTGTTAGTCTCTGCCCAGAGTGGGCCCTAGAGGGATCCTGGAAGGCTGGGAGAGAGCAGGGACCTGCTCTGTCCCATTTGCTTCCAGCTTCTGTCAGCATCATCCTGAGGATGATTCCTTAGCTTTGCAGCAGTGATTTGGTCCAAGGACAGCAGCTGCTCTCAGCTTTTACACTTGCAGGAGCAGCCTCATTTGGCCCCTCAGAGATGCTGGCACATAGTCACCAGTGTTGCCTACTCTGGGGTTTCAATCCCTGTCGAGGGTGGCTCTCCTCCGAGCTGCTGAGGAAGCAGCATGCACTGAGTAGCATGCATCCTCAGGCTGAAGCCCTGTGGGATCTCTTTATGCCACAGGAAGACCAAGGCCACCCAGGAAAGCCACTCTCCTCAGGGTCTCTGGTCCAGCTCAGTGCAGTCCCTTCACTGGCTTTCTCACTGACCATGGCCTCAAACTCTCTTTGCTCCTCCAGTCCCAGGATATAAAGCTGCTTTCTGTGGTTGCTGTTTTTGCAGCACGGCAGTTTCTCTTGTGCTCTGCAGTCCTCCCAAATGTCTCTGGCCAGTTCCCTATATTAGGTCCTCTCTGTTAAATTGGTAGTGTGGTTTCTGTTTTCTCACCCAGATGCCAACTGATGCAGGCCTCCCTTCTGGGGCCTGTAGGCTCCATGCTCCTGTGCTGCTCCCTGTGGTCTCTGGTGTGAGTTCTTCAGGCTCTGACAGATCCAGGTCCTGCTCCAGCTATTTCTGCTTTGAACACAACAATGGGCTGAATCTGTGCCCATAAAGGGCTGAGCTCATTCAGTCCCAGGAGTGAGGAGAGCTCATCCTGAGTTTGTTAACACTTCTCATGCCCTTGGATGGTATCTCCTATAAAAGTTAAAAGTTCTTTTAGACTTCCTCTTCCAGATTTCCTGGAACCTCTTCAAAGAAGTCAACATGCTTCTCATCATGGGGCTGGGCTAGAGAGGAATCTCTTTGAATGCTCTAGATTGCTTTCTCTCCTGACCTGATTCTTGGTTTCAGAATGGTGTTTGTAACCCTATTCTCTCATCCCAAGATGAATGTCCTTGCTTTCCTGAGGCACCTACTGTCAGAGGCATGTGAACCAGAGCAACTCCATCTTAAATAGGAGCTGGGAAAAATGAGGCTGAAACCTACTGGGCTGCATTCCCAGATGGTTAAGGCATTCTAAGTCACAGGTTGAGAAAGGAGGTCAGCATAAAATATAGGTCATAAAGACCTTGCTGATAAAACAGGTAGTAGTAAAGGAGCCAGCTGAAACCCATGGAAACCAAAATGGTGATGAGAATGGCCTCTGGTCTTCCTCACTGCTATACTCCCAGCAGCACCATGACAGTTTACAAATGTGATGGAAACATCAGGAAGTTACCCTATATGGTCTAAAAATGGGAGGCATGAATAATCTACCCATTGTTTAGCATATAAACAAGAAATAACCATAAAAATGGACAACCAGCAGCCCTCAGGGCTGCTCTGTCTATGGAGTAGCCTTTCTCTTATTCCTTTACTTTCCTAATAAACTTGCTTTCACTTTACTCTGTGGACTTGCCCTGAATTCTTTCTTGTGCAAGATCCAAGAACCCTTTCTTGGGGTCTGGATTGGAACCCCTTTCCTGTAACACTACCACTGGGGATGCAGGGGGTGCAGATTTTATCTCTCCTTTAGACATAAATGTGATTATTTTGGTGTCTGGAAGCCTAACCATTGCTTTACATTCTCCTTCATACTCCCATCCAGACATCCTCCCTATGACATTCACTCATTTCCAACCCTTCCTGTATATCATGGAGTTGCTATGGTGGGTGTGCAGAGCAGCGCCCTTGGCTGGACCTTGGGGTCCAGTCACCATGACAGTTGCCTTGGTCAGTCATGTGGTCAAAGGATGAGAACTATAGTTTTCATATTGCTCAAGGTTAACTTTACCTTTTAGAGAACTCAAGATTACAATACAGTATGCATAAACCAAGTGAGAGCAAGAGGCTACTAATTGGATCAATATATGTCATAAAGCCTAGATTTACTCCTGAAAATATTCTTTTCCTGCTGGTTGGGTTGTTTGGTGAAGATCAATCACATAATAATCTCAGTTCTAACTATGTCATTGTAGACTTTCATTATTTCCTTCCTCTTATAATAAATCCTTATTCTGCCCTCATCAAGCCCTGTAATACTTTCTGAGGATACAGCAGTGAGCAAGATTGGTAAACATTGCCTGAGCTCTTAGTTTTGAAGACAATTTAGTAAACAACAACAATAAAATCCCCATAACAAGGGAAATGCCCCTGCTTGTGGGGGTTAAAGTAGGCCTCCTGTGACAAGTGTCATTTAGGCTGTGCTCCTAAGGATAAGTGGAAGACAGACAGGATAACTTAGTGTTGAAGTGGGGAGGGAGAGAGTATTATAGGCTCCTGGCAAGAGTGTCTGGCAAGAGTGAGTGTGGCTCATACACCCAGTTGAAAGAAATCAAGAGCGGTCAATCTGGACTAAAATGGTGGAAAAACGACCATCACCAACAGTTTTATCCAATGGGTATTGGGAGGGATATATTCTACCTATTTTCTTCACTTACTCAATTGAAAAACCTCATATCCCTAAAAACAATTAAAAATGCTTATACCTACAATTTCTCAGCAACAAAAGGGGCCTCATTAATTAATCATATTAATTTCTCTTGATGTCAATAGAGCCCAGTCTCTTACTGATGATCTCTTGGGGCTTTTACATGGTGGAGACTCTTGGACCTCTCAAATGTAGATGAACAAATAATACTCTCAGAACTGATGACATCTCTCTCCCTTCGTGTGTGTGTGTGTGTGTGTGTGTGTGTGTAAATCAGTCTACTATGCAAATTAAGTCTGTAATTTCTTTTTCCCATGAGGATACATTATATCCTAACACAACCCAAGAAGTGAAATAAAATCAGGCCAATTTGTAATTGCATCTTTTTCTTACATTTGAACATGCGGCCTCTCATGAGAAAAGCATACCATTTGAGTTGATTTTTACCGATATGTAAATAGATTTTGGTTTATCTAAGTGACTTAAGTTCCCACTCAACTCAATTTCCCACTGATGCAATTCAAACATATGCACCACAAACTGGCCAGACATAGAGACACACAAAGCAGAAATCCATGTGAAGACAGAGGAAGAGATTGGAGCGATGCCTTCATAAGCCATGAAACAACAAGGATTGCCAGAAACCACCACTAGCCAGAAGAGGCAAGAGAGGACAGTTCCCTAGAGCCTTCAGAGAGAGCATGGCCCTGCTCACGCCTGGATTTTACACTTCTAATATCCAGAACTATGGCAGAATAAATTTCTATTGTTTTAAGTCACCAGTGTTATAATTTTTAATGACAGTTCTAGGAAACTAATGTAGGTGGCTTCTAGTGGAAGAGAAGTCTCAAATTATGACTTATCTGGTGTCACATCCACAAGCAATCAGCCACTCAGGGGTCTCTTTTACCTAAGCATTGCTACCTAGTAACACAAGGCTTTCCATAGTTATCAGATTTCCAGAGGAATCAAGCTAGAAAGTAAATAGAAGGTCAGTACCTCTTGCAGAAAGGCAGGGTTTTGTTAAACCTTTACCCACAAACAGAGGAAAAAATTGCTAAGTTAAATCCAAATGCTTGTATCCTCTTTTGCATTTAGTGGAGTTAAAGCCCCACAATTATCATGGTTTTCAGTAATTTTTTTTTGTGATAATGCTGTGTGCTTACCCCCTGTACTTGGAGGTGAGTAAAGCTTATCCTCAAGCTGTACTCAGCAGTTTGCAAAGACAAACATATCTTTTTCTCATTCACAAGTTGGTGGATTGGCTGGGCTCCACTAGGTTCCACTGGGATTGGATTGGTGAGGCTCTCATTGAAGGTTGGCTTCACGTATGTTCCATGTGTCTTTTCATGCTGGGATCTGTGGCTACCTGTGGCATGTTCTTTTCATGGCTGATGGATGTAGTGGGAGAGACAAACCAAACCAAGCAAACCTATTTAAACCTGTACTTGTATCATGGCTGTGTAATTGTTACAGGGAAGGAGCAAAGAATTGGGAGCAATAGTCTAATCTGCCACAATAACCCTTGTAAACCAAAAAGTATCTGAGATAGGACTCAATCAATTTAGAGGTTTATTTGGCCAAGATTAAAGACCTTGACCCATGCACAGCCTCAGGAAGTCCTAAAAACATGTGCCTAAAGTAGTTGGGTTACAGCTTGGTTTTATACATTTTAGGGAGAGAGAAGTTACAGGCAAAGACATAAATCAATATACATAAGGTATATGTTGGTTTGGCCCAGAAAGGTGAGACATCTTGAAGCAAAGAGGGTGGAGATTCATGGTCATAAGTGGATTCAAAGATTCTCTGACAGGCAGTTGGTTGAAAGAGTTAAGCTCTGCTTTAAGAATTGAATTCAGCATAAAAAAATGCTTGAGTTTGTTAGAAGCATTTGAACCAGAGCAACTCCATCTTGAGTAGCAGCTGGGTAAAATAAGGCTAAAACCTATAGGCTGCATTCCCAGATAATTAGGCATTCTAAGACACAGGATAAGATAGGAGGCTAGCACAAAGATACAGCTCATAATGAGCTTGCTAATAAAACTTGCAGTAAAGAAGCTGGCTAAATCCCACCAAAACCAAGATGGCGATGATAGTGACCTCTGGTTGTCCTCACTGCTACACTCCCACTAGTGCCATGACAGTTTACATCCCTACATTGTAAACTGTCATGGCACTAGTGGGAGTGTAGCAGTGAGCTGGGCACATGCCTTTAATCCCAGCTACTCGGGACGCTAAGGCAGGAGTGTTCCTGGACCAAACTGAGGGTTGGGCTGCTATTTCCTGCTGCCAATAATGAGATGCAGATGAACTCGGGAGGAAGAGAGTTTTATTTTTTGCAACCAGTTACAGGGAGAAGGCCCAGAAATTTTCACCAGACCAACTCAAAATTACAAAGTTTTTCAGAGCTATATACCTTCCAAGCTATATGTCTACATGTAAGTGTTCCATGTGTCTTTTCATGCTTAGATCTGAGGCTACCTGTGGCATGTTCTTTTCATGGCTGAAGGTCATCCTGAAGACCTTCTTCTACAGCCTCATTAAGTTTACTTAATCTAAATGGGTCTAGGTGCTCGGGTGATTACCCTTATCTTGTCTCTTGCTAAATCACGGGGGTTTGGGAAGTTACTTCAGACCTCCAATAAACTTGATTGTGGAAGCCTGTGGAGTTTCTTCAGACCCCTAATAAAACTTGTTTAATCCTAAGGGGGTCCTGCTAAGAATTTCTTTGTTACTTTATCATGCTTTAAGGCCCAGGAAAGGCCTAGGCAAAACTCTTGATGGACTTTTGCTACATTCCAGCCTTTGTATAAGGGCACTGGCTTTTTTAGCTTTTTATATTTAACTTAACCACTCAGTCAGTACTGAAACAGTTGTGATGGATAACAGAGCAGGAGCATCACCATCTTGGACAAGCACCACCATTTTAAAGTTCACCTTGATTAAAAACTGCCTAAATCCAAAAAGCATCAGCCTAATGGCTAAGGTCAGCATGACCATAAACCACAAATGACATCTCTGACCAGAAACATTCCAACCATAAGGTAAACTCCTCCCAGACCAGAGACATGCCAGCCCTGAGATAACCTCCCCTCTGGCTGGAGAGATGTCAGCCCTGAGATAACCTCCTCTCCAACCAGAGATATTCCAATCCCACAATAGACTTCTCCTCACCCTAAAACCAATAAATACTCTTAGTCTGTAAGAGAGAGTGTTCCTGACTGAAATCGGTCAGAAGGCCCTCTCAGGTTTATTCTCCAAAATAAACCTGTCTTTGACTGTTGAGCCACTTTTTGTGTTTCTTTCCTCTTTCTTTAACTCTTACATTTGGTGCTGAAACCTGGGATGGGTGTTGGGGGTAGAGGCTGTGTTGCAACCCAGGAAGCAGTGGACAGCAGCTGCTCATCCCACTGCACCCACCCCATCTTGTCTCCTTTTTTTGAGCAATTTTTGAGCAATTTGTGTGGGGAGGACAATTAATCTGAAGGGGACTTCAAGGCTCAGGCTGGGGCTACCCTGCAGTGAGCCCTCAAAGCCCTCAGGTGCTGCAGACCCTGGTGGACTGAACAAAGGAGGATGAATGCAGGAATAAAGACAAAGACAAAAGAGTATGTTTGGATGAAGGGGTCAGGGGGCTCCTTGCTTCTAGTGAATAAGTGCCCTGGGCTTCTAGAGCCCTTCATATTTATTGAGTAAAAGAGATATGGAGCAGGGGGCAGTTGTTGGTCAGCTGCTTGATTTAGTGCAGGCCTGCATGACTGCCTTCTTAGAACAGTAGGCTCTAGATGTTCCAGTAGATAACTTTAAGGGGCATGGCACCCAGGAGCACAGCACCAGGGAGTGATTGCCCTCAGCATACCTTCTGGCAGCAGGTGCAGATGTGAGTTTGCCCACATCCTGCATTCATGATAAACAGTTTGCTGTTTGATCATATAGCCTCCAGTGGAATGCTGAGTTGGTCATGACCCTCAGGCTCTTGGCTCCCAACATCTCTCCCTTTCTGTTTTTGCATTAATTGAATGAATGTAACACCAGGCTGGACAGCTCTCATTTTCCAACTTGTGGACCATCTAATTTTACAGACTGTGAACAGAAAACAAGAGACATAACAGCATTATTCCCAGAACTATATATGAGATGTTAATGTGGTGCTTTAGATAGGCCCGAGGATTGAGGCTCTCCAGACCTTGCTGAAATTTGGTCCAGGCTTCTAAAGAAGGCTGAAACTCTTGAGTTTGCTTATTTAAATCAAGAATTTTGTTTTGTAATTCACCAATATCAAAGGTGATGTTGGATGTGAAAGCTCCCTGCAAAAGAGCTTTCACAAGGTCTCATGGATACTCACTTTGGTTGTATTCTAAGTTGGTTACACAAATATGAGTGTGATTTAAATGACAGCACAATTGCTGTTGCAATTGTAAGCTTTCTACTTGTTCCCCTAATGATAGAACTGTGGATTTCAACATTGCCACTTCAATTTGTAACTCAGTGTTAATTTCATTCTGAAGTAGCCATGCTTGGTTGGCTGTATGCATCCAGTTCTCCACATACTGAGTTGTTTGAACAGAACTATGCAAAGCTACAGAGGACATTACAACAGAAGTTATTAGTGTGACCAAGGAAACAATAGCAAAAATTATCGTGCCTAAGGCTCTATGGGCACCATGAGTAAGTTGAGTTAAAAGAAGTTTCACAAAGTGCAAAGCAGGGGTGGTGGCCCAAGGCTCAGAGAGATTAATGGGAATCCATAGCCCAGGGATGTGACCCAAAATTATCAAAGTAGAGATATTATGTGTTTGCAATATGCTATGATTAATGCAATGATATAACTGACAAGGTTTATGGGTGAATTGGATATCATTTACCTGAGCTGGTCCTTCCTGGCTGCCAAAAAGACATAAGGATTAAAAACACAAACCGTAAATTGAGAGGTGATACTCTTTACAAATGTAACATCAAAACTATGTCGAGTAGCAGTATTAGTATTAGAGAGTACCCCTACCCAGATACTACCATTTGTGAACAGGAGTGCAGCGTTCCATATTGTTTCTTGAATTGGACCTTTCCTCCCTAGATATTGTTACTGAGGAAGAGGCAGGCTAAAGCCAGCTCCATGCCAAGCAATCTGGGTGGCAGATTGGGATTGGATCCCCGTGTGGCATAAAGAAGAAGCATTAAAAGCCTGCCACCAATGCCAACAAAGTTTGTGCCATGATGTCAGATTTTCCTCTTTTCCATCTAGTTGAACTTTAGGTCTCTAATCCACAATGTCTCCAGTTAACATAGATTGTTTTCTAGCCAGTGGGCCAGGTTAGCACACTAGTTACATTAATAGAACTAAGACCTAATAAGTACCTGACTTTTCCATGCCGACTCAACCATGCTTGAGCTTGAATTGTAAGACAACTATGGTTGAGTGACATCTTTGTAGTGATACACAAGGGGAGTCCTTCCAGTGGGGTGGTATAATTGATGACATTGTTCTGAGAGTCTAACTGTTCTATGTCAGGGGGAGTTAGGGGTCCTGGATCCCATGCTCCCTGATCATGATAGAACTCAGGAGGAGTGTCACTCCAAAATACAGGTCATACTACTAGGGGATTAGGGACATATGCCCAATGTTTTTGCCTCTGAACAGGGAAAATATACCACACAGGGCATTATGGCTAATATGGCCAAGAACATGGAATCAGGGGTTTTTGCCTCATCGTGACAATCCAGGAGTGTCTCACCTTCCTGCATGGTTTTCTTGAGTTGCCCCCAGGTTATGGGGCTTGATGTCGTCATGACTCCAGCTGGCCTTCTCTCAGTCTTTGCACTCAGGCTCAGCTGGCTCATGGCCTGTACTGGAGGGACCAGGCCCATGGTTGGTCACCATGGGTCCCTCCAGTCTCCTGTTCCATGGTCGCATGCACCTTGAGGGCACCCACATGGTTTGTCCATCTCCTGTAAAAACACAAGCATATCCTCATCCCCACATTAATAAATCCACTGGACCTTTCCATTTTCCTTCTTCCAGGGATTTCCACAACACTTTCAGACAAACTTTCCTTTTTTCCTCTAACACTTGCCAATGTCTTTCTGCTGGAGTCTTACCATCCATACCAGAAGTCAAACAATTTAAAGTAAATTGGGCTAAATGTAGTTTTGTTTGAGGTGGCCTATTCCCCCTTTCTGTTTTTTCAACGTTCATTGTAATGTTTGATGTGCCTGCTGTATAATTCCTTGTCCTCTAGGGTTGTAAGGAACTCCTGTTTTGTGAGTAATAGCCCAAAGCTGTAGGAAATTTTGAAAGCATGACTAGTATAAGCAGGACCATTGTCAGTCTTTAATTGTTTAGGGACCCCCATATGAGCCAATAACAACAGACAATGTCACTGTACATGACCAGCTGTCTCACCTGTTTGGCATGTAGCATGCAGCATATGAGAATAAGTGTCTATGGTCACATGAACATAGCTAAGCTTGCCAAAGTCTGCTATATGTGTAACATCCATTTTGCCAGATTTCATTTGGAGCAAACCTCGTGGGTTACAGCCTTCTACAGGTGCAACACCAGGGACACGCTGACAAGAGGGATAGGCTTGTACAATAGCTCAAGACTGGCTGCAAGGCAGATGAAACATACGAGTAAGGGCAGAGGTGTTTTGATGCAGTAATGCATTAGAAGCTTGAGCTTGTTGAAATACAGAACCGATAAGTTTGTCTGCCTAAAGATAATGGTTCAGGGAATTGAGTGTGAAAATGGATATGAGAAATATAAAAAGGAGCTATACAAGATCAAAGAGCTTGAAGTCTTAGAAACAAGTTAAGCAGTTCTGGCTCTAGTGTACTTTTAATTGTAGCAGTTTCTATGGACTGGCAACATTTACAACATAAGCTGAATCACAGACAATATTAATAGGAGTTGAAGCTGTGAGCTCTAAAACTAGAATGACTGCAATTAACTCTAAGAGTTGAGCTGAAACCCCAGAGGTCCTTATTTTCTGAGTATGTTTAGGTCCATAAATAGCTGTGCAACCTTTGGAAAAGCTGTCAGTAAAATAGGTCTGGCCACCTGGAATAGGCTTGTGATGAGTAATCACATGAAGAATGAAAGAATGGACTTTATAAAACTGCAAAATTTTGTCTGAGGGATAATGATTATCTATTGCACCTACAAAATCAGTGAAAGCAATTTGCCATGCAGTCAACATTTCCCATGCTGCAGCCTGTTGCTGGGAGTCTAACGGAACAATAATTTTATCAAGGTTATATCCTGTAAGCATTTTTGAAATATGCCTGCCCAAAGTCACAATTTGTGTAATTAAGGAAAGATAGACTTGCAAAGTTTTTACTGTTTGATTAGGTAAAAAGAGCCTTTCTATCACTGTTACAGATTTGTCTAAACATTGGCCCAGGAGTCCTGTTGGAGAATGGGGTGTAGGAAGAATAAACAAAAGCAAAAGTTTTTGTGGCTGTAGCCGGATTCCTGTCTCTGCTGAAGCATCTGTTCTACAAGTTGTAACTCAGCTTCTGCCTCTTTCATAAGCTGCCACAGGGAATTTAAAGAAGAATCTCCTTGCAGGGTTTGATAAAGATGTGCAAGTTTATAAGTAGCAATAGCTAGCATTGGGCATAGCCAATTAATGTCCCCTAATAACTGTTGGAAATCATTTAAAGTCTGTAACCTGTCTTTACAGAGAACTACTGTCTGAGGCCATACACTTTTCTCTGTAACAATAGTTCCTAAGTAATGGTATGGGGAAGTTGTTCACACTTTCTCTGGAGCAATTTTGAGATTCCATTTAACAAAAGCTTGCTTTACTTCTATGAATAATTGATACAATATTTGATCTGTAGGAGTGGCCAAAAGAATATCATCCATGTAATGAACAGTATATGCAGAGGGAAACATATTTTGAGACTCTTTTAATGCTCTTCCCACAAAATGCTGACATAATGCAGGACTGTTAAGCTTGCCTTGAGGTAAAACTCTCCACTGATAGCGAGAAACAGGTTCTGTTTGATTAATAGAAGGCACAGAGAAGGCGAATCGAGGCTTATCCTCCTCATGTAATGGTATAGAAAAGAAACAATCTTTAAGATCCATTGCTACAAGAGGCCAGTCTCTAGGAATTGCTGCTGGGGATGCCAAGCCCTGCTGTAATGCACCCATCAACTTAATGTGTGCATTAATAGCTCTCAAATCACGCAGCAGTCACCATCATCTGGACTTTTTTGGGATAACAAAGATTGGTTAATTCCAGGGACTAACTGACTTCTCTATATGTCCTGCATCCAATTGTTTTTTCACCAACAGATGAAGTTGACCTAGCTTCTGCTGTGTTAGGGGCCACTGATCCACCCACACAGGTTTGTCACTGAGCCATTCTAAAGGTAAGGCAATGGGTGGAGGAGATGTATCAATGAACCCAATCATAAATCCTGATGTCCCAGTCCTTTCTGTCTTTCCAGTTATTGATATCGGGTTAGGGTTTCCTTGTTGGAATTTTCCTAAACCTTTCCCACTCTGATATCCCATGTCCTTCAACATTTTAAATCCTGTGTTATCAAAGTTTTCATTTGTAAGTCTCATATCCCATGCTGTAAGTAATTCTGGAGTCCATAAATTGAAAGCTATATTTGCAACATAAGGCTGGAAAGTACATGATTGTCCATCTGGACCAAGACAAGGTAAAATCTCAGCACTCTGTTGAACACTTTGAGCTGCTCCTACTCTCACTAGGGATGTGGAGTTAGTCTGAGGGGCCCGGATGGGGACAAATCCTTACCGGATATTACTGACACATCAGCTCCTGTGTCCACAAGCCCATAGAATTTCCTTCCTTTAATTTGTACTACACAGGTGGGTCTGGTAGAGGCTATGGGTTGTGATAGATAGATTTCTCATGTAGTTGTGCTCCCAAACCATTTGTATCCTCTTTTCTCCTTTCATGGAGAAGGGTGTAATTTGCAGGGGATAAGCAATAATTACACTATATATTCCCCTGGTTCAAAAATCTAAAGGTCTTGTGACATTAAAACTACTTGAATTTCTCCTTCATAATCGGAGTCAGTTACTCTGGGGACTACCATGATGTCTTGCAAGTTAAGGTTGGCTTTTGCCTAAAATTAGTCTCATGTATCCTGCTGGTAAAGGTCCCCAAATGCCAGTGGGAATTTTGGTAGATTTGTCTCCTCCAACTAGTGTACTTCTTTCTCTGGTGGGGAGATCTAATCCTGTGCATCCTGGTGTTCCTGGGGAGAGGGAATCAATGTTCCTCCTGGGACCCACCCCTGAAGTGGGGTTCTGGTCTGAACTGGGAATGCCTCATTTGAAGGGCCTGGGTCCAGGCCTCCTTCTCGTTTCCCGACACAGGGGTGCCATTCTGATGAAGTTTTGAGTGGCATTGATTAGCCCAATGATTTCCTTTGTTACAGCAAGGACAGAGTCCTGACATTTTTTCCACTGGGGGCAGGGTCGGAGGGGGGCTTCACATTGTAAGGTCCTTTCTGTTCTGAGATCTGCACTCTTCTCTGTAACAATAGTTCCTAAGTAATGGTGTCGGGAAGTTATTTGCACTTTCTCTGGAGTAATTTTGAGATTCCATTTAACAAAAGCTCGCTTTACTTCTCTGAATAATTGATTCCTTTTTAAAGTGTCCAGTTTTTCCACATTTATAACATTTTCCCACTTTAGGGTTTGACCCTTGGCTCCTTTAAGATTTGTCAAGTACTAAACTAGCCATTCCTTGAGCTAATATCGTAGAACAATGAAATTCAGTTCCTATATCCTGATAGGATTTAAGGTAATTCCCCAAGCTCTTTGTGGCTCTCACAGGAGCCATTGCATGCTTGCAATCTGCATTTGCATTTTTATAGGCTAGAGTTATGGTAAGTATTTCTTTAGCAGAGGCATGAGGGAGCTGATGCCATACTGTGTCTTGCAGCTGTGCAATAAATTGTGCATAAGGTCCCCATGATCCCTGCCTGACATGTAGAAAAGACAGCACTGGAACTCCTTCTTCAGGAATTGTGCTCTAAGCATGCTTGGTGGCTAAGGCAGACTGGTGATAAGCAGCCTCTGGGAGTGTTAATTGTTGTACCAGATCTGAAAAGGGGCCACTGCCTATCAGCATTTCCTCTGTAATGTTTCCTTGACCAGCGTCACAATTCTGCCTTGCCTGGTCTGCACTCATTTCTTGCCAATTTAAACTCCTTGTCAGATATGCACTGGCGGACAAGCAAGTGTGAGCCAAATGTCTTATATCAAAGGGTGGGAGGTGCATGGCTCCAAACACCAATTCTAACAGCCCTATAGTAAATGGGCTTTGCACTCCATTATTAACCACACTAGCGTTTAATTTTTTTAGTAATTTAAATTCTACAGGAGTGTGTTCATGTAAAAGATGTTGTGGATCATTCGGATCAGGTCTTATAGTAATAGGAAAAGTGCAAGGGTCTAAAGGTTCCCCAGCCATAGCAGCAGTGTGCAAAATTTTTTGTATGAGAGTTTCTACTTCTGTTATTGGAGGGAGTGGCAGAGGCCAATTCTCCTATCATTTTTCCTGCTTAGCAAGCAGCCAATTCTCCTCCCCTTCCTCCTGCTCATTATTTTCAATAGGCACTGTCAGAGGAACAAATGATTTTTTTAATTCTTGAGACTCAGAACCTGACTCCTGCTGTCTGACAGAATAAGAAGGAGACAATGGCAGTAGGACCATGTGAACTAAACCCCAAGCAGATAAAACAGAAGGGTCTACTTTGAAACCTTTTTGATGAGCCTGTTTCAATCCCTCTCCTACTCTGTCCCAATTTCCTACATAGAGACTGTCTGCCTGCAGAAACCATGGGTTATGCGTAAAAACCTCCTGTGGAAGCTTAGTTAATGTCTGTGAATTAACTTGAGCTCCAGACTGTTTCAACAGAACTTTAAGCAACTGCACATAATGCTTTTCTTCAACAGACAAATTCTGCTCCATGTTACCCTGATTCAGAAAGTTCTCATTCCCAGTACTTCTTTAGAGTACTGACTTTATATTCCCTGCCAGCAAATTCATCCCGGGGTCCCCACTGGTCTGGTCAATTTTACTTCCTGTGCTCCAGCAGACCTTCTTTGTTCACATCCTTGAAGTCCCTGTTCGTGATGCCACTTTGCCGCACACCCTGGTGGACTGAACAAAGGAGGACGAATGTGGGAACAAAGACAAAGACAAAACAGTATGTTTG
Source organism: Homo sapiens (assembly GCF_000001405.40). Lineage (NCBI taxonomy): Eukaryota > Metazoa > Chordata > Mammalia > Primates > Hominidae > Homo > Homo sapiens. The sequence continues at coordinate 45,279,237 of NC_000010.11, read as the reverse complement.
GAAGAAGGGGTCGGGGGCTCCTTGCTTCTAGTGAACAAGGGCCCTGAGCTTCTAGAGCCCTTTGCATTTATTGAATAAAGGAGATAGGAAGAAGGGAGTGGTTGTTGGTCAGCTGCTTGATTTAGTGCAGGCCTGTATGACTGCTTTCTTAGAACAGCAGGCTCCAGATGTTCCAGCAGATAACCTCAAGGAGCATGGTGCCAGGGAGGGATTGCCCTCAGCATACCTTCTGGTGGAAGGTGCAGATACGAGTTTGCCCACAAACTCAAAATTTGGCATAGAGGCTACAGAACTATAACTCAACCCAAACAGAATAATCTTTGCTTGTGTAATTTTTAAATGAATGAAACATAAATTTTTTTAAGAAGATAGCTACATCTTGAACTATTTAGTGAAATACCTTAACTTCTAATCTTGTGGCCTTAGGCAGTCTAGTTCACAGACATGAAGGAAGTTTGTTTTGGGAAAGGACTGTTATCATCTTTGATACTAAAGAAAATAGAATTTATATAAAAAATCTTATGTGATAAATTCTTGTCCTAAAGTAAATTAACTGGTTGTTTAAAAGGAGGGATGTTTACAACAAGTCAGAAAGTTGAGGCATGTCAGAGATTATCTGTGAAAGTTGTGAAAAATTTTATAAAAGGGAATTTATGCAAGAAATGTTGTACAATTTAAAAGTAATTAGGCCTCTTGAATGCTTTATAAAATGCCAGTATAACTCTTAGCTGTACAACTTGCTGGCTTTGCAGCTAGGTAAGACCTAGGACACATGGAGTTAAATGCTGGAATAAATCAGACCTTATTTGCACATCTGTCTAGGTCCTAGGCTCTACCCCTAGTATGGAATTAAAATCCCAAACTTACCAACAAAAGTAAAGGTTGCTAAAAGTTAACAGTGTAACATGTATTTAAGACTATTAAAAATAATCTAAATATACTTTTGGTAAAAAGATTATAAGGAGGCATAAGAATGTGGGATTTTTAACTGGATTAAAAGGTAAAAGAATTGTTTTAAATTGAATAAAATAAAAATGAAGGTTTAAGCAAGTTTCAAAAGATTAATTGTAAAGGAAATTCTGTGTGTAAATATATTGGCTAAAGTTGAAAGGGTATCATCCAGTTTTTCTGTAAATCAAACACTAAAATAAAAGCACAACAGGTTTTTCTTACAGCACTACCTGCTTTTAACAGAAACTGTAGATAGTTAAAAAGGGTGTATAAAAATCTTACCTATGGTCAAGTGTTAAAATTGGGTAAATGTGTCTACAAAGTTTTACTAAAAATTGCATTTAACATTAATAGCACACTAATATAAAGGTAAAATTTGGCTTATTTGGTATAAAATCATACAGAAAGCATTGTCAAATAGAAAATAGGGTTTGGCTTTCTTTGGGCTATATTTGTATAAATATGTTGTTCCAAAGTTATATGGACTTATATGGACACATATAAGGTGTGTGTTCCAAAGTTATGGGAGACTCCTATAATTTGATATATCTTAGTGTACATTATTAGTAGTGATTATAATTGTTATGTTAAAATTATTGTGTGCCACAGAGGTAGCAGATTGCCTGTCAACTGCATCTTTAACTACGGCTACTCTAAAACTTTTGGCCATCAATAAACAATTGTTGTCTTGTTTTGGTCCTCTTTAGAAGGTGGTTTTATAATCAGCTATAAAGCTCTAACAGGTGTTTTTAAATGCAGGTTTCTGATAACTTTGGAGATTGTGACATCAAAATAGAGGAAAAATGTTCAGGACTCTTGAAGAGCTAAAATGTTCATTAATATCAAGCAGGACAGGAATTAACTGCATGAACTGAACTAATAAGAGACTGGAGTGATCTTTTTGATGTTTTGCTTAAAATAGTGCTAATCCTTTGTTTTGCTTTTCAAAGTCAAAGAAACTTTTCTTTTGAGCTATTGACAGCTTTTTTTTGGAAGAATTTTTAATAAGTATTATTTTTTCTGTTAGTTCAGATTGTTACTATATATTTGTTCACTTTTTTATTATTATACTTTAAGTTTTAGGGTACATGTGCACAATGTGCAGGTTAGTTACATATGTATACATGTGCCATGTTGGTGTGCTGCACCCAGTAACTTGTCATTTAACATTAGGTATATCTCCAAATGTATATCTCCTCTCCCCTCCCCCCACCCCACAACAGGTCCCGGTGTGTGATGTTCCACTTCCTGTGTCCATGTGTTCTCATTGTTCAATTCCCACCTATGAGTGAGAACATGTAGTGTTTGGTTTTTTGTCCTTGTGATAGTTTGCTGAGAATGATGGTTTCCAGCATCATCCATGTCCCTACAAAGGACATAAACTCATAATTTTTTATGGCTGTGTAGTATTCCATGGTGTATATGTGCCACATTTCCTTAATCCAGTCTATCATTGTTGGACATTTGGGTTGGTTCCAAGTCTTTGTTATTGTGAATAGTGCCGCAATAAACATACGTGTGCATGTGTCTTTATAGCAGCATGATTTATAATCCTTTCGGTATATACCCAGTAATGGGATTGCTGGTATTGACAGCTTTTAGCAATTTAGTATACTCCCATAAACAAAATTTGGAGCATACTTGTTTCTCTCTACCTGATTTTCTCCAGAATTTGGAAACTATCTGTGAGTATTCTTAAGTTATGGAAATATAGTTATTTGCATAAGTGCAATAAGATTTTTTTTTTTTTTTTGTAACAGAACACAATTGGAAAAACTGGTTATTTTACCAAGGCTTTGACTGGAATGGTGTACTTTCCTTTAAGGAATCAAACTTGACTTATGGAGCCAATAAAACCCTTGGAAAACTGGCCTCATGGTTTGTGTACACAATCCCTGTACAGGGTTTCTGACCTGTGGTAAGTAAAGAATGTCACTTTCTCACAGGCTGGGAACCCCAAGTTATCTTGGATCCTCAAGAGGAGAGAAATTCACCCAACTCATAGGTATTTGATAGTACAAATCCATGGCTGGGCTTGGCTTTAAAAAGTTCTTATCTCAGATTCCTTCTATGGAACAAAGTTCCATCAAAGCCAATTTAAAAGGCCTATGTAACAAATAATTATTCTTGCTGTGCTGTATGCAAATAATTAAGCCAAGTATAATAAAGTAAATCAGTCTTACCATGACTTGTCTTTTAATAAAAATGGGAAACTGGAGAGAGAAAATTATGTTTCAAAAACTATAGCACACTTCTTGTTAAATTCTAATTTGCCTAATATTTTTCAATTTTTATTATTTTATACAGTTTAAATTCTGATTTTTCTCGCTACAAGTTTCCAAAATAAGGTGTGCCTTTTTTTTTGAGACAGAGTCTTGCTCTGTTGCCCAGGCTGGAGTGCAGTGGTGAGACTTCGGCTCACTGCAACCTCCACCTCCCGGGCTCAAGAGATTCTCCTGCCTCAGCCTCCCAAGTAGCTGGGACTACAGGCACATGCCATCACGCCTGGCTAATTTTTTGTATTTTCAGTAGAGATGGGGTTTTGCCCTGTTAGTCAGGATGGTCTCGATCTCCTGACCTTGTGATCTGCCCATCTCGGCTTCCCAAAGTGCTGGGATTACAGGTGTGAGCCACCGTGCCTGGCCTAAACTGTGCTTTCTTAAAGCCCTATAAACTCAAAGCTAGATGTTTCAGTAGGCACTGCCTCTAAGCCCTCTGATCCTCACAAGTGGAAATAAAGAAATAGGACATCTTTAGCAGAAAATCATAAAAAATAAGTGAGCGAGAACTACTCATTTTACTCAGTCTCACCCCTACCTCACCAAATACTTTTTGTCATTCCTACCTCTCCTTCTAAGCAAAATATTAAAACTTTTTAATGGACATTATTTACTATGCCACCCTTGTGGGAATTGCCTTACTCTGCTGTAGCACCCTCAGGGTAGAATATCTAATAGAAAATCTCAATTACTGTATCATTTTGCTTAATTATTATCCACATAGCAGGAACAATGGTTACTAACAGAAAATAACATATGGGCCTTTCCAAACATGCACCTCTGGCTCTCATCAGGTAAGGAATGTTGTTTCTATATCAACCAATCAGGCCTAGTAAGAGCTGCTACTGAAAAACTTAAAGAAAGGGCTAAAAAGCTAAGGAATACCAAAACGACCAAATAGATTCTTAGTTTGGGAACAAAATCATAACATGGGTCATCCCATTCCTGGGCCCTCTCCTAATAATATGCCTAGGACTAATGTTCTTACCCTGCCTAATTAACCTTTTTCAAAGATTTTTAACTGAGATGATCATGGCCATTTCACAGACAACTACCCAAAAACACCTACAGATGGTGTTACTCCTGCAATGAATTCAAGACCAGAAAATTCTGTCCCCTCATCAGCAGGAAGTAGCCAGAAAGAACACACTGCCCCTTGCCTTTTTATAACTATAGGGTCTGGACTGACAGAGCAGCCGCATTGTCATCTTGAACAAGCACCACCATTCTAAAGTTCCCCTTGATCAAAAACCGCCTAAATCCAAAGGGCATCAGTGTAATGGCTAAGGTCCACATGACCATAAACCACAAATGACATCTCTGACCAGAAAGATTCCAAACCCTTTCCCAACCAGAGACATGTCAGCCCTGAGATAATCTCCCCTCCAGCCAGAGAGATTGTCCAGAAGCCCCTCTCAGGTTTATTCTCCAAAATAAACCTGTCTTTGACTGTTGAGCTGCTTTTCATGTTTGTTCCTCTTTCTTTAACTCTTACAGTCAGGACACAGCTTGGTTTTATACATTTTAGGGAGACATGAGACATCAATCAATATATGTAAGAAGTACATTTGTTCAGTCTGGAAAGGTAGGATAAATTGAAGCAAAGGCAGGAAGACTTCAAGCAGGGAGGGAGCTTCCAGGTCACAGATAGGTGAAACAAAAATGGTTGCATTCTTTTGAGTTTCTGATTAGCCTTTCCAAAGGAGGCAATGAGATATTTATCTCAGTGAGCAGAGGAGTGACTTTGAATCGAGTGGGAGGCAGTTGGCTCTAAGCAGTTTCCAGTTTGAATTTTCCCTTTAGCTTAGTGATTTTGGGGCCCCAAGATTTATTTTCCTTTCACAAAAGTAATATAACATTGTTTTTTGTTTTATGTCATTATAGTTTGTGTTGGTTTGTCAGAGGCCAAAGAAGCTAACTGATACATTATGGGAGGAGGATTTCTAGACTTTAAAAATGTGGACTATGAGGAATGAATTTACTTTTATTTCAGGATAAAAGAAAAGGAAGGAGGAATATGCAGTGAAATATGTTACGGATATTTAGTTATCACTACAATTTTTAAAATTAAAATTGTATTTTGAGGTAAAATTTATATTTGTAGATTCATATGCAATTGTAAGAAATAATACAGAGTAATCTCATATACCCTTCATTTAATTTCCCCAAATAGTAGCATCTTGAAAATCTGCATTACAATATCACAACCAGGATATTCACATTAATACAGTGAAGATACAGAACATTCCCACAAAGACTCTTCATGTTGTCCTTCTATAGCTACAACTACTTTTCTTTCACCCCATCATCTCCTTAACCCTTAGCATCCACAAATCTGCTCTCCATTTGTATTATTTTATCATTTCAAGAAGGTTATATAAATAGAGTCAAACAATATATAACATTTTGGGATTTTTAAAAATCATCATAATTTTCTGGAGACTTATACAAGTTGTGTATTAATAGTTCACTGTTTTGTGTTGTTCAGTGTCATTCTATTGTATGGATGTACCACAATAACCATTCATTCATGGAAGGATAGCTGGGTTGTTTCTAGTTTTTCATTATTACAAATAAAGCTTCTATAAACATTTGTGTTCAAGTTTTTGAGGGAACATATATTTTCATTTTTCTGGGATAAATAGGAAGACAATTGCTGGAGTCTATGGTAGTTGCAAGTCTGGTTTTTAAAGAAGCTGCCAAACTGTTTCTGGAGTAACTGTAATATTTTACATTCCTACCCCAAAATGTATGAGAGATCCATTTTCTCTGCATCCTTACCAGCAGTTGATATTGTCACAGTTTTTTATTTTATATCTGATTGTAATCTTAACTTTCATTTCTTAACGGCTAGAGATGTTGCACACCTTTTCTTGTGCTTATCTGACATCTGTATAGCTTCTCCCATGGAATGTCTCTTCATGTTTTTTTCTCATTTTCTAATTATATCATTTATTTATTTTTACTGTTTGGCTTTGAGAATTCTAATATATCCTAGATATGAGTCCTTTGTTAGAAATGTAGTTTCCATATATTTCCTCTTAGTCTGTAGCTTTTCTTTTAATTCTCACAGAGAAAAAGTTTTACATTTTGATGAAGTCCAATTTATGAGTTTTTCCTTTTATGTATCATGCTGTTTTGTAAGAACACTTTACCTGACCCTAAATCTTGAAGTTTTTTCTTTTTTTCTAAAAGTTTTACAATTTTATGTTGTACATTTAAGAACATAAACTATTTTTGAGTTAGCTTTTGTATAAAATATGAGACAGGTGAAGTTCTTTTTTGTGTATGTATGTGTGTATGTGTGTGTGTGTGTTTATGTGTGTGTGTGAGTGTGCCTATAAAAGTACAATTGCTCTAGCACCAATTTGGATGCCCTTTATATCTTTCTCTTGTCTGATTGCTCTAGCTAGGACTTTCAGTAATATGTTGAATAACGGTTGTGACAGTGGGCAGCCTTGTCTTGGTCTGCATCTTAGAAGACAAATTTTCAGTTTTTCCTCATTTAGTATGATACTACCCTGTGGGTGTCTGTTATTTATGGCTTTTATTATGTTAAGGTATATTCCTTATATAGACAGTTTTTTAAAGGGTTTTTATCATGAAGGATGTTAAAATTTTATCAAATCCTTTTCAGCATCAATTGACATGATCATATGTTTTTGTCCTCCATTCTGTTAATATGATGTGTCACATTAATTGATTTGCATATTTTGAACCATCCTTGTATCCCTGAGATAAATACTACTTCATCATGAGAAAAGATCTTTTTAATGTGCTGTTGAATTCAGTTTGCTAGTATTTTGTTGAGGATTTTTGCATCAATATTCATCAGACATATTGGCTGTACTTTTCTCTCTTTTTTTGATGCATTTTTGTCTGGTTTCATATCAAGGTAATACTGGCCTGGTAGAATGAGTGTGGAAGTATTCCTTCCTCCTCTATATTTTTTGAAATAGTTTGAATAGGATTGGTATTTGTTCTTCTTTAAATGTTTGGTAGAATTCGACTGTGAAGCCATCAGGTCCTGGGCTTCTCTTTTTTATATTTATTTATTTATTTATTTTATTATACTTTAAGTTCTAGGATACATGTGCACAACGTGCAGGTTTGTTACATAGGTATACATGTGCCATGTTGGTTTGCTGCACCCATCAACTCGTCATTTACATTAGGTATTTCTCCTAATGCTATCCCTCCCCCAGCCCACCACCCCTTGACTGGCCCCAGTGTGTGATTTTCCCTGCCCTGTGTCCATGTGTTCTCATTGTTCAACTCCCACCTATGAGTGAGTACATGTGGTGTTTGGTTTTCTGTCCTTGTGACAATATGCTTAGAATGATAGTTTCCAGCTTCATCCATGTCCCTGCAAAGGACATGAACTCATCCTTTTCTATGGCTGCATACTATTCCATAGTGTATATGTGCCACATTTGCTTTATCCACTCTATCATTGATTGGCATTTGGGTTGGTTCCAAGTCTTTGCTATTGTGTATAGTGCCACAATAAACATACATGTGCATGTGTCTTTATAGTTGCATGATTTATAATCCTTTGGGTATATACCCAGTAATGGGATTGCTAGGTCAAATGGTATTTCTAGTTCTAGATCCTTGAGGAATCACCACACTGTCTTCCACAATGGTTGAACTAGTTTACACACCCACCAACATTGTAAAGGCATTCCTATTTCTCCACATCCTGTCCAGCATCTGTTGTTTGCTCACTTTTTAATGATTGCCATTCTAATTGGCCTGAGATGGTATCTCATTGTGGTTTTGATTTGCATTTCTCTGATGACCAGTGATGATAAGCACTTTTTTCATACGTCTGCTGGCTGCATAAATATCTTCTCCTGAGAAGTGTCTGTTCATATTCTTTGCCCACTTTTTGATGGGGTTGTTTTTTTCTTGTAAATTTAAGTTCTCTGTAGATTCTGGATATTAGCCCTTTGTCAGATGAGTAGATTGCAAAGATTTTCTCCCATTCTGTAAGTTGCCTGTTCACTCTGATGGTAGTTTCTTTTGCTGTGCAGAAGCTCTTTAGTTTGGTTAGATCCCATTCATCTATTTTGGCTTTTGTTCCCATTGCTTTTGGTGTTTTAGTCATGAAGTCTTTGCCCATGCCTATGTCCTGAATGGTATTGCCTAGGTTTTCTTCTAGGGTTTTTACAGTGTTAAGTCTTAAAGTTAAGTCTTTAATCTATCTTGAGTTAATTTTTGTATATGGTGTAAAGAAAGCATTGAGTTCCAGCTTTCTACATATGGCTAGCCAGTTTTCCCAGCACCATTTACTAAATAGGAAATCCTTTCCCCATTTCTTGTTTTTGTCAGGTTTGTCAAAGATCAGATGGTTGTAGATGTGTGGTGTTATTTCTGAGGCCTCTGTTCTGTTCCATTGGTCTATATATCTGTTTTTCTACCGGTACCATGCTGTTTTGGTTACTGTAGCCTTGTAGTATAGTTTGAAGTCAGGTAGCGTGATGCCTCCAGCTTTGTTCTTTTTGATTAGGATTGTCTTGGCTATGTGGGTTCTTTTTTGGTTCCATATGAACTTTTAAGTGTTTTTTTTTTTTCCAATTCTGTGAAGAAAGTCTGTGGTAGCTTGATGGGGATAGCACTGAATCTATAAATTACCTTGGGCAGTATGGCCATTTTTATGATATTGATTCTTCCTACCCATGAGCATGGAGTGTTCTTCCATTTGTTTGTGTCCTCTTTTATTTCATTGAGCAGTGATTTGTAGTTCTCCTTGAAGAGGTCCTTCACATCCCTTGTAAGTTGGAATCCTAGGTATTTTATTCTCTTTGTAGTAAATGTGAATGGGAGTTCACTCATGATTTCGCTCTCTGTTTGTCTATTATTGGTGTATAGGAATGCTTGTGATTTGTGCACATTGATTTTGTATCCTGAGACTTTGCTGAAGTTGCTTATCAGCTTAAGGAGATTTTGGGCTGAGATGATGGGGTTTTCTAAATATACAATCATGTCATCTGCAAATGGACAATTTGACTTCCTCTTTTCCTAGTTGAATACCCTTTATTTCTTTCTGTTGCCTGATTGCCCTGGCCAGAACTTCCAACACTATGTTGAATAGGAGTGGTGAGAGAGGGCATCTTTGTCTTGTGCTAGTTTTCAAAGGGAATGCTTCCAGTTTTTGCCCATTCTGTATGATATTGGCTGTGGGTTTGTGATAAATAGCTCTTATTATTTTGAGATATGTTCCATCAATACCTAGTTTATTGAGAGTTTTTAGCATGAATGGCTGTTGAATTTTGTCAAAGCCCTTTTCTGCATCTATTGAGAAAATCATGTGGTTTTTGTCATTGTTCTGTTTATGTGATGGATTATGTTTATTGATTTGCATATGTTGAACCAGCCTTGCATCCCAGGGATGAAGCTGACTTGATCATGGTGAACAAGCTTTTTGATGTGCTGCTGGATTTGGTTTGCCAGTATTTTATTGAGGATTTTTGCATTGATGTTCATCAACATATTGGCCTAAAATTTTCTTTTTTTGTTGTGTCTCTACTAGGCTTTGGTATTAGGATGATACTAGCCTCATAAAATGAGTTAGGGAGGATATCTTCTTTTTCTATTGATTGAAATAGTTTCAGAAGTAATGGTAGCAGCTCCTCTTTGTACCTCTGGTAGAATTCAGCTGTGAATCCATCTGGTCCTAGACTTTTTTTGGTTTGTAGGCTATTAATGATTGCCTCAATTTCAGAACCTGTTATTGGTTTATTGTGAGATTCAACTTATCTCTGATTTAGTCCTGGGAGGATGTGTGTGTCCAGGAATTTATCCATTTCTTCTAGATTTTCTAGTTTATTTGCATAGAGATGTTTATAGTATTCTGTAATGGTAGTTTGTATTTCTGTGGGATCTGTGGTGATATCCCCTTTATCATTTTTTATTGCATCTATTTGATTCGTCTTTCTTTTCTTCTTTATTAGTCTTGCTAGTGGTCTATCAACTTTGTTGGTCTTTTCAAAGAACAGCTCCTGGATTTGTTCATTTTTTGAAGGTTTTTTTGTGTATCCTTCAGTTCTTCTCTGATCTTAGTTATTTCTTGCCTTCTGCTAGCTTTTGAGGTTGTTTGCTCTTTCTTCTCTAGTTCTTTTAATTGTGATGCTAGGGTGTTGATTTTAGATCTTTCCTACTTTCTCTTGTGGGTATTTAGTGCTATAAATTTCCCTCTACACAGTGCTTTAAATGTGTCCCAGAGATTCTGGTGCATTGTGTCCTTGTTCTCATTGGTTTCAAAGAACATTTTAATTTCCTCCTTCATTTCCTTACTTACCCAGTAGTCATTCAGGAGCAGGTTGTTCAGTTTCCATGTAGTTGTGTGGTTCTGAGTGAGTTTATTAATCTTGAGTTCTAATTTGATTGCACTGTGGTCTGGGAGACAGTTTGCTGTGATTTCTGTTCTTTTACATTCGCTGATGATTGTTTTACTAGCAATTATGTGGTCAATTTTAGAATAAGTGTGATGTGCTGCTGAGAAAAATGTATATTCTGTTGATCTAGGGTGTAGAGTTCTGTAGATTTCTGTTCGGTCTGCTTGGTTCAGAGTTGAGTTCAAGTCCTGGATATCCTTGTTAACCTTCTGTTTCATTGATCTGTCTAATATTGACAGTGGGGTGTTAAAGTCTCCCATTATTATTGTTTGGGAGTCTAAGTCTCTTTGTAGGTCTCTAAGGACTTGCTTTATGAATCTGGATGCTCCTGTATTGGGTGCATATATATTTAGGATAGTTAGCTCTTCTTGTTGAATTGATCCCTTTACCATTATGTAGTGGCCTTCTTTGTCTCTTTTGATCTTTGTTGGTTTAAAGTCTGTTTTATCAGAGACTAAGATTGCAAACCCTGCTTTTTTTCACTTTCCATTTGCTTGGTAGATCTCCCCCCATCCCTTTATTTCGAGACTATGTGCATCTTTGCACTTGAGATGTGTCTAATGAATACAGCACACTGATGGGTCTTGACTCTTTATCCAATTTGCCAGTCTGTGTCTTTTAATTGGGGCATTTGGCCCATTTACATTTATGGTTAGTATTGTTATGTTTGAATTTGATCCTGTTATTATGATGTTAGCTGGTGATTTTGCCCATTAATTGATGCAGTTTCTTCATAGCATTGATGGTCTTTACCATTTGGCATGTTTTTGCAGTGGCTGGTACCGGTTGTTCCTTTCCATGTTTAGTGCTTCCTTCAGGAGCTCTTGTAAGGCAGGCCTGGTAGCGACAAAATCTCTCAGCATTTGCTTGTCTGTAAAGGATTTTATTTCTCCTTCACTTACGAAGCTTAGTTTGGCTGGATATGAGATTCTGGGTTGAAATTTCTTTCCCTTAAGAATGTTGAATATTGCCCACCACTCTCTTCCTGCTTGTAGGGTTTCTGCTGAGAGATCCACTGTTAGTCTGAGGGGCTTCCCTTTGTGGGTAACCCGACCTTTCTCTCTGGCTGCCCTTAACATTTTTTCCTTCATTTCAACCTTGGTGAATCTGACAATTACATGTCTTGGGGTTGCTGTTCTCGAGGAATATCTTAGAGGAGTTCTCTGTATTTCCTGAATTTGAATGTTGGCCTGCCTTGCTATGTTGTGGAAGTTCTCCTGGATAATATTCTGAAGAGTGTTTTCTAACTTGGTTCCATTCTCCCCGTCACTTTCAGGTACACCAATCAAACATATGTTTGGTCTTTTCACATAGTCCCATATTTCTTGGAGGCTTTGATCATTTCTTTTCACTCTTTTTTCTCTAAGCTTGTCTTCTAGCTTTATTTTATTAATTTGATCTTCCATCACTGATGTCCTCTCTTCCACTTGATGGAATCAACTATTGAAGCTTGTGCATGCATCATGAAATTCTCCTGCCATAGTTTTCAGCTCCATCAGGTCATTTAAGGTCTTCTCTACACTGTTTATTCTGGTTAGCCATTCATCTAACCTTTTTTAAGGTTTTTAGCTTCCTTGCATTGGGTTAGAACATGCTCCTTTAGCTTGGAGAAGTTTCTTATTACTGACCTTCTGAAGCCTATTTCTGTCAATTCATCAAACTCATTCTTCATCCAGTTTTGTTTCCTTGCTGGTGAGGAGCTGTGATCCTTTTGGGGAGAAGAGGCACTCTGTTTTTGGGAATTTTCAGCTTTTCTGCTCTAGTTTCTCCCCATCTTTGTGGTTTTATCTACCTTTGGTCTTTGATGTTGGTGACCTACAGATGGGGTTTTGGTGTGGATGTCCTTTTTGTTGATGTTGATGTTATTCCTTTCTGTTTGTTAGTTTTCCTTCTGACAGTCAGACCTCTCAGCTGCAGGTCTATTGGAGTTTGCTGGAGGTCCACTCCAGACCCTGTTTGCATGGGTACTATGATTGGAGGCTGCAGAACAGCAAATATTGCTGCATGATCCTTCCTCTGGAAGCTTCATCCCAGAAGGGTACCCACCTGTTTGAGTTGTCTGTTGGCCACCACTGGGAGGTGTTTTCCAGTCAGGCTACACGGGGGTCAGGGACCCACTTGAGTAGTCAGTCTGTCTGTTTTTGGAGCTCAAACGCCATGCTGAGAGAACCACTGCTCTCTTCAGAGCCATCAGACAGGGACGTTTAAGTCTGCAGAAGCTGTCTGCTGCCTTTTGTTCTACTATGCCCTGCCCCCAGAGGTGGAATCTATAGAAGCAGTAGGCTTTGCTGAGCTGAGGTGGACCCCACCCAGTTCATGCTTCCTGGCCTCTCCTGGCCCCTTTGTTTACACTGTGAGGTACTTAAGCCTCAGCAATGGCTGACTCCCCTCTGCCCGCCAATCTGCAGCATCTCAGGTTGATCTCAGACTGCTGCACTAGCAGTGAGCAAGGCTCCATGCGCATTTGCCCTGCCAAGCCAGGCACAGGCGGGTAACTCCTGGTCTGCCGGTTGCTAAGACTGTGGGAAAAGTGCAGTATTTTGTCAGGTGTGTACCATTTCTCCAGGTGCAGTCCATCATGGCTTCCCTTGGCTAGGAAAGAGAAATCCCCCACCCGTTGGACTTCCTGGGTGAGGTGACACCCTGCCCTGCTTCAGCTTATTCTCTGTGGGCTGCACCCACTGTCCAACAAGTCCCAATGAGATGAATCAGGTACCTCAGTTGGAAATGCAGAAATCACCTGTCTTCTGCATTGATCTCACTGGGAGCTGCAGACTGGAACTGTTCCTATTTGGCCATCTTGGAAGCAACCTCCTGATCTTTTTATATTGTGTATCCCTTAACAAATTATTGGAGCTGTCATTATTTGAATAGTTTTGTCTTTTCACCTTCATAGTAAACATATGTGATATATACCACCATCACAGTATTACAGCGTTCTGAATTTGACTGTGTTTTTACTTTTACCCCCAAGTTTTTCATGTTCATATTTTTTTATGTTACTAATTAGTGTCCTTTTACTTTCTACTCAAAGAAGTCCCTTTAACATTTCCTATAAGGAAACACCTCAGCTTTTTCTCCCCTTCATTTCTGAAGGACAGCTTTACCAGGTAAAGTATTCTTGGTTGAGTTTTTTTTCCTTTAACAGTTAGTATAGAGCATTCCACTCCCTCCTTGTCTGTAAGGCTTCCATTGAGAAAATTGCTACTATTCTTATTGGGATTCCTTCATATATAATATACTTCTTTTCTCTTGCTACTTTCAGAATTCTTTCTTTGTCTTAAATTTTTGATGGTTTGATTACAATATATTTTGACATAGTCTTGTTTGGGTTGAATCTGATTGGAGTCTTTTGACTTTCCTGTGCCTGGATATTTATATCTTTCCTCATATTTTGGGAATTTTCAGCTATTATTTCTTTAAATAAGCTCTCTATCCCTATTGCTTTCTCTTTTTCTTCTCTACCTAGTATAATTTGAATATTAGGTCCTTTGATACTGTCCCATAAATCTTGTTTATTTTTTTTTTTTTACCAATTTTTTATCTTTTTTTCCTCTAACTGAATGTTTTCAAATAACCTATCTTTGCATTCAAAGATTCTTTCTTTTGCTTCATTAATTATGCTGTTGATGTTCTCTCTGTGTTGCATTCTCCATTTCATTCATTTCATTCTTCTGGTCCAGAATTTCTTTGTTTTATTATTATTTCAATATCTCTGTTAAATTTATTATTTGAGTTATTTAATGTTTTCCTTATCTAATTGAATTGTTTCTCTGTATTTTTTGAAGTTAACTGAGCATCATTAAAACAAGTACTTTGAATTTTTTGTCAGGCAGTATGTAGATTTCCATTTCTTTGGTGTCAGCTAGTAGGAAATTATTGTGTTCTTTTGGTGGTAATATTTCTCCTTAGTTTCCCATGTTTCTTGTTGCCTTACTTTGATGTCTGTAACCCTTTCCAGACCTTATAGGCTAGTTTCAGTGAAGAAAGATCTTTACTATGCAGAGACATGGGGTTCAAGGGCACTCTCTGGGTGGGGCACAGCAGTTCTAGCATTGATGATGGTGCGGCAATGTAGTCCCCATGCAGCTCTGTCAAATGAGTTTGGTGTTGACAAAGATTGCAAGGATCCAAAGCAACCAACACTGTGGATGTCTTCAGTGGCAGTGAGGGCTAAAAGGTTCTCCAGTGGTAATGACTGTTAAGGTCCTCTGAGTCTCTTTTTCTCCCACTGGGAAAGTTGGGGCTTAGGGGATCCTGTTGACATTGAATCTGGTTTGCATGCCTACTTGCAGTAGCAGTGGCACTGGTGTCTGATTAGTGGTACCTGTGGAGCAACCACAAAGCCTAATCCTATAGCATGAACATATGTGGAGGAAATACACATCTGGGGTATGAGGTGGTAATGGTACCAGTGCCCAGGGCACAGAAACCACCATGGACAAATTGGTAATGGTATGCCATGTCAGATGCTTGTAGAGCAGCCAGGGCTCTGGGGATGAGAACATGGACATGCACAGAGCTACAGTGCCTCTGGAGTCAGGTTAATCCTAGTTCTCTATGGCAGCTGAGCTGGTGCCCTAAGCACAGGCACAAACAGAGAGATCTTGGTCCCAAGGACCAGGGTACAAGCTAGCTCACCATAGTGGTGGCTCTTGTGTATGAAGCATGAGTCTAGGCAGCCTTGCTTCAGAAACAGATTCAGAGCATAAGCTAGCTCACAATGGCAGCTGAGCTGGTATCTAAACTGTGGGCACATGCAGAGAGACCTTGGCTCCAGGGTTCAGGATGTGAACCAGTGTCTGAGGCATAGTCAGGTACGGTTCAGCCACAGAGCTGGGGTCTGAAGTGTGGGCACTCATGGAGCAGCTGAGGCTCAGAAGTCAGGGCCATACACAGAGTTGGTTGAGATGGCAGCTCTGGTCCCAGAGTGGCATAACAGCAGCTGCTTTTGGGGAGACAGGTATGTACAGCCCCATCTTCCAATCTAGGGGTTCCTGGCAGGAATGTCAGTGTCCTCTGCAGAGCAGGCCACTGGGAGCCATGGTGGTTCCCACCACATAGCTGATACCAATAGATCTCACCTTTCTTCTTTGTTCCTAGCCATCTCCTGGTATCTCAGGTATGCCAGTCTCACCAGTGGTCCTTTCTGCGTGAATATTCTCTTTTCACTCCATGGTATTGCTGTAGATTATTAAATGGGCCCCTGAGTCCTCTCAGGGCCATTTTGATTTGTGGATACAAGTCTATATTTGTTTTTTTGGGGGAGGTGAGGGCTGTAGGGTGATACCTGTTACTCTGCCATGTTGGTAAAGAGGGACTATTATTTTTCATTATAAAACTTTCAACAATATGTAAAACTTTCAGAACTATGGAATTTTTTATTAAGGTAAATGTACATATAAAATTAATCATTTAAAAGTGAACAATTCAGCGGCATGCAGTACGTTCAAAATGTTATACAACCACCACCTCTATCTAGTTCCAAAACATTTTTATAATATCATCTCCAAAGGAAACCCCATACCCATTAAGCTATTGCTGCCTGTTCCCCTACCCTCACAATTTATCTCCGAGGTATATACCCCTAAAGACTTGAAAACAAGTACTCAAACAAGTAAATGTACACACATGTTCATAACAGTACTATTCACAATAGCCAAAAGGCAGAAATAGCTCAAATGTGTATCAACAAATAAGTGTATTAAAAATTGTGGAATATCTTTAGTATACTAAATTGTAAACAAATTGTGTTAATCACAAACAATGCAATTATTTTTAAGCTATGTAACTTTATATGTATAGATGAAAGTAAATGAAAACATTGTATATATTTTCCATTTATTTCAAAGTAGATAAATATGATTCACTATGTCAGACTAGTAATGTTTAAAAATTTTAAAGGCAAAAAAAATGCAATGACCACTCAGTTCATTGGTATTGCTTTGTCAGTCCCTTTAGCAGTTTGAACACTGCAAATGTGAGAAAAAGAAACAAGTCTACACAAAGTTGTATGAAAATCCTTATATACACATAGGGTGAACAAAAATTTGGGTTCTGCTAGTTCAATGAAGTGTGTTTTTCTAATTCTTACATAATTATGTCCCTCAAACTTTCCCATCGTAATCTTTTATTATCCCCCCTCTAGTGGGATTGATAAGGAATCAGAGAGACCGATGGGATTGAGGAGGATATTTATTATTTAGGTGCGCCGGCCCAGTCAGATTAACATCCAAGGGACTGAGCCCTGAACAAACAGTTAAGTTACCTTTTAAGCATTTCGTGAGGTGGGGGGAGACCTGTGCAGGGGAAATATATTACGGAAGCAAGAAACAAAGAGAGTTATTTAATTAATTGAGACATGCATTACAACATTTCTTACTTTCCAAGGAAAAACATGTTTTATGGCTTATCTGTCTAGTGACCTTGCAGCTGTACAGCTAGAGAAACAGGGTCTTCACAATGCCTGGGAAAGGAGGAGAGATAAGGCTTACTAGCCACAGTAAAACAGGCAGTTAATTTTTAAAGGACTCCAGCTCTTTCTCTTTCTCAGGGGGAATTGGGCTTTCTTACATACAACTGAGTTTCTGCTTACACATTCTTTAATTTCTTTTGATTCCTGTTCCACCACAATCACAGAAATATGTGGTCAAAACAAAACATGATCATTGCCATTAACCAAGTACGCAAAACAAATCCTAGCTCCAGGGTTTTGTCTCTAATTCATTTCCTATCAAAATCTTGAATAACTAAATTTCAGTTGTAGCATAAGTTCTTCCATTAAAACATCTCATCATCTTCTCTCTGCCATTCTCAAATTATATTTCTGTTACAGCATGTTTCTGTGTCACATTCAGTATCAATAGCGCCACTTCACATTAGTACTAAAATGAACATCCCGAGGTGACACAACCAAACCTCTCATTCCACAAATGAAGAGACTTGTTTATACATTCATTTGCAGAGATTTCACAGTCACAGACTTCTTCCCATCTCTGATTATATTTCTCCCAATTCCTTTAAACTTTCTGTAGTAGGGAAACAAATATTAACTATTTAATTCCTTGTTCCAAAAATTGTAATGTTTCTCCCCCTGTGCTGCTTCATTTTCAGGTTTGTCGGCACTGAAATCAATCTTGCAAACCATTGAAACCAACAAGGACTTGCAACTTCATCTAGAGACAGTTATATGTTTTTATCATAGTGGGAACAAAAAGTGTAAAGATTTATATACAGAATATTCAACATTGAAAGCAATTGCACTGAGTCATCTTAAGTAATTATATTGATATCCTGACAGCTGTGTATATATGTTTCCTTCAAAACTTTATACAATGACCATGTTATATCTACCCTTGAACTAACTTGATACTCTTAATACTTATGAAGTTTGTTCTTCATCCCTTTGCACTTACCACAAGTAAATACTTAAAACTACATCATTTCAGCTTTGAAATTCCACATGCATCAAACAGACTCATGTATATGAGGTTCTTCACTAAAATTTGTTGAATCCTATTTATTTAAAACTAGTAAAAAGATTCAGGAAGATACTTTCATCTCAAAATAAAGGTAATATAGGAGCTTTCAGGTTGAATTATTAGATAAATTAGCCCTTATTCTTTTTTTTTTTTTATTGATCATTCTTGGGTGTTTCTCACAGAGGGGGATTTGGCAGGGTCATAGGACAATAGTGGAGGGAAGGTCAGCAGATAAACAAGTGAACAAAGGTCTCTGGTTTTCCTAGGCAGAGTGTGTGTGTCCCTGGGTACTTGAGATTAGGGAGTGGTGATGACTGTTAACGAGCATGCTGCCTTCAAGCATCTGTTTAACAAAGCACATCTTGCGCCGCCCTTAATCCATTTAACCCTGAGTGGACACAGCACATGTTTCAGAGAGCACAGGGCTGGGGATAAGGTCATAGATCAACAGGATCCCAAGGCAGAAGAATTTTTCTTAGTACAGAACAAAATGAAAAGTCTCCCATGTCTACTTCTTTCTACACAGACACAGCAACCATCTGATTTCTCAATCTTTCCCCCACCTTTCCCCCTTTTCTATTCCACAAAACCGCCATTGTCATCATGGCCCGTTCTCAATGAGCTGTTGGGTACACCTCCCAGACGGGGTGGTGGCCGGGCAGAGGGGCTCCTCACTTCCCAGTAGGGGCGGCCGGGCAGAGGCGCCCCTCACCTCCCGGACGGGGCGGCTGGCCGGGCAGGGGGCTGACTCCCCACCTCCCTCCCGGACGGGGCGTCTCGCCTGGTGGGGGGCTGACCCCCCGACCTCCCTCACGGATGGGGCGGCTGGCTGGGCCGGGGGCTGACCCCCCCACCTCCCTCCCGGACAGGGTGGCTGGCCGGGCAGAGGGGCTCCTCACTTCCCAGTAGGGGCGGCCGGGCAGAGGCGCCCCTCACCTCCCGGACAGGGTGGCTGGCCGGGTGGGGGGCTGACCCCCCACCTCCCTCCCGGACGGGGCGGCTGGCCTGGCGGGGGCTGACCCCCACCTCCCTTCCGGACGGGGTGGCAGCCGGGCGGAGGGGCTCCTCACTTCTCAGATGGGGCGGTTGCCAGGCGGAGGGTCTCCTCACTTCTCAGACTGGGCGGCTGGGCAGAGACGCTCCTCACCTCCCAGACGGGGTCTCGGCCGGGCCGAGGCGCTCCTCTCATCCCAGACAGGGCGGCGGGGCAGAGGTGCTCCCCACATCTCAGACGATGGGCGGCCAGGCAGAGACGCTCCTCACTTCCTAGATGGGATGGTGGCCGGGAAGAGGCGCTCCTCACTTCCTAGGTGGGATGGCGGCCGGGCAGAGAGGCTCCTCACTTTCCAGACTGGGCAGCCAGGCAGAGGGGCTCCTCACATCCCAGACGGGGTAGCGGCCGGGCAGAGGCTGCAATCTCGGCACTTTGGGGGGCCAAGGCAGGCGGCTGGGAGGTGGAGGTTGTAGCCGAGATCACGCCACTGCACTCCAGCCTGGGCACCATTGAGCCCTGAGTTAACGAGACTCCGTCTGCAATCCCAGCACCTCGGGAGGCCGAGGCTGGTGGATCACTCGCGGTTAGGAGCTGGAGACCAGCCCGGCCAACACAGCGAAACCCCGTCTCCACCAAAAAAATACGAAAACCTGTCAGGCGTGGCGGCGCGCGCCTGCAATCGCAGGCACTCGGCAGGCTGAGGCAGGAGAATCAGGCAGGGAGGTTGCAGTGAGCCGAGACGGCAGCAGCACAGTCCAGCTTCCGCTCGGCATGAGAGGGAGACCGTGGAAAGAGAGGGAGAGGGAGACCGTGGAAAGAGAGGGAGAGGGAGAGGGAGAGGGAGAGGGAGAGGGAGAGGGACAATTAGCCCTTATTCTAAGAAAAAACAAACAGAACCTAAAAAAAACATATTTGCAAATTTTTTATAAAGGATTCCAGAAACAGGAGAAAGATTGGATTAGATCAAGGAGAAGGTGCATTCCTTCACTGGGAGGTTGTGATTCTGTTTTTACAATTTCATTCTGGACTGAGCATCCCTCAGAGCCTGGTGGACCTGCTTGTTCCGCAGAGTGTAAATGATCGGGTTCAGCAGTGGGGTCACCACTGTGTTCACAAGAGCAGCCTTTCTGTTGGAGTCCAGCCTGTCCATTTGCTTCGGCTTCACATATATGAAGACACAGCTGCCATACACCAGAGAGAGGACAATGAGGTGAGAGGAGCAGGTGGAGAAAGCTTTCTGCCGCTCCTTGGCTGATGGGAGTCGTACAATTGTGACTACTATGTTGCCATATGCAATGATGGTTATAATGAGGGATGTAAAAAGAACGAATGAAACAAGGACAAAGGCCAACGTTTCAGTAGATCTGGTGTCAGAACAGGAGAGTTGGATCAGAGGGCCGAGGTCACGGAAGAAGTGAGGGATGACATGGGGTCCACAGAAAGATAACTGGGAAACCTTCACCATGAGACCAGTGATGAGAGTGAAGCCCACGACAAAGCAGGCAGTGACCAGGTGGAAGCTAGTCCTCAGGCTCATGATGGTGGAGTAATGCAGAGGCTTGCAAATGGCCAGGTATCAATCCAAGGACATCACAGCCATAAGGAAGAAAACTGTTGACCCAAGAAATAAAAATGAAAAGGACTGCATGAGACAAGTAGTAAAGGGGATTATTTGCCTGCCTGAAAGAAAGATGACCAGAAGTTTAGGAATAACTGTGGTGATAAAACAGCATTCACAGAAGGAAAAACTGCTGAGGAAGAAATACATAGGTGTCTGGAGGTGATGGTCAGCCCAGGTGATGGTGATTATGAGCATGTTTGCCATGATGGAGGCCAGGTATGCCAGCAGGTGCACCAGGAAAAGGACATTCCCCAGATGCTGGACAGCAGGAAATCCCTCCAGGATAAATTCCTGGACTACTGTCCTGTTCCTTGCTTCTCCCATCATTGGTTTTCCATTTCTTCAATCAATTTTCAGTGAGCTATTTTACAGTGTCATGATTAAAGAATGGAGAACTTTATTTTATTAAACATGTAAAACAGTATCCGTGTGGCAATTGGACTTGTTTATTTTCAAACATTATATTTTATGTAATTTTTGTTATGTAAACATTATGATTTTTATCTATGAATATACTTATATTACATGCAGCCCAAAATAACTGTGCATGTAGCTATTAGTCTTCATAAAGGATAATGTAATTTTAAAAGTATTAGTCATTTTCCTATACAGTTTATTGCCAAGCAGGAAAAAAATCCCTTCTTTTACTTACGTATCTGATCATGTAACACATTGCTGAGAAGATACCACTCATGACATGCAGTCACAAGATGAATATTGCAAAAATAAATGTGTAACTTAAAAAAAACTTGAGGTCATTTAAGTCTGTCATCCCACAAAAAGTATTTCTTCATCATGTCTTAGGGTTTGTTTCCATCTTGGGGGAATCATAATACCATATATAGGAAAAATACTGTGGCCCCAACTGCAGCCCTCCGAAGTGAGTTAGACTAAAAGAGTCACAGACAAACTCCATCTGGGCCATTCTGACCTTTGCTGAATTTGTTTTTCCCTTCATGCCATGCTAAGTGGTCAGTCCAGGGAGGAATATATTCTGACCCTTCCAGTTCACTAGTTACACTTTCATCTAGAACAAAGCCACCTAGAAACCAATGTCCCTCTAGGATCCCTGGTGGCTGCTAATTGGGCCTGTTGGAAATACAAATTTATTACACAAGCATCATAGTTACACTTTAATTATGTGTGCAAATATATTTAAGGAATGACAACCAAAATATAAAAAGAAGGGTTATGGCTGGGCACGGTGGCTCATGCCTGTAATCCCAGCACTTTGGGAGGCCAAGCAGGCAGATCACGAGGTCAGAAGTTCAAGACCAGCCTGACCAACATGGTGAAACCCCGTCTCTACTAGAAACACAAAAATTAGCTGGGCATGGTGGCACATGCCTGTAATCCCAGCTACTCAGCAGGCTGAGGCAGGAGAATCACTTGAACCCAGGAGGTGGAAGTTGCAGTGAGGTGAGACTGTGCCACTGTACTCCAGCCTGAGCAACTGAGCAACAGAGTGAGACTCCGTCTCAAAAAAAAAAAAAAAAAAAAAAAAAAGAAGGGTTGTATGACTTGACCACAGCAATTATTTTCTGATTCCTGCTCCTTGCTGTTGTCCACCTAAGTAGAATAAATATTATTTTTCATGTGTTTAACATTGGACTGTCTCTTGACACCAGTCAGGATCCACCAGGACCAACGGGCAGACTCCAGACACGCCAGACATCATTAGGAGATGAACAAAGCCATCTAGAGACCAATGTCCCTCTAGGATCCCTGGTGGCTGCTAATTGGGCACTGTTGGAAATAGAAATTTATTATACAAGTATCATAGCTACCCTTTCATTATGTGTGCAAATATATTTAAGGAATGACAACCACAATATATAAAGAAGGGTTGTATGACTTCAACGCAGCAATTATTTTCTGATTCATGCTCCTTGCTATTATCCACCTAGGCAAAATAAATATTATTTTTCATCCTTTAAATTTATAAACTTCTCTTAGGTGAGCTTTTGTCACTCTGGTCAACTAATGTTCATCTCAGATCTCTGAACTCACTGTCTAATTTAGCCCAGCCCAATACTCCTACTCTTTTTTAGTGTGTGAGATCAGATTGAAGAGGAACAGAGTCTGTTTGGGTTCACAGAAAATGAGTGGAAAGATTTTCCAGTCACACTAAGGTCATGTACTCACCCCAAGCAGTTTACAGCAACCAGAGCTCTAGCCCCTGCTTTCCAAAAAACCAAGATGCTGTTCCAGGCCATTGGATGTGTAAGAAAATACACACTTCCATCTCAGATGTCCCTAATTTGTCCCGGAGAAAAGTTCAACATGTGCATCATGCCTGCTAAGCATAATTCATCAATGAATTCAGAGCTTTCCTAAACTGAGATAAGTGAAAGTGATAGCTTCATGGCCACCTTGCTTGATGAAATCCTGGGAAAGAAAGCAAAGAGCATACTTTCCCAACATCCTGCAGGAACCTGGGAGTGAGATCACTTGGAATTCCAAAAAGCTTTCACACTCTCTTTGTAGGCCCTAGGTTCCCCCAGACCACCATCCTCCTCCTGTGTCTGCCAACACCAGCAGGAGACAGTAATTGGTGGGCAAATACTCCAGGGCAGGGTGGGAGACAACAACATCCTCACTTAAACTGGTGTCTCATACATAAATAATATCTCTCCAAAGTGCATGCAAGCACACTGAGTTTGCCACTCCCTGACCTCTCCAGACTGGGAAGAATAACCACACTATTGAAAGCAGAAATAAAAGTGATATGAATTTCCCTTACCATATGCTTAACATTGGACTGTCTCTTGATACCAGTCAGGATCCACCAGGACCAACGGGCAGACTCCAGACACACCAGACATTATTAGGAGAACAAAGCCATCTAGAGACCAATGTCCCTCTAGGATCCCTGGTGGCTGCTAATTGGGCACTGTTGGAAATAGAAATTTATTATACAAGCATCATAGTTACTCTTTCATTATGTGTCCAAATATTGTCATATGAAAATGTCTGAAAGTGTCCTCCATGAAAATCTTTAAAAATGGAGTACATATAATTCCCCAAGTTTATAAAGTTCCATATTGCATTTTGCTACTAAGATGGGGTTGAAAGGTCAAGTGAGGAACTTAGAGCTTCACCTGGCAGTAATGAGGTGGATGTCCCCTTTACTCGGCCAGAGCAGTGTCAAAGAAAGCCAGATAAAATGTAAGGTTTAAATAAGGCCAGTGCCTCATAACATAAAACCCACAATGTCCAGGTGTTATCTGAAAACCACTTGTTATGCCAGGAACTAGGAAGATCTCAACTTAAATTTAAAAAGAAAATCAATAGATACTAACATTAAAATGACAGAGATATTAGAACTATATGACAAAGAGTTTAAAGCAGCCATCACAAAAATGCTTCAATAAGCAATTACAAATATGCTTGAAATACATTTTAAAAATAAAGTCTCAGCAAAAAATAGAAAGTTTCAGCCAAGATAGAGAAAACATAAAGAAGAACCAAATAAAAATTTTGGAACTGAAAAATAGAGTAAATTAAAATTTTAAAACAGTGGAATGATTCAACAGCAGAATGGAGAGGACAAAGGGAAAATCAATTAACTGATAGATAAAACAATAGAATTTACTCAATTTGGGCAACAGAAAGAACATATACTGAGGCCAGGTGTGGTGGCTCATGCCTGTAATCCTAGCACTTTGGGAGGCCAAAGTGGGTGAATTTCCTGAGCTCAGGAGTTCCAGACCAGCCTGGGCAACATGGTGAAAAACCCATTTCTATCAAAAATACAAAAACTTAGCTAAGCACGGTGGTGCATGCCTGTAGTCTCAGCTGCTAGAGAGGCTGAGGCAGGAGAATCGCTTGAGCCTGGGAAGCAGAGGTTGCAGTGAGCCGAGATTGTGCCATTGCGCTCCAGCCTGGGTGACAGAGCAAAACTCTGTCTCAAAAAAAAAAAGAAAAAAAAAAAGAATATATACTGAAAAAAAAAAAAAAAAGGAAATAATAGAGCCTCATGGGCCTGTAGGACTATAACAAATGATCCAATATTTATGTAATATATGTATTCTACACATTCTATATATATTCTCTATACGTGTAGAATGCGTATCCCAAACAATGGAACTGCAAAAGATTTGAAACAAAGTGGTAGAATTGAATGGAGAAAAAAATTAATCCACAGTTACAGTTTTAGACTTCACTATTCTTCTCTCAATAACTGATAGAACAACTAGACAAAAATACAGGGTAACTCAATACCACCAATCACCAATAAAGCCTATCCAACAAAATAAAACACTCTACCCAATGATAGTAGAATTCACATTCTTTTCATGTGCCCATCAAACATACACCAACCACACACACTACACTACAAATAACATACACTAATTACATTCTGGGCCACAAAATAAATTCCAATAAATTTTAAATAATTGAAATCATACAGAATGTGTTATACGACCAGTATTCAATCATTAAGAAAAAGATAACAGGAAATTAACAGAAATCAATAGTAGAAAGATAACAGGAAAACATCTCCAAATGCTTGGAAACTAAATAACATACTTCTAACTAGTCAAAGGGTCAAGGAGGAAGTCTCAGAGGAAATAAAAAAGAAATTGAACTGAATGAAATAAAAATATAACACTTGTGTGGCACATCCTAAGTACATATATTAAAAAAGGAAAAGCATTAATAACCTAAGCTCCCAACTCAAGAACCCAGGGGCTCTTTAGTCAGCAGGTGATGAACCCTGACAGGTCTCTGTGTGACATAGCAGCACTGAGTTCATTCCTCCAATCACTGTGCTCTCCTCCCAAGTGAACAGATTTCTCTACATTGCATGGCTCTACTGGGAGCTGGGGAAGGGATGGCTCAAACATTCCCTTAGCTGCCCCAGCTTGTGTTTAGTAAGTTGCATGCTCCACCAGTCCACTGGCTCTGAGCCCACCTCAGCACTGGGATGTGCCTGGGAATTGCAAACCTTATGGCCAAAACAGCCCCTCAAGTTCACTTAGGGCCCCAGGGTACTTTAGCAAGGCTTGTTGGAACTCAAGCTCTAACTCCTGAGGTGGGAAATTCCCCTCTGGCCAGGACCAGTCAAAATTCTCCTTCCGTGGGTAGATGTCAGCTCAGTACAGCCCGGTTCTGCTTTCCACTGTGACAAGGTAGCACTGAGTTCAATGCAAAGCCTCACAACTGCTGTGCTCTCCCTCTCCAAAGCACACAGATTCTCTGTGCTGTGTGCTGCTGCTGGGGGATAGGGGAGAGGGTGGCATCAGCAATACAAGATGGTCTTTTCTACCATCTTCAATGTCTCTTTCAGCAATATGAAGTTAAAGCCAGATATTGTGATTGCTGACCTGATCTGGGGTTCTCGTGATGGTGCTTTATGTGTGTAGTTAGCTGTGAAAATTTGGTGTTCCTGCAGGAGGAATGAATGGTGTAGGCTTCTATTTGGCCTTCTTGCTCCACTCTTTCTTCTTTGATTTCTTTCATTGGCATTTTATAGTTTTGGCATACATGTTCTGTACATGTTTGTTTAGATTCAATTGGAGTATTTCATTTTATTTGGTGATTGTAAATGGTAATGTTTTAGTTTCAATGTCCACACTTTCATTGTTAGTATACAGAAATATAATTAATTTTTGTATGTTGATCTTGTATCCTGCAGCCTTGCTGAACGCACTCATTGGTTGTTGATGTTTGTAAACTTTTTGTGTATATAAATTCATTGGAATTTTCTAAATAGGCAATCATGTCATCTGCAAATAGTAACAGTTTTATTTTTCCTTTTGATCTGTGTGTCTTTTGTTTCTTTTTTATGTCTCATAGCACTGGCTAGACTTCCAGTGCTATGTTGGATGAAAGTAGGGAGTGGGCATTCTTACCTTGTTCCTGATCCTCAGGGGAAATCATTCAGTATTTCACTCTTAAGTATGATGTTAGCTGTGGGTTTTTTGTAGCAAGTTGACGATATTCCCTTATATTCCTATTTTTCTGAGAGTTTTAATATAAGTAAAAATTTGACAAATGCTTTTCTGTAGCCAATAATAGGATCATGTGAATTTTCTTTTTTAGCTTCTTAATATGGTAGATTACATTGATTTCTGAATATTAAACCAGCCATGCATACTTGGAATAAACCCCACTTTGTCATAGTATATAGTTATTTGTACATATCACTGTATTCTATTTGCTAATTTTTATTGAGAATTTTGTATCTATGTTTATGAGAGACATTGGCCTCTAGTTTTCTTTTTGTACTATCACTGTCTATTTTTGAAATAGAGTAATAATAGCTTTATAAAATGAATTGTAAAGCTTTTGTGTCTCTTCTATTTCTTTGTAAGATATTTCATAAAATAGGTGCTAATTTTTTTTTTTTTTTTTTTGAGATGGAGTCTCACTTTGTCACCAGGCTAGAGTGCAGTGGTGTGATCTTGGCTCACTGCAACCTCTGTCTTCTAGGTTCAAGTGATTCTCCTGCCTCAGCCTCCCAAGTAGCTGAGATTACAGGTACCCACCACCTAATTTTTGTATTTTTAGTAGAGACAGGGTTTCTCCATGTGGGCCAGGATGGTCTTGATCTCCTGACCTCATGATCTGCCTGCCTCAGCTTTCCAAAGTGCTGGGATTACAGGCATGAGCCACCATGCTCAGCCACAACCCAATTTTTCCTAAAACATATGGAGATTTCTTTTTGGGAGTTTTGAAATTTTGAATTCAATTTTCTTATTTGGTATAGGATTATTCAAATAATTTATTTCATATTAAGTGAGTTGTGGTATTGGTTCATCTCCTTAAAGTTGTCAAATTTATGTCTGTAGTGTTTTTAGCATTCCCTTATTATCTTTTTAATGTTTGTAGGGTCTCTATTAATGTCTCCTGTTTCATTACTGGTACTGATGATTTGAGTCTTCTCTCTTTTTTCATTGGCAGTCTTGATAGAGTTTTTCAAATTTATTGATTTTTTCAAAGAACCAGCTCTTTTTAATTGATTATCTCTTTTGTTTTTCTGTTTTTAATTTTATTGATTTCTGCTCTTATAACTATTATTTTCTTGTTTTTGCTTGCTTTGAATTTATTTTTCTCTTCTTTGTCTGGGTTCTTGAGGTGGGAGCACCTCAAAAAGTTGGGGGCACAAAATAAAGTGTAACATTTGTATTGGTTCTCTTTTTGCTTCATTGTTAGTTTGTTTCTGTAATTAGTGTTAAGTTGTGATCAGCATAAATAATGGGTTATATTATTTGCAAACCTCAGGGTAAACTCAAATAAAAAACAAAACAGATACACAAAAAATGAAAGGCAAGAAGTTAAATCTACTACCAGAGAAAATTATCTTCATTAAAAGCAAGACAAGAAGGAAGGAAAGAAGAAAGAGAAGACCACAAAATAACCAGAAACAAATAACAAAATTGCAGAAGTAAGTCCTTACTTATAATTACATTGAAAGTAAATAGACTAAACTCTCCCATTAAAAGACATAGAGTGGGCTGCAGCCAAGATGGCTGAACAGGAACAGCTCCTGTCTACAGCTCCCAGCATGAGCAATGCAGAAGATGGGTGATTTCTGCATTTCCATCTGAGGTACCGGGTTCATCTCACTAGGGAGTGCCAGACAGTGGGCGCAGGATAGTGGGTGCAGTGCACCATGTGCGAGCCGAAGAAAGGCAAGACATTGCCTCACTCAGGAAGTGCAAGGGGTCAGGGAGTTCCCTTTCCTAGCCAAAGAAAGAGGTGACAGATGGCACCTGGAAAATTGGGTCACTCCCACCCTAATACTGCACTTTTCCGATGGGCTTAAAAAATGGCGCACCAGGAGATTATATCCCACACATGGCTCAGAGGGTCCAATGCCCACGGGGTCTCGCTGATTGCTAGCACAGCAGTCTGAGATCAAACTGCAAGGTGGCAGCAAGCCTGGGGGAGCTGCTTGGTGTGGTGGCGGGCACCTGTAATCCCTTGGGAGGCTGAGGCTAGAGAATCATTTGAACTCAGGAGGCGGAGGTTGCAGTGAGCTAAGGCAAGATCACGCCATCGCATCACGCCTGTTGCTTGGGCAACAGGGCGAGACTCCATGTCAAAAAAAAAAAAATGCTTGCTAATATAAACGTGATCATAAAGACAGCAATGATTATCATGAAATTTTAACTTGCTTACCAGAAAAAGTGCATGATCTAAAACTTGGCAAATGTGCTGTTCCGTGAAACAAGGGGGTGAAGATTAGAAAACTCGAGCTTCTTCGGATTCTGAATTAACTGAAATCATATTTAAGTTGGAAAGACAGTGCCATCTAGTGGTGCATTTCTTTTTCTTTTGAAATTACTGGTTTTAGCCATTCCTGCCTTATATAATTCTAGCACTTTAGGATAATGTCAGTGGTCATGGTCATGGCTGTTCTGTGGCCTTGAGCACATCATAGCTCTGCTATGAATTTAATATTTGGAGTTAGATACACACAGATACTCATTTAGAAATACAATAGGGCGGGGCGCGGTGGCTCACGCCTGTAATCCCAGAGGCAGAGGTTGCAGTGAGCCAATATCACGCCATTGCACTCCAGCCTGGGTGACAAGAGCGAAACTCCGTCTCAAAAAAAAAAAAAAAAAAAAAAAAAAAAAAAAAAAAAAAAGAAAGAAAAAGAAAAAAGAAAAAAAAAAAGAAACAGAAAAGGGGCACTGCGGATCACGAGGTCAGCAGATCGAGACCATCCTGGCTAACACGGTGAAACCCCGTCTCTAGTAAAAATACAAAAAAAATTAGCCGGGCGCGGTGGCGGGCTCCTGCAGTCCCAGCTACTCTCGGGAGGCTGAGGCAGGAGAATGGCGTGAACCCGGGAGGCGGAGCTTGCAGTGAGCCGAGATAGCGCCACTGCAGTCCGGCCTGGAGAAAGAGGGAGACTCCGTTTCAAAAAAAAAAAAAAAAGAAAAAGAAAAAGAAATATAATGAAGATTACTCAGAAGAAAACAAATGTTTTCTAGTTATGTGTTTGAGAGAAATCCAAGCACCCACTATTTCAAAGGATGTTTCTAGAAGGCTGCCATGGCTGCGAATTGTTCTGGGTGCTGGCGACACCACAGTGAAGAAGTCAGACAGAGTCTCCGTCTCCCCACCCGTGGGACTTACATCCTTGTTGGGAAAGAGACCGGACAAAGCAAATAAACAATAAATAAGATCGGTTTTGATTATAATAGGAAAATAAAACAGGATGATGCTGGGGGAGGGCAACATTCGATAGCACGGGCTTCTCTGAGGAGGTGACATGTGAGGTGAGGGCCCATGACAGGGAGTCCTTAGCTGTGCGGGTTCAGCTTCAGCTGAGGAAAGAAGTCTCCTGGCAGGAAGAGCTGCAGGAGCAGGGCCATGGGCAGGAGTCCTCCTGGGATGAAGGAAGTGCAACCAGCAGTGAGGTGCGGGCGGCCTGGGAAGGAGGCACAGGCCAGAGCAGCTGGGGCTTGCAGACCGTGAGAAGGAGCTGGAATTTTACTTTAGGTGCAACAGGGATCTGCCGGAGCATTTTAGTCAGAGCAGGAGCAGCATCTCATTGGAGTTTGCAGACATGCAGGCAATTCAGTGGAGAACACTATGGCTGCTCCGGAATTAGTTCTATTAAGAAGATGTTTCAGTGGGAACAGGTGAAGAACAATGGTGGTCACCTGGAGATGGAGCCCTCTGAGATATGTTTTGAAGGTAGAATGGAGTGGATGTGGAGTGAAGAGAGAGGAATCAGAGATGACTGAAGTTGTAGGCTTGAAACACTGAGGTAAAGAAGTCTCAGGGAGAACAGTTTTGGGAGGGCTTGTGGAAGAGAGGAATCAAAGCACTTGTTTATTTATTTATTAGATATTTATTGAGTGCCTCTCATGTGCAGACACCTAAAAACTGGGAACATGGCAGTGAGCAGAACAGAAATCTGTGCATTCATGGAACTTGTATTCTCTTCAGCGGGAAAGACAATGAAATAAACAAGTTAGCCTGGGCAACATAACAAGACCACATCTCTAAAATTTTTTTTATTAGCTATGCATAGTGGCATGCACCTGTAGTCCCAGTACTTAGGAGGCTGAGGTGGGAGGATCACTTGAGCCCAGAAGTTCAAGGCTGCAGTGAACTATGATTGTAGCCCTGCACTCCAGCCTGGACAACAGAGTGAGACCTTGTCTCCAAAAAAAAAAAAAGTTAAATATGTAGTATGTAGAAGAAGGTAATACTTGCTGTGGAGAAAAGTCAAGCAGGAAAGGAGATGGGAATGTTGGGAGAGTTTACACAAGGAAGGCCGTATTGAGTTGGGGCTATCTTTTTTTTTTTTTTTTGGAGACAGTCTTGCTCCATCACTCAGGCTGGAGTGCAGTGAAACGATCTCAGCTCACTGTAACCTCCACCTCCTAGATTCAAGCGATTATCCTGCCTCAGTCTCCTGAGTAGCTGGGATTACAGGCATGTACCATCACGCCAGCCAATTTGGGGATGTCTGAGTAAAGACCTGAAGAAATGTAGGAAGACAAACGATGTGGATATACAGGGAAGAGCATTCCAGGCAAAGGGAACAGCAAATGCCATACCCAAGAAGCAGGAGCATGACTGGTTTGGCTCAAGAAGCAAAATGAACAAAGTGGAGACAATAAGAAATGAGATCAGAAAGGTCAGGGGTGGGAGAGGAGGAGAGAAGGCCATTGTGATGGCTTTGCTTGTTCTATTGAGTGGATGGGCAGTTAGGAGGGTTTCAGCAGAGCGATGACCTGGTCTGACTTACATTTTAACAGTATCCTCTCGATGACATTTTGAGAATAGACTAAGAGGAACAAGAGCAGAATCAGGGGCTTTGTGGGAGTCTCCAGTGATCATCAAGGCAAGAGATCAGAGCAACTAGGGCCAGAGTGTTAGTGGGTGCAGTGGTTAAGGTAGCAGTGGGTGAGCAGACTCTCATGACACATTCTTTTTAAAATCATAGGTTACTTTCCCAAAGAGGAAAAAAATGTTAGGCATCATACCAGGTTTTTACTGAAAGTCATAATATCATCAATCCAATTATAATTCTGTTCCTAAATTAAGACCACCTCTAAGAACATCCATGTAAAAATGTTTAATCATGACCTATTGTGACTTCACATCCAATTTAGTGTGAAAGATGCAACTTTTTTGTAAATAATGGAGAAGTAATGAATTGTTTTTCTTTTCAGTTATACCATGGGGTTAGTGAAAGTGCCAACTTGGCTGGAACGTTTTGTGGTTCCACTGTACCTGCTCCTTTTATCTCTTCTGGTAACTTCCTTATGGTTCAATTCATCAGTGACTTAACATTAGAAAGGGAAGGATTTAATGCTACATACACCATCATGGACAGTGAGTAGATAGAAGCATTTTTATATGTTATGAAATACACATGTATTTAGGCACTGAAAAGAATGCCCTGCTTATTATATTGAAATTTCAATGTTAATTACTAAACTCAATGTCAATTACTATCTAAACTCAATGTCAATTACTAAACACCATGTTAATTACTCTATGTTTAATCTGTGGTACAAAATTTGATACAATTTTTAGTCAAGGATATAAACCCCCAATTCTTAATGGAATGATGAAAATATAGCTCCTCTGGGGTGGGAGATGAGGAAGACAGAATTTTAAAGATTGCCTGAGATGAGACATGAATAAATTGTCTCCTGTGTTGCTTTTTCTTCCCAGTGCCTTGTGGTGGAACATACAATGCAACTTGGACCCCACAAAATATTTCATCACCCAATTCATCAGACCCAGATGTCCCATTTTCCATCTGTACTTGGGTCATTGACACCCCTCCACATCAGCAGGTCAAGATAACTGTGTGGGTGTTAACAGCTGAGCTCATAAGACTGCATGCAGAATTACTTACAGCTTCAGGACTCACCACAGGTAACAATTATAGGATGAATGACAGTCGCATCTTTTCACTAGCTTTTGCAAAACACTTGAAATAATGAGGCCATGATTAAATAATTTTCTAAGTTACTTCCAGCTTAATGTGTTATTCATCTGTACACAAAGCCCTCCAATCAGGTGTGTCGAGAAACTTGAACTTGGTCCTGTAGGTCCAGAGCTCTCAAAGCTTTGTGTGCCTAAGAATGCATTAAGAAGCATCTTAAAAGTGCATCCTCCCTGGCCCACCCTCAGAGACTGAGTTATAACACCCATTTATCTGACTTTTTGACAAACATCTCTGGTGTTTTGGTGCCAATACCAGAGCTCCATGGACCATGCTTGGAGAAATATGTATAGTTAGTAGGATTTATGTATAGGCTGAATTGAAAGGGTCAATACAGAACACAAGAGAATCAGTGAAGAGGCTGTTTGGCACCAGTTTCAGAGGTCTATATTCATGGTAATATAAGAGAGATAAAAAGAAAAGGGCCGGGCGCAGTGGCTCATGCCTGTAATCCTAGCACTTTGGGAGGCTGAGGCAGGTGACCTGAGGTCAGGAGTTCAAGACCAGCCTGGCCAATGTGGCGAAACCCTATCTCCACTAAAAATACAAAAAATTAGCCGGGTTCAGTGGTGTGTGCCTATAACCCCAGCTACTCGGGAGGCTGAGGCAGGAGAATCGCTTGAACCTGGGATGCAGACGTTGCAGTGAGCCAAGATTGCGCCACTGCACTCCAGACTGGGCGACAGAGCAAGACTTTGTCTCAACAACAACAACAACAACAACAAAAACAAAAACAAAGAGGCTGGGCACGGTGGCTCACACCTGTAATCCCAGCACTTTGGGAGGCCGAGGCAGGTGGATCATAAGGTCAAGAGATTGAGACCATCCTGGCTAACGCGATGAAACCCCGTCTCTACTAAAAATACAAAAAAAAAATTAGCCGGGCACGGTGGCAGGCGCCTGTAGTCCCAGCTACTCGGGAGGCTGAGGCAGGAGAATGGCATGAACCCAATCGCGCCACTGCACTCCAGCCTGGGTGACAGAGCCAGACTCCATCTCAAAAAAAAAAAAAGAAAGAAAGAAAGAAAGCCATTTTGAGCTTTACAAAATGCTGAGTCTGAATTTCCTCTGGAATAAGATGTTGAGGAGACAGTTGGACACAAAGTGGGATGTTGACCTAAGGCCCAGAGATTTTTGTGCATCATCATTATCATGATAAGTAATTGAAATAATGAGAAGAATAAGATTATCCAGGGAAAAATATGTAAAGGGAGAGGCCGTGAACTGAGGATGGATACCAGGGAGAACATTTGAGAATACCTGGATTCTCTTTCTGCAGTCGGGGGAGCAACTAACCCTCCCCAGTTCATTCCAAGAATGTCATGTTCAAGCCCCATGTGCTGGAATAGTAGAGTCCCATTTGTTGTCTTCTGAGTTTTCAGGGTCCTCTTCATTATAAATCTGGGGTCCCCTGCTTCTCACCTGGTCTTGCTGGGGAGAGAAAAGTCCCGTTTGTCTGACTCCAATGTGGAGAGGTGTGAGAGGTGCTGGCAGCTGAATAGGCCCTGGACTTGCTCAGTTTTGTGCAAAGCTTAGATGCTGAGATGAGCTCCCAAGCTCTCAAGATGGACAAGATGCTAGACTATCATCATTCTGTTGGTAATGGTTTTCAGGACAAAATCCCTATTACCCAGTGGTACCCTTACTGGAAGGACTTAGAGCCAAGTGGAACAAGGTCCTTTGGGTGAAGCCTTTTCCCCCTGCTTCATGAAGCTAAGACAATGAGGATCATGGTGGACCACTCAGCGTGCCACTTACAGAACACTAGGCACCAGCTGGAACATAATAGCAGCTGGAGTGGCTGTGAGTAAGACCCAGTGTTTGTCATGACTGAATAATGTTTTCAACTGAATGAATACAGGAAACAATCAAGGGTTTCAGACTGGGTAGGTAGGGAGGAAAGACAAACATTGACGGATGAGCTGGGAGAAACTGGGATTCTCAGGGTATCCAAGAATAGACAGAGAAGGTCTAATTGGAAGATCATGAAGGAATGATGTGTAGGGCTGTTATAGAGGATGTACAGTAGCTACCTGGCATTGGGAATGAACGGAGACACAGAGATGGAAGTCACTGGTGTTAAGAAATATAAAGTGAGGGTGTTTAATGGCTTGTCTGTATAAACACTGAAACCTCTAAGGGTTCAGAAAGGAAATTGGGGGCAGGAGATTACTATGAGCTGAGACACCTCAAGTCTTTCATAAATGCTGGGAAGTAACCAGGAGAAAAGTAAGTGAGAGTGATGACAATGGTGAGAATATATTTGACCAGACGTAGAGACCCTCAAAGGTGAACCAGCTTTGAGGCAAGGATGGAAGCTGCAGTGAGGAACGTGGAGCATCCCTCCCTTCCTCCTAGGCTGACCCCCCACCCTTCCTACTCAATAAACTGTGGAGCATGGGAAAAGAGTGGCCTCTACCAGGAGGCTGGTGGAGAAACAGGTTTTGCTAAGGCTACAAAGTGGAAAGGCGGGGGATGTATATAGAGAATGATTGACCGTGCAGTTAAAGTTCACAGGATACAGCAAAGTTAGACAAGGACCAAGAGCAGGAGACGGTTGGGAGGAGGAGTGGAAGTCCTGAGCAGTAAGAGGAGTTTGCAAGCAGAGGTGGGTTGGGTCTTTCAGTAGGTTCCTAAGGACTGCAGATATTAGAGACATACTTGTGACAGGGAGGCTGCAAATACCCTGACTTTGGTACAACTTGTTTTTATGCAAGAACTGATGGGCATTCAACTGCATTTACTCCAGGCTTTTGAGAGGTAATGAGGGCTGCCCAAGTGTTACAAAGGGGAACCAGCACCTCATTACAGGCCCTGGCTGGCTTGGGGATGTACAGTGGAACCAAAGGCTCTGATTAGATTTGCTAAGGGGTAGCAAGGGCTGGATCAGGGCAATGATGGTTGTTAGTCTCATGGAGCTCAGGACTGGCAAAAGCCCCAGGAGGAGAAATCCAGTGAACTCTCAAACAGCCCAGTGGTGCTCAGAGCAATGGCACAGGCCTCGACTAGGAAGTCACATCAGAGGGGAGGGGTCTTGTTTTCAGCAGGGAAGTGTCTGTGGTTTCAGCAGAAACTTTGCCTCCCCTCCTCCCTCCCCTCTGGGAAGGTGCGACTTGTATCAGTTCCAAGGCCAAAGTGAGTCTTCTTGCAGAGCACTTCCAACAACAGAGCTAGTTTCCATGGTTAAATATTTAAGCCATACTTTTATAGGCAGTTTAATTTCTGTTATGCTGTTCTCTTCTAAAATAAATCTAACATGACTTGGCTTCCATTTCATTTCAGAGTCATGGAAATTCAAGAATTCAGTTCTGTGGCAGAAATGCTTTGGCTATGCCGGTGTTTTATTCTTCTATGAGTACTGCAATTGTCATTTTCAAATCTGGAGTTTTAAACAGAAATTCTAGAATGAATTTCACCTATCAGATAGCAGGTGAGCCCCAGAACTTCATCTTTTATTAAGAAAAGCTGCCATCATTACAATTATTCCTAGAATAATTACAATTATTTCTAGAATTGACTCCCGTTAGTAAATTAAGATTTGTTAACAAAAACCACACCCATCTCTTAACTAGAACCCAGGCCCAATTTAGCAAATTACTAAAGTTGGTTTCTAAAGAGGTAAAGAGAATACAATACTAACCAAGATGCTTAGAATGCTAGCATTTTCTTCAACGTCTATGTAGTTGATTTTAAAAATATACCAGTTATTTTGTTAATTTACGCACTTAACCACACTGAATATACATATTTATTTATGAGAAATATATATATATTTACAAGAGCTTTATCAAAATATAATCCTCATGTCATACAATTTACCCATTTAATGTTTATATTTCAGAGGTTTTTAGTATTTTCACAAGGTTGAAAATCTTAGAAAATTATTTTTGTAAAAATCAAAAAGCCTTAAAAGAGTTACCTGATTACTATCACTGAGAAGTTTATTTTCACAGAACACTTTATTTGATATTTATTTTGAATTGATTCAAATGAAAGCTGCCTTTGGTTAAACAAACAAAAGTACTTTAGATTTTTTTTACAAAAAAAAAGGTAAAGAACGATTTCCCACAAATAACTCACAAATGGATTTAAAATCCTTGCGCAAAACTCTGTCTTGGAGGTAGTGTCCTTGTCTAAAAGAGAGTCTGAATGCTAGCCACTTCACCTCAATGTGATCAGAAAAGTTCAAAGGATC
Organism: Homo sapiens; assembly: GCF_000001405.40. Classification (NCBI taxonomy): domain Eukaryota; kingdom Metazoa; phylum Chordata; class Mammalia; order Primates; family Hominidae; genus Homo; species Homo sapiens. Next base: position 45,242,381 of record NC_000010.11, on the reverse strand, counting down.
CTCGAGTATTCGTCTTTAAAGGAGAAGGCTCCTGTGTCATGCTTCCTGTAGGGGTGTTTGTGTGAATGAGCTGCTGCATTGCATGTGTGTGTGCTGCTTGAAATTCACTTCACTGCTCAGGGTCTCAATTATCTCAAAGGTAAACGAAGAAGCTGGATTACCTTTTTCTAAAGTTTGTTCACATATAATGATCTTTTTGAATTATTCCTGCGAAGTTGAAAGAGCACTGAACGCTGGAATGCATACATTAATTATGCATATTTTTCTCCTAAGATTGCAACAGAGACTATCACAAGGCATTTGGCAACCTGAGGAGTACTGGATGGCCAGATAACTACGACAGTGACATGGATTGCACCATTACTCTCACAGCCCCCCACAACCACACCCTCTTTTTTCATTTGTTTGGCATTGAGAACTCAATTGAATGCAGAAACGATTTCTTGGAGGTAATATGCATTTGAATATCATTTAAATGATGATGGATTTTACACCTTTTCTTTAGTGCTTCTAATGCTCTATGATTCTTACTTGTTTCATTAATTTATTCATTACCCTTTCATTCCCTAAACATTTACAGAGCACCAGTCCAAACACCGGAAATTGGGAACCTCAGGGCCCTCGGAAGACTCCTAGTCTGGTGGAAAGGACAGATGGGGTATAGCCAATTACAGCACAATGTGGAAAGGACTAACTGAGTCCAGCAGGGGTAGGGGTTCCTAACTCAGTCTGGGAACTAGAAAGCTTCTTTAAGAGGGCAATATGTAAGTTGAGACCTAAAAGGATCAGAGGAAAGTCTAAGAACAACAAGCTGATTCTGTAAAATGAAACTGAATGATACTAAATAGCTCACCTAATTTCCCTGACAGCTACAGTAAGTTTGGGGCATCGTCAACATCCTCTAAAGACAAGTGTTGCCTTGAAAAAGTGCTCCCTTGTTGCAGGAAGTGTGGTCTGTCCTTTTTCCACCACAACTCCAGAGCTCTCATTTGGACACAGAAGTGACTTTGCTGTTTGCCCATTCTCCACCCATTCACCCCCAACTCCCACCCCAGGACACACTGAGAGAGAAGCCCCCCTTGCACCTGGAGCAGGCAGAGCCATGCCCCTTGTGGGCCTGAACCTTTGGGGTCTTCCAGAGCCCCTGGTGAGCTCCCTCTGTGCTCTTTCTGCCACATCACCTGCATTGAGCATGTGAGATGGAACATGAATATCATTGCTCATAGGCAGGAAACGGTCTGAATAAGACTCATCTGATGCGGACCCAGTGTGTGGAACTCAGCACCTGTGTTTTGCCAGAAAACCCCCCAGAGCTCATGCGGTTGTGACCTTTGCAAGCTCTGTTGAAAATGCATTCATCCTTAGGAAATAAACTCAGGTGGAACCTGAGACTCAAAAGGATAAGGATGCTGAATTCCTCTGAGAGTGGAATTTAAATCTAAACCTCATCCCGATGCTCTCTAAACTGGCTTTGTTTCACCATACAAGAGGCTTCAGTAAGGTTTCCAAAAAGTTTGCTTGTTCCTCTACACCTGATCTGGAGTCGTATTTTTTGTTTTATTTTTTTTTCTCACTGCCTCTTTGATCAGGTCTTCATTCAAAATAAGCTTCCCAAGATGATTTGATCTTTGTAGCATAAACAAATGTACTGGTGTATGCAGCAGGCTTCTTTCCTTCTGTGGGAGGATTCTTTCCAGTGGGCTTCTGTTCAGCTGCTAGTTTCTTGGTAGCTGCAGCCTTTGTTCCCAACAAAACATCTTTTCTCACCTGCAACCCACCTCATCTGATTTGGCTTCTAGGGCTGCTGTCACCTTCTGCCCGGCCTGGTGAGGAAGGGTGTTCTGGCACATGGTCTTTGCCTATGGGTTTAGCTTCAACATGATTCTTGATGCAGTTTTATCATCCTGGAAAGCTCTCCCCTTTGGAATTCATCTAAATCCTTTATTAATCAATAGCCTTAACATGTAGTTTCATAAATAACACTCAGAGGAAGCTCATGCCTTTTCTAAAGGAATATTCCCATGACAGGAAACCAAAAGATGTATGTAGCAGGGAGGAAACGAAGAGACAAATACAGTATTCTTTGTGCCGGTCAGGTTACTCAACTTGGACCTACGTACCTCCCCCACCACGGAGATCCATATATTTATATGAAGTGTAAAGCAGAAAGAATGAGGAGAGTGGGATCTGGATGAAAGATGGAATAATCCCGTTAGGTTGGAGTCACAGTGCAACTAACTCTTAACTCACTCCAGCTTGAATGGACCATTATTGATCAGAGTCAACATTTGCCATTTGCCTGATAGATGCTGGGAAGCAAAGCCTTGCTTTCCAGCCATGGACAGTAAGAACTCTTCCTCCTCGCTGTCCTTCATTACTCCGTAGAATGGATCTGAAACTTCCTGTCCCATAAGCAAAGAAAGGAAACCACAGCTTAGGCCTGTAAAATGTAGCTCCGTCTGGCTCTCGGTGGGAAGACTGTGGGCATAGTTTATTGGCAGCTGGACCAGGAAGCCTCAGCATTCCATTCTTGTGAACTGCCGTAGGAACAGAAATGTCTGACTGAGGATTCTGTGTTACTACCAAGTGAGGGCCGAGCTCTAGACCATGCCTGGAATCTGCGATTGTTTTCATGCCTTCACCTCCCCTTCCAGGATCCTCTGATGTCGCAGGGATGCCCGCTGCTCTCGGTGGCCCCATTCCTCCTAGGAGACGAAAGTGAATAAGACAAGTTGTTGGCAGTGTCCGTGAAAATTAGTATCTCACTGCTCCTCTCAGAGCAACGCCATTTTAAAAGAGGACCCCTGGGTGAAAACACCCAAACTCAAGGGTATGGTGCTGGAAGGTCTTAAATATGGCAGCCCTCCTATCTACTAGTGGATAACTGGCTACTCTGTCATGGCAAGTCTACTTTATTTAAACACTTAGCAGAATAATCCCTGAAGCACTAGAAAGGCATTAGTCTCTCCCATGGGCTACTACATAGACCTAAAAGGAATCTCACCTGATCAACACAGCCCAGCAAGATTAGACTGTCTTAACTCTGTGACTTAAGATACCAGCAATTAACCAAATTTTAAATCATGGAATTACAAAGGGAAGAGAGGAACTTCCAGTGTTTTGAATACATGGATCAGTAAAATCAGCATTTCTACATGTCAGGCTGGTTCCAACATACATTGCCTGTGTAACGTTTCCTTTAGAAGCGTCGAGAGCCCTCCTGGAAGCAGGTCTAGTTGTGAATGCAGGGTAGGAGCCAGGCTGGGGGACAGAAAATGGTTGAATTCACAGTGTGGTTCTCTCTTCCCTCAAAACACCAACTCATTTCCTGTTTTTATATGTGTCTATTCAAAAATGAGGAGTTGAAACAAAAAAGCAACAAGGCCTCGGAATGTGTTTTTAAAACACGTTTAACAACAGTCAGAAGTTGTATAGATTTATAATTCTGTCCTTCACCCATACAGAAATTCCTTTTGTTCTGAACTTTATTATACTTTGCATTGTATTTTCTTCGTAGCCCCTTTACAGCCAAGTAATTTTCAATGGGAAACCCGTGTGCGCGCGCACTCATACACACACACACACACACTATGAAAAATGTATAATAGTTGACTGGAAACAGGGCAGGCAACATTGCCCCCACCCATCCCCACCCTTTAAAAATTCACTTTACCTACATTCTTCCAAATGTTTCCCCAAAAGCAAAGGCTGCAGGATCATAGCAAAAACTATTATATAAAAAAGCAGCCTGATGTTTTAATTGCTACAGGTTAACAGATATTTCTGAATCCAAATACAAATGTTTTTTGATCTACACATGGAACATTTTTCCCCTTTGCAAGTGAAGATGACTTCTGCATGTATTTTCAGAAAACCCTTCATTCTTATGTATATAAAAAGACAAAGCTTTTCCAAAAAGTGTCATCATTCAAATTGTCTCACAGTGTAATGTATATACATTGGAGAAGAAAGTGTAAGTTTAATAATGAATGACTCCTTCCTAAAGGTGAGAAATGGAAGTAACAGCAATTCACCATTACTTGGCAAGTACTCTGCTGCCAAACCCTGTCTTCTCTCAAAATAATGAACTATACCTATGATTTAAGAGTAATAGTGTAATTTCGGATCGTGGATATGAAATCATCTGGACCTCATCACCCTCTGGTAAGACATTTGTACTTTGTACGGGAAAGCAGTGTAGGTGAGTAAAACATAAGGTGTCTAATAGAAAAAGGCAAAGTAACCTTATATTTTTTAGCTACCTGTGTAACTGATTAATTCATGTTAAGAATAGAGATTTTTAACAATGAAGGTACAAATTATTTTGTTGTTGTTGTTGTTGAGATGGAGTCTTGCTCTGTCGCCCAGGCTGGAGTGCAGTGGCACGATCTCAGCTCACTGCAACCTCTGCCTCCTGGGTTCAAGTGATTCTCCCACCTCAGCCTCCCTAGTAGCTGAGATTACAGTTGCATGCCACCATGCCCAGCTAATTTTGTATTTTTAGTAGAGACGGGGTTCTGCCATGTTGGCCAGGCTGGTCTTGAGCTCCTGACCTCAGGTGATCTACCCGTGTCGGCCTCCCAAAGTGCTGGGATTACAGGCATGAGCCACTGCACCTGGCCAGATTACTTTAAATTCTACATTTATTCATTATTTCTGTTTATAAAATAATATATATTCATATATGAAGCACATATAAGGTATGAAGATTTAAAAATTCCTTTGTAAATTCAATTTTGTTAGACTTTTTGACTGTTGGTTTGACCATCAAGGAAGTTCATTGACAATTTAAGGAAAAATATTTACCAAAAATCCAACTTATGAACACATTCTGGCATATATATGAATGGTTGTGCTTCTCACAGGCCCTGACATTTGTTGGCAGTCCTGGAGAGAAATTGCTTTTTTAGGGTAGTAAGTATCCTCTCATATTTTTGGTTGGCCACTTTTCAAACAGCTAAAGAAAATTTAAGTCATGTCAATACATTTAATGCAAGAGAGGAGAAATACCTTTATGAAATGTCCTCAAATACCAACATACATTCCAAATAAAAAAAGATAAACAGAAATCACTTTAAATACCTTAAGAAAATGGTTCTATTAAGATAATCGTGGGTAATGGAATTTTGGCACCCAAAGGAAGACAAAGATGACTTCCAATGCTCAAATTTTATCGACGAGGAAATAAAACACCAAGATTAGGCTGGGTGTGGTGTCTCACGCCTATAATCCCTGGGAGGCCAAGGCAGCTGGATCACCTGAAGTCAGGAGTTCCACACCAGCCTAGACCACATGGTGAAACCCTGTCTCCACTAAAAATACAAAAATTAACTGGACATGGTAGTGCATGCCTATAATCCCAGCTACTTGGGAGGCTGAGACTGGAGAATCACTTGAACCTGGGAGATGGAGGCCGTAGTGACCTGAGATCACACCACAGCACTCCAGCCTGCGTGACAGAGCAAGATTCTATCTCAAAAAAACCCACCAAGATTAATGAGTTGCCCAAAATGCTCTGCTAGACTGAGGTGGAGATGGGACTAGACCTCGGTGGTCAAAGGCCCAGCCAGGTGCTCCGTAACTATGACAGCCAGCTTCTTCCTGTCCTGGAGGCGATCTGGATCTCCACAGATATGTAGTCTATATGTAGTCTAAATCATGACAGCCTTCATATACAGATTAACAAATTGAACAAATTAACACCAAAACTTGAAGTATTCGACCTTAAGTATGTCAGTTATTAGGGTGGTAAAGTTACTTTTATAATGAAGTCATTCCTGCCACCACCTACAATCACACACTTCCTCTTGGTTTAGTGCTGAATTTTCCTTCTAATTTTACTTCACTCACATCATTGGCATCAACTCAGGGTAAGCAAAGATCTCCGCACCATCGAAAGCACAGAGGCAACAACTTGATTTTCTCCCACAGTTACTTTATTAAGTTTTTGTTTGTTTGTTTTGTTTTGTTTTTGTTTGTTTGATTGTTTTCCATTCTGCTGTCAACCCCCGATTTTCAAAGTACAGTCCTGGAGGAAGTTGTCCTTGGATCGTGATATGCAGGCAAAGGCATGTGTGTTGAGGATGGAAGAGGTGGTGGTGGCGATGGGAAGAGAGGGGAAGTGAGGAGAAAGGGTGTAGCCCAAAGAAGAGGAACAGGAAAAGCGGTTTCTGCCTCTATTATTCTTGCAGAGTCTCAGCACCTTAAGAAAATGAAGTCTTATTGCCTAACAAGCCAGACTGGATGGCTTATACATTGTTGAATCAAACTTCCTGTCCTGTTTTCCTTGCAGGATGTGGTGGAACTCTTTATGGAGACAGAGGCTCATTCACCAGCCCTGGCTATCCAGGCACCTATCCAAACAACACGAACTGCGAGTGGGCACTGGTAGCTCCTGCTGGAAGGCTTCTCACTGTCAACTTTTACTTCATCAGCATTGACGATCCAGGAGACTGTGTCCAGAACTATCTCACACTCTACGATGGGCCCAACGTCAGCTCTCCATCCTATGGACCATACTGCAGAGGCGTGAGTAGAACAAACATTTTATATTCCCATTTGTTATGTTTAGACAATGAGTCACTTAATGTAGACTTTTTTTTTTTTTTTTGAGACAGAGTCTCGCTCTTGTCACCCAGGCTGGAGTGCAGGGGCACAACCTCAGCTCACTGCAACCTCCGCCTCCCAGGTTCAAGCAATTCTCCTGCCTCAGCCTCGTGAGTAGCTGGGATTACAGGGGCCTGCCACCACGCCCGGCTAATTTTTGTACTTTTAGTAGAGACGGGATTTCGCCATGTTGCCCAGGCTGGTCTTGAACTCCTGACCTCAGGTGATCCGCCCACCTTGGCTTCCCAAAGTGCTGGGATTACAGGCGTGAGCCACTGCGCCCGGCCTGGTGTAGGCTTTTAAAGGCAGACACATGCAGAGTACAAAGCACAGCCTTTAACAAATTGAGCAGTTTTCCGACTTGCCTTTCTATTCTCGGAGCATGAGTGCCATCTGGTGGGCATTGCATTAAATTACTATTAATAGTTACCAAAATCAGCTCTGCTTCAGAATCACCTGTGGAGTTACTTACATTAGACTTCCAGTTCCCACTGAAACCTATTGAATCAGGATTTCCCGGGGAGGAGCCACAGCATGCTGTTTTTTAAAAGCTCCCTCTGTGACGTCAGTGCACCGCCTAGGGTTGAATACCCATGTTTATTTCTGCATAAATAAAACTATAGAACATTTGGACACCTGGCTCTATTTTATCTACTTCTTGCTGAAAATTGCAGGAATTCTTTGAAGAAATGGTGACTGATAGTTTGTTTTTGTAAAGCTCATATCAGGGCTTTACAAACAACAACTCAGAATCTGATGTTGATTCAATATTGCAGGCATCTGTGCTTACGGTCCTCTCATTTTATGTGCAAGTAGATACTTAAAGAGAGTATGGGCTCACACCTGTAATCCCAACACTTTGGGAGGCCCAGGCAGTTGGATCACTTGAGGTCAGGAGTTTAAGATCAGCCTGGCCAACATAGGGAAACCCCATCTCTACTAAAAATACAAAAATTAGCCAGCATAGTGGCACACGCCTATAATCCCAGCTACTCAGTAGGCTGAGGCAGGAGAATCGCTTGAGCCCAGAAGGTGGAGGTTGCAGTGACCCGAGATTGCGCCACTGCACTCCAGCCTGGGCGACAGAGCCAGACTCTGTCTCAAAAAACAAGAGAGTAAGTAAGGGAAAAGTGGCTGCTGGCAAGTGGGTATCTGTTTCTAATTTTTCTGCTCTTTAATCACTTAGGCTTTGTAATCAAACTAGACAGAGAATTATATCAGCTGGAAATCTAGATGGTTTTTTAAAATATATTATTTATAAAATTGATAAATGCTATTTTCAGAAGTATCAGAAAATAGACTAATTTTTCTAACACCCTAGCATTCTCATATATTCTTAACACCTTTCTTTGAATATCTTTGCATATATTTTACATGCATATTTTTTACTGTTTGATGTTGTGTTTTTTCCACTTACCAATACATCATTAATATCTTATCTTAATAAAAACACTGGTGCATCGTATTTAGTTTTTGGAGAGTATTCCATTGCATAAGTGCAGCCTAATTTATTTAACGAAGCCCCTCTAAGTGGACATTTAGGTCTCTTGAACTTTTTGCAACTACAGACAACACTTAATAAACTTTTTGTTAGTGATATCTTTATACACGGAGTTACATTACTTGGTGAGAAATGGTGATCGCAGGACCAGCAGATACTGTATTACGGGGTTGCACAGAAGGCCCACAGACAGAGACCCCAGTAAATGTGCCACACATCAGATTTAGAAGCTAACCAGCTCTTAGACATTGAATTGAAATTTACAAACATTTCAAAAGGGAGGAAAAGAGACAATTTTAACAATATCATGACTTTATATTGACAGGTTTTTTTTTTTTTGTGGGCATGGTTTTCAGTGGCTTGCAAACATATAACCCCATTTGATCCCCACAGTGACAATCCCGTAAGGTGGAAAGAACAAGTATATCCTGGACTTTGCAGATAAAAGAAAACTGAGTCACTGAGAGAAGTGATTGCCATTTAATCCAGTGCCGCGTTAAGCTGTAATATATAGCGAGATACATCAATTTTTAAACTGTTGGTGTTTACAGTATTTTCCCAGTTTTACATTTTCTTTTATAAATGTAGATATAATTTCATGTGTAATTGTTTTTTTCCTTAAAGGTACCACTGATTTAACACTTTATAAATGTTAAACATAAATTTAAAAAAGTAAAACATAAGTATAAAATAGTCAATTTACATAGAGAGGTAGCTCTTATTTTGCTAATATTTACATACTTACAACTTTTTGTAAGTATGTAACTTTTTGTAAGTTGTAATATTTTGCTAATATTTACATACATACAACTTTTACATTTTACATACATACATATTTACATGCATATTCACATACAAAAGTCATATACTTTTTTATATATACTCCTTAAGTATACAATTCAACTTTTGTATGTATGTAAATATGCATGTAAATATGTATGTAAAATGTAAACTTACATTTATATACATACAATTTACATACAGAGGTGGCTCCTTATTTTGCTAATATAAATACAAACCATCCCCTGATTTGGGAGATATTTTGTGTTATGGTAAATACCATTGTTCACAGGGAAATCCTCTATCCCTTGCAACTACAGAATATGAACATCAAGCAAATGAAAGAATAATGGGAAAAACAAGGAGAATCAAAGGAGATTCTAAAACTTCTGTTGACTGTCCATACTAGTTTGTCAATATAAAAGAAGTTGTTGAAATTTGGAAGCAGATTAAAGTGGAGGTAAAAAGTAGACATGCATAGGAATAAAAATATTGCATATACCTTGATATATCTCTTACAGAAAAAAATCTATACTCACTTGAATTAGTGAGTATCTTGGAAATAAGTCTGTGTTTTGATGACTTGGGGTGGGGCTGAGGCAGGAAAACCCAGTAATGTGGGCATCATGAGAGCAGGGCTTTTTGCCTGTTTTGCTCATTTTTTAATATCCCTAGTACTAAAAACAATACCTGCAGTGTGGCAGTGACTTGATCAATATTTGCCAAATGAATGAACAGAAAGTGAGAGAAAACGGGGACCCATCTATTCCCCTCAACACACAGACAAACACACACTGTTCCACAGAAGTATATGAAAATAAATCCCAAGAGGAAGCTATAAACATTGAGGATGAAAATAGCATATTTTACTTAGTGTGATCATTTCACTTACATATGTTTCTTTAAGAAAAATTAAATTTGCAGTAAGAACTTGAATAAGAAGTTCAAATTTTTCGATAACAGTTTTATTGAGGTATAATTTACATACCATACATTTCCATACATACAATTTACATACCATGCAATTCACCTCCTTAAAGTATACAATTCAGTGGTCTTTAGTAGATTCACAGAGTTGTGTGGCCATTATCAGCACAGCCAATTTTGGGACACTTTCATTACTCCCCAAAAGAAACCCTGTACCCACTAGCAGTCCTTCCCCATTTTCCCTTAACTCCCCATGCCCAGAAATATTTCTTTGTAAAGCATTTGCATTCATTCTTTGCAAGGTTACTTCAAGAAATATATGCAGGTTCACTGTAAATTCTATAAAATTTCTTTATGTGGTACTTTGTTACTAGGTTAACATTTCTAGAAAAAGTTTCAAATATGTGAAGTATATAATTTGATACTTTTTTTTCAACTTTAGGATACCAGCATAGCTCCCTTCGTGGCTTCCTCAAATCAGGTCTTCATAAAATTTCATGCTGCTTATGCATGGCATCCATCCACATTGCAATTAACTTGGGACTGCTAAGTGGGTAACTCAGCATGTTCACTCAGCACTTTCCCTCTGCAGCATGCTAGACAGGACTTTGTCATCTTTATACACGACCCCTGCCAATGCCATGGAGAATAAGCTGTACTTTTATGGTTTTCACCAAACCATGGATAGAATCAATATTTGTAGGTTGGGCATGGTGGCTCATGCCTGTAATCTCACCACTCTGGGAGGCTGAGGTGGATGGATCACCTGAGGTCAGGAGTTTGAGACCAGCCTGGCCAACATGGCGAAACCCCGTCTCTACTAAAAATACAAAAATCAGCTGGGTGTGGTGGCAGGCACCTGTAATCCAAGCTACTTGAGAGGATGAACCAGGAGAATTGCTTGAACCTGGGAGGCGGAGGTTGCAGTGAGCCAAGATCACACCACTGCACTCCAGCCTGGGTGACAGAGCAAGACTCCATCACAAAAAGAAAAAAAAATCAATATTTGTACATTTTCTTGAGCATAGAATATACCTTCTTTAGTCTTGAGTGTGCATTTCATTCTAATATTTTCAGCTGAAATTTAAAAAAATATCTTTGAAAGACTTGGAAATGATTATGGCATATGTGACATACATTTTTCAAAGTTAATAACAATAGCCAGGGACAGTGGCTCATACCTGTAATCCCAGCATTTTGGAAGGCCATGGCAGGAGGATTGCTTGAACCTAGGAGTTCGAGACCAGCCTGGGCAACCCAAAGTGAGACCTCATTTGTACCAAAAATACAAAAATTAGCCGGGCATGGTGGCATGGACCTGTGGTACCAGCTACACAGGAAGCTGAAGCAGGAGGATCACTTGAGCCCAGTACGTTAAGGCTGCAGTGAAACCCTGTGAACCACTTTATTCCAGCTTGGGCAACAGACTGAGACCCTGTCTCAAAAACGACAACAACAACAAAAGTTAATGATAATATAGAAGTATAAATTTCATGTGAATGTTCAATTAGGGATAATAAATATTATTGAATTGTACACAATTATGCTGCATTAATTTTTGACATATTAAAACTCTGTCTTTCACTATGGGGCATAAATTTTCAAGTTTAATTTTTACATTTTGGAAAAGAATTTAATATACATATGAATCTTCCAGAGAATCAATTCTGGAGACAAGCTGCCTGAGTTTGAATTTTAACTTTACTAGTTAAGTGCTTACTTAATCTCTCGGTGCTCAGTTTCTTCATTTGTATGAGGGGATTATTTTACCTGTCCCACAGGGTTGCAATAATTATGTACATGTGTAAAGACTCAGAACAATACCTGGAACATATTAAGTAATCAGTAAATGCTAGCTTCTATGTCAATTAGTAGTAGTATGGCTCACCTCCCTAACATACCGATGTACCTGCTTTTCCCCTACTCCAAAGCCAGGCCCAAGTCTCACCTATGTTTAACTTTTGCCATGCCCCTAAGTCAATCTGAGCTTCTCCAAAGACCTTGCCTTGACTACGGAGAAATTTGCTGTAACCTCTGATTCTCTATTTCCCTCCCATTTGCCTCAAACTTCTGTTTCTCCTGGCCACGCTGAACCTTTTCTCCATTTATCCCCAGGACCCTGTGCTCTCCTGGTTATTTAATCTCTCTGAGTATTCTCCACTCTCTTGTAAAATGGTGGCCCTCTTCATACAGCTCCACTAAGCAGTGCCCCAGTGGGAACTCAGTGTGGGGCCTCCAACTCCACATTTCCCTGCTACACTGCCCTAGTAGAGGTTGTCTGCAAGGATTCTGCCCCTGCAGAAGGCTTCTTCCTGGAAACCCAGGCTTTCCCATACTGCCTCTGAAATCTAGGTAGAGGCTGCCAAGAATCTACCACTGTTGTACTCTGTGTGCCTGTAGGTTTAAAACCATGTGGAAGCTGCCAAGGCTTATAGCTCTCATTCTCCAAAATTGCAGCCCAAGCTGTGCCTAGGCCCCTTTGAGACACAGCTGGAGCTGGAGTGACCAGGATGTGGGGAGCAGTGTCTTGAGGCTGTGCAGGGAAGCAGGGCCCTGGGCCTGGCCCATGAAATCATTCTTTCCTCCTAGGCCTCTGGGCCTGTGATGGGAGGGGTTTCAGCAAAGTTTTCTGAAATGCCTTTGGGGCCTTTTCTCCGTTATCTTGGATATTAGCACTTGACTCCCTTTTAGTTATACAACTATCTCTAGCAAGAGGATGCTCCACAGTCTGCTTGAATCCCTCTCCTGAAAAAGCTTTTTCTTTCTCTGCCATATGGCAGAGAATTTTCCATGTACACAAAATTTACATATGGCTGTAAATTTTCCAAAATTTTACTCTCTACTTTCCTTTTTAATATATGTTCCAACTTGAAGTCATTTCTTTGCTCCCACATCTGAGCATATGCTTTTAGAAGCAGCCAGGCCAAATCTTGAACATTTCGCTGCTTAGAAATTTTTTCCACCAGATACCCCGGGTTGCCACTCTTTAGTTCAAACTTCCACAGATCCCTAGGGCATGGACAGAATGCAGCCAAGCTCTTTGCTAATGCATAATATGTGTCACCTTTGCTCCAGTTCCCACTAAGTTCCTCATTACCATCCAAGACCTTGGCAGCCTGGACTTCATTATCCATATCACTATCAGATTTTTAGTCACAACTATTAACCAGTCTGTAAGAAGTTCCAAATTTCCCTCATCTTTCTGTCTTCTGAGCCCTCCAAACTCTTCCAACTTCTCTACCCATTACTTTGTTCCAAAGTCAGTTCCACATTTTCAGGTATCTTTATAACAAAACGCCACTCCTGGTACCAATTTTCTGTATTAGATCATTCTTGCATTGCTATAAATAAATACCTGAGACTGGGTAATTTATAAGGAAAAGAGGTTTAATCTGCTCACAGTTCTGTAGGCTTTATAGGAAACATGGTGCTGATATCTGCTTGGCTTCTGGGGAGGCCTTGGGAAGCTTATAATCATGGAAGAAGGTGAAGGGGAAACGAGCATGTCACATGGTGAAAGCAGGAGCAAGACAGCGAGAGTAGGGGGCAGGTGCCAACACTTTTAAGTAACCAGAACTCATTTGAACTCAGAGTGAGAGCTCACTTATCACCAAGGGGATGGCCCAAGCCATTCATGAGGGATCCACCCTCATGATCTAAACACCTCCCACCAGGCCCACCTCCAACATTGGGTATTACAACTCAACATGAGATTTGGGCGGGGATAAATATCCAAACTATATTATATATTTACTCTCAAGAGTACAAAGTTTCCATAAGCAGCACCACTGCCTATTCCTTAACACAATATATTAAGTTATAAATAAACAATATAGTTTGCCATTTAACAACAAGTAGAAAGTTCAATAGCACATCCTTATCTCCAGTGCTGCCAGACATGTAACTTAGTGAGGTAGTTATCAGCTTCCTTTTTATAAGAACATCCAATGCTTTTATAAAGTTTTTCACTGCCTCTAGAAAAGCAGAAGCCTTTACAAAGGAAATTTGCTTTATGTTAATTATGCAAAATCAAGGGTTATTAAGAACATGAGACCAAGTGAATGAAAGAAGCTGTGGAATATATTACTTCATCTTACTCTAATACTCAAATTTCAGAGAAATTATTCCTGGACAGAGTATGGAGGTACATAAAGAAAATACTCTCACCTTAAAAATTCAGCTACTTGGGAGGCTGAGGCAGGAGAATCGCTTGAACTCAGGGAGGTGGAGGTTTCAGTGAGCCAACACCACGCCACTGCACTCCAGCCTGGGTGACAGAGTGAGACTCCATCTCAAGAAAACAAACAACAAAAAAAATTCCTGCTCCCTTTTTGTATTATGGATAGATATATCAACTTTATGGATGACATTTCTATTGGAAAGGACAGCAAATGCAATGAGTAACACCATCAAATCCAAAGGGTCTTGATAAGCTAGAAAAATGGGCCAATAGTAACAGATGAAATGTGATAGATATAAAATCTTCCTCTTTTATCTAATAAATGAATTGCAAAGGTACAGAATACAGGGAAAGTTTAATAATAACATGAAATGACACAGTACTTTTCTGAAAGCAAGATTAACATGATGTAGCTGTCAAAAAAATGATGCTTGGATCATGGATTGCATCATTAGAGTAATGGTATCATTTCCACTCAGAAGGGCATGCTTTTCTAGGAGGCATATTGGAATATCTGGGAGGGGTGTACATGAAATTGAGGAAAGCATAATCAATATTATTATGTAATTTTAAAATTAAAAATACAGAAAAAAGAGACAAAATGAAGCTTTACAAAATCTTCCAGGCTAACCATCTAGGAAATAAACAGTGATTTTTTAGTGGGTTAGGGGATTGACAGGCTTGGAAGCATGACATTTTCATGTACAGCAAAGGGAAGTAGTTATTGAGCAATTCAGTTTTTGAGTAATTCAGCTGGAAGAAGGAGAAAAGAGTCGACTCTACTCTCATTAGTAAGACCCATCATATATCCTCTGGTTTTGCTTTACATTTAATTCACTCATTTCCAAATGTTTATTGAGCATCAGCTATGTGACATATACTAAGTGCACTGAGGATAAAGCAGAGAACAGACAGCCATACAAGACTATCAGCTGATTTCTCCCAACTTCACAAAGCACACTTCCCAGGTCCATCTTGCTTGATTTCCTGAGCCAGTCCCAAGGCAAAAACCTTAATATTCTTATCTGGTGAAACACACATTGAGTCAACTTCCCAGATCTAGTGGCCAAGGGATGTTTCCTGATTCCACGTTGTGTCACCATGAAGTCTCACTGCTAGCAATCAGGACCCTGGACAGGCTAACCATCACCCTAGCAAATTAATCAAACCCGAGAAGGGGGTGTGGGAATACTGATTTATAGGTGGTCAGAAGTATAGGTGACAGTCAACCTAAAGTAGGGGACAGTCTTGTGGAAATGCACCCTTAACTTGTGGGATTTGACTGTAAGTTGAGGTAGTATCAGAATTAAGTTAAACTGTAGGACACTTAGCTGGTGTCTGCTGGAGAACTGTTTCATGTGTGGGGGAATCTCTGGTGTCAGAAGTGTTGAGCGTGTAAGAGTAGCAAAAACAGTTTGGTTTTTACTATCTCAAACAGGAGTGAAAACAAATTCCTGTGAAGCAGGAGTGAATGGAGGCATGCAGCCCAAAATAACTTTGAGAGAGAAATGCAGGAGGTTTGGGACTCTCTGTTCCAGGTGTTATCTGGATGTGGGGCTGGCAGGTGCAGTGTGAGGAGCTAAAACCAAAGTCATGGAGTTGCCTTAACTGGCACTGACAATCCATCATTTCCCTCCACCAGCAAAGGTAGCCTGGTGATGACCTGCAGGCATAACACTGGGTTCTTGCCTCTAAAGAAATTCAACAATCAGCCCAAGGATCTAGGAGGAAAACAATACACACAAACGAGAGGAAAGAAACCACTCCAGCTATCTAGAAAAACCATTTCAGATCTTCACACTTGAACTCAAAAGGACAACAAAGAATAAACCACCAGAGAGGGGAAGAATTTTTCTTTTCTAGGGGAAAGACTAGATAAACACACATAAGAATGGAGCCTTGAAGAAACATAATTTAGTGAACAGAAGAGAGGTTTAAAAACTATTATCCTCAGTGATACTTGAGAAGAGAGTACATTTATGAAACAAAAACAGGGTGTTATTATAGAGAAACAAGAGTGGGGCTGTCCAATAGGACTGGTGTCCTTATAACAGGAAGAGACACCAAGGGTGTGATTGCACAGAGAAAAATACCCTGGAAGGACACCAAGAGAAGACAGTCATCCACAAGCCAAGGGGAGAGTCCACAGGATAAATCAAATCTGCTGGCACCTTGATCTTGAACTTCCAGAACTGTGAGAAATTTCTGTCGTTTAAGCCATCCGGTCTGTGGTATATTGTAACGACAGCACTAGCCGATTAATACAGGTACTACTGTCTTCAGCCTACACAGTCAAGATTCACTATTAGAAACTGATGGAACAAGAACAATTCTAATTTTTTCAAGAAAGTTCTTTTGCTTTAGAAGAGTTAGTGATTCAAGAAATAAATGTATTAGGAGATTACCAACTAATACATACAGATGAAATTATGAAGTTAGAAAATCATCAGTGGATGCTAAAACTACTAGGTAAAAATTAGATGAGAAAAGGGACGTAATCCAATAGCACCTCCCCCCAGCATTATTTTTAATCATAAAGAAAAAATAGTAACTTTATGGTGAAGAAACCTCGCAGACACCACCTTAACCAAGTGAACATCATCAATACTGGGAGAAACCGATGTTATCTCTACCTTGATAACATGCACTGGAAAAGACACATCACTTAGTGGTGTTTCTCCAAAAATTCATAACCTGAAAGGGAACATCAGACAAACTCACTTTAAAGGATATTCCACACAATACCTGGTCTGTACTCTTAAATAACGTCATTTCAATAAATATAAAAGCCAAGGAACGGTTCCAGATCAAAGAAGACTAATGCAGGAATAACCCTTTCATCTGGAATGTTTTTTAAGCAATAAGTTTCTGCTTTCGAATTTAAGAGTGCAGATCCTTTTTTAATCCAATTGGTTCAGGGCTAGAATTACATTATTTTACATCTCCTTAAAGCTTTGATCCCCGCTACAATCTACAATATATAAATGCATGTGTGGTATCCGTCTATCATCAATTTAGGTGACAATAGGAGAAAAGTGCCTGGTGCCAATCTTTATTCCATAGTATGAAATTGTCTCTCAGGACAGGGTTTTTGGTGAGAGAAGCACAGGATATTGCTGGGTAACAGACTGGGTCAGGAAAGAGGGAGGCAGAGGGCAGCAGTTTTGCTAGAATTTAAAATTTGGTTGCTTTTGGAAGAGAAAGCGGGAGGTTCCTGGGAGCCAGAATGTTATGTTTCACAGATGTAAAAGTCATAGTCGGGAAAGACATCGCTTTAGTGGTGTTTTCAAATGACCTTTAAATGGTAGGGTTTTACTTGTAGCTTCCAGCCCTGAGGGTGGTTCTTGTTGCTTAAGGGCAAAAGGGTCAGGGGTAAAAGCCAGCCTTAGAAACCTGTCAAAAAAGATTTCCAGCGGGGCGCTGGAGAAACGTAGACCACGCCAGAATTCCTGTCTGGAGAAGCTCTTCATAGGGCGAGAGGCTGCGTGCCCCACAAGGTCCTTCAGAGGCACATTGTGGGACTCAGGGTAGCAACTTCTGGCGAGTGGAGCCGCAGTTACAGAAGCGAAACATTCGAAGGCAATTTACTTCCAGCTTTCGCAACACCCACCCTCAGCCATTACCCTCCCTTGCGCAGTCGCGCCATAAACTTCTCTGCTTTCCCCCACAGCCCTCTGGGCTTCGACCCATCAACTGAACACGCGCCAAACATCGCGCGCACGCGCCAAGCTCGGCCCAATCAGAGTTCCAAACCGCGGAGTGTTCGCCACGGCGATAAATTAACCTCAGCGTGGCGCGGGGTCTCGAAGCCGAATAACGTACGTGATTGGCCAGCCTCTTCCATATTCTTTTAAGGGCGGAACCTGGCCCTGGAGCCACGCCTAGCGAGCTGTTCTCTTAATATGGGTAGGTTCGGGCGTGGAGCTGGCAGCTGCGCGGTGTGCCGAGACAGGGCGTGTTAGTTATTTAGTGCAGGTGTAGCAGGGAACGAGGGCATCTGTCGCAGCCGGAGTGCGTCCTGCCGAAGCCTGTGGTTGCACGCCCACCCTCTTAGGGGCTGCCCTCTGCGGTGAGTGTGTGCGGCGTCGCACTTGGGGTTGCTTCTCTCTGCGTGGCCGGACCGGGGCTGGACCCTTCCCAGTCCCCTGCCCTGCCCCATCCCCTCCCTGCACCCGGACGCCCTTCAGGCTGACGTGGCTTTGGTTTAAACCCTCTCCACACTTTTCCAGGTTGTCCGTTACCGACTGTAATGCTCCAGGTTTCTAGGCGTGATGCACAAGGCCTTTCCGAATCTGAACACTACCTTACCCTTCCATGCAGTTGGCATTTCAGCCATTCTGAATTTATTGTCCTTTCTGGACCGGAGCCTACTTGTTCAGATCTTGGTGCTTTTACGAATTCTGTTTTCTCTCACCCTCAGTCTTTTTCACCTGAAATCGTTTTACTTCTAAGAGTCAGCTTAGACATCACCACCTGTGTAAAATCTTCTCTGTCTGCACCAAGCTAACATAGCCACTCCCTGCCCTGTGAAGTTGGACGTGTGCCTTGTTTTGTGACTTCTGTCACGTAGGATTGTAATGATTTTTTTTTTTTTTAATCTAGAAGTCTCCCTTCTCCACTGGGACATTGGGAAGACAAAAGCAGTGCAATGTTCATGCTTGCATTTTTTTTTTTTATAATAGTGCCTGGAGCACAGTAGATGCTCAAAAATAGTTTGAGGAATGAAAAAAAATGAAAGAATGATGGATTAGGCCCATGAGTGTGTGAGATCACGTCCAGGATGTGACGAGAGAAGAAGGGAGATGTTCAGGAGACCCTGAAAGGTGATGGAAAGCCATTGAGACATGGAAAGAATGGCAGAGTCAGGTTTACTGTGAAGCCATGCTTTTCCCGGTTTGAAAACCTGCCTGGGATAGAGATTGGAGTTGATGCCATTAATACGTCTTGGCAGAAGGAAAAGGGAGGAAATGTAGTTGATTTGCGTTTCATAGCCTTTATGAAAATACGTGCCATTAAACTTAGGTTGTGTACTAGTTAGCTTCTCAGCCTTGGTGTGTGTTGGTCTCTTGCATTCCGTAAGGGTCCTCGCTGTCAGCAACAGAACAGATGCCTCTGGAACTGAAGATCTAGGTGTGTCCCTTGCTGCCCCTGCCCAGCTCTGCCATGATCATGGTCATTATTGGGAGCACTGTTGATACAGAGGAGAAAGAGAAGGGGATAGGGAAGATGATGCCTGGCATAGCGGGACCCTTGGCCCCCATGGCTTTCCTCCCTCCAGCACTCGTTCTCACTGGGTAGAAGAGAGAGGCTGCTTTCAGCAGAGGAGCTTTATACCCTTCAGCTTTTGAAGAGGAGACTTTATGTGATATTTATAAATGGGGAGAATGGCTTAGCTATTTCGGTTGAGCTCTATTATCTCTTTGAAGCCATTGCTTTTATTAGGGAAGAAAAGATAGCCACTTGCTTCCTGAAGTAAATTTCAGTATTGGGTACTGAAAAGCAAGATCATTCTTAAATTTTCCTAAAGAAGAAGCTAATGAAGAATAATAGTGCTTTTTGGGAAGCTGGGTGGAAGTGAATTTGGAGATGTCAAGAGTCCACTTCCTCTGGCTTCTGTAACATTGACCCAAGGCTGCTCTCTGCAAACTCCCTGACCTCGGGACTCCTCGGAGCCTACGGGGTTCCAGGATGCTCTTCGGAGCCTCCACTAGGGCTCAGTTCTCAGCAGTGCACACACAGTGACACAGTGCTTAATATATACAAGTATTAAAATATTTCACTTGGCTACATTAATTATAAGTGTAATTTTTTTTTTTTCCTGAAAACAGGGTCTCGCTCTGTCACCCTGGCTGGAATGCAATGGTGCATTCACAGCTCACTGTGGCCTCAACCTCCCAGGCTCAAGTGATCCTCCCACCTCAGCCTCCTGAGTAGCTGGGACTGTAGGTACACACCACCACGCCTGGCTAATGGTTTTATTTTTTTGTAGAGATGGGGTCTTGCTATGCTGCCCAGGCTAGGCCTCAAACTCCTGGGCTCAAGGAGTCCTCCCATCTTGGCCTTCCAACGTGCTGGCATTACAGACTTGAGCCACCACACCTTCCTCCATATTTCTTTACTGATAACATTTTAGCTGTTACCAGGAAGTTTTATATATTAGTATCCAGATTAAACACAGGGAACAATTAACTGGCATGTACAGAGAATAGTTCTTGCATCTCAAGCTTTCCGTTCATTATTTTAATTTATCAAAAGGTAAGAATTAAGCTTTGAAGATAACAGTAAGGTATTGTACTACTAAGCATATGAGATGCCTGTCTTTCTTCTTGGGAGAGTTGTATCTTCTAACGCAGCACTTCCTTAGAGACAGCAAATTACCTTTGAAAGCTGTTTTGAGGAGTTTAGGTACCAAGAGCTTTCTGATGGGGAAAACTTCTTAGGCTGGAGACAGATATTAGACAGGTTCTACAGTTTTCTTATAGTCCAGCCAGATTCTTGAAATGCTCAGTTCCTACCGTAAGAGGCAGAGGAATACAGGGAGCATATGAGGGGAACTTGGATTTGGATAGATGTGGGTTCAAATTCTGCTACTTAGTACTATGTAACCTTAGAGAAGCTACTTAACCTCCCTGATCCTCAAGTTCCTTAACCAATGGTAACCTAAGTAACCACTTCATAAGACTGGTTTAATGGTTCACTTTAAAGGCAATAATGCACATTAAATGTTAGTTATTAACTAGTTAGTGTTAGATGCAATAATGTACATTAAATGTTAACTATTAATGTGAATATCCAGCTACAGGCCCAAATGCCTCAGACATACCCAGTTCCAACATAGTCAATGGCCTGAACTAAGAATTTCGCTTCATTAACTAGACTGGGTAAGGCATTTGTAATGGTGTTGGGATTTTTTGTGTGGCTTATTAGAACCTGTAGTGTTTGGTACTTTTGCCTAGGGTTCTAATTGATATAGATAGCTATTTATTTAAAATTTGTCCTGATTTATTTCTTTTCCTTCTTTTTGTTTTAACATGACATGTAATTTGCACACACATTCTCAAAGCTTCCAAGAAGATCAGTGTGGGCAATAGAGTGAGACCCCATGTCTACAAAAATTTAAAAAAACAAGCTGAGGGTGGTGTGCAAGTCTGCAGTCCTAGCTGTTAGGGAGGCTACAGTGGGAGGATTGCTTGAGCCCAGGAGTTTGAGTTTGTAGTGAGCTATGATCCTGTTACTAGGCAACAGGACAAGACCTTGTCTCTTTAAAAAAAAAAAAAAAAAAGCTTCCAGGCATAATTGTAATGCTGCTGATTTTGTGTATTAAAGAGATTTCACTGTAGAAACTCTTTCCCAAGCAGCAACTGTCTTCAGCTGGTTGATGAAGCTGATTTTTTTTTGAAGGGCCCTGTAATCAGCTTCCATTTCCATAGAGACAGAATCCCAGCTGCAGCCAGAGGAACTTTCTTTCATTTCTCTTGTTTGTTTCCTAATTTTTTAATCTCTTCAAGTTTATTGCCCTCTCTGGGTGGTCAAGCCTTTATTATTTTTTTTCCAGGTTAGACTGACACTTTTCAGATAAATCTTGGAAAACAACCTGCTTTCAAGGAAGTGGTCTTTCTAAAGGACCAGGCAAAATAATAAACAAATATGATCATGGGTTATCTGGAAGAGCTGTCTCAAAATCTTGTTAAGCCTGGAACACATGCCATCCATGTAGACCTTCTTTGGGGGAAAGATAAAAGAGCTGGGGAGAACCTGTAATTTTAGCTATAATCTTTATTAAAATCATTTATTTTTTATTTATTTAGTTTTTTGAGACAGAATCTCGCTCTGTTGCCCAGGCTGGAGTGCAGTGGCATGATCTTGGCTCACTGCAGCCTCCATCCACCTCTTGGGTTCAAGCTATTCTCCTGCCTCAGCCTCCTGAGTAGCTGGGATTACAAGTGTGCACCACCACAGCCAGCTAATTTTTGTATTTTTAGTAGAGACGGGGTTTCACCATGTTGGCCAGGCTGGTCTCGAACTCCTGACCTCAAGTGATCCACCCATCTCGGCCTCCCAAAGTGCTGGGACTACAGGCGTGAGCCACCGTGCCTGGCCTTAAAATCATTTATGTTTTCACTCCTCTAAGTTGTGTGTATGTGCTCACCTTTGTGTTTTTAAACATGCCACATCTTGGCCTGAGAAGCTCTTTTCCTTTTTCTGTCTCCAGCTAGCCCTTGTCCCCTTGTCAGTTAGTGCTTGTTGAAAGAAGGAAGGACTTATTTATTCACATGACTCCATTTCACGTCACCTCTTCTAGGAAGCCCCTTGAGTATACTCAGTTCTGACCCACCATCCCATCCAACCTAACTGAAGTGTCTCTCTACTTGGCGTAGTACTTGGGAAAAATTTATTGAAGAAAGAATGTTACTGCTTTTAGTAAAGAGATTCAGGTTAGTTAATGAAGAAAGCATAGCTCTGGAGGAAGAGCATGTACTCTGTCTCCTTCCTGCAGGCTTCTTCCCGGTTTCCAGAGTGAAGTAGTTTCCAGCTATCAGGAACAAGATGGAACTGACAACTTCTATTTTTGATTGTAGGATAGGGTTAAAACTGGAAATGTTTCACTGAAACAAAAGTTGTAGCCTCTTTGGTATAACTGAGCCAGTAATGACATTTGACTGTTTTTCAGTCCTCTGACATTCCGGCCCCAGTGGCCACGGTGGCTTTTTTGTAAGCATCTTTTTTGTTTGTTACTAGCTGTGTAACCTTGGGCAAGTTGCTTAACCTCTCTGTGCCTCAGGTGCCTCATCTATAAATTGGGAATAATAAGAGCACCTCATAGGGTCGTTGTGAGTTAATATCTATAAGGGCCTAGCATACCACCTGGTACCTATTGGTCTTAATAATACTCGCTATTAGTACAGCCATGCATCACTTAATGATGGGGATATGTTATGAGAAATGCTTAATATGATTTTGTCATTGTGTGATCATCATATAGTGTCCCTAAACACACCTAGCTGGTGTAGCCTACTACACCCCTGGGCTAGATGGTATGCTTGTGACTAAGGCTTTTGCTTTTAGGCTACAAATCTGCACAGCATGTGACTGTACTGAATATCACAGGGAATTGTAACACAGTGGTATTTGTGTCTTTATAGAAAAGATACAGCAAAAATACAGTACCTTATTGTACTCTCATGGGAACACTGTCATATTTGTGGTCTATTGTTTGTTTGTTTGTTTGTTTGAGACAAGGTCTCACTCTGTTGCCCAGGCTGGACTACAGTGGCATGATCTTGCCTCACTGTAGCCTCAGCTTCCTAGGCTCAAGTGATCCTCCCACCTCAGCCTCCCAAGTTGAGACTACAGGCACTTGCCACCACTCCCGGATAATTTTTGTAGAGACTTGGTTTCACTGTGTCTCCCAGGCTGGTCTTGAACTCCTGGACTCAAGCGATCTGCTTGCGCTGGCCTCCCAGGTGGTCCATTGTTGAGTGAAACATAATTAAGCGGTGCATAACTATTTTAAAAACCGTTTTATCTGTGATGATATAACCAATGCAAAACAATATCTCTTTATTTCTAGGAAATCTTAGTGATGGTACTTCTCAGTGGTCTTTGCCCACCTGTCTCATGGTCTCATTGTACCCGCACACCCACTGCCTCATTCTTCATCTAATTCAGAATTCCCAGGAGAAGTTGGGTGGCTGGGCCCAGTGTGCTGGGGTCAAGAGGAACAGCTATGGCCACACACTGGTGAGTTCAGAGCTGTGGATAGCCCAGGGGGTGGCTGGGGGAACAGCAGCAGGATTTTTGTTGGGATGTGCTTGTGGCCAAGTTTCTGTTGAGAATGAAAGACATGCTTTGGAAACTGGTAATTTTTCCAGTAATAATTAAAATACTCTATGTCCTGCAATAACAATTTATTGAATGTATTTTTTATGATAGGCATTATGTAAGCAGAGCCTGGCAGTTTATATTGAATTTTATTATTTCTATTTTTTCAATTTTTTTATTTTTTGAGACAGTCTCTGTTGCCCAGGCTGGAGTACAGTGGTGCGATCTTGGCTCACTGCAACCTCTGTCTCCCGGGTTCAAGTGATTCTCCTGCCTCGGCCTCCCAAGTAGTTGGGATTACAGGTGCCCACCACCATGCCCGGCTAATTTTTGTATTTTTAGTAGAGACGAGGTTTTCCCATGTTGGCCAGGCTGGTCTTGAACTCCTGACCTCAAGTGATCTGCCCACCTTGGCCTCCTGAAGTGCTGGGATTACAGGCATGAACCACTGCACCCAGCCTTATATTGAATTTTAAGATTATCTAGTGACAAAGTATTATTTGCTGTGTTAAGATGACGATAAGGTGTTTATTAGATGTGAAGTAGTTATATTTTCACCATAAGAAACCATAACACCCACTGCTTTGCCATTATAACCAGTGCTACAGTTGGTATGGATAATAATTGAAAACCCTGCCAGCTTGGAAACTTGGATTTACAGGATGGTTGCAGAGCTTCAACTATTGAGGAAAACATAAGAAGCAACTTAATCTCCATCTGATCAGTATTAGCAGAACCCTCCCCACTTTCTTCATGGTTTCCTAAAAAACTATTAATCTTAACAGAATGGAATGAACAGATGTGAGATCTTTTTATACCATATATTAATTCATTTTCTTCTGTCTTCAAACTTAGAACATTAGCTTAAAACAGTACCAAGTATGGTGCTGGAAAAGATTGTGTTGGGGAAATATTGGTTCATGTATCAAACAGAATAAACGCGAATTACATTAAATGGTAGTTTTAGTTATAGTACCCATACCTCATAAATATCCTTTTTATTTCATCTATTTCTCTGCATATACATTAATTATTCCTTTGGACTCTGTGTAGCTTATAATTTTAAGGGTGAGGTCAAATGAAAGGCACACATCAGAACGGGCAATTACTTGCAACGGGGGTTTGGCCTCATGGTTTTTCAGGACATAGTGCAGACCAGAGAATGGTAATATGGTTTGCAATCTCAATATTTGAATGGTAGTCTATGTAACTTGGTTTTCTTAACAGCTGTAAGTGAGGCCGGGTGCAGTGGCTCACACCTGCAATCCCAGCCCTTTGGGAGGCCAAGGTGGGTGGATCACCTGAGGTCAGGAGTTTGAGACCACCCTGACCAACATGGTGAAACCCCGTCTCTACTAATAATATGAGAATTAGCTGTGCATGATGGCCCATGCCTGTAATCCGAGCTGCTTGGGAGGCTGAGACAGGAGAATCACTTGAACCCGAGAGATGGAGGCTACAGTGAGCTAAGATCACGCCATTTCACTCCAACCTGGGTGACAAGAGTGAGACTCTGTTTCAAAATAAATGAACAAATAATAAAACAGCTGTAAGTGCTTAAGTCTTTAGGCCGTGTCAAAGATACCTATATGATTTATTATATATTTGTATTCTATAAAGTTGTTCACCCTTTGTTAGGAGGATGAAAATAATAGATAATATGATCGAAATAACATGCCATATATGCATGGGGTGTATTAATACACACACACATTTACTATGTCCCAGGCATTGTGCTAAGCCCTCTGTATGGATTAATCTTTCAAACCTCACAGTTTAATTGTTATTATCTAATAGGTAAGGAAACAGATTTAGAGAGCTTCATTAACTTGCTCAAAGTCACCCAGAAAATAAGTGGTAGAGCCCAGATTTGAACCCACACCAGCAGACTTCAGAAGCAGTGTTCTTAGCTTATCCTGTTTCGCCTTACTCATTTCTGACAGTCATATACACATACCCTGTGGAAGAGAAGAAGATGAACAGCTAATTCAGCGAGCACGCTGAGTGCCTGTGGCCATCTGGTCATGTTCTAGAAGCTATGGTAGCTACCCTGTCTGGGCTAATGATTCTGTATCAATTTAGGAATGCATTCAGGGACGCAACCTACCTATCTTGATACCATTTGAACCAAGGAAACAGGAACCTTCATCTTCTGAAAATACTTACACATAGTTTTTAAAAAATCCTACTCCAAAAAGCTTTACTGAAGTATTCACATAGATAAGTGCATATATGACAGTACAAGTTGACAGATTTTCAAAGCAAGAAACGTTAGTAGGTTGGGAGCTCCTGCTCTTCCCAATCACTCTCCCTTTAAGTCATGAGACTGCCAGCATCGTGAGCTTATACTGGTAGTTCCAATGGAAATACATAACAGACTGCAAAGCTTTTATTTAACTCCTTCTATGCCTCATCTGGGCCTTCTCCCTTCCTCTCAGAACCCTGCCTCTCACAGATTTTGGTGATGATAGAATTAGAACATCTCACAATCACGTGTTTGGTACCCAACACACAATTAACAATACTAATTTTACTAATGTCAGTATTGCTAAAAACAATTGTTTTATGCATATGCTATCTTCATTCTCCCTCTTTGAAAAAAAATAGGCTTTTTTTTTAAGAGCACTTTTTGATTTACAGAGAACTGGAGCAGGAAGTACAGATTCACATCTCTCCTCCATCTCCCCTTCCTAGTTTTCCATATTAACATCTTGCATTGGTGTGTTACATTTGCTATGATTGCTGAACCAATATTGATGCATTATTGTTTTTATTTTTATTTTTGAAACAGCGTCTCGCTCTGTCACCCAGGCTGGAGCGCAATGGTGCGATCTCGGCTCACTA
This sequence comes from Homo sapiens, assembly GCF_000001405.40. Classification (NCBI taxonomy): domain Eukaryota; kingdom Metazoa; phylum Chordata; class Mammalia; order Primates; family Hominidae; genus Homo; species Homo sapiens. Next base: position 45,215,721 of record NC_000010.11, on the reverse strand, counting down.
CAACTTCTGCCTCCCAGGTTCCAGTGATTCTCCTGCCTCAGCCTCCCAAGTAGCTGGGATTACAGGTATGCGCTATCACGCCCAGCTCATTTTTTTTTTTGATTTTTAGTAGAGACGGGGTTTCACCATGTTGGCCTGGCTGTTGATGCATTATTATTAACTAAAGTTTATAGCTAACATCAAGATTCACTCTATATAGTATAGTTTTATGGGTTTTGACAAATTAACATCATGTATTCACCATTACAGTATCATATGGAACAGTTTCACTGCCCTAAAAATCCTCTCAGCTCTACCTCTTCATCCCCTCTCCCTCATTATCTACCTCCTAAATCTCAGACAACCACTGAAATATTACAGTTTGCCTTTGTCTCTATAATTTTACCCTTTCCAGAATGTCATATAGTTGGAATCATACAGTATAAGGTCTTTACAGATTGGCTACTTTTGCTTAGCAATATGCATTTAAGATTCCTCCATGCCTTTTGTGGTTTGATAACTCATTTCTTTTTAGCAGTGAATAATACTCAGTTGTCTGGATGTACCACACTGTGCTTATCCATTCACCTGTTGGATGACATTTTGGCAGCTTTTAAATTTGGACAATTATGAATAAAGCTGTTGTAAACATTCTTGTGCAGATTTTGGGTGAATACCTAGGAATGTGATTACTGGATCATGTGATAAGACTATGTTTAGCTTTGGAAGAAACTATCAAACTGTCATCTCAAGTGGCTGTACTATTTTGCATTCTACCAATAAAGAATGAGATTTTCTGTTGTTCCACATCCTCACCAGCATTTGGTGGTGGTGGTGTTTTGGATTTTAGCCATTCTAGTGGGTATGCAGTAGTATCTCATTGTTTCCATTTGCAATTCCCTAGTGACTATATGATGCTGAGCATCTTTTCATATGCTTATTTGCCATATGTATATCTTCTCTGGTGAGATGTTCATTCAGATCTTTTATGTACTTTTTAATTGGGTTCTTTGTTGTTGAGTTTTAAGTCGTCTTTACATATTTTGGATACCAGTTCTTTATCAGGTATGTGTGTTGCGAATATTTTCTCCTTGTTTGAGTTGGTCTTTCTTTTCCCTAATGATATCTTTCACAGAGCAGAAATTTTTAAATATAATGAAGTCCCACTTATCAAGTTTTTCCTTCATAAGTTGTGCCTTTGGTATTGTATCTAAGAAGTCATTGCCAAATCTCAGGTCAACTAGATTTTCTCCTTTGTTATATCTAGAAATTTTGATAGCTTTGTGTTTTATATAATAGGTCTGTGATTTGAGTTTATTTTTGTGAAAGGTGTTAGGTCTTTGTCTAGATTGATTTTTGTGTGTGTTGATGTCCATCTGTTTCAGCATCATTTGTTGAAAAGACTCCTTTTCCCACTGAATTGCCTTTGCACTTCTGCTAAAGATTAGTTGATTGTATTAGTGTGGTCTATTTCTGGGCTATTTTATTCCAGTGATCTATTTGTCTATTGTTTCACCAATACCATACTCTAAGTTTTGAAGTTGGGCAGTGTCAATGCTGCAATTGTATTTTCTTCAATATTGCATTGGCTGTTCTGCCTTTCCATGTAAATTTTAGGATCAGTTTGTTGATATCCATAAACTTTCCGGTATTTTGACTGGAATTGATATGTAGATCAACTTGGGAAGAACTGACATTGTAACAATGTTGGGTCTTCCTATTCATGAACATGGGCTATCTCACAGTTTATTTAGGTCTTTGATTTGTTTCATACTAGTTTTGAAACTTTTCTCATATAGATCTTGTACATATTTTGTTAGCTATATATCTTACTATTTCATTTGTTTGGTGTTAATGTAAATGATATGTTTTTAATTTAAAATTCTAATTATATAGAAAAGCAGTTGTCTTTGTATATAACCTTGTATCCTGCAACCTTGCTGTAGTTGTTTATTAGTTTCAGTTCTTTTTTGTTGATGATTTGGGATTTTCTATGTAGACATCATATTATCTGTGGATAAAGACAGTTTTAATTCATCCTTCCCTATCTGCATACATTTTTCTGCTTTTTCTTACTGCATTAACTAAGACTTCCAATATGATTTTGGCTAAAAGTTGTGACAGGTGACATCCTTGCTTTGTTCCCAACCATAGTAGGAAAGAAACTAGTTCCTTACCATTAAGTATCGTATTAATTGTAGGTTTTTTGTAGATTTTTTTATTAAGTTGAGAAAATTTTCCTCTATTCCTAGTTGGCTAAGAGTTTTTATGGGTGTTGGATTTTGTCCAGTGCTTTTTCTGCATCTATAGATATAATCATATGGATTTTCTTCTTTCGCCTGTTTGAAGTGATGGATTGCTTTTATTTTTGAATTTGAACCACCTTTGCATACCTGGAGTAAGTTCCATTTGGTCATTGTGTATACTCTTAATACATTTTTGAATTAATTTCAAATGCTTTGTTGAGAATTTTTGTATCTATGTTCATGAGAGATGTTCCTCTGTAGTTTCTCCTTTTTGTAATGTCTTTGACTTAATGCTGACCTCATAGAATGAGTTAGGAATTGTTCTCTCTGCTTCTGTTTTCTGAAAGGCATTGTAGAGAATTGGTATAGTTTCTTCCTTAAATGTTTGATAGAATTCATGAGTAAACCTATCTGGGCATGGTGCTTTCTATTTTAGAAGGTTATTAATATTTCTGATTCAATTTATTTAATAGACGTAGGCCTACTAAAAGGATCTATTTCTCCCTGTGTGAGTTTTGGTAGATTATGCCTTTCCAGCAGTTGGTCCATTTTATCTAAGTTATAACATTTTTGGACATAGAGTTGTTCATAATGTTACTTTATTATCCCTTTAACATCCATGAAATCAGTAGTAATGGCCCTTCTTTCATTTCTGTTGTTAGTAATTAGTTCTTTTTTTTTTTTTTTTGGCTAGCCTCCCTAGAGGATTACCAGTTTTACTGATCTTTTCCAAAAACCAGATTTTGGACTCAGACATTTTCTCTATTGATTTCCCCTTTTAAGTATCATTGATTTCTGCCCTAATATTTATTAATTTTTTTTCTGTTTACTTGTAGTTCAATTCATTCTCATTTTTCTTGTTTCCTAGGGTAGAAGTTTGGATTATTGATTTTATAAGGTTGGTGCAGAAGTAATTGCCGTTTAGCCATTACTTTTGCACCAACCTAATAGAACTTTCTTGTTTTGTAATACATGCATTTAATGCTATAAATTTCCTTTACCATTGATTTTGCTGCACTTCACAATTTTTTCTTTTTTTTTTTGAGTCGGAGTCTCCCTCTGTCGCCCAGGCTGGAGTCCAGTGGCGTGATCTCCGCTTACTGCAAGCTCCGCCTGCCGGGTTCATGCCATTCTCCTGCCTCAGCCTCCCAGGTAGCTGGGACTACAGGCGCCCGCCACCATGCCCAGCTAATTTTTTGTATTTTTAGTAGAGATGGGGTTTCACTGTGTTAGCCAGGATGGTCTTGATCTCCTGACCTCGCGATCTGCCTGCCTTGGCCTCCTAAAGTGCTAGGATTACAGGCTTGAGCCACTGCGCCCAGCCCCTGCACTTCACAAATTCTGATAAGTAGTATATTCATTTAATTAAAATATTTTAAAAAATTTTTTGAGATTTCTTTGACGTGTTATTTAGAAATACATTGTTAATGACCAGATGTTTTGGGATTTTTCAGCTATCTTTCTGTTTGATTTCTAGTTTAATTCCAGTGTGGACTGAGAGCTTATATAATTTCTATTCTCTTTAAGGGGTGTTTTATGGCCCAGAATGTGGTCTATGTTGATGAATGTTCTGTGCAAGCTTCAGAAGAATGTGTTTTTTTGTGTTGGATGGAGTAGTCTATAGATGCCAGTTATATCCAGTTGATTGATGGTGGTGTTGTGTTTTTAACTCTGCCCTTACTGATTTTCTGCCTGCTGGATCTGTCAGTTACTAACAGAATGGAGTGTTGAAGTCTCCAAGTATAATAGTGGGTTTGTTTCTTTCTCTTTGCATTTCTGTAAGCTTTTGTCTTGCTATTTTGACACTGTTGTTGGATGCATACACATTAAGGATTACTGTGTCTTCTTGGAAAGTTTACCTTTTAATCATTATATAATATCCCCTTTTATTTCTGATAATCTTCCTTGCTTTGAAGTCAGCTTTGTCTGAAATTAACATGACTACTCCAGCTTTCTTTTGCTTAGTGTTCAGTGTCATGTATCTTTCTCCATCCCTTTACTTTTAATTTGTTTCTATATTTTATATTTAAAGTGGATATCTCATAGATAACATATCGTTAGATCCTGTTTTTTTTCTTTTAGAAAAATCCACCCTGATAGTCTTTTATAGTCTTTTAATTGATATGTTTGGTTATCAACATATAATGTGATCATTGATATTGCTTAGATTAATACCTACATAATAAGTGTTTTCTATTCTTGCCCTTGTTCTTTTTTTTTTTGTCTTCTGCTCTTTTTCTGCTTTCCATGGCTTTAATTGAGCATGTTGTATGATTTCATTTTCTCTACTCAAAACATATTCCATTTTCTCTCCTCTCAGCAAACTTACATGTAAAAATGTATGTATGTATTTATTTATTTATATATATTTTTGAGACAGCGTCTCGCTCTGTCACCCAGGCTGGAGTGCAGTGGTGTGATCTCAGCTCACTGCAAGCTCCGCCTCCCAGGTTCACACCATTCTCCTGCCTCAACCTCCTGAGTAGCTGGGACTACAGGCGCCCACCATGATGCGTGGCTAATTTTTTTTGTATTTTTAGTAGAGACGGGGTTTCACCGTATTAGCCAGGATGGTCTCGATCTCCTGACCTCGTGATCCACCCATCTTGGCCTCCCAAAGTGCTGGGATTACAGGCGTGAACCACTGCGCCCAGCCAAAAATTTATTTTTTTTAGAAGGAGGATAAGGCAAGGAATAAAAACTTCTTAATGATAGCCCTAGAGTTTGCAATATACATTTACAATGAATGTCAACTCACTTTTAAATAACACTGTGCCACTTCAGAGCCAGTGCAGATGCCTTAAAATCAAACATTTCCAGTTCCTTCCTGTTGTCCTTTATAGAACTGCTAACATTCATTTCACTTATCCGTAAACTATAATCAACCAACACATTGCTGCTGTTACTATTTTGAACAATCTGTTATCTGTTAGATTAAGAATAAGAACAATACACCATTTTATATTACTTTTATTCATTCTTTAACACTCTTCCTTTATGTAGACACTATTTTCTGCTGTATTGTTTTTATTCTCTGTGACGAGCTTGTTTTTAGCACATTTTATGTCTCTTCAATTTTTATTTTGGTGAGAAAGTATTTCTTTATATTTGATAGATAATTTCATTGAATACAGGATTCTAGATTGGAGGGTGTTTTTCCCTTCAGCACTTTATATTTTACCCCATTGCTGGCATGGTTTCTTAAGAAAAATCCAATGTGATTTTTATTCTGGTTTCTTTATAGGTAAGGTTTTTTTTTTGTTGTTGTTTTGTTTTTTTCCTCTGACTTCCTTCAATATTTTGTCTTTGTCTTTGACTTTCTACAGTTTGAATGTCATATGTGTAGGTGTAGATTTTTTGGTAATTATCCTTTTTTGTGTTCCCTGAGCTTCTTGGATATGTGGTTTGGTCTCTGTCATTAATTTTGGAATATTCTGAGTTATTTAAATATTTTTTTCTGTTCTTTCTCTCGTTATATTCCCTTTATGTGCATGTTATGCCTTTTGTAATTTTCCCATTTTCTTAGATATTCTGTTTCACTTTTCCACTCTTCTTTTTTCTCTTTGCTTTTCAGTTCAGGAAGTTTCTGTTGACATGTCTTCACGATCACTGATTCTTTCCTTGGCTGTATCCATTCTACTAATGAGCCAGTCAGAGGCTCTCTTTATTTCTGTTACAGTGTTTGTAATCTCTAGTATTTCAGTTCTCTCTTAGGGCTTTTGTCTTTGCTGACATTACCCATCTTTTCTTGCATTTTGTCTACCTTTTCTATTAGAGCTCTTAGCATATCAATCATAGTAATTTTAAAGTACCAGTCAGATAACTTTAAAATATCTGCTATATCCAAGTGTACTTCTTTTGCTTTATTTCTCTCTTCAGCCTGTATTTTTTTCTTTTTAGAGTAGCTTGTAATTTTGTTGTAAGCCAGACATGATGCATTGGGTAAAATGAACTGAGGTAAACAGGCTTTTAGTGTGAGTTCTCACATTTTTGTAGCTGTGGGTGTCAGAGGGTAACATTTTCTCTTTTGTCTTCCTTGTTTTTTCCTCCCCTTTTGTCTTAGAGTTTCCCTGTTGAATCCTTAAATACTGTGTGAGCATTGAAGTTCTGCCATAATTCCATGTTATTTTATAGGAGCCCTTCTGACAAGACAGGATCGGGAAAAGGGAAATGCTCTGTAATCCTGTGCTTAGATCTCTGTCCTTTAGTGAGCCTTGGCTGTGACCTTCACAGCTGTTTCTCAGCTTCCCTGCATGTCCCCCAAGTGAGACAGGAAGGTGTGAGCGGGCTGGAGTTGGGTATTTCCATTACTTCCTATTGGTCAGGCTCTGGTAAAACCCAGGTAGCCTAGGCTCTGCTAAAATCATTTCTCCTTTGTTAAGGAGAGCAGAATACTTTGGCCTTATTTCACAGTGGTTGCTCTTCTCCCCTTCCATGAAGCACAAAGGGATTTTTTTTTCCTATCTAATTTTTTCACCCTGAGAAACCGATAGGGCTCTTGGAGGTAAAACTCAGCAAAGTACAGGAGACCCCTTAAGACCAGGCTCCCAGAAGTTGTTTTTTGTTGTTGTTTTTAATCTCTCAAACTAGTCTACCACTCAGTCTCTGGCAATTAGGCAGTTATCCTTGAAGCATCCTTACCAGTTGCTGGCTCCAGCAGGTATTTCTGCTCCTAGTATGCTGTGATTCTCTGTGTTTGCCTGTCTCTAGTTTTCAGTATGGTGGCTTGCCCTGTGACCTCAATTTTCTGATGAATCTACGGAATAGTTTTTTGTTTTGTTTGCTCAGCCTTTTTCTTACTGTGAGCATGGTAGTGACAACTTCCAGACTCTATTTGCTAACCAGAAATGCGATACATCTCTAATCTGTTTTTAACTGTGGAAATATGGCTCCCTGCTCCTTGGAACTCGAACTGTATCTAGATTTTCAGCACATATAGCCATTTCCTATGATACTTTCTCTCCTTTAGCCCTCACGTAGTCTTAGTTCTACAGGCACCTCTATCTTTTATGCACATCAAGAGTCCTTAGGTCAGTGTATCTCTATTTATTTTGATTGTCTGAAGCTTGTACTCTGAAATATTCCTCAGAAAGGTATCAAGAGAATAATATTCCCAGTTTTTCCTGTGGATAGTACATAAAAATTTGTGTTCTTTTTACATGAAAATCAATTTTACAGGTATACAGACTCAAAGTTTCTTTTCTGGAGTGTTGTCGATGTGTTACTTTATTGCTTCTGGCATAAATTGTCTGAAAGCCTGTTGATACAATTTTATGTCCTGTAATTTTACTGGAGTATGACTTGGTGTAGGGTATAGGTCATTCTGGTCTGATTATTTCCCAGGTATGTAGTATGTTCTTTAAATTTGTAGTTTGAAAATTGTATTAGTCCATTTTCACACTGCTATAAAGAACTGCTCAAGACTGGGTAATTTATGAAGGAAAGAGGTTTAATTGACTCACAGTTCAGCATGGCTGGGGAGGCCTCAGGAAACTTAAAATCATGGCAGAAGGGGAATCAAGGCACCTTTTTCACAAGGCAGCAGGAAGGAGAAGTGCTGAGCAAAGGGGGAAGAGCCCCTTATAAAACCATCCTGTCTCATGAGAGCTCACTAACAGGAGTTATTATTTCTTGAATTTCCTATTTTTCCCAGGATGTCTTTATTATTTTCTTACCGTCCTGTCTATGTTTAGTCACATGGCCCTTTGAGGTGACTTGTCTGCAAAATGAGGAATTCATCACTGTTCTTTTGTCAAGGTAGAGGGAGTTATGTAATTCCATAAACTGTTCATATCTGATGACAGAAATCAAAAAAGAACTGAACAGATGGAGGAGTTATATACATGAATAGAAAAACTCAGTATCATCAGGATGCCAGTTCTCCCCAATGTGTAGATTCAAAGCACTTCTAATCAAAATGGAAGCAAATTATTTTATGGATATAGAAAAGTGAATTCTAAAGCTTATATGGAGAAGAAAAAGACCTTGAATAGCTAACACGATATTGAAGGAGAACAAAGTTGGAGGAAAGACAGGCACTACTCAACTTCAAGAATTACTGTAAAGCTATGGTAATCAAGGCTGTATCATGTTGATGAAAGAAGAGACAGTTTAGTGAAACAAGACAGTTTAGAAATAGAGACATATCAATGTATTTAATCTTTGATGAAAAAGTAAAGGCAACATGATGAAACAAAAATTGGTTTGTTCAGAAAGTGCTGCTGGAACAACTGAATATCTACATGTAAAAAAAAAAATGAATCAGATCTTACCCCCTCACCAAAGTTAAAATGAATCACAGACGTAAATGTCAAATAGACAACTGCAAAACTTCTGGAAAGTAACGGGAGAAAATCTAGACTCTCTTGGGTTTGATGATCTCTAGAGAAAAACGCAAAAGTTACAATACATAAAAGAAATAATATGACAAGCTGGACTTGATTTAAATGCCACATTTTTGTTCTCTTAAAGCCATTGAAAGAGAAGACAAGCCACAGACTGGAAGAAAATATTTGAAAAACATATTTGATTAATGAATTTTATCCAAATTATACCAATCTTATTAAAACTAAACAAACAACCCAATTAAAAAATGAACTAAAGAGTGTAACAGGCATTTCGCCAAATAAAATATAAGCATATGTAATGACGTTCCACATAATATTTTCTTAAATGCAGTAATGAGCTACTACTGCACATCTATGGGAATGACCAAAAGCAAGAACATGGTCACCCACTCTAATCACATGGTCCCTATCACATAATTAGAGGGCGCTGGGGGCTTTAACTCTACAAGTTGATGTGTAAAGAATTCGACTTAGATATGATATAGTGACTAGAATTCTTTTATGTATGTGTGTATGTATGTATGTATGTATGTATTTATTTGTTTTGAAAGAGATTCTCTGTTGCCCAGGCTTGGAGTACAGGGGCATAAATAACCAAACAATAAGCAAAATCCAGAAGAATGAAGACGTCAAATGCTGTCAAGGATGTGGAGCAAAAGGACCTCTCGCCACTTGTTTGTGGCACAATCACAGTTTACTGTACCCACGAACTCCCAGGCCCCAGTGATCCTCCCACAATCAATCTCCCAAGTAGCTGGGGCCACAGGCATGCACCACCATGCCTGGCTGATTTGCTTTATTTTTGTAGAGATGAAGTCTCCCTGTGTTGTCTAATCTGGTCTGAAACTCCTGGGATCAAGTGATCCTCTTATCTTGGTCTCCCAAAGCGCTGGAAGTACAGGCATGAGGCACTGCACCCAGCCTGCAAGTCTTTAAGCAGGATGAGTTCAATCTAACTTTTTCTCCATCTGCTCTACTCAGCTAAGTCTCCTTCTCAGCCCGAGGGAGAGAACCGCAGCTCAGCCCTATCCAGGATGGGGGCAGATTACCCAGCACCACCGCCATACTCCAGATGCGGGTCAACGAGGAAGGGACCCTGAGGCCTGGCAGCAGGTGCAGTCAACAACCTTGAAGCCGTCCAAACGGGACCCGCCATCCGTGCCTGTCTGAGTTGTAGGGGCTGCCTGCATTTGGCGCACAGGCAAAATGGCCAAGCAACCTCAAACTCCCCACTTCCCCTCTGGGCCCAGGCAGCGCGGACTAGAGACAGGTGCCGCTGCTGCACAGAAATCTGTGGATCAACTCTATGTCTGCACCAGGGCAGGAACCGGCTCCTCAGCCCCATCCTGGCGGCTGCACAGTGCCCAGACCCCTCAACCCAGTGCCCTGGGCGCGAGCCAAGGAAGAGCAGGGCTTAGAGAGGGAGGGTGTGTTCCACACGGCGACCCTCTGGCCTTCTGGGTCCAGCCCTGCAGCCACCACCGTGGGCTCAGCTGCAGCTGGCATTTGAAGGTGGCAGCAGCGGTGCCAACCCTAGAACCTGTCCGTGCCACCAGCTGCGGTGAACCCTAGGGTCGGACGCCGCCACTGCGCCTAAGTCAGGCTTTGGGCCCTGGGCTGCAGGAGGGCGGGAACCTGCAGCAAAGCCTCATCCCTGCAGCTGTACAGGGCCCAGAGGTCGCGAGCCTGAGCTGCCAGCATTGGCAAAGGTAGAGCAGATCCCAGGGTGAAAGGCTCATGCACTCGACGGCCCTTAGCTGTCTGGGCCCAACCCTGCAGCCTCCAGTGTGGACTTATCTGTAGCTGCTGCCTGAACATGGCACGCGGCAGCAGGGGCTGCATCCCTGACCCTGCCAATACCACCAGCAGTGCGGATCCTTGGCCAGAAGCCTCCAGGGCGCCCAAGTCACTGGATGGGTTCCCAGCTGCAGGAGGGAGGGAACTGACTGTCAGCGTCATCCAGGATCCTGCAGGGTGCCCAGCTCCAGGGCCCAGCTCCTGGATCGCGGGTCCAGGAAGAGCCGGGGTGGCTCTGTCAAGCGTGCGGTGTGGAAGGGCGCCCCTCACTTTCAAATTATACTAGAGAACCTTCAGAAACCTTTTTTTTTTCTTTTTCTGATATGGAGTCTTGCACTGTTGCCCAGCCTGCCAAGCTGGAGTGCAATGGCGTGATCTCGGCTCACCACAACCTCTGCCTCCCCGGTTCACGGGATTCTCCTGCCTCAGCCTCCTGAGTAGCTTGGAATACAGGCGCACACCACCACACATGGCTAACTTTTTGTATTTTTAGTAGAGACGGGGTTTTACTATGTTGACCAGAGTGTTCTCCAACTCCTGACCTCATACTCTACCAGCCTCTGCCTCCCAAATTGTTGGGATTACAGGCTTGAGCCACAGCGCCCAGAAAACAAATTTTATGGCTTCATACATCAAAATTCAACAATGATGAACAGTGAGAATGACATACAATTAATTTAGGAACACTTACGGATTGATTTATGGTCTTGGACATCCATTATTTCTCCAAAAGTTAAGCTCACGACTCAGTAATTATTTCCTTTTTCATGCGTGGATTTGGTCCTGGTCAGTTTGTGACCCAGAAATTTTTTTTTTCAAGAAAAGAGCACGTATTCTGTCTATTGATCCACAGACAATAGACTCTGCTTACAGATTGAAATATAAACTACTCACCTGATTTCTTTCTGCTGCTGGGACAATGGGCTCAGGTTTATGTTCACAACAGCCATTGAGCGCATAGACGCTGGGATAGGGGCTTGTGATCCTATGAGTTTACTTCCCCAGAGAACTACAATTGTCATCTCACCTGTAGATAAAAGGACAGTACATATTTGATGAGTTATAGTGATTTTTGAATAACTTTGTCTTAGTTTCCAATTACCAAAAAAATGACAACGTTATACCCAAGCACCTTCAAAGACATGAAAATGGGAGAGGCTCTGTTTTTCCGTAATCCCTGGAGGCAGACAGGGGCTCACATGGAGAGAACTGGAAATGCTGAGTCTGAGACATGAAAGACTGACAGCAAAGCACATGTGTCTTACCAGATTCCGTGCTTCCCTGAGATCTGCCTCTGCTGAAAATCTGATTTTCAGTTAACCCCGAAATTCCTGAGCCGAAGTATTAGTGAATTGTAAACAGATGGGACCACACAAAGAGCTTGAAAAGGAGGTGTCAACAGGTTTCCGTGCAGAGAAGAATTTAAAGTCATATATTAAAATGAAAAACAGGAACAAAATTGTGTGATTCAATGCAAATGAGTATTAAAATGTGGCTCATATATAGTCTAGGAATATATAGTTTAAGGTCATTTACCTCATAGAGATAGAGGTGCTAAATTAAGTAGTATTCATAGAAGAAACGGAACGTTTATTTAAGATTAGTTTTGCACAAAAGAAAGCACCATATTTATATTGTCCAGAAGAAAATTTTACTCATGAACTAATTAATATACCAATACTGCTTAAACTATTTAAAAGTTATAAGGTAACCAACATTCCCAATAGTTTTTAGAAAGGATATATAAAAGTGATACAACTTTACTTGTTTGATGCTGTATAGAATATTATAGATAATAAGAACATATTATATGAAAGTAAAATTTTTAAATGTTAAAAAGCATTGTGTCAACCCATTAAAATATTAGATCATTAGGAATTCCATTTATGCCTGAAATGCAAGTGAGAGTCATCGAATTAGGAAATTCATTAACACAATAAATTATGTTAATTGAATTAATGAGACTGTCTTGTGTTCATGTTCATAGATGGAAAACAGATAATGCCAAAATTTCCTGAACAATTATTTTAAATCAATTTGTATGGAATTGTTGCAAAATATTTCTTGAAAACATCAAAATAGATTTGTATAAATGAAAATTATGACATTACATGATTAGGCAGGGTCAACATTATTAAGACATCAAAGGTACTTTAATTAATAAGCTGATTTTTTGGTTGCATAGTATTCCATGGTGTATATGTACCTTTGCAAGGACATGGATGAAGGTGGAGACCAGTATCCTTAGTAAAGGAATGCATTAACAGAAAACCATCTATGGCATGTTCTCACATATAAGTGGGAACTAGATGATGAGAACACATGGGCACATAGAGGGAAACAACACATACTGGGGTCTACTGGAGGGTGGAAGGTGGGGAGAAAGAGAGGATCAGGAAAAATAACTAATGGACACTTGGCTTAATATCTGGGTGGTGAAATAATCTGTGCAACAACCCTTACCCCTGACAGACATTTACCTATGTAACAAACCTGCACATCCTGCACATGTACCCCTAAGGTTAAAATAAAATTTAAATAAATAACGAAAATTAAATAAGTTGAGTTTAACTCCAATGTAGATACCATCTGTGTTCTGAATATAGAAATTTTATTGTATAGAAGAGCAAACAAAATATCCATGAAAAGTCTGAAAATTGAGAGAGTGACTTCCCCTGTAAAATATTGTAGAGACTTGGAAATTAAAATTGTGTCATATTGTTTCATCATTAGTCTGAGAGACCAATGGAATACAACATTCAAAAATGGAATAAAACATATATGAAAATATACTGTGCAATAAAAGCAGGAGTGTAGAAAGAAGAGATGAACAGCTTGCCGAGTCTCATTGGGCACTGAAGCTCACAGATAGGCAGCAGGCTTTGTCTCTCACCACGTGTGCTTTCTGTAAGTCTGGTATTGCCACGTGTGCAGGAAGAACATTTAATATTTGAGCAAGAGGATTTTGGGGCGAATATCTGATTAAAGTGAATTTTTCTTCCTCAATATTTATTGTAACCTGTTCTCATAGCCCACAGTATGTTTCCTGCTGGGTTGAGATGTTACTGCCTTTAATAAAGCTTTATTACCTGCAACTGTCCCCCTCTGTATGTTTGGGAACCTTGAGAACAGTCACACATAATTGTGGTAATTCTTTAGTTGGTCACTTGCCTGGTGAAACACTATCTGGGGGGGCTCCTTTCCACACTGGTCACACAGGGCAAAAGCTTGTGAAGAGTTCTGGGATAGAACACTGCATGGGGCCACTGAGATGGGTCACTTCAAGGTACAGTGCTCTTAACCTATACCTTAAACTGAGGCAGACAGAAAGTTCCACATGGCGTCAGAAAAAGAAAAATAAAAAAACAAGTTTGAAATGTTGAATCATCTTTGGTTGTTAAAAACACTATCTTCTTCAGAGGATGTGCTGAAATAAAAACTAACAGATGATCTTTGCCTGAAATATATAAATATTTGTTAACAAATGCTGGCGAGGCTGCAGACAATAGAAAACTCCTATTCACTGTCACTGGGAATGTAAATCAGGTTAGCCACTATGGAAAGCAGTTTGGAGATTCCTCAAAAAATGTAATATAGAGCTACTAATTGAACTATCAACCTCATTACTGGGTATATACCGAAAGAAAATACAACACTGTACCAAAAAGACACATGCAAACCTGCACACGCAGCACCTCTAATATAAAAGTTGACATTATTTTAAAAAGTGTTTATTTGCGAAAATATTTCACCCATGGTAGGGATAAAGAACTACATTCTCGCTAAGGTCAAGAGGCACACACCCGAAGGTAGCCCTGGGGGCAGGGCCGGGAAAGCCAGGAGCACCAGCATCCTCGGCTACACCAGCAGGTATTGGCTGAAGCAACAGGTGCACTGGGGATATGGAAAGGAGTTACTTAGACACAGTTGCTGATTCATGAATTTCCTATGTTTCCCAGGATCTCTTTATCATTTTCTTACCCACATGTCTATGTTTAGACACATGGCTCTCACAGGTGACTTGTTGGCTGCAGAATGAGGAATTCATCACTGTTCTTTGGTCAAGGTAGAGGAAGTTATGTAATTTCATAAACTGTCCGTATCTGATGACAGAAATCAAAAAAGAACTGAACAGATGGAGAAGATACATTATATTAATGAATAGAAAAACTCAATATTGTCAAGATGTCAGCTCTTCCCAATGTACGGATTCAATGCACTTCTACTCAACATGGAAGTAAATTATTTTATAGATATAGAAAAGCTAATTCTAAAGCTTATATGGAGAAGAAAAAGACCTTGAATAGCTAACACAATATTGAAGGAGAGAACAAAGTTGGAGGAAAGACAGGCACTACCCAACTTCAAGACTTAACTGTAAAGCTATGGTAATCAAGGCTGTATCATGTTGATGAAAGAATAGACAGATTAATGAAACAAGACAGTTTAGAAATAGAGACAAATCAATATATTTAATCTTTGATGGAAAAGTAAAGGCAATATGATGAAACAAAGATTGGTTTCTTCTGAAATTGGTGCTGGAACAACTGAATATCCACAAGTGAAAAAAAATCAGATCTTACCCCCTCACCAAAATTAACTCAAAATGAATCACAGACATAAATGTCGAATACAAAACTATAAAACTTCTGGAAAATAACAGGAGAAAATCTAGACTCTCTTGGGTTTGATGATCTCTAGAAAAACGCCAAAGTTACAGTACCTAAAAGAAATAATATGATAAGTTGGACTTGATTAAAATGTCACTTTTTTGTGTGTGTGAAAGCCATTGAAAGGGAAGACAAGCCACAGACTGGAAGAAAATATTTGCAAAACATATTTGAATAATGAATTTTCTCCAAAATTTACCAATATTCTTAAAATTGAATAATAATAAACAAACAACCCAATTAAAAAGTGAACTAAAGACTGTAACAGGCATCTCACCAAATAAAATATACAAATAAAAAATAAGCATATGTAATGATGGGCCACATAATATTTCCTTAGGGAAATGCAGTAATGAACTACCACTGCATACCTATTGGAATGACCAAAAGCAAGAACGTGGTCACCCACTTTAATCACATGGTCCCTATCACATAATTAGAGGGTGCTGGGAGTTTCAACTCTGCAAGCTTCGTGTGTAAAGAATTCAACATAGATATGATACAGTGACTAGAAGTTATTTATTTATTTATTTAGAGAGCGAGTCTGTGTTGCCTAGGCTTAAAATGCAGGGGCAGAAATAACCAAATAATAACGGAAATCCAGAAGACTGCAAATGTCAAATCTGTCTAGGATGTGGAGCAACAAGGCCTCTCATTGCTTGTTTGTGACACAATCACAGATCACTGTACCCACAAACCTCCGGAACCAAGTGATCCTCCCACAATCAATCTCCCAAGTAGCTGGGGTCACAGGCATGTACCACCATGCCTGGCTGATTCGTTTTATTTTTGTAGAGATGAAGTCTCCCTGTGTTGTCTAATCTGGTCTGAAACTCCCAGGATCAAGTGATCCTCTTATCTCAGTCTCCCAAAGCGCTGGAAGTACAGGCATGAGGCACTGCACCCAGCCTGCAAGTCTTTAAGCAGGATGAGTTCAATCTAACTTTTTCTCCATCTGCTCTACTCAACTAAGTCTCCCTTTCAGCCCAAGGGAGAGAACCGCAGCTCAGCCACATCCAGGATGACTGCAGATTACCCAGCGCCACCGCCATATTCCAGATGCGGGTGAACGAGGAAGGGACTCTGGGGCCGAGCAGGGGGCACACTCAGCAACCTGAAGCCGTCAAACGGACCCGCCATCCGTGCCGCTGTCTGAGCTTTAGCCTCTACCTGCACTTGGGGAACAGGCAAATATGGCCGAGCAACCCTAAACTTCCTTCTTCTCCATGGGCCCAGTCAGCGCGGACCAGGGACAGATGCTGCTACAGCGTTGATGTCAGTCGGTCCGCCCCATATCTGCACCAGGACAGGAACCCGCCGCTCTGCCCCATCCTGGCGTCTGCAGTGTCCAGAGCCCGCAACCCAGTGCTCTGGGCGCGAGCCAAGGAAGTGCAGGGCCTGGAGAGGGAGGGCGTGTGCCACACGGCGACCCTCAGGCCCTCTGGGCCCAGCCGTGCAGCCTCCGCCTTGGGCTCAGCTGCAGCTGGTATTCGAACGTGGCAGCAGCAGTGGCAACCCCAGAACCTGTCCTTGTCACCAGCAGCGGCACACCCTAGGGTCGGACGGCGTCACTGCGCCTAAGTCAGGCGGTGGGACGTCAGCTGCAGGAGGGCGGGAATCTGCCTCAGTGCCTCATCTCGGCAGCTGTACGGGGCTCAGAGGTCGTGAGCCTGAGCTGCCAGCGCCGGCCAAGAAAGAGCAGAGCCCAGGGTGGTAGGGCGGTTCACTCGACGACCCTCAGCGGTCTGGGCCCAGCCCTGCAGCCTCCACCGTGGACTCAGGTGCAGCTCTCATCTGAACATGGCACGCGGCAGCAGGGGCTCCAACCCGGACCCTGTCAGCGCCACCAGCAGCGCGGATCCCTGGGCCAGAAGCGTCCAGGGATTCTAAGTCAGGGGTGGGTCCCCAGCTGCAGGAGGGCGGGAACCGCCACTCAGCGCCATCGAGGAGGCTGCACGGTGCCCAGCGCCAGGGCCCAGCTCCTGGATCGCGGGTCGAGGAGGGGCCAGGGGCGGCTATGTCAAGCGGACCGTGTGGCAGGGTGTCTCCCACGTTCTGCTCCAGGGAGGCCAGCCCGACAGCGCCTCAGCGGCAGGTGCCACCTGCATGCGGTGCCCGGGGGAGGGCGGCCAGGGCGCGTGTCTCCTCAGCCTGCTGAGCTGCGCATGCACTGCTGCCTAATGGCTTTGCTCAGCGAATTTCTCCCAGGAGAAGCCGTAGTGTCCAAGAGCTTGGCCAGACAGCAAGTTTTACTGGTGTTGGAGCGGGTGTGGGGACTCAAGAAGGGCGAGGGCGAGCGGCGGGGGCTGGGGAAGGGCGAGCGGGAGGCACAGGCTCTCTCTAGGAGGTGGCCGCAGCCATGAAGAAGCTCTCTGCCGCAGCTGGCAAGGGCGTGAAGGGCCCGGAGCGCCGGAGCCCCTTCAGTCAGCTGGTCTATACCAACAAGGACTCTTGCGTGATCCACTATGGGGATCTCAGGAAGATCCACAAAGTTGTCTCCCTGGGCCAAGCCTGGAATCTGGAGGGGATAACCATGAGGAAGACCATCGACCTGAACAAAAGAGATGTGACGAAGAGATACCAGGCCCTGCCTGAGCCGGGGCTGCAGGAGGAGGAGGCGGCTGTAGGAGGATCGCCCCTTAAGAATGAGGTGCTGGGAGGCCTGGGGACGAGGGGAGCAGGTGGAGGAGTGGCGAGCGGTAGGTCGGCCGTCCTGGGCCCTGGGGTCTAGGCCTTCTTCCCGGGTAGGCCCCCCAGGCCTGGGATGGGGGCGTCCTGCAGGTCAGAGGGCCCAGGCCACCTTAAAATCAACCCCAAACTTTCGCTGCTTTCTCCTTCACTTCCACTTCCTCTCACAGAGCACTGTGTAGAAAATTTTAAAGTGATTTAACTCACAAAATTAAGTACATACAGGGTTTTACTTTTAATGTACAGGTTTTAAAAGATAATGTTAGATACATTATGAAATGGTGCATAATGAAATAATTCCTATAATATATGGACTTCTTGGCTAAAAGTTCTTTGGATGAAGTCCAATATCCATTTTGATATCAATGAATGTCTATGTAAATATGTTCTTTGCTGAGGGGTCTTAGAAAGGAAACTTTGAGGTGGGAAGATGGTTTATATTCTTGAATTTAAGAAGACTCATTTTTCTCAAGATGCGAGTTCTTTATCAGTTTTACATAAACCAAATAAAGTTATCAACGTTTTAACATTTTTTTAAAAAATTACACAGGCTGTCTTTTACTACTGTGATGACATTTTAAATATTTTGTAATTGAGTAGAAAAGTCTTGCCCTTCTAGATGTCAAAATGTGCTATCAATTTGCACAAGATGGGCCAGCAGCAGTGGCTCACGTCTGTAGTTCCAGCGCTTTGGGCGGCCGAGGCAGATGGATCACCTGAGGTCAGGGGTTTAAGACCAGCCTGGCCAATATGGTGAAACACCGTCTCTACAAAAATACAAAAATTAGCCGGGCATGATGTCGGGTGCCTGTAATCCCAGCTACTCGGGAGGCTGAGGCGGGAGAATTGCTTGAACCCGGTGGGCAGAGGTTGCAGTGAGCCGAGATCCCACCACTGCAATCCAGCCTAGGCGACAGAGTGAGACTCTGTCTCAAAAAATAAATAAATGAGATAAATAAAATCACAAACTGTTTGCTAACAGGTAAATGGATACAATAGAATAGAAAATCCAGAAACACCCAAATATATGTAAGAATTTAGATCTTGATAATGGTCACACTTTGTACTAGTAGGAAAATAACTAATTTCATAAGTGAAATGCCTGCTTTTTGGAGAAAACTAGATTTTTATGCCACAAAATTCCAAAGTTTTTAATATACAAAATGATAAAAATACCAGAAGAAAACAAAATGCCTGTTCACACAGATACATTTTTATGTTGACAAAACCTTTCTAAGAAGCTCAGAAGCAAGCATTCTGAAGGTTAATTTAGTAAAACAAAAATTAAATCACCGTGCACATGAGAAAAAATAAAAGGCAGCATACTTGTAAAATATTTACTACATATGTATATGCGTGTGTGTATACATATTAGATTTAAAAATCTTCATTTTATAGAGAATTCACTCAAATCAACAAAAAAACCCTCTAATTTAAAATTGGGCAACATAAATTAGAGGTCTAAATTGCAGATCTAAAAAAACTACTTGACCTCTAATTTAAAATTGGGCAAAGTCCTTTTTTAAGATCTGTAAGTGGCCTATGCACACAGGAAACAATATTTAGTGTTCCTGGTTAGAGAAGGCATTTAAGTTAAAAGAGGACTCAAATACTGTTTCCTGTCCACAAAGTTTGTGAGGATAAAAAGCAGTGATATTTATAGTGCTCCTTAAAGTTTAAGTTGCAGATGACTTTTCAATAGACAATTTGATGGTAAGTACCATATTTAAAAACTGTTTATGCCTGTTAGTGATCAATTCTATTATACTAAAATGTTTTTACAAAATAATGAAACATACACACAATTTCTTTTCTGAGCACTGCTTAAAATATCAATGTATTAAGAAGAATCGATATAATGGCTTTTATAAATACACTTCAGTGAGTTTACAGCATGGGATAATATGTGACCACTCAAGGTAGAAATATATACAGAAGTATGTTGACATTTGAAAATATATTTTGGTGTATCAAGTGAAGGTAAAGTTCAGTTTGATTACACATACAGACTATGGTCTTGTGTTATCTGAAATTATGTATGAAATATGATAAAATTTATTATTTGAGGGCATTTGTTTAAATTTAAATGTTTTTCCTTTTTATTATCTTTGATTTCTGCATTGAGCATGTACAATGCTGTTAGTAAAAGTTTGTTATTAATGAAATAATTTTTGAGAAGTGCAGGAATATGAATTTTTCACAGATAAAAATAATTTCTCATGTTCTATAATTTTTTTATGGATTAGTATATTCTGTGAACTTTTAGCATCTTCAGAAGAGAATCTTTTATCTGTGGTTATTGATTTACATATACATTTTATTAGACACATATATAGACTTATGTATGTGCCAATAATTATAGATTAATCATTTTAGTGTAATTATTAGAAAAATAAAATAGCAAATATAAGTGCTTTATTTATAGCAGTTTTTTAAGATATTGAACTTCCCAACTGTATTGATCCATTCTTTTAATCCATTTATCACATGTAAGCTGAATGCCTATTATGTAGAAGAGACATCCTATTAACTCTGAAGACCTTTTCATCCTTAAAAATTTCACATTTACCTGCTCAGCCTGAGGAAAGTGAGAGATTTAAAATTGGAGTATTAGGACTGAATCTCAGTTGAAGCTTTCCCTCTCATCTTTAAAACAAAAACAATTCTGAAGTGGGAAACTAGTAAGTGATAACTACCACCCACGATGTTGGACATTTATAACAGCTTTAAAGAGTAATATTAATCATTGGAAATATCTAATTTACATGGGTTCTATAAATTTAAATATGAATTTACATAGTCTGTAAATCTAAATACAGAATAAAATGAGCCATACCTATTTATTTGAATCCCAAGTTTTCTTTGGCTTGAAGTTTTTAAAATATTAAAGAAGTTATTAAATATTAATTTAATTTAATATTAAATATTAAACAGTTGTTTTTATTTCAACTCTCTTTTTGCGTAGTACTCTTAAAAGTTAAAATTTCTTTCAGTGTTAATCCTGCGACTGGGACTGCCATCGTCCTGTTGTATATACCGTATTCCACTTCTTGGAAGGCACTGTGAATTGTGTGATGCTTCCTTATTTTATGCACCAATAAAAGATTGTTTAAATTTCTGCTAAATATAGTTGTAATAAATAATGAATTATAAGTGGCATTTCAATGTCAGAAATGTTAAAATATGAGAAATTGAGCATCTTAGAATCATTAAAATACCGTGTTATCTCTAACCTTTAAAGCACACCACAAAACAGGCATAATTGCACCTTTTACTTAAAATGTTGCCTTTGTTAAGTAGTAGTCATAATTATATCTAACAACTACTGAGCTGTTACATGTGCTAAGAACTCTCCAAAATACTTTGCATAGATTCTCATTGAGGCATCACAGTGATGTCCTGTGAGATAACTGCTGTATTCATCTTCATTTTATTGATGAGAAAATCGAGGTGCAGAAAGTTTAAGTGACAGCTAGAAAGTGAAACTTCTTAAAGTAATATTCAAGCCCAAGTTGAACTGAATCCAAAGGCCAAACTCTTTCTATTCAAATAGGCCACTCTTTCATTAATGCAGTGAGTAATAAGAGTGAACAAATGTTGTACTTTCTTCAGGAGAATATTAAATATTTCTTTTGAAGGCAGAGAAAGAGCATGGTATTTAATGTTTACAATTACATAAATCGTTGTATGTTTTGAGACAGTGGACTATACTTTGCCTAAAAGTCCTCTCACTCTCGTAGGACTGCTCTACACTGGGCCTGTGTCAACGGCCATGCGGAAGTAGTAACATTTCTGGTAGACAGAAAGTGCCAGCTTGACGTCCTGATGGCGAAAACTGGACACCTCTGATGAAGGTAAATCGTAGCCAGTTTTTTCAGCAGGAGATGGATTTGGTTTAAATACATAGAATAAAAATGAATTTATCTCATTGAAATACAACTAGTTTGTGAAACCTGTGGAATATTTATTTTGATTTCCTATAATTTATAATTTACTTCTTGTTTTAATACTGACAGGCTCTACAATGCCAGAGGGAGGCTTGTGCAAATATTCTCACAGATTCTGGTGCCGATCTAAATATTGTAGATGTGTATGGCAACACGGCTCTCCATTATACTGTTTATAGTGAGAATTTGTCAATGGTGGCAAAACTGCTGTCCCATGGTGCAGTCATCAAAGTGCAAAACAAGGTGGACGTTAACCAAGGTTATTTTCAAAATATTTGAAATCCATTTGTTTTAACATTAACATATGTAAGGTTTTTTATATTTGGAAGCTCAAACATTCCTTGAATGAAAATGGTTTGAAAGAACTTAATTTTCTAAGATTTTACTTTAAATATTAATATTTTTACAAGAATTACCAGAGAGTGTGGCTTTTCTATGCATTTATGATAAATATTTGAATTTGTTAAAGGTAAAACTTTTTCAAATATTCTTTCCTACCCAAGTTTTTTTTCTTTCCAATTAGTGTGAAACTACAGGAAAGCAAAATTTGCCTGCATAAATTGAGTCAACATGTAAAATGTAGGAGACATGCAGAAATCTGGATTTCCTCTTAAAGGATTGAATCTGGTGTCTCTTGAGCCCATATGACTGTTTGGTATGCTATGAAGACGTTCTAACTTTACACAAAGCATATGTTTCCAGTTTGCTACTGTGCCCACCTAGTTACATCACTTCCTCAACTTACCTCTTTTGCCTCTGTAAATATTTCAGTTATCAATTCCTCTCTCATAGTATATTTTGGTAGAGATTTCAAGGTATTCAAGACAGTTGATAGCTGTTTATAATATATAGTTTATATTTTACATTAATTCATTAATAATGGGCTACTTCTAGAATTTAGATTTTTTAAACAATGATTTTTCTGTATATAAACCATAAATAATCATCTTCTATTAGAATGACTTTAAGCCTTTTTGTATTAATCATGGTTGTATTTGAATAGGTTGTGCATATTGTAGAAAATATTATATCCTTCTCCTCAGAATCGTCCCTTAAAATTCAAGTGATTTAGTGGCTTATATTATGCTAATCCACATAGATGAGTTAGAACTTTAATTAATAAGCCATTTTATTAATATTGTTGATATTTTGTCAAAAATTAAGTAGCAGCTAATAGAAATCAGAATAAAAATGGATTATTGCATTTTAAAAAGATATGCATTAGGATCCTAGGATGATTATTATAATTGAGAATAAAGTTTTATACTGAATTTCTAATAGCTGAGATAAAATTCTGTTGTCTTGTAATAGGAGAAACCCCATTATTATTTAATAATAAGCAATCAAAGTTCATTTGAAGCCAAACTCTTTTAATTTAGAGCCACTTCCTTAGTGACCCATTTAGAGCAGGTGTGCCTGACATTGGCATCTGGGATCTTGGGATTATTGGTAGAAGAGAATCAAGTGAGTTTGTATCACCCAGAGGAAACCTCCATTTTTCTTGCAAAGCTTTCAAAACTGTATCCCTGAAATTCTAATTTGTCAAATGTTAATGTCTGCCACAAAAATATATTGTCAAATAAGGATTAGGCAAAGTTCAAGTCATTTATTGAATAATGGACATTTAATTCACAGTTTTATAATATTTCTTCAACATAGATAATGGTGGAATCTGTTGGGGTACATTACTTCTGGTAAGGTAATTATCTTTTAGAATATAGTTTAAGAAACACTGCTCTAGAGGTAATAATTTAGATTACTAATTTAGTCAAAAACAAAATATTTACTACTATGTCTTAGGGTTTAAGGATATAGAGATAAAGGATACAGCCCTTGCCCTCAAGAAGCTCTTGGTTTAGAAGAGAAACCATAAAATCATTACAATATAATGATTTTTGGAGATAACCAGAGTTAATTTGGTGATGCAGAGGCTGAAACAAGGTAAGGTGCAGTGCATGAGAAAGCACAGAAAAGGGAGAAGGAAGGGATTGCTATTGATTGACTTTATATTTTATGTGTTTAAGTTCATAGGATATTATATAAAGTATTCAGTTCAGCTGAGAAATATGTAATTTCATGAATTATAAATCGTTTTACTGTTTTACAGGCTAGCCTCACACCACTTTTACTGGCCATAATGAAAAGACGTGAGCAAATTGTGGAATTTTTACAGACAAAAAAAATGCAAATGCAGTTAATAAGTTTAAATGGTATAGTAGTTCTTTTTTTTTATTAAAAAACACTTGAGTAGTGTTCTAGAGAAATAAGACTCAAGTCAGAAATATTAAATTAATATTTACTTAAAATTATTAGATTATAGTGAAACATATCAACACAAATTATCAGAAGTAAAGCAATTATTTGGACTGATCAACATAAAGAGCAGTATGTAGTAGGACTTCTCTTATTATATTGATTGATTCTTATGTGTAATCTGATGTTTTTGGTTGCATTATCTTCCATAAGCTAAAGTGGTTCTGTATTAGTTTTAAGAAGTATGATTTTTTAGTTTACTTTGTAATTCAATATTGAATGATTAACACTTTTATAGTATTTTTCTAACTTCCGTTTTTTTATACACTTTTAAAAAAATGCAATATTTGCTGGACACGGTAGCTGTTGCCTGTTATCCCAGCACTTCGGGAGGCCAAGGTGGTTGGATCACTTGAGGCCAGGAGTTTGAGACTAGCCTAGCCAACATGGTGAAACCCCATCTCTACTAAAAATACAAAAATTAGCCGGGAATGGTGGCACATGCCTGTAGTCCCAGCTACTTGGGGGGCTGAGGCACAAGAATCGCTTGAACCCGGGAGGCAGAGGTTGCAGTGAGCTGAGATCGTGCCACCACACTCTAGCCTGGGTAACAGAGTGAGATAGATTCTGTCTCATAGAAAAAGCAATATTAAATAGAAATAGGAGTTTAAAATCATTTTGTCTTTAGGATGATTGTTTGCTTTGTTTTCTTTGAAGAGTATTAATTTTAGGTTATCCCTACGTGACTATTAATTGCTATCACCAGATACTGTGAATTTATTATTTTTTTCTTTTTTATTCATAGTGTATTTTTATTTTTAATTTGTATGGGTAGAGGGAAGAAAGACATCTTTAATTGGATTAACATTTTAGTTAATTAAGATAAGCCATAGGTGAGTGATAAAGAGAAAAGAGATAGGCTTTTGATTCACACAATACTAAATTTAATTTCTAGCTTCCTCACTTGATAGGTGTGACCTTGCAAACATTAGTTAATACCAACTATGATTTTCTATATGAAAAGGAGAATAATAATATGTCCTTTAAGGACGATTGTGTTGAAGTAACATTATAAATATCAACAGCATTTAATTCAGTGTTTCATACATTCTTATCAGCATCATTAAGTAAACTTACTGTAACTACTACTAATATCATTATTCCTAATACTGTTTTAAGCCTTCAGATTGCTCTTATTTGTCTGACTTCTAGCTGATTTTGAAGTACAAAATATTATATCAGAGTAAGGAAGAAATAGATAATTCTTCACTTAAATCTTTGCCTCTTTTAGGTTAGTGAACAAAGCATAAGTCTTTGCCCCTCAAAGGACTTTATGTTAGCCAATTCTAGTATGCCATATTCCAGTGGGACATGAGTCTTTTTGCCCCTTCCTTTTAGCCTTGGTGGTGATTTACAAGGATAAACACTTGAGCACTCAAGATAGTTATGTTTGTTAGTACATGTAAATGGTTAATTCTACACTGACAGGCACATATTAAATTGGTTCTGTTCCTAACAATGAAGTTAACTCTTTGTTATTTTAGCACAGCCCTCATGCTTGCCATATGTCATGGAGCATGAGAGATAGTTGGCATGGTTCTTCAGCAAAATGTTGACATCTGTGCTGAAGATACATGTGGAATGACTGCAGAACGTTATGCTGTTGCTTGTGGACTTAATCGGTGTTTACATTTAAAGACTAGGTGAGATTTTATAGTTTGTTTCAGGTAATTTTTGAATGACAGTGAGTTAGTTCACTTCATCGGCCAGAAACTAGTCAAAAAGCTAGACTAGTTAGAAGGAATAATGGGTCCAGGATTCTTTATTTTAGGACTTTCAACAGCTTTATCCCTAGGGATCCTAATGTTGTGTACTTGATTTTAAGTATAACCCCTATGCATGGGATAAACATAGTGTCACAATTTTGATTTTTCTAATTAGTTATTTGGGTCTTGAAATGTCCACTTTACCAGAAAACCTGATAGTGTCCCCTGGGGGCTGTCTTCCATACCTTAATACTTGAATTTTTAAAAAGAATCTAACGGGTTCCTTAAGTACAAGGAAGAGATTCATTTTGTGTAAGTCAGAAGGATTGGGGGGGAAAATGGCCATTCTCTTCATTTTGTTGTTTCCATTGATTCTGTTGCTGCATCGTTGCCATTGAAACTGTTCCTGCAGTCTGGTAATGATTGACCTTTGTGACCAGGTGCCCTTACTAACACAGATTTTATGGTGATCCATATGTAGACTTCAAATTTATTACAGTTTTTTAAAGTTCACATATATATTCTCAGCCATTGTTTCCAAAGTACCAGCACCCTGCTCTGGCAGCTAGGACTTTTATCTTTTGCCACACACATAGTGAGCAAATTGACCCTTCTCCCACTCAAAACCTGATGTGAAACCCACATCTTGCCTGAACTTGGCCTAGACCTTCATAAGTTATCCTTTAAGTGACTTTTCTGTTTTCTCTAGCAAATATTAGTTGCGACAGTTTAAAACTGTAAGTCAGGTTGAAATAATGTTACAGGAAGGAATTAGAGTTCCATTTTTATTTTGTTACCAGATGTATATCCCTGGCACTTTATATCCCGTGTAGCACCATTTTGTAGGTAGTGGAAGGTCTCATCTTATTCTGTAAGATCCCATGTCATCTTTCCAAAGTTGTAGTGGGTTCCAACTTGTGGTTGTCCCCTCAAGTGATTCTTTTTTTCCCAAAAGTTAAAAATCTCCCGTGCTACTTGCATCTCTATCTCGAGTTTTTAAAATATTTTCAAATTCTGCATTACCATGAAGCCATTCAATAGACTTCACTCTATCTCAAGGAGGTTGCTTAGATTAAACAGAGCTAAGCCTCATCCATCACTGATGAGTCTTCACATATAAAAGTAGGGATTTGTGCTGGCTTCAGGGGTACATATACTAAAATTGAAACAATGTCGAGAAGATCAGCATGGTCCCTGCACAAGGATGACACAGAAATCTGTGAAGTGTTGCATATTTCTTGCAGTCCCCAAAAGGACATTTGACTACTTTCTAACTAGCTCCAAGGAAATGGTGTGAGTCAAAGCAAAATGGGTGACAGCCAGTATTGCAATTGTGATTTTCATATGAAAAATATTTATGTAAGGTGATCTATGAAATGAGATATGGTAACACATAGGATCTTGTGTGCAATATGTTGTTAGTAGGCCAATGAGAAAATACCAACTGGCATCTTCTTTGTGGAACTTACAAAAAATAAAGGTAGGTTTTTGTCTTCCACAGCAGCTGGAAATGAACATAGTGACTAAGCATCATTCTAAGAAAGATTTGTTGGTTCAGAGTTTAGGGAGGTAGAGAAAGATTAGTAGTAGTCCAAGCCAGATGCTGACATCTATAGTTTTCTTCCCTTGGTGTGATTGATGAGCTCAGTAATAGAGGATAATCAGATTGTCCAATTTAATAATTAATATATTCATAAATTTCATTACAAATTATAAAATAGCTTAGATGCCTTGAATTACAAGCCACAAAGAATAGAACATCTAATAATAACCAAAAGTAGGAATTAATAACAGAAAACTGTAACATTTGAACATTATAACCTATGAATAAACAGTTTTTTAAAAAAAAAATTTATTTTTTGTAGACACAGGGTCTCCCTATGTTGCCCAGGCTGGTCTTGAACTTCTGGGCTCAAGTGATCCCCCTGTCTCAGCATCCCAAAGTGCTTGCATCACAGGCATGAGCCACTGCACCAGGCCAACACATTGGGTTTTATTGGGAATTTTAAAATAGTTTCAGCAATAAGGTTCAAGAACAAATTATTTCATTGCTTCACTATTTCTCAGAGTATTTTAAAAATGTTCTCTTGTTAAATTCTTATAATAACCTAGTGAAATAAGGCTCTAAAATCCTCATTTTTAGAAGACATTGCGCCTAAGAGAAGCAAGTTGTTCAAGAAAAAATACCTGTTGGTTACCATGCTAGGAGTTTTTCTGAGTTAGGGGCATTTTCCGTTATACCAAGCTAACTCTAGTTAATTTACTGAGTTAGACTGCCCTCAATTCATGAGTATTTCATCTTACTTTATTTCTTCTTTAATTAAAAGCTTAGTAAGTTCATAGAGCTTACAAACTCAAAGTCTATGAAATAAGTAATGTTCTGATGTTAGCTCTGATATTATCTGAAATACCCTAATAATAAATTTGGTAAATGTTTTTTATATCAGTGTTAAAATAGTAATTTTATTTATTACATTTTTATACATAGCATTCATCAACAACTTTTGGAATATATATGAAAGATATCTAAAAATCCTCAAAATAGCAATCCAGGTAAGACCTCTGATAGTAAACTACTCTTGGTGGTGCTATCATAAGATTATGGAACTATTGATCACAAAAAAGCAATTCAAAAAGCAATGTGTAAATAGCATGTGTTTACATATATACATATATATATATAGCTTTGATTTAAATTTTTTAGTTTATAATTCAGAATTAGTTAAGAATTTAGTTGTAGGTAGCTTATAATCTCAAAAAATATTATCTGAAAAAATATTTGTTTAATTATGGTCCCTAAAATCCTACATAATACTTTTGTATAAATAAGTAATGCAATGTTTAAGTTTGTATATTGTATGTTTCTTCAATTGTCATAACAACTTAGGCTTGTTACAAAATGTATAACCCTTAGTGTGATTGATGAGCTCAGTAATAGGGGATGATCAGGTTATCCAATTTAATGAATTAATATATTTATAAATAAATTTTATTACAAATTTTAAAGTAGCTTACATGCCCTGAATTAGAAGCCACAAAGAATTGACCATCTAATAATGAAAAGTAGGAATTAATAACAGAAAACCGTAACATTTGAATATTTTAACTTGCGGTGGTCTGTCCCACAGACCCCGGCTGCATGACGGATGAGACACATACCCAGACACCAATATTCAGTGAAAGAGCAGCAAGGGTTCTGAGCCGATTACAGGCACCAAGGAAGGTGCTGTAAAGAGTCAGCAGCCACAGCCCTGGCTAGCTGGCCCTGTGGGCATTTATTAGCAAAGTTTTAATGATAAAGGCTTTGAGCCAACACACCTGTGGGTAATTAATCTGGGTGCCCCTACCCCAGGAGAGCCATCTTGCCTGTGGGTGATCAAAGGGTAGTCTTAAGACCACATGAGTAAACAAGCTATTTGGATAAACTACTCTACCTTTCTTTGTACCCACTTTAAGCTACTTACTCAAGGTAAGGATTAGGCTGCTTTCAGCCATAACCCTATCTTGAGACTTTTACAAAACCTTTGGCATTCCAAGAAGATTTGTGTCTATGTCCTATAACTTCATCTTAAAATGTTTCCCACCAGCCTGACTGAACTCCCACAATAACCTATGAAGAAACATGGTTTTATTTATTTATGTATTTTAGAGACAGGGTCTCCTTATGTTGCCCAGGCTGGTATTGAACTTCTGGGCTCTATTTAATTTTTACAATAAACGGTTTGCATTTAGTAAATGAGAATTAATTACAATGGAGTCTTGTGCAATATGAGAGTTAGGGTGCTGATCCCCCATGCAGCTGAAAATCTGCTTCATATGAAAATCTGTTTCTTTTGACTCCTCCAAACCTTTACTAATAGTCCACTGTTGACCTGGAGCCTTACTGAAAGCATAGTCAATTAACACATAGTTTCGATTTTATATGTACTATATACTGTATTCTTACAATAAAGTGAACTCGAGGAAAACTGTTACAAGGAGGAAAAAATATATTCACTATTTATTAAGTGGAAGTGAATTATTATACATAAAGGTTTTCATTCTTATTGCCTTCACATTGAGTAGTCTGATGAGGAGGCAGAGGAGAGATTTGTCTTGCTATCTTGCAGTGCCAAAGGAAAAGAAAAATCTGTCTGTTAGTGGGCTCCTACAGTGAAAACCCTTATTCAAGGATCAACTTTGTGACATAGTGACTTGTGTCACTAAGAAAGTAACTATCTTGGCCAGGCGCAGTGGCTCACGCCTGTAATCCCAGGACTTTGGAAGGCCGAGGTGGGTGGATCACAAGGTTAGGAGATTGAGACCATCCTGGCTAACATGGTGAAACCCTGTCTCTACTAAAAATACAAAAAAATTAGCTGGGCTTGGTGGTGGGTACCTGTAGTTCCAGCTACTCGGGAGGCTGAGACAGGAGAATGGCATGAACCCGGGAGGTGGAGCTTGCAGTGAGCCGAGATTATGCCACTGCACTCCAGCCTGGGTGACAGAGCGAGACTCTGTCTTAAAGAAAAGTAACTATCTTTAGAATAGTTAATAATACTTAATAATACTTTTCTGGCACCACGAACAAATGTCAACAAGAATTACAAAACTTAGCCAGGGTGCCTCAGTACCAATAGGAGATTATTTTCCAAAGATACCTACTGAGTGCAGAAGTCAGAAAAGCAATTTTTTGTTGAGAAGTGCAGGTTGTGTTACATAGTCTTGTACCAACAAGGTCTCACTATTATCAACTTCATTCCAAGCTGAAACCAAATAAGATATATTTACTTCATTAGAACAAGATATGTTGTTCTATCTGCTGGATAATTAGCGTGTTAATAGTAATTTTGTTACAACAAGATACTCTGTTTCTAATAGCCAAAATATTATCATTATAAGTATTCAAATAGCTTAACTCTAGGCTCAACAAATTATAATAAAATTACAAACATTTTTCACAATAACAAAAATGCTACTGTGATATCTAAATGTGACACAATGCATGGTACAATATGAACTGTATGAGCACATCTTTATTATATATTTATCAAAGGATAAATTATCAAACGATAAGTTAGGTTTTGCAAGTTGCAGGAGACAAAGATGGAATACACATAGTCTGGGTCTTTAAGGTGCTCATAATACAGTAGAGCTGTCCCTATTGAATTTCTGCATTTTTTCCAACAGAATTTCCTAAAAAATGTTTTTTATTTATTTATCCACTTGTCCACTTAACAAATAACTGTCAGGTATCTTTAAGGTACTAAGCATCTTCCTTGTTATTATCATTGTCATTTTTTATTATTTACTACTTTATTAAGGTACTAAGCATTTTTCTTGTTTTTATTATTTATTTATTTAGCGCTCATTCTGTGCTAGAACCCCTTTGGGAGCTTCTAATTACTTATTATGTCATGTCGTTACCATATTCAGCATGTGTCAGACGTTTTATATCCCTATGGATTTGAAGTGGGGTGCGTGGCACTCACTGAGTCTTCAAAGACCAGGTTTTAGGTGCAACTCATTTGGCAACTACAAACTTAGGTCACTGTTTGTATGTTACTTGCAGGATTCATGTACTTAGTTTTTAACTATTTATACTACTTTAAGTCTCTAAAAATTCATATATTGAAAAAATTGAAAATTTTAAGTTTCTACTCCTCATTACTTTTTGTGATATTTGATCTCCCCTAATACTTGATTATAAATCAGCCAGTGATCAATAAAGAGTCTCTCCCACTTTTCAAATCATTATATTTTTAAGTCATGCAATAAAATAGGTCAGGTGGTGAACATTGTTTATCATTAGAGATACCACTGTGATGTCACTAGGATTCGTGAGGAGATGACACCTGAGAAGAAGGATCTGCATAAGAGGCCTCACCTCTGCCCTCCTGTGTTTTTTTGGAAATTGAGCATGGTAAAAAGAACCTGCTAAACCTGGCTGGACACAGTGACTCAAACCTGGAATCCCAGCACTTTGAGAGGCCGAGGCAGGAGGATGGCTTTAGGCCAGGAGTTTGAGACCAGCCTAGGCAACAGAGTGAGGCCCCATCTCTGCAAAAGCATTAACAATTAGCCAAGTGTGGTGGCATGTGCTTGTGGTCCCAGCTGCTCGGAAGGCTGAGATGGGAGGATTGCCTGAGCCCAGGAGTTTGAGGCTACTGCACTCCAGCCTGGGCAACTGAGTAAGACCCTGCCCCTAACAAAAAAAGATAAAGAATCAGCTAAACCTAATAGAATCATTGACCCTTGCCACCAAGCAAGCTTACATCTTTCTCATAGAAGGAGGAGACTGTCGAGTTATTTTGCTCACATAATATGGCCATTGGAAAATATTTTGGCTATTATAGCTAAAACAATATTTTATTAATAACAGTTTATTAATCATTTACTTGTAAACAATAAAAGCTTGGCTCTCTTTGTACTGCTCATGGCTTTAGGTGGATCTTGGAACGTAACCACTTGTGAGAAGCTAGTAGTATTTGCTGCTTCCCTTAAAGCTCCTGAAAGGCAGAGAGGAAATCTTAGATTTTTCATTGCTATGAACCACTGCAAGTATTGAGGAAATATTCACTACTTCCAACGTCGTAATCCTGCAGCCATTTGGCACCTGTGAGTCAGGTGCCAGAAACTGGGCAGTGCAGAAGGCAGTGCGCTGTGTTCCACAGTTGCTTGCTATCTAGAACTTCTAGAACTTCTGCTTTTCTAGAACTTCTGCTGTTCATTCTCAACTCCAAGAGTTTTGTTGTTGTTTTGTTTTATGGGAAGTTTGTTAGAAGTAGGTTTATATATTTTCTTTCAGAATTAACAGAAGAATTATAATTAATATCACTTCCTGGTGTGACCGAAAGCCTCTAATCCTTTACTGTTATTTGTTTATGAGCACATTTCTTTTAACAGCTATGATAATTACTACATCTTGTGTGGTTTCTCAAAAATACATTTGTTTCTTATTTCAAAGAGTTTCTGTAATGGAGCCCTTCAGATTTGGTGCTAATAACATGAAGTAAGAATTTAAGAAAGAAGATCTTTTATTTTATTTATATTTATATTTTTTGAGATGGAGTCTTGCTCTTGTCACCCAGGCTGGAGCAGTGGCGCCATCTTGGCTCACTGCAGACTCCGCCTCCCGGGCTCAAGTAATTCTCCTGCAGGGTTTCACCATGTTGACCAGGCTGGTCTTGAACTCCTGACCTCAGGTGGTCCACCTGCCTTCGCCTCCCAGAGTGCTGGGATTACAGGCATGGGCCATCGTGCCTGGCCAGTTGCAAAATATTTAAATGTTACATACAGAGGTGCGAGGGAGATCCATATAGTACCATGTAAATTGCTTGAATCTTTTCAGAGTACTGTTTGTATGTGGTTTCAAAGCAGGGATTAATATATTTATTTTTATCTTTTAATTACAATTTGTATACCTATTCAAAAGTAGAGAAAATAGTAAAAGTAACACTAAAATACCCATTATTCAATTTCTGTGATCAAGATTGTCCTACATTTTGTTCATCTATCTGTTCATCTATCTTTACAGGAATATTATAAAGCAAATCACAAGGCCATTTTTTCTGTTCAGTGTGCATCCCTGGACAGCACTAAAGTTTCTTTATTTTTTTTTTCTTCAGCTTTTAAGTTCTGGGGTCCATGTACAGGATGTGCAGGTTCATTACATAGGTAAACGTGTGTCATAGTGGTTTGCTGCACAGATCAACCCATCACTCAGATATTACGCCCAGTATTGATTAGCTATTCTTCCTGATGCTCTCCCTCCTCCTGCCCCCACAACAGGTCCCATTGTGTGTTGTTACCCCTCATGGATCTGTGTGTTCTCATCATTCAGCTCCCACTTATAAGTGAGAATACGTGTTGTTTGATTTTCTGTTCCTGCATTAGTTTTCTGAGGATCATGGCTTCCAGCTCCATCCATGTCTTTGCAGAGGACATGATCTTGTTTCTTTTTAGGCCTGCATGATAGTCCATCGTGCACATGTACCAAATTTTCTTTATCCAGTCTAACATTGATGGGCATTTTGGTAGATTTCATGTCTTTGCTGTTGTGAATAGTGCTGCAGTGAACATACATGTGCATGTCTCTTTATAATATAATGATTTATATTATTTTGGATATATACCTAGCAATGGGATTGCTGGGTCAATGGTCTTTCTGCTTCTAGATCTTTGAGGAGTCAACACACTTCCTTCCTCGATGGTTGAACTAATTCTTGGCAAGCCTCCTAGCAAGCCTCTGTGTCAGCCTCCTAGCCAGCCAGCCTGAAGACTGGCCTCCCATGCAGCCAGCATTCCGAACAGCATTCCAGCAACCCTCTTCCCCTGCCAGAAGACTCGTGATTTGATTAGCCTCCCATGCAGCCAGGCTCTAGGCCAGCCTCCAAAAAACCGGCCTGCCACCAGGCCTCCAAGTCACATTCATCTTGCCGGACTCTTCAGCAAGCGTTTTAGGAAGCATTTAAGGCAGCCTCTCACACAGCCTCTCCCGCAGGCTCTTGGCCAGCCTCCTAGACAGCCAGCCTCCGATCCAGCCTTTCAGAAAGTCTCTAAGCGAATCTCCCAGACAATCAGCTTCCAGACCAACCTCCCATGCAGCCAGCGTTTTTAACAGCCATCCAGCAAGCCTCTTGCACAGCCAGACAATCTGCCACTCTGCCAGTTTCCTCGCCAGCCTCTTGGTTAGCCTCCCATGCAGCCAGCTTCTAGGCCAGCCTCCTAACAAGCCAGACTTGCATTCCGACTCTTAGCCAGATTCAGCCTGCCAGGATCTCAGCAGGCCTTTTAGCAAGCGTTTATGGCAGCCTCTCAGACAGAAAGCCTCTCCCACAGGCTCTAGGCCAGCCTCCCAGTGAGCCAGCCTCTCAGCAAGCCTCTATGCTACTTTTCAAGAGAGTCCTTCAGTACACCAGCCTCCCATGCAGCCCGCGCCTTGGCCAGCCTTCCAGCCAGCCTCTAGGTAAGTCTGTTAGCCAGCCGCTTAGCCAACCAGCTTCAGAATCAGCCTCCCATGCCACCAATGGCGTGGCCAGCCTCCCAGTACGCCTCTTAGAGAGCCTCTTAGGCGGCCTCCTGACTAGCCAGCCTCAAAACCAGCCTCCCTTGCAGCCAGCGTTTCCAACAGCCTCAGTGGGAGTGAAGGAGAAGGCAGCCAAAGTTTGAGGTTGATTTTAAGGTGGCCTTGTCCCTCTGCCCTGCAGGCCTTGTCCCTGTGCCCTGCAGGGCGCCCCCATCCCAGGACTGGGGGCCTGCCCAGGAAGAAGGCCCAGATACCGGGGCCCAAGATTTCTGCCCCGCTGCCGACCCACTCTTCCACCTGCTGCCTTTGTCCCGGGGACACCCACCACACCCCACGCTGAAGGGGCGATCCTCCCACAGCTGTCACCTCCTCCTGCAGCCCCAGCTCAGGCAGGGCACGGCGCCTCTTCTTCGCATCTTTTATGTTCAGGTCGATGGTCCTCGTCTTCACATCATCCCCTGCAAGCTTCCAGGCGTGGCCCCGGGAGGCAGCTCTGTGCATCTTTCTGATATCCCTATAGTGGATGACTTAAGAGTCTTTGGTGGTAGACCAGCTGAGTGAAGGCTCTCTGGCACTCCAGGCTTGTCACGCCCTTGACAGCAGTGGCAGAAAGCCTCTGCATGGCTGCAGCCACCTTTTAAGAGAGAGGCCGCTCCTCTCACTCGCCCTTCCCCAGCCCCAGCCCCAGCCCCAGCCCCAGCCCCCGCCGCTCGCCCTTGCCCTTAATCGCCACCACATCCGGCCCAACATCAGTAAAAAGTGTGGTCTAGTGAAGCCCTTGTACACTCCGGCCTCTTTCTAGAGAAATTTGTTGAGTAGAGCCGTGAGGCTTTCACGGGATCTTGTAGCCAGCCTCCTAACAAGCGAGCCTGGTACAACCAGGCTCTTAGCCGGACTCAGCCTACCAGGCCCTCAGCAAGCAAAATTAGCAAGAATTTGAGGTACCCTCTCACACGGACTCTCCGCCAGCCTCCTAGTCGGCCGCCTCTCACCCGGGTTCTTGGCAAATCTCCCAGCAAGCCTCTATGTCAGCCTCCTAGCCAGCCAGCCAGCCTGAAGACCGGCCTTCCATGCAGCCAGCATTTCGATCAGCGTTCCAGCAAGCCTCTCCCCCTGCCAGAAGACTTGTCATTCGACCAGACTCCCATGCAGGCAGGCTCTAGGCCGGCCTCCAAAAAACCGGCCTGCCACCCAGCCTCCAAGTCATATTCATCTTGCCGGACTTTTCAGCAAGCATTTTAGGAAGTATTTAAGGCAGCCTCTCAGACAGATAATTTTCTGGAATATTCCATTAAACATTCTTCTCTGATTAAATAACGCTTGCCTCACCATGGCAACATAAATCACTGAAAAATACTGTTTATCCGAAGAATAGTCTCTCAACTTGTGGGATAAATGATGTATAATTTTTAACCTTCTTGAGGGCAGATATTATGAGAAAATTTTTAATCATAAGAAAAACATTGCAGAATTATAGCCACAGTTTTAAAAATAAGCACATTATAATGATAATAAAATTGTAATACAACTAATTATAATGAACATATAAAAGAAGTCTCCCCATGGAGATTAGTATCATAAAACAATTTATATAATTTCACCAGCTATAGATTCACTGTTGGCATGTTACTTTTAATACATACTTGACTTTCAATTCGAAATCATTTTTTCATTAAATCCTGTACCTCAACTTTGAGATTAATGTGGTAATGTGATGCAGCTTCTAGTGAAGCCTCAGACACACATTGTTTATTGAGATCAGCCAATTTTTTTTGAAGTTGTCTCACAGTGACCTGACATGTTTGTTATTGATTTGTAAATCACCTTATCAAATTAACAATATTTACTTTCAAAAATATCACCAAATATATTGGTTCAGCTTATTTTCTTTATGTGTACACATTCCTGCTTATTACTGAATCCACTTAAGGACACAAGAAGGTATTATCTTCCTGCCAAACTGGTACTCTCTTACTAGACACCAGATTCATCCCACTAGTCATTTGTCCCCTAATGAATCTGTAATGCTTCACAACTTACTGAAGTCTCAAGAAAATATGTGGGCAGGACTAGTGGTGGTAAATTCTATGCTGTGGAATGCTTTCCTTCTTTTTTATTGAAGCACAAATCAACATCAAAGTTCCTCACATACTCAATCACCTGGTGAAATTTTTCCAACAGGTTTCTATCTCAGAATAAAAGTATTTTTGTTTCAAAGGCTTTAGAGGCCCTAGGTAACCTGGTCTCCACATCCCTCCTGACCGCAGCTGCTAAGTTTCTCTCCTCTACTCACTTTTTTTGTACTATACATGAACCCTGCCACCCCCCATGAATTGAAAAATGGGGATCCAATGCAAAGCTAATAAATCACAGATAGCTACAATGATCTTTCTCTGGGACAAAGTTCTATCCACATGACAGTCTTTGAGCCTTGAAATAGAAATTATGAGCAAATTATTTGTAACAATATTCAAAGTAAATTATAAATACCAGTGGGATGATTAAATCAAATTTGATATTGCTAAAATCCACTACATTTGTCCTAAGCTATTATTTAATAAAACACAGATGGCTTTAAAAAATTAAGTTGTCATAACAATACATAATTTGAGATTCAGATATGTTCAGATTTAAGTCAAATTGACATAAATGAAAATAAAATTCTACCAACTAAAATATACAAAAAGTTACTGAAAAAGTAGTATTACAAGATGCAGAAATGTACACTTCAAAATATACTTCAAATACACTTCAGTTCCTCTGGAAAATTTAGAATTAACTGTCAAAGTAAATTGTTGAATCAATTTCAAAATACTCATTGCTGATATGGGCATTCCCATTTATCTGTTTCATCGTGGTCATAAAATGTGGCCACAAAGAGATATTAAAACCTTTATTGGCCGGGTGCGGTGGCTCACGCCTGTAATCCCAGCACTTTGGGAGGCCGAGGCGGGTGGATCATGAGGTCAGGAGATCGAGACCATCCTGGCTAACAAGGTGAAACCCCGTCTCTACTAAAAATACAAAAAATTAGCCGGGCGCGGTGGCGGGCGCCTGTAGTCCCAGCTACTCGGGAGGCTGAGGCAGGAGAATGGCGTGAACCCGGGAAGCGGAGCTTGCACTGAGCCGAGATTGCGCCACTGCAGTCCACAGTCCGGCCTGGGCGACAGAGCGAGACTCCGTCTCAAAAAAAAAAAAAAAAAAAAAAAAACCTTTATTTCAGCAGTATAAGCCAATGTCATTAATGTTAATCTATTAAAAACCTTTAACTTAAATTCTTAAAATTTCATAAGTGACACAATGTCTTAAAGTAAAACATCTCTCAGCTTTAACTTGCATTTGGTGGAAATAAGCCATGTTTCTAAGCTGACATGGTAAATATATTTATTATCTATATTAAACTAGATTCAGCATTTATCTAAGGCCAAATATGACTTTAAATTTTCTTTCAGGAAGGTTGAAAAATATTTATTTTTTTTGATACTTCTCTTTCAGCTTTCTGTTTTTCATATTGGTATAAACATTATTTTAAATGGTTACAGTTATTAAATATCTCCTCATTTTTCTCTTTTAGGAGGTGATGTTGCGTTTTCCTCTCAAAACTGAATATTATTATCTTGCTTTTGTTATCAGCTTTCTTATGCACCTGAACTAATTGCTGTGGAAGCCACATGTTTTTGCTTTGTAGTTGAAATAATTTCTGCTCCAGACTCCTGCTGTTCAGTGTGCTTGGTCACATTATCTTGTTTGTTTTGATACATGTGTTCAGCTTTCTTCATTTGACACTATGTTTCACTTAGGTCTCTTTGTGCATGTTCTAAAACCTATGTATTTTCTCTTTGAGCGTCTCCTGCATAATTGAAATTAATTTTTAGACTTTTGGATTCCCTTTGAGCTTCAGAAAGTGGTTGATGAAGCTTCTCATTGTTATATATTATTCACATCAACATTCATTTTTCCTTGCAAATGAGCACTGTGGAAAGCAAGTTCTTGGTTTTTTCTTGATGTCACACTTTATCTTGGTCTTGTATAGCAGAAGCTAGTCTAGAATGGTATGATTCAATTTCTTTCTCCAGTATTTCTTTGTCTTGTTTTTCCTTCAATTTAGAAGTGAGCATTGTGTTCTTAGCTATCAGAACTTTAAGCTGCCCACTATACTGAGGTGCCCTTTTTGTTAATGTTTTCTCTTTCAGTTTTAGGGTCATTTGAAGTTCAGCATTCTTTTCTCTTAAAATCTTAATGTCCTCAAAGTATTTATTTTCCTTCTCCTGGTGCTGATGTTTTAGTATGTCCAATTTGCAGTTTTAGCATGGCAATTTCCTTTTTCAACATGCCATTTTCATGTAAGAGATCATTTTCATTTTCATAAGCATGAGAAACCTAAATAAAATAAATTTTTAGCTAGCACTCAATAAAATGGGATATCATGGTTCCTCTTAAAGAATAATTTTTACATTTATCCACTGAAAGGGTTTCTGTAAGTAGGTATCAGTTGAAGAACCATTGAATCAAAACTTCAAATGCTATAGAGCATAAATTCCCCAAAGTTCAAACATTTATTTGAACACAATGAATTCATGAAAGTAAAAAAGAAATGACTAGAGAATTTTTAAGAGCTTCAGAATTGAAACAAACTTTCCCTGGATTACAACACATGCAAAAGCATAAAATAAAAGATTAATCACTTTGACTACATACAAAAATTTGATTTACACCCTGATGTCTAACCTATACAAGACCCCATACTAGAAGCCTTAGTGTGTAGGGAGACCCCTTGAAACTATTGCTTTGGAATAAAAGGTGAAATACTCCTGATTATTGTAAATACAAAATTGCATGCAGGATTGTGTAAAGACAATGCCAGGTTGGACTGCCAGAATAAGCCAACAGTGCGTGATACGCTTCCCCCTGCAGAGAGCCTATGAACGGATATGCAGTCAGGGAGGTTTCACATCACCATGATTCCTATCCCAGAAAAGCAGATGTTCATAGCTCTGGGAATGGAATGTGACTCTTGTGGAGAGCCTATAAGCGAACGCATGAGGGGCGCCTGTTTATATGGATAAGATGGGGCTATAAATGCCCTTATCTTGCCTCGGCTCTTCTAGGCCTCTTTAGGGTTAAAGCATACTCCCTTCTGAGAATTTGTGGTCTAACCAGTTGTCTAGCTTCACGTCCTGTTTCTATGGATTGTTTGCAACCAGCTTTTGCTGCAACTGTTACTGCTGATTAATATCTTGCTAATCATAGGTTATGGAAAGACTGTGTTTCTGTTTTAAGGCTCTGTTAGAAATTGCTGATGCACACACTATATTGTAAATTCTTATCTCTGTATGCTGTACTTCTGCATACTGATGTTATGTTAAATTACTTCACCCTCGTGACCATCTCACCTCATAATCAAATGACCATAAATCCCTCACTAACCTATCCCCACCCTCACTAAACTTAATAATAAATGCTGGTATATCCAGTGCATTGGCGGCATCACAGGACCAGAAGGTGGTGACCCCCCTGGACACAGCTTTCACTATCTTGTGTGTGTCTTTTATTTCTCAACCTGCCAATCCGCCTGGGAACAAAGAAGGAGCCCTGTTGCATTGCGGGCTGCTGGCCAGTTCCCCCAATATTAGTGCTGCTTATATTTAGACAGATAAAATTTCCCAAAGCCCTTTCATTTCCTTTTTCCTGAGAATATTCTATAGATATTCTATTTTTAAAAATATAATTTTAAGAATTATATTTATAAATTATAAGTTGAGACATTGTAACAAGCACTTTTAGTTATCACAGTTCTGAAAGGAAAAGATTAAAAATATAAACAAGTATTTTCCTTATATTCCATACACATTAAGATTAAAAGTGTACAATTAAAGGAAATTGATTCTTGGGGGGAGAGGAATGGCCGTTTCACACTCTCTTTGTTGAACTGTAAATGAATATAAATTTTCTTGAGAACAATTTGGAAGTAATGAACAAAGAACTTTTTAAAACTTCCTATAATTTAACCAAATATTTTTATATTGAAGAATTTATTCCAAATCAATAATTAGAAAGGTAGAAAAATATTTACTTGCAGTTATGCCTTGCAGCACTTATAATACAAAAAATTAAAAATCAAAAAAATTAATTTGTTAAGTAAATAATGGGATTTCCAAATAATGGCCTTCTATATAGTCATTAAAATTGTGATTTAAATAAATATGCATTTAATTATCAGTAGAAGTATTCAAAGTTAAGAACTTGTATTATTTAAAGGAATTTGACACTCTACAAGACAGGTTTTTT
The DNA here is from genome assembly GCF_000001405.40 of Homo sapiens. Classification (NCBI taxonomy): domain Eukaryota; kingdom Metazoa; phylum Chordata; class Mammalia; order Primates; family Hominidae; genus Homo; species Homo sapiens. Next base: position 45,174,733 of record NC_000010.11, on the reverse strand, counting down.
TCTGCAGTTAAACCTCAGAAGGTAAGTCAGCTATTACAAAAAGTATCCTACATAATTTTAGTATAAATAGTTGAAATATTTATTTAAAACTAGGATGTCATACCTCACACTGCAGAGCTCTTGTTCCCATTTAACCTTTTGATTCACTTACTGCAATTTTATTTTTGCTTCTGATAGTTCCTTTTGTAGTACCCAAAACTTATTTTTCATTTGTTTTATTTTTGCTGTAAGTTGTTCACAGTGATATTTTTTAAGTTCCCTTGCTCTTTCATGAGAAGGAACTGCACCCAAGAATATTGATAGGCTAGTTGAATCTGTCTTGAGGAGGAGATAGAAATAAAATATATTAGTACTTTGGGATATAAAGGACAGCATATTTTAACAATCACTAATTCATACACTGAACAAATATATATTGATTGCCTACCACACCTGGCTAATTTTTTTGTATTTTTAATAGAGACAGGGTTTCACCATGTTGGCCAGGTGGGTCTCAAACTCCTGACCTGAAGTGATCCACCCACCTTTCCCTCCCAAAATACTGGGATTACAGGCATAAGCCACCACATTCTGCCTCAATAAATAATTTTGATTTAAAAATAATGACAAGCATCAATATTTTTTATTTCAAATCTTTTTTAAAACACATTTCCTTACTTTAAAGGCAATTAGATTTCAGGCTGTTCACATATTGAAAACCAAGACATTTCAAGAGAAAACCTTGCATATGCTCTGTAGAACACGCTTATCTTTTATCTTCATGTGGCTATTGACTGGGTTACTGAGCATGAAAAATAAATCATATTCACAAAAAAATTCACGTGTGTATATTTCAAAAGGAATTAACTTCAAAGTATCTGCCTTACACTGTAGTCCTCACCAAAAATAATAGGGCATTGCAAACAAAATACAATATGATTAAACATTTGACATATGCATAATTACAGAATTTTTGTTAAAAACTATGCATGGCACGAGAATTTTCAGAGTATGTCATGCGGAGTAGGAAAAGAACTCTAAATCTGTTTCATTTAGGAAAACAAAGGCTTAAGAATAATTTTGATAAGTTTTTGCTGATAACTGCTTGAATAAAATGAAAGATTCATAAGGAAAATATATATTTGTTATTTTTAAATGAAAACAATCATTAGATAAAGTATGCAATTGATTCTTAAGACATAACTTCAGAAAAGTAGAGCAAGCCTTCACAAAAAGAGAAAAATAAAAACATGTATTCGTGAAACATCTAACATGTGCCAGACACATATGTGCAGATTTTTCTTCACCTTAGAATAATGAGGATGATGATGATGTTGGTGGTTACCCCACTTTCTGCTTCCTAGTCATTCTAGGTTGTTAAGAACAAAATGATGAACAAATATGGTCCACTGTTCTCTGTTCAGAATGTCTTCCTCCTAGACTTTCATATGGCTTACTCCTCATCTTTGAGACAGGAGATTGAATGGCAGTCGCAGAAAGATCTACTCTGACCATAGAATTCCACTGCCACTCCCATACCCATGCTAATTATAAAGTTCTTCAATTTTCTCTAACCAAACATTCTCTGTTTTGTTTTTAAGAAAAAGTTACAGTGATTTATAAGTGTTTTTCATTTGTTATTATCTTCCTACTACTGCAGCATAATCCCTCATCTTGGATATTCAGAGACTCACTGCCTAGCACACAGTTGGTACTTAGAAAGAAATTACTCCAGGTCAAAACATTGAAAATCTCAACAGGAAAGTCTAATTTTCCAAACTGCTATATTTCTATGGAAAATCTGCAGTGGTAGCCTGCTGAAAGTTACCATCCTCTTACCCAAAATTAGAAATCCACATGCCTGTTCTTACTCCCTATTCTTGTGCTAACAATTCTGCTTTCACATAAATGCCACTTTGATCGTTTTGTCTTACATTTGGATACAGACTTCCCAGTTTACAGAATGTTTTCACATTTGTTACAACATTATTTCATCTCATGTACCTAAGAGGTAGATATGAGCACTATTTTTATATACAAGGTTACTAGTATTTGATTAGGTTAAATGATTTTTTCCAAGTTCCCATAGCTAGTAAGTGACAGAATCAAAATACAGACTTACCTTTTGACATCCACTCATTGCTGTTACCACTATGCAGCTGCTGCTTCTATCTTAAGTGGTGAGGCCTTTCCTATCTCTTCCACATCCATAGCTGTGACCTTGGAATACATCATTATTATCTGATACCTATGTGGTTGCAAACATGGCTGCCACAAAGGGACTCAAAGAGTTCTATTTGTGAAAAGAATGTCTACTTATTAAAATACTACTCAACCAAATTGTTGTGTTATAGTTTTACAGGTGTCCTATTTCTCATGTTTATCCAACTCCTGAAATGTTCCTTCAGATCTATACTGGATAATCGAAATATACTAATACTTTCAAGTCCCAGGCATTATCTTTTCAAGTTCCAAGTTGAGCAACACTAAGACTACAGTTTAAACTCTTTCTCCCTGAATCCAAGTAAAGCTTTCATACATCTAGATATACACAGAATCATGTATTTGCCCATAAATGAATGCAGAGAAATTATTTTGTTTTTAGACAAACTTATCTTCAGAACTCAGATTCCTGGTTTCTTCTATGCCTTATTTTCTTTTGCTCTATTCTACACTGGCTTTGTAAATTAATCCTGCAAATTAGCAGAATTGCACTATGCAGCTGTTATCTACTTGGCATATGATTATAAAGTATGTTCTGATAAATGTCAGAAAATTTCTTATGGCTTATGGACACATGCAGACGTGAGACAAAGTCATCTTTTTATGTTTTAAGATTACTCATTACTTAAGTTTTAAAATAACAACAATACACGGTACCTCAGAAACTGAAGGTGATTTCGTATCTTCTTTTTGTCCTGACTCTGATGTGGGCATCTTATCTACAGAATGGTATTCACAGACACACATATGAGAACATTTATTACTGTAAATTATAAAAACATACACAAATCTATTTCCATTTATGAATATTTCAAAAAGTAATAGCAAATATAGAATTTCAGAATCAAAGCAGGTTCAGAAAATTGATAGTATGATGAAAGATAGCAAAAAGTATTTTTTAAGGTAGACATTGTATTTCAGTCTATAAAATTGTTTTCTAAATAATAGCATTTAAGCATAGAAAAATTTTCAGAGATACTAACTTACCACTTCTATTATTTTGGTATAAAAAAAGAAAATTGTCATTACTTGTTAGATCTTATGGCGCTCATTCAATAATTCCAATATCATTTTCTTGTTGTTCAGTTGCTGTCTTTGTTGCTTCCTTCTATTACAAACAAAAACCAAAAAGCACCAAAAAACAACTTCAGAAAAAACTTTATTTATTCACTCATTCACTCAATTTGTCAGTAAGACAAAACAAAACACAAACAAAAAAACCCATACATTGTATCTATCGAATCACAGGCACTATCCTGGGAGAAGCAGGAAATATACACAGAAGATAGATTCTGGCCTATATTCAAGAAATGTTAGAGACGTGAAAACAAATAAGAACAGAAAAGTATAATTCACCAGTTCTACAATTTAAGTCAATATAATACATAAGGGCACAAAGGAGAGAACAATCAGTTTTATCTGAAAAGCATAGAAAATGCTGCCATAATGGGGCCATATTGGGAAGGACAGACAAAGTGCAGAGTCAGGATACAAAGACTCTAGGTGCAATAGCATGTGTAAAATAATAAGGCATGAAACAACATGGCAATTGAGGGGTGCCAAGGTGATGTCGTAAAACTGGAACACAGAGGAAAGAGATGAAGAGATAAAATGGGGCCAAACCATATAAGATATGTGTCACGCTAGAATGTGAACTTACCCCTTCGTGTAATGGGTATTCACTCAATATGCAGATGAGTTACATCATTACAAATACATTTTAGAAAGGTGACCCTTCCAGCGATGTAAAGATAGATGAACATGGGGAGATGGGGCAAAACTAGAAAGGAGTACTTCAAAATTATAGGTAGAGAGTTAATTATGGTAATAAGATATGGAAAATTATAAGAAGGTAGAAAATACAAAATTAGGTGTGTGACTGGATGGGTGACATGGAAAAGGGTTGAAGTTTAGGATGTGGGGGAGGGTTGAAGTGCAGGTTTAAGTGCTTGAGTGTTTCACCGCTACTTCCTAGGTGTTATTTCCTAGGATGGGGAAACCAGATGACAGAGTAGATTACGAAGAGTCAGAAAACAGGAACAGAATAAAAATGATGCTTTCAGTTTGAGACCTATAAGATTTGGGGCACCCAAGGGGCTTGGAAGAAAGATCTGGATAAATACATTTGGAGTATGAGTAGATGACCTACATGAGGAAAATTACATAGTGATAAGATAAATATTTATAAGATAGGCTAAATGGGTAGAATTAAGTAACCTATGCAGACTGTTGAATTTTTGAAAGTGAAATCGGGCCAGGTGCAGTGGCTTACGCCTGTAGTCCCAGCATTTTAGGAGGCCGAGGCGGGTGGATCATGAGGTCAGGAGTTTGAGCCCAGCCTGGGCAACATGGTGAAACTCCGTCTCTACTAAAAATACAAAAATTAGCTGGGCGTGGAGGCGCATGCCTGTACTCCCAGATACTCGGGAGGCTGAGGCAGGAGAATCGCTTGAACCTGGGAGGTGGAGGTTGCAGTGAGCCGAGATCGTGCCATTGCATTCCAGCCTGGGTGACAGGGTGAGACTCTGTCTCAAAAAAAAAAAAAAAAAAAAAAAAAAGAAAATCAAAGGAGAGACAAAAACATGGGATTAAGTTTCTCAGTTATATATTTCCAAATTTGTTTCAAGAAAATAATTTTATTTATATAGGTAAATATTTCTGAAATATTGCAATATGCATCTTTGAATTGAATGAAAACATTTAATTCTAAAACACCAAGATTCTGCAAAAGAACCTTTATAAAAATTAACTTTGAAATTTTTAATTGTACAAGAGAAATGCTTACCTAATTATAGAATTATGAGGCATTTTTAATTACCATTATAAAGTGAGATAGAAATGTGAAACCCTGTTTTAAAATTCACATGTTTTTCTTATGTTCCTGTAAACAATAGAATGCTAGCTCACATTGCCTATTTACACCATATAGGATGGTAGTTTAAAATTGGAGAAAAGATCTCATATAAAGAAAATTAACCAATAATTATTCAAGTTGAAGATTTAATAGTTTTTACATACATCTATGATTGTCAAGCAGGATCCAGTATTTACAGGAGAAGTGAAGAAAGAAACTACAAAATTCAAGTCGACAGGATTCCTGAGTTTTAGAAATAAACAAATATATGTGCAAGGTTTAATAATTATGAAGACTAAGTTAAGGCTTCCTGGAAATAATATAAAATATCCCGATTGCAAGAGATATTTTTAAGAGCAAAAAAATTCTTCCAATGATAAGTTTGTTTACTCTGTTAACAATTTTCCTTACATATGATTCTATAATAATAGGTACTTTACTTTAAAAAATTCACAAAGATTGATTACATTCATTTGATGTGTGCATATAATACCATTACATACAGATATTATGAGCAAAAGATGTCAGAATATTTCTAGAGATTAATTTCTACATTTATTTCTTTGAGAGTGTTGTAGCTTAAAAGTGATTCTTCTTTTTTTTTTTTTTTTTTTTTTTTTTTTTTTTGAGATGGAGTCTCGCTCTGTGGCCCAGGCTGGAGTGCGGTGGCGCGATCTCAGCTTACTGCAAGCTCCGCCTCCCAGGTTCACGCCATTCTCCTGCCTCAGCCTCCCGAGTAGCTGGGACTACAGGCGCCCGCCACCACGCCCAGCTAATTTTTTGTATTTTTAGTAGAGACGGGGCTTCACCATGTTAGCCATGATGGTCTCAAGAAAAAAGATTTTTCTCTTTTAAGAGATATAGATTAAAAACCTTGTTCATATGATCAGAAAATTTAATTTTAATAAGATTAAATAAAATGCTTATTTATTTATACTCTATTAACAAAAATATTCAAAACAGCTACCAAGGTTATATCAAAGAGTAGGATAAATTAGTTAAATAACCTAAGAATATGTCAAACATTAAGTTAGAAATCTTAAACCAGAAACCAAAGAGTCAAAAATTAATAATTCACAATAAAGCTGACAAGGCCTAAAACCAATTTAACTTTGCATTCTGCATTAATATAAGTATGACTAGATTAAATATAAAACATAAAGTTACTAAAAGAAGTGAGAATTCTTTCCTTGTTAATAATTTTTTTGTTCACACAATATAAATGTATATGTTTCGAGGGTACATATAATAACTTAATACATTCACATAATGAAATCAGAATAGTTGAGATATTAATCACCTTAAGTATTTATCTTTCCTTTATGCTAGAAACATTCAAACTATTCTCTACTAGGTATTTTAAAGAGTACAACAAATTGCTCTTACCTATACTCGTCCTTATATTTTCTTTCAGCTTTTTGTTAAAATCAGCTATAAGTCAGTCAAAAACACCTGAGCAGTGTTTTATTACCTGGCTATGTTTTCTTAATTTTTATTTTAAATAATTTATATTATATCTTTTATTCTAGAGAGTTCCTGCTCTCATTTAAACCACTATTTTTGCTGTGTTTTTATAATAGTCTGTCTCATCTTCACTCTCTCATGTAGTCTCTATGTTTATCTTACCCTTCTTCAATGAATAATTTCCTTTCATCCCCCTTCATCTAATTTATTATTATACAAATATGGTGGTATCCATTAGATTTTTTTTTAACCAAAATAACCTAGGACAAAAATTTACCATTACATAGATTATAGAATTGTAGAAATAATTAAAATGTTAAATTACATGTTATATTTTGAAATATCTCTTCACAATTTACAGTTGTATTAATTACCTCTTGTATGGAAAAGTGTGAGAGCTTAGTTTTTAATAGTACCTTATTTAACTGGGTTTGCATTGAAATAGCATAGGTTGTTTCTATTCTGTGTGGCAAAAAGCTAAGTATAAATAATTGTATAAATTCTGCTTCTTCCAAGAAACAGAGAAAAAAAGAATAAATCATGGGGGGCGGCAATGATTGATTAATGAAAATAATACATAGCAACTAAATAGAAACCTGTAAATAAATATGCTGACAATTGAGACAGAGATGCCCTAAAAAGCAGACACTGAAGAAATGTATTCTGTGAGAAAAAAGTCTGGGGTAAATCATTTTTAAAAAGGTGAAGGAGGAGGGAGAAACAAACAAGAGACATAACCAGTCAATCAAGTATGAGCTTCAGTCATGAAAGAAAAGGAAAAACAACTACTATATAAGACATGTGATGAAATACGTAAAATACAGACTTCTGTTCATAATATATTCCTATAATGCTGGTCAGTATTTGCATTACAATTAGTTATTTTGTTAATACCTGTGTAATAAAGATTTTAATTTCATTATTATATAATAAGACACTCAATTAGTTAAACATGGTCTTCAGCCAATACCTAAAAGCTAGAACATTTTTACTACAGAGAGACAAAATTTAAAAAGGAATGTTTCGTAAACTTTTCACCTGAAGAAAGTTTTGGTAATCAGAATTCTAAAGAGTAATGTATTCCTTGAAATGATATGTTTAATAGAACATGAGTTTCGGCTGGGTGCGGTGGCTCACGCCTGTAATCCCAGCAGTTTGGGAGGCCGAGGCTGGTAGATCATGAGGTCAAGAGATCAAGACCATCCTGGCCAACATGGTGAAACACTGTTTCTACTAAAAATACAAAAATTAGCTGGGTGTGATGGCACACGCCTGTAGTCCCAGCTACGCAGGAGGATGAGGCAGGAGAATTGTTTGAACCCAGAAGGCGGAGGTTGCAGTGAGCCGAGATCATGCCACCTGCACACCTGCACCCCAGCCTGGGCAACAGAGAGACTCTGTCTCAAAAAAAAAAAAAAAAAAAAAAAAAAAATGAGTTGAGACTAAAATATATTTAAATATATTAAAATTTTTTTAATCTAAACTCCACTTGGAGGATATAGTGTAACCTTCTTTCCTGTTTACTACATACCTCTGATTTATTGTCTTATTTAAGACATATTTTCTCAAGATAACTCACATGAATTTATGCATTCTAAATATTAAAAGAAAATATACATTTAAGCCATATTTTGGAAATGCATTAGATTTTATTATAAGATATATTATGCATATTATCTTACTTGTAACATTTCATTACATAAAAATTCATTTTTCTGCTTATTTATTCACATTGAAAACTTTTAAAACTCTTTTTATAGGCAAGACTGTATTCTGGGTACACTAGGCTGCACACAAGTATGTTTTCTAACCTGCAGTATCTTATAGTGATGCAAGAACTTCAAAACGATTATTTAAACAACTCAATACAAAATCTTCCAAAATTTAAAATTTTCAAATGTGATAAAAAATCTTTTAACAATATGTTTAAAAATTGCAATTTAAAAATTCTGAAATTAAAATTCTACCATATGCTTAGTAAGATTCTCTGCTTCCATACACTGGTTGTTTACTTGGGGTAAAACCTGCATTCTTCATTGAGATGAAGAGTGTAAAATATACTTTTAATGAAATAATTTAGAAAACACACTGGCATGCCTTAATAATACAGACTCTGAGAAAGAGAATTTACATTTCTAAATTTCTACAATTATTTTTTAAAATTAGAGATAGGCCGGGCATGGTGGCTCATGCCTGTAATCCCAGCATTTTGGGAGGCCGAGGAGGGTGGATTACGAGGTCAGGAGATCGAGACTGTCCTGACTAACAAGGTGAAACCCCATCTCTACTAAAAATACAAAATAAATAAATAAATAAATAAATAAAATAAATTAGCCGGGCATGGTGGTGGGCACCTGTAGTCCCAGCTACTCAGGAGGCTGAGGCAGGAGAATGGCATGAACCCAGGAGGCGGAGGTTGCAGTGAGCCATGACCGTGCCACTGCACTCCAGCCTGGGTGACAGAGCGAGACTCCATCTCAAAAAAATAAATAAAAAATAAAATTAGAGATAAGGTCTCGCTATGTTGCCCACACTGGTCTCAAACTCTTGGGCTCAAGCAATCCTCCTGCATCAGCCTCCTTGGTAGCCGGAACTACAGGCATGTACCACCATGCCCCCAAAATTTTCACAATTTCTAATATTATTTTGGTGTAATTAAAGAACCAAGAAGAGAAACTGAGAAAAAGCTCTCTCCTAAAAACTACATGATATCAAAATAATACGTGCAAAAAAAACCCTATATGCTATGTGGCACAGTTTTGGAACTGAACAGTATCAGAGAGATTCCTTGATTACTATAGTAAGTAACTGGATCCATTAAATATAAATTTAAGCATGAGTTTTTTAAGTGACAATAGAATAATTTTAAAAGTCACAGTAAGTACACTTATCCAAATAAACCTTTACCAGATTTTATATATTCTGTATTGTGGAAAAGTTTTTTCTAATATAATGTTCCTATCACTATGTATTCTCCAGTCCATTCCTTTTGTTGGCACTCACACCCTCAAAATATTTACCAATCATTTGTTATTTACTAAAGTAAAAAAAAAAAAACGTTAAATCAACTACTCATATTTCCATAAAATGTTTTTATCTGACCAACTTTATATTACCAACATGAAATAATGGTAATTACACCACTGCTAAACATGAAAAGTAAATACTATACAGAACTAGATTCCAACTGAGAAAATCAACTTCACAAGAGACCATTTTACATTGGTAGCAAGATTAAAGTCTTCCTTAAGTTTTGTAGACTGTGAATTTTCAATAGTCAGTTTGCTGAACAGATTTTAGAGAAAAAAAGATACAACAAAAATAAGCAAATTCATATATTTAAAAAGAAAATCTGCTAGTTCATATCTTGGTGCTCACTCCAAAAAATGAAAACAAAAACCAAAATCTGGGAAAAATCAGTCTTTGTATATTAAATCATGCTTCTTGGTATAATTAAAATATGCCCTCTGTTTTTAAAAAAGATTTTAGTTACCTATTTTTGACTCTACCTCCCCAACCTATAACATCCAATGAAGACTGACTCTTAGTTCCATAATAAGTAGTGACAGCCAATATAATTGGCATACCCTGAGTATAATTCGTCCTCACAAACTGTCCTTAATGATTAACTGAAAATCTACTTAATGGCTGACATAACTTTTGATATCTAAACTGGAACAAACTTGATAACCTAAAATGAGGTAGAAAGATACATTTACCTTGTTTCTTCTCCATTATCTATCTCTGATTCAAAGACTAATCTGTGTCACTGGAAAATGACATTCTTTGTTTTTCAGCATAAAAACCACTTAAGAAGGCCCTGTTGCTTCCCTTCACCCTAAAACACTGCAGAGAGTGCCCTGAAATATTTGAAATGTTGAAAAGCTGAACCTACAAATGTCAAAACACAAATGTATATTTGTTATTGGGAATGTTTTTCTCAACAAAAATTGAAACATTAAAAATAATAAAATCTAATTACTTATTTTGTACTTGTCTTTCCTTATTCAGGTCTACATAAACTAGAAAAGCCTTAAAAATCTTCATAGGTACTTATACCCAAGGAGAGAGACTGCTAGAAAAACTGAGTCCTGATAGTTGGATTTCTCTAAATACTATATTTACACAGAGAGAAAGATCTGGAAGTGGGAGCCACTATATATAGTAAAAGTGTCTCCCACTTCCAGATCTTTCTTCTGCAGAGCTTCATGGCAGTCTCCAACCTTTAAATATTCTGCTCATCAAAGCACAGATTACTGAAAAGATAAACTCAATGACCAACCTAGAAGCTCTGTATTTACCTGTTCCTGGAAAACAACTAAATGGAGTCTCAGTCAGTCATTCACCTCCAGCGTAAGCATGTTATCAAAAACCCAACTGAACCATGACTTATTTGACAGCCAATCTTACCCCTGCTTTACATGTACATGGGTAAGACATCAGAGGCTTGGAAAAAGAGGCAAAGGGGAGGGGACACCTGCCCTGGGCCACAGATCTATGTAATTCAGCAACCTTCAATCCCCTAGCACTCAAGGGGCTCTAAGCCACTCCTGTGAGATTTGGGGTGAAAGAACACAATAGGACATTTCTATCTGCTTGCAGAGAATTTTTGCAGTGGCTTTTTTTTTTAATCTTTCAATAGAAAGCATGAAGTGTGTCCATTTCTCCAATTAAAGAAGCGAAAAAGCAGCGACCTATTCAGGACTTCCTTTGAACCCTATTTTAGTATGAGTTTCTAGATAACTCCCAATGTCATCTGTGTTTTTGTTCCTCTAATTTATCTTCATCAAACTTGTCATAAGATCCAATATTCTGATCTCTTTGGTAAAATCCTTACTCCTACCAGTCCTGGGATTGTTTCTCTTCAAACTTGGCCTTTCCCTGGTAATTCCATTCTTATCTACTTCCACTGGGTTCTCCAGCTAATTCCATTCTTATCCCTTTCCATTTGTTTAATTAGACCCATTCCCTTTTCTTTCTATTATTCAAACACTCACTCACATGATGTTATAAAAACAAGAGTAATGGGCTTTGAAATGAGTTTAAATATTACTTCTGCTACCTCTGATATTTAAATAAGTCACTTTGAGTTTCAGATTCTCCATCTGAACAACCATTTTTCCAGGATATTAAATACAGATTGAAATATGAAAGTATTTTGATTAGTCTCCAAGAGTCCTTACAATCCTAAAATTCCATGTGCTTTTAATTTTAGCTATAGAAAAATGGGGCTGGTGGAAAGAATAAAATCATACACGAAAAGAACACCGAGGAAAGCAGAGAAGAAAGTAACCAGGAAAAGACTATAGAAAAGTCATGGAAGAAGAAAAAAGACTCTAAAAAAAAATGAAGAGTGCATGCAACTAGGCAGGGTACTGCTTTGAAGAAAAACTAAACTGGGAAGTCAGTAAATAGAGAAATCTATAAGAAATAGCCTCTAAATATGATTAATATAACATATCTATATGTAGATATTCTCCACTAAGAGTAAAATAATTCATCTATAGGATTCACCAGGTCTTGCTTATGAAACAAAAACCTATGTCTTGTGGCCACAGCTAAGTAAGGTCTGCTCTAAAAACTTTGGTAATAAAAACAAGGTACTGGTTATCACTTTGACTATTAAACATATTAGAACAAAGTCTTGGATTAACCAGTGTTCTAAGGGAAAACTCTAAAAAGAGGTAACATATAACAAAATGTGACTTTGTGAATTGATCCCATCTGGACCTGTACCTTGATTCTAGTGATGCACAGGTCTCCATCAATCTATGCCTTGGGGCAAGAGAAGGGATTTGGGAGCAAGGTAGGCTGATGGCAAACTCAAGGGTCAGCTACTTTTTAGCTGTGAAATCATAGGCCAATTAATCAACCTCTCTGAACCACATTTGCCTGGTTAATACAAAGTAGGTGATAGTAGCACAGATGCTTTGCAAAACTGTGTGATGACTATGTGAGATAATACATATTAAGCACATGTTGTCTATCCCAGAGTAGAACACTCAAAAGATACTGGTTTCTTTATATTTTCTGAGTTAACATACATGTTTTAAAAAACTGGAAAGTCTTACCTGAATATAGACTCTACAGAACTCACATCCACTATTAAAGAAAAAAAGTAAAATATATTAAATCAACAAATATAAATAAAAAATACAGAATATTAAAAACATAAGAGGGCATGATGGCACATGCCTGTAATCCCAGCTACTTGGGAAGGTGAGGCAGGAGGATCACCTGAGAAGCCCAGGAGTCTGAAAGCAGCCTGGGAGACATCATGAGACTTCAACTTAATTTAAAAGAATCATGCACACTTTCGTGCATGATTCAGGTCTTGTTTAAAAAAGCATAATACTCCAATACTTTGTTACAAAGACTCAGATGATTTGTCATAAAGCATTCATTTGAGACCATACATTGAGACTATAGTAAAATTATTATTAAGCATTATATTGGTAGGAAATTAATGCATTAACAACTCTTATTTCCACTCCTTTATAGTTCTCAAGTGCAAGCAAAGATAGAATTTATCACAATTTGGTATCTACAAGTGAACTACAGTATACAATAGTCATAATCCAAACAGAACCCTATAAGACTGACAGAAAATTGTATTATTAGCAGAATTAGTGTAAGTGGACAGTGTCAATCTTAGAAACTACAATTTCTAGACAAATGAACTAGAAGCAGTTAGAACAGAGTATACAGTAGTCACTCTTTATCTGCTCTATGTGTAGAAAGAAACACACACAACATGATTTCCCTCTGCTCTCACACCACAACAATCATCAAAACAGAAGACTTCTGCGACCAAATGTGTGGAGGATTTTCTCCACCAACAAGTAAGCAACCAATTCTGTAGCAGAAACCAGCTGGTTGTCCTTTATTTAATTCCAACACTGTCTATCTAGAAATAGTCTCAGATCCCACAGGCGGAGGGCTCAGTCTCACAAGACTGCCCTCCCATAACAGTTGCAAATCTGGGTCTCTGAAACATCTAACCAGCTGGTTTCAAGTTGGGGTTCTCATGACTCCCTCTTTGGGTTTGATTAACATGCTAGAGTGCCCCAAATACTAAGGGAAACACATTTAACAGTTTATTATGAAGGGTATCACAAAGCAGACACATGAAGAGATGCATAGGGCAAGATATAGGGGAAGGGGCATGGGGCTTCCTTGCCCTCCCAGGGCACATCGGCCTCCAAACACTTCCATACATTCAACTATCTGGAAGGTCTCTGATCCCAGTCCTTCTGTGTTCTTAAGAAAGCTTTATTACATAGGCATGAATGAACAAATCTGTGGCTATTGGTAATTGACCTAACTTTCATCTCCTCTCACCTCCTAGGAGGTTGAGGGGTGGGGCTGAAAGTCCCAACACTCTAATCATGCCTTGTTCTTTTTTGTGACCAGCTCCTATCCTGAAGCTACCTAGGGACCGCCAGCCATCACTCAATTATTAGCATACAAAGACATCACTTTGGAGATTCTAAACATTTTATGAGTTTTATGCCAGAAAACAGTGTTGAAGACCAAACATATGTTTCACAATATAATAGCCATGGTTTTGATTTCCATGATTTCAGTTACTCATGGTCAACCATAGTCCAAAAATATTAAATGGGGAATTCCAGAAATATACAAGTCATAAGTTCTAAATAATGTGTCATTCTAAAGAGTACGATGAAGTATTAAGACATCATGTTCCATCTCACCCAGGTCATGAATCATCCCTTTGTATATGCTATCTGCCCATTAGTCATCAAAATGGTCTGTTCCTGAACCCCAACCATCAACATTATCATGGCTCAATGATCCACATGAAGCAGATGATCCACCTTCTGATATGTAGTCAGATAGCCAGAAATAATTAATAGCTTAACACCACATGACAACTCCTACCTCATTCACCTGACTTCATCTCATCACACAGGCATTATATCATCTCACAGTCATCACAAGAAAAAGAAGAGTGAGTACAATACAAGACACTTTGAGAGACCACATTCACCTAACTTTGATTACAATATATTGTTATTGTTTTATCATAAGTTATTGTTAATTTCTTACTGTGCCTAATTTATAAATTAGACTTTATCATAAATAAGCATAAATAGAAAAAACATGTATATATAGGGTTTCATACTATCCACAATTTCAGACATTCACTGGGTGTCTTAGAAAATACTCCCCATGGATAAGGGTGAATTACTGTACTTATTTGTGTACGTGGGTGTGTGTGTTCGTGTGAGAGACACACACAACACAGATCTCCACTATCCACAAGAAACAGATAAAAAAGACAACACTTTTCCTCACACATGACGCTTAGGTTTTGACAATTCTGGAAAAATGTTGGCAGGTGTACTCACCAGTCTAGATAATTTCCCAGACCCTGTGTATGTATGCTGCTTTAGTTACAAAAAGTTAGGTAGGATCTTGGGAGATTTCTTCTTGGACAACAGAAATATCAACCACATCAACAGTATACCTAACAACTCTAAAATAATTCTTTTGAACAGATTACCACTGAAGAACTTGTAAGTTAAATCCAATTCACTTTTCAGTAATCTTACTGCTTGAAATTCTCACATTTAAAAAAAATTTGCAACATCACTTTCTCTGACTCCTCTCCTACTTTTCTTTAGCCACTGCTCAGTCTCCTTTACCAAGTCCTTTGACTCTGTGAAATGTTGATATTCCCAGGGTTTTGTCAATGGCTTTCTTCTTATTCTATATCTTCTGCATCACGGATAAGCTCATTGAGATCTATGGCTTTGCCCAATAATTATAATAAAATTATCCTAAGCCTACATCTCCAACCAGAGTTCTATCTCCAGCTAGAAATGCCTATAATCCAATTACCTACTGAAAATATCCCACATGAATGTTTCATTAAACTCATTATGTAAAGAAAACTGCTGGTCTGTCCCATGACTGTTTGCTCTTCTCTGTTAACCTGACAATTTCCTACTCCTTCCCCATGAGCATTGTAAATGCTCATGCACAATCTGGAAACTTATGAATGACCTGAGATTGTATCTGTCCCCTAGCTTTTTAAACTCAATAATCACTAAACCATATTAACTGTACATCTTTTCTGCCTTTGCTTTATCTTTCCAGTGCCACTGGAAATACAAACTATTTTATATTTATATTGCCTAGTTAGACATGGCCCCTTAACTGATGGCTTTCACAGGGAAAAAGAAACCCTAACAGTTACTACTGTTATTTTTTAAGTTAAAAAAATTTCAGTAAAACAAATCAAAATAAAATAATGGCAAAGAAAGACTTACATATTTAAATGTGTAAACTGAGCTTCTGAACTTGATTCATTTTATCCTGGATGGGTCAAACTTTCATAATAGATTGATACTAGGCCACAGATTGGTGACAAAAAAACAAAAAGGAGACTATAGCATGAACTACTACACAAGCTTACTTTGTCTTTAAATCTTTTTATGTAATTACCCTCCATCTATCTTTTATATGAAGGGCCAGCAAACTATAGGCCACAGGCCAAATTCAGCTTACCAAATGGTTTTTTATACAAAGTTTTATTGGAGTACAATCATGCCTATTTGCTCACACATTATCTATGACTGCTTTCACCCTACAATGCAGAGTTCAATAGCTGTTATAGAGACCACATGGCCTAATATATTTCTTTTTCTTTTTTTTTTTTTTTTGAGATGGAGTGTTGCTCTGTCACCCAGGCTGTAGTGCGGTGGTGCAATCTCAGCCCACTGAAGCCTCCGCCTCCTGGGTTCAAGCAATCCTCCTGCCTCAGCCTCCTGAGTAGCTGGGATTTCAGGTGCATGCCACCACACCTGGCTAATTTTTGTATTTTTAGTAGAGACAGGGTTTCACCATGTTGGCCAGGCTGTTCTTGAACTCCTGACCTCATGCTCCACGTGCCTTGGCCTCCCAAAGTGCTGGGATAACAGGCGTGAGCCACCATGTCCGGCAGCCTAACGTATTTCCTATCTGGCACTTTACAAGAAAAGTTTGCCAATCTCTGCCTTATACCATGACCAGTATGCCCTGATACTCAAATCTAATCTTGTGACTCCCTTGCTTAAACTTTTCCAATGAATCCCTACAGAAAACATTGCTGGCTTCCTATGCAAAGACATTATTCTTTCTTGCTGCAGAAACACAAGCTTATTTAGATATTCATTATTCCACTACCCCATCCCATCTCAAAAAGAGAAATCATTATTCTAAGCTAATCACAGTAATTACATTTGCTTTGCTAGTGACTGGTTTAGAAATGAGCATGTGGTATAATCCAGCCAATAAAATGTCACAGGAAGATTACTGCAAGCTTCCAAGTTTTCTCCCTATTTAAAAGAAACATGTGAACAAAAGCAGCCCTTCCAGCCTTTAAATATTGTCTTGAGAGAGCATGATGATTGGAGCTGTTGCTAATTAGCCAACCAAAAGTGGAGTCCTGGCTGGGCACGGTGGCTCATGGCTGAATTCCCAGCAGTTTTGGAGGCCAAGGCAGGCATATCATGAGGTCAGGAGTTCGAGTCTGGCCAATATAGTGAAACCCCATCTCTACTAAAAATACAAAAAATTATCCGGAGTGGTGGCGGGCACCTGTAATCCTAGCTACTTGGGAGGCTAAGGCAGGAGAATCACCAGGAGGCAGAGGTTGCAGTGAGCCGAGATTGCTCTTGCCATTGCACTCCAGCCCAGACAACACTGTGAGACTCTGTCTCAAATGAAAAACAAACAAAAAAATGTGGGATCCTATAATATCCCTGTACCACCAAAACAACTTTGGTTCCTATGGTTTTAGCCATTGTTAGTTAGTTCACTTAGTATTTACAGCCAGAAGTATTGTGAGAATTTTTCCAGGGCCTACGGAATAATATCTACTTATTTCTATACTATGAAAAAGTGTTGCCTAAGCTTGCCTTATTTAGATATTCAAGTCATTCCCAGCTACTCCCATATCACACTTTTTTCACTAAGAAACCTGAAATGCCAATAAACCTTACAAAGTTCACTCAAGCATCTTACCATTTGTACTTGCTTTTGTAGATGTTTCTTTTGTAGGACACGTGAGCATCTTAGATGTTCCTTTTTCCAAAACTTCAGTTTTATTAGGTATTACTCCTGCCACGCATTCAGTCTTTACAGATGTTTATTTTTCCTCCCATGTGATCTTCCTAGGTCTTTCTTTTGCTGGCCATGCAAATTTCTTAGATGTTTCTTTTGCAGTCCTCATAATTTTCTTAGGTGTTTCTTCTGCTGACTGTTCAAACTTTCCAGATGTTGCTTTCCCCAAACATTGAATTTTGTCAGCTGTTCCCTCCACCAAGGGTGCAGCCTCATCAGGTGGTTTTTCCACCAAGCTTTCAGCCATGTCAGGTGTTCTTTCCGCCAAGGGTGCAGCCTCATCAGGTGTTCCTTCAGATGTTCCTTCTGCCAAACACACAATCTGGTTAAATTTTCCTTCTGCTAAATATCATCCTCCTGACTCTTCACCTGGCAAACTTCTACTCACTCTGTATGCTTTCCTTAAATACTACCAAAGTTCTCTTTTCTCGCGTTTTTTTTTTTTAGACTGAGTCTTGCTCTGTCACCCAGGCTGGAGTGCAGTGGTGCAAACTCAGCTTAATGCAATTCAAGCAATTCTCCTATCTCAGCCTCCCAAGTAGCTGGAATTACAGGTACGGGCCACATCGCCTGGCTAACTTTTCGTATTTAGTAGAGACAGGTTTCACCATATTAGTCAGGCTGGCCTCAAACTCCTGAGCTCAAGCAATCCATCTGCCTTGGCCTCCCAAAGTGCTAGGATTACAGGAGTGAGCCACTGTGCCTGGACACTACCAAACTTTTTAAAGCTCTAATCCTTCACCTTGGATGTTTTTTACTGTGCTACAGTAAGAGGAAAAATGTCAGTCAGCACTGCTTCGTGGAAAATAAAAGGATGATGAGTTCAGCGAGCCTCAAGGCTGAGGTGTGATGGTGCTCAGTGAGACCTCTCCAATATGGTCATGTTTAAACTGTGACACAAATAGAAAGGAGAGGCACAGAAAGCCCTAAAGAAAGAGCATTCCACAAACACCACCCCTCAGCATGACAGTGCAGGAGGCTGTGACTTGAGAGGAAGAAAGGTACACAGACCACCATGGTGGCTGGCACAGAGCAAGCAATCCACAGAGGGGATGATGGGATGACAGAGGAACAGCAGGGCACAGCTCACCCGCGCCCCTACAGGCCCGATCAGGGGCTGTGAGGTTATTCCAGGTACAGTGGGAAGCCACTACAGATGGCAGACCAGAGAATGACAGGCTTCACCTCCTACTTCCAATGAAACTAACCTGGCTGCTCTGTGGCATGGCTTTGACTGAGCGCTGGAAGGCAGTGAAGGAAGATGGGGTATGGTCTGGGATTTGTATTCAGGGCGGAATCAGCAAGCCTTGCTAGGCTGGATGTGGGAAGGGAGAAAAGTAACACCTCAAGGTAACTCTTGGGTGTCTGGCCAGGTAGACTCAAAGACAAGTGCATTGGAGGAAAATGGGGACTCTTCCTGGGACAGGTCAGGTCCCAGAAGGGGTCAAACAAGTGGATGAATACAAAGGTCCAGTGTGAGGAGAATTTTAAGGGCCAGGAATGAGAGTCATGAAGATACGGACAATATATTTTTTTAAGATGTGGGCAGAGTGGGATTATTTTATTTTATTTTTTGAGATAGCATCTTTCTCTGTCACCTACGCTGGAGTGCAGTAGTGTGATAAGTACTCACTGCAGCCTCAACCTTCTGAGCTCAAGCAATCTTCCCGCCAAGTTTTTATTTTGTTTAAGAAACGTGGTTTTGACCTAGTATTGTGGCTTGTGCCTGTAATCCCAGCATTTGGGGAGGCTTTGAAGGGTGGATTGCTCGAGGCTGGGAGTTGGAGATCAGCCTGGGCAGCAAAAAAAGGAAGAGGATGAATTCATGGAAGATAATTTTTCCACAGACCATGGATGGAGAGGATAAATTCAGTATGATTCAAGTGCATTACATTTATTGTGCACTTTATTTCTATTATTATTACTTTCTAATACATAATGAAATAATTATACAACTTACCATAATGTAGAATCAGTGGGAAGCCCAAGATTGTTTTTCTGCCACTATACAGTCTCAACTGAGGATGATGGGAGACAGTGACAGATCATCAGGCAATAGATTCTCATAAGGGCAACACAACCTACTTCCTTGGCATGGGCAGTTCACAATAGGGTTCACACTCTTATGAGAATCTAATGTTGCCTCTGATCTGACAGGAGGAAGAGCTCAGATGGTAATGCCAGCGATGGGGAGGGACTGTAAATACACATGAAGCTTCACTCACTGGCCACTGCTCACCTCCTGCTGTGCGTTCCACAAGCTGGGCATCCCAGCTCAGGTACATTTGAAAGGATCCATCCCCCGCCAGTCTTTATAGTCATCTTTACTGCCATAGTAGTGAAGTATAGCTGCCACTTAGCTCCCAAGGCATGTGCCTCAGCATGCATTTCATCACAATCAACAAACAGGAGCTTGGGTCATTGTGAGGTCACTTCCTATAAATTACCAGCATTCCATTTCCCATTGGCAAGAAGCTAAGCACTGCTACTTGAATAACCAAACCTATGCCCAAATCCCATCTTTGTGGGGCTATCTCCTGGTACTCTTCCTAGCATTTTTCTCTTTGTCAGAGTCCAATCAGGAGACATAAATCACTTAAATACAAACTGGTAACATTTAATGTAAGTATTACAACAGGGGAACAGCATAATGAGGGATTGGCCAGCACAAGGTAAAGAAATGCACCACAACATAACCTGTTTCACTTTATGGAAAGCACTGATGTTTATAAAATAGTCATGGTAAATTTATAAAACTAATAGCTAATTATTTTTACTCAGAATAGTACTAAATTAAGAATATAGGCCAGGCGTGGTGGCTCATGCCTGTAATCCCAGCACTTTGGGAGGCCGAGGTGGGTGGATCACCTGAGGTCAGTTGTTCAAGACCAGCCTGACCAACATGGTGAAACTCCATCTCTATTAAAAAATACAAAAATTAGCCAGGCATGGTGGCAAGTGCCTGTAATCCCAGCTACTCAGGAGGCTGAGGCAGGAGAACTGCTTGAACCCGGGAGGCGGAGGTTGCAGTGAGCCAAGATAAAGTGGAAGCATTTATTATGTATTTATATGCCAGGAATTAATGTGAAGCACTTTACTATCTTATCCAATCTTCAGGATAGATCTTCAGTTCTCATGACCACAAAAGACCAAGTTTCAGACAGGAGAAGAGACGTGGCCCGGCAGTGTGTCCCTAGAGCCTATGATCTTGTCACTAGGTTACAGTGCTTCCAGGTAGCACACGGTATGAGATTTTGCTTTAAACAAACCAATAAAAAACACAGGCAAAAAAGGCGTAAACTATTAAAAAGTGAAAGAAACATTAAGAGAACCTTAACCAAATAACTAAAAATATTATGGAAAAGTTATTGAATTCATGAGCAAATTTACTCTAACTTTAGATTTTCATTGAGTGGTAGGTTGTATTACTCATGATGAATAAAACATGTTCATTTTAAGTGTATTAAATATCATTAATATGGCTTATCATATTTAAA
This sequence comes from Homo sapiens, assembly GCF_000001405.40. Taxonomy (NCBI): domain Eukaryota; kingdom Metazoa; phylum Chordata; class Mammalia; order Primates; family Hominidae; genus Homo; species Homo sapiens. The sequence goes on along the minus strand of NC_000010.11, from coordinate 45,153,586 downwards.
TGTTCACTTAAAGCAATCCAGTTAAAGTTCTGCATATCATACAATTTTATACCTTGCTAGTTGATTGCAAAGTAAATAGTTATCCAAATAAAAACAGTAAAACGTGAAGTTTTTCACTGGTTGATGCTATTGTGAGGTGAGCATTTGATATATACAAACAGATGATAATAACAGATTGCTTACTTCTTTCATCAGTATATAAAGGTGGCTTCAGGATAGAATAGTATTAAGGGCAAAGAAGAATTTGAAATTTAACGTCAACTCAGTGATGCATTAAGATAAAAACAGAGACAACAGGGGCATCCTGGTGAATACTGATTTTAACAAAGCAGATTCAGAGAAACTATTAGTTTAAAAAATCTTCAATTAAATCTCTGTAATCCAGGGCTTTGCAATAAATATGTAAATAAATCCCCAAATATCCATGCTAAAAGTTTAAAAGAAATGCTAGCTGATAATTAAGGAAATATAGCTTTTCCTTAGCTTTGCAGTAATCTAGAAACAAAGAATGTTTCTAGTACTTAGACAGACACTGCAAAGCACCTTACAAAGAGAGACGTGTAAGGATGACTCGATTCACTGGCAGCCCTGGGCTTGTCCACAGTACCCCCAAAATTAACAGTAACTCCACTGTGTAAATGCTCATGAACAAAGTATTACAGGACTTTTCCAGTTTAAACATACCATATTTTCTTTCAGACAATTCTTCAATTGTTTACGTAGATAAGTGATGCAACCATTCCATTTCTCTGAAAATTGAGCAAAAGTTGATTCTCAGTAATAGGTCCCTATGTCAGAGCACCACTAACATATAATGACTTATATCCTATGTTTTACATCCTAACAGTCCATATCATTTTACTGCTTTCCAAATAATTTTTCCAAAGAACTTTTCCCTTTTTTGGTGGTTCTTACAATTAGTTTAATGGGAGACTAAAAGAGAAGTTTTAAAGTTTAGGTCCTCTTTTTAGCCTTTAAATTTCTGAAAAGCAGGAGGGCAGAAAAGATCAATCAAATTAACACGACAAAAGGGAGACCACAATAAGGAGGTCTCCAGGGGTATTTTAGCAGACTTCCTAAAACATGTCTTAGCTGTGTGGAAATAAGACTTTAGAGTGGCCAGGTATGGTGGTGCAGGCGTGTAATCCTAGCATTTTGGGAGGCTGAGGCGGGCGGATCGCTTTGAGCTCAGGGCAACAAAGTGAAACCCCCATCTCTACCAAAAATACAAAAATTTGCCAGGCCTGATGGAGTGAACCTGTAGTCTCAGCTACTTGGGAGACTGAGGCCGGGGGATGGCTTGAGCACAGGAGGCAGAGGGTGCAGAGAGCAGAGGTAGCGCCACTACACTCCAGCCTGGGCAAAAGAGCGAGACCCTGCCTCAAAAAACAAAACAACAACAACAACAACAAAAGCTGCAAGGTACCTGGGGCCTCTTCTCCTTCGCTGACTTCGGGTCTGCACGGGGGCAGCTGCATGGGCCTCCCGGGCCAGGAGGCCTCCTGGGCCAAGTCCCCATTGCACTACTACACGACTGGTGGCAGTATGACGCAGAGCTGCACCAGGAGCTGTGCTGCAAGATCGCTGCTGGCGGCTGAGGCTCACTGCCAGGCCTCACTGGTGGCTCGGGCAAAGAGGTGCAGCTCTGAAGAGAATGAGGGAGACAATGCCAATGCTACCAGTGCCAACGATGTGGAAAAAGTGCGGTAGCTGCTGGAAAATGGCACGGATCCCTGTGCAGCTGACAAGGGCCACACAGCTCTACACTCTGTCTCCTGCAATGGTAATGACCACATTCTGGCCTGTACCAACCACAACTCTGTCATCACCATACTGCTGCGACGAGGGGCCTGGTGGATGCCCTGGACCAAGCTGGCCATATGCCTCCATACCTGGCCAAGTCGAAGCTGAACATCCTGCAGGAGGACCACTCCCAGTGCCTGGAAGCTGTGTGACTGGAGGTGAAGCAGATCATCCCAATGCTCAAGAAGTACCCGGTGCACCTATGGTGACGTGAACAACTGGAATGGCTGGACCACCTCTGCACCCACCTCCAGATGACCAGTACCAAAGAGCAGGTGGATAAAGTGCCCGACCTCCCAGCCAGCTCCACCTCCCTCAGTCTTTGGATACAGAGCATGGAGGAGGTTGCAAGAGAGGCTCCCTGGCTTCCTGTCACTGCCCCCACTAGTCTCCGAGTACAAAGAAAAAGCCCAGCATCTGGGACTTGGAAGCTGCCCTTGTCAGGTGAGGAAATTGCCGTCACCCCCAGATGCTGTGGGGTAGAGATGCTCTCCCCACAGCCTCAGGGCTACTCCTAGTGCCACAGTCTCCAGCATCTCTGTGGACCGGGACGATAGCCCCCAGCTGCTTCCTCCGGCTCCTGTGGCACTAGGCCAGGCTCTACAGCCTCACTTCAGCTCCGCAGACCTGCACTGTCCTAGCAGACCTCGCTCACCCCATGGCCTCCATGGTGCCCTCACCAGGCCCTAGACCCTTCTCTATGTTCCTTCCCAGCCATGAGCTTGTTTCAGTCACTTGGTTTGGCCTACGTGGGCACCCTCTGGCCAAGGGGGCTGCCGTGGGGGCTGCTGGTTGGCCCTGTGCCTCTCATCAGAACTTAGATTTAGACATGTCACCAGACTTTCAAGGAAACACTGCAGTGGGTGTCTCTGGTTGGAAGAGAGGGTTGATGAGGGCTAGACCTTAAAAATACAAGTTTAAGAGGTACCCTAGACCTTAAAAATTCAAAGTTAAGAAGTACCCCAAAGCAAAAAATCCCAACTGTTTTTCTCCCAATCATTAAAACACCAGAGGGTGTAATGGTTTTGCAGTCTACTTGTAGTATTTTGCAGCCTAGCTGTATTAGGCTTATAAGTGGCCCCTCAATATGCCCATATCCTGATCCAGGAACCTGTGAACATTACCTTATATGGTAAAAGAAGCTTTGCAGATGTAATGAAGTTAAGGACCTTTGGCAGGGAAGATTATCCCGGCTTCTTTAGGTGGCAAGTTGATGTACTCACTGATCCTTGTAAGAGCAGAGCAGGTGATGGGAGAGTGGTGGGAGGTGTAGTGATGGAAGCGAGAAATTGGAGTCATTCAAGGAGGGCATCAAAAGTCGAGGAGTGCAGGCTGCCTCCAGAGCCAGGAAATGGATTCTCCCACAGAGCCTCCGAAGGCACTTGCCCTGCTCCCACCTTGACTCAGTGGGAGGGAATTTAGAATTCTGGCCTCCAGAACTGTGAGAGAATACATATATGTTGTTTAAAGACACTAAGTGTGTGGCTCACGCCTGTAATCCCAGAACTTTGGGAGGCCAAGACAGGTGAATCACTAGGTCAGGAGACCGAGACCATCCTGGCTAACACGATGAAACCCCACCTCTACTAAAAATACGAAACATTAGCCAGGTGTGGTGGCGGGTTCCTGTAGTCCCAGCTACTTGGGAGGCTGAGGCACGAGAATGGCATGAACCCACAAGGCGGAGCTTGCAACGAGCTGAGATCGCACCACTGCACTCCAGCCTGAGTGACAGAGCGAGACTCCATCTGAAAATAATAATAATAATAATAATAATAATAATAATAATAATTTGTTGCAGCAGCAACAGGAAGCTAGTATTGCAGTGAAGCCTCAAAATCCACCTGAAGAAGGTTTCCCCATGACACATCACTTGGCTGTCTCCCTTGCAACCTCCAGACTCTAGGTCACAAGCCCTCACATTAAGCCCAAACGTTCAATATCCTTTGTAACATGGCCTGGCCCCAATAGCGACTGGACAATGGTAGTCAATGGCTTTAAAATGGAATCTTTGACTTTCAAATTCAACGAAATCTTGAAAATTTTATCCACTGCAATGGCAAGTGGTCCAAGGTTTCCTATATTCAAGCTTTCACTTACCTCCGCTACTAACCTTACCTTTGTCAATCTTGCACTTCTTACCAGGCTCTTAACAAACCTGTTATCAGAAGGAAACTCATTAGCTGGTTCTGCAGCTAAACAGTCAGCCCTTAAGCCCCATCCCATACTACCTGTTTCCCAGCTCAACAGCCCTCATACTCACAAGGAGAAAGCCTCAATCTTTCTTTGGCTGGGGCCACAAAAACGGAGGGCTGGTTCTTTCTAGACAATAAGCTCGTTTTGCCCATGTCCCAGAAAAAATCCAAACTCACTCACATTCACAGCCTCTTTCACACCAGCTATCGTCCTCTGCTTCAGTTTTTATAACCTCACCTGCAGTCTCCTGCCATGGCCACCACCTTTCAACAACTCACGCAGGCCCGTACCATCTGCAAACAAGTTTCTTTCCAGGGAGCACTCAGACCACCCACTTAGCCGAGAAATCAAGCTAAAGGGCACCTTCCAGTGTTCAGAGGCCACTACAAACCTGGAAAATTGATTTCATTCATATGCCCCCTCTCAAGAAACATGACTATATCCTCACCCCTGTTGACCACTTTCAACAGGCAGATTGAAGCCTTTCCCACCACCACCAAGAGGGCAAAAGAGGTTACCTCAATCTTCCTACAACAAATTATCCCAAGGTTTGGACTGCCCACAACCAGTCTGGGCAGAGAGTGAGCTCCTGTCTCAAAACAACAACAGCAGCCACAACAACAAAAAGATAAAAAGAATATTGTAGATAAATGGGAGAATGTGTTCTTAGAACTCACCCACTCGAAACTCAAGGACATCAAATTGACAGTCTTGGTGACTTTCTAGGTAAAAATCTTCAAAATGAATATAAATAGATGAATTTCCCTGATTTGGATTGCTGAGAGTCCATTCACAGTTTAGGTTTCTCGAGTAATTCCTGACTCCATCATAGCCAGGAGAAGTAAAGTTTCCTTCAGGAGTATTTGGAAGAGACCCACCACACACTAAGAAAACAGAAGGCAACAGAAAGTAGTAGTAAGATTCAGGCCACAACAGAAGAGATAAACAATATAGGAACAGTAACTAAAACATCAACATTACTGCTTTGATTTGTTTTTCTAGATGCAATCAGGATTATGGGTAAAAGGCATGCAAATTATGGAAGTTTCTGCAAGTTTAAAAAGGAAAAATGTGCAAAAATCAACAACTTCTCTATTTTCCTGTTGGTGTAGATCAGGTGGCTGGGGTTTGGCTCTGTATCAATTTGTCCAAATATTGAGGCCCTGTGCTCATTAATATTTAATTTAGAGGAATACCCAAATATAACGGTGGCAGGTCCTAATGGCTTGATTAGCAATTCTCCACTTGATCTAATAATTTAATTTAAATCAGACAGATAATAGGACCTTGGCCTACCAATGAATTTGCCCCCTTTTAATAAAGGAACAGATGCTTCCTGTACCAGTGAAATAACTTAGTGGGTTTTTTTAAATATTCACTCCCACTTCTAAATTTTAAAACCCTTAGATAATAGCACCAATCCAGGAAATAGGAGGATATTTATAATTAGAGGCCATATCTTGCTTAATTTTGAAATATTCTATATCAAATCAAACCTCCCATTTATTTTCACTGGAAATACGTGTGTGAATAGACGACCAGAAACAATAAAGCCTGTTCTGTCCCCAGCAAAATTAATTACTCTCCGAGACTAAGTTACCTTCTAGGAGGTAGATGGTCTCTTTCAGCACCAAATAATGGACCACGGAATATGGAACAGGTCACACCAATCCTCATGGTAACATGACTGAAACTGTGCTAGAAGCTCATCTAATGGCATTACAAGTTTTAAATTCACCATAGCAGCTTCTTCCTGAAATCAGAAAGCTTTTTTTCTGTCTGCAGTAAGTTTTTGATCTGCTTATATGTGTTTGTCTTATGTCAAAGATTCCAAGTGAACTTTGATCACTAAAGGGAAAATGGATGGCTCTGCTGCCATTGGCAGTAGCTGGGGGGCATCTGCAATGCACCTGATTAAAATGAAGTACATTTACAACATCCCACTTTATCTGCATCTTCACTGGAGGTATGAGAAGCAGTGAATCCTCCATACGGCCTAGATCCATCTGTGAAAAAAATGACTTTCATTGTGTTTCCTGAAGATTTAATCTCACTGCTTACATTCACACTACTACACAGTTTCTCTAGCTGGGGTGAGTTACTTCTAATGCCATTGAATACCTGTTGGAAAAAGAGTTTAACCTTTAGACACACAATCCATCTTACTGCATATTTCCTAGGAGGTGATATTCCCAGCCCAGACCTACTTCCTTCTATGGGAACCCTCCCCTAAAATGAATGACCTAACAATGCAGGTTTCTATCCCAGTGCCACAAGCCACTATGTTACCCTGAACACATTTTGTGACCTCAGGGTGATTTCACTAGAATGAAAGTATTGCAGTAATGCCTTCCTGCCATGTGGTCATAGATTAAAAGCTGCTATACAGTTTGGAACTGGAAACCGAGCTCCCAATGTAAAGGAGATAAGCCATCGTGCTTACAATGTGGTGTGCAGAGCTCACTGATGGGCAGTTTTTCTTAACAATGCATCAGGACTTTCGTTATTTGGAAAGGAAGCTTAAATGTTAGTTTCTGATTATTTGATGTATATAATAAAGCAGATGTTTTTGTTTATTTTAATTTTTATTTATTTATTTATTTATTTATTTATTGAGATGCAGTTTTGCTCTTGTTGCCCAGGCTGGAGTGCGATGGCATGATCTCGGCTCACTGCAACCTCTGCCTCCCAGGTTCAAGCGTTTCTCCTGCCTCACCCTCCCAAGTAGCTGGGATTGCAGGCATGCACCACTGTGCCCAGGTAATTTTGTATTTTTAGTAGAGATGGGGTTTCACCATGTTGGTCAGGCTGGTCTCGAACTCCTGACCTCAAGCTATCCACCTGCCTCGGCTTCCCAAAGTGCTGGGATTACAGGTGTGAGCCACCATGACCAGCAAGCAGATATTTTTAAATACCTTGAAAAGTAATTTGAAAAATCAATCTCCATATGCAATTAAACATAATAGTTCTTTCCTTATTAGTTATGGATTCAAAGCTTCAATTTTCTTACTCAGTTGAGTTTTTAAGAATGGATTATTATTGACTCCAAAATATTAAATAATAACTGTAGTCATTCACATAGTTACAATAATTGGCAAACATTGTTCCAATGCTGTACAAAATCAAAAAAAACATTTAGATGAAATAACTAAACAATAATTCATTGATTGAGTGATTGATATTCCAGTGTTTAAAAGGATTTGAATGACTCAAGATTAGAAATAATGACTCAGACTATGGCACTAAAAGTTATGCAGTAGGAGAATGCACTCCACAACAAAAGATGTCAGCTTTTAAAATTTACTATAATTAATTAAATTTAGCTGTCTGGAGGCTTCTGGTCTAAAGTGTCTTCCGGCTCATGGGACCAGAAGAAGAGTTTGCTATCATTTACTGAGCAGGCAAAAATGCCAGTCTTTGCTCATCATCTACTCAGTCTGTCTTATCTAATCAGCACAACACCCTCCCAGGCAGATAATAGTATCCCTGTTTTCCAGATTAAGATACCAGAATTCAGAAAGATGATGTAATTTGCTGAAGTTCAAATAATTAGTAATAATAGAACTGGGATTCAAACCATCCTTCTGATTCCAAACCATGAAGTAGTGTATAAAGAAACAGATGAGGACAAATATTTCTATAATGCTGAAAACAGGAATGGGCATCACATTGCCAAAATCAAAAGGTATTAGAACCAACTGCAAGGTTAACAGTACATGTTGGAAACCATGATCAATGGCTGTTATCCTGCCTCTGAGTCTGCCTTTGGCGTAGAATCACAATGACTGAACATGTTATAGTCATCCATTTATCACATGGACTTCTGCTGTTAGAAGCAACCAGAATGCAATTCCCATCATTGTCCTCTAATCCCTTTTGTACTCAGAAACTACAACTCTCAGAATACAAATGGATAGGCTGTAGGTACGTGAGATTTAGGACAGGCTATAAAATTTGCTATGAACGGGACAAAATCAGATATAGGTCATATTGTAGGTCACACCGGGTGGCATAGCTTTTCATTTTCTCTGTCTGTACAGAGAGTCAGATAGGCAGGTGGCTTTGGAGAAATTTTAGGCTCAGACCAGCTGGATAAGGCATTAGCCACGAAGCAGTGCAATGAAAGTTAAAGCTGCCTCTGCACCAGCAGATCTTCTTTCTTCTTTACTCTTTTTTTTTCTTCTCCTTCTTCTTTTCTCTTTCTCCCTCTCCTTCTCAGTCTCCTCTTCCTTCTCTTTCTCCTTCTTCTTCTTCCCCTTTTCTCCTTCTCCTTTTTTTCTCCTTCCCCTTCTCCCTCTGTCTCCTTCTCCCTCTCCTTCTCCCTCTTCTTCTCCTCCTTCTCATCCTGCTTCTCCTTCTTCTCCCTCTTTCATCTTTCTTCTTCCTTTTTTTGGCAAGTTCTCAATCAAATAGAGTGGGGGCAAAGGCCAACCCACATGCCCTTGTTTGGAGCAGAGTAAAGAGGAACCAAAATAAACATTGAACATATAAAAATATATTTTAGAAAAAGGAATGTGGACATTATGCTAAAGATTCAGAAAAAAATTAGTTCTTAGAGTGATTCCTTGCTGGAGTTTTAACCTCCCCAAGAGAAAAGACCTGTGGATATGAGATTTGTAGGTTTGTAGGTTTCCCTATTTAAAGAGTCAAGGCACCCTCATGCATACAGAGATGCCAGTCATCCTTTCAGTAATTCATTCTTAAATATGAATGAATAGCCAAGGATCAGCAGATATTTAGGGAAGTGACTAATGTAAAAGGCAGAGACCAATATAAGTAAACACGAGATAGGAACATGAAGAAAACTGACCCCAGATAAGCCACACAAAACTTCAAAATTATTAATATATTCATGGATATATTAATATAGTGAACATATAAAATATTTAAATATATATTTTTCGAAGAACGATGGTAAAATAAAGATAATTTCAGGTATATCATTTCTTAAAATATGTATTGCCCTTGCCCATTTCCTTGGGGAGTTACAAGAGGGTATGCCTCACAAAAGAGGAAATTAACCAAGAAAGGGATGTACATAGCAACACAAAGCCAGCTTTCTAGCCCAGGAGCAGAATGAAGGAACTTGCAAATCTGATGGCAAAGGGAAATTCTGAAATGACAGCTATCATCAGGCTTGCAGCTGATGGACAAAGGCTCAAGGAAGGATATTACTGAGGAAAAGAAATGGAACTGACATGTTTTACTACAGAAGGTTAAGATGCACACCTAGGGTGGAAAGGGTGTGGAAGAATTAGTGATCAATGCGTAAAACCCAAGAAAATGTAAAGAGGGCACAATTATTATTATTCCTTGGGAAAACAAAAGCAAATGTTGCCATAGTACACTACTTGGCTCAGTTGTGAATGGTGTTTACATAATCATGGTAATGTCAACTGAATGACAATTTCAGCAAAAGCTGTGACATATGTATTTTGGGGGACTTTTGGGAAAGTATATAAACTGTGTATACCCCATGTGCATTTGTGGTGGCAGAGGGCTAATTCTCATCTTCCAGAGTAGGATGTGGATAGATAATGTCCAAAAAAAGCAAGGAGTAGTAGAATAGGAATATTATTTAGAAATAAGGACATAAAACCCACCAGCAGTAGCTGCAAGAGTTATAAGTTGATAATTAAGGTATAGAGAGATGACAAGTAAGATCTGCTTTGGAATTTGTGGTTGTGGCTATAACTTTTATCTTTATTTGAGTTCCAAAACTATGACTGTTCGTATTCTCTTTCCTAAAGGACATGTTAATACTCTGCTTGTAAAATTCCTAATAATCATTATATTCAGTATGATTTAAACTATAAAAATAATTTCAAAGGTAAAAAACAACTGTTAGCATATATATCTAAATTTTAGTAATAGATGAGTAGAATTAAAAATATCTTTATATTTTTTATTTTCTGAACTCTCCAAATATTGCTCAATAAGCATCCATGATATTTATAACCAGAAAAATAGACTAAAATTAGAATTCAAGTGGATTTATATCACATGATTACAAGTACCTAAAATATGCTTTGCCAAGAAGAGATGAGAAAATGCATCAAAATATGGTATAGTGGGAGTGGTTAGTATTTTTTCTACTTCATCTTTCTTTATATATATTCAATCAATAATAGGAAACAAAGTTTCTTTATAATAAACAACCTTAGTCCAAAATTTCCTGGCTCTCAAATAAAAGAAAACACACTTGGTTTCTTATTTTCAAGATCTGAAAGACAATAGTTCCGTCCTTCAGATATTAGAACTTGGAAATAAAATCTGAAGGTTGAATGAGATCATTTTAGGGTGATACAAAGTGGTCATAAGTTACAAATATATTTCATATTTTTGAGATTCACCACCCAACAGGAGACAATTAAACTGAAAACAAAAGTGGCTTCTTATTAAAGGGATAATGATAGTACCTCTACTATCCATTCATTCAACAATTATTTATCTCTATTATATACAGGCATTGGGGATTCAGTGAGTCCCCAGCAGTGAATGAAACTATGGCTTGAGCTCAAGGAGCTTACATTCTAGTGGGGGAAGCAGACAATAAACTGATGAACAAATCAAAATGATGTATGGCAGCAGTTGTAAAGTGCTATAAAACAACATGGCAGAGAAGTGTCAGGCTAGGGTGGGGTCTGTAATATAAGATACTTACACCCTATGGATTAAAAGGCATTCAAGCAGAGACCTGAATGAAGTGAGGGTGTGGAGCGGGCTGCCATCTGAACAGGGGCATTCCAGATGAAGGCAACAGCTGGACAGGGAGCATCTCAGCACATTCAAGGAACGGAATGGAGGCCAGGTGCCTGGACCCCAGCGAGCAGAGAAGAGGGGAGTTTGAGATAACACAGACAGGTAGAAGAGGGAGGGGCAGCAGATAATGTTGGCCAGGTGGGCCACAGGTGCAATTTGGGATTTTCCTCTGAGTGAGATGAGAAGCCATTAGAGGATTTTCAAAGGGAGCAACATGATCTGATTGAGGTTTAAAACCATCACATGCTGCTGTGTTGAGAATGTAGGGAGATGAGAATGGAGGCAGGGGCACCAGAGGGAACTTATAAAATAATCCAAGTGAACGGTGGGGGTGGCAGTAGTAGATATAACAAGTAGTTTGTGAATATTTTTAAAGATACTTGCTTATAGATGCCATATAGGGTGTGAGAGGACTTGCTTGTAGATGCCATATAGGGTGTGAGAGGAAGTATTCCAAAATAGACATCAAGATTTTTGACCTTAGCAACCAGAAGTTTGGAATTATTTACTGAGATAGCATATACTGCAGAAGGGGCAAGTTGGGTGGAGAAATGTACTAATATTAATCCAGTCTACCTATCTACACACACATATGTATGTATAGCACTTCACAGTTAACAATCTATTTGTTATTCACACTCAGGGATCTCATTTGCTTTCTTTCACTGCAGGAAGCTGAGAGTGCTGAGGGCACATCTGAAACCACTGGAGGTTGGCGACATGGAGGTCAGGTAGTAGTGCTCTCCCACCAGGAGTCCCTCTGCACCCCTGGAAAGAGCAGTCATTATGCAGGACAACCCATCTGCTCAGAACTTTCGGTGGTGGCTTGTGCTGTGACTCTGGTCCCATTCATCTATGTGCTCCTGTAGGCTTAGCTTCCCACAGCCTCCCCGGTTTTGCCATTTGTCATTATCATTCACTCTTAAAATGTATTCTATCTATGACCCTCATGCATGGAGTGATAGCTGATAGTCTCTTAAAACAATGTTTACAATTATTTTGACAGTTTACCGTGTTTTGTTCTCTCAACAATACTTAGAATTTGTCTGAGTTATAGTTGCATAGACAGCAATTTTCCTGACCTAGTTTTCTGACTATGATTTATGGGTCAGTAAACTCCTTAAATGATGGAATATAACATCTCAGGCCACAGGGAACGCTTACTATCACATGCTCACTGTTGCAGGACAGATGCGTGGCCAGCCTCAGGTTGCTAAACGTTAGGGTGATCTGCCTTCCTTCTGGGGCGGTGATTCTCCACTCGTAGATCCGGCCATGAGGATTTAGGTTCGGGTAGTTGGGAGAAGTAGATGTTCCAGCAGAGCCCTGAGATCCCCACCACACTCTGGTGTGGGGGAAAAAAAGCCAAGAAAACTTCCAATCAAATCAAAATATCTCCTTCCATCGGGAAAGCTCTCAAAATTCAGGTATTTAAAAATTACCCTTCTAGACAAAATTATTCTCCATATTTATGTGTGTGAGGATTTTAGTGAATATATACATTCATTTCCTATCTCTATTAATATTTAACCCTGGCTTCCATGGATGATAGTCCACAGACAGCAATTTAATTATCATCATGACCCAAGAAATATAAGAGACCAATGAATATAATGAACTTAAGAATCAGGAAAATCGGGTCGGGTGTGGTGGCTCACACCTGTAATCCCAGCACTTTGAGAGCCCAAGGCGGGCAGATCACTAGGTCAGGAGTTCAAGACCAGCCTGACCAACATGGTAAAATCCCGTCTCTACTAAAAATACAAAAATTAGCCGGGCGTGGTGGCGGGCACCTATAATCCCAGCTACTCAGGAGGCTGAGGCAGGAGAATCGCTTGAACCCGGGAGGCAGAGGTTGCAGTGAGCTGACATCGCACCATTGCACTCCAGCCTGGGTGACAGAGTGAGACTCCATCTCAAAAAAAAAAAAAAAAAAAAAAGAATCAGGGCAATCAGCCAGGAGTGGTGACTCAAGCCTGTAACCCCAACACTTTGGGAGGCCAAGGCAAGACCCTATTTTTACAAAAAAAAAAAATCAGGAAAATCAGGAGGTTAATGTAAGTATCCAGTTTTTCCAAACAAGATCTTTATTTCATCTGAGTTTGTTGGATTTGCAGTAAAGCAAATTCTGAGTAACTACAGGACTTTCTTAAGGCAAGCATTGCAGTATAACTCTCATCCTCTTATTATAACTAGTTTTCCCTTATAGCATTGATCACAGCTGTAATTTTTCATTTGTCAGTGTAACTTTTTGATTAAGGTCCAAGAAGATAGAGGTCATGTTTTATTTTGCTTTTCAAACTATTGTAACACCAGTGCCTAGCATAGTGTCTGTCCAATGCAGGTGCTCAATGTTGTTTTGAATTAATCAATGAAATCACCTTCCATGCTGGATTCAAATTGCAGTCTGAATCCTGAGGCAGTCAGAGAGCCGTCTATGACAAACCTGACCACGGCAGTATTGCTAGAAGTGTCTATGCTGTCAGGAATGGTGTTTGCACAGTATCTTCCCAAGATGTTTCCTGTGAGAGACAAATAATTAAATATATATGTCCAGGTGATTGATTTCTTTTAACCTCTATTCGAGGTGTCCTGCGTATACAAAGAAAATAATAAAAAACAAGACCTTGCCCATGAAGAAAAGTTACTCTCTGTCAAGAAAACAGGAAAACATGAATGAAAATTAACATGTTCAAATATATGAAGAAGTGAAAAAAATGCAACCAGTTAGGGGAAGGATATCTCAGGACAATGAGGAAGGCTTGCTTATCTGGTTGAAAAAGTGGTCTGAGACAAACAGAGTGACAAATATCTGCCTTATGCTACTGCCAGGAGACATGCATGACCCTCTGTCTGCCTCAAGCTATAGAACACCCCTCAAATAATGGCATGTGGCAATGGGATGCCTCAGCAGCAACAGGTTGCCTTCCCACTACCATTGCTCTCCCCAGGTGGCCTCCAGGGTAGGCTATATGACACCTGGGCTCTGGACATCCATTGTAATGGTAGAATTGAGGTAGAGAATCACTGGTACTGCCCAAAGCTCATTAATCTGCACTTCTCTGCAGAGTATAGACATGCTTTTGCCTTTCTCGGAAGTGCAGAAACTTCAGAGGCTGAATAAGTACATGCGAAAATAAACACCCCAAAGAGAGCAGATATATTTCACTAACCAGAAGTATGATAGTCCCAGATCTCCACAAAGTCTTTTTCACAGCCAGAGGAATTCTGAAGGTTAAAATCTTCGAAAGAGTTGGTGAGATAGTGTCTGGAGAGCCCCTGGAGATGCCACTCACAGAATAAGTTGTCTCTATATGGAAGCGTTAGATGGCCAATGCTTTCAACAACACCACTTTGCCCTGTTACTCTTCCCCCCACACTGAGCTGGAAAAAGAAAGAAAGAAAGAAAAAGAAAAGAAAGAAAAGAAAGAAAAAGAAAGAAAGAAAGAAAGAAACACAGAAAGAAAGAAAGAAAGATTCTATTACAAATTTTGTTTTTTTTTTTTTTTCATTTCACCAGCACATGTGAAAACTTAGGTGCCAAGTGACTATGAATTGAAGTTTTTAAAATTCTGAAAATGGTTAGTGCTTTCCTCATTATTTGAATTCTAGGGTTGATATAAACAGAAATGATACCACAAGTCCAATCCAATAATGGGAAACAAGATGACGGCCAAATGGCATATTCTGTAATGTCACATTAATTCTTTTGGGACACTATATAAGAGCTATTAGTTGCAAGCAAGTTTCATCTCAAGAACAAACTGGTAGACTCATCTGACCTGCCTAGAACCCTGTGTTGATTCTAAAGACTGAACCCAAGCTTAGCTGGAAGGGGGGACACCTGCCATTTCTAGTTTTACTATCAATTAAACTGTTCACTACAATAACTGATATCTCAAGGCCTTGAAAATTACTATTCAATTATGTCTTATTAGCTGGATGTGATAGCTAATTGAATTATATGCAGCTTGACTCGGGATATAACATGATCTATGGTGTAGCTAAATATTGTTACAACTAGGCTTTCTGAACTTTTGCTATATTAAATATTTGTTTGGTTTGTGTCTAGACCTATTAGATACTAAATTCTGTGCTATTGTGACCATACTATAGTGAATCTTCAACAAGCAAAGTTACTGCTCAATTTTTAAATAAGGAAATCAAAATCCTGAAGAGATATATTTGCTTTTTATCCAGTGACTGATTTGGCACTAGAGACTCAGAGAAAAAAAAAAAGCTTAATTATTTTATATATGATGAGGAATTCAAAGACATTGTTCTAAATATAGTTATCTGGTTCTTAAATAGTTGTATTACTTAAAGTAATAAACACACTGTAGTTCTTCCTTTTCCTTGGGGGATACATTCCAAGTCCCCCAGTGAGTGCCTAAAACCTCAGATATTACCAAACCCTATATAGACATATAGACGATTTTTTTCTATATATATGTGCCTATGATAAAGTTTACTTTGTAAATTAAACATAGTAAGAGATTAACAACAATAACTAATAATAAAATAGAACAATCATAACAATATACTGTAAGAAAAGTTACGTAAATGTGGTCTCTCAAAATATCTTGGTGTACTGTACTCACCTATTTTTTGGGCCTCTGTTTACCAAGTGCATTGAAACCATGGAACATGAAACCATGGATAAGAGAGAACTACTGAATTTCATAGTAAGCAGGAGAAACAGGAGTTTGATTTAACTACACATATTTCTTCCCAGATAAGTTAGAAAAAATATAAAATATTCAGGTTTACTAAGATTACATTTTAAAATAAAAATTAAAAGAGAAATTAAAGTTGATGACTGTGGTTTTAAACATTTACACTCCTTATTTCTAGCATTAAAATATTTTTAAAATTAGGCAGATAGAATGACTTCTTTTTAAAAAGTCATGGTTTAAAAAAAAGTTTTAACATATTCATTCTATAACCACTCTTTTATTTAACATAAAAATGTTTTCCAGGGTTCTTATAGTTTTATGTTTTACAGTTACGTCTTTAATCCATCTTGAATTGATTTTTGTATATGGTATAAGGAAGGGGTCCAGTTTCAATCTTCCACATATTGCTAGCCAGTTCTCCCAGCATCATTTATTGGATAGGGAGTCTTTTCCCCATTGCTTGCTTTTGTCAGCTTTGTTGAAGATCAGATGCCTGTAGGTGTGAGGCCCTATTTCTGAGCTCTCTATTCCATTTTATTGGTCTATGTGTCTATTTTTGTACCAGTACCATGCTGTTTTCGTTACTGTACCCCTGTAGTATAGTTTCAAGTCAGGTATTGTGATGGCTCCAGCTTTGTTCTTTTAGTTTAGGACTGCCTTGGTTATTTGGGTTTTTCTGGGGTCCATAGGAGTTTTAAAATAGTTTTTTTCTAGTTCTGTGAAGAATGTCATGGTAGTTTGATAGGAATAGCATTGAATCTGTAAATTTGGGGGGGCAGTATGGCCATTTTAATGATATTGATTCTTCCGATCTATGAGCATGGGATGTTGTTTTCATTTGATAGGGTGGAGGGTGGGAGAAGAGAGAGGAGCAGAAAAAATAACTATTAGATACTAGGCTTAGTACCTGGGTGATGAAATAATCTTTATAACCAGCCCCATGGCACAAGTTTACCTATATAACAAACCTGCACATGTACCCCTGAACCTAAAATAAAAGTTAAAAAATATATATAATCTATAGAATACTTGACCTTGAATCCCATATGATTGGGGCTGTTGTCAGATCGAAATCTCAAATACATAACCTCTCCTAAGGACCACTGACTGCTGGGCAAAGATGTCCCACAAAATTTGGAAAGTATTGGTGCATCTGAATCCACTCCATCCCACAACTAGAGGTAGTTAGAAGTACAGTTAAAGCGGAAACAAAATTATGTTAAATTTACATGGTCAATTGCCTTGACTTATTTTGATAATGACAACTTCACTTACTTTCTTTGACGATATTATTAAATCATCATTTCTTAGCATAAAAGACTATGATAGAATCAGCGTAAGCCACGTGTCACATTAAAATGCTGTATGACATTTTTCATAGTAATACATTCTTTCATTAGCAGCTCAAAAAGACAGGGTTTACATGTCCTACATTGAAGAATATTTACTTCCCTTCCATATTCTGTATTGCTTTTACAAATATAAATGTTGTTTTCAAATTAATCCCTACGAATTTCAAAAAACAACGAGTATTTTGTTCCACACAGTGATTTGATACATTTCACATGACAAAGATAAATTCTCTAACAGCTCTGTAATTGGGACTAACGGAGAGTCCCAACCGGAATTTTCTGTGTCCGTAAAAGTAGACAAGCATGTATCTAGCGTTTCTCGAGGAAGTTACATCAGCTAATTAATGCTCCATGAGTGGAAGAGTAGTATTAAATCCAGTGCCAGAAATAGCAACAAAAGCTCTTATATCTAAGTTTTGCACCACAGCTGCATTCATGCAAACGTATACACACTTTGTTAAAGGAAAGAGAAAAACAGTTTTTTTACAATCTATATAGTTTTCCTTTCTCTTCAATATAGTAAGAGTTACTCTCTGTTTTGTAATACTTTCAGAACTCTTATTAAATAAAGACTGGGAAATTATACTGTAAGTGCTTTAGTACTGTTCTGACACTGGTGACCCCTGGTGACATACCACACAAATTCCCATTTGTTAAACAGACATTTTATCATTTGTGACACTGAATACGAGGCTGGGCAAATAAATATTCATCTCTCAGAAACACGATATATTTCCTGTGGGAGGAAGAATGGATAAACATCAATCTCAAGTAGCCACCCTCAGCGTCCCTTGCAGGAAGTGTCTAGGTTCACAAAGGACAGTACCCATGTACATAACCTGCTCAGCTGATGAGAGAGTTGCTGGCAGACTGTTTTCAGGCCTGAGTTATTAAGCATTTCCCTTTTTCCCTAGATTTGCTTGCAGTATGTGCTACTGAAAGAAATGAATTGTTCTGAGACATGACAGTTAAAAAATACTAACTTCGGGTAGGAAAAAAATGAAAATGGAAGTGACATACTTGGGTGTTACTTCAATATCGAATTGACCTTCAAATTGCAGCCGTATGCGTGTTTCCGGTGGAACCGCTAAGATCCAAATGCAATCAGCGTGCAGGGGGATAATTATCAGGGTGGCTGGGGGAGGTCACATACCCAGCAGAATCAGCTTCATGGATGTAGATGTTGCCCCCACAGGCTGTCAGCAAACACAGTTAAATCAGTCTACGATCTGGTGAAGGAGATGCATTTAATGGACACAAATCATCTTTTAAAGTCGAATTCTCTGTAACTTGTCTCAATTTCCTTTCATCTGTTATGATCCTCATTTTTTTCCCAGCAAATGAATTCTCTATTTGCTATGGAGGGAGCTACCAGGTGTGACACTTTTTAATTTGCCAGACCATCTATCTATTCTCATTGGAAATTTCATTCTTTCTTAAAACCAACCAAATGATTATGGCACATGTGCATGGGGCAGAACATCACAGAAGCATGAATAAATATCCAGCACTTCGATAAGCATGTAAGTATGCTAGCAGTTACCGCTTCCCACTGAGCGTTCAGTACAGCAGAATGATGCAGAGCTATGATCTTGGTATATTTAAAAGACTAAGCAGATATATCTTTGCACAACTCTGGGAGCATTCATTCATTACATTTCTTCGGGATTTAGATGCATTTGAGAAACAAGATCAATGGCATCAGACAATTTATTAGCCATGTTTTGCCAGAAGATAAAGGAGCTTTTTAATACTTCTTTTCTAAAAAAAAACAAAGTATTATCAAAAAATACTTTTCTATTATCAATAAATATTCTTTGGCATTTTCAACAAACAAACCAGACAGGAGTAAATGTACTTACAATGCCAGTGAAATTAACCTGTCCAATCACTTAGCCACACAGATACTTGATCTGCTCAACTCTAGCAACATTTATGTCCACTGTCACTCATCCACTTACAGTCACATCCTGAATTCTGTCAATACCTCCAACTCCCCCATCTCTGAAACTCTAAATTGCAAATCCCTTTGATGACCTCCAGCTCCCTTGCTTCATGTCTTTCCTTCAGACTTCCCTTGCAAAATACCAACTCCGTGGTTGTGTTCAAGTCAATCCATTCATTCATGGAAACTGATGCCTCTGCAAATATACGTTCTCCCATCTCAACACTGCGAAGCAATTCACCCATTTCTTTTCATATAAACTACAACAGCCTTTTGTAACTTTACTCCATAAACCCTTGACTTTCCCCAATTCCTTTTGGTTCTCAGCACACTACATTAGGCTCCACTTTACAAAGAAAATAGAAGAAATTACATAATAATCCCTTCCATTTTTTAGCCTTCATTTGTTACTATCCTTAATAAATTCATCCACATCTCTACACTCTATTTTCTCCTCTGTATATTATCTTCCTGTATCTCTGGATCAAGTTCCCATCCTATTGTCTCCTCCGGGATCCTGGTCTATTTAATCTCTCTGTCTGTCTGTCTGTCTCTCTCTTTCTCTCTTTTCGCCCTTCTTTCTTCAACCCTATGAAAGCACTCATGTTCTCCCAAGTCACCTCGCAGTTATATGCCCAAATGACTTTTTAAATTATTATTTTATATCCACAGCATTTAACATTGTTGATCACGTTGTCTTTCTTTACATTTTTGTCGCTTGGCTTCTGTGACACCAAGCTCTTCTCCTCCTTTTACTCCTCGCATCATTCTGCCTCTGGTTCTTGGGCGCCTCTCTTCAGGGCTTCCCTGACATTGCTGAAGGCCCTCAGGAATCCTCCTGTAGGCCTTTCTTCTCACTCTAAATAATTCCCCAATTGCTGTTATACATCCTAATGACTTAAACTGTAAGCAGTCTATTGATAATTCCAAATTCTGGATAATTCAAATTCTGTTGATATTTACAGATTCAGTCTAGACCCCTGTTCTGTCCTCCAAACTCCTGTTCCGACCACTTACTGGGCATCTCCAATGGGGGTAATTCAGAAGTTTCAAACTGAAGATGTCTCAAATGAACACTCTCATTTGCTCATCATCCAGAGTTCCATACCTGAGTCTGCTGATGACAGCATCAGCCCCTCTTCCTATGGACACTCTGTATCCACCCTTACTGCCTTATTTTTCTCCTGGATACCTTTCACCATATGGCATGTTATATATTTTACTTATTTATTGTCTACGTCTTAACACTAGGATTAGGCTCCATGAGGACATGGATTTTGTTTGTTTACTGCTATATCCCCGGGACCTAATACAGTGTCTGTCCCATGGAAAGTTCTTAATAAATGTCTGTGGGATGAATGGATCCACCCAGCCAAAAACCTAACAACTGCTCCTAAGGCTCCTCCCATCCCTTCCCTCCTGCCTCACATCCAGCTGACCTCCAAATTCACTCCATCCCGTGTTGATAATATATTTGATATGCCCTCTCTCCTACTTTCTTACTGGCATTGCCTTAGTTCAGGGAGTAATATTTTTTCCTAAATTACTCTTTCATCTGGTCTCTCTCTCTTTAGTCTTCCCTGCCTCCAATGTTTTCAGTGTTGCAGCCACATTAGTGTTTTTAATCTGATCACACTGTTCAGGCTTTGGAGTAAAATCTTCCAATGCCTCCCATTACTTTTTGATTAACATCTAACTAACTTACGGTGGCATCCATGGCCCTGAGCACAGTGATTCCTGCCTGCTTCATCACTATTATGTTTACCTCTTTTTGACTCTATTCCAAAGCAGTGGTGAATTCTTTCAAATTATTAAATATGACTTTTAACATTGAGACTTTCTATGCACTCACATCTTTTTATCACTGATTGGCAAATCTCTTCATCTACTTCCTCTGGAGCCCTCTCTGATGTCCTGGGCTGAAGTAGGTGTTTCTGTTCTGTACGTAGCGCTTATTATACCATATACCATATACCATGTTCTTTTTTTTTTTTTTTTTTTTTTGAGACAGGGTCTTGCTCTGTCACCCAGGCTGGAGTGCCATGGTATGATCATGGCTCACTGCAGCCTCAATTGCCCGGGCTCAAGTGATCCTCCCAACTCAGCTTACTGAGTAGCTGGCACCACAGAAGTGTGCCACCATGCCCAGCTACTTTAAAAAATTTTTTGGTAGAGACAAGGTCTTTCTGTGTTGCCCAGGTTGGTCTCAAACTCCTAAGCTTAAGTGATCCTCCTGCCTTGGCTTCCTGAAGTGCTGGGATTACAGGCATGAACCACCGTGTCCAGCCCTACATCATGTTCTAACTGTGCCTTTGCTTGTCTGTCTCGTCTACCAAGCTGTGAACTCCTTGCCAGAACTCTAGTAGTTTTCATGATGTGAAACACTTTGTAAATGTTTGATTGATTAATTAATAGGCCTATTAATCTGGTGAGAATAAAAGGCATCTACCACAGGATCCTAGAAATCTCAATCAACCATAGCGAAGGAGTGTCTCTGGAGAAAAACGGTATAAAACTAGGTGATTCAGTGTCGAAAGATGTTCACAAAAGGACCTATGTTAAAGGCTGAGAAATAGGAGTGGCATGGAAGTAGATATGGTGGGAAGATAGCCAGATAGATGTGGGAAGTAGAAGGCTGACTATAGTTATGGAACATGATTGAGTTGGTAAGTAGAGAGAAATAAGAGTGATGCTGTTGTTTCAGGTTGCCAACAATAGGTTGTGAAATCAAAATACTTTTGTTTAAGTCTGATGTTAACGGCAGTCATAACAAGCTTCAAGAAAGATAGGGAGAAAGCAACAGCCATGACCATACTTGCATGAACAGTGAGTCCACAAAGAAATAGAAGAGGTGCAATGTCAAATAGTGTATCTGAATTACCATTAAATGTTGACTTTAAAAATTTAAATCAAGACTAAGTCTATTGGCTGGGCACAATGGCTCACTCCAGTAATCACAGCACTTTGGGAGGCTGAGGCAGCTGGCTTACCTGAGCTCAGGAGTTCAAGACTAGCCTGGGCAACATGATGAAACCCCATCTCTACCAAAAATACAAAAATTAGCTGGGCGTGATGATACATACCTGTAATCCCAGCTTCTAGGGAGGCTGAGTAAGGAGAATCACTTGAGCCTGGGAGGCAGAGGTTGCAGTGAGCTGAGATTGCACCACTGCACTCCAGCCTGGGTGACAGAGCAAGACCCTGTCTCAAGAAAGAAAAAAAGACTGAGTTTATCATAAATAAAAATAGAAAAGTAGAGTCCTATAGGATGGGCTGACATCTACTCACTAGACTCAAGACACTGCTACTCTTGAAATGCTTTGGTACCAGGTGAAAACCTGCCAATTCATGACTCAGCTGCAAAGCTCAGCATGGAGAGAGGGAGGGATGAGAAGGTCCCAGCCTAGAAAGCCATAGTGCAGATGCCCACAGAGCTGCATTAAAGCTCCCTCCTTGTGCCACAGCTCTGTGCACTGGGAAGTGACCAAAGCCCCTTCTCTGGTGTTTTGGACCTTACTCCAGCTATTCGATTATTTTTGTGTGTCAGTTGGTAAACACTCTTACTCATTTCTTTTAGCAAAATGAAGAAATGATGTTGACTTTAAATTTCATACAATGTGCAATAAAACATGATTTCACTGATATATATATATATATATAAATGCATTTAGGAATCTGGGATACAAGTAATAGGATCATTTTGAAATCTATATTATCTAACTTCTGGTGGGACAGAGCAAAAATTTATTATTATATTGCTTTCTACTGACATTACTCCGTTTTTTGGAAGTGATGCCTATTTATTTATTTATTTATTTATTCAATTAAACATTACTAAAAAGTAAATGTCCCCAAAATCAAATCATTACAGTAAAATTAAATGCAATTATAATCAAGTGTAATTAAGTACAAGCAATTAAGTAAAGATCTTAGGTAATATATAATTAAATCAGTAATAATAGAATCAAAAGATTATGTATTCTTTTAAAAACAGCATACACATTATTACAAAATAGGGCAAATGTAATTCTTATAATGTTTCTATAACTAGATTTAACTTACAATTAGACATCTTATAATGGAAAGGTCTAAGGAATTTCAGGGATCAAGAAGAATAGCGTATCTTATACTCATGGAACATTTCACTTTGGTCACTAATTAGATATGTGGCCTTGGAAAAGTCCAAGCCTCATTTTACTTATCTTTAAAATCGAAATAATGATACTTTACTTGAAAAGTAGTCACGATGAGATATTGAATGTATCAAACATAATAAGTACTTGAGAGTAGGCATTCTTATTAATTCTATTACTGTTAGTTCAGAAAAGAAAACTTTATATGTTTTTTCTCAAATCTATTTAATCAAAGAAGACCAAGCAATTGCAGGAAAAGTATATATAATTCTCAGTGAAAATACTTACGTAAACTCTTTTCCCCATATTTGATCTGAAATCCTTGCCCTTCATTACTCTAATCAGAAATAAACTGAACAAACATTTGATTATCCGAGGTGAACAGAGTCGATGAAGCACGACTGCCACAAAAATGAACATTTCCTCCACAGGGTCCGAAGGGTGGAGGATAGATATCAGGACCATTTCTTAGCTGGAAAGACAAATTAAAATTGCATCAACTCCTTTACATTGCAAAAGAAAGAGTACATAATTCTTATCCATTTATGTCCCAGGAGAGAAAAATTATCATTTTGTTTTCTGAATGAAGTCTATGGAAAACGTAATTAGAAAGGGTAGCAAGCAAGACCTACCACCAAGTAATCCCCCTGGTTGCAAGAAGAATCTCGGAAAGGCTGTTCAAAATGGACAGCAATGGTCAGGCCACTTTGGACCAGGACGTGCCAAGAACAGTTGAGGTTGGATGGGTAGGTCTCCGGATACTTGGGGGACGTAATGATCCCGTGTCTGCATGCAAATATCCGCCGCAGCCTTCCCACAAAGAAACAAAGGTAGATTATTTAAATAGGATTGGCAACTGGATTTTTATGCTTTCTTAGTTTTCTTGGGGGGTTTTCAAAGTGTAGGCAATAAAAATTCTTGAAAATAAAGCCAGAGTGTAGGAAATGATTAGTATAACAAGCATGTATTGAGCATATGCTATTGGCTACTCAGTTTGTGGTGGTTGACTGAGATATGGGATATAGAGGTAAGTAATGAAGACAAATTACCTACTTTCATAAAGATTTCTTTATAGATGGGGAAGACATAAAATAAACAAATACATAATATGTGAGATGGTGATAAATTCTATAAAGAAAAATGGACGGGAGGAGGGAGAAGGGTACTTTATTGTCAGAGTTAAGTTGGAAAAGCCACGTCATTGGAGTAACATCTTAGCAGAGACATTAATGAAATAAAAGAATCAAGCCAGATGGATATGTGGGAGAAAACATTCCAGTTCAGAAAACAGTTAGTGTAAAGGCTTGATGTGGTAGAGGTACATCATGGAAGTCAGAATGGATGAGGCAGAATGAGAGATTCCAAAGGTAGCAGCATGTCTAGGTCATGCTGGAAACTGAAAAGACTTACTCTGAGTAAGAAGAGGAAGACAAAGTGTTTTGGGCCTCAGAATGGCATGATCTCACTTACATTTGAAAATATCACTCTATGTGCAGTCCTTAAACTGTAAGGAGTGGAGGGCAGCAAAGGGCAGGAGCAGAGTGTCCAATAAAAAGGGGACTGCCTGAGGCCAAGGAGAGATGATAGGCGCATGGGCTAGGCTGGTAGCAACAGAAATGGAGGGGCGTGGTTGAAATCTAGATACATTGTGAGGGTAGAGCCAGTGTGATTTGTTGATGGTTAAGTATGAGACCAACAGAAACATCAAAAATAACATCAAGATTTTTGCCTTAAATAATGAGAAAAATGTACTTTCCATTTGCTAACATTGTGAGGAGTGTAGAACTGGGGGCGGGGGTAGTGGCATGGAAAAGGGTGGGAATTAAGTGTTCAGTTTTCAAAGGTTAATTTTTTTTGTTATGAATTATCTATCTATCTATCTATCTATCCATCTATCTATCTATCTATCTAATTGGGGTACAAGTGGTTTTTGGTTACACGGATGAATTGCATACTGGTGAAGTCTCAGGTTTTAGTGCACTAGTTACCTGACTAGTATACATTACACCCAACATATAGTTTTTTATCTCTCATACCCCACCCATCCTCCTTGCTTATGAGTCTCCAAAGTCCATTATATCACAGGTTAAATTTGAAATATATTCTAGACCATGAGCTGCCATGTATATATATATATATACACACACATATATACACACACACACTCATAGATACACACACATATTTATATATATTATATACATACATACACACACATATATACACACATACAAATAAATTACAATGGTTCTACCATCACTATATACATATACATATGTATGTATGTATAATGAACTGCCATACATATTAATATATACATGAGAGTGAGAGGGCAGGAGATGAAGGAAGAGGATGAAAGGAGCAGGCATTAATTCTCCAGTTTTCAGGGACTAGAAGCTCATCAGCAAGGAAAGGTAGACAGCTCACAGAGCTAGTTAAATTGCAGAGGTGAAAATTTATCTTAGGTCTAATTCCAAAGCCCATGCTCTTAAGCCACTATGCAGCCTTCCTCTGTTGAGCGTGAGGAACACAATTTATCGTCAGTTGCTCCCTACTTTATAAAAGGTATATATAAGCATGGAGGAAATATTAGATTAATTTTTAATGTTAGATTGAGAATCTACTTTAAAATTATGTTTTACAGTTAAAAACATGGGAGTCTTTCACTCTTCCATGGACTACTTTATTACTTTTCATTTGATTTGGATTTAAGGCTGTTACTGGACTTCACATGTCAAGTTTTAAAAGTCTCAATCATATTGTGCATGATGGCATCCCATATATGGTGCCTGTTTTTGACTCATCAAGTTCATATTTCAAGAGCAACAAACTCTTCCTGCCAACCCTCAAATGGATGACTTTAACCAAGTAATTTATAAGGATAAATGATGATGTTTTGCTCCTTCGATGAGTTATGGATATGAGCTGTGCTCTAGTTCCAGCCCTTAGTTAGGCTGAAAAATTGCTTTAAAGCTCTCTCTCATGCATTCCATGGACACACCTCCTCTGGAGTGAAGATGCCCCACCCAGAGACCTTAAGGCAGGACACTTTTGTACTACTTGGCCACAGTGCTTTGGATCAGGACTCAGCATTGACATAAGGGGAGCCAGCCATCCAGAACCTGGGCAGAGACCCATGTCCTCTGACTTGCCTTGCGTCCTGGTGCCCAGAAAACTATATTAAGAAGAGAGAAAGAGAGAGGAAAGGAGAGGAGATGGGATAACATGGGATTAAAAAAATATTTAAACTCATTACTCTTGTGAAAGGATGCATTGAAGCCTGCCCTGGTTACACTGGAGTCCAAGGTGAAGCGGATGAATGTGTACTCTCAGTAGACCGGATGGGCCCAGGGATCTCTCTGCCACAGAGAACTGCTAGCTGCTGGGCCAAGTCATTGTCTCCTACATTGAAAGAAAGGAAACAGCATGAAAATACAGTCCTGAGAATCTACTCTACCATCATTTGCAACTTAGCCAAGCAGCTCACACATTTTTTTCAGAACATCAGGATTCATAGGAGATAATGGGATTCTCAAAAAGGAGGACCCATCAGGGGTGATATCATTTTGGCTCCAGCTTGCAATGGTGCTACCTGTCCTTGCAATGGTGCTGCCTGTCCTTTTCTTTACCACCCTGCCTTTTTTTTTTTTTTTTTTTTTTTGTGAGATGAAGTCTCCCTCTGTTGCCCAGCTTGCCCAGGCTGGTCTCGAACTCCAGAGCACCCGCCTCGGCCTCCCAGAGTGCTAGGATTCCAGACATGAGCCACTGTGCCTGCCCCGAGACCTCAGTATTTTTTAAGGAGCACTTCTGAGTTCTTCCACATTGGCCACTGACAAATTGCACACGGTGAGAATCTGGGTTTTAACATTCAATGCATTGAATAGCATTGAATCTGTAAATCTGGGGGAGAAGTATGGCCATTTTAATAATATTGATTCTTCCTATCTATGAGCATGGAATGTTCTTTTCATTTAATAGGGTGGAGGGTGGCAGAAGGGAGAGGAGCAGAAATCACTGGCAATTGGGCATGTGTTGCTATTTTTGTCTTTAGTGAGTGAGCTCCTGAGATTGTCCCATGGGAGGATCTGTTGACCCAGGGACCCAGAACCAGTGCAACCCAAGGCCAGCGGGTGAAGTTGAAGAAGTGTCCGCCCGATGGCATCTTATCTATTCTCAGCTTGTAGACTGTGGCCACCCCCTTGCCCCCATTCTCTTTGTTCTCGGCCCCACCAACCAAAATGTACCTGTTCCAGAATCCTTTTTCTTGAGGTCCTGTACTGTGCTAAGTGGCAGCTAGCTAACATGCTAATTCCTCCACAGTATATTTTTAAATGGAACCACCCCAATCGTGAGAACTTCAGAACGGTGGCAGGCTGTGGAGAAAATAAGATGGGGGAGTGTAAGTCTGTCACTTTCCAACTCCTAGTTAGCCCATGTGCACGGCTGATCCTGAAAAAGATTTCTTTTGCTATTGATGATAGAATGTCTATCAAACAGAATTGATGTAATAGCAAAATATTATACATAGATTTTCAGTTGATGCACTCTCTCCTAAATAACTTGGTGTGTGTGTACATGTGAGTGTATGTACAGGATGTTAGAGGAGATACACTAAGAAGTGCGATACTTAGGTACATACATTCTTCTAGAGCATCTCTTCTCTTTTTTTATGTTTTTATTTTTTAGAGATAGTGTCTTTATCACCCAGGCTGGAGTGCAGTGGCATGATCCTAGCCCACTGTAACCTGAAACTCCTGGGCTCAAGCAAGCCTCCTAGATGGATGTGCACCACCACGCCTGGCTAATTTGCCCAGGCTGGACTCGATCTCCTGGGCTCAAGTGATCCTCCTTCTTCGGCCTCCCAAAGTATTGGAATTACAGGCCACTGTGAGCCACTGTGCCTGGCCTTCTTAACTTTTCTTAAGTCACTGACTTTTTTAAATAATAGAGTGAAAACTACAACCCTGATCCATAGAGAAGTGCACGTGATGGTTCTAATTTCAGCAGGCTTATGGATCCCATTGTGTTCATCCATGAATTTTTTAGAGGTCTACGTAGCTCAGATTTAGAAACTCCAGAGTTGGGTGAAGATAACACTAGTATGTTTGTACGCAGTGTGGACATAGTGATGCTATTTTTTTTTTTTTTTTTGAGACAGGGTCTCACTCTGTCATCCAGGTTGGAATGCAGTGGCATGATTTCGGCTCACTGCAACCTCCGTCTCCCAGGTTCAAGTGATTCTTCTGCCTCAGCCTCCCTAGTAGCTGGGACTACAGGCATGCATCACCATGCCCAGCTAGTTTTTGTTTTTGGTAGAGACGGCTTTCACCATGTTGGCCAGGCTGGTCTTGAACTCCTGGCCTCAAGCTATCTATCTGCCTTGGCCTAGTGATGCTATTTCTTAAAGGAGATGCTTCTTGGAAATTTGTTTAAAACTTTAGATAATTTTTAATGCATCACAGAACTCATTCTTAATGGCTTCTTAAAAATTGTTGATAAGTGCCACCTTATTTATCTGCTTAAATTTACATTTGGTTAAATAAGAATTTGTAATCTTTAGCTCCCAGGCTTGAATGGAACATGGTGTGGACACATGCAGATACTTTTAAATGGAATACCTTTCCCATTTCCATTTTTCGCTTTCTTCGTCAGTCAGCCTCATAGGCCAAAACCACTTGAATACAATTGATAACCAGTTAACAAACTAATGGACCTTGCATTTTGCTGTTTTCAGTCTGAACCCTCTTTTGTCTAATTTTTTGCTATTTCTTTAGCTTCTTTTCCCCTGCCTATATATTTTTTGTTCTAGTTACCTGTTTTTTTCTAAAATCTTAAGTTCCTACCCCTCTCTCTGAATTTTGCTCATCCTTCAGAAAGTTGAGATGAATGCTCATCTTTCTCTGTGAAGCCCTCCTTTTCATCCAACTGAACCAGCAATGTGTGGAAAGAAATACAAGGTACCCCACAGCCTGGGGACCATCAAGAACAACACCTATGTAATAACTTCAGCAGGAGATGAAAGGGAAAAGAGCAAATTTGTTGAACCCCCACTCTATATCACGTGGAGGAAACAGGTGTAAAGTGGTTAAGTGACCAGAACGAGGGAACGACAGAGCTTTCTGCATGGCTTCCAAGTGGCTGCTCCACCATGTCCCCTGCTGTCTCTGCAAGTGATGTGTGTGTGCACTTGTGCACTTGAGATGCCCCATCAGGTCAATCTAGGAACGCCATGGACAAAGTGTTCCTGTGGCTCTGGATCCTTACTCATTCCATTAGAAGAACAGGGACATTTCCTAAGGTTAAAAGCCATAGCTGTGTTAGTTCAAAGGGGAAGATCAAAGCTCCCATGTGGATTTGGTGGATTTTCCCAGCCCTGGGCCTCTTCCTTTCCCTCCCATTCCTGCCCTCCTCATGCAGTGACCCTAAAGATAAGGTCCAGTAGGAAAAGAAGCAGTCCAGTTTTGGCCTCTTGCTGGATTAATTCCTTTTTTTTTTTTTTTTTTTTTTGAGACAGGGCCTTACTTTGTTGCCCAGGCTGGAGTGCAGTGGTGCAATCTCGGCTCACTGCAGCCTTAACCTCCAGGTTCAAGTGATCTTTCCACCTTAGGCTCCTGAGTAGCTGGGACTACAGGCATGCACCACCATGCCAAGCTAATTTTTTGTAGAGGTGGGGTTTTGCCCTGTTGCCCAGGCTGGTCTGAAACTCCTGGGCTCAAGCAACCCACCCATCTCAGCTTCCCAAAGTGCTGGGATTACAAGTGTGAGCCACTGCACCCAGCCTAGATTAATTCTTAATTGTAAAAGAAGACAGAAACTAATGACAAAACATGCTTTTTATGTGTGCGTGTAAGAGAGTGCAAGATAGAATGTGACTTGCTTACTGTCTACCTCGTAATGTTAATAATCGAGGCTTACATATAGATATACATTCATATATATTATACATAATAAAGACATGTACTCATATAAAAGAGCCTAGATCACTCCTTTTATAACACTGAGCTTGTTATTCTCCATTGATGGGTTGAAGTTTTTTTTCATATTCTCTTTCTCTCTCTTCCCGGTGTTTTGGAATTTCCTGGGCATTTTTCCTACCCTTCCTTTTCTTACCCTTCGCTGGATGTCACTTCCTCCCCAGGCCACTGAATGCCATTGAATGCCACTTCCTTTCCTCTCAGCGCTGCTTCTCCCTCCCAGCTCCCCAATTAAAGCTCTTTATTCATGTATGGCTTTGCTGGAGGGGTAGCGCATCAGAACTGGAGTGCAATTTAGAAGCGGTGTTCCTGCAAGAATTCAGAGTTCATATGTCCTCCTGAAGATGCTTTGGAAGTTAACACAAGATTCAGAAATTAACTAATTTTTATATGCTCAGAGGAGAAGAAATCTATGCTTGTCAGTTTTTTAGGAGATTTGTTTGGTTATGCATACACCTTTTTATAGCTCAGGAACATATATTTTTGCACGTTTGGCTTTATACACTAAAATCTACCTTATTACTTGCTTATACCTTTTTTCTCTAATTTTCATGCAATTCATTTTCACATTGCTGCTGAAAGAGTAGGACCATTGTGTTGCAGTGAGTTAAGCCAGGGACATTTTTGTTTACTAAATAACTTAGGCTATAGAATCCTGAGGCGGCTCATAATAGCATAGAGTGAGCATGTGCTTTCGGGGCACAGGTTCTCAGTAAATACTTGTTGTTTATTAACTGAAAGTAGCATTGCCTTTGTTATTTATAAAACTAATAATATTTGGAGAACTTTGTTATTTATAAAGCTAATAATATTTGTTGGCCTTTCTTGGGGTAGATGCTTCGATATTTTGCTATTTTATGTTTACCTTGAGGAACATGTAGAACCTTTTAAATGAGAATTTGTTTCACTGTTTCATAAACTTTAAATAACCTAGAACTACTGTAATTCACTGCTTTAATAGCTGCTTTGGGTGAAATTCCGTAAAATCTGTGAAGCCAGTTATCATTAGTATACTTTCGAATTTCAAACTCTTATGGTAATATGTAATAAGTTCATTATCCACCTTGTGTTTTTGGCCAGAAAACAAAGGTAATTAATCACTATGACTACAAATGACCTTTTTTTGCATATAAAGTGCTTAGGAGGACTTGAAGGTAATTAATCAGTATAACTACAAATGACCTTTTTTGCATATAAAGTGCTGAATAGTTTAATTATTCCTACGCGAGAGTGAGAAGATTCTTCTTTATGTAAAATCATTAAAATGGCATCGAGAACTATGATTTGCTGAAAGACTTGGCATGTCTATAATTAGTCTAGACACCACCTTTGTGCTGTGAATGGACTAATGTTCTCCAGTTATTATGGCTAGAGATTAAAAAGCCTGTGCTTTCACTTTGACCACGGATGCCCCAAGTCATATTTCATCACGTTTCTGCTAATTTGTTTTTTTTCTCCCTTGCTTCATTCAGGCCAAAGAGGGGCACTTGTTTTTCAGTATCATATTCATCAAATGCTGGGGCAAGGAAATGTTTACTTTCACCATTTTCTCATAAGTGGTCCTTCCCTCTCCCGTATATATAATGAATAATCTCACTCATTTTCATCTATTCTCAGGTTTTTAGTGGTTTTTCTAGTAACTTAATTGTAGTAATGTAACATACTAAGTTATCTAAGTGACAAGCTCATTTTAATATCCTCTACCATCCTCTATCCTTCTATGCTTTATTTTAAAAAGCTGTAGAAATATACGACATTGTGAACATCTGACCAGGCATTTTCATTTGTTACGGCAACAGACAAAAACCTCCTTTTTTTAAAATAGCAGTATGTCAGGTTTTTAGAAGCAATGCTACTCAGCTTCATTTTGCTGTGACTCATTCCATGTGGTTTCTTTGGGGACCCTTTGGCCTGAGGGTAGGTGGCATTTTTGCATCCTGGAAATGGGCACAGCACAGTATGTTGCCTCCATTGCAGCACAAGGGCGGGCATGCCCCTGTGCCACCTGCTGTCCTAGCCCTGGCTGTGAGCAATTGCCTGCCCTAAGTCCTCCTCTTCATTCCCTTGCTGTAATTCACCATCCATCACTGGAAGCAGAGGTTCAGACATCAGTTCACTTTTTTCAAAGAGGCTTTGTCCCCTGGCTTTCATGCTCTGGGCCAGCCCTAGCTCAGGAATCACTAGCTCTAAAAACATCCTTTGGTGCTTCTGCAAAAACAGTTGGGTGTAGTGCAGCCCCCAACTCCCCAGAAGTTTGGTGGAGATGGTGGGTGGAGGTCACCGCCAGATTTCATGCCCGTGCTGTGGATGGAAAGTGCCATGTGTTTGGAGCAGCTTCTGGCTTCCTGGCAGCCGTGGGTATGCGTTATCATGGTGCAGGGTCTAGTGCTGCCCTTCTGGAGCTGAAGAGAACCTGACTGTTGCTGGTAACCATATGACTCTAAAGACCAAAGTGTGACCCCCTCACCCTCCCGTGGGCTGCACCCAAGCAGACCTCCTGTCCTTATGTTTTTGCATTGTGCCTGCTGCTCCCAGAGTCTGTCGCTCCTTACAGCTTTGTTTCTTTGCCTCAAGGGCCACAAGATGCTTTTGCTCAAAAAGCCCCCTAATCAGCTGCACCCAAGCCGGTCTGTCTGTGCCATCACTACCACCCAGCATCCTGCCGTTAAGGTTCAGTGTTTTGAAGCTGAGCAGTATAGCAGGTGACATCTCTTTGTATGGCCACCCTTGGTCATGATGAATTTGCCACCAAGTGACTTAATTCAGTGTGCTAGGGAATTCAAGGCTTTTCTCCTCTGGAACATTGTCCATCTTAAGCAATACTGATCTTACCATAAAATCCTGTGTGGGGAAGCAGAAGTTGACTAGAAAGGGTTTGATTGTGGCACCCACGTTGAACGTGTTAGCTATCTAGAGTATCATTTGTTTCACTTCTCATCAATCCCCAGGCTCAGTAGGCGTCTTCATTTGGATAAGATTGATTATTATACTCATCGCATTATTGCATGGGGTAAGGGACATATGTGTTGGATCGATAATCGTGATGCTGCCAATGAATTAAAAGTTTTCTGAGCCATAATATGGTTCCCAGAACAGCAACATCAGCATCCCCTGAGAAGTTGCTGGAAATTCAGATTCTCAGGCTTTACCCCAAACCTACTACTAAATCAGAAACTCTGGGATACCCCTCCATCTGTGTTTTAGCAAGGCCTCTGGTGATTCCGATGTCTCCGTGGTTTGAGACCCACTGCCATAGAGCAGGGCTGTCTAATAGAACGTTCTGTGGTGATGAAACGGTCAGTATCCCTGCCATGCAGTAGTGAAGCCACTAGACACCACATGTGGCTATTGAGCTCTTTAAATGTGGCTGCTGTGACCAAACAATAGCATTCATCATTTTATTTTTGATTAATCTAGGTTTAAATTCAAATAGCTGCATATAGCTAGTGGCTGTCCATCAGATAGCCCAGCCCCAGAACACACCCTGCTAATTATTATTGTGTAAACTCCTAAAATGCTTTAAGTTGTTGGTTGTGGAATTATTAATTTTAGATCATAGAACAGAATTTTCCTTACTCAATTCAACAGAATTGAAACTATTGTTATAACAGTAGTTGATTTTGATTCTTCGTGTGGAGGGGAGATAGTTTGCGGGCTGCTGGCTGGTTGGGGGAAGCCTATTCTTGAGCTGATTGATTGTTGATTTTGTGAATGTGCATCAACTGTGCAGTGCCGGGTGGCTCATGCCTGTTGCAGATATAACCAATGGCCGTAGATACATGTCCTTTTAGGAGTAAAGCTGTTGCTCAGGAAGGGGCTGTGCCAGTGTTTCGCACAGATGGACTGTGGTTTCTCCAGCCTGTCCAGCAAAGTGGAGGTGCTTCCAGCCAAAGAGAAGTTAATGAGCCCTTCAGGCACTTTGGGCTGCTTGTGGAACCTTCCAGAAACTGTGCTGCAGGAGTCAGGGGTGCTGAATTGCCAAGTCTAGGGCTGGCACATCAGATGGACAAAACTCTTGAATCACATTCAGGTTCTTCAGTTTAGGAGAACTTGAAGGAAAAAAGGTCATGCCAGGTGTGTTAGGTGGAACTGCTGCAGAGCCTAGAAGAAACTTTGAGATTTGTCTCTGGGGTGATGTGACCACATCCTTGTCACCTTTCCAAAACACCAGCAGATGCTCTGGGACGAGAGCATCCCCAGCAGTCCTGTGATCCTGCGGCTAGAGCAAAATGTGACATTGAGGAGCCAGGGAATGTCTGAGTCCTTTGGGACTGTTCCCCCAAACCTAGCAACTGAAGTCTCAAACTTAAAGCAACCGTCTTTGGCTAGGCAGAAAATGATACTCAATTCTTTGTCAAAAGCAAAGTTCTACATGACTAAGCTTCCTAATTGAGGGCCCCATTTGTTGAATTATTTAAAGCCATATCATTGATTTTCATAATCCATCTCCTTTTAGAATCCTAGAATGTTAAAACAAAGTGGAAGAGACCTTGGAAATGGTCATAATCCAGTCTTCTTATTTTACAGAGGCCCAGAGAGGTTATGAGTTGAGTAAGGGCACACACAGCACTGTAGGGCCAAGGACCACATTGCTCTTCAGTTTCTTTGATGTCATAGGTCAGCTGGGGTCATAGGTCAGAAGCTGGATAGATTGATGAAAAAGGAACGTTTCAAAGACATGATAAGAAATATACTGATGCACGCTATTAGGTTTTAAATGCTTCTTGCTCATGCATCCTATAGCTATTTGGAAAATTCCAATAAAATATTTTGACTGGTAAGATATCGCAGTGGCCTTTTTGAAATAGCTAAAATTGTTCCTGCCACATATGTATATGATTTAGTCATGACACAATTCATATTGCTAACTGGTTATTTTTTCTGGACAACTAGTTTGGTTGGGAGTAGTTTATATTCCAAGCACTAGGCCTGTTTCAGTTTATTGACTTTGATACCCTATCTTTTGTAACTTACTTTCCTTAAGTAACATTCCTCTCCTACTTTATCCCCAAAGTATTGAGATGCTATGTGTAAAAAGTATGGTGCTGTGCACCTAATCAGCATTCTCTAAGTATTGGTTCAAAGAGTGAATACCATCCCATCCAGATGGGTCTGCATGTTAATTTCTTTAGATTTTCACTATGACTGGGGGTTTAAAAAATTCTGTATATTAGGGAGAATATTAGCTGTGTAATTTTTTTTCTCATCTAGCTTGAATGGAGTCTTAAGCAAAAAATTCACATGCTCACCAAAAGGCTGGGAGAGGTTTTGTAAATTGAATATGAGGTTATTGTTTGCATCCACAAGACAAAGCCCTAAACCACATTTAGCATAATTTGTGGTTTTAAATTGGACTGATTTAGCAAGGAGAGTGAAATAATCTCTCATCCTGTCAAAAAGGCGATACCTTTAGACGAGCATTTAATTCAACTGGCAGAGTAACTTTGGGAAGATGACAGTAATTCTGGCTGCATTATTCTTGGTTTGTGGCTAATTTGAGATCATCGTTTTCTCCTGATTTCACTAACTTTTGTTATTACTCTTCAAACTAATCAGATGAAGGCTTAGTGGTAGCTGGAGGGTGGACAGGGGAGGGATGAGGTCTGTGGGCAGCTGCACTGTATATACTTTATGATCTGGGGGGAGGAGATGACATCCAGTGACCTAGAAGACACAGCCTGGTGATTTTCTTTTCCTTTGAGATAGAGTTTCACTCTTGTCACCCAGACTGGAGTGCAATGGCATGATCTTAGCTCACTGCCACCTCTGCCTCCTGGGTTCAAGTGATTCTCCTGCCTCAGCCTCCCGAGTAGCTGGGATTACAGGCACCTGCCACCATGCCCGGCTAATTTTTGTATTTTGAGTAGAGTCGGGGTTTCACCGTGTTGGTCAGGCTAGTCTCAAACTCCTGGCCTCAGGTAATCCACCTGCCTCGGCCTCCCAAAGTGCTGGGATTATAGGCATAAGGCACCACTCCTGGCCCTGGTGATTTTCTTGATAATTGCTTACACAAGGTGAATACCATTCATTTCCACAGAAGTGTTCCATGGAGTGTGCACCTAAGAATGTGCATTTGTGTCCATATTGTACAGGTAGGATTCCTTTCAATTCCTGCAGGTATCCAAGAGGGAGGGTTCTGGAGGAACTTCCAGCTGTCTAGATTACCCCATGAAAACCTGTTCTTTTATCAACAGCCACTTCAGGAGCTCACCCAGGGACTGCTCACTAGACCACTGCTCCCTGCCCATGTGCCCTAGTTCAGAGTAATCCGTATTCTTCACAGTCCCTTCTTCCAGTGAAAACATTTCTTTTACCTTTCACCAAGCATTCACTCTAAAAGAAATCAGGTCAGCGATACTGTAGACATTTCAGAAAGCTGAAAATGATTACTCAAAACTATAATTAGCAATGTGCCTGTCCTTTTAATTTTGTTGCCCTAGGAGTTATCAATTGGTGTCCTTGAAATGGCTAGCTGCTTAAATATTTTAGATGTATGTTTGGCATTTTACACTCACCTTTGTGCTGGTTCTGATCACAAGTGCTCTTGGGTCTGAGTTTAGGTCTGACTGCAGGCAAGCAGGTTGGTTTTCTGGCCTCCTGGGGCACCCCTGGAGGAAGCAGATGGGATGGGAAGTAAACCTGACTGATATGAGATATCACACTTTTTCAGACTGGGCTCCAGGTCCCTGTTCATGTTTTTAGTTACCTGGATAGTCTTGGTATCAGAGTTTACATGAACCATGGCCAAGCTTATCGCCCATACAAATGTTTGTAGAATGATTGAATAGCAAATGGGATAGATGAATTACAGCCTATGGAAAGTCCTTCTACTGCCAATTTATAGTTTGTACTTTTGAGATAAAGATGCCTTTGGCTTTTACATTTGTATTTTCAAGTATATATATGCTAGGGAAGGAGGAACCTTTCAGGTCCCCAGTGGTTGATTTTCACCTTTGATCTGCACACTAGTGTTCATAGCATGTTACTGAGTTGACTTTTTTATTTCCATATAATAACAGTATATCGATGTGTTGCTAATCTGATGTAACATTTGTGTGTGTGTGTATGTGTATGTATGTGTGTATGTTTGTATGTGTGTGTGGTATTGTTCAAGATACATTACTCCAGAGGCCAAAATCAGAAACTAGGGAGATTGAATATTTCATTATTTAAAATTGAGCTAATATAATGCAATGTTAAGAGGACAGCTGTTCAGATACTGGGTTAAACAGCTTCAATGTATGTCACCCAGGAAGGGATTTGGAGGTTGCTGTCTTTCTTCTGGTGGCAATGCAAGAAAACCGAAAGAAAAAAACAATTGCACTTAAAAGATCCTATATGACAGCTATAAGTGTATATGCTTCGTAATATTCACTTTTATAGGCTGCTATGGTACAGAAATTCTCTTTTGTGCCTTTTTGCTCTGTTTCCCTCTTCATTGTCTGTCTGAAACAAACTATGCCAAACACTTAGCTAATGATATACGAAGGAGCATTTCAGCGGCCACTCAGAAGTGAGTGACTGCTTATGAAAAACCCATAAAAAATAAGTAAGACCGATAGGTGAATTCGATGGTCCTTTTGGAGTTATATGTTTCTTAGCTTTGAAGAAAAACAAAGTGTGCTGCTGCCATCCCTTGCTAGGAGTTCCGTTCCCAGATTCACACTCAGCATTTATGTTTCCATGGTGGTGCCACCAAACACAGCAGAACTGAAGAATTTGGAAGTGCTCAAATTTTTAAATAACCAGATCGAGGAGCTGCCAACACAGATCAGCAGGCTTCAAAAACTCAAACACCTGAACCTTGGGTGAGTATCAGTGGAGAGGAAAGGATGGAGAGAAAGAGAGTGGAAGGGGCGTGCTGGGTAGGGCCAGGGGAGGGATTCCATTTATATCATTACACAGAAGTGGATTTCTGATTT
Source organism: Homo sapiens (assembly GCF_000001405.40). NCBI lineage: Eukaryota > Metazoa > Chordata > Mammalia > Primates > Hominidae > Homo > Homo sapiens. Next base: position 45,115,823 of record NC_000010.11, on the reverse strand, counting down.
CTTTTTGTGTTTTGGGTTTTAAAAAAAGTTTTATTGTTTTAATATGTCCTTTTGGTGGCCTACATTAGTGAAGATTTGAGAGCTAATTGAGAAGCTAATAGTTGGCACAATAAGGAAGTTAAATTTTTACTGTATTTTGTGTCCAGTAAAATTTTATCTCAGTTCTGTTGACCAAGAAGGGACTTATTTGCATAACGTGAACTGACAGACAAGTTGTAGTATGGTTGATTTTTTTTCTGTCTGTGTTAAATAGGAATAGTTTATAAAGCACCTTCATGCCATGGAGGGAAGAATATATTCCCTAATGCTGCTTCATTCATTTTTGCAATTCTTCTCTGTAGTTGAGAGGTGACAATCCTCTGTCTTTCTTTATGCAAAGGTGAAGAGAGGAGTTTTGGTTCAACTGAGGTTGCAGAACCGGGGAGCGGTAAATAATAATAATGATAACCTGTCTTCGTGTATTGCTTTGCAGCACTTGATCCTCTTAACATTTGTGAGGTAGGGAAAGCAGGTTTTAGTGCTTTCATTTTATACAGAGGAAGCCAAGCCTTTTCAAAGGGGCTAAGGGACTGGGTCCTGGTCACCCCTGAGGTTAGTGGCCAAGCTGGGAAGAGAACCCCATGGTTCTGGGTCTAAAGGCTCCATCAGACTCCATTGATATGGTCTGGATCTGTGTCCCCACCAAATCTCATGTGGAATTGTAATCCCCATTGTTGGAGGTGGGGCCTGGTGGGAGGTGATTAGATCTGCGGGCGGAGCTCTCATGAATGGTTTAGCACCATCCCCTCTTGGTACTGTCCTTATGATAGTGAGTGAGTTATTGCAAGACCCCTCGTGCTCTCCTTCTCCTGCCATGTAATACACATGCTCCTGCATTGCCTTCCACCACGAGTAAAAGCTCCCTGAGGCCTCCCCACAAGCAGTAGCTGCCATGCTTCTTATACAGCCGGTAGAACCATGAGTCAGTTAAACCTCTTTTCTTGTAAGTTACCTAGCCTCAGGCATTCCTTTATAGCAATGGGAGAACAGACGAATACATCCATAGACCCCAAGCGGAACTGCAGCATCAGAATTCCATCTTCATTGGCACAGCTATTAGATGAAACTGCCCACTCATGCTTCAGTCTCTGTGCAAAGTCGTATACTCATTAAATTGTAGCCACTAAATGCTCTGGTTAAATTAGTGATTGACGTGGAGTGGCAATAGATGCTGGACAGATATTTGCCAATTTTTTTATTTTTATTTTTATTTTTGAGACGGAGTCTTGCTTTGTCGCCAGGCCGGAGTGCAGTGATACGATCGCAGCTCACTGCAACCTCTGCCTCTCAGGGTTAAGCGATTTTCCTGTCTCAGCCTCCCAAGTAGCTGGGACTACAGGTGCACACCACCACACCCAGCTAACTTTTGTATTTTTAGTATAGACGGGGTTTTACCATGTTGGCCAGGATGGTCTCAATCAATCTCTTGACCTCATGATCCACACTCCTCGGCCTCCCAAAGTGCTGGGGTTATAGGCATGAGCCACCACGCCCAGCCGCGAATGACATATTTAAACACTCACAGCACTGCCTGCCTGGGGCCTAGGAATTGTCGGTTTTTTGGCACTGTTGAGTATAAAGTGTGAGGCAGGTGGCTGTAAGGTCAGAGGTCAGGCTAGACAGGGAATCCTGGATATCTGCTGTTCAGTGAATGAGGATTTACCAAGTTCCCAATCGTGTACCAGGCATTATTCTAGCTACTGGCCATCCAGCCCTGATGGAGCTTCCATTACAGTTGAGGAAACCAACTATAAACAAATAAATGTTTATAATAATGGCAGGGAATCAAAAGTGCTAATGAAAGTCCTCTGTGCTAAATAAACAAGCTCCTCCCAGGCGTGGTGGCTCACGCCTGTAGCCTCAGCACTTTGGGAGGCTGAGGCTGGAGGGTCAGCTGAGGCCAGGAGTTCAAGAACAGCCTTGTCAAGATGGCGAAACCTTGTCTCTACTAAAAATACAAAAATTAGCTAAGTGTGGTGGTGTGCACCTATGATCCCAGGTATTCTACCCAGGAGGCTCAGGCAGGAGAGACATTTGAACCCAGGAGGCAGAGGTTTCAGTGAGCTGAGATCATACCACTGCACTCCAGCCTATGTGACAGAGTGATACTGCATCTCAAAAATACATAAGTAAATAAATAAACGAGCTCCAATTTTATCATGCTGACCATTGAGAAATTTGCATAGCCAAGTGGTGGATATGAGATATGGTCAGATTTTCCTATGAAAGATCAGTGTGGAGAAGAGGGTGGAGGGATGGAAACTAGAGGTTAGGAGACCAGTAAGAACATGAGCTTCATGTCCCATGTGAACTAGGACAGTGACAGTGGAGACAGGGAGGGATTTTATATGAAAAATATACAGGTGGTAACATTGACAGACAGTAACTGATGGGATGGAATGATACCTACGTTTCTGTGTCGGACAGCTGAAAAATAGAACAGATGGAGACAGGTTTGGGAAGAAAATAATAAGCTCAGGTTTTTTTCTGTTTGGTTTGAGGCACCATAGGACAGAGCCATAAACTTTTCTTTTTCTTTTCCTTTTTTTTTTTTTTAGACAGAGTTTTGCTCTTGTTGCCCAGGCTCCAGTGCAATGGCACGATCTCAGCTCACTGCAATCTCCACCTCCTAGGTTCAATCGATTCTCCTGCCTCAGCCTCCCGAGTAGCTGGGATTACAGGTGCATACCACCACACCCAGCTACTTTTGTATTTTTAGTAGAGATGCCGTTTTACCATGTTGGTCATGCCGATCTCGAACTCCTGACCTCAGGTGATCCACACGCCTTGGCCTCCCAAAGTGCTGGGATTACAGGCGTGAGCCACTGCACCCAGCCCTAAACTTTTCTTTTTCAATGAATGCATCTTAGTTGCCTTCTTGTTCTCTTTGGAGTTGTTTGCATTTGGGGCTATTGGTGCTTTATTGATTGTGTAAAGCTTTTTGTATTTAACTACACAGCTACATAGACGGAGTTGTCAAAGTTTGAAAAAACCTCCCAGTTCTTTGGGAAAGGAGCTAAGATGGGTTTCACTAAAGGATACCTCTGTCCTCAAATGGCATAAAGAATTATACTCACACAGTAAGGCAAGTTATAGGGAGGACCTCCATGAGGTACAGGGTGCTTCCAGACACATGTCACCTTCATCAGTCACTTCTGAAATCTTTGCTCCTTACTCTCTCTTAGGCTTTTTTTTCATCTCAAGATAGCATTAATTACAAGCTCCATCTTGCCTGTATTACAAGGTAATACAACAAGCCAAGTACTTGCCATAATGTGCTTCACAAATTTGTGACTTCATGGAGAATGTTCGTTGTTGCTGTCATTGCAGTAGATAGTCGTGGAGGTAGTTTTGCTGGGTGTAGTCTGTCTGGGTCGTTTTCTGCCTGAGAGGGGGAACCCACGTTTCCATTTTGGTTTCCCCCTGCTGTCTGCTGTTTCTGGTGAGGCCCACTTGGTAGGACTGGACCGAGCTGGATCTGTTATGAGAAGCATCGATGACTAGAATGATTTTTATTGTCACAGTCCCTTCCACCTTTCAATATCTGTCAACTTTTATTAAAGTTTAATTTTTAATTGGCTTTTAAGTGTGCTCAAAGGGAACGGCATTAAGAAAAATAAGGGGCTTAAAGAAAAGGATAAAAGATAGTGTAGAAAAAAAATTCCCTTAACATCACACACCGGGGCCTGTCAGGGGGTGGGGGGCTGGGGGAGGGATAGCATTAGGAGAACTACCTAATGTAAATGACGAGTTGATGGGTGCAGCAAACCAACATGGTGCATGTATACCTATGTAACAAACCTGCACGTTGTGCACATGTACCTCAGAACTTAAAGTATAATAAAAAAAAAGAAAAGAAAAAAATTCCCTTAGACTTCATCGGAGACACACACACAGACACAAACACGCACACACACCCACACACACACCACACACACATACTGCGTAAACACACACACCCCCACACCCCCACACACACCCCATACACATACCACACCATACCACATCCATACCCCCACACACACCACACATACAACACACACCACCACACCACACCCTCCACACACACCACAACACACACACCCCATGCCCACCCACACACATCACACACACACCACACCCCCTCCACACACCACACACACAGCACACCCCCCACACACCACACATAACACCCCCGTACACACACACATAACACTACACACAACACCAGATACACACCCACACACACCACACACCCCCGCACCCACCCAAACACAATTGACCCTTCAGCAACACATGGGTTGAGGGAGCACCACACTGACCCCCCATGGAGTCGAAAATCCACACATAACTTTTGACTCTGAATAAACTTAATTACAAATAGCCTACAGTTGACCGGAAGCCTTACCAAAACATAAATGTCGATTAACACATATTTTGTGTGTTATATGTATTCTATTCTGCATTCTTACAATAAAGTCAGCTAAGGAACAGAAAATGTTATCAGGAAAGTCATAAGGAAAACAAAGTGCATTTACTGTTCTTCAGGTGGAAGTAGATCATCTTAAAGGTCTTCATCCTCTTCTTCATGTTGAGTGGGCTGAGGAGGAAGAGGAGGGTTGGTCTTCTTGTCTCAGGGGTAGCAGAGGCAGAAGAAAAATATCCATGTGTCATTGGACCCAGGCAGTTCAAACCCATGTTGCTCAAGAGTCAATTGTACGATTTAAAAAATTTTTAAGTTGTGATAAAGTGCACATAAAATGTACTGTCTGGCCAAGCAGTGGCTCACGCCTGTAATCCCAGCACTTTGGGAGGCTGAGGCAGGAGGATCACGAGGTCAAGAGATCAAGACCATCCTGGCCAACATGGTGAAACCTTTCTCTACTAAAAATGCAAAAATTAGCCGGGCATGGTGGCACATGCCTGTAGTCCCAGCTATTCAGGAGGCTGAGGCAGGAGAATTGCTTGAACCGGGGAGGTGGAGGTTGCAGCAAGCTGAGATCTCACCACTGCACTCCAGCCTGGACGACAGAGCGAGACTCTGTCTCAAAAAAAAAAAAAAATTACTGTCTTTGTAGTATACAGTTCAATGGTGTTAAGCGTATTCACATTGTTGTTCAGTCAATCTCCAGAACTTTCTCATCTTGCAAACCTGAATCCTACACCCACTAAAATACATCTCTCCATTGCCCCTCCCTCCAGCCCCTGGCCATCACCATTCTAATTGAAGATAACTTTGAATTTTAACAGTTGTAGAAAAAAAAAAACATGATTTTCCCTCCTAAAAGGAAAAAATGAAATGAAATAAAGCAAAAATCTGAAAACTACAAAGCTTCATGTGTGTAGTTTCAGATATTATTACTACATTCATCAGGAAGTTTTTCTTTACAAGGACAGATATTTTGTGATGGTTTGAGTTTTTGTGTAAAAGAATGATTAAATTTCACCACTGGAGAAAAATGACAACTAAGAAATTTCCAAATGTTTCAGGAATATATAAGCTCTCTAAAATTATTAGTTTAAATAGGACAACATACCACATCATCCCACTTATATGTGGAATGTAAAAAAGTAAACCTCATTGAAACAGGGAATAAAATGGTCACCAGAGGCTGGAGGGAGAGGGGAATTGTGGAGATGTTAGCCAAAGGACACGAAATTTTAGTTAGACGGGAGAAGTAAGTTCAAGAGATGGATTGTACATCATGGTGACTGCAGTCAATAACAATATGTAGTATATTTGAAAATTGCTAAGAGAGTGAATTTTAAGCGTTCTCACCACAAAAGACAAAAAAATGACAAGCATATGATATGAGGCAATGCATATATAAATAGTGTGATTTAAGGCATTCCACGATGGATGATACATATATCAGAAATATCATGTTGTACATCATAGGTATGTACAATCTTCATTTGTCAATGTAAATATTAAATAAATACTTTTTTTAATTAAAAAAAATAGGATGGGCATGGCGGCTCACACCTATACTCCCAGCATTCTGGGAGGCTGAGGTAGGAGGATGGCTCGAGCTCAGGAGTTTGAGACCAGCTTGGGCAACCTGGCAAAAACCCATCTCTGCAAAAAATGCAAACATTAGTGGGGTGTGATGGTGTGCACCTGTGGTCCCAGCTACTTGGGAGGCTGAAGTGGGAGGATTGCTTGAGCCCATGGAGGTCGAGGCTGCAGTGAGCCAAGATCGTGCCACTGCACTCCAGCCTGGGCAACAGAGCAAGGCCCCATCTCAAAAAAATAAAAAATAAAAATAAAGTGACTCTAGGATCATGGCACTCTCTTACACTTTCAGCCTGTGAAACAGAGGTGCTCTTGATAGTCTGTATAAATGTGTCTTTGGTGTCCTGATGTAGATTTTTGTCCCCCTGCAACAGCATGAACAGGCTGAACACTTTGCCACGAGGCTTCTGCTCTCTGCCAGCTCTTGAGGTTCTGGACTTGACTTACAACTTGAACGGAAATTCTCTTCCTGGAAACTTCTTCTTTTTTTTTTTTTTTTTTAAGATGGAGTTTCACTCTTGTCCCCCAGGCTGGAGTGCAATGGCGTGATCTCGGCTCACTGCAGCCTCTGCCTCCTCCTACCTCAGCCTCCCGAGTAGCTGGGACTACAGGCGTGCACCACCATGCCTGGCTAATTTTTGTATCTTTAGTAGAGACGGGGTTTCACCTTGTTAGCCAGACTGGTCTCGAACTCCTGACCTCATGATCCGCCCACCTCGGCCTCCCAAAGTGTTGGGATTACAGGCGTGAGCCACCGCGCCCGGCCCCCTGGAAACTTCTACCTGAGTAAGAAACTTTCAGTTCTATAAATCTCCTCAACACTATACTTTGCCTTCTCAGAGTGAAATTTATTTGCCAGGACCTAAACTCCAAGAGAAATTATTGGACAGAGATAATTTTTTCTTTAGAGACTCCTTTTGAATATTCCTTAGTAGCTCAGCAGTATGTGCATTTGATATATCGTTATGTGACACCGTTGGGCTGAAGTGGACTTAGTAACATCATATTAACATTCTGAGAGAGATTATATACCTAAATGAGATCAAGCCTCACATTTAGCTAAGAGACTTGACTTTCTTTTTAAATAGCATGCCAAAAAAAAGTATCCTCCCATGTTGGTATTAATTCTTTGCAGGATATTTGCCCAGGAAGTCCGAATCAGTTATTTATAAAAATATTTATTAATAAATCACTAACAGAATTCTTAAATTTTCTAGCCAGGATTCTTATTTCCAGCCTTTTAAAAAGTACTCTTATTGACCTATTTATCCAGTACACAGGCATTAAGAAATTATTGGCCATAGGTGAACACACTTTATTCTTTTATATGCCAACAAATTTCTTGCTGAAGATGCTTCTGAAAATTAAAAAATGGTTTCCTCTGGGAACTCATGCACTATTTCAGACAAAGTTTGCTTCTCTTAAATGAGTGTTCTATTTCTTCAATTAGTAATTTATGTGGCATTCAGAAAATCTGAATTTTCTGAGCTGGTCTCTAAAATTTCACTTTTTACCTTATATACATTATCTCTATGACTTTCTCAAGCACATGAAACCAACTGTAAAATATTTTCTTGGGCAGTGGAACACCTGTTTTTATTATGTTACATTAACATACAGTTCTGGAGTCTGAGCTCCAAAGATCACTTGAGGCTAGGAGTTTAAGACCAGCCTGGGCAACATAGAGAGACCCTGTCTCTAGAAACAAAAATTAAAAAATTAACCAGGCATAGTAGCATGTGCCTGTAATCTTAGCTAATCGGGAGGCTGAGGTAGGAAGATTGCTTGAGGCCAGGAATTTGAGGCTGCAGTGACCCACTGCACTCCAGTCTGGGTGACAGAACGAGACTCTGTCTCTAAAAAATAAATAAATACTGATAAACAAAACATACCTCTAATTATACTCAGCTTTTTTGGTTGAGGATAAACAGATGCTTTAGAATTTTAGCCTTCAGTAGTTTGTAATCATATTATCATTGTGTAGTAATTGTGAACAAATTTCTGACTACTGATATTCTGCTTAATTTCTGACTACTGATATTACTGCTTAAGTTAGGATTTCTGACTGCTGATATTCCGCTGAAGTTAGGATTTACTCTGTTAACTTCATGCCATTATTTTAGCCCCTTTTTCTTCATTTACTTTTGGCCTTAAGGCTGTAGAAACAAGTAGTAATAATTAGTCAGATTATGGAACTGATGAGCTGTGGTTATAGCCTCCATCACCAGAAAGCCTTTCATTAATTTTTAACACAGTGCTATTTACATAGGAAAAGGTCTATTTTAACATAGTTGTATTCCCTCGAAAGAAACTTTTTGCCCTAGGTATCCATAAAAGTGGCACAGTAGTTTTCTTTGTTTTACTTTGGATGAAAATGGAGAAATAAATGTGAATCAAAAGTAATCTGTGAGAAAAATAGCAATCTTTTTTGAAAATGTGTTGAAACTCTGTGCCCCAAAATGCTAGTGCCCACGTTGTTAATTGTATCAGTCCTCTTGGATATAGATGTTTTCCTGGACACACCAGCTACACAATAAGCCAGTAAATGTAAGTTTGACCTGCTTGTTATTATTGGGAGCCCTAGGTATGTCAAAGGCTTTTCACCAAGCCAGGGTTATTAATCAAAGCTGACTCCCTCGTATTGATCAGACCTCAAATGGTTGGGTTCCATGCCACCCTGTTTATATATTGCTGTTTAATTTGCAGCCACCCTGTGTGCACTCTATCTAAGTGACAACGGTTTTGAAATCCTGCCACCAGATATTGGGAAGCTCACAAAGTTGCAGATAGTAAGTAAGTTATCTAAATTCTTAGAAAATCAATTCACTGCTGCAGCCTTGTAGGGGTAGAATCAAGTAAATCTGAGCAGAAGTAAGGTTTGTTTTGCAGGAATAAACCACTACTTCTGATAGTGTTTCTTGATTATCCGCCAGCACTTGTAAATAAATGGAAAGGACTGAGCTGTGGTAGAAGAGAGGACGTGGAGGAGGATGAGAGTTTCTGTGGAGCACCTTTTAATGTGAAAATGTGTTGACAACTCCTTGTTTTCTTCTGTTTAGCTCAGCAATAGGGATAAAGACCTGATCTCACTGCTTAAGGAAATTGGGGAGCTTACCCAGCTTAAAGAGCTCCACATTCAGAGGAACCGCCTCACTGTTCTACGCCCAGAACTAGGTAAAGTTGCTGATGAATGAACTTAGTTCTGGGTTTCATGAATAACAATTATCCCAATGTAGCAATTCTGAACAACCTCCCTCCTCTTCTTGGCAACTACTCTCCACCTAGACACCCAATGTCTCAACAATGACAAATGTTGAGAAACATTTGTCATTGACCAGAGTTCAGCTGTTATAGGTTTGACCTTCCCCGATGCTGTGTTCTGCAGCTGTAGTGTCCCGTGTCTTAGAAACTGCTGATGAAAGATGACCCTGCTCAGCTCCCTGCATAATGTAGTGGAAAAAGCATGGGGTTAGTAGTAACAGCCTTATGCATGGGTCCTCGTTGACTAGCTGGGTAAGCTTTCTGGGTCTTGGTTGTTATTGATAACTTTATCGAAGTATCACTCTTACTTTTTAACCCCTTACTTTTTTATTGACCTAGAAAAACTTTTACCAAAGAATTAAAGTAGTTGTTACGGCTACTTGAAGTTGTTGATACCTCTGCTGGTCGTGAATTTGCCTCTCTCCTGATCCCATTTCTAGTAGGAATTGTTAAATATGTTCTTGCTGGGAATAGGTCCTACTTCTGGCCACTGAATCCTAATTCTCTGCCAGGTCGTTCCTATTTGCAGAGTGGGTTTATGTCCCCTGCCGGAAATAATCTCCAAGCCAGTCATTCTGTTACTGCTTCATTCCACTGCAAAAGGTTCCCAAGTTCCCTTATCTTTTCCTGTGCAGACCCTCAATAGCCTCTAATTTCTTTAATCCTTTGAACCACATTGTTTTCTCAAACTGCGGTTATTTGCTTTTCTGCCCCAAAATACCATCATTTTTAAGAAACACATAGAGGAAGCAGTTCTTTAAACAAGTCTGGCCGTTTCAAGAGGCCATTTGTTAGAAATTAAAATGCAAGCACCAGGAGGGCAGGGGCGTTTTCGCATTTGTTCCCTGGGGTGCAGTACTTGCTCAGAAAACATTGACTGAATGAATGAAAGAAGCAAGGACCTTGGATGGCAAGAGGTTAGGAAGGTTATGAGGAGGCCGATGGGGCTAATGGTTACGCATAGGAAGACTGAGACACAGAGCACACCCATCAGCACCCAGAGTTCTGCTGGCAGCCTTATTAGGCTAAAGAGAAGGCAGTCACGTGATTTCCTGGAACAGATGGAAAATCCCACCTCCTCCCTTCCCATTTCCCTTAACTCTCTTGTTAGTGTTAAAAGACCAGATGATTATTTAATGATTTTTAAGGGCTGAGGAGCAACTCAACATTTCTCTTTACTGAGTTGCAAGCAGTCAAGTTTTGTTTTGGGAGCAGGGTTACAAAATCAAGAAACGCTTTTTGCAAACAATTTCAAGGCAAAAAACTTCTTGTCAAAGGAGAGATCTTGGGCTGGACACCATGGCTCACACTTGTAATCCCAGCACTTTGGGAGGCCGAAGAGGGTGATCGCTTGAGCCCAGGAGTTTGAGACCAGTGCCTGGGCAACGTGGTGAAACCCCATCTCTACAAAAAGTACAAAAAATTAGCTGAGCATTGTGGTGCATGCCTGTAGTCCCAGCTACTCAGGAGGCTGAGGTGAGAGGATCACCTAAGCCTGGGAGGTCAAAGCTGCAGTGAGCCGTGATTGTGCCACTGCACTCCAGCCTGGGTGACAGAACAAGACCCTGTCGAAAGGGGGAAAAAAAAAAGAGAGAGAGAGATCTTGCACAGTGGTTAATAACCACAGATGTTATCATTAGTAATAGCTGCGGAGCTTCTACAGAACTCCAATACTTGCTTCCTCCCCAGCCTACTAAATCAGGATCTCCAGGTGTGAGGTGAATTCTTGTGTAACTTGGTGTAAAGCTCATTTAATGCCTCTGACATGTGTCCTTGGTTAGCATGGTTAGTAGAAACAGAAAAATAAATGTATATTTTGACGTCATTTGATCTTATTTCATTTTTCAAGCAATGAGGCAACGTAGGATATTAAACAATTATTTTATCAGACAATAATTTGCCACCAAAATGTCTAGTTGAACCTACACTTGCCTATGTATATATTTTAAAATCTTACTCATTTTGCTTATCTTATTTAAATACTATATGAGGTCATCTTTGTTCAACATTTCTGTTAAGCTTTCCATTAACAAATCATGTATATTTTTATTCAGGTGTAGAATTGAGGGGGCAGGCTTTAAATGACTTTATTTTTGACAGCCATATGTAGAAAAGCTTAATCTTAACATTTGCCTGATAGCAGTTTTTCCTGATTATAGGCAAACACTTAGTTGTAAGTAAATGATAAACCTTTAGAAGTCACTGTTACAAGCTAAACTCAAGATGAAGACAAATGTACTATTTATTTTTGAATGGTGATTTTTTTAAAAAGTCAACATTAATATAATACTAATATAGTAACAGCTATTATAATAATAGGTAGTATGTATTAAGGCCTGGAATTGCAAGGCAGTAAGATAAGTGTTTTTCCTGCAATATCGCCTACAACTACCATAAGAATTACAAGCAGACTTTTTAGAGGTGAGGACATTGAGGTGTAGACAGGGTTGGTTGGTGACATGTCTGTGGGGGACACACAGCTAGTGAGTCACAGAGGTGAGATCCGAACCTGGCAGTCCCTCCTCTGGGTCCAGCTTCCTGATCATGGTGAGGTCCTCTTTCCCACCCATATGCTGGTAAAAGGATTCCTAGAATTGCAGTTTTAAAGTTTGAACAAAACACAACCCCAGCACACCCCCCTAAAAAAAGCAGGCAGAGAGACGTTGCTGGATGGTGAGTTGGCATGGGCTTTGCCGGTGTGTGAGGAAGGCTAGCATAACACTTTGCAAAATGCAACTGAGATGGCCTCTGGAAGACAAATTGCTGTCCCATTCCAAGTCAGTTGCATTGTCCCCATGTCTCTTTCCCCTCAACAAACATGACCCCCAATGGGAACGTCTTTTGTTTGTTTGTGTCCCCAACACCTGAGGTGACCATCTGGATGCTGCTCTGGGCTGGCTGATGGGCAGTGCCGGGCACTGATGATGCACATGAAGCTTATGCTACAGGTTTGCTTCTGGGGGTGTTTTAAAGCATGGATGATGATCTCTCCCTGTATATTTTTTATGTATCTGAATATACAAGATAAATGCTTTTGAGATTTCTGTGAAATTTCCTTTCATAATAAATCCAGAGTTTATTAACTTGTAACCTTTTTGGTACTAGTATTTCAGCCAAGCAAGAGAATCTAGATGAGTTCTGATTTGTCAGGTCTGAGAACATGCAGGGACACAGCAAAATAAAGTCAGGGGCTTAGCTGGAGTTTTAATATGTGATTGTGTTACTTTCCCTTTATTGTATGTCCTTGAATAAGCTACTTAAACCGTTATGTCTGATTTCTAAGTAGTAAAGCACTTGCTTTCATATTAGTCTTTATACCTATCAAAAATGAGATGTAAGTTGAGTCTCTTGTGTAGCCGTTCATTCATTTATTTATTCAGGTTAAGTTCCTACTTTAGGGCAGACCTTTGAGTCCAAGGAACTTTCTTTTCCAGTAAACTAAGATTCACTTATTCAACAACTGTTTGTTGAGCCCCTGGTATTTGCTAAGGGTTATGACAAGAGACAGAACACCCGTTATTGATGATGTTCTAGTGGGAGAGGACAGAAAAAAGGAAGAGAGAATATGAATGACAGACACGTGATATTAAGAGTTCTGGGAAAAAATTGAGCATGGAAGGGAGTGTCCGGCTGGGGAAGGGGTAATCAGAGAAACCCTCACTCATACGGTGGTGCCCTTTATGCAGAGACTTAAAGGAAGAAGAGAGGTCTCCTGATGGAGAGAACAGTAAGTGCAAAGGTCCTGGGTGGGCTTGTGTTGAGGAAGAGCAAGGCCAGTGTAGCTGGAACACAGTGAGTGAAGGGGAGAGAGTTGTAACCAATGAGCTTATACAGGAAGTGGGGTCTGGTTCACCTGGGAACTAGTAGGACATTGTCAGGACTTGGGCTTTTACTCTGTGTGAAATGGACACCCCCATAGATGCTCCCATCCTAATCACCAGTATATGAGAATTTGTTACCTTATGTAGGGAAACAGACTTTGCTTATGGGCTTTGGAATCTTGAGATGGGGAGAGTATCCTGGATTGCCCAGGTGAGCCCAATGTAATCACAGGGGTCCTCATAAGAGGGAGGAAGGAGGGTCAGAGGTAGGAGTAGAAGACGTGGTGACAGGAGCAAGAGGCTTGAGTCACTCGTGAAAGGGGCCACGAGCTGAGGCAGGCAGCCTCCAGAAACTGGAAGGGCATGCAGCCAGATTTCTGCTCCCAACCCTGAAACTTCCAGAAGGAATGCAGCCCTATTGGCACCTCAATTTTAGTTCCATAAAATCCAATTTTTGGACTTGTGCACTGTAGAACATTAAGAGACTAGATTTCTGTTGTTTTAAGCCACCACTTGTGGTCATTGGTTAGAGCAGCAAAAGGAAACTGATACAAATGGGAAGACATTGAAGGGTTTTGAGCAAAGGCATAGCATGATCTGACTTTCTTATTTAGACACAGAGTCTTATGTGATCACACAGGTTAGAGTGCAGCAGTGCAATCATAGCTCACTACAGCTTCCATCTGCCAGGCTCAAGTGATCCTCCCACCTCAGCCTCCCAAGTAGCTGGGACTACAGGCATGTGCCACTATGCCCCACTGATTTTCTCATTTTTTGTGTGTGGAGATGGGGTCTTGCTATGTTGCCCAGGCTGGTCTCAAACTCCTGGGCTTGAGTGATCCTCCTGCCTCAGCCTCCCAAAGTACTGGGATTACAGGCATGAGCCATGGTGTGCAGCCCTTGACTATTTTTTGGAGGAGTTCTTTGGCTGCTGTGTTGAAAATAGGCTGGAGGGCAGAGGGAAAGGGTGGAAGCAGAGAGTCTGAGAGACAGGAGACTATTGTAGCAATCCTGGTGGGAGTAGATACTGGCTTCATCCAAATGGTAATGGCAGTGATACAAGTAATGGTCGGATACCGGATCTGCTTCAAAGGCAGATCTAACAGGAATTGGTAACAGTTTAGATGAGGGGTGAGAAAGTTAAGGTTAACTGTGAGGTTTTAGTCTAAGCAACTGGAAGGCTAGGAAAGGTTATAGGAAGAGTAGAAAGGTTATAGGAAGAGTAGATTAGGAGTAGGAAGAGTAGATTAGGAGAGGGATTGAGGAGAGGAGGTCGTACTGAACTGAGTTTCAATATGTTAAGTTTGAGATGCCTTTGGGGTATCTCATTGAGAAGGCAATGGGGTATAAGAATCTGGAGCCCAGAAGAGACATCTAGGCTGCATATATAATTTGGGGCATTATCAGCATACATTTAAGGCTACAAATTGGATGAGATCCTATGGGTGTGACTGCAGAGAATGAAAGATTGAGCCATAAAGCACTGTGGTTCCTAAACACTGAAGCCAGAAGGATTGAGGATGTTTATGGGTTGGGCTGACTCGCAGGCAGACATCTGTGGCCAGTCAGGGACTGTGGCCCCCTCGGTTGGCACCACAAATGGCTCCCCATTGCTGGGGCTGTGTGGTGTGTTTTTGCTTCGTAGGAAAAAGGGGTTCTTTTAGGAGGCAGATAGGGGCTATTCTCTTTTTCCTGACATCTGCAGTTAACGCTGCCAGGGCAGGACAATGGAATGCATATAATTGAAATATCATCTGGAGCCTGCCTGAATGCAGAAGTCTCTTTTTGGCCAGTATTTTCAGCCAGCTTCCAGTCTCCTAAAAATCAGCCAGCCATGTGGCTAACTGAAATTTCACCCTTTTTTTGTTCCTTTATATATTATTTCCTGGAAGAATTAATTAGTAGAGAGGATAAAGACCTTCATTGGTAGTGGAGAAAGGAAACTCAATATATGCCTTGACCAATCCTCAGAATAGGTCAGCAGCCCCGGAGAAAAAACAAAAAGGTAATTTGGGAGCTGGCGGCATCACCTGGGGTTTGCAAGCAGTTCTCTGTCCCACTTCTGCATTTTCTCACCCGCCGATGAGACCACTGTCATGTGAGCTGAATATTTGGATTATGTGTTTTGCATCATTCTCTTTGCTAAGCATTCCATGGTTTCTGCTGCTTGTTCTGAATTGGAATTGTTTCTGGTTTCTTGGCTTCTAGGCAATGATGGGACCTCTTCTCCTGCATTTGTTACCCAGATAATTTTGCCTTTGGAGAAGAGAAGAAAATCACATTGGTCTGCTCGGAATGCAACAAAACAAAGTGTTATTGACACCAAAACCTTATTTGCACCAATCCAAACAGCCTATGGGACATATGTCTGCAATGCTGCACACACCTGGGGCTAGCCAGCTTAGTGCCCTACGATATGTGCCAATAATCGATAGCATTTTTTACTACAGTAATTATGAGAAGCATAGTATTTTCTAGCATGCTTGTGAAGAGTGGAAACAAATATTAATCCCCTTCAGAGAGTAAAGGACATTATGAATTGAGAATTTCCTCCCAATTTATTCTCCAGAATGAACAGAATTAACAGTGAGTGGATGTACGTCCAAAATTTCTTCTGTTATATCTCTTAATCCTTTTCCTGCGGACATCGAGAAACTAAAGAAAAATAACTTTCTTTACTGAGGCAGGCAAGAAGGAAATCCAGTATTCTTTGTTTGATCAATTAAGTCTCTGTAAGTGTCTCATTTATCTTCTCTTTTGTTATTGTCACTCTGTCAACTGGTTCCCAATTATTTTATCCAGAGGTTTAAAACTTTTTTAAATGTAAACAGTAGAGAATAGAGGTTAAGTGCTGCACTCTTCATCACTAGGCTTGGGTTCAAACCTCACTCTCCCACTCCCTTGTTCTGTGACCTTCAGATACTGATATGGTTTGAAAGGAAAGGAAAGGAAAAAACAGATCAAAATGTTTCAATAATCATGAACGTATATGTATCTGATAATGTACCCTTTATTTATGCTCAATGAGATTTAACATGTTCATCTCAGAAAGGGATAGATCAAGCTGCAAAAAGTTTGCATACATAGAAGATCTAAATAGCATGACTAACAAGTTTAAAATATTAATGTAGAATCATAAAAATATAATTTTTTCAAGCACACATATAATATTTGTAAAAATTGACCAGGTACAAATCACATAGTAATTCTCAATAAATTTTAGAAAAAGGAATAGCATTGTATAAACTGTGTTTATTTATCACAATGAGGTAGAAGTAGAAATTATTAACAATTATTAACAAAAGTAGAAATTATCAAAAATGTTAGCTAATAAAAAATTAAAAGTCCATATGTCCTGAAACAAAAACACATGCCACTAAATACATCTTATCTGATTAAGAAATTATAATTTTGAAATATTAAAACTGAACATCAATAAAAAGTACTTTATGTCAGAACTTTAGGGTAAATATGGTCAAATGTAATTTATGGGTTTTTTTTTTTAACTTCCATAGGTTTTTGGGGAACAGGCAGTGTTTGGCCATATGAATAAGTTCTTTAGTGGTGATTTCTGAGATTTTGGTGCACCCATCACCCAAGCAGTATACACTGTACCCAATTTGTAGTCTTTTATCTCACATCCCCTACCCTTTCCCTCGAGTCCCCAAAGTTCACTGTATCATTCTTTGCCTTTGCATCCTCATATATGCATCCTCATATCATTCTTTGCCTTTGCATCCTCATATATGCATCCTCATATCATTCTTTGCCTTTGCATCCTCATAGCTTAGCTCCCACTTATGAGTGAGAACATACAATGTTTGGTTTTTCATTCCTGAGTTACTTCACTTAGAATAATAGTCCCCAGTTCCATTCAGGTTGCTGTGAATGCCATTATTTCATTCCTTTTCATGGCTGAGTAGTATTCCATGGTGTATATGTATGCCACAATTTCTTTATCCACTTGTTGACTGATGGGCATTTGGGCTGGTTCCATATTTTTGGAATTGTGAACTGTGCTGCTATAAACATGCATGTGCATTTACCTTTTTCATATTATGACTTCTTTTCCTTTGGGTAGATACCCAGTAGTGGGATTGCTGGATCAAATGGTAGTTCTACTTTTAGTTAAGGAATCCCCACACTGTTTTCCATAGTGGTTGTACTAGCTTATGTTCCCACCAGCAGTGTAATATAGTATATTTTTTCTTTTTCTTTTCTTTTCTTTTTTTTTTTTTGAGATGGAGTTTTGCTCTTGTCGCCCAGGCTGGAGTGCAACGGTGTGATCTCAGCTCACTACAACCTCAGCCTCCTGGGTTCAAGCAATTCTCCTGCCTCAGCGTCCCAAATAGCTGGGTTTACAGGCTCCCACCACCTTGCCTGGCTAATTTCTGTATTTTTAGTAGAGATGGTGTTTCACCACGTTGGCCAGGCTGGTCTCAAACTCCTAACCTCAGGCGATCTGCCTGCCTCAGCCTCCCAAAGTGGTGGAATTACAAGCATGAGCCACTGTGCCCAGCCAATATGGTATATTTTTAAAAGGCTAGAAGAGAGGATTTTGAATGTTCACAACAAAAAGAAAGAATAAATGTTTGAGGGGATAGATATGCTAATTATCCTGATGTAATCATTACACAATGTATACACATTGAAATATTCTGTATCCCATAAATATGTACAATTACTATATGTCAAATAAAAATAAAGGGGAAAAATACTTCATGACAATATGTATGTGATAAAACAAATGCAGTACTCAGAAGGAAATTTATAATTCCAGATATATTTATCAGAAAACATGTGAGATCAAAAACAAATCACCTAAGCCTGTGCCTAAATGCAGAGCTTATCTGCACTGAAAGCTTTTCTCTGTAGCTTTAATTCAGTGCAGGAAGATTTGAGGAGGCATGCTGCCTCCTTACTTTCTCCTTATTAAAGATATCCATTTATATTCTTCTAGGAACTGGCAGAATCATGTTGCTGGGAATATATATTTTCCACCATTCTATCAGGGCTCAGTGATACACTGATTTCACCGGCACCCCACATCCACTCAGTGACATAGCAGCAGCTGCTCATTTCAGTGCCAGCCCACAGCTTTCCACTGCTGACTCCGCCGGGTCCTTTCCCCCAGGCATCTGTGTCAGACCCTGAGTGCAATCACCTGCCTCCCTTCTTCCCAGGCAGCCCCAGACAAGCAAGACCTACAGAGACTCCTCAGGCCTTTCTATTCTCCTGGTCCTGAATCTTTTCATTTCCCCTCACTTATTCCAAATGTTGATTTGGAAATACAGATGCTCCTTGGCTTACAATGGGGTAACCCCCCGCCCCGATAAACTCATTTTAAGTTGAAAATATAGTAAGTCAAAACGCGTTTAATACACCTAAGCTACTGAACAGCATGGCTTAGCCTAGCTAGCCTACCTTAAACGTGCTCAGAAAACTTACAGTAGCCTGCAGTTGGGCAAAATCATCTCACACAGAGCCTATTTTATACTGAAGTGTTGAATATCTCATATAATTTATTGAATATTGTGTTGAAAGTAAAAAAACAAAGTGGTTGTGTGGGTACTTGAACAGTTTCTGCTATATTGACAATTAGCAGAATAAATTAGTTACCATTTATGTGAAATTTCCTTATTTAAGAATTAAAAAGGGCAGGTATGGTGGCTTATGCCTATAATCCCAGTACTTTGGGAGGCCAAGGTGGGCAGATCACTGGAGGTCAGAAGTTTGAGACCAGCTTGGTCAACATGGCGAAACCCTGTCTCTACTAAAAATACAAAAAGTAGCCAGGCGTGGTGGCGGGCACCTGTAATCCCAGCTACTCGGGAGGCTGAAGCACGAGTATTGCTTGAACTTGGGAGGTAGAGATTGCAGCGAGCCGACACTGCACTCCAGCCTGGGTGACAAGAGCAAAACTTTGTCTCAAAAAAAAAAAGATATATGAAATATAAAACAGGACTAACTGCTCTGGCTATATATACACACATATATTATATACATATATATGCTATACATACATATGCATACACACAGAGAACACTTAGTCCTGTTTTGCTCCAGGTTCTGAGGATACAGCAATGAACCAAAATGACAAATAGCCCTGCCTTGGGACCTTACAATCTAGTTGAGGGAAAGGCAATAAAACAAATAAATATATTGCATGATGATGCTGAGGAGAAAAGTAAAGCAAGTAATGGACAAAAGGAGAGTGGGAGGTGGGTGTTAATGATTAAAGGATGGATTCAGAGCCTACATCTGACTCCAATCAGGAAAAGGAGATGGTATCACCATTTCCTAGTCTACAATTACTGGAATGTTTTTCACTTCCTTTTCTTCATCCCTGATCCTATCAAAGTAGCCACCAATTTCTTTAGTGTCTTCATTCCCAAAGTCTCTGTCATCCACGGCTCCTCCCCATTCCTGTATGAAGACATCCTCATCCTGCCTCCTCTCGCCAAGGTCCTGTTCACACCTTTCCCCTTCCAGGAAGCCTCCCAAGCTCCTTGGCCTGAACTGCATTCCGTGTTATTTAATTCTCAGCAATTCTCTGTGGGCCACTTAGCACTGGCTGCCATAGCTGTGTAAGTTCAAATGAAAATCCCAATTATAATGCTTGTGGGATGAAACTTTCTCTGTATCAAATCACATTTATGATTAGAAAAAAACTGCAGAAACTGTTGAAGCTGTGCTGCAAAGGCCTGCAGCTGGCATGACAAAATGCTGCAAGGAGCTTCCTGGGGATTGGAGGAATTTCACTGTGTAGCCTCCTGAAGGCTCAGCTTCCTTGTCAATAAAATGGGAGTGAATAATCCCTACTTCATAGCATTGTTGAAAGAACTAATTGCAATTAAGTAGTCAGCTTGTGCCTTGCACATAGTAAACCAATAAGCCTTCGTAGGGCCGTTGAGGGAAACTGAGGACCGGAGAGACTGATATGGAGAACAGGAGGATTGTTTATTTTAGGCATGCACCGGCTCAGTGGATTTGCATCCAAAAAGCTGAGCCTTGAACAAAGACAGAGCAGGGTTTTTATAAGCAGACTTACAGAAGCAAAACAAAAGCAGTTAATCATACAGTGATAGGTCCCATAATCTATAGCATAACATAACTTGTGACCTTGCGTAGCTGGTGGCCTTGTAGCTGCATCAAAAGAAAAACAAGAACTGGCTAAATACAGACATTTGTAAAACATACTCATGCCTAAGAAGCCAGGAAAAGGAGTAACAGTAAAATAATTTGTCTTTCTCTTCTTTTTCCTTCAACCTTGCTCTGGAAGTGGGGCGGGGGTGTCTGGAGCCCATTCCTTTGGCCTTGGCTTCTCAAACAGCGTTATAACTGTCCTTCAAGTGAGCTTGCTAGGCAGAGGAAAACTTGTTCTTTTCTTTTTAACCCTTGCCTTGCCTCTTTATTTATTTTTAAATTTCTGCCTCAGGGCCATCATCACAGCAAATGTGAGGTTTCTCTTCTGCTTCTCCTCTTGGTGTTCCCTCTCCCTGAGTTCCGACTCCCATAGCTACCCCAAGCTCCCTCCCTCCACCCTTCCCTATCTTAAAGTTTACAAAGCAAGTCTGCTATTTGTCTTTTATACTTGACCAGCAGTGTGATTTTATTTAGTGGGCATAAATTCTAGTGTGTCACCTCAACCAGGATTTGCATTTTAAAACTTCAGTCTGATTTGGGAAAAGCTCCCAGCCTCACCCAGTAGGCTGGGAGAAGTGTGGGCAATTAGGGGGTTTTGGAGTCTGCTTCCAGAACGTCTCCTTCCGGCTTTGCTGAGATGAATTAATTAACAGCTTGCTCAATTGCAGCTGTGGAAAACTGCCTTCATGGTCAATGACATTTTCCAGAATCTAACATTCACCCTCCCCGACTCCAAACTCCTCTCACTTCTCCCTTCCCGCCATGATTCAACTGAATGCAAGTTTCAGCTCACAGCCTCCCAGGAGAAGCCTCAGCACCCTGAAGAGAGGTGCTCCCTTTTGAGAAATGCCACACAGAGATGCACATTCTTTCCCCAGGAAGGACCGCCTACAAGGCAAGTGTCTCTATATAGGGCTGTTATAAATAGAATCCCAATCTCCACAGTTAAGTTTCTCAGCATAAATGTTTAGCATCAAGTTCATCAATCCCCTTTTTGTTGTGAATTTGGGTCACTTGAACCGAAGACCCAGAAGCCAACAACTCCCACTGGAGCAACTACCAAGGGAGGCCTTTAATCTGCTCATGGTCGCAGCCAGCCCCTGGATGGGCCTTCAGGGATGCCAGCAATGAGCACCGAATCTTGCCTGGACCCCCTATTCTTACTACGACAGTAAGATGATGAAATCCATTTTGGATCCATTACCTAACAGAGTCTTATCTCCCCACTCCGAATACAAGCTCCTTCCAGGAAAAACGAATTCTCTATTAAAAGGTGCATTCTGTCAGTTCTAGCATTTTCTACACGACATGGATTTCTTTCTCACATTAATTAATCAAACACACCAAGTACAAAAGCAGGCTTTCCCCACGCTCCACATTTCATCATGCGTTGCCTGTGGATGGGCCCCTGGTGGGAGGGCAGTGATCTCATGGCATCTCCAACCCTGTAGATTTAGAGTCCTACATGTAATTGAAATCGGACAACATCACCCCATGGCTGACTGGGGGGGATTTGAATGTCAACAACACCAAAAAAACAAAACAAACAAACAAAAAATGTACAATAAAGTTCTGAG
The DNA here is from genome assembly GCF_000001405.40 of Homo sapiens. Lineage (NCBI taxonomy): Eukaryota > Metazoa > Chordata > Mammalia > Primates > Hominidae > Homo > Homo sapiens. Next base: position 45,093,984 of record NC_000010.11, on the reverse strand, counting down.
ATTTTCATGTCTAGTGTGTTTTGTAAAAAGGGACAAGACTTTCCTGAAAAGTGTCCATCATTCCTGCAAGCTTTCCCTTGTACATGACTGATTGGAAACATGAGGTTGTAAATTAAATTACTTCAAGCTGGTGGGGACTGTTCTTAGGGATGCCAATTAGCATGGACTCTGAATTGACAAGGATGAGACCTTGTGTGAGCCATTCAACTCTGCGAAGCTACCAGTGATGAAACCGATGCTCTGAGGCAAAGTCCTTCATCAATGGGATTATTAGCAACATGGGCAAGAAAACGAGAATGCTTAGTGAAAACGAAGAAAAAAATGTTTTTTAAGAAAAATCACCTAAGCAAAAGAATTTCTTGTTTTGGCAGTTTTAATGATGACTGTTAACAAGCAGCCAGCCACCATGCCGTGTTCTTTTCAGCTGCATCTAATCTCACACCTGCGTCTAATACTCATTAATCCTTAACATCTGATAGCATTTCCATAATTTCCATGGAAGGGGGCATTTTCTCCTCATCTCAGTAATTAACTGTGTGGTGCATGCAGCTGAAGAGAAAACCTAGCAAGTGCTCAGGATTGATAAGCAGGGTCCTGAGTTACAGGGTCCAAGCTGGGCATGGGGTGGGTGCTGTGGTCTGTGGGACACCCAGAGGCAGAAAGGCCTGTTCTCTCCCTGGGCCCCCCCGAGGCTGCAGGTCAGCAGCACTGCTCACTGAGCCAACACCAGGAGCTCTCTCTTCATCTAATCAAATGCATTCTTATCACAGGTTTGATATTATTTACAGATACACAATGTATTAGTCTGTTCTCATGCTGCTAATAAAAACATAATTGAGACTAGGTAATTTATAAAGGAAAGAGATTTAATGGACTCATAGCTCCACGTGGCTGGGGTGGCCTCACAATCATGGCGGAAGGCAAAGGGGGACCAAAGTCACGTTTTACATGGTGGGAGGCAAGAGGGCTTGTGCAGGGGAACTCCCATTTATAAAACCATCAGATCTCATGAGATTTATTTACTATCACAAGAACAGCATGGGAAAGACCCACCCCCATTATTCAATTACCTCCCACCAAATCCTCCCATGACATGTGGGAATTATAGGAGCTACAATTCAAGATGAGATTTGGGTGGGGACACAGCCAAACCATATCAAATGACATTCACATTATTTAATTTTCTCCCTGGAAGCCTAAGCCACACAGACAGTAATCATGTTTAGTGGAGTATCCAAATTAACTGGGATTTGAAGGTTTCCAATGACCTGTGCAGTCTATTAAATACTTACATTAGAATAACTAGAATTATACAGGAAGTTGCAAAGATATTCACAGCCATGTGGGGTGATCTTGGGAGGGAGCAGTACAGAGGCAATAAAAGTTATTCCTGCAATTCCCTTCTTGCAATTACTCTGCCTCAGTCACAGCATGTATTTTTAAGAATCCATTTTGTTAGAATGGCACTCTGATATATTTCTTTGTCAGTGATCTTGTAGCCCCTGTTGGTGCTTACTTCTGGAGAAGGCCTGTGGTCTATGTGAACGTCGGAAACCTTCTGGGCATGGGCTGTGGCTCAGTGAATGTCATCAGTGCCTGATGCTGGAGACCAGCCTCTGTTGAGGCTCTGTGTCATGACTGGCTCTGCCTTCTCTCCCTTTTCTGAGCCTTTCTTACCTGAAACAGAGAAAAGCAGAAAAGATACGCCTCTAGGGAAGCTATTTTGGTCACCACTGGGGAAGTTTTGCCATGGCTGATGCCTGATTCTGAGAAAGCGGGCACTCCATTTTTGGCTCGGAGCCACAACTGGCCTCCTTCCCTGAATCCCCTGCTGAGGGAGACAGCTGGGGAGAGATCCGCCTTACCAGCCAACTGGTCCTGGAAACCGTGCCCTGAACCAGCCCACAAAGGAAATTCCTACCCAGGGGAGTAGTAATTGTTTCTCAGCTGGTAAAGATTTGGAATTTTGTAGTAAATTAGAGGGGAAACTGTTCTGCCACCTTTTTTTTTCTTTTTTAAATTTACAGACAGGGTCTCGCTCTGTTGCCCAGGCTGGAGTGCAGAGGCACAAATATCACTCAACTGCAGCTGCGAACTCCTTGGCTCAAGCAATCCTCCCACCTCAGCTTTCTGAGTAGCTGGGACAGTGCATGCCTCCATGCCCAGCTATTTCTTTAAAAATTTTTGTAGAGTCGAGGGTCTCACTGTGTTACCCAGGGTGGTCTCAAACTCCTGACCTCAATCAATCCTCCCATCTCAGCCTCCCAAGTGTTTGAATTACAGGTGTGAGCCATGGCACCCAGCCCAGAGAGCTCTTTCTAAAACATAATTCTATTTATGACATTTCCTAATTAAGACCTATTTATGGGACATGTCTCCCCCAGTCCAAATACAGAGGAAAAAAAAATAGATTAAATAGAAACACAACACTGAAAGCATAATGAGACTCAAATAACAAGATAAATCTCCCCATGAACCAGAAACAAAAGAGAAACGCAAGTCAGTGGGCTCTGCTGGAGCCGGGGGCCTGCTGGACGGCTGTTCTGGAAGGAGGCTGTGGCAGTCTGCAGTTTGATTCCAGTGGGGTAAAAAGGATACAATTACTCCACTCAAGAGTCTGAGACTAGCATCACTCACCAGCTCCCACCCCCGCTCCCAATACCCACCCATAAAACAAACTAAAAGCTGTGGCTAACCCTTCCCTGGGAGCTAGAGTTTTGAATAAGCTGCAAACCTAGGAAGGAAAAAGAAGACTGAAACACAGTGTCCGATCAAGACAGGAAGGAAGCCACAGTATATCCCCAAAGCCACTGTGGGACAGGAGCACTGCAGCACTGCCAGGTTTAGGGCAGGGAGTCCTGAACAGCTGCACAAAGGTGACCACAAAACCCCCGGCCCAGGAGAGGTGAACACAGAAAGAAGAAAAACAAAAACAGAAGCATCCCACTCAAAATAAGCCTGCAAAGCAAAATTCCAAAACAGAAGAAGAAATCGAATACTGAGAAAGACAGCCAGCAAAATCAACCTTCAAAACATGAATACGCCTCAGAGGAAATTAAGTGTGTGGATCCAGCTGGCAACACTTTAAAATAGGTATGTTCAGTCGCCCAATGAGATAAATGAATAACTTCCATTTTAAAAGTGTGAGAGATTAAAATAAAAGCAGATATAAATGAAAAAAAATGAAGGCATTGAGTTAAAAAAAAAAAAACCTTCAATGAATGATATATGCCCAGATCTGAGACAGAGAGAAGCAGAGAACTGCTAGAAATCTGCCCCGAACACAGTGCAGAAAGATGACACACATTAACATCCACAGAGAATGACTGAGAGGATTTAAGTGTCCAACAGGAATTCTCCAACAAGGAAACAGACAAAATAGTGAAAAAGCACTATTCAGAATTTAAAATTTTCCAGATTTGAAAAAAGACATGAATCCTTAAATGGACAGTACACCCCAACTACCCATCAGGATAAATAATAGTAAAGCCATTCCCAGAATTGTCACAGTAAAACTGCAGAACATGAGGAATAAAAATAAAATGTTTACAGCTACCAGAGAGAAAAGACAGATTATCTGCAAAGGAACTACAGTTAGAACAACATTGGAACTTCTCATGAGCAACAATAAATGATGGAAGACAATGAAATTATATCTTCAACCTGATAAGAAAAATTTGTAACTCTCAACCTGAAGTTTTATACACAGATAAACTATCAACTCAAGACTAATGGGGGGTGGAATCTGTGTTTAGAAAAATCAAGAGTTAAATACCCATAGACCCTCACTAAGAAAATAATTAAAGGATTATTTCAGGGGGAAAAAAAGTAAGCTCAGAGATATATGTATATAGAATTTTAAAAGTAAAGGTGATTAGGAAAAAAGGTAACAAGTTTTAGTAAACGTATTTAAGTGAAAAAAAATATTTTTTAAAAAAGAAACTAAAAAGAATGCTAAGATGGATACAATAATCCATGGATGGTTGATATGTGCCCATGTCACATTCAGGGGCAGGAAGGAAATACTATGTTAGAAAAATGTACAGCTAATGGTGTTGGTTAAAAAGTTAAAAAACCGAAAAATGGAAACAGAAAAATGTACAGCTAAGGGTGTTGGTTAAGAAGTTAAAAATAACTGAAAAATGGAAACACAATGTGTAGCTTCCAAATCAGTACAGATTAAAAGGGGGAACTCTAGAAAACTTTGTCCATCCAATAGAGAGCTGAAAAGTGAAAACAAAAAGGCAGATAAAGATGGTATAAAGAAAATTCAAGCTGGGTGCGGTGGCTCATGCCTGTAATCCCAGCACTTTGGGAGGCTGAGGCAGGGGGATCACTTGATGTCAGGAATTTGAGACCAACCTGGCCAACATGGTGAAACCCTGTCTCCACTAAAAATACAAAAATTAGCTGGGCATGGTGGTGCGTGCCTGTAATCCCAGCTACTCAGGAGGCTGAAGCAGGAAAATCACTTGAACCCAGAGGCAGAGGTTACAGTGAGTTGAGATTGCATCAGTGCACTCCAGCCTGGGTTACAGAACGAAGACTATCTCAAAAAAAAAAAAAAAAAAAAGAAAAGAAAAGAAAAAGAAAAAATTCAAAATAGAGTGGTAAAAAATGTATCAGTAAGTACATTAAATGTAAAAGTATTTATCCATATATTCAAAGGTAGAGATTATCCAATGATTTTAAAAATAGGCCAGAGGTGGTGGCTCACACTTATAATCCCAGCACTTTGGGAGGCCAAGACAGGAGGATCCCTTGAGGCTAGGAGTTCAACACCAGACTAGGAGACACAGCAAGACTCCTTCCCTACAAAAAATTAAAAATTAGTTGTGTGTGGTGGTGCACAGCTGTGTCTTAGCTGTTCAGGAGGATAAGGCAGGAGGATAGCTTGAGCCCAGGAGGTAGAGGATACTGAGCTATGATCACACCACTGCACTCCAACCTGGGCAAATAGTTAAGACCCTGTTTTTGAAAATAAATAAAATAAAATAAAAACTCCTGCTATATGCTACTTGTATGAGAACATCTAAAACAAAATATCTTACAGGATTAAACATAAAGGAGAAATAATATGCCACGGAAACACACATGTTAAAGACAAACCTATTACAGCAATGTTAATACCAGGCAAACTATGAATTAAGAAAAAAAGAGTAAGAAGAGACAGAAGGGGGATAGAAAGAAATGGTTGTATATAATTCTGCACTCAAAGAATTAGCAATATACATTATTTTTATGTCAAATATTTTTAATAGTGATATCTTAGGTTACAAAGGACATCTCAATGAAGATCAAAGATTTAGTATAATATAAACCACATTTTCTCATCAAAATGTAATCAAATTTTGTAAAAATATACAAAGATGGAACCAAAAAATATGTGATTAGAAACACATATTAACTCATAAGTAAACTCATAAGTAAATTAACTCATAAGTAAAACAGAAATTCACAATAAAAATGAGTACTGTTTAGAACTAAACAATAATAATGAATTAACTACATATGAAAAATTATGAAGCCATAAAAATATTTAAGTACAAAATTATAATGTTAAATGTATTAATGTATAAAATATGTAAGATGAAACATAGATAGGTTAAGCATTAAGCATTCAACTTGGATGCTTGGTGGGAAGACTATATATAAGAAGGAGGAGGAAATAATAAAGATAAGAAATAAAATAATAGCAAAAATGTAACATAAGGTAATCTAAAGCTGACTATTTTAAAATGATCATGACAAATCACTTGAAAGACTGGTTAAGAAAAAATTAGAAAATATATATTAATAATATTAAGAATAAAAGGAGGCCATGATTATAGGCATAAAAATTTTAATTGAAAGAATTCACTAAACAATTTTATAAAAATAAATTTTAAAACTTGATAAAATAACCTTTTAGAAAATAAAATTACCAATTGTATTTGGCTGTTCTTGTGTTGCTATAAACACCTAAAACTAAACCATTCATGGGAACTCTTCCCCCATGAGCCAATCACCTCCCACCAGGCCCCACCTCCAACACTGGAGATTATATTTCAACATGAGATTTGGTGGGGACACAGATCCAAACCATATCACCAATATTGACTATAGAAGAAATTTATAACTGAATAAATCAATAATCTATTTTAAAATTAAATTAGTAGTCAAATCTTCATCTCTAAGAGTCATCAGACCCAGAGAATTTTAAAGGAGAGTTTTACCAAACATTGGTGGAATAGATAATTTCTCTTTTACTGTTTCTAAGTTGGAAGAGAAGAAAAAGGTACCTTTTGGGGGTATTAGTTAAAACCTTGATACTCAAAAGAGACAGGATCAATACCATAGAAGAAAGTTACAGATAAATCTTGTGTATGTACATACATGCAAAAATCCTTAAAAATTAATTTTTAAAAAGCAAACCAAATTTACATGTTTGTAAAAGTAATACACCATACACCATGTAGTGGATCATTTGAGGTCAGGAGTTCGAGACCAGCCTGGCCAATATGGTAAAACCCCATCTCTACTAAAAATACAAAAATTAGCTGGGTGTAGTGGTGGGCACCTGTAATCCCAGCTACTCGGGAGGCTGAAGCAAGTAGAATCCCTTGAACCCGGGAGGGGGAGGTTGCAGTGAGCCAAGATTGCACCACTGCACTCCAGCCTGGGCAACAGAGCCAGACTCTGTCTCAAAAACAAACAAACCGAAACAAAACAAAAAAACACTAGATGAAATTCAACATATTTTTATTATTAAAATATATTTGAAAACTAGATAGGAATAGGACAATTCTTAAACTAAAATACCTCGCTACAAACCTACACAAATGTTGCACTTAGATTTGAAATTTAGAAAATTTTTATTCAAGTCAAGAACTTTCTAGTTACAATTTGTATTTAACACTATATTGAATGCCCTACTCAATGCAATAGGACAGGAAAATAAATACTATGAAAATTAGAAAGAAAAAGACAAACTTTGCCTTTATTTGTAGGTGCTATAATTGCTCACAGAGGAAGTCTAAAAGACTAGAGTTATTATTGTAACTCTTTCAATACAGAAATTTTGCAATAATGTAGGTACATTGACAATCTTCAGCTTTGATCCTATAGTTGTTATATATATATATATGGATTTATAAACAGCACAAGTCATTCTTATAATTTATGCCTTAAATAAGAATATGTACTTTCAAGTAATTAGGAGGAAAATATAGACTTGGAAATTTATCTATTATTTTAACTATTTCTCATGTTCTTCTCTCCTTCAGAAAGATCTGGTATCATTTCCTTTAAGCATGACAAACTTCCTTTAGCATTTTTATAACTGAAACATTTCTTGAAATTCAGCATTGCTAGTTCTGCTGGCAATAAACTTCATTTCTTTCATCTGAAGAAGTTTTAGTGTTGTTATTACTCCTATTGTTTTCTCTGGATATAGAATCTGGGTTGACAGATTTTTTTTGTTTTCTTTCAGCACCTTACATATGTTATTTCACCAACTTTTGGACTCTGTTGTTTGATAAAGTCACCAGTCATTTGAATGATTGCTTCCTATAGGCAATGTATCATTTTTCTCTGTTTTCAAGACTTTCCCTTCATCTTTGATTTTCATCAGTTTGACCATGATGTGCTTAGGCATGTTTTTCTGTCAATTTATCCTACTTGGGATTTATTGAAATTCTTGAGTCTGTAAATTTGTATGTTTTATCAAATTTGGAAACCTTTCTAGCATCATGACTTCTTTTTTTTTTTTTGAGACAGGATCTCTGTCACCCAGAGGGATCACAGCTCACTACAGCCTCGACCTCCCAGGCTCAGGTGATTCTCCCACCTCAGCCTCCTGAGTAACTGGGACTACAGACATGCACTGCCTTGCCTGGCTAATTTTTTTGTAATTTTGGTAGGGACTGGGTCTTGCCATGTTGCCCAGGCCTGGTATTGAACTTCTGAGCTCAAGCAATCCACCCATCTCAGCCTCCCAAAGTGAGCAAACACGCCCAGCACATTGTCTTTAAATAATGTTTTCTGTCCATTATCTCTCTTCTCTACCTCTGGGACCCCAGTTATGCATATGTTACATATCATTCTTTCTTCACAGTTCTCTGGGGCTCTGTTCATTTTTTCTCTTTTCTCTCTGTTCTTCATGTTGCATAGTTTCTATTGATCAATCATTAAGATAACTATAATTTCCTGTCATCTCCATTCAATTGTTAAGACTATCTAGTGAGTTTTTAATATATTTGATTTTTTAGTTCTAGAATTTCCATATTTCTGAATTCTTATTCTTCTGCTGAAATTTCCTCTGCCTTTGTCCATTCTGCGCATATTTTCTTTTACAGCATTGAGCATTTTTATAGTTGCTGTTTTATACAGTTTGCCTGATAATTTCAAGAGCCAGGAATGGTCCTTGTTGATTTTCTTTTCTTAGAGAATGGGTCACATATACCTGAATCTTTGCAGTCAGATAACACTGGATTTTATCCTGGACATTGTGAATATTAAGTTATGGAATCTCTGGGTTTTATCATTAGTCCTTCAAAGAATATGGATTTTGTTTGTTTTACAAGGTAAAAACTCTGTGTGTTTGATAGCAACTCAAATCTCAGTTCACTTTTTGTATTGTTAGTTGAGCTTCTCAGAGTCTGCCTCACATATAATATGGCTCAAGTGTTAACCAAGATTTGGGCAGAGTTTATGCAAACAATTTGGAGATTCCCTTTCTGGCTCTCTGCTCTCTGAGATTCCTCCTTAACTTTCCAGAGACTGTTGTTGCCTAAATTTTTCCTCTGGTTCTTCATGCCAGAAATACTATAGATTTCCTCTTGGAATTTTAGCTGCCTCACATGCTGCAGAATCCCCTGAGGCATTTCAGTGCCTAAAAATGAGGCACTCATCTAGAGTCATTGCCTTCTTTCAAGCATTAACTCCCTTTCATAATATTCCTACTTTGGTTCACCTTCCAGTGCCACCTCTGTTTTCTCTTTTTCCTTTAATTTTCCTTCTCTTTTGTTTGTCTGTTCAATGTGTATAGTTATTAAAGGTGAAATCTCAGCCTGATATGAGCTTACTTGGCTATTAGTAGAGGAACTAATATTTTTAAAAACTTACAAATTGTTTGAATATATAAGAGTACAGTAAGGCACTAGATACAAAGTCAGCATCATTTAAGTTCACACCAGTGATAGCCACTTAAAATGTAATAGAAAATATAATTTTTTAATTCCCACAGAAATTTTCTATCAAAATTAGAAATACCTGGTATTAATCCAAAAAACAAAAATATAAAGAACTTAATAAAAAATAATTATTAACAGACATACAAGAATTTTGGAATAAATGAGAGAGCAACTATATTTATAGAGAGAAAAACTCAGAGTAAAGATATCAGTTCTTTAAAAATTAATCTATAAATTTAAAGCCATTCTGATTAAAAGCCCCAAAGAGGTTTTCATTGACAAGCTGCTCCTTAAACTCATATGGAGAACAAACGTCAAGAGCTAGAACAAACAACAACTTATGATGTAAAATACCAAGACATTTTATGAAGTTACATGTTCTATAGTAGTGAGACCTACAAGTAAACCCATGGAAGAGAACAGAGAGTACAGAAAGAGAACCACACATATATGAAAACTAGACATATAGAAAAGGTGACAATATAAATTAAGAGAAGGAGAAAGAATGAAAAACTCAAATGGTACTAGAACAATTGATGATTCATAAGGAAAATGGAGTAAAATTACATCCATACCCCAAAATAAATTCAGTTAGATTCAAGACCTAAAAGTGAAGTATCGGACTCTTAAAGATTTAGAAAACAATATGGGAAACAACTTAGAATAGCATCTTGGGTAATGATTTCCTAAACTAGACAATGAAAAATACAAACCAGAAATGAAAACATGGCATCCTTTCACTAAATTAAAAGTTAAAGCCTATTGTATGTCAATAAACATCATAAACAAGATAAATCACTGACCTGAAGTTATTTACTGTGCATACATACCTTTGTTTATTACACTGTATAATTTTCATTATGTTTGAAATACAATATTTCAACACTGTTATTTTGAAGATCATTCCATTGCCATTCACTTTTCTTAGAAGAAAGACAAAAACCCCAAGCTGCTCTTCTTCCAGCTGTTTTCTTTCCAGACTCCGTTCCCCGCTGTCTGTGACTTTTCCTGTTTTGGGGCCTTCAGATAAGTTGTGCTATTCCTTCTAATGAAAACACCTGCCCCCCGCTTCACTTAGTGAACTCCTCTTTCACCATCAAGCTCAGATGTAATCCTGCCATAATGATTTTTCTTGCCCATCCACTATAACACAAGTTAGTCCCCTGTTACAAACTCTCACACACTGTGAACTTCTCTTTCATTGTCATAAACGTTAACATTAATTATGTGTGCATTTTTTTAATGTCTGCTCTGTAAATTTCATGAAAGCAAATAAAATGTCTGTGCTATTCACCACTTAATCTACCACAAGACTTGACACATAGTATATGCCCAGTTGATATACTGGGGAAAAAAGGGCAATAGAGGAAAGAGAAAAAGGGATAGGAAAGGAGGGAAGGAGAGAGGGGATGAGGGAGGAAAGAAGGAAGGAAGGGAAGGAGAGAGGGAGGAAGGGAAGGAGGGAGAGAGGGAGGAGGAAGGGAGGGAGGGATGGTGGGTTCTGGCCATTATGAACTGTTGGTTGGGGATGGTGAGATTGAACTGGGAGTCCAAAAAAAGTGGAAGAGGAGAGACAAAGATGAAGCAAGATTATACCTAAGATAGCTTCAATTTCTTAAACTCTATATTGAAAGGAGCTTGGGGGCTGATTTCTATTGGCATTGGCCTACATGCAATTTTCCAGTGTTCTGTTATTTACAATTTCTGACCCATAATTATATACTTCCATCAGGGGCCCAGTTGCAGGAAGTCATGATTAAGAGTTCCTACTAAATTGGCCCCTTGTATATTAGTCACTATTTTAACATGGAGTGTAACAACATATTCGACAGTGTATCTGTATATTTAAAAGGGGGAAAGGAGTCATTCTCTGTTAATACGAGGCATTAGTTCTGCAAATGAAGCAATTAATTTAAGTGGATCGGAGTTTTTAAAGATTGGATCCACTAAAACACACACATACACACACACATACATTCATCAGCACTTTTACACACTAATACTTATGCTCATACTCACACACTCACACACACACACCATTTAATTTGTTTCTAATGCAGTAAATACCTATTAGAAAATAAACCTAAAGAAAGCTATTTTTGAAGGGTGTAAAATTCATTTTGTATTTTGAAATAAGAGGACAAAGGTGATAATAGTGATGATGATGATGATACATGTAGACACAGAATAGTGACTAATATTTAGTGCATGTTTACCATGTGCTAGGGATTATACTAAGTACTTTACATGCAATAATTATCTTAAGTAATCCTCATAAGACCTTATGAAATAAATAATTTTATTACTCCCTTGTACAGTTGAGAAAAGTAAGGTATTCTTACCCAAAAGTTATCTAACTTTAAAGCCTATGATATGCCTAGCCACTTGGCTAATTGTCTCACCTGCCCCCACCACATCCCCAAAATTGTTACTCATGTGCCACATACCACATGCCACAAACATACGCACACACACAGCTTAAAGTTCATTTTCACAAATATATAGTGGAAGCCAGATGTAGAAAAACTTTCATTCAAATGCTTAAAAATAGAGGCATTCACAGTAAAAGCAGATCTTCATACTGAATTCCCCAAATTGTAGAATGATTAATCTAATTTCCTCCTCCATGTTTTAATTCTGAACAGATGGCCACACAAACTGTTTAGTCTCATTGGTTAGTATCTATTTTCCAGACAATTCAAAGTCCCAACAGATGCTTGAGCCTAAATGTCACAAACTTATAAATGAACCTCCCACTCCTGATTTTTTTGTGCATTACAAAGCACCGTACCTGACATAGTTGATGTGTTCATTTTAAAATAAATAAAGTTGAGGTTTTTCATAGCAATAACACGTTAAATGACGCTTTCAGTTATGGTGACCATGTGATTGACAAAAATAAATGGAGATCCAGAAACCTGTATCTGAGAAAGAAAATAATCTGATATATTTCCCATGAGAATTTAGAGGCCATCCAGATGGAAATAGCCTGTTTGCTAGGACTGGATAAGAGTTCAAGTGCCCCAAGTGAGTACTGAATGTCCAGGATTCTCAAACAGCCTTTATTACCTTAAAATGACCAATTTGAAAGGCATCCTGAGCGCAGATGGATTTTAAAAGCAAGGCAGGTATCTGTCTTTGCATATCAAAACAGAAGAGCATAACTGGAATATTTGCAACACAAAGAAATAATCGATACTTGAGGTGACAGATACCCCATTTACCCTGATGTGATTATTACACATCGTATGTCTGTATCAAAATATCTCATGCACCCCACAAATATATACACCTATGTACCCATGAAAATTATTTAAAAATTTTTAAAAGAAATATCAAAGAAAAAATTAACAGAATTTTAGAAGTAAAAGGGAATTTTCTTCTTGCCTTAAGTAGAATTGGAACAAACAGAAACTGATATTAAACTTGGGACAAAAAGAAATAAGTAAATGAAAGAAACATCAAAATATTTCCATGATTTTTAAATGCGTCTGTTCTCTTGTCTCTCTCCCCTCCACACCTTTACCAGAAAAAAACAAACTCTCATCTGGAGAGAGGGGCAAGTGGGACCATAGTTAACCGCCTTCAATTCTCAAATCTCAGATGCAGTGATCAATACTTCCAAGCCAGAGGCAGTGGCTTTACTGTCTAACAAAGAATGGCATTCCCAACATCATTTTCTGACAGCTTCTGACGCTCATCATTGTAATATGGAACTCTGCAATAGGACAGGAAGAGTTAGAGAGACTTAGTCTTCCCTAATCTTCCCCTTTGTTAGCTCCTTGATTTTGGACAAGTTACTAATATGAGTCTCTGCTTCTTTGGCTCTAAAATAAGAGCAACCCTACCTATCTGATAACAAATGGAAATGCCTAGAATAACACTAGACAGGCACACAGTATACTGTCAACAACAGTGCGTAGTTCATGCAAGTAGAGTCAATTCAAGGAATAGAGTTTTGAGAGTCAACAGAGAATATCGTCACAAAATCAAAGAATTTTAGAATCAGAAGGAAACCTTTAGATAATTCTCGTATAGTTCCTTCCTGTTTAAGAAGAGGAAACTGAGAATCTTACCATCCATTAGCATCTTTTAATACTTAATGGAAGCACAGACTTAAAATGATAACCATTTAAAAAAAAAAAAAAAAGAAGGCCGGTTCTTAAAAAATGGTCCTAACACACAGTAAAGTCCCTAGTGGTCAGGGCCAAGCCAGAGCTCAATATATTTCTAGTGGAAGAATGACTTCATAGAAAGACTTTGCCAATAAAAACCTTACAGTTTGTAGTTTCTCAGGAGAACTCAAGATCAGCCCATTGTTTTTACTGTAGGCGTCTGGCCACTTGGCTCCCACTTAACTGGCACTAAAATAGGGGTTCTTTTTTCCAGTGGCTGATTTCCAGTCCTTCCCATCAGAGCCCCAGTTATTACAACTATATATAAAAATGTCATTTATTCCCGGTGCTGAATTTTAATCTTTCTAAGTTGGTTCTAATCCCAAGAAGTTAAGAAGTAGTACATGAAGAGAAGCAATGGGCATCCGATTTCCTTCTAGGCCTGCCATCAGCCATCGAATAATGGAATCTTTGAGTTGGACCTTATTCCAACCTCCCAGTCCTTGAAGGAATCCCATCTACGACATAAAGCAACCTGGTTATGCCATCCCAGAATATATCTGAGTTCAGGCATTCTTGGTGTCACAAAGACATTCTTTCCACTTTCCAATAGCCCTGTTTCACAGAAAGATTTATTTTCCTTTTTCCCTAAAATCTGCCTCTCTAGGACTTCTCCCCATAGTTCCTGGTTCTTCCCCTAGAGCTACAGCTTGTACCCTGATGTATTAATCATAGTTTTTAGTTTTTATATTTTATGATGTTTTGACCTCTTGGGGGATCTAGTTGGGTAAAAGAAACTGACCCCCTCCTCGGGGCTAGCTAATTCCTAAGACGATAAATGACTGGTCTGTGTGAGTGCTTTTCATACACAAACCAGCCAATCCAAAGCCTATATTCCAACTACCTCCTGTATCTAACATATACCAGGCCAATACTTCCCCTGTCCGAAATCAACACAGGACCAGATACCAGACAACTAGGGACAGCCCCTCTGCCCCTAAACCCACTGGCGTCATTCAAACTAGCCAATCTTAAGCTGTTTCCCCTGCCCTGCCACACCTGTTCCACAGAAAACACAATGAAGACTGGCCCAATCTCTCTCCTCACTCCTCTCCACCTCCTGTCCAACACTGGCCTTCCCCCATGTGGCCCTGGGTGGCCTGCCATGCCCTTCCTCTTGGGAATTAGAAGCAACAAAAATCTTTCCATCACATTAGCTGCTCAGTCACCTTTATAAATTAAAATCAACGAGTGTTCCAGCACTTTGGGATGCCAAGGCAGGAGAATTGCTTGAGCTCAGAAGTTCAAGACTAGCCTGGGCAACATGGTAAGAGCCCACCTCTATAAAAAAGAAACAAGATCACAAGGTCAGGAGTTCAAGACCAGCCTGGCCAACATGGTGAAACCCCATCTCTCCTAAAGATACAAAAAAAATTAGCTGGGTGTGGTGGCACATGCCTGTAATCCCAGCTACTTGGGAGGCTGAGGTGGGAGGACTGCTTGAGCCTGCCTGGGGGGTCAAAGCTACAGTGAGCCATGAGGGAGCCACTGCACTCCAGTCTGGGTGACAGAGTGAGACTCTGTCTCAAAAAATAAATAAATACATAAATAAATAAAATTGATGTGTGTGATCACTGAGATGCCTGAAAACCCATTGAAAGCAGTTACCCAGTCCCTTCCGAAGCTTTTTTCTGTGCCCTTAACCGTATCCTTTATCACCTCCCTCAAGACTCTAGAGGCATCTCTAACGCGTCCAGCTCAAAGAGTCAGCTATTCAGAACTGGGCCCGGTCCTTCATATAGGATCTGACTATTTTAGAATACTAAGGCATTCTCAACTTTGCCAACCTGGGCAATATGCTTTTATCCATTTAGCCATTATCTTTTTCAATAGCTCATTCACACCACTGATTAAAGCAAAGCTTGATTTTTAACAAAAACCTTCACTCTGTTTCACACGCACATTTGTTAAGCCAAAATTTCCCAATCCTTTCTTGCACAACTGATTGTTTAAATGTTAAAATTCATGATTATCTTGATTAAATGTGCAGTTTCCTACAAAGACTAGATAACTCTACTATAGTATTTATTATTGTTATTATTTTAGAGACAGAGTCTCACTACGTTGCCCAGGCTGGTATCGAATTCCTGACCTCAAGCAATCCTTCTCACTTGGACTCCCAAAGTGCTAGACTGCAGGCATAAGCCACCATGCTGGCCGTGTTTATTATCCATATTTATTATTCTTAATAACAACTATGATGACAGTAATAATAGCTAAAAGGTATTGGGTGCTACTATGCTAATTATTTGACATGTCCTATCCTATCAAGTTCTATTCTAGGTACTAATATTATCCCATTTTCTAGATAAGAACATTGAGAATTTTAGAGACTAAGTGTAACTAGCTCAAGATTGTACGAATTAGTGTTAGAACAGGGATTCAAATGCAGGCTTAAATGTGCATCTTGTTAATTGCGTCTTATTTTAGTTGTTTATGCGTGGATCTCCCAGTTAAAATTGTAGAATCCCCAATATGATATGTACCCACTCCCGAGGATCTAAATTGTGAGTGCTCAGATATTTGTTTTCATTGGATTCTACATTAAATGTTGGTAGTTTCATCAATCTTGGTGGCTATTCCACCTGGGTTTCCACAAGTGTCTTCTTTGTCTTCATGCAGTCATTAATAAATATTTTGAAAGATATGAAGCCCTGTAACATTCCCCTGAGAACCTCTGCTCTTTGGGATAATATTGGTGACTTTCGATATATGGTTGTTCACAAGCTATGGATCTTTCTAACTAGATTTCTTCTTTTGACATTTCTCCCTACATATAACAAATGCTTCCTGGGTGTCAGCTGTCATTATTGTCATTATTTCCACTTGAACACTCACATGCTACCATGAGAGAATTTTTCAAATGATTTATTAAATCATGATTACATCAAGTTTATAGCAATCCACTACTCTTAACAGTAATCACTTTATCAAAGAATTAAAAAACAGAGGAAAGGAGTAAGCTTCCTTTTCTTTGTTCACCAATGCAGGCTCAAAATAATCCACCATTTTCTATTCTGAGCACTCTCTACTGCATTTAATAATGTATTACTCAAATTGATGCAGATTATGATTAAATTCACAAGAATAACTTTTCCATATTCTAATGAAGGCACACTCCAATAGTGCTTTGCAATTTACAAAATAGTAAATACTCCAATAGTGCCTTGCACTATTATACTCCAATAGTGCTTTGCAATTGACCCACAAGAAATCTTTCAGAAAATGTGAGGGTGTAATGACTCCCCTGCTTAAAGGGGTCATTTGCTGTGCCTCCTTGATTCAAAAGTTGAAAGCAATAAAATGAATATTTGCATGCACAAGATTTTACATTGTTTTCAATATTCTTATAACTGCGACTTTTGATCTGGAAAATCTCTCCTAAAGTTATCTTTTAACTGCAGCATTCAACGTGGAAAAGATTGCAGAAAGCCTTCCAAGAGCTATAAAAATAGAATTCGTAACATTTGGCTTGTGGGGAGGGCTGTGTGTTTACCAGCTTTAAGGTAGAGTGGTGCGCAGCAGCTCTATGCATTTTCTCACGGGGCATGGTTTCAAAGCCCTTCCTTCCTGTGCTCCCCCAAACCTGTTTACAACAATCTCTCTCCTCCACAGTACTTGCCACACGTAGTTAAGTGTGAATAATGACAACCAAAAAAAAAAAAAAAAAAAAGAAACAAACAAAACTAAATTCCCATCACTACAGAAAAACTCAAGTTAGCCCTCTGGGGGAGAAGCTCACAAGGATTAATTACATTGTAGGGGTTGATATCTCCATTTCCCTTTCCAGCAGTTTTGGAAATACATTTTTCCACAGTTTTAAAGAAGTGTAAGAATTCCCAAGTTCCACAACCAGAAAATCCTGAGTCTCTGATAGCTGAATAATGGATGAATCTCCACTGTTTACTTAGCAGGAGAAAAAAAGAACGATAGAGAAGTCCAGATAAAGTGCAGGAATCTGACACCCTCTTGTGCTGAACAATGGTGAGAAGAATATCCCAGCTTCTTCTTCTTCTTTTTTTTTTTTTGTCCATGTGGAAAACGTATACTAAAACAACAGTTCAGTATGGGGTTTATTATTATTTCACACCTGTACCTAAGAGTTAATCGGGTGATTCTCTTCTGTGTCAATGTGATTGCTTCCTTCAGTAATGGGCTAAGACCTGGAACACAGATTACTAAGCATTTCCATCCCAAAAACTCCACTCCAACCCCTACTCCACTGTCACTCCAGAGAACTTTCTCTAAGATACCGCATAATTTTCCCAGCCAGGAAACACCTCCAATATTACCACATACTCATTTACTGAAATGTTGATTAAAACATTAAAGTATAATTAGCAAAGCTGAAGGTTATCTTTGCAATAACGTTCAGTATTTCATGGCTGATTAATTCACATTCCTGTACTCCTTTGTAGGGTCAACCATACCAAGTCAGTCAAGTCGAAAGCTGTCGGGGGAGGTGTTTGTCTTCTGAGAGAATCCTCCCCATGAAATCTCCCACAATGCCTGTCACTGGTACCTAAAATTACACCATTAGAGATTCAGTCTTCTGGTTCTGGAGGCATTTTAATCCCTGGGGGTCCTATTAAAATGCAAAAACTCCGAGAAGAATAATAGCATTGAAAGCTATTATTAACTGACAGCAAGGAGGCCCTTGGGAATTGGACACGGGATAGAGCCTGAGGAACAACTCCAGGAAATTGGGGTACAAGCAGAGGGAAGGTAAGATGGCAGCAAAAATAAACTTTATCTACTTCGCCATTTTGCAGGGGCAAGGCAGTCCCACTTCTGATATTCTGTACACTAAGGAAATTCCATTCAAGGTGAGATGATGGACACAGTGAGAGCAACTTATTTTCGGTTGTGCTAAAGGAGAAAATCAACAGTGACACAGAATAGTATTTATGCAGAACTCTGACTTCAGTGCAGCATGTTTAATCAGCATGTTGCCCCTGCCTGCCAGTGCCTTGAAGTACTCACTTGGGCTTGTCAAGGGTCTAAATCATACGATTATAAGCTCATGTTCTTCTATTCTCTCATCCTCTTTAGAGACAGCGATGTGGAACTTTTCTTTCTCTGCTTGCTTTTAAAATTGTACTTTTCACAAACACTGGGAATGTTTATGTAGAAAATGTGGAAGTGACTTAAACTAATAAGGTGTCACCAGAAGAGAAGAACTAGGAGTCTACGGAAGCTGACTTTGTAGATTTCAGAAAATCTGCCTGTATCTGATAAGGTGCTGATAGGCAGGAGCAGAAGTTGGTCCCAGAGCCGTTTCTCTCCCTCTCAGAGATGCTTCCTACCTTGAAAAGTCATGTGGACACTAAAAGCTTTAAAATGCCAGGAAAGATTGAATTTCTGTTATTATTGTGTGGTGGTGATATGTGTATATGTGTGTATATGCATATGTACGTGTGTGTGTATTGAAAAATGTAAATAAACAGTGAGAAAAATTGCAGTGGGAGATTAGATTTCCCCTAGAAAGATAACGTAAAACATTTAAACGTGTTATGACTGTAGGGAGAAAAGAATAGGTTGAGGCAATAAGTTTCTACACTTTTCTTATGTACCTGAAACAAAAAGTTATGGAGGTATTTTGGGCGTTTTATTATCGTTGCCATTGTTGTCATCTTTATAGTATACAGACGGAACGATTTAACCCAAACTTAGATCCACCTCCAAGAACGTCAAAGTCCAAGGCTTCTCAGTGAAGGCTGCCCAGGGTCAAGTCAGAGAACCAGGATTACAAATTGCTTCTGGCCAGAAGGAGAGAAGTATGGTGCAGAAAATAAATTCCTGGGGAAACAAAGTGAGTAGGCCTTTAGAAAACTGTAGATTTAAGAAGACAGAATAGATGCATTTCTTTAAATCATGGTGTCTTCACCATAAGCGAGTAACTGTGTAACTGTACTTCATTAAGGATGAGCTGATGGTTATAATATTTTAACAAAGAGTTACACTTTTGTGGAGAAAGCTTAATCAAGGGTGTCTTTACTCTGTCACTCATCTCAGTTATCTGAACTTGATGTAATATCTGTATCTCCACTTGCTTGCATTATACCATAACTGGCCTTCATCAAACAGGATGTGCTCCATTTCTAATACTCCAGAAGCACAAAACACAAAACTCAGAAATATCTGAGAAAAATCCAGGAAAACCCTCGCCAATATACAGATATGGAAGACTGCACACTACAAGAAAAAACAGAAAATAAGTATCCTTCAAACTGCAGGTCAACAGCTTCATCTACATGCATCTGCAAAACAGCAGCTTATTTTCCCCCTGACCAGCATTTAGTGGCCTTATTTCATTCTCTACTCTTTCCAGGGTAAGGAAGGAGGAGCAAAGACCCACAGGAATCTCCTGAAGTTGCCTTCCATAGCCACTTCTGAAAGAAGTAAATAAGGAATACAGTGTCTGGGGATTGTCAATATTTTGATTACAGATATGGAGGAGCATGAGAATGTACATGCGTGTTGGGTGTGTTTTATAATTTTAAAGTCAGTATCACCGGTTGCTGATAACAGTCACAACCATTCATCCAATCAACAAATACTGATTACCTATTAGGTGCCAAGGAATGTCCTATTAAGAAAAAATAAATGAGAGTTTCTGCCATTTAGTCTAGGCTAGGAAATAATTCCATAAAATAATTACTAGGGCCAGGTGTGGTGGCTCACATCTGTAATTTCAGCACTTTGGGAGGCCAAGGCGGCTGGATCACCTGAGGTCAGGAGCTCGAGACCAGCCTGGTCAATATGGTGAAACCTCATCTCTACTAAAAATACAAAAATTGGCAGAAGAATCGCTTGAACCAGGGAGGTGGAGGTTGCAGTGAGCTGAGATCATGCCACTGCACTCCAGCCTGGCTAACAAAGCAAGACTCCTTCTCAAATAATAATAATAATTGTTGTTATTATTATTATTACTGGCCAGGCATGGTGGCTCACACTTATAATCTCAGCACTCTGGGACGCCAAGGCAGGAGAATCACTTGAGGCCAGGAATTTGAGAACTGCCTGGGCAACATAGGAAAACCTCATGTCTACAAACATTTTTTTAAAAATTAGCTGGGTATAAAAGACGTGAACCAGCAGGAGTTCATCAGAGCTCTGGCAGCCTTTCTCAAAAAGTCTGGGAAGCTGAAAGTCACCGAATGGGTGGACACCATCAAGCCGGCCAAGCACAGAGAGCTTGCTGCCTACGATAAGAACTGGTTCTACACGTGAGCTGCTTCTACAGCGCGGCACCTGTACCTCTTGGGTGGTGCTGGGGTTGGCTCTATGACCAAGATCTACAAGGGCCGTCAGAGAAACAGCGTCATGCCCAGCCACTTCAGCTAAGGCTCCAAGAGTGTGGCCCGCCAGGTCCTGCAAGCCCTGGAGGGGCTGAAAATGGTGGAAAAGGACCAAGATGCAAACTGAAACCTCAGGGAGAGAGAGATCTGGACAGAATTGCCGGACAGATGGCAGCTGCCAACAAGAAGCATTAGAACAAACCATGCTGGGTTAATAAATTGCCTCATTCAAAAAAAAAAAAAAAAATTAGCTGGATGTGACCAAGCATGGTGGCTCACGCCTGTAATCCCAGCACTTTGGGAGGCCGAGATGGGCACCTCGGTCAGGAGTTTGAGACCTGAGGTCAGGAGTTTGAGACCAGCCTGCCTGACATGGTGAAACCCCGTCTCTACTAAAAATACAAAATTAGCTGGGCATGGTGGCAGGTGCCTGTAATCCCAGCTACTTGGGAGGCTGAGGCAGGAGAATCACTTGAACCCAGGAGGCGGAGGCTGTGGTGAGCTGGGATGGTACCACTGCACTCCAGCCTGGGCAACAGTGTGAGACTCTGTCTAAAAAAAAAAAAACCGGGTGCAGTGGCTCATGCCTGTAATCCCAGCACATTGGGGGGCCAAGGCGGGCGGATCATAAAGTCAGGAGACCAAGACCATCCTGGCCAACAGGGTGAAACCCTGTCTCTACTAAAAAAAAAATACAAAAATTAGCTAGGCGTGGTGGCGTGTGACTGTAATCCCACCTACTCAGGAGGCTGAGGCAGGAGAATCACTTGAACCCGGGAGGCAGAGGTTGCAGTGAGCCAAGATCACGCCACTGCACTCCAGCCTGATGACAAAGCAGGACTCTGTCTCAAAAAAAAAAAAAAAAAAAAAAAAAAAAAAATTAGCTGGGTGTGGTGGCAGGTGCCTGTAATCCCAGCTACTTGGGAGGCTGAGGGAGGAGAATCACTTGAACCCATGAGGCAAAGGCTGCAGTGAGCGGGGATGGCACTACCGTACTCCAGCTTGGGCAACAGAATGAGACTGTCTCAACAACAACAACAACAACAACAACAACAACAACAAAAATGGCCGGCCGCGGTGGCTCACGCCTGTAATCCCAGCACTTTGGAAGGCCAAGGCAGGCGGATCACGAGGTCAAGAGATCAAGACCATCCTGGCCAACATGGTGAAAACCCGTCTATACTAAAAAAAATACAAAAATTAGCTGGGCGTGGTGGCATGCGCCTGTAATCCCAGCTACTCAGGAGGCTGAGGCAGGAGAATCGCTTGAACCCGGGAAGCAGAGGTTGCAGTGAGCCGAGATCATGCCAATGCACTCCAGTCAAGCAACAGAGTGAGACTCTGTCTCAAAAAAAAAAAAAAAAGGAAAAAGAAAAAGAAAAAAAAAAGTAACTGGGTGTGGTGGCAGGTGCCTGTAATCCCATCTACTCGAGGGGCTGAGGCAGGAGAATCACTTGAACCTGGGAGGCAGAGGCTGCAGTGAGCTGACATCTGCCACTGCACTCCAGCTTGGCGAGAGAGCGAGACTCAGTCTCAAAAAAAAAAAAAAAAAAAACAAATTAGCTGGGTGTGGTGGCTTGTGCCTACACTCTCAGCTACCTAGGAGGCTGGAGCGGGAGGATCGCTGAAACCCAGGAGTTCAAAGTTATTGTGACTGTGATGACATCACTGCATTCCAGCCTGGGCAACAGAGCAAGAGCCTGTTGGGTGGCACTGGGGGCGCTGTGCCTCGCCCGGAGCCTCACCCAGAGCCTTCTGGGGTGGTGGATAGGTGAGGACCTCATCGAGGTAGGGGTTGGGCGGTGGAGAAGGGAGAGTGGCGGGGTAGCTTAGGGAAGCTTGTGAGCCAATCAGCACACAATGTGCCAGAGTGTGGGCGTGGACTGAGGGAAGAAGTGAAAAACACAGCCTGCAACGGTGCCTCAACAGTACCCCCATTTGAAATTTCGCCGGCTCCTGAGCAGACTGGGGGTCTGGCGGGCTTTTGACATAGATTGTCAAGATTGTTTCAATTATACACTTGCAGTTATTGAGGCTGAGAGAGGTGAAGCACCTTGCCTAAGGTCATACAGCCAGTGTTCGAGCCCAGGTGAGTCATAGCTAGATGACCTCACCAACCCCTCCCACCCCTCTGCATAGGAGATCAGCTAGTTCTGGAGGAGGATTATAATGAGACCTACATTTTAAGTGAGGAAGAAATTCTTGAATTTGCCCTGGAGATTGGTATTGATCCCATCAAGGAAACAGAACTGATGTGGCTGGCATGGGAGGGCATTGTGGCCCCACTGCCTGGGGAGTGGAAACTATGCCAGGACATGGGGGGTGACAAATATTTTTTCAACTTTGCCAACAGGCAGTCTATATGGGACCATCCACATGACAAACACTATCAGAACCTGGTGATCTGAGAGTGGGCAAAGCTGTCAACTCTGGGGTCATTAAGAAGAAGAAGAAAAAGGAAAAGAAAGACAAGGAGGACAAAAAAGACCCCCAAAAGTCCCCTGGCCCTGGGTTCCTCGTTAGCCCCAGTTCATGTTCCTCTTGGCGCCTGGCTCCTTTAAGAGGTCTTGTTAGAAATACCAAAATTGTTAGAAATTGATCATCAGTGCTGTGAAGAAAAGTCAGCACAGAGACAAAAGATCTCTCAGCAAGGCAATCTTTACTTTCTGCAGAAAGGTTGCTCAATCGCAGATGGACCAATGGTGAAAGCACACCTGAACAAAGGAAAAGCAGACATATTTATCCCTTACACATTTGGGTTGTCCTTACTGCTGTGTCCTGCATCCATTGGCTGGAGCGGAACCTCACACTCTTAAACTGATACCCAATTTGCTAATAGCCTAAAACTTCCTAAATAGGTAAGTGCAGGGACGAACAAAGAAGTTGCTTACGAAAAGTTTAAGGAAGCAATAACATTTCCAAATGAAGAAGGGGCATAGGCTGTGAGCTGGAATGTGCCTGTGAGCATGTCCAACAGTTACACAGAATAGGGTTTAACAAAGCAAGGAGGCTTGAAGAAAGTTAGTCTTTAAAAGAAACTATTATTTCTAACACTTATGATTTATTATTTAACAAGAAGGGAAACTTTGAAGAGGAAACTTTTTACTTTCTACAATTCCCTCCTCTTTATAGTTTCAAACTTGCTTAGCAAGTCTTGACTTAGTTGTTTTGATTAACTCCTGGATGTATGGTACAACATAACACCTAAGAAGAAGGAGTATACTTATTATAGTTGTTAAAGAGGTAAGAATTGAGGCTATGTGTTTTTTTTTCTTTTTCTTCTTTTTCTGGTTGATGAAATGCCAGGGTAAAAGGGATAGCCAATTGAATTAGAGCATAAGTACTGCTCTAATTATTTGGCAGAGTTTCCAGTGAAGGTCCTCCATAATACAACCACACATCCAATCAGGGATGAATAAGGGCAGACTGATGGGTCAACTCTTGGAAGTGCCTGACTTCACTGCATGCTGTTAAGTCTCCAAGGAACGTGAAAATTTTCCTCTTGTTGTTGGAGACATGAGGTAAAATTGGTCTTGGAAGATGGAGCCTGGATGGCCCTCGGGGGCTGACCCGCAGGGTGTTGAACTTCAGGAAATAGCAGAGAAAGAGCTTGGCACAATTTTTTATTCCAGGCAGTGGAATCTTGAAAGAAAGCTACCGTGCACTCCATGTCCGCTGGATTTGAGGACCATCCTAGTGGAAAGGGAACAACCTGGGCCTCTGGCCTACCATGCGCACAAGTGTAATAGTCACTGTTGTTTAAAGTGCAAATGGAATATTTAATCCATTCTAACCAGGCATTTACATCTTTATACCCTGTTTTAATGGCTATGGTTTGCCTTAGGTCTCCTATTTGTACTACTGAGACCTTGGTTTCGCCATTGGGCATGAGGCGAGGCATAGTTTGATTTTGTAGGTTTGAGAAAGGGGCAGTTGTAGGAGGTGGAGAAAGGAGAACAAAGCGCATCTTAAAGAAGCCTATAGGATCCTTTCCAGTGACCTTTGCTCCTAAACCATAGAAACGCTCTAAAGTGGGGTTAGAGTTGCTAGTGGTAGGAATAGTAATGGATACAGGCACTGGGTTAGGAAAGAAAAGGAAAAGATAGATAGACTAAGCTTTTCTTAGCTTTAATTTGGTAGGGCTTGATCCAGGAACAATGGCCCATGATTCTGATGATAATGGTGCTTTCTTGACTCGGGTGTAATGTGTACATTCCCTTTCCGCTGTGCGAACAGCAGTCTCCGTGGTTAGCAGCACAAGGTAGGGTCCTTCCCAGTCTGGCTTGAGTTTCCCTTCTTTCCACCCTTTGATGAGAACGTGATCCTCTGGCTGGTGCTGGTTTACTGGAAATTTTAGGGGTGGTACCTGTGCTAAAAGACTTTTAGTTCTGAGGGAAAGTGGAAGATAAACCAAGTATATAATTTCTGAGAAACTGATCTTTTGTTTTAAGTGTGGAGACATCAGCAAGAACATACATTGGGGAAACAACAGTCTCTTCAATAAATGGTGCTGGAAAAACTCAATATCTATATGCAGAAGAATGAAACTAAAACCCCTATCTCCCACTATATGCAAAAATCAAATCAAAATAAATTAAAGACTTAAATCCATGACCTCAAACTATGAAACTACTAAAAGAAAACATTGGGGGAACTCTCCAGGACATTGGTCTAGGCAAAGATGTATTGAGTAATAACTCAAAAGCACAGGTAACCAAAGCAAACATGGATAAATGAGATTACATCAAGTTAAAAAGCTTCTGCACAGCAAAGGAAACAGTCAACAAACTGAAGAGACAACCCTCAGAATGGGAGAGAATATTTGCAAAGTATCCATTTTACAAAAGATTAATAACCAAAATATATAAGGAGCTCAAACAACTCAACAGAAAAAATATCTAATAATCCCATTAAAAGTGGGCAAAGCATCTGAATAGGCATTTCTCAAAAGAAGACATACAGATGGTAAACAGGCATATGAAAAGTTGCTCAACATCATTGATCATCAGAGAAATGCAAATCAAAATGCAATGAGATATCATCTCATCCCAGTTAAAATGGCTTTTATCCAAAAGATAGGCAGTAACAAATGCTGTCAAGGGCGCGGAGAAAAGGGAACCCTCATACACTGCTGGTGGGAATGTAAATTAGTATAGCCACTTAGGAGAACAGTTCGGAGCTTCCTCTAAAAACTAAAAATAGAACTAACATAAGATCCAGCAATCCCACTGCTGGTATATATCCAAAAGAAATTAGTATATTGAAGAGATATATGTACACCCATGTTTACTGCAGAACTCTCCACAATAGCCAAAATTTGGAAGCAGCCTAAGTGTCCATCAACAGATGAATGGATAAAGAAAATGTGGTACATAATGACAATGCAGTACTATAAAAAAGAATAAAAAGCCATAAAAAAATGAGATCCTGTCATTTGCAACAACATGGATGGAACTAGAGGACATTACATTAAGTGAAATAAGCCAAACACAGATAGTCAAACTCCACATGTTATCCCTAATTTGTGGAAGCTAAAAATTAAGACAATTGAATTCACAGAGATAGAAAGTAGAACGATGGTTACCAGAGGTATGAAGGGTAGTGGAGTGGGGGTGGGGGAGTGAGGATGGTTAATGGGGACAAAAATATAGTTAGATGGAATTAATAAGATCTAGTATTTGATAGCACAACAGGGTGCTTACAATCAACAATAATTTACTGTACATTTTAAAATAAACAAAAGAGTATAATTGGAATGTTCGTAACACAAAGAAATGATAAATGCTTGAGGTGAAGAATACCCCATTTACCCTAGTGTGATTATTACACATTGTATGCCTGTATCAAAATACCTCATGTACTACATAAATATATATATCTACTATGTATCCATAAAAATTTTAATTTTAATTTTAAAATAAGAAAAACAAAATCAAAACACAAAACCAAAAAAATCAAATAGCCCTCAGAGAGATTACTTGTTACTGCTATTCACTTCTGGGTGAACTGGTTTATCAGATCACCTGGCTCAGAATATGCATCCAACTATTTGTTGAAATAATTAATGAATCATTTATCTGTCCAGATGGATTTAGGCAGAATTAGAGCACTCAGCACAGAAAATAAATTTCAGCATTGACAAGCAGAGCTGCTAAGGTGTGAATGTGTTTCCTAAAAGTTAGAAACTTGTGTTAGAAACTTAATCCTCAATGTAGCAGTATTGGGAGGTGGGTTCTAATAAGAGGTGACTGGGTCATGAGGACAGAGCCCTCATGAATGAACCAATGTCACTATCATGGGAATGGGTTTTTTATTGCAAGAGTGGGTTGTTATAAAGTGAGCCCAGCTCCTGGAGCCTTTCTCTGTCTCATTGGCTCATTTGCCCTTCCACTATGTTAGGATACAGCAAGAAGGTCCTCATCAGATGCCAGTGCCATGCTCCCGGACTACCCAGCCTCCGGAACTAAATTTATTTTCTTTATAAATAACCCAGTCTATGGCATTCTGTTATAGCAACAGAAAACGAACTAAGACAAAGGCTCCTAAAGAAGATGTGAGAAGTATATAGCTAACCTACTTTGTAATTTTGCCTTATCAGGGAATTAAAACAAAAATCCTCACATGAAATGATTCAGTACTTTTCAGATAGAATGTACTTCGTTTGAGTTTACTTTTTTAAAAAATCAGCAGAAATCAATTTTATGTTCCTTTTGGTAATCATTTAGTATAATATGTGCTACTTAATTATAATCATGTAGATATACAGATGAGTATTATAGCTAAGACTTACGACATACACTTCCCTCCCAATAGCTGCTAAGAAGACCGCAGCAGCCTTCATAAGTTGTATCTTCCCCTTTACTGAAGAATCACCAGTCACCTACAGTTGCACAGCAAGCATGGGAAAATAACTGAAATTTTGATGTGCCATTTCTCACTTCTTTAAGAACCCTCCTTCAAATTCCTGAATAAAGCTGCTAACTAAGACAAATGAATTTTAAAAGTGAGCCACTTATTTTTATGAATGAATGACAGAGAAAAGAAATAGGATTTGTAAAGTGACTGGAAAGTGATAATTATAGTTAATTAATATTTTTTTCTTCCCAAATTTCAGGTTTGAGACTTAAATACCTCTCTACTAAAAGGGAAATGGATAAAAAGGTAAAGTAACAGGGCCCAGTTACCCCTTCTAGTCTCTGCTTGAGGTTGGCAGGGCTTTGGAAATTTGGCGGGACTGAATTTCAACGCAAGAATAATCACCAGGTGACAGATTAATAATAAGAAAGAGGGAAGGTGCACAAATGCAAGGCAGTCTAGAAATGAGAAAACACAGCTCTCAGCTGGACATAGTGGCTCACACCTGTAATCCCAACACTTCTGAGAGGCCAAGGTGGGAGAATAGCTAGAGGCCAGGAATTCAAGACCAGCCTGGGCAACATAGCAAGACCCAGTCTCTACAAAAACATTTAAAAATTAGCAGGACCTGGTGGCGTGCACTTGTAGTCCCAGCACCTCAGGAGACTGAGGGAGGGGGATTGCTTGAGCCTAGGATTTGGAGACAACAGTGAGCTATGATTGCACCACTGCACTCCAGCCTGGGCGACAGAGTGAGACCCTGTCTTGGAAAAAACAAAAACAAAAACAGCTTTTAAGTGAGCAATATGGCCAAGCAACTTTTCTTCTTGAGAAGCAATAACTCAATTCCTGACCAATGTCTACCAGATGCTGACTGCCAGGCTGGTTTCGGATCCTTTGTATTCTGTCAGATGAGAACACTTGTTTACCTTCCAGGACTGACCTGAGCATGAGGTGAGGTTTCTCCCTGATTTCCACTGATTTATACACACTCGAAACCATAGATTTTTCTAGCATGGATGGGTTTAAATTCTATTGTCTATTTCTGCTATGTTGTCATGGCAGCCTTCCCATTATAAACCTGGGCACTCAGGGAAGGGGTTGCTTACATCTGGAAGGAGAAGTGTATTAAACTGGACAAGTGAGGAATGAGTCCGTACTGGGCAGAGTGGTGGGGGAAGAAGTGGGGGTGGCCAAGGGGCCGGAGGCAGGGAACAGCTGTGAGTATCCTCCCACAGAGAGATGGACATTTTTAGACTTCCTCTCTTCAGAAAGTCCATTTCTTAGCACTACCAAGGCTCTCCACTACTCGTCCTATAAAACCCAACTGCCACAGCTCACCCTTGGACCTCCTCCACAAACACCCCTTCCCTTTCCACTACAGCCATTTCTCTTTAGTCCCTCAGAAACCCTCTACTTCAGCCAAACCTATGTGCTCACTGGCCCCCAAACATTGTTTGCCTCTTGCTATAGCCAAGTTTTGGTCCGCATTCGACCCAAGTGACTTTCACAGCTTCTCTCTGCCCTTCACTTTCTAAACACAAAGAATAATTCACCCCCTTCAGGAAGCCCAACTCACCTAATCACAACACATACCACTGTCCCTCACTGGGGACTATGAAGGCATCTGCCATATGAAATTGTGTTATTTACAGACACCCCATACCACTTTGTCTTCTT
This sequence comes from Homo sapiens, assembly GCF_000001405.40. Classification (NCBI taxonomy): domain Eukaryota; kingdom Metazoa; phylum Chordata; class Mammalia; order Primates; family Hominidae; genus Homo; species Homo sapiens. The sequence goes on along the minus strand of NC_000010.11, from coordinate 45,064,800 downwards.
AGGCAGGACCAGAAACTGTGCACCAAATCTGAGTTTCCGAGGTGTCCATGTGCCTGTCCCTATGTGTGAAAATACATCTGCCTTCTGCGTATCTATTGCAATACATTCAGGGACAAATAGTGACCACTTTTCAATTAGCCATGACTTTAGAATGCCCACTTCAGGGCTTCTGTCCACTGGATGCCACACTCTTCCCCAAGGCTCACAGGGCTGTCTCTTTATCATTCAGGATGATGTTCAAAGAGCACCCCCTTATAAAAGTTTTATCCTGCTTTCCAGCCTAAAGAAATTTCCCAGTCATTTAAACTGATATCACACTGTTTTGTTTTCATTATAACACCCATGATTTCTTATGTACTATTGCATTCTTTCTTTCTTTCTTTCTTTTTTTTTTTTTTTTTTGAGGCAGAGTCTTGCTCCGTCTCCCAGGCTGGAGTGCATTGCTGCTATCTAGGCTCACTGCAACCTCCACCTCCCTGGTTCAAGCAATTATCCTGTCTCAGCCTCCTGAGTAGCTGGGACTACAGGCGCACGCCATCACACCTGTCTGATTTTTATATTTTTAGTAGAGACAGGGTTTCACCATATTGGTCAGGCTGGTCTCAAACTCCTGACCTCAGGTGATCCACCCGCCTCGAGCTCCCAAATTTCTGGGATTACAGGCGTGAGCCACCGCACCCAGCCCATTATTTCTTTATTATCTCTGTTTCTGCACTGGAGTGGAAGACTCATAAGAGAAAGTAGCTGTCTGTCCTGCTTACTACTTGTCCCCGGAATAATGCCTGGTACATATTGCATAATCAATAAGTATCTGTTGGCAAATCAGTGAATTCACATTCTAAGAATGCAGTTGTGATTTTTCTTTAATTATTCCACTCCTCATTTACAAATGAAAGAACTACCTGGTAGCATGGGAAGTTTTCTAATTTACTTTAGGAAGGTTCTACTCTTTTGTCATTGTTGTAACGATGCCAGGGCCGCAGTGTTCTCCGAGCTCTTGACTCAGGCTTTCTTCCATTCACCCTTTGAAACCACTTCCTTGTACAGAGAGTAGCTAATTAATGTACTTCATTGCAAAATCCAGGCAACTTCAAAATGTTTAATAGCCTTGTGGGTTTTACTGGGGAATAAAGGGATATTTAAAAGCTATCACTGAGCATTTTAAAATTCAGTCTCCTCTGTGATCATATGAAGTAGAAATAGTATATTTTCAAATGACAGAAAATGGAACCCTCAAGGGGTTTAAATGCTTGGATCAGGCCCAGTGTGGTGGTTCACACCTGTAATCCCAGCAGTTTGGGAGACTGAGGTGGGAGGATCGCTTGAGGTCAGGAGCTCGAGATCAACCTGGGCAATGTAGTGAGACTCTGTATGAAAAAAGTAATTTTTAAAAATATTTGGCTGTGCACGGCAGCATCCCAGCACTTTGGGAGGCTGAGGTGGGTGGATCACCTGAGGTCAGGAATTCGAGACCAGCCTGTCCAACATGATGAAACTCCGTCTCTACTAAAAATACAAAAATTAGCTAGGTGTGGTCGTGGGCATCTGTAATCCCAGCTCCTCAGGAGGCTGAGGCAGGAGAATTGCTTGAACCCAGGAGGCAGAGGTTGCAGTGAGCGAAATCACGCCATTGCACTCCAGCCTGGGCAACGAGAGTGAAACTTCATCTCAAAAAAAAAAAAAAATGGGGAGGCCAAAGCGGGCGGATCATGAGTTCAGGAGATTGAGACCATCCATCCTGGCTAACACGGTGAAACCCTGTCTCTACTAAAAGTACAAAAAATTAGCCGAGTGTGGTGGTGAGCGCCTGTAGTCCCAGCTACTCAGGAGGCTGAGGCAGGAGAATGGCGTGAACCCGGGAGGCGGAGCTTGCAGTGAGCCGAGATCATGCCACTGCACTCCAGCCTGGGTGACACAGTGAGACTCCGTCTCAAAAAAAAAAAAATGTTTAAAATTAGCCAGACATTTGGCATGAACCTGTAGTCCTAGTTCTTGGAGGCTATGGCAGGAGGATCACTTGAGTCCAGGAGTTTGAAGCTGCAGTGAGCTATAATCATGCCACTGCACACTCCAGCCTATGCAACAGAGTGAGACTCTGTCTCAAACAAACAACAAATGTTCAGGTCATATGAGTAGTAAGTGGTCAGAGCTGCATGCAAACCTGGGTCTTTTAATTTCATATCAACCATACATCCTTTCACATCTCCTAACACCAGTTTCTAAGAGGCAACATCGTCTCATGAAAGCAGGCCTAGACCAGAAGTAGGAAAATCTCTCCTCATTCAAAGGTCAGCTTGCCATTTGCCAGCCATGCTATCCTCAGCAGCTTCTCCTTCTGCAAAGTTGGGATAACAAAAAAGTTTCCCTCCTTGCCAACCTCCTCTGGTGACTGGGATAAGCACACAAGATGATGTACATCAAGACACAACACTCCCAGCAAACAATGGCATCCCAGCGGACTCTTGTGGACTGCCTGCCACGTGATGGCTTTAGCTTCAATTCTACTGCCGATTCTGCTAAAGCGAGGGAGGAGTCGCAGGTGAGAAACACAATGACGTCATGGGTTTGTTAGCTGAGGATGGTGGTAAGCGAAGAAACCTCTTCTGGAAGAATAAAAATGGAAATAGCAACTAATGCTATTCAAATGGCTTGTTGCCATTTGAAGTGAGTATTAGCTTGCCTTGTCTTGGCAAGTCCTAGAGAGATATTTCACTGTGAGCACAGGAGTTAAAGGCGGCATGTTTCAGCTAGCACATTTCAGCTGGCTTAACACAACAAACCCAGAGGAAACCAACCAGCCCCAGAGGGAACTGAGCACACAGCTCTACATCCCCATGAGGGATAGTTCATACTCACTGTGGCAAGCTGCTGGAGAAGATGCAGGGAATCCGTTCCTTCTCTAGCTGAGGATTCAGATCTGACAGGTCCAATGAACCAGGATCACCCTTTCCTCCTCCCTGATCAAGTTTTTCAGAGAAACTATGAGGGAACAAAAATAAATCCCTAGAATAATCCTTCACAGACTCCTTCTCAAAATTGTAACTAATCTAAAATGAAAACCAATCAGAAAAAAGCTAAAAGTTTTACTCATTTTGGCTGAATTAGAAGAATTTGTGTTATGACCTAAATAAGAGGCTCTTCCATATTTTTTTCTTTTAAGACACTATTGAAATGAGGCTTTTAAGGCCAGGTGCGGTGGCTCATGCCTGTAATCCCAGCACTTTGGGAGGCCGAGGCTGGTGGATCATGAGATCAGGAGATCGAGACCATCTTGGCTAACATGGTGAAACCCCGTCTCTACTAAAAACATACAAAAAAAAATTCGCCATGCATGGTGGCGGGCGCCTGTAGTCCCAGCTACTCGGGAGGCTGAGGCAGGAGAATGGCGTGAACCCGGGAGGTGGAGCTTACAATGAGCCGAGATCACACCACTGCACTCCAGCCTGGGCGACAGAGCAAGACTTCGTCTCAAATAAATAAATAAATAAATAAATAAATAAATAAATAAATTAGGCTTTTAATATCTTATCCTAAAAAGCCTTGGACATATCTATAATTTATGTTATGATTTTTGAGAGGTTTCACCTGAAGGGAGCATGGAGACTATCAGCGCTCTATCGAGCTCTCCTTGAAAATGCTTTCCATTGCTAATAGAACCTCTTTTTCTTATTATTTATACAAGACCTTCTTTGATTTCCTGCTTGTGACACTTTGGAATGAAAAACTGGTGACTGCGTTAATTAAAAACAAAAATGAGATGGCTTATTTTTTTCTTTCCAGAAAATCCTAGCCAGAGTCCCTGCAAGCAGACCTCAGTGTGAGCCTGCAGTCTGCAGGGCCAAATGTTCAGGTTTCTGTCATTTGATCTAATACAAGCTTAAGTACTGATTACAATCATTTTGTTGGAGGTGTGTGTGTGTGTATGTGTGTGTGTGTGTGTGTGTGTGAGAGAGAGAGAGAGAGAGAATGACAGGGTCTCATTCTATTGCCCAGTCTGGAATGCAGTGGTGCCATAATGGCTCACTGCAGCTTTGAACTTCCCGGTAAGCGATCCTCCCACCTCAGCCTCCCAAGCACCTCAGCCTCCCAAGTAACTGGGACTACAGGCTATGCCACTAGGCCTGGCTATTTTTTCTTTCTTTCTTTTATCTTTTTTTTTTTTTTTTGAGAAGGAGTCCCGCTCTGTCACCGGGCCGGAGTGCAGTGGCACCATCTTGGCTCACAGCAGTCTCTGCCTCCCGAGCTCAAGCGATTCTCCTGCCTCAGCCTCCCGGGTAGCTGGAACTACAGGCACATGCCACCACACCCAGCTAATTTTTGTATTTTTAGTAGAGACGGGGTTTCACCATGTTGGCCAGGATGGTCTCAATCTCCTGACCTCGTGATCCACCCGCCTCAGCCTCCCAAAGTGCTGGCATTATAGGCATGAGCCACCGTGCCCAGCCGCTGTTTTCTTTTTTAATTTTTTGTAGAGATGAGATCTCACTATGTTGCCCACACTGGTCTCAAACTCCTGGCCCCAAGCGATCCTCCCGCCTCAGTGTCCTGAAGCGCTGGGATTATAGGCATGAGCCACTGTGCCCAGCAGAACCATTATTAATTGGAGAGTAAGATGAAGCCGAGCAACAGAGGCAGGTGGAGGTGGCAGTTTGATCGGCCATCTTAAAATTCAAAGAGGAAAGGAAACTTCACCTGCCTCCTTGACCTCCTACTTCCTTTCCCTCTCCTCCCCTCCCCTACCCCAATCGAATTGCATGATCAGACCTGAGAAAGAAGAGAGACTTAAAAGAGAACAGGGTGAGGACTTCTGCAGCAGCAAAATGACCAATGAAGAGCTTGTGCCCCACTTTTCACTACATGGAGGAATAGCCCAGGTGCTTGGCGGACAGCTGCAGCTGGATGCAAATCCTGAAACCAGGAGGTCCTGGCCAGGTGCGGTGACTCATGCCTATAATCTCAACACTTTGGGAGGCCAAGGCAAGAGGATCACTTGAGGCCAGGTGTTTGAGAACAGCCTGGGCAACATAGTGAGGCCCCATCTCTACAAAAAGTAGAAAAATTTGCTGGGCATGGTGGCATGCTCTGTAGTCTCAGCTATTCAGGAGGCTAAGGTGGGAGGACAGCTCAAGCCCAGGAGTTCAATGCTGCCATGAGCCACAATGGCATCACTGAACTCTAGCCTGGGCAACACAGCGAGATCCTGTCTCTACTTAAATAAATAAATAAAATAAAAGTAAGAAGTCCCATCTCTCTCAGAAAACCACCAACCAGTAAATGATAATACCCATACATGGGAGATGAACAGGAGCTTTCAGCTGTATTATCCCACACAAATCCTCCTTCAGTCAGTTCATTCAGTAGGAGACTTCTGCTGTTGCGAGGATAAGGAAATGGTCAGCTTGTGCAAGAATCCTCTGTATGAGAAAGAAAAGACACAATACCAGAATTTGGATTTTCGGTCTGAGTCAGATCTCTTTCTTACCTCTCTGACACATTTAAATGAGTAACTATCACAAAGCAAAGGAAAATAAAGAAATACTAGACTTGTTCTCTATCCTTAAAGAGCTTCCTGATCTGTCTGGGAATTCAGGGCATCATCTGGCTGTGAGTTACAGCTGTAATAGCTCAGTACAATGGCTGGGATGTTATGTAAGGGCAATGAGTTTATGCTTGCATTCTAGGGATAATCATCTCTCACCTGCTCTCTAGAATGCGCAGCCCAGAGGCGGTCAGCAGTACTTAATCAGAAAGGGCCACACATTGGGTGATACAGCTTGGCTCTGTGTCCCCACTGAAATCTCATCTTGAATGTAACCCCATGTGTTGGGGGAGGGGCCTGGTGGGAGGTGATTGGATCATGGGGGCTGATTTCCCTCTTGCTCTTCTTGTGATAGTGAGTTCTCCTGAAACCTGGTTGTTTGAAATTGTGTGGCACTTTCCCCTTCACTTCCTGCTCCGCAGTAGTAAGATGTGCTTGCTTCCCCTATTCCTCCCACATGATTGTAAATTTCCTGAGGCCTCCTAGTCATGCTTCCTGTTAAGCCTGAAGAACCATGAGTCAATTAAACCTCTTTTCTTCATATAAATTACCCAGTCTCAAGTAGTTCTGTATAGCAGTGTGAAAACAGACTAATACACTGGGGCAACAAATGTAAGTTCATCTGTTATCCTTATTGCCATCAAAAATTCATATTTTGCAAGTCAATAGGGCAGCTCCTCAAAAAATTAAAATTAAATTACCACGTGACCCAGTCATTCCACTTCTGGACATTTCCCCAAATGAGTTGAAAGCAGGGTCACAAAGAGATATTCAAACATCCATGTTCATAGCAGCTCTATTCACAATTAGCCAAAACATAGAGCAACTCAAGTGTTCATCAAAGGATGAGTGCATAAAAAAAGGTGGTATATACATGTGAAGGAATTCAGCATTAAAAAGGTAGAAAATTATAATATGTGCCACAATGTGAATGAATTTCTTTAATTCAGACAATGAAGATGGTACAGCCTAAACCCTGACTTTTGATCCTGGTATTGTTTTTGGTTAAGCTGTTGTTTTTGATGGTAGACATCAGGTCCATTTTTCTCTTAAAACTATTTTGTGTTTACCATAGTAAAATTATGTTTCTAATCCATCTAAAAGCTGCATGAAATTATTTAGATCTGGAGGAAGAAGGGGGCTAGAAAAAGCCTCGTCTCACACCTCTTGGGATGAACCTTGAGGACATTATGCCAAGTAAAGTGGGACAATCACAAAAGGCCAAGTATTGTCTGATTCCACTTAATGAAGTAGTGAAAATCATCAACTTTATAGACAGAAAGTAGAATGATGATTGCCAGGGGTTCGGGGGAGGAGAGAATGGGCAGTTACTATTTAATAGGGACAGAGTTTCCATTTTGCAAGATGAAAAGAGTTCTGAAGATAGATGGTGGTGATGGTTGCACAACAATGTGAATGTATTCAATGCTATTAAACTGTATACTTACAATGATTAAGATGGTACATTTTCCAGCCTGGCCAACAGGGCATAACCACATCTCTACTAAAAATGCAAAAATTAGCTGGGCATGGTGGTGTGTGCCTGTAGTCCCAGCTACTCGGGAGGCTGAGGCACGAGAATCACTTGAACCCAGGAGGTGGAGGCTGCAGTGAGCCAAGATTGCACCACTGCACTCCAGCCTGGACAACAGCATAAGACTCTGTCTCAAACAAAACAAAACAAAACAAAACAAAAAGATGGTAAATTTTATGTTTCATATATTTAACCAGAATTTAAAAAATAACAATAGATAAATTTATAAAAAATTGTTTTAATGTTTTGCAAATGAACATATTGAATGTCAAAAATGGGTTTTCATTAGTGAAACAAGTAACTTTCAAGTAGCATAATTAATATTAGAAAATGACTTTCATTGGTGAAATGAAATGTAGTCAGAGCATGTGGATTCACTAAAATTGTCATTGCTCCCCAGCCTTACATGAACCGGGCATAGAAGAGCATTCAGCCAGTGCTGGGTACTCCAAGGACAGCACTCGAGGTCTGATCCCTGGGCAGAGCACAGTGTAGTCAGTGATGTTTGTAGAGATGGGATCTCATCATGTTGCCCAGGCTGATCTGGAACTCCTGGCCTCAAGCAATCCTCCCGCCTCAGCCTCCTGAGCTAGGATCAATCCATTGTTGAAGAGTACATGGATGTTACTTTGCAGACTGTCAACCTGAATTTGTGTTTGCTTGACATTGCCTAATTATTAGTTTCAGTTTCAGCTTACCCACTTTCTGTCAGCAATATGCAGAAGAGACTGTGCCCTTTTTAGTGTATCATATCAGGAAGCATCTCATGTTGGTTTGTGCCATTACTGGTGCAGTGACTTTCAGCCACTTGGTTAAGGTGGAGTTGGCCATATTTCTTCACTGCAAAATTACTGATTTTCCTTTTGTAATTAATAAGTGTGTTTGAGAAGATTCTTCAAGATGAGGTATATATCTCATTCTTCATCGAACTATAAGGTTTTTTTTAAGTGAAAGAAAATTTATTAAGAAACTAAAGGAATAAAAGAATGGCTACTCCATAGGCAGAGCAGTGTCACTTTAAGGTTTTGATGTCAACTGATTTTTATCCAAATCAATAATTACTGCAATGATTGAAAAATGATTATTACTAAGTTTATTTTCATTGTCTCAAAGTCTGCCGAACTCTGGATCCAGGCTGTGTCAATAGGGTAGTGTGGTGCCTCCTGTACCTGTCTCGGCCTCCTACAGTCCTTTTTATTTATTTTGTTTTTTATAATAGAGACAGGGTCTTACTATGCTGCCCAGACTGGTTTCAAACTCCTGGGCTCAAGCAATCTTCCTGCCTCAGCCTCCCAAAGTGCTGAGATTACAAGCGTGAGCCACCACACCCGGCCAAGTCCTTTACCATTTTCAGAAGGCTTACCTTGCACTTTCAGCAGAAGGATAGACTCCAGGAAGACTGTGAGAGAGATTTAGGGCCCAAGTTGATAATATCAAATACACTGAACTTGACTGTGTTCACCATGTTCTGGCTCTAGAGAAATGAGAGTGCTAGTGAGGTTGGTGCCATTTTGTGTATCTTCTGTACCTTGAAGTCCCTCAGAAATCTTGCCCCTGGTCTTCTTGTTCTAAGGACATAACAGGTTCCCTTTTCTCTGGAGATGAAATCTAGATCTTCAATTTTTGGAGCCAAATTTGGACTCTTGACTCTGGAGCACCAATTTCTTCAGCAAGTTGTTCTCTGGAATCAATCCCAGGGTATGGATTTTTCATAAATGCCTTGATGAGAGTGTGTAATTGAGAGGCGCTGTAGGTGGTATGACACCGTCTGGCTTCTCTACTTTGAAATTCCACCCCAGGTTGATCTTGCCCATGGCTCTGGCTTGAATCTAAAGTCTCAGGTTCTGGTCTTTTCTGGAATCCATTCCTAGCTCTTTGATTCTGAAACCAAATCTGGATTCTGTACTTTTCTGTATTGATTTCTAAAGCAAGTTTTTGTTTGGTAGCATAATCTGGGTAAGGTTTTTGATTGAAGGTATTGATAAGGATTTTCAATTGATCTTCTGTGAATTTGGTGTGATTGCTCCTGCGATTTGTGGCTACCATCTTGTGTGAAGAGGTGTCTTTAGCCATGCTGGAAGAGAGTCCTAGAGGCTGAGCTACTGTCTGGGAGACCGCTTACAGCTCATTTTTAAAAAGAAAGATTGCATATAATACAACATAATTCACAAATCTAAAGCATATGATTTTCTGGGTTTTGACAAATGAAAACACCTGTGCAACTTCAACCTTACCAGGATATGGATGAGAGTTTCTACCCAAAAGCACCAGTATTCTAACAAACAGCTTTGGATTTTTTGAATTGTTCAGTGCCTATGAGGATTCCTTACTCCAAATTTATGACAAATATATTCAGAAGGCATAGTCTATAATTAGTGTTTGGGTAAGTATTTTCATCGATTGATTATTTGCTGTGAATTTAAGTATGCTGATTTTTATGTAGTTGTCTTCTGAGAAACATTGTGCCATTTTTCATGTAGAAACCACTTGTAGGATAAACAGAGATTATGAACGCACAGAGTTGGTTGTGATGGGCACGTCTACCTGTGGCTGCCATTTAAGGGGAAGGTGGAATCCAACTCTGGAGCATCGGCAGCCTGAGCTGGTGCTGGGCTCACACTGACCCTGGGAGTGCTCTATGCATGCTTCACCTTATGAGGGGTGCGGCAGGAACAAAAATAGAAAAGTGTGCTCTACTTTCACATGTTACCAAAGGACAGAGGATACCACCAAGGAATTAGAAAACTGTTAAGTGAGGATTTATTCTTCTTAATAGCCTTTCAAAGAAGGAATTTGAAAACAAGATTCTACTCATCCCACACCAAAATGTAAACAGATATATTATTTTTTATATTCCCAGGATAATTTTGGTTTTACTTAAGCATCACTATCAATGAGCAAAAGAACAAAGCTGGAGGCATTGCACTATCTGATTTCAAACTTTACCACAAAGCTATAGCAAATAAGACAATGTGGTACTGACCAAAAATGGACACACTGACAAACAGAACAGACTAGAAAGCCCAGAAATGAACTCACTCATGCACAGTAAATTAATTTTGACAAATGTGCCAAGAATACACAGTGGGAAAACATAGTATCTTCAATAAATGGTGCTGGAAAAACTAGATATTCACATGCAGAAGAATGAATCAAACCCTTATCTCAAACATATATGAAAATAAACTCAAAATGGATTATAGTCTTAAATGTAAGACTGGAAACTGTAAAACTACTTGAAGAAAACACATGGGGAAAACTACATGACATTGATCTGGGCAATAATTTTTTGTATTAAACCCCAAAGCACTGGCAAGAAAAGATGAATGGCATTACCTCAAACTAAAAAGCTTCTGCACAACAAAGGAAACGAGTATCAGTATGAAGAGACAACCTACAGATTGAGAAAAAATATTTGCAAGTCATACATTTGATAGTGGGTTAATATCCAAAATACATAAGGAACTCAAACAACCCAATAGCAAAAAAATTTAAAAGTCAATTAAAAATTTGGTAAGGGACCTGAATAGACCTTTATCATGAGAATACCTACAAATGACCAATGAATATACGAAAAAAATGCTTAACATTGCTAATCATTAGGAAAATGCAAATTAAACCCACAATGAGATACAATCTTACACCTGTCAGAATGGCTATGATCAAAAAGACAAATGATACAAGTGTTGGTGAGGAAGTACAGAAAAAGGAATCCTTGTATACTGCTGGTGGGAATGTAAATTAGTACAGACATTATGGAAAACCATATGGCAGTTCCTCAAAAAACTGAAAATAGATTTACCATATGATCTAGCAATCCCTCTTTTGGTTATTTACCCAAAATATTTGAAATCAGTTTGTTGACAAGATGTCTGCCCTCTCATATTCATTGCAGAACTGTTCACAATAGCCAAGTTATGAAATCAGCCTAAGTGTTAATCATCAGATGAGTGAATGAAGAAATGTGGTATACATACACAATGGAATACCATTCAGTCTTCGAAAAGAAGAATATTCTGTCATTTGCAGCAACATAGATGGAAATGTAGAACATTATGCTAAGTGAAATAAGCCAGGCACAGAAAGACAAATACCACATGATCTCACTTACATGTGGAATCTAAAAAAGTCAAACTGATAGAAGCACAAATTAGAATGGTGGTTACAGAGTCTGCCAGTGGTGGAGACAGAAATGGAGAGATGATGGTCAAAGGTTACAAAATTTCAGTTAGATAGGAGGAATAAGATTTTTTTAAGAACTACTGCACAGCATGGTGAATTTAGTTAAAAATGGTGTATTGTACATTTCAAAATTGCTAATACATTTCAAATGTTCTCATCACAAAATAAATAAGTATTTGAGTTGATGGGTATATGTTAATTAGCTTGATTTAATTATTCCACATTGTATTTTAAATCATAACATCCCTTTTACCTCATGTATATACAAATATAAATTGTCAATTTATAATTTTTAAAATATATGTTTCCAAATGAAGAAAAACTAAGATATTTTGTTGCCATCAGACCTACTCTTCCTCTACTCTTGCTAAAGAAATTTCTTCAGACAGAAGGAAATGATACCAGAAAGGAACTTGAAAAATCATGAGTGAAAAAAGAACAATAAAAAGGGTAAAAATATGCAACTCAAATGATGTAACATTTCTGAGACTAGGATTTAACAGGCATCACAATGTCTGCTTTCAGTCTCTTAGAACATTGAGACCTCTATGTTGTGAAGAAGTCCAACCTAGCTTACTAGAGGAGGAGAGGCATGTCAGATAATAGCTAGTACCAACTTCCAGAATGTAAATAGGGTTGTTTGGGGCCTTTTAGTTTCAGTCAAGCTGTAAGATATCTGTAACTGTATGAGTAATCTCGTGTAAGACCAGTTGGAAAACCACCCAGATGGCCAGTCTACAGAACTGTTTGTTTTTTCAAAAAATTCTTAAGAAAATAAAGATGAGCAACAGATTTTGAGAAAATATTTCCAAAACACATATCTAATAAAGGACTTGTACCAAGAATATGGGAAGGACTCTTACAATTCAATAAGAAGAAAACAATCACCCCAAATAAATAAATGGAAAATATATTTCTATCAATATTTCATTGAAGAAGGTATATAAAAGGCCAATGAGTATAAAGAAGATGGCCACAAATTGTTAGTCACCATGGAAATGGATTTCTACTTAGAAATTAAATGAAATCAACTATTAATGTTTGCAAAAAGGTATAGACATCTCCAAAACATGCAGAATCAAAGAAGCTAGACACAGAGAGTACATATTGCATGATTTGAATTATATGAAGTTTTAAAATAGATGAAACTATTATATGATAGTGGAAACAGGAACCGTGTTTTTCTCTTGGGGCAAAAGGCAGTAATTGAGGAAAGAAAGAAGAGAGCTTTTGGAGTTTTAGAAATGTTCTATATCTTAATTAAAGTAGTGGCTACACATATGTATACATTTTTCAAATTAATCAAACTTTAAACTTATAAACTGTGCTTTTTATTAAATATAAATTATGCCCCAAGAAAGATAAATAGAAAAAATAAATGCTAAATACAAGCTGACATTTTCATACAAATTATAAAGATACATAGTTTTAATCTCAAGACATAAAAGTCCTTACAAAAAATAAAAAATAAAAAATTACGTGTTCTTCAGAAACATAATCTTACAAAACAAAGTGTTACAGTCATCTGAGTTGTGAGTGTATTTATGTGAAAAATTTTTCTAACTGTTGAGAAATTCTTAACTCCAATGGGAAGAACAGTACAGAGATAGTTATGAGCTGACAATAAAAATATTCTCCAACTCTTTATTGTTCAAATAACCCATTTCTTGTTTGATAACTTTAAGGAAACTTTTAGAAAAATATTGAAGTTTTTTCAGAGGCTAACCTTTATATTGATAATGAATTGTGGTCTATTTTCAAGAAAACTGATTGTGCCTTCATATTCTTTATTTCCATGATGTTTAGAAAGAAATCCCAATGCAGGAGCACATGAAAAATTTCAGTGTTGTCATGAATACATTCCATTTGCTGAAAATTTCTCTAAAGTAAAATAAGAATTTTTCTTGTAATAAAATTTTAATCCTATTCAATTACAAATTGTAATGTAGCGTATATTTTCATCATGAGGCATAATAATTTAGGTCATTATAATATATTATATTAATAAAATCCATTCCTAGCTAAATACAAATTTATATAATGTTAAAAACTGGTAAGAAGCCAGCCAAGGAGTCTCAGTGGGTTATCGAAGTGATATACGGAGAACAGAATGATACCATAGTTGTGAAGTCTGGTTTTAAAAGTGTGTTTGTCCAGAGTCACTATAGTCAATAATAATTTAATTTTACATTTAAAAATAACTAAAAGAGTATAAATGAATGATTTGTAACACAAAGGATAAGTGCTTGAGGTAATGGATATTCCATTTCTTTTGGGGGGGATTATTACACATTGTATGCCTGTATCAAAATATTTCATGTATCCCATAAGTATTTACAGCTACTGCATACCCATAGAAATTAAAAATTAAAAAAAAAAAAAGTGTCTGTGAAGTGCACCCAGCTCTCCTGAAGGAGGGCAAGCCAGGAACAACGATAAGTGGATTTTACCAGAAAGATGCTACTGGGGATAAGTGCCAAAGTGTTACCAGCAGACTGTGGAGATTAAAATCCAGGCCAAGAGAGAGAGCAGACATAGAATGGAGGTTTTGGCATTGCCAGCCCGTCACACCCAGCCTACCCATATACCCTCTGCCTACCCTCTCCACCCCACCACCACTTGATGCTGGTGACATGTTGTTTTCCAAGCATGGTAGGAAACCAGTTCAATAGGTCTTTACAATTTGACAAGCAACCCACACCTAGGATGCACTGTTTTTGCTCATTATGCCACTGCCAGCCAATAACTAATTTCCTACTCGCAGTGGTTCTCAAATTTGGCATGCATCACTACCACTTGGAAGGTTTGTGAAATCACAGATTGCTGGGCCCTATCCCAGGAGTTTCTAATTCCATATGCAGGGTCCAAGAATTTGCATTTATAACAAGGTGCTGTATTGCTACTGGTCCAGGGACCACAGTTTGAGAACCAATGTCATATTTCATTCTTCTGACACTCATTTTAATTCTCTTTCGCTAAGTGTAAATTAGTTTTTCCAGAACATTAACAGTAATGGAAATGAAGCTGAGGAACTAATGAGCTGTTTTACATAGAAGAACAAGGCAGGGTATAAGCAAATCTGTATCACAGGTCGTATCAGTCTTAAATGAGGTGCTTATTATAATCATGCTGCTTGTAGGGGATAGAAAGACTGGAGACATGAGAGAAGAAAGGGAAAGTTTATTTTTGCCTACTTTGTACCAGCTGGCTCTGAGAGCCATGAGCAGAAGTGGCTTCAGTGCTAGTTGGTGGTAATTGTGATAGAACATTTTCAGAGATGGGGATAGAGTTCTCTAGGGTTGCCTAAAACCCCTGTCATCCATTAACGCCACAAGTAAAGAGCTGCCACAGAATTTCTCTGCCCATTTGGGCTTAAGCTAGAAAGTGATAAGTTCATTACCTGGCCTACTGGTCACTCCAATGGGGATAAATGAACAGATAATTAATTCTTCAGAGAGTATATTTTCTTCCATTGTTTGGTTCAACTTGAAAATGTTTTCAATGAAACTAACATGCCCGTGGGAAATTATAATAGCTTGCTTTAATTATATTACTAATGTGCTAAGTAATTAGTGTAGAAAAGTAGTTATCAGGCATTTCCTATTATGAAATGCCTTGGTGAGTTGAATCTTTGAACTCAGGGCAGGGCTAGGCAAGTGAGTTACAATATAAAATGTCACTTAACAGTATAGTGACATAGTATTGATTTGGGAAGAAAGAAAATGAGGTGAGACCATAAGATGTTAAAAAACTGGAGGACAATATTAGGTGTAGGTGATGCGTGACAATACAGGAATAAATAACTTGTAGGAACCAGTTTTAGATAGGATGGAGAAAACACATTCCACACTGTCTCTACCACTGAATGCAGCTATGAAATAGAATATATATTGAGCAGCTATTATCGGACTCTAAAAAATTAGTAGTAGCAGGATTGGAAAGAAGATCAGAATCCAAAGCCCCACCAAATCAGTGGCGAGTTTACCATTTTTCAGTCTTCTTGTCCTCTTGTGTGTTGCTCCAGGACATAGGTACAGTCACAAAAGTAAGCAACAGAGAAGAGTAACTAAGGCTCTATGTTTCTGGCTACAGAACCTAAAAGAAGAGCCTCAAGGAAAAAAGATGTACTGAGGAGACTGTAATGATGAAGAACCTTAGGAAAGAAACTCCATTATGTTAAATAATCCCAAAGTTTACTCCAAAACTACACATGATTGGATCTGGCACTAATCAGTATAACAAAGACATTGAAAATTGAACTAACAGAAAGATTTCTGGCCAGAACACACACCACAACAGGATAATACACAAATGGGACAGATCTGAATAGCTCTTTAAAAGTTTTGAACACTGAGCTGATGGGAAACCACTTCAGGTGGGATGAAACTTTTGGCCCAAATTTAACCAGGTCAATTTCTTCCTAAAATAAATATATCAACATTCTCCAAATGATTTTACTTCAAGCCTCAAAACATGATACGTCAATCCAAAACTACTCAGCAAATGGACACAACAGATACAAACACTGAGATGGCACAGATGTTGGAATTATCTGACACATACTTGAAATCAGCTATTTAAAAGTGTTCTAACAAGCAATTGCAGACATGTTAAATTTAAAGAAAAATGGTCTCAGCAATGATATGAAAAGAAAAACAAATGAAAATATAGAACTAAAAAATACAATAACTGAAATATAAAACTCATTGAAAGAGCTCAAAAACATAATTGAGATGACAGATTAAGTGGTAAGTGAAACTGAAAATAGATCAGTAGAAATTATCCAATTTGGAAATCAGAAAAAAAAAAGCATTTAAAGCAAATGAACAGAGCCTCAGACCTGGGGGAAAATAATAAAGGTATAACATTCTTGTCATCAGAGTCTCAGGACAGCATAAAACAGTGCTAAAAAGTACATTTCAAGAGATAATGGCTGTAAAATTCCCAAGTTTGGGAAACTACGTAAACCTATAGATTCAGGAAGATGA
This sequence comes from Homo sapiens, assembly GCF_000001405.40. NCBI lineage: Eukaryota > Metazoa > Chordata > Mammalia > Primates > Hominidae > Homo > Homo sapiens. The sequence goes on along the minus strand of NC_000010.11, from coordinate 45,048,557 downwards.
GTGAATCTCAAATGGGATAAACTCAAAGAAATTTCATGCTTAGACCAATCATAATCAAATTACTGTAAACTAGAGGACAAAGAAAAAATAATTGAAATCAACCAGAAAATAGGCACATCACCTATAAGGAAAGAACAATTTGTGTTTTTTGTTTTTTTTCAACTTCTAGTTTCTGGGGTTACATGTGCAGGTTTATTACATGGGTAAATTGTGTGTCAGCGAGATTGGCTGTATGAATGATCCCATCACCCAAATAATGAGCATAGTACCTGATACGTAGTTCTTCAACCCTCACCCCCTCCCACCCTGCCTACTCTAGTAGTTCCCAGTGTCTGTTGTTCCCATCTTTATGTCCATGTATACTCATTTTTTAGCTTCCCTTATAAGTGAGAACATGTGGTAGTTGGTTTTCTGTTCCTGCATCAATTCACTTAGAATAATGGCCTCCTGTAGATTTCTAACCAGAAACTACAAAAGGAAATAGCATAATATTTTTCAATTACTGAAAGAAAAAGACTTTTGGGGCCAGGCATGGTGGTTCACATCTGTAATCTCAGAGCCTTGGGAGGCCAAGGCAGGAGGACCACATGAGCCCAGGAGTTTGAGACTAGCCTGAGCAACATAGTGAGACTCTGTCTCTACAAAAAATTTTAAAAATTAGCCAAATGTGGTGGCATATGCCTGTAGTCCCAGCTACTCAGGAGACCGAGGTGGAAGAATCACTCGAGCCTGAGAGGCCGAGGCTGCAGTTAAATCCTGCAGCAAAAATCCTAAAAGTATATACACGTTTGTGCCACTGCACTCCAGCCTGGCTGATAGAGTGAGACCCTGTCTCGAAACAAAAACAAGCAAACAAACAAACAAAAAGAAAAAGAAAATAACTGTCAACTTGAATTTTTTTTTTTTTTTTTGAGATGGAGTCTCACTCTGTCACCCAGGCTGGAGTGCAGTGGTGTGATGTCAGCTCATTGCAAGCTCTGCCTCCTGGGTTCATGCCATTCTCCTCCCTCAGCCTCCTGAGCAGCTGGGACTACAGGGGCCCGCCACCATGCTCAGCTAATTTTTTCTTTCGTATTTTTAGTAGAGGCAGGGTTTCACTGTGCCAGCCAGGATGGTCTCGATCTCCTGACCTCGTGAGCTGCCCGCCTCAGCCTCCCAAAGTGCTGGGATTATAGGCGTGAGCCACCATGCCCAACCGTCAACTTGAAATTTTACAGTTATCAAAACAACCTTTAAAAATTGAAGGTGAAATGACAGTGTTACTGATGAAGGAAAACTAAGAATATTTTGCTAGCAGATGTGCTGTAAAGGAATTGCTAAAGGAAGTTCTTCAGACAGAAAGAAAATGATACCAAAAGAAAATGGTACAACAGGGATAATAAGAGAGAAATAGCAAATATCTTGGTAAATATAATAGGCTATTCTTATCCTCTTGAATTCTTTAAAATACATTTGATAGTTAAAAGAAAAATAATAACATTAAATAAATGTTTCAATGTATATAAATGTAAACTAAAAGACAGCTATAACATAAAGTGGGGAGGGTAAAGTGACACATATGGTTGTGGGTTTTCTACATTCCACTTAAGTGATAAAACATTGATTCTAATTAACCTGTGAAAAGTAAAATATGTTCATTATAATTTTCAAAGTAACACTAAACAAATCTATTCCAAGAGACATAGCAAAAACATGCTTGGTAAATTAAAAGATAATACAAAAATAATCAAAATAATCCAAGAAGGCAGAAAATGGGGAAAAATAAAAAAGCAAAACAGGGGGGAAATCAAACAAATAATAATATGGCATAGCTAAATCCAAACATATCAATAATGAAGTTAAATAGAAATGGCCTAAAGTCACAAGTTAAAAGACAGAGATTGCCAGGACAAATCCTACATGATTCTATTTTATGAGGCATCTAAAGTAGTCAAACTCTTGGAAACAGAAAGTATAATAAATAGTCTTTACTGGAGGCTGGAAGGAAATGGAAAAGGGGAGTTGTTGTTCGATGAGTATAGAATTCCAGTTTTGCAAGATGAATAAGTTCTAAAGATTTGTTGTACAACAATGTGCATATAGTTAACAGTATATTATAGACTTAAAATGGTTAAGATGACAAATTTTATATTTGCAAATAAATATATGGCAAAAATTTATATTATGTGTTTTAACTTAATAAAAAAGATAGATTTTCAGATTCATTAAACAAATAAACATGATCGCAGTATATACAGTTTACAAGAAATAAATTTCAAATATGCTTGTATAGATAGGTTACAAGTAAAGAATGAAAAATGAGATAGTATGCAAATACTAAATTGTACTTTGGTGAATATACTAGTATCAGACAAAGTACACTTCAGAGCAAAAAAAAAATTACCAAGGATAAAGAAGAACATTACATAATAAAATGGTCAATTCATCAGGAAGATGCAAAAATCCTAAAAGTATATACACATATGCCTAACTAAAGAGCTCCAAAATACTTGGAACAAAAAAAGGGCAGAATTGAAAGGAGAAATAGAGAAATTCACACATATAATTGGAGACTTCAACACTCCTATGTTAGTAATGGGTTTAACTAAGAAAAAGAAAAAAGCAAGTATACAAAAGAACTGAATGACACCATAAACTAAATAGATACAAACAACATTTACAGAATGCTTTGCAAGACAACAGCAGAATATACTGTCAGGCCTCTGAGCCCAAGCTAAGCCATCATATCCCCTGTGACCTGCACGTACACATCTAGATGGCCAGTTCCTGCCTTAACTGATGACATTCCACCACAAAAGAAAAGAAAATGGCCGGTCCTTGCCTTAACTGATGACATTGTCTTGTGAAATTCCTTTTCCTGGCTCATCCTCACTCAAAGCTCCCCTACCTTGTGACCCCCACTCCTGCCCACCAGAGAACAACCCCCCTTTGACTGTAATTTTCCTTTACCTACCCAAATCTTATAAAATGGCCCCACCCCATCTCCCTTCACTGACTCTCTTTTCGGACTCAGCCCGCCTGCACCCAGGTGAAATAAACAGCCTTGTTGCTCACACAAAGCCTGTTTGGTGGTCTCTTCACACAGACGCGAGTGAAATATACATTATTTTCAAGTACACATAGAATATTTACCAAGGTAGATATGACACAGTTGTTGGCATTATCAGACAGATAATTTAAAATAACTATCACTAATATGTTAAAGCCTGTAATAGAAAAGTAAATAACATACATGCAAGGTGAGTAATGCTCTTAGAACATTTATTAGGAAATGCTCTAAGAGAAAGTTGTTTTTTTTTTAAGTTAGGAATAAAAAAGCCACTGTAAAAAAAAAAAATAAAGAATGCCTCTGATGGGCTCATCAGCAGAGTTGGTACAAGTGAGAAATCAGTGAGCTTGAAGATAGGTCAGTAAAAACTTCCTCAACTAAAATGCACAGAGAAAAATATAATTTAAAAATGAGAAAAGGTTAGAAGATCCTAACATGGAATGCAGAATGTAATAAAAGTATTAAAAAAAAAACCTCACTGGGCTAAAAAGTTGCTGATTTAAGTAACTTTGCTATGAATGGAGCCTGTAAGCCTAAAGGCTAAAGAAATTGTACGTAAGCACTGTATTCTGATTGATAGTTATTTCTCACAGGGATATGTTTTAACAATTCTGATGCCACGATACATGTATACAGGGATTGAAATTTGCATAAATAATTGGCAGATGGGAGCTAGGTTTCACACTGTTGGAGCTGGGGATTACTGGTAATAATGGGAAGGAGGCTAGAATGATCCATGTGGTAATGAATGAGAGTTGTAGACATCAGTATGAACTCATGTTTGGCTTAATATAGACAGTACAGGACTTATTAAGAAATTATTTTTAGGCAGATAGAAAGGGGAAAAATTCTCAGTGGAATTTTCCTTTAATGAAAGCAGCCCTAAACCATTTCTTTTCTAACAGAAAGCAGCCTGATAGATATGCGAACTAGGGGCTTTCATATGTAAATGCAAGCAGCTGTACCTGGAAGCCAGGTACCTTCAGTATGGCATTTACCACCCTCTTTTCCTTGTCACCACATGTGCCGGTGTCTTGGCGACCTCCAGGTAAAAACGTGTGCAGATATCATGGCAACCTTCAGGTAGAAGCCACATCTGCACAATAAAAGAACCTAGTCTTCTATCGTGGGAGGGTCCGTCTTTCGCAGGCTATGTGAATGGCACACATACTCAAACCAATCCCCTGGGCCCTATGTCAATCAGTCACTGCATCCTCAAGCCTCTGTACAAAATCAACTGTGTTCTGCCACAAACCAGAGATCCTCTCTTGGGCAACCCACTTTATCAACATGAGAACGCTTTTCTTCTCTTTCTTCCACTTTGTCTATTAAACTTTCGACTCCTAAACCCACTCCTTGTGTGTGTCTGTGTCTTGAACTCTTTCTCAACTGACACAAAGAACAAGTCTTTGTATTAATATTGGTTTATTTGTAACAAATATGCCATGATAATATAAGATGTTAATAGTAGGCAAACTAGGTATAGGGTATGTGGAAACTATATTATCTTCATAAATATTTCTGTAATCTAAAACTATTTTAAAATAAAAATATTGTTTAAATAACTTCTAATAAAGAAATTTCTAGGTCCAGATGGTTTTAATGGTAAGTCTACCAAAAATTCAAAGGAGAAATAACACTAATTTTAGAAATCTATCCTAGAAAATACAAGAGAAAGAGACAATTTCTCACTCACTGTATGAGTTCAATATCACCCTGCTTCAAACTAGACAAAGACATGATGAAAAAAATAACTACACATAAATATCCTTCATAGACATAGATTTAAAAAAACTCAACAAAATATTAGCAAACTCAATCTAGAAAAATATTAAATAATAATAAAATACCACTTGTGGGGCTTATCCAAAGAACTCAGGGATGGTTCAATTTTTAAAAACCAGTAAATATAATGCATAATATTACTAATCAAAAGAAAAAGCACATCACAATACCAATTGATGCAGAACAGACATATGACAAAATTTAACATCTATTCATGGTGAAAATTTCCCAGAAATCTTCTTCAATGTAATAAGGGCATTTACAAAAAAAGTCATGATATACTTAAATGGTAAAAGGGTGAATGCTTTCCCCCTAAAAGTCGGTAGCAAATCAAAGATGTCCCCCTTCACCATCCCAATTTAACACCATACTACAAGTCCCAGCCAGTATAATAAGGTAAGATAAAAAAGTAAAAGACACACAGACTGTAAAGGGAGAAACAAGACTGTACCTACCAACAGATGACATGATTATCTTCACAGAAAAACCCAAAGAAACTCTAGAAGGCTTCTTAGATCTAATAAGTGAGTTCAGTAAGTTGCAAGATACAAAGTGAACACACAAACCTCAATCATATTTCTATATACTAGCAATGTAAATAGAAACAGAAATTTTAAAACAATAATTAAAATATCTCAAAAATGTAAATAAGTATAAATATAACAAAATATGTACAGGTGTGTTGTGCTGAAAACCACAAATTAATGAGCAACAAGATCAAAAAAGATCTAAATAAATACCGTGTCCATAGACTATACAATCAATATTGCAAACGTATACATTCTTCCCAGATTGATTTAAATTTTAATTTAATTTCAATGAATATCTCAGCAAGATTTATTATAGATATAGAAAAATTGATTCTACTATATATGGAAATGCAAAAGATTAGAATATCTTCAATAATTTTGAAAAAGGAGATAAAAATGGAAGAAGGTAAAGCAGTGGAAGGTGAATATAAGTGGAGTCATATTAGAGCTATAGTGAAGAGCCATAATAAAAGACTTCCAAAACCACACAGAGAAGACAAAACATTGCTATGAAAATTTGAATCCTATTATATGCTTACTGTCCAGGGATCCTAGACCTAAACAAACAAATCTTTCTCAGATATAGAATAAATAATTATTGAAACCTACCAAGGGGAAATTGAAAAACATTTTTAAAATTCCACCATGCATAACAGCAAACAAGAACAAGAAAGAGCAAGAAAAGTAGGGCAAAACTCCAAGAAGGCCATCTGAAGATTTTCTTTTATAAACTAATATCTAAGGTTATAAACAAGAAAAAGAAAAATGTAGAGAAGATTTTTGGATTCTACTTCAGGAGACTTTCAAAAAATATTCTGAAGCAGGCCCAAAGCTATTGTAAAAGGAGCCCTGTCCTCTCTTTATGTAATAGATGTGCTAAAATCTGAAATAGAAAATTTGGTTAAAAATTGCTTGGAAAATTGTAGTTATGGGGGAATCTCCAATATTTGGCTGAGTGATTTCAAGTGGACTTACAACAGTTGATATGCTAAAGGCCAAGACAAACTTATGGCCCTTCAGGTAAAACAACAGGTCTTTAAATAGAAACTGAATTGAAGGGCCTTCCATAATCTAAGAATTAGGGAATTATTACTGAGGATATGTACAGCTATTGCAAGCAAAAAAGCAATTGGTAGAGCCAATGTCTCATATTATTGAAAATCAAAACAAAGCAAAACTAATCACCCCTTTCACTAGTCTATGTAATATGCCTGATTTGCTCATAAGGGCCAAATGGATGAGATTGTAGTTCTTTTCAAGATTTCCAAGTAACTAATACAAAGCTATGTGGTTATACTTTACTTTCTGGTATTTCCTAACCCACTGAGCATACTTTGCTCAGTCTTACCCTGAAGATAGAAAATTCTTCACTAACGTAGACTTCTATTCAGCATTCTTTACTATCCCAGTAACTAAAGATAGTTAATATTTATTTTCTTTTCCTGGGAAAATATATTACTTGGGCAGTGAAACCTGTGTAATTACTGGGGCTCTAGCTCATGTCTCTCAACTTTTAGATTAGGATAGCTAAAATAAAATTTCCATTTTGATCTCCCTTATACAATATGTAGATGATCTCCTTCTACACTTCACTGATTCAGATTCTTCTACAACTGACTCTAAATATCTATTTGCTGAAGTGGTTTAAAAAGGATACATAGATTAAGGAAAAGCTTCCCAGTTCTAAAAGGCCAATCATTACCTCAATCATGATTTGTCAGCCAAAGTTAGGGTGTTATCTGGGGAAATATTGTTAACTATTCAAAATTATCCAAAGCTATTTTCTAAAAGACAACATTTTTTGGATTTGCTGTATTTTTATACAATGGTGACTCAGCTTTACTGAAATAGCAAGGCCTATACATGAGCTTCACTTCTGTGAAACTCAGAAATTAAAAATGCCCTTAGTAACCTCAAAATACCTCTTCAATAACTACCTTTGCTAGGTCTTCCAGATTATGATAAACAGCTGTTTTTGTTTGTTTGTTTCTTTGTTTGTTTGTTTTTTCTGTGTTTCCAGATAAGTTCAGGTCATGGTCTTAAGGCATGAATGTAAAACACCCATCAGTGACTCATTGCCTATAGCCTGTCTCTTGATCCAGAAGCCAAGACTTATCCTTTTGCCTCCAAGTGACTGCAGCTTCAGCTAAATTTTTCAGCTAGTGAAATTAGTTACTCTTTTCCCCTTACCTGATGACTGAGCTGCAATTATGTTTTTATCAGGAAGAATGCCAAAGGCTGATAATCTAGATTTTCCCCTTCAAAATCTTAATGTGACTTTATTTGTTGATGGGTCTTATCTAAAAAATGACAAAGGTCAATACTACATTTGGTTTCCTGTTTGCCTAAGCAAGAATTTTGAAATTTTTTTGTTGGAGATTTGAGAAAAGTGTGATTTCCTTTAATTAGCAGCTGCACAACTGTGCCACGGTTCTTAAGCAAGAGAAGAAATTCAGAAGCTGTCAAGCTAATTGTTAAAACAACTAAACTAAAAGCTGAATTTTAAGAACATAAATGATTATTAAGATTTTGCATAGCAAAATATATATTTATATGAACAAGTCAAGTGCAAAATGATAGATTGGAAGAAAATAGTTGTATTTTTTTAAAAAATTCAATAGATTTGGGGAAACAGGTGGTATTTGGTTCAATGGATAAACTCTTTAGTGGTGTTTCCTGAGATTCTGGTGCACCCATCACCCAAGCAATGTACCCTGTACCCAATATGTGATATTTTATCCCTTACCCCACTCCCACCCATTCTCCCATGCCCCCAAAGTTCATTGTATCATTCTTATGCCTCTGTGTCCTTATAGATTAACTCCCACTTATGAGTGAGAACATATGATGTTTGGCTTTCCATTTCTGAGTTACTTCATGTAGCATAATGGTCTCCAACTTCATCCAGGTTGTTGTGAATGACATTATTTTGCTCCTTTTTATGGCTGAGTAGTATTCCATGGTGTATACACATATACCACATTTTCTTTATCCACTCATTGATTGATGGGCATTTGGGCTGATTCCATATTTTTATAATTACAAATTTTGCTGCTATAAACATGCGTGTGCAAGTCTTTTTTGTAAAATGATTTCTTTTCCTCTGGGTGGATACCTAGTAGTGGGATTGCTGGGTCAAACGGTAGATCTACTTACAGTTCTTTAAGGAATCTCCACACTGATTTCCATAGTAGTTGTACTAGTTTACATTCCCCACAACAGTGTAAAAGTGTTCCCTTTTCACTGCATCCATGCCAACATCTATTTTTTTTTATTTTTTTATTATGCCTATTCTTGCAGGAGTAAGGTGGTATTGCACTGTGGTTTTGATTTGCATTTCCCTGATAATTAGTGATTGTTGAGCATTTTTTCATATGTTTGTTAGCCATTTGTATAACTTCTTTTGAGAATTGTCTGTTCATGTCCTTAGCCCAATTTTTGATGAGATTATTTGTTTTTTCTTGCTTTATTTGAGTTTCTTGTAGGTTCTGGATGTTAGTCTTTTATTGAATGCATAGTTTGTGAAGATTTTCTCCCACTTTGTGGGTTTTCTGTTTATTCTGCTCATATTTCTTTTGCTTTGCAGGAGAATTTTAGTTGAATTGAGTACCATCTATTTACTTTTGTTTTTGTTGCATTTGCTTTTGGGTTCTTGTTCATGAAGTCTTTGTCTAAGCCAATGCCAAGAACGGTTTTTCCAATATAATCTTCGAGAATATTTGTATTTTCAGGTCTTAGATTTTAGTCTGATCCATCTTGAGTTGATTTTTGTATAAGGTGAGAGATGAGGATCCAGTTTCATTCTTCAACATGTGGCTTGCTAATGATCCCAGCACCATTTTTCAAATAGGGTATTCTTTCCTCCAAGTTATGTTTTTGTTTGCTTTGTCAGAGATCATTTGGCTGTAATTATTTGGCTCTATTCCTGGGTTCTCATTTTGTTTTATTGGTCTATGTGCCTATTTTTATACCAGTACTATGCTGTTTTGATGACCACAGCCTTATAGCATAGTTTCAAGTTGGGTAATGTGGTACCTCCAGATTTGTTCTTTTTGCTTAGTCTTGCTTTGCCTATGTGGGCTCTTTTTTGGTTCCATATGAATTTTAGGATTGTTTTTTCTAGTTCTGTGAAGAATGATGGTGGTATTTTGATGGGAATTCCATTGAATTTGCAGATTGCTTTTGGCAGTATAGTTATTTTGCAATATTGATTCTACCCCTCCATGAGCATGGGATGTGTTCCCATTCATTTGTGTTGTTTATGATTTCTTTCAGCAGTGTTTTGTAGTTGTCCTTGTAGAGGTCCTTCACCTACTTGGTTAGGTATGCTCCTAAGTATTTTATTTTATTCACGGCTGTTGTAAAAGGGGTTGAGTTCTTGGTTTGATTCTCAGCTTGGTTGCTGGTGTATAGCAGTGCTACTGATTTGTGTATACTGATTTGGTGTAGCAGTGCTACTGATTTGGTGTATAGCAGTGCTACTGATTTGGTGTATAGCAGTGCTACTGATTTGTGTACATTGATTTTGTATCCTGAAACTTTACTGAATTCATTTATCAGATCTATGAGCTTTTTGGATTAGTCTTTAGGGTTTTCTAGGTATACAATCATATCATCAGCAAGCAGCAACAGTTTGACTTCCTCTTTACCGATTTGGATGCCTTCATTTCTTTCTCTTGTTTGATTGCTCTGGCTAGGACTTCCAGTACTATGTTGGATAAAGGTGGTGAAAGTGGGCATCCTTGTCTTATTCCAGTCTCACAGCATTTGCAGTGGCAAGCTGCTTCTTTCAAGGCATCTGCGAATTCTTTCAGTTTTCCTATGTTCCTGTGGTGGTTCTTGGAGCAAAAGTTCATGATGTGGGTCTCCACATGCTGTTCTGTCCACCTGAGTGGGAGCTGCAAGTTAGTCCTGCCGTCTATCCACAATTCTCATCAAACCTCCCCTACATCATATTTGACAGACAAAGGTTAGTTTTCTTAACACAAAAATCTCTCCTAATAGATAATCCAATAGAAAAATTGACACATGACATAAAGAGACAACTCTCAGAAGAGGAAGTGTGCATGTCAATCATGCTGGTCACCAAAAAAAAAGCAAAAGAATAATACATAATAAGTAATAAAATAATAAATAACAGTAAAATGACATTTATCCAGGATATTGGCCCACACTTAAAAGAAGTACAACAGTCAGGGCAAACAAAAGATACAGGGAAAAAGCCCCATTCCTCTGCTTTGGGTGAGTTGCTGCAGCCTTTGTGGATCAGAATGTGCAGTACCTAGTGACACTGAGACATGCATACACTTTTATTTTTTAACTTTTAAGTTCCAGGGTACATATGCAGAATGTGCAGGTTTGTTATATAGGTAAACAGGTATCAGGGGGTTTGTTGTACAGATTATTTCATCGCTCAGGTATTAAGCCTAGTATCCATTAGTTATTTTTCCTGATCCTCTCCCTCCTCTCACCCTCTTCCCTCTGGTAAGCCCCAGTGTGCATTGTTCCCCTTTATGTGTTCATGTGTTCTCATTATTTAGCTCCCACTTATAAGTGAGAATGTGTGGCATTTGGTTTTCTGTTCCTGCATTAATTTACTAAGGATAATGGCCTCCAGCTCCATCCATGTCCCTTCAGAGGACATAATATCATTTTTTATGGCTCCATAGTATTCCATGGTGTATATGTACCACATTTTCTTTATCCAGTCTATCATTGATGGGCATTTCAATTGATTCCATGTCTTTGCTATTGTGAATAGTGCTGCAGTGAACATATATATGCATGGGTCTTTATAACAGAATAATTTATATATACCCAGTAATGGGATTGCTGGATCAAATGGTATTTCTGCCTATAGGTCTTTGAGAAATTACCACACTGTCTTCCACAATGGTTGAACTAATTTGCATTCCCATCAATGTAAAAGCATTCTTTTTTCTTCACATTCTGCCAGCCTCTGTTATTTTTTGGCTTTTTAATAACAGCCATTCTGACTGGTGGAAGATGGAATCTCACTGTGGTTTTGACTTGCATTTCTCTAATGATTGGTGATGTTGAGCTTTTTTCATATATGCTTGTAGGATGCAGAGACAGGCATACATTTTGATAAAGCAATCACACTTGGGGGAGTCTATCCCACAGAACTTAAAGCCCTAGTACAGAAAGATCTATGTGCAAAATTTGTATCACAGTCTCAGCTTCCACACTGGTAAATAGTTGACTGTGGTGTGTACTTCATGAGGCCATTACTGGAGTTAAAGCTAATGAACAGGAAATGCATTTTGAAAATTAGTTATCACTATTAAAACACATGGCAACATGGAAATACTGTGGGATTTCCAAAAGAAGATCCCAGATTTCCTACCCTGACTCCTCACACAGCATCCTCTGTGTTTCCCACAGTGTAGTACTCAGAGGATACAACATGGGAAATAGCAGAGATAAATGTGACAGTGCAGGAGAGAAGCCTGTGCTTCCTCAGCCCACAATAGAGCCACCCTAGAGGGCCCCTTTCTGGAACTTTGACTAACTAGTCTACTGAGGTTTCTGTTGGTATTAATTACTCCCGGAAAGTTTGGGGAAACTACAAAAAGAAGCCTCTGGATCTTGGAAGCAGAGACAGCTCCAGCCATGTCTGCAGGGATCCTGGAATTCAGTCATTATCTGCCTGTCTCTGAGGACCTTGTTAACTCTAGGAGGGTGGCCTCCCAGTGGGCTTTTCCAGGCAGCTTGGAGGCTCTGGGGTGTTTTCAGAGGTCAATTTTAGACTGAAGTGACTCGGAGCCTTTGGGAAATTTCCCCTAGTAGATAAGGGATGGATAAATTCAGGGGAATTATTGTGACTAAGAGAAAAGTCTACAGGCTGGAGTATATGTATGCCAAGAAAATAGAGGCTGCAGAGGACCCTTTGCTTTGGGAATCATATATCTTTCTACCAATGATGTCCCAAGTTAGTGAGGGAGCTTTCCCAAAAGCCTGCAGGGTTAGGATGCTTGCTTTGAGTAATGAGAGATGTGCAGTGTTTATAGGGCTTCCTCTCCTCCACCATCACCCAACATTTATCCCTCTTACCCCATATCCCACCCTCTCAACCACAACTTCACTGGCTTTAGGGTGGCATGACTCTTTTTAAAAAAATAAAATGTGGAGACAATGCTATTATGTTAGTCTTATAAGTGAGGTAACTAGAATTTGGCTGGAGTTAATTCTATGAGATCCTTGGTCTGTGCAGAGAGGCAAGAATATGTAGGTAATGTGGAGTTACACAATGTTAGGACATCACCCTGTCACTTGCCTGTCATGTGCCTGTCACAGTGATTTCACCTCTGATATCTCTCTCTTGTGTAAGGTGGCCTGAAACCACAGAAGAGCTCAGAACCTGTTAGTTTCCTTTACCTTTGAAATTAAGGCTGTGCAATTGAAAGTTTGTTATATGGGTTTTATCACTTGACTATAGAAAATCATCATAATCTAATAGAACAGAAAAATGGGCTCCAAACAAACCTGTAGCACATAGTTTCACAAATAAATGCTGGTGTTTGAACAATGAATTATTTACAAAAATAGCTACTCTCTTTATAATATATGGTAAACTAAATTCTAGTTGAATTAAAGAGTTAAATATGAATAATGAAACAATAGGAAAGTACAGTGGATATTTAACTCATCTCTTAATCACAAAACTTAAGCACAAAAGTGAAAAAGAAGGAGAAGAAGAGGAGGAGGAGAAAGAGAAAAGGGAAAGAAGAGAAAAAGGAGAAGGATAAACATGTAAGATTTAACTGTATAAAATGCTAAACTTCTGTATTAAATGTAAAAATAGCCAGAATATATAGGAGAGTTAATTTCTTAATATGTAAAAAAGCTCAACCAAGTCACTAAGTAAAATATACACATTCTAAAACTGTCAAAAGATAGTAATAGAAAATAGCAAAATCATTTCAAGTGCTAATAAATGTGTGAAAAATCCAACAAACTATAACACTTAAGAGAGCAAGATCTAGACGTTGACTATAAAATGGAAAGGCCAAAGTGTGCATTAATATTGAATGCTGGAATGGATGCAGGCAAATGGGCCCTGCTGGGAAGTGGGGGCATAAGCAATTCCATAGGGATGTGCCACTGGAAACACCAGGAAGAGCATGTGCCAACTGTGGGGCAGCCTGATTCCAGGAGGAAGGGAAAAGGAAGGATGAGGACATACCTGCCCAGCTTTTCTCTCAAAATTCACCAATAGCATAGGTCATCCTCCAATTCACATCTTCTCAGTAAATGAGGTTGGGGGAAAGCAAATGTCTTACAGTTGGAGGAGCTCTCTCTGCATGAAAAGAAGCATCAGGATTTGGAAAGAAGTCCCCCGTTCCAATGACAAGTGCATTCCATTATCTTCTCCTTGCCCTCAACTGTTTAACTAATTGTATTACTTTTCAATTGCTGAGTAGCAAATTATCACAAATACACCAGCTTAAAACAACATAAATTTATTATCTCACAGTTTCTATGGGCCAAGATTCTGGGCATGGTTTAACTGGGTCCTCTGCAAAGCTGTAATCAAGGTGTCTGTCAGAGCTTGGTTCTCACCTGGAGGCTCAAATGGTGATGAATCCACTTCTAAGGTGTTGACAGAATTCATTTCCTTGTTGCTATAAGATTGAGAGTCAGCTTCTTGCTGGCTGTTGGCTGGAGGCCATCCTAAACTCCCAGAGGCTGTCTGCAGTTCCCTGACATCTGACCCTCTTCAGAGGCCCTCTCATAACATAACAATTTGGTTCTTCAAAGCCAGCATGGGAGAAAGAGAGTGAAATTCTGGCAAGATGGAGTCTTAGATAATGTAATCATGAGAGTGATAGCCCATCATCTTTGCCATATTCTCTCTTGATAGAGGCAAGTCAGAGGTCATTCCCATTCAAGGGTACATCACACAGGGTCTGACCACCAGGAGGTGAGCAGCATAGGGGCAATCTTAGAGTCTGTCCACCACAACACTGCATAACAGGGACAACCTGGCCACAGATCGAGGAATGCTCACGTTCCTCATTCCCCCATCTCATCATATTTTACAATCTGTCATTTATAACACTCCAATTCCAAGTAACGTATTTCTATATTAATCAAGACTTCCAGTTTTAAAATAACATACACCAAACCAAAACTAGTTTATGAAGAAGCTAAATTTGTTAACTCACAAATACAAGTAATAAAAGAATATCCCAACTATAAGAAGAGACCAGGGATGGTGGCTCATGCCTGTAACCCAGCACTTTAAAGGGCTGAGGCAGGAGGACTACCTGAAGTCAGGAGTTCAAGACCAGCCTGGGCAACATAGTGAGACCCCATCTCTACAGAAAATGTAAAAAGTAGTCAGGTATGCTGGCACACATCTGTAGTCCCAGTTGCTCAAGAGGCTGAAATGGAAGGATTGCTTGAGCCCAGAAGTTGGAGACTGCAGGAAGCTACGATCATGCCACTGCATTCTAGCCTGGCTGAAAGAACAAGACCCTATTTAAAAAAAAAAAAGTAAAAATGGGCCTCAACAAAAACTTAAACTAGGACTCCAGGACTTTAAATGCTATCAGGACATGTTTTCCATCTCTCATGAATGCATCTCTTTGTGTGTTAGCTTTGTTGTTTCTTATAGCGGTGAAATTTCTGTGGCACTATTAAACATGGCTACTGATAGCACTCAGGTTTTATGTCTTAACAGCTTCTACTACTGGGAAGATATCAACCCACTTTTAATTTCAATGTTAAAAATACCACATGAGGGGTTTCACTTATGTGTAGTGGACTACTACATGTGGTATGGTTGAAAAAATAAAAAAGATCTTGAGACCAATTTGAGAAACCAGATAAGATTTTTTTTTTCTAATTTAAAAGCACTGGCTGGGCACAGTGGCTCATGCCTGTAATCCCAGCACTTTGGGAGGCCGAGGTGGGCAGATCACAAGGTCAGGAGATCGAGACCATCCTGGCTAACACAGTGAAACCCCGTCTCTACTAAAAATACAAAAAATTAGCCGGGCGTAGTGGCGGGTGCCTGTAGTCCCAGCTACTTGGGAGGCTGAGGCAGGAGAATGGCGTGAACCCGGGAGGCGGAGCTTGCAGTGAGCCGAGATCCCGCCACTGCACTCCAGCCTGGGCAACAGAGCGAGACTCCGTCTCAAAAAAAAAAAAAAAAAAAAAAAAAAAATACAAAAAAATTAGCTGGGTATGGTGGCGGGCACCTGTAGTCCCAGCTACTCAGGAGGCTGAGGCAGGAGAATGGTGTGAACCCGGGAGGCAGAGCTTGCAGTGAGCCCAGATCGCACTACTACACTCCAGCCTGGGTGACACAGTGAGATTCCATCTCAAAAAAAAAAAAAAAAAAAAAATTAAAGGCACTGGGGAGTTGTTGAATTAACCAGGACTAGAAGCACCAATATTTTACACAGAGGAGAGAAATCATGGATTGATTAGATGATGCTTTGCAGTCACATTTTTCCCTAGAAGCATTTGCTGACTCCCATTGTGGGAAGTCAGGGACCCTGAACGGAGGGACCGGCTGAAGCCATGGCAGAAGAACATAAATTGTGAAGATTTCATGGACATTTATTAGTTCCCTAAATTAATACTTTTATAATTTCTTATGCCTGTCTTTACTGCAATCTCTGAACATAAATTGTGAAGATTTCATGGACACTTGTCACTTCCCCAATCAATATCTTTATGATTTCCTATGCCTGTCTTTACTTTAATCTCTTAATCCCATCATCTTTGCAAGCTGAGGAGGATGTATGTCTCCTCAGGACCCTGTGATGATTGCGTTAACTGCACAAATTGTTTGTAGAGCATGTGTGTTTGAACAATATGAAATCTGGGCACCTTGAAAAAAGAACAGGATAACAGCAATGTTCAGGGAACAAGAGAGATAACCTTAAACTCTGACTGCCGGTGAGCCAGGTGGAACAGAGCCATATTTCTCTTCTTTCAAAAGCAAATGGGAGAAATATCGCTGAATTCTTTTTCTCAGCAAGGAACATCCCTGAGAAAGAGAATGTGTCCCTGAGGGGAGGCCTCTAAAATGGCTGCTTTGGGGTGGCTGTCTTTTACGGTTGTAGCAGTGGGATGAAATAAGCCCCAGTTTCCCATAGCGCTCCCAGGCTTATTAGGATGAGAAAATTCCCACCTAATAAATTTTGGTCAGACCGGTCGTCTGCTCTCAAACTCTGTTTCCTGATAAGATGTTATCAATGACAATGGTTGCCCGAAACGTCATTACAATTTTAATTTCACCACGGTCCTGTGGTCCTGTGATCTCGCCCTGCCTCCATTTACCTTGTGATATCTTATTACCTTGTGAAACATGTGATCTCTGTGACCCACACCCTATTCGTACTCTCCCTCCCCTTTTGAAATCACTAATAAAAACTTGCTGGTTTTACGGCTCAGGGGGCATCATGGAACCTGCTCACATGTGATGTCTCCCCTGGACACCCAGCTTTAAAATTTCTCTCTTTTGTACTCTGTCCCTTTATTTCTCAGACTGCCTGACACTTAAGGAAAATAGAAAAGAACCTACATGAAATATCAGGGGTGAATTTCACCTGATAGACTCCTAGTGCAGAGAAAAGAGGCTAAGAATCTGGTTAGGTAGAGGATCATTAGTGGGAAGCAAAGAAACCAGTGGAAACTCTAGAAATCTTCTGGAGTTGAAGAAGAGAAATTAGAGATTGGAAGAAACAAGATCTTAATGAGAAGAAAAGAAAAAAAAATCCTAAGCCAGATACATGGACAAGTTTCCCTTTAAGACATTTGCTGAGTCCTAAAGCTTCACAGAAAAGAAGGCAAGTGGGGGCACAGCTGGGGGGTGGGAGTGTGGGGGGAAAAGCACCTGGAGAGTGGTAAAGCATGTTTAGCCATCATGGCTAGTTGAGGAAACAAGGGAGTTCAGGAACCTCCAAGAGAAGGGGCCCAGGTGAATATGCTAGGCTTTTAGTTAGAATCACTAAACAACTGTACCCTAAGAACATGGATGAGCCAGAGGCAGATGGAGCCTTTCTGAAGCTGCAATCACATTTGACTCAACACAACACAATTCCTGATGAAAATAAAGTGATCAGCCAACTCCCAGACTAGGTAACATAATGAGCCTCTGTCTCTACCAAAAAAACAAACAAACAAACAAAAGGCAGGTTTGGTGATGTGTTCCTATGGTCCTAGCTACCTGGGAGGCTGAGGTGGGAGGATTTCTTGAATTTGGGAGGTCAAGGCTGCAGTGAGCTGTGATTGTGCTACTGCATTCCAGCCTGGGTGACAAAGTGAGACCCTGTCTCAAAAAAAAAAAAATTAAAGAAAAATGATGCTAGATGGAAATGCAGAAATGCAGGAGGGAATATAAATATAAAATATAAAAATTAAAAATAAAAGGACTTACAGGTGATTCAGATATTGAGGTTAGCAGATAAGGGCTTAAAATGAGTTATTTAAAAAGATTAACATATCCAAGATATAGAGGAGAAGGTGGAGGAAACAATGGAGAACAATTTCACCAGATAATTTGAATTTAATAAAAAGAATCTAGTTGAAATTCTGCAGTAGAAAAATATTCAAAATGAATAACTGAAAAGAATAGATTTAACAAGCAGATTAGAAACAACAGAAGAAACAATTTGTAAACTAGAAGACAGCTCAATAAAAAATATCCAAATGAAAGCACAGAGAGATAAAAAAATAAAAAGAACAAAGAAGTGTAAGAGTCATGAGGTACACAGTGAAAAATGCATCTATAACTGGAGACATATAAGAAAACAGAATGGGGCAGAAGAAATATTTGAAAAATAGTGGTCAAGAACTATCCAGAACTAAGAAAAAGACTTCGGTCCGCAGATGCAAGAAGCTCTGTGAATGACGAATATGTTAAATACAAACAAAACCATACCTAAATATATCATAGTAAAACTTCTGAAAATCAAGACAGTTAATTCTAAGAACAACCAGAGAAAATAATTTAAATTAGTGGCAATAAAACTGAAGTCAAATTCTCAATAGAAACAAGAGAAGGTAGACTATAAGAAAACAATATTTAAAGTGTTGAAATAAAATTAACTGTCAACTGAGAATTCTATACCAAGAAATATATTCTTCAAAAACAAAGATAAAATATTTTGATAAGATACTTTGCAAAAAACATTGAGTAACTCTATTGCCAAGTAACTTCATTAAAAGAAACACTAAAGGGAGTTGTCTAGGCAGAAGAAAAGTGATGCTAGATGGAAATGTAGAAATGCAGGAGGGAATAAAGGAACATATAAGAAAATATAAGTGACTGAATATTGCCTGTACAAACAATAATAACAGTTTCTTATGCAATTTAAAATACATATAGAATTAAGATGCATGCCAAACTTAAGATAAAAGGCATGCAGATGATAAAAGAAGTGAAATTGTTCTAAGGCATTGGTATTATCAGGGAAATAATAAAAGTGATTATATTGGACTGCAAATACCTAAGATACACATAATTATTAGAGTAACAACTAAAAGGGTAAAATATTGTATGGCTAACAAGTTAAGATATATATATTTATATAATATTTGTAATATTAAGTAACATTTAGTAATTGATAATAATTAGTATTAATATAATTAATGTATGATAACATAATTAAAATAATATATAGTAAATAATATATAGTACTGTATGGTAAATATATAGTAATTATATAATTACTATATATAATAACCATATAATTAAATAATATATAGTACATTCATATATTTTAAAATATATATAGTATATTTAAATATACTATATATAAAAATTATATAATTAAATAATATATGGTACATTTGAATAGATTATATAAATATCGAATACAAAATATTAGATATATAAATATATATTAGATATATAAATATCTAATAAGTAATATTAGATAATTCTAATATCTAATATTAGCTATAATATATACATATCTAATAAGTAATATTAGCTATAATATATACATATCTAATAAGTAATATTAGCTATAATATATACATATCTAATATATAAATATCTAATATGTAACATTACATATAATATATAAATATCTAATATATAAATATCTAATATGTAATATGTATACTGTATATAAACATCTAATATGTATATTTATGTAATTAATTATTGAATATTATACATATTAGATGTTTATATATAGTATATATAAAATTAAATCCTTCTCCCCCAAAAAAAGAGAAGAAAGGAAAAGAAATATATCAAATAGAAAAAAGTTAATCCATATAAAGAAAAAAGACGGTATATATAAACACATTTATCTCTGTAACTATGTTAAATATAAATAATGTAATTGTGTCAATAAATAGACAAACTGAATTAGAAAAGTAGAAGACTAATTCACCTATATGCTATTACAAGTAAACAACTTGTTAAGGACACAAAGTTTAAAAGCAAAATTGTGGGAAAAGGTATTAAGAAAACAGTGAAAAAGGGAAACTGATATAGAAATTAATGGCAAAGTAGGCTTTAAGGCAGGAAAAGTCACTAGAGAAAAAGGAATATTTCATAATTAGGAAGGAATCAATTTACCAGGAAGATATAACAATTCTCAATGTGTATGCACCAAATAATATAGTTTCTAAATATAAAAAACAAAAATTGACAAAATAGAAGAAGAAACAGAAAAAACACAATTAAAGTAGGAGACTATAATACGCCTCTCAATAACCAATAATATAATCTAAAAAGGATATATAGTAAAGATAAACATTCTGAAGAGCTTAACTGAGAAATGTGACCCAATTGATGTGCATAGAATCCAACAACATCAAAATACAAAATCTTTCAAGTGTACATGGAACATTCACCAAAACTGGCCATATTTTGAGTACAAAGTAAATCTCAATACAAAATAATCAAAATTATTCAAAGTACATACTCTAAGCATAGTTCATAGAGGAAAATTTTTGGCCTTAAATGCATACTTAGAGGAAAAAGTATATCTGAAATGTTATTTTTTAACTTTCCTCTAAATAAGCTAGAAAAAGAAAGTAAATCAAACTTTTGAAAGGCTAATGAAAACATAAAGAAAATAGCAGAATTCCATGACATTAAAAAAAAAATGAAAATAGAAAACAACAATTTCAATAAAATGACTTTTTTTATATGTTAATAGAATTGATGTTAGAATTGATATGATAGCAAGACTGATAAAGAAAAAAACAAAAATTACAAATAACAGGAATGAAAAAAGGGACATCATTCCAAATACTACAGATATTTTAAAAATAATAAAATATTTTGGCAGTTTTTTGCTTAATTCATATATATCATTCTCTGGGTTCTTCCCTGGAAGGACTACACCAATAGGAGTTCTTTGTTCTCTGTTCTTCCATTTGGGGGTACCCTGACAAATTGGAGGTTGGAAGGAGAGTGAAGTCAGGGTATTTATTCTAACAGCTTCCTCCCTACTGTGTCATTTCAGAGGAATGGAGGCTGGATGCCTCCATCAAGTGCCCTAGCTCCTCTCAATGGTCACCCTCACCATACAATTATCCTTCCCACTATGACAATCATTCCTTCCCCTCTTCTCCCCTCTTTAAGCCTAAGGGTGGTTCCAGCCCCACTGCTACTAGCCCCAGGGTGCTGCACTGTTTCTTGTGATTTTCCCACATCTTGCCCATAACTTTAATAATTTTCTCTATAAGAGATAGTTTCTTTAATAAATCCTCTACAGAAAATCCTAATTGGAACATACCATCTGTTTCCTGCTGTGACTTTCACTGATACAGCTCCTTTGTCCCCAATATCCTTCTCCTAACATATTGCTTTATCTTAATTAGCAATGTCACATTTCAATAGGTTGTCCAAGCCAGAGATGTAAAAAAAATCATTCTAGTGCCTTTCCCTTCTCTCATTCCTCATACCTAGCCATTGCTGAGTCTGTGTGATTCTTGCTTTTTTTTTTTTTTTTTAAAGAAATCACTTTTGTTGCTCCCCTCTTCTATCATCACAACCACTGGCCTCATTAATCAGGCCCATATCATTTCTCTCTGAAAAAAAAAATGCTGCACTCTTTCAATTGGCACCTGCAAGGTTGTTGCTCTGCACTCTACTTGTGCACTCATCAGTGGAAGGATGAAGGGGGCTGAAACCTCACTTCTCCTCCACATTACATGTTATATGTCCTGCAGCAGGGTCCTGTTAACTTGGAGGAAAGGATTCCTTTCTTATTCATACAAAAACAATGAAACTAGTGGTGGTCCTGAATTTAGCAACCAACAGCCCATGTAATGTTCTGACCACCAATATAATCCAGCCAACACATGATCTAGTAACATAATCTAGAGCCTTGCTTGGCATAAAAAGCCCACAAAGATGTGGTCCCTGCTTAGTTCAGATTTTTTTTTCTTTTTTTTCTTTTATTATTATACTTTAAGTTTTAGGGTACATGTGCACATTGTGCAGGTTAGTTACATATGTATACATGTGCCATGCTGGTGCGCTGCACCCACTAACTTGTCATCTAGCACTAGGTATATCTCCCAATGCTATCCCTCCCCCCTCCCCCTACCCCACAACAGTCCCCAGAGTGTGATGTTCCCCTTCCTGTGTCCATGTGATCTCATTGTTCAATTCCCACCTATGAGTGAGAATATGCGGTGTTTGGTTTTTTGTTCTTGCGATAGTTTACTGAGAATGATGATTTCCAATTTCATCCATGTCCCTACAAAGGACATGAACTCATCATTTTTTATGGCTGCATAGTATTCCATGGTGTATATGTGTCACATTTTCTTAATCCAGTCTATCATTGTTGGACATTTGGGTTGGTTCCAAGTCTTTGCTATTGTGAATAGTGCCACAATAAACATACGAGTGCATGTGTCTTTATAGCAGCATGATTTATAGTCCTTTGGGTATATACCCAGTAATGGGATGGCTGGGTCAAATGGTATTTCTAGTTCTACTAATCTCTACTTTGTGTTCTATTCTCCAGCTATGCTAACCCCTGGCAAGTTCCTAAATGTGACATTCTATCTCACACTTTCATATCTTTGTACAAACTGCAATCTCTGGAATACCCTTCCTCTGCTCCTGTGCTGTGTGGGCTTCAAGATGGTCCCTAGTCATCTCTGCCTCCTAATGTTCACATCCTGTGTGGTTCCCTCCCTTGAGTGTTGATGGAGGGGGAGATCTAAGTTAATTCTAACCAATAGAACATAGCAGGCATAATGGAATATCACCTCTATGATTATGTTACATACGATTGTAACTTCTACCTTGCTAGCAGACTGTCTCTTGCTGGCTTTGGTGAAACAAATTGCTATCCTATGAGCTGCTATATGAGGAGGCAGGCCCACATAGTAAAGAACTATGAGAAGCTTCTAGCCAACCACGAGAAGGAAATAAAGTCCCTCAGTCAATAGAACACAAGAAACTGAATTCTGCCAATAACCACATAATTGTGGAAGAACATCCTTCCCCAGTCAAGCCTTGAGATGAAATTGCAGCCCCAGCCACCATCTTTTTTCTCCCCAATTGTTTTCTTTTTCTTTTTAGTTGACACATAGAAGCCATACATATTTATAGAATGCAGAATAATATTTTGATGTATGTATACAATGTGTAATTACAAAATCAGGGTAATTGGTATATCCATTACCTCAAACACATCATTTCTTTCTGTTGTGAACATTCAAAATTCACTCTTCTAGTTTTCTGAAAATACACAACAAATTATAATTAACCATATTCATGCTACAGTGCTACAGAACACTAGAACTTGTTCTTTCTCTTTAGCTGTAACTTTGTATCAGTTAGCCTTCTCCTTATCTCCCCTCCCTTCTACCCTTTCCAGCCTCTAATACCCACAATGCTACTCTCTACTTCCATGAGTTTGGTTTTTATTTAGCTCCTACATATGAATGAAAACATTCAGTATTTATCTTTCTGTGCCTGACTTATTTTGCTTAACATAACATCCTCCAGCTCCATCCACGTTGCCATGAATGACAAGTTTTTATTTCATATTTTTTTTTGAGACAAGGTCTCTGTCACCCAGGCTGGAGTATGGTGGCATGATCATAGCTCACTGCAGCCTCGAACTACTGGGCTCAAGTGATCGCCCTGTCTCAGCCTCCTTGAGTAGCTGGAATTACAGGCATGTGCCACCATGCCCCGTTGCTTTTTTGTATTTTTCCTAGAGACAGGGTCTCACTATGTTGCCCAGGCTGGTCTTGAACTCTCAAGCAATCCTCTAACCTCAGCTTCCCAGAGTGCTGGGCTTACAGGCATGAGCCACCGTGCCCAGCACAGGATTTCATTTTTTATGGCTGAGTAGTATTCTATCGTGTATACACACCAAATTTTTTTAATCCATTCATCTGTTGATGGACATTTATGTTGATTCCATATCTTAGTTATTGTGAATAGTGTTATGGGGGTGCAAGTATGCCTTTGATATACTGATTTCATTTCCTTTGGAAAACACTCAGTAGTGAGATTGTTGGATTGTTTGGTAGTTTTAGTTTTTTGAGAAACCTCCACACGGTTTTCCACAATGCCAGCCAACATCTTGATTGCAGCCTGGTGGGAAGCCAGGAAGCATAGGACCCCAAGAAGCTATGCCTGAACTCTTGACTCATAGAAACGATAAGATAATAAGTGTATGTTGTTCTAAACTGCTAAGTTTGTAGTTATTTGTTATGCAGCAACACATAACTAATACAGCCTCTGAATTCAGAAAACTCTTGGTCATCAGAGGCTGGGATGCTCCTTCCTCTTGATTCCAATACACCAAGTGCATTCCCCATCATGCTAGCCAGAGACTCGAGAGCTGAACTCTGTCCATTGTAATTCTCACTTTTCTTTCTTTCTTTCTTTTTTTCTTTTTTCTTTTTTTTTTTTTTTTGAGATGGAGTCTTGCTCTGTTGCACAGGCTGGAGTGCAGTAGTGCCAACTCAGCTCACTGCAACCTCCAACTTCCGGGTTCAAGCAATTCTCCTGGCATCAGCCTCCTAAGTATCTGGGATTACAAGTGCATGCCACCACGCCTGTCTAATTTTTTGTATTTTTAGTAGAGGCAGGGTTTCATCATGTTGGCCAGGCTGGTCTGGAACTCCTGACCTCAAGTGATCCACCCTCCTCGGCCTCCCAAAATGTTGGGATTACAGGTGTGAGCCACTGTGCCCGGCCTCATTTTTATTTCTATGTTCTTTTTCTCTACACTCTGGATGTGTCTCCTGATCTCTCTTTTACATCATTTTGTTGTCTAAAATATCTGCGTTGGTCTCTGCTGCTTTCAGTGTGGATTTCAATTGCCTAGATTTCAATTTTAGATTTCTTGCAATCTTTCCTAATCCAACTGTTTTCTTATTTTGTCTTTTTGCTTTCTGAACTTGGCTTCTCTCATATTTGTGAGGATGAGAAGCATTTTGCTGCATTTCAGTAGATAGTTTTCAGAAGTATTATACCAGGTCTGGTGCCAAACTCCCATCCTCTCAGTCTTGCTTCTGATTCCAGCAGTGACTGAGGCAAACAACTTAGCATGGGCTTTGACTCACCTCACACCACAAGCGTCTTGCTCCAAATATGCCTTGCACATCCTTTACTTTCATTTTTGGATGTCTTTGTCATCATAGACTGCAGCCCTCTCTCCAGCACACAAGAACCATCACAATCTGGAAGTATGTGGGGGATTTAGTGTCCTGGGCAGCGGCCCTATCAGAGCCAATGGATAAAGGCTGCTCCCTGTGGGTCCTTGGATAGACAAATGGGAGAGACACTCTATAGGCTCCTTTGAATGTCCTGATGGAATTAAGTTCCAGTTGCTCTCAGTCTTTCTTCCTTTTATCACTTTCCCAGGGGCCTCCCTTCCATTCTCTGAGATTTTCTCCCAAATAAATTATCCTATATATATATTCTTGCTTAGTCACTGTTTTTGGTAGCATCCAAGCCAAGCCAAGTATATTCTTCCTTTCTAATGCCAGGATAATTCCTTTTTACTACTCTGTATTATTTGCCAGCAACCTAGATGACCTGGAAGCACCTTCTTGCCCAGAGCCTCCTGATGAGAGCCCAGCCTAAACCTTGATTTTGGTCTTGTGAGATCCTAAGCAGAAAACTCTGTTGAGCCCATCCAGAATTTTGACCAACAGACCTATGTTGTTTTAAGCTACTTAGTTGGTGGTACCTTGTTTTCTCACTGATCTTGAATCACAGGAGCAGGCCAAGAGATAGAACCTGTACTGGGTTAGATAGTGTCTCCCCAAAATTCATGTCCTTCCTGAATTTTAGAATGTGACCTTATTTGGAAATAGGACCATTGAAAATGTACTTACGGTTAAAATGAGGTCTTATTGGAATAAGTGGGCCCTTAATCCATTCTAACTGGTATTGTTATAAGAAGAGAAGAGGCACAGACACTGAGACACACCAGGGAGAAGGCTTTGCGAAGATGGAGGCAGAGATTGGAACAATGTGTCTATAAGCCAAGGAATGTTAAAGATAGCCAGCAGCAACAAAACCTAAGAGAAAGGCATGGAACAGATTATTCTCCTCCAGACCCCACAAGGAGTACATGGCCCGGTGTACACTTTGATTTCAGACTTCTAACACCCAGAACTGTAAGAAGACAAATTTCTGTTATTGAAAGCCACCCAGTTTGTGTTACTTTGCTATATAGCAGGGCTAGAAAACTAATACAGGACCTAAGTGTTTTTCTGCTGTTTTTATGTCACCTTTGTTTCATCAATCAAAGCCTGAGCCTTCCATGTAACAAAGTCTGGACTGTATTCCTTAATCTAGGCTTATTTGTTAATAGGTTGTCTATCATTCTGAGGTTTTAGTGAGAGCATGGGTTTGTATTCTCACCTGTGTGTTCAGGAAGATATCAGTGGGCAGTTGAAATAAGCTCTTTTAGAGACTGCTCTAGTAGTCAGGGCTCTCCAGAGAAGCAGAATCAGTCAGATATGTATAGATGCATAAAAGGAGATTTATTTTATTTTATTTTTTGAGACAGAGTCTCCCTCTGTCACCCAGGCTGGAGTGCAGTGGTGTAATCTCAGCTCACTGCAACCTCTGCCCCCTGGGTTCAAGCAATTCTCCTGCCTCAGCCACCCTAGAAGCTAGGATTACAGGCATGCGCCACCATGAATGGCTAATTTTTGTATTTTTAGTAGAGATGGAGATTTCACCATGTTGATCAGGCTGGTCTCAAACTCCTGACCTCAGGTGATTCATCTGCCTTGGCCTCCCAAAGTGCTGGGATTACAGGAGTGAGCCACCACGCCCAGCCTATAAAAGGAGACGCCCAGCCTATATCATGGAAATTGGTTCACATGATTATGGAGGCCAAGAAGTCCCACGATCTGCCATTTGCAAGCTCAAGAACCAGAAAAGCAGGTGGTATAATTCCATTTGACTCCAAAGGTCTGAGAACCTAGGGGGCTGCTGGTGTCAGCCTCCAAATATGAAGGCTCAAGAACCAATAGTATCAGAGCCTAAGGGCAGGAGAAAATGGATTTCCCAGCTCCAGAGGAGAGTGAATTCACCTTTCCTCTGCCTTTTTGTTTTATCCCAACTCTCAAGGGATTGGATGATGCTCATCTACATTGGTGAGGGCTTATCTTCTTTATTCTGTCTACAGATGCAAATGCCAATCTCTTCCCCACATACACATCCAGAAATAATGATTTATCCACTACGTGCATATTATTTAACCCAGTCAAGTCAACAAGTACAATTAACCATCACAACCACTATGAAGCATGACCATTCTGAGTGTTGTTGTTGCACATTTTGGAAACTTACTATAATTTTTTTCTAGGACCATGTGAGGCATTAATTAATTATCAAAATAATAAATGTTGATAGAAGATAAGTAAGTCTTTCAATCCACTACATAAACTTTGCCTTGGCTTTGGAGCTCTGGAGGTTTAAAAGGCCAGCTCTGGAAAGGAAAGGCCTAAGCCACTCAATTTCCCTTGAATTTCAGAAAGGAAATAAAAGAATATATGATTGTCAAGTGGTATTATTTGGAATAACATACCCTCAGCATCAGAAAATGGAGAAGAGGAAACTGAAAAGAATCTGTGTAACGTGCAATAGCATATATACTTGAGACATTCTTCTACATGGCTGCCAGAAAGATCCATTAAAAATGCAAATCTGGCCAGGCGCAGTGGCTCAGGTCTGTAATCCCAGCACTTTGGGAGGCCCAAGGTGGGTGGATCACTTGAGGTCTGGAGTTTGAGACCAGCCTGGCCCACAGGGTGAAACCCCATCTCTACTAAAAATACAAAATGAGCTGGGCGTGGTGGCAGGCACCTGTAACCCCAGTTACTTGGGAGGTGGAGGCAGGAGAGTTGCTTGAACCGGGGAGGCAGAGGTTGCATTGAACCGAGATGGTGCCCCTGCACTCCAGTCAGGGTGACAGAGTGAGGCTCTATCTCAAATTTAAAATAAAATAAAGTAAAATAAAAATAAAAATAAAAATAAAAATCTGACTCTATATTGCCCCTACTTAAAGCCCTCTGGTAATACCAGAATGACTTCAGGAACATTGGTCACACTTCTTAGCTGGTCATTCACACCCTCCATGATTGGTGCCTTCTCTACCTCCTCATCCTCATCTCCTCTGAACTGGCAAATCCTTCCTGGCCCACCCAACCAGAGGAGGTTCTCTCATCCTTGGTGCTGTGCTGGGGCCAGTGCATGTCTCCGTTCTGCATGTATCCCCATCTTAGGCATGATTTGGTTTTGTGGCTCCCTTTTTGCATAGCTGGGGCCCACTGAGTCCCCCACTGGCACTATTGGCATGGAGCCCATCAGTGTTCGCTGATTAAAGACACAAAGTGGAGTGCTGGCCGCCCATCCAGAGTCACATCAGAGCTGAGTAGCAAGTCACATCACAGCTGAGTAGCAGCCTGGTGTCTGCATAGTATAAAGTTGTGGAGATAGACAAAACCTGGAGTCTAGTGGGACATGGCTACATAACTTTTTGAAATGAAAAAGAAAAGACAAGCCAGTGCAAACACATAACCTTAAAAAGCATGATTTTTCCCACTTTGTGACTCTCATGCCCATGCACAGTAACCAGATTTGCATCTCCAAGATTATTTTCCAGGAAAAGGAACCATCACCTCTTGGAGGACAACTGATTCCACGGCTCAGGAAAAATCACCATGGGTCTGGACTTACTAGTAACAGAAAATGGGGATGCTCTCAAGATGTCAAGGCGATCTGCTCCTACTAGTGAGAATCAAAGACCACAATCATAATTATGTTTAATTAGAAGAGCTTAAGCCAGTGAAAGGTCATGAGTTCATAAAGTACTTAAAAGAGGAGAGTTAATATTATGTAATAAAACAGTAGTAATATTTAAAAAGATGAGTATAATAGGATTAAAAGAAATTTATATATATTTCAATAAATATCAGAATATTAATATGAGAACTTTTTCTCCTAATTACATGCTAATTAAAAGTTTATACACATCTAGGTAAGAATACACACTTTTTATTGGAGCACAGGAAAGAGAACAAAATAATGTAGTCATAGTAGATATAAGCAATCTGAAAGC
Source organism: Homo sapiens (assembly GCF_000001405.40). Taxonomy (NCBI): domain Eukaryota; kingdom Metazoa; phylum Chordata; class Mammalia; order Primates; family Hominidae; genus Homo; species Homo sapiens. The sequence goes on along the minus strand of NC_000010.11, from coordinate 45,019,626 downwards.
TAAGTTAGAAAATATGGCTTAATAATTCTGCTATGAAGTATAAAGTTTAAAACCAGTACTTGAGTTAAATCAAGATTTTTTTAAAGGGAAAATTGCCGGTGAGGAACTTTTCTCAAGTAAGTGTGAAGTAAAAAGCAATTTAAATGCAGGCAGACCTCATTTTACTGCCTCCCTTTATTGCACTTTGCAGATATTGCATTGCTTACAAATGGAAGGTTTGTGGCAATCCTGTATGCAGCAAGTCTATTGGCACCATTTTTCTAACAGCACGTGCTCACTTCATTCGCATTTTGGTAATTCTCACAATATCTCAAACACAACAATACTGAAATTAGGCCAGTCAATAATCCTACAATGGCCTCTAAGTGTTCAAGTGAAAGGAAGAGTTGCATGTCTCTCATCTTAAATCAAAAGCTAGAAATGGTTAAGCTTAGTGGGGAAGGCATGTCAAAAGCTACGCAGACAGTGAGCCAAGTTGTAAATGCAAAGAAAATGTTCTTGAGGAAATTAATTTTTTTCTTTTTCTTTTTTTTTTTTTTTGAGATGGAGTCTCACTTTGTCGCCCAGGCTAGAGCACAGTGGCGCGATCTCAGTTTACTGCAACCTCTGCCTCCTGGGTTCAAGCAATTCTCCTGTCTCAGCCTCCTGAGTAGCTGGGACTGCAGGTGCCCACCACCACACCTGGCTAATTTTTGTGTTTTTAGTAGAGACGGGGTTTCACCATATTGGTCAGGCTGGTCTCGAATTCCTGACTTTGGGTGATCCACCTGCCTCAGCCTCCCAAAGTGCTGGGATTACAGGCGTGAGCCACCGCATCCAGCCGGAAATTAATGTTTTTTTAAAAAATCATCATTCATGGATTCAGTGAACATATAAATGACAGGAAACTGAAACAACCTTATGGCTGATATGAAGAAAGTTTTAGTGGTCTGAATAGAAGGTCAAAACAGCCACAACATTCCTTAAGCCAAAGCGTAATCCAGAGCAAGGGCCTAACTCTCTTCAATTCCATGAAGGCTGAGAGAGGTGAAGAAGCTGCAGAAGAAAAGTTGGAAGCCAGCAGAAGTTGGTTCATGAAGTTTAAAGGAATGGGCCATCTCTATAACATAAAAGTGCAAGGTGAAGCAGCAAGTGCTGATGAAGAAGATGCAGCAAGTTATCCAGAAGATCTAGCTAAGATCACTGATGAAGGTGGCCACACTAAACAACAGATTTTCAATGTAGATGAAATGGTCTTCTGTTGGGAGAAGACACCATCTAGCTAGGACTTTCATAACTAGAGAGGAGAAGTCAATGCCTGGCTTCAAACATCAAAGGACAGGCTGACTCTCTTGTTAGGGGCTAATGCAGCTGGTGACTTTAAGTTAAAGCCAGTGCTCATTTACCACTCTGAAAATCCCAAGGCTGTTATGAATTATACTAATTCTACTGACTCTGTTCTGTAAATTGAACAAAATCTGGATGACAGTTCATCTTTTTAAAGTATGGTTTACTCAATATTTTAAGCCAACTGTTGAAACCTAATGCTCAGAAAAAAGATTCCTTTTAAAATATTACTATTCATTGACAATGTACCTGGTCACCCAAAAGCTCTAATGGAGATGTACAAGGAGATTAATGTTGTTTTCACAACTGCTAATAAAACATCCACTCTGTAGCTCATGGATCAAGGAGTAATTTTGATTTGCTAATCTTATTATTTAAGAAATATATTTTGTCTGTAGTTTCCATATTGATTCCTCTGACAGATCAGGGCAATATAAAGTGAAAACCTTCTGGAAGGTATTCGCCATTCTAGATGCCATTAAAAACATTTATTATTCATGAGAGAAGATCAAAATATCAACTTTGGAAGAAGTTGATTCCTATCCTCATGGGTGACTTTAAGAAGTTCAGGATTTCAGTGGAGGATGGCACTGCAGATGTGGTGGAAATAGTGAGAGAACTAGAATGAGAAGTGGAGCCTCAACATGTGACTAAATTGCTGCAATCTCATGATAAGACTTGAATGCGTGAGGAGTTGTGTTTTATAGATGAGCAAAGAAAGTGGTTTCTTGAGATGAAATCTACTCCTAGTGAAGATGCTGTGAACATTGTTGAAATTACCACAAAGGATTTAGAATATTCCATAAACTTAGTCGGTAAAGCAGCATCAAGGTTTGAGAAGACTGACTCCAATTTTGAAAAAAGTTATATTGTGGGTAAAACGCTATCAAACAGCACCATATGCTACAGAGAAATCTTTCATGAAAGAGTCAATTCATGTGGTAAACTTCACTAAGAATTTGCCATAGCCACCCCAACCTTAAGCAACCACTATCCTGATCAGTCAGTAGCCATCAACATCAAGGCAAGGCCGTCCTTTAGCAAAAAGATTGAGTCTGTGAAGGCTCAGATCATCTTCAGCATTTTTTTAGCCATAAGGTATTTTTAATTAAAGTATACCCATTGTTTTGTAGACATCTTGCCCTTGCACACTTGACTACAGTATAGTGTAAACGTAACTTTTAAATGCACTGGGAAATAAAACAATTTATTTTTTATTGTTTGACTCACTTTACTGAGATATCACTTTTTTGCTGTAGTCCAGAACCAAATTTGCAGTATCTCTGAGGTATGCCTATAATTTTGTGTTTTATTGCTTCTAAGTAGATAGGATTCACTTACTGGAAGTCCTTAGAAGACCTGACTCAATAATATAAACATTTATTAGTATTTTTTGCAATAATGGATATAAAACATACTACCAAGACTTACATAACAAAACATACTACCAAGACTTACATATTTGACAAATTATTGTTTTTTCAAAGTAGTCATATGTGAAAGTTGTATGTTCATTGCAATGCTGCGATTGCTCAAAATATTGTTAGAATACTAATTTGTAAATTTAGAAATTGCCTCCAGAGCTAATAAGTTTCAAGAATATAAATTCCATCTCTTTTCTGTTTTGTCTTTTCTCTTCTTCCTCCCTCCTTTCTTTCCTTTCTTTCCTACTTTCTTTCTTATCATTAGAAATAACATTACTCCTCCCCCTACAAAACACACACATTAAAGACAGGAAGGAGCCCTGTCATTACAGCTATGGGCAGGTTGTAGCTAGAGCTGAGAACTTCTAATGGTAGTCCCCTGAAGGCCCATTCATAAACTCGAGATACCTGGGGCTGCCCTGGCTACCCTTCCTAAGTCCCGGTGGTTCAACTCTTTCTTCAGTCATCTTTTTTTACTTCTCTTTATTTTGCTTTAGTTAATGAATGTTGGTTTCAGCACCTTGAAGCCATAGGATCATAACTGAAACAAGTTTAATTGCCAGCTTTGGCTTCATCTGGTATTAAGACCAGAGAGAAAAAATGACTTGCCTAAAGGCACATAGATTTTCCATAGCAGAACTGGATCTAAAACTCAGGACTAATGACTCCAATTCAGAGATTATTCTCTTACATCACACTGCCTTTCAGATTCTACATCCCACCAGAGACGTACTCAACTGCTGACCACGAAGAGGTTCACATGTGTAGGCTCTGTGGTACAGCTCAGCCTTTTGGAAGAGGGGAGAAGAAAAGCACCAGGAGGATTAGAATAAGTACTAGATGAGATGGTCGCTTTATGAAATTCAGTGCTCACAACTGACTTCTCAGTGATGACTTCTCATCTACCAGGCAAAGGTGAGAAAGGACCTAAGTGTTATTCTGGGACCCCCTTTCCTGTTTCCCTAGGCTGTTCCCAATCTCCGTTTTGCTACTGGAATGTAATTTACTTTTAATTTACATTTCAACTGTAAATAGAATGTCTGCACACGATAAGAAGTTCAAACAGCTTATCTATGAAAAGTAAGCTGTTCTCCCAACTCTGCAGCTCCTGCATCAGTCTCTACAGCTGCATTTCATTCCCAAAGGGTCTGGCCTTGCATTCTAGCCATCCTCTCAGAGTCTGGGCACCTATTCTGCACAGATTTTCATGGAGACTCCTTGGAGAGAGTGTTTTTAAGCACAGTGATGGATTAAAACTTGATGGAAATAGACTAAGGGGAGACTGCCAGGTAAGGAAACAGGGAAGATAAATGTAGACAAATCTTTCATGGAGCTGGCTGTAGAAAAGAGCAAAAGAGAGAAACTGAGAAAATAGCTATTATTTATTTAGCAAACACTTTGGATAATTTCTTTTTCTACCAGGATAAGAAAGGGACTTGCCTGTCCTCCTGTGTCTTGTAAGTTATTTAACATCTAAGTTACAGTGGAAATAGAAATGGCATTCAGGTAATTTGACTAAAGTGTGCTCAACTTTTAAAATTATGCTTGTATTTTCAGACATTTAACTGAACCCTAGTTGATTGTAAGGAGTAGTCTCTACATTTTGAGCATGGTATTTTCAAAGGAAAACACAGGTTGAGCATCCCTAATATGAAAATCTAGTATTTGAAACTTTTTGAAGAGGAGGAGCCAAGATGGCTGAATAGGAACAGCTCCGGTCTACAGCTCCCAGTGTGAGCGATGCAGAAGATGGGTGATTTCTGCATTTCCATCTGAGGTACCGGGTTCATCTCACTAGGGAGTGCCAGACAGTGGGTGCAGGTCAGTGGGTGTATGCACCATGCGCGAGCCGAAGCAGGGCGAGGCATTGCCTCACTCAGGAAGCGCAAGGGGTCAGGGAGTTCCCTTTCCTAGTCAAAGAAAGGGGTGACAGACGGCACCTGGAAAATCGGGTCACTCCCACCCTAAGACTGCGCTTTTCCAACGGGCTTAAAAAACGGCGCACCAGGAGATTATATCCTGCACCTGGCTCGGAGGGTCCTACACCCACGGAGTCTTGCTGATTGCTAGCACAGCAGTCTGAGATCAAACTGCAAGTCGGCAGCAAGGCTGGGGGAGGGGCACCCACCATTGCCCAGGCTTGCTTAGGTAAACAAGGCAGCTGGGAAGCTCGAACTGGGTGGAGCCCACCACAGCTCAAGGAGGCCTGCCTGCCTCTGTAGGCTCCACCTCTGGGGGCAGGGCAGAAACAAACAAAAAGACAGCAGTAACCTCTGCAGACTTAAATGTCCCTGTCTGACAGCTTTGAAGAGAGCAGTGGTTCTCCCAGCACGCAGCTGGAGATCTGAGAACGGGCAGACTGCCTCCTCAAGTGGGTCCCTGACCCCTGACCCCCGAGCAGCCTAACTGGGAAGCACTCCCCAGCAGGAGAAGACTGACACCTCACATGGCCGGGTACTCCAACAGACCTGCAGCTGAGGGTCCTGTCTGTTAGAAGGAAAACTAACAAACAGAAAGGACATCCACACCAAAAACCCATCTGTACATCACCATCATCAAAGACGGAAAGTAGATAAAACCACAAAGATGGGGAAAAAACAGAGCAGAAAAACTGGAAACTTTAAAAAGCAGAGTGCCTCTCCTCCTCCAAAGGAAAGCAGTTCCTCACCAGGAACAGAACAAAGCTGGACGGAGAATGACTTTGACGAGCTGAGAGAAGAAGGCTTCAGACGAACAAATTACTCTGAGCTACAGAAGGAAATTCAAACCAAAGGCAAAGAAGTTGAAAACTTTGAAAAAAATTTAGAAGAATATATAACTAGAATAACCAATACAGAGAAGTGCTTAAATGACCTGATGGAGCCGAAAACCAAGGCTCGAGAACTACGTGAAGAATGCAGAAGCCTCAGGAGCCGATGTGATCAACTGGAAGAAAGGGTATCAGCGATGGAAGATGAAATGAATGAAATGAAGCGAGAAGGGAAGTTTAGAGAAAAAAGAATAATAAGAAATGAACAAAGCCTCCAAGAAATATGGGACTATGTGAAAAGACCAAATCTACGTCTGATTGGTGTACCTGAAAGTGATGGGGAGAATGGAACCAAGTTGGAAAACACTCTGCAGGATATTATCCAGGAGAACTTCCCCAATCTAGCAAGGCAGGCCAACATTCAGATTCAGGAAATACAGAGAACGCCACAAAGATACTCCTCGAGAAGAGCAACTCCAAGACACATAATTGTCAGATTCACCAAAGTTGAAATGCAGGAAAAAATGTTAAGGGCAGCCAGAGAGAAAGGTCGGGTTACCTTCAAAGGGAAGCCCATCAGACTAACAGCGGATCTCTTGGCAGAAACTCTACAAGCCAGAAGAGAGTGCGGGCCAATATTCAACATTCTTAAAGAAAAGAATTTTCAATCCAGAATTTCATATACAGCCAAACTAAGCTTCATAAGTGAAGGAGAAATAAAATACTTTACAGACAAGAAAATGCTGAGAGATTTTGTCACCACCAGGCCTGCCCTAAAAGAACTCCTGAAGGAAGCGCTAAACATGGAAAGGAACAACCGGTACCAGCCACTGCAAAATCATGCCAAAATGTAAAGACCATCGAGACTAGGAAGAAACTGCATCAACTAATGAGCAAAATAACCAGCTAACATCATAATGGCAGGATCAAATTCACACATAACAATATTAACTTTAAATGTAAATGGACTAAATGCTCCAATTAAAAGACACAGACTGGCAAATTGGATAACGAGTCAAGATCCATCAGTGTGCTGTATTCAGGAAACACATCTCACGTGCAGAGACACACATAGGCTCAAAATAAAAGGATTCAGATCTACCAAGCAAATGGAAAACAAAAAAAGGCAGGGGTTGCAATCCTAGTCTCTGATAAAACAGACTTTAAACCAACACAGATCAAAAGAGACAAAGAAGACCATTACATAATGGTAAACGGGTCAATTAAACAAGAAGAGCTAACTATCCTAAATATATATGCACCCAATACAGGAACACCCATATTCATAAAGCAAGTCCTGAGTGACCTACAAAGAGACTTAGACTCCCACACATTAATAATGGGAGACTTTAACACCCCACTGTCAACATTAGACAGATCAACGAGACAGAAAGTCAACAAGGATACCCAGGAAATGAACTCAGCTCTGCACCAAGTGGACCTAATAGACATCTACAGATCTCTCCGTCCCAAATCAACAGAATATACATTTTTTTCAGCACCACACCACACCTATTCCAAAATTGACCACATAGTTGGAAGTAAAGCTCTCCTCAGCAAATGTAAAAGAACAGAAATTATAACGAACTATCTCTCAGACCACAGTGCAATCAAACTAGAACTCAGGATTAAGAATCTCACTCAAAACTGCTCAACTACATGGACACTGAACAACCTGCTCCTGAATGACTACTGGGTACATAACGAAATGAAGGCAGAAATAAAGATGTTCTTTGAAACCAACGAGAACAAAGACACAACATACCAGAATCTCTGGGATGCATTCAAAGCAGTGTGTGGAGGGAAATTTATAGCACTAAATGCCCACAAGAGAAAGCAGGAAAGATCCAAAATTGATACCCTAACATCACAATTAAAAGAACTAGAAAAGCAAGAGCAAACACATTCAAAAGCTAGCAGAAGGCAAGAAATAACTAAAATCAGAGCAGAACTGAAGGACATAGAGACACAAAAAACCCTTCAAAAAATTAATGAATCCAGGAGCTGGTTTTTTGAAAGGATCAACAAAATTGATAGACTGCTAGCAAGACTAATAAAGAAAAAAAGAAGAATCAAATAGACGCAATAAAAAATGACAAAGGGGATATCACCACCGATCCCACAGAAATACAAACTACCATCAGAGAATACTACAAACACCTCTACGCAAATAAACTAGAAAATCTAGAAGAAATGGATACATTCCTCGACACATACACTCTCCCAAGACTAAACCAGAAAGAAGTTGAGTCTCTGAATAGACCAATAACAGGCTCTGAAATTGTGGCAATAATCAATAGCTTACCAACCAAAAAGAGTCCAGGACCAGATGGATTCACAGCCGAATTCTACCAGAGGTACAAGGAGGAACTGGTACCATTCCTTCTGAAACTATTCCAATCAATAGAAAAAGAGGGAATCCTCCCTAACTCATTTTATGAGGCCAGCATCATCCTGATACCAAAGTCGGGCAGAGACACAAGCAAAAAAGAGAATTTTAGACCAATGTCCTTGATGAACATTGATGCAAAAATACTCAATAAAATACTGGCACACTGAATTCAGCAGCACATCAAAAAGCTTATCCACCATGATCAAGTGGGCTTCATCACTGGGATGCAAGGCTGGTTCAATATACCCAAATCAATAAATGTAATTCAGCATATAAACAGAACCAAAGACAAAAACCACATGATTATCTCAATAGATGCAGAAAAGGCCTTTGACAAAATTCAACAATGCTTCATGCTAAAAACTCTTAATAAATTAGGTATTGATGGGACGTATCTCAAAATAGTAAGAGCTATCTATGACAAACCCACAGCCAATATCATACTGAATGGGCAAAAACTGGAAGCATTCCCTTTGAAAACTGGCACAAGACAGGGATGCCCTCTCTCACCACTCCTATTCAACATAGTGTTGGAAGTTCTGGCCAGGGCAATTAGGCAGGAGAAGGAAATAAAGGGTATTCAATTAGGAAAAGAGGAAGTCAAATTGTCTCTGTTTGCAGATGACATGATTGTATATCTAGAAAACCCCATTGTCTCAGCCCAAAATCTCCTTAAGCTGATAAGCAACTTCAGCAAAGTCTCAGGATACAAAATCAATGTACAAAAATCACAAGCATTCTTATACACCAACAACAGACAAACAGAGAGCCAAATCATGAGTGAACTCCCATTCACAATTGCTTCAAAGAGAATAAAATACCTAGGAATCCAACTTACAAGGGATGTGAAGGACCTCTTCAAGGAGAACTACAAACCACTGCTCAATGAAATAAAAGAGGATACAAACAAATGGAAGAACATTCCATGCTCATGGGTAGGAAGAATCAATATCATGAAAATGGCCATACTGCCCAAGGTAATTTATAGATTCAATGCCATCCCCATCAAGCTACCAATGACTTTCTTCACAGAATTGGAAAAAACTACTTTAAAGTTCATATGGAACCAAAAAAGAGCCTGCATCGCCAAGTCAATCCTAAGCCAAAAGAACAAAGCTGGAGGCATCACACTAGCTGACTTCAAACTATACTACAAGGCTACAGTAACCAAAACAGCATGGTACTGGTACCAAAACAGAGATATAGATCAATGGAACAGAACAGAGCCCTCAGAAATAACGCTGCATATCTACAACTATCTGATCTTTGACAAACCTGAGAAAAACCAGCAATGGGGAAAGGATTCCCTATTTAATAAATGGTGCTGGGAAAACTGGCTAGCCATATGTAGAAAGCTGAAACTGGATCCCTTCCTTACACCTTATACAAAAATCAATTCAAGATGGATTAAAGACTTAAACGTTAGACCTAAAACCATAAAAACCCTAGAAGAAAACCTAGGCATTACCATTCAGGACATAGGCATGGGCAAGGACTTCATGTCTAAAACACCAAAAGCAATGGCAACAAAAGCCAAAATTGACAAATGGGATCTAATTAAACTAAAGAGCTTCTGCACAGCAAAAGAAACTACCATCAGAGTGAACAGGCAACCTACAAAATGGGAGAAAATTTTTGCAACCTACTCATCTGACAGAGGGCTAATATCCAGAATCTACAATGAACTCAAACAAATTTACAAGAAAAAAACAAACAACCCCATCAAAAAGTGGGCAAAGGACATGAACAGACACTTCTCAAAAGAAGACATTTATGCAGCCAAAAAACACATGAAAAAATGCTCACCATCACTGGCCATCAGAGAAATGCAAATCAAAACCACAATGAGATACCATCTCACACCAGTTAGAATGGCAATCATTAAAAAGTCAGGAAACAACAGGTGCTGGAGAGGATATGGAGAAATAGGAACTCTTTTACACTGTTGGTGGGACTATAAACTAGTTCAACCATTGTGGAAGTCAGTGTGGCGATTCCTCAGGGATCTAGAACTAGAAATACCATTTGACCCAGCCATCCCATTACTGGGTATATACCCAAAGGACTATAAATCATGCTGCTATAAAGACACATGCACACGTATGTTTACTGCGGCATTATTCATAATAGCAAAGACTTGGAACCAACCCAAATGTCCAACAATGATAGACTGGATTAAGAAAATGTGGCACATATACACCATGGAATACTATGCAGCCATAAAAAATGATGAGTTCATGTCCTTTGTAGAGACATGGATGAAATTGGAAATCATCATTCTCAGTAAACTATCGCAAGAACAAAAAACCAAACACTGCATATTCTCACTCATAGGTGGGAATTAAACAATGAGAACACATGGACACAGGAAGGGGAACATCACACTCTGGGGACTGTTGTGGGGTGGGGGAAGGGGGAGGGATAGCATTGGGAGATATACCTAATGCTAGATGACGAGTTAGTGGGTGCAGCGCACCAGCATGGCACACGTATACATATGTAACTAACCTGCACATTGTGCACATGTACCCTAAAACTTAAAGTATAATAATAATAAATAAAATTAAAAAAAAACCCAACTTTTTGAATGTCAATGTGACGCCACAAGTGGAAAATTCCTCACCTGACCTCATGTGATAGGTCACAGTCAAAACTTTGTTTCATGTGCAGAATTATTAAAAATATTACCTTCAGGCTATGTATACAAGGGATATAATAAACACATGAACTTCATGTTTAGACTTGAGTCCCATCCCCAAGATACCTCATCATGTACATACAAATATTCCAAAAAATAATTAAAAATCTGAATTCTGACACACATCCGGTCTCCAGCATTTCAGATAAGGGACACTCAACCTGTGCAAGTTGAATGTGGAGAAACTACAGGACACGCTGTTTTCCATGATCTCTCCTTTGCTGCCATCTAGTGACAGTTTTGTGTAACGTCAAATAGAAAAAGTGTCTTCTAACAATGAAGTTTTGATGTGGCTATTTCCTCTACTTATGCAGCGCCCTCACTGGACTGAAGTATTTCCAACTGAGCCTGGGAATTTAATTTGCTGGTTTGCATCAGCAGTGACACTTAATCTCCTCAAGAGCACTTACTAAACTACACTCTGGGTCCTGCACAAAGCGACGCAAGCTGACTTCTGAAAATGACGTATGGTACTACAGCACAAGCAAAGGTCATGAGAGCATCATAAAAAGCCTATTATTGAACAAATACATGACACTACATTGGAGCCAGATGCCTTAGTGGGAAATGAGTTTTTTCTATAAAAATGTGCAGCCATGTGTATACGTTGTTTCATATTGTTGGTACTGTATCTTTGGAAACAAACTCTGGAAATATAATTTCTGGATCAGAGAGTAAATGCATATATACTTCTGCTAGATATTGCCAAATCCCTCCTCAGTATGGGTTGTAACATTTTGTATCCCACCATCAGCCTTAGTTTGGCTGGTTCTCCACAGCCTTACCAACAGAGTAGGTTTTACACTTTTGATACATAAGAAATAGTAGCTCCTTGTAGTTTTATTTCTCTTATTATTGTCCTTTCAGCCAAAGTCTAGCCACAAAAAGAGAAACCAGACCAATTATTCTAATAGAGAAAATGGAATACAGATGCTGGGTTAAACTGAAGTGGTGAACTTATCAGGCAAAGAAGAAACATGGACATAACAGAAAGTCTAACTAGCTATATTAAACTATGTGGAATACACAGAATGGACTCAGTTTTCTCACTGAACCTGAACTTCTCTTCATGACTGTTTGCCCCTGAATCATCATATTGTCCCCTCTTTGACTCACCTGCTTAAATTCTGATATTTAGCCTTTTAATCCCACTGAATAGAGAGGCTTCTTGTATCCTAGGGGACCCATTTAGATTGCCCTGAACATAGAGATATAACCAGGTTCTCTCTGGGATTTAAGGTTACTCATCTCAGAAGCTTCATTTAAATTGGCATACCCATCCTGAATTCCTGAATTCAAAAAATCTGTGCCTGAGATGTCTCTTGACAAATTGGGAGGTAGCATAACACATTAGTAACCTGGTGTTATGAACTTGGCACAGTTCCTGAAATGCTCTACGACGTAATCGACATTTATGACAAAGATAACATACAAAGAAACTTACAACTATGTCAGTTGATGTATATTGACGTAAAAGTTCTAAATAAAATACTGTCAGATATTATAACACCAGAATTATAAAATGCCATTACTTAGTAGGACTAAGTTGCTCAATCTATTCTGATACATTACCAACCATGTGGATCAAAGGAAAAAAATTATCATCCATAAAAAGACTATGAAAGATTTGTTCTTTCTATATTTAAATGCAATGATTCTAAGCAATAGAGCTATTTGTGCTTGGATTTACTGTAAGGAATGCAGCTATGAATTATGTTTCTGTCATTTTTGTCTCTTTCCATCACTCAGCAGTAAAATTTATCCATTTCAAACTGTTCTGGATTAATTTGCACCTCTTCTGAACAATAAAACAAGAAAAAAGTAATTCTTTCACCAGATGTCACAATGCTTTATTTGAAAAATGACAGAAAAGAATCTCTTAGTTATCAGTTTACTACAGAACTCTGAATTTAGGAAACAGCCATTATACTTATCCCTAAATGAGACTAAAATAGGCAGTCCCCCTATTTTACCAGTGTGGTGAGAAATCCTACTTTGGAGTCCCCTCAACATATCTAGGGTTACATTACAATCTAGCGCTTCATGTGGACCAGGAAATTGGAGGAAGGTCCTCTGGTCTTCAGTTCATCATGACTGCAATTGGGAAGTTCAATTGTCCAAGCTGGTTGGTCTGTTTGAAATCAATGTGCAACAGGGACCAGGCTCTTGCTCTTGGAGGTGAGTCCTCCTGGCACCCACTCAGCATCCTCTCATGGGTCCTGTCACACTCAGACTCTGCATGGTGGAGGGACAGTCACCCCTTTCTCCCATGTTTGAAGACACATATCAGTCTCAGGACAGATTTTCAACTTCCAGGGCTGATATCACAGGACATTCTAGCAACTCTGTGTGTGGGGACTTTCAACCCAGGCCAGAGAGTCATGGGATACAAATAAAACACACAAACAAGCTTTAATGCTGCCTTTAAGTCTCAGTAAGGAACAAAGAGAAGGGTCCCAGGACAAAAAAAAAAAAAAAAAAAAAAAAAAAAAAGGAAGTATGGAAGTATGGAAGTATTACAGAGTATCGGCTAGAAACAGAAAGACAATGTGGGGGAGGCGAGGCAGTGTTTCTCAATATGAACTCAAAAAGCTGTTTTTTCTCATCAGGCCACTAAAAGGATAGAACTTTTAAGACTGATGATTGGCTCCAGAGATGCACAAAAAAAGCAGGATGGGTGCATCAATCAGGACAGGTACCAAATCTACACTGAAATCTGTGGCCTATCTCAACAGTTTATTTCTCACTCATGGGATACCTAAAGCAGGTTGGCAAGAGACTCAGGAACTACCTAAATGTCAGCTCCACTTTGGCCTGGGAAATAGGAGCACAGAGAATCACCCAACAGCTTTTAAAAACATCACTAACTCAAATGGGCAGACCTAGTGTTGTTTCTCACAGCACTGTAAGGGTGCCAGGAAACGTGGGGTATTTGGGTATTTGCTCACCAAATATCCCTCTTTCCTCCTTCCACACACAACATACCTTCTACCCAAGGAAGACAACCCCAAATCCCATAGTCACTACACTCTGAAAACCCTGGGACATCTCTAGATCAAGGCTGGCTCCATCTATCTCCCACTGGTCCAGAGCTGTATTAACCAAAAACATCCCTCATCTGTGCTCCTCTCCACATACCCCAACACAGTGAAGAGAGTAATGCATCCCCATGCTCAAAGCGCATAGGAGACCTTAGTCTGTGACAATTTCTCTGCTGTCCTGAAGGGCATACTGCTCGTTAAATTATTTTGAATATCACTACTGTGCACAGCCCTGTTTGCTGTCAAAATGGGCAAATTCCTGAAATGTAAGAAAGAAGTGTTGGTCCTACCCAGAAGCTATTGCATACACAAAACTAATGTGAATAGCATTGATAGATCCTCAAAAGGGCCCCATAGCCACAATCCTGCCAAGGAGTGACTTGGATATAATAGGGCGGCCAAAGATCACTGCTTTCATAAAAAACTGTGATCACCTCATGTTTACAAAACACCTTGTGAATATCTTGTTGAATGGCACTTGTCAACAAGGCCATAACAAGGCCAACTTCTATGGCCCTGCACTCAAATGCAAGGCCAGGAGGAAGGCAAAGTTCAAGTTTGAGGAAATCAGAAACAGGCAAAACAAGTGATCCATCCAAAAGCTGTGACTTTAGATCTATTGTCTAAATAATTAAAACAATTCCCCAGAAGAAAAATAAACAGAAGGTAGTAGTATACAAAATATTTCATTTTTTATTTTCATGAATAATTGTCATTAATACAGCAGAAACCGATATGATTATAAAAGATACCAAAAAATCAGAAGAATGTTAGCATTCAATAGAAATTAAAACCTGAGCTGAGGGCTCATTAGAGTCTGACACTTGGCACCATTCTCATGGAAGTGAAGAAACATGTTTGCCGGACTCCTTAAAACAATTCATGTAACACAGAAAGAGTTAAATTTCAAAGGAGCTACAATGTACTGACACATTACGACTCTTGTTGTTGACAAACATTTAAGCAGGGCTATCCAAAGCTCACAGTCTTGAAGGCAGGGAGGTGTGTAAATTGTAGGTTTTTAATTAAGCAGTAAGCAAGCTGAGATTTTTCTTGGTAAAATAGTTTGTTTATTCATGTAGATCTAAAAGGCTGGCTCAGTTTGTCAGAGCACAGGAGAATGCCAGAAGAGGTCAAGGGCATGGGGATGTATCGACATGAATCCATCCCAACTTGTGGAAAACAAACGACACAGCAGTTACCATCACAAAGAACTCTATTAGTAGGAATAGAAGACTTGAGGTCCAATTCAGTTCTCATTTGGATTCTATAGTATCTCTAAGAATTTGGTTAAAAAAAACAAAACAAACAAAACAAAAAAAGGGAAATCCTTACTCCTTTCATTAACAACTGTCCACAAGGAGAAGAAATAAAAGACAACTAATATAGATAGGCCTTACTGATTAAAAATCTGTGAGCTTGAATACATTTTAATATGTTGAATCTAGAGTGATAAACCAATGGTTAATATACTACAAAACTTTACAAACAAAATCTCATCTGTTGCAGAACTTCAAAAGTAGTGGAATTGATTTCTTCTCCCTTTTTTCTTCCACAGAAAGTCCTAAAACTGAGTAGTCATTGGCATGCCTGCACTTTCACAAATGTATCCTCAAAACATGATGGTTTTTCTCAAAATGTATCTACAAAACATGATGGTTTTTGAAAATGGAAGTAATTTCAAATGAGGTCAAGGATGTCATGCTCCCTCAAAACATATTTTCAGTTCTTTGTGCTCCATGTCACATAAAAAAGAAATGAGGGTAGCTGGACTCATGTAATTTCTTTCAGCTCAATAATGTCATTAAATTCCCAATGTTTTCACACTAGCAAAAGATCCAGTATTTAAGTGATCTACTATAAAGCATCTCTATTTCTAAAAAAGATTCCTTTCATTTTTTACTTTTTATTTTTTCTTAAGAGGTCTCAAAAAGCTGTCAAAAAGCCCTATACTTAACGGAGACCAGCCACAGACTTCCTTCCTGTACCAGCTTTCCAAGAGGGTAAGTGAGTCTTCACCCTGATATTTTTGCCCCGGGTTTTACGAGGCTTCTCTTCTTTATGCACCTTCATGTGCTGCCTCAGATGAGAGCTCTGACTGAAACATTTGCCACATTCACTGCACTGGTAGGGTTTCTCCCCAGTGTGGGTTCTCTGATGTTGAATAAGGTGGGAGCTCTGGCTGAAACACCGGCCACACTCATCACACTGATAGGGTTTTTCTCCAGTATGAATTCTCTGGTGCTGAATGAGATTTGAGCTCTGTTTGAAGCTTTCTCCACACTCATCACATTTGTAGGGCTTTTCCCCCGTATGGATCCGTCGATGCTGAATGAGATTAGAACTCTGAAAGAAACTTTTCCCACAATCAGCACATTTATGGGATTTCTTTCCAGTATGGATCTTCTGGTGTTGAAAAAGAGTTGAACTCTGACTGAAACTCTTTTCACATTCAGTACATTTATAGGGTTTGTCATCCAAGCTTCTTCTGAGTCTACTGAAGCTTGAGTCAAATCGAATAGTCATGCCCCACTTCTGCCGCTGCCGGCCTGTTTTGCGCTTGTTCTCATAGGCCTTTCCTTGGCTTGAGCTCCGAGAAATACCCGCTTTAGGCTTTGCTAACCTCATGGTGAATAACCAAATGTATTTGTAAGAGAGTTTACAGGCTTCTTCTGAACTAGTGTTTCATTTCCTAGAGGTGTACAGCTCAGAATTTTCTGTGTGTAGAAGGAAAAAAAATTTAGAGATGATCAGAAAAAAAATTACAGATATCTGTTAACTATTCAATTTTAATATCTCTTCAACCCACCAAAATTGCATTCATGTTTAAATTTAAAAAGTATAAATGCAAACAAAGATAATATGGGGGGAAATTTGGGGGAAATACTTGCAAAGTAATTCTAACAATTCCAGAGTTTAAGCTTAACAAATATCACCAAATTTTGACTGAGTTTACCACTGGAGTTTCTGTCTATTGGGACAAGACAAATTAAAAGTGATCAGGTGAAATATAAATCTTCCAAGCATTACCAAATGAGTACATAATTTTGAAGAACTAAAAAGTGGAGATAAGGTAAATCTTAATGGGAATGGAGTAACTCCAAAAGACAATCAAAATTTGTGTAACAGAACATTACTATGCTTTAATATTTAGTTCCATGTTAAACTTCTACTAACTAGTAACTGCCTAAGGTATCCAAATGAATAAGAAATGACAAATTACACTACTTTATGATATATTCCTGTTTATCTGTATTTAGCATTCGATTTCCATAGCTCTAGATGACAGTTTAGCTCTAATTCTGTAGCATAAAGTGTTTTGAAAATTGAAACTTCTCTACAGGGAGTGGTAGGTTTACTTAGTCTATGAAGACACGCTTTATTATTGGTTTTTATAGATCCTAATGATCCAAGAAAGCAATTTGTTGAAAACCCAAAACGAAAGTACTGTTTTCGGAGACAGAAAAACTGCAAAAGAACTTTTACCAGAAAGTGGAATGAAACTGAGTAGAAAACGCATGGTAGGTAGGACACAAGAAAAGGAGAGGGGGGAGAAAATGAGTTTACATGTAAAACTAGGATGGAATTTTTAGAATACCCAAATGCTGCAAAATTCAAAATTTCAAATGATTTTATTTATTTATAAGGCTGACTTGTGGCTATTTAAAATAACGGCCAAAACAAACCAACAAAAACCCCTACAAACCCCACATAGGTGGCAATGTCGGAAAATCTAGAACTTCAAAAGCAATAAAATTATTGGAACTATTTTTCATTATCTTGTGTCAGAATGTGGAATTTAAAATAGAAACAATTATTCTGGGTTTCTTTGCATACAAACATATAAAGCAAATAAATGAAAACAAAAACATAATTTTTCTTGCCTTCCTTTCATCTTATTGTATAATTGAGACTTTAGGTCCAGGACTTTATCTGGATATTTAATAATTACATCAGCTGTAATTATGGTCAGCGTAAGAGTAAGCCGCATATAACACAAGATTACAGTTAGGACTACCCACTCCTTAACTTAAGCAAATATTTACAGAACATCTACCACACAGGAGACATTGTGTTAGGTACATGGTGTTGGTGTTGCTTTTTTTTTTTTTTAATAACTATAATGGTCATTATACATAAAAGCACACGCATTTAATACAATGGAAGTCAGATCTAGTCAGAAACTCAGACTGTCAAATCCACCTACGGATGAGGCAATCATACTAGTATGTGCCAGACACTGTGTAACTTGATTCTGTGCTAGCTCTTTAATTCTCCTGGCACCTTTATGCAGTTATTTCCGTTTTAAGTTAAGGAAACGAGGGCACAATGCTAGAAGGCACTGGCCGGGTTCCCAGACCCTAGCAGTTTGACTCCAGAGCCTGTACTCTTAGTGGCAGCCACATCTTCCATTGCTCAGTCCAGCGCGGCGACCCGTGCTTTGCATAGCTCCCCAGCAGGGGCAAGCACGAAGTTAAACCTGAGTGACAGAAGCTGCTGTTCTTGCACACCCAGCTAACTGGAATGTGCCTCAGTTTCCTCGTAAAATGGGGAGGGTAATGATAAAGTGGCAACACCATCAAGATGTTAGAAGTTGCAATGAGTCTGAATCTGAAAACCGCTCAGAGCAGCCCTGTGCTGCCTAAGCATTTGTTCCACGTATCTAGTCCTCGAACGCTCCGAGCGACGGAAGGGGCCGGGGCTGCTGCTCACCCGCCCAGTTCCACCCGCCGCGGGCCGCGCCTCGCCCGGGCCCCCAGTCCAAGCCTCCCGTTCCCAGCACTCCGCCGGCCGCTCCTCATTGACCCGGCCCGCCCGCCGCGCAGGCCGCGGCCCCACCCTGGGCCCGCGTGGCCCTCCCGCCCCCGCCCGGCGGCCAGGCCCTGCCCGGAGGCGGGAGACGCAAGCCACGCCATCGCCCGGGCCCGCGCCGCCCTCGTTGCGGCCAGCGCGCTCCCGAGCGGACCCGAGTATCCGACGCAGGCCCCGAGCGCCCCAAGTGCCCCAATCCCACTCACCGCGCGGGACCAGCCACCACTCTGGCTCGCTGGGCGCCTCCCGCGCCGCCGGAAGTGAGGGCCTCGCCGCGCTCTGGCGCCGCCGCGGTCGCTCTAGGAAAGTGGCGGAGCGACCCTCTATGGTCCCGGGCCCACCCGAAAGCGTTGTTCGTTTCTTCCTGTGGTTTTGTTTTCTCCTCCCCCCAACTCGGAAGGCGTCCTGTGACCCCCGGGACCTCAAGAGCTGTAACCGCCCCTGTGTGTGGTCGAGGCTTTTGAAACCAAACTCTAGCCTCTCCAACCTAGAAACTGCATACTTTCCACAAATTTTGAGATTTTTGAGACCCTGGTACTTTTCACGAAGTCACCTTAATTATCACCAAAAAGCTCCTGCAAGATGGGAGTGGTTATACTCCATTTACAGGAAAGGAACCAAGGCTCAGAGAAGAAATGTGCTCCGTTCACCGTGTGTAAGCGGACGACCCAGAATTGGAATGGTTCTTTGTGGCTCCAAAGTCTGATTTCAACACACCCCTTTTGTTGCTCATTAGTAATGATCTCTCTTTGTTCTTATTCCTTCCAGGCTCCTCCTCAGCCATCCTGGCCGTGCTCAGTCATCTGACCAGCTGACCTCCGTGTTCCCCCACTCCCTGGGGAGCTCCTCCGCCTTTTGGCTTCCAATGCTATTGCTGCATGCTGAAGACTCCCGCATTGGTAACTCCAGTCTGACTGTGGGACATAAATGTTATTGAACTTTAGACTTGTATATCGAACTGATTACTCAAGAGCTGCATTTGCATGTGTAATGGACATCCCAAACCTAACATACCCCCCAAATGAATTCCTGATATCTACCTAACCTGTTCTTGCAACAGTCTTCTTCCCAGGGATGGGTGAAGATCCCATCATCTTTCCAGTTGCTCAAGCCAAAAACCTTGATGTCACTGTTGTCTCTTCTTTTTTTCATCCAAAATTCACCTGTGATTTATCCACAAATTCTGTCGGCTTCATCGTTAAAATATATTCATTATCAAGCCACTTTCAACACTTCCACTGCTATAACCACCAAGCCACCTTCATCCACCTTCTGGATTATTATATTGGCTTCCAGACGGGTTGCCCTACAGTCTATTCACGGCCCCAGAGTAATCCTCTTAAACCTAAGTTAGATCATGTCATTCATTTGTTCAAAACCTTCAAAGGCTTCCCAACTTATTAGAGCAAAGCCAAGGACCTCGCAGTGGCACCCGATGCCTCTCATGATCTGTCTCTTTAGTTCTTTATTGTGTCTGCAGTGCTGAAAACAGTGCTCAGCAGGGAACAGACACTCAGTAAATAGCTGTTGAATGAATGAATTTATAAGATGCCTTATTGTTTACAAAGTACTTTTACATCTTATCTTCTGGTTATTCATCTTCACCATAGTCTCATGAAGCACAGATTATCATATCTGTCTTGCAAATCAGTAAACTGAAGCAAGAGAGGCTGACCTGCCTGAAGTAATACAGTGGTTTGTTGGTGGAGGCTAAACTAAGTCATAGGTTCATTCTCTTAAGTTGGGGCTTTCTGCTCTGTAGGGAGCTGTCTCTGCATATGGCAAAGCACAAAGCTGAATGAGGTCTGGACAAAGAAGCTCCACTCGCAATCTAGAGAGTATCTGGACTATTGCAGTGATTAAATGAGGTAATGTAAGGCACTTAGCACAATGTATAACACAGAAGAAATGAGAGTCGTTGTTACTTTTATTATTAAATTGTTATAAGTTGGTTGATGCTGGTGGTTGGAGAGTTTGGGGTAAAGGGCAATGGCCAGAGATCTAGAAATGGTTTAGGAAAAGCGTCAGGAGCAAACATGACCCGTTGGGACTGTCTGCTCTATGTACACTAAAATAAAAAGATAATTTTTAAAAAGCCATTTTGTTAGTAAGGTAGTTACTAATTAAAACTAACTCCTTTAATGTCTACATAAAGATGGATTATCCCTTTTTCCTATACCTGAAAACAACTGGGCCAGCCATAGAAGGGCCAGAGGTATGTCAACTAAAGCATTGGGTAAACGAGGATGGATTTTTTAAAAAGAGAGAGACGAAAGTCAGGAAATAAAGGGGTGTGTGTCCCTAAGTGTGGACAGAGTCCTGGGCAGTAAGGATGGAGAGGAGGGAGAGCCAGAAAAATATATGAAGGAGAGGAGGGTAAAGGAGAATGGGAAAAAGACAGGGAGAGAAAGCAGGTAGGGTTTTATGCCTTCAGCCTAGCTGTTAGTATAATAATAGTTAACACTTATTGAGTGCTTATTGTGTGCCAGGCACTGTTTGCAGCATTTGAGGATCTCACGTGAGATTCCTGAGGCATGATTATTCCTGAGGGTTTGCTCCACCTTCTCTGGTTTTGGTCCCTGCACTTTGTGGTGTGACTCCGGTGCCTCCTGGTGAACCACATGCCTGTCCCACTGATGTTGACTTGACCACTGATTTGAATTGGCTGACCGCATGTGACTGGATGCAAGGGGTACATCACATCCCAGAAGAAACTTCAAGTCATTGTGTTTCTGCCAGGACTCTGCTCTTTCCCTCTGCCTTGAGAATAGCATGTCCCAAGTAGGGGCTGCCCCTTTAGTCTAGGAACCAGGATGATAAGACACATGGAGCAGAGCCACAGAAGCTCACATGTAACCACAACGGTCCCACGTAATGTTAGAGAAACAAATGCTCTTGTAACACTGAGATTCTTGGTGGTATTATTGCATTAAAGTTGACTAATGTACCTCCCACCAACCGTAAGAGATAGGAATTGTTATTATCCTGTGATATTGTGAAATACATAGTTGATCTTCTCCCCGTTTCCTGACATACAACTTCTAAAATCCTTAGAATCTCCAAAGTGATGTCTTTTTATATGCTGATGAGTTGACTGATGCCTGGCAGCCCCTGGGTAGCTTCAGGATGGGGCTGGTCACTGGAAAGACCACAGCAGGATTAGAAGGATGGCAATTTCAGCTCCACCCCATCAACATCTGGGGAGGAGGGCAACTGAAGGTGAAGTGGATCACCAATGGCTGATGGATTAATCAATCATGCCTGTGTTACAAAGTCTCCATAAAAGCTCCCAAAGGACTGGGTTCAGAGAGCTTCTGGATACCTGAACACATGGATGTTACTGGAGGGTGCCACCTGGGGTCGGGGGGTGCAAAGGGGAAGGAGTATGGAAGCTCCGCACCCTTTCCTTCATACCTCACTATATGCATTTCTTTTTCTATATCCTTTGGAATATCATTTGTAATAAACCAGGAAATGTGTTTCGCTGAGTTCTGTGAACCGCTCTTGCAAATTAACCCAAGGAGGGGGTCACGAGAATCCCAACTTGAAGTGGGTAGTTCACAAGTTCCAGAGGCCAGGGCTTGTAACTAATGGGAAGGGTGGAGACCATCTTATGGGACTGAGCCCTCAACCTATGGGAGGTGATGCCATCTCCAAGTAGATAGTGTCAAAACTGAATTAGAGGACACCCAGCTGGTGTCCCTGCAGAAATGATTGCTTGGTTGGTGTGTGGGGAGAATCCCTCACCCCGTTTGGTCACAGAAGTCTTTTGTGATTATTGCTGCTGAGTGAGAGAATAGTAGAAAGCACTTTGTTTTCTTCCACACAGAATCCCCATTTCACAGATGAGAAAACTGAGGCAAGAAACTCGCCCAAGGTCATGCACATTTGTAAGTGGCAAAGCCAGACTTTGAAATCAGAAAGCCTGGCTCCAGAGCCTATTAACCTCTCTATAACAGTCTATCTCCCAAATGGGATTCTAGGCAATTTTTATGCAAATTAAATTATTGAAAATGGTCACGCATGATATTTACAAAACACAAGGGAGAAAGGGAACAAGGGTGTGGGAGGCAGGGGGTGGACACAGTCTGGGCATCTTTCTGCACATATTTCTGGGGATTCTGGCCCAAGAGAGGCCAGATCCCTTAGTGGCTGGGACATCTCTGGGAAACTACCCAGCAGGGACCAGTGTGTCCCTGAGCCCAGTGGTATTTGAAGGGTTCATTCCAGGAAAAAGAGTCTTCTGGGGTGAGAAAAATCCTGGCAAGACAGTTTCATTTTCCTATGTCTTTGTCCCCTGCACACCACTGGCTTGCGCACACACACACAGACACACACACACACACACACACACACACACACACACGCTGTCTCAGCAGGGAGCACTGCTGCCTTGGGTCTGTGTTTGGCAACATGGATCCCCAGCCCAAGTGCCAGAAAGGCAGTTATAGGTGTGGCTCATGTGCGGTAACAACAGTGGTCCGTCTCCCACCAAGAACTCTCAGCCCAGGGATCCTGAACAATGGTTCTTTCCACCAAGCCTGAGACTTGGCTTTCTGTTTCCTTTGGACTCTCTGGGAAAGAAAACCCTGGGAGTTCCCATTCCTAGGTCTGAGAAAACATCTCTGTTAAAAGTTGACCAGGAGGGCACAGGGCCCTACCCTGCACAACGTGAGTCTCAGGCAGGGCACGTGAGCAGCTAGCCTGATCCCAAACAATCGCAGCTCTCAGGGCCTAAATATAGCCCATGCATCTGGCTGTTTTTATACTCAGTTGCTTGGCTCTGATCGACCAAGCTTCCTGTCTGATCACCACTGAGGAACTGAGGGCAGGGGGATGCTGCCCACCACTGCACCTGGCAAGGATATCCCGCTGCCCCTCCGCAGCTGCAAGGCACCTGCGTCCTACACACCCGGGACACATTTTGCAGGGCTGGTTCCTCCACAAATCATCTGGTCAGACTGGATAAGCTTTGGGCCTTGTTTCCATGGGACTAAGGGGCCAGATGTATCCTGGGTGAACCCTGGCTCTATTTTGCCAGTGGGAAGGTCTTTATTCCATTTTCTGGTAAACATTCCAATCCGGTAGCATATGGTTATCACCAAAGAAAAACAAGATGTTTTTGATCCCTTCTGGTAATTTGTTCTGGGCAAACAAACTTGTTTTTCCTGAGTCCAGTCCTTTTGCAATCATGCTGATTTCATCCTGTGCTGTTTATTATTCTCTCTGGTTCTTGAGGCCTGGCCTGGCAAGACAGTCCTATTTTAGGAGACAACACTCTCCCATAGCAATCTTTGCTTTATCTTCGGATACGTTTATTACCTGAGACACTAGGTAGCCAATGGGGCATATGAGAAATACCCTAAGCTCTATGTAGAAAGAAAGCGGGAGCTCCCCACAGGAACCAGTAGGAAACCACAGAGACCAGCCTCTAACGTTTGAAATTATGGGGTTGAGGTGAGCTGAATTTGCAGCTTTTCAGATTGCCTCTGAACAGCAAATATGATGTTGATTTAGAAAAAAAGGTGTGAACTCCTCAGCTGATTGCAGAAGTGTACCTTTTCCCTTTTTCTGAGCCACTTGCTAGTGATTTTTCTGACCCATAACGTTCAGAAATTAGATTGATAACACCTACTTTAAAAGTGAACTTATCCGAAAAGGCCTTAAATAATATTGTAATAACTTTCAAAAGCAAACCAACCAACCAAACAGGCTGGTACTTAGGGAGGGTCTCCTGCTCCACTGGCTTCCTGTGTGCCAGGACCTGGCCTGCTCCTAGCTGGCAGGTGCATCTTGGCCTGTGACGCCACATGCACTTCTTAGCCAACTCTGCCTTGGCCTCCACCTCACTCCCAGGAGCTTTGCCGGTTCGTTGCTCAGCTGATCTCTTGACCCTTCCAGTGTCTGGCCTTCTTCTCCTGATGAGAAGACCCCTAGACACAGGACAGACTGGCTCCATCTTTGTGCCTCCAGGGCTGAGCACAGGCCTGGCACAAGGCAGTCACTCAGTTACAGCTGAACAATGGGACAGGAGCTGTCCTCCACCTGAGATTGTAAATAATAGCTTGGGAGTACAATTACCTGGGAGCTCCTGTTTGATTTGTTTTGTACCCTCTCCTAGGCCCTGCTTCCATCCCACCTGAGCCCCTGGCCTGGAAGATTCTTGGGGCCCTCCTGATGCTAAGATTCTGTGACTCGGGGTGACTCTATTGCTCATCATCCAGGTCACCTCTAGGCTCCCACCAGTGACGCCTGCGTGTTCCATGGCAGCCTCTCCTCAGGCTCCACCCTAGTCCCCAGGGCATGCACAGAAATGAAGGAGTCATGTCGGCTCCTAGAGCAGCGAGTTGTGGCTCTTCTGCCAAACATGGCCACACATCCTTTAGGATAAGAGTTTCAGAAGTTAGAGCCGGGGGTCAGGGTGGATGCACAGAAAGCAAAAAAAAAAAAAAAAGCTTGGTTCTCACTTCTTCAGTTCAATACAGCACACCTTTATTGAGCACCTAAGGATCTATGCTGCCAGAGGAGGGCAGAGTCGACAAAACAGTGGGCAGGCCTCCCCTGCAGCTCTCTGTGTCTGTGATGATGGAGCTGGGTTGGGGAAATCCTGCTGTGACATTTGCCCTGACGCAGTTCCGCACAGCATGGTGGCTTCCAAGCTATGCTCTTGATGGGCACCCGTAAGGAGCTTCTACATGCATTAGAGATGGAGCCTCTCCTATCTTTGCAAGCCTTTGTGGTTCTTCCCTTTAAATCTGCCATCCACGGACCTCAACAGGAGAATAATTTGGTCTTCAGTTTGCTCTGTTTTAGACAAATACTTCACATGACTGATGTAAACTGTTGCATAGTTTCGCAAAGGCTTTCTCATTCATTCCTGAAATTCTCCATCAGTCACAAACACAAATTGTTCAGTATCTGGGGAATTCAAAGCCCTTTCCTCAAAACAGACATTTCTCCTTATCATTCTTCCTTCAGGGGAAGTATTGAAAGTCATTGAAAGTCATCCCCACCCACTAGAGGAGAGAAACGCAAGCCCAGAAAAGGCAAGAGGTACACAGGCATCCACGGGACAGTGGTGATGGGGCTGAGCACTGCCTTCCAGAGCTGCTGCTGGGCATTGAGCGGGCAGCACCCTCTCAATGCCATGTGGACCCTCCTCAATGTGATTGAATGACCGTGTTTCTTGCAGCAAGCTCCTTGTAAGAATCGCTTTAGGTCTCTCTGATGAAGTAAAGATTGATTTCTGCAGAGAAAGTGAGATACTTGTGGCCTTATTCCTGGTCTCACCTCTGTGTTGGGGCTGAGCTGTGCGAGGCTCACAGGGTGATATTGGAGGCTTAGAAGCCGGGGACACTGTGGCAAGGTGATGGCTGAAAGCAGGCTAGATCTCATACCTGCTGGCAGGCCCTGCTTTTCCCAGCAGCATTCCTGTGGGGCAGCGTGATATGAGGGCAGACAAGAATCTCATATGAAGGAAGAGGACAGGGGCTTGTGGACCCACAGGGGCTCTGGGACAGGCAATGTGCAAGCAGATGAAGCCTAAGCCGCAGGGGCTGGGCCAGCACTGCTCTCCAGTGCAGGAGAGGCATGGTGTGGACAGGGCTGGCCACACAGATCTGACCCAGCAAGTTCCTGGCCCCTCAGGCCTGGGTCGGCTTCCTGTGGGTGCTCATCTTGGAGCCAAGAGCTGGCTGTGGGAATCATGGTGCTCAGGCTTCAGAGAGGTAGACACACAGGCACTCGATTCGTCAGGCGGTGGCCATCAGTCAATGTGACCGGCCGGGGCCAGCAACCAGGGCTCAGTGTACACCTGCCACTGCTGGGGACTTTGGAAGAGGCAGGTGTTGGCCAGTTACTTGGCCTCCACCAGCTGCTCCAGGCGCTGCAGCATCGTCAGACGCAGGGCTTGGAACCTGGAGGGAGACATCGCCAAGAGGACTCACTGAGGCCAGACAGGGCAGGGAGGTGGGCAGCAGAGCAAGGGACCTGCAGATGGCCAGCTCAGGAGATCCCTGCAGCAGCCTCATCTCTCCTCTGCCAAGGAGGGGGAAGGCTGTGGCCTGCGCCTCATGAGGTGCAGTCAAACCAGGCTGTGGACTGCACAGAGCATCAGAGCAGAGTGTTGTCATTTCTATTGCAGACTCTAATACAGACAACAGCACACTGGAGTGGACAGGGCGGTAGAGCAGAGATCGGGAAGCCCATGTTTCAGCCCAGATTCTGCCATAACCTATGCGGCAACCTTCCTTGTGCTGGGCCTCAGCGTCCACTCTGTACGTTGAGTGGACCCACTAGTTGCCCCCCAGATCCCTTTCAGCTCTCAAATCTTACGGGGTCAGGACTGACTGCAGAATGGAAGATTCCCTCTGACTTTGGTCTCCTCTGCCTGTTTGGGGTCTGGCTGCACAGACAGGAGCCTGTGGAGGATGTGGCTTTCCACGGGTCATTCAACCAGAGGCTAACATCCATCCTTTCCCCACACACCCCAGGCCCTCTCAGTGAGCTCCTGCCCTTTCCTTCCTAGCTGCCTCCCCACCAGCCCTGGTGGGGTGCCCTCCACAAGTCCTGGACCACACTTCACTTTGCTGAGGGGGAGACGTCATTGGGACTACAGCCTGGCTAACTCATGCATCCGGACCCTGGCGTGGTGTCCCCAGGAGCTGGCAGGTGAGACCTGCTCACCTTTTCATTGAACTAGCCCTCTGCACCTGAAAACATCGGCTGAGGCTGGGAGTTCCAGCATCTGCCACTTTGGGGAAGGCTCAGAATTCCCACTAGGACAAAAGGCCCTAATCAGGCCAAGTCTGCCTCAGCATGCCTGCTCCTTGGAGCCACATCACCAGCAGAACTCAGAAGCTTGACCCAGCGCCCACTTGGGTTCCTGCCTGACTTTCCTGCCAGGTGTTCTGCAGCTCATGCCTGCGCTGGTGAGGATGCCAAGACTGGATGGGTGATCGGGGCTGTGTCCCACTGTTTTGGCAAGCTGTCACCCCAGCGTGGTGGCAATACCGAGCAGGGGGCCAGAGGGTGATGCTGGGGAGCTAGGGTTAGCAGGCCTTCCCGTACCAGGGTACTGGTGCCCATGGAGGAGAGAGACCTCCCAGCCGGCACTGGTGCTGTGCTTTGCAGACCTGCCCTGATGTTCAGGACCCATGACTGTCTGTTTAAGTGCTGCTTACTTCATGGTCAGTTTGATTATTTCTCTTTCTTCCTCTTCTTTTAATTTTTCAACAAAACTGTCCAGCACCGGCATTTCAAACTTAATGTACTGAGCGACCTAGAAAATCCAAGAACATTTTAATGTGCTTTAAATTCGAAGCCAAAAGTATGTTTTCTTTTCCTCAAGGCTTCCATAGTGGCCCATCCAGCCAACATCTTGTATCCACAGAAGGAGCTGCCGCTTTTCCCACCCCACCCCCACACTGCTGTGTTGTGTACAGATGCCAGGACGGGAGCCTATTACTATCTCAAAGGCAACTGTTATCCCTGGGAGGAAATATTAAACTGAATATTAGGAAGAGCATTCAGTACAGCAGCATTGTCACATTGGGTGCCCTCTGGGCTAGGGGGTAGGGAGGTGGGAGCACCATTGTTTCTAACAATGGAATGCAATTGCAGCAGCCTGAGGGATACGGGGTCACTAGGCCTCCTACTTGAGGTTCAAACCCTGTAAGCATCTTCTATGCAGAGGAGTTTGGAAATGCACTCACTGTCTGGTCAGAACTCAGGCTGTTGGTAAGACTTAAATATCTCCCTGTTTTCCACAGGTGCGAGGTAGGGCCTAGTTAAAAAGCCTTTGCATAGGTCTCTCACATAATGACAACAAAATACATTCCAATGAAGGAAAAGACTTTACTTCCCTAGAGGAAAAGGACAGGCCATGGTTTTATAGGACCCAAATTCTTCTTTCCCCTAAGCTGCTGGTGCTGGCGGTCACTGATGGGAGAGGGAGGGCTGGCGCCTCCCTGTGCTAGGCTGGGAGCCCTTTGGGAGAGTGTGGAGCTCCTGGAGACATCAACTGACAGGGCTCTGGCCAGGAGTCCTTGGGAGGCCCCGTCACCCAAGAACCCCTCACCCTAGAGCAGGCCTCCCCAGCCTTGGCCCCCACTCACTTCATGGGGGACTTCCACGCCCAAGTCAGCTTCCATCAGGAAGATCCTGGCGATCTTCTCACATGGCCCATGCAGGATTCTGGAAATCAGCGGGTACTCGCAGTCTTTTAATTTTGTCCGCTCTGAAAAAGAAGGTGGTTTACAAAAATCACGGGAGATTAGGATCACCTCTGTCTGTTCCAGATTAGGAACTGATAGAAAATGTGCGTCTAGGGGCGCAGGGAACCCTAAGAACACAGACCTCGCTAACAGCGCTGCCCTGAGAGATTCCTGCTCATGCAGAAGGGAGGCAGAACAGGGCCCCCAGATCTGCCACTTTGGCATAAGGATTAAGTGGAGCGGCTGGCAATTGAGAAGAAGAAGATACAAGTGAGGCTCTTTGCCCTCCCCTATTTGCCAAAAAGCAGGACATAAATTTGTCAAGGTGTGCCCCCGTCCCTCTCTAGGCAATGATGGAGTTAATCACCAGAGACAACCCGAGCCCCTCCTCAGCCTGGAGAGGGCACCAGAGGAACCTGCACAGCACGTCCCGCTGAAGCCCTTCCCTTCCCGCAGCTCCCCGTGCGGTGACCTTCCCACCCTTCGCCTCCCCAGAAACTCAGGCCCTTCTCCTCTGTCTTGTCACTTCTCTAAAAACTTACTGCTCTTTTGTGAATATGCTATTTAAGCCCAAATTCTGACCATTCATCCCTGGATATTCCAAAGGGCATGCATGATGCAAGTGTTAACAAACTTCTGTTTGTTCTTCTCCTTAATCTGTCTTTTGTTAATCTAAATACAGGGCCCCAGCCAGTGAACCTAAATGGGTAGAAAGAGAAGATAATTTTCCTCCCCTACAGTGTCATTCAGCAAAGGTGCAGCTTGAAGAGAAACAAGATCTGAGGGGTGGGAGAAAGGAAAGCTGAGACGGGAGGGCCAGGGCCTGATGCACTGCGACACGCACCCCACCCTTCCTGACTCGGCGCCAAGGAGCTAGGTACCCACCCATCCATTTCTCTGGAAGAGGCGGAGAGGGAGGCTTCCTATAGCTTGGTGGGATTCTCCTTCAGAATCCTGAAAGAATTAAACTTAATGTACTGAGCGACCTAGAAAATCCAAGGACATTTTAATGTGCTTTAAATTCGAAGCCAAAAGTATGTTTTCTTTTCCTCAAGGCTTCCATAGTGTGCCTGGGTTTGGGTGGGGGAGAAATGTTCATGCTGGGAGGCACAGTGTGCCCTAGCCCACTAGGCAAGCCAGCACGGAGCCCATCTGGAAGGGAGTACAGTCAGTGGTTGGTGGGGAGGGGGCTTGCTGAACAGGTAGAGACCTTTTGCTTTTACGATCCAGAAGTGGGGCAGGTACTTACCCCCAGACTCGTGAACGATGTAGAGTGCGAACTCACTGGGGCCATCTTCCACCTGCACAGGCAGTCACAGGAAGTCAGATCACGGTGCTTGGAGATGGGAGAGAACTGAGAGGGTCCCCTGACAGTAACTACACCCCCAGTAACACACACGCAAGTTGCAAGGAACCTGTCCTCTCCCAACCTCCTCTTGCTTGAAATCCGAGAAACCAAAGCTCAGCAGAGGGACCCTTGCTAGACCTTCTGCCCAGGCAGCTTCTGCCACGGGCAGCTTTCCCCAGAACCCCACCCCCAACAGAATAGCAGACCACTGGCATCCTGGGGCAAGGCTGCTCCTGACCAGGCTTACCCTAAATTTGTTCAGCAGCAGGGTGAGCACCTGCAGGGTTGTCATGGTGCTGTTGACCCTCACATTGGTCACGGATCCATAGGCTGGAGTAAACACGGAGGTCTGTACCAGGAAGGGAGAGAAGTTCAGGTCAGGCCCAGAGGGGACAAGGGACTGACATCACAACGGTGAACAGACCAAGGCAGCAGGTGACGCTGAGATCTGGGAACACCTGCACCTGTCCATTCACGCTGATGCACACATAAGCTGTTCCCAGACCTGGGAGACACTCCGGGAAGCTGTAGTAGTGCACTCCTTCCAGAGGCCTAAGGAAGATGTCTACACACCCAGAAGGGCCAGCTCTCTGGACCCGAGGAACCAGGGCCATGGAAGTCATTCACAAGGGTGGGGGAATCAGTCTCTCCATCACTCTTTCTATTGATTAAGTCACCAGTTGTCTGTTGATTCTAAGGCTGAAAGTTACCCAATCTGTCTCCTCCTCTTCATTCTCCCAGCAGTGCCTAGTAGAGGCACTGATCACACCATATCAGCTTCCCAGCTTGTTCCCTTCTGGTCTCAGTCCCTCTAATCCGTAGTCTGCACCGCTGCCTACAGGAACGGACTTCTAAAACCCTTGCACCTCCAAGTGACGTCTAGCCCAGCTGCATCCATACAGTCTCGGCTCCCTTCCCTACCCTGCTCCATACCATCTGAATCAGAGTCTGCGTCTGTAGAACACAAGGCGAAGCGATCTGTGCAGTTCAATGTGAGAAGCACTGTTTGAAAGCGCGGGTCTAAAAGTATCTGAAGGCTTCCTGGGGACTGTGCAATAACATCTGTAGTTCTTCTCATTGTCTCGCACGTATGACACTATGGTTGCCTAACAAGCACCATGTGCTCCAGTCACAGAGCTTCTTCACAATTTGGCTGGGGGGTGGGGGGACACATTATATTTTTGCAGGTATCTTGCCTTTGCCTAAGAGACACCATATATGAAATCAACCAGGACTCTGCCTGACACATAATAGGTCCGTCCTCAATAAACCCTAGCTGTGTATTGAACCCGCTAAGATTTTACATACAATCATTGATTTAATATTCATAACAACCCTTTGAGGCAGCTATAACTAGTCCCCTTTTCTTAGAAAGGAATCAGAGGCTTTAGGAGGTTAACCAGCTTGTTCAGAGTTACCCACCTAGAAAAGACAGAGCCCTGACTCAAAGGATTCCATGATTCCTGAAAACCTACATGTTACCCCCCTGGTGCTGGTGCCTCCCAGCGAATGTGACTCCTCTGCAGGTGAACCTCTCCTTGCTTTTCAAACTCAAGTTTAGATTCGCATATTCCTCCTCTGAGATCCTAGCTCTGTTTTCCCAAGGAGGTAGCTAAGGCTCAGAGAGCTCAAGGACCTATTCAGTATCCCCGCTCTGATAAGTCCAGGCACACCTGGGAGCCATTGTGAGTTCAGGTCCAGACCATCACAATGAAGCGAATATCTCAATAAAGTGAGTCACACAAATGTTTTGGTTTCCCAGGGCATATACAAGATATGTTTATACTATACTGTAGTTTCTTAAGGGTGAGACAGTACTACATCTAAAAAATATGCATGCCTTAATTAAAACTACTTTATTGCTAAAAAATCTGACACAGAGACACAAAGTGAGCACATAGTGTTGGAAAACGGCACCGATAGACTTGTTCAACACAAGGTTGCCACACACCTTCAATTTGCAGAAACCGCAGGTGCAGCAAAAAAAAAAAAAAAAGTGCACATTTTTGCAAATGGAAGGTTGCTGAACAGCAACCTTCCATTTGCAAAAATCTGCAAGGTACAGTAACAAGAAGCACAATAAAATGAAGCACGCTGTGCCAGAGTCAGACTCAACCTCGACCTGCTTCCCCCAGCTCGATTCTAGTTGAGGTGCAGAATGACTGAGTTATACAGAAAGCCAGGATTAGGATTAGGCTTTCTTGTCCAAAGAAATATGGAAGAGAGGGCCAGGTGCAGTGGCTTACGCCTGTAATCCCAGCACTTTGGTAGGCAAAGGCGGGCGGATCACGAGGTCAGGAGTTCAAGACCAGTCTGGCCAATATGGTGAAACCCTGTCTCTACAAAAAATACAAAAATTAGCCAGGCATCGTGGTGCGCACCTGTAGTCCCAGCTACTCAGGAAGCAGAAGAATCGCTTGAACCTAGGAGGTGGAGGTTGCAGTGAGCCCAGATCGTGCCACTGCACTCCAGCCTGGCTACAGAGTGAGACTCCATCTCAAATAAAAAAAGAAACATGAAACAGAGGAGTTAGGCTATTTCAAAGGGACAAAAAGTCTTGTTAACAAGACACTGTGTTTCTTCTGCACGAAGCCTTTTCTCAAGATGATACCAACCAACTCCAAGTAGGAACAAAGGCCCCCTGGCTACTTTCTTATCTCTAACCACAAATGGTTTCTCTCTAACAGAACGCATTTGAATCCAATAGGTCAGGCAGTAGAAACAGCTACAAAGTTTCACCCTGTCTGGAAATAAAACCAACATTTCTGGGAATCAGAACAGTTTTGGAAAATGACTGAGTGAAGTAATGGTGCACAGTTCTAAGAAACAAAACCTGGAACTATCTCAGAAATTCAATGCTAGGAATTATTTATTTTTTCAATTGTTGCCTCTGACTCAAGGAATCTGTCCCCTCATTTCTAAGGACATTAGTTCTGTATGGATGTTGAGCGTGGTAAGAAAGGGCTTTTTGCATAGTGCTTTTCTTTGGGACTTCCCTTACCCAGGAGGTGGGGGAGCTACTGTCCCAAATGCTTAAGACACTATTCTGTGTCCTTGAAAGCAGTACTTTTTTCTGGAAGAATGGATTCACATTGCAAGGGCAAATCTGTCACTAGGAGGAAAAGCTGCCCTCACTGGGTGACAGGCTGAGACCCCATGTTGTCTGGCTGAGTAGCTCTTCTTGATAGTGTGGTTCAGTTGGAAATGAGAGGCTGCGATGAAAACCCTCACTGTTCATTTCAAAGGCTGCAGAGTGCTCAGGACATGCAGAGAGCTCAGTGTTCCTATGACACTGGCAATCACTACAATAAGGTTTAATGTACCAGACACACCTCTTAGTGATGAATGAGACCCTTCGAGGAGAAGCGAATGTACCAATGCTAAACTCCACCATTCAGTACTTTGAATCATGGAGCAAAACATCCCTGCCCCCACCCTTTTTTTGGTAAGGAACATAGAACTGGAAAATACCTAAACCCACGCACATATTTTGGAAAATTTTTGAATAATTCCTTACACTAGCATATCAACATTTATTTGAATGCTAACAATGGGTACCCAACACATTACACACTAAACCCCTTTTGGAACAAGATTTAAAGAATACTCAAGTCATGTCATGTGTCCTTGGGCTAATCTACACCTTTGTTAATCTCTGCCTAACTTCAATCCTGGGTCCCCTTTACTCTCTCAGGAGACTCTACTTTGGAATAGTCCTGGATTTTTCCAGATTTAGCAAAGGCAACCCTATTGTCATTCATTCACTCACCACAAGCCTAGCAGGGGGTGGAAGGGAGATCCTGAGATTAAAGCAGGGTCCCTTCAGCTTGCCCAGCAGAATTCCAAAGTAGACATTCCAAAGTCCAGGGCACCCTAAGTGTGGCTTGAATGGCCCCTGGATAGCCTAACCTGGGACACCTGCTCCTTCAGATCGGACCCTGAGACCCTCCTCCTGAGCCCCCTCCCTGCCATAAGTCATCCTCTATCAAGAAGGGCAGCTGCTTCAACTGGAAATCTCGGCTTGCATTTCCCAGTGCTGAGGGAAAGATATGGCCTGTCACAAGACGCTCCATCCAGGGCCTTGCCCAGACAGCCAATCATTCTATTTACAGTAACAATCAACTTCTCCTGCTACAGTTCAGTTTGTTTATAGAATGATGTAATTTGGGGAAAGAAAGCTTTTCCTGAGGTCAGTACAATGCATCCTTGGACAAAAGGCTGTGTGCTGGGAATCTGGGGTCGTCCAGGTTCTCTGGGGCACAGACACATGTGCCCTGGGCACACCCCTGCTTAATTATTCGGTGAGAGTGATGGCTGGATACACAGTGTTCCCAGGGATCAACCAATCGAGTTCGGGGGGAAGCCTCCTAGAAAGCGCCCTCATTGAAGACACGGTCAGCGTTACTGTCTGCCCAGGGCATCCCCAGCTTACTTGCCAGAATTCTGTGTGACTTGTGAGGATGCACTGACAGTGAGCATGTGCTGGAAAATGCTTAGGTCATAAACGGGGCTGTTATGTGGATGCAACCTGGTTTTTCCTCCTGAGGGCACAGGAATGCCAGCAGCCCCCACACAGGTCATGGTGCTTGCTGTGCCTGTGCTCAGGCCTGGCTCCCCATGCGCCCAGGGGAGAGGCCAGGCTGGGGCATCACCTTATGATTGTAGAAGTGGCCGTTGATAGAGAACCGGTGTCGCCGGATGCGCTGGGCCTCACCGGGGGCGCGGCACTTGGGCCTCCTCTGGCTCATGCAACTGGCGTCGCTCTTGGTCCGCATCAGCTGGGGGGCCTCCTCTGCCTCCTCCAGGGGCCCTGCATGAGAAATGGGTGAGAGAATGGCAGGGTGGGTGATGCTGACAGAGCAACTGCCTGCTGTCGGGAGATCTGGCACCCTAGAGCCCTGTGGTCACGTGCACTGGGGCAGATGGGGACGTGAGGGCCATTCCTGGACTGGAGGCTGGATATTCCCAGCTTGCAGATAGGAAGGTGAGACCCAGACAGGGTAACCTGGGTCACAATGTCACATGGCCATACCCCTCTTGGTCTCTGTCTTAGGGTGCCCATGGAGGTCTTTGGTGGCCCCAGCCCTGTCTTCTGAGCCCCTGCTCTGAAACAGGCCCTTCACTGAGGGCTAAAGGAAGGGGAATAAAAAGGATGAGTGAGCAGGTACAGAGGGTGAGGACGAGGTCGCAGAGGGAGGTGAGGGGCCAGGAGAGCGCAGTGCCTTCTGTGGATGCTCCTGTTTCCCATAGCACACACAGGGCGGGGGACTCAGGCCACCCCCACACTGTCACTGTCACCTCCCAAGCCTCTGCTCACTTTTCCATAAAAAGGAGCGAGAATGAGGGCAGAGCACCTCACAGGCAGGCACCTGGGTAGGGGTCCAGCAGGTGAAGCCCCTCGTTGGCTGGGGCACAAAGCTGTCCTTCGGAGATTGTGGTTGTGAGCCAAGCCCCTCTGCTCCTACCCCGGATGAGGCAGGGGTCTGGGCAGCTTGCGGGCTCCGCTTACCCGAGCTGTCTGTGGAACTCTCAGCCTTGTGCACTGGCTGAATGCTTGGCCCCTGGGCTGTGATGTTCCCGTTCTGGGGCGATGGCTCCTTTCTGAAAACAGACAACTGCAGGGCTGAGATGGCTGCCGGCAGAGAAAGGGAGCTCAGGCCAAGGAGAAGAGACCAGCAGCCCCTGGGGTAGGACACAGGCGGGAAGCAAGGCAGGCTGAGGTGAGGCCTGGATTTCAAACCAAGAGAGTCAGTCTGAAACAATAAAAGAAAAGTAGAGGCCTCCCCCCAGCATCTGCTGGACGGAGAGTGAGCCTGGCCCTGCAGACCTGAGGGCTTGTGCTGGGCTGCATCGCACAGACACACGGACACATGAACATAGTCAGGGCCTGCGCATTCCTAGACACCAGGCTTAGCCAGGCCAGCAGCTGTGTGCCAAACAGGCTCGCTGGGCTTCCCGAAGGCCTAGTGGGGTGTCAGGCAGGGGCCACCTAGAAGGGCCCAACCTCCAGGCCTCTTGGCAGGATGAGCCCCAGGCCAGGGTAGCTAGTGCTGGGCTGGAGAAGGAGTGGGTATGATGGGGCACAGCCCTGTAGCCCAGGGGACCTGGGGAAGAGAAGACAGATGGGATCCTGGAGAATACACGGGCACAGCCGCGACTGCTGTCTGTGAGTGCTTTACCTCGAAGAGGGGCACATGTGAGTCACACTTGCAGCCTTCCTAAGGAGTCTGACTTTATGCTCTAATTCTGTGTGCCTCAGAATTCGCTGAGTGACTGGGGACACCTAGGTATGTGCTGGGGCTGTCAGGGTGGTGGGTGCTGTCACAGCATGGGTTTCATATGAAATCTGAAGGGGGCAAAGCTCTGAATGTGTGCCCTCTACAGGAGTTACTACTGCAGAAGCAGGCAAGGCCCAGCTACTAACTGCGTCTTTTGGGAGTGGGCCGAGGAGGAGATAAATGTGCATTGAATGGTAAGGCAGGCAGGAGACCATTTCCTCCTGACAGAAACATTATTCTGATATTAAACAAATGTAATGTGAAATTCTGATAAATTTATTTTTAAAATTTTGACATTAAAATGAAAACAGAGTAGTAAGAGGCTAAATTCGTGTGAATTTTAAAGATAGAACAAGAGATGGCGAGACATGTTCGGCTTGCATAGGTGTTGGGAGCCCCCCTGGCTGTAGTCGTCCCTTCTTGCCAGCAAGGTGGCTTGCAGGAAGGTTTGAGAAACAGAAATAGAGGTCATGGGAGCCTGGAATGTTCTCCAGGAAGGAGGGAGAGGCCACCCTGGGCGAGGCTGTGGACTGAGGCAGTCACAGGGCATGGGGATGAGGCTGGGTCACCCTCCTGTGCCAGTGTCCCATAAGGGAACAGGGCTCCCACCCTGAGGCTCGGGATATCCCCAACCCGGGAGCTCAGGCTGAGCAGGTGTCACAGAAGCCACCGGGTACTCACAGAGGGCAGCTAGGCCGTCTGGGCATCCATGAGGTGGAGGGGAGGTGCACCTGCTCCCGGTCATCCTGCATCTGCAGCCGGATGGGCCGCCTCAGCCCCCAGGCAATGTTGAGGAGCCCCTCGATGATCAGAGTCCCTTCTTCCTGTGGGGGTCCACACATCAGCCCTTCCCCCAGAGCAGCTGCCTACCTTCCCTGTGCCCCCTAGGGATGGGATGCTCTGAACACTCAGGCCTTGCACATCCCTCCTCCTGAGTGGCCCCATCCCCTCAGGAAGGACCATCAGCCACTACGTGCCCTGGGGCGTGTGACCAGGCCCTGTGGGAGGGAGCCTGAGATGTGCTCAGCTCATGCCTGGCCAGGGGCACAGCGCAGAACACAGTGGCTGAGTCAGGTGTCCCACAGGAAGCCAGCTGCTGGCCGGCAGGCACGTCCACACCGCGGTGAAGAAGTGGTTCCAGGGACGCACAGCCTGTCTGCTCATGCCAAGCAGGGGACCTCTCTGCCCACACTGCACCTGGGAGGGGGTCCTGCGCCACCAGGTCCTATGGCCACCAGGCCCGGCAGGGTCCCACACCCACCAGAGGAGAAGTGGGCACTCTCTGTCCTAGCTGTGTCTCAGCCTCACCCTTCTCCCGGTGCCTTCCAACAGCAGCAGCGTCCACTTGCCAGGGCTGACAAAGGGTCTTGCTTTTCTCACCACTGCTTAGACATCACTAGCCCTATATCCCATACCAGAATTTCTACAACAGCCTTCATCCCATGTCCCCAACCTCCCTCGGTTTCCCTAGGTCTGCAGGTGACATGGCTTCTCTCCTGCTGCCAACCTGGGGCCCTAATCAACAGAGTCCTCTGCACGCACCTTGCTAGTAGTGCTGGTTGGCACCCCTTGGGCCCTTGATTCAGTGCCTCTGACCTATTCCAGGCCTCTGTCTCTGCGAGACCACCCCAGGCCTCTGTGCCAATCCCGGTCACTCTGTGTGTAAGCCTGGCCAAGCTGAGTCATTTGCCAGAATACTTGCCAGCAACCTCAGCTGCCCTCTACCCAGAGCCGCAGTCTCGAAACTACACACTCCTAATGTGCTCTGACACTAGTCTTCCCACAATTAACTTTGAATATCATTCTCTCATTGCCATCTCAACCAACATTTAATTTTATTATTTATGTTTTATTGTGATAAGGACATTTAACATAAGAACTACCCTCTAAACAAACTGTTCAGTGCACAATACTGTATTGTTCACTGTAGGCACAACGTTGTCCAGCCCATATCCAGGACTTACTCATCTTGCATAGCTGAAACATTATATCAGCTGCACAGCAACTCTCCACTTCCTCCTCCCCTGCCCCAGTCCCTGCAACCACCATTTTCACTCTCTGCCTCTATGAGCCTATTTTAGATTCCTTATATAAGGGAATCATGCAGTATTTCTGACCCATATTTTAGATTCACAAATCCCATTTCTCTCTCCTCGTTGGCACTAAAAGCCCTGTGAGAACAGGGACGCCATGGAAACTTCTTTGTATCCCTGGCAGCACTCAGGAAGACCCTGCACAATGTGGATTTCATGGTAACTTAGAAATGGGGTTTCTAGGTTCAAACATCCTGCCATCCACAGAGAAAATAGTGTATCCAAAGGTTATCAAATATACACACAGCTTCCAGATATGACCTTGCACTATCTGCTAAAAAGGAAAACAAACAAGCAGAAACCAGAGCTGTTTTTGATACTCACTGGTGCTCTACAAGCACAGATGTGTCACTGAGCTTCCTATGAAGGAGAGGCCAGCATGGATCTATGGAGTTCAAAGGTCTATGGGGGGTTCTGTTCTTGCCTCTTGGTCTCGGG
The DNA here is from genome assembly GCF_000001405.40 of Homo sapiens. NCBI lineage: Eukaryota > Metazoa > Chordata > Mammalia > Primates > Hominidae > Homo > Homo sapiens. The sequence continues at coordinate 44,980,813 of NC_000010.11, read as the reverse complement.
TGCCTCTCAGTGGAGAGAGCTTGTGGGGATGGCTCACTCATGGAGACCCACTGCCCTCCAGCCCCACCCTGGACGCCAGGCAGAGGAAGATGGAGCAGACACAGCCCTGGCCACGAGGGGCTCGGGCTTGGACGCAGAAGGAGATGCAATGGAGCTTCTTGGAGGAGGTGCTTGTGCACTGCACCCTGGAAGACGAGTGAAGGGGGACAGGGAGGAAAGCTGAGCAGGTGGCCCTGACCTCAGGACCTGCCTGGACAAGGTCGGGGGCTTGGCTGTACTGGGGACAGGCTGGCTCTCCATGACTCAGGCCAGACATGCCTACACAGGTGATGTGTGTGCCCCCAGCATAGCCGCCCACTGTTCACCCTCCCCCAGCTTGGCCGCATCTGAATGGAGGGAAAGCCCCGTCAGCCAGCAGCGAATTCTCCGCCTCCCTCCCTCTTTTGGTCTCTTGACTAATCTGCTCATTGCTAATAAATTCAAAGAAGAGCCAGCGAACTAGACAAAGGGTCTACAAAAGATATAAGAGCTTGGGCAAGGTGAGAAGTGCCATGTGCCACTGAAATCCTGGTCACTGTCTCAGGCACTCCCTGCCCCGATGCCTTTGTGCACATGGAGTTCCCACCTAGAATTCAAGAACTTGGGACTGCCGGTCCCTCTTGCTTGCCTAGGGAGTCTGGGGTCTGCCCAGTACTCAGAGCTCAGGCTTGGGCTAACTCTCAAGACTCCTCTTTCTCCCCCACCTGCAGCACAGGCAGGCGTGTTCCAGGTGGGGCTGTGGCTGGGGCAGAGGATCTGTGGCCTGTCTGGGGAGTGCAGGAGCTTCCCAGGGGCTGCCTCTCTCATCCTTGGCAGCCTCCTTTGCTGGCATGGTCACTCCTGGACAGATGCAGTGGCTTTCTAATGTTGCCCAGGTGCTCCTTGGCAGCCCCCCAGCCCCAGCCCCAGCCCAGTCCCAGCAGCTGCAGCGATCCTTTGAAGCAGAAGCCAGACTGCAGTGCCCTTGTTCAAACCCTGCAGTCTTTCCCTCCCTCCTAGAGGGAAACACAGCATCCACCCCAAGGTCCACTGACCCCCTCCTACATGGGCCAGTCTGCAGGCCCCTTGCTGTGCCCTGAGCATGTCTGTCCGGCGCGCCCTCACCACAGGGGCTTTGCACGTGCTGCCCCTGCCACCTGGAATGTGCATTTTCCCATTTTTTTCAGGTTTCTGCTCCAATATCTGCTCTTAGGGAAGACACCCCTGACCACTGTACCTGTGGCGGCAGCCCACCACAGCATGCCACTGCGCTGCTTTCCTTCAGGCAGTTCTTGCTGTTGCCTGAATCACAGCACCCATTCATCTCTGGCTTGATCTCCTCCCTTACTAGAATATGAGCTCCAGGGGGCCACACCTTTGTCCGCTGCTACGTTTGCTGTGCTTAGTGCATTCACAGCACACACTAGCACCTCATATCTGGTGAACAAGTAAACAAACAAATCCTCCGAAAGCACCCCATCTGGGGTGTAAGAAGACCAGGGTCAGACCCCGCAGACCGCCCTTGGTCCCTTGCGAGCAGGGTGTGTCTCTCCTAGGAGCAGGCCTAGGGACCCAGCCTCAGCTGCCTCCAGACTGGGGTCCTGTGCTGCTGATTTTTCATCAAAGTTGCCAAGGACCTGGCCCAACTTCACAGGAGTCATGATGGGGTGGTGTAACACAGAGTGGGAAACAAGCTTTGGGGCAGGGGTGGCCCTGGGGCTACCTGTGAGGGCCCAGTGGAACCCCTCCCTCTCCCAGTGCCCCTACTTGACCAGCAGTGAACCCACCCCTTTCCTGCCCTGCAGCGTAAACATTCCCCAGCCTCCTACAGGCAGAAAAACACCTCCAAGCTGGCAGCTGGGCCAGGCCCCGCCCACCAAGCTGTTTTCCTAAGACAGCCTTCCGAGCAGGCTATTTTTGGCCCTCGTGACAGTGATTGATAGCTGCTGGGAAGGTATAAAAGCAGCTTGCCTGCGAAGGTTCTTCACACTGCTCAGGGAAGAGCCTGCTACGGTGGACTGTGAGACTCAGTGCACTGTCCTCCTCCCAGCGACCCCACGCTGGACCCCCTGCCGGACCCTCCACCCTTCGGCCCCCAAGCTTCCCAGGGGCTTCCTTTGGACTGGACTGTCCCTGCTCATCCATTCTCCTGCCACCCCCAGACCTCCTCAGCTCCAGGTAAGAGAGAGCAGCTGCCCTTGGGTTTGAGACAAAACACAAGGGCTTTGTTTATTTTTGAGGGCAATTCCCAGCCTGAACTTGCACAGCCTCCCTATGGGTTAGAGACCAGGGCTGTCTGTAGAGGGCTTTGCATTTATAAAGGGATTCAGGGGTTATTTCATGCATTTCCTACAACATCCCGGCCAGGGGTATTTATAACCCTGTTTTATGGATGGGTAAGTGGAGGCCTGGAGAGGTGGCCTTGCCAAAGGTCCCATGGTCAGTGCGTGGCCGATCCTGGTTTTAAACCCAGCCTTCCTCTGACCAGTGTTTGTTAGGTTAGGTTCTCTTATCTGTGCACATTCTGAAACGATAATGATAAAATCTTAAGCCTTTGGGGTTTTTAACCTGAACAGGAAGAAAAGATCCCAGCAGTCGGAGCTCTGGTCTGGGCTCTGTAGACTTCAAATTGCTCTCAGGGCACCGGATTCCTACAGGCAGCCCCAGAGGAGTGTGGTGACGCTGAGGGGCGGTGGGACGCATGGCAGGCCCTCACCACCAGGCTTCTGTTTCCCAACAGGTTGCCACCTCCTCTCGCCAGAGTGATGAGGTCCCGGCTTCTGCTCTCCGTGGCCCATCTGCCCACAATTCGGGAGACCACGGAGGAGATGCTGCTTGGGGGTCCTGGACAGGAGCCCCCACCCTCTCCTAGCCTGGATGACTACGTGAGGTCTATATCTCGACTGGCACAGCCCACCTCTGTGCTGGACAAGGCCACGGCCCAGGGCCAACCCAGGCCACCCCACAGGCCAGCCCAGGCCTGCCGGAAGGGCCGCCCTGCTGTGTCCCTGCGAGACATCACCGCACGTTTCAGTGGCCAGCAGCCCACACTGCCCATGGCTGATACTGTGGACCCCCTGGACTGGCTTTTTGGGGAGTCCCAGGAAAAGCAGCCAAGCCAGAGGGACCTGCCAAGGAGGACTGGCCCCTCTGCTGGCCTCTGGGGTCCACATAGACAGATGGACAGCAGCAAGCCCATGGGGGCCCCCAGAGGGAGGCTCTGTGAAGCCAGGATGCCTGGGCATTCCCTGGCAAGACCACCGCAGGATGGGCAGCAGAGCTCTGACCTAAGAAGCTGGACTTTTGGGCAGTCTGCCCAAGCCATGGCCTCCCGCCACCGCCCCCGCCCCAGCAGTGTCCTCAGAACACTCTACTCGCACCTCCCGGTGATCCATGAACTCTGACCCCTCCCCAGTAAAGGCTTCTGTAGAGAGCATGCTGGGTCTGCATCTCCTCTCGTCTCCTCCATGGTGGTCACTGCCCCTGGCAGGTCTCTGAAAGGGAAATGCTTTTCTGCAGAGGCCCCTGCTTGGGCAGTTCACAGTGAGACCGACCCCCTCTGAATATGATAACAGCCTGTTTCACATGAGGAGATGTTACCAATCCCGTTCGCTCTGACCCTTGCTGGCTGATCACCTTGAGCAACTTACTTAACATCTGTGTTCCTCAGTTTCTCATGGGTAATATAGGGATAATTACTGGCACCTGCCTCCCAGGCCATTCTGACGTGTAACCGCATATAGGAGCCCACTGGCTGAGTAGCTACCATCATCGCTGGTGGGGAAACTGGTGGTAGGGGTGTGAGGGTAGTGGGGGTGTCAGCCCCCCAGGTGTTTCAGAACAAGGCCTCGGGCACTCCCAAGTCTGCCTCTTGGCTCCCACCCTCAAAGCCCATGTTCTGTGAGGCCCAAGAGAACACATGGAGTCTTAGCAAATGCACTAATGTATTCCGGGGGACTGTCACCTGGCACCACTGGGGCACTCTGCTGGCTACAACTCATACGTCCTGTGGTGGCATTGGGAGAGTTCCCCCATGATGAGGGCCAAGATAGAATCTGTACCACTCAGTGCTACCATCCCCACCCCTACACCACTTCCACACAGGGGCCTCATGGCATGGTCAGGGTCCCAGCTGTGGGTGAGAGCAGGGCACTGTCCAGCTGTCCACTGGGGAAGTCAAGATGTCCTAAGGCCCAGGTCAGGGCATCTGGAGTCTGAAGGACCCTAGTTCCTAGAGGCATCTGGCAGCAAGAAGGTGAGGCATCAGGGAACGGGAATCAGGCTGGGACTGATCAGAGGTGAAGGGACAGAGAGAGGAGAGGAGGAAGATTGAGCTGGGGGCAACAGCCAAGCTCACCTGGGCAGGTCTCTGCCACCTCCTTGCTCTGTGAGCTGTCAGTCTAGGTTATTCTCTTTTTTTGTGGCTATTTTTAATTGCTTTGGATTTGTTAAATGTTTTCTGTCTTCTGTTAAGTGTGTTTTCTCTGGAGATAGAATGTAAACCATATTAAAAGGAAAAAGTTTCAGACAAGCAATTACCCAGTTTCCTTATCTATAAAATGGGGACATCAGCAATGTTCTTCACACCCTGCAAGGGCTGGGAATCTGCGCATGTGAACTTGGAGCTGCATTTATGAGCACTGTAGACAAATGTTTGTATCTGTCACAGCCCACTGTGTCTCTGTGGTGGTCTCAAACCTGCAGGTCCCTGACTTTGGGCAAACGTGTGGGGCAGCCTTTAGCCGGGGCAGCCTTTAGCCAATCATCATCCTCGGGAGAGATCCAGAGGGCCCACCCACCAAGGCAGAGGGGTTGAGGTCCGGGCTTGCTGGGCCCAGCCTCACTACAGCCCCTTCTGCAAAGCATCATGAAACGGGGTCAGAGGGAGAGTCCGGCAACTAGGATGAGGTCAGCAGACTCCCCTATGCTCAGAAGCCACCTCGCTGCATCTGGGGAGGTCTGGCAGTTTGAGGAGACCATCCCCGGGCTTCCTCACTAATACCCAGCTGTGTGAAAGAGGTCAATGGCACCTTTGGAAGGCGCTCCCTCCCAGTAGAATACAGGTTTGTGGTTGGGGCTTCTGGCAGTGTCCCAAGCTCCTGCAGAGAGGCCCAGGGGAATTCCTTTCCCTTCAAGCTAAGCCTCCTGGTGGGGCCCTTGTAGAGCAGTTACATTCTCCTTCCTTCTTGCCACTGGGGTGGGGGTGGGGAGAGTGGAAAGGGAGGTAGAGAGGGGAGTGGAGGTGGGGGTGGGAATGGAGAGGGGAGTGGGGCTGGGGGTGGAGAGGGGACTGGAGAAGGGAATGGAGAGGGAAGTGGGGGTGGGGGTGGGAGGTGGAGAGGGGAGTGGGGGTGGGGGTGGAAGGTGGGGATGGGAGGCGAAGAAGGGAGTGAGTGGGACACAAGGCACTGCCCAGAGCGGGCAGGCTGGGAAGCGCTTTGCGGCTCCCAGAAAACAGATGTTCGTGGGGCTGGCCAGTCACTCCAGGGGCCAGTGGTCTGCCAGGCCTTCGGAGAGGGGACGGGGCAACTCTCTCAAGGCGGGATGCTGGTTTTCCGCACCCCTGGGAGAGACGGAGCCCCCGGACCAGGGGAAGCCCCTTCCGTTTCTCTCATTGCTGAGGGGTCCCTGGGCCGAGGAGCGGGACTGGATGTGGAGCGCGCCCGCGGTCACCAGGGGGCGCCCCGGAGCCTCGGCGCCGCGCCCCAGGCGGGCGGGGCCGGCACACAGTCCCCAGAAAAGGTCCTGCCGCCTGGGGCTCACTTGCTTGTCCAGAGCCATGGGTTTACACAAGGACATTTCCGGGCGGTCCTTTTTTCTTTTGAGATACCAGCCAGCCTGGCTAAAGCCCTTTGCCATCTTCAAAAGGCACAGATTGTTCCCCGTTGCTCAGGCTTTTTGTTGTAATACAAGCAAAATTATCCCAAAGGCGAGGTTCATGATACAGGAAGTCGGCGCCTCAGCCTCCAGAGATGGCGTCCCTCCTCTAGCCCCTCGGAAGCGGGGAGAAGGCTCACAAGGAGCCGCTGGTCCCAGGGCGTGACGCTGGCCCCAGAGCGTGGCCCTGCCCACCTTCGGAGAAGTGGGATGAGACAGTGGAGGAGAAGGCACCCCAAACCGTACTGCTAAGGCTGCCGGTGCTGCGGGTGAGGGGCAGTGACAACACGGGGGGGTCTCTTTCAGGCGGCTCTGGGAGCGCGCCCCGGGTGGTGAGCCCTTCGCCAGCCTGAGAGCCCCTTAGCTTGGGGCTCAAGGGCAACAAACAGCACCCTGTGTCCCTGAGACCTGTTCACTGATACTGGGTGGAGACCTCCAAAGCCTAATGGAAACGGTATTGCTGTTTTGTAAGTGGCTGTGAGCTTGGGGCCATGGCCAGCACCTTTCATTTACTGCAATGTGACCTTGGACTAGAGACTTAAACTCTGGGAGCCTCCATCTCTTTGCCTGGAAAATAATCATTCCTATATCACCTTATATTAAACAAAGGAGAGGCAAAGTGCCTGGTGCATTGGAGGTTCTCTGGGGAAGTGTCTGTTCCTCTTGTCTGCCCAGCCCTTGGGGCCTGTGGTGCCTGAGGAGAGACTGGCCTGGGATGGCCCTGCCCCTGCAGCAAGTGCCCAGTGGCCCAGGAGGTCGTGGTGGGTGCATCACAGGGTGGCAGTGAGACCTGGAGGGGCTTGGTGCCCCAGGGACCAGTTGTGCCTATCAGTGTCACAGCCTAAAGCCTCGTCTTATGTGGTAATTGCGACCCAGCAAAAACACACACTTCTTCAGGCCGGTACCGGTACCCTGGGCTGTTAAGGCTACAGAATTTTCCTGAAAGGTACTTTCTGACTCCATGGAGACCGGGTCAAACCCTTACACTTTCTTCAGCGTTAGGGACAGGAAAATCCCCCTAGTGGGTTAACTTTCTATCATTAAGGGCTGTCAAGAACACCTCTTCCCAGCCCGAGAGTCCCCTACTTCTCTATGTGGGCTGTCCCGCAGCATACACCAACACACACAAACCACAAACGCAGGGTGGAGGCTCTTGGGGCTTCCCGCTCCCGCGCCCCTGCCCCCGACAACTGTTCCTACAGAGGGGATTATCTTGGGGAATCCCGAGTGCCAAAACTAAGCTCTTACTAGTGGTTTTCAAACTTGACCTTCCACCAGAATGCCCTGGAGGGCTCCTTAAAACTTGGACGGGAAGACTAAGTGTTTTCGGTTCAGCAGGCTGGGAGAGGGGCGTGGTAGGAATTTGCATATCTAACCAGTTCCCAGGGCAGCTGGTGCTTGGACCACCTGTGGAAAGCCACCTGGGATTTAGATCAATCCCTGAACAGCCAGAGCTGAAGAACAGCAGTGACCACACCCCAGGCCTCCACCAGAAGATATGAAGTGGCGTGTGTTAACAGCACAGGTGGAAATCCCTGTGGTGCCATCACCCTCTCCCCAATGCCTCCCTCTACCCAGCACACTGGAGCTCAGGACCGAGGACTCACCCCAACTCTCTCCAGGCCTACACCTGCTGCTTAAGTCACCCACCAACTCTGCACAGGGACCCACAGGGTGCCCGGCCTGGGGAGTGCAGGATGGGGGCAGGCAGGGTGAGACAGGTGTCACAGAAGTGAGCATGAGGAGGTGGGATGGCAGGAGAGGGAGGGGAGCAAGCTGTGGGGCCTCGCAGCCTGGGCAGGTCAAGGAGGCAGAGTGTGAGGTTTGTACCATGCCTGGTGGTCACAGGCAGCCCAGCACAGCTTGGACCAGGAGCCAGAAGCTCCTGAAGGGTGTGATGTCTGGCCTGGCCAGCCGAGGGGACGCCTCAGGGGCTGGCTGAGGCCGTCTGGCAGCAGGTTCCAGCCGGCCCTCTGATCTGCCACTGTCTGGCAATCCCCAGCTGCCCAGAGTTGCCTGGATGCCTGGGCTAGCTCTGGCCTGGGAGCTATAGAAGGGTGTCTGAGTTACTGAAGAGGGAGGACTAGGACTAGTGAGCCAAGACTAGTGAGGAGAGAAAGTCCGGGAGCCAACCCAATCTCAACTGCAGAACCCCCCAAAAAACAGCCTCACCACGATAAGACTTGCCATTAGGCGGTACAAATATGTTGAATTAGACCAAGATAGGGCCACAAAGCCCAACCAAGATTCCCGCATGAAACATCAGAGGATGTGAATGACCGCAAGACTAGGGCTCCACTTGCCCTGCCCAGTGGGTGGTCCCCCAAGCCTAGGCCCTGCAGAGTCCAGCCAGTGCCCAAGGGCTGTGTTTGGCATCAGACATGTATTTAGCCCACATGATGTTTCAAGATTTGGGAAATTCCTCATGAAATTCCAGATAATCTATCCTCTTCTGAAAAATCAGAAAGGGTCTGGCTGCACCAGGCCCACGGTCCTGCACAGTAGGGATGGTTTGATCTGATGGGCGGCTGACTCCTTGAGTGGAGACCCACTCCCCACACCTGCGCTGCCTGCTGTGAGCATCTGAGCCTATAAGCCCCTGTGTAGCCCCACACCCCACTTTACAAATGAGAGTACTGGGGACCAGGGGCCACAGGTGAGACCCTGCAGATATGTGGCGGGACCAGCAGGGAACAGAGAGGGACTGACTCCTCTTGTCCGCTGAATGGTGTGATGGGCTGAGGACGGACCTGTTCTCGGCAGCAGTTCACATGGACAAAGGTCTCGGGGGAAGGGGAAAGGGGGAAGACCCCCAAGGTGATTTCTGCCACTGGGAACTCTGGAAGGGATGCACTGACCCTCTGCAAGGGAGATGACCTGGCTGCTGGTAACCTGGTCCCTGGCTCAGGGTCAGAGGTGAGTGATGAGAGTGACCATATAACTTATTGTCCAAACTAGGTCACTGCTGAGAGTGAAGGGGATGGTCTTCATCATTACCCTGAAACAACAGGTATCAGGCAGGGCCTCCCAGGGTACATGGTGACCCCATGAACAAGAGCAACAGGCTCACCTCACGGTGTCTCAGCTGGAAGCTCTTGCCCTCATGGTAGCAGTTGTAGGTTTTCAGCAGGCCTAAGAGCTCCGACCTAAAAAGGGAAAGACACACATGTACTCCTAGGGTGTGGCAGGGCCTCAGCTTCTGGCCTTTGGCTTCCCTGGCCTCTGTTTCCTCATTTGTAACAGGAGTGTGACAGCACCCTTCTCGCCGGCCAGGCATAACCAGAGGAGACCAGACTGCCATCGCAATGCACCCGGATGGTTCTGCACATGGCCCTGGTGGGGGGCATGGGGGTCGGGCTGAGGAGGAGGCGAGACTCACGGGACAGGCCTGCGTCTGGTCCAGGATGTCCAGGGTGCCGACACTTTCACTATCACAGGTAAGGCCCTGGCAGCCTCCCTGCCCTCCACCTGCGTTGCTTCCTCACAGTAAATGCCCTGGACTTGCTTTTGGCATTGTACAGCCTCTTGCTTTTCCCCATATCACTTCCTACAAGGCCTGCTGTGGCTGCTGCGGGCCACCCTGAGGGGTGCCTGCTTCTTCCCCACCCTGACTTTCCAAAGGCGCAGTGGAAGGTGATGGCCCTGTGAGTAAGGCCCTGAAGTCTGCAGTAAGCCACTTTCCCTCAACGCTGTCTCCCTTCCCGAAGGGAAAGCCACAGCCCTGGCTAATGTTGGAGGAAGGGGAGGCCTGGACAGCTGCCTGAACCCAAGCTGGGCTCTGTGGGGCTGTGGGGCCAGCAGACGTGGGATGTGAGCCACACTGGTAATTTCAATCTTCTAGTACATGTTAGGAGGTGATATGGTTTGGATGTGTGTCCCCACCCAAATCTCATGTGGAATTGTAATTCCCAGTGTTGGAGGTGGGGCCAGGTGGGAGGTGTTTGGATCATGGGAGCAGATCCCTCATGAGTGGCTTGGGCCATCCCCGTGGTGATAAGTGAGCTTTTGCTCTGAGTTCACACGAGGTCTGGTCATTTAAAAGTGTGTGGCACCACCCTCCACTCCCTCTCTCTTGCTCCTGCTTTCGCCATGTGAAGTGCCTGCTCCCCGTTCGCCTTCCAACATGACTGGAGGCTCCTTGAGGCCTCCCTGGAAGCCGAGCAGATGCCAGCACCACACTTCTTGTAAAGCCTCCAGAACCGTGAGCCAACTAAATCTCTTTTCTTTGTAAATTACCCAGCTTCAGGTATTTCTTTATAGCAACACAAGAATGGCCTAATACAGAGGGGAAAATGAAACAGGTGAAATTAGCATTAATAACACATTTTATTGAACTCAATATATCTAAATTACTATTTGTCAACATGCAATCAATGTAAAAGTTATAATGAGGCCCTGTACACACCTATTTCGTATAAAGTGCCTGCCATCTGGAGCCTCTTTTCTATTGCCCATGCCTCCCAGCCATGGTCATGTGTAGCTTGGGGATCCCCTATTGGACAGGCTCAAAAAGAAGCACCCCATCACTGTCCCCCAGGGCACCCCATCAGATCTCTGAACAAGTGCTCAGAACCCCTCCACCTAAAGGCTGCCCAGGATGAGGGGGATGGCAAATGTGAAGACTCCCCCGCCCAACCTGCACACCAAGGCTTACTTCTGAATGGACTTGCTGTCACTGATGGGCACGTGAGAACTCGGCAGACAGTCTTCCTTCATCTTCTCTTCCTCTTGTCTGCAGACCTAGAAGTTACTTGCTGGGAAGACAAGGAAGGGTGGACAGACAGGTGAGCCAGAGGAGTGCCGGCCAGTGCAGCACCCAACACCCGCAGCCCTGGCACAGACACCGTCGGCCTTGGCATCACACCGCCTTGGCACAAGGTGGCTGCGGCTGAAAGGGTCTGGCCCAGACCCACATGGCCACATGTCAGTCAAGCTGCCTTGGTTGGGCAAGGTCATGCTGAGCCAGTGACACTGGTCCTTTCAGCCGCCCACCCCAGAAGACTCTCCATAATCCCCAGGAATCCAGATCCATCTCCTAAGCATTTTAGATCACATGCTCCCTTCCCTTGGCAGGGACAGCCTGACTACTGGCTTCTGCCTCGGTTGCTCCTGCAATCCTCCAGAGCTACCCTGGGCCTCTCTCCTGCCTTCCCGCTCAGCCAGGCAGTGGCCCATCACTGGCTGTCCTGGCAGTGGGTTAGTCGGCACTGTGTTCCCTATGTGCTGTAAATGGTTGGCATCTTCTCTGAGTTATCTCCTCCAGTCCCTACAACGATATTGTGAGGTGAGTATCACCATATTCCCATTTTACAGATGAGAAGACAGGGACAAGAGCTTAAGCACTTTGCCCAAGATTACCAGCAAGTAAGCAGAAAAGCCACTGTTCCAGCACAAGCATTTGGACCCCTGATTCTGGTCTCTTAGTACCTTCTCTATATTGATCACGGGCAGTGACTTAAACTCCCAAACCTTCCTTTCCTCGTCTGTGCAACAAGGTAATCTCAAGCCCACAGGATCATTAGTGGATCCACACACACGCGGTTCACACACACTGTTCCACACACATACTATTCCCTCTTTCCACACACAGCCTTGATTGGTTTGAGGAGCCGCTCCTGCCCTCCCCAGGTTTCTTTCACGGACAGTAAATCCACCAGAGCTTTCTCGAACCTGTTGGCATCTGCACAGCTTCCTGTTCCTCTCTCTCCCCCATGTCAATGTGGCCAAGGACTCTTATCAAGGCCTCCTACATGCTAGGCAGGGAGGTAAAGCTTCACACACACATACATACACACACACACACACACACAAAAACACACGCATACACAATCACATGCACACACACATACATTCACACTCAACACACACACTCACACTTAACACATACACACATGCTCACATGCACACACACACACACATACACAAACACTCACAATCTCACAGACACACACTCACACACACACATACTCCAGTGCTGACCTTGCCTCCACCTTCCATCTCCCAAGTTGCAGCTCAGGGCTAGGGGTGTTAGGACACATTGGGAGGGGGCACAGCCTGGGGCCACACCACATCCTGCCCACGACAGAGCTCTGCTCATTCACAACTCCCCCACATCTGTTCACACAAACCCATCATGTCTTCCCGACCTGAGTGTGTGCAAATGCCACGGGGGGCGGGGGGCTCAAGCTCAGCTCCACCTGCTGTCGTATTTATTAATGTCCTCAGAGCCCATCCCTGCAGAATGCCCAGCTCCTCAGGCACTCACTTGGACCAGTCCAGTTTGCTCTCTCCCCCCTTGCTTGACACCCACAAATGTGACAAACCTGCCCTCTGTGCTAGCATCAGCCCTGCATGAGCCTGTGATGCAAGAGGCAGGGAAATACAGTTGGCCTGGAGAAGGGGAAGGATTTGAGGGAGTGGGCTTCCTGATGACCTCAGGATCATCCTATCCATACCTCCCCTCTGCCTTGCTCCAGAGTTAGGCACCTCAGGGCCTGGAGAGATGTCAGGCCCCCAGCAGCAAGGCCTGGAGCTGGGGACTTATTGCTGCATTTTTCTTGGCCAGGCAACAGGGATTTCAACATAAAGTTTCAGTTCCTCGGCACCTCCGCTTGCCCATGGAAAAAGTGATCTGCCCCCCTCTCTGGGTAGTTCCTCATATACTTGCAAGGCAGAAGCCTAGTGCAGCCCAGGGTGAGCCATGGAACTGGGTTTCTTAGCCCACACTGCTTCTGTGGGTCTTCAGCATAACGAAGTCTTGCTTTCAGCAAACTCATTACAGGAAGGGCTGGATTTACCCCAAAATTACAGGCAGTGTTTTTTTCTCTTGCCTTCCTCTGTATCCAGCTTCCACCCCAACTTCCTGCTCTAAGCCCTGGGCTCACTGAGCAAGTTCACGGCTCCCCTAAGGAGCCCTATGCTTTTTTTCCCTTAGGGCTTTTGTAGTGCTGTTCTCTGTTCAGAACCCAGAACTACTCCTGTCTTCTGATGTTAGCTCCTCCTGGAAACCCTTGCCAGAAAAGCCCCAGTCCATGTTGGGGCAGCCCCTCTCTGCCCCATCGTCTCTTCCCATTTCCCCACTGGGCCCTGCAGAACCCAGCTCTTGTTTAGACTTCCCTCCCAAGAGAACGGGAACATGGTGGGGGTGAGGGCGGGGGGTGCTTTACCACTAGTTTCCAGCCCCAAGCATAAGCCTGGCACATCGCAGGAAGTCCATACATGGTTGTTAAATTGCTGAATAAATACAAGAAGCTTCTAGACTCCCTCCAAGTCTACTCTTCCAAAGCTGTGCACATACAGCAGGAATAAATAATATAAAAGTCTCCAATGGCCACGGAGGTGACTCCGCTGAGGGACATTCGTCACGGGGTCCATGGGGAATGGGGGGCACATTCCTTCTTCGACGGGGCAACTCTTTTGGCGTTTCATAAGAAGCCAGGAATCTGGATTTTTCTGGGCTATATTTCACTACTGAAAGGTGGCTGGCTGGCAGAGGCATGCACTGTCCCTGGAATGCCCGTGTGGTCGCTCACCACCCCGGCCCTCTGCAGCTAGCTGGGGCTGTGGGCCTCATTCTGACCACTGAGCTGCGAACAAAAGTGTTGTGGGTCCCTTCCAGGCCAGCAGCTTTAAGAGCCAGTGCACAACCCTCCAGTTCTCCTGTCTCCACCGTGGTGACCCAGAAAGCCATGTGTTTCAAGCCATGTGCAGCTACTCGATGGTCAGCCTGGGTCCCTGAGTGACTGTGGACCAGAACTGTCTGCCAACCCACACTGGATATGGACTGAGAGGGAGAAATAAACCTCTGCCGTGACAAGCCACTGGTGTATCAGGGATTTGTTACTGCAGCATAACCCAGACCAAGTCTCATGCAATACATAATCCAATCAAAACAACAAATATTTAATGTAATATTTTGTATTTAAATATGTTTATAAATAAACTAAACATCTTTGCAAGACAGATACACCTAGTGGTGAGACAGGAATAATACAGATGGTCACAGGAGAATAGAAAATTCTAGGCAGCCATTTCACATGACCAGCAAAAGGAAACTGTTAAAATAAGGGTCATAAGAAGCTAGGGGTCATAAGACTCTAAAAAAATCAGAGTGTGGGCCAAGCTGGCTAAGACCAACTGAAACCAACGTGGTGCTGGATTCGACCTAGGTTTCTTCTAGGACCTCACTATACGCTCATTAACCAGGCAACTCTCTGAGATGCTAAATTACACACCCACAGGCACCATGACAGTTCCAGAACACCCATATTTCATGTAAAAATGGGTGGCACCACAGTTTCAAGAAAGTTCCACCTTTTTCCAGGAATCTTCTTGGATATTGCACCCCTTGGTTAAAGAAACCCATAAAGGAAGCAGCTCCCAACCCCCTTGCACACTCTCCCTTCTTGAGTGTGTACTTTCACTATTTTCTGACTCATATGGGAAGGAATTCAAGGAGTCAAGAGCCTGGACATCAGCTGGGGTCGAAGTCCCACCAGTGTTTGGGGACCTCTCCTAGTCCACTGGACAGTGAGGCTCCAGTTTGTGACTTCTGATTCACGACACGGCATGATTTACATTTACTTCCGGTCTCCTATAGTGTGTGGGGAAGAAGTTCATTTTGCCATATGTAGTAGGAACACTTAGAAGTGGAATTTCCCATAAGTCAGGCAGTGGTTACTTATTCATAGAAAATGCTTCCTAAAGAGCTCTGGGGTGCTTCGTTGCATGCCTTCTCCTCTCTGGGCCTTAATTTTCCCATCTGTACAACAAGAATATTGACCTCCAATGGGTTTGAAATTTTCTTAACTGTGGAACTCTTTGTTCAAATAGAAAATGTATGCAAAACAGATTAAAGGGGATTGCCGTGGTTGACAGTGAGGTGGTGGTGGCAGAGAGCCTCATCTTCTAGAGCTCTGGGTAATACTACTTGAAAAGCATGGTTCTCCCTCACTGGCCTTCAGGAGTGCTTTTCCCCTGCACGCCTGCTTATTTATAGGACACAACCAACGTGTTGAGTGTCTCCGGCCATGACTGAATGGCACCAGCTGGGGGCACCTGCTCAGAGGAGACAGACCAGGAGGAAAGTAAAGGAGAGTCCTAGGCTGCAGATGGCAAAGTGAAGGGATAAAGGGCAAGGTGGGCTTGTAGGGTAAACAGCTGGGGCAGAGAACGGGGCACACCATCCCAGGGGAGGGCAGGGGGGTCAGCGAGCAAAGCTAAGGGAGGTGGCTCAGGGCCCACTGCAGCAAAAGGAGGTTTTTCCAGCTTGCTGGGCTGGGTCCTGAGCCTTACAGGGTGGGAACCTTGGCTCCACACAAAGAGAGTCTCTCCTTTGAGAGAGGCACACATTTCTGTGTCCTCCAGCACTCATTAGCTTCATGGCCCTAAGCAAGGGAAGGAGATGAAAATATTTTATCCCCAACATATATTTCTTTGACGTATTCTTAAATGGCTGCCACTTGCCCATCCTGAAAGAAGTGGCTAGCAGAGTGTCTTCAGTGGGAAAATTTGCATCTGTAGAGAATCTCCATTAATGCAGCCAGGCCCCCTCCCCTTTCCAGATCTTTCCCCACATCCAGGAGAGACTGAGAATCCACACCTTTAAAAGTCTCTTTGAGGGAGGCTTCATCTACATAACAAGGTCACTTTCACTAGCCAAGCCTCTCCTCCTTCCATAGCCTGTTTCACCAGAATCTAAGCCCCATTCTTTCTGTAACCTCAAAATGGTATATAAGTCTCTGTTACTCACTGGGAAGCTGGACCATCATTCTGAAGGCTCCCATGCATGCACCTTAAGTACATGTGTATGACTTTTCTCCTATTAATCAATCTGCCTCATGTCTGTGATTTTTAGTGAAACTTTAAGGGGCCAAGAGCCTATGGCTCCCACAAAAGTCACTTGGTCTCTCTGGTTCTCAGAGCCAACACCGCAAGAAGACCTGTTTTTCCTGAGCTCCAGGATCACTCACAGAATTCCACTGCAGATCTCAACACTGTGCTTGCGCCCTATCCCCTTTACCAGACTTTCATTCATTTTGATGAATTTAATCGTTTTGACATCACATCTACAGGAAACTGCATGAGTACCTAAGGGGTGTCTGAAAGACAGCTGTGGCAGCAGCAAACTGCAAGGGGGAACACGCACACCCAACAGGAGAGGAAAGGGAGCCATCTCTCTATTTGGAGCATTTTCCTGGAACAGCCTTTTGCATTGAATCTCCAAGTGCACTGGGTGGGGCCTTTGAGAATCTCTGCTGGAGTATTTTTCAGTCTTTTATAAACAGCACAACCTTATCTTGAAATTAGATCCTAGGTAGAAGCCCAATACACAAATGGATTAAAGCGAGGCTGCATGGGTGGCAGCAGGAGTCAGGAGAGGATGGGCTGGGGCTGGCCTGCCACCCAGGCTCAGGCTCAAAAAACCACAGAGTGACAGATGCAGCTGGACAGGCCAAGTCGGCCAGCAGGCTCTCCCCTCCTCCAAGCCGTGCCATTCTGCTGGGAAAGTACAGCTTTCTTTGTCTGGGCCCGTTCCCCTCCCCCAGGTCCCAGGACATAGCTCAGGCCTCCACGCCTGTTTCCCAGGCTGGAGGACACTCTGTCCCCAACCAGAGTGATCAGCTGCAGCCAGGGCTGTCTGTACCCCAGAGGAGGCCCCCTAGGCGGCATGCCAGCCATGGCTACCTGTCCCAGTGAACAAGCAGTGAGTTGTTCTCCCTTTCCACTTCAGCAGCTGCTCTGCCAGCCGTGCAGAGAGAGACAGTCTGCTGTCACTACTGAGGGACAAAGGCCGCCGAGGGCTTTAGAGCTGCTAGGCATGGGCCGTCTTTCCTTTTTTGTGTTTGTGGGGAAAGTTATTACAGAAGAAGGTGACTGTGATTCTTTCAGTCACCCCCGGGGCCCAATTCCTACAGGCCAGTGGCAAAAGGAACAGAAGATGCCGAGTGAAGTGAGGCTTTCGTGACACGAAATTGAGTCCACTTGAAAGCCTTTTATTTTAAGACTGTGCTGCCTGCTTTTCCTTCTGACAGTGTCCCTTCTTACATAAAACATGGCCAACACAGATGTGGTGTCCTCACTTGGCAAAAGGGAAAACGTACAGGCATCCAAATTAAAATGTTCTAAGCATATCTGTGAAGTCTGAGAGCTTGGTTACCTCTGTTTTCACATTTCCTGAAATTGTGATTTTTATTTTCTTATTTCAGCGTGATTTAAATCAAATAGGTCATAACGAAAGTGACCTGGGAAGCAAAAGAAAGGAGGACAAGTGTGTGGGGCACAGCTGGGAGCCTGAGCTGCTCCCGCTGGTGGAGGACAGCAAGTGCAGGCCACAGAGCAGGTGCAGGCCACGCTGACGGCATTCCTGGGGGGACTAAGTTCCTGACTGCAGTCTGTGGCTACCACATTCGAATTGCCAGCCACAACGGCAGCAGGGCACAGAGGACAATGAAGCTTTAAAAGGCCCCTCCCAGCACCTGTTCGCCAGCAAATGGCAGGAGCCTGGCCAGTGAAGAAGTTGCAGCGTCTGCCGAAACCAGGTGCCTCTGAGGGGGTACCCTCAGCCAAGCATTTTTGTGGTGAGAGCCGGCTGTCTGGTTGTAGATGGCAGGCGGCGACTCAGCAGCTGCTGCTCCCACCTCCTTCCACACTGCTGTCCCCTCCTGCTGCCCAGTTCCAATCACCAGACCCCTCCTCTCCACTCCCGCCATCATCCCTCTGGCTCAACTCACTCCTCCCTGCCCCAGAAGACTCTGCACTGTCCAGGTGGAGGTGATGGAGACCAGGGGAGTCCAGGAGAGGCGGGCACAGAGCTCCCCTCCACCTCCACTCCCGCCTTGCCCTGGACTGACCACACAGGCCCAGCTCACCTTTACTCCCCGCTGCGGTTCTGGCCTCTCACTGACAGGTCTCTCTGAGTCCAGTCCAGCATCCAGGCCTCCCTGATACAGCTCCCCTTCCTCTGAGAGCCTGGCCCTGAGCAGCCATGTAGATCGCAGACCAGCCTTCCCAGTGGGCAAGACTTCTGGCTTCTGCCCTTGTTTCAAGGCAAAGCAATTTGGGACAAGAAAACCATTTCCAGTCCTCCTGCTCCCCCCTTACACCTTAAACATACATTCTCTGCTCCTGGAACCCCCTGAACCACTCCTCAACTTCCCCACCAACCAGGCTCACCTCTAGCCTATGGAAGAGAAGATCCACAGAAACAAAGATCTTCTTAGCTATGGTTTTCGGGCCAAACGTGCTCAAAATGGGCACTGTCCAATATCCCGATTGCCTGGGGCTGGGAGTGCAATGCAGAGGGGCAGACCCCTCTGGGTGCCTGCTGCTGCAGGGCTGCTCTGGAGGCTCTCTACGGCTGCCCTCACCTGTGCTGTCCACTGCCCCAGGCCTGTGTGCCACATGTCACTGCTGGGGACATAAGGGCCCTGTGAGACAAAAGGGTCCCAGAATCTTTTGGGTCATAGAGTCCTTTGGAGTCTCTTGAAAGCTTAGTGCACTCTCCCCAGAAAATGCATGTATGTGCATGTTGTTGCAATCTGCATCCACGTGCAAACACACACACAATTTGCATATCACTGCAGGGAGATGAGACAGCTCTTGTCCATGTACTCCCAGATCCCCAGATCTTAGGTTTAGAATCTCTGCTGAAACCTGTCACAGCAAGAAAGAGGAGGCAGAGGAACGTTGTAGAGCCTTGCATGTGAGTTTTGCTGTGGCATTAACTTGGCCTGTGATCCTAGCGTGTTGCGCCGTCTCTTGGGCATCAGTTTAGCCAGAGCTGTTGTGGCAGCTGATAGAGAGTCTTCAGGGCTCTTCCCAGCACTGCAGCTATGGGGCTCAATGACACCCCACCCCTGCTTCCCAAGGTCAGGCAGGGCAAAGGGAGGGGGTTCCGGGCCTCTTCCTCAACAGTATATCCTAGGGCAGAAGGTGGGACAGCCAGAAAAGGAGACCCCGGGAACTACAAGTTTCTCTTTTACAAAAATAAGAAAACTGTTGAAGCTTTAGGAAGTGCAGCCACTTCTTATTTGATTTTCTTTATTTTAAAACAATTTCCCCAAACATACTCTGTGAGAGAATAACCACCTAGCCTTTGCAAGGCTCTGGGTTTAAAGCTCTGCTCTGTGACTGCCTGGCTCTGTTACCTTAAGCAAGTCCAGTTCCCTCTCTGAACCTTGGGCTCCTCATCAATTAAATAACTATAATCCTCGATGACTTCTGTGAAGACGAATGAGGAGACCTGTAAGATGGGCCTTGTGTTGGGCTCACCCATAATGAAAAGAGGCTCCCATTACTATTCTTATTGACACTGGGAGTTGGGGGCTCTGGAGAGACTGTGGAGCCCCAGAGATGGGAATGTGAGGCCTGCCTGCAGGAGTGGCCATGAATGAGGAGAGAGTCTGAGCTGACACCTGAAACCAGGCCCCAGACCCCAGGGGCCCAGGGCAGAGGGCTTTCTGGCAGATCCCCTAGTTAGGTCTCCCCTTTGAGGCTTTGCACGTCCAGAATCTGAACTCTGACACACACCCAAGTTTCGTTCATGTTCTTTGTTATCTGTCATGGTCCACTTGGTCCTGACCCAGGGCGACCCTGGACCTTGATTCTGTTCTCGACCTCCAGGCTACCCACTGGAGCTTCATGGTGGAAATACAACCCAATCTCCTGAGTTTCAGACAGACACTTTAATCTGTAGCATCAACCTTTTTGTTGTCAAATCACCAGCACTACACACTGAGAGAATTATGGCTAGAACTAATGACAACAGCCTTCACATACACTGACAAAGTGCTGAAACAGCCCATGACAATTTCCGGCCAGCATTTTTTTAACCTAAGTTTAATGAGTTTCATCTCTCCTCTTCCCTCCCTTCCTCTTTCTCCTCTGACCCTCTCCCTTCCTGTCTTCTCCCCTAACCTGCTGTCCTGGCAGAAGTAGCTAAGGAACCACACAGAGGAACAGAAGGCAGGATGGTCTACATTTACCTGTTACTTCACCAATTCACTTCTAACTTAAAAAAAAATGGTTTCTGGCAACAAATCCTGATTGACACCTTAGTACTGTGGGCAGTTAAACTACAGCAAAGCCAGCGAGGGGCTCCTCTGTGAGTGCAAAGCATAGCTTTGGAGTCTAACCTGCTTGGGTTCAAATTCCAGAAGCCCAGCCCTTATTTGCTGTGCGACCTTATTTAATTCCTATGTGAAATGGGGCTCCTGAAGCTGTCCTTACTGTGTTTTAAGAAAGTGCTGGCCCTGGCCTGGGCACTGATTCTGGTGTGAGAGGAGGCCTCCCTCCCTCCGCCGTGCCAGGTTAATGAAAACACTGAGGCATGTTTTGGAAGTGGGAAGTGCAGGATGGGACCGGAGTCAGGAGCCCAGAAGAGCAGGGCAGCAGGCAGGCTGACCTTCGGAGACTAAGGGTGAAGAGCAAGAGACTCAGGGGCACAACAAGCCCTGGGTTCAAATCCTGGCTCCATCACCAACTCATCCGGTAAAGGTGGACAATTTTATAACTCTTTAAGCCTCAGTTTTCACATCTGAAAAGGGGATAACGAAAGTAGGACTCTCACTTGCTGTGAGGAGTAAGAGGCATATCGTGTTAAAGCACTTGGCCCAGAGCAAGGCGAGCCCTCTACAGACAGCGATTGTGAGACAGACCCCCCCTGCTGCTATTATCTTGGCGTTCGATTTCCATCAGTGAAATCAGAGTTGTGCCAGAGGCCTCTAGGCTCTCTCCCCAACTCTAGGATCAGTGCTTCTAGGAAACTGGTTAAGGACAAGGTGAACAAAAAAGGTGTAGCCAGTGGCCGGGCTCATCTGTCTTGCTCAGGTTGTAGCCCCTAAATTGCTTAACAGAGGTGCCAGGCGCAGTGCCCCCTCTCAGCAATGAGCCCGAGGCCCGCAATGCGCCAGGCTGGCGGGGGAGGGACCCTGCGCGCTGCGGCCGAAGGGCACAAGTGCCCAGGCTTCAGCGTCCCTGCCTGGTGGCAGTCCTGGGTCGGAGGGGATGCTCCATGGACGCCCAAGCACTCTCCTGCTCGTTCATCACTCACCGTCCAGTCATCGCGCAGTCCAGAAGCCACTGCATGTGTCGTGTCCTCGCTTGCACCGGAGCTGCGCCCGCAGCGCCTGCTGACCCCAGGCTTCAGCTGCTCGGGGCCAGGCCCGCCCCTCGCCCCGCCCCTCGCCCCTCGCCCCGCCCCGCTCCCCGCCTCTCGCCCGGCACGGCCAAAGGTGCCGCCCCGGTCTCTCCGTCCCGCCCCGAGCACGCCCCTCACTCCGCACCGGCCAATGGCACCGCCCCGTCCGCCCCGCTCTGGGAACGCCGGTAGGTTCCGGGTGCAGGGCGGTGGCCTAGGGGCGGCGGGGAAGATTTGGGGCCTGCGACCTGCCAGGTGTCCCCAGGCCATTGTTCAGCTCGCCGCGCGCTCCCGAGTTCCCGAGGGCGCCCCGGGACGCGAGGAGAAAGCAGCCCGACTCAGCCCCGAGAGGTTCGGTGTGCGGGCAGCGGCCAGGGACTTTGCGGGGTAGCGCGGACTCCTGGACTTCCAACAAGGGCCGCTGCGCAGGCGCTGCAATCACTGCAGGCACTTGTCTGCATGCCTGGTGGGGCTTGGAGTCTGGGGAGGCTTATCAGTAAAGCCCAGAGCATTTGCTATTTATTGCTCAAGGGGCACCTTTGTACAGTCTGGCCGTTTGCTTGGCATGGCCTCTTAGAACTCCTTATTGTTTAAGAAATCCGATCTGGTGAATAAGAAGTTAGTCTTTCTCTCCCAGTCACTGCCTCCTGGACGAATATTTGCCAGCACGGAGGCAGAGAGGACAGAAAACCACAAGCCATTTGGGGAACTGGGAACAGTTCAGTGTTTCTGGGGTGTGGGGGTGTCAAGGTGGGGGATGGGGTTGATGGAAAACATTTGCAATTTCTGCTTTACCTCACGATTCCCAGCTCTGACCTCTGGACCTGTTCTCTCCCACCCCTAACATAAATCATTTTAGTTTCATTCAGTGTGCGTTTCCTAATATTTTTAGGGTCTCATGGCCATTTTAGAATCTGATATGGATCTTCTAGAAAGTGCAGGTGGCCATATGCACCAAAATCAGCCTGGGATTTGAGTCTCATGGGTCCCTGAACTTCGACTTAGAGGGGCTGTGCTAATGCTTGTATGGCTGCTGTATGACTTATGTTGGAACCCCCACCTGCAAAAAGTGACAGGACTGAAGATACCCAGTCCAGGGGCCCTCCCGTTTCTGCGTTTGCTTGAATTTTTGGAGAATGGCCCATCCTTTGACAGCTCTGAGGCTCCCTGTGGTTGGTGACTTGTCATGACACATTTGCTCTTCCACAGCCCTCATCAAAGCTGAGACAAATAATCGGGTGCTTCCAAAGGTTTTTTAAAAGTGGGTAAAATTCAATATAACTGTCAACCTCTGAGCATGAGATCCTAAGAATTTAATCACTCCTGATAGGAGAAGTAAACATAGCACCAGGGTGACATAACAGTTTCCCTGGGCTCTCCAGAACTCGAGTGTGAATCATTCTCTCTGACCTAATTAATGCTGTTCACAGGGCCATGACTGGCTCTGAGTGAGGACTGGGTTTGGGACAGCAACCCCATGTGTCCTGTGCACCCATTGTGGGCTCAGACACTATGCTAGTGCTTTACATTGGGGATCCCATGCAATTCCCCCAGCACTCCTGGGCAGTTGGTGTTACTGCTTGCATTTTTTAAAATTTCCATTTTTATTTTAAATTTAGGGGATACACGTGCGGGTTTGTTACAATTGTACATTGTGTGGTACTGAGGTTTGGGATTGATCCTGTCACCCAGATGGTGAGCATAGTACCCAATAGGAAGTTTTTCACCCCTCGCCCCGCTGTCTCCCTCCCACTTTTGAAGTCCCCAGTGTCTATTGTTTTTATCTTTATGTCTAGGTGAACCCGATATTTAGCTCTTTTGCTTGTAAGCGAGAACATGTGGTGTTTGCTTTTCTATTTCTGCATTAGTTCGCTTAGGATAATGGCATCCAGCCACATCCATCCTGCTGCAAAGGACACGATTTTATTCTCTTTTATGGCTGTGAGTGCTTGCATTTTACATCAGACACAGGTGTCCATTGTCAGCGTCCTCCCCTCAGAAGGGGAGGGTCCATTGTCAGACCCCTCAGAAGGAGGGGTCACCTTTTCTTTCAGGGTTCAGTAGAACTGGGTGTGGTCTCCAGCTCACTTATGGTGGAGGCTACAGATACTGTTGGTTGCCAGCCAATGTCCATTTCCTTCTTTGGAAAAAAGAAAGATAGGAAAGAAGGAAAAGGACAAAAAGGAAGGAAGGAAGGAAGAAAGGGAAAGAGGGAGGGAGGAAGGAAGGAAGGACGGAAGGAAGGAAGGAAAGAAGGAAAGGAGGGAAGGAAGGAAGGAAAGGAGGGAAGGAAGGAGGGAGGGAGGAAAGAGGGAATGGGGAAGAGAGGAAAGAGAGAGGGAGGGAGGGAAGGAAAGGAGAGAGAAATACCCACTTGTCTGTAGCAGCAACATGCCAGCCCCTAGTTATGGCTCATGCCCACTTGTATTTTTCATACTCTACTTACAACCCAATAGTGGGTCATGAAATTAATTTAGTTGATGATGTGACTAGTACTTCAAAAATGCAAGGGAAAATACCAGTGTACAGCACAAATAGTAAATATAAGTTGTGTTTTGTGGAACTTTTTGTTTGCATTGTTTATGTTTCAGTTATGTGTGCTTCTTACTGTGGGTTACAGTTAAAAAAAACAAAACAGCTGTCTAAGTCTTGACAATCCTTTTCATAGCTTTTTTTCAGTGAAGCTAGAAGTGGCCATACGACCTACTTCTGGACGCAGAGATGGGGGAAGGTGTCCTGGGGGAGGAGAGATCTGAGGGATGGTGAAGATAACTTTTGCTTTTCTGGTAGAAAGAACAGATGTCTCTCCTGCCTGCCTGTCTCAAATGAGGACATGATGTGTAATGTCTGGAGCACTGGCAGCCATGTTGAGATCATAAAGCAACATGTCCGCATGCTGAGGCTGGCAGAGCATAAAGATCAAAGGTGTCTGGATCCTTCTTAACATCATGGAGCTTCTGCACCAACCCTGCACTGCCTACTCCAGACTCCCTACCATGGAGAAAAATTAGCCCCTATTTCTTCAAGGCAGAGGTTGGTAAACCTTTTCTGTACAGGGCTGGATAGTAAATATTTTAGGCTTTGTGGGCTAAATGGTCCGTGTCACAACTACTCACCACTACTGGGGTAGTTTGAAAGTAGCCATAGACAATATGTAAACCAAAGGACATGGTTGTGGTTCTCATAAAACTATTTTAAAAAATGGATGGCAGGGCTATAGTGTGCCAACCCCTTCCCTAGATGATCTTGTCCCCTAATTGTCTCTCTGACCTCATCTCCTCCTACTGCCTCTCCTTCTCCCTGCTCTGATCACACTGTTTCTCCCACACACCCAGCCTGTTCCTGTCAGGGTCATTCCTTCCCTTGGAGGGCTCTTTCCCCAGATGTCCACAGCGCTCCCTCCTTCCCCTGCTTCAGGTCTTTAATCACAAATCACCTCCTTTTTCAGGTCGTCCCTGGGCCCTCTGTAAAATGCCCGTCCCTGACCCACGCATACCACTCTGGCATGCTGTATATTCCAGTCTTTATCATGAGCTCCTAGAGGAAGAGACACTATGTTTCCTTAAAAACTGATTCTGTCTGGATTGTCACAGTGTTTAATCAATATCTGATGTATGATTGATTTTTTTTTTTTCTTTTTGCCAGATTCAGGTAAGAAAACAAACTCAGGGAGGCTGAGTTCCCCCTCCAAATGACATGTGCAGATAGTGGCAGAGTCCAGGTTTGTGCCTGATGGCCCAATGTGGTGGTGTCTGTACCACCCGGGAGTGAGGGAAAAACAACATCTACCTCTAATGGAACACACTGGGTCTCAGGGGAGCCAAGGCCACACAGAAGTTCCTGCAAGACTCCTTGCTCCAGGGCGCCGCCCCAGTAAAGGAGGCCTTTGGGAGTCCATTAAGTGAGCAGGGTGTCCTGTTCGTCTTGGGCAATTGCATTCTTTTTGGCCTTCCTACCTCAGAAAGACTTAGGAAATGCTGTTATTCTGCAAACAGTTTGGACTGACTTGTAAGATCCGTAAAAAGACAAATGGAAACACTCATGAGCCAGTGTTTTTATGAAAGAGCCGCAAAGGATAAATTTATGTTTAATTCGCAAGTAGGGAAGCTCATAAGAGCCTAAGAGCTTGATAAAGGCTACTGGGCCCATCTGTCAGGCAGGCTGCTCTGTGTGGTTTTGGCTTGAGGCATCTTGGCACCAGGGCACAGCTTCCAAAAGACCGAAAAATTACCTTCTTCCCTTTGGTGCTCCCAGGGGGAAATGCCTGGGTACAATCACATGTTGTTGAGATGTCATTTAGATTTTTGAGTCCTGAAAAATAGGTTTATATATCTTGATGTAAATGATATTAATAATGAGAACCATTTTCAAGCCATTCTCTTAAGACAGTAAGTGGGATTTTGAATTAATTTCTGATAGATCTGATTGATTCCTTAAGGCCTTTTATGGATGGCTTCATGTGATTTTTTCCCCCTTCATTGTATCCAACATTAAATTAAAAACAAATGACTTTTATTTCTCTTTCTTCTTTTTCTTTCTCTTTCTTTCTTTCTTTCTTTCTTTTTCTTTCTTTTTCTCTTTCTTTCTTTTTCTTTCTTTCTCCTCTCTCTCTCCCTTCCTCCCCCTTCTTTCCTTCCTTCCTTTCTTTCTCTCTCTCTCTCCTTCCTTCCTTCCTCTTTCCCTCCCTCCCTCCCTGCTTGCTTGCCTTCCTTCCATCCCCTTCCTTCCTTCCTTCCTTCCTTTCTCTCTCTCTCTCTCTTTCTTTCTTTCTTTCTCTCTCTCTCTGTCTCTCTTTCTTTCTTTCT
The DNA here is from genome assembly GCF_000001405.40 of Homo sapiens. Taxonomy (NCBI): domain Eukaryota; kingdom Metazoa; phylum Chordata; class Mammalia; order Primates; family Hominidae; genus Homo; species Homo sapiens. The sequence goes on along the minus strand of NC_000010.11, from coordinate 44,954,974 downwards.
TTCTCTCTGTCTCTCTCTCTCTTCTTCTTTTTTGGCAAGTCTTGCGTGCTCTGTCCCCTAGGCTGGAGTGCAGTGACAATCACAGCTCATTGCAACCTCGACCTCCTATGCTCCAGCGATCCTCCCACCTCAGCCTCTTGAGTAGCTGGAACTATAGCCATGGGTCACCACACCTAGCTAATTTCTAAATTTTTTGTAGAGACAGGGTCTCTCTATGTTGCCCAGCTGGTCTCTAACTCCTGGACTCAAATGATCCTCCTGCCTCGGCCTCCCAAAGTGCTGGGAATTCAGGCGTGAGCCCTGATGCCCTGCCACAAATGACCTTTTCAAGCAATTTTTCAAAAAGTCTGTGTGATTCCAAATGTGTATTCTTTAGAAAACAGTTGATGATTGTGCGTGCTTGGCAGGAAGAGACCACGTACAGAACGTTTCTTGCTCTGTTTGCTTTGGTGAAATCCTCGAGCAATGAGGTTATCCCATTGCATGATCTTAACGTACAGAAGACTTTGTATTTACCATCAATTTTCAGGTGAATTCTCAAAAAATCTGCATACCACTTATCTTTCCTTTCTATGTGAAATAGTTTTCATTAACTCCATTTGTTAGCATATAAATAATAACTTTAGGTTAATGTATTTTACTCTTCAACCCATACCAGAGGCAGGCTAGAAATGATAATTTATTCTCCAAATGCACATAAAGTTTAATGATGTATGCTGCATAAGTGCCTTCTTGTTAAACACACACACACAAGTGCACAGATTTTATGTATTATTTTTCCATTATGATTATGCTTTAGAAAAGCCTTTGCATGCCACCCTGCAGAACTAATAAGTGCCTGAGCACAGAGTTTCCTAGGATGGGGGGAGCTTGCTTTAAAAGATGGTATAGTTAAAAATTGCTGCTGAAACTTGCTTTTGAGGAAAAAATAAGTACTTGGCTCAAGCACTTGGTCTCTACTTGGTCTCTGAGAAAAGGGTAAGCTATCTAACACATGTCTACTCCAAACACATCTGTGAGGACAAGGATGGTCTGAAAGCCCACATGCAGAGAACATAACTAGGCCTGGTTTGTTGATAGCTTTTTCCCTTTGTCCTCACCTCCCTATCTTCCTGCTACTGGAAATTATTTATCTATCTATCTATCTATCTATCTATCTATCTATCCATCCATCTATCTATCTAGATATAGATATAGATTTATCCAACAGAACAAAGGCTGGAAAAGGACATCTCTCCACTTTCCTAGGCTGCCCCTGCCTCCCCAGGACTGTGTCACCTCCCCACCCATCCACACTTCACCACCCTTCTACCTTTGCCTTGGGCTGTTCTCCTGTGGGGCACAGAGAGTGTGGGGCTCCTGGTAAGCTGATTATTATTAATGGGCGTTGTAACTGCTGTGAGTTGATAACATCTTAAAAATAAGACAAAAATAATTACGGTGATGCAAGACTCCTGAACAAACTGCATTTTCAATATAACTCTAATTTTAACATCAGAAAGCAGCTTTATGTTGGTCAATATTTTGATCATTTAACAAACAGCAGCACTGTAAAAGGAAAGTAGGCACAAAACAGTTCAGTGTAGGAGGGTTTACAGAAGGACGGCGCTTCTCAAAGGAGAATGTCTTAAAAATGGATTTTCCTCCACAAAGAGCCTGGTGTTGCAGCTTGGGCTCCAGAATTCTTATGAATGGTGAGATATAACTGAGATGCAAAGCTGTGAACTAGTAAGTGATCAGGACCTTCCCTCAAGCCAGGATGTGAAACAGCCAAAGGAAGTGGAGACCTCCCAGATGGAAAAGGAAAGGAACCTTGAGAGGGCACAGCACATATGCACAAACAAGGGCGATCTGTCCAGCTCCTGGACTGCACATTTTAAAACACACCATCCTCAGGGTATTCTGGGAAAACCCACCAGCCAGACAATGTGGCTACTCCCATGTCCTGGAGGGAAGCTCTGTCCTGTCTATCTCTTTTAAGTATGCAGCTTCCAAGGAATGTAAAACATTCCCCAAGGGGGAAGGGCCAAACTGCCCCACAGCTAGCTAGACTTGACCTGTTAACCCTGTGTTTAAAGATGCTTCAGTTGAGTTGACCTCACCTCCCAGCCTGCCATCAAAGCCACCTCTGTTCAGCCTCCCGTTTGATGGGGGCTGCCCATGCCCAAGCTGCCTTCCCAGTCCTCCTAACTGTGAACTAAGGACTAGTGTTTAAGAAAGGATAGAGCCATGTAATTGCAAATTGTCTTAAGTTTTGTCTCATTTGGGGATCATCTCTGTCTTTTTACCTTGAAAATGAATGCTCTCAAAATAATGAATAAGCTGTCGACCTTACAACTGAGACAGAATTAGAATGATTAGTGTATTAATCAGGGTTATTCCAGAGAAACAGTATATATATTTACATATATCTCCCATTGAGGTCAAGAAAGACATGGGTGTAGCTAGCTAGGTAGTTCACTATACAGCTAGATAGATAGATTATAAGGAATATTTGGCTCATGTAATTGTGGGCTGCCAAGTTCAAAATCTGCCGGGCTGACCCCAGCAGGCTAGAAATTCAGGTAAGTTGATGTTACAGTGTTGAGTCTGAAATCTGCAGGCCAGCAAGGTGGAAACTGAATCAGGGTTTCCATGTTGCAGTCTTGAGGCACAATCGCTTCTTTTTCAGGGCACTTCAATCTTTGCTCTTAAAGCCTTTAGTTGATTGGATGAAGCCCACCCACATTACAAAGGGAAGTCTTCATTACTCAAAGTCTGCTGATTTATATGTATGTGTCATCTGAAAAAATACCTTCACAGCAACATCGAGACTGATGTTCGATCAGACACACAATAGGCTAACCAAGTGGACACCTAGAATTAACCATCACAACCAGTAAGCATGGAGAGTTTGACCCACAGCTCGTACTCATGTTTTATCAGGACAGACTCTGTAGCAGAGTGTGGCCTGATGCCAGGGCATTCCAAGGTTCCTTAGCATGTAACGGTGCCTCTTTTTCCTGGGATTTCATCTACCTGTGCAACCTGTGGCAATTTTTGAGAAATTTTTGCTGCTCCATTGGTCTAATGAGTCGACCTTAGGGATTGGCAAACATTTTCTGTAAAGGGCCAGATAATGAATATTTTCCTATTTGCAGGCTGCACTATCTCTCTTGCAACTGCTCAAGCAAAAGCAACCATAGGCAATATGTAAGTGAATGAGTGTGGCTGTGTTCCAATAAAACACTATTTACAAAAATAAGCAGAGGGCCTGATTTGGGCCATAGGTGAAGAAGAGTTTATATGGTATCTCCCTTTGGCAGGGATATTTTCTCCCCGCCAAACATGGTGAAGGGCGTGGATAAGTGACACTCTGGGCTGGGATGCTTTTAGTTGTGAGGAGTAAAAAACCCAAACAATGGGGATTTTATGACCTCACGTAATAAAAATCCCCAGCAATGGGTAGCTCCAGACTTGGTTTATTCAGTGTCTCAAAGTAATCTTGAAGGACCCAAGTTCGTTCGTTCTTTGCTCATTGCCATCTTCAGCATATTGGTTTAATTCTCCTTGATATTTGCAAATGATTTCTGTGCTTTCCCTCAGACATGCCGACATTCAGGGGAAGAAGAGGAAGAGTGTTCCAATGAGGCTCCGTTTATTTTTTTATTTTTTGAGACAGGGTCTCACTCTGTTTCCCAGGCTGGAGTGAGTGGCACGATCACAACTCACTGCAGCCTTGACCTCCCAGGATCAGGTGATCCTCCCACCTCAGCCTCCTAAGTAGTTAGGATCACAGGTACATGCCACCACACCTGACTAATTTTTTGTAGAAACGGGGTCTCACTTTGTTGTCCAGGCTGGTCTCAAACTCCTGGGCTCAGGCAATCCTCCCGTCTTGGCCTCCCAAAGTGCTGGATTTACAGGTGTGAGCCATGGCGCCTCACCTGGGGATCCTTTTAGTACTGAGGGAAGGAAACCTTTCCCAGAAGCTTCCCAGTCACCTTCCCTTTCTTCCCATTGGCCACGACTAGGGTGCAGGCACCTTGGGAAGGGTGGACCACTGTGACTAACCCAATGCAGGACATGGCTGGCCAAGGGGAGGAAGGTACATGAGCCAGGACAATTCAAGCTCCATCAGAAAACGGGGTCAATAGTATCCCCTGGGAGAAGCCGTGCAATGCCTGCCACAACCCTGCAGAGTCCCAGCAGCTGAGGGGGTCTATTCCAGGGGCGAGATCACGGCCTGCAATGTGTGAGCTGGGTCTCAAGAGGGAGAGAGGGAACAGGCTGGAGAGATGGAAGTCTGGGAGAGCAGCTCCTCGGGAGAGCACCATGCATGAGGAGTGAGGCTTGGGGCAGCTGGGAGAGGACCTAGAGATGGGGAGAGAGAGAAGGAGTGTGGCCAGGAGCACAGGGGGCCACTCAGGCCAGAGAAGTGGGAACTGAAAATGCTCTGGTGAAGGGGAGAGCAGCAGCTGGGCCTGAGACCAGAAAAGCCCCCATGGGCTGCTGGAGGCTCGGGGAGGTGGCAGTGAGCTCTGGGCTCAGGGCACAAGAGGCTTTTGGAGGCTGGGTGCTGGCTGGACTCTGTTTGCCAGCCTTCTCTGTAAGTCCCAGGCATTAGAGCACAGCAAGCAGGAATAACAGGAGCCCTGGGCCCTTAGAAGGAAACTGAGGAGAAGCCTGGATGTCCATGCTGTGTTCCTGAGTTTTAAGGTGACATTTTCTTGGCCACTTTTTATCTGCATGGTGTTGGGGAGACCCTGCTGAGGCTAGGGTTCTTGTTCTGGTCTTGGAGGTGGCACGGCTGGGGCCTGGAGGGAGAGCTTGGCACAGCTCCCAGGCTCTGCTGGGGCCCAGCTCCGCTCAGGAATTATCAGTCACTCAGAGAAAACTCAAAGGGCACTAGGCCTCCAGCAGTCAGCAGCAGTCACAACCAAAGTGGGGAGTGGCTCCATTTGCCTTCTCCACCTGAGCTAGTGCTCCCCTTTCTCATGCTTCCTTTATCCCCCACATTGATGAGCCACTTTTTCCTCCTCTTCATCTGCACTGCCACACCCCACCCCGAACACTTAGCATCCCAGGTGACTTAGCTGGAGGGAACCTGCTATGGACTGAATTGTATTCCCCTAAATTTATATGTAGAAGCTCTAATCCCCAGTGTGATGGCGTTAGGAGGTAGGGCCTTTGCAGGGTGATTGGATCATTTGCATGGAACCCTCTTGCATAGGATTAGTGCTTCTGTAAGCAGAGACATAAGAGAGATGACTTCTTTCCTCCACGTGAGACTATAGCAAACAGGCAGCTCTCTGTGACCCAGGAAGCCAGCCCTCCCTAGAACCTGACCATGCTGGCACCCTGATCTTGGACTTCTAGCCTCCCCTCCAGAACTTCGAGGAATAAATGTTTGTTGTTTGAGCCACCCAGTGTATGGTATTTGTTATGGCAGCCCAAACTGAGTGAAACAGAACCTTAGGGGTTACCTGGTCAAAACCCCCCTTGTTCAGATGATGAGAGGAGAGAGGCCCAGGCCATCAGGCAGGTGAGGTCTGTGGCCAGCCTCAGACTTTAGTTTCCTGATGGCATTAAGAATCTCTGCTCTGAGCCTGGAATGAATACAGGCTCTACCTGTTTTTAGCTGTGTGCAAATTACCACGCACTGTGGTTTCCCATCTATAGAATGGGGCTGTAAGGGACCTGGCCTCACAGGCTCTGGGGATTAGAGGAGATGGAGCAGGCAAAGCACTGAATCCACTGAGGTCTCAGTGCTCTCAGTGATTATCATCATTGTTGTTGATACGCCTGCTTGCCTTATATTCTTTTTACTGCACAAACGCCTTGTTACATATGGAAAATAAATCCACCTGCTTCAGACTCTGATGGACTTGGCCATGCTTCCTTTGTCCCAAGATAGACAATGATGTGCATGATAAGATTCCAGCTCTGCTTCCGAAGCTCAACTCAAATCTACCTTCCCAGACTTCCCTCTGCCTGACTTCCTCTCTCATAGCATACTGTTTGTGATTTTACTGTAGTGCCATGTCTGCCTCATGTCAGTCACACATTTGGCTTGTCTAGAGAGCACACAGCATGCCAGACTCACTCCTTCAGCCCAGCACCTTGTGTGATGCCTGGTCCACACAGTAGGTGCTTAGTAAATGTTTGCTGAGTTAAACCGACTTTTGCCCTTAGCAACCTATTCTCTAAGTTTATGCTGGTGCTGTTGGTTTAAAAGAAAGGAACATGTTTCAATGTGGAAAGAGGAACTCAAGACTTGGGGCCTGCAAATACCTCATCCAGTTTCCTGGAAGCTGGAAACTGAAGCTATAGTGGGCTGGTGGCATCCTCACCCCTGGCGGAGCGTGTGCAGCCTCAGGTAGAAGCACCTATTTAGGGACAAATGAATAATCAAAGGCATGGCCCATTTGCTTTACTCTTTATCTGCTCTTTAAAGGGAAATTTGATTTGAAACTCACAGAGTCTTCCATATCAATGAGGTGGTAAACATCTGCTTGGATGGGCTTTTGCTCCTGCCCCAGTTATTCCCAGTACAACCTTCTGTGGTTCTGATGCTCCCCATTTCCTCCAGATCCCTGTCCTGAGACTATGCAAGCTTTCCAGAAGCTCATACTGTAAAAAGAATTGCACAGCATATGTTTAGACTCAGTGCTGGATTTTCCTTGGGCTTGCTCTTAAGTTTGGGCAAATGCCCCCTGGTAATGTGCACAGCTGGGCATCCCTGAGGCTTGGAGCTGGCAGGACCTTTTGGGATGGCCTTATCCCTTGGGTTTCATGTGGGGAATGACCCAAGACTCCAAATCCCAGCAGAGTCAAGTGGGACCATACTCCTGGACTCCTGACTTCCTGGATGCTGCTATTCTTTCTATGCAGCTGTCTCACCCTTGTCATAATGGGAAACTCAGGGCATAACATTCCACTTAACTGCAACTTGGCTTCTCGAAATACCTCTTCTCTTCTGTGCAAAGATCATGACTCGGTTCTTCCTTCTTCTGTGGACCGTAACAAGCCATTCAGCCAGTCAAGCAAGTCCCATGGGAAATCCCCATTTTGGCCAACAGAGACAGTTCCTCTTTATCTCCCAAGAACACTACCCTTTTGCTCCCCTTTCCAGGTAGTCAAACAGCTGACTGTTCATCAGCAGGCTAGCAGCTGAGCCCGGGGCTTTGAGGGACAGATGACAGCTGGATGGCTGACCAGCTTGCAGAGAAAGCTTGAAATCTTGGGCACACAGGGAATGGAGCAAGAGATTTTCCCATTTGGACATACCAAAGGATAAGTTCTCTTTGAGAGATTGGTGAGGAGTGAGATGGGGTAGAATTCCAGGAAAAGGGAATGAAGTTTGTTTCTCAGGCAAACATGCCATCAGCAAGGTATGGGCTCTAGGCTGAGCTGACAGCAGCAGACAGGGCTTGATGAGCGTGACTTCCAGCCTGCAGAGAGAGCTGCATTCCTGCAAGAAGGGAGCAAATGGCCCCAGAGCAGCTGTAGGCACCAATGTCCCAGGAAAGAAGCATTCCGGGGCCAGGAAGATCCTGCCAATACTTCACTTATATCATAATATTTAATTCTTAGCCATTTGTGGATGTCAGTACATTATTATTGCTTTTTTTCTGTTTTTTTTTTCTTCTTGTATTATTATACTTTAAGTTCTAGGGTACATGTGCACAACGTGCAGGTTTGTTACATATGTATACATGTGCCATGTTGGTACGCTGCACCCATTACCTCATCATTTACATTAGGTATATCTCCTAATGCTTTCCCTCCCCCCTCCCCCCACCCCACAATAGGCCCTGGTATGTGATGTTCCCCTTCCTGTGTCCAAGTGTTCTCATTGTTCAATTCTACAGAATGGGAGAAAATTTTTGCAATCTATTCATCTGACAAAGGGCTAATATCCAGAATCCATTATTGCTTCTTTACAAATGGAGAAACAGGCTCAGAGGAGTTCCACTAGCTGGTCACACAGCTGGTGAAGGGCAGATATAGGGCTCAAGCCTAGGTCTTGTGTACTTGATGGTCAAAGTTCTCATCAGTGCACTCTATTTCCTCATGGTCATGGTAAAAAAGTAAAAATTAGGAGCAGTACTTTAGGACTCAGTAGCTCAGATGCCCCGTTTTATAGCAAAACAACTATTTTACTGGAGAAAATGACAAATATTAATTCATTTAAATCTCTGGAAATTGTCCTAAGGGCACACAGCAAATGGAGAAACATTCATTTAATAAAATCTACTAAATTTTGGTAAAAACAGTGAGGGAGGGTCCATGGCATTTGAACCATGACCCACTCCCCTACCCTCTCTCAGCTCTGCCTTATGGAAACTCTGCTCTAGGGTCTTTACTCTGGGCAGGTGTGGTCAAGAACACAGGGGCTTCCTCTCCCTGTAGCCCTCAGTCTAGGCTATAATTTCACTCCAGGAGGGGCAAGATGCTGGTGTGTCTCATCCCACTTGGCCCTGTGTTGCAGAAGCTCTATTCTAGGGAGGCACGGCCAAGATAACTTAGGTTTACTTTCTCTTCTGAGCACCGAGTCATTTAGCAGAAGCTCTATTACAGGAGCAACAGACTGAGAATACTGGAGCCTTGATTACTCACCCTAACTCACTCCTAGGGCAGAGGTTTCACACTGAAAGGGGCAAGCTGAGAATACCAGGGGCCACTTCCCCTAGAACCTACTTGTAGAGCAGAGGTTCCCCTAGTACCTACTTGTAGAGCAGAGGTGCCTCTTCAGGGAAGCAGGTAGTTCCCACTCCCAGCTCCTGTGCAGTGCTGCAGACATTCTACCCGGGGAGAAAGCAGACAGTAAGAATGAAGAGCTTATAGCTCTGCCTGAGAGGAAGGATTTTGTTCAGGACAGGATGTGGATAATTCTGTGCAACATACTGTTATTGAAAACAATGAATAGCTTGGGGAGAGCAATTAAAAGTGCTCGTAACTCCGTGAAACTGGTAGCAAAAAACAAAAGGGCAGGACACCCAGAAATTTAACAAATAACTGGGAAAAGAGACAGCCAAGATCCCAAGAGCCCTCTTGGCATCACAGTCAATTCTGGGAATTGGGAAGCCTGGGCAAATACTAGGCTGTACCCACTCAGGAGCAATCAGAGCAGAATGTGGGGCAACTTGAAAACACTCCCCAATTTACACACAAATCCACACACAAAAAAAGTATAGATGCCTCACTGGCACGAGGGGCTTAAGCACATGCTCTGACCAAACCCTAGACTGGGGCAACTCCTAGAAAGCTAGGCCAAAAAAATAAAATCACATACATCTCAGGCAGTCTAGATCACAGTTTTGTAGGCTCAAGATTGTGCCCTCTTAGAAGTGATCAGAGAAGAAACATCCAAGCTACTGGTCCCTAGATGAATGTAGGAATAAATGTAACCTCTTTGAATTTTGGTAGAGGCCTCCAAGCCTTATGCCCCTAGTTAGATACTTACTTAAGAGGTAAGTGTCTTACTGGTTAAGGGGTCTTAACCACAACTTTTGACCAGTAAATGGCTTATGCTGACCCAGAAGAAATTCTGAGGTAACCAGTCTAAAAGATAAGGACAGGGAGCAGGGACATCAGAAGCCAAACATTGGGGAAAAAGTGACTGACTTCATAGAATTAGCCCATACCAGTCAATAAACAAACAAATGAATAAACAAACAATAACAAGAGACCAGGTGAAAAAGGAGGGAGAATCAGTATCCAGAACTGATACCAATTATGTTCTAAAATGTTTAAATGAGAGAGTGTGATCCACAGGGAAAATTGCAAGCAATAGACACAACTTTTGAGGGGGCCCAGATGTTGAACTTAGCTGATAAAGACATCAAAGCAGCTGTTATAAATATGTTCAAAGAACTAAAGGAAACTACATTTAAAGAATGAAATAAAAGTATGATTATATCTTATGAAATAAAAGAGATATAAATTATTTTTAAAACAGACCAAATGGAAATTCTAGATTTGAAAATTACAATAATGAAATTAAAACTTCTCAACAGTAGATTTGAGATAGCAGATGAAAGAATTAGCAAACTTGAAGATAAGTTGACAGAGATTATGCAACCTCAATGACAGTAAAAAGAATGAAGAAAAAGGAACACAGCATCAAACTAATGTGGGACACTATTAAGCACACCAACATATCCATAATGGAAGTATTAGAAGGAGAGGAGAGAAAAAAGGAGAAGAATAAATATTCTAAGAAATAATGGTTGAAAAATTCCCAAGTCAGATGAAAAACATTAATATGAACATCAAAGAAACTCAATTAATTTCAAGAATAAATGCAGAGACCTACATTCAGACACATTTTCGTAAAAATGTTGAAAGACAAAGACAAAGAGAAAATCTTGAAAGCAGTAAGAGAAAAATGACTCAGCACACATAAGGGGACCCCAGTGAGAATAACAGCTGACTTTTCATCAAAAACAATGGAGACCAGAAGGCAGTGTGAAGACAATCAGAGTGCTGAAAGTAAAAACAAAAACAGAAACTGTTGACCAAGAATAGTATATCTAGCAAAACTCTTTCAGAAACAAAGGTGAAATAAAGATATTCCCAGGCAAACAAAACCTGAAAGAGTTTGTTGCTATCAGACATATCCACCTAATAAGAAATACTAAAGAAAGCTCTTCAGGCAATGACAATAGCAGCACAAAGGAGACAGGTGGAAGCAAAACTACATTGCAGAAATGAAATGAAACCAGATGGTAACTTGAACTCAAAGAAGGATATGAAGAGAACTAGAAATGGCAAATAAAAAGGTTAATATAAGAAGTGAAAAATATATACTCCTTTCTTCTTTCAGCTTCTTTATAAGACTTGATTGTAAAAAGTAATAATGACAACAATGTGTTACTGGGTTTGTAATATTTATGGATCTAATATATATTAGTAGTACTATAGAAAATTGGGGACAGAATGGAGCTATACAGGAGTAAGGTTTTTATATTTCAATGGAATTAAGTTAATATAAATCTAAAGTAGATTTTGATATGTTAAGACGTGTTATAATCACTAGAGCAATCTCCAAGAAAATAACTAAAAATATAATTTTAAAAATTATAAAAGGAACTAAATTTTTGCACTAGAAAATATTTATTTATACAAAAGATAGCAGTAAAAGGGGAACACAGAAACAAAAAATATACAAGATATATAGAAAAGTAGAAGTAAAGTAGAGGAGAAAATCAAGAGAAGTTGGTGAATAGGTCACATATATAGCTAGACAGAATATATATATATATAAATATATATATACGTTCTAATGTTTGACAGCAGAGTAGGGTGACTGTAATTAGCAGCGATGTATATTTCAATGTTGCTAGCAAAGAGGAATTGAAATGTTCCCAACATATAGAAATGATAAATACCTAAGGCGATGGATAACCCAAGTACACTGACTTGATGATTATACGTTCTATGCATGTAACAAATACTCTCATGTATCCCATAAATATGTAAAATATTGTGTATCAATATAAAAAAGCAAAATGAGATATATAAATCCTATCATATCAATAACATAAAATGTAAATGAATTCAATGATCAGATCAAAAGGTGGTGGTTACTCTATTGGATAACAAAACAAGATTTAACTCTATGTTGTCTACAGGATACACACTTTAGTTTCAAAGACACAAACAGGTTGAAAGTAAAAGATGAAAACCTGATACACACTTTAGTTTCAAAGACACAAACAGGTTGAAAGTAAAAGATGAAAACTATTCCCTGGGCAAATAGCAATCATAAGAGATCTGGAGTAGCTACAGTAATATCAGACAAAATTGACTTTAAAACAAAAAAGTTACTAAAGATAAAGAGAGACATTCCATAATAATAAAAAGTCAGTGCGTAAGAAGATATAAAATTACTGGCTTACATGCATCTAACATTAGAGCCTTGAACACATTAAGCAAAACCTAACAGAACTGAAGGGACAAACAGACACATTAGTAATAATAAAGACTTCAATGCCCCACTTTGAGTAATGAGTGGAATGAATCAGATGATCAACAAGGATAGAGAAGACTTGAACAACAATACAAACCACTTAGACTTAACAGACCTCCACAAAGCACACCATCCAACAACAGGAGAACACACATTCTACTTAAGATCATGTAGAATACCCTTCAAGTTAGACAGTATGGTAGGCCATAATACAAATCCAATGCATTTAAAGGAATTGAAATCATACCAAATGGGTTTGCCAACCACAATGGAATTGAGTTAGAATAGGTATAAATTAAATAACACACTCATAAATAACCAACAGATCAAAAGAAGAAGTCACAAGGTAAACTAGAAAATACTTTGAGATGAATGAAAACAAAAACACAGCATATACCAAAACATATGAAATGCAGTCACAGCAGTGCTCTGAAATTTATAGCTGTAAATGTCTATATTAACAAATACATGGCCAGACACGGTGGCTCACGCCTGTAATTCCAGCACTTTGGGAGGCCAAAGCAGGTGGATCACCACAGTCAGGAGTTTGAGACCAGCCTGGCCAACATGGTGAAACCCTGTCTCTACTAATAATAAAAATTAGCTGGGTGTGGTGGCACACACCTGTAATCCCAGCTACTCAGGAGGCTGAGGCAGGAGAATTGCTTGAACCTGGGAGGCAGAGATTGCAATGAACTGAGGTCGCGCCATTGCACTCTAGTCTGGGCAACAAGAGTGAAACTCCATCTCAAAAAAAAACCAAAACAAAAAACAAAACCAAACAAAACCCAAACATATTTCATACCAATAACCCTACTTTCCACCTCAAGAAACTAGAAAAATAAGAGTAAACTAAGTGCAAAGTAAGCAGAAGAAAGGAAAAAATAAATATTAGAAAAGAAATAATGAAATACAGACTGTAACAACAAAACAGAAAATCAATAAAAGCAAGTGGTTTCTTTGAAAATATTGAGAAAATGGACAAAATTTTAGCTAGATTGACCAAGAAAAAAGAGAAGGCTTAAATTACTAAAATGGGGAATAAAAAGAGGGGGCATAATTATCGATTTTATGGAAATAAGAGAGATTACAAAGGAATACTATGCCAACAAATTAGATAACTTAGATAAAATGGACAAAACTCTAGGAAGACACAAACTATAGAAACCGATTCAAAGGTGAAATTTTCAAAAAATCTGAAGCTCTATATCAAGTGAAGAGTTTGAATTAGGCCAAGGCCCAAATGGCCTCACCGGTGAATTCTACCAAAATACAACAAAAAATCGATATCAGTCTCTCACAAACTCTCAAAAAATAGAAGGGGACACTTCTTGATTTTATGAGAGCAGTATTGCCCTGATTCCAAAATAAGACAAAGACATCACAAGAATAGAAACTACAGACCAGTATTCCTTATATAGAGAAACACAAAAATCCTCAACAAAATATATCAACATATAAAATATAACCCAGCACCATGTAAAAGGATTACATACCATGAGCAAGTGGGATGCATTACATGAATACAAGGTTGATTAAATATCTGAAAGTTAATTAATGTAATGAACCTTATCAATAAAGGACAAAAACCACATAATCAATTCAATAGATGCAGAAAGACCATGCGAAAAATCTAGTACCATTTCATGATAAAAACACTCAACAAACTGGAAGTAGAAGGAAATGTCCTCAATCTCACACAGGGCATCTGTGAAAAATCCACCAGGAACATGGTACTCAGTGGTGAAAGACGAAATACTTTCCCCAACCATCAGGAGCAAGACAAGAATGTTGGCTCTTGTTGCTTCTATTCAACATTGTACTAGATGTTCTAGCTAGAGAAATTAGGCAAGAAAAAGAAAAGACTTCCAAATTGGAAGAAGTAAAACTTTCTATATTTGCAGATGACATGATATTGTATGTAGATAATAACAATGTATCCATTAAAAAAAGATTGTATAATCCTGCACGGTGGCTCACTCCTGTAATCCTGGCACTTTGGGAGGCTGAGGCAGGAGGACTGCTTGAGTCCAGGAGTTTGAGATCAGCCTGGGTAACATAGTGAGTCCCTGTCTCTATCAAAAGTAACAAATTAGGTGTGGTGGTGTGCACCTATAGTCCCAGCTACTTTTCAGGCTAAGGTAGGAGGATTGTTTGAGCCTGGGAGCTCCAGGCAGTAGTGAGCCGTGATTGTGCCACTGCACTCAGCCTGGGCAACAGATAAAGACCCTGTCTCAAAAACAAAATACAAAACAAAAAGACTGTAACTAATAAATTTGTTTAGCAAGTTTGCAAAATGCAAAATCCATGTACAAAACCAATCATATTTCTACATTCTAGCATCTGAAAATGAAATTAAGAAAACAATCCCAATCACAAAAGCAAGGAAAAGAAGAAAATACTTAGGAATAATTTTAAGAAAAGAAGTGTGAGACTTGCACATTGGAAACTACAAAACGTTGAAAAAATTAAAGATCTAAATACATGGAAGGACACCCCACATTCATGGATCAGAAGATTTAATATTGTTCAGATGGAATGGAATACTCCCCAAATTTATCTACAGAGTCAGAGAAATCCCTATGAAAATCCCAGCTTTCTATTTTGCAGAAGTTGACAAGCTGATCCTAAAATTCATGTAGAAGTGCAAGGGACCCTGAATAGCCAAAACTGTTTTGAAAAATAAGAACAAACTTGGAGGGGGCTCAGACTTCCTGGTTTCGAAACTTACCACAAAGCTACAGTAATACATGGTGTGGCAATGGCATCAGGATAGACATACAGATCAACAGGCTGGAGTTGCAAGTTCAGAAATAAACCCTTTCATTTACAGTCTATTAATGTTTAACAAAGAGGTCGAGACAGTTCAAGTCAACAAATAGTGCTGTAACAATTGTATATTCACATGTAAAATAATTAAGTTAGATTCCATTTCATACCACATACAATAATTATCTCAAAATTGATCATAGATCTAAATGTAAGAACTAAAACTATAAAAGTCTTAGAAGAAAATATAGAAATAAATCTTCATAACCTTTGGTTAGGCAATAGTTTCTCAGATTTGACCACAAAAGAATAAACAACAAAGAAAAAAAGAAAAATTGAATTTCACTGAAATTAAATTGTTTCTTCCTCAAAGGACACTATCAAGAAAGTAAAAAAAGCCGGCGCAGTGGCTCACGCCTGTAATCTCAGCACTTTGGGAGGTCGAAGGGGGTGGATCATTTGAAGTCAGGAGTTCAAGACCAGCCTGGCCAACATGGTGAAACCCCATCTCTACTAAAAACACAAAAATAACCAGGCAGTAGTGGCATGCGCCTATAATCCCAGCTAATCGGGAGGATGAGGCAGGAGAATCACTTGAGCCTGGGAGGTGGAGGTTGCAGTGAGCTGAGATCGCACCACTGCACTCCAGTCTGGGTGACAGAGTGAGACCCAGTCTCAAAAAAAAAAAAAAAAAAAAAAGAAATTAAAAAGACAACCTACAGAATGGATGAAAATATTTGCCAATCATATATCTGAAAGGGTATAGTATTCAGAGTACATTAAAAACTCTTACAACTCAAAATACAAAGACAAATAATAACCCAATTAAAAAACAGGCAAAGCATTTGAGTAGACACTTCTTAAAAAAGATATTCAAAGGCCAGTAATTACATGAAAGAAGCTCAACACCATTGGTCATTAAGGAACTACAAAGCCACAGTGCATGTATGACTATAATAAAAAAAGACAATGACAAGTATTGGCAAGGAGGTGGAGAAATCAGAACCCTCATACACTGCTGGTGGGAAAGTAAAATGGCGCAGCCCCTCTAGAAAACAGTTTGGCATTTCCTCAAGAAGTTAAACACAGAGTTACCATATGACTCAGCAATTCCACTCCTAGATTTATACCCAAGAGAAATGAAAGCAGATGTTCATGCAAAAACATGTACGCGAGTGTTCATAGCAGCGTTATTCTTTATAGGGACAAAGTGGGAACAACCCCAGTGTCCGTTAACAGACGAACGGATAAACAGAAGGTAGTATATCCATACAATGGAGTATTATTCAGCCATGAGAAGAAATAAAATAAAGATACATGCTACGACATGGATGAACCTCAGAAATATCACGCTAAGTGAACAAAGTCACAAAAAAACCAGTATTATATGATTCAATTTATACGACAGAAAGTAGATTAGTGGTTGCTTAGGGCAGGTGATGGGAGGTAGGGAGTGAGTGCGAACGGGTGCTAGGTTGTGTTTGCTTTGGGGGATGATGAAAATGTTGTGAATTTACATTGTGATGAACATAGTTTGAGAATCTACTAGAGGCCTGGCATGGTGGCTCACGCCTATAATCCCAGCACTTTGGGAGGCTGAGGCAGGTGGATCATGAAGTCAAGAGATCAAGGCCATCCTGGCCGAGATAGTGAAACCTGTCTCTACTAAAAATACAAAAATGGCTGGGCATGGTGGTGCACGCCTGTAGTCCCAGCTACTCAGGAGGCTGAGGCAGGAGCATCGCTTGAACCCTGGGGGCAGAGGATGCAGTGAGCCAAGATCACACCACTGCACTCCAGCCTGGTGACAAAAGGAGACTCCATGTATTAAAAAAAAAAAATCTACTAGAAACTGTTTAGCTGTACACTTTTTTTTAATTTAAAAATTTTTTAAAGATTATTTTGAGACAGGGTCTCACTCAGTTGCCCAGGCTGGAGTGCAGTGGAATGATCTCAGCTCACTGCAGCCTTGACCTCCTGGGCTCAAACCATTCTTCCATCTTTGCCTCTTGAGTAGCTGGAACTATACGTGTGTGCCACCATGCCTGGCTAATTTTTTGTACTTTTGGTAGGAACAGGGTTTTGCTATGTTGCCCAGGCTGGTCTCAAATTCCTGGGCTCAAGTGATCCACTCGCCTTGGACTCCCAAAGTGCTTGGATTACAGGCATGAGCCACTGTGCCTGGCCTAGCTGTACACTTTAAATTGGTGAATTTTATGTTATATGAATTATATCTCAATAAAGATATTTCAGAAAACTAACAACAAAAAACCACCTTAGGGCTGATGGGAGAGGGAGACAGAGGACCCACGGTGTGACCCCCAGGGTGCAGCTGCTAGGAAATGTGGGGTCCACTATGACTTTCCTCTGAGGTAGGCATTGGGGGCTGTACCCTCCCCAGGCTCTAGCCCTGGAACCTGGAGTGGAGACAGGAGCTCTTGGACCTGAACTGGCCTTGCCACAGACGCAAGTCAGGGTGGTGCTTCCTCAGTGCCCCCTCACGGCGAGTCCCCCGTAGGGATAGGGATGTAGTGCAATCACAGTGACTTGTTTGTAGTTCTGAAAAGCACTTGCCCATGTCTTGTTGAGTTACTGCTGTGATTTGCACTTAATAGGGGAACCTGAGCCAGAGATGCGAAGGGGCTTGAACAAGGTCAGACGTGTATTAGTGGAGGTCGAATGGTGCTCAGCCTGGTGCTCTTTCTTCTTCCTGTCACTCTGTTCTTCATATACAAAATGCTCCCCTCTCTGCTGAGGTAGGGAGGGGGATCATGGCAGGGCCAGTCCTTCTAGTCTTTGCTTCTTGGCAAGGATGCAGATCATTACAACATCTGCTTTGCAGGGATTCTTCTGGACAAGGATGTGGTCATAGAGGTCACAGGCTGAGAATCAATGGAGACACGTGGTGCTCATCTGCTTATGAGGAAGATGCCACTTTCTTGCTTGGTCCACTGATGGGTGAGAATTCTGGCCTATTTAATGATCTCACTCCAGCTTTTTGTTTTTGTTTTGTAGCCATAAGAGTGTTTGAGAACTTTACTAACCTAGGTAAGATCATAATTGTCCTGTAATGCTGCACACCAGCAGACACTCTCTTAACTGATGACAATCTCCAGGAAGCCTATGTGCCTCAGAATTCCATCGCATCATCACTGGAACTCCCGGCACACACTAAGACACCTCCAAAAGGGTGCTCCCAACACACATCTCTAAAACACACCCAAAACAACACTCCACACTTGGGTTTACTGAAGTGTTTATTAAACGGGATCTGACATCTCTGCCATCACACTTTCTGGTTTGCTTCTTGCGATCTGGTCATCCAGCTCTGCTGACTGGGGCTTCGAGGACAGAACTACTCTGATGCAGAGGAACGTCAGAGGCTGGCCATGTCTGTGCCATGAGGGTGTCTGTGGCCATCACATTCCCCTTCCACAGTTGACAGGGGAAAGATGCCTGGCTTCTCTGCACTTAGGCTCTTTCTGTGCACAGGGGGCCTGCCTGAGACACCCGGCCCATCAGCCATGGGGCACGATCCTTGTCTACCACCTACCTATACCCATATCCCATATTGTTCACTATTCCCTGACTGTAGACAGTCAGGTCCTGAGGTCCTGCCTTGATGGCAGCTGAAGAAACAGCTCTGCAGCTCTCACCATCAAGGGCTTGCAGGAGTGTCTTGATTAGCCATTTGTCATTTGGTGAGACCTGGGCTACTGCAGGAAGAGCTCTGCTTATCTGCTTATCAGGAACACCTGCTGCATTTAGGCCCCAAACTGATACTAGCTTCTGGTTGGCCATTATTTTCATACCTTTGTAAAATATCCTGTAGGGAACATTGAAACGTGTGCAAGCACAAACACAAGTTTCTCATTAGACCATAGAGCATGCACTCTAAGGCTTGTTCTACAGAGCTTTGCGTTAGCCTCCACAGGGACTGAGAAGCCACAGGACTCTTCCTCCTGACTGCTCCCTCACTGCAGTTGCCATGAAGAATGGTGTGTGTGCTCTTCCTGGCAACAGCCTCATGGACCCGACAACAATTTTTAGAAGTAAAGCCTATATTGCAAATCCTTTACAGATTTACAAAGGAATATCTGATTCAGATGTCTTTGTTCCTTCTGGGTTAACTGTCACTTCCGTGGCCCCATGGCAGAGAACTTGCCTGCCTGCCCACTTCCTCCTATCCTCCCATTTTCCCTCCTCTTCTTCCCCCCTCACTTCCTTTCATTTTGAAGACATTTATATTTATCACCTATTCTGCTACCAAGTGCCTAAACACGGCACTGACACTTCTCTGTGCTGTGCCACCCCTGGGCAGCCTCTGTGGTCCTGCCCACAGCAGACATTGCCTTCTGGGCCCTGGCATTCACTGCGTTCAGTTTGCATCATCAACCTGGAATCTTGGAAAGGCCATGTGGTAAGGAGGCTGGAAGTCCCCAGCCATGTTTCTGGAATGAGCTTTGCTCATCTGGCCTGGCTTTCCCACAGTGAGCACAGAGCGGCATTGTTTTCCTGAGCAGCTCAGCCCCAGCCCTAGAGCATGCAGAGAATGTGGCCCACGGCCCGGCTGCTCCCACCAGAGGCCTGCAGCCTCCCCTCCCGACCCTGAGCAGTCTTGGTTGGTCAAGACCCACAGCCACCTTCTCTGCCTTAGAGATGCTTAAGTTACTGACACTTCCCTGGGCCTGCAGAGATGGGTGGACCATAGGTTCCTCACTGAGTGTTGTGCCCTGGGTTGGGAGTAAGAAAAGCCCAGAGGCTTTTGCTGGGCAGACATCCTCTGTCCCTTCTGGGCTGAGTCAATGGCACCTGCAGCCTCGTGCGCAGTGGCAGTGATGGTCTTGTTGGGGAAGCATAAGGGTTTCCCCACCTGTGGCCAGGAGGAAGGAGCTTGTGCTGGCTTGAGGTGGCGTGAGCCTTGTTTGTGCCTCCCTCGAGGCCTCTCCAGAAATGCTGGCCAGTCACACCTCCTGATGGCCTCAGGGGCCCAGCCAGTGTGGGGGTGTCTGGTTACCCCTTGAAAAGCTGACCAGAGAAGACCCTGAAACTCCAGGGAGGGCCATTGAGCTAGGTAGACCCCTCACTGAGCGTCCTCCAGGCTGGAGCAAGCGCTCAGAACAGGCCGGTGGCTGTAAGAGATGACAGGAAGAGTGGGGCCTGGGGAGGGGGAATGATGGGTGTCGTGTCAGAGGTGGTCTCCTCTGGCTCACTGTCCCCATCATCCAGACCTTCGGCGAGGGAGGGGACTATGCGGACCAAGTTGTCTTCAAAGTGCACCTGCTTCTTCTTGGCCAGGGAGTCGGCTGGCTCCAGGCTCAGCTCCATCAGGGTGTTGGGGGGCTGGAGGGCACTGGGCTTCTTAGTCCCCTTCAGGATACTCTTCATGTGGATGAAAAGGGAGCTGGGCCCCTCCTTGAGGGCCCCATGGAAAGTGTAGGTTTGCTCTGTGTCCCCAGAGCCGGTGGTGCTCACAGCGCTGCTAGAGGGGTCTGTGTACTGCTCTGGGGAGGCCAGCACCTCGGGGGCAGCTTTCCTCTTCTTCCGCTTGCTCAGAAGGAAGTAGGCCAGGCCGGTGATGATGAGCATGGAGCCTGGAAAAGAGCCAGAGGTCAGGGCTCTAGAGGAGTCACGGAAAAAATCCGGAGTCCTTGCAAGCATGTCGTGCAGCAGAGCTCCTGCAACCCGGCGCTGTGTGGCCATTCACAGGCCCCTGTGGCCCTGGCCCTCTTGCCTGGCTTGTCCTCACACCCCACATCAGATTTGGGGGTCCACTTGGAGGCTGGGATGGGGATGCTAAATGGCAGGAAGGATGGAGGCTCTGCTTTTCAACATGGTCTCCCTGGAGGGCTGTCTTCCCTGTATTGTAGATGGGTTCATGAGGAGGGGGCACAGTTTTCACAGATAGGGAGCAGAGAGGAGAAGGACACTAGCAGAAAAGGTCGTGGATGAAACTGAAAAGGTGGGAGCAAGAAATCCTGGGTTCTCTGACCAGAAACCAGCTGGCCAGTGGTATGCACCCGTGAAGTGGAAGTAGGAGATGAGGCTGTGAAGATTTTCTGGGGTCCCACCCTGAAGTGCCTTTCAAACCAGGCTGAGGAGTTTGGACCTGAATGAGTAGGCACTGGGGAGATTCAGAAGGGTTTGGGCAGGGAAGTGGCCATGTCACACCCTTGGGAAGCTCAGACCACACATGGTCAGTGGGAGGAAAGGTGAGGTCCCCTTTGCGGTTCCACTTCTGTACGGCTCTGTGAAGGAAGGATGCACTTCTTGGGACATTCCTGCCATTTGATCAGCATGGAGTATGTCTGGCATTCCGATGATTCCTCATGTCCACCCTCTAGGTCAGAGAGGGCAGTGGGGCAGGTAAGGTCCCTGGAGCCACCACTGGAGCTAGACTTTGAGGGGCTCAGCTCCTCCTGCTCAGAGTCCACCTGTGCTGGGGCTGCATATCTCTACCCCTGTGCTCTTACCTGGGATGGTCACGTGCCAGACCAGGACCGGGTGGAGGAAGCAGGCCACCGACAGCAGCAGGTAGGCCAGGAACTTCTGGAAGCAGCCCAGCCAGTGGGCTTTCTCCCTTACTCTGTCTGCCAGGGACCCTGGTTGACACCTGGGGAGAGGGAGTCCAGGTTAGCATAATGTGTCCCAGGAAAACCCCAGCAAGACTGGATGCCATGGAGTCTGGGCCAGGCCCTGCTGTGGGCATGCTCTGCAGTGGGCCCTGGCTGAACAGAAAGCCCTAGCGGTCCTTGGTGTGGGTTCCACAATGAGTGGATTTGCCTGAGTCCCTCTAGAGGGTCCACAAGTTTTTGAAAGGCTGCCCAGACCTGTTTTTCTGGTCGAAGGGGAAGCAAGTTAAATGTTCTCAGGATGCTGCATGAGTTAGTGAGGAAGACAGCTGGAGGCTCAGGGCTCACTGGGAAGTCTGCACTAATGCAGAGAAAGTGTGCAGTTTGGGAGCCACCTGCCTGGGACAGTTGTGCTTGTAGTGCACTGCATAAGAGGCTTGGCCAGGTGAGTGAGCAGGCTGGCACCCAGCTGTGCCCTGTTCACCCAGCCTTGCTTAGGCACAGTACAGTGTTGGCCCAGAAGGGCTTCTTTTCTAACTGTATACACAGGGACCACACATAGCCCTGGCAGAAGCCTGATGCTGAGCAGCTTCCTTCAGGGGCGCTGCCTCCATGTTTCACAGGGGGCAAGTGCCTGCCTTTAGACCCAGCGCCTCCATCCTCTGAATTGGCCTAGAGCTGGGGCTCTACACAGCCACATCCTGCCCCTCTAGCTTTGAGGGAGTGCTCAGGCTGTCCAGGTGGCCCAAAGCACTGCTCTCTTATGCTCGCAGGCTGGACTGCCATGGCTCACTGGTGCCCCCTGGTGCCCATTCCTGCGTGTGTGTGGTGGCAGGGTGCGGTGGAGTCCATCCAGGGTCCATTCCTCCCCAGCCTTCTCCCCAGCTGAAGTTTCAAGCACAGCTTGGCAGTGGAATTCAGCAGAAAGGGGAAAGCTTTCTGCCTTAGGGCTGGTGAGCCTGAGAGGCAGCCAGTGGCCTTGCAAGGTGCTGGGACATCTGGATCTGAAGACTGGCTCTCTCACTGACCACCCAGGGACCAGTGTCTAGGTTCTGAGAGCCGCAGTCCTCGGTCTCACCGATAACAGCTTCCACATACTGAGTGTAGGCTGGGAAGCAGCAAGGGCCTCACGAGATCCTGCAGGGTCTGCACTCCTGCCCCACGAAGGGGTGTAGAGACATACTGCCCCTGACTTGCCCCCGGGCCCTAGGAAGAGACAGAGCCAGTTCCCAAACCCAGGTCTGCTCACTCCCAGCTGGGCCTTCTGCAGGGTCCTCACCCCATGGCAGATGGCTCAGACACTGGGGCCCAGTGACTGGCTGCTCCTGGTGAGGGGGAGCTGGACTTTTCTGGGGATTCTGGGCAAGGACAGGCCCTGAATGACTGTGTCAGTTGGTTCTCTTGGTTGGGACCAGGGCAAAGAAGGCAATGGAGCCCCTTGGGCCTGTGCCCACCTCCAGGCCAGGCTGATTGTACCTCGGTGGGGGGCTCCTGTCCACAGTGGCTTCAGGAGCAGGACATCCCCTGGTTGTGGGCTCTTGGGTGGAGACATCTGTGGTGTCTGGGGCTGGGGTGGACAATGGAGGGGTCTCTCTGGAAACTACTTACTGGAAGCAGATGGCCAGCAGCTGAGCCACAAAGTAGGCCCCTTCACATATGGAGACAGCGGCTCCTGTAAACCTGCAGGTGGAGACAGGTGAGGGAGGCTGGCGCCTCTGTCTTCCTTTGCTTTCCTGAGGGCTGTCTTCTCACACGTGGCCTCCTGACATCACATCTACAGCCAATGGACTCACCTGGATTCCCCCAGACAACATTCACCACGGGCTGTCTCCAGGACATGGCGTGTTCCGGACTGGGCCATGCTGGGGAGAGGTGGGGTCTGGGGTTCAGAGATGGGTGGGGAGGGCACCGTGGCCAGCAGGTGACATGGCCTTCACCTGGCACCCTGTGTGACACTGGCAGGCACATCCTTCTACCTGCTGGTCACCAGGATGGACACCCACTGCCTGTGTTCCAGCCTTAAACCTGGACCTGTTCCTGACCCTTTCCTTCTTCCTTTTCCTATTATCCAAATAGTCACCAGGAGCTGTTGATTACATTCCTTCAATACCTTCCAAATCGCTCCTGTTCTCTGACCTCATGGGCATTGCCTGGGTTCAGGCCCTGCCCCCTGGACCCCTGCACCAGTTCCACTTCCTCACTTACCCCAGGCCTGTCTCCTGCTCCCCCACTGTGTCACTCTGGGCTGCCTGACACCTGAATCTGATCATGTTCCTCCTGATACAGGATGCCTCAAAGGCTCCTTGTGCTCCCAGTGTGGTCCATGGATCCTGCAATCAGCATCTCCTGAGGAATGTGTAGAATTCATGGCTCCCAGGCCACCCCTAGACTCACATCAGAATCCTTGGAAATGGAATATGTACTTACGGAGGGTCTCACTGCCTATCCTCCATGTTCCCTTGACAACACAAGAAGCTATCAGGTGCCACAGGGCTTTTGCACAAGTGAGCTTTTCCTGGAAGGCCTTCCCCTTCCCTCTCCAGTCTGTCTGGTGACCTCCTCTTACTTCTCCATGTGGTACCATATGACCAGAGTCACTAGTCTGTGAACCCCCAGAGGGCGTTCCCTGTCTAATTCTTCTGTACAGCCCAGGCTCACAGTGGGTCGGGCTTATTGGGCTCCATTAATGAGCATTGCAATAAATGAAGGAATGAAAGTGGATAGTGTTGTGCAGAAGGTGGCTTGGGGTCAGGGTTTCCTCAGAGCCATGGGTGTTTCTAGATTGTGTGATCACAGGTGAGAGGTGTGACCTTTCTCTGTCTTAGTTTCCTCAGCTGTAAACTGGGGTTATTATAGTGCATCAACAGTAAAACTGTTCTAAGAATTAAATGATATTTGTAAAGCACTTAGGACCATGCTTGGCACACAGTGATTATATCAATTCTAGTTATCATTTCTCTCTCCCTGTGATTAGTTAGATCATTTAGTGATCTCCACTCCTCTCAGTCTCTATGCCTCCCAGTGTGAGCCTAACTCTTACCCCTTGGTTTTAAAATGATAATAACTAACATTTATGTAATGATTGCTATGGGCCAGGCATAATTCTAAAGGCCTTACAAATATCAACTCATTTAGTCCTTGCAACAATTTTATAATAAGTACTATATTATATTATAATAAACACTATAATTACTGTCAGTTTACCGATGAGGAAACTAAGGCACAGAGAGGTTTGCCCCATCACCAATGGCCCCTTATCAGTAGCAGGGGGAAGATCAGAACCTAGCACGCAGGCTCCAGAGCTTGTGTGCCTAACAGGCACATCAAGACGTGTTTTGCAAAATAATTGCCACTGCCTTTTTCTATGCCCTGGGACAGAGGGGTATATCAAGGCTTGGGGAATAAAGCGACTCATTCAGACTTCCTGTCTGGTGCTATTGAGTGGCAGGGAGGGACAGACAGGGCAGGTACTGAGTGCTGATCCTGCAGGTGTTAGAGAACAGGGCACAGCAAGGGGCAGGGGACCCCAGGCTGGACTGGACCACCCAGAGACCACATGGGCATAGGGTCCCCTCAAAACAGAGACAAAACAGGGTTCTGGGCAGAAGGCAGCCTGCATTCACCTGCCATGGCCTGACCCGAGAGTTAGGGACCCACTGGAGAGGAGGAAGGCCCGCCTGCTTCTGGATCCCAGGGCAATGGTGCACAGCGGCTAGGGACATGGTCAGTTAGACACGGAGGGTGTTCAGAACCAGGAGAAGTCACTGCCAGCCAGCAGGGGCTCCAGGCTCAGGGCACAATTGCCAGGGCAGAATGCCAGGAAGGAGTGTCAGGCATTGGGCAGGTGGAAATGGGTGGACGGTGCTTGGGCACCCAACAGAATGAGTGAAGCTTGGAGGCGAGGCCATGCTGGTGAGTTTGAAAAAGAGTCAGAAGCCTCCTGCTGTACATGAGTGGCAAGAAGTGAGGCAGAGGCCAGAATATGGCACAGGGTGTGGACCAGAGGTGGTGGAAGCTCTTGAAGGTTGTCAGAGAGATCTGTGTGTCTAGATGGCAGTGTGGAAATGGGCTCAGAGGCTGAACCGCATCTGGGAGATGGCAGGTGTGAGCCCCCAAACACAGCAAGAGGCCTGCCCTGAGGCGGGAGGGTGGAGGCTGCTAAAAGCACAGGTCAGCTGCCACCTGAAGGTAGAGGTGGATCCTGAGGAGGGGGGGGAGTGGAGGTCACAGCCTGGTGGACCCTGTAGGCAGAACAGGACATTTGTGGGGCAGCCTGGCAAATTGTTATCTGTTGCTTCTCAGTTCAGTAAGCTCTTCAGGATTTGGGGGGCTAGAACACACAGCCTTCCTATATCATTTGGAAGAAACTGCTAGAAGCCCCTCAGGATGGGGCTGCAGAGATGCTGGGGCAGAGACCCAGGTTCTTCTAATCCCCTGGGACACCACTGCACAGGGATCACCTTCCTGCCAGGACACACTTACAGAGGTAGCTGGTAGTGGAGAAGAAAAGACATTGTCTGGGGAAAAAAAGGGTCTTGGGTTTGAATCTGGATCCTGCTGCTCATGAGCTTGGTGATGTGGGCTAACCTGCTTACTCCTTCTGAATTTTCTCATCTGTAAAACTAGGCCAATATGCCCTTCTCCTACAGTGCTGTGAAAGTTAAATAACATAATGCAATTAAGACATTTAACTGTATTTGGCATGTAGAGAAGCTCAAATATATATTTCTTTGACCTGATTCCCCATTCTCTAAACAAGAGCTCAATTAATATTTGCTGAATAAATAAATGATTGATGAGATGCGTGGATGGGTGGGTGTATGGATGAGTAGGTGGATGGATGGATGGATGGATAGGTGGGTGGATGGATGGATGGATAGATGTATGGATGGGTAAATGAATAGATAGATAGATGGGTAGATAGATAGATGGGTGGGTGTATGGATGGATGGGTGAGTGAATGGATGAATAGATGGATGGGTGAATAAATGGATAGGTGGGTGGATGGATGGATGGTTGGGTGTATGGGTAGTTGGATGGATGGATGGATGTGTAGGTGCATAGATGGATGGATAAGCAGGTGGATGGATAGATGAGTGGCTGGCTGGATGAATTGGAAGATGGATGGATAAATGGGTGGGTGGATGGGTGAATGGGTGTGTGTATGTATGTATGCATATATGGGCAGATGGATGGATGGGTGGGTGGATGGATAAATAGATGGGTGGGTGAATAGATGGATAGGCAAGTGGATAGGTAGATGGATGAATAGATGGATGGATGGGCAGGTGGATGAAGAGGTGGGTGGGTAGATGGATAGGTAGCTGGATGGATGTGTGGATGGATGGATAGATGGATAGATGGATGAGTGGATTGGTGCATGAATAGATTGGTGGGTGAGTGGATGGATGGGTGGGCTGACGAATGGATGGGCAGATGGATGGATAGATGGGTGGCTGGCTGGATCAATTGGTGGATGGTTGGGTGGGTAGAAAGGATAATTCATTGATTTATGGGATGGTCTGCACAAACCAGGAGCTATTCTAGAGCCCCCCTCAACTCCCTTCACCCCTGAGATAGGATGGAATTCACATGGGAAGGGGACTGCTCTGAGTTATTCTGAGTAGACAGATGTAGGGTGAGTTGAGCAGAACTTGCAGGTCAAAAGTGGCACATGCACACATACTCACAGCAGATAGAAAGCCAGGCTTTTGAACTGGCCCTGGAGGAAGGTCTCAGTGCCCACGCCGATCAACACTAAGGGGCAAGAGAAGAAGGAAGAGTGGGCCTGGTGCTCTACACCACAGCACTGCCCTGTTGAGGGTACCTTGGCTGTGGAGTGAGTCTTCTTCCTGGGGACTGACAGCCAAGGTAGGTTCTTCTCTTCATGATACAGGCAGCTGTGACTAGCAAGGTGCAAGAGAGCAGGAAGCCTCCTGGATTGCTCCCTGGAACTCCAGGCAGAAGCCCAGAGGTCTTCTGATTAAGCTTCCCCAGAGCAGCCACCCTTAGTGCCCCCAGCAACTGCCCACACTAATGTGGCACCAGCCCCTTGATTCACAGCTGTTCTCTGTCATGTGCTGGGGCCCACCCCAGTGTGTGCTGTGTGTCTGGCTTCAGTGCTTGGCCGTGGATGGGTCCTGCCCCAGCCCTGTTCTCTTGCTTGGGTCACTGGTTGCTGTTGTGTGGCCTTGGTCTTGCTTGCTGAGGGGTGGCGGCAGGTCACACTCATTGCTCATTGCTTTGGACCCAGTGCTGATTAAACTCCTGGGGTTTTTCTCTGACAAGAAAATGTTGCTCAACCTCAGCTCTCCTCCTCCCCTTTCTTGGCAGTTAGTGCTGAACTTTCATCTGTCATAGGTGAATTTCATCTCGGACCTGCCTTTCCAGACTTGCTGTCTCTGGGTGCTCTCCTCACAAGGATTTGCTGGCTCCCATGGCTTCCCACAACCAGCACAGCACGGACCTTTGGAGTCCCCAATAGAAACATTGCAGGGGCAGTGCATCGGCCTGCTGACTAGAAGTCTTTCTGTCCCTAACTGATTACAATGCTGACCCTGTTTCTCTCTGGGCTCTGATGATGCCCCTGCTGTGTGCTGAAGGGTGGCTTCATCCTCTCTTCCTCCCAGTCAAAGATGGTGGGCTGGGCTGTCATCCCTGGCTGCCTGGGGGTGGCCTCTCCTCCCTGCTGCTCGTGGCGCTGCTTCCTGGCTTCTGGTGCTTCCTCTTCCCTGGCAGAGACATTGTGTGGGCTTCCATCGCCTGGTGTCTCAAGCTGAAGGGGGCCCTTCGTCCAATGCTGAAATGCCTCTTCTAGAGAGCAGGGAAGAGCCTTGCACTGAAGCTACCAGCACTCCATCCCTCGATTCTGGGGGTGGGGGGTGGGAGGGGCGATCATGGAGATATGGGGCCGGGGAAAGGGGACAGAGCACTTGGATCTAGGCAGGTGAGAAGAGGCGGTTATGTTTTCTGAGCAATGGATGGAGGGCTCTGGGGCTCCGCTGTGCTTCATGGGCGACTGCCCACATTAACGTGCCACCAGTCCCTTGGTTCACAGGAGGCGGACACCGAGTCTCCCACTCTCTCCAGGTTCCAGCTGCCCTGCTGGCTCACCTGGGGCGAGGACAGATGATGCTAGTGGGCCACATCCCCCTGCAGTGTCAGCCTAACTGAAGAGTCAAAACTTACAGAGCACTTCAGAGCTTCCACACCATGTTGCACACGTCCCGGCCCTTCCAGCAGGCCTGTGGCACAGGAGTCCCACTCTCTCCATTTTACAGAGGAGGACAGTGAGGCTCAGTGGCCTGTGTAGTTCACTCAAGGATACATGCTGGACAGTGAGGGCCTAGAGACCAGGTGGAGGCAGCCAGCTCTAGGTGGTGCGCGGTTTCCTGCTACCCACTGCTTTCCAGCCTGCGTGCGTGCATGTGTGGACACGTGTGTGTGTGTAGGCTTGTGAGTGCATGTATGTGTGAGTGTATGTGTGTGTGTACATGTGTGAGTGTGTGAGTGTATGTGTATATGTGAGTATATATGTGAGTGTGTGAGTGTATGTATGTGTGTATGTGGGTGTGTATGTAAGTTCATGTGTGAATGTATGTGTGAATGTGAGTGTGATTATATATGTGGATGTGTGTGAGTGTGTGTGTGTGAGTGTATGTGTGTGAATGTGCATGTGTGAATATGTGAGTGTGAGTATATATGTGCATATATGTGTGTGAGTGTGTGTGTAAGTGTGTGTGTATGTGTGTGAATGTGCACGTGTGAATATGTGAGTGTATGTGAGTATATGTGTGATGTGCAGGCAAATGGCCATTTATTTGGTTTTCGCCATGTCCTATTATCAGCACCCAGCATTCATTTGCTTGTTTAATCATTGCAGCAGTCCTATGAGAAGGTACTCTTGTTATCCCCACTTTACATAGAGGAAACTGAGGCACACAGAATGTAAGTAATGTAAGTCAAACCAACCAACCAACCACGGATGGAGGCCCAGGTCAGATCCTGAGTTTCAGTCTTTCATTTTCTAGTTCATAGCATAGTCACCCAATCTCTCTGAGTCTCAGTTTCCTCATTATCTCCTGCACACAGTGGTCATGAGGACCGTAGTGAGCTAACTGATACCAAGCGTGTCATGGGTGCTCAGTGAATCACTGGCTGGGGAAGAAGTGCTTCCTGCCCTGGGCCTGGGAAGGGGTGTTCGACTCCAGGCTGATGCCTGCATTGAGCACTCTGTAGGACAGGCATGGGCTCCACTTACGTGACACGTCATGTTGGCCAATTTGCAGGGGGCTTGTGGCAGACGACCAGCAGATGGCAGGAAAGGGTCTTGGGAACTCAGCTTCTTCCCTGACCTGCACCTGTTTGGCATGTGGAGAGCTATTTTGATGCCTTTTGTTTTGCACTCTTTAGACAAACAGAGGGTCAGCGGTCAGAGGGGCATTTGAGGAACACTGTAGAGAGAGTGCTGGTTTGCATAAAAAAAATGGCAACAGAGAAATGAGAGCCGGATGGAAATCCCAGTTCTGTGTGTTATTACATACAAGTGGCAAGTACTTAACTCATCCAAGCTGTGTTTTCTCATCTGTGGAAGGGGCAGAATAAGTTACAACTCACAGTCATTGCTTGGATTGGAGAAAATTGCTTGGATTGGAGTCTGAAATGCACGGCTTAGTGCCTGATAGATGTCAGGTGATCAATGCAAAGAGGTGACTCCTTCCCCCAACTTGGCCCTGGCAGCTTTGCCAGTGTCCAGTCAGCCACTTTGTACTAAGGGGCGTGAGGTCACTCCCACAAGCTCCCTCCAACCATAGCCAGCAGGATTCTGCCTGCCGAGACTGAGGAATGCCACCTGGCGGGAGGAGGAGAGTGTGGGGAGCCAGGAGTATGGCTCCTCAATTTACCCAAGGCGGAAGAGGATCAGTGGGGCGCTCATGGGAGGCTGTAAAGCCCTTTGATATCCAGGCCAACGGGTCACCGCTTTCTGCTCAGTCCTCCCACTTTTGGGGTTCGTGTTCCTGGATGCAGAGCATGCCAGGTTGAAACAACACGGACTCGCACCGAGTCCCTCCTCTGTCCCCTGCTCTGTTTGCCTCTGGTCTCAATGTTCAGGCAGCTCTGCTGGGAGCGGCAGGCCCACCCTCCTTGGGGGGCGGCTCCTGGCCGCTTCTCCGAGGCCCACCTGGTCTTCTGTGGTTACCGGTTGGGCCAGGCACTGGGCTCATGGCTGTGGTATGCTTAGTCCAGCAGGAGAGATGTGATGTGGACTGAGAAAAGTGCATTCAGCGAGGGCAGTAACCCAAGCTGGACGAGGGACTCACCCAGGAGCTCTGGGGCCAGACAGGAGGGGCCACTCGTGGGACTATCAGGGAAGATGAATAACGATGAAGGTAGAGTGGACTAGGAAAGCAGCAGGAATAGACCTGTGCAGATGGAGGGGCCAGGCACTGCAGGGTGTGGGGGCCCCTAACAGCAGAAGCAGGGGCACAGTCGGGGGCAATGGGCAGTGCATGTGGATCAAGGCGACTGTGGGGTTCTTAAATATTGGGCTCTGCAGCGTGAGCAGAAGGGACTCGTGTTTAGATTGGTATTTCAGAAAGCTCCCTGACCCCGTGCAGATGGTGAGAGACTTCAGTGATATTTGGTGGTGGCTGAGGGACAGAGACCAGCTCCAGGTGCTCCTGGCCACTCCCTCTCCCAGCACAGGGTATCTGCTAGTTTCTTTGTTGACTTGGGCTTGAAGCACAGTTCTGGCTGTGGCTCCTGGTGGTGTGGTGCAGGTGGCTTTACTGTCCAGTGGCACAGCAGGGCGCTTGGCATAGAGGCCCAGAAGAGTGGAGGGTCTGTTCTGTCTGGGGACCCAGAGAAGGAGGCTTCCCAGGCATAAAGCAGAAGGCATGCCCTGCCATTGCATGTTGATGTTTGGACTTTATCTGGGCAGTAGGGGGGCAGAGGTGTGGGCTGGCCAGGAGGTGTCTGGGATTGGAAGCTTCCTGGGCATGTCAGCCCTGTTGCCCCTCACTCAGGTGCCACCACACGCCATGTAGACAGTAGGCCCTCTCCATACGTCTTGTTTCCTCTGCACATCTCCCAAGTGGGAACTGCCAACTCTAAGGTCTCCCAGTTTTCTCAGCGATGTGCTGGCTGCCATCTCTCAGGAAAATTGGCTAAGAATGGTTTTGCTGTGAAGACACACCTGCTAATCCCTGAGGAGTGAGACCGACATATTGTGAGGAAGCCCAAGCCAGCCTTGTAGAGAGACTTGTAAAAAGAGAGAGGGAGAAATAAGAGTGAGAGGGAGAAATGAGAGTGAGAGAGAGAAAGAGAGAAAGGAAGAGAAAGAGAGAGAGAGAGAGAGAGAG